>NC_000007.14:50240242-52866712 GCF_000001405.40 Homo sapiens
AGCATGGTACTGATATAAAAATAGGAACTTAGACCAATGGAGCAGAATAGAGAACCCAGAAATAAACAGAGTAGAGAACCCAGAAATAAACAAAATACTGATCTTTAATGAAGTATACAAACACATAAATTGGGGAAAGGACACCCTATTAAATAAATGGTGCTGGGAAACTGGTAAGCCACATATAGAAGAATGAAACTGGATTGCCATCTCTCACCCTATACAAAAATCAACTCAAGATTGAGCAAAGAGTTAAATTTAAGACTTGAAACCACAAAAATTCTAGAAGATAACATTGGGAAAACTCTTCTGGACATTGGCTTAGGCAAAGAATTCATGACTAAGACTCCAAAAGCAAATGCCAAAAAATTAATAAATAAATGTGGCCTAATTAAACTAAAGAGCTTCCGTACAGCAAAAGAAACAATCAGCAGAGTAAACACATAATCCAGAGTGGGAGAAAATATTCACAAAGTATGCCTCCAACAAAGGACTAGTATCCAGAATCTACAAAGAACTCAAACAAATCAGCAAGAAAAAAACAAATAATTTCATCAGAAAGTGGGCAAAGGACATGAATAGACAATTCTCAAAAGAGGATATACAAACAGCCCACAAACACATGAAAAAATGCTTAACATCACTAATCATCAAACAAATGCAAATTAAAACCACAATGAGACACCACCTTACTCCTGCAAGAATAGTCATAATTAAAAAGTCAAAAAACAATAGATGTTGGCTTGGATGTGGTGAAAAGGCAACACTTTTATATTGCTGGAGGGAATGTAAATTAGTACAACCTCTATGGAAAACAGTATGAAGATTCCTTAAAGAACTAAAAGTAGAACTACCATTCAATCCAGCAATCCCACAACTGGGTAGCTACTCAATGGAAATGAAGCCATTATGTGAAAAACAAACATGCACATTCATGTTTGTGGCAGCACAACTCACAATTGCAAGGATATTGTACCAATCTAAGTGCCCATTGACCAGCTAGTGGATTAAAAAAAATGTGGTATATTGACACCATGGAATACTATTCAGACTACTCAGCCATAAAAAAAAGGTACAAAATAATGTCTTTTTCAGCAACTTGGATGGAACTGGAGGCCATTACTCTAAGTGAGTAACTTAGGAATTAAAAACCAGATACCACATGTTCTCACTTGTAAGTGGAAGATAAGCTATGAGGATGCAAAGACATACAGAGCAATACAATGGACTTTGAGGACTTGGGACATGGGGAGGATGGGAGGTGGTTGAGGAATAAAATACTACATATTGGCTACAGTGTACACTGCTCAGGTGACAGGTGCACTAAAATCTTAGAACTCACCACTAAAGAACTCATCCATGTAACCAAAAACCACCTGTACCCCAAAAACTATTTAAATAAAAATAAATAAATAAAATATTATCATTAAAATCCCAGGAGTACAGGTATGATTTAATATCAGAAAATTTATAATGCAATCTGCAATCTTAATATACTAAGAAAAAAATATAATTATTTCAATAAAATGGAGAAAAATAGCCTTGAGATAGAACAGAGCTTCATTAATTTTATTAAAAAAAACAATTTAGAGTATACATCTACTTGATGAAGGAAATGTGGATGTATTTTATTTAAATTGGCAACAGAAAATAATAGCCATAACCATCATTACCATTTAACCTGGTTTTGGTGTAGGACTTGGAGAGAAGACATAATGGTATGCTTATTTTTGTATAACATGATTACTTTATGCAGGAATTGCAACAGAATTATCAAAGAAACTATTAAGACTAAAAATAGTATTTGCCAACTTTTCTGTAGACAAACTTAATCTGAAAAATTCAATAGTGTTTCTAAACACTAGCAAAAACCAATTACTTATACAGTCAATTGTCATTATTCATAGTAGTTCTGTTCAATAAAAGGAAGGAAGGAAGGAAGGGAAGGAAGGAAGGAAGGAAGGAAAGAAGGAAGGAAGGAAGGAAAGAAGGAAGGAAGGAAGGAAAAAAGAAAGAAAGAAAGAGAGAGAGAAAGAAGGAAAGAAAGAAAGAAAGAAAGAAAAAAAGAAGGAAAGAAAGAAAGAGAGGAAGGAAGGGAGGAGGAGAGAAAGAGGAAGGAAGGGAGGAGGAGAGAAAGGGAGAAAGAGAGAAAGAGGGGGAGGAAGGGAGAAAGAATGAAAGAACAAAAGGAAAGGAAAGGAGAAAGAAAGAGGGAAAGAAAGAGATTTACATAAACACAGAAATATTACACCACACTACAAATACTACAAATCCATGAAGGGTAAGCAAAATAATAGAAACCTAGACCAATGGCACAGAATAGAGTTCAGAGGGAGACCAACGTGTGTATGGTCAATAAAGGTAGTATACAAAAATAAGTGGGAGATTTTTTAGAAGATAGTTTTGGGAAAACTGATCCATGACATAAAGAAAAATAAACTAGCTCTCTAAAATGAGTGCTTTAGGTCAATGTTACCCGATAGAAATATAAAGTGAGAGGTAGATGTAACTGTAAATTTTCTAATTGTCATATTTTAAAAAGTAAAAAGAAACAGGTATACTAACTTTAGTAATATATTTTATTTAACCCAATGTGTCCAAAATATTATTATTTAAACATGTAATCAATATTTTAAAACTTATTGATACATTTTACCTCTTTTTATTCTAAGGCTTCAAAATATGGTGTGTATTTTACACTTACAACCCATTTTGATCCATCTCTAAATCTCACTGGAAACAATTTATCTATGTTAGATTTCAGAAAATTTACAGTTGAAATTTACAGTTGATTCATGTATCCAAGCTGTTCTAAACATACTTAATAAATTTTCAACAATTAAATTGTGCATGAAATAAAAATCACTTTTGTTTAATGTTTGAATCCACATTGGTAAAATTAATCCACTTATTTTTTAAAAATCGATTTAACTTGAAGAAAAAGCATATTGGTACCAATAGTATGTCTGTCCAAGTTAAATAATTTCATTAACTCATGTATCAGTAAGCATCATTAACATAAAATCAAAGAGGTTATTGTACCATAATTATCCATATCAACAAAGCATACTCCAAACTTTTCCTGTATGCTTTGCAGCCATTTTACATTATGCTGTAGATTGCAATTCTACATTCATAATACCTTTAACAGAAGTTAAAAGCTTCATGAAACTAAACAAAAGTATTTTCAATACTTACATACTGTGGAATGAAGCAATAAAGGAAATATCAGTCTCTCATTTTAAAATTCTAGTGAATTCAGATTTTCGACCTAACATAGCTGGAATACTCTGTTGTGATAGAAATTGACTTTTTCATATCTATCTGAAATCCTTCTTTGAAAAATTCAAAAGATTCAACAGTATTTATATCACAAGTTTAAATTTTTAGATTGTGAATTGATAGTATTTCTACATAAATTTGGTAGTTTTTTGAGACAAAATATATTCAAAGCATTAGTTGAGTAGCATCTCATATCACAAGATGCATCCAGAGGTACTGACAGTTTTTAAAATGTTGAATCAGTTAATCTTTGATATTGTGAGAAAGGTATTGCACTTTATGGGCAAATTTTCTGTGGCTTAGCTACAGGTCTTTTGCTTACAGTAAAATATCTTTTTTAGTCTTTTTCTTACAACTTTCTAACAAATTTTTCATAAATTAATCATGATTTTTGCCGTCTTTCTGACTAAAAATGATTTTCCCTGTTCAATAATTTAATTCAGTTTATAGCTAGCCAAAGTTATAAGCCCAGTTTCTGATGAAAATCATTTAAAAGTTTTGTGTTGATCATTTAATTCTGATTTCAGTTAATTATTGTCAATGCTTTTTTGACTATTGAGAGGAAGCATCTTATTAAATTCACTATGTATGTGCTGAAAACATCTCTTAATATTATCTACCTTATTATCTTTAAAACTTGCTTTTTTTACTGATACAACAATTTGTAATTGTTATTTATTATGAAATTTGTGACATACTTTTTTCCAATCTTTGTCTTTTTAAAAATGTTTCCCATTGTATTACACACATCTGCATCTGCATTTGAATCTGTAGCAGTAGTGTGATTTTATTTTAAATGTAAAAATTTGTTAATATTATTTTTACACTGAAAAAAACAAACTATATCAAATAATAATATAATTTTTAATGTAATTACTGATTATAATTTACTTAGGCATCACTCTAAGTCTTGATGCTTTTGCAATATATTAAAATAAACAATCTACAATGTTACATCAGCACATAGAAAAAATCATTTG
This sequence comes from Homo sapiens, assembly GCF_000001405.40. Lineage (NCBI taxonomy): Eukaryota > Metazoa > Chordata > Mammalia > Primates > Hominidae > Homo > Homo sapiens. The sequence continues at coordinate 50,244,505 of NC_000007.14, forward strand.
GACTAAAAAAATTGTTTTATGCCAATTATATTGGTAATGTTTATGTCTGCCAACAGAAATAATGCATGTGCCCAGCACATACACCACAATAAAGCAATATCTTACATGGTGCAATAGTTAAACTCAAAACAATACATTATGTATGATTTTACACTGATTAAGTTTTTAAGTTTAAAGTAATTAAAACCAAACAAAATTAAAATTTAGTTTCTTAGTTGTACTAGCTACCTTCAAGTGTTTGGTAGCTACATGTGACTCTTGGCTACTAAGTGAATAGCCCAGATTGAGCTGAATTAAAGATTTAAATGTAAAAGAAGAAACAACAAAGTCTGACTAAGAAAAATGTACAGCAGTATCTTAGTGATCTAGAAGGGTAACAAAAGCATAAACCTTAAGTAAAGAAAACTGCCAATGGAGCATACAAAAGCTAAATATTTCTGTTCAGTAGCAGGAACCGTGGACAAGACTTATAGGTAACAAAATTAGAAAGCAAGATAGAGTAAAGCATTTGGAGATTATGTGGAATGCACATCCTCTCTTGCATGGCTTGTGGAGGTATAGACTGACTTTAGTGATTGCAGAGAGCAATCTGGTACCATTAGTTAAATTAAGTATAATCATACCCCAGATATAACCCAGGAATTCTCAACAGCACGAGTATCAAGATGTTCCCTATAGCTTTCACTATGGCGGCACAAGAAAATATACAGTTGAATACCACAATGAAATTTATGCAAGAAGAATGGATCAGTAAAATGTGGTGGGTATTTGCAATGGAGCATTACTTAACAGTTAGAAGAAACAGATTAGATGTACATAGGCAGACACAGAGAAATCTTTAAAAATAGCACTTACTACGAAAAAGTAATAAAGAAAATGAGATTATAACATGTGTGTGATGCACCTGTTACCATGCACACAGTTAGCAATGCACATTTTGAAAGAACACCTCCAAAATACATGTTGAACACATGATGTTGATTGTCTACATGAGGAGAACAATGACAATGGGGTGGACTAATGGTTATAGTGTATCATAAACTTGGAAGTGTGATTAAATATTCAATTTTTGAGGTCCATGAAAATTGCTTTTAAAAACTGAATTCCATTTCTGGCATTATGGTAGAATGTCCTGAGATACTCTCCCATGGAACAAACAAAATACAATATAAAACATATTTTAAAATATATTTAATGTATTTCTCAAAATCAAATAAATAATTAAAAAAAGAATCCAATGACATAAGCAAGTACTTAAGCTGTCTTTTTCCCAGAAGCATCAGTTGAATCCTACTGAAGTTAACTTTCTGGTTTCATGTCTACACTTGGAGCACAAGGAACAAGAAATAAGCCTAGTACTTTCCCAAGTTGGGGCACCAAAGAGATGTCTACTTAAAGTCAAAAGACAGAAGGATAGGGCAATTTAGAAACAAAATTACCTCATTTAAGGACACAAAAGTAAAAGTTGCCTACCTTGACAATGACACTATGTAAAAGGATAAATATCTCTACTGAGATTTCATTGTTCCTAGATGACATTCACATGCATTTTCAAACTCAAATTCTGGCTATCTGTATTGCCTGAAAAATTTAAAGCCAGGAATTCAAGCTGTCTCAGATTAATAGTACCCATAATTTCCTAGAAGGAAACACAAATTCTTTCCAAGAAAACCCATTTCAATTCATTTCTCCCAGAATTTTCCCACAGATAAATGTCAAAGGAACATCAAAAGCAAAAGGAAATAGGGTATCATGAGTAACAACCAGTGATATGAAAATATGATTAGGCATGTTAGAAAATAAAAGTATATCAAACTTCTAAAAATTTCTTAAAGTATTTCAATTTGAAGTACAATAGAAAACAAATTATATATAGCTGAATAATTATTTATCTGATACTTAAATCTTAAGAAATTATTTAGACTATGCACATAAAGAAAATGAGATGCTAAATATAAAGAGAGGTTATTAAGAGACATGGAAAATAGATTATGATGGTTTAACATTCATTCAGAGTCTAGTAGGAGAGAAATAGGACAATATCTTTTGTGGTAATGGTTGAAAATATTCAAGAGCTGATTATTAGACGTTTCTCTTAACATTCAGGTAGCCCAGATAATCTCAAACAAAATAAATAAAATAAAATTCATACCTAGATACAAAGTGCTGATGTTTCAGAACACCAAAGACAAAGTAAAGATCTGAAAATTAGTCAAAGAAAAGACAAAAACCTGAAATTAAATGGCAATTCCACTGACAGCTGACTTTGCAACAGCAGTAATGGAAACCAGAAGACAATGGAATAATATCACGGAGGTGCTGGCAGAAAGATCTATCTAGAGTTGTACATCTAGTAAAACTCTAGAATACAGAGGAAAAATAGAAAATGTTCTCAGATAAACAAAAATGGATCTATAGACACCAACTGAAGAGAAATTCTAAAGGTGTTTTTTTAAATAAGAAATATGAACTCAGATGGAAAATCTAACCTGTAAGAAAAAATAATAAGTAAATACATTAGTAAATCTGATGGGTAAATCTAAATAACTATTGACTGTATGACAAAATAATAATAGAAATAATAACAACATTTAATTTTAGGTGTTAGAAACAAGCAAATCTTAAGTACAGACATGAATGTAATTTATTTAAAAAATAACTGAAATATATATAACCTGTGAAATTTAAATTACACTTCCAAATAACTCCTCTATTGAAGAATATATAACTTTTGGAACATTATTAAATTGTTAAATAAACATTACTTCAAAAACTACATATCAAAACACATAGGCACATCACACCCATCAAGATGGCCAATATCAAAAATAATAATAATAGCAAGTGTTGGTGAGGATGTGAAGATTTGGTACTCTTTTGCTGGTGGGAATGTCAAGTAGTATAGCCACTGTGAAAAACAATATGCCAGTTCTTCAAAAAAATTAAAAATAGAATTACCATATGATTTAGAAATCCTACTTCTGGGTTATACTCAAAAGAACTGAAAGTAGAATCTCAAAGAGATCTCTGTACATCCATGTCCATAGCAGCACTATTCACAATTGCTAAAACTTAGGAGTAACCCATGTCCATCCATAGGTGAAGGTATAAACACATGGTCTTTACATGCAATGAAATGTTATTCAGCCTTCAAAAGGAAGGAAATTCTGACATGTACTACAACATGGATGAATCTTAAGGATATTTTGCTAAGTAAAAGAAACTAGTCACAAAAAGATAACGTAGTTAGAGTACTCAAAATTTTAGCGACAGAAAGTAGAGCAGTGAATTCCATGGACTGAGGAGTGGGGAGAATGGAGAGCTGTTGTTTAATAGGGACAGAGTTTTAGTTTTACAAGATCAAAAAAATTCTGAGGATGGTTGGTGGTGATGGTTGCACAACAATGTTAATGCACTTAATACCACTGAACTACTGTATACTTTTAAAAAAGGTAAGGCAGTAAGTTTTATATTCTGTGCATTTTATTGTAATAAAAAATTGGAAAAAAATCACATAGGATTTACCTAAAATAGCACTTAATAGAAAATGTATAGAAGTAAAACCAAGAAAGAAAAGAAAGAGGAGAGAAAGAAAGAAAGAAAGAGAGAGAGAGAAAGAAAGAAGGAAAAAAGAAAGAAAGAAAGAAAGAAAGAAAGAAAGAAAGAAAGAAAGAAAGAAAGAAAAAAAGAAAGAAAGAGAGAGAGAGAAGGAAGGAAGGGAGGAAGGAAAGAAAAGAAGAAAGAAAGGAGGGAGGGAGGCAGGAAGGGAAGGGAAGGAAGGCAAGGGAAGGCAAGGGAAGGGAAGAGAAGGGAAGGGAAGGAGAAGAGGAAGAGGAAGGAGAAGGAAAGAAAGAAAGAAAAAAAGAAAGAGAAAGAAAGAAAGAAGAAAGAAAGGAAAGAAAAAAAGAAAGCGAGAAAGAGAAAGAGAGAGGGAGAGAGAAAGGGAATCACCCTATTTTAATTGCAGAGAATAAACCCAAAGACAGTACACAGGGCAAAATGGTAAAGATAAAAACAGAAGTTAATAAAATACAGAACTAAAATATGACAGATTAGAAAAACAAAACAACAGGTTTATTTTAAATCTCATGAAATTAAGAAATCTCTAATGAAAATTTTCACGTTATGAAGAGAATGCACAGAAGCAACTTCTGAAAAGGAAAATAAATTCAAACTATAGATGCTTCAAGAAATAAAAAGATGAGTATACTGAGTACAACCTGATGGCAATTTAATATGTAAACCAAACTAGAATTAACAAATTTCTAGAAAAAAAATAACTTAACGAATAACTCAAGGAGAGTTAAAAAAAAATCAAACAGTCCAACATCCCTTAAATCTGTTGAATCAGTAGCATAAAATCTTTTGAGAAAAGAAAATATCATGCCTGATAATTGTACAAGTAAATTCCTGCACAATTTATTCAAAAAATTCTAACCTTATACAAACTTTTTTAGAGTACAGAGGAAAAGAATACTATTTAGTTGAGTTTATGAAGTTAATTTGCTCCAAATACTAAAACCAGATAAGAATAAACAGGTGAAAAAAAAAAAAGCATAGGCCAATCTCATTCATCTGCAAAGAACAAGAGAAAGAACATCAGCATGAAATCTAACATGTATAGAATGTTATGGCTATGTAGGGTTTCATCTTATAACTACATGGTTTAGCATCAGAAAACTCATTGATAGATAAAAATATTTATACATAAATGGGGAAAATGAGAAAAAGCGACTTAATAGCATTCATTATTCATGAAAGTATTGCTCAGAATAGTAGGAAATTAAGAAAACTTACTTAAACTGATAGAAGGAGGCTACTAAAATCCTAGGAAAAACATCGTATAAAATCCTAGGAAAAACATCGTATTTAATGGTGGGCTGTTAAAAGCCTCCCGTTTAAAATGAGTTGCATGATGACGATTCCTAATATCACACTTTCCTTCAACATTATATCTGAGACTGTAGCCAGTAATCAAATACAAGAAGAGGATACAAAATAAGAGAATGGCTCGTAAATGACTAGAACATCTAAATGACATGTAAGATGTCAAAATAAGAGAATGACATCTTAAATGAATAGAACAAAGCCATAATTATTTGCAGATAATATGATGTTCTGTAGAAAATCCAAATGAATCTGCTGATGAATTATTAGAATTAAATAATGGAATTTTAAAAGAATGTGTGATACAAAATAAATAGAGAAAAGTTAATTGCATTTGTATACCTCAGCCAAAAGTATTTACAGTGTGGAAATTTAATATTAAGTAATATGAAATTTACAATAGAAACCAAAATTGTAATTACCTAGGAATAAACATAATATTAATAGATGTACAAATTTAGAAGACCTAAACAAAAAAATTAGATATCTGTATAGGAAGACTTAATATATTAAGATGTTAATTATCTTCAAATTCATCCTTCTATTCAAGAAAAATCCAAATTTCCAGCAGGTAATTGGTTACATCAAGCTAGCTCTAAAATTTATATGTAAGAGCCAACAGTCAAAAATGAGCATTGCTGAAGGGAAGAATACATTGGAAGGATGGACATTATCACATATCAAGACATACTATAAAAATATGATCATTGAGATATGTTTTATTTGTATAGAGATAAACAAATATACTTACAGAATAGAGTACCCAGAAACAGACTTAACAAAAAAATAGAAACCCAGTTATGACAGCTAGCATTGAAGAACATGGGAAAATGGACAGCAACAATTACTTTTACATAGGGAAGAAAATGAACTAGGATTCCTATCTCACATAATACACTAAAATCGTTTCAAGGTAAATTTATGACATAAATGTTAAAAGCAAAACTATAAAAGTTTTGAAAGGCAATGTAGTAGACTATTACCATGTATAGGGAAAACTTTCTTAAAGAGTCGAAAAACACATTCGCAGAAATGATTAACCAATTGGTCTGAAAATTGAGGTACAATGAAGACGTGAAAAGATGATACACATCGGAATAAAATATTTACAACACAGATCACTGAGCAAGTATTTTTTAAAACATATAAAAGAGTCCCAATATATAGATACAAAAAAGACAATTCGATGGAGAAGTGAACAAATTACTTCAATGGGTACTTCATGCAAGAGAAAAATAAAATATGAAAAAGATGCTCAATCTCATTAGTAAGCAGGGGAATTCCAATCAAAGCCACAATTATATTACAGTGGCAAGAAGCTTAAAGATTGACAATATCAAGTGCCTAGGACATTGTGGGACAGAGGAGTAGTGAGTACTTTCTGTGCCTAACACACAGGAGGGCGGTTGTGTAACCAGTGTTACAAAGGGTGTTCCTTGACCATGAAAAGCAAGTCCAACAAAAGAGTGAAGAAGCCAAGTGGTTTTAAGTGCAAATCAAAGTCCCTCAAGTTAAAGCAAAACCAGTCACACTGACTATATTTTCAATGTATTCATTTAGTGCACCTAAAATCCATTCAGTGTCCAAAACTCTGATGATCAAATTAATTCAAATAACAATATCACAAAATCATAGTAATGTGCAAACCAGCTGCCATCTATTTTTGTAGCCATAGTGAGAGATTATATTTTAGATGATGATAAAATAGTCACTAAAATGATTTTTAAATTGTTAAACTATTACAAGCATAGTCAGTACTTATTATGCTTTATTATGATCTGAAAGTCACACAAGTTTGTAAACTATCATTATTATAAGAACTGTTTTAAAACAGATGACAGGGGTTGTGTTTTTTCGTTATTGTTGTTTTGTTTTCTGTCTTTTAAGACATTTTCTGTGAAGCAATAGATTCATGAAGGAGAGAGAACAGCATTGATAGGAAGTAACTAAAACTTCATTTCATTCAGCTTGTGCACATGTACCCTAAAACTTAAAGTATAATAAAAAAAAGTTAATAGATCCTCCATGAGCTTTAATATCCAATGTCCTCATTGTGAAGTTGCCTCAATTACGTGTGCTACAATTTGCAAACCAGTTAAAAATAAAAATGATAAATTGGCAACTAAGTTCAGCCAGTCCTGGAATTCTAAAATTCTAGGATACACCATTGATTACTGGTAAAAATACGAAGATTCTCCATCATCTTGAATTTTATAATTCTGACAGCTTTATGGAAGGAACATATTCTGCCATTGTCCTGGGCATCACTCTACAAGCTTTCTTGCTTGTAAGTAGATCTGAGCCAAGTGCCAGGGCTGCAGAAGCAAGTTCTAGGGCTTTGGAGTCAGACAGCATTGGATTCCCACTGAATTAAGTACTGTGCTTCTGCGCCTAGCCTCAGGTTTACTATGTATAAATGAAGTCTAAATAACCACCTGGTGGGCTAGTGCAAGTATTAAGCACAATAATGCCTCTGAAAGGCCCAGGACATTCTTGGAACAGAGAAGCTCTGTTTCTGCTCAGCCTGTCTCCATTCCTGCCTGATTAGCTCAGGACGCCACAGAGAGCAGGAGGGGCAGCCACATAACAGGTTGGGGGGTGTGTCCATTGGACCAGCTTGCATATCATCTCACCTCTGACTGCACTGTCACTGGCCCTCATGTGCTCTCCCTTCTTTGTCTGCTAAGACCCTCCCAATGGTTTGCTGTTGACATCCAACCTCAGCTCTGTTCCCTAGACTCCGATGCACATCTCTCCTCTCCAGAACCTGCCTCTATGGAGTGGCATTAAACATCTGCCATCCTGAGCCCTCGCTGGTATGGTCCCAAGACCTCCCACAAATGTCACAAGTACCACCAGATACCTGAAACATTCTTTCCCCAACTCTTGTCAGAATGTCCCAACCATAGGCTCTCAGCTTCAGTTCTGCCTGCCTGGTGACATGCCGGCCTGAGGCAGTAGGACAGCCTTGCATGTTTGGCAATAGAGCTGTGCTTCTCTGAATGATTTAGGAATGATCTGGGTATATTAAAAAACTAAAAATCCAAGGTGTCTATTATGATACATGATTGCCAAATCTGCCACTCTTTATCTCCCAGTTGTTCCTTGTCCCATTACAATTTGGTTTAGAATTAACCCATTCCCTCCAACCGTTCTTGCTGGCTTGTAATTGTAATATGTATGCAATGGACACAAAATCTGAAGCATCTCTTCCTGAGTCCCGGTCTGCCTCTAACTTGCTTTGTAAATAGTCACTCTGTCTGTTTAAAGTGTCTCCACCCTCTTCCTTCTATCTTCTGTTAAGCTACAGGAATGCTGTTTTCTAAAATGCCATCCTTTATGGAAAGATCATGACATTCCTTTCCATAAAATCCTAAAATGTCAAACATAAGAATCATTTGGTTCTTTGTAATACAGCTCTAGCTTTACCTCCCACTATTTTTTCAAAACCTAATATGTACCTTATATTTATTTCTTCATGTATCTTACATTACAAACATATAGACCCATGTGCACTTTTCCAAATTGATCATATTCTTTCTTTTTACAGTAATGTTTTCTGGAAACAATCTCAAATTTAGAGATAAGTTTCAAGAACACTACTAAAAAGTTTGTACCTTCAAATCATTGATGGCAGGTTGTGGACATAATGCTCAATCTATCCCAAACTAGAGTACATTTTCTAAAAACAAATAAATTACCCAAAAACATATTCCATAAGTCTATCAAAATACAAAACTAAAATTGTTATATGACTGCCATTCAATCCACAAACCCAATTCAAGTATCGTCATTTGGTCCAAAATATCCTTTATAGCAAAGGGATCAAGTTTAGAAACATGCATTGCTTTTAGTTATAATTTCTCTTTAGTCTTCTTCAACCTGAAAAAGTTACTCAGTATCTCCTTGACTTTCATGTTCTTGACAGGTTTGAAGAATACAGGCCAGGTGTTTTAGGAATTTCTCCCAATTTGGATTTGCCTGGTGTCTCCTCATGATTTGCTGTGCTGTGATTTGTCTTGCTGTGTCCTATCAAGTGAAACACAGTTTCGATTTGTTTCATTACTAGTGATGTTGACTTTGATTGCTTAAAGTGGTAAGTGTCATGTTTCTTCACTGTAAAATTGTTTTTTTCCTTTTTAATTGAGGGTTTTATGGGTAGCTGCTTTGAGAGACTATGCAAATATCCCATGCCTCATTAAAGTTATAATTTGTTCACTTATTTATTGTCTATATCACTATGAACTATTGGTTCCCTATTAAATTCAGTGGATTACAATCCATTACTATACTGATGTATTTTAATGTTTAAATTCTTCTAGATTTGAACAGTGGGACCCTCTTCAAGTTTTCTTCTGTGTCCTTTTAATGTGTTCCTTTTCAAACCTTAACAACTTTCTTACTTTATCACAGCAAACTATTCCAAGCTCATGTCATATTTTCTCTGTTCTAGCTTTGAAATCAACCATTATTCCAAAGATCCATGGTTCCCATTTGGTGGAAATGGTATTGCAAAACCAAGAGCTGGATCTAGGTGTACTCATTGCTATTGAATGTTGCTGTTTCTACTATTTCTTGGAGACAGAGCTAGGGCATATCATTGTATAAATACCTACACATAGGTGATAATATGGACAAATCTACAGATAGCTTCGATTTCAATTCAGAACCATAGTTTTAGTTTGGTTCCTTTATATTTCTAACATCCTTCTCCAACAATAAGAAACTAGCTCTCATTATTCTTAATATTTATTTGATTAATCTCCTTGGCCATAACCAATCTCCCTCTCCTGCACTGATGCCTCTTTAATCCCAGTTGGCCCAGACACCTCACATCAGGCTGCATGGCACACATCCAGGTCTTGTTGCAAGCTAAAAGCCTACCAAGAAAAAGGACAACACTTACCCTATATTGTGTCTTCTTCCGAGTATCAACTCCACTGTGGCATCTGCCTATGTTCATTCACCCCGGTGCCTTCAGGTTATATTTTTGTGTTTTGTCCAGGGTTTTTAGCTGGTCTCTGGGAGGTTTGGTCCAGCAGGAGCTAACACAGCCATAGCGGAAGCTGCCATAGGATTTTGTTTATTTTCTTTTCCTTCTGTTTTGTATTTGTGAATTTTCTTTATAAGATCAAGAAAGGATTCCTGGCCGGGCGCGGTGGCTCACGCCTGTAATCCCAGCACTTTCGGAGGCCAAGACGGGCAGATCACGAGGTCAGGAGATCGAGACCATCCTGGCTAACACGGTGAAACCCCATCTCTACTAAAAATACAAAAAATTAGCCAGGCGTGGTGGCGGGCACCTGTAGTCCCATCTACTAGGGAGGCTGAGGCAAGAGAATGGCCTGAACCTGGGAGGCGGAGCTTGCAGTGAGCCGAGATAGTGCCACTGCACTCCGGCCTGGGCGAGAGCGAGACTCCATCTCAAAAAAAAAAAAAAAAAAAGATTCCTAGTTTCCTAAGAATTTTTATCATGAATCGGTATTCAATTGTATCTCATGCTTTTTCTTCATTTATGGAGATAATCATAAGATGTTTCTCCTTAATCTGTAAATGTGGAAAATTACATTGGTTAATGTTCCAATATTAAGCAAAATTTGACTTTTTGGAGTAATCCCATTTTAGTTGTCTGTATTGCTGTTTATTATATTACTGGATTTTGTTAATATTTTGATTAGGGGTTTTGTATCTGTGTTCATGAAAATAATTTGGCTTCTAATTTTCCTTTATTGTGATGTTCTTTGAAGGTTTTATATCCAGGGTATGCTAGCATTATAAAAATAAATTGAAAGGTTCTTATTTTTCTATTGTTTGGAAGTGTTTGGAAAAAGTCACCAATAAGGCCAATTAGAAAGGAGTTCTCTTTAGCGGAAGAATTTCATGACAGATTCAATATCTTCATTAGATAGAGGATTATTCAAATATTCAATTTCTTATTGTGTCAATTTTAGAAAGTTGTATTTTCCAGGGATTTTGACATTTTATCTGAATTGTCAAATTTATTGACATAAAGCTTTTAATAATATCCTAATATTAGCTTTTTAATGTCCATAGCTTCTTTATAAATGTCCCCTTTTTATCCCTAATGTTGATAATGTATGTGTTTCTCATTATTCTTTTATCTGTCTGGCCAGAGATTTACCAATCTGATTGGCTTTTTCAAAGAAATAACTTCCAAGCTCTCTGTGTCCTTATACCTAAGGTATAAATCTTATTTTTTTAAACTTTAAATTCAGACTGACAATCATAGTCCTTTTATTTGAAATATTATCAATTTTCATTATCACTACTTTTATATTTAGATTTAAATCTACTATCTTGCAATTCATTTTCTATTTGTTGCACTTGTTCTGAGCTTCATTTTTTCCTTCCTTTTTTTTTATTCTGTCCTAATTAAACTTTAAAAAAATTCCTTCCATTTTTCCCTCCATTTACTTAATGGTTAAACTTTTAAACTTTTGAGATAATTGTACATTCACATGCAGTTGCAAGAAATAATGGACCCTGTCTCCTTATGCTAACATCTTGCAAAACTACAGAACAATATCACAACCATTGACATTGACATTGACACAATCCACTGATCTTATTCAGATTTCCTCCATTTCACTCATACTTGAGGGTGTGCTTGTGTATCTAGTTGTATCAATTTTATTCCATGTGTAGGTCCATGTATCCACCATAGCAGTCAAGGTAAAGAGGCATTCCATCACCACGAGGATCCCTCAGGCTGTGCTTTCATAGCACCTTCCACCTTGTCCTTCTGCCCACCCCATTCCACTCCTAACCCCTGGAAACGTAGATCTAGCCTCTACTTCTAAATTTTGTCATCCTGATTTACTTATAGTGTTTATATTTATTGGTATGGTTTTCTTAGCGGTGGCCCTGGGTATTATAATATGCGTAAGTGACATCACAATCTACTGGCATCCAAGCATATTATCAGTTTTATATTTGGTAAGTTTGGTAAAGGGTTATAGTTACCTGTTATGGTTTTTAGCATGGAAGTTCTTAGAGACAATAATATTCTAATATGTACCATCAATATCCATGATACTGACTTGATGTGTAGCATTTCACAAGGTTATTTGTTCTGAAAACCTTCATTTTTAATAGATCAGTTAATATCTCAGGGAACTTGTATCCTGTGGATGCCACTCAAAATGTTTCAACATATCTTTTCATTAAAAAGATATGTAGTACTGGTTTTAACCATTGGCAAATGAAATCCCCATCTTGAAAATCCATCATATATTATATTTTATATTTTTCTGGTATTTTATATATGTATAAGATAAATTATTATTTAGTTTTTGTATATCAATTATGTCGCTTCATATTTTAACTATTTATAAACTCTAGATATAAGTTTTAGTCTAGATTATCAATTGTGTTTAAGTGTTTCTAGGCTATGGAAATACAGGGTGCCATGAAAGTGGCATATGAGCATTCATACCTGTGCACCTGAGGCAGGCTTTACAGATAGACCACAGGAAATACCACTAATCAATCACAGCACCCTTTCACTTTGAGCCGGGTATAGCCTCAGAATCCTTCACAATTCTGCTTTCTAGGTAGCCATGGAAACAGGTCAGAATTCATATACAAGATAGGAATTTACTCTGCAGTAATGCTCATTTATATGACTGTTATTAAATTATTTTATTTTCAGTTTCAGAAATGACATTAACCTTGTATTCAACTTGAAACCAATCTTAAAATACTTAATTTTTACCTCTAATCCTTTGATATTTTAACTTTCCTATTCTATATTGATTAAATTTTTATCCATTTCTTGAATCTGTTTTTCAGATGTTCAAAGAAAATGTACCACTTATATCACTGTTATTTAATAATGGCAGTTATTGGCATCTAATAATGGCAGTTATGCCATTATTAAATATAAGTGATACATTTTCTTTGAATATCTGAAAAATGCTTTTTTCTAGCCCTTATATTAGAACAGAAATTTGGTGGTGTATCACATTCCTGAGCCAAACATTTTGTACTAAAATCCCCGTAGATGCTGTTTCTGCCTTTTCTTCCCAGAAGTACTGTTACAGAGGAAAGCTGTGAGATGATGATGATGATAGTTATTATGCATTTGTGTATAATCAATTTCCTCACTTTTTTCTTGAAGCTTATAACAGATTTTTTGTTACTATTATCTTTGTATTTGAAAAATGTTGCCAAGGCAGTTCTAGTGCACTCCTTATCACTTATTTTGCTTCGATTTCAGGGCACTTTGTTATTAGCTCAGGAATGTTTTAATCAGTCTTGATTTTATTTATTGCTTCAATTCTAATTTGCTTGTTTTCTTCTTGTGGAATACCTATAATGCTGGGTTAGTCTTTTGTCTCAATCCTTCATAACAACCATCTTCTCTTTCATCTTTTTTACTTTTGTCCCTATACTTAGAAAGATAGTACAGTTTCTTTCTTCTACTTTTCACTTCACATTTTTTATTTAATTTTCAACTGTGTAAGACCTGTTTTTTACTGATATAACCAATTTTTTAGAATAAGTCAATTTAACTAGACACAAAATTTAATTAGGCCTAAACCCTACCTTCAAGATATTGTTAGAAATAAACATGCAACTTGGCCAATAGATTTAACAAATGGAGAGTCTCAATAAAGAAATTTAAATTCTTTCTAAAGAACCCAGTGGAAATCCTGGAGTTTAAAAGAATAAAACTGAAATGAAAAATTCTCTAAAGAGCTCGTCTACGTATTTGAGATGGCAGAAGGAAGATTCAGTAACATTAAAAATATATATCAATATAAATTATTTAATATGAAAAACAAAGAGAAATGATTTAATAAAAATGAACAAAGCCTCAGAAACCCATGGTTCAATATCAAGTCTATCAATATATGTGTAATGGGAAACCCCAGAAGAATAAGAGAGAGCAAAAAGAAAATAAAAATTATTTGAAAAAATAGCGACTGAAAACTTCCCAAATTTGATTAAAAAAAATAATAATCTACAGATCCAAGAAGCTTACTGACACCAATTTGGACAAACACTAAGAGATCCACACCTAGACACATCTTAGATAAATTTTAAACACGAAGAGAAAATCTTGAAAGCTTCAAGAGAAAAAACAGCCATCAGGTACAAACAATATAATTAATGCTGTCTTCTCATAGGAAACAATGGAGGCCAGAAGGCAATGGAATCACTTATTCAAACTGCTAAAAGAAGACTACCAAACAATAATTATACATCCAGTAAAACTATCCATCAGGAATGAAGGAGAAATGAAAACATTCCTAGGTAAACAAATACTGAAAGCATATGTTTGTAGCAGATCTGCTTTATAAGAAATACTTCAGGCTAAAAGGAAGTTGCACCAGGAGGTAACTAAACTCCACGGGATCACAAAAATGAGCACTAGAAATGATAAATATGTGGATAAATAGAAAACACTCTATAAAGATACTTTTCTCATTCCTTTCCTTAACTTTAAAAAACACAGGATTGTGTAAAATAATAATTATAATGCTGTATTCTTACATTAATTACCTCTGCAGACATAATATATATGGCAATTACAGCTCAAAGGAGTGGTAAGGAAAAGGAGGAAAATTTCTCTCTAAAGTTGATGTTAATAAGTTTTGTATTGAAATCTCTAACACGACTACTAAGAAAAATTTTTTTAATATAGTAAAAAATGAATTCATATACTGCACTAAAAATATTTACTTAACATTAAAAAAGCAGCAAAGGAGGACCAGAAGAACAATAAAAGACATGAGACAAATGGAAAACAGATTTTAAAAACCGATAATCATAAATTCATCCATATTAATAATTATATTAAATGTAAATACACTAAACACCCCATTCAAAAACTATAGATTGTCAGACTGGATAGAAAAGTAAGACCTACCTGCAGTTGGCCCTTGGTATATGTGAGTTTCACATCAGTGGATTCAACCAACTGTGGATAAAAAAATTTTTTTTAAACTGTGTCTGTAGTGAATGTGTATAGACCTTTTTCTTTTTATTATTTCCTAAACAATACAATATAACAATAGCATTTACAAGGTGTTAGATATTGCAAGTAATCTAAAGATAATTTAAATTATACAGGAGGATGTGCATAAGTTATAGACAAATACTTCACCACTTTATATCAGGGACTGAACATCTACAGATTTTAGTAGTCACAGTTGGTCCTGAAGCAATTCCCCACAAAAACTGAGGGACAATTCAATACGCTATCACCAGGAAATACAGCTTAGATTTAAAGATACAATTGTTGAAATTAAAAAGACAAGAAAGATATACCATGCAAACAATAACCATGAGAGAACAGGAATGGCTGTACAAATAGCAGGTAAAATAGACTTTAAGACAAAAAAAATTATAGGAGACAATGACAGACACTTCACAATGACAAAAGGGTCAACACATCAGGAAGATATATAATTTAAGTGCATATGCACTTAAAAACAGCCAAAAAATACATGAAGCAAAAACTGAATTGAAAGGAGAAATATGTATTTCATCAATAATAGTTGAAAACTGTAATACCCTCTTCAATAACTGACAGAACAACTAGTCAGAAAATAGCAGGAATATAGAAGACTTGAACAACATCTCCCCCAGCTCAACTTAACTGACTTTTGTAGAACACTCCACCCACTGACATATTCTTCTCAACTGAATGTGGAACAGTCTTCATCAAATAAATCATATGCTGGGTCACAAAATATTCTCAATAAATCTAAGAGACTGAAGTCATATAAAATATATTCTCTACCATAATGGAATTAAATGAGAGATCCACAATAGGAAGAAATCTAGAAAAACCCCAAGTAATTGGAAATTAAGCAGCACGTTACCAAATTAACCAGTGGGTCAAAGGAAAAAAATCATGTGGGAAATTGTAAAATATTTTAAATGGAATTAAAATGAAAACACAACATACCAAAATTTATAGGACACAGTTCAAATAGAGCTTACAGGGAAATTTACATCTTTAACATGCATACCAGAAAATAACAATGTCTTAGAGCAACAACTGAGGCTTTCAGCTTTCGGCTTTCAGATACTAGAAAAAGCAAACTAAAGCTAAAGAGAGCAGAAGAAAGGGCATATATTTTGTGCTAACACTATACAGGGCATTGGACACTCTTGCAGTACAATGTAGAATGGTACATAGAATAGAAATCAAGAAACATTTCTTCACAGGACCAAATAGTAAATAGTTCAGGCTTTCTGAGCCATAAAATCTCTGTAGCAGCTACTCAACTCCGCAATTATAGCATGAAAAAGACATAGACATTGAGTATGAATGCATATGACTGTATGTCCAAGAAGTTTTATTTATGAGCACCGAAATTTGAGTTTTCTATAATTTCTACATGTCAGGAAATAGTATGCTTGTTTTGAGGTTTTTGCAACCATTTAAAAAAATGTAAAAACCATTCTTAGTTCACAATTGAATACTAACAGGGACTAGCCCAAATGTGGTCCATTGCCATAGTTTGCTCATCCCTACCTGATTGATAGAGTCAAAAAAAAAAGAAAGAAAGAAAGAAAGAAGAAAAAGGAAGAAAGAAACCATAAGCATTGATCCCCACTGAGGAAGGGACTGTATCTTTTTAGTTCTGTATCTTCAGCCAGTTAATACATGAGATAACAGAGTTTAGGAGAAGTGGTGGCATCCCATGGAATCTCTAGGATGAAAGAGAAGTAGCTGGACTGACTTGCTGGTACAGTTTATAGAAATAGGATTACTTAGTTCTGGTAAATCTTTAGAGGGAAGGAACTAAAGATGAAATCTAACATAGTAAAATTTCATTCATAGTAAGTACCTAATATATTTATTTTATTTAATCATCACAAACCTTCCATTTTACAGTATTCCGCCTCAAGATCCCATAAGTATTAAATGGCCAAAGCAGGAATAGAAGAGGGTGGTAGCTTAAAGCTCAATTCTTTTTCCAGGAAGCCGAAAATAAATGGTGGTCATGAGCTCATCCTCTGCTGTCTCCATGCTTCTCTTTCAGTATTAACACATAGAGATCACAGTTAGGAAAGCATGAGCCTGGATCCCAGCAACAGCCCTGGGCTACTTCTTGCAGATCCTCATCACTGCCACTTAATGTGTATGAGCCTCAAAATTCTCTGGCTGTGTCATGGCAATGATAATGACTCTACCTATATCCCTGATAATTAGGAAGATCAAGTAAGATCATGAGAGTGAGAGTGTTTTGAAAAGTACAAAATATGATACAAATAGATGGTGGAACTTTTTTTTCATTCTTTATTGAGTTGGGCCTTATTTTTTTTCCAGAATGGACACATCTTTGTGAATCAATCACTGTGCTTTATAAGCATGTGTCAGCTTTTTCTACATGTGATGCGTGCCTGGATGCAGCCCTTGTTTATGGGCAGGCCTCAGTGTGGGAGAGATCTCTATCTGTGGGTATTCAGATAACTAGGACACCCTGTTCTGTTTATAAGTCAATCTTTTACTGATGGGATTTTGACTTTTTCCCTCCTAGTAGCATATTATGGACAATATTTGTTACTGGCATGACTAACTATAAAGTTAGAATACTCAGCACCCTCTTCCTAAATTATAGCAGCAATGATGGTAGAAAACACTCTTTTACAAAAGAGATATCTGACTTTCTCTGGTTTTGAATCTAATGAACATCAGGATGCTTGAAGTTTAAGGTTAGATAAGTATCAAGAAGCTGAATGCTTATCTGGAAACTTTGAACTTTCAGTGCCTATTTGGGTAGAAAATGTCATGATTATACTTTGTTGCCTGATTTCCATAACTTCCTGAATTTGAAGGGGCCAGAAATTCTTTGAAAAAAGAAAAACCACGGTGGAGTCCGACTGCCTCTGATGGCAAATAGAGTGAACCAAACAGAAGTGTTCAGGAACCATCTCAGCTTTCCATCTCCACCTAACCCTACCCCATAGATAACCCTGCACTTCCTGGATTTTAAACAATCGGTAGTTGGATGGCAGGGAGTTGCAGGATTTCTGTTTTTCATTTGTACCTGGCAGTTTTATCTCTCTGTGGAGTCAGGATAGTACAGCAGGCCACCACCCAGACCTTCCACTCACTGTCTCAAACTCCTCATCTGAAGATGTGAACAGAGATCACCATTTCACAAGGTTCTCATGGGAACCGGTAAGCCAACGTACATTTCCTGGCACACCTCAGGCTCTGAAAATGCCCATCTCCCTCCCCTTCTTCTTCTGCCTTCCACTGGGGGGACTTGTTCTGGTAATGGGACTGCCCTCCCCACCCACAAAAAAAATAGGTTATATAATCCACCATGTGTGTTATTGCACCATATGATGAAGAACTAAACAGACAACCTGTGAATTTCCATTGAGAGCTTGCACCCCAAGATGGAGTCAAGGTTTGAGAAGGCCATGCAGGAGGAGGGAGACTACACTCACCACACCACTTCTCTCTGGAATAGAGAGAAGGCCCCAAAGAGGTCACTCCCGTCTGGTTGATTAACCTTGCTTTAAGTCAATTAACAAACTTTTTCTTTGAAAATTTCCAAGCATAATTGTGATTATCCCTGACTACAACACATTGATTCAAAAGCACAATGGGAAAAGAGGAAGAAAAGGTCCCTCCCACCTCTGTCTCTTGCCTTTCCTAGATTAGGTGAGTGAACACAGTACTGAGTCATCACTGGACTTGATTCTCATTCAGTAGCCTCAAACCCAGTGAAGTTGGACAAAACAGGAAATGATCTGAAAGAGAAGATCTACAGGGGCCAATATGAAATGGCAGGGTGCTCTCCTCCCAGAGGAACTCTATATTAAACTGTGGAAGTTAACCAGATAATTGCCAACTCAGGATATTTCAGAATAGCAAATCTGATCTTTCTTTTTCAAACTGAAAATCCAGTAAGAAATGTTTTCTTACACTTTTGTTTTATATTATCTTTATCCTTTTCACTTATTTCTATCCTAAATGTCTATTAAATTTGAATTAATCTCTCCTTTGATACAGTTTCTCTCTTACTATCTGGTCTGTAAGAATTTAAGGCATAGACTATGTATATCTTTGTTCACCAGCATCGTTGGTGCTGGCATAGTTCCCAGCATAGTGGAGAAACAAAATCACTATATAATGCACTTTTTACTGTGGATTAAAGCCAAAAAGATTGTAAGTTCTTGAAGAAAAAAAATCTCTCTTTTGCTTCATATGCATCCCCCTCTACAAGGCTGAGCATCTCACCTTCCACATAACAAGTATTTATTATCAAATAAATGAATGAATGAACAAAAGTATTAAACATTTATTCAGAACCTTCTGGAGGGCAAGCTAAAAAGAAACGTAATGGAAGACAGGTTCCCTGTCCTTTATGAGGATAAAATTTAGTTGGGAAGGGATGATATAGATACAGAGAGTTAGATAACATTGTCAAGTAAATTTAAGTTACCTATGATGTGTGCAGACATGGAACATGGAAGAAAATTTACTAAAGACATAATCACAGGCAGTTAGGAATGCCTTCTGGGAGATACACAGACTGGAAGCAGCTCTTACAAGAAGGACTGTAGAAAATGGAAGATGTAGGTAAGGAAACTAAAATGTTGCCATGTGTTTGATGCATATTTTCTTATTTCATCTTCACATGTCATCAAAGAGGGGGAAAAAATAAGAGCCCATGCGTAGTAAATAGTGGGTCAGGATCTGAATCCAAAGCTAACTGACTCTGAAGAATATTTTCATTCTTCATGGGAATACCTCTCACCTGAAAATAGGAAGAAGGAATTAAATGAAGGGAGAATGGCATGAGAAAGGACCTGGAATTGGGGGGCATGCCTGGTTGCAACTGAAGCTGAAATGTTAAGATGGAGTGGAGTTAGTTTCCAGGGAGGCAATGCTAGAAACATAGATAGAAGCCAGATGAAAGCAATAGTCAAAAGCATGCTCTGCAGCTTGGACTTTGTTCTGTGCTTTGAATGGAAAACTTTTCAAAGATGTTAAAAGGTAATAAGTATTCCAGGAAAATTAGTCAAGCTCTTATATAAGGTAAAGTAAAATGGGAGGACTCAGAGGCAGAGAATGAGAGCTATTGCAAGCGCCCAGCGGAATGATGCTGACAGACTTGGGTAAAGTGAGTTATTCATTCATTCATTCAGTCCCTTAAGTATTCTCAAGTATCTCAAGAAATACAGCAAAAGAACAGGGCAGGTGCAATGCTTTTTCTAATGGCACCTACTTTCTAGTGGGGAAGAGAGACAGTTAAGAGGAAAAAAAATGAATATTGTTAGAGAGGAACAGCATCATGAAGAATCATCAGGATAGTGGGGTGAAGAGTCAGATAGAGGGGCTGGTGATGTGCGAGGTTGAGTGGACAGGGAAGGCCTCAGGAGGGCAGAACAAGCCCCAGGACCAGAAAGACCAGGCAGCAGAGTGGGGAGGGAGCCTGGCTCAGGGAAAGTCTGCAGAGAGGACAGAGGTCTGACGATGCAGGGTTCATATTGAATGAGGGAAGAAAAACATGAATGAAAGACACACTAGGAAGATAGGTTCTGTTGTAGGTTCTGTGTGTCTTTGAACATGGGGGTAAGGAAGAACTTCAGGGTGATTTCAGACTTGTGATTCTCTAGGACTAAGAGGTGACAAGGAGAGGTGAGGGTTTGGCTTGGGGGGAAGGGGAAGTTTTCGGTTTTATGAAAAAGAGCAGTAGGAGATAGAGGTAGCCCATGACTCATTTGTGGCTTGAAACCTCTTTCTTATAAGAGCAAAACTATTTTCTTTCATACCATTGTGGAATTTCCGAAGCTGGAATTGCTGACTACATCACAGAACTCATTTGCTCAGCTGAGAATGTTGTGTGCCTTGGGAAAGGTGGTCACACCTACCTCTACCTACAACGTGTGAATGTGGAGTGTGCAAAAATGCCAAAGGGGCAGGACTCCAGGCATTTTTCTATCAAAACACATTTCACTAGTTTTAAATTTGGTTATGAATAGCTCTCCCAATTTTGAAATTGTTTTAAAGTTGGCTCAGAGTTAAAAAAAAAAAAACCAGCCACATTAAGAATGAAATCAGGGAGCATGAAATATAAAGGAGTGAAGATGGTGGAGGGTATAAAGAAAAACCTCTGTTGAGAGTTGAGGGATGGAAGATAACATACACAGAAGCTTAGAAACTGATTGAGGCCTTGACTCTGAGCTTCCTTGGCTTGTCTAAGTCAGGACAAAATAGGAAAACTCCAGTTTGCACAATTCACAGTCTGGTCACAGTGGATCTTGCTGCTTTTCAGGAAAAATCACATTCCTTGGCCCCGTGCTTTAGAAAGGTATATATGCATAGGATGCAAAATTATCAATAACATCCCTGGTTTTTTTAAAAAAATGGCCACAATAACAATTATTCCATGTGGCTGTTTCTTTCAACAATCCTTAGTGGAAAATCTAAGTCTGAAAAGCTTTGTGGCGTCGTCTTGAGAGGCAGAGAATTGGGTCCAGGTATGTACATTTCTGGAGGTCTGGCTTAGTCCTGGGATAAAGATTGGATAATCTTGATGAAAAGGCCATCACTACAGCCTAGGGTGTCCTGGGTAAGTGGCATCTCTGAAGGTGGTGGGTCTCGCCTAGCAGACAGGCACTGTACCTGCAGCCTGAGGGAGAGGCTCTTGCTCTGTTCAGAGAGGGTGTTATGTTAAGAGGGTCACAGAGCTGGGCTTGTGCTGGAGCACAGGGCAGGAGGGGTAGGGGGCAGGGCTGTACTGCCTTTACTGGTCTTCACCTCCTCCCTTCTGGTGGGCTCCACCAACTCTTCTTCCTGCCCCAAGTGTGTGGTCTGCATCACCCAACACTTGTGACTTTCCTGTCATTCTTTGCCCCTGTGCAATGCTACTTTGCTCTTGAGAGTCTCGGCTTTTTGCCGGGAAAGATCATCACAGCTCATCTTCCTGGAGAAACCAGAGACTATTGCCTCCCACCCTGACTTCCCAGTATGTCAGCTTGGATAAGTGCTTCAGAGGGGGTGAATGACACTTTACACTTTGAAATCAGGAGTGTCTGTTCTCAGGCTGACCCAGAGCCGCAAGGCCACCTGTGGCACCCCTTCTCCATGCCCAGGTGACTCTTCTGAGCTGTCTCTACCCCAGGCACTTCTGCAGTCCTGCCCCTCCACCTTCATTGCCTTGGCTTGTCCTAATTAAAATTTGTAATTTAAAAAAAAAAGAAAAATCAAAAGCTGGTAATCGCGAGCCTTCCTTGTAAAAAACACAGCTTATTTCTATCATTAGCAACCTGTGCTGCAACAGAGCCCCTGACACGTGCATTTCAGGAGCAATTAGGAATCGCTGGCTGCATTTACATAACATTAAAATCACTGTCTACATATGCAAAATAAAATGAATCTCTTCCCATTGCTCCCACAGGCACTGGCCTGAGATAGATTTCTATCTGTTTTTGCATTTTAGCCACATGGATTTATTTGATCTGCCCATTATTTGCTTTCCTGGTAACGGGAGGTTTCCCTCCACTCTAACTGCCTGGCCAGGAGCAGCAGGCTGGGCACACCCGCGCCAAACCACTCGGGAAGAGGGGGTGAGGCGGGGCCGCGGCCTATCTCATCTCCCCTCCCCAGCATGCCTTGCAGCTGCAGGAAGCCACCCACCCATATTTCAGAAACCACAGGCTCCTGTGGGTTCCGAGAGCCTCTGTCCTGGGTGTGCTTTGAAACATGCACACAGTTTAATGTCTTGTTAGTCACCTTCTTTTACATTGCTCAACTGGAACTGGGAAGGAGCACCAATTACTGTGAACCATGCATGGTTTGATCTTCAGTCTTCCCCTTCCCTCAAGAGCAGCCATTCTGGTAGCAATGCCCCACTGCTGCATGATAGAGTTCTAGCTCAGCTGGTGTGTAGAAAGGAGGAGGCTGTTTCTTGTTATGAACACCTTCCCACCACACAACAACGAGCTCTAAGCAAAACCAAGATGTTTTTAGCTGCCACCTGTCATATCAGAACCCAGGATGCTTCACTATGGAATGAGGAAGAAAAGCCCACCTAGTTGGAACCACGATTGAGAGTTGCTTCTCCCCTACTCCTGTGCCCCTGCAGTCTCTCTTTCCATCCAGAGCCCCTCTTCCCTCTCTCACCTGCCTACTCCCTTATTTTAGACTCAGCCCAGGGCCTGAAATGCACACTTTCCCCTCGAGCTTCTTCAGGACTTTCCTCTGGCTCCCGAGGCCCCTGCATTTCACTGCTGTAGCTTGTGGTCTGAGCCCCTGGGGGACAGAGCAATGTCTATCCCCCATCCCTGGAGCTCAGCAAAGAGTCTGGCTGCAGGAGGCACTCAGAAGATGCTCCTCAGCTTGAAGTCAAGAAGACTCTGGTTTGCCTAGCTGAGGCCTACCTGGTTGCAGAACAGTTAAAGAAGGAATATGCTAGATCAGAGGTAGCCAGCCAAGGCCAGCAGTAGACTCTGCAGCTGACACCTTTAGGCCTGCCTGAGGCTGCAGTGAGCACCTCAGCTGACCACATTCAGCCTTCCTGACTGCAAGACTGGAGAGGCCAGCATGCCTTTGCAGCTGCAACTCCAGAGCCAATCAATCAATTGCCCAGGGTAGGAACCCCTCCCAAGGCAGTGCCCTCCAGTTTATGAGGCCTCTGCACTCTGTGACTTCTCCATCCTCACAATGCCCTGTTACATGGGCAGTGATTAGCCACAATGCACAGATGAGGAAACTGAGGTTCAGAGAGGTTACACCACTTTTTCAAGATCACATAACTCATAAAGACCAAACATATGAACCTACAAATGTTGATAAATCCAAGTCACTGTGTTTTTGGTTGTTTTCTTTTCCCTAGCCACCCACTAAGCCTGGTGACAGGAGCAGCTTCATGGGCCTGCGAGCAGTGCAGTCTCTCAGGGTTTTACAGTTAATGCTCTGTGGTTGCAGTCTTGAAACTGTGAATAAATTTACCTTGAATTTGTGTTTTGTCCGTAAAGTCTGACGAAGCAATGGAGCATGCATTGGGGACTCGGAGACTCTGCTCATGTGGGGCTCCCTTCCAGGTGCCTCCCCCTCCCAGGGATGGGTTCTCAGCTACCTGCCCAAGCAACCCCCAGCAACCACTGCCATCTGCTGGGAGGGGACCTGAGCCTGTGCATGGGAATGGTTGGGCCTACACAGTTGTGAACAGGGCCCTGGGTACCTGTGAGTGTCTGCAATCTCCCCATGAGTATTCCTGTGTCCAAGGGATGTGACATTAAATAGCAAGTAAAAAACACCATGACAAGAGAGAGACCCAGAAAGAAGGAAGAAATGTTTTTCCTGCCATTTGAGCAAGGGACCCCCTAATTTCAGTTTGCACTGGGCCCTACAAATTATGTAGCAGCCCTGTCTGGCAGAGGTGTGCCAGGTAACCCTATGTGTCCACTACCTTGCAAGATGGATGGTGGGCAATTGGCCCTTCCAGTGCCCCATAGGGCCTAGTATCTTAGATTGTAGTTATTCTTAAGGAATAGGATGAAAGGAGGAACAGCAGCAAAATGCCACCTTCATGACGTGCTCCAGAGACTGACCTCCTTCCACCTCTCTCTCAAAATTCATGCTCTGCTAAGCCAAGGGCCTCATTGGCCAACAAGTTGAGTTCAGGCCACCTCCTGCTCAAAGGAGAGGATAAAAAGTATTGTTGAATATCTAAGAGCTATATTTTTAACACTTGTGTCTAAAACAAGGTCGCAATTTTGCATCTGCAATAATTTATGCCTGGAAATAAGGAAGTGAAATTCCCACCTACTGGAAAGACAGTTAGGAGGGCTGTTCCATGGGGCAAGTGTGGTTTAGAGCTGTGCAAACACACATAGCAGGTGCAGGGAGACTCAGGAGCCATGAACAAGCAGCTGCCATGAGCACTACTGCTGGGTACCAGAGAGGGACCAGCCTTCTTTCCTCATTTGAAATGCGGGAAAGGGCAAGAGCGCATACTTTACAGGGGACAGGCAAGGTTTGAAGGAGACCAGACCAGAGCAGGATTTGTCTGTGTGAGATGTGTGTCCCCAGAAGGGCAGTCTGCACTGCCTGGCATTCCATCCCAGGAGTCTCACTGCCTTAAGATGCTTGCAATCCTCCCCTGTTAGGCTCTACATAAAACTGTGTAACTTTTTTCTGTCCTGCACATGCTGGTTTCCTCTACTGGGCATCCCTCATGTACTCTTCAGCCTTCACCTCTGCTGGAATTTCTTTCAGAAATCTCTGAGCTGAGATATGATTGGTACTGACTCCTCCACCAGCTTAGGAGTGGCCATGAGGGCTGACACCCATCCTGGTATCACACTACCTTGGCCTGTACAGGGTTAGGATCCAATCAGAGGCAAGGATATTTGCTAGGGCCTTGGAGAAAAAGAAGTTTGTCTTGTGGGAGACCTTCAAGGGCAAACATCATCCTTTTCTCTGAATGGTAGGGCATGAGAATACAAGGTCTGGATGTGAGGGCTGAGATGATCCAAGGTCCACCAAGTGCAGTCCACCAGGCCGGCACTGCAGAAGGCAGACCACAAAAGTAGAGAGAAACTGAGCCATTCATTTCACTGCCGATCCATTCACTGGATCCTGCCCCTGGCATCTGCTCTCAGCTTTTAAAATTGGAGCTGATACATTTCCCATATCATTTAGACAAGTTTCAGGTTTTTTAATTAAAAAATTTTTACTCATGTCATAGACATTAAATTATATATCGATGTTCAATTTGCATTTTCATAAAGTAGTGAGGTTAACTCTTAATTTTACCTCTTCTTGACCACATGGCACAGGAAAGCATCTCAAAGTCCTTACCAGGATAACTCTGTGGACTGGGTGATTGATGCACCCCAATGCGAGCCTAGAGCTTGCATTGTGCTCATTCTATGGAAAAACAGTCAATCTAAAGAGCATGGCAGAGTGGGCTATGGAGACTGTGGTGGGCAGAATTCTCAGACAGCCCCAGTGACCCTCACCCTTGTATAGTCTCCTCCCCTTGGGTGTGAGCAGAACCTGTTGAATGTGTTGAGATAACCACTCCTGTGCTTATATTACAGTTCATGGCAAATGGGGTTTTGCAGATGGAATTAAGGTCAGTAATCAGTTGACTTTGAGTTAATCAAGAGAGATATCATCTTGTTGAACAAGAGCCCTTTTCATCCGTCTCTAGTGGTCAGAGATGGGAAGTGAGATGCTCAAAGCATGAGAGAGATAAGACGTGAGGGAGATTCTCTGTGGCTGGCTTTGAACATGGAGGGGACCACCTGGCAAGGAACATGGGCAGCAGTGTGAGCTGACAGCAGTCCCTGCTGAGAGCCAATGAGGAAACAGGGCCCAGCCTTACAACTCAGAGGAACTGAATCTTCCAATAACCTGAATGATCTGAGAAGGCGGTTCTTTCCCAGAGCTTCCGGATTGAGGACTCAGCCCAGTGAGCATCTCAATTTCAGCCTCAGGAGACCCTAAGCAGAAAGCCCAGTCACGTTGTAACCAGCCTTCTACCCACAGAATTGTGAGGTGATAACTGGGAATTGTTTGAAGCCACTAATTTCATGATAATTTGTTATGCATCAATAGGAAAGTAACACAGAGGGACAGACCACAGCAGCTGTCTGAAGTCTCACCCAAAGCTACAAGGCTATTTGTACCCTGGCCTTCACAGTTATTTGGAAAATTAGAGTCCTTTTTCGCCTAAGTTTATTTAAATTCAATTTCCATTCTTGGTGACCAAAAGCCTCCCAACATATTTCTTAAGTTCTTATAATATCTTTTAATTTATATTTTATGATATGCTGCAAAGAATAGGACTAACTGGACCAGGGATATTCAGATTTTTAGCAACCTTGCTGAGAATTTTTAATTGTTTTCCAAAAGAGTAATGTCAATATATCCTGCCACCAAAAAAACAAACAAAAAAAAAACTATGAATTTACCAACAGCAGCATAAATCTACCATTATCACTCCTCTTGTATTATTTGGTTAAAAGGTGGTATTAATTTGTACCTGCATTTTGTTTTGTTTTTTAGCTTTCAAACTTAATATGTTTAATCAATTTGTGTGAACTCTCTGTTCATTAATTATGATCAACTTTCTATTGGAGTGCTGGTTTTTTTCTTGCCATTTTTCAGTGAGAATACCTATTAATTTTCTGTCATACTTAAACCATTTCTGTTTGGTTTTTTTTGAATTTTATTTCTATTAGGTATATTATACTTGTTTGGTAGAAGTCTCTTATTTTTATGTTTCATATCTGTTGTTTCCTTTAAGATTTCGTATATTGGCCCAAAATTTTGGAATCATAAAAACCTTCTGATATACACTTTACTTCTCTTTACTTCTATATTCATTTCCAGGATTTGTCCATGTCATTTATTTCTTCAAATACTCACGTCTTAGATTTATTTATCTATTTTGTTTTTGTGTGTTTTCTATTTTTTTCTTTTATCACATTTTTAAGGTGGCCTCAGTTGCCAGATACAGAATCTCAATTCAAATCAGCATGAACAACACTTGATGATTTATTTAAAAGACATTTGGGTAGTTCACAGATTCGAAGGCCAAGATGAAGAGTGACGAGGGTGGAGGAGGCCTAAGAGGGGAAAACTGCCTTCCTCTCTTTTTCTCTCCTAACTCCAGGAGCTCAGACTATTATTTTTTCCATTGGCCTAAATTTTGCCCTGCTGAAGAGAACAGGACAGCTCAGGCCTGAAGTTCTGCAGCTCCATCACTCAAGGCAATGATGAGCCCTCTTCCAGAAGCACCCAGTAAAGTCCAGGGAAGGGCCCAACTGGCCCAGCTTGGGACCCCTGCTGGCCCAGCAGATGGAATCCTATAACAACTGGTGAGTGTTGCCTCTAGAAGACACTTCTTCATTCTCACCTAGTGAGAAGGCACTAAAACTCAACATTGGTTTTGAGCTCTTCATGGTACAAAGCCTCCTAGAAGTCTGAACCAGGCAAAAGGCTGACCTCCAAAGTCAGGCAGTGGTCTCATCATTAAGAGGTGCTGGGAAGCTTCCTGATGACCCCCCTTCCTGCCATGCCCTGTGTTCTCCCGGAAATGACCGTGAGCACCTGCTACTGCTGGAGAGCAGGGATTTCCCAGGCTGCTGTAGGACGCAGGCTCCCAAGGAATCTCACATCTACCATTCATCTTTGGAAAGAGATTCTCTAAGTCAGGACTCCTTGGTTTTATTTGACCAAATTGAAAAGCTTTTGGATCGAGCTTTCCTTTGTTATTATAACAGCAGTAGGAAGACCAAGAAAGCAGTATTCTTTACAGAATACTCTACTTTGCCTGAATATCATGGTCTGCTCATGCTATTTACTACATAGTAATTTAACAAATTTCCTGGGCTCCCTTCTTAAATAAGTACGCTTTTTTAGTAATTCACTCCTCATTGGATACCACATTGCAATACCTAATGATAACTTTTAAGACACATTCTGGGAGGGGAGGGTAACAGGCTTCTCTCTGCTCTCTTATATACTTCTGTTTCTCCAGTTCATGTTGGTTAATTTTATTTGCATCATTTGGAGCTTTGATTTTAGTCAGCATTATTAATAATTTACTCTTTGACTTAATGGGGCTGCTGAGGGGATGAGACAGGTCTGATTGAAGCAGTGTGAGCTCCCTGGTATGGACAGCTATGGGCATCGTGTGTGTTGCCAAGTGCATTACAGAGTAATAAATGTATAACGAGTTGGGCCGTCTGGGTGTGCTAAAAATGAACTCTGAGTTAAGTAAGAGAAGCATTTCCATTGTGCTGCCTGTGCTACTAAGGAGCCCTTTCTGTGAACTGTCCTGAGCTACAGACTTGTTCAGAATCCACTTCTGAGAATGGGTGCAGTGTGTTTAAATGACTAGCCTTTGTGCCTGTAAACCCTGAATTATTTTAGAAGTTGGTTCTAATTATTTAGAACTGTGTCTAAATAAGTTACTTTACTCAGGAGAGATCTGTATCCCTGTTCCTAACCATGCACCATGGAACAGGTCTTTGGGTGCTACTCAAAATCTCTCCTTTCATTTATTTAGTTAGGCGTGGTCTAAACTGCACCAGTATAGCTTGTGGATGTGAAATGGTTAAACAGTAAAACCTCAAATGTGTGCAGCTGTGGGTTGGGAGAGCTGGAGTCTTCACCAGCTGGACACAGACAATGTGGGAGAGAGAACCACATTCACAATGGGGGAGAATTTGTTGTCTATACTCTAGACAAGTCTGGTTTCCCTCACACTAAATCCAGAGTAGTCTTCAGATTGGAGGGAGAAAACTCATGTCCAGGTAACAATACAGAATATTCTAGAAAGACTAAGCTAGAGGAAAGACTCTCCCTTACATTCAGTGGCAACCAAACAGATTTAAACACAGGGGTGGGTGACTGTCCTTAAGATATAAGTGTCAATCAGTTGCAGAGAGAGGCTGAGAATCTTTTCAGTTGGGGTGAAAAACTCCAGTCAAGAAACAGCCCCTTTGTCATGGACAAGGTGTGGAGCAGGAACAGGGGTGCTCCAAAGGGACTCAACAATGATGAAGACCTGAGAATTCCAGACAATGACAAAAAATAGGACCAACAGCAGTCCCTCCACTGCACTCAGCTGAGAGCTTCACCAGCAGAGGGGGAGTGAAGGCTAATGTCAGACACATTGAGCAATTAACTAGTTATTTTTATACACATAATCATAAGAACCCCTGAGTTACAGTCATCTATTGCAATCCAAATCGGTAGACCATCACCAGAAACTCAGTCTGCATGGAGTGCCCTGATGTCATACTTAATGACAACTTTTTAGACATATTTTTTTAAATCAAGCTTTTCTCTATTATTTTAAGAAGAATAAGGAGACCAGGAAAGCAGGTTTCTTTGCAGAATTTTGCCTGAAAGTCACTGTCTGTGCTATTTAATTTATTACAGAAATATATTACAGGATTTCCAAATTTTTAAAAAGGTGAAGCAGAATTAGCTTTGGATTAAATTTTCTGCTATTTCTATATACTTCTAGGATTTCATTGTATTCAACACAGTACTTCACCAGCAGGTAGGAAGGAAAGGGACATTTAGTCCAGCCCTCTCTGCTCTCCGCTCTTGACTAACTCCATCCGTTAGAGTGGGAATGGGTCGTGTCTTCAATGCAGCTTGCTCAGGAGGAAGTGGGCAGGAAGATCAGTCACCATTGCAGCTATCCCCTCAGCAGCAAGGCAGGAGTTCTCCTCTGGCCACAAACCCCGTGGACACTGAGGAACGGCAGCCCTCTTCACCGTGTGGGGCCACAGTGATGAGATCAACCCATGGGCCCCTCCTGCCGATTCTGCCACAAATGGGCCCAAGTGGCAGCCTGTGAGTGCCAAGGACAGAATTAGCTACCATCCTGGAATAGGGACCCTATCTTTGTTTGTTCATCCAGTCAACATGTATTGAGCATCTATCATGAGTCTAGATACCAGAAGGAAGCTCCAGATCCTGCTCTTGAAATCGCACACATCATGTTCACAAAATCTTGGGCATGTACAGCAAGGATAGGGAGGAGATCTAAGCAGCTCCATCTTGGAAGGACGATGGGGTCCTGAAAGGGATTTCTGAAACTTACTCTTCTCATCCTGCAGAGCAAAGTTTAAACATTTGTCTGAAGAAACAGAGAAAAAAAGAACAGCTGTGCAGAATAAACCCATTAAGTTCTTACAGAACAACCTATTTAATTAAGTGCTTGACATGTGCCAGGTATCATTCTAATTACTCTACACACCTATTTAATCATCACTTTACACTGCCTTAGGCCTGTGTACCAGGCATATCTCTGTGTACTTTAAAATATGAAATAATTCAATTCTCTAAGCAATCTTATGAAGGGTACTGTTACTATCCCGATTTTACAGATGAGAAAATTGAGACACAGAGAAGCTAAATAATTTGCCTAGGGACACACAGCAAGTAAGAGGAAGAGCCAGGATTCAAACACAGGCAATCTCACCGTGGACTCCATGCTTCTAACTCCAGTGCCTTATCCCAGGTAGAGAAGCAGCAAATGTCAGGCACAGCAGCAGGACTGGAGGTGTCTGTTTCAGTAAGAACCCATCCCTATTACCAGATATTCAAACAGGGAGACAGTTGTAGTACCTTCCACTGGGCTGTGGGGTTGAGGGGAGAGCTTATAATGGAAAAGGAAAAGTAAATTCATACCAGACGTGGGATTTCAAGTCTTAGCTTCACAAACTACCAGCTGTTCTGAGCCTCAGTTTTACCCATCTGCAAAATGGGGATAATGATATCTCCCTCGTAGAAGCATGATGAGAACTCAGTGATGCATGAATAACTATTCACACAGTGTCTAGCACAAATTTGGTGAGTAGCAAATACTCTCACTTCTATAGCCCAGGTCACGCCTTCCTGGATGGAGATTTACTGTGAAGCCGGATCAGGCAACACTCCTTCCTCAAGTGTCCCCAGCGTACCTGTGGCACCTGGAAAGCTGCCGCTAACAGCTTCTGCTGAACACGCAGACACAGAGGCTGTTCAGACCACAGTGATGTGACCAGGTAAGATCTGAGGCTCTTTCTGGTTCAAACAGTTTATGCTCCAGGAATCAAGATTATCATAATTACGGTAATTATCCATAATTATGATATAATCCATAATCCATAATTGGTATAATCCATGTGGTATAATCCATAATTATCCTCTTGTCATTATCATTGACAAGTTAATCAATAATCACAGAATAAAAATATATTGACATTGGAAAATTAGTTGAAGACTATCTTGGGCAAACTTCCTTTGCCTTTGATGTAACATATTAGCAGGAAACTAATAAAGTGAATGCAATACACTTGTTGAAATACAAGGAAAAATGTGTCATTACTCAATTCCAATAAAGTCCAGAAATAAAAAGAAATAATAACTTGTGAAAAAACTAGTAGTGATGTTGGGGAAAGGAGAATCTTACTTGTTTAATGTCACCTTGTAAGACTGAAATTTTTACAAAATGCAGTAGAAGATTCAAAATTTTCAGAATGTCTAAACAGAAAACTTTATTTTAGTATTTTCTGTCTAAAACTAAAAAAAAAAAAAGTTTTAGACAGGAAAAAAGTACATTGTTGCTGTCCAGATAGTGACAAATGGTGTCAAATGTTAATACCTAGCAGCTACTACCACTACATGTAAACCTGCTTTAATAGTCACTATGGAAGATTATGTAAGTAAAGTGATTGGGAGAAGAGAAAGAAAAAAAAGAGGAAGGGAAGGTGAGGCAAGAGATGATATGTTTTTCTAGTCTGATTTTACAATGGCTCAATTACTCTCTTTTACACTTCATTTACTCTGTGCTTCTAAATTTATACAGCTCACGAATGGGCCCCACCTCCCCTGGAATATTGCCCATCAGACTCCATATCTTAAAACACCACACCTCTGGCAGAGCTCCTGACCTTCTTTAGTGGTTGAGCTGATTGATCTCATTAATTGGCAAAAATCTATTTATTTCTTCTCTAATAAATACTTCCTATTAATTCGATTAATCTCTTTCCTAGAACATATGCTAAATTTAGAGAAGATTCTTCAACCGCAGAGGTACCATGATGCAGGAATATTTCTGTAATAGCAAATTCATTCTTTCCAGAACATTAGCCCAGAATTTTTAATAACCTTAGGAGCTATCAGATTTGCACACCACGACAATGGCTAAGTCTCCAACCCAATTTATCCTCTTACTCAGATACCCACTTTAACTAATTCTCGTGCTAGAAATGTATCCATTTTAAATTGGGAATTTAGAGGTCTCCTTGATAGAAAGCAGTAAAATAGTACGCTCTAATTTCAGGCATGTCTAATGGAAATCTTATTCCTAAACTGTTATTAAATTACTGGGATATTGTGCTTGTGGTTTATGTGACCCGTTACATATGGCAACATCTCTATTTAAATGTCATCTTGGGCCATCTTTTCAAAGACACATCAAAAAAATAACAAGAGCTATCGCTAATAAAGAAACTCATTTCTTAACAGTTCTCAATCAAATAAATTCTTTCCTTATTGGACGGTCAACAAATTAAACAATCAACAAATGTTCATTAAGCATCACAGGGGCAGGAGGGTCTATATATACTCCAATCAACTCACCCTGGCCCTCCTGGCAGAGATGGACTGAAAAAGAACTTTACACTTCCTCTTCCTTTCCCTTCTCATCCCTTTGTACATCCAATCCTTGGCTCCCGCATTATCTAATTATGTTCAATAACCATACAGAAAACGCAGCTCCTGAGTTTTGCAGGGAAAAAAGAAAACATACTAAATTTGCTTATAACAGAATTCCATGTAAGAGAAATTTGCATCTGGGCAGCGACTGGGTAGTAACAGAAGTTTTAGCAAAACTGAAGGACCCACTACTATGGGGGATTAAGGGGCACACAGAAAGTCTTTGGTGTTTTGGAACCAACCTGTATTCCAGAAGAAGAATCAGCCTCACAGAATGAATACTCACCCCTCTCCCATCTCACCCTCTGCCGTCTGATTCCCAACCTTTCCTTTTCTCTTGCACATTAGTTTAGCTGTCTCCTTTCTGGGCTAATCTTTGACCACACCAATGTCCTTGGCATCAAATCTTCACATGGGTTTCTTGTTTTGTTAAACAAAGACACTTTCTTTGTTTTATTTTTTTTAATTATTAAGATGCCTCAAAATTGTGTTGCATGAGAATAGCCAAAAATTGAGGAAGAAAACTCTTAAATTTACATCAATAGGGAAATAATTAAATAAAAAAGATGTATCCATTCAATGTAACACTATGCATTTTAAAAATAATGATATAGAATTGTATGTTTGAAGTTCAAAATTGTTCATGAGATTATAATTTTTTTTAACTACTGAGTAGACACAATAATATAAAATATACATAAAGTATAATGATTAGTCATGCAACAGTCATGAACTTAGCACTTGAGAAAATACTCATCATCCTTACTCTGAAGTCCTGGGGATGTCTCTAATCTTATTCTCTTCTGTACCTACTCAGAAAAAATCATTATCCTGAATCTTAGGTTTATTTCCTTATGTTCTTCAGAAAATTATTGTTATTTTCCAACATCTATTAAATAATATATGTCTTTGGATTTATAGGAATGGAAGTATAACTTTTATATTCTTTTGTGATTTGCTTTTTCCACTGAAGACTAAGTTCCTGACATTCATCTGTATTGATGTGTAGCGTAGAGTCAGCTCACTTCACCTGCTTTGTGGCCTCCCAATACAAGCATACATCACAATTTTTAAAAATATTCACTTCCCAGTGGACCTTCTGGTTTCTTAAATCTTTTGTTATTACAAAGGGTGCTACTAGAAATAATATTCTTAAATACTTCAATTTTTGCTAATTTGATAATATTCTAATACAGTTTTAATTTGCATTTCTCTAATTATGAATGAGATTAAGCATCTTTTTATGTGCTTGTAAGTCATTTATGTTTCTCCTAGACCCCTTCCTTACACCTTATACAAAAATTTACTCAAGATGGATTAAAGACTTAAATGTAAAGCCCAAAACCATAAAAACCCTAGAAGAAAACACAGGCAATACCATTCAGGACACAGGCATAGGCAAGACTTCATGACTAAAACACCAAAAGCAATTGCAACAAAAGCCAAAATTGACGAATGGAACCTAATCAAATCACAGAGCTTCTGCACAGCAAAATAAACTATCATTAGAAAGAACAGACAAACCAGAGAACAGGAGAAAATTTTTGCAAGCTACCCATCTGACAAAGGTCTAATATCCAGAATCTACAAGGAACTTAAACCAATTTACAAGAAAAAAAACAAACAACCCATCAAAAAGTGGGCAAAGGTTATGAACAGACACTTCTCAAAAGAAGACATTTATGTGGCCAACAAACATATGAAAAAAAGCTCATCATCACTGGTTATTAGAGAAATGCAAATCAAAACCACCATGAGATACCAACTCACGCCAGTTAGAATGGTGATTA
This sequence comes from Homo sapiens, assembly GCF_000001405.40. Classification (NCBI taxonomy): domain Eukaryota; kingdom Metazoa; phylum Chordata; class Mammalia; order Primates; family Hominidae; genus Homo; species Homo sapiens. The sequence goes on from NC_000007.14 coordinate 50,279,362, forward strand.
TTAAAAAGTCAGGAAACAACAGATGCTGGTGAGGCTGTGGAGAAATAAGAACGCTTTTACATTGTTGGTGGCAGTGTAAATTAGTTCAATCACTGTGGAAGATAGTGTGGTGATTCCTCAAGGATCTAGAACCAGAAATATCATTTGACCCAGCAATCCCATTACTGGGTGTATACCCAAAGGATTATAAATCATTCTACTGTAAAGACACATTCACATGTATGTTTATTGCAGCACTACTTACCATAGCAAAGACATGGAATCAACCTAGATGCCCATCAATGGTGGACTGGATAAAGAAAATGTGACCTATATACACCATGGAATACTATGCAGCCATTAAAAAGAATGAGTTCATGTCCTTTGCAGGGACATGGATGAAGCTGAAAGCCATCATTCTCAGCAAACTAACACAGAAGCAGAAAAACCAGACACCGCATGTTCTCACTCATAAGTGGGAGTTGAAAAATGAGAACACATGGACACAAGGAGGGGAACGTCACACACCAGAGCCGATTGGGGGTTAGGGGGCAGGGGGAGGGAGAGCATTAGGACAAATACCTAATGCATGTGGGGCTTAAAACCTAGATGATGGGTTGATGGGTGCAGCAAGCCACCCATGGCACATGTATACCTATGTAACAAACCTGCACGTTCTGCTCATGTATCCCAGAACTTAAAGTAAAATTTAAAAAAATTAAAATAAGTCATTTATGTTTCTTTTTTGTAAGTGTCTATTCAAGCCTTTTGTCCATTTTGCTATTATTTTTATTATCAATTTTAAAAATCTGAGTTGGAGGGTAGATTTTTTTCTAAAGCAAATGTTTGGTAGTTCACAATTTTATCTGTGATAATTTTATTTTAGAGAAATGGACTGAGAAAAGATTTAATTTTCATTTTTTTCCTGTGTGGATAACAAACTAGTCATACCACATAGGTATGAGTGTGTTTCTAGGCTCTCTTCTGTTCCATTGATCTGTTTAATTTCAATACCAGACCATTTTAATCACTGTTATTCATAATATTTCTTGTTGGCTGTTAAGGCATATGGCCCCACATTTTTTAGGATTTTCTTAGCTATCCTTAACTCTTGGAGCTCCTGACATACATATTAAAATTATCTTATCAAGCTCTTTAAGAAGAGGATGTTTGATTGGGATTGTATTGAATTTCTAAATCAATTTGAAAAAAATAACATCTTTAAAATATCAAGTTTTTTGATCTATGAACATGGTATATCTATTTAAGTGTATGATAGTACATTTACCTATATTTCCATCTAGACTTGTGTGTCCTTTTCTGTTTCTATATTATGAGGCGATTTCTTAGTTTAAAAGCTTGGAATAATTATATTTTTCTGATCAGGTTGTAATGATTCTCTTATTTTTTTCATAATATCCTTTACCTTAGAGTCTCTTTTGTTTAATAGGAATAAAGCTGCACCTGTTTTTATTTGTTTCTTTGTTGTTGGTTTTTTGTTTGTTTTTGTTTGTTATTTTGGTCTCTATTTGGCTATGATATATTTACCCACAGTTTCACTTTTAATCCTTCTGATAACTTGTATTATATGTCTATTGTAAAAGGTACATAGCTTGCTTTGTGTTTAAAATCCACTGCAAATCTAGTTCAATCTCAACTACAGAATTTGGCCTACTGAAATTTCTTTCAAGTAAGGACGTATTCTAATTTATTTCTTTTACTTTATGTTTTCTATTTGTACTGCTTTTTATTTTTTTACTCTCGCTTCCTTTTGGATTTAGGGGTTTTCTTCACTACCGGTTTGGAAGTTATCTACCTTATTCCTGTTTTTTAGTGGTCACCATAGAAGTGTTAACATGCATACTTAATATGAAAAGTTAATAAATATTTTTACCTCAATCCAAATCATGTTGAGACCTGAGAACATCTCCGCTTCAGACCTTTTCCTCCTAATCCTGACTTATATGCCTATTGCCACAGCTGCAACTCAACAAAGACTGGCCAGTGCCTTCGATTTCATCCAGATGGTAGTTTTCCTGAAGCTGAAATTCATTTCTATATTGGCACAGCCCCACCTCTCTCCTCCCAGGATCTCCCATCACCAGCTTTGGATGTAACTAGAAGGAGTTTATCCTCAGGCTTTGGTGAAATCAGAGAAAGTCAGAGGAGAAAACTGCTATACTTGACTACGTCTTTGCCAGGATGAAGATGACCAGGGAATATTCTTGTACCATATCTGCCCATCACTGAATCCAGTCCATGTGGGATTAGACTGTAGAAATTAAGAGTTGTGTCTATTACATATTCTATGTTTTTGGGCTCTATTTCTGGTTGTAAGAATATTCTAAGGTTCTTTTTAGAGAGGGGAACTTTGAGGCTCTAAGAGAGGAAGTGACTGAGGTCACCCAGGAGTCAGTTGGCAGAACCAGAAATAGACCCCAGGTCTCATTCTCAGTTCAGACAAGGCAGCATGTTCTGCTCTGATGTTGAGTGAAAAAGAAGAGAGAGGGAGAGAATTTTCAACAGACCATATCTGTGAAGTGGAAGCAAGAGAATTATTTTCCTTAGAACAGACCTTTCTTCTCCCCTTCCCCTCAAGCCTGTCTGAAACTCCTCTGCTAACTGGCTTGAGCACTTGGAATATTCCAGATGTAAGAAACGCAGACGGGCAAGAGCACCAGCCACCCTCCCACAGCTGCAGCCCAGATCTTGTGATTTCCGCCAGGCTCAAGCTTGGCCTCTTGGTTTCTCCTTGTCCCGTGTGCTGATTGTGGGAAAATTCTGCGTGGGACACGTCTTTTCTTCAGCACTCTGGGAGTTTGCCACTCCGGCCTCCCCCTCCCGAGGACAGCAGCAGACGTGCACATCTGCTTAGGGGCAGGGCTGGCAGTTCCCAGACTACTCCTGGAAGCTGCAGTAGAAGATACAGTTTACTCTGAGCTTCCGTCTTGTGCACCTCTGAAGTCCCCAAGGATAGGGCCTTCCAGAACAGAGAAAGCGTGGCATGCTCTGCTCCCAAATTCCTTGGGAGAAGAGGTTTCATTGTCCTTGGTTTCTTCGGCTTGTAAAACTTTTCTTTCCTTTTTCTTTTTCTTTTTTTTTTTTTTTTTTTTTTTTTTGAGACAGAGTCTCGCTCTATCGCCCAGACTGGAGTGTAGTGGCACGATCTCGGCTCACTGCAAGCTCCGCCTCCAGGGTTCACCCCATTCTCCTGCCTCAGCCTCCGAGTAGCTGGGACTAAAGGTGCCCGCCACCACGCCCGGCTAATTTTTTGTATTTTTACTAGAGACAAGGTTTCACCATGTTAGCCAGGATGGTTTCCATCTCCTGACCTCATGATCAGCCTGCCTCCTCGGCCTTCTAAAGTGCTGGGATTACTGGCATGAGCCACCGCGCCTGGCCAAAACTTTTATTCTCTGGTGAGGTTGTTTGAGGCTCTCCATGCAATCTCCCGAAAAAGAGACCGAGGCCCACACAGCATGAGAGGAGAGAAATGAGTACAAGCTAAACGCAGTCTCTTCTGATGGCCTCTCTTTCCCAGAAATAAGAGGTTATAGAGAAAACACAAATGGAATCTAAATCTGGTAAGATTTGCAGAACCTCAAGGTTTCGCTGGGTCAGGAACAGGGTAAAAATAGTCTCTGAGGATGAATCCTGGCCAGGAAAATAGAGACAAGTGAAGGACAGGGAAATACATTGTAAAATTTCACTTTTTCCAGCTTCCTATTTGGTTTCACTCTGAATTTTCTCTGAATCATTTATTTCTCACACCGCCTTCATAGCACTACAAGGAGCCAGCTACAGTACCAGAATCCAGGAGATGGAGGCATGAGGGCTTTTCAAATGTCCAGTGGTAAAAGGTATAGTAAAAATAGATCCCAGAAGTAGGCAACATACCCACAAAGCTGGCCAGACAAAGTCCTGGGATGCAGGAACCCAGCCACTCAGCACAAAAGACAGCCATGGAGCTCGCAGTGCAGACGCAAGGGCCCCGAGAAGAGGAACAGCCAAAGGTCACCTCGTTTTTGGAATGCTTCCAGCTATCCCAAACAAGCAAATGACGATCACATTTCTGAAAATCCTCACCACGGGGGCATTCCTGCTTCCCCTGACGGCTGGTTCCTTTCCACTGGCCAGTTGTTTCAGACACTTATGTCAATTTTCCTGGGGGCAAGCCTGTTCCATTTTCATCTAGTTCCTCATTCTCTCCAGAGGGCGTTATTATGTGCTAGGGTCATAGAGCCAAATAGATGGACTTGAAGATACCATTCCTCTGCCATTATGGTCATAATCGTCTTTTTATAAAGGACTGCCTAAAGAAATTCAGCCGTGAAGGTCAGCAATAGCAACAATAACTCACAGTTTAACCATTTGCACTTTGGATAATTAGTCAGGAGGAGAGTAACGGAGACCCATTCAGCTACCTAAAGTAAAAATTTGCGTTTGGTTTTATTTTCTATGTTTCTTTCCAGAATGAGGTGAGTCCCATGGTGTCCAGGGGCAGAGAGGCACCCGAGGCCTTTCAGAAGTTAGAAGGAGAAACAAGAAAGTCCCAGTGAGCTCAGCAGGAACCTCGGCCCCTCTCCTGCCTCCAGCAGGCCTTAACAGAGTCTTCTCTCTTCCTCTCTAGGGCCTCTCATTCCTATAACTCTGCAAAGGCATGTGCCTGTTGTGTTATACATATGAACACATATGAAAGCCCAAACCTCTGTTTCACAGCCTTCCTTGGCTATCAATCAGCATGTTAGGTGCCAATGCCAAATTCCTGGGGGTGAAAATCTAACTGACCCATTTGGAGTTAGGGGGCTGCCCCAGGTCCAATAAACAATGCCAAGAAGGTGGGGGGCTACAGGGTGAGATAGAGATACCTGCCCACTTTTTTAGTGAGACCTATGTAGACTTCCAAAACCTATCCATTACAGAGACTGGCTAAGAACTTTCACAGACTTAAAGTAGTTAATAAGCTTTGTCCGTCCTACCCTGTATAAGAAAATGGCAGCTCTAGAACCTTGGAGGAGAGATTACATGAGCACTTATATTCTTCCTTGGCACTCTTTACTTTGGCTAGGATTAAGCCTCAATGTGTGAGAAACTTTTGAGGGGGCCTGAGCCCTCCCTGGGTGTGGTCAATGGTAGCCCACATCCTGTCCGCTGAACAGATCAGTGTGTTAATGGGCCATGGGTTAGTTCACGCAGGGATCAGTTAGTAGTAGGTGGGTCCCCTGCACAGGTTTGTCCCCAGTACTAAACCCATTCCCACTATGCTGCTGGCCACAGGAAAGCATGAGCCAGTCAGTTTGGACAGCCAGCCTCCATCTGTCACTTGTCAGAAGGAAGTCACAAAGCCCAAGCACTCTGTATCATCTTTGTAAAGATGAAATAAAGAACTGAATTATTACTTGGAGGATAGAAGACAGGTAGAATACAAAGCCATAATGATGTCCACATTTCAATAATCTCTTAATTCACCAAATGATTTATAAAGAAGCCCCTGACTAGCATACATCTCCTCCTCTGCATAGCATTTATCACCCTGAGTGGAATTTGATCTCATTTCTGTCTTCCTCAGTAAATACTGGTGTTCTTGAATGAAAGCAGCATATTGTAGCCTCTTGTAGGCTTGGGGCCCAGCCCAGGATTTGGCATGTCGCTATAAACAGTTGACAGTGGATGGATGAAGAAATGATGAATGGAGGGAAACATTTAGGGATTAAAAGTCTGAAAGAAAACAGGAAGGGACTGAAAGGAAAGCGAAGGAAGGAGGGATGGAGGAAGGAAAGAAGGAAAGAAGGAAGGAAGGAGGGAGGAAGGAGGGGAGGGGAGGGAGGGAAGGAGGGTGTTCAGTAGCAAGTGTAACAATCCCAGTGAGCACAGGGGTCATGCATCCTGTGATATGGTGCCGCACACAAATGAGTGCAACCTCCTGGACCAAACCTCCTGGACCAACACGGACCTGGGACTGGGCTTCACTCAAGAAGCAAATGAGCTTGACCCAAGGCTAAAAGTTCTCAGTGTCATGGTCTTCAGGGAAATCCTTCTTTGCCTCCTCTTTGTGTGCCCTTTCCCTCCACTCAGGCAGCAGTGCTCTTCTGGCATCGCCCCAAATCAAAAGGGAAGTCACTCCCACTAGCCATTTGCTCTTATTGATGGATTACACTGCAGTGTGAATATGCTTCATCAACTTTAGCCCAGTGGTTCTTAACCATTTTTGGCAGGAGAAAAGAGAAGTTGGCTCGGTGCATCACAGACCTGCCCTGACATCTTGATAAAAGATATGGATCCTCTCCTCAGGGAAACGCACCCCCCACCACCCTTTAAATGCACCAACTCAGTTTCAGGGCTTCCCAACTTGAGATCTGTTATCAGGGTCTACTAGACTGTATTATTTGGCTCTTTTTTAGTTTTAAGCTTCTGATCTCTAATTGGGGAAGTCTGTTACTTAGAGGATTATCAAGCACCAATAACCAGATAGGGAGGAAGAAATTTCTCTGGTCAGAATCAGACTTCAAAGTGCACAAATGGAACCCTGTTAGACTTCTGGGTAACTGGGAAGCAGTAAGATAGCAGGGTGACATAGGAGCACTACTCCTGTCCTCTGGGATCTCACTGGCCCTTTGTGCCTCTCTTTCTCTCTCACACACACTGGCCACTGGATGGAAGTCCCAGAACATTAAAGCCCCTGGGAAGCCGCCCTCCATTAATGATTGGCATGTGTCAACCGGTTAGCAGCCTTGCTTCCTAATTTTCTAGAATTATCTACCTTTGGCCTTCCAGGACAAACTATCACATACATAATTTTTAATAGATCTTTTTTTTCTTTTTGAGATGGAGTCTTGCTCTGTCATCTAGGCTGGAGTGCAGTGGCACAATCTTGGCTCACTCCAATCTCCGCCTCCCAGGTTCAAGCGATTCTCCTGCTTCAGCCTCCCAAGTAGCTGGGCACATGCCACCATGCCAGCTATTTTTTGTATTTTTAGTAGAGATGGGATTTCACCATGTTGACCAGGCTGGTCTCTAACTCCTGACCTCATGATCTGCCTGCCTCGGCCTCCCAAAGTGCTGTAATTATAAGAGTGAGCCACTGCACCCAGCCTTCACAGATTTTTTTTGAGACAGGGTCTCACTCTGTTGCCCAGGCTGGAATGTAGTGGCATGATCACAGCTCGACCTTCTGCTGGGCTCAGTATTTGTGTTTTGTACAGATGGGGTTTTGCCATGTTGCCCAGGATGGTTGCAAACTTCTGAGTTCAAGTGATCTGCCTGCCTTAGCCTCCCAAAGTGCTGGGATTACAGGTATGAGTCACTGTGCCCAGCTGGCTTTATTTTTTAGAGCAGTTTTAGGTTTACAGCAAATTTGAGCAGAAGGCACACATTTGTTACAATTGATGAGCCTGCACTGACATGTCATTATCACCCAAAGTCCAAAGCTTGTATTAGGGTTCATGCTTGACGTTGTAAATTCTATCCATTACGACAAATATATAATGACATATATCCACCATTATTGTATCATACACATCGTTCCACTGCCCTAAAAATCCTCTGTGCTCTCCTAATTCATCCTTCCTTGCTGCCCCCCAACACCTGGCAACCACTGATCTCTGTGCTGTCTCCGTAATTTTGCCTTTTCCAGAATATCATAGAGTGGAAATCATAGAGTATGCAGCCTTTTCAGACCGTCTTTTTTAACTTAATAATATACCTTTAAGATTCCTTCATTTATTTTCATGGCTTGATAGATCATTTATTGTTAGCGCCAAGTAATACTCCATTGTCTGGATGTACCACGGTTTATTCACCTATTCACCTACTGAAAGACATCTGCTTGCCCCCAAGTTTGGACAATTAAAAATAAAGCTGCTAGAAATACTTACTACATGTTTTTGTGTGGACACCAGTTTTCAGTTCATTTGGGTAAATATCAAGTGAGTGATTACTGAACTGTGTTTGGTAAGAGTATGTTTCAGTTTGTAAGAAACTGTCAGCTGAATTCCACAGTGGCTGGACCATTTTGCATTCTCCCCAGCAATGAGTGAGACATCCTATTGCTCCACATTTCGTCAACCTTTGGTGTTGTCAGTACTTTGGATTTTCATCATTCTAGTAGGTGTGTAGTATTATTTCATTGTTTTAATTTACAACTTCTTAATGGCATATGATATTCAGTACCTTTCATGTGCTAATTTGTCACCTGCATATTTTCTTGGGTGAGGTATCTGTACTTCCATGCTGTTTATTCTACTGGTAATGAGGTTTCTTACAGCAAATGCTATAACCTTGTTTCTCATGAAATCGTTGTAACCCTTCCTTGTTGGCTTTTATTTTAGATCAATTTTCTCCAAAACTAAAATTTTGTCCTTATTTTACAAAATGAAAACCAAAATTAATTTAAATATTTGGTTTGTCACTAGCAATCCAGTTGATTACTTATCTTATAGCTTATGAATTGAAACCACCTTATCATTTTTAGAATCATCCAGAATCTCTTTTTAAAGTTGGTGACTATTTTTTTATTTCCTCTCTTCAATGAAGAAGTAATGGCTCAGCAAATAACATCTTCCAATTCCTTGGGTATAATAGAATGTAAGCCATTGGGCCAACTGCAATGAACAAACTCATCCTTCACAGATAATTTTTGGTCACTTTCTTTCCAATTCTAGTATACATTTCATTTCCCCACATGAAGGCTTTTAGGTTTTAGGTCACAATTTTTTTAAGAAAACAAAAACCATAAAATATCTGCACTTTCCTAATTTTACCCTAAAGCTCCATTTTCACTAAACAGATTAAGCACATGCATTTTTTTAACAACAACAAATCTGAAAACAGACATTTTAATTTGAAATATTTTGGGGAAAATATTTAAGGAAATAGTCGTAGATTATAAAACATACTGAGGTTACTCTTATCAAAACATTTGACTACTTCAAAATGCAGTTAAAATGACATTAAAATATGACACGGAAAGCACACTCAACAAAATAAAAAAAAAAGATAAACTGAACTTCATCAAAATTAAAACCTGTAGTGCATTGATGCCACTATCAAGAGAGTGAAAAGACAGCCCACAGAATTGGAGAAAGCTTTTGCAAACCACATATCTGATATGATTCTCTATACTAGAATGTATAAAGCCAAGTACATATTCAGAAGATATAAAATATCCAGAATATATTAAAGAACACTTACAACTCAACAACAAAATGACAATCCAATTTAAAAATGGGCAAAAGACTTGCCTATCATTTCTCCCAAGATATACAAGTGGCCAATAAGCACATTAAAAGATCCTCCATGACATTAGTTATTAGGAAAATGCAAATTAAAACCACTTTACAGTCACTAGAATGGTTATAATTCAAAAAAAAAAAGAAAATAATGGGTGTTGGTAAGGATGTGGAGAAATCAGAATATTCATATATTGCTGGAAGGAATTAAAATGAATTACAATGTGGTCCTGCAATTCCACTCCTAGGTATATACCCAAAAGAATTCAAAACAGGTGTTTGAGCAAAAACTTGTACATGAATGTTTATAACAGCTCTGTTCACAGTAGCCAAAAGGTAGAACCAACCTAAATATTCATCAACAGACGAATGGGTAAACCAAATGTGATATATTCATATAGCGGAAATTGCTCCACTATAAAACAGAATGGAATACTGATACATGCTACAATATAGGTTAATTTCAAAAACTTATACTAAATAAAGGAAGCCACAGACAAAAGGCCAAAAAGTATATGCCCCCATTTGTATAAAATATCCAGAACAGGCAAATTAATAGAGACAGAAAACAGACTAGTTGCTGCCAGGGGCTGAGGGCAGCAGAAAATGGGAGTGACTGCTTAATGGGCATTGGAATGAACAAGTTCTGGAAATAGTGGTGATGGTTGCACAACATTGTGAATGTACTTAATGCCACTGAATTGTATACTTTAAAAAGGTTATGACGGTAAGCTTTATGTTATGTGTATTTTACCACAATAAAAGAGACAATAAATGCTTCAAAGGCATGATTTAAATTAGTTTTACTAGTTCATTTTATTTCAGAAATCGGTGTTTACATTGTCTAAAGGTAGAATTAATCCATGTTTTAAGCTTTTGTTCTATACGGGGCAGAGAGAATGTTGTAATGTTTCTCACCTTCACCCTGTGTTCTTGGAGAGTATTTAATTTGGCTTATTGGCTGCAAATGTACATTATTTTTCTTTTTCAACTTAATTTGACCTCCACAGTTATGTGTTATAGCTTGGGGTTCAAGATATAGGATAGTTTCATCATAAATGCTTTTGGAATCATATTTATGAGTTTTTCTAAACTTTGTATAAGTCTGACTTGTAGTTACTGTTTTACAGTAAGCCCAGTCTTTCAATTTCCCAGTAAAGTTAATGGCTATTAAAATTGCATCTAACATTTTTGGACTCAGTTATCTCTTAGATTTAATTCAATTTTCTAAACAGCCTTTGCTTATTATGTATTTTCCTTTCCCTTCAAAAATGAATCAATTATTAGTTTCCAACATAATTTTGACCAAATTTAAGTTCTTATTAACACTTTTTTAATTCTATGAAGCAAGTCAAGTGAGTTATCTCAACTACATTTTCATAATGTACGTAGGCTTATTGATAATATTAAGTATTACTGCAATGATTAATGTTATATGTCATCTCTCTCTCTCTCTCTCTCTCCCCACAATCCCCCCATCCCCTGCCCTGCCCACTGGTGCTTAAGCTTGGACATCCATCCTCTCCTGCCCTCGGATATTGACGTGCTCCTGGTTCTCAGGCCTTCAGGCTTGGAATAGAATCTACACCACCAGGTTTTCTCAGCCCCCAGCATGCAGATGGCAGATCATAGGACTTCTCAGTCTCCATAATCATGTGAACAAATTACCTCATAATAAATCTCTATAGATCTATGTCAGTATCCACACCTATATGTATTCTATTGGTTCTGTTCTCTGGAGACCTGTTGATACAGTTTGGCTGTGCCCGCCCCCCTGCCCCGCCCTGCCCAAATCTCATCTTGAATTGCAGTTCCCATAATCCCCACATGTTGTGAGAGGGACCCGGCGGGAGATAATTTAATTATGGGGGTGATTACCCTCATGTTGTTCTCATGATAGTGAGTGAGTTCTTACAATATCTGATGGTTTGGCTTTTCCCCGTTTGCTCATTCTTCTCTCTCCTGCTGCTATGTGAAATCGGACTTGTTTGCTTCCCCTTCTGCCATGATTGTAAGTTTCCTGAGGCCTCCCCAGCCATGCTGAATTGTGAGTGAAATAAACCTCTTTCCTTTATAAATTACCCAGTCTTGGTTATATCTTTATTAGCAGCATGAGAACTGACTAATACACCTATAATACAATTAGTAATAAGTGATAATGTAGCTCAGTCAGGGAATATAGAAAATTATTAAGAAGAAAATATAAATCACTCAAGAACCTCTTACCTGCTGGCAACGTTAATAGTTTAGTGAATAGCCTTCAGGTCTATGTATGAGAGATATGTAAAATGCTTAAAACAATCCTGCAATTTTCATTTTCAGTCTACTATGCATAGTGGATATCTTTTCATCTTAGAAAATAGACATAAGTCATCTACTGATAGCTCCAAAATATTCATTTGTGGGAATATATCAAATACTATTTCATTTGGGATGAGCATTCAGTTTTCAATTCTTCCTTCTATGAACCTCATTCTAGTGAATGTTAAACACACATATGTTAAATGTTAAATACATGTATTTTCATATACAATTAGTTATCTGTGCATGTATTTCTTGAGGTTATGAAGTAAAAGGCCTCACGCCTTCTATAGTTTGAATTCTATTGATATTGATATGCAATGCTGACTTCCCTCTGATCTGTCCTAGGAATCCCACCACCAGACCCCAATCTCCATGACCTAAAGACAATCTTTTCATTGTAAATTTACAAATTACAGTTGTATATATTTATGGGGTACAAAGTGAGATTATGATTTAATAAATTTATTTAAAAGTTTATGATTTATAAATATAAAATGATTTATAAATATGATTTAGAAAAATTAAATCAAGCTAATTAACATATCTATTACCTCAAATACTTTTCATTTTTTTGTGGTGACAATGTTTACTCTTAGTGATTCTGAAAAGGTACAATACACTATCACTAATTATATTCACCACACTGTACAATAGATCTCAGAAAACACCCTTATTTCTCTTGTCTAATTGAGGCTTCATCTAACAGTTTATTTCAATTTTTAGTTTTTAACTTCTACTAAAGTTGAACGTTATTTTGCATTCAGTGGTCTTTTGTATTTTTTTTATAAATTGTATAATTATGTTCTTCACCCATTGCTTATTGAGGATTTCTTTTTATTAATTTGCAAGAGCTCTTTATATATTAGGAAATGTAACTCTTCTTTCATATTCATTGCAAATATTACCTCAAAATATCATTAGTATCTAATAAGGGTCTCCTTGTCATTTTTCTTTCTTTCCTAAAAATACTTTATCTCTGAAATTTTCAAATAGATACATAGAGATAATTACATAAGGAATCCCCTTATAGCTATCACTCAGCTTCAATAATTATTGAAACTACTACCAATCTGGTTTTATCTTTCAACCACTGTTTTTCTTTGTTGTTTTAAGCCAAGCTCATATTACCCATAAACATATCTGTAGGCATCTCTAATTAATATGGACATTTGGACCCATAATCACATACCATGTTCCCAACTTATCCACCTGTAATATGATGGAAATTTCACCAACTCACACAAAACCGCTTTGGATAGCATATACCCATTTTGAAACTTCTTACCATTATCCATACTCCTTTTCCTGGACCTTCTCCTAAAGTTGTTTGGCCTATTTAATCAGAAACTATTTCATCCATCTACTTGTCATAGGTTCTTGAACATATTTTCATAATGTTTATCAGATTCACTTTTTCCACAAAGGTTTTGTTTTCATTCAGATGTTCTCCACACATTATTCACTTTCTCTTTTCTGTGTATCAGATAATTGTAGGCTTTTGAACCTAAAGGCAATTGTAATTCTTATTTTCACTGCCTCTCCTCAGTTGCAGCTCAATATTTCCAATTTAAGTGATAGTGTCTGCTGAGATGGCAAGCTCTTCCTGTTAATTTTCCATGTTGTAGGCATTTACATAGGCATTTGGGGAAGTTAAGGGTTTTCCCCAAAGCATTTCCCACTTACCACAACTGTCCACCTCACAGCAGACTTCAGGATTTCCCCCAGATCAATACACTTATTTTAGTCCCATATTAACTCATCTTCATTAAATCTCCCTTTGCCTATGCAGCAAGCAGCCTGCCCCCAGAGTCCCAGTCTTCACCAGGTGTCTCTCCTCTTTTACTCAGGAGGACTTTCCCAGGAAAACCATGCCACTAGCAAAAAAAAAAAAAAAAAAACAAAAACAAAAAACAAACAAACAAAAACAAAAAAACACATAAAACTTGTCAGTGAGGGATCTTTATCCCTAGGATGCTTCTGTTTTATTTCTTTTTCAGGTTAGGAGAATTTGTGACTTCTTCACTCCTACCCACACAGTCCTGAAGTCAAACCATCCAAGTTTGACCAGAGAGGGTTAGTCACTATAGGTTAGCAGGTGATGGAGCTGGTGATTGTGTTTGTGCATATCTGAGGGTGTGATAAGCCCCAGCTGGTTTTAGCACAGTTAGCTCTCAGTGCTTGAGTCCTTCTGGAATGGTATGGCATATAAGCCAGGGAGGTCAGGTCCACTTAGAGATGATGGGGCAAGAACTTTTGAAGCTTTTCCCTAAAGCTGTTCTCAGTTCCATACCAGCCTCCCAGATATATGTTACCCAGGCCAAGCTGAAGTCATGGAGTATCAGTTAGAGGGCTTCATAGAGATCATCTTGTCAACCTCTATCATCTAATGAACAAAGAAACCAAAGCTTAGGAAGGTGAACTGAATGACCTGCCCAGGATTGGAGAGAGAATCATGACCCAAACCAGGTCTCCTGAATCTTCCATCCACCAAACCAAACCAAACCATCTCTGGTAACACTCTCTGGCTACTGTGCTTTCTACTCAAGCACACAAGGCCAGTGTTGACTCTCCAAAGCATCATGTGTTACAGCAGAGCCTCAAACAACCTCGGTGGGACTAACTGTCATAATCAAATTGACTCCAAAGGATATGGAACATAACTTTCTCAATCTGGGATCTCATTCGTCGCAATTCTAGAATCCCTCATGATGGACATCAGGGAAATGGAATTTAGTATGGCCCTGTGGGATAAACTAAAGTCTACTAAACAAAAGGGAATAGTGAGCCTGGGACTAAGAAGAAAAATAGACTTCAAAGGAGAACAGATGATGAGCTCTGGTGCTCACAGGAAGCCCCAGGACAAAGTTTCAGTCCCATCTTACCCTTGACCGGCCTCAGACCTTAAAGTAGTTGGTCTTTTGTCTGTAAAAAGACAACAGGATTGGGTCCTTAAGTGAAGAAATAAATAGTAAGTAGTTCTCCAGGTTTTCTGCAGTTATGTCTCATATTTGACAATCTTACACTCACCGACTTGACAGTCTGCTTTCACTAATCCATATGCATATAAGGTGTATATTACCCCCATGTCTACGAGATTCTCACTTAGCCAACGACATCTGTCTTTGAACTGTCACGAAATGCTAGAATGATTCTTTTTCTTTTGTGGTGTCAATTCCTCTTTCTGTCATTATTAACCTTGTTAAATACCCTCTTCCCTCCCCTTCTGAAAGGCATGAACTGAGTGCTAAGTTTCAAACATACCCCCTTAACACATCCAGATGGGGGGAAAAAAGCACATCTAGCTATCTACTTAATCAAACATCTACTTTCACTCCATCAACGGGGAGTAGGCCCTTTTGTACATTTAACAAATTCAAGCAATTTAGCAACTGGGTTAAAGTCTATGTAAAGTACTTCAACAACATGGGAAATGAAGACACTGGTCTTCTGTCTTAGAATTGGTTAATGGAAGACGTGAAGTCTCAAAACGCGCACAACAGTGGGTTCTTACGGAGCTGCCTAATGCACTGCTGGGAAAACCTTGAGAAGTTTTCCATCACGGGGGGAGGGGGGTTGACAGTTTTTGCCTTTGCTGTCAGTTCCACTGTGGGAGGCTCCTAAATTTATTATACCTGGGAAATGATTCTAGTGCAAACCCATCCTGAAAGAAGCCAAGAAGTGAGGCATGCAGAACATCCTTCTACAGGTATTATTGGTTCCCACCCCAAGTTACAGAGGCCAAGTCAAGGCGACTCCATGGGCCATGACCATGGGGCACTTTATCTAACTTGATCAAGGTGGAGCAGAGCAAGAAATTGGTCCTATTTGCCTTGCTACGTCAATAAGTTTTCCAAGCCTTAACTTAAAAAAAAAATTTACCTCATAAAACAGAATTGTCACAGTGGAGTGGTGGTATTTTCTACCAGCAACAATGTCTCTATAAAATGCCCTTTCTACTGAGTAGTCAAAATGCTCAATGCCACCTGTTAGAAGCTCACATGTCAAACAGTTTTTTGGGTCATCAAGAAGCAGCTGTATTTCTTTCTTAAAAAAATTAAAAATAACTCTCCTCACCTTGGGGGACTCCTTTACCTCAGTTTCCTCATCCATAAAATAAGAATAATAATGTGGTCCAACTTCCTGGGGAGGAGAAGATTGGCAAGCACTTTTTGCTGATGAGCTCAAAAGCTATGCAAATATAAATTATTGAGTACTGCACATATTGCCACACTGCTACCTGAGGTGCTGGGAGCTTTCACTGAAATCAACAGGAGCTCCAGGAATGCAAAAGAAATATGTACTGGGAGAGATGGGTCCAGAGCATTTTGGTGGTGCTTATTGAAGCACAGTGTTGTAGTGGAGGGGCAACTGCTAAGTGTATGATTATCGACCGCTGCATTTGGATTTGCTCTGAGAACTCTGCTATATCAGATAGTCCGGCTCAAAGGACATCAATCATTTGGTGCAACACTCTGTGTCTTATGGGCTTAATGGCCTTTGAATCCAGAGGGCCAAAAGCCGCCCTCTGAAGTGAGCAAAGGGCTCTTCAAAGGCTGGAGGAGTACGAGGAGGATGAACTGACTTTTGATTCACAAATAATAAATAACCTAAGAGTAAGATAATTAAAGTAGCATACAGGTTCTGACCTTCAAAGGATCAATAAACAAATGCATCTCCTGCTCTACACTTTAGCCATTGGAGCCAAATCCCATGGTTCTACCCTCAGTTTAGTCCCTCGGCTTAATCATCTTTTGATTGGCCATGGAATGTGTACCTAACTATAGTCAACAGTCTTACAAACATATATACATCCTGTATATCTATTTGTACAAAGAATTGGATCTTCATCCTGCATATTCTCTTTTCAAAATTAGCCTTTGTTTACCATCTATAAATCAAGACAACATTATTCCTTCTCCCAAAATGCAGGGTTATTCAATACAACTTGTTGGAAACAAACCGGCTTGGCTGAAAATGTTTATGAGCTATAATCATAGAAAATAAAGGGATATTATAATGAGAAGTCAATCTTTCAGTTTAATTGCAGAACACTTTTTAAGCTACAGAAAATTGTGAATTTGAGCTCTGAAGTGGAAATAAAGTTGCCAGTTTCAGACTGCATATCACAGAAAATGAATTCTTTTTCTTCATTAGAAAAACATATCTGCAAGTAATAAGATATTATGAGTAAATATTACAAGAATACATTGTACTGGGCTGTGTGTAGCTACAGAATGCATTATATCTTTAAATTATTTCTAAATCACAAATTTAGAGAAAGTCCTGCTCCTGGCATTACTAAATTATAATCTGTCTTCTTATCCTACAGAAATAAAGAGGTATCAACTCACTTAGGATAATTGCCTGATACAACCAGAACAGGATTAGGGAAAATTCATTATGGTATTGCAGTGTTGTATTTTAAAAGTATTCTCTGCTTCCTTTTTGAAAAATGGCTTAAAAATGAGCAGAATAATGCACATACAAGGAAAGTGTGAAATAAATTGTCAACTTTTAGTTGAAGGAAGGAAATTTGGAATATTCTGTGTTGAAGCCTTTACTGCTAAGACAGCATTAAATAGGTGAAGAAGCAACACTTCTAGTGCATGATCGCAGAGCCCCAGACAGGACAGAAGCATAGGGAGGGATGGGGGTCTTTCAGCTGTCAGGAGAGGAAAACACAGTCCCTCTGCATATTGGAAAACAAATGTGCCAACTCCTTGACATGTTACTTAAACAAAAATATTTTTCCTGTAAGTAAGATAAACCCTTCAAAAGTAGCACCATGAAATGGAACTATCTGCTGAATATCTGCTCACTGTTCTAGGAACTGTGAGGAAACAAAATAGAAAAAAAACCAAATCTCTCCTTTCAATGAGAGCAAACAACAAATGTTACCAATGAAAACCAGAGAGAAGGCAGGAGAAAAGCTAACGCTCGGGTGGGTCAAGGTCGTTCCCTTTCATGGAGAACAGACAATGACAACTCAACCACAATGATAATGGACCAAACACCTGAAGCCAGTAAGGGGGGTGGGCAGGCAGAAATCCAGGGGAGAACCTTCTAGGAGACAGCAGTAAGTGAAAGGCAGTGAGCTGGTCTGGAGCACTTGAGGACTATAAGGTAGGGCCAAGTGGCCAGAGACAGGCAAGTAAGTGGGAGAGTGGAGTCTGGCCTGCATTCAACACAGAAGCACCCCGATCTGACTCTGCTCTTCATCAAGCTCTCTCTGGCTTCTGTGAGGGGCAGGGGTGGAAGTAGAGAGACCCCTGAGGAGGACACTGCTATTTGCAGATGAGAGGTGACCAGCCTGTCTGCAATGGAGGGAGAGGAGGTCCGACCATGGACACCTGATACCTGCAGAGCTAGTGGGATTCCCCAATGGACTGGATGGTAAGTGAGAGAGAGAGGCATCAAGAATGACTCCAAGGTTTTGGCCTCAGCAATTGCCAGCTGGTATTCAATGAGATGAAGGGGTCTCAGTGAAGCAAGTAAGAGAGGAAGATCAGGGATTCAGCTGGGAGACAGTAAATATAAGTTGCCTATTAAGCCTCCAAGTAAAGGTGTTAAGGAGGTGGGAGAGTTCAAAAGGAGGTCTGAAGAGCAGATATTAATTTTTGGAGTAAGGGTACAGAGATGACATTGCAAACTGCTTCTGGAGAGGCCTTCAAGGAACTGACTGCGGAGGGAGACATGTCTGGAGAGCTGCAGCATTTTAGGAAAGAGGGGAGAAAACAGCCAATGAATAGCACAAGAGAAAAGCATGGCGAGTGGGGTGTCCTGAAGATCTACCTCACTGATATCGGGGTTCAATAAAATGTTCGTGCATTTTTTGGTAAATTTTAAAGTGCTAGATAAATGCTGACTTACTACCTTTGGGACCAGATGGACTTTGCTCCATCCATTGAGATCATTCTTTCCAGCTCTTCTTAGATTAAAAAAAAAATCCACTTTTAACTTAGTCAAGGTTAGTCCCAACTGAGAATCTGGAGACACATTCCTGGGAATCAGAAGCTCTGCCTACTTTTGACTTGTTAGATAGCACTTTCTGAGAAATCTTACAGCCACCCATAAACAGGGGAAAGGGAGAAGGGCTAACTCACATTGATTACTAGGTATTACAATTCAAGACTTATGTTCATGCTTTTGTTTAATCCAAACCACAACTCCATGAAGCAGGATTCATTTTCCCTGTTGCAGAAATGACAGTGTGATCCTGAGAGAGGTGACGTAACTCAGCTGAGTTCACGCAGTGCCCTCGCCATGCACCTGTGGTCCCAGTTACTTGGGAAGCTAAGGTGGAAGGATCCCTTGAGCCCAGGAGGTGGAGGCTGCAATGAGCCAAGATCGTGCCACTGCACTCCAGCCTGAGTGACGGAGTGAGACCCTGTCTCAAAAAAATAAATAAATAAAAATAAAGAAAAGAAAAGAGAGTTGCTATCATAATTCAAAAATAACTAGACTAAATTTCAGTCCTACTTGATAGGCTGGAAAGGCTGTTCACATATCTTACTCTTTCCTGGACAGGTCCATTCCATCTGACCTCTCTACCAAGACTGTTGCTTCTAAGACTGACAATTCGGCCTTAGGGGAAATAAAAAATTTAAAGAGAAGTGAAGGAAAACGCTTCCCACAAATTGGAGAAAGGTGTCTTAAAACAGCAGTCCCCAACCTTTTTAGTGCCAGGAACTGGTTTCATTGAAGATAATTTTTCCACAGAGGTCAGGAGGGGATGGTTTGGGGATGAGTCAAGAGCATTACATTTATTGTGCACTTGAGCTCTATTATTACTATTACATTGTAACATATAATGAAATAACAACTCACCATAATGTAGAATCAGTGGGAGCCCTGAGCTTGTTTTCCTGTAACTAGATGGTCCCATCTGGGGGTGATGGGAGACAGTGACAGATCATCAGCCATTAGATTCTCATAAGGATCATGCAACCTAGATCCCTCACATGTACAGTTCACAGCAGGATTTGCAATCCTAAGAGAATCTAATGCCACCATTGATCTGATGGGAGGTGGGGCTCAGGAGGTAATGTGAGTGATGGGGAGTGGCTATAAATACAGATGACACTTTGCTTGCTCACCCTCCCTATACTGGTCAGTGGCCCTGAGGTTGGGAATTCCCGTCTTACAGAAATCAGTTCTTGGAGAGATCTCATTTCTGTGTTGGGAAATGTGGCATAAGCAGGAAGAAAGAGGATACGTGTGGAGCCAGAGGAGGAGCCAGCATGATTCGCAAGGTAATTTGAAAAGAGAGGGCAGACGCATGGCTGAAATATTATAACTGGCCAAGATTTGTATCCCAGCCTGGTCACATAAAAACTGAATGCTTCAAAGTGCCGAACACTTACCCAGTGCTTGATATCTGCCAAGGAGCCATCAAAATGTCCTTAATGTGCACTAACTCATTGAGACCTCAAACATTTCCGAGGATGTTTGTGCTATGGCAATGTTCCCATTTTACAGAAGAGGAAACTGAGGCATGGAGAAGTCTAGTAACTTGCAGAACTAACTCCAATAGTTTGGCCCCAGAGTCTGTCATTTCACAGCCAGGTTCTGGGCTTTCCATCAACCCCCAGCGAGTCCCCTTCCCTGAGCTTCAGTGTACTCATGTGAAATGGGGACCACAGTGCTAGCTTTGCTGCATCGTTAGATGGGAGATAATGCCTGCATGCCTGTCACAGAGCTGGGCTCAGGGTGGGGTGATAATTACAATATTACTATTAATCTTGAGTTAATTCTCTCTTTTGAGACGGATGTTTCTAAGCTCCCCTGCCAGCCAAGTGTGGAGCAGAAAAGCATTTGCTCAGACCTCCTGTGTGATCTCTCCTCACCACCTCCCTCCTTTTGTCCATGAAGCCTCCCCCAGTTCTGGCAACTCTTTAGTGCTATCCTTTGTGTTCCATAAGGCTCATGTCAGAATTTATTATGACACATTTTGCATCAGAATGAAACTATTAATTGTCCACCGACTTTACTAGATTGTGAGCTCCTTAAGGGACAGATCTTCCTTTCTGCTTTCTTGTGACTACCTGCATCTCAAGAGCCACCTGCAATGGTACACTCTCAATAAATACAGGCTTTCTGAATAAATAAATGAATACATGCCACCAGAGTGTTTATGCTTCCGGAAATCCTGCTCCAATCCTGTTCCTATTCAAAGAATCAACTGGAGTGACACACAGCTCTGTTCTTCTTTGTTCTGATCTGTTCAGGTCAGATTAATATATTATTTTTTATTACTCATCAAAAACATCTTCAGAAACTTTTCATCAGAAAGATTTTTTGTGTAAACCTATCTATCTCCTCCAAATCACTATATCTGACTCAGTGTGATTTTTAGTCTCTTATAACCAAATGATATTGATAGAAATTTGTTGCTTTTGAGAACCTAAGTGTATTTCTCTTACAAATTTCAAAGGGAATAAAGTGAAAGTATTATCAGGAAGTGGGAAGAATTCATATGTCAGCTGCAGCCCATCCCTGATTCGAAACCTACAGGCAGAGATGTGAATGGTCAGTAGTGCTAAAGGATTTCTGTGGTTCCTGCAGAACCAGGAGACACTGAGGTGCCAAGACAGGGCCTTACAGATGTTTCAGGAAACCAAGCACCCAGAGGAGTATCTTGCCAGGTTCACCAGGTGCTTCCTACCCAGGCACTGCCAGCAGGACAGTCCTAGCTCTGCACCAGCCCCCTGCCTCTCCTCTGCATCCTGCTCCTTCACCCCCAGCAGCAGGCGGGAGCTAGTGGACTATGCTTAGAAATAGCCAAACCAACGAGGGAGCCCAAGAAAAAGGATCGAGGACCTCTCACCAGGCCAGTGATCATTACTTTTCAAAAACAGCAGAGGCAGAAGCTGGAAGTCATGAAAACTGGGAAAAAGAAACCAAAGAAACAGTGTCTTTGTTGCAACAGTTTCATCCAAGTCCTGGGTATATAAATAAAATAAAATTTTATTTTTTAGCAAAAAAAACCTTTTGCTGTTATTTAAAAATATTCTTGCTGTTTTCCAACCATCAGAGGAGACATGCACTTTTCATTGCTGTTAACAGATCTTTTTTTATTGAAGAAAAATACAATTATGATAACTTCCATAGATTATTTCATTGAATTTCACGTAATTCTATCAAGACCATTGTGAAGTAGATGTGCTCTGCGGATGAGAAACTGAAGCTCAGGCTTTAAACAACTTGCCAAACACAGTTACTAAGAAACAAAACTATTAACCATATCGTATCACCTCAATCATCCTTTTACTTTCCTTTGAAAGTAAAAAACTCACTCTCTTTTGAAAATCCCATCCAGGCTCTACCTGGACAAAAGTGCCTAGCTGCCTCTCTTTCCATAGTGAGCTCTGAATAAGTAGCCTTTGATTAATCCTATAGGTGGTCTCTATTCTTTCGATAATACAGCCTCATAAGAAGAAAAATTGGTGATTTAGCAATTATTGCCTGAATAAATTAAAGTGTTTTATTTAATACTTTAACATTATGAAGAGGGCAATATATGAATTAATATGTAAATAAAATAAAATGACTTTAGACATAATATGAAAAAAAACAGTTTTACATGTTCCAATTTCTCCCTATATGTTTTCCCATCCATTGTGCATTTTACTGTTGTCCCTAAGGGTTTGAACATTTGATTTATATCACCTCTCTGGTCCCTCTGAGTCTATCCACAGACCCCAGGTTATAATAATATAAGCTTGACTTCCTTCAACTCCACCCGGTTGGGGGCAAGGGTAAGGCATGGTACCTGCAGCCTGACTGCTGTTTTGTTTTGTTTTGTGACAGGGTCTTGCTGTGTCGCCCAAGCTGGAGTGCAGTGGTGTCAATCATGGCTCACTGCAGCCTCAAACTTCTGGGCTCAAGGGATCCTCCTGCCTCAGCCTCCTAAGTAGGTTGTTGGGACTGCAGGTGCATACCATAACACCTAATTTTTAAATTTTTAATACAAATGGGGTTTGATTTTTAAAGTTTAAAATTTTTTTGTACAAACAGGGTCTTGCTTTGTTGCCCAGGCTGGTCTGGAACTCTTGGCTTGAAGTGATCTTCCCACCTTGGGCTCCAAACTCAGGTGTGAGTCACTGCACCCAGCCAAGGAGCCTGACTCTTCACAGTGCACTCCTCATCTCATTGGGACATTGGTTGGGCTAGCAGGGAATAACTGTTCTTACTTGGAAAGTACTCCTCTCTGTCAGGCATGTGGCAAGGTCTTCCATATGTGATCTCCTTAACCCACAAACAACCCCACCAGGAGGGTTATATTATCACCACCAATTTACAGATGGGGAAATTCAGGCTTTGAGAGATTAAGGACCTCAGTCAGATTCATAAGCCCAAACTATCTGGGCTCTTAGCCCCACATGCTCCTGCCTCAGTGGGCTACACCTTGGTGAGATGCCTATGTTTCGGTCCACTGGTCCACTCCTGAAGACCAAGGCACAGGTTTAGAGAGACGTACCAGCGGCTAAAGGTACTTCTGCATCCAAGAACTAGAGGTGTCCCGTGTCCCCTTTACAACATTGTTGGCCTCCCTCTGGGCCTTGTACCTTATGTTTATTGCCTCATTTAATCCAGGTAAGGAGTCTTTAGGATTGGTGGCATGTATTCTTTTTATAGACAAGGAAGATGATGCTCAGGAGTTTGGATAACCTGCCCAAGGTCACGCAGTGGAGGAGAGGACTAGAAGGTAAATCAATGGACCTTTCACTACCTTCCCCTTCTCTGGGCTGTAGCAGTGAGTTAACTGGCTCAGACTTGCCCAGCGGAATGCCCTTCAGGACACACTGAGTACTGTAGTAAGAGCTGCATATGCGCTCAGGGAGAATGTGGATAGACGCTGTTTGTGATTCACGGGTAAAGGGCCTTCTCCCAGAGGCAGCAGAGGCAGATCCTGTCTCTGGTGTGCCCTGGCCCCCGACTTGGAGGCCTCCTGGGCCAGGCCAAGACCTTCCCCGGCAGCGATGGTCTCCAGCCACACTCAACTGCCCTGAAGGGACATTTCCTGCTTATTCCCTTGCCCGGCTGTGTCCTCCACCCGGAAGGCCTGTGCCTTCTTCGCCTGCATGTCCTACCCTGAGGAGGCTCCCTTGGTCTTTCATCGCTCTCCCTATGGGTCTTCACGCCTTCCCGAACCACCGCGCCCAAGCAGGAGCACGTTCTCGGCCCTCTTCACAGGGCGCTCCTCCTCACAGGGGTGCCCGGGATTTTTATTCTGTGCCTTCCTGGTGGCTCCTACAAGTCTGGAAGGGCAGGAGGCGCATCTCACTCCTCTGGGTCCCCTCCCCTAGCGCCTGGCGGGAGCCCAGGCTGCATTTGTGGAATTCATGACTTTTTCTCTCCTGCTCAAGCTGAACACATTGCTGGCTCCTGCTCGGGTGGAGCCCGGCTAATTAGAGTGAGGGGCTCCCCGTAGGGCGAAGGGGTGCGCTGTCAGATGTGGCATTCCCGTTTTACGGAGACACACGGTGTCTTACACGCCAGGGAGAGGTCTGAGACGCAAAGAGCCGTCGAGCGGGCTGCGGGATTGCTTCGCTGTCACCTCCGCCTGCAGCCACCCTTCCGCACGCACTTGTGTGTGCACCCAGGCCAACATGGAAGGCGCCATCCTAACTTCTGCCGTGAGCAGGTGGGAGGGAAGAGAGACGAGAGGTATTCCATTGGTTGTCTGGGAAAATGAATTGCACCTTCCCCTCCCTTGCGGAGGATCAACTTTTCCCACCCCCTCGGGTGGGCACTCGCATCCTGGGGCCGGAGCCTGAACCCGGGAGCCAAGGGGCCCCAGTTCCAGGGACGTGAAGCTGAGCGTACAGCGGGCGCTCCCAGACACTGGGGAAAGTGCTTTACGATGTCCCGAGTCCCTCCAGTCTCGCCAGCGGGGCGAGCGTGAGGGTGCCCCGACCGACCAGCGGCCCCGGGTGCAGGGTGGCGGGCCCGGCGGCGCGCGTCCCCCTCCCCCTCCTGGCGGCCCGCACGTGTCGCCCGCGCCGCGCCCCCACGGGTTACGCGCGGGTCCCGCAGCGCCGCGGCCGAGCCGGGCTGCCCGGCCCGCGGACACAGCGCCGGCCGCCGCATCCCGTGCGGGGCCGCGGCGCGATGCTGCGCTGGAATGAGGAAGCGCGGCGGCGAGGGGAGGGCCCGGGCGCGGTGCGCGCGGGGGTGGCGGCGGCGCGCCGAGCGGGCCCGGCGCGGGCGAGCGGGCTGCAGCCGGCGGCGGCGCCAGCAGGTACGGCCCGCACCCGCCGCCGCCCCGGCGGCCTTTGGGGGCTGAGCCGGAGCCCGGCGCGATTGCAAAGTTTTCGTGCGCGGCCCCTCTGGCCCGGAGTTGCGGCTGAGACGCGCGCCGCGCGAGCCGGGGGACTCGGCGACGGGGCGGGGACGGGACGACGCACCCTCTCCGTGTCCCGCTCTGCGCCCTTCTGCGCGCCCCGCTCCCTGTACCGGAGCAGCGATCCGGGAGGCGGCCGAGAGGTGCGCGCGGGGCCGAGCCGGCTGCGGGGCAGGTCGAGCAGGGACCGCCAGCGTGCGTCACCCCAAAGTTTGCGGGGTGGCAGGGCGCGCGCTCTGGCCACCCGCCGCTCTGGGCGGCAGCTGGTGGCAACGCAAGGGCGCGGCGGGGGCGGCCGGCGCGGAGGGGGCCAGGTACGGGGCCCGCGGGCGGCGCTGTGCGCGCGGGGCAGCCGGTCGGCCGGGAGCGCGAAAGCCTGGTCTGAGCCGGCTGGGGGCGGGGAGTGTGGCGGAGAAATGGGGAACAATGCGAGTGAGCAACTTCAGGAAGTCATTGTGAAAGAAAGCTGGGAAGAGCTCCGCGGCCAAGTTAGCAGGACACTCTAACAAGTGACTGCGCGGCCCGCGCCCGGGGCGGTGACTGCGGCAAGCCCCCTGGGTCCCCGCGCGGCGCATCCCAGCCTGGGCGGGACGCTCGGCCGCGGCGAGGCGGGCAAGCCTGGCAGGGCAGAGGGAGCCCCGGCTCCGAGGTTGCTCTTCGCACCCGAGGATCAGTCTTGGCCCCAAAGCGCGACGCACAAATCCACGTGAGTGTTTTCAAATTGAATTTCAATAGGAAAACTTGGGGTAACTGGTGAATTTAAAAAAAAAAAAACACAGTAAAGAAAAGCGGTAAGGTTGGTAGACCCTGGTGTCGCTCAGGTCCGCCTCTCTTTTCTGAGGACAGTGAGAGAGTTCACTTCTGTCAAGCGTCTGTTGCTCTGCACTGTGCCAGCAGGTGCAGGACCAGGCCGACATGGGACACTTCTGAGCAGCCCCGCTGTCACCAGGAGAGGAGTTCTAGCTCCCAACCATATTTAAATTTATGTAGACCTACATATACCCACGGAAGTCAGCCTTTATAAAGTCGTGTGTAAAGAGTTTTCCTTATATTTGAGCCGGGAGCTTTCTTTTTATACTATAAATATGATGAGATCGAGTCTGAACTTAATTTCTGCAAGAGAGGAATTATCCCGGCTTTGAAAAGTTAGTCCTTTTGCTGACCGCAGGTTTGACGCTCAAGTCACCAAACCTTCTCAGGAAAACCCTTAGTAATATTAAGGCATCAGGTTACTTGCGGTTATATTTGAAATGTATTTTAAATATTTGTCAAGCATCGCTGCTGATGCCTAAGGAACCTCGTGAGGGCTTGTTTTTCCTTCTAATTTGGAGGCATCTAATGACCGAAAACCGTAGCGATTCCATAGGGTCTGACCAGGCACAGCTTTCAAATGCAGCTTCCCTCTCTCTAGGGACTGCAGCCCACCCAGACTGAATTTCAATGCGGTGCGCTTTGCTTAGGTTACCCACTCACAATTTCCCACTGCGCCGCAGGCAGTATATTTCAGCTTTGAGATACCTTGTTTTAAAATTCCAGACAAAATGGTGTTGAGGAAATGTCTCCTTACTAGTCCCATCAACTTCTGTTAAAAGAGGAAAATTTATGGAATTTGAAAATACTGCGTATGATATTTAAACTTTCATAGACATTCAAATGCTTTTAAGGCCAGGTTCAATTTGGTTATGAGTCGAGGGGTGGGGGGGACCCACATAGAAATGTCCTGGGTCCTCTTGAGTTTATTTCTTTGTTTGAAGATGTTTGTTCAATGAGTTTTATTGTACTCATCTTTTATATGGAATTTTAAAAAGTAACAATTTCAGTATTATTTATATTAGAATGTGTCAGAATTATTTCCGTGACAAATCAGATCATTTGGGCTATGGCTTAAAATGTACACGAGGCAAATATTCATGACAAGAAGATTCACCTTCTTACGCTGGCATCTTGTAAAATGCAGAACAAGTTAAAGAAATAATGTGTACACATACAAATAATGATGTCACATTAAAAATACTACACTATTCTTGCTTGATGGAATGTATCTGATTTCCAATTTCACCATGAACATATTTCATACATTTTTTACATGAAAAAAAACGTGACTCTTAAGTCTCACAGTCAATCAGAGCTGGTGACCAGAACATTTTATTGAACTAAATGGTCATGTTTTCTTCCCCTTTTGTTTCACGGTGAGAGTTGAAGGAAGGAGTTTAGAAACTCTCCAGTACTTGTTTAATTCATCAGTGTTCTAATTAGAGTGGTACCTCTTGGAAAACTACACACCCCCCTAATGCAGAAACATCATAGCAATAATCACCCACCCTCAGGGTCTCCAGGAGACCACAAGGGCTGCAGATAAAAGTCTGGATGTGTTAGGTTTGACCCTTTCGAAGAGTTTTACACAGGCTCCTAAAGAGAAGATCAGCTGTGGCCGTTTGTAGCCATTTCCTTTGTCGAAAAACTAAGATCGCAGTGAATGTATTAGCCAAGAGGTCTAAAGCCCTGTTGTACTGCAGGCCACTGTCTTCCTTGTTTGACTAGAGACTTGGAGTTTGAGAACAGTGGTTCTTTGGTTTGGATACATTTTTTGTTCTTGATTTGGATGTGTGTGTTTCATGCGTGGTTAATATAGCATATTTTCAATATAAATGTCAAAAATTTTGAAATAGGAAAGAACTCTCTATATATTAATGTACTTATACACACACTTCAAGATTATGCATTTATTAACAGATACATGAAATAAATTCCATGTGCATATGCACATATGCACACAGAGCGTGCACACACACAGCATGCACACAGCGTGGAGTGAGAGGCATGGGGCAGTGTGGAAGAGTTTTAACATCAAACAGACCTGAAATGAGTATTAAAGGCCCCCTTTATTTTTAAACTTTTACTAAAACAAGATGGATTTCCCTATGTTATATAATGGTGAATTTTAGGCATAAATAACGTTTTTTGAGTGTTGCATAATTGTACGTATTAATGTAATGTAACTGTGGTTAACGAAGAATTCATCAAGGATATCACTGTTTTGTGGCATTTTTTTTTTCCTCCTCTAATCTTTGGACTTGTGAAATAATTTCACTATGAAATAAATGTTGGTTCTTGTCATATTCTAAGGGAGATTGATGTAAGTGGCTCCACTCCAGCTTACAGAAGGTAAACCACGACCTTTTTGCGTTCTCTGAAAACGCTTGTCTTCCGATGCCTCTGTTTCTAAGACTGACAAGCACTCTGGGGGCACTGTGACGCCTGCTTCTAGCGGCAGAGTTGCTGCAGCTCCTGTCCTGGCTGTGAACATTGTTCTCTCTCTGGTGTCTCTATGTTCATAACTACAGAGACTTCAGCTCTATTCCATTTCATATTTGTGCTGAATAATCATTCCATTTTATGGGAGAAAACACAAGATGTAAAAGCAACAAGTGACCCATCCTTTGAAGCTTACAAGAAGAGAAACATTAATCTATTTCACGTCTTGAAAACAGATCAGTTTTATTTTGCTCAAAAAGGGCACATGTACATTTTTGATCTAGGTCTTAGAAACGTAGAGTTTCAGAGGATCAGCATTATACACACTGTCACACACACACACACTTAAAATTCAGATGAGGAACAAGATAGGAATGAGGTTTTGTTAGGGACGCAGAGCACCTAAAACCAAAGGATATCGACAGTAACAAAGCTGTTTTTACTGTAGTGCTGACTGAACACTCATGCTGGTGTCTTCATGTGGACCATGGCTTTCTTGTATTTCTTTGCAGTTTAATAAATGACTTCATATCTCAGGTTACCTTTCCACATCTCCTGGAATATATGTTTATGTCCTTAAAGTTTCAGTGTCGTCACTTTAGTAGCTTTAGTTTGAGTTTTTAAATGTTTGGTAATATTCCAACAAATATTTTTTAAGACATTATGAAACCTTATGAAGTGCCATATATTACAAGTGAGATAAAACAGCAAGCAAAAGAAGGTTTGCAGAAGGTTTTTAAGTGGCGAAGTGCGGGCCTGCCCATTTTGGTGTCTCCTTGGTGGTTACTCCTGAGAAGGGCCTGGAGGAAGAGCAACTGAGGCCTAATCTACAGGCAACTGCCAAATTGTTTCAGTTGACGTTTTTCCCTCTCATGTTTGACTATAATAAATAGGTAGTTGCCAGTGGAGCCTTCAGCCAACCACCTGGTAATAAACTGTTAAAAATGGTGCAAACCCTAGGTCACAGGTGTGGGGGCCATTTGTCTTGCCTGTTAACAGGCCTGGCCTTAATTCTTTTCTCCCATGGCCATTTCTGCCTTTGGGGAACTCACAATTCCTGTTGACTAAAAGAGCACCCTTTTCCACCACAAGCCTGACAAATCAGACGTCCACATAATTTCTGAACTCGTTTTGGTTAGGACAGGAAGCACAGGCTCCCTTCCTGTCTGTGTTTTCCTAAGAGAAAACGGTCTTCCCTCCTTTTTTGCATATTTGGCAAGTGGTTCCACCTTTCTCTGCACCCTGGTGGAGTGTGAAGGCAGCAGAGGAACCTTTTGGAGGAGGAAGAGGACACAGAGGCCCTGTAGCCAGGCACCAAGATCCCTCCCAGGTGGCTGGGTCTGAGGGGAACTCCGAGCAGCCCTAGGTCCTCAAAGTCTGGATTTGTGTGGAAAAGGCAGCTCTCACTTGGCCTTGGCGAGGCCTCGGTTGGTTGGTGAGTGCCACACGGTTTCTTTGTGTGCTTGCATGGATTGGAATAGCCATTGTGTTCTTCCGTCTTCCCTGCTGGTGTTTCCACAGTGGGTGGCCTGAGCCCAGAGCAGCTCCCCATATCCCTGTGCAGGCCACCTGTCTCGGGTGATGGAGAGCATCATTATGCTCCGTCTGAACGCTCTGCTTTCGGATGGCCCCATGCTCCACCTCCTGATAGCTCGTGGCGCGGGGCCACGGCTTAACAAATGGCTGAAAATGGGTCCTAATTAGTGGAAAAGTGCTTTCTTCATATTTTCTCACTCGAGTGTGCAGTGATTCATTTTTCTTCTGCAATCAGCTCACTGCTAAAGTAAATCTGACTCTCTTCCCGCCATTGCACACCAAAAGTTAACTCTAATGGGTAGGAGGTTAGGTTTGTTGAGAGAGCAATGCAGTAAAAAGAGGGGATCCAATGTGGTCTTGTCTGTCTGGTCTTCCTTTCTTCGTTTTTTCCTCCCTTGTCTTCTCTGTCATTCCCTTCCCTCCATTTGCCTTGCCTTTCCTGTCCTTCCCTTCCCTTCCTTCCCCTCTTTCTTTCTATAATTGGTGGGGGGTTTGCACAGACTGCCAAAACACTAAGAACTGTGTAAAGTGTTTTTGAATGGCCTTACACATATTGAAGTAGATTTTTATGCTCCATTTTTGAGATCACACACTAAAATCTATACCTTTAAAGCATTTTCTGTTAGTTTGAAACTATTTGAAAATGAACAATGTGGTTTAGATTAGAGTCCTGTTCTGAAGCTAGGAGTTCCACTATGAATATTGATTTATCAGTTTTTGACAAATTTTTGTTGTTATACCAGATTTTCACTGGCAAACCTAGAGCAAATAAAATTCCACATAAGATACTTCCCTAGACCTAATGGGAAAAATGTTTAATTTAGAGTCTTTAGGAGAAATGAGAATGAGGAATTGACCTTTTGTAAGCTTACTTCTGAGGCACTCTGAAGTGTGTTCCAGTGCTTTTAATGGAAACTAGAGAGAGCCAGCAACCCCCTAGTGTGAGCCCCACTTTTAACCGGAAAAAGTGACCTTTTCCTCCTCCTTTGTGCTGAGTTTTGCGTAGGGCAGAAAATTAAGCTGATATTCAAAGAGATTCACTGCAAAAACATATTGATAAATCGTATATTCTATTTCATTAAATTAAAACCATACTGCTAATTATCTCAGGTTGTTAAACATAAGGCAATTAATTATCATTTTAAAAGTTGGTAGGAAGTTGTGAGTACTTTTGCAGTATGAGTGTTTTCCCGCTTTAGTATGAGGTTGTGTATGTTTGCTTGAATTTACAGAATTTTCACTTTAAGAGCAGACAATGTTTTGTTAAAGAAATGAAATTTGCTAAAAAGGAGCATGTAAAGTGAAACATTAAAAATAAATAATTTCAACTTACTTAAGAGCTGCAGAAAAATCTGATTGCTGTGTTTAAAATGAATTTTCCCACATTTCGCTCTCTTATGGACAGGAGCATTTTCTGTCAGGTTATAAATAAAGACATGCCCATTTTTTGTACCCCCACAAATGAGGAAGTTGTAAGCTCTCTGAGGTTTTACTGATGAGCCCCCTCCCCCTGGGTTTGCATGAAGAGATCATAGGCCACAAATAAAGGACTACAAAATGGGGTCTAAACTATCCTGGTGGGGCCTGATACCCACGTTTCGCATGGACCTTACGATGTGATGAATGGTTTTGGCATGAGTGTCTTAAGAATGCTTCCAGATTCGGGTTACAGGACAGCCAGCGCTGAGCTCCCTATTGCAGAACAAAGTAGGAATCTAGAACTTTCTTGCTAACAGGATCCAGCTAAAACACCAAGTTAGATTCTTAAATGATGTTCTTTTCTGTCATTATTTGATTGTTGTCAGTAGCAGTAATTGTTACCAAGCCATTGATGCTTCTATTCTTCCCTTTGCCCTTCTGAGACACAGCTCATTTTGACTTCAGTGGAACCCCTCGAAGGTGGGGTGATGAGCAAGGTGAATTTTCAAAGTAAAGCTACTAAGAGACCAAACTACAATTTAAGGAACCTGATTTTTGAATCAAATTCCATATACTGTGGGTATAGTTCAACATAGATTAATTTCTTATAGTTATTATGAAAAAAATCTCATCTTGATGATAGCTGATAATTTTGTGGGTGTCGTAAACAAAACAGAGGTCAGAATTCAGTCCCTTGGGGAAAATTTCCAATTAGTAGGAAACCAAGTGGCCTACCTTAGTTTGAAGACACCCATCAGGATGTCTGCACCTTTTCATCCTCTCTGGAGGAAAGACTAAATACCCATTATTGTATATAGGTCAGGCCAAAGCAGCCTTTTATATTGCAAGGAATAAGAGGTAAATAGATATATGTGCAACAATGAATCCCCTAA
The DNA here is from genome assembly GCF_000001405.40 of Homo sapiens. Lineage (NCBI taxonomy): Eukaryota > Metazoa > Chordata > Mammalia > Primates > Hominidae > Homo > Homo sapiens. The sequence continues at coordinate 50,311,320 of NC_000007.14, forward strand.
TGTGTTTACTCTAGAACACATGTTCTTTCTGTATTTATATGTAGATTTTGTAGATCTTGTCTTACCACCTGCTAATGGTAGATACTGTATCTAAATAAGTTGAGGAAAATTTATAGTACCTAGGAATGTGTCCTCAGTGGGCCAATCAATCAATCATGACTTCAGGTTATTTTTAATAAATATACACGTATGGGTTCATAAACAATGGGATGTTCTTGTGAAGATCTAAATAATTTTACTTCTTTGGGACTAAATAAAATATAGCTTTTGCCAAATAAACTCACACAAGCACTTATTTTAATAGAAGTCAAATGGCTTTGCAGAAACTTCAGTTTTACAGGTGCATTGTTTGAAATGTTACGGGTATACAAGTGGATTTCTCTATTATGTACAGTGTTAAGTTTGAGTTTCAAAATGTCCACCTGAAATGATTTACTTGTACGTTAAGATAATTTAACTGCTAAGAAGGCAAGATAAAGCATTCTTTGTGACACCATATGGCCTTGCTGAGGGAAAAACTTACTGTTATAAGTTTGTGTTTATCTCTCTTTTTAAAAAAAAATGAAGAAAAAAACGTTTAAAATAATGGGAACACAGCAGTTCCTGGGGTCCTCTGTCTCTTTATCTTATTATAGTAAATTACCAAAAAAATAATGACCTGGGGCATGTCTGTGTGGACCCTTCTTTTAGAGGCAGTTTCTGTGTTTTGTAAAGCTGTAGGTTCTATTTTCATTGCACTTCATATTGCTGCACAGCTCCTGACCATGCATGAAGGTCCTCTGAAATCGGTAAGAGGGCAGAAGAAAATGATTCTAAACTTAGATTTTTTTAACTTAAGTGATGAAGTGTGAAACGCCATTTATATTTGAGGAAGCTACCTAGGAAGTGGCTCATGTCGATGGCCCAAATCAGAAGAGGGCCTGTAAAAGCTTCTATCAATTTTGACTGTGTATGCTTCTACCATGGCGGCTCAATAAACAGCAGTATTAGTTTAAGAGTGGATGGTACAGTAGTATAGACGGGAAGCCTCTCCTCTCCGTGTGAACCGTGCACCCCTATGAGAGGGTAGAGACAATACAATATGCCTGTAACGTCAGGACAGACAGTCATGGCCAGCTTGAACTCCAGCCCTGGGCTTCTTGCAGCAACAAACGTGAACACAGAGGACTGTCTCCAACTCCACTTTCTCTATTTTTAAAACAACTTTTTGAATACAGTATCTGCCATCTTTTCTTATACCTCACTTTGAAACAGGTGGCTCCACTGTGGCATTTAAAATGTTCTGTTTCTTTTCCCTCTGTATCAAATACCTCTTTACCAAGAAAACATTCAAACAGCATAGTTTTTAACTGTATTTTGAAAGGTTTCCTTAGTTCCCTTTGACCCTTCCTCTTTTGCATATCAGTTCCTGGCCATAAAAATAAAAAATGCTAGGACAGAATTGCACATCTGAGCTGATTTGCCCTCAAAAAGTTTCACAGTGGAACAAACCGCAGGAGGAGTTTTCTGTGGCTCAGTTAAATGTCGGGGGAGGGTGGTGTGAAAGCCAAATTGGATTCCTGCTTTCCTGTTTAAATCTTGTTTTTCATTGTTATTTGCACCAGCAATACTCTGTGGAATAATCATGAAAATGTGTAGATTGGCAGCTAATTTTTGAAAAATGAAAAGAATCAGAAATGAAATAAGAGTGCTCGGAAGTTTTTATGTTCTCTCAACCTGTTTTGTCAAATTGTTACGAAAACCTATAAGGTCTCTTTGACTAGATACAAAGACTTTGCACATTGCCTTAGCTTTCTCTTGAAGCATTTCCTTTTTTAAAATACAGTGTAATTCACAGTGATATGATAGATTTGCAAAAGTAAAATCTACCAGTCTGAAGATGAAAGGACTTGTCTCTTAGCAGGAATAATGGGTTTTATTAAAGAGGTCTGTGACCTAAGGCATTTTAAATAAATTACAGGCTTGGTCCCTGTCTCCCCCATGTATCTACTCCCTTCAATATAAGCATCATTGAGTATTTAAGGAAATAACCCCAAATGTAACTCTAGTGTAGCTTCACTTGTCAGGGAGGAAAAAGTAAATAGCATACATTTGGCCAAATAACCAGAACTTTACTGTAGAAGTTTTATGATGAAATTTGCCTTTAGTGCAGAGTATTACAAAGATCATGTTTAGTTTCTAGCAGTATATAAGTAGCATCCATCCTTATCTGTCATGCATTTGGAGTGTGCGACCCCTGCACTGGGCTGCAACATTCTGATGGGCAAGAGTGCTAGGGAGAAAGAGGCATCACCATCAGACTGCACGGGTTCAAGTGTCAGCTCTGTGGTTGATTAGCTGTGTGACCTGGGGAAAGCTATTTCTCTTAGCCTTGGTTCTCTCATCTATAAAATGGAGATAATGATGCAGATGCCTTGGGTTTAATTGGGAGAGTTAAAGACACATTTACATATTTAGCAAGTAGGTGTTGAATTCTAGCTCTACATTGGACACTATGCCAGGTGCTCAAATAAACAAGTGGACAAGACAGACAACACCCATGGTCTTATGAGGCTTAACCATTTGCCTCTTCAATGCCAGAAACTTAGTAGGTTGATTAGATAAAGCCAGTGAGTACCAGTATCCTTTTCTTTGCAGCCTTTTCCTGGCACACTAAAAATACTCAGTACATATGAAATATCACTGGACAAAGAATCCCCCTTAGAGTACCAGTGGAGAAGGAAGGCATTTGCTTAAAAGCAAACCAACAGAAAGACATTGTAAGGCAGTTGTTTAAGTCTCAGAGACCTATAATTTTTTTCTTTTTTCTTTTTTTTCATCTCGCTCTGTCGCCCAGGCTGGAGTGCAGTGGCACAATCTCAGCTCACTGCAAGCTCCACCTTCCGGGTTCATGCCATTCTTCTGCCTCAGCCTCCCAAGTAGCAGAGACTACAGGCGCCCGCCACCACACCTGGCTAATTTTTTGTATTTTTAGTGGAGACGGGGTTTCGCCGTGTTAGCCAGGATGGTCTTGATCTCCTGACCTCATGATCCGCCTGCCTCGGCCTCCCAAAGTGCTGGGATTACTGGCATGAGCCACCACGCCCGGCAACTACAATTGTTCTTAAAGCTTGTAGAATTACTGTGTGCTACCAACAGACAGGCTAATTTTGAGTGACCCTCAGTACTTTGTACAGTTAATTTGGCACGCTGTGTACTTAGTGGCTTTTTAACAGCTATAAATTTGGGCTGCTAGAAAAGTAGTAAAGTTGTGATTCTTGACAGGCATCTATCTGCATTTTCATTTTTACTTCATTTGTCTAGACTCAGCTTGTCAGAATTATGGAAGAGACTCCTTGTGTCAGGGCAAGCACTGTGAAGAGAGGTATTCACTGTCAGAAAAGAGAGGGGAGCTGGAGGCAGCTCAGAGGCCTGAGACCCGCCTCCACAGGAGCCCCAGCAGGTTCGGTGGAGCTCTGGCCACACTCTCCTTTGGGATGCTGAAGTCAGAATGAGTTCACTTCCCAGCCAGTCTTGCCAAGGCTCCTCACCTGGAAGCAGCAACTGCCCAGGGCTGTTGGATGTTTCTCCCCAGGGGACAGCCAGGTCCCAGTCCCGCCTCGGTGTGGAAGGAGGAAAGGCAGGGTCCAGGAAGCTGTTTCAGGACAGGCCCAAGGTCCCCCAGGGATGCCTTTCAGGGTCAGCGGAGGCTGTAAATCAGCAGGGCCCACACGGCCTGGAAGAGGCCCCTGTGCTGTCGGCTTGCCCGGCTTGCCCGGCTCCTAGTCCGGCTTCTGCTCCTCCTTTGTAAAGTTATGGATATGCTAATAGTTTCCAACTGAGACTAGGAAAGTAAGTCCTACTTGACACTGTTTGGTCAGAAAGAGGGAGAGAAAGGAGAAGGACAGAGAGAGACTGAGAGAGAGACAGTCTCAGACAAAGGGAGACGGAGGGAGGGAGGGAGAGACAGAGAAAGAGATGGGAGGTAGGTGTGGGAGGAGGGAGAGATGCAGAAGGCAGAGGAAAGACAGACAGAGATTTAGACCTCCCAAGTCAGTGAGCAGTCCAGAGTTGGAGTGGAGGGTGCCTGGTGGCTTGTGACTGCAGACTCCACTCCCCGCTCCTAGAGGCACAGCCATGGACAGCTTCTGTCACGTTGGCCCTGCACTTATCTCTGCATCTATTTCCCCTTGTGCAAGATTCAGAACTGCATGCTCCAAAAAAACAATAAAAGCATTCATGTTCATAAGAATTGCACAGGTAAAAGGTAGTTTGCTGATATTGTTGTATTTTTTACTATCGCTTCTTTTAGGTCTTGCCTGAAATTGTTTGGGTTTCCCAGGCAAAGTAGAAAACTGCGGTACGTTTCTGTGAAATAATTATTCCTTCTGGCATCTCCCTTTACAGACCTACTGATCTTGATTTTTCATTTAGGTGAAAGTTTGTGAAAACATGCCATTAGCTTGCTTTGTGATTAACTCCTTTTACTGAATGTGAGCTCCTTTTAAATTGAGGCCATATCAAGCTTAAATTCCATATTTTACCCGGCACTCTGCATTTCTTCCATGTGGGAGAGGAGGGGCTCAGTAAGTGCTTTGTAAAATACACAGCCGAAGTGATGCACGTGCTAACAAAGGAGTGTGACAGGACTTAAGTGCCCTTCTAGACACTTCAGGCTCCCCTTTGTAAGCTGTCTTGGAAGAGGCCACATTTCCTTTCCCTCAAACAGTTTCTCATTGTTTGATTATTCTTTTAGCCTTTCTCTGGAAGCAAAGCCACTTTTACGAGAAAGTCACTGCTTTTTCATCTCAAGAGATGCAAGTTTGGAGTTTGGGGAAGTTTTCAGGTGCCCGTCAAGTCATCCTTTATGATGTCAGACGAGTCAGGCCACAGAATTCACAGGGCTCAGTGCAGACCGAAAACTTGAGGCCTCTTGTTCAGAAATTATTAAAAATTTTGGTGAACATCACCCCAAGCAAAGAGATCCCCTAAGCACCAGCCCCCAAGCAACTGCACTCATAAGCCCATGAAGCCCCCTGCTGTCAGAAACAATGTGGTTGAAATTGTGTATGCACTTGGAAGTGAGATGGATTGCAAAACACAGGTCTCCATGCTGGGGCAGGAGTGGTGATAGGGCATGGAGTGGAAATGTCCAGCAGGCCCACGTGCGAAAATGCAGAGCTCTCTGGCTCTTGCAGACTTGGCTGCTGACAATAGACGCGCTCCAGGAAGGTGCTCGCTGTGGTGTGATCTGCTGCCCACCCCTAGCTCCCTCCAGGAGACTGGTGCGGGGACTGTTTGCAAATGACTGCAAAAGTAAGAAGGTTCCCACAGAGCAGAGCTTGATTTGGGGACCAGCCGAGGGCAGTTTGTCAGGATTCCGGCTTGAAACTGTTCTCACATCTCACCGCCTGAAAGGACGAGTGTGTCCAGAGGACTTAGCATTGATCACCTCTGTCTCCATGCAGCAAACTCAGAGGCTCAGCCCGCATTCCACTGGAAGGGCGTTTGCCAGTGGTGTTGGTTGGAAGAGCCTTGACTTTGCCTTAGGAAACATCTTTTTTTAAGAATTGAAAATAACTTGAGTATGCAACAGTAGGGCATTTGTTATATAAATTAGTTGACTAGTGTGTAGCCAGTAAAATGATGATGGTGGTGTGTATTTGTTAAATAAAAAGATATGTGTGGTATTAAATTAAAAAATATTTTAAAACAACATATTTGTAATCTGTTTAGTGTCCTCTTTTTGTAAAAAGTACAGAAATAAATATACAGAAAAAATAGTAGTCCTAAGTGGTAGAAATTATGAGCATTTTCTTGCCTTTAAAAAAAGTTGTAAAAGATTGTATCATTTATGTAGCAAAAAGTTTTAAGTCAGCATTCTAAAAATTTCGTGTTGTTATAGTTGCTGTGACAAGATTTAACTTCTGTATGCTTCACCAATCAATACAGAGGTATTTAAGACCCGGTGTGTGATAGGCCGCGCTAAAATACTATACACATCTTCAGAAAACTAGAGAACTAACTTCTAACTTCCTATATTAGTGTGGCACGGCTGTTACAAAGATTTTTCTCATTTGAGTCTATCTTGCTTCTTTATCATTGTTTTGACAGTTTCAGAAGAATCGTGGCTTTTCCCCTTTTTTACAGTAAAGGTACCTGAGACTCTTGACGTATTGCTTTTTGGAAATGCTTGTGCTGGTCACATGCTTGCATCTGGGCTAGTGTGTCTGGCTTCCGTGTGCTGGTGGATGCTTACTCTGTTTTCTGAAATACTTTTTCTGTACAGTGGCCACTAGCTGTACTCCTAAGCCACACACCTACCTTGAAAATTCATGTCACTTTTAGAAATAGATAAAAGCCCCTCCCATCCAGAAAAAGTGACTATCATGTATATCCTCATCATGACTAATACTGATATTCCTGAAATTGAAAATACATATTCCATATGTACCATAAAAGGTATTAAAGATATATGGAGTGATAGATATATTATATATAACACTTCTACCCTCACAGTTTTCAGCCTAATTGAGAGGGTAAGATCCCTGAATCATCCATCAGTTTTTCAGGTCTCTGCTGAAAGCAGGCCACAGCTCAGATCCACACATCTGAACCAGAGACAGAGGTGGCCAAAAATAAAAAGGGGGACAGGGGGACAACCTGGTTTAGAGTCAACAAATAGACTGCATTTTCTGGTTAGTGAAGGAGCTCTCCTGAAAGTCATATACCAGAGCATAAATGAGCAGATTTCCTTGAGGTCACCTTCTGCTGGCCATAGCTTTCTTATCTGTGGAGCTGCCAGCTGTCATCCACTTTGGGGCACCTGAGACTGCCGAGCGGCAGGCCAGGACCCAAGTGCGAAAACACAGAACACCTTTTTGTTTCTACTCCACTGATGCTGGGGTTCTCTCCCTGGTGTTTGTGGCTCGTAGTACACTCTGTGGAACATTCACTATGGTCATCGAAGGGCAGCATCTTCCCAGTTGTTTCTTTCTTTTCTTTTTTTTTTTTAATTTAAACCGATCTGAGAAGCCAGCCATCTGTCAGCAAAACAGGAAGGCTCGGGCTGTCTCCTGGGCTCGTTTTGCTGCCGTAGTGAGCGTCACTTCTCCCCGTGTAAGAGTGCTGGTGAAGGCTGAGGCAAGGGCCCAGAAAGATTGAGGGACAAAGACAGGAGCGCCCGCATTGCCCATCTGCCAGGCTGGAGGTGTATTCATTATTGATGGAGGTAGTGCAGTTGCTGCTCAGATATGCAGCCCTGCCTGGGTAAATGAGACATTCTTCAGCAAATTGCTTCGTTTTTTGATTGCTGATTGTACGCGTGTCACCAAGCTGACTCAAGGTTCATCGATGCATGCTCAGTAAATTAGAAAGAACATAACTATGGATCAGCCAAGAGAATGAATTCTGTGCCTACAATGACCCAGGGCCATTTAATTTTCTGCTTAATTTTGTTGCAGTCAGTTTGCATTTTGGGTTATTATGCAGTAGGAAATTAACAATAAATAACAAATTTGGTCCTCCTGTGCTTGTAATGATATTTTTATAAATCTTTGTAATGCTGTTTTTAAAAGGATCAAGGTCTGTGCCAGTCTGATACTCCAGCAAGTATGTGAGGAGGAAAATGCATTATTCTTGCTAGATAACCTTGTTGTTAAATAGCATAGGGGTTCTTTATCTCTCTCTCTTTCTCATATCTTATTAGTATTTTTGCTTTAAACTAAAATCCCTTCCTCTCTTTCTCAGATAACCTGAGGACCATGGATGCTGATGAGGGTCAAGACATGTCCCAAGTTTCAGGTGAGACCTTATGAGATAGCTGTGTGGGAAGTTCATGAGAAAAGCTTCCCTGGGGCCGGAAGTCACAGTGCTTGGTATGCTCATGGGGGAGGAATAGGGGCTATTCTGCAAAAGAAAAGACCATGATGGAATTTGCCTGAGTGTTTCCTTCACCTGTTACAAATTATCTCACTTTGAGCTGAACAGAAAGCCTCCAAGATGAAATTAGTTTTACTGTTAAACTTCAGGAAAAAAAAACGGGAAGAGTTAAATACATTTTTGTACTGTTGGAAGGAAAAATGGCTGATTGGTTTAAAACCCAAACACATGCCAATGATGGTACTTAAAGAGAGAGAGAGAGAGAAGCTTGAAAAACATAATTGTTGGGCACAGTCATGACTGTTTGTTCATTAAGCATGGACACAACATTGCTCCCCTTTGCCATATATCTTTTCAAGCCGTATTGGATATAGCTCTTCTCATCCAGGAGACCCAGGAAGTGGAGAAGTCTGTAGTAGGAAAAGCCTAAGGGTAGGTCACAGACTGTGACCATTTGGCAGCACTGAGGGTGGACGGCGAGCCAGTCCAACAAAACCGCACAGTTCCCCAGTGCATGGACATAGGAAGACAGCTTTCTATCTGGCCCTGTATCCAGAGGCGTCAGCCCCAGTAGCAGCTTTCATGGACTTTGGGGTTTTCGGTATTTCATATTTTTGAGCCTCACAGACTCACAGCCAGCCCCAGAGGCTGACTTATATTTGAGAAAGTTCTCAGTGGCACCTTGCCTTGGCTGAGCGCCCTCGTGTTTTGAAGTTTCTATGGGATTCTACAAGTTGGTGCTCCTGATGAAGACCAGGACCTATGTGTGGCTGCTCCCCTGCTTGGTGGTTTCCCTGGGGAAGGTGCAGGAGAGGATCTTCTGAGTTCCATGGAACTGGAGATAGATCTGCCAATCACAGGCTTCCTTCTCCACCACTCCTCAGCCGCTCTATTCATGTTTCAGATTTTGGACTTAAACTCTCCCAGGTGCAAAGAACAAACAAAAGGCTAGCTTATTTTTCTTTTAGAGTGAGGCTTCGTATTTATTACAATATAATTGCCACATTCTTTGTGTAATTCTCACATTTATATCTTAAATATAATTCTCATGAATGAGAATTATATAATTCTCTTTTTGTATATCATTGAATATTTTCACTTAATTTTTAATTTTTTTAATCGTCACAAAATAATTGTGTACATAGACACAAAATAATTGGGTACATAGTGATGTTGTGATATATACAATGTATAGTAATCGGATCAGGTAAATCAGCATATTCATCATCTCAAACATTTATCGTTTCTTTGTATTAGGAACATTCGACATCTTCCTTCTAGCTATTTGAAACTATATATTATTGTTGACTACAGTCATCCTGCAATGGTGTAGAACACTAGAACTTATTCTTCCTACCTAGCTGTAATTTTGTCTCCTTTAACAAATCTCTCCCTATCTTCCACTCCCCCGACCTTTCCAGCCTCTATTAGCCTCTGTCCTACTTTCTACTTATAATGATGACAGCAGCATTTGTTAGTTTCCACATGTGAGTGAGAACATGTGGCTTTTTAACTTTTAGAATGTGGTATTCAGGCACTTCATGGTACAGTTGGTAAAAGTGAAAATGTGTCCAAAAGTTTGTGATTATCTATATAAACAAAAATGGTATAAATACAAATATCAATTTTGCATTGAAGAACTTACCTTAGAGGTATATTCTCACAAGTGCACAGAGCATTTAAGCATTTGTTCACTGCAGCATTGTTATCAGTATTTTAAAACTATGGTACATCCATGTACTTCCACATACAGCTCTTAAAAATAAGGAGGATATGAATGAACTAGTATGAAAAGAAGTCCAAATACATGTGAAAGTGAGAATAGCATGGTTCTGGATGGTATGCAAAGTATGATCTCGTTCTTTTAAAAGAAAATAAATTACATACACATACATATTTTCTATATGCTTGCCCATAACGTTTAGGAAAATTCTTGGGTGATATTTATTAACCTGGACTTCCTCTTGGAAGACTGATGGTAGAAGGAAGGGGACGAGTTAGGGAAGAGGAGGAGAAGGAAAACTTTGCTTTTCATCTTCTACCTTTTAGCATTATTTGAATTTATTTTCCTTAAGCGTTTACTTTGTTTCGTAAACAAAAAAGCACAAAAACAAAAAACGAGTTAAATGGGAAAAAAAGCAGTTTAGCTCTTTATAGCCTCTCATTTGGCTTCGCCAGCCTCTCACTGCAGCCTCAGAGAGCTGGTCTGGGAAACACTGGTAGATGAGGACTGTAATCCTCACTCATGGAAGAGGATCTCATTCACTGGGTTTGCTGACTGTGACTAGAAGTGATTAGGGTGTCAAAAAACCCAAGCATGTTAAAAATTTCCAGAGGCCAAAAAGATGCTTTCATTGTTCTGCTCTTCTTTTCCTTGTCGCTTTCACTTTGGGTAGCTTCTAAATTGGTATTTTGCATGGTGCATTTAAAGAAAATGAGACCCCTTTGGCCAATGCAGGAGTCTACACTCTGATATTCTAGAGTCAAAGCTGAATGCTGACACCTAGGAATTCATCTCTAGAATGTTTATATAAGGAATAGCCCCTCAGTATTCCGATCTCGTATCTTAGTAACGAAACTAACAAAAGCCTGATTCTCCTCTGGTAGTTTTCTTGTCTTTACCATAATACAAAATAAGTAATTTGTTCTGCACCCTGACTGTTCAAAGGATAGGGTAGCTGGGGGCGGGGACAAGAATGGAGACCTTATTACATAAGACTTCCTGAAAAAGGAAACTCTGTTTTTGTTTGAAATGATTTGGTCTGAAATTTAGTTTGTGTACACTTACCAAAGGGATTCCTATTTCTAAAACACTCATACTGCTTTTGATTCCTGTTAACCTTTGAGCACTCTACGTAATGATGAGAGCACTTAAAGAGTCATGTCACTTTTAGTAAAGAATCAAAGGATACTTTTTCTACTTCTTCGAGTTTGATCTCTGCTTCTCCAGTTAAAACCAGTATTTGTTTTTTTCATTTCTAAAGTTGGAAGAAATGACAGTTAGTTATGGCATAAGGATGTACATTTAACCAAATAGGAGTTGACATTCTTGGTAAGAAATCTTACCAAGATTATGTTATAGATTATAAGAAATCTTAACAAGAATATGTTCCTAAATCATCCTCTTTTCCCATAAAATATTAAAGTATCAGCAATTTCATAGGATTCAACCTAATGTATGCGAAATGCTAGATAAACAGATAAATACTTAATATCTGGCTTTTTTTCAAAGCACTGGGTTATTTGTTCCTTGAGATTTATCCTAAATGTGGGCTATACCCTGGTTTACAGTGTCTCACAGATGTGTAGTAGTAGACACTCCATAAGTGTTTACTGACTTGAATCCACAGGGTACTGAGAAAATGCTACTGATAGACTTGGAGGAGAGCATATCTAAAGCAAGCTACCCTTTCCTTTAGGGCACGTCTCACTAATTCTTTGGGTAAAGCGTATTTTTCTTCCTTTTGTGTTTTTGGCAGTCTTTCCAAAAATACGTGTTATACCTATGCATTATTTTTTGGTTTGGTTTCTAAAGAAAGAGTCAGCCGGTGGGAAAGTGAAGGATGTGGGAACTGAGAGATCTGCATCAGCATCCCACCTCTACCTCCCACGATGGGACCTGAGACAGTTATTTTTGCCTCCTGGACCACTATAGTATCATCTGTAACAGGAGGGACTTGAGCCAGTTGATCTCTAAGGTTCCTCTGGCACCTGTGACCCTAAATAGATATTGGATATTGGTTTAATGCTATTTGTAGTGTGTTTTTTTGGGGATATGGAAACCAGAAGTTTGTTTCCATAAACATAAACATAAACTGTATATATCTAAAGGATATGGAAACCTTTAGATATATATAATCTGCTTACGTAAAGAAGGTTTGTATATATTGCAGTGTCAATGGGAATATTTTATCAAGTTAAGCATAGTAAATCACATTGATTAAATGCTTTGTATTTACCAAACATTACCCAAAGTGTTTTCTCCTTTCAACCTCACAAGGACCCACAGAAGAAAATACAGTTATCATTTCCAACCTGCAGGGAGCTGAGACACAGAGAATTTAAGCAACTGACCGGAAGTCCAACAGGGAGTCAGAGATTGCTCTGGGGTGTGATCCCCACTTGGACCCTAGAGTGGAAGCTTCTCCACTACTTTATAGAGTTGAGATTCTATATTTTGAGCTTGTATTTACCCAGAGAATTATATCCTCTTGGGCAATTGTGTATAATAAAACCTCATGCATTTAGGAGAGGCGGGATGACAGAACTTTGTTGAGTGAATTATAATCTACTTGAGAAATTATTTGCTTACATTTTATAAGCTAATTATACCATATCTCATCCAGTTTTCCCAGAACACTTCTCATAGGTAATGCTTTATTTGAAACATAGGCCATAGGTAAGTTAAGTGTAAATGTGTATTTTTATAATTTAACCAGAAGTTTATTTCATTTTTCTAAATAAGTGAAATTGTATTGCATCTTCTAAATTATTCTATTTAAACACTTGATGTCTTGCTGTCTCCGTCTCTGTGTGTTTGCATGTCATTGTACATGTTCTTAGGAAAAGTGTGGGAGCTTGACGCAATATATACCTTATGTTTCTATGTGCATATAGTTTACCAAATAATACCATAAGTTTACTTAGCATATTAGAATCCATGCACATTATTTTTATTTTATCTTCACCGCAACCCTGTGGGATAGACCAAAATCATGCTTTTCAGCCTCCTTTTTCCACTTGAGGAAAGGAGTCTTAAAAAAGGGACCAGTCTCATGTTCCCATTCGTCTTACAACTAATTGGTCAAGCCAGAAAGCCAGAACTATGTCCTGGGTCACTAACTCCTAGTCACTGTGTGTTAGTATTTGAGATGCCTGTTGGCTTGATTTAGTCATTTATTTTTTAGTGTTTTATAATCCTTGCATACTTTTACATTTTAAATGGTTAACCAGGCAAATTGGTTTAAAATCAGTGCATAAAAATACTGTGCCTATCATGATGGGTTTCATGAAGTGATAACTTTTCATCATGGAGATCCTCAGCTGTCACAGAAGATGAGGGGCCCTGGGTACAGAGGCTCACGTGAGGGATGAAAGTCTCAGCAGCCCGGACTTACACTTTGGGGCTTTTAGGCAAATCAGACAACCTCTTAAGAACTATCACTGAGTTCAGGCAAGGCGAGCTTGAATTAACACAGGGCCCTTGGTGGGCATGTGAATATATCTCACTTCACTACCATCCAGTTCTGACTCTTTACTAGATGCCCCTGTACATACCAAGACTGATTTTTTATTCTCCCTTCTCCCCATGTGGTTTCTTCTGCATAGAGAGTTCCTATTGATCAGTCTGACCCATGGTATTTTAGAATTGCGATCCCTACTGTTTCATTATTCCTTTTTCTCCCCCATGTTGAAAAAAATAAATGTCCTGAGATGCAAGATCAGGGACACTGGAGCACTGACATTTAGTTCAGTGCAGGAACTGAAGGCAGATGTAATTCTTAAGAAGCGTACCTGTTATTATGAACCATCCTCAACAAATTGTAGTGGATCTTGTTTTCTCATAGATACAGCAGTTAAATTTTTTAATAAAAGTAACTAAGAGTTATTTGGATGTATTTTAGCATGCACTGAGCGGAAAGTACGACATTTCTTCATTGGGTAAGTCCTGATTCTTTATGATCCTCACTTGGTTCCAGGGCCCCATGCATCTAAGGGTGTCTCAGAGCATCCTGCAGTGCTCCAGCATGATCGCAGGGAAAAGCTATAGGAGGAAAAGAGTCAATAAAGTTTAGTTTCTCAACCTCCCACCTCCACCCCATAATAATGACAGCTGGTTAATCATGAGACGCGTGCACACCCCACACGCCCTGTACATGTTTACTCATTGGGATAGCATGTCAGGCCAGAAGGCTCCATGGTCATTTCTATGAAGGTACTTTAGCAGGTCTTCAAGAAGGCAAGTGGCCTGGGTCCCTGCCTCCCCAAATTGCAAGCTCCCTGCTTTATGTAGGAGACCTATGTGTATATTACAGTTCTGTGTAAGATTATTTTGTTATTCTTACCCCCACACCCACCCCCCAACCCCCCGCTGCCACCAAAAAAAAAAAAAAAAAATTCCTCTGACAACCTTCATAAAGTCCTGGGAGTTTGAACACCATTGCTCTAGGAAGTCATCTTATACAAAAATAAGAGTTGTGAGGTGGTTCATATACCTCCTGCGTTCTCCTATTTGGAGTTTTTCCCCATTTATGAAAGAGGTGAAAACGCTAAGATATTTAGCAATTATTACTTTAAACATTTTCTATTTATAGGCCGGGCGCAGTGGCTCATGCCTGTAATCCCAGCGCTTGGGAGGCCAAGGCAGGCAGATCACGAGGTCAGGAGATCGAGACCATCTTGGCTAACACGGTGAAACCCTGTCTCTACTAAAAAAATACAAAAATTTAGTTGGGCATGGTGGGGGATACCTGTGGTCCCAGCTACTCGGGAGGCTGAGACAGGAGAATGGCTTGAACCTGGGAGGCCGAGCTTGCAGTGAGCCAAGATCGCGCCACTGCACTCCAGCCTGGGTGACAGAGCAAGACTCTGTCTCGAAAAAAAAAAAAAATTCTATTTACAGCAGTGAAAATAGTAGTGACTTAATGCACATTGCCAAGGCTTTAGCATAACATGAACACTTTCACTCAATGTCTCTCTGGCCTTTTGTTTTTCCTTGGGAAATTCTTATAATCCTGCTCCGTCTTTAACTATTCATTTTGTATTGGCTATCCAAATATACCCAATAATGCTCTTTCTGAAAATATGCCAATTGTGGTAATTACAGCTAAGCTGGAATATTAAATTGTGATGTCTGTTTTCCAGAGAATGAAGTAGTATTCCCCAGAGCATAGGCTTGGTGCCTGTGCAGGTTCTATTTTAAATATTCCAGGAAGGGTTGTTTTATATACTGAGGATGATTTTACTGGTCTTGCCAGTCGTCTGAAATGCTGGTATTACTCTTGTGGAAGGTTTATTCAAACAAACAAGGACATTTCACACAATACCTAGTCATGTTTTTCAGACATTTTAATGTTTGGTTCATCATTTGCACACACTCTCAAAAATCTAGGTTTGTCTATGTGTTCATATCATTTTGCCTGTTGCCAGCTCAGTCAGCAGGCACACTCTCCCAGGCTGTTGCTGTTTTGTTAGACTTCTTCAGGACCTTCATCTAAAATGGTCTTCCACACGTAGCTATACTGCATAAGTTCACATCATCTGTTTCTTGCATGTGGGTTGTGTCTCAACTCAAGTTTAAGTTAGATTTGGAAGGGCGGAAACTATAGGAGTTGCAGCTTCAGTGGAGAAAAGAGCATTTCCTACTAGTTATGGCTTCCCAAGGAAGGTTAGATTCCTCAGAGTAGGAGTGATTCCCCAATGCTAGAACCTTTGGTCAAATATAATTCTAATCCAGTCAAAATAAATACAGGTATTCTGTAAAACCCGATTTCATTTTGTAAATCCTACTTTGTATAGTATAAGCAATTTTTGTATTTGTGTGGATTATATTTTATTTTCCTATTTCAAAGAGAAGAATTTGTATTAGCAGACTCCCTTTGCATGCGGAGAGGGGATCATTTTCCCAGTAGGCATGGGGTTCCCTTCCATTCCTTGTCCAGTCTTCTTTTCCCCACTAAGTTAAGTCAAACTAAGCAGCTGGTAAGATATTCCCTGGTTCTTGCAAAGAAAGTGAGCAGATGGCAGAATGTATAGCTCTAAGCAGAATACCTGGTGTGGTATCCTCAAACACAAATTGACAGGAGGGTGTGGTGTGGCAAGCTCATTGTGGGGGTAAATTGGAATAAGCTTACAGGGGGAAGAGTTGACAAAAGATAGGAAGAACCTTAAAAATATAGATGCCTTTTATGCAGTGATAAAATGTCTAGATATTTATACTGTGGTGATTATTAGGAATATGTGCAAAGATTGGCTATTAGGATGTTCATTACAGTGTTGTTTAATAATTATAAAAGGACAGAAAGCAATGTGGACTCAAAAATAGGAAAAGAATTTAAATAAATCCTAGTGTACCCGTTATACATGAAATTATGGAAATATGACCCTGAGCATGGAAATATGTACATGAGAATGTCTAAAAGCTAGTTCATTTTGAAAAACAAAATAATGTCACCTCATATTATTTATAGTATATAAAGATGATTTTAAGAGTGGCAGTGTCTGGGATTATAGGTGATTGTATTTCTTCCCTTTTGCACATCTATGTTCTCTCATTTGTATTGTGTGGGGAGAAGTGACTTTTTTTATAAAAAGAAAAAGGTATATGCATCCCAGCAGAGAAGCACTGGCTCCACCCAGTACCTGCCTCCTCATGCCACCCTCTCAAGCCAAAAGCCGGGGGAAGCCCAGGCACCTTGACCATGACCGCCCGAGACTCACACTTCTTCTTTCTCATCAGGGAAGGAAAGCCCCCCTGTAAGCGATACTCCAGATGAGGGCGATGAGCCCATGCCGATCCCCGAGGACCTCTCCACCACCTCGGGAGGACAGCAAAGCTCCAAGAGTGACAGAGTCGTGGGTAAGTGGGTCACCAGCGGCCTCTGTGCCTGTGAAACCTTTATCTCTTTGTATTTTTCCAAGACAGTGATGAAGGGATGCAAGTCATTTTATCCATTGTGTTCCCTCAACTGGCATATTAAAGAAATATGGCACAAAGATCAGCAGGATGGGGGTCCTCTGGTGTGTGGGAGGATGGACACTCACAGGCCAGCATGGCCGTGAGAGCCACACACCCCGCAAAATGTCCAAGTTGAGGAGCAATCCTGCCCAGGGACGCGTCTCTGTCACTGTCCTCTGTCCTCACTGCACTTGCAGGAATATCAAATGTTATGGATTGTAGATCGTGAAAATTACACACTTACGTGTTTTGGCAACAGTGCTTTTCAGTGTTTGGGGTTAGAACAAGCCACATCTGGCCATTTTATGTTATCCCTCTAATCTCTAGTTCTTAAATTTCAGATTTAACTGAAAATAGAAAGTTTCATAAATGGTAATTTTTAAATGTTAGAAAAAAATCAAAGCACACATTTACATACCTTTTCCATAAAAAAGTGTGTGTGAAACCATCTGCAACTCCACTGGTTAACTTACACATGCGACAGTTTGTGTTTGGAAAACTTCACCCACCCTCTTTATTTCAAGAAACCAAAGACGGAGAGAAGTTCAGTGAATTAACCAAGGTGAAATGACAGAGTCAGAATTGAACTGAA
Source organism: Homo sapiens (assembly GCF_000001405.40). Classification (NCBI taxonomy): domain Eukaryota; kingdom Metazoa; phylum Chordata; class Mammalia; order Primates; family Hominidae; genus Homo; species Homo sapiens. The sequence goes on from NC_000007.14 coordinate 50,328,449, forward strand.
TTTCTGACTGAAAAACTAGTTCTCGCTCCATTATACCATGTTCTAATGAGCTAATGAGTCAACAGTTCCCTGGAATACCTGTTTTCTTCTTTAAAAAGAGAAAGAGCTGTGATACTGAGAGCTACCTATTGGCATAAAAGAATATGAAGGACATACAGGTAAAATGAGGTAGACTGGATCAATGTGGGTCAGCTACATAAGCCCCCATAGCCAAGGAGGGAACATGTATGTAAAATTCTCAGGCTTATGAGAATCACAACTGTATGTCTATAGGACATCCTAATGCAATAATGGGAAAATGTGATAACTGAATTTTATCTACATGTATAGAAAACATATTTTGGGCCGGGCATGGTGGCTCAAGCTTGTAATCCCAGCACTTTGGGAGGCCGAGGCTGGCGGATCACAAGGTCAGGAAATCGAGACCATCCTGGCTAACACGGTGAAACCCTGTCTCTACTAAAAATACAAAAAATTAGCCGGGCGTAGTGGTGGGCGCCTGTAGTCCCAGCTACTCGGGAGGCTGAGGCAGGAGAATGGCGTGAACCCGGCAGGCGGAGCTTGCAGTGAGCCGAGATTGCGCCACTGCACTCCAGCCTGGATGACAGAGCCAGACTCCATCTCAAAAAAAAAAAAAAAAAAGAAAAAGTAAAGAAAACATATTTTGTATGTTTTTTATGTGTCTTAGAAACCAAGTGGACTAGGTATAATGGTTCTTTTTTTTTTTAACTCAGCAGCACAGTTAATGGCACAAACAGATAAAGATGGTGGCTAAAGCCATTTGGTGTAGATGAATCCAGAAAACAAGTACATTTATGAATTATTTTACCCTATTGGAAAATGGCTACTATATGTGGAAAGTAGAGGGGAAGAGAAATGAACTTGTGAATTATCTACTCTATTCTACCAAAGAAAGATACATATATCATTTCAGGGTTTTCCAAAGTTGGGATGCAAAGGATCATGTTTCATTTTAATTTATGTATTTATTTTTGAGATTGTCTTCTATGTATTGCAAGTGATACTGGTTTTACCATGCACTGTACCACTACGAGGGTTCCTTTCAAAACACATTCATATAAATTAAAAAATCAGTTTAAATAAAAACATCAAGTCAATAGTAGTACATAGATATGATAAAAGTTTGCAAAAGTGGCACAGGAATAGTCATTGGGTGGTGATGTTCCCTGATTTTTTTAGTCCCTGAAGCACCCAGCGCCAAGGGTACTGTTCTTCCTGCTTAACACAGGAGCAAACAGATGCTCACACCCTGCCCAAGAACACAGAGGCTCAGGGACTGAACCAGAAGAAATGATCCATTAACCATGTAAATGAACAGAGAGCCTGGATGTCAGAGTGAGGAGGCCAGCTCGGGTCGCTGTGGAGAAAGAGATGGGCTCTCCCTGGAATCCCTGCAGCTGCCCTTAGAGGCTGTGAGCCATCGTGGCTAGGGCATCTTTAGAGAACTGAAAGTCAGGCCGATTCCTGGAGAGTGAAGAATAGCACACGTGCCTTCAAAACAGTGTCAGTATCCTGTCCCTTACGGACGTCATATTGTTGGTGGGTTTTCCTGGGTGGGAGATCACCCAGTATCTGGTTGGCATTACTGATGGGTTCCCAGAGCTGTCTTTTGGTTCAAAGTCCTGCCCTCGGTCCCAGCTGCCCCCAGCACAGGTGTCACCTTGGAGTCAGGGGCGGGTTTGTCATAGCCCATGGGTCCTGGCCCTGCCCTTTATCATGTTTGACATGATTTTCAGTCTACTTTTCCTTCAGGATGTAATTTAGAAAATATGATTTCAGAATTGTGAAATTTAAAAACCCTAGAAAACCTCTTTGCTTTGCTTGTAAATAGCAGTTGATGCAGCCCTGTGGACAGGCGGGAACAGCCATGTGACGTGGGCACTGAGATGATTTGGGAGATTGAATGCTCCTCAGTGGGGCTAGAGGCCACAGGAGTGATAGGTTACTGTAAAGAAAGCAAAAAAGATGCAAAAGCCTACATGACAAACCAGGCACGACACAAAGGAGAGGCTTGAGAAGAGGAAGTGAAGGAGGGAGAGGATTCCACAAGACCGAAGTGCCCAAGGAGACATGGAGGGAAGAGAGGGCTCTTCACAGAGCTGAGTTTAGAGACCACCCTCCATGGTTCTGGAAGGAAACCAGCCAGCTTTCATATGTGGTGACAGGCTGTTCATTAATTTGTAGTGTACAGCATTAAATAAATGAAGTATGTAGAGAACATTAGGAAACAATATAAAAAGGTAGGGGAATTCGTGGATAAAGGGAATAACCTGGGTACCATATTTCATCACATTATTCCATGGGAATAAGTCATCAGTGCAAAGGACTGTAAGGAGTGCACAGCAGGAAATGAAAAGACAGAAGCAGTGGGGCCGAGAGGAGGAAATGGAGTTGCTGAAATGCAGGGTGAGCAGCAGGGGCGGAGAGTGCCCTGTGGGTAAGGCACACCTCAGAAGGGACAGGTCCAGGCCCTCTCCTCCCTGGCCTGGAGCTTCTGGCAAGGCTTTTCTTCTCTGAGCCTCACTTTCCTCTTTTGAAGGTGGCAATAGTAACTGAACCTGCATCACAGAATGGCCTTGAGGGTTAGATGGAACATATATAGACATAATTTGTTGAAGACAGAGTAGCAAAGACACAAAGTAAAAAGGACAGAAAAAAGAAATGCAACTTGTGCAAAATAGAACTTTCAAAGATTTACAAGAAGGGTAAATGAAGCTATCGTAGCTTCACTTGGGAAAAGGGAGAGAACAGATGACCAGCACCAAGGATAGAAGAGGGATTTCTTACTTTAAAAAAAATGGTCCAAAGAATAAACAAACTGAAAACAGCCAAAAGAGAAAGGAAGAATTTGTTAGAATAGGGCAAGACTAAAGGACAGAGTAAGGGTGCTGGCCGCCACCTGACTCAAGTTCAAGTCGAGCTGCCACTGTTGAAATTTCAAGGAGAAATGGTGAGAAGCTAAAAGATGCAAAAAAAAAAAAAAAGTGGGAAATTATTTGCTAATAATAGATTGCAAGAGTGTCTGCTTTAGAAAGTGACAAGGAACACTTTTGGAAAGCTGTGAGCTGTTATGACCACTGGCATCCTTCAGTTTTAGACAAATCTAATCTCAACAAGGATAACAGACCATATTAATAAACAAATTGATGGGAATGGTGGAAATCAGTTCCCTATGAGGAGGGTGCAAAGTTATACTGATTGGTGAGTCACTCCCAGAATAAACAAATAATGGTTTCACACCTCATTGCTTCATTCAGTGTGGAAGGAACATTCTAGGTTTGTGTGTAAGTTTGGGGAGAAGGAGACAGAGCCAGAGGGCAGAGCAGCCCTGCAGCCCTCAGTTGGCCTCCATTTTCTTCCCGGTCTGAAGAAAATGAAACAAAGGATTTAAAGTGTTGCTTGAAGAATTTAAGTTAGACTTAAAGGAGAGATGTGGTCTTTACTCTCCTTTTGGCAAGGAGAGTTTAGTCATCAGAATGGTCTATTTAGTGAGACTGTAGCTTGTTCTTCTGAAGTGGTCTTTTTAAAAACTAGAGAACTCTCACCTCTCTGAAGTGGTTGTGTATGAAACTGTTTAAAGCCGAGGATGCACTCAGTGACCTCTTCAGGCAACCCCAGATTTACTCAGTCAGCCATGGCACACATGCTAGAGAAGTAAAAAAATGAATTGAGACTTGTTCTGAAAACTCTTGAGCAGGGGCTCTTAAAAGTTTTTTGTTTAGGAATTATGTCAGGGTTGGGGTCTGGAGAGCAGATAAGTGTTTTGTGTGAGAAAAGTAAAAACTTAGTTATTTTCTTCCCGTATTCAGTAATCCTTGCATTTTTTTCCTCCTCCTTTATACATACATTTTTGCCAGTTACTGACTTCTCTCTTGTACACATTTCCGTGTCCTAAATTAACCAAGAGTCCTCAGCCACTAGGATTCTATTGACAAGCCCACAGGTCTGGAGGTGTGAGTAAGGGCATTCCTCCCCCATGAAATCAGGCAGCAGGGGAGGCGTTTGGGTGGGTGGAACAGAGGAGCAAAAGACCAGAGGACAGAGAAGAAAGATTGCAGGCTAGAAAACGGGATGGCCACCCCTGAGAAAGAGGACAAGCAAATTTAGGGCTTAGAGTAGAATTGAAGAAAAAACCCAGGGCAGAGGCACAGGAATGCTGTAGGACTGAACTGGGACCATGATTGATGTAAGTGGAGATGGGTTGGTTGAATCCGTGGAAGGCCAAAGGATTGAGGCCCATATGGGCCTGGGACAGGGCTTACTAAATGACTTGCTACCTGGCTTGATAATCGGGACAACCTCAGGCAGTAGTTATTCAGGCGGGAGGACACATGAGTTTGAATATAGGGAGATAAGGTATATTTCTATATGCCCTGGTACATTCCAGAATGTGCTTCTCTGGCTCTGTGCACTGGAGCAGCCAACTCCTGAAGTTGGGAGGGGATCGCCATGGTTTCATGAGTGGTTTATTTCAGCTTGCATCTCACAGTGTGGTGTTCAGAGGCATAGGCTCTAGGCTCCCTGGCAGCACTGAGAGATAGAAACTGAATCAGCACAACTTAGGTCCTTCATGTTGAATAGTTTGAACAGAATTTGATTTACCCTAGCCTAATTGAAAAAAAAAAAAGTAGAAAAGAAATCTAGGTATTTTCCCTCTGGACTCCAGAACAAATGATTGAGTGTGTAAAAGCATAAATCTTTTTTATTCATTCAATTGAAGTAAAAATTTCTTTACTCAGCCATGAGTTCTAAGACTGCAGTGGGAATTGTAAGAGGATTACCATATTTTAAATTGGCTATTCTGGTGCCAAATCTCCCCTTCATTTTACAGTTTCAGGCAGAAGACCAGCACGGTAGTCGGGGGAGGGGGGTGGGTAGACAAATGGTGGTAACAGTCCTCTACACTCTGGGAGGGAAGGAGCGGTGCTGGGGACAGCTTTCACCATGGAAAGAAAGCAGCCGCTCTGGAGATTGGGCAGCAGGCTTTTGAGCACGGATGCGGAGCCTGCTTATCTAATCAGCAGCTAGAGGAAGTTGTTTTTATCTGCGAAATGCATCTCTTCTGAACCGATAAACCCCATTTTAGCTGGGGAGAAATATTATCTAGCAGCATCTGAGCATTAGCTGCAGCTGAACTCAAGCATGTTCAAATGTGAGAGAAGTCTCAAGCCGAGAACTGTTTGCCGAACTTCAAGTGGCTGGAGTACTGGTTTTCAAGTTTTCTTTTCTTTCTTCTTTGAGGAATAACTGAAAGCATATTATTTGGATTCTTGTTCACCTTGCTTTTTTAGTTCCTTTCCCCCTTCATAGTTGAATTATTGTTCAGTGGTCCATGGAGCAAATTTTGAAAATTCTATGTTATTCATCTTGCAATTTACTACCACTATCTTGGAATGCCTCGTGAAGACAGCAGGTATTGTCAGCATGAACATATCCAAACCCAGATGATCCCGGTTGGAAAGCCTCCCCTTTTTCAAATTTCCCAAACATGAAATATAGTATTACAAAATGATCTGCCCACCTCTAAGCTTTTCCATGTTTGATAAGAGAGGCCATCATGTAACAGGTTCATTGCTTCGCATTTCAAAGTAAATTTTAATTTACAGTCTTCCAGATTCGTTTTGGGTAGGATTTTTATGTCTGCTAATTTGTCAAATAGTTCAAAATGTTTAGGGATCATGATGTCTTCCACAGAACTTCATGACAGTTTTGATTTTAGATTAAAGTAAGTGACTTTTGTGCTATATCAGATAACATCTTGTACTAGGTTTTGGAATAGACCGGTGAGATCAGGCAGCAGAAGTTTAATAACTTTCCTTGGAAAACTGAAATTGATGTGTGTGTGTTTGTGTATATGTGCATGTGGTACATGTGTTGTGTGTGTGCAGGTGTCTGTATATATGTGGGGGGTATATGTGGTGTGTGATGTATGTATATGTATGTGTGTGGCATGTGTGTGTTTGTATCTATGTACATGTGGTATGTTTATGCATGTAGTTGTATGTTGTGTGTGTCATATGTTTGTGTGTGCATGTATGTGTGTGGTGTGTGTGTGTATGTGTAGTGTATATGTGTATGCTGTGTATATGTATATGGGGTGTGTATGTGTGTGGTGTGTGTATATGAATGGGATGTGTAGTGTATGTGTGTGCTGTGTATATGTGTATGGGATGTGTGGTGTGCATATGTAGTGTGTATATGTGTGTGAGATGTGTAGTGTGTGTGTGGTCTGTATATGTGTATGGGATGTGTGGTGTGCAGTGTGTATATGTGCATGGGATATGCGGTGTGTATGTATGGTGTGTTCATGTGATGTGTATATGTGTGTGGGATGCATGATGTGTGGTGGATATGTGTGTTTGGGATATGTGGTGTGTATGTGTGGGGTATGTGTGTGTATGGGATGTGTAATGTGTGGTGTGTGTGTGTGTATGGGATGTGTGGTGTATGGTGTATATATGTGTATAGGATATATGGTGTGTATGTGTGGTGTGTGTGCAAGTAATATGTATATGTGTGCAGGATATGTGGAGTGTGGTGTATATGTGTGTATTGGATGTGTGGTGTGTATGTGTAGTGTGTGTGGTGTGCATGTGTGCATGGGATGTGTGGTGTGTATGGGATATATGGTGTGTGGTGTGTATATGTTTATGGGATGTGTGGTATGTATGTGTGATGTGTATGTGTATGGGATATATGATGTGTATGGGATGTGTGGTGTGTGGTGTGGATATGTATATGGGATGTATGGTGTGTATGTGTGTGAGATGTGTGGTGTGTATATGTGTTGTGTGTGAGATGTGTGGTGTGTATATGTGTTGTGTATGTGTATGGGATGTGTGGTATGTGGTGTGTATGTGTGTATGGGAGGTGTGTTGTGTATGTGTGTGTGGGATGTGTGGTGTGTGGTGTGTATGTGTGTATGGGATGTGTGGTGTGTATGTGTGGTGTGTATGTGTGTATGGGATGTGTGGTGTGTGTGTGGTGTGTATGTGTGTATGGGATGTGTAGTGTGTATGTGTGGTGTGTATGTGTGTATGGGATGTGTGGTGTGTGGTGCATAGTGTGTATGTGTGTATGGGATGTGTGGTGTGTGGTGTGTATGTGTGTTGTATGTGTATGGGATGTGTAGTGTGTATGTGTGTTATATGTGTATGGGATGTGTGGTGTGTATGGGATGTATGGTGTGTATGTGTGTATGGGAAGCGTGGTATGTGGTGTGTATATGTTTATGGGATGTGTGCTGTGTATATGTTTATGGGATGTGTGGTGTGTATGTGTGTATGGGATGTGTGGTGTGTCTGTGGTGTATGTGTGCACATGCATGTGGCAGCTGAGCCACTGGGGTGTTTGCTGTGCCTGGGAGCAGGCCATGTGGGTAGGTAGGCCTGGCTCTATTGATTCCTAGCTGTTGGCCCTGGCAGGTGGCTCTGCTGTTCCTTCATTGTGAGGTGAGGGCGCCCCCTCACCCGATCCTGGCTGTCATGTCTGTGAAGCCTGACCCAGCAGGGCACAGCATAGAGGGCTGTCCAGAGCAGCTGCACTGATATCATCATCATCTGCATTTTGGCCTGCTCCATGTCTGACATTCCTGTTAAGCAGGTGGCTTTAGGGAGAAGCATTGACACACTGACCCCTACAAAAAGCTTACAGTTCCTCAGTGATAAAACACAGGGTGCAGCCCGTGGCCAGGCTGGGTCCCCGGAGAAGACTCAGTTGGCAAACGCCATGTGGTTGCCACAGCTGGAAGCACTGGGGGAGGAGGAGCCCTGCCTGGCCCCGGCGGGGGCAGGGGGAGGGTGCAGGGGGAGGGTGCAGAGGGAGGGGATGAGTCATTTTGCCACAGGCACGCATGTGCTGGTGAAGGGGCGTGCGTGGGGACCATGGGTCACATCTCGGCTGTCCCCTTCTTTAGGAAGGGGTGGAGGTGGCAGGAGTGGGGCGGGTTGCAGGCTCAGAGGCACAGGAGGCCCGCACTCGCTCTGAGGCTGAGGAATAAAGGGTGTGGTGCTGGAAAGGGAACCCTCAAACCTGCTGACCTGGGAATAGCCCTTCAGGGGGCCTGTCAGATAGCTCGCCCTTGGGACAGGCGGTGGCGAGAGGCCAGGAGGCCTTTGGTGCAGGAGGGGAAGAAAGGCAGGGAGGGGCGTCTCAGAGGGCAGAGAAGGGCATCTCAGCAGCCCCGTGGTGTTTGCCCCTTTGAGGCGGTTCCATCCGTTGGCTGCATTGTCCACTTCGGTGACTGGGGCCACAGTGATTCTGCTGAATGCAATGGGAACTGTACCCAGAGTAGGGGTTCGCATGAGACCAAGGGATGGTGTCTAGCCACGGAACAGTCTGGAAGGTAGGGATGTAAGTCATAGGGCAAGTTCCATCTGTGGGACACTATCAGCTCAGGAGGGACAGCCAACAAAACAGCAGGACCACAGGGGCCCTGGGGAGTAAATGCCTTTAATTGTCTAAGAGAGGAGCAAAGAAGGAGACAGAGTGAGTTGTGTGATTCGGGTAAAATTTCTAGAAAGAAACATGGCGAGAGGAGTTGCTGGGGACAGGATAATGCCCTAGAAAGAGGTGTCTGGGGGTTGGCGGTGGGTTTCCCACAAGCGGCTCGGTAGGATTGGGGCAAAACCAACCATGTGAGAGGGACCGGGAGCGGCACAGGAGAGGAGGCAGCAGCTGTGGGCTGTCAGGCATCAGGAACCAAGGGAAGAAAGAAGACAAGGAGCTGGTTGGGGTCGGGGGTCACAGGACTAGGGGATGGTATTTACAGGGTAGTCTTTTTAGGAGAATGTTTAAATGTGATTGAAGTCCAGTAAGTGGGAGCTAGCAGAATAGAAAGGATTAAAATCTAACTAGCAGCCCCAGGGTAGGCCGGCGTGAGTCACCTATGAGCTGGGCCTGGGCCTGGACTATCCCCTAGGTTTCCTCTTGGCGCTCTTCTCCCTTCCCTCAGGGCTCTGTGCAGTGGTCTCCACACAGAGAGGTCTTCCTGGACACATGCCCTAAGATAGCGTTCTCAGCACTGTTGCTCCTTGCCCTGCCTTATAGCAGCAACGTCACCACTCGTAGATGAAGGACTCAGCTCTGATTTGCTCCCTGCGTGATCCCCAGTACCTGGGCATCCCCCAGCCTAGAGTAGGTGCTGTCTGATACATTGGTATTGAATGAATGAATGGGAATGTGGCACTGCTTTCTCAAAGATGAGGGCAAATGGAGCATGTAGGACAGTAGAGAGAACTTTCAAAGTGAGAGGAGAGAATTTGAGGCTGCATCTGATGTTCATCATCTTATTTTAGGTCACTGTTTCTCAGTGGGCACGATGATATTTGATGTAGGGGGCACTTCTTTGGGTGAGACTGTCCCTCCCATTGCAGGATATTTAGCCACCCACATCACAAGTGGTACCATGGTGATTGTGATACCCAAAATGTCTCCACATTTCTCAGGTGAGGACCCTGCTGGAAAAGCCACCAGTTAGCCCGGACACATTCGTCCTCACTTCCTTCAGTACTTCCCACTCGTAAGAGCTTTGAAAATTCAGAAGGGCAATCTTTGGCAGATTTGTTAAGGTTTTTTAATATAGCCAGTAATGTTCCAGAATCTGACATGTGAATTTTAAAAAAAAACTATAGAGAAATTGGACCAGAAAGGTTGAAAAATGCCAAACCTTGCATTTTCAACCATGCTTGCAGTGATGACTATGTGTCTTCAAAGGTGCAGATTAACTATGGAAAGTTGCTTATTTTTATAAACAAAAACCAATGTTAATCTTCATTTTATTTTGATGCCTTACACTCAAGATCACATTGAACCTAATTCGTTCAATAAATAGAACCAACTTCTAGAAAATAAAGAGATCCTTAGATTAAAAGTGCTGTCAGAGTAGATAGATAACATTTTCTGTTGCCGGGTTTTTGGTCCCAGTTTTATTTTCTGCCTTGTTCCATCTGTGTTGAAAGAATAGTTAGCTCTGTGTATAAAACAACCAACTGACATTTCGTTAACTTTCCTTCTACATGGGGTTTCAGAAAGAAATGGGGAAAAAAAGGCTGGGGGGTTGAGCTGTGGTTGCCAGTTGCCACCTGTCCCCCTATCTGGTTAGGGCATTTTCTGATTTGGGAAGTGTAAATATAACCCAGAAAAAACAGCTTCCCCTCCTTTTATGCAAAAGTAGAAAGGCTTAAACAGAGTACAGCCTTAACATTGCCCCGGAAAGTTTCCACAGAACCCGTTAGACTAAATGAAAGCTCTTGCTCTGGGGGAGTGGGCCATGCCAGGAAGCTGCCCTACCAAGCCCTCTCTTGCTGGCAAGGCAGGGCTGGGCCTGGGCTACTGTCTCCCACCAGATAAGCCCAGCTTTCTTCAAGGCCCTAACAGGAACCTACATTTCACAAATTACCGCAGACACGCTCACAATTTTAAACTCTTTGCCTGTTAGGATCAGTGAGATAACAGAAACTTATAGGGAACTCAGAAAGCATGCTCCGGTGAGCAGTGAGCCACCTAGAATCAGCCAACTGGTAATATGCGGAAAATCTGCCAGGTTGTTGGTAAACTTTTGGTAGCTTGAAGTCTACCGTGGTTGGGAGTATTTACACCACAGAAATCGGTGAACGCTGCAAATCAAGGCTTTTTCTTTTTGAGAGCTGGTTTATCTGTGCACCACTAGCTTAAATACACTTTTAATGTCCTGACAGCTGAAATTTGACAGTGAAATTTGAAAGGAGGAATTCTTTTGGGTAGGGTTGTGTGTGTGTGTGTGTGTGTGTGTGTGTGTGTGTGTGTGTGTTGTGGAGGAGGAGCTGGGAAAGGGTGAATCTATTGGGGAGGACTGTGGGGTACATATAATTTGTCCAACAGAAGAGTTGGTTCCAAATGACTCTTTGCTGTTGAAGTCACAAACTGGAAATGTTGGAGCAACTAGACTCTCCATATTCTAAACAAAACACATCTTTAGCATTTAGTTTGGTTGCTGGGGGAGTATGATTAGAAAAGGATTTGGCCAGGCATGGTGGCTTACGCCGTAATCCCAGCACTTTGGGAGGCCGAGGCAGGCAGATCATGAGGTCAGGAGTTTGAGACCAGCCTGGCCAATATGGTGAAACCCCATCTCTACTAAAATATGAAAAAAAAAATTAGCTGGGTGTGGTGGCGTGTGCCTGTAGTCCCAGCTACTGGGAAGGCTGAGGCAGAAGAATCGCTTGAATTCGGGAGGCGGGGGTTGCAGTGAGCCAAGATTGTGGCACTGTACTCCAGCCTGGGTGATAACTCCTTCTCAAAAAAAAAAAAAGAAAGAAAGAAAGAAAAGGATTCTGTGTCTTATTTATGAGCTATTATGCTATTGCTGTTATTTGGGGCTGAATGATTTTTATTTGGGGCTGAATTATTTTTAAATGTAAAGCAAGATGTCTAAATTACATTAATATGTTACTAAATTACTATGATTTTTCCAGAAAAATATTAGCCCATGCAATATTCTTTAATTCCTGTGATTAAGTTGGTCTTCTGCAAAGAAATTTCTGTTGACTTCCTTAGATTAAATGCAGCCCTGAGATAGGTGTGCAGGTCCAGGAAGTGGCCTGTGCAGTTCTCCCTGTGCCTGCAGGGGTGGCTTCTTGAGGATACTTTCGCAGTAAGGGCTTAGCAATATGCGCATGTCTAAGGAGTCTATCAGAAAACTACCTCCACTGTGGAAGGGCTGGGGATTGTATTTTTGTGCTTTGAAGCACCTGACACTTGCTGTAACTCCATTAACTGAAGAGCCGTTTGGTGCCCTAATTTCAGGAGTGAGTTCAGCTGCAGGGATCTCAGAGAGACAGGTCTAGGGTGTGTCTCCGCAAGGCCTGCTGCCAGGAGAGTACTTCCCCCACAGGGGATGTGGCTGCAGGCTGTCGATTTCCACTGAAATCACCAGGAGATGATTCTGGTGAAGCCCTGAACATCCGGTGTCACTCCTCACCAGGCTGGGTGTGATCGATGGAAGGCCTTCAGCATGGCCCCCTGCTGCATGGCAGAGCCCAGTGGCAGATGTGGCTGTTCTCTTTTTCAGAGTGAAGGACTGTTACCCTAGAAGTGAAATCCTGCTGAAATGAGAAAAGTGCTGTTATTATATTTCTACAGGCAGCTATATGATCATTTTTATTATGATTCTTGGAACCTGGCAGAATTTTGACTGCTTTTGCAATATCTCTGTGCTCTCCAGTTGAACTTGGTGGCAATAAAATTAAGAATCTGCCAGTGCCCCCCAAGCATTTCTACTCTGTCCATAATGTTTAGTGACAATTAACTATTACCAGGTGTAGCCACCCTTACTTAATCTTAGTGTTATGGTGCAAGTAATCCTTAGTGAAATTATTGTTCTGTAGAGAATGCTGTGATCTAAGTGAAGTGACTTTCATCCTGAGATGACAATGGAGTTGTTTTTGTCACTGTAAAGGCTGCATTTACTCGCAGTTTTAAAGCATTATTGCTACTTATATATGGTCTCAACACTGATTTTTATATTTGACTTTGTAGCTTTAAGTGTAAAAATTTCTGTTAAGGTTTTATATGTGTTAGTTAATTTTTCCCATTTCAATAACCATGTTTTATTATTGATGGAGTCTCCTAAAAATATACCCTTAAAATCTGCTTGCCCTGTGCCTGCACACATATTTTAAATGTTGGGTATGGAGTCTTTTTTTTTTTTTTTTTAGACAGAGTTTCACTCTGCAGCCCAGGCTGGAGTGCAGTGGTGTGATCTTGGCTCACTGCAGCCTCCACCTCTTGGGTTCAAGTGATTCTCCTGTCCCAGCCTCCCAAGCAGCTGGGATTACACGCCCGCCACCATGCCCAGCTGATTTTTTGCATTTTTAATAGAGATGGGGTTTCACCACGTTGACCAGGCTGGTCTCGAACTCCTGACTTCAGGTAATCCACCTGCCTCAGCCTCCCAAAGTGCTGGGATTACAGATGTGAGGCACCGTATCCAGGCTGTATGGAGTCTTTCTAATCAGGACATAGGCAGACAGTCCTAGCCCAGCTTTATGCCTTATGAGACGCAACAACGTTGAACAGTCATTGTTTGAGGGACAGAGGTTTTACAGATGGATGATAACTAGCATCTGTGGAACATTATTTGTGAAATATAGAAATCAGAAATTCCAGCGTAGCACTGTCCAAGGGGAACATAATTTGACCTGCATATTTGCTGGTCCATTTTTAGTAGTCACATTAAAAAAGAAAAATGACACAGGTGAAATTAATTTGAATATATTTTCTTAATTCAGTATGCTTAAATATTATTTAAGTATGTACTCAATATAAGCAATTGTTAATGAAATATTTTACTCTTTTTGAACTATGTGTTTGAAACCCCGGATGTATTTTTTTTTTATCTTCACCACACATTTCAATTTGGGTTGGTCACATTTCAAGTGCTCAGGAGTCACATGCAGCTAGGGGTTACCTATTGGACAGGCAGGCAGATCTTGAGAGCTCCAAAGAACTGTGTGTCATTATATTGTGGAAAAAAAAAAAACTTTTTAGATTAACCCTTGTTGAATGTTAGCCAAAGACTAGTCATTTATCAACTCTCTAAAAGTAGTTTTTAAATCAATTTGCTTTTCAAAACATTTTCTCAGTGTTGTCACAAATGTATGTGAACATCTGCTTTTTAAGTCTTTCATTTTTTGCCCACATTTGATGTAAAGAAAATCTAGGTCCAGTCCAATTTTAACATCAATTGGGTTTATTTTATGTAGCTGTGTTTTAAGTACAGGTCTTGTACTTGTAGGCATTTTGGTTAAGTACAAAGTAACGAGAATACAACAACATGTGAACATGTCAAACAAATCAGTTTTTCAAAGCTAAGTAGCTGAATTAAATGTAGAAAAACATGACATTTAATTTTTGTCTTCATCCCTTCATTGTATTCCCATGTACTCTATGGTAACTTTTTTAAGTTGGGAAGTCCTCTTTAAATTTTTGAAATGAGGTAGCTGCTTTATAGACATGAGGCAGGTTCCCAGAGAGCGCCCTTGAGGACAGGCTGTAAGTAAACTAAGCTGCAAAGACAGACACCATCACAACTATGGAATTGTTTTGCAAAAATTGTGGAGAGTGATGCCCCTTGATACTTCCTAAAAGATGCTTTTGCAACCTGATAAAGCAACCGAGGAGAGGTGGTGAAGGAAAGGCTTTTTTTTTTTTTTTTCAAAGAGAGAAAGAGAAGCAGCAAGCTGCCTGCCTGCAGCCTGAGAAAGCAGTTCCACCTTGGCACCCATGTCCTCATAGCCCAAGCGGGGCCACCCTGGCATGTGAATCTGCTCCGCAGTGTGCAGCCCAGACCCCAGCCTTCCTGTGAAAGGGACACCTCCTGCTGCTAACCGCTGCTCTTCCTGCAGTTCAGGAGACAGCGTGTGCTCCTGTGGCGGCTGCATTTCCTGAGTACACCATGATCCAAAAAGGCACAGATTCGTCATGGAAGCTTTGATTGGGCCGTTACTGTCTTTTGACCTTTCTTGTTTGCTTGCCCTTTTGTTTCTTTCCTCCTTTTTCCTTCCTTCCTGTCTTTCTTCTTCCTTCCTTCCTTTCTTCCTTTTTCTTTTTAATTTTCCTCCTTTCTCTTTCTCCTTTCTTTCCTTCCTTCTTTCCTCTTTTTTTCTTTCCTCCCTCCCTCCCTTTCTTTCTTCCTTCCTTTCTTTCTTCCCTCCTTCCCTCCCCACCCTCCCTCCCTTCCCCTCGTCTCCCTTCCCCTCGTCTCCCTTCCCCTCCCCTCCCTCCCTCCCTTCCTCCTTTTTCTTTCCCTTTCCTCCTTCCTTCCTTCCTCTCTTCTTTTCTCCATCCCTTTCTTCCTTTTAACATTTGATCATGGGTACCATTTCATCAAGATTCTGTTACTTAGGTCCAAGGACTAGTGACCAAATTGTTTTTCCCAGGAGTAAACTTTTCTACAAGACATAGAGAAATGACTGCCAGTGCCATCAGGCACACCATCCTGTGTGATAGGTAACCTAAAATAATGGTACAGCGGGGAGTAACTGGAAGAGTCACAACTACACAAATCTCTTGCATTTTCCTGATCATTAAATGAATTAGGGATTTCCTGGTTTGAGATTTGTGGACAAGGAGAACTACTTCTTTGTACAAGAGGCTTGTGCCAGGAGAAGACACGCTGTGGTTACAATGTTACTGTCTCTAGCTATGGTCATTTCATGTCTTTAACTGAGTGTACCTAGAGTGTAATACAGTGCAGCAGTGATGGGCTGAAGGCCTAATGCACCAGCACACATGCCTGGAAGACCTAACGTTGAGAATCCGCATTTTTTTCATCACTCACATTTATTTTGCATCTCCCTGTTTTGATTACCTTCAGAGACCCAAGCACTTGCTTTTGTATATTTGAGTCTGGGTTTTATTTTCCTTTTAGAAATAGTCCAAAATCCTTTTAGAGCCTAGACCTTTGAATAAAGTGCTAACTTAACCTGAGGAATGCTGTTTTTTTGTTCACAAATAAGGCTTAATTGTGAAGTCGTGAGAATTGCTTTCTGAGCTGACTTATAAATTTACCCACCTCTTTTTCCCCAAACCCCCAAAAAATCCTCCAGAAGGTGAGCCCAGCTTGTTGTAAAAGATTTTGAAGCAGAAGTCCTGGGTTTAAGCTTCAGTTCTCTGCCTTACCAGAATCGGGATGTGTGGGGCAGGCCTACCTCCTCTTTCTTCATCTGCAAAATACATTGAATGAAATCATATTTTTTCCTAAGTATATGACATGTAAAGTGGTATTTCAAAAACTCATTAATCTGCATGACCAGGTCAGAAAAGACACACCTTTTGCCTTGTGTCTAGTGTGTGACTGTCCTCACATGTAGATGACCCAGGCCACATCCGCTGATGTTGTCTTCCTTTACTTCTTTGTCCCTTCCAATGACTCCTTTATGAAGTCAATCAGCAGTGTTTCTAAGCCAGGTTCCTTCTCTTCACACATCCCCAACCCACAGGGCAAGTCATCCACATTTTGCCTCTCTATTTTTTGTGCTTTGGGAAACACATTTTACAACTTCCAAACTATTTGCCTAAGTTCATCTGAGCACATCTAGAATTATTCCACTCCTCTGCATCAGTGCTAAAAGTACAATCATGTATAAGCTGTTATACTCCCGTTATTTTGTACCTCATGTGCAGGTAGATTGCAAGTTCCTTGCAGGCAGGTACTACATCTACTTGAATTGCTTCACGATCACATAACACAATGCAGTGTTAAAAGTAGAAAAGTAATTGACATCTTGACTAACAGAAACACTAAATTCAGTGTATTGTGATGATACCTTTTTAAGAGATAGGCTATAGAAATAGAAAATCATCTTAGTTGGAATTGAAAGTCAAGAAGCAACATTTTAAGTAAGAGATGAAAATACTTAAAAGGGAAAGGAGCAGTGCTTACACAGATGAGGGGAAAAAATAAAATGTATCATCTAAAAATTTAAATCAAATATATTAGGTTGGTGCAAAAGTAACTGCGATTTTTGCCATTAAAAGTAATAGCAAAAACCACGGTTACTTTTGCACCAACCTAATAGATGGGAAAAATAAGAGGAATGAATATTTTAAGCTTTGCTATATAATTAAAATATTCTTAGAAGTCTGGAGTCTGTGAAGGTCACACCCTCTGGTCTTCTCCCAGCCCATAGGGTATAAATAATCTGAATTGACGGCATCCAGGGATCTCAGAAATTATTAGTACATCCCACAGTGAATTACCACCTTACTAAAATATTCATGGGTATATACTATGGATTTGTTTTATCCTATTTAGTCTTAAAAACTATAAAGAAATCTGCAGGCTTATTAACATATTACTCAGAATCATATTGTCTCCAAAGCACAAACTGAATCAGTTACAAGATATTGGACTAGAGATCATGGCAAATCAGAGGTACATAAGACCTAGTTCCGTTGTGGAGCTAAACAAACTGCAGAGACCTAAAGGGAAGCCTTGCACCACACTCTAGGTTTGGAGCTCAGGTTTTGAGTGGTGTCAGCACTCCAGAACACATGGGATCCCCGGGAGGTGGAAATTGAGCCGTCTTTGGAGAATCAGCTAATGAGACAGATGCATGTTAAATGTCTGTTGTGGCCCAGGCACTCTGCTAGGCAGAGGGGTGAACCAGAAGAATGAGATTCATGGGGCCAAAGAATTTGCCTTCTGGTGTAAGAAAAGATGGAGGCAGCTTGGCAGAAAGAAAAAAAAGGTAAAAGATAGAAATGAAATACAGAATAATCTATCTCCTCATCCCACAAGCAATTCTGCCTGGTTTGTGGCTCACGCCTGTAATCCCAGCACTTTGGGAGGCCGAGGCAGGAGGATCACTTGAGGTCAGGAGTTCGAGACTAGCCTGGACCACAAGGTGAAACCTCATCTCTACTAAAAATGCAAAAAAATTTAGGGCCGGGTGCAGTGGCAGTTCTGCCTGGTTTGAACATCTGGTTCAGTTAAAATACTTCATGAAAATATTTAGCTTGATGCACTGAAATCCATCACTGCTTTTGTGGGATGCACTGACTGCAGTCTGACTGTTCTCCTAGTGGAAAGGGGAGCAATAGCTTCTGTCTGCATGTGCATGAAACAGATGGAAATTTAGAAGAGATTCTAGTGCAGACAACTTCATCCCACCCCCGCTGCCCACAGAGCTAGCCATGTGCACGGTGTGTTTGAACAATGTTATGTTGCTGCTGTGCACAGAGATCCCCAGTCTCATAAAACATACTGGATGGAAGGCTGTCGAGAGATCATCAGGCCCCAGTGCATAAGTTCTTCCTAAGCATCCTTAACAGGTGATCACCTCGCCTATTGAGAACCCTCAGGAGGCAGCCCACTTACGGAAGCACTGATTGTTACAAAAGCCCTGAACTAAATCTGCTTGTCTCTAAAGCCAGCCCTGCAGATGTCTGCAGTGTAACTACTTTCTCTTCTCTCAAGCAGTTCAGCCCTTCAAATCATTGACAACAGCTCTACAAAGCCCTCTAAATAGCCCGTTCTCCTGGCTAAAGTGTGTTGGTTTCCTCAGCATATGATGAAATAAACACCATGATGCCTTTGCCTTGCTTTTTCTTGCTGGTCTCACTCTTCCCTGGCATTCTTCAATGTGCCCAAGTCCTTCCTAGAACATTGCACCCAAAGGGCCTTCCTGGTCTTTCCAGGGAATGCAGAATGAAAAAGAAATCCCATCCCCTGCCTCGAAAGGAGCTCTTCTGTGTGTAAGTGTACCTTCCCCCTCAGGGCATAATGGGAAACAGTTTGCCAAAGCTAACTGTGTAATTTCACATGACTCACTGCCGTTAGTCTGAGAAAGCATGGCATATTAAACTCATTTTCCATGCTTCCCAACTTTATTTACTATTCCATTTCTGAGGGGCAGAGAGCTGAGCAGGAATAACACCTTCCTTGCTCCTCCTAATGGGGCACATGTGCACATATAAAATTGTGTTCGATCTTTGCAGCCACGACCCATGTTAACTGTCAACTGAGAACTCATGAGTCAGTTTCTCAGGAACAGCCCTGAAGACATTATCTCCTGCATCTTGTATTTGTGCCTTTGATATTTGGAGGGAAGGGTAGGATCTGGCAATTATCGTTATCTCATTTGGTTCAGTGTATTTCATTTCAGCCTGTTAAGATCTTTTGGAAATACTGTATGTGCTAGTTACAGGGACAGTGATAAATAAGACAGCATTCCTGTCCTTGAGATGCTATTTCCACAGCTCCATGAGATGCCTAGTTAAAAACAGAGCCTTTTTTGGAAACAGCCTACTAATCTGTTAAAATAATAATGGAAAAAGATAAAGTTAGCATACCTGAGCTGCAAGGGCTGCCTCCTGGTCTGATCTCTGATAAGGATCAGATCCTAGAGCCTCTGAGATCCCTGTCCTCCCTGTCTGCACAAGCACTCGCAGAAGGAGAAACAGTTTACGGTGGTTCATCATGACTTTGAACCAAGCTTAAAGTCAAAGTCATACTCTTTAAACCATTGGAAACCAAGTTTTTGCGAGTTGCCTAAAGTGGGCAAAAATCCCACAATGCACCTGAGCACAAGCAGGAAAACATGCCATTGTCTCCCCAGGAGCCCTCCTTGACTTCTACTTTACTTTATCCATTGACACTAGTCTTATAAGTAGCTTTGTCTGTCCAATTTTTAATTGAATTTCGTTTTTATTTTCGTGAGTGGAAATATCACTTTGAAAGAAATCAGTCCTCTCCTGAAATCCAGAATTCCTGGAGCTCAGTTTACATGTTTGACGCGTGTCACATGATTCCACAAGTCACTCAAGGGCAGGAGGATTACCATCGATACGGAAAGATTTCTTAGAAAGCTTAAGTGAAAGGGAAACCAGGGAGAAAGTGTGCTTCGTGAGAATAGGTATGCGGACGGCTCTTTGTGACGCTCTGTGCAACCCTCGTGTTTGCATTGAACCAAGCTGTGCTGCAGATGGACACCCATCCCATTTCCCCGACTCATACCAGGGAGGCCCACTTTGCAAGGTACACAGAGGGGACCACAGAGCAGGGGGCCATGCAGGGGACCAAGGGACATTTTAGTGTAACCAAAGTGTGAAGTATGCCCTTTATTTCAAAAGAATAAAGAAAATCACAGGTTTTCCCGCTGATATGCCAGGGACATTTCCAAGAGAATTCCTTTTTTGAGAGAAATCTCCTTTGATATCCCATCAGTCAGCCATACTGCATAATTGTTAGATAGTGAAAGAAATTCATTTTTTAAGTTTGTCAGAAAAATAAATTCTTTGAAGTCTTAAATTGTTGCCTCCGGACATGACATATCTGGCTCTTCCAGAATCCATGTTAGTCCTAGCTGAGGAAGAAGGAGAAGGAGAGGGGCGTTTGTTGATTATTGATTTTGTAAGATGCCCCACACGTTGGCTATTAGCAGAATTCTCACTTCTAAAAGGAAAATGAGTGTGAGCTATGTTCAATGAGAAACAGTTATTTTTGGGACATTCTTTGAGGTAAAACACCTCCTTAAGATGCTGCTTCCTTATTGCTATGGGACCAAGATTAGAGCAAGAACATAGTGGTTTTCAGACCCTGGACATCATCCACAGCCGCAGCAGAGGCCCTGCCCACTTGAACAATGAGACAGGCCACCATTTTGTTTCGAGAATGAGCAAAGTGAACCACCATGCCAGATATTGTTAAGTCAGCAACTCTTCTGAAGATGGACATAGTAAAAAATAAACAAACAAGGCAGCACTTGAGATGGTCATGGCAGAGCAATCTCAACAAGCGATTTGTTATTTTGCACAGTGATGTACCCACTCATTGAATAAAATGCACCAGAACCATGCACTACAGATGCTAAGGAGAGTTGTCCTTCAACAAAGGAGATAGGCCCCACTGGCCGTGGGGCAGTTTATGTTATTTGGTCCTTGTCATGGGCAGGCATGGCCCTTTCTATGCTTCACAGATGAGGAAGGTCCCTGGCACAGGTCCAGTCTCCAGCATGGCCTAGAGGTGGCAGGTGCTACTTAGCATCGCCAGCCTCCTGCTTGGTCATGGGGTCAGCCAGTTTATAACACGAACGGAGGTTAATGAACTGATCTTCCCATCGCACAACTGGTATGAACCCACATCTTCTGATTATAAATCTTTTGCTCTTTAACTCTTAGTCATTACCACTGTCTAGTGTAGGCCTGTGTGTTCATGGCCTTTGTTGCCACCAAAAGATCAACTATTAGCTGAATAACATACTGAGACATGTTGGTGTTGTGTTCTAAATAGCACTAGTAAACTGTTAGGGAAATCTGACTATATAGCTACTATCCAGTCTAGTTTTTCTTGCGAAGTGTTTGTTGAGTGTGTAATGAGGAGTAAGGAAGGTGAATAAGAAATGGCCTGAGTCTTTATAAAATAAGCAAGGAGAGAAAACAGTTTTGATGAGAAGCGCATGGAATTTTTAGAAGATAGGACGTGTATTATGTACCTATAAGAATGGGTAGGATTTTAGAAGAGATGGATGGGGAAAAGGAACAGGGAGTGGGAACAAAACGTGGACCAAGGAAGAGCAGGTTTAGCCATGGAAGCCTCACCGCCGGCTTTGGTTTATCGTGGGCCAAGGGGACAGACCCTGTGGGGAGGGCTGGCAGCAGGGAGGTCTTCCAGAAGTCTATCCTGCAGGCAGTAACAGCCACCCAGTCTATAAGCTGAGTGGGCATGGGGGTGATGGGGAATGGGTGGGGAGTTATTGGGGTAACTTACCCCAAAATGATAGCTAGCTGGAACCATTTATTCTATTGCATTTTATCAATAAATCTTATAGGAAGTACCATCCTAGTGAAAACCCTGTCACATTGAGGGCATTCATGCTTATGTTTTAAAACATGTTATTGGGTCTATGAAAAATAAGGCTGAAACCTATGAGCACCCTCCATGCAAAGTTTCAGTCAAGACTTTGGAAACAAGACAGTGTCTTACTCACTTTATAAATTCATTCAGAAAGCCGTAGGTTTGAAAATTCCAAACTTAGATGTAAGAAGCTCTGAGAAACACATGAAATCACCCCCACATCAGTAGAGATGTCTCAGCAGACATGGGAAGAGGGGCAGCAGGGTGTAGGGAGGTGGGGCAGCCCCGGGGTGGGCCTTGCAGGCTGGGCTTGAATCCCATGGCCACCACCGTCCGCTGGGAGGCCTGGAGCCGGCTGCCCACTCTCTGACCAGCACATGTTGATGCTGTATCCTTGAAGGGACCGTGGTCTGACATCCTGTGATGCAGACCTGAATCCAGCACCCACAGGGTCTGCACATTCCCTCTTTGAGGTGGAGCCCAGCTCCAGAGGCTGGTCCCTGACTCTGTTTCTCAAGAAGCCTGTACAGATGTTCCCCTCACCACTGTTTCCAGTCACCTTTGGCTTTCACGGTGCAGATGCTAAGTTTGATTTTCAGAGCCCATCTGGGAATTTAGTGAACTGAACAGGTAGCATTTCTGAACCCACCCATAACCCATGCCCTCCCCACTGATTTTGAAAGAGAGTTTGCTGCAGGTGACTTTGCAGCTGGGTAGAGAATCTTGGGGCAGGATTCCGAGGCAGGCAGATGAGTGAGGATAAATTGGGTTCTGACGGCACGTTACACCAGTGGACTCTAACGACGACCTCACCTCGTGCACAGATAATTCTGCCTTGTGCTTAACCGTTAGAAATGTGTCACTGAAGTGTGAACATATTATGCTGTTAGATTTCCCATCATTTCTGTTCTTTCATTCCCTCTCATTTGCATTGGTTACTCATAAATGTAGATCTTTGGTATGATTTGTACAACTGCCGGGTGTCAATCTGTGAAAGAAATAGCAGAGCAAGCTGGGCTCTGGTAGCGCTTTATCCCTGCGTGCTGGCTTGCCCGGGTTGACTCAGAGGCAGTCTCACATTCAGCTGCGCTGGGGCCAAGGACCCAGGGAGCCAAGTGTGTTTCTGTTTTCTGTATTTAGCAATTTAAGACCTGCGTTTAAATACTAGCTATGCATTCTAGCAAAAGAGGTTTATATTTTAACACAGTAACTCTTAATTGTTTAATTCAGTTCGTGTGTTACCTCTCGGAATAAAATAGTGGAAGCCAATTAACTATAGACTTCATTAGTTTGGATTTAAGATCACCAAAACATTTACCACATCTCAATTGTTCATTACATGCTCTCTCTTTTTTAATGCAGTTTTTATAATATGGGGAGTGGGGGTGTGGATTTAACCATTATATTTTTATGATATTGGGAGTAGATTTAACCATTATGTAAATTGGATTTTTTAATTTTAAAAAGTCACTTATCTTGATGTAAAATCATGTCTTAGTAACCTTGATAAACTAAGTTTTGCATGATTACACCTTAAGGTTAAAACATATTTCATTTCATCATTTCCCAGAAGGGGCACTGAATTCACCCATTTCCTGTTTTTCATCTCAGAATGTTCTGTGTTTCCTCCATATCTACTTTCCCGGCAGCAGGACCCTGGAAGCAGTCACACCAACCTCATTTACCCCACCTGAGATTTGTGCGCTTTGAACATAGTTGCAATCAAATCAACAATATCTTTGCTCAGAAATGGATATGTGAAGTAAAATGTGCTGCCCTGTTCATGTATGAAATCATTCAGCTAGCTGGCCAGTGAGCCCTTCATTGCAACAAAGATTTTTCTAGAGCCCCTGCACTATCTGGGGCTATGTCAGGCCTCACACTCCTGCTCACACGTTTGGAGGCTACCTTGGCCAGTATTACCTTAATCCAGCATTTAGGGGAAGGAGCATTTCAAGACTAAATTTTCTAAACTGCTCAAGCCTACCTCATTTTATTTCTTGTGTATTTTAACACTTTTGGATGAGGACTCTTCCTAGAACCTACTAACAATTCCCCCCCGCCCCCATGCCAAGATTCTTTAAAGACTTTCTTGAAAACGCTTCAGTCTTTTCTTCTTAGCTCAAAAGTACTATCCTAAATACTAGCTCTGGCATTACAGGGAGTTAATTTGTGGGCACACACAGTAAATTATAAACCCCTTAAGCAGAGAAGATTGTATTATCAGTTTATTAGTTTTCTTATTCATTCCTTCAGCACACATTTCTGTTGCCTCCAATGCAGCAGAGAAATTGACTTCTACAGTTTCCACAACAGTCCAGATTTCAACTGTGTAGTGCTCTTTCAGCCAGAAAGTACACTTGTGTTTCCCTGGCCATAGGTCCTGAACCTCACTTCTGAAAAGTCATTGTGCATAGAGAGCTAATAGCTGTACCCTAAATGATCCTGGCTTTGAATTCTCTTATCTGCTTGGATAGTATTATCTGTCTCTTCCTCTGCATTCTAATTTGCTACTTCTAATCTGCTGGGAATTACAATAAGAAAGAACCATTTAATCATTTTTACAACTGTGCCTAAAGAGAGTGTGTGTAAGTGCCGAGAGAGTGTATGAGGGACTTGCCCATGAGTAAATGCATGAATTTTAGGTCAAGGGTTTTTTGCTTCTCTTTTGGTTGATTACCTCAGAGATCAGTTTTACTTTCTTTCTCATTCTTGACCTATCATCACTAGCTGATATGGATGATGTGTACAACTTCTGAGTAAGAATAATGTCAATGGGACGGGATGGGATTGGCTGGTGATTCTGTTGATCTTAAAGTTTATATATTTTAAGTTTAGTGTTTCAGAATGAGACCAAAGCGGTGACATTTTCAACCTCTTCGGTCTCTCTTCAGTTTTTTCATTTTAAGTTTTTGTTGTGCTTCTATCACTTAAAGGAAGCCTCCAAGTTGAAATCAAATACTAATGACATTTTTATCTAATGTATAAATGTGTTTTTATTATTTATTAGGAAATTTATTTTACTTGGCCCTCAGCCATGACATATCATGGCATAATCACTATCCTAAATTTGTATATCTTATCCTTGCATAAGGTAAGACTTTCTATGAATTACACATATTTGTATTTTCCTCTCTTACATATTTTAAGAATTTTTTTATACTTTGTTTTCTGCAAATGAAATATTGCTCATAAGCCAGGTGATGGCTGTCCACGCCTCTTTTCCCCTGCTTACCCTTGCTTAGATCTTATGGTAGAATCTTTTCATAGAAGACACAGAAAGACATGAAAGAAAGAGCTGGAGAAGCCTGAGGGGCTGCCCAGTGAGTGGTCTGCTAGGATGCTGTGCCACAGCCCAGGCACAGGAGGCAGGGAGAGCAATGGGGCCCTTCCCTTCCACCAACATTCAGCAGAATTTGCAGCTCCATGTTTCCAAAGCTTCCAGGGCACTTGCATTTAGAGAGAGAGAGCAAGCAAGCTGCCTTTCCTCTTCCTCAGTTCTGCCAGCCACACTCTTGCCATGATGAGCAGTTTCAGCCAAAAGCTCCTTCCCCTGCCCTAACACCTCCTGCAAGGCCTGAGGTCTGGAAGCCACCTGCGCCTGCTGGCCCCTCCTTTCTTGTTTCTGCAATGGATGTTGTGGCCCTGTGAGGGAGAAGAGAAAAAGAAGTTGCCCTCCTCCCTCTATCCTCACCTCCTGCCATGCTGTCACCCTTATAAGAGAGAAGGGCTAACCATCCAGGCTAATCCTCCAGTGATGCAGGAGAGGACATCCTGGCCGGAAGAGTCAGAGCTTCCAGGTGAGCTCAGGTGGGTCAGCCCCCGAGGCTGTGAAGAGCCCAGGGGCCAGTAGATGCCACTTTTGCTCCAGGAAGAATCTTCAACTGTGTCCTTTTTATTCAAGGGGCTCTCTTTTCAGCGAATCTCTAGATGTACTAGTCACAAACACTCGCATTTATTAAAATGTATCCATGATCCCACAATCCTTTTACATATTTCTCTCCAGGAGTATCACATTTCTGAGGGCCCTGTGCCTGTTTTCTGCAGGAAGTTGCTGTTGTCCCGGGTCCCCCTGCCCCCAGCACCTCTGTTACAAGAAGCAGACCCTTCATGCCACACTGGGACCCAGGGAGGCCCCAAGCCAGGATGCTGGGATCTTAGTAAAGGTTGGAATGATGTCAGAACATAGAGGAGGCAGAATTCCCCCCATAGCATCATCCTGGAGGGCGCTGATTTGTGTGCTCTGCCAGGTTCATCTGTGACTCAGGATTTAAAAGCCCCAGGTGTGGTGTCCCTTCTGTGCCTGCAAGGTGCGTCTTTAGCAGTTCTCCCTGGTGTGGAAGGATCAGTGGTTCTTGCAGCCTAGGCACCCTCCACAGCAAGCCCAACACAGGTGCTGTGAGCAGCTGGTTCATGAACGGTGATCCTGGGGAGAAGAGGAGGATGAAAATGGAAAACCAGTGCAAAGGTGTGTCATCCAGTTGGTTACTGCTGTGGGTGCCCGGGCTTCCATCCCACCAGAGCCCCCACTAGCCAGGGCAGCCTGGCGGAGGTGAGCATCATTCTGCTTTCTGGCTGCACCTGTGTGGACAGAGCCCGTTCCAAAGCCTCCCAGGCACAGGGCAGACATCAAGCAAGGGGCAGAGCTGGGGCGAGGGCTCTGGGTGCCCCCGTTATTGAACACAGGCCTGAAGGGAGCCTAAGAGGTGGCTGGCAGGAGATACTACAAGGCAGAAAGACAGGGCAGCAGTCTTTGTACTGTACGTTTTTGTTTTTTAAGAGAGAACAAAAAGTCAAGGTTGAGAGATGAGAAATACTCTTGCCAAAAAGAGAACACCAAAATCCTGGAGTCACGGGTCTTCCATTACCCTCTCTAGCATTTCTGCTTGTCTTTTCCCTAGTATTGGTGAAGAATTTTTAAAGTAACCAACCCATACCGTTGGTTACAGGCCCTGTGGTCACCAGGCTGTCTCCCCATGATGGGGATGGAGAGTGGTTAGTGCAGAAACTTAGACCTCCCCTCCAGCTTGTTGAATGCCCTGAAGTTTATCTAGAAGGGAAGATACTCAAGCGTAGGATTTCAGTGATGCATTTGGACAGCATCAGTACTATGCTTCAGCGTCAAAAACGTCACTTTGGGTAGGAACAATACATAATGCGTGGCAATGCCTTTTGTGACACCTGTTCAGGAGATTCCCATAGGAAGCTTCTGAGGCAGAGTCCTCAGGTGAGGAGGGGGACAGGCCTGGGTCTTGGGGGAAGGTGGAGATGACCAGCCTCATGCCTCTCTCCCCAGTGGCCTCAGTCTCCATCAGGCAAATCTTGAGAAGCCTCCTCCATTCTGCAGGCAAATGACTGAGATGTGTGAGCTCTGCTTCCCAACAGGCGGAAATTCACATGGGGAAGGGCACCTGTGAATGGCCTTCTAGAACTATCAGGAAGTTCTGGATTTAGTACCCTGTGAGAGCAGATGGTCCTGGGTGCACTCGGATGATCCTGCCTAGCCAGCTGGATTGCAGAGTGGTCATCATTATCAGTGAGCTATTGAGGGGTTGAGAGCAGTCAGTGTCATGTATAAGGATGGGTTGGGGTACCGGCCAACGCCCGCCTTGAGGCCTGGCCGCCGGATGGGAGGCGAGAGCACAAGAGAGTCCTGGCTAGGTGTGCCCCGCTCTGCAGGGCCACACCATCCACTGGAAACCCTGTGCCCACTGGGCTGCGTGCTAAGAGGCTGTGGCCAATGCTCTTGTCCAAATTTTACTGAATCTGCAGTCTCTCTTAATTCACTCCAAAGTTTAATGTGTTAGCTTGCGAATAAATAAATAAATAAATAAATAAATAAATAAATGGAAAGAAACAGTCCTCAGAAAGTCCCAGTCAAATTTTAATTCCAACAGATATTCAGCAGTTTCCTCTAAGAACAATGAGAGTTCTGGGGCTAGCCAGTGTTTCTCTTGGAAAATAAGGAAGAGGGAAAGCGGTGCATTCATTTAAAAACCTGCCCTAGGGAGGCAGCGTTCCCTGTGAACTCCGAGGCCACAGTGAGCAGAGCAGGCTGGAGGCCTCCCGGCTGTCCTGCCCCTCCTGCCACATGCCTGTGAAAATGCTAGATAAGGACTTTTTCTCAGCAACTTCCACGCTCCTTCAGTGGGGATGTCTTTGACTCAGAGCTCTGCCACTGGTTATCTCCACGAACAGAAAATGCCACAGATGGGTTAATTCACTGTGTTGTTCTCATTTTCCCTCAGTTTCAGGCTTTTCTCTCCTTGCCTGTTTTCCTCGCTTAAAAAATGATGTGGGGGTCCCTAAACGCATCTACCCCGATAGATTTATGTTTTCTTTTCCATTAGTCCACTTTGCGTCTCAGCCCTAAAATTAAGTTTTTGATTATAATGTAAGGAAGTTTTACCATATTTTAACTCTGGCTTTTTAAATACAAAAGAAAAATAACAGAATGGCCTTCTAGAACTATCAGGAACTTCTGGATCTAGTACCCTGTGGGGACAGATGGTCTGGAGCCAGCGCACTTGGATGATCTCTCTCAGCCATCTGGACCATAGAGTGAACTTGTTACTGTCCCTCCAAGGCTGACAACTATGAGCTCATACTCTTCTAGCAGTTTAATTTAGACCCAAGAAAGGCTGTGTGTGTGTGAATTTGTGAGAGTGTGTGAGTGTGTCTTTGTGCCTGTGTTTCTGTGTGTGTCTGTGTGTACATGTGTGTCTGTGGGGTGTGTCTGTGTGTGCACGGCTGTGTGTCTGTGCGTGTGCATGGCTTTGTCTGTGTGTGTGCGCACGCACTCTGCTAAGCTACTCAATGCAATTCCTTACTCTTACTTCCCTTTCTGTCACTTCTCCATAATTCTTTGTATTTCGGTTGGGCTGGTATCTCGCGGCGGCTTCCTCTTTTCCTGCATTCCTATATTTCATTATTTGCTCTTGTTCCTCTTCTAGGGCTTTTACAATATAGCCAGGAGGATGTGGAAACCCAGTTACAAGATGACACACAAGCACAGTGTCACAATCGCTGTGCTTGGGCCCTACCTCCTGGAGACCAGGGTGGGACGGTGTCTCTGGATATGGAGGGAAGGGCGGAAGATCACGGGGTGGCAGAAGGCCCGACTGTCCGGTCTTCTGGAAGCTGGGGTCTCGTGGTCGCTGGGCTGGTGGTGCTCTAAAACCTAGAGTAACCGAGAGCAGGATGACTGCACCCCTGACTGCCGACTCACCGGGCTTCGGAGGGCCATGGGTGTGTGATTCCACTTGTGATCCTCCTACTTCCCCAGCCCACCCTGGTGGTCTCCCACTTCTCTCTCTCTGCCTGTGGAGTGTTATAACCGACTCCTTCTTCTAGGCATCTCCATCCCAACCCCAGACCAGTTCCCTTAAACCACCTCCCACCACAGGACCCCCACAAGCAGGGACCTCTCACAGTTCCTGTTGCCTGGGGACTTCATCTCAGCTTCCAAGGCCTCTGGAACCAGGCCCTGCATCCTGGGCATGACTGTCCCCATGATTCTCTGAGCCAGCCACCACCCCACCACCCCCCCACCGCCAAGTCCACTGCTGACCCTGCTGTAGCCCCCCACCTCCACTTGTTGAGATTCCCTCTTCCTGCTTCTCATTTTGAATGTCACCCTTCTGTGACTTCTCACAACCCCCCTGCCACCCCTCCCTCCAGTTGGCATGGCTTAGTCTTCCTAAGAACATGTGCTGCTTCCCAGTACCCAGGGCTGCTGTGCACCGTGGCACGTGAGTTTCGGTGCATCTTCCTCCTGCTGTTTATAAATTGCAACATCCCTGGACAGATCTTGGATTTTCCCTCTATAATTTCTCTGGAGACTCCCTCGGGGTTTGCACACACATCTGTGGAATGCCCAAGTTGGAGATGGTCCTCCCTGATGTGTAGTGTGGGCTATTCAGAGGGCCTCATTTCATAAACTCATTAACAGCTAGGACGCGAAGACTTGGAGAAGTTAGCTCAGGACACACGGAGTGGGAGGGAGGCAACGAGTTAAGAAATGGGCTTTGGAGTGCCTCGAATTTGGCCTCCACTTTTCTTTTCTACTGTCTTACCTGGTCTTAGGCAGGTCGGGTGACCATCTGGAGTCGGAGTTTCTCTCATTTGTAAAGCGGGGGTGATATTTTTCTCACAGGGCTGCTTCAAGGGTTAACAAAGTTAATGTCTAGGAAGGACATAGCATAGCACCTTCACCTGGTTGCAAGCCCCTGGAGTCACATGGCAACAGCTGTGGAACCAGGTAAATGACTTGACTTACATGTTACACGCTCTTAGTTGTTCGATTTGTAAATGGGAAGAGTGTGTGACCCAAATTAGTCGTTTCCAGATATTTCCTGGTAAATGGTTGTTGAATCATAAAACTAGAAAGATGGGAAAGAAAGGGAGGAACCCCCCTTACTTCGAAGAAGTGTTGTTGATGTGAAGGACAGGACTTTTTGAGACACTCTCATCCTAAGAAACAGCTGATATCTACTAGGAAAAAACATGACATTTGAAGTTTCTTCCTAAGAGATGTGAGGTTTTGACAGAAGTGCCAGGAAGCCAGAGGTGTGTGAGTAGTGGGCCAATCTCGCGTGAAGGCTGTGGGACGGGGCAGGAGAGGGGCAGCCAGCATTTCCTGAGCGCCAGCTAATGGCGGGGACCTGGCACCTTTGCTCTGTGACTCTCCAGCTGTATGGTGACATGAGGCTGGCGTTTTCTTTGGTTTCATACGTGAGGAAGCTGAGGCTTGGTGATGTCCTGTGCATGGCTCGGACTCCAGAGCTACTCAGAGGCAGAGGCCGTCTGTAAACACCTTCAGGTGGTTGGAGGCAGGGTGCTGCAGCCAATGCTGATCACTCACAAGCCAAGGCTTTATTGTAAGGGCTAAATAAAATAACATATGCCTAGCATTTATACAGCACGGGGCTTTTTAGGAAATAGTGAGACGACCATGGAGAGGTGGAGGAAGAGAGAAGGGAAAGAAGAAAAAGAAAAAAAAAGCCTTAAAGAGTTTCTTAAGAGAACTATATATTACAAAGTCCTTGGAGTTTTTTTTCCCTGGTTAGACATAAGTTTACATGAAACGTTAAACGGCTTAAAGTAGCCACATCTCCTTCCTTATGTCTTCTCACAGCCACTTGTGAGTTTCTTATCAAGATACAGAATTATGGCCAAGTGCGGTAGCTCACACGTGTAATCCCAGCACTTTGAGAGACTGAGGTGGAAGGATCATGTGTGCTCAGGAGTTTCAGACCAACCTAGGCAATATGGTAAAACCCTGTCTCTACAAAAAAATACAAAAATTAGCTGGGCATGGTGGCATATTCCAATAGTTCCAGGCACTCGGGAGGCTGAGACAGGAGGATTGCTTGAGCCCAAGAGGTCAAGACTGCAGTGAGCTGTGATCGAGCCACTGCACTACAGCCTGGGCCACAGAGCAAGATCCTGTCTCAAAAAATAAAATAAAATAAAATAAATTCTGCAACAAGTCACAATTCCTTGCTCAGAAATCTCTACAGGTGTGCTTCTTTGTTAAGAAATGGAGGAAACATGAATTTCATCCTGACTTCTGAGTCTTGTAGAGACCAGATCTGACTCCTGCAGCCTTCTGCCCACAGAGCTGGCAGGCGGGGGAATGTGCGCAGAGTGAGGAGGAGCTGATCTGACATTCCGAACAGTGGAGACTGCTGCCTATTTGGCCGCACCACTGTCCTTCTGCATGGAAAAGTCACAGTAAATAATGGACTCTCTACCTGTGAGTCGATTTTACTGAGCTGCCTTTTTAAATATATGTGTAGAAAGGGCGATCTCTGTGTGTCATTTGCACATGTACATACACATGTACACACGTGCACACGTGGTCACTCATGTACACATGTGTGTGCACCAGTGCACCAGACCAGATGCACCCACCCAATTCCACGCTCCTCAGCCCCTTGCTTTCCTCTGCAGACAGCCAGTTCAGCTACAGTTATGCCAGATTGCCTGCACTCTGATCTTTACCATCACCAGACTCTCAGCTTGAGCTCATGCCTGAGAAATCCACTTTCTGGGAGGAAGGCAGAAGAAACTGCCAAGGCAGGACTGAAGACTTGACCTCCACCTGTAGTGGGGTCAGGTCACCAGAGGCTGGCTGACTCCCCAGGATTTCTCAGCAGAGTATTACACAAATACCCCTTCCTTAAAGATTAGCAACCACTTAAAGACACAAAGTGTGCAGGACTGTACCCATGGCCGAGAGCGGCGGGATTAAGAGGGCAACTGAGTTGTTCTTCCCATCCCTCCTCCTCTGTGCTGAGTCACCTTCTGCTTGGAATTCTGACAGGGACCCGTTGGGCTTCTGGAAGGGAGGGACAGCAGAGGATCCACCCTCTGTGTGTCCTGGGGGAGATTACTTATCTCTGGCCTCCCTGAAGCAGGGCCTGGGCTTCTGGAATCTTTGAGGCTGACACCCTGCCAGCCCTGGGGATGAGAGGGAATGGCCGTGTCTGTCTGCAGAGCCTGAGGAGGAGCTGAGCACAGCCTCCAGAGTTCTCTTCAGTTGATCGCTTAGGTGGACAAAGGCCACAGAAATGGATTTAAACTCCTCAGCCCTTTCTTTGCATGTTTGTTCTCATTTGAAGTCAGAAGTGATATGTCCTACACCTCAAGAACGTGTGAAATGCACATACAATAACCCCATTTCAGGAAGCCAAGTCCAGCTTAACAGTCAAAACATTTCCTTCAGTCTTTAGTCCTTCACTTTGCCGAACTCCCTTTTACACCGGCAGCAACAGTTTAACCTGTTGCTTCTGTAAGAGTGTGCTACTGGGAAAACCACATCTAAAACACGTGTGCAGTTACATCAGCTAGAGCACATGCTAAACAGTTGATCAAAGGCTCTTGCCTTGTGGCCCACGCTGCAGACACTCTGACGACTGCCGAGCTCCGCAGCCCCATGTCGTCCCTTCCGCACTGCCTGCTGTGCCTCTCCTCTCCATGTGGCAGGGAACACAGCCAGTCATCACCATGTGGCTCTGCCCGGCGCTGCCCCAGCATGTCCTGACAGGGCCTAGATATGGAAAGGTGGCTCTCCATGCACACACCCCAAGCCCCTCCTGCCCGCCGTGTGACCCACACTCTTATGGGCAGCCCAGTTATTTTGTAGCATTTCCCTTCCTTATCATTTTGGCCCAGTGATCCAGCACAAATCTCCCTTATTAGAATAAAATTTGGAATGACAAAATTAAATTTCATTTTTCACTTATATTGAGGACCTCACACTCTTCACCCCTGCCACGATCCCTGACAAGAGCCTTCCTATCTAATCATTGTTCCTCCAGCCCTCTTAGTTTTCTTCAGCCTTTCTTGATTGCCTGAATGTCCCTTTCCCTTCTCCTTTTAAAGCATGAACCAAGCTTTCTTACCCCGTTCTCATTATCATTTTTGCATTTTCTTCTTTGCATATGATTCTCCTTAAATTATAAAACTTGGGGGTAATTTCTAGAGGTGCCATCATAGTGCTTCTGTCTACTCAGTGTCTTTAGAATCAGCAAATATCATTTTTACAAAAAAGTAGTATTTCTTCCAAAAAAGAGTAAGCAAGAAGGTTACAACACTGGGAAAATATCCCTAAGCCTGTTCTTCAACCTGTTGAATGTTTTCCCCTAAATTGTTATATGGAGATCCTGGACCCGGAAGTTGGCTGACATGAAACAGGCCTAGCAGGGCAGCTGAGGAAATGCTCCAACCTCAGGATCCAGGAAGATTGCACATGGCACCAAAACAATCATTTAAAAGCTAATCCTGGCCAGGCACAGTGGCTCACGCCTGTAATCCCAGCACTTTGGGAGGCCGAGGTGGGCTGATCACAAGGTCAAGAGATCGAGACCATCCTGACCAACATGGTGAAACCCCATCTCTACCAAAAGTACAAATATTAGCTGGGCATGGTGGTGCGCGCCTGTAGTCCCAGCTACCCGGGAGGCTGAGGCAGGAGAATCACTTGAACCCGGGAGGAGGAGGTTGCAGTGAGCCAAGATCATGCCACTGCACTCCAGCCTGGTGACAGAGCAAGACTCCATCTCAAAAAAGAAAAAAAAAGCTAATCCCATAAAAGAACCATCATTTTGAACCTGCTGTTTCCTTTCTTGTACTCTTTAGAAGTACCCATTTCTCCCTTTCTAAGCCATAGGTGTATTAATTGGAGCTTTTTCTATCTTAATTAGTTCACTGTGAACAATTAAAATTGTGTTAATAAAACAAAAACAAAAATAGGACTGGTGCCTAGTTGTACTACATGAAGAGAGAAAGGGCCAGACATTGGTTTTTCCTAATCTTCTGTCAAGTTCTCCAAATCATCTGCTCTGGAAGGTAGCTCCAACAGCTGGGATTTGAAGTAAAGCATAGTGACTTTGGCCATCACTGACATGTCCCATTTGAAGCAACCAAAACTGTCCCTCGACCTGACACTCATCCCTGAAACACCATGAGGGTAAGTGAGGCGCTTCGGAAGGTCCACTCAACCCCATTGCCAGATAGAGTAAGTGTCTGCCAGGGGCATTTGGAGCTGAAGGGAAGACTGTACAGACTCACGGTTTGCAGGCACTGAAGGCGTTTTCCTGCCTTCTTTTTCACCTTCAGTGGACTTGCAAAGCACTAGCCCTATTGTTTTTCCCATCTGGGAAACATGGTGAATGTTGGTTGGTTGTAGCTAATCCTATGGGTCTTGAGGTCTTTGTTGACAAGAAGGTAGATGTTATCTTTATCTGCGTGTGGCTTTCTACTAAAACATGAGCTACAGGGCTCTCTTTTTTGTTTTAAAGCATTTTTCCATAAGGTTCACCCTTACTATTGCTTATCTGAATAATATTACCTGCTGAGAAGTTTATTCATTGCTCACCAGTTGTAGGGAGATTTTGACACAGGACTGGAGGATTTTTTTCTCATCGTAACAGTGCAGACCCATGGAAAGCTTGGAAGCAGTTGTGACCGGATAAGAGCAGGTTGAGGATGATAATCTTAGGGCAATGAGCAGGTTGATTGAGAGGGGTGCCTGAAAGCAAGGTCCCCATGATGCAAGCAAACAAACTCACATGCCAGACGGTGGACAGGAAACACAGGCAGGATGTGGTGCAGGCTGGGCTGCCTTGGCTGGGCAAAGGCAGGGGCTTCATGGCCATGCTGGGATGTGACGTGGTTGGAAAACAATAAGAATGGAGACCTCTCCAAAGACCTCAGACATAATTTGGCCATGAGAGGCAAGGGTAGAGGCGAGCCCCCTGTGGGTTGGAATGTATGGAATCCAGATGAAGCACCATCAACATGCATGGGCTACATAGGAGAGCTGGGTCTGGGGGAAAAGATGGGATTTGGGTTTGGGTGTGCATGTTCCAGGCATGGAGGGAAGAATGGGCAGAATGACGAGGATCAAGCCCTGGTGGAGCCCCCAGACCAGGGCCCTGGGCATATTTCCACTTGCCTTCTTCTGCAAACTTTTGTGTGCCTGTTGGGTGGAAGGTACTATGCTGGGGCCATCCAGGATCCGGAGCAGTGTAAGACATCATGGCCTGCATGGTGTGACCCTTGACATCTGAAAAGAACGAGCTGGTGGAGTGGGAAGGAGACAAGTGGCAGCAGAGTTGACATCATCAGGACTGACTGCAGGACAGGCGGTGAAACGAGCCACTGAGGAGTTACCCAGTGCCCTGGGGAGCTTAGATGTGAGACTTACACCACCCAGCACTCCCCAGCTCTGTGTCCCTGGGTCCCACTGAACTTGATTGTATTTTAGTTGCCTCTTTTCTAAGACCGGAGCAACAATACCTTCCTTGAGTGTGCATGTGCAGTCCATAGATGGCAGCCAGTGTTCTCTTCCCATGAGAAGACTCTGAGCCTCCTCACTAGAGGGTGGTCTAAAAACAAATGGATCCATCCACAGAAGGTCTGAAAGGTTTTCATAGAATCTTGACTTGGTAGCACTTCAGGATCTAACTCGTGCTTTCCAGAAGTGTGGCCTGTGGTGTTCTGTCTGGAGTATTTGGTCCTCCCATCCACCTCCACCTTGCTGTCCTGTCCTGTGACTCTCACTAGCTCAGTCACCGGGTCAGGAAGCCCTGCCATGAAATG
This sequence comes from Homo sapiens, assembly GCF_000001405.40. Taxonomy (NCBI): domain Eukaryota; kingdom Metazoa; phylum Chordata; class Mammalia; order Primates; family Hominidae; genus Homo; species Homo sapiens. Next base: position 50,363,916 of record NC_000007.14, read on the forward strand.
CTAGATTTGGAGGCATTGCCAAGGTACCACAAACCATACTCAAACAAGGTCATAATAGACTAGTGATCTCACTGTGGCTAACAGGTTCATGTGATTTAAAGAATGACAGCATTTTTTCTAAATTTTATAAATTTTATAAATTTCTCCTAAATACAAATCTGAATGTGTTTACCTTTAGACAGATTTTCCCAGAAAATTGTCAGTGTTCTCGAATTTGAAAGTAGATCAGATCTCCTCCCTCTAGTTTTGAAAATCTCAAGTAGGTTTAGCCTCTCCCCAGAGTGACAACGGCACAAGAAGTTTATAATTTTATGCACAGCTAAATGCAAACTGAAAAGTGTGGTTTGTGGGTATTTCATTTTTCCCATAATGTTCATCAATTTGGCAATTCAAATAGGATTCAGAATCCAAGGTGTTCGCAGCATTTTATATGAAAATGTGCCTGAGAGTTTGGGGAATAGAAATTCTTACCAAATAAGTTAAATTTGCTCTTGATAAGAATATATTTTGTAAAATGTAGAAAACTGAGAAAAAAAGTTTGACACCTGTTTTATCTGCATCCTTTTATTAAACAGTGGCCTGAATTTACTAAAGGACAGAGAACAGGGTTGAGAGGTAATCACTGAATAATAGCTTCGCTAATCCCACAGTGACTGCTTCTTATGACAAGCAAGAGGGTCAACTTAGAGGCAGGACTGTCTTCAGGGGCAAAAGCAAGTCAGCACCTACAAACCTCTCCAAGAGAGTGAGAAAAAGCAGGTTGTATGGCTCATTTTGCAGCTTGCCAGAAGCAATGTGGGAATATTGTCAGACTGCACAGACCTGGGGCCAGCTGGCTCCTAGAGTGCGAGGAGCTCTCAGTGACTGCTGTGCATACTCACCTGCTCTGTGACTTTGTTCAGTCCCTACCCTGGATGTGTGGTGAAGGGTGCCAGGCTTAGCTGCTGGACCAGTGAGGTCCCTGAGGGGGCAGGGCTAAGAGGTGTAGCAGTCGCACTTGACCAGTCATTGATTCACTGGTTGGGAATTTGTTCATTGAGGGGACACCATTACTCCCCATGCCTCACGTGCAGGTGAGTGTGTGTATATTTGCATTAACACACAAACACACTTATGTGTGTCCCTGTATGTGCAGCTGCAGTACCTTACACATCTTCCAGTGCCTCTCAAGCATCATAAAAACAGCTTCCACAAAACCTCTACTACCCACCTGGCATCCACAGAGCTCCCAGTGATTGGCTCCCAAAAGATACTGAACTTTGGCATGGAACAGAGTGAGTTTCCACATTTGCTGTTGTACATAATTACCTGTCCAGCTAGAATAGTACACACTTCTTTTACTGAGCCCAGAAGTTTATGTGCCTGAACACGGATGGTACAGGAACAAGGGTGAGCGCTTATCAATTCAGCATTACTCTGGAGACATGAAACAAACTAATAGGTACAGCTATATTTTGTTTTTTAAACAATTTTGTGAACCACATATTTGGGACAAAAATCAACAAGTAAATTTGAATTACACTAGGCAAAGGACTGATTCTTTTGAAACGTGATTGACATTCAACGTCTAACTTTCCAAAAGAAGACATACATGTGGCCCACAATCATATGAAATAAAGTTCATCATCATTGATCATTAGAGAAATGCAAATCAAAACCACAATGAGATACCATCTCACACCAGTCAGAATGGTTATTAATAAAAAGTCAAAGAATGACAGTTGCTGGTGAGGTTGTAGAGAAAAAGGAACGCTTATACACTGTTGAGGGGATTGTAAATTAGTTCAACCATGTGGAAGACAGTGTGGCAATTCCTCAAAGACCTATATACCATTTGACCCAGCAATCCCATTACTGCATATATACCCAAAGGAATATGAGTCATTCTACCGTAAGACACATGCACGCATTTGTTTGTTGCAGCACTATTCACGATAGCAAAAACATGGAATCAACCTACATGCCCATCAATGATAGACTGGATAAAGAAAATGTGGTACATATACCCCATGGAATACTATGCAGCCATAAGAAAAAGAATGAGATCATGCCCTTTGCAGGAACATGGATGGAGCTGGAGGCCATTATCCTTAGCAAACTAACCCAGGAACAGAAAACCAAGTGCAGATGTTCTCACTTTTAAGTGTGAGCTGAATGAGGAGAATACATGGGCACATAGAGGGGCCTATCAGAGGGTGGAGGGTGGGAGAAGGAAGAGTATCAGAAAAAATAACAGGTAGTAGATTTAATACCGGATGACAAAACAATCTGTATAACAAACCCCCATGACATGAGTTTACCTATATAACAAACCCGCACATGTACTCCTGAACTTAAAAGTTAAATTAAAAAAAAATTAATGTCTAATAATATATTACAGTATTCTTCATATTCAATGGCAATGTGTGAAGTGGGAAGTGTCTTGACAGAATTCGGTGTTTCAAGGCTTACACTTTGATGCCCAAGACTGCACAAGGCTACATTTTCTACTGGTGAGACAAATTCCAGACGCATTGCATTCAGATCTAATCTCTTAGCTCCTTAATCTTCAGGGTACTGGTAAACATGAAGACCTCCCCAGTGCTGTAGTCATCATGATATGTACAGCAGGTGGCTGAGCTCTGGATGTAGACTGCAGGGATATATTAGGAAGTTAATTCTCAAGGCAAGTCATCTTCAAGCACCATATCAGCATGATCAGCAATATAAGTAGTATCTCAGTGCTTTGTTGTTTAGTCAGAGTTTTGTACTCTATCACCCATTGTAATGTTCCTATTTGCAAAAGGTAATACATACCCTTTAAAACATCTTTGCTTTTTCTCCCATTATCGAGATGCTAGCAGCTTCATAAAGCAGAATAACTAAGGGCAAACAGATTATATAAAGGGTTGGAGCTCAATGAAGACAACAAGAACAGCAAAGGTTATTGTAAAACTGGCTGCTTGCAGGCCAACAAGCACATCCATATGGAGGCAATCAGTTTATGCTACCTCTGTCTGTTTGATGGGATTCATAATATTGACTTTATCCATTAGATTTGGACTACCAGGGAATAAAATAAGCAGATGGAGAGTAAGGATTTGCTAGGAAATAATTCAGCCAGTCACTTTGAAAGCTGTTCAAGAAACAGCTTTCAAAGTGTCTCTCAAACTATGTTTGCCCATTATCCCAATAATTTATTTCCCAATAATTTCATGGGAAAAGAAGGAAGTTCTGTGGTCAGATAAATCTGGAAAACACTGGTTTAAGCAAAGTTCAGTAGGTCTGCTTCCCTGCAGGTCACCTCAGAGTCTTTACTCTGCTAACCTAGGAACTCATCCAACAAGTTTAATTTAACAGCTACACTGTGTACGTCACTTTAACAGTCACTGAGCTGTGACTCTTGGGGGAAAGATTGTGCGTGTGTGTGTGTGTGTGTACACATGTGTGCACATGTGCAGAATCTACCAAATCTTAAGAGAAAGGAACATGCTGGGAAACTGTCCTGTGAAAGAGAATAGAAACCTGAAGATTTGAGGCAGTGATAGCATTTATGAAAGCAGCAGATAAGGACTAATCACCAAAAGGGGTAGCTCTTTTGTTGGTTGGGGAAAACAGGAATTTTTCCCCCACCCAATGTGCTGCATTTTCTAATTTTCTATGAACACTTCCTAAGAAAAAGCTGAATGAAGAACATTTGCGATGCAATCAGCTCATTAAGAAACACGCACTTTTGTGGAGATACGTGCTGTCCCAGGAGATGCTCTGCGAGGAGCCGAGTGTTTGGACTGGAGCTGCTGAATGGTTTCTCACAGTTCTAGAATGTTTGGGGCTGCACCCTCTAAGATGTTGAACCCATCAGTAATTGCTCCAAACCACTTTATGGGATATAATGCTGTGAGTTGACACCTGAGGGGATTGTGGTCCTGTTCATGAGTAATTACTTTTCTGTTGCCTATAGAAGGGCCAGCAATAGCAGATGAGTAGCTGAACAGTGGTTTTGAGTAATAAAACGTTCTTTTTTAAAAAAAAGTAATGCTTTCTGTTAAACTCTGACTATACTCTCTCCTGGTATCACAACCCAGCTTTCTTTTTGCCTTCTTTATTGCAGTTACATATGGGGCTGATGACTTTAGGGATTTCCATGCAATAATTCCCAAATCTTTCTCTCGTAAGTATATGCCTTGCTTCTGGAAAACAAAAGCATGCCTTCATCTCCTATCATGTAAATATCGTACGTGCATGTTCCTTCATCAACCCCCGAGATACATTAAATATTCACTGTTCTATTCGTTAGACACCTACCATATCATTTTTGGGTATTTATACCATAAAGTGCAAAACGAAGGTCTAGGCAGTTGTGCGGTGTCCTGGGAGCATGGCAGTGGAGTAACAGTAAGGGTTGGAGTCACAGTAGCACTGATGGGATTGTTACTTCGCAGATGCTGCTGGACAGCTTTGAGATTACTCCTGTAATCCTTTTTATTGAGTGTGAGGATAAAATGGCCATATTTTCTGTCACCAACAAAGAACTGAACATGGTTTCAAGATAATTTTTACAATTTTGTGGGACAGGAGAAGGAGATATGCTCTTCATCTGTGGTTCTGGAGTATTAATTTCAGAACTGAGAAGAGAAAATTGCAGGCCTCCAGGCCGTTATTCTGTGGTGCATCGCTGCTGGAGCCAACGTACTGTTCCTGCTTGGTGCCCGCAGGACCTTCTCTGATCTGAGCTGTTAAACCAAAAACAGATGTGAATTTCATTTTTCTTTTTTAGATATTGAGCTGATAAATGATAAATATATTTGGGTAACATCCTCAAATGAGTACTTTAAAGAACAGAGAGTGCTTTTGAAAATGTATAGAGAGCTGAATATTTAAAGCCATACAAGTTGATAATCCCCTTAGGACCTGTATTAGTAAATCCTCTAATACTATAAAGCAACATCAGAAAACAGGTCGCATTTGTTAACACTGTGACAATTATAATTATAGGCTCTAATTTGAACAGTGCCAGTAACAGTTAAAGACAGGTGTCTGACATCCTGGTTATCAAAAACTATCTGGTGTCTAAGGAATTTAACAGTATCAAAGTACATCTTTTTGCTCACAAACTAGATTGGCTACTTTTCCAGCCTATAGAAGTTACAGAAATCTTTCTTTTACTGATATTCCTTTGATTCCACTTTAAAGCAATAGCTTGATACCTACTTTTTGAGATGTATATGTATGTACTTGTAAATGCTTATATATGTGTATTTGTTTACACGTGAGCTTATATGAACATATAAAACATTATGGTATTGGACAGAGAAATGATATTGATTTGAAGAATCATATTGTTGAAGTATTTTGAGAAGTCAAATGCACTTGAGAGTAAGCTAATGCATCCTAAAACATGTTTCTGTGAAGTCTGAGGAAGGTGTCAGCCAGAGCATATGTTGAAGCAGACCCTTCAGTGAAGCCTTCAGTCTGTAAGAATCGCTGCATGTGAAGATGTGTTAATGTTATGATAGTTACAGTTTTTATAAAAGAGATGATATACACTTGGATATGCTTTCTGTCTATATTTATGCAAATGTGTCCATAAGGTATTGGTGTCTCTCTTTCTCTCCCACTCTCCCCAGTGTTGGAATTGTGACTATCTTCTCACACAAGCGGCTACTTGGTCTTGATGCCTTCCCCCGCAAAACAGCAACCAAACTGTTCTGGGCCAATATCACCACCTTGTGGTCATGATGAAGAATTGCCCCCTTTGCCCTCAACACCTCTTTTCTTCTTGAAAATTAAAAACAACCCCTTTCACCCCCTCTACTGTCCTTATTCCAGTTTGTGTCCGTAGTTGCTGGAGGAAAGAAAATGCCTATTGCTCTTTTTTTTATTCTCTTTATCTGTTTACTCTTCTGCCTTTCTTTTCTCTCCCTGACTTCATTCCATTTAAAGGCCTTAAATTGCAAATAACGAAAAAAGTATTTTCTAATAATATACCCTAGTGGGACGAAAACAACCTTCTACATTTTAAATGATATTAAGTTATAATAAATGGTTCCATGAACTTTAAAACGCTTAAAAGTTTTATAAATCTCTTTTAGAGGCAACACAAAAATATCTATATATATATCTTCTCTTCACCTCAAATTTTCATTTAATTACCGTGATTCAAGATATATCTTAAATATTTCCATTTCATTTGATTTTTACTTGCTAGTCACCAGTGTTGCAAGAATATTTCTGTACCATTTTTCAAGTAAAATATTGAGCATTTCAAGCTTACATGGCCTAAACTCACACTAGAGTGACTACTTCGGACTATCTTTTCAATGGAAAAATGCGTTCTGAGTACCAAACATTTACTTTTTCAGTAAATATGAAGACACATTCTAAAAAGGAAAGGGAAATGAAGAGGAAGCTTAATTCATTGGTCAGGTGGGGACTAACAGTGTACATTATACCTATGCATTAAAAAATGTTTAATTATCCATGAGCACATACAGTGCCTGGCACAGATTCAGGCCTCTTGGCTCCTCTTGGCATCTGAGTTCCTTGGATTCTCCAGATTCTTCAATCCAAACTTGTCTATCTACCAAAGTCCACCTTCCATACAGGGGTGTGGGGTCTCTCTTAGTACTGTTGGGTGCCAATAACATAGAAGCCCTCCAAGATAGGTCAATGAGATTTTAATTTTTCCCAACTTTAAATAGCATCTGGGAAGGAAAGCAGCTTTTGACTAGGAGTTTGAAAACATCCACTCTTCATATTTATTGTCACATTTATTGAGTAATAAAATTGGGCTCTTGTCCATTATCTCTCAGTCAATGAAAGAGCCCACGGTGGGCATGAGCCAGAGTGTTCCGGAGAAAGAGAGGACCAGTCTCCATTTCATGTTCTATATTTAATCAGTTCAATTCAGCACCTTACTGAGTTTGACATTTTTCTAAGTAATGGGGTGGGGGGTTACAAAATATTTATAACTATCTTTCCTATCTTCAGGGAGATGTACCATTTCACTGAAGCAATACCACAGCTAAGCAGTTCCAGCTCCGAGTAACAGAGGAAGGAGTGAGCGATTTAGGAACTCACAGAAGGGCACGGCCAGGCAACTCGGGCCCTGGCAAATGTTCCATAGAGACAGCATCCATGGGGTTGAACCAAGCACAATGCCTGCAAATCGGGCAGGCGGGTTCATGGAATTGATTCTAGGGCAGGTATGATCAGCACCATTTAAGGAGTGGCAGTTGTTAAGAAACTGAAGGGATTTCTCATATGGCATTTTCAACAGAATTCAGCAGGAGCCTTGCATATCCCTTGGGATGGGTTCCGGGGTATTATGGAGCTGCCAGGAGGTGCTCAGCTTCAGTAAGTGCCAGTCATTCCTTCCCAACCTCCTCCTTCATTAGTGGAAGTATCAGCTGGTGTCATTGCCTTCTTCAGGAGGATGGATTTCAAAATGAAGGGCCAACAAAACTCACATTCTCGCAGAGCCTCCGTCACAACTGCATGTGTTCACTGCCATCAACAGGCCAACACCCACTTGTTCTTTTCTTCTAGGTAAAGGAAAAGGTCTGTGGGACAAAGGCCCTGAACTCCTCACTCCTTGAATGGGAGGCATATTGGTGGAGGCTGTCACACAACTACAGGTGGCAGGAACCTGCCATCAGGGTTCCCATCAGCCTCCAGGGCTTGCTTCTCTGCCCTGTGTGTGGACACCTTCCATCACTGGAAACCCCTCTCTCAGAAGAACCACTTCTTGCCCTCATCTCCCACTTGCCTCTCCTCGGCACCTTCTCCACCCTCAGGGGCCAAGCTGAGGAAGTGTGCATCCTGTGCCACCAACCTTGCTCGCAGGAATTAGTTTCAGTCCCCAGTGACTGACTCTTCCAAACCTGCACCAGCCTATGCTGCCCTTTTGAAAGGAGGCGTGCGTACAGCCTGGCTGGTACAGAAGATTCCAGATTTCAGTGACTACAGGACGCTGTCACCCCTTCTGTTTTTCTTTTTTCTGTCCACATCTCTGATTGAGCATACCTTCAGGGAAAACCCCAGAAACCTTTTTCACACTTACATGGGAAGCCAAGACACTCTCATCCTGGGCTTGTGTTTTTAAAATCTATATTTTAATTTCACAGGTCCTTACATTTATGACTAATAGATTTCAGATTTTGAGATACAATCTGTAGTTGCAACTTATGAAGATAGTTTCAAGCCCTGATTTCTGTCATCTATGAAAACAGTAAGCAAGTTGCTTGTATTCTCCTCCTAGCTGGATAAGAGACCCCCGTTTTCATGGACAGCCTCCTTGGGTGGACAGAAGTCTCCTGATCTTGTCTATGTAACCAGCACCCACTTTGCATTTTTCCGCAAAGAAAAGAGGAGCTTAACCCCATTTACGGGAAATCCACGCACTGCTTGAATCTTACGCGCCCCGTGGTGACGGTGTTGCCCACTCTGTTCCCTTCCCACCAAATCCTGCCAGCACCTGGCAGTCATCCAGTCCTTGTCTTAGACTTCACCAACCTTTCCCGTCATAACATGGCTTAGAAGTTGTCCGAATAGTGCTAGAAGCTTTCAGCCCTGGAATGCTCAGCATCTGCCATCTAACTTCCATTTAAAACGTTTTGAGCATTTGCTGATACAGGTTCCTCTGTCCTTTCCCCATTATTTTCAGTTCCTTGGCCTTGCCCATAGTGATCTGTGGATATTGTCTGCATACTCTTTTTTAGAAACCTAGAGCATCGCAGTGTCCTTAATTTTCCTCTTCAAACTCTATATATTCCTGAGCTGATCATCCCTACTGCTGTTCCTACAGAACTGTGTGACTAATCTTCTATATATGTCCCTACATCTAGCCATCTAGGTGGAGATCTAGGTACCTATCTCCCTAAAATTGTACTTGGTATCCACATTGACCTCAGGACAGTATGTGATAGGCTCTTGTGCCTTTTCGACTAGGAGTTTGAAAACATCCACTCTTCATATTTATTGTCACATTTGTTGAATAATAAAATTGGGCTCTTGTCCATTATGTCTCAGTCAGTGAAAGAGCCCAGGGTGGGCCTGAGCCAGAGTGTTTGTGTCCCTAGTTCTCTTTTGGTTCTGTTACAGCTCTCAGTGACAGTGTCATTGAGGCTAACAAGGACAGAGTACTGCTTTCAGCCACCATTTGTCCAATGAGTGGCTGATCTCCAGGCCTCTGGCTTTGAGAACATCTGTGATATCTAAGGCAGCATCCATTGTGGGCTTTCCCCCATGCTTCTGTTTCCTTCCTGTCACATAGCTTTGCCTCCTCCTGCAAGCAGCCTGCTGTAGCAGAACCGGTGTTCCTGAAGCCAGAAACCCAAAGGTCGTGTCCAATGCTTCCCTGCTGTTCTGCTCCCCACCTGCAAGCGCCCACACACTGATCAACAGCACACGCCATAGAGCATGCCAAAGAATCCCAGAAATACTCATTCTTAATGATCCAGAAGAACAAGTGATAGCTTCTGGCAAGTTCTAATAGGCCATATGTGCCCATGGGAAAGCAAGAGTCAATTCTCTCTAGCTGGTTGCCTCTGAATTTATGAAGTCAAGCCGCGTAGGGGAACATGCCAAGAGGATTATCCCAATGCCTGTTCTGCGTGGTGTCCTTTTTCTAGCCTCGGAAGCACTAGGCCTACACCTTCGCTATAGCCCTCGTCTTAGCGCCTGTATTTGAAAAACTTGCCACACCAATCTTAATTTGCTCCATTGTGTTCTAATCTCATTTTAAAAACCACAAGGTAAATGATTAAAAATAATCTTAGATTAAGGAGTACACAGATCTTTGCAGCCTCATTGTGTTTCCAGAGCGGGCTAGTGTAGACACTGGTGAACAAGGAGGGCCTAGAGAATTAGCTTTCTCCCAGAAAGATGCACAGCCTCTACCTGAGAGTACCAATTCCAGAGAACTCAATGGTCATTAAGCACCATTGCCTCGACAGCCAGCCAGCCTCACTTGCCTGCCTATCTCCTTTATTTTCCAAGTATCTTGTCCCTGGCAGTGGGGAGAGGTTAGCAGGAGGCTGCTCAGATGCTCTCGGTCTCTGATCTTCAGGATCTGAAGGGGAGAGCATTTGAAGAATCCCCATTGCTGGATTTCTCAGGACAATCCTGCATAATGCCAGGATCTGATGGAGGAGACAGGCAGCTCTGTTAATCCTCTGGTGCATCCTCACTTCTGTGGTCTCCAAGTCCACCATGTCCCAGTTAATTCATTTCATTATTCATCTGTAAGTCATTTCCCTAAAGAGCTAATAAGAAAACACTGGCAGTACAATCAGCCCTCCATATCCATGGGTTCAGCCTCTGGAAATTCAACCCACTGTGGCTTGAAAATACAGTATTCAAGAGACATGGAACCTGTGGATATAGAAGGCAGATTTTTCGTATCCATAGGTTCTATAGGGCCATTTTAGGGACTTGCACATCTACAGACCTTCAGGAGTCTCAGAACTGATGCACTGCAGATACCAAGAGATGACTGTAAGTGGTTAGGAATTTGGATGCTGGGGCCAGGCTGCCTGCAGTTACCTTCCAGCTCTGCCACTTGCCAGCTATGTGACCTTAGCAAGTTGTTCAACCTCTCTGTGCCTTGGCTTCTTCAACTGTAAAATAGGATAATGATAGCACTTCCCTTATGGAGTCCTTGTGAAGGTTAAATGGCAGAGTACAATTAATGTGCTGTGTGCCCAGCGTGTGGTATTGGGGTTAGGTGAAAGACTGTACTGGGATCACTGGGGGTGAGCCTCCATGTGCCATGCCCCAACCACTATCCTCAGCTAACTTCTTGTCTGTCAGTGTTAGGCTGGTGCTATAATAATTTCCATTTTCATGGATGAGGAAATCAAGGCACAGAGAAGTTACATGACTTGCCTAAGATCTCAGTGCTTTTAAATAGTGCAGCTAAGATTCCAGACCAGGTATTTTTATTTCAGTGTCTGGACTGTAGATCTCTAAATCGAGAGGAACTCCCTGAATAAAATAAGCTTGGAGTGCTGTTAACTAAGTTGGTTATTTAAGACAGTTGTTCTCAGTCCTCAGTGTACATTAGAATCTTCTGGAGGGTATGTTAAAACAGACTGCTGGGCCCACCGAGAGTTCCTGAGCCTGCAACTCTGGGTTGAGCCTGAGAGTCTGTGCTTCTAGTAAGTTCTCAGGTGATGCTTATGCTGCTTCTCCCAAATTTTGAGAACCATTGATTGAAAATGTTGATCAAAAATTATGTGGTCTAGGCTGAGCACAGTGGCTCACAACTGTAATCTCAACACTTTGGGAGGCCAAGTCAGGTGGATCACTGAGCTCAGGAGTTCGAGAGCAGCCTGGTCAACATGACAAGACCCATCTCTACAAAAAACACCAAAAAAAAATGGCTGGATGTGGTGGTGCACACCTGTAGTCACAACTACTGGGGAGGCTGAGGTGGGAGGATCACTTGAGCCCGGGAGACAGAGCAAGACCCTGTCTCAAAAAAGAAACATTTAGTCTTGATTGTCATCTATCTCATTGATCATTTTACTTGGCAAAATTTACCTACTTACTCTTATTAGTCTGTAAAAATGGTTATTAAAATGGTGGCTTTCAGTGTAACTACAAATTCTCTTAGTCATTATAGTGTTGGATTCACCAATGTATCATCAGTCAGTGTTTCTGAAGTGTGTAAATGAAATAACTCCTACTTTCTTTAGGAAGAAAAATATTCAAATGACATAATTACCTTGTGATGTGTGACTTAAAGGTAACAGTAATGCAGAGTCAATAGTGGTCATTGTATTCAAGACACTAAAAGTTCACCTCCCACCCCCCCCCCCCACCCACCACCCAACAAACACACAAGCTTCTTTCCCTTTGGAAAAAAAAGCTCTTCCAGATACCTACATTCATAAACTATCCCAATTAACCCTTCAGCAAGTGGAAGAAGTGTAAGAAAGGATACCTCTTCTTTAGAACACAGGGTTTGTTTTTATGTTATTTAAGATAAACAGGAATTCAAATGGTCATGTACCAAAGCAACACAAAGAACTTCCGGAAATCTGAAAGGGAACTGTGGTCAGAACTCTGAGCATTTTTATGTTTACTGAGTTTTGTCCCAAAGTTTATTAATGTTTACATGCCACAAGGAAAGGTAGCATCACAATAAGAGACGTTTTTCAGGCTTGATAACCACTTATTAGGTATTTTGCCAAACAAGTTCACACATCCTAGAGAGCTGGATTGTGTGACCCAGAACCCACCCTCTAGGGCAAGGTGCCCATCTGATGGGTAGGGTGTAGGAGTAGGCCTCAGACCACTCCTGACGTGAACCTGCTTAAAGTGAGGGCCCAATTCTAAAGTGGGAACTATGTAAATACCTTTCTAGTGCATTTTCAGATAATCGCCACTGGGCCTATGGATGGAGAGGGCTGGCAGATCTCCCTGTAACCCCAGGTGCATCCCGAGGCCTGCCACCGAAGCCCACTCAAGGCTGAATGCACGGCGAGCTCAGGCTGCTCTCCCCTTGGTATTTGCTAAGAACTTCTGTTTAGTAGCTCTCCACACCTATTTGATTGTCTTTTTGCTGCTGTGTTGTTTTGTTGAGTTTTTTTTTTGCAATGACACTGAGTGGCCTCCTGTATTGTTTCTTTCAGCCAGTAATGTTAAAGTAGAGACTCAGAGTGATGAAGAGAATGGGCGTGCCTGTGAAATGAATGGGGAAGAATGTGCGGAGGATTTACGAATGCTTGATGCCTCGGGAGAGAAAATGAATGGCTCCCACAGGGACCAAGGCAGCTCGGCTTTGTCGGGAGTTGGAGGCATTCGACTTCCTAACGGAAAACTAAAGTGTGATATCTGTGGGATCATTTGCATCGGGCCCAATGTGCTCATGGTTCACAAAAGAAGCCACACTGGTAAGGCCTGGCTCAGTTTTTCCTTTAGTGGCCTGGAGAAGGTGCATGGGGTTTGAAGGAGGAAAGCATCCTGTCTTCCTTGTGTTCTGAGCATGTTTCTAATTGACTGGTAGCTCAGTTGTTGCAAGCGATTGGTTCCAAGTGGTACCGAGTCATAGAGTCCTTGTTCTGGTACAGCCTTGTAAAGGACTTCTCAACACGTACCAATTCCACCCTATAAATAAAACAAGGGAAAAGTGAACAGCATCACATGAGAGGCTTGGCGAGGGCTGCTATTATAGTAACACATACTAAGTAGTCTCAGCTGAGCCCTCAGGGTACGTGTGCTGAGTGGTCACCCTCCACAAAACAAAAAATCCTGATACACCAAAACTTACTCCTCAAAGTTTCCACTGAGAAACCATGAGTAAAATGTGTGTTTAAATTGTATCCAAACTAACAGGGTTTGATGTTTAGAAACAATAATCAATGATGGAATAGCAGCAAAATCGAGTTTTCAGAAAGACCTCAGATGAGCTTTCAAATGGCTTGCCCTCTAACAGGAAAGACTTTGAATCAGATGCTTCTATTGCCACTGGTTATCAGCTCAAATTCCTAAAGAACTTCATCCCAAATACCCTGTCTTGCTGAAAGGTTTACTGGAAGTATAAGAGAATGTCATGTTCTGTGTCCAGAAAGGAAGGAACACGGGCACCCTAGTGTCAGCGAGTTGTGCTCAGGCTCACAGGATGCCCCCTCACCAGAGGCGTGGGAACACGGCGAGCCCCAGCTGGCCGCGCTCTGCCACTGTTTCTAATAGCCGGTCACGTTGATGGAAGTGTCACAGAGTTGTCCAACAGAACTGTCCAGTCAGAAAACCACCACTCATGGTGCTGGAGTGTCTTAGAAGTAAAATATGAATAACACACACTTATTTAACTATAGGCAGGAGGTTTCTTATGAATTGAAGAGAAACTTTTCTTTGCGTGGGAAGCTGTTCTAAAGTTGGGTAAAACACAATAGATCCACCACCTCTAGCAGCCACTGATAGCTGAAACGTGAAACATAGAGACCCTAAGCTATCACTGCCTCTGAGCTGGCATTGTTAGGTCATCATAAAGCTAGCGTCTCCCACTGCAAAACCCAAGAGGAAAAAAATAGTTGAAAATCCTATTTTAAAGGCCTAGCAGATTCTATAAGATACCTTGGGAAAATGATGACGATGACTTGAAATCAGACCCTCGTATGCTGCTTCCGTGGGGGCGAACAAAAATATGTTCATCAAAAATTAAGCAGAAATGCAGAAAATTTTGTGAGCCAAAAAAGCTGTGTTATCAGGAAATGCAGATATTTGTGGGGTTGTAATTTTTTATATTTGAATCGGGCGGTTTTCAAAATGATCTATTCCATTTGTAGTGTATCTGAAAACCTATAAAAATAAGTTGATATCAATAGATATCCATCTTCCATAAAAATTCAACTTCTAAAATTAAGCAAACTTTGCTTTTTCTAATGGCCCCTTTATCCTCAAATTACCCACTGAAATAGACGGATCACACTCAGCCCTAAGTGAAGCAAGCGTGCATGAGAGTAGTCCCAGCCTCGCCTTTGTAATGAGGTGGAAATTAACATGAAGGTAGGCTACCCTGTGATAGACACTTAACAGGATACTCGGGGACCCATGGTAATACATCCCTGATAAGGAATAGACCTCACAAATGAACTACTTGCCTGTTAATTCATTTAAAGCCTGACTGTACAGTGAAAATTCTCTTAAATAAATATTTGATAAGTGAATCAAATTCTGGCTTACTAAATTGCCAAAATATAATGACTGCCTGCCTTGATAAAAAGAATAATTACATTTAATGAATAAACCTGCCAAGTACAGATATGCCAGGTGGCACCTGCTGTTTGCTGCTCACTTCTCCCAACAAATAGCAGCTAGGTGCCACCTGCACACCAATAAGCTGAGTTTTTCACTTACGGAACAAATAACTTTCAGAAGTCAATTTTATAGTTTCTGCCTTGCCCTTTGTTAAAAAAATACACACACTTGAAGCAATGAACTCATGAATTGTTTTCATCATGCATTTCCACTTGCCTAAATATAAAGGGTCCCAGGTAGATACAGAAATACCTGGTTTGGCCAAACTTGGTTTGAATAACTAGACATGCTAGAAAAGGTTTTCATTTTCCTGGGATCTGAGTGGAATATGTTAGAAAAGGCATGCTTTCTGAATTCTCTATGCTTAAAACATTTCTAGAGCAGTGCTTCTCAAACTTGAAAGAGCATGTAAATCACCTGAGATCTCGTGAACATACAACTCTGCTTCAGACCTGGGGGGAGGCAGGAGAGCAAGCATTCCTAACAAGCTCCCAGCTTGTGGAGCACAGAGCCGCCTCAGGCAGCAGGGCAGTGCAGCTGAGCAGTGACAGTGAACAGGGCCATTCAGAGGGCTCTCCACCTGGGGCTTAGGTACGACGGGAATCCCCACTGGACAGGCTAGGACTTGCACTGTGGCCATTGTTCCTCCTCCTGCCCATGGCTGAGTCAGCTTCTCAGTCCCTTCCAGGATACACTGAGAGGATTCAGGGGCGGTCTCGCCTCTGCCCATATCCCCACGTTGGTGAAGTACCACTGGCGCCATTTTCTAATCAGCTCATCGGCACCAGCACGTCACTTCCCCTGTTGTGCAGCTCAGTTTTATATTTCTGACTCGGGTGTAATAGTAACATCTTCCCCACCAATGTCTCAGGGTTATTGTGAGAACCAGAGAGGAGAGAGGTAGGAAGGAAGCAGGAAATGCAGGGTGCAAATACACCACATTATTATTCTAAATAATGGGATTTTTAATAACAAAGACCAAGAAGATTGTCTGTGCCTATCTAGTTCCCATCTGTAAGATAAAAAGGTGCAGTCCCTGAGCCTCCTAAAAACAGCACCCTAATGGCACTGCTCCTCCCAGGTATGATTGCAGTAGACCTACGTCAGTTCTTGCAGTTCAAACACATTTTTTCACTTTCTTCTGAAATGCCCTCAAATTCTATGACATAGTATCCATGAAGACTTCCCTTTTTACCCAGTGAAGTTACTAGAGGGGGTTCAAACCTTCTTACAGAGGGTTCCTAAAATGGGAGATCTGTGGAGTCATTGGGATTAAAAATTAAATTTCAAATTCATGACATCAATGTCCTCATCCCAGTTAAATAAAAGTAAATACAACCTTGAAGAAATTTGACCTACTCAGCTGCAATAGCTGTTGACCTGCAGAAGGCAAATGATGGACCCCGGCCACGCAAGAACACACATGGCGTGGGCTGCGTTCTTGTGCCCCAGCTCCATGGACGTGTCTTCTTAGCTGTGGACCCCTCCAAAGGAAACTGCTTGAGTGGAGTGCTCTGTATTGTCACTCCTGGGAATGCTCTCTTAACACCCCCATGCCTTGTGCTATGTGTTCATACCAGCATAGGCACTCAGAAGCAAAAAAGGTTTCCAGTGAAATTTGTTTGCAGGCAGGTATTAAGACATCAGACACTGCAGGATCCAAGTGAACCCCTGCCCGCCTGCCTGCCTGCCCTGCTCTGCTCTGCAGAAGGGCATGTGTCTGTAGCAATCTGCCCTTTCTGTCTGCGATGGGCAGAGACCCTGGCTCTGCCTCCTGTTTTCCCTGTAGCCCTCCAGACCTGGGGAGAGACATGGGACTCCAGCACCTGCCCAGCACGGAAGGGGGTCTTTCCCAGGTGTAAGTGTAGGGCTGCATTCACTAATTTAGGGTCATACCACAAACACTGTTGTGTCACCAGGATGTTGTCACATGCTTATTGTGAGCATTTTTGTGACATGAGCTTTCTCCTGAGAGGCCACCCTGTCCAAATGAGAGCTGTAGTTGGAGGCACATCCGTCTCATGCTGCCTGGGTCTCCCTGCACCAGCTCACTCTACTTTTCCTTTTTATCCACTTGGAGTTAAATGCACACATTTATGCACAAGTGCACAGAAGGCCCAGAACTGTTCCTAATAGATAATTAAATGATCTCTCTCCAGTGGAAACTCTCCTGGGCTACCTGGCTGCTAGCTGTTTTAGCCTCTTCATCCAGTATTGATTTACATGCATCGGTTTGTAACTCAGACAGTATAGTTAGTTAGTTTGTTTCACCATCACCTTCCAACCTGCTTACGTTTAAACTCCTTCTCTCTGCTTAGCTAATACAGATTTCTGTAAGGATTTGGAGAAATACCAGATACCTCCTGGTTAGTATCAGGACCTCTCCATTGGCCTATAATTGAACATCACTGTAAATTAGTTTCAGCTTTTATAGTAATGCATCTAACCCGCCAGCTTAAAAAAAAAGTGATGATAATCATGAAATTCAAGTGTCAATATAGACTTTTAAATCTGGTGTGGATGTTAATAGTGCCAGATATGCTTCTGTGTAATCATTTTTGAGAAGTGCTGTCTTCTTTACCATAATCACATTAATCAATCGGGAAATGGTTAAATAGACATTTTAATACATTGTTTTTTCCTGAGAAAAAAAGTGACTCCAGGAAATATGTTGTTACAATATCTCAACACCAGGAATTGTGGTCACATAGCATTCTTCTTCTAAATAAAGCATTTGTTTTACAAAAGAGTTTCATGTTTACTTAAACGTGACAAATGTATCACTCTTCGAAGTGAGAGTTAAATGAAATGTTCCCTGATTTAGATTCCAAGACCTGTGACTACTCAGTAGGACAATAGCATATTTCTTTTACTCAGATACCTGTTTATCCCTTTGTCAGCTCCAGAATGGAGACACAGGTGCTGCCACACAGAGGAGAGGGTCAGGTGTTTTCTTAGTCACAAATGCAGCAGTCTCACCCCTGAAAGAATTCCTTCATAACAACTAAATTGCACCTCTTAGAATACCTGTACTTAAAATATAATTTGTCTTCTATGGATATAGACAAATAATAGCTTAAATGTTTTAGGATTTGTAAAGAAAGAAAAAGCTAGAAATCTCAATGCAACTCTGACTTGTATGTCCTGCCATAGGAAGGTTTGGGACTTTTCTTTGGAAGATGGGAGGCTTCCTTCACAGTTTCTTAACTTCTCATTTTATTCAATCTTTCTCCATCTCTCTCTCTCTTTCTCTCATCCTCACGCTCTCTGTCTGTCTCTCTCCTGATTTGTCTGCTTAGGGACAGACAGGTAATGGAGAAGAAATTGAAAGGGAAAATACAGGGAAAATGTAAATGAAAAGAAGTTATTATAACTGTTATAATGAAGTGCCTTTCATTTAAATATAAGAATGTAACGCTGAAATGAACTTGTGATCCTGAAATGCATTTTTAATGAGTTTCCTTTTTATTTTGCTGCTTCAGTGGCATATTTTAAAGACCCTTTGAAAAAAGCCACATTAAAAAACCCCACCAAATGCCACAACACGCAAAATTGGATATTGGTTTATTCCAAAACTGCTGATCAGGAAGAGTGGCTCTTCATCACAAAATGTTGCAGTCACTTTATTTAAATGAGTTTGAATTTGCATTGTGATGTGCCATTCTGATTTAGGGAAAAAAAATTAGATTTTCAGATCAAATTGACCCAGCCAGTGAAGCGTTAAGGAGCTGGCAGGTTTAGTCTGAAAGCCTCATGTTCTATCAAACCTGCAGCCGGTGGAAGTCACCAGGCCCCCGTGGGAAACAACTTTCTCGTAGCATCGTCCTCATGTCCCCACGCTGAGTTTAGTTCTCACCAGCTCTCCTCTCTCCGTCCCAGGAGAACGGCCCTTCCAGTGCAATCAGTGCGGGGCCTCATTCACCCAGAAGGGCAACCTGCTCCGGCACATCAAGCTGCATTCCGGGGAGAAGCCCTTCAAATGCCACCTCTGCAACTACGCCTGCCGCCGGAGGGACGCCCTCACTGGCCACCTGAGGACGCACTCCGGTAGGTCCCCTGGATGCAGTCCGGGGCTGTCTGGGTGTCCCGGGATTCCTCCACTCTGCCCGCCTGGGTCCCGGATTGTGTCCTTGCTGGCTAACCCTGAGTCCCTCCCAGCTCGCAGTCCTGCATCGGGTGTGAGCTGTTGCTTCTTTGACATTGCCCCATCCCCCCTCCCCATATTCTCCTTTTCCCACTGCACCAGGGAGATTGGGCGCAGGACCCCCATGCACATACACACACAGAAGTCTCACCTTAGGTAGCATGTTTCAGAACAGGCCTCCTCATCCCGTTTGTCAGGCTGGTATGGTTTCCCTAAAGGATTTTGCGGGAAATGTTTTCACCAAGTGTACTGCTAAGACCCAAAACGTTTTCAAGTACAATTCTTTCTGTTGTTAAGTCCCGCTTTGGAGTGTTTTACACAGGTGTAATGGATAGCTTTTTTGCAGAGCTGGTAGAGAAGGGTGATTTAGGGCGCACCCACCCAGACTGAGCCCCGTGTGGCTCTCACACCAAAAACCAGCCAAGGCCACAGTTACAGAGGCCAGTCTGGGGCTGTTACCAGATTTTAGACAGCAGCCTTTCTCTTTGAATTAGACAGTTAAAGTACAACCCACATAATCTGGAGTCTTGACAAGATCATCATAGGCATAAACGCTCTATCATTCTCAAAACAGTCTCAGCCTGCAAAGTTCAAATCCACTAAAGTTTGGTTAGATCCTCTGCCTCCTGAGAAATGGTCCTGGGTGTTTCATTATCCAGCAGTCCCATAATTCTACAGGGCAGAGGAAGAGAGGGCTCTTGGCCGGCCTGTCATGGATCATGTTTGCCTACAGTGTGGTCTATACAACATGACATGGCACAGGTCTCCTTCATACCGTCCAGTTGGGGATATTTGCTGTAGCATACTGCATGAGACTTCGGAGGCGAAAGGTTGATGGCTTTTGTCCTTCCCCTCAAGGAGCTTCCTGCCCCAGCCAGCCACCAGCCAGGGCCCTTCTCCAAGCAGCAGCCTCTCTAAGCCGGTGCCCTGGGGGATGGCAATGCCTCAGACCAGCTACTCCTCACCCACCCTGGGTAGCAGGATAAGGAGGAGCCTCCCTCAGGGAGGCAGACGTGTGTTCTTTGTGAAATATCTGCAGCGGCCCAGGCCATCTCTTCCCAAATGTGATGCGTGTATTTGATGGTTGAGGGTTTTAGAGGCTGCTCAT
Source organism: Homo sapiens (assembly GCF_000001405.40). Lineage (NCBI taxonomy): Eukaryota > Metazoa > Chordata > Mammalia > Primates > Hominidae > Homo > Homo sapiens. Next base: position 50,383,913 of record NC_000007.14, read on the forward strand.
TGTGTCCATCTCTTTATCACACATTTACTGAGCACCCCTGGGTGCCCATTCTGCACAGAAGACCTCAGGTGCACACAAGGAAAGCACCAATGTGTTACAGGAGGCATGACAGAGTGTCTGAGGGGACAGTGGGAGCATAAGGAAGGGGACAGTGGGTCCTGGGGTGGAAAGTCAGGAGAGACTTCCCATAGAAGGGAGGGGCTTCTGAAGTACATGCTGGAAGGCGAGTGTCTGAGGTTTGCTTTAGAGACATTCTAAACTAGTGTGTGAGTCGGCAGTAATCCCAGAGAGGGGTGCGGCACCCATGTTGGCAAGAACTCGGTCTCACTCCTGGCAGGTGGTCCCTGCAGTAGTTCACCCAGTTGGCTGGAGACAAAAAGGAGAGGAGTCACAGGGGCTGGTGCATCACCTCCTCTCCATCCTGACCTCCTTCCTGGCGGTGCACATGGAGAAGGATCCCCACATGCTCGCCATCAGAAAATTGTCATGATTTGGGTGATTTGACTTCCTAAAAACTTCCAAGAAAGGAGCTATACCAAGCTGAGGAGTTGCTTGCCCGAGAGGGCGGGCAGATCAGCAGGGGGGCCATGGAGTGGGACACTTGCCTTGTTACAGAGGGACAGGGAGAACAGGTGGTTCCCCTGAGATAGGAAGACAGTAGCATGACGGTGAGCATCTTTAAATGTTCACATGGGTGATGAGCATGTATGGTGGTCCCACCTGGAGACAAAGGTGGTACCTGGGCCTGATAAGCAAGGCCCATGGAGGCCTCAGCTAAGAGAACTGTGCAGTCTGTCTGCCATGCTAACCAGTGGTCTAGGAAGAAGCTTCACATCTGTTGTTTCTAAGGAGCCATGTAGACATAGACACAGTTGGCAGCAATATTGCCTTGGGTTAGTGGGAAGCACCACTTCCCATGTCAGTGGAAAACACAGACACTCGTTCTTAGGTTGACACCAACCATAGGTCATCATCACTCCTAGATTACTCTGATTGCAATGGAATCTCTCATGCCCATCAGTCCTTAAAAGCAGAGCTGCTCTCTTTCCTTTCTTGTTGTGGAGTTAGGAACATGTAGTGGAGTATTTTATGTTATTCTGGCTCCAGGCCTATGTATTTCATTTGAGGCATGATGGTTTCCTATTCTAAGTACCACTAAGTATTGAGTAGTTATAAAATGGTGGTAGACTTTGGACTGTGTATTTCTATTCTGGATCCACGGATGAGCAAGTGGAGAAAACCCATCATGGATGCAGGGCTGCTGGGGATCTGTCTGTCCGAAAATGCTATAGAGACACACACTGCTCTTGGGGAAAAAAACAGTGATGATTTCTTCAAAATGATTTCACTGAAGTGAAATAAGGACTTTGGCCTTGCTCTGGCAAATTCAAATGTGGCCACACTCTACTCCATTGTGGAATGGTGACTCCCCTGTCCCATGAAAAACCAGGATCAACATCACAGCTTTCTCTAGCAACTGGTGGTGGCCTGAGGTCTTATGAACTAGCATGTTAGCAGGGATAGAGTTAGGGAATTTGTCCGATGCTGACAGCAAGAGGGTGCTGGGGGAGCTGGAGGGGTGGAGAAGTGATCTCCCTTCCTGCCTCATGGCTTCCTTTGGAAGTTGCAAGCTTAGAATTTCTTTCCCAAAGAATATTGGACTATGCTTCAAGAGACACTTGAGTTCAGTTGCTTACAGTGAACATACTTCTTATGTTCCAGAGTTAAACTCAATCATATTTTCAGAAAAATAGATATTCAGACATCATGTCATATTTACAGGAAGCTATTTGATCATGGAATTTACTGAAGTGACAGCTTTTTCAGGAAAGGGTATCGAGTGGTTATCTATATCCTATTAATTTCTAAAAGCAATGCTCAATAAAATGTGCAATTTTAGGCAATATTCTGTGTTTCAACATTATTTCCTTATGTTGGGGGTACATCACTTTATATAGATAAAGAAAGATCCTTTTCATTCTCTATTAAATGGTCGAGAAGTCAAATTTTGGCTTTCATGTTGGTCTTCTTACTGTAGCTTCTGTTCACCTAAGAAAGAGATTTAACCAACATAAGCTTTGGCTAAACCATTGTACCAAACATTTCTATTTGGATGCTCTTAACTTTTATACAATACTTTGAAATGTGTTCAATAAAACAACATGAGAAAGAAGTAGAAGATTCTGCTATTAGGTTGGAAATTGATATTCCTTACATAAGTGATTAAAGATACTTTATTCAGTTTATCCCTTAAAATGGTATCTACTGAAGTCCTTAAACTTAGGCATGATATTAATTCCTGGCTAGTCTTTCTTTTTCCTAAAATATCACTCAATAAAATCCAAGAAGGACTAAAACTCATTATATAGAACTGCACTGCCCAATACAGCAGCCACTAGCCACATGCAGTATTTTTAATTATAATAAGTTAAAATTAAACAAAATTAAAACTTCAGCCCTCAGTGGCACTAGCCACACTTTTTGTGTCCAACAGCTACATATGGCTGGTGGCTGCCATATTGGACAGCACTAATAGAGAGCATTTCTATCATCATAGGAAGTTCTGTTGAACAAGGCTGATCTGGAAGCTACACCATCCTAAAGCTCTTTGGCAAGAAAGCAGAGCTTTTCCATAAGCTCAGTTTATGAACAATATATTTTGTATTTTCTATGTATATGTATATGAGAATACGTATACATAGAAATATATGAAAATACATATACATATAAATATACATATACATAAAATAGAAATACATATACATAGAAAATACAAAATATTTTGTATTACATATACATATGCATGGAAATACAAAATATTTTGTATTATATAATGCAAATGTAAGATATATTTATATTATGTAAGAAAATACATTTGTGCAATAAAACGCTTATTTCATTCAAGCATATTTGTCCAGCATGGTTTCTTAGAGACTGAAGTTACCCAGTTTAGCACCTGGAACTGAATTCACTCTGGCTGTGTTAGATGTAGCACCAGCGTCATGACAGATCCAGCCCACAGCATAGACTGAGGCCTACTCTGGAGGCAAATCTGCAGACAATGTGGCCAACACATGGGCCTTCCTCACATCTCTGTCCAGTCGCTGGCATCCACGTTATAACACAGCAGTGGCTCGTTTTCTCCAGTTAAAGGCTAGGCTTCCGTGATTGAAGCAGGAGAGAATTTGGTAGTCAGTAAAGTAGACAAACTAAGACAAAACAAGAGTCGCATGAGTTCTTGGTACAATTAAAGAAACCCTTGGCCACCAACGTTTTTAAATTCAGGAATTTCACCAAGTCCGTAACAGTTTTAGCTCTCAAGGGTAGAATTTTTTTTTTAACTTTTTTGGTAATAATTGTATTGCATGCATTCCCCTTACACAGAAGGCTGGCATTTAATTGGGGTCTTGAACTCAATTGTGTTTTCTGCAGTTGGTAAACCTCACAAATGTGGATATTGTGGCCGAAGCTATAAACAGCGAAGCTCTTTAGAGGAACATAAAGAGCGCTGCCACAACTACTTGGAAAGCATGGGCCTTCCGGGCACACTGTACCCAGGTAAGCGCTGCTGCTCGGAGGCCAGCCTGGTGGGCTCTCCCCCCAGCACGGTGGGGAAGGAGGGCGCTCTGCATGCAGCCTTAGGAGCAGAGCCTTGGGCCTGCTTCCTGCCGGGGCTAGGAGGGAGGGAAGTTTTTGGCCAATAGCATCAGTTTCACCAGAAGCACGTTGTGCTTCCCAGCTTTCTAGGTCCTCATCTGACCAGAGAGAGCTTGATTTTAAAACCCTTCCCACTTCCAATCGGGAGAAACTCCTAGGATAGCAGTGACCTTGAAAGTTTTGGGGTTGTTTTTTGGATGTTGGTGATTTTAAAACAACAACAAAAAAAACACCTCAAGTAGTGATATTTCTTTGTAAACAAAATAAAATGTAAAATATTGTTTTGAAACAATTTTTTAACAAAGTTGATCAAATAAGAACTTTCAGGCTGTGATTTTAAGCATCAGTTCAGACTGAGGGCAGGGTATCCACTCCTGCATGGAGTGTGAGGTTGAAGTTTGTTGGAAGCCCCTGGTAGTTGATAATATTGAGGTTGTTGAAGGATGAGAGGAAAGGTCGCTTCTTTCTTAGGAGCTGTGATGCTCCACTGTATTGCATAACGAGATAGCACTTGATTCAGACCCCAGAGCCTGTAGAATAAATGATGTGGAGAGAGTATTGAAAAAGGCTGGATTTATCTGGGGGAATGGCAATGTTATAAAAGGTTCTTCCCTAATTTTTTAAGAGATAAGCAATTTATAAAGAGATCAAATAAAACTAATCTCTTTCAAAACAGTATTCATTTAGCACTACCCCTGGAAAAATCATCACTAGACTGTGAGTCGAAATTTAACGAATGGAGGAAAATTTATTAAGCCTCATTCACCTTTCGGACTTTAACAAATGGTTCAAAAGGGAAAATTCACCAGAGTACCCTCAGATTATTAATGGCAGATGAGAGCAGGAAAAAAGAATGTTGAGAATGGCTAAAAATTGATTCCAATTAGTCTTGGCATGGAGAGGCAACATCTCACCTGGCCAGAGCCCTGCAGCCAGAGTGCTGTCTCCTCTGCCAGTCAGCCAGGGATCTGGGGCTTACAGGCGATTCCTCCAGGCCTCAATCTTCTCACCTGTGAAATGGGAAGATACCATTAAATTGTCATTTGGCTTCTTTCAAAATCTCAGGTCTAGAATGGAAAGGCATTGAAGGTGAGTGGAAGAGAAGAAACTGGATGTTAAAATAATAATAATGTAACAGTTATTAATTCACATGGCCAGACCCCAGGGCAGAAGACTAATGGACGAGAGGATGATTATGTTCCTTTGAAATAAAATGTCAACATTCAAATATTGTTTTTTTCTGTAAAAAATAAGTGAATGGGTCTTGGAAGGAAGTGCTCCTAATGATGTAGTTTACATATTAATGCTTAATAAACCATTTTATTTACTCAACAAATATTCACTGAGGACTTATAATCAATAATACCAAGCCCTATTGAATACAGTAATCTAATATACACATAGAATTGAAAAGACAAAATGAACAAAAGAAACAGACAGTATATCATTTCTGTTTCCTCCACTGTTTTCATTACTAAAGAAACAAGCTGCAGTACACAGCCGGCTGAGAGCTGCTTCCGGGGGAGCAGGAGAAGCAGCACTCATTTCACTGAGACCTGGGTTTGAGTTCTCTGTTTTTGAATGTGACCCAGAGCTCATCGCTTAAATGCGACTGATAATTCGTGCCTGGCCACCCTCATAGCAGCGCTCTGAAAGAAACATAAAGGAGTGGATACACGTGTGAGCAGGAGCCTAGACATGTGTCAGGTACTTACCTAAACATGGATGTTTAGGTCACTGACATACTGACACCATCAAGCTAATTCTTCTCTATTGGTCTCTATGTCAGTAAGGCTACGTGCCAGTAATGTGTATTAAATATTACCCTGTGGTGAGTATCAATTTCACCCTAAAATGTTCATTTATTCCCTTTGGTGGTTAAGTTACTTGGACTACCACAGTGATGCCTCTATGTCCCCACACTCAGGAGGTATGAAAGCGTCTCTAGGAAGGAGCAGTGGTCTGGTCTCAGTGTGGCAGCAGACAAAGCCAGGCTCGCACTTAATTACATTGAATTATTTCTGTCTGGTATGGCCTCAAAAGGTGCAAAATGATCATAAATATCTTTCGACAGTCACCTTTGGTTTTTGCCCTTGCCAGCACCTGGCCCTTGTAGGTGCTGCTGGTTTAAGGAACTTGGAGTATTAAGGGGATCCATAAAAGGACTTTGACAGAAGTCTTCCTGAACTGTGCTTAGGGCCAGGAAGGCAGGCAGGGGCTTGGTCATTTCAGCTGTGCTGTACCCGGATGAGTGGAAACTGTGCCTTCTGATGCATCTCTCCTCCTCTGTTCCCCTCTAAGAACCCCTTGTCTGTGCTCAGATGGATGAGCAAGTAGTCTCTTCTCCCACCCCAAAAACCTCCTTAGATGGGGTGGATTCAGTAAAATCAAAGCCTCAGTTAGGCAATATAGGAAAAGATGAATTTTTGTGAATATAATTTTCTTTAGTAAAAGGCTTTTGGTCACCTCTTATAATTTCTCAATGTCTTTATGGAAAAAATAAGTTTCTCTTGAGCCTTTGGTGCACAAACAGAGTCACCAGCCCTTGGAGGTGCATGCATCTAATGACAGAGCAGCCTGTGACTCGCGAGCATCAGGCTCACTTGTTCCTTGCTGTGATTGACTCTGGGGGGTGGAGGCTTTTGGGAGGCCCTGCGCCATGGTGCAGAGGAAGACCCCTGACCTCTGGGAGCCCTGGGCAGGCTGTGGGTGTGGCTTGGCAGAGAAGGATGGACATGTCAGGAAGCATATTAGCTTAATAGATGAAGTGTGTGACCAGTGTAATTGGGTTTTATGGATTTATATTTATCTTGCATATAAATCAGGGTGTGGCCTATATATGTTTGCCCATTTAATAAAAAACACATATTCCAAATGTTAAAATATAAAATATACCAGCAACAATAGCCAATTTGAAATATATGTTTTCAAAGTAACATTCATAATAGCAATGAAGACATAAATACTTAGAAATGAAGAAAACCAGCAAGCCATAGTGAGGCAAGAAAGAAAACATGGGAGATTGGAGAGGTAGAGAGGTCTGGATGCCGTCCATGGGCCTCTGCCCAAATTAGTGTATCATTTCAACATAAAACTGGCTTGTAAATTTTACTGGAATCTGGTAACCATGTATCATAAAGTATCTGGATATATACATGAGATAATTGGCAACTTTTTAGAAGAAGAATAATGTCAAGTGATGTATGAAAATGTAGCTGAAATGGATGGAACTCTTTGAAGAATAGACAAACAAATCAATAATAGAGATGGATACCCTACTGAAGACCCCATGATAAATCAGCATGAAATATCCGAGGCAGGAGGAAGCATAAGGCAGGAACGGTATTGGAAGAATTGATCAGGCATTTAAGATAATCAGTTTACATTATCATCTCCTTATACACTAGGATAAATTGCCGGGAAATGAAAGAGTTATATTTTTATAACTCCAACCACAATAACTGATGTAAATATAGATCCAGCTATGCAGGATACAAAGTTGTATCTTCAATTATGGAAAGAGATGACATAGAACAATTGAGAATGACTAGAAATGGCCCACACATCAGCATTTACCTCCATAATTTCTAAATTTTCTACAGCAGTCAGGGGTGCTTTGATTTTCAGGAGTTTGTTGTATGCTCAGGGATAAGGGGCTCTGGGTTTTTCCTCCACATTGCCCAGATCTGCTGTAGGCTCTTGGGGGCCACATTTTTGTATCTCCGTTCACTGTGCTGGTCCATGAAGTCAGATGTTAGATCACACAGTTCTTTGCGTCTCAGAGGGCTGCTGTTAGGGACTGACTGAGGTAGCAGATTTGGGAGTATTATGAAAAGTTAAAAGGACTTGTCAAAGGGACATCAATACTTAATCCCAGTCCAGCCTCTGGTGATGGTGGTGGTGCCTGTGCATTTGGACTTAAAGAGGATGATGTGTGGTGAGCAGCTGTTGGAGGAAGAAGCATTTGCAGGTGGCTGGTCATTGGCATTGCTCCGGCTGCCTCTGCCTGTCTGGAAGTGTTGCTGGGAAGATTAGAATTAATCTCTAGGAAGGGCCTGGCTCTTGTAGGCACTTAACAAATGTCAGATTTAACATTGGACGCGACTGAACCCTTTAAACATAAGCCTTTCTAAACTGGCCTCTCTGTCTTTGACTTTAGTCATTAAAGAAGAAACTAATCACAGTGAAATGGCAGAAGACCTGTGCAAGATAGGATCAGAGAGATCTCTCGTGCTGGACAGACTAGCAAGTAACGTCGCCAAACGTAAGAGCTCTATGCCTCAGAAATTTCTTGGTAAGAGTTAAATGTTTGCTGTCTCTTAAAAAAAAACTATGTGGGTGTTTTAGATGCAAGTAGAAATGAGTTGAGGGTGGAAGAAAGGGAAAAAAATCTTATTTTTTCAAAAGGAAAAATTGGTAAGCTTAACATTCCTTAAATATCTTAGAATTTTTTCCAATAAGTATCTTAAAAATAACAAACCTCCCATCAGTTTTTCCTAGATTTGATTTTGCAGCATCTGGGGCCTGCCCTGTGATCTGCCTGTGGACATCGCTCTTAGGGGCGGCTGCACCAGCGTGCACAGGGTGGAGAGTTTGGGCCTGGCTCGTCCGGGGGACACCACACTGCAGGACACTCCAGGCCTGGCCGGCTTCTCAGAGCTTCAGATCCTCATTTTTCATATGAAGCTCCTAATGCTCCCCTTATGGGGGACTCTGAAGGGTTAATGGGAGGAATCATACAGTGACTGACCCCTGAGAAGTGTCCAGTGAAGACAGGGCTTAGCTAGGATTGCTGTTTTGCCTAATGCTCTGCGGGATTAAAAAAAAAGAAGAAGAAGAACAAGACCATTCGTCTCTCTAGGAGCATTGCCCAGAGTAGGTATTAGACACACCAACACCACCATCCAGCCAGACGCTGCAGGGACAGTGAGCCAGGGTCCGAGTGGAAAGGCGCTAGGCTTGGGAACCAGCTCAGAGTCAATACAGAGCCACCGCCACTCACCAACTCTGTCAGCTTAGTAAAATGGCTCTGCCCCTAGAGCCCTGGTTCCATCCTTTAGTATCTCACAGGGTGATTGTGAATATCCCATGACTCCAAGATTGAGAAAACGTTTAGAATCCCTCGGTGTGAAGGTTAACTCTGTCCGGAAAGAGGACCAGTAAAAGCTTCATGAGGCTGAGATGCACTTTGGAAGAGGAATAGAGTTTCAGCACATTCTAGGTGTTGGAGGAATGGGGGAATCTAGGCAGATGTTTAAAATCAATGAGAAACCAGAATGCTGACCATGAGGGTTGGAGTGGGGGCCTAAGGACATGACGGAGGAGCAGGGTGTGTTCCCAGCTTAACTCAGGTACCCATGGGGAAGCAGGAAAAGTGAAGGTGTCCTAGGCAGCTCTGCCACAGGATGAATGGCTTCAGATGCCAGGTGAGCGAGGGACCCTTCATTCAGTCAGCAGGAAAGAAGCACTGGCATATTTTTTATGAGAACAAAGGCTAGGATAGTAAAGACAGCAAGTACCAAAAAATGACTGGAAAAGGGAGACTGTGGAGGCAGTGGCAGCAGGCATGGAAAGAAGGGCTTGTGAAGGGGAAGGGGTGGTGTCAGAGGAACATAGGGCTGGGGGCAGGGATTAGGTGAGGGAAACCATGAGTCACACTGATTCTAGAGTAGTGTGCCCTTGATGAAAAGGATAACACCAGGTTCTAGGAAAAGATGGGGTTCTGTTTTTGACGTGTTGATTTTCAAGGACTTCTGGTGTTTGTGACACATGGGGAAATTGTGGTGGGAGAGAGGTGGGGCCAGAACAGGGGCTGGTGAGGCCAAGGGTCCCAGAGGGCACCTGTTGACCTGCAGGATGACATGAAGGGGGAAGGACAGAGGCAAGGCCAAGTCCTGGGCACCAGCCTCCCTCTTGCAGCTTCAAATAGGGCTCCATTTTGACCTTTTGATTAATTAGAGGTTTGTCATAGGTTGGGGGTTGAGAGGAGCAAGGGAGAGAAGGATTCAGTGTACAAAAAGAATGAAAGCCACTGGCTGAGCCAGTGGGGAGTTGTCCACACACACATGAGCCTTTGGACCATGAGAACGAGGGAGGCCTTGCCTTCCTGAACGGAGTAGGAGTGAGGTCCTGTGCTGAGCGTAAGCAGTGGGATTCCCACAGCACTGGGCACAGAGCCCACGGGCTGCCTCCTGAGCAGCCAGCATCTGCCTGGGGTGGACACAGTGACAGAGAGATGGGTGGTGACTGGGGTATGGGCAGAGATAAGGCAGCAAGTGTGTGCAAGGGGAGTGAAGGGTTACTGACCTTAAGAAGCAGGGATGGCGTCCTCTGTCAGGTGAGGAGCCTGGAGAATGCTTTGGTGAATGAACGTTTGCAGCCCCTTTTAGCTTTTGGAGACTTGAAACCAAAGGAGAGATTCATCTGTGAAACTCTACTGGAGCCACTCCCCAACCCCCACCCTTGTGAGACCACAATGTGGGCGTTGGCTTGAGATGCTTCTGTGTTAGTAGAAGAAATAAACAACACAGTGCTCTGATGAGGCAAAGCGAAGATGAAAAAGGAGTTCCCAGGGGACATAGTAGGAACAGTGGACGAGGGTAGCAGAAGAGGAGTTTGGAGCAAAAGACTCACAAGCAGCTGCATAATCTGTTGGTGCTTGGCAGTTCATTTGTAAAAATGATGCCTCTTCCTGCCCTAAAATACCTACCTTACCCCCGCTTCAACTTGATGAGATTTCCATCAGTCACTCCCAATGTGTCACAGCTTCTGCAGCCCTAAAATTAAAAGGTGAGTGAGTCTCTGAGGCCCCTCTCCACTTCTCGGATGCTGAGTTTAGCCTTCATGTGAATGTGGAAAGACTAGGAATACAGCTGTTATCACACAAGCTGGCCCAATAGTGGTTCAGTTGAGAGAGCCCCATCCTTCAGAGTCAGCTCCAGCTAGGAGTGACTGGTGGCCTTGAGCATGGTGCTGGGCTTAGTGTTGCCATCTGTGGAATGGGTGTGGGTCTGTTGCCCTGCCTCCTCCCAGAGCTATTCTGAGGCTCAGAAGGGGTGATGGATGTGATGGTGCTCCCAACACTAGAAAGCATCTTAAGAATGTAAGATTTTCATGATGACTGTTGCTCAGAGTGGCTATTATAGTTTTGCTTTATTGTTCTATAACCTATGATTAAAATTTTTACCTTAAACTTTGACGTGAGTGTGAATAAGTATTTGTTTTGCCAGCAACATTCCTCACCACTGGGGCCATTAAAGATCTCCCCCTCTGAGACCATCAAATACAGGTCAACAGGACTGATTAATCTAATTAGAAAAGGGCTTGTATTAAATAGCAATGATAATTGTTGTTTTTAGTCTGTCTGGTGTTTGACTTGGGAACGTTTTTAAAATAGAGAAAAGCACAAAGAGGAAAACAACAATTACCAATATTCCTGCTACCCATTATAATTATCTAGGTATATTTTCTTCTTTTGTAAGAAAAAGAAACCCTGTTATATTGTTAAAATAACACAAAGTTAATATAAAGAATTTTAATGCAAAGATTAATGTTTTCAAATCACCACAAAACCCAACATCCAGAAATTACCAATATTAAAAGTAGAAAAGTATCATTCTAAATATTTTCTGTTGCATATGTATGTGAGTGGATAGGCTGATGAATTAGGTGGATTGATGGATAGGTAAATATGAAATAAATACTTTCATAAATATTCCAACTTATCATACATGCCTTAAATTCAAGAGGTGAAAAAAGACCCAAACAAAACTAGAGAAGCGGCTTATTTTAAATATCCTCTGACATAAAGGAATATTATATTTAAAGGATCCTCTAAGATTAAAAATATGTACTATGAAAAACATTAAGAAATTTGAATTTTTTTTAATCCATTTGTTTCAATTTAAGCAGCATCTACTGGCTCACTGCTTTGAAAAATAAGGACAGTATTCCAGTTCACATTCAGTGTTCCAGTGTTCACATTATCTTATTATTTTTACATTGTCCAGCTTTGTAATATTCACATTCTATTCTGTAATCATAATTCATAGTAGTTTAGTTATTTATTACTAACTCTATTTAAATAGATTCAAGGATCAGACCCTGCCCTTTTCTTCTTATTTATGTTTATTTTGATTAATCTCTTAATTGATTGGACTTTACATTCAAGCAACTTTTTTAAAAAAAAGTTTCTATAGATGTTCTATTTCTATCATTGTATTGTTTTTGAGGATGTTGGCCTGTTGCCTTTGTATTTGATGAGCATTTTGACAGAGTCTATGGTCTTGGGCCACTCTTTCTTTTTCTCCCTTGAGAACTTTTTAGATTTTGCTGATGGCATTGCTTGTTGAATGTTGCTGTGGAAACATCAAGTCTAGTGTAACTGTTTCTTCTTCAAGGTGATTTGCATTTTATTCCTGAATGCCTGAGGGTTCTTTATTTAACCTTGAAGTTAAATACCCTAATTAGGATGTATCTTGGTCTATTCATTCGGAATAAAAAATTCCTGCCATTTTGTCTAGAGAGTCCCTTTTTTTTCTCTTTATTTCTGGGAAATTCTCTTTTATATAAATATGTTTTGTTCCATCTATTGTGATCTCTGTTGAGGGATACCAGTTGTCCATATGTTAGATAATTTGTCTTCCATATCTGTTAACAGTTCTTAAAGTTTTTTGTTTATTTCTTTGTCTATTTTTACATTTACTCACTGTTCTCTTGTGGTTTTCCTCTGTCAGTAATTTAATTTTTAGTAGTTCCTGTTCTATTACTTGCTATTTTTAATCCATGCATTAATTTTATAATAATATTATTTTGCTCCTTATTTTGTCTCCTGAGACCCGAAATCTCTTTTTTCCTCTTACTCTGTTGCTTTTGCATTTTATTTTGAATACTTTTAAAATTGATTCCATGTTATGAAGCAATTATGAGGCATTTCCTCTCTTGTTGGAATTAACGATTTTTTCCCCTAGGAGGGACTCTATGGTCTGTGTTTTACTTCCTTTCTTCCCCTGTATTTCTAGAAAATATTTTCCTAGTAACCCTGACATTTCTTTTCATCTTGCTTATTCTAGTTGGTCTGATATAGCTTGATTGACATTTCAGCCTTCTTCCCACTATATTTTTTTTTCCTGTGAGAGCTATTGGGTTTTCTAAATCCTGAAAGAATGCCAAAGATGGGGTTGGAGGAGTTTGGTGAGGCAAAGTGCAGCCTTTGTTAAAATACTTTTCCTTTGCTCTCTCTCCCTCATCTGAAATTTAGTTAAATACCCTAAGCCATCAGCACTGTACCTAGTTGGGGAATGCTTTCATCCCCACAGGAGATTCTCTGGGGCTTTGGGCCATCTTCCCCTTCAGTGTAGACCACAGAGGACTTTGCTTCTGTCCCAGGGAGCCCGCAGGGGCTCACTTCTCCATGTTCATCTGATTCTTGTCAGCCAAGGTTTCAAATGCTTTTCTGATCAGAACAGGGAAAAGATACCTATCTGAATCATGTCTTTATAGATATGAGGCTATGAGGGAAAATTCTGAGGTTATTCTTGACTCACACCTAAAGATTTGGAAATGAGATTAGCAGCAAAGCTTTGCCCTACATCTCATGTCAGAATTTTCTGTTTCTTTCTAGTCTTTGAGTGTATGTGTGTTCTCACACACGCCATAATGAAATGCATATTATATATAATTATGTGTATATATAATATTCTATGACTATACATGACATGTTCCTTTAGCTGATTGCTGTTAAGAGAAATTTATAGGTTTTTATTTTTCTTGTTTTGTTGGGTATTAAGGAAGAGAAATTCTATGGTAATTTTCATGTGGCACAGTAATCTGGCATATATGTTGATTTTTTTCCTACACCCATTTGTTGTGATACCAAGTTTGAAAACAACAGATTTCAGTGGTTGCTTGGGAAACCACAGAACCATGACTTGGGGAGAGACAGGATGATTAGGTGGGAAAGCACCCTTTTGGTGGGGCTGTAAAGACTTTTATATTTAGCAAAATTGGCTACAAAGTCCATTCCCCTCCTTTTCTTGCCTTGATTTGGTAGAGGGATAGACTTGGATACAAACTAGAATGGATTCATTCTTCTCTGGAGTTAGTGTAACAAGACATTTAGCTGCTCAACACAAAAACAGAAACAAAAAAATTGTGTGGTTTCAGCAGTGCTATACAATTACTTTTTCTGACCTTTAATGGAGAGAAACACCACTTCTTTGGTCCCTACCATCAGCTTCATAGGGTTTTCATCCTGTTCTGTTTCTGGGAGGGCGTAACTGGCCATGCACAAGTTTTTTTTCTCTAATCAGAGTATGTGCCACTTCTGACCACCAGTAGATGAAAACGAATGGAAACCAGGCTATTATATGATACATATCCATTACAAAATAAGACATGAAACTCAAAGGTACTTTATGGTATAATGGGGCATATATTCCTGGACAATTCTTAATGGTCACAGATTTTATAAAAGGACTATTAGTAAATGTATGAATTACAGAGTAATTTATCCTTCTGTTAGTAAGAACCAGCTGATGACCTCAGTGTCAGGTGCATCGTGGAAGGTGTTGGGACCTTCCCTTGCCACCACCCTCACCAGCCATCATCAGCCATAACCTGCACATTGGGGAAGTTTTGACTTATCCCTCACTTTTGCCCCTCTTCAAGCTGTTCTTTCCACAGTGAATGAGAAGGCCACTTCTTCCTTCAAACCTTTCAGTGGTTTCCATTTTCCTTTAGACAAAGTCTCTGCCTAGCTGGCCTCTGCCTGCCCCTCCTGCCTACCTCTCGAGCACTGCCCCCACCTAGGGCTCTGGTTCCCCAACCTTCACTCGGTCCTGCCACACCTCCCAGCCCCTTCTCCCTTCAGAACTTTCCTTCTTGTTGTCCCCAACACTGGGACACAAAACCCTCCTTATCAACCCTCCTTATCTGGCTGACTCTTACAAGATCAGAAACCTGTGTAATGCTCTCATGGCACGCTCCCCTTGTCTTCGTGGATTTCTCAGATGGGAAGGAATTATCCATGCAATCACACATAAACTTCTACCTACCCTCCCCTAGTAGCTGTCTGCTGCTAAGGATGGGGACCATTCTCACTTACTCACTGTTCTGTCCCTCTGCCCAGTCCAGATGTGTTGAAGGATGGAAATATACAGAGTAGTGGTAAAATATAAACCGTTCAGACATTCCAAGGATGGGCTCATGTGCTTTGACTCATTAATGTACCACTGCTGAAAACAGAACACAGCCGCAGTCTTGCCAGTAAGAGTGCAGTTACTGTAATTAATGAATTTGCTAATTAAGCCATGATTTCATACTGAACTTATGACCAACATATTGAGAAGGTGTGTCTTCAAGAAAATTTATTTTTTGTATTAAGATATTTACTCCAAAGCTAATTGAAGAAGCCAAATCTAGGCTCTGGTTTCACCATTGCCAGGGAAATGAGCTCATGGACTCCTATGAACTGATGATGTTAGATCAGAAGTTTCTCAAGGCCAGGGCCCAATCACTGCTGAGGCGTCAACAGTAGTTCCTTGTACATCAATAATTCTCATTACTTTTAAAAAATAACAGATGAATAGCAACTATTTTCCCTGTAGCTCCCTTGCTGTGCCTCCTACCCTCCACCACATGTTTCTGGGGAGCCCTGCTTCGGGCCTGCCAACTACAGAGAATTACTTTTGAGTATCCCTTCCACTCTCATCTCAAGACAGAGTTCATCTACCTTTGGGTTATTTGTCAAAAATGTGTCATTTTATTACAAAAAATATACAATCATCATGTATTTTGATTAAATTTTACACTAGATTATTAAAATTATTAAATACAATTATTAAAATTAATAATTTAACATATCACATATTTTAAATATATTGTATATAATGAATAATAATATAATTATTGTCTATTTTAATTCAATAAATGTATAGTAAGTTAGCCAGTTGTAAATTACTGAGAACACTCTACTGAAAAAGCATCATTTCAAATACACTATTTAAAATATTAAATGAAATACAATAACATAATTAAACTAATCTTTGGTTCCCCTATTTATGTATTCATTTATCCAACAAAATCTCCTTAAGTGCTTATAATGGGTAGGTCCTGGCTCGGTGTCCCCTAGACAGACGCATGGGCCTTCCCCCAGCCCGTCAGTATGGTGCAGGTGTGATGTGTCCGCAGGTGTGTGTGTATGTGTGCAGGTGTGGGGTCCGCAGGCGTGCTGGGCCCCCAGGCCGTGTTCCCCTTCCCCTCCCCGGTTGTAGATTTCAGCTGTTGCTGCCAGACCTGACCGGTTCCGGAGGTGGCCGCGCCCCACTCACTGTCGCCTGCTTTCCACAGGGGACAAGGGCCTGTCCGACACGCCCTACGACAGCAGCGCCAGCTACGAGAAGGAGAACGAAATGATGAAGTCCCACGTGATGGACCAAGCCATCAACAACGCCATCAACTACCTGGGGGCCGAGTCCCTGCGCCCGCTGGTGCAGACGCCCCCGGGCGGTTCCGAGGTGGTCCCGGTCATCAGCCCGATGTACCAGCTGCACAAGCCGCTCGCGGAGGGCACCCCGCGCTCCAACCACTCGGCCCAGGACAGCGCCGTGGAGAACCTGCTGCTGCTCTCCAAGGCCAAGTTGGTGCCCTCGGAGCGCGAGGCGTCCCCGAGCAACAGCTGCCAAGACTCCACGGACACCGAGAGCAACAACGAGGAGCAGCGCAGCGGTCTCATCTACCTGACCAACCACATCGCCCCGCACGCGCGCAACGGGCTGTCGCTCAAGGAGGAGCACCGCGCCTACGACCTGCTGCGCGCCGCCTCCGAGAACTCGCAGGACGCGCTCCGCGTGGTCAGCACCAGCGGGGAGCAGATGAAGGTGTACAAGTGCGAACACTGCCGGGTGCTCTTCCTGGATCACGTCATGTACACCATCCACATGGGCTGCCACGGCTTCCGTGATCCTTTTGAGTGCAACATGTGCGGCTACCACAGCCAGGACCGGTACGAGTTCTCGTCGCACATAACGCGAGGGGAGCACCGCTTCCACATGAGCTAAAGCCCTCCCGCGCCCCCACCCCAGACCCCGAGCCACCCCAGGAAAAGCACAAGGACTGCCGCCTTCTCGCTCCCGCCAGCAGCATAGACTGGACTGGACCAGACAATGTTGTGTTTGGATTTGTAACTGTTTTTTGTTTTTTGTTTGAGTTGGTTGATTGGGGTTTGATTTGCTTTTGAAAAGATTTTTATTTTTAGAGGCAGGGCTGCATTGGGAGCATCCAGAACTGCTACCTTCCTAGATGTTTCCCCAGACCGCTGGCTGAGATTCCCTCACCTGTCGCTTCCTAGAATCCCCTTCTCCAAACGATTAGTCTAAATTTTCAGAGAGAAATAGATAAAACACGCCACAGCCTGGGAAGGAGCGTGCTCTACCCTGTGCTAAGCACGGGGTTCGCGCACCAGGTGTCTTTTTCCAGTCCCCAGAAGCAGAGAGCACAGCCCCTGCTGTGTGGGTCTGCAGGTGAGCAGACAGGACAGGTGTGCCGCCACCCAAGTGCCAAGACACAGCAGGGCCAACAACCTGTGCCCAGGCCAGCTTCGAGCTACATGCATCTAGGGCGGAGAGGCTGCACTTGTGAGAGAAAATACTATTTCAAGTCATATTCTGCGTAGGAAAATGAATTGGTTGGGGAAAGTCGTGTCTGTCAGACTGCCCTGGGTGGAGGGAGACGCCGGGCTAGAGCCTTTGGGATCGTCCTGGATTCACTGGCTTTGCGGAGGCTGCTCAGATGGCCTGAGCCTCCCGAGGCTTGCTGCCCCGTAGGAGGAGACTGTCTTCCCGTGGGCATATCTGGGGAGCCCTGTTCCCCGCTTTTTCACTCCCATACCTTTAATGGCCCCCAAAATCTGTCACTACAATTTAAACACCAGTCCCGAAATTTGGATCTTCTTTCTTTTTGAATCTCTCAAACGGCAACATTCCTCAGAAACCAAAGCTTTATTTCAAATCTCTTCCTTCCCTGGCTGGTTCCATCTAGTACCAGAGGCCTCTTTTCCTGAAGAAATCCAATCCTAGCCCTCATTTTAATTATGTACATCTGTTTGTAGCCACAAGCCTGAATTTCTCAGTGTTGGTAAGTTTCTTTACCTACCCTCACTATATATTATTCTCGTTTTAAAACCCATAAAGGAGTGATTTAGAACAGTCATTAATTTTCAACTCAATGAAATATGTGAAGCCCAGCATCTCTGTTGCTAACACACAGAGCTCACCTGTTTGAAACCAAGCTTTCAAACATGTTGAAGCTCTTTACTGTAAAGGCAAGCCAGCATGTGTGTCCACACATACATAGGATGGCTGGCTCTGCACCTGTAGGATATTGGAATGCACAGGGCAATTGAGGGACTGAGCCAGACCTTCGGAGAGTAATGCCACCAGATCCCCTAGGAAAGAGGAGGCAAATGGCACTGCAGGTGAGAACCCCGCCCATCCGTGCTATGACATGGAGGCACTGAAGCCCGAGGAAGGTGTGTGGAGATTCTAATCCCAACAAGCAAGGGTCTCCTTCAAGATTAATGCTATCAATCATTAAGGTCATTACTCTCAACCACCTAGGCAATGAAGAATATACCATTTCAAATATTTACAGTACTTGTCTTCACCAACACTGTCCCAAGGTGAAATGAAGCAACAGAGAGGAAATTGTACATAAGTACCTCAGCATTTAATCCAAACAGGGGTTCTTAGTCTCAGCACTATGACATTTTGGGCTGACTACTTATTTGTTAGGCGGGAGCTCTCCTGTGCATTGTAGGATAATTAGCAGTATCCCTGGTGGCTACCCAATAGACGCCAGTAGCACCCCGAATTGACAACCCAAACTCTCCAGACATCACCAACTGTCCCCTGCGAGGAGAAATCACTCCTGGGGGAGAACCACTGACCCAAATGAATTCTAAACCAATCAAATGTCTGGGAAGCCCTCCAAGAAAAAAAATAGAAAAGCACTTGAAGAATATTCCCAATATTCCCGGTCAGCAGTATCAAGGCTGACTTGTGTTCATGTGGAGTCATTATAAATTCTATAAATCAATTATTCCCCTTCGGTCTTAAAAATATATTTCCTCATAAACATTTGAGTTTTGTTGAAAAGATGGAGTTTACAAAGATACCATTCTTGAGTCATGGATTTCTCTGCTCACAGAAGGGTGTGGCATTTGGAAACGGGAATAAACAAAATTGCTGCACCAATGCACTGAGTGAAGGAAGAGAGACAGAGGATCAAGGGCTTTAGACAGCACTCCTTCAATATGCAATCACAGAGAAAGATGCGCCTTATCCAAGTTAATATCTCTAAGGTGAGAGCCTTCTTAGAGTCAGTTTGTTGCAAATTTCACCTACTCTGTTCTTTTCCATCCATCCCCCTGAGTCAGTTGGTTGAAGGGAGTTATTTTTTCAAGTGGAATTCAAACAAAGCTCAAACCAGAACTGTAAATAGTGATTGCAGGAATTCTTTTCTAAACTGCTTTGCCCTTTCCTCTCACTGCCTTTTATAGCCAATATAAATGTCTCTTTGCACACCTTTTGTTGTGGTTTTATATTGTAACACCATTTTTCTTTGAAACTATTGTATTTAAAGTAAGGTTTCATATTATGTCAGCAAGTAATTAACTTATGTTTAAAAGGTGGCCATATCATGTACCAAAAGTTGCTGAAGTTTCTCTTCTAGCTGGTAAAGTAGGAGTTTGCATGACTTCACACTTTTTTTGCGTAGTTTCTTCTGTTGTATGATGGCGTGAGTGTGTGTCTTGGGTACCGCTGTGTACTACTGTGTGCCTAGATTCCATGCACTCTCGTTGTGTTTGAAGTAAATATTGGAGACCGGAGGGTAACAGGTTGGCCTGTTGATTACAGCTAGTAATCGCTGTGTCTTGTTCCGCCCCCTCCCTGACACCCCAGCTTCCCAGGATGTGGAAAGCCTGGATCTCAGCTCCTTGCCCCATATCCCTTCTGTAATTTGTACCTAAAGAGTGTGATTATCCTAATTCAAGAGTCACTAAAACTCATCACATTATCATTGCATATCAGCAAAGGGTAAAGTCCTAGCACCAATTGCTTCACATACCAGCATGTTCCATTTCCAATTTAGAATTAGCCACATAATAAAATCTTAGAATCTTCCTTGAGAAAGAGCTGCCTGAGATGTAGTTTTGTTATATGGTTCCCCACCGACCATTTTTGTGCTTTTTTCTTGTTTTGTTTTGTTTTGACTGCACTGTGAGTTTTGTAGTGTCCTCTTCTTGCCAAAACAAACGCGAGATGAACTGGACTTATGTAGACAAATCGTGATGCCAGTGTATCCTTCCTTTCTTCAGTTCCAGCAATAATGAATGGTCAACTTTTTTAAAATCTAGATCTCTCTCATTCATTTCAATGTATTTTTACTTTAAGATGAACCAAAATTATTAGACTTATTTAAGATGTACAGGCATCAGAAAAAAGAAGCACATAATGCTTTTGGTGCGATGGCACTCACTGTGAACATGTGTAACCACATATTAATATGCAATATTGTTTCCAATACTTTCTAATACAGTTTTTTATAATGTTGTGTGTGGTGATTGTTCAGGTCGAATCTGTTGTATCCAGTACAGCTTTAGGTCTTCAGCTGCCCTTCTGGCGAGTACATGCACAGGATTGTAAATGAGAAATGCAGTCATATTTCCAGTCTGCCTCTATGATGATGTTAAATTATTGCTGTTTAGCTGTGAACAAGGGATGTACCACTGGAGGAATAGAGTATCCTTTTGTACACATTTTGAAATGCTTCTTCTGTAGTGATAGAACAAATAAATGCAACGAATACTCTGTCTGCCCTATCCCGTGAAGTCCACACTGGCGTAAGAGAAGGCCCAGCAGAGCAGGAATCTGCCTAGACTTTCTCCCAATGAGATCCCAATATGAGAGGGAGAAGAGATGGGCCTCAGGACAGCTGCAATACCACTTGGGAACACATGTGGTGTCTTGATGTGGCCAGCGCAGCAGTTCAGCACAACGTACCTCCCATCTACAACAGTGCTGGACGTGGGAATTCTAAGTCCCAGTCTTGAGGGTGGGTGGAGATGGAGGGCAACAAGAGATACATTTCCAGTTCTCCACTGCAGCATGCTTCAGTCATTCTGTGAGTGGCCGGGCCCAGGGCCCTCACAATTTCACTACCTTGTCTTTTACATAGTCATAAGAATTATCCTCAACATAGCCTTTTGACGCTGTAAATCTTGAGTATTCATTTACCCTTTTCTGATCTCCTGGAAACAGCTGCCTGCCTGCATTGCACTTCTCTTCCCGAGGAGTGGGGTAAATTTAAAAGTCAAGTTATAGTTTGGATGTTAGTATAGAATTTTGAAATTGGGAATTAAAAATCAGGACTGGGGACTGGGAGACCAAAAATTTCTGATCCCATTTCTGATGGATGTGTCACACCTTTTCTGTCAAAATAAAATGTCTTGGAGGTTATGACTCCTTGGTGAAACCTTCTCACATTCTCATTGGAAGCATATGGGTTCTCAAGGAACGAAATCCCTTTGGCTGTTCCCAAAACTCATGTCTTTTCTTTTATGGCCTTACAACTCCAACACAGGGCTAGGCACAAAAGACACACTCAAGGGATTGAGCAATTGGTAAAAGACCTGGAGGAAGTTTGACAACCAAGACCGAAACTCCACGTTCCTCCAAAGCCCAGGAAATCCTTCTGAAAACTTCTGGCCTTTTCTCTGCACCAGAACCCAGAACGGGCTGGCACAGTGTTGCTGTGCGGAGCTGAAGGCAAAATGTTGCTGTTGCCTGCACAGATCTGTCTTCTCTGCCTTTTTGCAAATCATCCGCCCCTAACTTCCTCTAAGGAGGCAGAAAGGGATTCCCCGTGGCTCTTAGAATAGCAACCCTGCCCTCAGCATCCTAGGCTCCCACTGGCTTCTCCTGCCATTAAACAGGCCTGAGCAAAACCATTCCCTAGTTTTGAGTTGCCATGAGACTCCCTCACCGACTCCAGCCTTGCCCCGGCTCCAGTGCCTCCAATGATCTCCCAGGACTTTGTTTCCCAAATGCAGCTTGTAATCATCTGAGTGGCTGTTAAAAATGCAGCTTTCAGAAGCCTCCTCCTGAACATTCTGGAGCTGGAGGTCTGGACACAGCCCACCCTCGAGGTGTGGGACCAGCCACCAAGTCGTGCTAAGCAGACTCCCAGTCCATTCCTCCTAGAGACAGTTACAGCCTTGCCTCTCTTCCTGGGCCCAAACCCATTTTTGGAAGGGAGGGGAGGAACCAATAATAGTCTCTTTTTTTTCCCCCTGAGTTTGAAACAACCCAGATATTATAGATAAAAGAATCAACAAGTGGGAAACCAAAAAACTAGCTTTCTTACTCATAAAACCGAGATGAGAGGACACAGCTTCACGGTGTGACCCCAGCGGGCATTACACTCGTTCTGCATTAGACAGACTTGCCCACCTGGCCACAGGTAGCAATTAAACTTAGGAGGCCCCAGCAAAGGCTGAGCCCCTGCCCTGCAGGACAGGGAGAGGGGACCAGAACCTACACCCTATAGGCAGCAGACCCCCGTGCAGCAATAGGAAGCGCACTCGGTTCCTACGTCCAGACTCAAGTCCAGGCCACTCCTTTCCTCCTGGGGTCCAGCAAGGGGTTTTACCAAAGTCCATCCACATGGAGACAGGAGTGAGAAAATAGAGTCCACAGCCATCCCTGCATCACCCCTGGATCTCAGCCTGTTTACCTTAATGGAGAAGCCAAGCCTGTTCACCTGGCCCTCCATGGTCCACTAAGATGGAAGGCCATGCCCCAGCTGCCACTGGTCTCCACAGTGACCCTCAGTGTCACACAGTCTCTCTCCCTGGCCCTCCTTCAATGGGAGCCTCCTAAAGGCCTCCTTACCTCCCAAGTCTCCTTAATCCTACCTAGACTTTTGACTTCTCAATAGTGATTGTGTTAAACCAGGAACCTGATCAATCACTGACACTGCCCTGCACACAGATCTCCCCTGGTTTCCTGCTACTCCAAAGCCAAGTGCCATTTCCTCAGCCAGGAGCACAAGGTGGCCCTGCCTTAGAGGTGTCCCTCTGGGCATGTTAAGATGTGCATAAGGCATGGTGATTAGGAATGGGACTCTGGAGCTGCGAAGCCTGGGTGTGAATATCTGCTCTGTACATTAACGCTGTGTGACATGGGACACATGGTCTAACCTCTTTGAGCCCCAGTTTTCTCCTCACTGAAAGCCTGGAGGGTTACAGGAAGGATTAAATCCTCAGTGTCTGTGGACCACTGGACTCAGTGCTGTGGGAGTGGCTGCTCAGCCTTTCCTGCCTCACCTGGCGTTTGTATAGCTCCTTCTAGCCCCCTTATCTCATTCCAGCTGCATGACAGCCAAGTGAGACAGGGACCCATCCACATCCCCCTTAGAGATCAAACAATTGTGTCTGCGAAGCAGCAAACCTCCTTCTCAGCCATCACCATGCTGGGCATGTTCTGGGTGAGCCTGGGGAAGATGATATGTGCCCCATCGTAAAGTGAAAGAACTGCATCTCAGGGCTCCACAGAGCACCCAGAGTCCAGTGCTGCAGAGGCAGGATGGGCCCAGGCCCCTCAAGCCCATTCTTCTCTTGGCTCCTGTTCCATCTCGGCAGTGCTTCCTCCAGGGAGGATGTGGGATTTGATACGTGGGAATGACAGGGTTTGGCAATCCCATAGCTTCTGAATTCCAGGGAGGGGAGGAGAAAGATGCGGGTGAAAACCTGCTTTCAGAGGGTTTTCCCTTGGCTGCCTCCTCAACCAAACTCACCCACAAATTGCATGTCAAGTTTCCCAACCTCCACCTAGGGGAGCAGGCTCTTTCACTTCAGAGAATTCAGAGGCATCTCGAGGGCATATGCCAGGGCAGGCACAGAGTGAGGAGGTGGGGTTGGGGGTTTTTGGACAGCTCTGGTCCCCTCCAGCCCCACAGAGCATGCAATGTGGCTGATGCTGCTGGAGAGCTGGTCTCTGAAAGGAGAATGCATGAATCTGAACTAGAAACAGAAGGGCAGAAGGACCAGGAAAAGAAATGAGAGCCAAACAGAGTCTGAGCAATGAAAGGATGTTTCAGAGAGCTGAAAACACAAGCTAAGCTAAGCATCAGTGGACTGGGAGAGCTCTGAAAAATATCAGGGAGCCTAGAGGTATCTAGTCAAAGATGAGTACAATTACAACCAATAAACTCAAGACCAAGGACAAGAGCAGGGACATTTCCCCCAATTAGACAGTGCCCCCTCTGTGTCCCTGCCCCCAACACACATTGACACATTTGACTTTTGACTCCATTCTGTTCTCTCTGCACTGCATCTTGTCTCTGGCTCTTCTTAATCTTAAGATCCTTCATTGGTTTGTTGAATAACTTGAGCTGCAAAGCAGAGACTGGGAAGTTGGAAATAAAGTAAATCAATATCTTCTTGATAAAAGAGACACTCCTGACATCACATAATGACTTGACCCACTCACATCACATCGCTCCTCAGCCTTCAGTGCCTGGCTATGTGCTGGGATCAAGGCTCACAGCATCACAGGGGTTGGGCGCTGTAACCACCTGCTTGTGCCATGTGTACTCCCTGTCTGTCTCTACAAGTACCATTGTCACCTCCAGTTCTGCAGATGAGGACTTCGAAGCTTGGAAAAGCTGAGTAACCTGCCTGGGGTCACACAGCTGGAAATACTAGGACCAGCACTTGTCCCTGAGCACCTGACTCCTGTGCCTGCACTCTAGAAAGCACAGGGAGAAATGACCCAGCACAAAGGTGATTACAAAACAAGGTGCAATGAAAAGCGCTCTAAAGTGCTGTAAAAGCCCAGTGGAAGGAAACATCACTTCTCACTTGAGGATTACAGAAGGCTTCCTGGAAGAGATCTTGTCTGATCCCAGCTTTTCGGAATGATTGGGATTTTGATGTTGGAAGCAGAGGATTGGGGGTGTAAGAAGGGCATTCAAGACAGAACAAATGTGAATGAAATCTGTTGTATGTCAGAACCAGAAGTCCAACAGCAATAGCCCTGTTTGTCTGGGAAAGAGTACTCAAGGGGAAAAAAATAGGAGATAAATTCAGAAATGTAGACTGAGGATAGGAGGAGTTTGAACAGGTGGATAGGGAGGCATCCAGGAGTCTTAGGAGGTGAGGGGGAGGGGGTGATGCAATGAGAACTCTGGAGACAGTGAAGGGGGCCATGCCATCCAGGCAGAAGAGAGGCTTTACCCACAGCAAGGATGCTGACACTAACCAGCAGAAGTCAGGAGAGGAGAGAAGCAGAGAAGAGAGGACTGGACTCTGCCACTAGAACGCAGGCTCCAAGAGCAGGGATTTTTTGTATTTATTTAATGCCATATCCTCAGTGTCAAAAAGAGTACCTGGAACATATTAGATGCTCAATAAATATTTGTTGCATAACATCTTTTTAAGATAATTAAATCTATTGTGCTTTGACGAGAGGTAAGGAGGTGAAACCCAGTCTCAGAGCCTATATGAGCCATTACTGAGAAAAGGGAAAATGGGCAGAGGATTGGAGGAGGGGAACTTGGCTTTGTGTAAGCATGGGTGGGACAGCCGGGTCCCCATGGATGGCCAATGCATTTGGGAGTCATGAGGCATAGGCTACTATAATGGGAGCTGTGACAGGTACATGTCGCCTCAGGAAAGAGGTGGAGGGTAGGGGATGGTTCTGGGGAGCGTGGGGAGAGGAGAAGCAGGAGGAATTAGGCAAAGGAAATAAGAGGGGCTTTTCCAGATAGGAAAACTCATTGGGGACAGCATCTCAGAATTGTTTTTTTAATTCAAAAGAAGAGGCCCACAAATAGGTTCAACAAAGCCAATGCAATAAGGAAGGGGGCAGAGATGAGACCACTGAGTCAAGTGTTTAGGATGCTGGCAATGACCTTCAAGTGGTGGGTGACAGTGGACTGCAAGGGTGGGCAGAGATGGGCTCTGGAGAGCAGCCGGCAAAGAAGACAGGACCCTGCAATGCAGCCCAGGCCTCATGGAGGCCGATGCTTTGGAAAGGCCAAGTTCTTGGCTGCACTTTTCTAAGGAGAAAGGTAAGAGCCTCATGGGGATACTCCCTTGCTTTTTCTGCTTTTTGACATGGCCAAGACAGGAACAAGGCAGACATCCCTAGAACTCTGTCTCCTGTCCACGTCTGGGATCTGGGCTTCTCAAGGCAGGCTGCATCACCTTCCAGCTCCAGGAGTGGCCCTGCAGGTCCTGGAGCAACAGCCTGGCCCCTGCCCACGCCCCCTCCTCCCTGGCCGCAGGCCCTGGGCCTGGGCTGAGCAGATGGGCCCTGGCAACTCGGTGAATCGGAACTATGGGAAGCAGATGCACCCGCCATGGGTCCCCGGGCACAACTGGAACCTGCTGGGGGAGGGAATTTGCATAATAAGGATAATTTGGTACCAAAACTGTCCCCTGAAGTGAACTGCATGGATCTCGATACAGTTAACAAATTTCACTTCTTCTTTCCCATGTTTTGTCAAACCAACTAGTTGTGACGTTGAGTGTGTGAATTGTCCCAATGTTTCTGTTTCTCTGCCCATGAGTCAGCCCTGGCTTCTCTCTCTGCTTTGCTACCCCCCTGGGCCTGAGGAGGTACCATGCACATGCATATGGGCCTCTCCTGAACAAGGCCACCCTAAGACCTCTCTCTGTGGTTGCGACCACATGTGATCCCAGGTTCCCAGAAGGCCTCAGTGGCTGCGGCCTCCTCTCCGCCACCGTCTCACGGTGCTGTTCCTCCCCAGGCACCTGCGCGAGCTTCCTCATTGTCATTCTCCCTCCAGCTTCCTGTGGGTAGAGGGTGGGCTGGGCCCCACAGTAAGGAGGGTGTGCAGTTTCAGGGTCCCTCAATTTGATTCCCCTTTCAGGGACCTCCTCCCTCTGGGCACTGCCCTGATCCCCACCCTCAGTGGGCACTGCCCCTTGCAAAATCCTCTGTAAATCCCCTCTGCCCACACCCACTTCCCACCTCTGTGAGCACCACGATTCCTTTTTTAAGTTGGTCTCTCATACCACCCCATGGGAGAATGGTTGTGTGTTTTCGTGCACTGATGGGAAATTAAAGCTGACAAGCATGGAGGCAGGGACCCCAAGAGCTGAGGGAAGCTGGTCAGCTGGTCTCCCAGGTCAGATCTCATCTTCAGGAAGGCATCCATCCTCAGTGAGATGTGACCCCAGATGATCCCCCAGCCTCCTCCCAACCTCCAAATCACACCCGATTCCCAGGTTTCCTCGCATCACAGGGCCCTGCTGGTCCTGGGAAGTCTTCCCATGCTTGGCTGCCTGCTGAGTTCTTCTGGGACAAGGCAGAACTTATTGCACCTAATTTTTGGAGCTTTCTCAAGATCTGGTCTCTGAATTCCTCAAGCCCTCATGTCAGCCGTCTTAGGGCTCTCACCCCGCAGTGTATGGGATGTCCACCTCCTCCATTGGACTGTGAGCCTGTGGAGGGCAGAGGCTGGTCTCACACATCCTGAGCCTCCAATAACAACAGAAAGAAGCTTCTGCTGGAGATTCCTTCCCAGAGCCCTGGACTCCCTGAGGTCTTATCTTGCCCCAGTCAATGACGTGGGCCTGAGGCCCATGGCTTTCCCTTTGAAGCTCTGGCCATCTTTCTACTTGCTCCACAGCCAACATCAACTGCCCTCCTCCCCTACTCCCAGAGAAAGGGCCAGACGCAATAGCGTGCTGACCCCTGGGCTTCCTGGGTGCTCCAGGAGGGTACTCTCCTCATCTTAGCATTCAGGCCCTTCTTTTGGACAAAGAACTCCTCCAGGGGACAGGCAGAGCCTCTGGCCCTGAGGTGAATTGGCTGAATCTAGAGAAGGGCTGTGGGGCAGGGAAGGCCGGAAGAGCCCCCTTTGGTCATGGAGGAGTTCAGCTGTGCAGCAGTCGGCGTGGGGGAGAGGGGATTTCCCTCAAGAAAGCTTCTGGGGCTTTTTATTTTCCAATGTAAACATGCTTTTAGTACTATGAATGTGTGTTTGTGTTAATGCTCATTCAAGTGCCGCCCTATATACATAGTTCTGTCCTGTCCCACCAGCATTGACTAGGCCTGACCTTGTCATCCCAGGACCAGGAGCCAGGGTCAGAGACTTGAGAATGTAAGGCCACCACCCTGGAGGAGCTGCGGGTGAAATGGGCAACCGTCAGGCAAGACTGTCCACAGACAAGCTCTGTGCTGCCGACACAGACACCCAGGACCCAAAGGTACACAGGACCCATGGGACCAAGTGCACCTCAGCTGAATCTTGAAAAAGAGAAGGCAGAGAGGGGACAAATTGAATTATACAAAATACTCAAAGCAAAGAAGGCAAGAAGAGTGGAAGACAAACACAAAACAAAACAAAAAGGCCCACACATAGAATAGAGAACAGTTACAAATGTAATCAACATGAATCCAAATGTACCCATAATCTCTTTAAACATCAATAGTCTAAGGACAGCAGTTGAAAGATAGAGTTTCAGTGGATCCAAAGATGTGACCCAACTAGATGTTGTCTATAAGAAATCCATTTTTCATGCCTGTAATCCCAGCACTTTGGGAGGCTGAGGCGGGTGGATCACGAGGTCAGGAGTTCAAGACCAGCCTGACCAACATGGTGAAACCCCGTCTCTACTAAAAATACAAAACTTAGCCAGACATGGTGGCACACGCCTGTAATCCCAGCTACTCAGGAGGCTGAGGCAGGAGAATCGCTTGAACCCGGGAGGTGGAGGTTGCAGTGAGCTGAGATCGCGCCACTGCACTCCAGCCTAGACGACAGAGTGAGACTCCGTCTCAAAAAAATAAAAAAAGGAAAAAATAAATCCATTTTAAGTATAAAGACACATAAGGATTAAAAGTAAAGAAATTAAGGAAAAAATACCATAGTTACACTATCAAAAGAAACCTGGAGTAGCTATACTGATTGATTTCAGACACAGCAGAGTCACAGCAAGCAAAGGCATCAGGGTAAATGGGGGCATTCTATAATGACACGGGGGTCAATTTTCCAACAAGATGTAACAATCCTTAGCATGTGCATGCCTAACAACAGAGCACCAGCATACATGAGGCAAAAGCGGAGAGAACCACACAGAAATCAATGAACCCACTCCTAGAGCTGGAGACTCCAACATTCCCCATCAGAAATGGACAGATCCAGCAGGCAGAAAATCAGTAAGGATGTAGTTGAACTGAAAGACAGGAGTTATTTGGGCAAAGAAAGGCAGCAGACAGTTTCAGGCAGAGGGGGCAGCGTGAATGCGGTACAGAGGCCTGGACACGGAATAGTGCTGAAGGAAGGCAAGGCCGTGTGGCTGGGCTGGAGGAGTGTCCTGGGGGCTGGGGAGTGCCAGACGCCTGGAGAGAAGGGGTCCACCATTCAGCCAAAGAGGTGCCCTCTGAGGGTTGGGGAAGGCAGCAGGAGCTGAGCCCCTGTCCTGACCTTGAAGCTGCAGGGCTGTCATGAATGCATGGGCCCCCTGAGGAAGGGCGGAGAGGGGTGTGAGCACCAATTTCAGGTAGTGAAACTAAGGCCAAGGAAGCAGAGAGCCGTTTTCAAGGTCATAGGGAGTCACCCTCAAGCCACATTTCCTAAAGCCCATTATGCATAATGCAAAAAAGGAGAATGGGGCAAACGATTTGGGAAAAGCCACACACTCTTCCCTCTTTTGGAGATCCACAATGTGCCTTAGCATTTGAAATGCCCTGGGCAGAATAGAAGATGGTTTATTTAATCCAGCTTTCCACAAATATAGTTAAACTAAAAATGTTCCACCTCCCCTCTTCAACATTACCATTAATACGCATGTCACTGTAGGAAGGGAAACACTGTAGGAAATGGGGTCCTGGGGGAACACCGAGAGCTAGGGAGGGACCACAGCCAGCCTGTCCCTGGCTCTTCCCTGGCCTGGCCGTGTTCCTGACCTGATG
Source organism: Homo sapiens (assembly GCF_000001405.40). Lineage (NCBI taxonomy): Eukaryota > Metazoa > Chordata > Mammalia > Primates > Hominidae > Homo > Homo sapiens. Next base: position 50,413,576 of record NC_000007.14, read on the forward strand.
CCCTCGGGTTGCTAATGTACCCAGCACTGCCGCTCCCTTCGTTCCCTGCAGTACCAGGCCCTGGATCATGGATGAAGGCACAGGCTCGGCTCACACGGTGACTTGGCCACAGTTACGCCATCCCAGGGTGAAGCAGGGTGGCCCAGAACCTGCTCCAAGGTCATCACGCAAGCTGTCTCCTGACTTCTGGAAATTACCCTTGCCCTGAGAGTGGAACTGGCTTGGTGGGAGCCTCTATCTGCTGCTGGGGGATTTCAGTGCTGAGGCTGCAAGGGAGGGAGGGGGTGCCTAAGGCCTTTCTCCCTAGAGCAGGAAGCAGAGAGGCAGGACTATCTGCCTCCTCAGCTTGCATCTCTACTCAGCATTGAAATTCAGGACCTGATATTGGGCCTGGATAATTCAGAACAGATTTGGGTCCTAAGCATCTGTGTGAACCGTATGAAAAGTACCAGCTTACCATTTCTATGTGCTTTCTCATTCAGGCCTGGATGAAAGGTAGCATTAGATTCACTGTAAAATGCTTAGAGACTTGAATAAAAAGGAAGGAGGAACATTAGCATCTGCTGCGTTGGTATCATATAAGTGCTTTTGTCATTCTCACAAGGTGTTATTGTGCCCACTTACAAATATGGGATCCTAAGGCTCAGACAGGAAAAGTAACGTCCACAAAACCATACAATGTTCACAGATCCTTGAAGCCAGGATAACACAATTCACTATAACAAAATCAGTGCAATGCGCCAATATTGAAGTAATATGAGATCTTAATAACATATCTGTGTTTTTAAAATAGAGAAGAAGAAAAGGTATCAGTTAAGTTAATAAATTATCTTTGTTTTCCAAATATTTCCCTACAACTGGATGCCTTTAGGTCATATTCATTTGTATGTTTGACAGTGTACAGACCTTTCTATGTAGAGCCAATCATTTGAAATCATGAAGAAGAATCCTCAAAATGGTTTCTCTTGGGTAGTAAACTCCCTTACAATACTGCATGTGAGAGGTTGCAGTGGGGAGGATAGAATAGTTTTGGGAAAGGGAAACATGATATAGAGATTTGACAATGCACTTCAAAGGCATGCGCCTGACTTTCAACAATGGAACAAGGAAAAGTGCTGAACAGGACTGATAGTTCAGAAGGAAAATCAGTAGGAGAAGTAGGCCGGGCGTGATGGCTCACACCTGTAATCCCAGCTCTTTGGGAGGCCTAGGCAGGCAGATCGTAAGGTCAGGAGTTAGAGACCAGCCTGGCCAACATGATGAAACCCTGTCTCTACTAAAAATACAAAAATTAGCCGGGTGTGGTGGCGGGTGCCTGTAATCCCAGCTACTCGGGAGGCTGAGGCACGAGAATCGCTTGAACCCGGGAGGTGGAAGTTGCAGTGAGACAAGATCATGGCCCTGCACTCTAGCCTGGGTGACAGAGTGAGATTCAGTCTCAAAAAAAAAAAAAAAAAAAAAAAAAAGTAGGAGAAGTAGTATTTTGAGTATTTTGGGTAGAAAAATAGCACATAAAAAGATTCCGTTGTACCCTACTTGTTAATATGTAGTGATTATTTTCAAAGTCTTAGCCAGGTATCAAACAGTTACACAGCACAAGATGTCACCTTCCTGGGTAAAGCAAGTCTCAGTGATGTCAAAAGAATCTCCTCCACAGACCCTGTTCTATACTGCACAAAATCCTTAGCCCAATCTTGGGATAAAATTAAATCTTTCCTGTTCTTGACAATCTCCATGCTTTAAAAGCACATTTATAAATCTGCCAGTAACAACAAAGCCTTGCAGCATTAGCAGGCCCCAGAAGGCTTAATGCTTAACCTAACAGCACACAGTAGGTGTGGAGTAAATGTTTGTGAAATAGTCATAATCCCTCACTTCATATCCCTGATGGCAGCTTTTCTGTTCGTTTAAATATTCTTTAATATGAAGAACGGCTGCAGACCAGGGTATGAGGAATGTGCAACTTCTTTTCTTCCCTAGGATCTGAGAGGGCAGAAAGCTGCTGCACTGAAGCAGCCAGCCATCTCCAGCATTTCCAATGTCAACCAAAAAGGAAAGCCTTTCTCACTGCCAGGCCTTCCTTCAGAAGGGCTCCGGACCCAGGAGCTAACTAGCTTTCCCACTGCACAGATGAACAGAGCATTCCCCACAGTGGACACCAGCACAGTCATGGAATGAGGATTTTTATGGGCCCGACACGTAGAGAAAAGGAATAGAGGAGTCGTTATCCCCACACCTTAGAGAGAAGAATGGGGCCAGGCCAACCCCTCACTGAGGTCCCCCAGCTGCTGGATACCACACCTCTCACCAGCCCCTAGTGCCCTGGGAGCAGCTCAGGCTCCTGATAATGTGAGCCGTAACTCATAAAGAGCAGGATGATGCTGAGCAACCAAAAAAGAAAACACTCTGTCATCCTAAGGAGTACTTGGTCACTGATACACACGAGGTACACACAACCCCTGCAGGCTCTACTAAGTGTGTGAGAGAGTAAATGTAGTCATTGGAAAGGCACACCTCCCAGATGCACCCAGCGATCCTACTTCCTGATTGTCTTCTCAGAGAAACCGAGCAACCATTTCACACCTGGAAGGAACATCATGACGCCAGAACCTGCAGCACAGTGTGTTTCTTTCTTTCCCCACATCAAGGGTCTACGTGGAATAGTGCTTTTCCACAGAGTAGCTACTAGCCACACATGGCTATTTCAATTTACATTATAATGAAATAGAATTGAAACTTCAGCCCTTCAGTTGTACTAGCCATATTCCAGGTGTTCTATCAGCAGATGTGACTGTACCCACCATATTGGACAGCACAAATGTGGAAGCAGACGTTTCCATTGTTGTAGAAGGCTCTGTCGGGAAGTGCTGATGACATGCCAGTACCTGCCTTGCTCCCTGGAGCTCCCCAAGGTCTAGCACAGTGCCTGGCACAAGGTGAGGGGGGTGCCCAGAAAAGATTCAATTCCCTCTCCAAGTAAACCATTCATTCCCAGCTTCCCCAAAGAAGTCTTCCCTGGGGTACTAAATCCTGAAGGCTGCCTTCAGTATTCGAAGCATGCAGCAACTTTCACTTCTTCTTTTTCGACCTGGCCCTTCACTCTGCCTGAGAGGGAAATGTCACTTGCCTGAGGACATGTGCTTTTTCTCAAGCAGGCACACTGGTCCCTTTCAAGGTGTGGGCTGACATGCTGGCTCTCTTCCCTGTATGCCGAGACATGCTTGGGATCTCCTAGCTCCACACTCTGTCTCTCATGAGTCTGAGCCCTTTGGGTTTCTGTGACTTCCAGTCCCCTCCTGCCAGTAGCAACCTACAAAACAGAAACCGAGACGTGCAATAGCAGGAGGGTGGGATTTCCAGCAAATAGGGAAGGACTCACTACGCCCTGCTGGTAGATTGTTGCAGGATCATCCTCCTCTCAGGAGAAAAAGAGGAAAAAAAGGCAAATCACTTTCCTCTTGCTTCTGCTTCTCCTAAATAAACTGCTTGCCTAATTTCCTTTGCAGTTAGAGAAATGTTCCTTGTGAAAGCTGCTATTTCCACACATTCACACACTGTGCAGATTCCGGGGCTTCTGGAAGTCATTTGCTTTTCCAGGTTCCCTCTCTCTGTAGCTGATTCTGTCCTTGTACCTCCACTTGAAAAGCAACCCCAGGGCAAGTCAGCCTGGCTGAAGTCTTCAGATTCTTTTTTCAGTGGAGGGGTGCTGGCCTCCACTGGACTCTAGGCACAGGCAAGACACAGCTCTGGAAGGTTCCATCTGAAGGCTGGGGATGTCCCTGCATGGCCCCCATAACCATGCCAGCCAACACAGCCACCTGAATGAGGCAGGCTTCTCTGGGTCCCTACTGCTAGATGCAGGATTTGAGAAAGTCTGACCACTCCTATACTCACGGACACTTAAATAAGGTCAAGTCCCTTTCCTAATTCCAAACTATGCTTGGATAGTTTGTGTATGTTGTGGTGCAGGTGGGGAATCTATATGGCCAATAATAGCCTCGCCTGCTTCTTCTATAAAAGCAGAGACTAAAAAATGCTCATTGTAAGAGGAGTAGGAAGGATTCGATGAGATAAGAGATGTGAAGAGAGCACTTGGTAAATGCCCAAGGTGATCAATTCATTATCAGGCATGATTGTGAGAATAGTTTGCTCTGTGCTGAGGCCTTATGAATACCCTTGGGGGTAACAGAATTCTCAAAAACATGTCAGCTGAAAGAACGAGTCCTTACCTCTCTCCCACATCTCCACTATTTCATTGTGTCTGGTTGAAGCAAGAGAGAACAGTTCACTTAAAAGAGATCAAAAGCACTTTTCACATAGAGGCAAGCATCAGTAAAGCAATTCTGCTGGAAATCTCCCAAGTAATAAATACAGGCCAGAACATTTTTAAAGTTCAATTTATTTAGTATAAAAGTTTTTTTAAAAAGTACAATATATTGAAATAGGAAAATAGAAAGTGAAGAAACTCAAAATTTGAGCTTTTGGGCAAATGAATTGACTGAATATTTCCTAACATCTAAGTTGGAATTCCTTAAAAAGCTGTCAAAATTTAAGGTGGTTTTCATGGAGGGATGGCTAAGACCGCCTCCAAGGCCTTCAGGGAGCAGTGGGGAAACCTAAGAGATGCCCTCCACCTAGTGGTGAAGGAACGCAAGGCTGGCCAGAATGGATGTAGTTAACCAATGCCATTTCCAGGGAGGAGGCGCTGCACCACTGGCCCCTGCAGGCCTAGCCCAGCTCCTCGTGGGGAGAGGGAGAAGCTGAGCCCAGGGCCAGCAGGGAACTTGCCCAGGTCACTTACCAAGTTAAGGGTAGACACAGGGGCTGCCACCCAGGTTGATTCTTTGCTTAGGGCTTGACTTCAAAATTATCCTTAAAATCAGCTATTGCACCTACTCACATCAATTCTTGCATAAACCCTGCTAACATGCAGGGCAGGGATATCTCCCACACCAGAGGGGCTGTACAGAGACCATCACTCTGTGGCCCAGAACCCTTCTGGCCTGGATGGATGCTCCTGTCCTACTCTGGCATGTGGACCCTCCCTGTCTCAGTTGAGCTTCGCCCAGGCCTGAACAAGGGGTGTAAGAACCCTGCATGTGCTAAGAACCCAGCTCAGAATGCACTTTTTCTCCCCCGCTGGCCTCTTAACCGTGGCTGTCGCTGCTGTCTGCCACCTGCACGTGCCACAGCTTGAGAGGCCGTCCTGGAGAGGGTGGAGGAAAGAAAACAGCCCTGGAAGCCAAGAGACCTGGGCTCAAATTCCAGACCTGCAAATTGTGAGTCAGGTGGGCTTGGGCATGTTATTTACTGTCTGCAAGCCCTCATGTTTGCCTATGAAGTTAGACGATAATAATCTCGGCTTTAAAAGGAGGCTGCGAATATGCAATGAGATGGCATAGGAATGACATAAGGCCCAGCACATGGACGTCTTGGAAAAAGGCAGCTCCCTTCCCTGGGCCCCTCAGCCTCCCATTCACTCCCACACCCTCAGTGCTACTTAGATCTTGTCATCTACTTATCAAAATTGACTCACTTAGAAGTGAGTTGGGCTCAGCTTTCAGACAGGGAGGTCCAGGAGCAGCACTGTGGCGAGGACACAACTGAGGGGAAGACAGGCATTCCTCACAGTCTCTAGACCGCACCCCTCTTCCACACGCTTTTCTTTTCCTGTTCTCTCTCCGTGAAACAAGGCATCTTCCACCAGAAGCCTTTACTTCTCTTGTGATGAATCACTTGTATCTTTGAATAGGCAACTAAATTCAAGCAAATCATTCAGCACTGTTGATACCAGTTTTATTCGTGATAGCCAAAAACCAGAGACAACCCAAATATCGATCAACATGGATGGATAAAAACCATGACACATCAATGCAATGGGACACTACTCATCAGTGAAAAGGAATGAATACTGATGCATAAAATGACATGAATGAACTTCAAAATAATTATGTTCCATTAAAGAAGCCAGACAAAAAAGATTCTTTATATAAAATACTAATAGATGAAAACTATTGTCTAGGTCAAGAAAGCAGTTCAGTAGTTGCCTGGGTTGGGGGAAGAGCCATAGGTGGGAGAAGAGAATTTCCAAAGGACACAAAGGAATTTGGGGGTTATGCATGTGGATTTTATTTTCATTGTGGTGATGGTTTTATCTGTGTATATATTTGTTAAAATTTATCAAATTTAAACAGGTAGAGTTTATTGTGTCTCAATTATACCTCAACAAAGCTGCTTTAAAAATTTAGGTATCTGACTGGGATGAAATCATTTTGAAACTGCACTTGACTTGAGAGCTTTACGGAGAATGTTGCCAGATCCCCAGGAGGCCTTCAGAGCTGACTCTGCAAGGCCTGAACATCTCAGGAGAACCCTCAGAAGCTGGGGTACACAGCCATGAAGCCAGGGTAGGCAGCCAATCTGGACTCACAGATGTTGTGCCAGTCAGAGCACATCTGGGGTAGCCTTTTACTCTTAATTGTATTTAGTTAATGTTTGAATTATGGCTCACTTCAGTTTAGAAATTCTTTGAGATTATTTTTGAATATGTAACAGTCCCCAATAGCAGGTGTGTAAGAAGTTACATTTTGGCTTTCTTCCTTTTTTATTTTAATGAATTATGTTAATTTTACCTCCAGGCCTTGTCATATTAAGATAGCAGAAAATCAACCTCAGCAATCCCAGGCCCCCCCACTAAGGCTGCCAAGCTCTCAGGGCCTCACACAGGGCTGGGATCCAAGAGTCCCCTGCACCAGCTGCCATCTGTCCACTGATGATGACCTCTCCTTGGTCCTTCTGGCCTTGCTGGCTCTTTTGCTCGGGGCCATGCTGAGCTGAGGAACCCTTGGTGAGGTAAAATCGGTTCTTCCTGTTGTATTGTGGCCCCAGCTCTGAAGCCCTGTCATTCGTTGCCTTAGGGCACTGCCAAAAAGCTACGACAGTGGATCAGTCCCCCTCTCCCCTGCCCCTTACCCTTCTCTCTTCCTCCTCTCTCCCTCCATCTCTCTCCTCTCCGTCTTTCCCCCACCCCCTTTCTTTCTCTCTCTCTCCTTCCTCCAATCCAAGGAAGCATTGCTTTTGTCTGAAGGGAATCCCCTGTCCTCTCCATATTTTCTTCAGGCACCCCTTTTTCTCACATCTTATTGTCTTTATTAGATTTAAGAAGCCTGTCTTAAATATCCTCCCAGAAAAGAAACTACAGACTTAGCTATCTGTTATGGGAAGGGAAAGAAGAAAAGAAAATGGGAAAAATAAGTGAACACCTCAAAAACTATCTTTCCCCATATGTAAGAAAATATAATTTTAAAAAATCATTACCAGAGCTAATATAAAGTAGAACAAATGGTTAAAATGAGGCAAACACACACACATACACACGTTATATGTGTGTATGTATCTATATCTATAACTCATCTCCTGATTTAGGGTTCTAAGCTACGTTACTACTTCCATGGCTTTCCTTTTAGGAGAATACAATGTACACTGCACTTTACTCTGAGAGAAATGTCTTCCTTCATGGGACTTCAAATAAGAGACCTTGCATATTTGTAATGCTTTAATTCCCAACCTTGCCTGCATGATAGGATTGAGTGGTAAGCATTTGCAATACAAAAGCTCAGGACCCAGGCTGAACCAATGACATCAGGTGTCTCGGGGAGCTTAAGGGTCTGTTGCTTCCAAGCTGCCCAGGTGCAGCCAGGGCTGGGAACCACTGACATAGGTGGTTGATGTCCTCAGCCGTCCCCCTCCCCAAGCACTGCCTAACGGGGTTCTCCAGGCTTTTACTTGTTAGACAACTCAAGGTAGCCTGAAGACCTGATGTCAAAAAGTAACACAGAGGTCAATCCTGGCCCAGACATTTGGCTCTCAGGTGATCCGCCTAGATCCAGAGATAAACCAGGAAGCCAGCCTATGGAACAGTCATCCTCCCACACGACCAAGCACTGCCGAGACTGTGGTGCTCGGTGAAGGGAGAGCAGGCTCTGGGAGCCGCATCACTTCCACAGGCAGTCTGCCACCCTCCCTGGACTATGACTTCCTTGCAGGCTCCAAGTCTCACTCATTTTTGTACCTCCACTGAAGCTGGTAGATGTGAAAAAAATATTTACTTAATCAATGATTGTGACCAAGAGATGAGACTGATTCCATGTGAACACACAAGGAAGAACTGGAACAATGGATGAAAACTAGAGAAAAATTTTCCACAGTGAGAAATGGCTAAAAGATGCCTGGGAAGGTACTGAATCCTCTGTCATTGGAGATATTCAAGCCTCCTCATAATCACTGGAATTGGTAAGCATCCTGCAATTAGAAGATTCCAGCTCTCTTCTATTCTAGCATGAGTTTTCTTTTTGGAAACATGTGAACATCAAAGCATGCTGATGATCTTTGGTAATTCATGGACAAGCATGTTGCAGAATAGAATAGGCACTCGGCATTCACAAGCAATTTGGGCCAGGGGAGATTTACAGATCCCCAGCTTCACAAATACCACCACAAATACACCCTGCTGAGATCCTGAGTAATGAGGAGCAGAGATTAGAGAAGCTGATGGCATCTTTTATACTAGGCTCCCCTTTTAGGCTGAAAGACTGGCCAGCACACACAACATGCCCATAAAATCCAGGCCTCAGCACAGCTAACAGCACTTCCTGTCCTGAAATTTGGGTCCTCACAAATGGCCAAAATCTCAAATGTTTATCCAAAAATGCAAGATTTCCTGTATACATTCACTTTAAAGCCAGGAACTGAGTCATATTGTGTGTATTTCATGTTAATTCTCAAGTCAAAACGCGATAGTAGTTCTTATTTCATGATACAAAGAACTTTGCTTCTGCTTCACTCTGTGAATATTATAGACAAAAATAAATAATGAACACCTAATGCAAGAAGTCTCAAAACCAAAGAGCTGAGGAAATATATTTGGCAAAGATTTTAGCTCTAAATTCAGGCTTGGGTTTTGAGCTTGAATCCATTGGCTGAATCACTGATATAATTATTAGGCAACCAAACCTCTCATCTGTAAGATGGGGATAAAAATTGTTAAGAAAAATGATCCAAAACAGAAAAGAGAATGATTGGGTGTGTCCTTTTAATGTCATACTGGGACACAGGCTAACAGACCCACCCAAGGACCCTTTAATTCTCTAGGACAATCTATTTGTGTTTAACCTGCATTGCCGTTGACTTGGCCCTAGATTCTGTGAAGTTGCTTATATGCATGTACATTTGTCCTGTAAAGATACAAATGATTTCTGCCCAGTAGTGAAGATAACCCCAAAAGTGACACTTTATTGACCTGAAGACATTCACAGGCTTTGTTGCTAACTTAGCAAACCTGCTCCGGCATTCCCCTCCCAGCTACATGTACACACTCAGCCTCTCAAGTGCTCTTTTCCTCAACTTGACATCCTGCTGATCCCCTCATGAACTCATTAAATAATTTCTGATGATTCCTCACTATTTTTATGTGTTGTGGATTGCACAATGTCCCTGAAAATTCACATCCACCAGGATCCTCAGAACGTGACCTTATTTGGAAGTAGGGTCTTCGCAGAGGTTATTAAGGATATCACGAGGAAATCATTCTGGATTTAGGGTGGGCCCTCGATCCAAAGACTGGTGTCCTTATAGGAAAAGGGAGTGACACAGACAGATACGGAGTCTCAGGGGAAGAAGGTCATGTGAAGACAGAGGCCAAGACTGGAATGGCGCTGTGGCAGGCGGAGGAGCACTGGGAACCACCAACAGGAGTGTGGCCTGTCGACAGCCTGAGGTTGGACTTCTGGCCTCCAGAGCTGTGGGGGAAGAGATTTCTATTGTGCTGGTCATTTGTCACCACAGCCCTAGGACACTAGTCCAGTGTTTGTCAGAGTCAAGTTTCAACTCTGAAAATTAGACTTTGCCATAATAGTACCTGCTTCATAGGAGTGTTGTGCTGATCAAATCTTTTAATGCATATCAAGAGCTTAACACGTGCCTGCAACACAGTAAGCACCCGATAAGTATTAGCTATTATGATTAATGTAATAGATGACTAGTAGGGTTTCCGCTAGTGGAGACTGATGATGTGGGAGAGTGCCAGCGGTTTCTGTATTTTGTGTGGATGCTGAAATTTCTCAAGTCAACTTCTTCTTTTGCTTTGGGAGCAGTGGGGACAGCAGGTGCAGCTAGGGTAGCTGTATCCATCATCTTCAGCCCACCCCCAAAGTAAATAGTGCATAGCTTCAAGGCCAGTCATTCTGCAGCCTTCCCCATGGTTTTGCCTGGCTCCTGGAGTGGAAGATTCTCCTGAAAGGAGAAACTGTTCGGACTGCAGTCACCCCAAGCAGGGAGGGAAGAACTTTTACTGTGGGGTGAAGGATTCTTTGGGGGCTTGAAGCAATTGGGTCTGAGCTCTAGGCAGGAGGACGAGGCTGAAGGTCCTGTGTTGTAAGATGAGCAGCCTTCTGTAACACTGAGGCTGGGCGTCATCTGGCTGAGATGTCCCCAGAGGCCTCTGGGAGACTCCCTTCCAGTCTGTGGTCAGTTAACTTGAGGAACAGTATTATGTCCTATATCATTTTATGGTTTCCATTGAATGCAAAATAACTTATCTCTATGAACCATAGAATTTCCACAAAGTCTGTTAAACTCCATAGCTTGGTGTTGACGGTGCTTTGGCATCTCATGAGAGGGTCCTGAGCCCACACACTTGAGGGAGAATTGGAAGCAGTGCCACCCTCTTGCCTTGCCCATGAAGCTCGAAGGGGAGAGTCTGTCCTTTTTGTGGGCAAATGCTGGCAGTACAGAGTCCCTGTGCTGAACCTGTCATTCAAGCAGTCTTCCCTGTGGCATGTCATATCATGTATCGTATCAGATCATATTATTTTCGCTATACAAAAGGGCTTCTTGTGACGAGAACCACCCAGGGCTCATCGTGCCATGTTTTCCTAGTGGCAGCATTCCGAGTCCATCTTTCCTTCAAATAAGAAAAATGTTCACATAGCGAGTGGCCACGATTCCAGTTGCCAAAGGGTGGGATTGCCCAGAGTCCCCTAAGACTAATAAAGGAGGCATTAGAAATATCAGTGGGGAAAGGAAGATTATTCAAAAATTTTTGCTGAGATAATTGGTGAGTTATCTGATAATATACATCTAAATATCATTCTGACATTTAATGATATTGAGAGAGCTCTGCTGCATTTCATATCTCACTTCATGTGCCTTGTTATTTTTTCTTTTCTCTTAGCCCCTTTCAGATTCTTGCATCCTGCAAGTTGATGCTGTCCAGGAAAATTATTTGTGGTAAAAGAAATGTTCTATATCTGTACTGCCCAGTATGAAAGTCGCTAGCTACGTGTGCTCCTGAATGTGGCCAGTGCAACTGAGGGACAGATTTTTAATTTTATTTAATTTTAATAGATTTATGTTAAATAGCCATACGTGGATAGCGGCTGCTATGTTAGGCAGCACAGCCACAGCTGGATCTGAAAAAATTGTTATCACCCATCTTCTAAGTAGATTATTTCCTTAATGGTATCTAATTATTTTGCTTTGCCACAGTTACTGTTCATTGTGTTTTTGCCAGAGTTTGTGCTGGTGAGATTGAAAACATGCTTAATCTTAAGTGAAACATCTCTATAGGATTTTAAACTTGGAAATTATGGTTAAGCTTGTTTGCCTATCGTGAGAGATGTGAAGCAAAGAGAATCCGTAATTTAGCTGAAAGAACTACAGTCATGCTCACATGAAGTCTGATGCTTAGAATGTCCACGGACACATTATTGAAGTGGCATTTATTATCACTGGACACATTATTGAAGTGACATTTATTATCACTTTAGTAATGTAATTCAAATAACAGTGCCTCCCTTCTTCCTGGGACTCTACTTTATCTGTTGTCATTGTTGCTGTTGCTGCTGCTGCTGTTATTTTGGTAGAGCCACCTGCTCCCCACACCTGCTACCCCCCAAAGCTCTCAGCAGCTTGGGAGCTGAGCACAATCTGGGGCGCAGGCCTCGTCAAGGCCCTGACGAATGGATCATTTTATTGCTATGTTCATGTTGGTTGGCAAGTATAGATTCCCACTGAGGCTCATTTTGCGGGTCGGGATCTGAGGGCCCTGCCCTCTAGATAGTACTAGATAGATCTGCAGCCACATTTCTTGAAAAGTTCCAATATAAGAAAGACTTTCCATGTAGGGTGAAAGCCTACTAATAGATCTACTAAATAGAATTGTTTTTCTATTCAAAAAAGGAATCAGATGATGTTGATAATGTATTATGCTTGTATACAATGTTATCACTGGGGGCAAGTGGCTGAAGGGTACTAAAGAACTCCGTCTTATATTTGCAACTTCTGTGTCTGAAATTTTCAAAATAAAAAATTATTTTAAGATGAAGAAGGCAGGAGATATTTTAATCAGACAAAAAAAGGTGCATGAACTAGCAAGTTTCCAATAAGCAGTAGGATCTCTAAGTTTTTACACAAACAATAGCTATTGGAAGGACACTCAGGAATCTATGGAGGTAAACCATGTCTTTCTTTCACTATGAGATTTTTAGGGGTAAATACATATGGTTAGCAGTGAACTCACAAATAGGGCAGTATGTTTGAATTTTGGGCCACAAACTCAAGTGTGCTAGAAATATCATTTTACTGGCCTTACTATTTACTGCTACATAAAATTTATTCAAAAACTTAGTAGTTTAAAACATGAGATATTTATTATCTAACCATTTCTGTGGGTCAGGAATCTAGGTGCATTTAGCTTTGTTTTCTGGCTCAAGGTGTCTCACAAGGCCTCAGCTTGGGCTGAGGTCTTATCTGAAGACTCAGCTAGCTGAGGGTTCACTTCTAAGCTCATTTTATGATTGTTGGGCCCGAGGCCTCCCTCTGTTCCTTGCCACATGGGCCTCTCCACAGGGCAGCTCCCATTATGGCAGCAGGTGCAAATCAGAGTGAGTGAAAGAGCAAGAGAGGATGAACAAGCCAGAAGCTACAGTCTTTTGGTAAATTAGTCACAGAAGTGAGACCCTATCACTTCTAAATTCTGTTCATTAGCAGAAAGTCCCAAGTTCCAAACACCCTCAAGGCGAGGAGATTACACAGAAACATGAACAGAAGGCAAGGTTTGCAGGGACCACCTTAGAGTCTGCCAGAGTCCACCCTCTGGCCCCCAGTGATTCACATCCATGACACATGTAAAAGATATTCATGCTTCCCAAGGTTCCCCAATGTCTCTGCCCATTCAGGTGTCGGCACAAAGTCCACAATCTTATCATCAAGTCCAGGTCCAGATAAGTATAGTTCCTGGGGCCCACCCTTCCTTGATCTGTGGACCTGGGAAACAAAAGAGAAGAATGATCTGCCCCCATCTCACCCTGTACACACAGGTGGACAGGCAGAGGATAACAGCTATACACATTCTCATACCCGGGACGTACAAAAGAGTCACCAATCCATTACAGTTCTGAAATCCAGGCAGGAGAATGTTGGGTTTCTTGATTAAGCTTTAAGCCCTTAGAATAAATGACCTGTGGCTCTTGGCTTTGCCTTCTGAGTTTTAACGCTGCCCTCTGGGTCATCCTTCCATTTTCCTAAAAGGCATTTGCAGGTGAGAAGTTTTATCAGCCTTTGTCCTGCCAGTAGAATTTGGGAGTCTGAAGTGGCCTTTTGTTTTACTCTGTCTGTCCCCATTAGTCTAAGCTTGTGATGTTTCTGCTGAAACAGTTTTCTCAAATATTCTATGGGCTTTCTGTGGATTTTAATGGGTTCACTCCATTGGACACAAGTCACATCCACAGACCTTTTTGTAATAATACCTCCTCCACCTTGGCCCCCTGGGCATGAAAGACAGATAGTGCCCTTAAGCTTCCCAGAGGCCCGCTAATTTATTGAGAGGGTCTGTGAAGCACTGAAAGGTATTTTGTGTGAGTGAATATTCTGAGCTTATATTCCTTCTAAGATTTTGGCAAATGGTTGTATAGTTACACCCTCTGCTTTTCTCCCAGAGTGCATTTTCCTGACAATAAATCTCTTCATGTTGGCATCATTGCCATTTGGTGATGCTAAAGAATTTTCAAAGTCCTCAAGTCATGGTTCTGTTTTATGCACAGTTATTCTGTCAATATACCTATGCCCTTACATTTTACTATAAGCAGCAAAAAGAAACCAGGCAGCACCTTCAACACTTTGCTTGAAAATCCCTTTCACTATATAGCTAAGTTAATCATTTACAAGTTCAGCTTTTCACAGAATTTCAGGAGACAGTTTCATTGAGCGTTTTGCCACTATATAATAAGATTCTGCTTCTTCCAGTATCTAATAACGTGCTTCTCCTTTTCTTTAGAGATCCCAATGACAGTGCCAAAGTCTCCATAGCTAATAACAGTCTGTCCAAGATTCTTTAGGCATTGTCTATTACACTCCTCAAAATTCTTCCAGCCCCCGACCATGGCCTGCTTCCAAAGCCACTGCCCCATTTGTAGGGATTTGTGACAGCCCCCAACCACTTCTAGATACCAAAATCTGTATTAGTTATCTAGTGTTACATAACAAATTACCACCGACTTAGCAGCTTAAAATCACACAGCGTCTATGTGTTTGGAGTCTAGACATAGCCTGGCTGGATTCTGTTTCAGAGTCTTACTAGGGTGCATTCAAGGTGCCATTCAGGCTGCATTCTCTTCTGGAAGATCAACTGGGAAAGGCTCCATTTCCAAGCTTACTCGGGTGGCTGGCAGAATTCATTTGTTTGTGATTATATGACTGAAAATTTCCGGGTTTTGCTCCCTGCTGCCTGGATGTGGCCCTCAGCTCCTAGAGGCTGTCCCACCTTGTGGCTCTCACAGCAGGCAATTCACAACACAGCAGCTTGCTTCTTCAAGGCCAGCGGGAGAGTGAGAGTGAATGTTCTAGCAAGATCAAGTCTTAGACAACACAATCATGGGACTGACAGCCGATGACTTTTGCTGCATGCTGTAGTCTAGACGAAAGTCACAAGTATCCACCCCATTCAAGAGAGGGACTGTCAAAAGGCGTGAGCCCCAGGAAGCAGGGATTGTAGAGGCCACATCAAAATCTGTTCACCGCTAATCTCATCAGAAATGTCCTGAAGTATTGGGAAGCTGCTCACAATGAAAAGCTTCCTAAAATTCCAATTCTTCTTTGGAAACTTAAATTTTATATTTTGAAGAACTATTCAGTTGTTCTGCTTGAAGTGACAGGCTCATGCC
This sequence comes from Homo sapiens, assembly GCF_000001405.40. Lineage (NCBI taxonomy): Eukaryota > Metazoa > Chordata > Mammalia > Primates > Hominidae > Homo > Homo sapiens. The sequence goes on from NC_000007.14 coordinate 50,428,794, forward strand.
ATTCACTTACAAGAAAATCTTTGCCAAAAACACAAGTGTGAATAAACATAGTGTACCTGTCATTCTTTTCAGTAAAAATGGTGTTCCATCAAAGAAGTGGCTAGATTAGCTTGTAATTCAAATAATTGTTCAAGTGCTTTGCCTCGAGAAAACAGGTACTGTGATATGCTATAGATTTGCTTTATGTCTACTTCCCATTTTGTCTCACAAAATACCAGATGTTTACTCATGGATTGAGATTATTAAAAAAAAACTAACAACTTCCACTGCTTCATCAAGGACATTCTTAAGTAAAACTGGAATTTTTAAAAAACTGGGAATGTGTTGCAATGAGAAATACACTGGCTACCAGCATAGTGTGGAGTCACGGTGGTGATTCAGGCACCAGTAGTGTTACCCACCACTGCTTTTTCACCATCACTGTGCATATGAACACAGGGGAAAGCAAGTAATATCTGGGTTTTAACGTTGCATATCCCCTGAAAGGGGCTTAAGGAACACAGAGATCTGTGAACCACACTTTGAGAGCTGATTCAAAAGAACAAGTAGATAAAAAACAAACAGGAAAAAGCATAACTATGCAATTCATGATTCTTTAAAATCAGTACGCTACTAGAAAAAAATCAATTAGTGCCTCATCATATTAAACACAAAAGATATCTAGACAAAAAGGTGGGAACTTAAATACAAGAGATATACAGGATATCTCACCCCTGGCTAGGAGAAGTCTTTCTAAATGGAAAGAAAGAAATCACAAAACACAGATTTGAAGGTTTGACTGATAAAAAATCTACTTCCAAGATGGTTATCGCTTCTATTTCAACCTAACTTTACTCTGAGTTGTTCCAAACCCCAAATCCCATTTCTTAAATTTAGCCTGATGTATTTGTGAACAATATTATGACTTGAAATGATTTCAAGAATCATACCCATAGACTGCTTTTTGTACTATTTTGAAATATTGCTGAGAGTTTTCTAGTTACACCCTTTCCTCTGTTGCATGAAGCCAGAGCTTCTCACACTGTCACATGCGCTGGAATTACCAGGGGGATCTTGTTAACATGCAGATCCTTGAGGCAGTGGGCCTGGGCTGGGTCTCCAGTGATGAGGGTGCTGCTGATCCCTAGAAAACACCCAGGAACTAAGGTGCTAACAAAAATAAACTTCTGGAGGTCTTGTTAAGGCTATCAACTTCTTATTTCTCTTAAGCCCATATGGTTCTCTGCTGTTCTTATAAGAATTTTCTCAACACCTAAAGATCTTGTCCTCTACAACAGTGGAACATCCAGGGACCAGTTGAGAAAGCATGGTACACCCACTCAATGGAAAACTACGCACCCCTGAAGAGTTATTAGGAATGTTGAGTTCTGCATATAGTACATAGAGATGTTTTAATGATGATTGTAACTACAGTGTAATTCTAGCTTTATTAAAATATATTATGCTATGTGTTTGTGTGTGTAAACAGAAAGGATGATTAGGAGATAAATACACCAGAACATTCTGAGTTGTAGAATTGTGTCTGTTTTCTTCTCCATTTTGCATTGTGAACTTTTCAGATTTTCTTCAATGAGTATATATTACAATAATTAAACTTTTATTATATGCATTAAATCTGTTTTAAATTAAGATTGCTCTAATCTTTAGAAGAATCTGTGGTGGAAGCATACTGCAGAGATCCATAAGGAAACTTTTCACTGTAGTCTCAAGGTGAGATTTCATAAACATAAATTTTCTGAGTTGTAGTTGTTTATTTTAAAAAGACAATAAAGTATTATTTATTTAATATTATGTTATTTACTTGTTATTTATTTGCTTTATTATTTATTCAATGAAATATTTTATTGACTTTATAGTAAAAAGTAGAGAACATTATCTTTATGAAAAATAAAACATAGGCTGTAATCCCAGCAGTTTGGGAGGCCGAGGCAGGCGGATCACCTGAGGTCAGGAGTTCGAGATAAGTCTGGCCAACTTGGCAAAACCCTGTCTCTACTAAAAATACAAAAATTAGCTGGGCATGGGTGGCGGGCATCTGTAGTCCCAGCTACTTGGGAGGCTGAGGCAGGAGAATCGCTTGAACCTGGGAGGCAAAGGTTGCAGTGAGCCAAGATCGCGCCACTGCACTCCAGCCTGAGCGACAGAACAAGACTTTGTCTCAAAAAAATAAATAAAAATTAATTAATTAAAACACAGGGAACATGAAGAAGAGACAAGGAACACAGAGATTGTTGAGTTCTAGTACTTTTTAGAGCCAGTTTGGGGTGTTTTATTTTTTGACCCAGGGCCTGTACAAAATTTTATGGTTACCTCAGAAAATGTGTTTTTGTTTCTTACGCAAAGTTATCTTTGTTCATTTATTTTCTCCCGTTTAAAGTTAATAACTAATCTTAAGCTGATAGCATCATTTATCATGTTACCAGGGAAGATTTTTCCCTGCTTTTTAAAAAAAGTCATATTTTCTCTAGAACATTATATAGTACCTACTATGCTTACATAAATTAGCACTTTTAATTAAATAAAGGAAATACTATATTGGATTCCTCATTTCTGAAACTAGATATCTATGACTTGATTCCTAAATTTGGGTATAATTTTAGGAGATCCTTAGTAATAAAGTTTATTGCACAGGCTGCAAGAAAGACAAGCCTGCCTCAGTACCACTGCCAATAAACCAAAACTTGCCAGGTTGGAAGGTATCACAGCCTTGGCAGGGTACTCAGATTGGGCTCATCATCACTGACATCACTGCCCTGTTGTCTGGCAGTGATCCCAGGTGGGGATCTCTCTGTTCAGTCTCCCTAACTTATTTTATGCTGAATGAAATAACCAACTCTACCATGTCAAACGAGCCTCACCAGAACAAAAAGGAATTTGTGAACTCCATTCAGTGGCGAGCAACTTGACTGCTTAGGCAATGCCTGACACAAAAAGGTGCTCAATAGATTATGCAGTGGAATTGAAAAAGAGACTCAGAGAGAGGCTTTGAAATTAAGGCTCGACTAGGATTAAGTTTTTCCAAAGCAATAAAAAGGCCTAGGAAAAATATTTTTCTCATTTCTATGTGTACAATTCTAAAGTGGATATTATGTGCATTTTCCACTCTAATTTAGATCAGTTGAAACGAATAAATAATGAAGTGCTGACATATTTATTTTGCATCTACTAAGCTTATCCATTAAAATAGATTTATCTGCACCATTTCCCTTAAATTGCAATCATGCCCTGGTTTTACAGCAATTTTCTGTATTTTGTGAAATTATGCCTCCAGATGCTTATCATGCACTTGGGGGTTGCATTGTTCCACCAGGTCAGAAGCATGTATATAGTCATGCTATTTTTTCCAGATGTGAGAGCTCAACATTCTCTGCATCCCAAACTCCGATAAAATAGAATTTATCCACTTCTGTGGTCACAGATGTAATGTTATGCATATATGTTGCTTGCTCAAAAATTCCTTTGTAAAATGGGTTTCTGAACGTTTGGTTTCTTAACATGCAGATGAAATCTGTATTTGCCTCACAACTACTTTTTAAAGCAATTTCAATAAGTTTGCTCAATTTGGAGTTGGATGAATGACTATTTGCTAAGGATTCTGATTCTGAGAGGTTTACTTCTAAATACAATCTTACATGTGTGTAAAACATGGAGACTTTCAATCTGTTTTTTAAAGATTCATTTTCTGTTTGGTCATTGTCTTTTCAGCCCCATTTCCTAAATGCAATGCATGCATGATGTTTTCTGAGAGGAATTCGTAATAGGGATTTTCAATTCTTAACCACTTGCCTCTCCAAACAAACCTAATGGCGCCAGTTGAAAAAAAAAAAGTTTAATTATTTAAGAAAGCTATGTTCAGTACTTTAAAAATAGTATTTGAGTTTTTTAAATTATAAAAGAGTAGATAGTCATTGTACGCAAAACAACCATATTGTGTGTGAGTGAAGTCAAATATGGAAATCTTCCTCCCTCACACAACACATATACCTCCAGAGAGGTAAACACTCTTAACTGTCATTGTATGCCCTTCTGGAGCTTTTTCACATTCCTTTACTTACATATATAAGCACATGGACTATGCGCACCTTGCTTTTTTCATTGAATTATAGAACTTGGAGCTCTTGCCCTATCAGTGCACATACATTGACTTGATTTTTAAAACCCACTGCACAGATCATAGAACAGATTCAGCTATCTTCCACTGATGGATATTTAAGCCATCTATTTTTTACATATTAAAATGTCTCAGTGAACTTATTTATGTAGTATAGATTCCTAGAAGTGGAATCACTTTTGGCGGATATTACCAGATTCCTTTCCAAAAAGGCTAAGTTTATCCACATTCCACAACAGTGGATGCCAGGATCCTACTCTCCAAATATTTGCCAACACTGGGTAATGTCACTATTTCCAAATGCTATGCTAGTATTTTAATAATTTTTAAATTTTAAATTTACATTTTTATGCTTTTAGCTCAATGTGTAAACATCTGTGACTGGTATTTTCTTTCTGTTTGGATGCTTTTAGCTCAATGTGTAAAGGTTTATGATGGATATAAAGGCAAAAACTTCTTAACAGTATAAAATATTTTTCTTTATCGAGTTTATTGCTTTTTACCTTGATTCCTCTTTTTTCTGGTATTAATAATCCTGTTCCTGATCTTTGTTGGCACTTTCCTGTTTATATTTCTATTCCCTTATTTTCAATATTTCTATTTCATTTTATAAAGATAATGTAATTAAACTTTGCCTTTTTACCTAATTTAGGAGGCTATGCTTATTAATCAAGGAAGTTTTTGCATTTGTTATGAATCCTGAAATGTTTCCTCTTTTTCCTGACATCTTATTTAAAATTTTCTCTTTATTAAGCTTTTATTAGTTTCTCTTCACCTTTAAACATTTTTTTCTCAATTTCACGAATTGGGTTTCCTTTGTTTTTTTCTCTTATGATTTGGAAGCTTCATATCCTATTTCTGATCTATGTCCTATTTCTATTTTACTAACAGTTACACTTACATTTTAGACATAAACAAATACATATATATATGTTTTGTTTTGATCTTAATTTATATGATATACACAAATTTAAATATATGTATATTCACATGTTACATATGTTTAGTTAGATGTTTTAGCAATACTGAATACTAATTTTTTATTTAAATGAAAGTGAGCATGTAAAACACCTGATGATCATTTATTAATACAAAGTCATCTATCTACCTCAAGTATTAAACAGGCATAACACAAACAGTAAATTAAAAGGCAATGTTAGAAACACATTATTTTGTGAGTTTCAAACTTCAGTATCAACAACTTCAGGGACATTTTTCAATAAAAACATCTATCAATAATAGCACTATTCCAAGCTTTCTATTTTTTTATAGCCTTATGTTCTTTTGCTCTTCAATATGTAGTACTTCTAAATTATTTGTAACTATTAATAAAATATTACTTTTTAAACTTTTCCTCTGAAAATAATTTTATGGTATGATTTGCACCACATGAGTTTAGATAATGGAATGAGCCTGAACTGCAGCAAAATGCCTAACAATGAAGGCTAAGAGTTTTTAAAGATCAGTGTCCAAATCTGTGGCAATGTTGGGGTAACAGGATGTGAGGCTCTTAAGGAGCAGAAGCCAGTCTGTTTCTGTGAAGCACCAGATTCTCAACTTTTACCTTAAAGGTATAAAAATTAAATTATTTTGCAGTTCAAAAGGCTGCCTGCAGATATACCGCACAGAGTTGTAAGGGAAACAGCCTTAATTACAGACATGGTCACGGATGCTATACTGGTCTAGATCTGCCCTGTCCAACGTGGCGGCCTCTGGTCTCATGTGACTGAGCGCTTGAACTATGGTGAGGTGGAACTGAGATGTGCTTTAAATGCAAAATATACACCAGATTTCAAAGACTCAATACGAAGAAGAAAAATTTATATAAAGTATCTCATAAACAATTCTTATATTGATTACATGTTGAAATAGGATATTAATTTCACCTGGTTCCTTTTACTATTTTAATATGGCTACCAGGTTTAAAATTTCATATGTGGTTCTCATTATTCAGAGGTAATATGTTAATTATCATTTTCTTGGAGTTCCAATAATTGTCTTGGCAACATCTGTGACAGTTCCAGGTCTGCCTAGTTTAATTCAGTCCAAAGGATTTCAGCAGTAATTTGCTGAAAACAGGAGGGAGTATCCTCTCTTTAATGAGACAAATGTCTACTGAAGTCATTTTCATGGCAAAATGGTAGCTGCCTTTTTTTGATTTAGTTATTATCATATGTTCCAACTTCATGATAGGGCTCAGTAATGGGAGCAGTGGCTGAATTTCTGAGTCTGGATTTACTTTGTTTTTGTACCATATTATTCCTGTTTTTCTAACTACTCAGAGCCCTTGCAGTTGATAAATTACACTAAACTACTCCTGTGCTCCATAGATATATTACTCTAAAATCCTGACTTCTTATTGTTATTGTTGTCCTCTATGAAGAGTAACATCCAAGCCTCCTGACAATATCATCCTTTTAGGAAAAAATGTGATCTTATTGTTTGCTTAGTCACTGTTCTAAAAGATTAGTGGATGTGCTCATTTTGGCAGTACATATACTAAAATTGGAATGATACAGAGAAGATTAGCATGGCCTCTGAGCAAGGATGACATGCAAATTCATGAAGTATTCCATATAAAAATACTCTAAAAATAAAAAAATAGGCCGGGCACAGTGGCTTACGCCTGTAATCCCAGCACTTTGGGAGGCCGAGGCGGGCGGATGACGAGGTCAGGAGATCTAGACCATCCTGGCTAACACGGTGAAACCCCGTCTCTACTAAAAATACAAAAAAATAGCCAGGCTTGGTGGCAGGCATCTGCAGTCCCAACTACTCGGGAGACAGGCAGGAGAATGGCGTGAACCCAGGAGGCGGAGCTTGCAGTGAGCCAATATCACACCACTGCACTCCAGCCTGGGCAACAGAGCGGGACTCTGTCTCAAAAAATAAATAAAAATAAATACATAAATTTTAAAAATATTAGTGGATAAAGCACATGGCTTGAGTAGGGTTCCCTGCAATGTCCTCACCCCATGGCCTTCTGACTGCCTTCTGCCCTTGCTGTTATGTGGCCAGAGCCTGACACACCCCAACCCACCCCACAGGCTTCACTTCAAACACCCTGTGCCTGCCATGGGCCCCACCTGTCAGCCTCAATGCCCCAGTCCTAAGCCTGAACCTACATACTTTCTCTCAACATCAAGACTTACCCGAATATATGCCAAACTCCCTCAAACAAAACATAACACAATAAAATGTGAGCAGCTGCTTTATTTTTCTTATCTTTTATCCGTTTGTTGAAATCTTCTGGAATTTTAGTTTTGCATTTTTTTAATGTTATGTTTTTATTTCAGGAATTCATTTTAACAGTTGTATTAAACTGTGCAACTACATTGTCAAAAATTATTTAGACTTAATTAGTCACAGGGTTTGCTGGTTCCTTTGCTCATGGTGGCTTGGCATGGACTATAGCTTCCCTTTTGCTAACTTCCTTATCCTGATTCATTTCTCATTTGCCTAAGGCATCCTTCAGGGGACTTTTCCTCTTTCTTTCCCAGAAAGAATATATGATAATTTGGGGGTCCACTGTATCTAAACAAGAATTTACTGTAGTCGCCCATTTGACATCTTAGATCTACAATTCTAATCTCAAAATTATTTGCCCCCAGAACTTTGTGAGCACTGTTTTATTATTATTATTTTCTTTTTAGAGACAGGGTCTCACTCTGTCACCCAGGCTGGAATGCAGTGGTGCAATCATGACTCACTGCAGCCTTGAATTCCCAGGCTCAAGTGATTCTCTTACCTCAGCCTCCCGAGTCTCTGGGATTACAAGCATATGCCACCATACTCAGCTAATTTTTTTTTTTTTTTGTAGAGATGGGTGTCTCACTATGTTGCCCAGGCTGGTCTCAAACTCCTGGCCTTTAGTGATCCTCTCACCTTGGCCTCCCAAAGTGTTGGGATTACAGGCGTGAGCCACTGCACTCAGCCCCGTTACTTTCCAGCATTTAATGTTATTTGACACTTTAGTTGACACTCTGATTCTTAGTCTTTTATAGATTGCCTATTTGGTTGTGCTCTCTTGCTCTCTTTCCCCAGAGACTTTACCAAGGTATGTCTCAGTCCATCCCCAATTCTTGCTTAACACTGTTTAGAGAAAACTCCCTCTAACCGCACTTTTCCTCTACTCTCACACAACAATCATCAACACAGAAGACTTCTGTGATCAAATATGGGTTAATTCCCCATACACCCATCAGCAGACACCAGCTGCATGTCCTCTAATTCAATTCCAACACTATTTACCTAGAGATGGTGTCAGATCCCACAGGCTGAGGGGTCAGTCCCCAAGACTGCCCCTCCACACCAGTCGCCAAGTCCGGGCCTTCAGAACTTCTGACCAACCAGCTTCAAAGTTCCCATGACCCCTTCTTTGGGTTCAATAAATTTGCAGAAGCAGTTCATACAACTCAGGGAAACACTTAGTTCACCAGTTTATTGCTCTATACTGGAAAAAATACAGACGAAGAAACGCTAGGGCAAGGTATGGGGGAAGAGGCTTGAAGCTTCCATGCCCTACCTGGGCACACCACTCTCCCGGAACCTCCACATGTTCAGCTATTGGGAAGCTCTCTGAACCCTGTCCTCTTGGAATTTTGAGTCTTAAGACCCACAATCAGAAAGGTGGGAGAATATTAGAGTGGAAGGAGGGCAGAACACCAGAGGCCTACCTGAGGCCTAACACATCCAACATTATAACAAGACTGTGTAAGGGCTGTGGGAGTTATGAGCCAAAGAACCCTGGATGAAAAACCTACATATATATATAACACCACACACTCAGTAGATGCTTTTGATATGAACTATGTATTTCACTCAGAAGAATTATCTGCTCTCAATAATGCAATTATCATCTACCTCTCTCCTTTTTACTTTCTATAGATTCCCCATTATATGGATATTAGTTACCTGGAATCTGTCATACTACTTAACTCCTCACTCTAGCTCTGTCTGCTGAAGATTGTAAAATAATTCCACAGCTTATTCTTCCTTTTAACTATCTTGTTTCAGCCCTTTCCATTTTAAAAATTCAGTTCTTCCACTAAGATTTTTATTTTAACCATTAGAATTCTTGTTTCCTGGGCCTTTATTTCACAGCTGTGATAGATTCTGAAGCAGGCTCCATGATCCCTACCTCCTGGTAGTTGTCATTTTTAATACCCTTCCCTAAGAGTGGGAAGGACCTGTGTCTTGCTCTCACCCTACAGAATACAGCAAAGATGACAAAGTGTTGCCTGTGTGATTACATTACAGAAGATAGTAACATCTGTGCTACTGGAAAGGCTCTCTCCCCTGCCGGCTTTGAGGAAGCAAGCAGCCACACTGGAATGCCTACATGGCAAGGAACTGAGGGCAACCTCCAGCCAACAGATGGCAAGAACTGAGGCCCTCTGTCCAGCCATCTGTAAGAAACTGAATGTTGCCCAACCACCATGTGAGCTGAGAAGTGGATCCTTCCCCAACAAGCCTCAGATGAGACCACAGTCCTGACCAACACCTTCATTGCAGCCCTGTGGGTCCCTGAAGCAGAGGACCCAGCTAAGCCTGAAAGAAACTACAAGGTCATTAATGTGTGTTGTTTAAAGTCACTAAGTTTGTGGTGATATTGTTATGTAACAATATACTAATACAATAGCTGCCTATTTTAATTTGGTGGCTACCATGTCTTCTGGGATCGAGACTTTCTAAAGCTCTACTCAGTCTCCTGAATCAATGGTTTTCTTTGATGGGAATCACTCTGCTTCTTCTCTGGGTGCCTCTCATGATGTTGGGTTTTTCAGAAGTCTCATGAATCTTGCATGGTTGTGAAGTGCACATAAAGTCCCTAGCTGTAAAGAACTTTCTAATGGGTGTGAAATAGGATTAGAGACAAAGACAGTAAGCATAAGTATTTTCAGTTAGTAACAGTTACCAATAAAAAATGTAGGATAATATGATAGTGATGGCATGCACGTGTTGGAAGTTAGTGGAGGCTATCTCCCCAGTGGTCAAAGGAGGTCTTGCTGGAGAAATTATATTTTACTAACTTGAAGCAGCAGCTGTAAGGAAGAGCTTTCCACACTCAAAGAACAGTGTAATGTTCCCTACCCCACATTGCTGCTGTAACAAACTACCATAAACTTAGCAGCTTAGAACCACACACAGTTATGACCCCACAGTTCTGTACATCAGAAGTATAGGAGTCTCTACCAGTTTCTCTGCTCTGGGTCCCATAAGACTGAAATCAAGGTGTCAGCCGGCCTGGATTCTCATCTGGAACCTCTGGGTGAGGCTTCCTGGCTTATTTAGGTTGCTGGCAGAATTCCCTTCTATGCAGTTCTAGGACTGACACCTCTGGTTTTTGTTGGCTATTGTCTGGAGGCTCCTGTCAGCTCCTAGAGACTTCTCTCCAGCCTTCGTGCATGGGCTCCTGATTCACAGAGCTGCAACTTCAGAGAAAATCCTTCTCATGCTCGGAATCTTGGACATCCTCTCTGCCACATCTTTCTTCTGCCTCTTTAGCCCTCCTCTTCTCTAACCAGCCAGAGAACATTCTCTGCTTTTAAGGACTTGTGAAATTAGATTGGCCCTACACAAATAATTCAAGATAACCTCCCTATCTGCAGGTCTGTAACCGCATTACCTCTGCAAAGTCCCTTCCCAGCAGTACCTAGATTTGACTGAATAAGCAGGGGATGGGTCTCTTGGAGGAACATCTTCAGAATTCTGCCTACCACACTTCCTATATGAGAAACATGTTTGTTGCACCTTAAGATCCAGTGGGATGAAGGAAAGTAAGAAAGGAGAGTGAAGAGAAATGATATTTGGCTCTAGGAAGGAATTTGGATTTTATTTTCATTTAGATGGGAATCTATTGGAGGATTTTTACAAGGGGAAGTAATGTTAAGTTATACTTTAAAAGTGATCAGTATGCTGACAGGAGAAAGCTTCCTTAGCAATTGTCTTTCATATTGCCCAGCCATGGATAGAGATGTGTTAACTGTGGCGTGAGCAAGACCTCCTCTATGTCTTGGCGTAAGCCTGCATGTGTCAGTGGCAAGGATATAGAGAAACTGTAGGAAGTGGGGGTCGACCCTTAAAAAAATGTGGAAGTAGGTAAAAAGTTACCGAGACAGGAGTGAGTTACATCAAGAAGTTCCACTGCTTCATCAAATACTTGTGCTTCTGTCTAACGTGGCAACCAAGTACCTGCCATCCTGACTCACTTCTCAGGCTGCAGGGCCCACAAAAGCCAGGCGACTGTAAATGACTCCCCCTGATTTAGGGAACTCCACTTCCCAGTGGTTCCACAAGAACAGTTGGGCATGAGCTCCGCAAGGCTTGTCTTGGCAATCCTTTCAGATACCAGACCACTGGCCCACAGCCTATTTTGCTGCCTAAGCTAGGGGTACAGCCCAGGCACTGCTGAGATAACCAATCTCATCTGGCATTTTCACAGCCATTATTTAGCTCAGGGATTCCAACAACCCAGTACCATTTGCCTTGTGACCTCCAGAAACACCTGTCATATTTGAAAATGGTAACCTTCTCTCTTTTCCAACATCACACTGGATTGATTCTTAGTGTGTATTTTTTCATTTCAATGAAAATTTTGCACATACGGGCAGGAAAGGTAAATTTGTGGCTTAGGCCACTATTTTAAATGGAAAGTTTGTTACTATACCTTTTATTATTAAGCTAATATATTCTTCTGGGGGAAAAAAAATGCTGGGGTAGTTTTTTCCTAGAAGCCTTTTAAGGGAAAGTTGAGCTGCATGCATTTCTTGGATACAAAGGTAAGGTGCAACTCTGACACTAAAGCATGAGACTACCAAGCGCTGATGGCTCCCTCTCTGGGACTGCATGGCTTCATCACACATGGGGATGAGAACTGGGGCCTGACAGTCCAGGGCAGTGAGTGAAGGTGAGCAAAGGAGGAGACAAGGCCTCTGCTCTGGACTCACTGACTGCACAGGTTGTTATAATATGGGAGTGCTTGCCCTCGCCATATCCGAGGAACCTGGGACTTAGCTACGTTTCCCCTGCCATCTCTACATTTCTGAGCAGAAATGGATTGAGAGAGCTCTAATAGCTGTGTTTCACTGGCCGTGGCAGGCCCTGTTGGTCAGCAGGCACACCGCTGCTTGTTGAGATGCCTGAGCCCAGCTGTCACAAAACACCAATGGCCCAAGTGCCCTTAACAACAGCATGTTGCCTTTATAAAACGCCACCTTATGTGGACTTCCTAATTTTTCTTTTTCTCTTAAGTGGTTATTATATATTAAGTGGTCCATTATGCTGACTTAACTCCTTAATAAAGCCCTCTCTTCATGTTTTCCCGTTGTTTTTATAATGAGCCAAATTAGTAATAAAGTTAGCCCTTACCTGACTATACTTTGTTTTGTACCTCCCAGTACCCAGCACCTGATACTGTGTAAGCAATTCTCAAATTCATAAATTTTTGGTAAGTGATAACAGAAATCTGGATGTGTTATTAAGGAATGACCAGTACAATTTCCCTTTATCACTAAAAAAACAAATCTTACGGAGTCTGTACAAACTCTCTAAGGTTAGAATCACTGGCAGTTTTCTAATGTCCATTTTAATGCTCTTTCCATTATAAGCCGTGTTGTAAAAGTATTTTTTAAGGGCAAGAGTTAAAAGTGGTGACTGCATCTTATCTATTCTCCCAAGACTCCCTCCATTCACCCAGGCTGCTGGGGCAAACCTTCAAGATGGCCTCACCTGCTTAAACTGTTTAAAATGTGCTCCCTCACCACCAGCTCCCCAACTAAGGTCAAGAACTAGGAATATAAGAAGGAAGTAAAAAGATGTTATCTTTATCCAACCTGTCCTTTTGCCATGGACCTTGATAGAATCCTTTCTTTTAATCAGATCCCTAAAGGTGGGCTGTAAAGTGTCCCTTAAAAAAACACTGGGAGAGTAAAAATGGAGACCAATAAATAACATATAAGCATGAGTAGAGAAAAATAATAATCTGGGACAGACCTTTAAAAAAGTTCTAAAGTGTAGAAAAGGAGAAACATAACTAAGAGATATTTCTTTGGAATTAGAATTTTTCCACAAAACTAAAGATAGATGGCATATGATCTCTAATAATATGATGCAAATACCACAAACACTAAGCAGAATGAGCTAGGACAACCACACAAAATAGCTGAAAAGATCCTTCACAGCAACAAGAGCAAAATCAAGGCAGATTCAAAGAAGAGGCACAATCATAAAACATGAACCAGGCCTTTTAAATCTGTATTTTACTATTTAATCCTCACTCTCCAACAAGACAGGTATAAACTATTCTCACTTTAGAATTGAGATTGAATAATTAAGTAACCAACAGTCACCAGTAAATGACAGAGCCAGAATTCAACAGGTCTATTTGGCTCCACAGCCCATGATCTTTAGACTATGATTCCATTAAGACCAGCTTGTCAATATGAAAGGCACACCTGAGAGATATTTTAGAATTGAGAAAATGAGTTAAAATTTCAGAAAATTAGAAATTTACCACAGAATGAATACATATCAAAAGGATCATATATTATTATTAGATGTATAATAAAGATTTAAGAAGGCCTGAAATCATAAATTAGAATTACCATATTCATATCAAAATTGTTAAGCATTAATACCATAACCAAGTGACATGTTTAGTAAAATGTGTATTTCTACTAAGGGAATGTAATTTTTGAAGACATTAAATATCAGGCTAGCATTCATGTTTCTGAAACAATAGCTAAAGACAGGGCAGTGCCACACTTGAGATAATTTAATCCAAGATTATTATATTCGATGAAGACAATCGCATGTGGCGAGAGTAAGCAATCTTAAAGTTTCAGTAAGCTTCCTATCCAACTGCTTCAGAAACACTCAAAATCACAAAGTGTTGAGACAAAGAAAGCTTCTCTGTGGTATAACGTAGAAACAACAGTTGACTCCCCAGCTCAAATTTTCTTTCCAGCTTTAAAATATCCTGACTATTCCTTTCAGGTTTAGATTCTTATTTAACAGAGTAGACCTTAATTCAGGAAAGACCATTTCTTGAGCTAACAAGAGAGACATGGGCTCTGCTTAATCCAAGATGAGCTAAACCAACTAGACTTTCTCTCCTTGTCACAATTTCTAAACTCCATAGAAAGAAGTGGCCCTGTGGCTGGTGATCAAGGGAGCTTAAAGTCAGGGCTGGCAGAAGCTGTAACTGAAAAAAACTGATAATAAATATTAAGACCAAATTTCAGAGCTAAATAAAACATTAACAGCTAGAGGGCAAATGCTGATAAATCTAAATAGCTAGACCCAAGAAGGTGGGAGTGATCTGCAATTAAACACCAAGAAAGAAAAACTAGAGAATTCCTTGACATCAATACCAAAGAAACCAAGTTTATAGTGCTGTTTATATAGAAATAGAAAGGGATAAAGACAGTAATGAATATTGTGGAATGTTTTAGGATGTTAAAAGATATAACTAAGAACTGAAGACAAGAAGTTTAACGTCCAAATTCTAATAAAAAAGGCCAGGCGTGGTGGCTCATGCCTGTAATCCCAACACTTCAGGAGGCTGAGGTGGGTGGATCGTTTGAGGCCAGGAGTTCGAGAGCAGCCTGGGCAACATGGTGAAACCCCATCTCGATTAAAAATACAAAAATTAGCTGGGTGTGGTGGTGCAAACCTGTGGTCTCAGCTACAAGGGAGACTGAGGCACAAGAATCACTGGAACCCAGGAGGCAGAGGTTGCAGTGAGCTGAGATCACACCACTGCACTCCAGCCTAGGCAACACAGCGAGACTGTTTCAAAATAACCAAAACAAAACAAAAAATGAATTCTAATGAAAGACAATCACATATTACAAAGGGAAAAACTAAAAATTGCAACAATCTTTTAACATAAAAACAGAAGGCAAACCAAGAATAAAAATTTAAACTATATACACAAACTGTCTAAATTCAACAACTAAAAGTGTTTCAATTTGTCATTTCAAATTGCACTGTTCACAAGAGAAAACATTAGAACTTAAATATAACCTCCACGAGACCAAGGATATTTGTGTTGTTCATTGCTCTACGTTCACTACCTTCAGTTTTTTGAATAAATGCAAAAAGAATGCCAACAAATACCAAAACTGCCTACTGCCCAATGCTGCCATAGCTCTGATTCAGTGCAGATGGAGTTTTACACAGGAACTACTTTTTCAAGAGGACAATTTAGAATGCAAGCCAAAAGCTTTAAAAAGTGCATATTCTTTAAT
Source organism: Homo sapiens (assembly GCF_000001405.40). Classification (NCBI taxonomy): domain Eukaryota; kingdom Metazoa; phylum Chordata; class Mammalia; order Primates; family Hominidae; genus Homo; species Homo sapiens. The sequence goes on from NC_000007.14 coordinate 50,444,157, forward strand.
CCAGGAATTACTCAAGAAATTTATACATTTTTTAAAAAGATCACCAAATGCATCCCACATAGTTCCTTTACAATAAACAAAAGATAAACAACCTAGCGTCCTGTCCTATATGCGCTCTACCAGATGACTCAATTATATTCCATCCATCCATGGAATCCTAGACAATCATAAAAGGACATTTATGTTAACATGGAAAGTGAAGATACGCTTTGAAGAATAGGCTACAAGAGAGAATACATTACACAATCCTACTGCTGTATAAAACAAAACATCTGGAAGAATCTATGCTTAAATATTAATAGTGTGTCCCGCAAAGTGGTAGGATAATAGTGACTTTTATTCTTTTTACTTATCTCTATTTTCTCATGTTTCTGTAATGAACATGTTTCATAAAACAAAATGGGTCTGTTATAAAAATCTGAAAACTTGTTTTTGAAAGAGAGCAGTATTACAGGCTGTAGTGTCAAATAAAATATTAATGTTAAATATCACACGCTCCCGTGAAAATAACCAACATTCTTAATTAACCTTTCAGTTCTGTGAATCTAATACTAGATCACACCTTGCTATTTCTGAAAATGTTAGTCCTGATAAAAATTAAAAACCATAAAAGAGGTAACAAATTGGCTGAAGAAAGTAAAAATTGGCACTTTAGCTTTGAGATCTTAAATCTACTTAAATAACACTAAGCAATACTTTGTCCAAATGTAAACCATTATACTAGCTGACATTAAGAATTATGTGGCCATCAGAAGGCACTTTCTTCAATAAAAGATGAATATTAATCAGACACAACTTTATATGTAATCTTCAACTAAAAAAAATTTGAGCTCACTTTTCATGTTATATAGCTTCAAGATAAAGACTTCTTAGAAACAAAAGTTCATTCTCACTTTGTTCAAATAGGCTTACGTATCAGGTAATCACTGGAAAGCAAAACTTACATTAACATACACTATGTCAATCAGATGTAAAATCTGTGCTATTATTTGAAGTACAGAACTTAGAATATATTCTTAAAAATACAATTAACACATCCCCAACTTTCTATGCTAAAAAATAAAGAAGACTGTACTACAGAGATGCCTTGATTCCAAGTATCCCACTTACTTTCCACAACCAAAAGTTTTGTTCCAGTTTTCATAAAGCTCTAAATCTTTTGGAGAAACACTAGGTCGCACAGTTCTAAAAGCATTTTCAAAATCAATGTAAGCTATGGGTCGAACTTGATCCGGTGTTATGGTAGCAATGTCAGCAGTTTGTAAACTGCGAATAGGACCAAGAGAAGCCTCCCTGCAAAGCTGTGTCATGTCTGCTCCTGAAAACGCATCAGACTGCTGTACAATCTGTTCAATTTCTTCTTCACTGAGGCAACACTGCTCTTTGGACATTAGATTAATTACTATCTGTTTCCTGGCTGAAGCTTCTGGGAGGGGAATATAAAGCCTTTTCACCAATCTTCTCCGGGCAGCCTCATCAATTTCTTGTGGCCGATTTGTTGCTCCCACCACTAGGATACGATCTTCAGAAGATGTTGTTGCTCCATCTAATTGAACTAAAAATTCTGTTTTTATCCTTCTAGAAGATTCATGCTCACCATCTCCCCGTTGAGATAACAAGGAATCAATTTCGTCAATAAATATCACAGCTGGTTGCTGACACCTTGCAACAGCAAACAATGCACGGACCATTTTCTCCCCCTCACCTACCCATTTAGAAGTTAAGGATGAAGCAGAGATGCTAAAGAATGTTGCCCCAGACTGACTAGCAATGCACTTGCCAATTAGAGTTTTACCAGTCCCAGGAGGACCAAAGAGCAAAATTCCTTTAGGGGGTCCCCTTAAACCAGTAAAGATGTCTGGCCTCAACATGGGCCACACAACTATTTCCTTTATGGTGGCTTTAGCAAATTCTACTCCTGCAATATCTTCCCAATTTACTGGAGGTCCATGATCCATAATCTCATTCATAATAAGTTCAATCATCTTTGGCTCCAAGTTCTTCAGACGCTCATCAACTGGATGTGCTGGTTCTGTAGGTCCTGCCCCATAAGGCTTACATTGCATTCCTCCATTCTGCTCTCCCCCATCTTGCTTGGGTATAGGAGGAACAAACTTTCCAAGTATCCCTCGGGATCTACTAGCTCCTAGAGACTTTTTTACACCACCATATGAAGACCCTGATGCACGCTGAGGTTGGTGGTACTTTTTTTGCTGATCTACCCATAATTGTTCTTTTGCAGTTTTAAATGTAGGCAGGCTGCTATCCTCCTTTGGGCCATTATCTTCTGTTTTACTACAAGCCTTATTCAGTATTGGATTGGAAAGTGCATCAATGGTGCCAGAACCATAAAAAGACTTCCTCTGTGGATTTTCACAGGCAGCAGGAAAACAAGACTGGTTAGATAAGAACACATTAAGTCCTATGTTTTCTTTTGCAGAGCTGTGATTTTCCTTTTTGACATTTCCAAACAATGGTGTGACATGGAATTTTGCAGTAGCTGACTCACCTACAGGTGCTGAGAATGTAGGACAAGTCCTAGCAGTGTTAGTCACCATAGGTGGCTGGGCATTCTGAAGGAGTTTCAAACGATTGCTCTCCGGGAAGTCTTGGGTCCGGTCTCGATCATGAGCTGAGTTAGGTAATGAGTCACTCTCTTGAGAACTACCACAAACACTAAATTTAGGAAGATCAAAGACAGTGGCCTCCTTATGGATTACCACTGATGCAAGAGCAGGTTCCAACAGAGAGTCTTTGAATTTTTTGCCAGCTTGCATCATCTTCTGTACACTACTCATTTTGAAAACATTATTTATTGACAATCCAGACTGCCACTTGTCACTATCTGTTTGTTGAGATCCTGCCAAAGTTAAAATGTTTTCTGCATAATTATTCAACCCAGATTCAACATTGTCAGAATCAATAATTGCAGAATATTTCTCTGCATATTTTTTGAACAGTTTGGTAGCACAGACCTGGGAAATCTCAGAGTTTGCCCATGCATACTGAATGCGTAATATCTGTGCACGGTATGCATCTGCCTTCGGTCCGGTACATATGCCAGATGTAATTGCGAAGTAATTCTTCTGCCATTCACTCAGGTGCACAGATCTAGAGCTGGAGGTCTGCATTTTAGAGGTTCTATAACAAACAATAAAAATGAAAATCAGTATGAAGGAAAACAAAGAAAATACTTTAAATGTAATTTTGAAACTTCTGCTAATCTGAAGGAAGGGACACTGGACTTTTTATTTATAATGTAGATTTATAAGGACAGGTTATAAGAGAAATATCTAGTTAACTATAGATTTCAAGTATTCAAGACATATCAATATGAAGTCTTCAAAATTAAGGACTTGATTAAATAATAATTTATATGAGTTAAATTGTTCTAGTTACATAATTTTATCTGTAGGGAAAGCATTCATAAGGTTTAAAATTAATTTTAAATTTTAAAAACAATGGAACTATAGATACATAAAGCAAAACAAAATAAACAAGAGGTTTAAGTCTGATCTATAAAACTAGGTGAATGAGCTTAAGTGAGCTTTTTACTATCACTGATGGTTTATTTTTATTTTATTATTATTTTTTTTTGAGACAGTGTCTCGCTCTGTCACCCAGGCTGCTGGAGGGCAGTGGCGCTCTCAGCTCACTGCAACCTCCACCTCGCGGGTTCAAGTGCTTCTCCTGCCCCAGCTTCCCAAGTAGCTGGGATTACAGGCACCTGCCACCACCCCTGGATAATTTTTATATTTTTAGTAGAGATGGGGTTTCGCCATGTTAGTCAGGCTGGTCTTGAACTCCTGACCTCAGGTAATCCACCCGCCTCAGCCTCCCAAAGTGCTGGGATTACAGGCGTGAGCTACCGCGCCCAGCTGGTTCTTCAGTTTTCTTATCTGCAAAGTGAGAGGAACCATTGGAAGAATCAAATCAAGCAATGACTATGAAAATAATCTGAAAACTATCATTATCCTTATCACACAAATGTACAAACCGAGGCTGAGAGACTTAAAGAACTTACTTGAGATCACACAGCCAGTTATGAATGGTATCAGAAATCGAACACAAGCAGTTTCACTCCAGGTACTGTGCACTTCTGCATGTACACAATGCTCCTTGATGCTGCTATCCTAGGTCACAGATTGAACAGCATGGATCACAAATTTAAACTATGGCATATTTAAATGGTTTTAATAACATTCATGAATAAGTTCATCACCCTAAACAGAATGCCCTAGAATATCTGTTTCCTAATTTCACATAATTATTAAAAAGTGAAACTGTTACAATAAATGAAATAAGAGAACAAGCTAGCCTACTAGGAAAATGCTTTTACTTTAGATTTCTTCTGTCAAGTTATTCGCATAAGCTTCCTCACATTGTTACCTTTAAACAGAACTATAGATGTATCATATTGCTAGATATATAGAATTTACTTACATATCCACAAGAAAAATTTATGAAAAATTTTTGTTTCCTAACAGTATTTCAATTAAATGAAAACCAAGAAACCCTACTTTAGGTTCAAGTATTTGAAATTTTGCCTTCCAAATTACTTGTAAGTACAACAGCCAGGTTTAATGCAGCTTTTATCTCCCATAATGCCTTACAAAGACATTTGTCACATTGTAAGTAGGTGTTCACAAATCTTTGTTTAAAAAACAATTAGAAAACTTAAGATCCAGAGCTTTAAAGACACTGTAATTTATTTAAAGCTGTAAAGCTAAATAAGCTAGAGTCAAAACTAGATCTGACCTCTTCTGTCAAGCAGTTCATCCTTTTTTTCACTATACCATTTTGATGTTAAACTCATTTATACAATACTAGAAATGAGAAACTGAAAGAAAGGTGACTCAGAAAACACTTGACACAAACTTTCACAATTAATATTATCATTCTCTTCCTCTCCATGGCTTCATTCCCCTTTATCATCTGTTATCCTGAAATTTCTACCATACCTCAGAGTTCTAGTCACTGTTCTCAGAATAAACCCCCTTCTCTTTTCCATCTTCACCTTTCCTTCAATATTCATCTTCCAAGTCTTACTTCTTCCTTTCAATTCAATCATTTAAATGGCAAATAAGGATAACCAAAAACTGGCCATCACCGATCAGTGACACAACCATTGTCTTGTTTACCATTTCCAAGTCAATTTAACCTTTATGGCCTTTCCTAGATCTAAAAAGTATGATTAATTAGCACTGTCATATGAACTGCATTTCAATCTTCTTTATTTTGCCAATGTTCTGATTATTTTAATAATGTCATTATCTGTCTTCCTAGACAGTTGGCTTCTGCAGGGAGGAATTGTTTTCCATTCCATTCACATTGTCTTAGTACCTAGAATACAGTGTCCTTTGGAATAATAGCTACTAAAATACTGACGGAGTGCCTACTCAGTACCAAGCACTGTGCAAGCCTTTCATAGGATTCTGTTCTTGATGCAAAACGGGAGTTAAGAGCACAGGGTCTGGAGCCAGGCTGCCTGCTTTCAAATCCTGGCTCTATCATCTGCCAGCAGTGACTGCAGGAAAATCTCTTAATGTCTTTCTGCCGGTTTTCACCTATAAAAGAAGCGCAGCAACATCACTGAGCTGACAAGGTATTTTAATTCTGCAAAGCACTAGACAGAGGACTCAGCACTTAGAAAATACTCTATAAAATACTGCTTCTTCTGATTCCTCACGATGACCCCTGAAAGGTATGAGCCCTTCTTTCTCATCACAGAGATTAAGAGCTTGCCTGGGTCACAGGGGAACTGACTGACCCCCGCTGTGGGCGCCCAGAGCCCCGCTGGGCCCAGTAAATGCCTGCGGTAAGCGGCCCCGCCCCCGGACAGGCTCTGCCAAAGGAAGCCGCCCGCAGACCTGGCCCCGAGCCTGCCGTCCACGCCGGGCCCCAGCTTCCTAATCCTGGATGAGTCTGGTTCTGGGCTAGCGGGTCAGCCACCCTCCCGCTAAGACAGAAGCAAAAGGGCACAGCCACTGCCTGGCTCCCGCCTCCCACGGCCTCCCGCGAAGTCACCGCCCCGCGACCCCCAGCATTCCAGAGGCACACGCCCGCCTCTCCCCTACGCCCCAACCCTGATGCTCCACAGGGGTCAGCAGCGCCCCTGCCCCGCCTCCCGTCACCGCATCCTACCTGCGGCTGGTGTGGGACGCTGGCAGCCTCCGAAAAGCGCGGGGACTGACGTGCGCCTGCGCGCTGCTGTCGCCCTCGGACTCGCGCCGTACGTGCGTGCGTGAGTGCGTGAGTGCGTGCGTGCGTGCGTTCGGCGCGCGGGGCGTGGGCGCGGCACCTGGGCCCGGGCACCGCCACCTAGGCCCTAGCTCCGACCAGTGGTGTTCTATAAACGCTTATTACATCATTGTGCATAGGCTTCATTTTTAAAAGTACTCCCAAATAAATACAAGGAGGCGATGGAAATTGAATGAAGATTCGAAGGATTCCCATAGAGCGTGGCTCACTTCCCCTCACCGGGACAGCGAGCGGCGGCTCACCTGGGAGAGCAAAGCGTGGCTCTCCTGCGCCCACCCGGGAGAGCAAACAATGGCTCACCTGCGCCCACCCGGGAGAGCAAGCGTGGCTCACCTGCGCCCACTCGGGAAAGCCAGCCGCCATCCTGTGCTGCAGGCAGGGAGCGGGCGGCGGGAGAGGAGCGGATCCACTTAGGTCAGCGGTTAAAACGTCGTTACAAGAGGCCACCCCGGCATCGCGGGGCCTGTGGCTGCGCCCCCTCTTGAATTCAGGCCTAGCACATCACCTCCGCCCCTCGCACCCTGCAGTCTGCGCTCCATACAGCACGTGAGCGGGTGCTCAGCAATGTTCCCTGGCTGAAAGAACCGCATAGAGTAGCATGCAAAAATGACATGCATGTTTAAGATAAAATAAGGGAGAGGACACCTGTTCTGACTGAGTCTGGCAACTCAGATCTCCCCGCAGCCAACATCTACATTCCTTTGGACAGCTGTCTGCTGTGTAGGGACACCTCCCTGGAACTTTGAAAAGCACCCCATCATTACCTTCCACTTTGTTCTGGAGCAAGGTTTCAAAAGAAGAGTGCCGTATTTTGATTAATTTAGTGAATTGGATTTTCAGACACAAGTAAGAGCATCCACTCAGTGGCCTCTGCAGTAAATAATGATATCAGATCACATAACAAGAAGACTGGAGGTTGGCGGGAAATCTGGACCTGGTGACTCAAAGAAGTCATGAAGGACCATCTCTCCATTCTGCCACCTTCTCGCCTGTGGATTTTCCTCCCCAGGCTTGTCACTTCATTGTCGAGAGATGCCCTCACAATCCAAGCCAGGCAGCCTCACATGACCAGATCTAAAACACAAAGAGGGAGCCAAACTGAGAAAGGACCTTTTCCCTCTGAACACTTCTCTCTTGGAAAAAGAAAATGTTTCCCAGAAAGCCTCATAGCCTTCCTCTTATATCTCCTTGACTAACTGGGACCCGGATCCCTGGATATCCTTTCCTGAGAAAGAGAGGGTCTGGGGCAGGGGATAGAGAAAATGACTAGCAACTAGCAGCACATGATGTTTAAACATAAGATTTAAAGAAATGCAAGGCACAAACAATTTGAAGACTTTTTTTAAGTTTTTAAAATCTTCACAAAATAAAAAGGAATTGGACAATGCACTTTAAAAACTAGAAGACGTTTCACTGAAAACAGCATCTCCTAATTCATTTCATGGCTTAGATAGTAATAGAAAATTATTTTATTCTAATTCCATACTTTATCAACTAATTTTAATTATTTTATAATTACCCAAAATATGTCATGTAGAATGAAAATAAAAGAAAATGAAAACAGTTATATCAAGGCCAAGTCAGTTGTATGTTTACTGGCTATTTAGAAATTTCTAAATACGTGTATATTTAGAAATGACTATATAGATACTATTTGGGTAATGTTAGGGATGGAAAGTTTATGTCCCCCCAAAATTTGTATGTTGAAATCCTAAGCCCAATGTGATGGTTTTAAGGGGCGGGGCCTTTGTGAGGTGATTAGGTCATGAGAGTGGAGACTTCATGGATGAGAATAGTAAGTATCCTTATAAAAGAGACTCCAGAGGCTGGGTGCAGTGTCTCATGCCTGTAATCCCAGCACTTTGGGAGGCCGAGGCAGGTGGATCGCCTGGGGTCAGGAGTTCGAGACCAGCCTGGCCAACATGGCAAAACCCTGTCTCTACTAAAAATACAAAAATTAGCCAGGTGTTGTGGTGGGCACCTGTAATCCCAGCTACTTAGGAGGCTGAGGCCTGAGAATTGCTTGAACCCAGGAGGTGGAGGTTGCAGTGAACTGAGATCGCGCCACTGCACTCCAGCCTGGGGGACGGAGTGAGACTGTCTCCAAAAAATAAAATACAATAAAAGAGACTCCAAAGAACTTTCTAGCCCTCTTGCCACCACCTAAGGATGCAAAGAGTTGACAGCAACCTGGAAGAGCCCTCACCAGAACTCGACCATTCTGGCACTCTGACTTCCAGCCTCCACTGTGAGAAATAAATTTCTATTGTTTATGAGCCACTCAGCATATGGTACTTTGTAGCCCTAGACAGGCTAAGACAGGTAATTAGCAATTTTAGGTGATTTTCATCATCAAAATTTTCATGATGGCATTTTGGAGAATTCACATAAACCACTCTGTTACCCTCCTAAAAGTATTGCTCAAATACTGAATTATATTTATGCTTGCCAAAGTTAATTTTTTTCCAACAAGTAACACTAGCCACTTCATTTTGTGCTTTTGATACAAAAGCATTTCCCAATCCAGCGGCTTTCATCTTCTGGCCTGGTTGGCAAAAGTGTAACTCACTTCTGCACCCTCTCTGAACCCTAGTCTCCTCCTCAAATGTAAAACAGTAATAAACCTTTCTTACCCAGGAAGCCATTATAAGGATTATAATCAACATAAGATATAATTCTTTAATTATCAAAGCAGTTGCTGGCATGTGGCAGGCATTCAACAGAAACCGTGTTGCTATGTTATTTTTATTGTTACCATTAATATTCCTATTGGGATTGAAACCCTTATGTCATATCAAAACTTTTCCATCTTTGACAAATGAGACATATTAGGATAGTATCTTAATAATATGTAAGAGTTTAGTGCTTGAGCTATTCAATTATTAAACTTTGCTTCCAAGACCACAGACTGGTGGTATATACTGTGTGCGTGTGTGTGTGTGTGTGTGTTTGTGTGTGTGTATGAGAAAGAATATGCTGTTCTTTTCTTCTTCTGGGTAGAAGTTGTTGAGCCTTCAAGGGAAGAGGTTTTCACCTACAGCAGACAGTGCCAGTTCTCTTGGTGTGAGGGATTCTGGGAGATGGCTGCCCATTTCCATATTCATGAATTTTATAAACATGGTCTCAGATAAATGCAAGTGTACACTTCGGTGAGCTCATTTGTTTTTGAGCAGAGGGGATAATACGGCCCTAAATAATGTGCTTCCCTGTCAGCCAGGAGAGTTACATTCTGGAGATGTGTGTGTCGGTGGGTGCGGGAGGCAGGTGGTGTTGAGGAGATAGGGAAGCCAACAGGACAAAGCTCAGAGGGAAAACAGCCCAATCTAAATCCAGTTCTTTCTCTGTGTGGATTCCCACTGACTTCCAAACCTCTCAGCTCCCTGACTCAGTGGTAAGGAAGAAAAAAGTACCAGGATTGAGGGGATGGTGTTCTAGCCCTCCAGCAGAGGAGTAAGATGTGTGAGCCCAGGGTGAAGCAAGTGCACAATTTTAGTAAAAGATTTTCATTGGCCATACTGAATGAATCATAAAGGGATGTGAAGAGGCTACCTCTGGCATCATTGTCATAAACACAGCTGGTGAGGGGGGAGGTGGTGTTCTCCTGGTGTCAAAAGACAAAATTATTTACAGATCAAATTGGCTTTTATTCATGATTCATGAATCCAGTAGCCTCCATTCTATAAAATAGAATTAGAGTTCCCACTGGGGAATGGCAGAACAGTGGTTTTGTAAGGTGGGAACAAGGAAACAGTATTATTTTAAAGGTTGATTGGTTAGTGTCAGCTTAATTCAGACTACTTTTCTCGTCATGGTTAAAGCAAATGGGACTTCCTTATTACTCTGACTCAGGCAGACTGAACTCTTTCTGATGGGTTGCTGTGACTCTTGTTTTCAAGAAAAACTGGTCTATTTGGGGACCACCAGCTTTCTTAAAGTTTCAGCTTGGTTAAATGGCACTTAGCATGAGTGACTCCACTTTAGTTTGGTCTGTTGGGACCTAGTGCAGGAGCTCACTCTAAAACAATGCCCTCCCGTAATTTTTCTATAGCACCTGAAACGGGGTAGAGCAGAGATTGAAGGAAACATTTGCTTGGGTCGTCATTTTCCTCAAGGACTGCGCTACCAATTGGAGTCAACACTTCTAGGTGCCTCCAGTTTGGTACAGTATGTAAGGGGTTGAATTGCATCCCCCAAACAGATATGTTGAAGCCCTAACCCCTGGCACCTGTGAATGTGGCCTTATTTGGAAAGAGGGTTGTTACAGCCATAATCCAGTTAAGATGAGGTCCTTCTGGATTAGGGTGGGCCCTCATCTGATTGATTGGTGTCCTTATAAAGAAAAGGAAAAGAGTCACAGAGGGAAGAAGGCCATGTGAAGATGGGGGCAGAGATTGGAGTGATGCTGTCACAAGCCAAGGAATGTCTGGGTTACCAACAGCTGGACTTTGTAGACAGCATGGCCCTGCCAACACCTCGATTTCAGTTTCTGCCTCCAGAACTGTGAGAGAACACGTTTATGTTATTTGAAGACACTGAGACTGCCGTCCATTGTTCCAGCAGCCACAGGAAACGAATGCCCTGCATTCTTACAGCACTGCGGCAGGGGTGGAGTGATTAAGAGCAGGGGCTATGGAGTCAGCTTTCCAGGGTTCAAGTCCTAGCTCCACTGCTCAGGAGCCACTACTGAGAATTGTTCAGAATCAACCCAGCTGAGGTCTGAAGATCATTTAGACCGGAGCCTCGCCCACGGTAAGCACTGCCCAGGTGCCAGGTGTTATTATGGCTGGGCTGGCCAGTTCTTCCTCTTAGGTTTCCTTGCTTAGAGTTTGGGAAGGAAAAAATAACCCACCTTGTTGGTGTTTTTTTCTACTGTTTTTAGGCTGCTTAACCTTGCTGTTTCATAAAGTAGCCAAATTCTCTTATTTTCACAGGACATTGGAATCTCAGATATACAAGGAAGCTGAAGAATTTTCTAATTTTCAGTCCAATCTCATGGACTGAAAAGTCAGTCTCATAGAAGACTGACTTTCCGATGTCCCAACTCTTGGTTTTTTCCTATCTCCATTTGAGCACCTACAATGGAGAATTCACTGCCCTGTAAGAAAACACCTTCCACTTGCTGATAGGCTGACTTCTAAGTTTTTCTTTGTATTGAAAATCTGTCTCTTTCACTTTGTCTTTGGAGCTAGAGAGGAGACTCTTCAAATTAAAGGGAGTGTAAAATGTGAAGACAGCTGCTGAGTCCTCTTTGAGTCTGTCCTGTGAGACACCCTTCCATTTAGAACTCTTCCTGTGTGACTTGGCTCCTCTCTCACAACACCTGGGGACACATCCATCTCATAAATCCTGGGGTCTAGATCTCACTTCCACATTGGAGCACTTTGGGATTCACAAGGTCTGCTGCAATACAGCCTGCTCTGTTATCTTCTTCCTCTTTCCTCTACCATCCACTGCACATCTGTGCTCTGGGGAACCATTCACAAGTTTCTCTAAATTGGTAGCTCCAGATGTATCCAGTTTATGCAAGCAACTTACACTCACAGTGCTTTCTTATTAATTTTTTTCTACTACTTATTACAAGTGTAAGTTATGGCAAGTAACCCAGAGGTATTAAGGAAATAGATTTTGATATCAAATGCAGTTGAAAAGGCAAAAAAAAATTATAGTGTTTGACGTTTGGATATTTACATAATTTAGAAAAGCAATGAAATGATCCCTAGATAAAAAAGCCGTTAGTCAATGTTCATATCTTTCCTCAAATGTAGACTTTCTGAATTGCATACCAGCAGAATCAGTTTCTAATTTGTCATGTCTGTTGGATTTCTGAATTAAGGGGTGCGGGTGTGGAGTCAGTGGATATTAGAACTGCCCTCCCTTGGGGTCTTCTCCTCTCTTGTTTCTCTTTGAACTGTGGCACACCCTCATGATGATCAAGGGGCCACCCAGTGACACCTGCTCCCCTTTTTGTCTTGGGCTTTCCTGCAGGCTCCTTGGTGATGGGCATGTGGTCAGCAACAATGAGATTCTCCAGGTTTAGGGAGTATTGCTGTTTGCTGGATTTTAGAGAGGAGACATGTGATTCCAGGACAAATCTTTCATATCAGCTGTTAGTTGTGTCTAGATCAATCTGGGACTTTCCCAACACTAAGCAGGAGGGGCCTGTTATCAGGAGATACCAGAGGTCAGTAAGGAAACATCTAATTCCAGTGCCAGCAGCACTTTGTGCACTCTTTTTGACACTAACTTGAATATGTATTTAAATAAAGATGCTCTGTATTGACCACAGATTAGTCTGAATAATCCAAAACTTTAAAAACTTCCCCACATTGGATGTGGGGTCTAGGGGCCCCCTAGGGATGGTCTAGGGTCCAAGACTTTACCTTGGTAGGCAAAGATAGGGCTTTACCCAGAAGAGAATAAATGTCTTCACTGCCAGTTACCTTCAGAAATGGTTAATCCTGGGTAGCAGATGGCATCTTTTGCAGCATAGTTTACTGGGCAAGAGCATGGATTCTAGAGCCAGGCTGACTGGGCTCCAATCCCAGCTTGGTCACTGATTATATGACCTTGGGATAAATCACTAAACCTTGCAATGCCTCAGTTTTCTCACTTGTAAAATGAGCATAATAATTGAGCCCGCATCGTAGAATTTTAAAATAAGTATTAAATTAATACTTTAAAACACGTGTAACAGTGCCTGGCATACAGCAAGTGCTATGGGTGTGTTCTTGTTAAATAAACTGGGAGGAAGTTATTCTTCCTGTTTCTAGGGCTGGGGGATTCAGATCTGAGAACCACTTTATGGAGGAACCTGGAGAAGTCAGGAGGTGGGGTGAACTGCTATGAGTTACCTAGAAATGAGCGAGAAATCAGACAAGCTTTTCTCTCTGTTGGGTCTGTGTCTAAGCTGATGTCTTAGACTCTCCATCAAAAGGATCCAGCCAGTTCGGAGGGAGGAAATCTTCAGTCACTTGCTGGCCTCCTGCCCTGCTTCTGTACAGCATCCCCGTTGGCCCCTGCCACCCAGTCTCCTCCCTCCCATCAGGTCTCAGCCATCTTTCTGAAGTATATTTGTGGATGAGGCTGGATGAGCCCACTAAAGCAGAGAGCTGGTATCAATGATGTTGGTGGCTCACACTGGAGCCCTTGCAGCAATCTTAACTCACGGGCTGAAAAATAATCTTGTAAAATTTAGACATCCCAGCCTCAACTCAACCTGAGTACTCCACACTCCACTGGTCCTATCAAGGGTGGCCCCTGGTGGGCCCCAAAAACACAGCCTCTGTCCCCACATCATGATGGAGAACAGGTCTTGTTTGCTGTTGAGTAGAGAACAAATGACCTGACTAAATTAGATGGGGAACTACTTGGCATCTGACATATTTCCAGATTTTTGAGTAACAGATCGTATCATTCACTTAGTTCACATAGATATCTGAGGTCTTTGAAATTCAAATATACTTGGTAATAACCCAAGGACCCTTTCTGACAGTGCCTTTGATAGTTCTGTAGTCTTCAAAGGACAATAACTAATCTTAGGATTAAAACACATGTTTCTAAAAGCAAAATGGTTCCCAATACAGATAGTGAACTTAAAGTGAGATTGAGTAAATACCATATCCTTGTTGGAATTAATGTTTACAGAAGTACTCTTCAGTTGCTTATCAATCATGATACTACAGGACAGATAGACTTGTCGGACCAGAAAATCAAGGCCCAGAAAGCCAGAGAATCCTTCCCATCACAGCAGAGACCTCGATCTCATTGCTCCAGGTTGACTCTTGGTTCTAATTTTATTTCCACAGAAGTTGAAGTCATCTTCAAGTAAAACCTGTGTATTGTTAATGTATCCAGAACAGTGCCTGACATATACTAGGCACTCAGTGAACATTTGCTGAATAAATGAATGCCGTTTAAAAACATCCAAGGATGCTGTATCTTTGTCTACTTTGGAGGGAATGTCTGTATCACAAGAATAAATTTGATACAACATAGAACAAGATGATCATCTGACACAATTAGTATTTCACTTGAATTGTTTATTAGGCATTTAGCCACATGACAAAAGACAATTTGAAGACCACAGATATAATTTCAAGTTGCGTGAACATTGATTGCCCTGGAAAATATATCAGTGAGGCTTTCCTACCACTTCTGATGACTGCAAGAACATGAAAATCTATAATGTTTTAATCAACAAAAATCACAGCTAATGAATAAAAGCTATGGCCATGAAGATTAACTTTTTAATTAGCAAATAATATTTCTTTGTTGATGAGATACTAAGCAGACAAAATCACAACCCTCTGGATAACTTTGGAGAAAGACATGGGAAGCCACAGACAGCTGAGTTCCATGAAGGCAGGATGATATTTATTTGCTTCTTATTCCAGTTTTCAGATATATCTCTCTTCAATTTTTGATTCCTACAGGGAAAAAAAATAGCATGAGCATATGGCTACATTAAAAAAAATAAAGAAGTCCCTCTCCCTCTCCCTCTCCCTCTCCCTTTCCCTCTCCCTCTCCCCCCTCTCCCTCTCCCCACGGTCTCCCTCTCCCTCTCTTTCCACGGTCTCCCACTGATGCCCAGCCGAAGCTGGACTGTACTGCTGCCATCTCGGCTCACTGCAGCCTCCCTGCCTGATTCTCCTGCCTCAGCCTGCCGAGTGCCTGCGATTGCAGGCGCGCACCACCACGCCTGACTGGTTTTCGTATTTTTTTGGTGGAGACGGGGTTTCGCTGTGTTGGCCGGGCTGGTCTCCAGCTCCAAACTGCGAGTGATCCGCCAGCCTCGGCCTCCCGAGGTGCCGGGATTGCAGACGGAGTCTGGTTCACTCAGTGCTCAATGGTGCCCAGGCTGGAGTGCAGTGGAGTGATCTCGGCTCGCTACAACCTCCACCTCCCAGCCGCCTGCCTTGGCCTCCCAAAGTGCCGAGATTACAGCCTCTGCCCGGCCGCCACCCCGGTTGGGAAGTGCGGAGCGTCTCTGCCTGGCCGCCCATCGTCTGGGACGTGAGGAGCCCCTCTGCCTGGCTACCCAGTCTGGAAAGTGAGGAGCGTCTCTGCCCGGCCGCCATCCTATCTAGGAAGTGAGGAGCGCCTCTTCCCGGCCGCCATCCCATCTAGGAAGTGAGGAGCGTCTCTGCCCGGCCGCCCATTGTCTGAGATGTGGGGAGCGCCTCTGCCCCGCCGCCCCGTCTGGGATGTGAGGAGCGCCTCTACCCGGCCGCGACCCCGTCTGGGAGGTGAGGAGCGTCTCTGCCCAGCTGCCCCGTCTGAGAAGTGAGGAGACCCTCCGCCTGGCAACCACCCCGTCTGGGAAGTGAGGAGCGTCTCTGCCCGGCAGCCACCCCATCCGGGAGGGAGGTGGGGGTCAGCCCCCGCCAGGCCAGCCGCCCCGTCCGGGAGGGAGGTGGGGGAATCAGCCCCCGGCCCGGCCAGCCGCCCCGTCCGGGAGGGAGGTGGGGGGGTCAGCCCCCCGCCCGGCCAGCCGCCCCATCCAGGAGGGAGGTGGGGGGGTCAGCCCCCTGCCCGGCCAGCCGCCCCATCTGGGAGGTGAGGGGCGCCTCTGCCCGGCTGCCCCTACTGGGAAGTGAGGATCCCCTCTGCCCGGCCAGCTGCCCCGTCCGGGAAGGAGGTGGGGGGGGTCAGCCCCCCGCCCGGCCAGCCGCCCCATCCGGGAGGTGAGGGGCACCTCTGCCCGGCCGCCCCTACTGGGAAGTGAGGAGCCCCTCTGCCTGGCCAGCCGCCCCGTCCGGGAAGGAGGTGGGGGGGTCAGCCCCTGGCCCGGCCAGCCGCCCCGTCCGGGAGGGAGGTGGGGGGTCAGCCCCTGGCCCAGCCTGCCGCCCCGTCCGGGAGGTGAGGGGCGCCTCTGCCCGGCCGCCCCTACTGGGAAGTGAGGAGCCCCTCTGCCCGGCCAGCCGCCCCGTCCAGGAAGGAGGTGGGAGGGTCAGCCCCCCGCCCGGCCAGCCGCCCCATCCGGGAGGAAGGTGGGGGGGTCAGCCCCCTGCCCGGCCAGCCGCCCCGTCCGGCCAGCCACCCGGTCCAGGAGGTGAGGGGCGCCTCTGCCCGGCCGCCCCTACTGGGAAGTGAGGAGCCCCTCTGCCCAGCCACCACCCCGTCTGGGAGGTGTACCCAACAGCTCATTGAGAACGGGCCATGATGACAATGGCGGTTTTGTGGAACAGAAAGGGGGGAAAGGCGGGGAAAGGATTGAGAAATCGGATGGTTGCCATGTCTGTGTAGAAAGAGGTAGACACAGGAGACTTTTCATTTTGTTCTGTACTAAGAAAAATTCTTCTGCCTCGTGATCCTGTTGATCAGTGACCCTACCCCCAACCCTGTGCTCTCTGAAACATGTGCTGTGTCCACTCAGGGTTAAATGGATTAAGGGTGGTGCAAGATGTGCTTTGTTAAACAGATGCTTGAAGGCAGCATGCTCGTTAAGAGTCATCACCACTCCCTAATCTCAAGTACCCAGGGACACAAACACTGCGGAAGGCCGCAGGGTCCTCTGCATAGGAAAACCAGAGACCTTTGTTCACTTGTTTATCTGCTGACCCTCCCTCCACTATTGTCCTATGACCCTGCCAAATCCCCCTCTGTGAGAAACACCCAAGAATGATCAATAAAAAAAAAAATAAATAAATAAATAAAAATTAAAAAAATAAAGAATAAGAATTGCATGTACTTCTTATTTGAATATAAAGAACGAACGTATAATTTCTCCAATGAAACAGAGACAATTGTGCAATGCCAAAGAGTTTGAACTTAAATAAAGGAATTTTTATTGCCAATCTGGCTTCTCTGATGAAAACTGTATTAGTGTCAACTAGAATCTCTGCCTAATTTTCTACCCTCTGTAAAATAAGAATAGTTCCTACTTTCTCTCAGAGCTATGACCACATGAATATGTGTAATAAACTCAAATAAGTACAAGTAAAATCAAGATATTAAGATTTTTATTGTTCTAATCTGTCCAAAACAACATACATGCATTAGGACTTACTATTGTATCACATATCTTTTTAAAAATTGAATTTCATTTTTACCTTTTGAATCTACAGCAAATATAATGACTCCAGAGGAACTGAGACTCCTATCGGAAACACACCTTTGCTGATAAATTTTCAGAGCTACACTCTCCACATATGTTCTTCTGGGCGTATGTCAATAAGATCCTGATATGATACATGCTTATGAGACAGATGCAAACGTGGGGTTGCAGAAATGCGAGTCGGGAGCGTTTGCCTGATAGGGATTTGTTTCATACAGAGCTTACAGCGGTACTTTCCCTCCCCTCACATAGTCTTATGCTGAGAGCAATGGAATAACTTCAACATATAAGCCTCTCCCCACTACCTTCCAGAGATGCTTGAGATACCACTTTGGAGTTGCTCTGGGTCAGCAGTTCTTCCTCAGACCCCAGGTCTTTCTCAGCTTATGAGTAGGGGAAGGCCCTGGTTGCACCAGGGAAAGGACCTGGTTCTCAGGGCACATTTTGACTCAGAAGGTAGCCCTTTGGCTTCAACTTTCAGGAGCCATGGACAGGTCTATCACATATACCAAACATGATTTTCAACTTCTGACTTGTTGAGCACTATACTTTTTCAGATATTCACAATTAAAATCAACAGCAAAGAAGATAAAAATTGTAGGCAATCAGGAAATGCATTACATGATCCACAGATTCTAAATCCCCCACGGGTTATAATGAACGAGCCATTGCAAAAAGGATAGGGAGAGAGAGAAAGAGAAGCAGACCCTAAGGAGGGATCACAGATTCTTCCACCAAATGGGACAAAAAGACAAAAAAAAAAAAAAAAAAAAAAGAAAATAAACAGAAAAAGGTAGACATACCCCAACAGGATGACATTCTTAAGATAACCTAATGAAGAGGCTTTCTAAGGTTGTCTAGGTTCCCACAAACATAATTTTAAATACCCTCCATGTTGCCAACACTGCATTTATTTAAAATGTGTGCTTTGTTTTTACAAATTAACTGCATGCTGTCTCCAGGGTTTAACTATGAGGGGTAAACCCCTCACAACTGCAAGAAGCCCGGTAGTCGAAACATATCCTTTCTTCAAACCATCAAGAATTTGGACGGCAAGTCGTGAGTCATAATAAATTCCCTTTTTATTGTTTTCATTAGTTCTCTAAAGGTCACCAGTTTCTTATATGAGCTTGTTATGATAGTAAGTTATCTCAACAAATGCTGTTTGAAGAAACCTGAAGTATTATAGAGATTGATGTAAGAATAAAAAGTAAAAATCTAAG
Source organism: Homo sapiens (assembly GCF_000001405.40). Classification (NCBI taxonomy): domain Eukaryota; kingdom Metazoa; phylum Chordata; class Mammalia; order Primates; family Hominidae; genus Homo; species Homo sapiens. The sequence goes on from NC_000007.14 coordinate 50,462,697, forward strand.
TTTTAAAAGAATTATTACAATGTATCATTCCTTCTACTTCTCCAGAATTAACATGGTTTTCTCTTCTTCTTGTTTTTTTTTTTTTTTTTTTTTGGACTGAGTCCTGCATTATCGCCAGGCTGTAACGCAGTGGCGCGATCTCGGCTCACGGCAACCTCCGCCTCCCAGGTTCATGCGATTCTCCTGCCTCAGCCTCTGGAATAGCTGGGATTACAGGTGCATGCCACCACGCCCAGCTAATTTTTGTATTTTTAGTAGAGACAGGGTTTCACCACTTTGGCCAGGATGGTCTCAATCTCTTGACCTCATGATCTGCCCACCCTGGCCTCCCAAAGTGCTGGGATTACAGGCGTGAGCCACCGCACCCGGCCTTCTCTTCCTTATTTTAAGGTGAGGGAAATGCACTCTGGCAGCATTGAGTGGCCGGGCTGGGCCTGTAGCTGGGTCTGGACTCCAGGAGGACACTCTTGCCACGGGACAAGGAGACAGGCAGAAAATGAGCCCAGGGCAGCCTACCTGCAGCTGGCTTCACTCCTACTCCCTCTCTGCTCGCAGCACGTCGGCCGCCAGCTCTTTGATGTGTTCCCAGGCCCGCTGCACATGGGCAGATTCCACCGTGCGAGAACAGATGGCAAAGCGCAGGACAAACTTGTCCCTGAGGTGACATGGAACCAAGTGGATTTTTTTGGCACTGTTTATTCTTTGCAGAAGAGCTTCATTCACTTTGTTGGAACCCTGGAGGGATTGAAAGAGAGGAACTGTGCTCAGGTCTCTGAGGACTCAAAAATCAACTGGTCATGTAGGAAAGACAGTGCTTGGCAACCCTACCGTACATCAGGAAGAAGCCGACTAACCATCCCCCTTGCGTTTACGATGTTACAAAATTCAACAAAATAATAGTAATGCACCCTAAAAGACTGCATGCATCTTCTCCCCACAGACAATTTCTCTATATTCTGATGTGCCATCAAAAGATGACCCTTCCATGGTCTAAGTTTTTTTAAGGAAAATAAGGATCCCTGGATATGTAATCTACAAATATATGAGCTTAAACAGCAGAATTGGGGTTTCTGATGGCACCAGGGGAGGAGTCTCTAAATTCTCACGGAAACATAGAAGAGTCTCAGCAACCTAGAAAATGAAGCATAACGGTCAAGCTAGTGCTAGAATCTGAGAAGAATGTCCATGAACCACAGGACCGAGCAACCACTGGTGCCTCTCCAGACAAGCACGGCCCACCAGCCTGGGGTAGGCGCAGAGGCCCCACCCCTCCCACTACACTAGAGTTGGAAGCCTGGTATCAATAAGCCAATGGGAAGCCCTTGCTGTCCTGCCTGGGCCCTGCTTCCATAGCAGCCGGTCTTCTGACACTTCACCTCCATCTCCCTTTGCTCCTCTGTCCTTCTTCTGTTTGCAGGCAGTGACTCCATGTCTTCTAAGCCATGGAGTCTTAAATAGAAGGAACTGAATGTGGGACACTGCATCCTAGTCACCCAAACCTCACAGGACTGCACTTCGTGGCCCTGTCTTCAGAGTGGAGAAGCAGGGAGGATGAGTGGGAAGGAGAGAGTTCTATCCACTGCATGGAACCACCTCAGACGAGCACCTGCTGGATGTTGGCACCTGGCCATAGAGCTGTGCAAATCCCCTGGCCTCTAGCTATGGGCCTGAGTGCCCTGCTCCTGTTGTGCCCAGGTAGACAGTGATGGGCCAGAGGAAATTTGGAAACCGTGGGTGAACACCAAGGCTGGGTGAATCTGGATGAGGACTCAAGGATGAGGATAGAGAAAAAAAGAAATTATCATACCAAGGGAATGGAATTTTACCAAAAAGACTCAGTATGAGAGCAAACATCTGCAAAGTATAGAGCACAGAAAATGGAAGCAAATTATTTAGGAAAAATGTGCTTGCCATTTTCAAACAGACTGGATAGGGCAGTACTTCCATGAAGTAGAGGCAAGAAGCCTAGCAGAGGTGGGACAATTACAATGAACAAAGTAGGCTGAGTGCACACAGATGGAGACCAAGCAAGTTCTGGCCATAATGAGGATGGAGGGAGAGGGACCGTGATGCCATAGCAACATCACTTCTGCTTTAGTAAAGAGCCACATGACACACTGAAGCATTCAGCATGAGAGGACCTGAAATTCAGATTAGAGAGGATTAGACCAGGAGAGAGTGAGGCCAAGATGGCAGATATGGAGGCAGAAAAGTGAGCCACAGTGTTTGACTAACGCGCTTCCTCCAGAAACTGGATTTGCAGACTGGAGGCACAAGCAAAGTTTTACAAAAGGAAACATTTGTCAGCTGAAAAATGCCTTGGACTTCCTTCATGAGAGGACTCACTATATGGCATGAGAGAAGAATGGACAGAAACCAGTACACAGATGGGTTTGGTGGCATCTACAAATTATGCAAATAAAATAAAAGCCATAACCTTGACGACATTATGCTAAGTGAAGAAAACAGTCATAAAAGGCAATATGTTGTATGTTTTCATTTATACAAATGTCCAGAATAGACAAACCTACAGAGACAGAAAACAGATTAGTAGCCCTGAGGATGGGGAAAGTGGCATGACTGGGTGTGGGGTTTCTTTTAGGGGGATGAAAATGTTCTAGAATTAGATTGTGGTGATGGCTGCACAATTCTGTAGATATACTAAAAATACTCAAACGTAGCCTTTTTTTTTGAGACAGAGTCTTGCTCTGTCGCCCAGGCTGGAGCGCAGTAGCACAATCTCAGCTCACTGCAACCTCCGCCTCCCAGGTTCAATGTGGTTCTCCTGCCTCAGCCTCCCGAGTAGCTGGGATTACAAGCATGTGCCACCACTCCTGACTAATTTTTGTATTTGTAGTAGAGACGAGGTTTCACCATGTTGGTCAGGCTGTTCTCGAACTCCTGACCTCAAGTGATCTGGCCTCCTCGGCCTCCCAAAATGCTGGGATTACAGGCGTGAGCCACCACGCCCAGCCCAAATGTTAACTTTAAATGAACAAAGTGAATTATATCTCAATAGAACTGTTAAAAAAATAGAATATAAAAGTCCTAGAAGAAAACTGTCAACAAAAACAAGAATGAAAACAACTGCTTGACAGCAGATGAGTCTAATAAGCACGATGCCAACACTAAGGTTGGTTGACTGGACACATCCTGGACATGGATGGACTGAGGCTCCTCCCACAAACATCCAGAGCGTGTCTTGCCCTCTCGGTCCTCTGTGCACCTCCCAGGTCTCATCACTTTGTGCTCTTCCAAGGGCTCAAGTCTCCTCTCCTGCTCTGCTACCTGCAGGCTTTCCCACGGCTGCAGCTCCTCCTCGCCTCAGAGCTCCAAGAGTCAGGTGAGGCAAAAGGACATAGTAGGTGGAGTGGCAGTGCCACACTCTGACTGGCAGCCCCTTGACAATGACACTGACCCCAGCCTGCTCCTTCTCCTGAGTGCTGTCTTTAATTTGAACAAGGAAGCCTCCTGGAAAGGCTTGAAATGATTGTGAATTAAAAGCTACCTCAGCCGGGCGCAGTGGCTCACGCCTGTAATCCCAGCACTTTGAGAGGCTGAGGCGGGTGGATCACGAGGTCAGAAGTTCGAGACCAGCCTGACCAACATGGTGAAACCCCATCTCTAAAAATACAAAAATTAGCTGGGCGTGGTGGCGCACACCTGTAATCCCAGCTACTCAAAAGGCTGAAGCAGGAGAATCACTTGAACCCGGGAGGCAGAGGTTGCAGTGAGCCGAGATTACACCACTGCACTCCAGCCTGGGCAACAGAGTGGGAGACTCTGTCTCCAAAAAGAAAAAAAAAAAAAAAAAAAAAAAACCTTATAAACCAAACAGAGCATTTGGTCTCACCTGGCTCTGTGTACACAAGGGAGATTACCAAGGGGCATGTGTGCAGTGCATCTTAGAGCCTTTTTGAGAACTGTATCATGATTCTCAGTAGAGATGGCTTATGCCCCAACCCGTGTGGGCCAGCCTGCCCTCACCTGGTGAATGCACAGCATCAGGCAGCAAAATAACAGCACGCCACAACACAGTGTCAAACAGACTCCTGTGTGGGCATCTTGTAAAGGTGCGCAGCCAGCAGCTCTAGGGTGGGGCCCAAGACTGGCTTTTCTAAGGAGCTCCCAGACAATGCTGATGATGCTGATGCTGTTGATCCACAGAAGACACTCAGATTAGTGAGGCTATGGACAGGCCGCTGTCCTCCAAGGAGGGCCAGTGGCAGAGGTGTGGGATGGAGCCTTGAGGAAGGAAAAATGGTAAAGATTCTGCGGCCAATAAGCTATGTAAGTTAGAAGTCTCATGGCAGGCTTGAGGAAGCGGGAACAGCCGCTGTGCGTGGAAACAAGGCTGTGTAGCATGGGGCAGGGCAGGCCGGTGGGCCAAAGAATGCAGGCTTTGCTCTGCCATCTCTGGAGAGCCAGTGCCAGTGTTTGAGCATGGAGGTAATGAACAACACTTTCCCCTCTGTCACATTCACAGAAAATGAAGAATGGAATAGATGTAGACAAACCTTTAGCCGAAAGCAGACAAGCCCCAGAATGACTTCCACACAGATTTCAAAGCGGGGATCCTGGCGCACCAGTGACTCAAACTCATGGGACAGCTGGACATGCTTCAAAGAGGAAAGGGAAAATCTGTTTTTCTCATGGCCATTTAATTCAGAACTTAACTACCTAGAAAACCTTATTAGACTGCCCATGTATAATTCATTTAGACGCTCTTGGCAATTTTCCTCAAGTGCTTTTACCGTTCACTGACCAGCTGTTTCCAGGCAGGCTAAGAAACTCATTCCCTACATTAGCACAGGTCTAGTGTCCTCAGAACACCAATTGTCATTTTCTTCTGTTCATGGGACTATTCTTATCCCACCCAAACTGTCTTTTATAATGTTAGAATAAACACCGTGAGGAGGTATTTGATCATTCTGGAAGAGACAATGGCTAATGCCCATCGAGTTGCTCCTCTGTGCTTGAGGTGCCAGCGCTCACCACTGCGGCATCCTCAGGACAGCCCACAACACAGAAGATATCATGATTATCCCCATTTTGGAGATAAGAAAACAGGCTGGGAGAGGGTGAGCGACATGCCCAAGGTGCACCCGGAGGCCTTGGCTGAGCTAGGATTCTAAGGCAGCCTGATGGAGCTGCAGCTCTGTGGCTGCCACAGCTGTTGCTCCTCCTCCGCGTTTGCCACCTAGAGCTGGGCATCCTGTCCGCTCTGTCACATTCAGAAACGGCCTTCCTCTCATTGAATATCACACTGACCTTATTTCACTTCCAAATAGTTATAGAACTCAGAAGCTATTCAGACAGCATGTGATCCTAGGAGAAGGAGCCCTCCGTGGCGTAGGCCCGTGCCTTGCTCATTCTAAGCCCGCGGATACAGCAGGGCCCCCATGTTGCAGGTGCTGGGGAGGACCTGCGGAAACGCGGCGCCTCGCGGGCAGGGGGTGGCTGGGACAAAAACACGTGTCATACGAGTGGTTCCTCGTCATGCCACCAGAGAGCGCCAAAGACCTCGGCCTCATGGGCGATCCCGAAAGCCGGTTCCCGCCCAAGGAGACAGGCTTTGAGCATCGCTGGACTCTGCTCCTAAGGCAGGATTGGGTCCCCTTTAAGAAAGAAGTGGAGTGTGTTTTAAACAGGAGCCAGCATGATCATAACTAGTTGTCCTTGAGCTTAAAGACGTCATCATTGTGGGGAGATAAATCCCTTATTTTTTGGCTTTCTTTCCCCAAAAAAGCTGAATTCGTCTCAAATGGGTAGAGGGGGATTTCCTACCCAGGAATTCATATACATACTCCTTTCCCAGTTCTCGCCCCCAAACAGGTCCTCATAGTGCTCGGCAGCTCCTGGAACTGTCCTCACCGAAGCTTTGGGAGTAGGCAGTTCATGGCACATCCTAGGCATTCTATGAAGCTTGCAGATGGATGTGTTTATATATGCTGTGCCACAGAGGAGGTGGCTGGGGACACCTGCCCCTGCACACCTGGTTGTGAAGTGGCAACAGGACTTAAAATGGAGGGCTGTTACCATCACTAAGGCTGAATATCATAAGTGTGCTTGTTCCCATGAAGCCTGGGGACCTCTGTCCATCAAGATGAGGCCACAGCTTAGGAAGGACACCAGGATCAGAGAGAGCCAGCAGAACAGCAGCAGGCCTTCTGCAGCTGGCTAAACGGGTGGCTCTAGGCAGATCCAGGCTCATATTCAGGACTCAGTTTCCTCATTTTTTTTTTTTTTTTTTTTTTTGGTGAGACGGAGTCTTGCTTTGTCACTCAGGCTTTAGTGCAGTGGCACAATCTCTGCTCATTGCAACCTCTGCCTCCCAGGTTCAAGTGATTCTTCTGCCTCAGCCTCCCGAGTAGCTGGGATTACAGGTGCCTGCCACCATGCCTGGCTAATTTTTTGTATTTTTTTTTTAGTAGAGACAAGGTTTCACTATGTTGGCCAGGCTGGTCTAGAACTCCTGACTTCATGATCTGCCCACCTCGGCCTCCCAAAGTGCCGGGATTACATGCGTGAGCCACCACACCCAGCCAATTGTTATTTTAAAAAAAAAAAAAAAAAAAAAAGCAGGGGAGTGGGGCTTGGAGCTGATAAGTGGTTCTCAAATTTTAGTGCATAGAGAAGGTGTCTGGTTTGCTTGTTAAAACAGAGGTTGCTGGGCCCCACTGCAGGCCGGCACTGCTGGTCTGGAAGCATGTCTGAGAACCACTGGACTAGGGAATATCTATCTTATTCTGGCAATTTTGGGGGAGAAAAACACAGTCCTTATGTTCTCATAATTGCCATTGCTCAATGAACTTCATTCTTGGCTAGATGTGGCTAAAGCACAACCTATGTGATGTTTCTACTGTGACCATCTTCCTGGACCTGATAACCTGCAATCTTAACGAAAGTGACTTAACAGATCTTATAAATAACCTCATCTCAACAACCCAAACTACAGTCTGGTTCTCTTGCCATGTATTTGCTTATTAAGACATTTGAAGGCCAGGTGCAGTGGCTCACACCTGTAATCCCAGCACTTTGAGAGGCTGAGGTGGGTGGATCACCTGAAGCCAGGAGTTCAAGATCAGCCTGACCAACATGGTGAAACCCAATCTCTACTTAAAATACAAAAATTAGCTGGGCATGATGGCGCATGCCTGTAATCCTAGCTACTCAGGAGGCTAAGGCAGGAGATTCGCTTGAACCCAGGAGGCAGAGGTTGCAGTGAGCTGAGATTGTGCCATTGCACTCCAGCCTGGGGGACAAGAGTGAAACTCTGTCTCAAAAAAAAAAAAAGAAAAAAAATTTGAATTTATTTCTAAAGTCCCGAAAGACCTCCGCAATTTTACCGTGATAAATAATAAAAACAAAGTCACCTTGCGGATATAAGCCTGCAGTCCTTTGACTCCATACATCCTAAATACAAACCACATTTTCAAAGAGCGAAATCTTCTGCCCAGTGGTATCTGCCAATGCTGAAATGAAACATGAAACAGACCATCAGTGAGGAAGATATTAAAAGCTGGCTTCCTTTTCGGCTCACCGGCTCGCCTATTTCTCTTGGAGGCAGCCGATTCCCTGGTGGCCAACCTGCTCCCATTGCCATGGCCTGTCTTGGATGGCAGGGCCCTCGGTGATGTGGGCAGAGGCTTTCTTTGCAAATCTCCAAGAGAAAGGAACACAGATGGGGACTGTTGACCTGGGAGCCAGTGATGTTCATTGTTTTCACTCAACAGGTGTTTGCGGCATGCACAGCAGGGCCAGACCTTGGGCTGTCCCCTAGGGTTCCGTGGTGAGCAAACAGGGAAGACACGGCCCTGCCCCCAGTGAGCTCACCATCCAGTGGGGATAAGGGGGTAATTTTCATTGATGTCCTTGCCTACGAGGAAGGAGGGAGCCAGAACCTGCTCTTGTCTGCCACTTCTGCCCCAGATGTTCTGGCACTGTTTTCTAGAGCAATACTGGTTCCCTCTTGGTCCTACTGATCACCATGGAGTGACCCCAAGACCCCTCATCAGAAGACACAATGTGTGTCTCCATGCTGGTGCTCCAGAAGCTTTCCCTGTCCTTCCTCTGGTTTTCCCAGACCCAGTCAGTTGACCGGCCCCCACACACTGAGGGATGGAGATGTGGTGAAGTGAGTAAGGAAGGACTGGGACGAGGAGACTGCTGGGAAGTGAGCATAGCAGCACTGTGTGGTCATCTTAACAGTCATATTCTATTTCAGCTATAAAGGAGACACTGAGGAGAGCTGAGCCAGCTCCCTACTGGGCCTGGGTGACACAGTGCAGCCAGGCGCGACACTCTAGCGCAGCTGGGCCATCTGCCGGGTGGGACTGCTTAGCCGGAGTCCTGAGTCCCGCACTGCTCCCCAGTAGGAGGGCTTGCAGGTGTTTTTTAAAGTGTGGGTGAAGGCCGGATGCGGTGGCTCACGCCTGTAACCCCAGCACTTTGGGAGGCCAAGGCAGGTGGATCACCTGAGGTCGGGAGTTTGAGACCAGCCTGACCAACATGATGAAACCCTCTCTCTACTAAAAATACAAAAATTAGCCTGGTATGGTGGCACATGCCTGTAATCCCATCTACTTGGGAAGCTGAGGCAGGACCCAGGAGGCGGAGGTTGCAGTGAGCCAAGATGGCGCTATTGCACTCAAGCCTGGGCAATAGAGTAAGACTCCATCTCAAAATAAATAAATAAATAAAATAAAGTGTGGGTGGAATGAACAGGTGGCAACTGCTTCTGAACACAAGAGAAGTAGCTCAAGGGCCCAGAGCCATGGTTCTGCAGGAGCTTCTCAAGTCAAAAGGGAAACAGGGACCCAACCTCTGACTCAGGCATTCAGTGTGGTTCCCCCCAGTTGCACACCAGGCCCTGCCCGGTGTGTTGACACATTATCTCCTTTGAGCTTCCTAGCAGCACTGTAAACAAGGGTTCGGATCCCCACTTTCTTGGAGCAAAAGCAGGTATGGAGAGTGACTTGCCCAATGTCACCAAGCCAGCATGCAGCAGAGCCTGAGCCGAACCTGCACACACAGTTGTCTGCTGGTCAGCACTGTTTGCAAGCTGTTGGGCTGCTCAAGAACTAAGCTAACTTGTCTTTTGGGAAATCTAAAAGAAGAACCCCTTATCCCACCACTAGCTGACTGACTATCTAACAGTCAGTAAAACGACGCTTCCCTGCCATGGTTCAGCATGGGCGCTGTGTTCCAAAATCATTCCTCGACTGGTCAACTTCCTACAAATTAAAATGTTAGATTTCAGTCTAACATTTGGAAGAATACCAAGGTAAACTTAATTTCTGTGGTCCCGGAGTGAAAATGCACACAATCTAATTGAATGCTCACTCAAATGTGGCTCCAAATGTTGTCATGTTCTCTCCAGAGACTGAATTCGATGCACTGTCCCCTCCCCCAATATGCTCCTGGGTGCCTGCAGTAGACAGCTGTGACCCCTGTGTACCCAGCCTCACCTCCTGCCAGACTAAGTTCCCAGAGGAAAGGGACTCTGTCTCATTTGCCTTTTTAGTCCCAGCCCCAAGCCCAGCACCTGGCTTGGCATGGCGCGGCCAGCCCACATTTTGTGGAAGATTGTTGATGGACGTACTTAAATAAATCAGGAGTAAAACCCATTTGACCCTCATTCATGGGTCATCTGAAAGGATTCTTTATGTAGAAGTCAATTCATATTTGATGCTTCCCGGACATCAAATGATCTATTTCCTGGTACTTTTTCCTCCACAATTGATCATTTTTAAACCTGTATTTTGTCCCATTTTTGATAAGCCATCAACATCTTCCAGAAGATGCAGTTTCCTCATCCAAATAGCATGCAGGGCTGCATGGCTCAGTGGCTTGTGACCTAGGTCCGTGGTCCTGTCTTTCAATAGGTTCAGCAAACTTTTCTGAACCTCTGTCTCCTCCCCTATGAAACAGGCATAATGATGCCCACTTTACCCAGGACCGTGCAAACTGGAGGCAAATGGTGCTGTCTTACATCTTCAGTGTGCCGTTCACCATCAGAAAGAACACAGAGCTCTCTTGCCATACCTCGCGTCCTGAACAGCCTCCTCCTGGGACTAACACTCTGTCCTCGTGCCCTCATCTACTGACGGGGGATAGAACTACCAGGGTCTGCTCATCCTTTTCACCCCACACTTTCTCACTGGCCCAGTAGGCAGCCCACCATCCAGGGATCTTCTCCCCAGACTGATGGATCTTCTCCCCAGACCGCCTTAGGTTTGGGTTTCCAGCCTCTTTGAACAAAATGAGAATGTCTATGATATTCCTTCCCATTCCCTGCTGAGCCCAGCAAAGCAAATGCTCTGGGGACATTTGCCTGGAATTCACATTCAAGGTGGGAATCATAGAGGAGCCTGAGAGGTGCATGTGAGCACAGAGAGGGAAAGAGGTCACTGCATTGTAGCTAAAATAGCAGCAAAGAGAAGATGCCGGGAAATACGGCCAGGGACATCCCTGGGTTGTGGCAGATGGAGAGGGTTCAGTAAGAGGCAGTGACACTTGTGCCTGCACCCAAGGGATAGAAAGAGCAAAGCTGGGCTGAGAGGTGCCCTGGGGGCTCTGCACACCAGGGCCCTGAGGCTGCTCCCATACTCACACCCGGCCAACTTGTGTGTGCTTTCCCGGTGGCTGCCCGGGGCTGTCCCCACATGGCCACTCCTGCTTCCTGGGGCTGGTATGCTGAGGCCTAATGCCTGTGCTTCGCATTTAGAAGCCCCTCTGCTCCAGAACAGCTTTCACCTTCTGCATTCCATCTTTCATAAGGTTCATGCGTTTGTCCCCTCATCAGCCATGAAACATTGGCTGTGAACACATGATGTGCCATCTCCAGCCCTCTCTAGGAACACAGCAGCACAGAAGGCCAATCACCCCAGAGAGCCTCCCAAGCCTGGTGGATGGATGCCAGTGGGACTGGGCTGCTGTGGTGCTTCCCATCTGCCTGGGTTCCTTTAGAAGCAACAGGCAGCCAAACAAGGACTGTCCCCACATGGCTCCTGACTCATGCACTGCCAGCCATAGTGCCAGGGATCTCAGCATCATTGCCTGCCACAAGCGGCAAGAGGAGAGCTGGCAGGCAGAGGACTAGCTAAGGACTTGGGGCATGTCCTCTTGGGCCACAAAGGGCAGGCTGGAGGATCGAGGTGTCTCAGGTGTGTTTCAGAACAGGCATCAGGGCCTGCGTGGTCTGCGCCTCTGTCTCCCTCAGTGGCCTGGGAGTCTTGGAGGTGGCTTTGGGCCTCACTCACCTCTGAGTAGCTGCAGGAGCAGCTCATAGCTCCTGGTTGGAAAGGGAGTGCCAGTCAAGGGGCTGCCTTGAGATGGGGTGAAAGAGACCCAGGTCTCACAGCAGGACCAACAGGGTGGGGAGTACAGGGGCTGATCAAAGGATGCTTTGAAAGTAGGGCTGGAGCACAGGTTGCTGATGCTTGACCTTTCCTTAACCGAGGCCAATGCCTTTCATTAAGCTAGTAGAGATAACTAGTAGAGATAACTAGTTGAAGTAACAGAAGGACAAACGCTTTTCAAAGAATGCTTGGCCTATCAAGGCAGGGTGAATGGTGGGCTCAAGTCTTCTGGATTAGCAGTGCGGAAAGGGCCTGAGGTGCTGAGGAGAGTGAGGCTCAGCACTAAAGACAGAAGGGGACAGAAAGACCCCATGAGGGTCAGGGACTGGTGGTGGAGGGAGTAGGATGAAGAACCTAGGGTTGGGAAGAAGGAGTGAGCCCTGAGGACTGGAAGGCCCTGGATGGAGCAGAAGAACAGGCTGGGGAAGCCTCAGGCAAGCCCTGCCACCTTCGTGGTCCTGCAGGCGGGTGCCAGTACAGATCTGTGATTCTTGGTGAACGGTAGAAACTGTCTGAGGAGATCATGTTCCCTGAGCTGCTAGATGCGGGCAGAGCTGGGCTGGTTTTTGTCTTGGGCAATGTAACATAAGCCAGCATTGCTGGGGATTGTGCCCCAGGCCTTTGAAAGACAGTGCCAAGTTTATCTAAAAGGACTTTGGTTCCCAGAGGACTTGTTAGTCAATACGGAGTTTTTAGCAAAGCCTATGTTATTTTATGTGAACCAGAGATGGTGTTGTGCCTTTTTTTCTAATGATATCTAAGCTGGGAAAGAGCAAAATTAAAAAATAATAAAATAAAAGGCATGAAGTGTTCGTGCCTGTTACCCCATTTTCAGTCTCATGCTGCAGGAAGCAGCTCATCCTCAGCAGAAAGCTGGATGTGCCAGATGCCCACTGCATAGTCATTTAGGAAAGCAAGGGACTTTCCCAGGGAAGTAGTTAAATAACAGGGAAATAATTATACCATATAACATGGGATTCTGTGTAGATTTTCTGTACTTACTAAGGCTGTGGAGGAGTGGAGAAGGTATTGCAATTTTAGTTTCAGTGCCATGAGAACCAGCTGCAATGTCGTTTGTACAGCACGTGGCCCTCATGCAACATGAAGTCTGAGAAAGGCCACGAACCAGAGGAGGAGACAGAAACACAGGCCACAGAGGCGCGAGGATGAAAGGTCAGGGTGAGCTGGTCCTCAGGTTATTTTTAATATTATTGTCATATTTTCCCTTCAATAATAACTTTCCAAAAGATAAGTCAGATTGACAATGGGATTATATGAAAGTTTTAAATGGCATCATCCATGGATCTTCCCAGTGTGCCCTTATGTGCACACACCCTGGCCTTTCTCCCTGGGTGTAGAGCTGGGTGGTCCCAGGCAAACTTTGCCAAAACTGTCCTAGGACCAGCCTTGATGGCTTGGGAAGGTTTACTGCTGCCCCCCTGCCTCCTGGCTCACAGCTGTCACAGGAAGAAGGCAAGCTACCCATGCCTTTGAGGGGAAGCCCCTGCTGGGTCATTATCACACCGGCTGCTGACAATGTTTGCTCCAAACGCACTTAGACACACACCTCTGTCGGGAAATGGCAGCCTCTGCTTTGATGATGTCTGGTGCCCACCACACGTGGACACAGGTCATTTTTTTTTTTTTTGAGACAGAGTTTCACTCTGTCACCCAGGCTGGAGTGCAGTGGCATGATCTCGGCTCACTGCAACCTCTGCCTCCCAGGTTCCAATGATTCTCCTGCCTCAGCCTCCGGGGTAGCTGGGATTACAGGTGCCTGCCACCACACCCAGCTAATTTTTGTATTTTTAGCACAGATGGGGTTTCACCATGTTGGCCAGGCTGGTCTCGAAGACCTGACCTCAGATGATCCACCCACCTCAGCCTCTCAAAGTGCTGGGATTACAGGAGTGAGCCACAGCACCTGGCCACAGGTCATCTCTTGATGGCAGAAGACAGCCAGCTCAGTGGCCACACCTCTGTTCCCCCTGAGTTTCACCCTCCCCCTTGGGTTCTATTCTTTTGATAAGCTTCGCAGTACTGCCTTTGGTCCCAAATTCCTTTCCAGACTAACACTAGAACAACCTGGCATTTTCAAAGTATGCCTCATTCAACACTTGTTTCAAATAAAAACGAGAGAGGACCAATGCATTTGAGACTAGGCTGCTGAGATGACTGGCCCCACCTGGGAGCTTTTTCTGTTCCCTGACTCCTCCCTCACTCTCCCACTGCCACCACCAGTGCAGCCCCAGGCACACAGCAGCCCAGGGCAGAAGGGCCTTTTCCTTCCAGAGGAATGAGGGGCAGAAGCTCCTTTCTCCTCCCCAGGAGCAAAGTCCAGGGTCCAGGTTTCCCCCTCCTAACCTGAGACCTCTGACTGAGGGGTTCAGCAGAGCTGCCCGCCACCTGGCAGGACCCCCCTAATTTGTCAGTTAGGACCCAGTTAGAAGGTGCCCACCAGTGCGTGCTGATCATGAGAGTGGGGGAGGAGATGTGTGACAGCTGTGGCGTAGCCCCCCAGCACTCCACTAGCATTTGAGATTACAGTGGAATCTCCCACTTACCCGGTAGTCAGTGATAAGCCCTGGAGAAAAGAGAAAGAAAAAGAAAAAAGAAATCGTTAGACAGGTTTGTTGATCACACGCTAATCCTTTTCATTTTCCAGGTAAATTTCTTGTGTCTTCTAAGCCAGAAATAAAACTGCCCAAAGGCTGGGTCTGGGTGTTCTTTGCGGCACTTCCCAGGGTAACATATTCTAAGGGTGTGTCCCGAGAACAGGATGCCCAAAACACAAATTGGAAATGTTACACTCTCAATAGACCCCCATTAGTTTTGCTTTCTGCAGTTACATAGCATGAACATCTGAGGTTTCATCTAGTGCCCAGTAGAGAGTTAGCATTCAGATCACGTAAATCGTTCATCATTCATTCATTCATGCATGGGAAGGTGAATTTGTGATATACGGAGTGATTAGAATATTTTAAAAAGGAGAATGAAACTCTTGGTGGGATTATTCATCTCTGTATCCGTGGATCTTAGCAGATCTTAGTTCAGTATCTGGGACAGAGCAGACACTCAGTGAATATCTGCTGAGTCAGTTTTAACATCCAGGAATCATTGGCTCCACATTGGTTATGAAAAATGGATGATTTGCTTTTGAGCCTCCCCTCATGCCTAAAGCAGCAAACCCCAGGACAATAAAGGAGAAGGAACCCTGAATGCAGGCTCAGAGACGGGAGTTTCTATTAATACAAGTGATCCTGCACAAGACATCAGGTGAGGATTATGACAACATGCTGCAGTCCTGCTGCACAGATCGGTGGAAAAGGGAGTCTTGTGCTCTGGGAGTAGATCCACGAATGTGGGCTGGACCAGGCACATCAGTGTCCCCTACTTCCGCAGTCAACAGGGGCTGTGGCAGGGCCATAGCAGGCCCTGACCATGCTCAGCTGGGACAAGCTGTCCACCTAATACAACCCACGCCCCACCCTGCACTTCATCCACTGCACAGGAGTGCCTACATTGTATTTACAAGAACATCTGAAGTCACCACTTGGTATCATTCCCTAATAGTTATTTTCTCCACTAGCATAAAAAATGGCAGTGCTGGGAGGAGATGCAAGACCTCCACCCCCTGTTTTATGAGTGACCCTGAGATGGAAGCCCAAAGTCATACAGCCTATCTCAACCCATACACAGTACTCTCCTTTACGACACATGGCCTCTCATTAGTAAGGGAGCTTGTTAAACAAACATAACATCAATAGCAGCATCTGGCAATGATTCACAGAAACCACTGCAAATGAAACAACAACACTCAACAGAGTGCATGCAGAAAGCACTCAGTAAGAAATTGTCGACGCCAGGCGTGGTGGCTCACACCTGTAATCCCAGCACTTTGAGAGGCCAAGGCAGGCAAATCGCTTGAGCTCAGGAGTTCAAGACTAGCTTTGGCAACATGGTGAAACCCCGTCTCTACCAAAAAAAAAAAAAAATACAAAAAATTATCTGGGCCTTGTGCTGTACGTCTGTGGTCCCAGCTACTTGGAAGGCTGAAGTGGGAGGATCACTTGAGCCTGGGAGGTGGAGGCTGCAGAGAGCCAAGGTTGCACCACTGCATTCCAGCTTGGGTGACAGAGCCAAACCCTGTCTCAAAAAAAAAAAATTGTCAAAGAACCAGATGATTGTCATGAATGAAAATGAGGGAATGGCCCACCTTTTTAGTTTCTATTACCGCACCATCTGATACGGTAGCTAGTAGCCACATGTGGCTGTTGACGTTTAAATTTAAGTTAATTAAAACTAAAGGAAATTAAACTTTAGTTCTTCAACAGATGAGCCACGTTTCAAGCACTCAGTAGCCACATGCGGACTGGTGGCTGCCATATTGGGTGGTGCAGAATTATAAATTTCCCTCATTGCAGAAACTTCTACAGGAAAGAAAAACTGGAGGCTTTCAGTAGAAGAATTCAGATACGGTGTCTAATTAGTGCAAGTTCCTATCTGCTTCTCCGTGAATCTGCTTCCTTATGGACGAGTAAAGAACTGGCCCAGTTAGAAGCTTCCTTGCACAATTCTTTACTGTTAACATAAAGAAATGACAAACCTCTTAGCCAGTAGTTTCCTCTGACAATGGTTTTACTTGAACTGTGGACTACTTAATAGGTCTTATGTGCCTCATAAGATGTAAAACTTCATGAGGTACATGTGGGAAGGGCAGCTTGTATATTGGTAATTGGTAAGTGGTGCAGAGTTAAAGCGAACAATGCATTGAACAAGACTGGTAAGAAATACAGCAATATATTAGCAATATTTGCATTTGAGTGGTGGGATTACAGGAATTTTCTGGCCCAGCGTTGACTCTATTTTCCAAATGTACATCTTTAATAATAAGGAATACATCTTCAAAGCCTACATGACTAGTGTAACCACTTTACCTCCTCACCAGCGTTGTGACAGAATTTTCAGTTATCAAAAAAATTCTATTTATTTTGGTTCTAGTTCAACGCCTACCATTAATTAGCCAGATACACTGGCCCAAGTCAAATGAGACGACATAGGTGAAGTGCAAAAGCCAAGAATTGTGCATTCCGTGCTGTGGCCCCAGAGCAGCCTGTGTCCCCTGATGCCACTCGATAACTGCCCACTCATCCCCTCCCTGCTAGACGTTGCAGGTGGGTGCTGAGCCTCCTTGGCTGTCACCAGCGCCAGGCACAGAGAGCAGGCCTACTGACCAAATGACTTAGGTGCACCTTTGTGTGCTGATCTGAGCCTTGGCTTCATCTTATTTTCTCTTCCCTCACCAACCCTACTCAACCTTCTTCATTTACTTTGCCCCCTCATGGTATTGGTGGAAGGTGATGCAAAGCCTTTTTGTAGACATTATGGCTGTCATTATGTTAAAGACGTTTCCTTATCTGCAGGTGGTATGCATGCCCATATTAAAATCCCATGGCTGTGCCCACCTGCCCCTGCTCCTGCAATGAGCCCAGCAGGTTCTCAGTGCTTCTAGAGCAGGAGCCTCCCCCAGGGAGCCTCCCCAAGCCTCTTAACCAACCCACAGGGAGTGGGCTACAAGGGCAAATCCAGGAATGCACAGCACCCCGTCTTCTCTGTGAAAGCCTCCTTGGATATGGATGGTCTTCCCCTAACTCCCAGGGACCTCCAGGGCAGCTCTGAGGGGAACAAGACCAGAAACAGTCCACAGAAAGCAGGCTCACAGCTTACCTGAATCCTGATGGCTGTGCTTCAGGTAAGTGGGGTCCAGTCTAAAGGCTCCCGTTAAGTCTGTTCTCTTTTTCACCCTGGTTTTAGAGAACAAATGAAAGGGCTGATAACCAAGTACCCTAGACTGGACCACCTCTCCCCTCTCCCCACCTGCCTCAGCTCAGGCACCTGCTCCCAGCCCTGCCCTGAACACCACTCTGCCTGCACGGCCCTGTCTCTGCTCCAAGTACCTGGGGAGGGCGTCTTAGAATAAAAAATAAATATTTGGTCTTTGTTACCAGTTCCTGGCACACAGCTCCTAAAACCCTTGAGATCTCCTAGTGATAAGGGTTCATTTTGCATGTTAATAAGATAGCTGGCAGCTGGGGTCTCCTCGATGGCTTCCAATCTCCAGGGAGGGTAGGGGGCTGGAGATGAGTTGGCCAGTGATTTAAGCAATCATCCCTACTGAATGAAACTCCGTTAAAAACTCCTAAGTGGCAGGATTGGAGAGCTCTGGGTTGGTAAATGCTTCATGATGCTGGGATGGTGGCATACACAGAGAGGGCATGGAAGCCACGTGACCTACCACCCCACTTGTACTTTGCCATTGCATTTCTTTGTTTGTACTCTTTATAACCTGTAAACCTAAGTAAAATGCTTTTTTGAATTCTGTGAGTTGTTCTAGTAAGTTACTGAACCTGGGGCAAGGGTTATGGGAACCCCCCTGAGTTTGTAGCCACGGTGGACAGAACTGTGGGTAACCTGGAGACCCAACACTGTAACTGGCATTTGAAGTGGGGGCCGGCTGATGGGACTGAGCCCTTAACCCTGTGGAGTCTGACGCTACCTCTAGGTAGTTACAGTCAGAATAGGAGTGAGTTTAGGACACCCAGCTGGTGTCTGCAGAGTTGGAGAATTGGTGTCAAGAGGGAAAACCACAGAGGTTAGCATTTGCTCCTCTCTCTCTTTCCAGGGACAGCACAGTGACTGGCCCTGCTGGCATCAGTAAGTGTGTGTGGGGTGAAAATCCCAAGGGCTAATGAGTGAGAAGGCCAGGATGCCCTGGGCTGCAGACAGGGGTCCTCTTTCACCTGTCTGCACACAGAGCACTCACACTGGTAGTCATTCTGCAGAACTCGGACGCAAACTCTCACTGGGCTGGCCTTTGAAGGGCCTGTGCTTTACGGTAATTGCCATTGCTCTGCTTCATTGGCAGTGTGGTGACACCATCACAAAGCAATTTTGTAGCAAATAAAGTATCCTAAGGGCAAACTAGAGAAGAAATGTTAATCTGACAGTAGCTTAGGCTTGAAAACAAATAAAACGTGAGAGTCCCTGAAAGACAGAACCCAGTGAGCACAAAATAGGATGCTGAGATGTGGCTTACCAAGGAGGTGAGAGAGAGGCTGGATTTATCTATAAATGGTCATTGAGCCTTTATTTTTGTTTTAAGGTTAAAGACAGACAAAGTCAGTAGGAATAATAAGCTGTCTAGTGTATATTCTTTCTTTGACTTGTGGAAGAAAATTGCACCTAATTTTTTGTGTGTATAGGAATTTTCTTGCATCATAGGCATTTTATGGGGAGCCACTGGTTGTGGGGGGAGGTCCTTTGGGTCTCTCTGCATTAGAGAAAGCTCTGTGCCTAGACTTAAAAAGAGGGGACCAAGAGGGATGTGAATATTTATGGCTATCAGTAGAACTCTGCCCTTTGTCCACAAAGATCACACTTTCCCTTCTCATTCTCAGCAGGGGCCTTCCAGCTGTTTTTTAATTTAAAAAATTTTGCACTAATTAAAGCCATACAAAAGATGTAAAGAATAAATCACCACCCCCTGCTTATGAAATAAAACTTAAATTATAAGTATTAATAAAAGTTAAATATTCCTGTCCCTCACCTACTTCCTCTCCCTGTCCCACACAAGAGGCCACAAGGCTGAATTTGTGTTCCTACTCTTACATAGTTCTACAAAATTTTCTCTCCAAATCCCTAAGCAATCTATATTATTTTGCACACTGCTAAACATACTGTACCATAAACTTAAGATGTATTATCTTAAATTTTATAATTCCATGCATGTTTCTATAATTTGCTTTCTTACCCCAAAATAGACCTATGAGTTTCACATTCATTCATGCGCAGGGCTCTTGCTCACTCATTTGTATGACCTCCTGGGATTTTAGTGCATGCACATATCCCAATCCATTCATTCTATCATTTCCCATTTATTGATAGACAAACTACACTGATGTGGACATGGGACCATCCCTGTGCATACTCCTGGAGCCCCTAGTGGCAGCGCCCGTCGGCCATGCATCTGCCAATGGAATAGCACAAGGTGAGCTATGTTAAGGTTGGAGGAAAGCATCTATCTACGGCCGTATTCAATAGCTCCAAATCAGTCTCCACAACAGTTCTGCAGTCTGCGAGCTCCTCTTCCATATCCTGGTCAACGTTTAGTATGAAGAGACTATTGTAAACAACCTATAGTGTTTTACTGGGATTTCAATTTACATTTCTGATTACTAAGGAGGGTGAGTAACTTTGTATTTATTAAGCATATCTGTTTCCTCCTTGATAAAGAATTTTTTGTTCATTTTTCTGTTAGATTGCTTATCTTGTCATATTGGATTGCAACAATTCTGTAAACATTAGAAGCCCTAATTGGAATATGTGGAGTCTGTTTCTGGCTCTCTCTTCTAATGTGCTCTACCCATCTGTGCCCGCGCTGGTGCTACATGAGTTCAGTCGTGGTTACTTTACACACACACGTTGATATTTAAGGAGGCAACTTCCTCACTATATTTTTTTTCACAATTATCTTGGCTATTCTTGGCCCATATAAATATTATGCCAGGATATTTATTAGAATTGTGCTGAGGTCTAATATCGAGTCTTCTTTATGAACATATCATCCTACTTAGGACTTCTTTAATGACTTCCAAAAAATTATAGAATTTTCTCCATATAAATCTGAACAGGTTTGGATATGTTTGTTCATAGTAAACATATCTTTTCTTGCTATTATAAAGAGTGTTACCTTTGTAAAAATTACACATACTGTTTAATGTAGATGTAAAAAAATGCAACCTTAAAAATGTTAGTGTATCTAGACATCTTGCTGGGTTCTTTTATTAATAATACTTTGAGGATTCTCTTTTTATTGAGGTTACATCATCTGACAATGAGAGTTTTATGTCTTCCATACTGATCCTTACATGTTTACTTCTTTATCTTTTTTTTTTTAAATTATTATGGAGGTTAGGAAAGTCCAGTGTTGAATAGAAGTGCAGATTATGGGAATCCTCATTTTTTTCTGATTTTAAAGGGAGTGCTTCTAATATTTCACCATTAAGTAAAGGTTCACTATGTTTTTTGGTAGTTACCTTTTATCAGATTAAGAAGTTCTCTGCTGTTCCGATTTTACTAAGACATTTTGTCCTGAAATGTTGTTGACTTTTATCTAATGCTTTTTCTGCATCTAATATGATAACTTTTTTTCTCCTTCTCTGTTAACATGGTGACTAGCACTTTAAAAATCTTCTACTATTAAACCATCCTGCCATATCCAGATTAAACACAGTTTGGACATGGTATACTATATTTTTTAAAATCTCATTGGATTTTATTTGCTAATGTTTGACATAGAATTTTTACATTTAAGTTTGTGAGATTGTTTATAGCTTTTCTGTCTCAGCTTCTCATCTGGTTTTAGAATCAAATTTAGACTGGCTTCAAGATATAAGAGGCAGTGTGGCCTCTTTTGCTGCTCTCTGTGAATTATACTTAGGATTGGACTGATAAGTTTCCTGCAGTTTAGGATACTCATTATTTAAGAATTTGGGTATTTCTGGCCATGTGCAGTGGCTCACACCTGTAATCCCAGCACTTTGGGAGGCCGAGGCGGGAGGATCACGAGGTCAGGAGATCGAGACCATCCTGGCTAGCACAGTGAAACCCCGTCTCTACTAAAAATACAAAAAAAATTAGCTGGGCATGGCGGCGGGCACCTGTAGTCCCAGCTGCTGGGGAGGCTGAGGCAGGAGAATGGTGTGAACCTGGGAGGTGGAGCTTGCAGTGAGCCAAGATCGCGCTACTGCACTCCAGCCTGGGCGACAGAGCAAGATTCCATCTCAAAAAAAAAAAAAGAATAATAATTTGGGTATTTCTGCTGTAAGAAAATTTTACTATTGACATGTTGTATTAACAATAAGATTTTTCAGGTTTTCTATTTACTCTTGAGTCAGTTTTGGTATCATGTTTTGTTGTAGTTATTGAATATATGTGTTTATGGGCAATTCTTGGCATGATGTTACTCATAATGCTCCCTTACTATTTTCGGAAATCTCTGAAGTATCTGTAATTGTGCCATTGTATTTTCTACTACAAGTTAATCTGTGTTTTCTTTATTTTTGACCTATCTTTCCAGAGATCGTTTATGTAATTAGGCAGGCCAACTACCAACATCTGGCTTTGTCGATCCTCTCTGTTGGGTCTTTTTTGTGTATTTTGTTACATTTCTTAATTCTTATTGCTTTCTTCCTTTTACTTTTTGGAGGTTTATTTTGTTGCTGCTTTCTAGCTTAATTTTGATACTTAGCTTATGATTTTCTGGCTTTCCTCTTTTCAATTGATGTCTGTTTTGTAGGTGCTGCTTTAGCTGTGTGTGGCAAGTTTGGTTGCATGTTTCTTTTTGTTCAATTCTCAGTATTTGCAGCTTCCCATTATACTTTATTCATTGGCCCATGTTTCTAATGGGCCTGTGGTAGTCGCCTCTTCAATATTTAGGTACTAAATTTGCATTTCTTGTTAAGATTTAATGGATATTATAAAGAGAAAGAATTTTATGGAAACAGATGTGTATGTGTACTTGAGGACATACATGGGCACACACACACACAGAGAAACATGCTTTTGTGGCACCAAAGTCACCTCACATGGTGACCTCACCTGCATGAGACTTTTGGTGAGGAAAGCCTCTCTCTGTAACCAGACACATTCCTAGGGGATCAGGAAAAGGACCCTTGTGTTGGGTTGAAAGCCTGGCTCCTTACGTTTTCTTTTTTAAAAAATCTACAACACTACATAGTGCTCACTGAATGAGCACTCACATGACCTCCTGGTCCCAATAACATCCATAAAAAATTCAAGATAATAAAGGGTTCCCAGATCTAAGTGCAAAGAATCCAAATAGATAAATAGAAAACTATCCACTAAGACTTTTAAAACAAGTTCTAGAATCAAGTCTCAACGATTACTAGAATGATTAAAACTGTTTCAGAGAAATAGAATTTTTAAAAACCTCCCAATGCAACAGAAGTGTACAAACACTATAAAATAATTTGTGGCAAAATTTAACATTTTGGGAAAAAAAAACAGGCCATCTTTTAAATGTGGATAATATATGCCTTTCGTGTGTATGGAATTTGAGTCTTTCTTTGGAGATCTGATATTAAAGAGGCAATAAGCTCTGGACAGAATGGCTCACATTTACAGATAAAAGATTCAGAATATCAAATGAACAATAAGAAGCTTATGAACAGAATAATTATTTCATTATAAAATGTATTTACTGTGCTTATAATGATTGCCAGTTTCAGAAACTTCAATTATTTTGTCTATTTCAGTATTTAAAGAGTACAACCAAAGTGTTTATGTTAAATTATGGACTAACCATTAGTAAAATTTCATTAAACAAAAGAGAAACACTTCTAATTTTAAAGAATACAAAGAAACCAGTGAAAGCAATAAAAAATCCATTTATATGTTGTTTACTGAATTAGTGAAATTTTAAAAGACACTTTAAAAATTCACCACTTAGGATTTTTTTGCTTAGTTTAAACTCTTAGGAATCTAGAGGAATATTTGTCCTTTTGTGAATTCTGGTTCTTACAAGTGTCCTTATTATCTGTGTTCTATTGTGTTAAGGTAGATCACGTTACTGTAATCTTCTCTTAGACTGTCAAAATATTTATTTTTATTTCATGATATCTGGACAGTGTGAAAAAGCCTCTGAGTAGAGATTCTCAGCCCTCACTCTCCCCACTCCCTGTCTCCACGTTACAAGGCACCATTCGCAAACAGGCAGGGGAAGCCAACCTCGACCAAGCATGATCAGTGGATCCTGCCTCTTAGATGGGATAATAATATAGTCCCTAAAAAGCTTATGAACAGAATAATGAATTCATTATGAAGTATACTTGCTGTACTTGTAATGATTGCCATTTTAATGTAACGGTGTCTAGAGGAAGGGATGCTGTGTTCCACCTACTTGTCTTTTGCTCTGAGGCTGTACATCCTGGGCTAAAATTCGAGACTACTTCCAGTGTTTACAGTGAAAACCAAGTCAATAACAGCTTGAACAAAAGTGACCCTGATTTTGGCTCATTTACACCAAAAAACAGCTCTCATTCTCCAGCTTCTATATCCATAAGAAGTGATCCCAGTGGGTTCTATGTGCATCTTTTTGTTTGTATTTGTATTTGTAAAACGTATGTTGCTTTGCGTGCATGCACTCTTGGTTTGCATACTATCAGATACAGCACAGGCCACTGTGTCAGCAAGGCAATGTGAAGACTATCCACTGTGGAATGAAGAAAATAAGTTTTTGGTGGTAAGAAAATGAGGAAAAAACAGGGATGTGGGTGTTTGGGTATAGTGAGATCAAATGAAAATATAAGTTTCATAGCTATCAAATAAACAAATCAGTAAGTAGATGATCATTAAGATTATGGAGTTTAAAATAAGCTGACCTGGTTTAAATCCTTAGATATGAGGCTTATGGCTTTAACTAGTGATTTCTTGTGAGCGCTGTTATGGACCAAATTATGTCCCCCTTCCTCCTCATTCACATGTTGAAGCTCCACCTCCCAGGACCTCAGAATATGACTGACTGTATTTGAAGATAAGGCCTTTAAGAGGTGATTTAGTAAAATGAGGTCATATGGTGGGGACTTTGAAAGGCAAATAAAAACCTGACACCCCAATTCACTCTGCCAAAAGGAAAAATTAAGCTTAAAGCTAAGTCATGCAAGGAGTTGCCTTTCCTTTTGTTCCTAAGTAGAGAGCTACAGCTAAAAGGTTAAATATCTCCACTGGTAACTACTCTAAGTTCATCTTATCTGTTGTAAAGTGCTATTTTACTGAGTGGGAGATGAATACATAATTGACTATTCCCCTGCCTGCTCCTTTTCTCTTGCAACACGTGGATTACCATACCCTCCCTCTTTCCCTCCAGACAACTTTAATAGTTTAAGTAGGAAAAAGAACATTTTTGAAAACAGGCAAATGAAAAATTTTAAATATATAAGATCTGCCTCTGCCTGGGTCTGTTATGTCTATATGTTCAGATATGTCATGTGGAAATAATATTTTGCTACCAATTATATGAAAGAGTTCTAATTAATTGGCCTAAAGAAAAGTAAGTTTTTATCAGACTAATAGAAACTAGCTCAGAGGCTTTTCAGTTCATATAGTTTTAGTAATCTTTGGTAAGATTAATTTGGTAAAGTTAGTCTCAAAACTGTCCCCAGTAATTTGAACACTTAAAGTCATATTATATTAAATTAAGTAATCCTTGATTTTTCAGGGAGAATTAGGGTTAGTAGTGTATCGTAGGATGTGTTTTTGGTAAAGTTTATAAAACACGCGAGGATGTGTTTTTTGCTTAAGAAAATGTATTTTTCTAGTTTAGAGGACCTTTCTACTGGTGTTGAGATAAAAACCACTGTTTCTATTTAATCTTTTTTTTTGTAAACTGATGAGTCTGTATTGATATATCATGGCTAGAGTTCTGAAGTAAAAGCTATAGGATCTTTATTTGCATGACTGTTTATGTGTGCTTAGGTGTGTTTATGTATACATACATGCATTTTGTTATGTGTTGTGGCCACAAGGTACCAAATTGGCTTAAAAATAAAGGAGTACTCATAAATTTAGTAAATAATCCAAATGCTTTTCAAGTTCACATGACTTAACTTTTAATAAATAAGCTGGCTTTAAAATTATTGGCCAAATAAAATTAGAAAGTCTTAAGTACTGTCAACACATATTATTGTTTAGATTTATTGGTCAAGTAGTTTTATATTTATGTTTGCTAAATATTATAAGGTGTCAATATTTGGAATGAGGGTTATAAAGCCATAAATGCAGCCCAAAAGAGAATTATCTTTGTGTAACTTTTGGTAAGTAAGGCATTTAATATTGTTGGTTTAATAGCAAACAGTTAATACTGAATTATTTGGCAAAAAGAAAAAACAAATACATTTATTTAACCTTAAGTTTTTTACATAGGTAAACACCTGAAATTCGCAGGCTATAAAATTGGTTAGCAGGGAAATAACTTTAAATGATGACCATCAGTTTTTATAAGTAATCTATTAAAAAATTAATTAGATAAATATAATAGAATAAATGCTTGTTAAAAAACGACATATAATTTAGAATCTAAAGTAACATTAAACAAAATAATAGATATTGCTTAAATGTCTGGGTCATTTCCAATTTAAAAAAAAATATAGGAAAATGTTTTTCTGAAAAACAATGTTTTCTTATTAAAAAGAAATAATTTTTGTCTAATTCAAAGATTACTTAAAGGTCGTTTCTAAAACAAGGTAAAAGGAAACAGTAAATAAAAGAGATGCAAAAAAAGTTATAAATATTAAGTGGTATTTTTGGTAAGAAAGATTAAAAGGAAAACAATTTTACATGACAAAAATGTTGTGTGATATATTTTTTGTCCTAAAATAAAATCACTGGTTATTTAAAAAAGAGGATGTTTGGGATAAAACAGAAACTCCAAGTATTCAGTAAATGGTTTGTGTAAGTCATAATAAGGTTTATAAAAAGAGAATTTATGAAAAAATATTTATGTGATCAAGTTGGCCATAATTAAAAGAAAATTATTTATAATAGTCTTTCTAGAAATTGGGCTTTGATATTAAAAATACACTAATAAACTAAAAAAATTGTTAGAACAACTAAATTTTCTTAAGGTACTGGTTTATTCTTAATAAAATTACAAGACATTTTAATTTTCATAAACCAAAATTTCAACTTTAATTTCATCTCGCTGTTTTCAGCTTTCTCTCCCCTTCAAGAGGGCCCGAGATAGTAACTCTTTCAACTTTTTATCAGCTCCTTTAACTTTTTCCCCTCTGGTTCTGACTGATGTTGTGGCCTAATTAAAAAATATATCTTAACTTAAAGATCTAAACTGAATGGTTTTCTTTGTTTGCTTGTTTGTTTGTTTGTTTTTGAGATGGAGTCTTGCTCTGTCACCCAGGCTGGAGTGCAGTGGCACCATCTCAGCTCACTGCAGCCTCTGCCTCCCAGGTTCCAGCAATTCTTGTGCCTCAGCCTCCAGGATAGCTGGGATTACAGACACGTGCCACCACACCTGGCTAATTTTTGTATTTGTAGTAGAGATAAGGTCTCACCATGTTGGCCAGGCTGGTCTCGAAGTCCTGACCTCAAGCAATCCTCCCACCTCGGCCTCCCAAAGTGCTGGGATTACAGGCATGAGCCACCACACGCAGCCTAAAGCAAATGCTTTCTTCCTATATTATTCTCTAAATTCTTCTATGAAATAGAAAACTTATAACACAGGATGCACTCTTCCTATGTCTAACTAATTAAAGTCCTACGAAAACTGAGATTTAAAAAATTAAGGTTATTATATCCATATAACTTTCTGTATTGCTTCTAAAGTCATTGTACTATTACAGGACTTTGACTCCTGGGTCTAAAAAAGATACCAAGTCCAGCTAAATCTTAAACACTGACAGCAGTTAAAAGCCTCATCTTCAGACCCAGGAGAAGATGACAATCAAAATAAACTGTGTTCAAGAGACACAGGGCCAGAAATTAAAACTATTCAACCCCTCTAGGCCCAGGGACTATCAGAGTATCACAGAAGAGGTGGACACATAGATTGGAAGAGCTAATATTGACAGATAAAATTAGCTTAGTTTCTCTATAAATTAAACACTAATATCAAAGGTACACTGATGCAAGACCAGCATCTGTGTCCCTATGCCAGTTTAACAAGGTTTTCTTGGGACATTAACCCATTCTTTAATTAAAAAATTATAAAAGGTTATAAAATGATTTATGGAAATTATATATTTTGGTCAAGATGATTAAAATTTAATAGATTTGTTTATAAAATTTGAGAGAGATTTAATTGGCCTCATACTGTCTTTATTAGAGTTTATTGTTTAGAAAAGTAAGTCTCTTCTCTCAAAGAATAAAGGTTGTGAAATCTTTGAGTTATCGCTTTGGCTAAATGAATGACTGATTTTACAATGGCCTCTGTGTGATCCTGTTCTGTCATTGGTTATTTTACCAAGGCTTTGATTGGAATGACATTTTCAGATTGCCTTGAGAAAATAAGGGTGACCTACAGAGCTAGTAAAAGCCTCTTAGAAAAACTGGCCCCATACCTTGTCCTTTACAGGGTCCTGACCTATGGTAAGTAAAAAATGTCACTTTCTAACAGGGCTAGGAACCTCAAGTTCTCTTGGGACCTTGAAAATAGAAAAATTCAACCAATTCATACAGGTATCTATAGGCACAGAAAAATCCTTGACTGGGACTGAGGCTTTTAAAAAGGTCTAAATCAGCCGGGCACAGTGGCCCATGCCTGTAATTTCAGCACTTTGGGAGGCTGAGGTGGGTGGATCATGAGGTCAGGAGATCGAGATCATCCTGGCTAACATGGTGAAACTCCATCTCTACTAAAAATACAAAAAATTAGGCAGGCGTGGTGGCACGCTCCTGTAGTCCCAGCTGCTCAGGAGGCTGAGGCAGGAGACTCGCTTGAACCTGGGAGGTGGAGGTTGCAGTGAGCTGAGATCATGCCACTGAGCCGAGATCATGCCACTGCACTCCAGCCTGGACAACAGAGCAAGGCTCTGTCTCAACAACAACAACAACAACAACAAAAGCTCTAAATCTTAGATTCTTTATGAAAAGGTTCCAACAAAACCAATTTAAAAACAACAACAACAAAAAGAGCGAGAGAGCAAACCTATATGGCAAATGATTATTCTTGCTGCACTTTATCCAAATAATCAAGCCAATCATAATAGAACTAAAACTTATTTTACAAATAAATTGGCCCTATTATAATCTTGTATTTAATACAATTGGGGAACTGGAAAGAGAAAAATTATGTTTCAAAATAAACTATAGTACATCTGTAATTAGAGTCTAGCCTTGCCTAATGTTTGTCTGTTTTTATTATTTTCTACAATTTGGGCTGAATTCTAAAATTTTTCCTGGCTACAATTCTGGAAAATAATGTTGTCAGTTTTTTTTCCTTCTTTCTTTTCCTTTTTAATCGTGATTTGAAATCACTAAATATTAAGCTATGCTTTTCTTAAAGCCCTGTAAACTGAAGCTAGACAACGTCAACTTTGGAAGAAAATAACAGGAACCTATTTATATACGTAAATCACTTTCATACCTGCCTACTGACATAGGGACTTCAGAGTAATACGGTTTATGTCAGTTTTCCAGGATTGTTCTCCCTTTATTTTTGTTTGTTTGTTTGTTTGTTTCTCTCTCTCTTCCTCCACCTATTTTTTTCCTTCATGGGTCATGAGACTTTACAACCTGCTAAAAATGAGCTTTCCTAACCACGTGGGACCTGTCTAGAAATAAACTGTCTTAGTCACAAGAGACCAGACAAAACCCCAAGACTAGAGACGCATTTTCTTCTAAAATGCATTTTCTGAAGACTTTTTTTAAAAGGGGAGGGGAAGAAATGTGAACGGAAAATAAAAACTTGGTGCCTCAATTTACTATGCCAAAGGAAAAAAAATAAGCTGGATGCTTTCATGCAAGAAGATACCCTTCCTTTTGTTCCTAAGCAGAAAGCTACAGATAAAAGGTTAAATATCTCTACAGGTAGCTACTCTATGCTCACCTTATCTTATATAAAGAGCTGATTTACTGGGCGTGAGACAAATATATCATTGACTATTCCTCTACCTGCTCCTTTTCTCTCACAACACGTGGATTCAGTAATGTGACCATTCCCTCCCTCTTTCCCCTCCAGCTTGCCCTCCCCTTTAAATACTGCCGGCCTCAAAATCATCTTTGGGGAAAGGCACAAAGCACACCCTGTTTCTGTGATTCCATGTTTATTCTTCCAGGAATGTCCCTAAGCTTAGCAAAATAAAACATCTGAATTGATTGAGACCTGTCTCAGATACTTTTTGGTTAACAGGCCCTAATCCAATGTGACTGGTGTCCTTATAAGAAGAGAAAATTTGGACACAGGTAAACAGAAGGAAGACCATGTGAGGACAGGGAGAAGACAGCCATCTGCAAGCCCAGGAGAGAAGCCTCAGAAGAAACCAGCCTGCTGATGGCTTTATCTCAGACCTCTGGCCTCTAGGACTGAGATAAATCATCTCTTGTTTAAGCCGCTTGTCCATGGCACTTTGTTAAGCCAGCCCTAGCCAACTAATGCAGGCACAGTGCCCCCAAACAGTAAAGATCAGCAATTTCTGTGTTAAAACACAAATCTTTCAAAGATCAGATTTCATCTATCAACATTCATGCCATTTTTATAGTGTCATGGGACAAAACCTTGGGTTTTGGAGAGATCTGATTTTTCCAGGTACACAGCATCTCACCAAATTCTTTGACTCTTGTTCTGTCGAGAACGCACCGGCTCAGGAGAGAAAGAGCACATTCTCTATTGCAATTTAAAAACATATTTTGTAGCCTTTCAAGCCCATAGGAAGGTAAGAGGTTCCTCAAGTATTGCAACCACCCTGCCCCACCACTGTCGCCCACTCCAGAGGATGGGAACTAACCCCATCACCCTTCTCTTGTGGCAGACTTCCAGACACCGCAGGCCTCTCTTGTGTCTTAGGGCTTACGTTTAATTCCTTCTACAAGGAAATTTTCCAAATGGCCTTTTCCAAATGGCCTGGCCTCATCCCTGTGTGTCCTGTGTCTCTTCCCTACATCACCTCCACTTTGTCAAATTTCCCCTCACAGGCTGGTGGCTGAACTGAACCCCGAGCGCCGGGGAAGAGTTGTCCGGGAGAGATGAGCGCACAGCCGCCAACTTGCTGGCATCAGCTCTGCAGCGTCTGCGGCAGCCTCGGGGCATCAGCTCTGCGGCAGGCACTCCACGTCCCGAAAGGCTCAACTCCTTCTCACCACCGCACTGACTAAGCAGGTTTTCTTCAGCCTTAACATACGCACTGGTTGTCTGGACCTGAGGGCAGGACGCCGCATTCATTACACTCCTTCTTATCGTGTGTCAATATTTGCCTCCAAGATTAGGGACCCAAAATATTTCTGGTCCCTGACCGCTTCAGTTTCCTCATCTGTAAAGAGAGCGTGGCAATGTCTGTGTCCCTCAACACAGGGCTGTCGTGGGGGTCCAGAGAGCTACGAGAGGTTAGGGACTTAGAAGGGAGCCTGGATGTACCTATCCGCAGTCACTAAACAGCCTTGCTGATATCACTGTTCTATCCAGGCATTGAGGACGGCCTCAGGGCGCACGAGAACCCCTCCTCCGGACAGCCCATCAGCCCTGCCCTGCTCAAGGGTGGTTCTAGGGCTTCCTTTGTGGAAGGCATCTGAGGACGCCTGCCCCTTGCAAAACAAAAGCATGTAGGGAGAGCCACTTGTTCCCGCCAGAGCCTGTGGATGCTCTGCCTGGTCCTTCCGAACTCCAGCCACCTTAGAGGATTTTCCCCACTGACCAAAAACCTCAGCAGAGCGGATTTACATTTCAATCAAAATTACCCCTCGAATAAAGGGACCTCTGGCACACGGTGCAAACTGTCCTCACTGTGTTCCACCTTGGGTGAAACAGAAAAACACAACCACAAGAATACAAAAGAATACTCACATTCATAACGGCCATGTCTTTCATAAATACTTATTTCAGACAAAATTAAGTCTGAAATGCCCACATACCAACTGGTTTTAAAATTATATAGCAGAAGTTTGGGGAAAAAGACTGACAAAAAATAATTTGATTTGTATACAAGTAAAGGACTAGAAATGTGGTTAGCCTTAAAAAAAAAAACAGGAAAAGGTCAAACGGGTATTTTGGTAACCTTGAGAGCTGACATTAGTTGTTTTGTATAAAAGCTGCTTTCCTCATGCTTAGGAGGAAAGTGAAAAGTTATTCACTTAATTACATACTGAACAATTTTGCAAAGCCTTCTGAATATTTGGAAAATTTTGCAGTTTTGCATACTGTACAAAATTCATGCAAATCCTCCTGGCCCTATGATCAATCAATCAACTTCTTACTTTAAAACTTTAGAGAAACTAGTTTCTAGTGTCCCTGTATCACTGCCCATCATCATTATTTCTTTAAACATTGTGTAGGTGGTGTAATATCACCCACTTTAATGCTTTAGTTCTTTTTCTTATTCTAAATATCACCAAGGTATTATCATGCTGTTATTAAGAATTTCCGGCCAGGCACCGTGGCTTACGCCTGTAATCCCAGCATTTTGGGAGGCCGAGGAGGGTGGATCATGAGGTCAGGAGATCGAGACCATCCTGCCTAACACGGTGAAACCTCGTCTCTACTAAAAATACAAAAAATTAGCCGGGCGTGGTAGGCGCCTGTTGTCCCAGCTACTCGGGAGGCTGAGGCACGAGAATGGCATGAACCTGGGAAGCGGAGCTTGCAGTGAGCCAAGATTGCACCACTGCACTCCAGCCTGGGCGACAGAATGAGACACTGTCTCAAAAAAAAGAAAGAAAGAAAGAAAAGATTTTGAGCCAAGATCGCACCACTGCACTCCAACCCGGGCGACAGAGTGAGACACTGTCTCGAAAAAAAAAAAAGAGAGGAAGAAAAGAATTTCCAGGGAAATTCTTAGGAAACATGGTTACTATTATTTTTCTTTCGCGAATACTTTTTTTTTTGAGACAGAGTCTTGTCGCCAAGGCTGGATTGCAGTGGCATGATCTCGGCTCACTGCAACCTCTGCCTCCCAGGTTCAAGCGATTCTCCTGCCTCAGCCTCCTGAGTAGCTGGGATTACAGGCATGCACTACCACACCCAGCTAATTTTTTGTATTTTTAGTAGACACGGGGTTTTACCATGTTGGCCAGGCTGGTCTTGAACTCCGGACCTCAGGTGATCCACCCGCCTCGGCCTCCCAAAGGGCTGGGATTACAGGTGTGAGCCACTGTGCCCGGCCTTAGCAAATACTTTTAAGCATTTGGACTCAGATTGCTTAAACTTAGCATTACACTAAGACTGGTTACGAATCTAAGAATGAAAACACAAGCTACTGAATTAGAAGTGTGTACTTGCATTTGTTTTCTGTCAATGCTGGATAAATCAAATAAAAAATTGTCCTTTTTAGGCTTCTCATTTCTTATGCCAGTATGTTGCAATGATATTCCCTAGATAAAAGTTTCCAGTGAGGCTAAGAATTAGCAATAATTCCATCAAGGGTTCAGAAAAGGCAGCAAGCAGTGAGCTAAGTGACTATTGCACCCCTTTGGCTCTGGCATCTTCCCTGCCAGCTTCTTTCACTGTCACCTCGGACAGGCAACTGACATCTGTGAGCAGGGAAACTTACCACATGGCAGAACAGTCAAAATTCACCAATAGCCATTTGTGGGGATTAAAGTTGAATGAATCTGCAAACTGCCAAAGAACAAGAGTAAGAAAAAGAAAACATTTTCTTTATAAATGTTTAATTATAAAGAAGACCCCATACATGATAATAAAAGTTTATGGCACAACTAATCCACAGTGGTAGGGGCCAGGTAGGGTTGCCCAGGGGAGTAGTAACTTGTAGTGGGTAGGGGAGTCTTCTGGAGTGCTGGAATTGTTCTACTCTTGATCTGGGTGGTAAGTACATGGGGGTGGGTATATGTATTTAGAGTTGATTTGTATGTTTTGCTATATCTAGATTATACTCTCATAAAATGGAACAAGAATTTTAAAATTAAAAGTTTATATTCCCAAATGAAAAGCATTTTCAAATTTACATAATCTAATGTGACATAAAATGTATCCATATTATATTTTAAATTACTGGAATATTTGGAAAAATCAGAATTGTCCTTCACAAGCACAACGTACAGGAATTGTACTGATTTGGCCTGTGGAATACTTCATGCTTGAAGTTCCTTCCACTTGCTGAGCTAGCAAAGTTCTCAGACTACACGTGTCATGATAAACAGTGGGAAAGAGGAAATTTTATTACTAATCTACAGTAGATAGGGGTAAACCCAGTTTTCATTTAATTGATGGGTTCTTTTGCCAGCATTGCTGTAACATATCAACAATTCTCCTCATTTACCTAAATGCTTCTCTCTCTTTTTTTTTTTTTGAGCGACAGGGTCTTACTTTGTTGCCCAGGCTGGACATGAACACAGCTCACTGCAGCCTCAACCTCCCAAGCTCAAGTGATCCTCCTGCCTTAGCTTCCTAAGTAGCTGGGACTACAGGCGTGTGCCACCACACACAGCTAATTTTTAAAATTTTGTTTGTAGAGACAGTGTGTCTCATTACGTTGCCCAGGCTGATCTCGAACTCTTGGGCTTAAGCCGTCCTCTTGCCTCAGCCTCCCAAAGTACTGGGATTACAGGTGTGAGCCACTGCACCCCGACCAGCTCCTTTATTTTTAAAGTTCATTGTATTCCTAACAGCTACAGGCTCCCGTAGCTGGAAGATCCTGGGTAAAAACTGTGAACAACCGGCTCTGGCTGCATGCATCAGTGTTAGGGGCTACCTTATTTTCAAGGAGAAAATAAGAGGTTTAAACCACCAAGAGTGGCAGAGGAGGACACTCTGCATTTTCCCTGAGCTGTCATAAATGGTGCTTTCTTTTTCAAATGCATGTCCTGGTTTATCACCTGACTGGTGAACAGGAACAGGGTCCACCTTAATGGCCAGGGATTTGGCCATGCGGCTGGATTCATAATTGATACCGAAATAAAGGTGGCTGTTGCAGTGAGGCGCCAGTCTGGCCGACTCTCCTACTGGGAAACTTTTCAGTCTTCCCAAGGCC
Organism: Homo sapiens; assembly: GCF_000001405.40. Taxonomy (NCBI): domain Eukaryota; kingdom Metazoa; phylum Chordata; class Mammalia; order Primates; family Hominidae; genus Homo; species Homo sapiens. The sequence continues at coordinate 50,496,790 of NC_000007.14, forward strand.
CTAGGGCACCTCCTGTCTACTTGGTTTCAGGGATGTGCACCGAGGAGGCAGCAGAAGCTTGAGGGACCTGGGGGGCGTCCTGGGAGGCATTTGGTTGGTGGATGACAACTTTCCACTGCTCTGGAGACCCAGGTTCATTTCCTTCTAGGTTTTAATAAAAGTAATTTTGAGAAAAGGACAGGAAATTACAGCAAGTTTCATTTGTTGATAAAAGGAGACAAAAGGTTAAAGAGGAGCTCTGTTTGCTAGGAGTCTTATGAGTTCCCTCCTATGGGGCTGATCTGTTTAAACTTCTCTCATTACCCAGCAGTGATATTTTCCTCCTGCCAACCGGAGAGAAAGGCTCTTATCTCCAAGGGCAGGGCCACAACAGGATATTGCAGCCTCCTTATCTGCCCCACTGAGACGCACAGCCCTCAGCTGGGCATGGAAAGAGTCGGGAGCAATAATGCAAGAAAAATGGCAGTGACTCATTGTACAGCATGAAATCCTGTCTGTTGCTGATAGGATCTGGCTGGAAAGCCCATTGCTGTGGTGGTCTGACAATGAGGCACCCTTCTATGAAAGATGAAACCTCAAGTTGTCAGTTCTTGGGGAAAAGAAGAGCAGTGGTAGGAAAAGATCACGAACCCTAAACCTGATACCCAGAGTTAGAAAAGAGCATCAAGCTCAGGCCAGCCGTGGGGAGGGCACATAAATCCCAGAGGACTGCTTAGCCCTTCCTCCCTTGAAACTGTCCCAGGACAGATGTTTCAAATAATGGAGATTATCTCCATCATGCCATGCATTTATATGATACAGAGATTTACTCTTCGTTTCCCAGCACCAAACACGCACCAAACTAGCTACCGGCAATGAACTATATCAGCTGGGTACTGGCATCACATTATGAGAACTTCTCATATACTATACCCTCTCTCCAGTGCGTACATAGGTCTTTGGAAGCTCCATTTACCCCCAAGGATCCATCATGTAAGTCCTAGGTTGTATTAAGTACTCAACAAGTAATTATTGAATGAATGAGTGAATGATTGTGATGCAGACATAAACCAGAATACTACTTCATTGATTAGTAGTAAGAGGATTATTCTTTCCAAAGATGGGGACATTTGTATTCTATACCTCTGGTACCCTCTTTTCTGGTATTACAGCATTATGAGAATTCAAAGTTGTAATTAGAATAGTGATTAGCAAACCTGACATGCAAGCAGAGGAAGCTGTCAAGGGAAAGTTTTTCTAAGACGTAGTAGAAAATCACAAAAGCACCTAATGCAATTTCAGTATTTACTGTCTGCCAGGCACTGTTTTTAAGCCCTTAAAACATGATTAACTCATCTACTCCTGGCGACAATCCCACACCGGATGTATTCTTATGAAATCTATTTTCTGGAGGATAGGGAGGATATCTAACTCGCCCAAGGGTACACAGCTAGTCTTAAGGATAAATCTAGGATTCAAACCAAGGAGTCTAATGCAGAGGACTGTGCCCTTCATCTGCCATCACACATGGGTGAGGTCTCACGACACCTCCTGCCCCTTGGCAGAAAGCATTTCTTTCTTGGCCAGTGCCACAGCTCCCCTGCTTTGCTACCTCCTTCTCTTGGAAACACTGCCAAAGACTGCCTCTCAGGACCCTCTATGGCATTCAAAGCTGAGTTCTTGGGGAGAAGAGACTTCCTACCCTATGAGCCACCACCAACAATGAAATCCCGCTTGAGTCTGAAATAACACACCACAGTATATCAATAAGGTCATTTTTTTGTGTTAAGTCTGTACCAATTTACATTCTGTTGCTTTTTGGAGAAGCGGAGTGCTGGTCAATAATTTTGATTGCTACTTCTCAAAAGAAGCAGGCATTTCACTTAGCATTAAAGATCATGCTTTACAATTTCCAGAAGACTGCCTAGGGGCATTTAAATGCATTGGTAGCTTCTCGTTCAATATTGGTTAAAGTGAATATCATGTTCAGATGTATGGGCAGAACATGACTGTCATATTGAACCAGATTGTATGGAATTGCGGGTTGGTATTTTAAATTACTCTTTTGAGTTTAAGTTCATTAAGATTTTATTTTGTTCCTACTTTCCCACAGTTTTATAAGCTAACATTTATTCTTTCTGTTTGGGATTTGTGTAGATTGAAATGGAACTGTAAGTGTCAGGAGTATTTCAGGAGGACAGGCTGTATGGCTGGGGAAGGCTCTCAGCCCCTATTCTGAGGAAGTCGGAATTGGTTCAAACATAATTGGCTGAAACAAACCTCAATAGCAAGAGACTGGACGTCAGCTCCTCATGAAGGGAGAGGTCAATAACAGAGCACTGTGAAAACAGCCTTAGGGAGAGCGAAGGGTGCACCTACCTCCACTCCATTCAGAAGGTGCCGGAACTCAGGGCAGATGAATGCACTGCCTGCGTAGGCTGCATCAACGTGCAGCCATATGTCTTCCTTGTTGCCTAAAGTTCAGAATCAACTTGTGAGTCCCCAGATGGATGCCTCACCACGGAGCCTGCCAGCTGACCTCGCCCTGTCTGAGCACCTTCTTGGGTAGAGCATGCCAACAGTATTTGCTGAACTAATGGCTGAATCCCCAAAAGGCCCCCTCATTCAAAGGGTCTAAAGCTGAGGGCAGTGTGTGTGCTGCTGGCCCCAGACACACCAGGGAAAATGGAAGCCACTGCACCACTTGGTTTTCTCTCCTGACCCTGGCGGCTAAGTGTAACTCCAAGGGACCATCGTGTGACAGCCTCATGTTACTCACCTGCATTTCTCTCCAGTGACACCACCCTTTCCACCCACCTGGAATTCCCTTCCTGGTTCCCTTTGCTAATCCATTCTCAAGTCCTCCCCCAAACATCATCCAAGGGGAGGTCTGCACACAGTCCACGCTGACCTCTACCTGCCCCACTCCATCCCCACCACCAGGTGAAGTTCTTTACTTTACACCATCTTAGACCATCCCCTGCTTTCTTCATGAACAGGGTTCTGTTTTCCAACCATGCATAGCAGCCTTGTGGGCAGGGGCTGCCTCATTCAGGAGCTGGGAGAGCCACAGATGTAGCATGCTCCCTCAATTTTGACAGATCTGGGCTCAACTCCTGCTTCCAGTTGCTCCCCAGCCAAGGGGCCCTATCTACTTCTCCAAGCCTCACTCTCCTCCCAGGAAGATGGAGATGAAATAGTACCCATAGGCCCAAGGGATGAGCAAGGGAATATTTACAATGTGCTTGCCAGGACCCCAGCACTGAGTAGGGGAGAAATAAATGTGGCTTCCATGGTTGCTGCCTCTCAGCCCTAGGCACCCAGGAGAGTAAGAGTTGAAGGGTGAAGGACCACAGAGAGGGCGCGAGCCACCCTCACCTCACAGGGTGGATACCAGTGTCAGGGTACCGTGGGGTAGGTGTCAGGGTCAGCATATGCATTTGTAGGGATCCATGGATTCACCGTTCACTCACCATCCATGGTGCTCATTGTGCAATGAGGCGTGAGACTCTCAGGGGCACTAATTAGTCACAGTTCCAATCAGGAGGGCTCCACTGTGCTGACCTCATTACCACTGGAAGGCCCCACCTCCAATACCATCACCTTAGGTTAGAATTTCAGCAAATGGGCTTTGCGGGGGACACAAACGTTCAGACTACAGCAAGCTTCAAATTTACACCTATCTTATGATGTGATCTGAGGTTTTTCTCAACCTTACCGCTGATCTGAGCTACAGGCATGGACATCCCATGATTACTGAGTGACTCCTCAGGGAGAAACTCTGCAAATCCTAAGGCCTTGTGCTCTTCCTGGCTCACTGCTGCATCCATCTGGGGTTATGCAAGCACCAGGTGAGACTGATTCTGGGGGAAGTGATGAGCCCCTAAGCCTCGGTTCAGGTCCACACTGCTCTGTGACCTTTGGCCTCCCATGCCCTGGGGTGGATATCCGTGTCCGCAGGACACACTTGACCTTAATCCAACTGAGGGCTTTCATCCTGATGATTAAACTGAGTCAAAGCTTTGAAACGCCTTATGTCTTTTATCAGCTTTGTGGAGGACTGTGTTCTCTCTAAGCTTGCAGTTGGCCTACAACTCCTGCAGAAGGGAACTTACAGACCCCTAAAGGAAGTGGACTCTGAAGGGCTTCTCTGGTTTCCATGGGGATGCATGGAGCTGTGGGCATGCCTCTGCATTCTGCATTCTGCATCTCATATGTGATCCACTAACAGCACACACTGCATAGCACGGCCCATCTAGGAACCAGGCAGACACAGAGACCCTCGGCCAGAGCTTGAGAAGTTGCATGCACCAGGGGCACACCTAGCCCTGAGGCAAGGCTGCCTCAGTGGGGAGGGATGGGACAGGCTCACACCCCTCCAGCTTCCTGCTGTCAGTGACTCTTTCCTTCTGAGACTTCCCAGGAACTTGCGGCAGGCCTGGCTGCCCCTCCAGCTGCACGTCCTCTCTCAGTTATGCTGGCACCTCAGGATGCAGCTTTGGCTGCCTGCCCTGTGCTATTCCCTTCCTCACACCTTGAGATGGCCTCCCCAACTCAGCCCATACCCTCGTCCTCAGTTTCCCCACTTCCCCATCGGCAACCTAACTGACTTCAACTATCCACTTTTTGTATTCCATCTTCTCAGTAAAACCTGCCAGACAACTGATCCATCCAAGCAGACCAATCTGAATACCCTCACTGGCAAATCATTTCAAATGCAATAAAAAGAAAATGTCTTTCCTAAGGCAGCAATTGGAAGAAAACCATCTTCTGATTTGTTTTCTTTGTCAAATGATGGTGGGTGAATAACTTATCTGAATTATGTTAGATTATTCTAATCATATATAGAATAAGGTCAGCTCAGGATCTCAGAACAGTCCCGCTTGGAGTTGGAGAATGCTAAATATCTGGTGATAGGAAAATGGTAGCAGGAGAGGGAAAGTAGGTAAAAGGGTGCTGACTTAATTGTTAAGGTACCACCAACAGTTAGTAATATAACACCATCAATAAAAATGGAAATGTTGGCCGGACACAGTGGGTTACGCCTGTAATTCCATCACACTGGGAGGCTGAGGCGGGCATATCATCTGAGGTCAGGAGTCTGAGACCAGCCTGGCCAATATGGTGAAACCCCATCTCTAATAAAAATACAAAAATTAGCCAGGCATGATGGCATGTGCCTGTGATCCCAGCTACTCAGAAAGCTGAGGCAGGAGAATCACTTGAACCCAGGAGGCAGATGTTGCAGTGAGCTGAGATTGTGCCACTCCAGCCTGGGCCACAGAGCAAGACTCCATCTCAAAAATAAAGAAAAAAAAAGGAATTGTCAAAACTGACCTCCCCTATGCATTCTGCCAATGGATGAAAGGGTTTTGGCATTCACCCATGTCAGCTCCTTCTGCACAACCCCAAAAGCAACCTCAGTGTTTCAAACCAAACAAATCATAAATCAAGCTCTGTGCACAGCCTCCAGCCTCTACAAAGAAGAGGGGGCCCCAGATAGCAGGAAGGCCTGAGCTGGATCCATCCAGGGGACTGTGACTGGCAGGTGACACACGCTGGCTGTCATCTCCATGGTCCAGCGGGCAGCCCACACTTGGCCCAGGGGACAGCAGGCCATGTGGGCTCTATCCAGCAGAAGACCTCGGCCCTTTAAATCCGATAGCCCTAGGGAATTACATCAGCCAGCTACTGGCCAGGACATTCAGTTCTTAGCCTGACATCTGAGTCAGAGGACTCCAAGTTGCTTGGCTGAGCTGATGAAGGTTTGCAGCTGATGAGGCCAATGCTGTGGCTGCAGTCCTGAGTCAGCCAGTTCTATCCCTTCTCCCCAGCCCGGGGCTGTGCACGACCACTTCCCGCCAGTTGTTCTTACAGCTGTGTGCCACAGAGCATAAACGGTGGAGCATAAACCCTGTGAGAGCGGGTAAGTCTATGCCACCCACCTCCCAGTAGTTCCCAGCACTGCATTCCTTGCTGTGCAGCAATGCACTCTACCTTTGGGATGGTGCATTTTCCCTGCATTAATTTATCCTCTGAATAATCGTGTGGGGAAATCTTGTTATTTTATGAGCACAAGTGGGGTTTTTCTCTTCACTTTACAGACAGCATAAATGAAGCTCAGAATGTAAGATTCAGGGGTGGATCCTGGGCTGCACCCTAGCTTCCTTGTCACCAATTTCATGTCTAGCTCACACAAAGGCACCTGCACCTTCAGCACCGGCCTTCCCCAGCTGCTGACCCCAAGAAGGGAGGCCAACGCCCAGGAGAGGAGGGTCCACTCCTCTGAGTATGGACTATGGGTGACTCTTGGGTTAGGAGAGGTGAGAACTGTGCTTGGCTTGTGCAGACTAAGGAGGAAGCCAATTCCCTGGTAGCTGTTGTGGGATCTGGCACAGGCCACAGGTATGTGATCTGAAGGCCCCACTTGGGCAGCTCCACTCACAGCCGAGCGGTCAGAACATTCCCATCCTAGAGGGACAGAGAAAGGGGGAGCCCCCTGAGCCAGTGTCCCTGCCCTACGAGGGTTCTTCTGTCCACAGAAGCAGCTTCAAGACCTGCTGAGTTCCCAGAGCTACATGTCAAAGGTGAAACTCTAGAAACAGAGCTGCTCATTCACATTCACCTTTTGAAAACACAGCATCCTAGTCTCAATGAGAAAACCTAGGATCTCTGAATGAGGAAGGGAGGAGGTGAGAGTGACCAGGAAAACATCTGAAGCACAGATTATTCCTTGGCGAAATCCAGTTTCATTGTGTTGATTTGCTAAACTACCTTCAGCAATTTTCTTAACTGCATTCAGTAATTCCAAAAAAAGGTGAAAAAGGGATATACCAAAGAATTAAATTCAAGTGTGGACAATTCTCATATCAGGTGTATGCACGACCCACATATGAAGGTGGTTACTCTAAGATTTTGAAGAGTTTATTCTCCTCAACAGGGCCAACATAACCTGCAATTTTACATAACTTCTATATTGCTCGGATTTTTTTTCTTACAAATAGTGTGTTGGTAGAACTAAGCTCAGTTCTTTTCCAATTAGCCCAAATTCTGAGTTTGTGGAGTTCAAGCTAATGAGGTTTGTGTTATTGCAAATACGAGAAGAGCTGGGCAAACCATCACAATATGAAGTTAACGACAAGAAAGAGATCAACGAGGAAGGTTTGCTAAATTCCCCGTGTACAGAGAACATTTTCCAAAAAGAAAATGGAATCGGATACTTACAGATAGGACCGACTTCTAAGAGATTGTCAAAGGAGCAGCATGTTGTGGTCCCCAGGGTGGCAACCATCTAGAGGGTAAAAAGCAGACAGCCTTTTATTCCCCAGGTGCCAGTCACCGCTGTAACCTCCACACAAGCAACTGCTGCCCCATGGTCCAACCTGGGGCCATGAGCCGAGATCCCAATGAATGTCTGCTACATGGAAACGTAAGCCCATGGATGCACATTGAATCTTTGGGTGAAAGCATCATAACAGGTTAAGAGAAACAGATTTGCAGACAGAAAACTAAGCTCTGAGGTTAGAAACCGGGAAGTTGCAAAAGATTTTCCAGGGTGCCTTGGGGCAGACATGAAGCAATCTACCACCTGGACAATGATACCTATATTCTACTTTAGTAAATATACATATACTATATTCTACTTTATTAAATATACATATATATGTATGTGTGTATATTTTTGTTAAATTTTAATTAACGTTCTATGTAACATTAGTGTAACTATGTTCTTATATTCCATATATACATTTTAATTTAATTATAATCTAATTAAATTTATAATTAAGTTATAATTAAAATATACACAAGTGTATATATTTTATTTTCTATATATATATGTGTGTGTATATATATACATATATAGAGAATGTAAGAACATAGTTACTACTATGGAGCAGAAGCCTGGGATTTTTTCCTAGTTTGGGGGGGTGTGTGTGTGTCTGTGTGTGTGCACGTGTGTGTGTGCATACACCCATGTGCAATGCACAGAGCAGAGCAAGCGCAGTAGAGATGAGTCTCCCTCCAGCAGGGCCCAGACTGCCCAAGGCACTCATGGAATGCTTCTTTCAGAACAGACTTTGGCATCAGTTAAGAGTCACACTAGGATTTTGAGCAAGAGTATCATTTACCAGCTTTAATCCGCTGCCTTTCTCTTTCTGAATGATACTGTTCCCAAAGATTAATTAAATCCTCAGGAGGTCATGAGAAAACACTGCTGACATTGAAAATAATTTTAAAAGGGATGTTCTGAGAAAGCATTGAGTGCTGTCAGTCACACAACCCAGAAAATACGGGCTGGGAGTCACTGCGGCCTCTCCCGAGCTCTGAGGACCTTGTGGTGCCACGATCGCACTGGCACAGCCTGACTGTGTTGTCCCCACACACATGTCTGTCTCTCCCTCCAGACCCATGATGCTCCCAAAGCCAGGGACCCTGTCTCATTGTTTTGTGTTGGGCTGAGCATTTGCACTTTGCTGGACATTGCATAGATGCTGAAACCTATTGCTGAATTGAAACAGCTCTCTCCAAAGGATCAAAACGCACATTATGTTTACAAAACCAAAGGGCCTAATTGATTTATGGATGTCATGCAGTCTAGATAATGAAATTTCTTTGCAGATGCGACAAGAGTGTGGAATAGAATTAAATTTGTGTGACCTTTATTGAGCCCCCTGTAAAGTCTTAGCAATGCCATGTGTCCTGAGGATAAAGATAGAGAGGTCAGAAACTCGTATGTGAGAACCCCAGTTCGAGACCTTTGTGGCTCCATTTCACCTATGACTGCCTCGCATTTCACCTGGAAACCAACTTTTCCTTTTAGAGAGAGACAAAGTGTTCATGCCCAGGTAGCACAGAGTCAGCCTGCAGAAGGTTCGTCTCACCAGCTTTGCCCTGCTCCTCTCACAGGTGGCTGGGCTGGACAAGGTACTTCTCAGACAGAGCGATGCCTGCTCAGGGACCAGAGTTTTCCATGCCAAACCCCGGGGCGTGGGCCCAAAACAGGTCCTGGCTGGACTCTGGAAGGGCTCTCTGTGTCACTGAGCTATGCCCAAGGGAGTCAGTCCCCCAAGGGGCTACCCTCAGGCGCAGGAGGGGCAGTCTGTTTAAATGTAGGCTTTCTTCTTGTTCAGGATGGTGAGCCCAACAAGTCAGGAGATGACTGCCATTAAAAACAGCTTGTTCCTCACAGTCCCCAAGGGGAGGGGGACATGGGGAAGCACGAGGATCAGTTGGGCAGCAGAGGGGTGGGGGAAAAACAGCGGCAAGGGCCTGTGTTGTGGTTTCCACAGGAAGAACCAGGCAGGGCAAGGGTGAGCAGGATTAGGATCGGCTGGTTTGAATAATTTCAGTGGGCTCTGGGGTCGCATTTGGTCTGCTCCAGGTCACATTTGGAGCAGTGGCTGTCCCTAGATGTCTGGTACCTAGCCCTTGAGTGGTCAGGGCAGGAGGATAGTAGCCCAGAGTGTGAGAGCCCCACAGAGGAGATGCTGGGGTAGGAGCTCTGTACTGATGATTTTGCATTTCAAAGGTGAATTTGCTTTTTTTTTACAAATTTGTTTGAGTTCCACACACCGGGGCCTGTCATGGGGTGGCAGGAGTGGGGAGGGATAGCATTAGGAGATACACCTAATGTAAATGACGAGTTAATGGGTGCAGCACACCAACCTGGCACATGTATACATATGTACAAACCTGCACGTTGTGCACATGTACCCTAGAACTTATAATAAAAAAGAAAAGAAAAGAAAGGTGAACTTGCAAGTGAGTCCTTTAAGAGCTCTAGGAAACCCCTCTCCCTGAGAAGGGCAGTCCCTCCAGGGTCAGCAAGACCCAAAGGTGTCACAGCATCAGAAGCACAGATAGTAAAAAGGCACAGTGAATACAGATAGTTAAACCATGTATGTGGGGCACAGAGACCTGGGCTGGAGGCCCAACTCCATGTCACATTGGCACCTGGCTGGGCTTTATTTTTCTTACCTACAAAGCAACGTATTGCACTTACAGACCTGCCCGGTCTATCAGGTGCCAACGGGCTAACATCTTGCATACCTCAATGTTTCTCCTGGTGCTGTCAGCATCCTTTCTTAACCTCTGGATGTCCCCTCCTCATGTCAAGCATCAATAATTCTCCGCATTTGTTTCATTTTGGCAAGATAAGTCATTTAGTGGGAATTGAAGTCAGTGTGTTGTTTTTCTCTGCTATTTGCAATTTCATCTTGACATATAATTGAATGTTAAAGCACTTTGTCTAAGACACCTGGCTACTCAGTTTGTAGAGCATGAGAGTCTTAGAATGCCTTATCTTTATCCTTAAGAGAATAGCGAAAAAGAATGACTTAACAATATTAATATTGCTTGAAACTTATTTTCTCAACTCCCAGAGTCATATCTTAGAAATGACATATCTCTAGTTTAGCAATTCCTTCTGTTTCATCTGACTTTCTTCAGTTAAACACTAAACTAAATGCAATAACTTTTTTTTTTTGAGATGGAGTTTCACTCTTTTTGTCGAGGCTGGAGTGCAGTGGTGCGATCTCAGCTCACTGCAACCTCCACCTCCTGGGTTCAAGTGATTCTCCTGCCTCAGTCTCCCGAGTAGCTGGGATTACAGGCACCACATCCAGCTAATTTTTTGTATTTTTAGTAGAGACGGGGTTTCACCATGTTGGCTAGGCTGGTCTCTAACTTCTGACCTCAGGTGATTCACCCACCTCGGTCTCCCAAAGTGTTGGGATTACTGGGGAGAGCCACCATGCCCAGCCAATAACTTCTATTATTAAAAATTTATTAAATGTGCCCTTATTAAAATTATTTTCTCTCTATTAATGTGTGCATAGAAGAGTATCTAGAGTGATGTTCACCAAACAGTAATACTGCATTTCTCTTAAGATTTTGGTTAACATAAACCTTTATTCTTAGATTCTTATGTAATTACTGATTTTTTTTGTTCTGAGTATGAAACATCTTTGCAGAAACAATAAAACCCGGCCTTGTCCTGGCAGTGGCCTAGGTTGAGAATAGGGGTGATGTTCTTTGCGGCTAACTCTGCAGCAGGCCTAATGCTGACAGCCTTTCCTATATGATATTTAATTGCCACCACCTTATGAGTTAGATATGCTCGTGATTCCCACTTTACAGTTGACTTATGTGAGGCTCCAAGAGGTGGGTAATTGTCCCAGGACACCCAGATAGGCAGGAGCAGACCAAATGTGACCCCAGGCTTGGTTAGCTCTTGTTGTCCTGCCACATGCTGGGCAAACAGGACCCCTGGGACACCAGTCCCTGAACATCAGTTAACGAGCTCAGCACCTGGGCCATGCCAGAGGCCCCTCCAACAAACCCAAGCACTTTGCTGTGGTAAGGAGGAGGCCTGGGGGCTGCAAGGACAGTGTTCTAAGTGGCTTGTCTACGTGGGGCTGAGCTACAAGTCAGCCTGTCCTAATTCTCAGAAGCCACTTTAAAGCCAGCACCTGCTCCGCTCCAGGCTCTGATTACTCCAGCTCAGCATTGCTCAATGACGCTAACCTGATTCCAGGCGCTCTGCAGAGGCATAATCACATTTGTGCAGGGGGAAGGAGGGGTAGGGGACAGTTCAGGCCTCCATCTCAAAGAGCCCACAGTCTTCCTGCAGTGGCAGAGCCCAGCACAACCTTCTCTTCTGCATCCTTGCCCCTTCGACTAGCCCTCTGTGCTCACGTAAGTGCCTCGCAGGCATCGCCCTCTGTGGCCCGACCTTATCAAGCTGGCTCATTAGGGAAGCAAGCTGTCCTGAGAAACAAGGGGAAACTTTATTACAAGCCCCAAGCCTGTTCATGGAAGGGCAATGATTCAGCTTTTCTGGTTCAAACCCTGCCAAATGTGCCCCTTGCCCTCAGCAGCAAGTCTTCAATTTTAAGGGATCTACAGCCCCTTTGAGAATATAATGAAGACCATGTGGCTACATCCCAGAAGGACGCATATAGTCATTATGCACATGCCCAGTTATAACCACAAGGGCACAGCTGGGCAGTGAGACAAGGCTCAGGCTCCAACCCCTCTCCTATGAGGGCCCAGACTCTCTCCAGCTTTACAATCCTTTGGCTGCCAGTTAAAGACAACAAACAAGGTGCATTTCCTGGAATGTCCTGTGCTTTTCTGATCTCTGTACGCTGCAGCCCTCTTCCCTCCAACAAGAAAGGCACCATGCCCAGAAGTACCTGCCTGGATATCCCCTGACACAGCTCCTGTGTTCTCTCTCAGCAACAGGCTTTCCAAATCCCCTCTAGGAAGTTTATTTGCGCCCTCTACCCATGTATATATGCATTGTTCTCATCAAATGGCGTGGAGATGGGAACATACCTGTCTTCCCCACCAAGAACCATGCCATGAGGAAAGGGACCATGGCTCGCCACACACCTCCAGGGCTGGTACGGTGCCGGTGCATGGGGCAGTCTACGGCAAAAAAGTGATTCTCCTCTCTGATCCGATACCTACAATTGGCCCACATCTGTGGCTTCTATCAGCAGAATGTTCTGGAATTTTGGTCTTTAGGGCAAAATTCCAACAGAGGCATATTAATTTGGTCCTTCCATCTTCCTCAAAGAAAATAAAATTTGATTTTGTTTCTCTTAATGAAATGTGTAGTCTTCTCTTTCGTGCTTCTGCCTCCTCCACCAGCTCCTTCACATGCACAGATAAATCTCTCTCTCAGCACATCTCCCTCGGCCCAACTTGCTCCAGCAATGGCACTATTTACTCTTCTTTCCTTCACAGGCAAACTTCTTTATAAAGGAATCCATTCCCACATTTTTCATTTCCTCATTTGCCCAGTGGAATCTGAATTTCACCCACAGACACTCTAGTAAATAAACTCCTAAGAAAATCGTAAATTACTTCCTCTTAGCAAATGAATGAATGAATGAATGAATGAGTCATTTCTTAGTGCCTGTATTACTTGGCACTTCCAGCAATTTCACCATTACATTTCTTTCAGTAGAAGTCACTATTTTAACATGACTTTTATGTTTAATAACTCTTTATAAAGAAACTTTTGGTATAAATTGGTACAATGTTTTTGAAGTAGAATGTGAGAGTATGTATCAAAGTCTTGGGGAAAAAAAACCCATCTCTTTCATTAAGTAATTTCAGGGCTATAAATCATTCCCAAGAAATTCTGATAAGTAAATTTTCTCATTTACTTATCTTACTTATATAAGATACTTACGTATCTTTTTTTTTTTGAGACGGAGTCTCACTCTGCTGCCCAGGCTGGAGTGAAGTGGTGCCATCTCAGCTCACTGCAAGCTCCGCCTCCCGGGGTTCAGGCCATTCTCTCATCTCAGCTTCCCAAGTAGCTGGGACTACAGGTGACTGCCACCATGCCCGGCTAATTTTGTTTTTGTATTTTCAGTAGAGAAGGGGTTTCACCGTGTTAGCCAGGATGGTCTCGATCTCCTGACCTCATGATCCGCCCACCTTGGCCTCCCAAAGTGCTGAGATTACAGGTGTGAGCCACCGCACCTGGCCACTTATGTATCTTACTTATTTACTTTGTTTACATAAGCTATTATAGATAAGTAAATAAGTAAATGAATAAAATTTTTAAGTGCACCAATTACTACAAGAAAGAATGTAAGTAGGCCGGGTGCTGTGGCTTATGCCTATAATCCCAGCACTTTGGGAGGCCAAGGCTGGCAGATCACTTGAGGTCAGGAGTTTAAGACCAGTCTGACCAACATGGTGAAACCTCATCTCTACCAAAAATACAAAAATTAGCCAGGTGTGGTGGTGCACATCTGTAATTCTAGCTATTTGGGAGGCTGAGGCAGGAGAATCACTTGAACCTAAGTAGCAGTGGTTGCAGTGAGCTGAGATCACATCACTGCACTCCAGCCTGGGTGACAGAGTGAGACTCCATCTCAAAAAAAAAAAAAAAAAAATGTAAGTAAGATGGCAGGGCACGGTGGCTCACGCCTGTAATCACAGCACTTTGGGAGGCCAAGGCGGGCGGATCACGAGGTCAGGAGATCGAGACCATCCTGGCTAACACGGTAAAACCCCGTCTCTACTAAAAATACAAAAAATTAGCTGGGCGCGGTGGTGGGCGCCTGTAGTCCCAGCTACTCAGGAGGCTGAGGCAGGAGGATGGCATGAACCTGGGAGGTGGAGTTTGCAGTGAGCCGAGATAGCGCCACTGCACTCCGGCCTGGGCGAAAGAGCGAGACTCTGTCTCAAAAAAAAAAAAAAAAAAAAAAACTCAACTGTTTAACACTAGCTTATTGCTAGGATATTAGGATATATCTATACACACACACACACACACACACACACACACACAAAATAATATATAATTTATTTAATAGGAGTTCATAAAATATGAATTTTATGAATACATAAAATACAAATACATACATATATGTACATATATGTGAATTCCTATTAAATAAATTACATTTATATTTATTTATGTTATATGTATGTGTGTACATATATGTATATATGAGAGAGATAGCTGGGAAAGATAGAGATATAATAGAGTACTATGCGACTTTTTTTAACAAAATTATACTTTTATATAATATATATAATGACCTGAAAAAAATGCTTGTAATATTTGATGTAAAGAAAGAAAATCTGACTAGGCATGGTGGCTCATGCTTGTAACCCCAACACTTTGGGAGGCCAAGGCAGATGGATCACTTGAGGTCAGGATTTCGAGACTAGCCTGGCCAACACTTTGGGAGGCCGAGGCAGGCAGATCACAAGGTCAGGAGATTGAGGCCATCCCGGCTAACACGGTGAAACCGTGTCTCTACTAAAAATACAAAAAAATTAGCCAGGCATGGTGGCACACGCCTGTAGTCCCAGCTACTTGGGAGGCTGGGGCAGGAGAATTGCTTGAATCTGGGAGGCAGAGGTTGCAGTGAGCCAAGATCGCGCCACTGCACTCCAGCCTGGGCGACAGAGCGAGACTCCATCTCAAAAAGAAAAAAAGAAAAAGAAAAAAAATTGATTCACATACTAAGAGAGAAGAAAAGATGGAATTCTATAAAATGCTCAGTTAAAACAAGAGAAGGCAAAGAATAGAAGACCAAAAATGAAACAAAGAATAAGAGCAGCAAATAGGAAAAGGTAATAAATATTGTAGATATTTATCCAACTACATCAATAATTATTTTAAATATCAATGGTCTAAATGCACTAATTGAAAAGGGTAATGGGTGCACCAAAATCTCATAAATCACCACTAAAAAACTTATCCACAAAACCAAACACCACCTATTCCACAAAAGCCTATTGAAATAAAAAATTAAAATTAAAATAATTAAAAATAAAATAAAGCACACAGACTGTCAGAATGGGTAAGAAAACAAGACCCAACTATATTTTCTGTATAAGAAATGCACTTTAAATGTCAAGATACAGATTAAAGGTATAGCGATGTAGAAAAATATACCATGCTAACACCAATGAAAATAAAGCTGGAATAGCTATATTAATTTTAGACAAAGTGGATCAAGAAAATTGTTAAAGAAAATTGTCAGGGATAAAAAAGAGCATTACAGATATAGGGTAAAGAGGAGATGAAGGAGTAGGAAGCACCAGGAAATCTGTCTCCCAGCTAAACAAAACTTTTACCTACTGGCAGAATCTGTTTGATGCAATTATTTTGAAACTCTGGGGTCTATTGAAGGCTTGCAACTTCAATATAAGGGTTGGACAGGAAAATACAGTTAATTTTGGTCAATTTTAGCTCTAGTACAGTAGTACCTACCCATCCACCACCCCCAGGCCCATGGCACATAGCTGAGCATGTGTCCCTGGAGCAGCTTGCACAGAGCTTGCAAGAGCCAAAGTGAGAAAAAGGGAACTGTCCTCCAAATATTGGGAGTCTGCACTTTGATTGTTGATTGTTGATTACTGATCCCAGTCACAGGTGCAAAGAGGTGGTGGCCATTGTTGTACACCCTGCCCATTGCTGCAAGACCCACCTTATCCAACTGAAGTGACTTCTGGGGGATAAAAAGGGCCAGTGCCTTTTTCCCCCCTTATTTTCCTCTTTTCCCTTTTTAAGGATACAGACAGTGTGAAGACTTGGATATTCAAAGACTAACACCTATGTAGGGGAAATTAGAAAGTCATCACACATACCCAGAAAAGACACAGGCTCAGAAAATAACTGAAAGAACCTTACATTTATACCTAAGGCCAATCATCATGGCATATGGGAGGCAGGACTAGATTGAGATTGCAGCACTGGACAGAGCAGCGTGTGGAGGCTCACATTTGTGAATTTTAGCTCCAGGTTGACTGCAAGAACAAACCAGCAATCCCGAGAGGACCCACAGACTCTGTGAAGGAAGTGAAATGCTCCTGCAGGTCTCAGGAGGCACCCTAAGTACTGTGAGTGCCCCAGCTGCAGAAGCGGGAAAGGGAGACCCTCCTCTCCTGAACACACACCCCCACTAGAGAAAGTGAAGGTCTGTTGCGGGAGAAGTTTCCGACTTTACCTGGATCTGAGTCAATTTAGACAGTCGAGCAAAATACAGGGGTAGAGGAAGCAGCAGAAAGGCACTGGGAACTCACTGGGTTCCCAAGCAGGTCATTCCTGCTGGCACCACAGGGATCCATTGGGAAGGCAGCCAGAGGAGCAGTGGGTAAAACTTCACAGGGAGAAGGAAATCTCCAGCTGAACATTGTAACAGTTCGAACGGATGAGAAGCCTCCTGGCCAGAACTCGGGGACGGTGCAAATCCGGTGTGCAGGCTCCAGAGGGAGGGGAAAAACCAAGCCCTTTTCTTTCATAGCTGGGAAGTAGGTAGCCTGGGGCAAGTTTTTAAGCCCCTCTCGCCCATGCCCAGAAACAGACTTGGGGCTCTTGGCAGGGGCACGGTGGGAGGGAGACAGGCCCTTCGGTTTGTGTGGGAGCTGGGTGAGGGCTGTGACTGCTGGCTTTCCCTACTTCTCTGACAACCTGCATGACTCAGCAGAGGCAGCCATAATCCTCCTAGGTACACAACTCCAGTGACCTAGGACTCTCACCCCCATCCCCCACAGCAGCCGCAGCAAGACCCACCCAAGGAAAGCCTGAGCCCAGACATGCCTAGCCCCACCCCCGCCTGGTGGTCGGTCCCTACCCACCCTAGTAGCGAAAGACAAAGGGCATATAATCTTGGGAGTTGTAGGGCCCTGCCCACCACTGGGCCCTCTCCATACTACTACAGCTGATGCTCTCTGGAAAGCACTACCTCCTGCAGAAGGCCAACCAGCACAAAATCAGAGCATTAAACCACCAACGCTAAGAACCCTCACGGAGTCCATTGCACCCCCTCCCCAACTCACCTCCACCAGAACAGGTGCTGGTATCCATGGCTGAGAGACCCATAAATAGTTCACACTGAAGGACTCTGTGCAGATAACCCCTGGTACCAGCCCAGAGCTGGGTAGACTGCCTGGGTGGCCAGACCCAGAAAAGAGACAACAATCACTGCAGTTCAGCTCACAGGAAGCCACATCCATAGGAAAAAGGGGAGAGTACTACATCAAGGGAACACCCTGTGGGACAAAAGAATCTGAACAACAGTCTTCAGCCCTAGATATTCCCCCTGACAGAGCCTACACAAATGAGAAAGAACCAGGAAACCAACCCCGGTAATATGACAACACATGGCTTTTCAACACCCCCCAAAAAAATCACACTAGTTCACCAGCAATGGATCCAAACCAAGAAAAAATCCCTGATTTACCTGAAAAATAATTCAGAAGGTTAGTTATTAAGCTAATCGGGGAAGCACCAGAGAAAGGCAGAGCCCAATGCAAGAAAATCCACAAAACAATACAAGAAGTAAGAGGAGAAATATTCAAGGAAATAGATGCATAAAGAAAAAGCAATCAAAACTTCAGGAAACTTTGGACACACTTTTAGAAATGTGGAATGCTCTGGAAAGTCTCAGCAATAGAATTGAACAAGTAGAAGAAAGAAATTCAGAGCTTGAAACTTTGGACACACTTTTAGAAATGTGAAATGCTCTGGAAAGTCTCAGCAATAGAATTGAACAAGTAGAAGAAAGAAATTCAGAGCTCGAAGACAAGGTCTTTGAATTAACGCAATCCAACAAAGATAAAGAAAAAAGAATAAGAAAATATGAACAAAGCCTCCAAGAAGTCTGGGATTATGTTGAACCTAAGAATAATCAGTGTTCCCGAGGAAGAAGAGAATTCTAAAAGGTTGGAAAACATATTTGGGGGAGTAATTGAGGAAAATTTCCCCGACCTGGCTAGAGACCCAGCCATCCAAATACAAGAAGCACAAACAACCCTTAGGAAATTCATGGCAAAAAGATCTTCACCTAGGCACATCAGACTATCCAAAGTTAAGATGAAAGAAAGAATCTTAAAAGCTGTGAGACAGAAGCACCAGGTTACCTACAAAGAAAACCTATCAGATTAACAGCAGATTTCTCAGCAGAAACCCTACAAGCCAGAAGGGATTGGGACCCTATCTTCAGCCTCCTCAAACAAAACAATTGTCAGCCAAGAATTTTGTATCCAGCTGAACTAAGCATCATATATGAAGGAAAGATACAGTCCTTTTCAGACAAACAAATGCTGAGAGAATTCACCATTACCAAGCCACCACTACAAGAACTGCTAAAAGGAGCTCTAAATCTTAAAACAAATCCTGGAAACACATCAAAATAGAACCTCTTTAAAGCATAAATGACACAGGACCTATAAAGCAAAAATACAAGTTAAAAAGCAAAAACAAAAAACAAACAAACAAAAAAAGTACACAGGCAACAAAGAGCATGATGAATGCAAGGGTACCTCATATTTCAATACCAAAATTGAATGTAAATGACCTAAATGCTCCACCTAAAAGATACAGATCCACAGAATGGATAATAACTCACCAACCATCTGCTGCCTTCAGGAGATTCACCTAACGCATAAGGACTCACATAAACTTAAGGGGTGGAAAAAGGCATTTCATGCAAATGGACACCAAAAGTAAGCAGGGGTAGCTATTCTTATATCAGACAAAACAAACTTTAAGGCAACAGCAGTTGTAAGAGACAAAGAGGGACGTTATATAATGGTAAAAGGCATTGTCCAACAGGAAAATATTGTAATCCTACATATATATGTGCCTATTACTAGAGTTCCCAAATTGATCAAACAATTACTACTAGACCTAAGAAATGAGATAGACAGCAACACAATAATAGTGGGAGACTTTAGTACTCCACTGACAGCACTAGACAGGTCATCAAGACAGAAAGTCAACAAAGAAACAATGGATTTAAACTATATCCTGGAACAAATGGACTTAACAGGTATATACAGAATATTTCATCCAACAACCACAGAATACACATTCCGTTCAACAGCGCATGGAACTTTCTCCAAGATAGACCATATAATAGGCCATAAAACAAACATCAATAAACTTAAGAAAACTGAAATTATATCAGGCACTCTCTCAGACCACAGTGGAATAAAACTGGAAATTATCTCCAAGAGGAACTTTCAAAACCATGCAAATACATGGAAATTAAATAAACTGCACCTGAATGAGCACTGGCTCAAAAACAAAATCAAGATGGAAATTTAAAAATTCTTCAAACAGAACAACAGTAACGACACAACCTACCAAAACCTCTGGGATACAGCAAAGGGGATGCTAAGAGGAAAATTTATAGCCCTAAACACCTCATTGAAAAGACTGAAAGAGCACAAACTGACATTCTAAGGACACACCTCAAGGAACTAGAGAAACAAGAAAAAAATGAAACCCAAACTCAGCAGAAGAAAGGAAATAACCAAGATCAGAGCAGAACTAAATGAAATTGAAACAAAAAAAAAATACAAAAGATAAATGAAACAAAAAGCTGATTTCTTTGAAAAGTTAAATAAAATTGATAGACCATTAGCAAGATTAACCAAGAAAAGAAGACAGAGAATCCAAATAACCTCACTAAGAAACGAAACAGGAGATATTACAAGTAACACCACTGAAATACAAAAGATCATTCAAGGCTACTATGAGCACATTTATGCACATAAACTAGAAAACCCTTAAGACATGGAGAAATTCCTGGAAAAATACAACCCTCCTAGCTTAAATCAGGAAGAATTAGATACCCTCAACAGACCAACAACAAGCAGTGAGATTGAAGTGGTAATTTAAAAATTACCAACAAAAAAAGTCCAAGACGAGACAGATTCACAGCAGAATTCTACCAGACATTCAAAGAATTGGTACCAATCCTTTTGACACTATTACAGAAGATAAAGAAAAACCCTCCCTAATTCATTCTATGAAGTCAGAATCACCCTAACACCAAAACCAGGAAAGGACATAACCAAAAAAGAAAACTACAGACAGATATCCTTGATGAACATAAATGCTAAAATCCTTAACAAAATAATAGCTAACCAAATCCAAAAATATATCATAAAGATAATCCACCATGATCAAGTGGGTTTCATACCAGGGATGCAGGGATGGTTTAATGTATACAAGTAAATAAATGTGATACACCACAGAAAGAGAATTAAAAACAAAAATCACATGATCATCTCAATAGATGCAGATGCAGAAAAAGCATCTGACAAAACCCAGTATTCCTTTATGATTAAAACTTTCAGCAAAATTGGCATAAAGGGACATACCTTAATATAATAAAATCCATCTACAGCAAACCCACAGCCAACATAATACTGAATGGGGAAAAGTTGAAAGCATTCCCTCTGAGAACTGGAACATGACAAGGTTACCCACTCTCACCACTTCTTTACAACATAGTACTGGAAATCCTAGCCACAGCAATCAGACAAGAGAAAGAAATAAAGGGCATCCAAATCAGTAAAGAGGAAGTCAGATTGTCACTGTTTGCTGCCAATATGATTGCTTGCCTTGAAAATCCTAAAGACTCCTCCAGAAAGCTCCTAAAACTGATAAAAGAATTCAGCAAAGTTTCTGGATACAAGATTAATGTACACAAGTCAGTAGCTCTTCTATACACCAACAGCAACCAAACTGAGAATCAAATCAAGAACACTTTTATAATAGCTAAAAAAAAAAAAAAAAAAAAACCTTAGGAATATACCTAACCAAGGAGTTGAAGACCTCTACCAGGAGAACTACAAAACATTGCTGAAAGAAATCATAGATGGGGCCGGGCCTGGTGGCTCACACTTGTAATCCCAGCACTTTGGGAGGCTGAGATGGGCGGATCACAAGTTCAGGAGATCAAGAAGATGCTGGCGAACATGGTGAAACCCCATCTCTACTAAAAAATACAAAAAAATTAGCCAGGCGTGGTGGCAAGTGCCTGTAGTCCCAGCTACTCAGGAGGCTGAGGCAGGAGAATGGCATGAACCTGGAAATGTGAAGGTTGCAGTGAGCCAAGATCATGCCACTGCACTCCACCCTGGGTGACAGAGCGAGACTCCATCTCAAAAAAAAAAAAAAAGAAATCATAGATGACACAAACAAATGGAAACACATTCCATGCTCATTAATGGGTAGAATCAATATTGTGAAAATGACCATACTACCAAAAGCAATCTACAAATGCAATGCAATCCCCATCAAAATACCACCATCATTCTTCA
The DNA here is from genome assembly GCF_000001405.40 of Homo sapiens. NCBI lineage: Eukaryota > Metazoa > Chordata > Mammalia > Primates > Hominidae > Homo > Homo sapiens. Next base: position 50,518,369 of record NC_000007.14, read on the forward strand.
CAGAAATAGAAAAAAACAATTCTAAAATTCATATGAAACCAAAAAAGAGCCAGCATAGTCAAAGCAAGACTAAGCAAAAAGAACAAATCTGGAGGCATCACACTACCTGATTTCAAACTATACTATAAGGCCATAGTCACCAGAACAGCATGGTACTGGTATAAAAATAGGCACATAGACCAATGGAACAGAATAGAGAACCCAGAAATAAATCCAATACTTACAACCAACTGATCTTCAACAAAGCAAACAAAAACATAAAGTGGGGGAAAGGACACCCTTTTCAACTAATGTTGCTGGGATAATTGGCTAGCCACATGTAGGAGAATGAAACCGCATCCTCATCTCTCACCTTATACAAAAATCAACTCAAGATGGATTGAGGACTTAAACCTAAGACCTGAAACTATAAAAATTCTAGAAGATAACATTGGAAAAACCCTTGTAGACATTGGCTTAGGCAAGGATTTCATGAACAAGAACCCAAAAGCAAATGCAATAAAAACAGAGATAAATGGCTGGGACCTAATTAAACTAAAGAGCATTTGCATGGCAAAAGGAACAGTCAGCAGGGTAAACAGACAACCCACAGAGTGGGAGGAAATCTTCACAATCTATACATCTGACAAAGGACTAATATCTAGAATCTACAATGAACTCAAACAAATCAGTAACACGATAAACAAACAATCCCATCAAAAACTGGGCTAAGGACATGAATAGACAATTCTCAAAAGAAGATATACAAATGGCCAACAAACATATAAAAAAAATGCTCAACATCACTAATAATCAGGGAAATGCAAATCAAAACCACAATGCAATACCACCTTACTCCTGCAAGAATAGCCATAATCAAAAAATCAAAAACATTAGATGTTGGCATGGATGTGGTGATCCAGGAACACTTCTACACTGCTGGTAGGAATGTAAACTAGTATAGCCACTATGGAAATCTGTGTGGAGATTCCTAAAAGAACTAAAAGTAGAACTACCATTTGATCCAGCAATCCCACTACTGGGTATCTACCCAGAGGAAAATAAGTCATTATTAGAAAGAGATACTTGCACATGCATGTTTAAAGCAGCACAATTCACAATTGCAAAATCGTGGAACCAACCAAATGCCCATCAATCAACGAATAAATAAAGAAACTGTGGTATATATACATACAATGGAATACTACTCAGCCATAAAAAGTAATGAATTAACAGCATTCGCAGTGACCTGGATAAGATTGGACACATTCTAAGTGAAGTAGCTCAGGAATGGAAAACCAAACATTGTAGGTTCTCACTGATATGTGGGAGCTAAGCTATGAAGACACAAAGGCATGAGAATGATACAATGGGCTTTGGGGACTTGGGGGGAAGAGTGGGAGCGGGGGTGAGGAATAAAAGACTACAAATGTGGTGCAGTGTATACTGCTCAGTTTATGGGTGCACCAAAATCTCACAAATCACCACTAAAGGAATTTACTCATGTAACCAAATACCACCTGTACCCTAATAACTTATGGGGGAAAAAAAGTTTACACCTAAGGCCAATTTTCAGCACAGAGGTAGTCTACAACAATCAAAACCAAAACAAACAAACAAACAAACAAAAACCAGTAAATCCTGAAGATGGGCGAGAATCTACTTTTCACAGTTACTATATTATTAGTGATAGAACTCTAAGGAGAAACAGATAAACTCACTCTTATAGTTGGAGACTTTGTCACCCCTTTGTCAGAAATGGACAGGTCCAGCAGTCAGAAAATAGGTAAGGATATAATTGAATGGAAAAGTACCATCAATTAACTGGATCAAATCAATATTTGTAAAATATTTCATCCAATGACAGCAGAATATATTTTCTTTCTCACGCTCACAATCAACATTCACCAAGATATACCACATTCCAAGCCATAAAATACATCTCAACAAATTTAAAATAATGGACATTATACAAAGTATGCTCTCAGACTGCATTGGAATTAAATTAGAAATCAATAATAAAAAGATAGCTGGAAGACCCGAAAACTCTTAGAGATCAAACAACACATTTTAAGGTCAAAGGAGAAGTCTCAAGAAAAATTTAAAAGTACTTCAATGAAAATGACAATAAAACTCATCAAAATTTGTGGGATGCAGTGAAACAGTACTTAAAGGGAAATTTACAGAACTGAATGAGTACATTAGAAAAGAAGGGAAATCTAAAATCTATAATCTAAGCTTCCACCTTAATAACCTAGAAAAAAAGGCAATTTAAATGCAATGTGGCCAGGTGCAGTGGCTCATGCCTGTAATCCCAGCACTTTGGGAGGCCGAGGCAGGCGGATCACCTGAGGTCAGGAGTTCAAGGCCAGCCTGACCAACATGGTGAAATCCCATCTCTACTAAAAATACAAAAATTAGCTGGGTATGGTGATGCATGCCTGTAGTCCCAGATACTCAAGAGGCTGAGGCAGGAGAATTGCTTGAACCTGGGAGGTGGAGGTTGTGCCACTGCATTCCAGCCTAGGCAACAGAGTAAGACTCTGTCTCAGAAAATAAATAAATAAATAAATAAATAAATAAATAAATAAATAAATGCAATGTAAGCAGAAGAAAAGAAAAGAAATAATAAGAATTAGAGCAGAAATCAATGAAATTGGAAATAGGAAATAAAGAAAAAAGCTGACTCTTTGAAATGATAAATAAATTTTCAAACATTTATACAGGTTAAGAAAAAAGACACACATTGCTAATATCAGAAAGGAAAGTAGAACCATCATTACTAATCCTATGGACATTAAAAAGATAATAAAGAAACAAAATGGATTCCAAGGCCACAAATTCAAAAACCTAAATAAAATAGACCAACTTTTTGAAGGATACAATTTGCCAAAACTCAGACAAAGAGAAAGAGATAACCTCAATGGTGCTACATCTATTTTAAAATTAGATCAATAATTAAAAACCTTCTAAAACAAAGAAACCATGCCAATTGAATTCACTGCTGAGTTCTGCCAAACATTTAAGGAAGTAAGGATTACTTACAGAAAATAGAAGCAAAAGGAATACTTTCTGACTCATTCTATGAGACCAGTATTACAAAGACATTGCAAGAAGGAAAACTATAGAACAATATCTCTCATAAATAGAGATGCAAAAATTCTCAACAAAATATTAGCAAATTGAATCCAACAATGTAAAAAAAATTATATATCAGAACCAAGTGAGATCTATTCCAGGATGGAAGGCTGATTCAACATAGAAAAATAAATTAATATAATCTATCATTTCAACAGGCTGAAGGACAAGAATCTCATGATTATGTAAATAGATACAGAAAAGTGTTTGACAAAATTCAACACTTGTTCATAATAAAAACTCCTAGCAAACTAGGATTCGAGCAGAACATCCTCAACTTGATGAATGACATCTACTCTTAACATCATACTTGATGAATGAAAAACCTACTCTTAACATCATACTTGATGATGAAAAACTAGATGTTTTCCTACGAAGATCAGGAATGAGGCAAGGATGTCTGTTCTTACTACTCCTATCAACATTGTACTGAGAGTTTCAGCTAATGCAATAAGACAAGAAGAGGAAATAAGAGATATACAGATTGGAAGGAAAGAAAAAAAGTATCTTTGCAGATGACATGGTTATCTGTGTAGAAATCCCAAAGAATAAACAAAAACAAAACTCTCCCAGAACTAAGTAAACAATTATGGCAAGCTGTAGGATAAAATGATAATATTAGATAAAAGTTAATTGTTTTCTTATCATCCAGCAATTAAAAAAATGAAATTTGAAAATAAAATAAAAACCATTCCCATTAGCACCAAAAAAAGTAAAAAGAAAAAAAAAAGAATGAGCTTTATATGAGGAAAACTACAATACTCTAATGAAGAAAATTTTTTAAAAGATCTAAATAAATGTAGGCATATTTCACATACATGGATAGGAAGTCTCAATATCATCAAGATGTCAGTTATTTCAACAAAATGCGTAAATTCAATGCAATCCTATATAAAGTCCCAGAAAGTTATTTTGTGCATTTTGCTAAACTGATTCTAATGCTTATATGAAGAGGCAAAGGACCTAGAATAGTCAACATAATATTAAACAACAGTGTTTGAGATCTGACATGACACTACCCAAATTCAAGACTTAGTAGAAAGCTATAAATCAAGACAATATGGTATTGGCAAAGGAAGAGACAAATAAATGAGTTGAACAGAAATAGATCCGCACAAATGAAGTCAACTGATCTTTGACAAAGGAACAAAAGCAATTCAATGGAGGAAGTGTAGTATTCAACAAAAGGTGCTGGAACAACTGAACATCTGCATTAGTCCATTCTCACATTGCTATAAAGAACTTCCTGAGACTGGGTAATTTATAAAGAAAGGAGGTTTATTGTTCCATTACAAAGAAAGGAACTATTGGTTCATAGTTCCACTGGCTATACAGGAAGCATGGCTGGGGGGGCCTCCGGAAACTTACAATCATGGCAGAAGGTGAAGGGGAAGCAAGCACATCTTCATATTGCCAGCAAGAGAGAGCAAAGGGAGAGGTGCTACACACTGTTTAAACAGCCGGATCTCATGAGAATTCACTCACTATCATGAGAACAGCAAGGGAGAAATCCATCCCCATGATCCAATCACCTTCCACCAGGTCCTTCCCCTAACACTGAGGATTACAATTCCACATGGATTCGGGTTGGGACACAGAGCCAAACCATATCAACATCTACATGCAAAAAATGAATCTAGACATAGACCTTACACCTTTCACAAAAATTAACTGAAAATAGATCATAGACCTACATCTATTTTAATGTTTTAAAGTACAAAACTATAAATTTCCGAGAAGATAATATAGGAGAAAACCTAGATGACCTTAGGATTGATGATGAATTTTTGGAGACCACACCAAAAACATGATCCATGAAAGAAGTAATTGATAATCTGGACTTCATTGTAATTAAAACTTCTGCTCTGCAAAAGACATTGTTTAAAGGATGAAATGACAAGCTAAAGACTGGCAGAAAACATTGGCAAAACATATATCTTGATAAAGGTTTGCTACCCAAAATACACAAAGAACTCTTAAAACTCAATAATAATGAAACAATCCAATTAAAAAGTGGGCAAAAGACCTGAACAGACATCTTACCAAAGAAGATGTTCATGTAGCAAATAAGCACATGAAATAATGCTCAACATCATATGTTATTACAGAATTTTCAAGTAAAATAACAATAAGATACCACTACACATCTATTAGAATGGATAAAATAAAAAACACTGAAAAAAATTAACAGCTGACAAAGATATTGGAAAACCTACACTAACATTCATTGTGGGAATGCAAAATGGTACAGTCTCTTTGAAACACAGTTCAGCCTTTCCTTATAAAACTTTAAGCACACTCTTACCATACGATCCAGCAATTGTGATCCTTGGTATTTACCCAAATGAGTTGAAAACTTATGTACACACAAAAACCTGCACACAAATGCTTATAGCACTTCATTAATAACTGTCAAAACTTGGAAGCAAACAAGATGTCCTTCAATAGATAAATGCATAAATGAATTGTGGCGTGTTCATATCAGAAAACAGCATTCAACAATAAAAAGAAATAAACTAGTACAAAAAGACATGGAGGAAACTTAAATACATGTTAGTGAAATAAGTCAATCTGAAAAGGCTACATATTGTATGATTCTATCTGTATGACATTCTAAAAAAGAACAAATGATGGAGACAGCCAAAAAGATTAGTGGCTGCCAGTGGTTCAAGTGGAGGGAGAGAGGGATAAACAGGTGGAGCACAGGGGATTTTTATGGCAGTGAAACTATTCTGTGTAACACTGAAATGGTAGATACTTGTCATTATACACTTGTTAAAACATATAGAAAATTCAATAGAAATAGTGACCCCTAAGGTAAATTATGGATGTTATGTATTGGTGAATCAATTTTAATAAATGTATCACACTACTGCAGGATGCTAATAATGGGGGAAATGAAGGTTGGGATATAAGAAGGTATATGTTCTTCCTACTTATTTTTCTGTAAGCCTAAAACAACTCTAACAAAATTAAGCTTATTCATTTAAAAAATCAATCCATCATCCAATTAGAAAATGGGCAAAAGACATAAAGACACATGTCATTGACGAGGACATATAGATAGTGAATAAGCACATGAAAAGATGTTCATTAGTTATCAGGGAACTGCAAATTAGGACCATGATAACATATTAATGCATATCTATCAAAATGGATAAAATAAAAAATAGTGACAATACCAAATGCTGGTAAGGATGTATAAAGAGCCTGATTTTCTCAAGCATTGATAATGGAAATGTAAAATAATACAGTCACTCTGGAAAATACCTTGTCAGTTTCTTTGTTAAAAAAATTAAATGTAACAACTACCATAGGACCCTTAATTGCACTCTTAGGCATTTATCCCAGAGAAATGAAAGTATATGTCCACCCAAACACCTATACATTAATGTTCCTGGATGCATTATTTGTAATAGCCAAAATATGGAAACAACTACAATGCCCCTCAACAGGTGAATGGGTAAACAAACTGTAGTATAGATAACATGGTACCAAATCTCTGTGGTGCAGCAACGAAAAGGAACATACTATTGATACATGCAACAACTTGGATGGATCTCAAGGCCATTATGCTGAGTGAGAAAAGCTGATCTTGAAATGTCACATATTGTATAATTCCATTTATATAACATTCTCAAAATGACAAGAGTGTAGAGGTAGAAAACATATCAGTGATTGCCAAGGGTTGATGATGGTAGGAGATCAGGAAGGTGAGAGTGACTATCAGGGAGTAGCAGAGGCAGACCTTTGTGGTGCTAGAGGATTTCAGTATTCTCATTGGCATGGTGGCTGCATGAATCAACACTTGTGATAAATGACATAGACCTATACACACACAATGAACCAGTGTCAGTCTCCTGTCTTTGATATGGTACTATAGTTATAAAAGTTGGAACAATTAGGGGAAATTGGGTGAAGGGTTAGTACGCAGAATTTCTTTGTGCTAACTTTGTAATTTTCTATGAATCTACGATTATTTCAAAATAAAAAGTTGGCCAGGCACAGTGGCTCACTCCTGTAATCCCAGCACTTTGGAAGGCCGAGGCAGGCAGATCACCTGCAGTCAGGGGTTCGAGACCAGCTTGGCCAACATGATGAGACCCCGTCTCCACTAGAAATACAAAAATTAGCCAGGCGTGGTGGTACACACCTGTAATCCCAGCTACTTGGGAGGCTGAGGTAGGAGACTTACTTGAACCTGGGAGGCAGATGTTGCAGTGAGCCAAGATTGCATCACTGCACTCCAACCTGGGTGATAGAGTGAGACTCTGTCTCAAAAAAATAAAATAAAATAAAATAAGTTAAAATTTTTTAATGTTTAGAATTATGAGCATGACATATTTATCAGCTAGGCATAGCTAAAGAGATTAATTGGTAAATTGTAAATAAGTTGATGAAGCATGGAGATTAAAAAAAAAAAGAAAGTGAGACATGTAAAAGGGCATAAGAGATATATGGCAGTCTGCAGAAAGATTTAACATATACATAATCAGAGTCCCAGAATGGGAGGAGAGAGGAAATGAGGAGAGGCAAACTTTGGGAAGATAATAGGTTAGAATTTTCCAAAACCGAGGAGAGACACCAAATTACAGATTCAGGAAGTTCTGTGAAATCCAAGAAGAGTAAATAAAAAGAAAATTATCCTTGTATCACAGTAAAACAAAGACAAAAAGCAAGCAGCACCTCCATTGGCGGCACAGAAGGAAATGTCATATTTTTGTATGTTCTTCATCATCACAACATTAAAATTACAACTGACATCTCAACAGAAATCATGGAAGAAAGAATTCAATGGACTTATACAAAGTACCAAAAATAAAACTAGCTACCAAACACTCTAGAATTCTATACCCAGAAAAAATATCTTCCAAAAGTGAAGGCACAGTAAAGACACTTTCAGATTAACAAAACTGAGATAATTCATTATATCAAATTCACACTAAAAATTTCTAAAGGGAATTCTACAGACTAAAAGAAAAGATGCCGAATGGAAATAAGAAAATGCAGAGATAAGAAAATGGAATAATATGAAATAATTAATCCAAGAAGAGGCAAGAACATAGAGAAAAGCAATCATATAATAGTTGAGCCAAATAAAAAACAAATAGACAGCAGATAACATTTAAATGTATCAATAACTACCTTGAGTGTAAATGAACAAAATAAATATCAATCGTCACACTGGATTTTAAAAACAAATTTTTAAAATAGCAACAATCAATGCTGCTTTCACAGGATACATCTTAAATATAAATGAACAGGGAGGTTGAAAGTAGAATGGAAAATGTCTATATCATGCAAACATTAGCCAATAGAAAACATATGCAATTATAGCAATGTCAGACAAAGTAGGCTGCAGGACAAAATGCATTACTAGAGATATAAAGGGCATCTCCTAGTGATAAACGATCATTCACCAGGGAGATATGACAATTCTAAATGTGTATGCACCAAATTAATATGCTTCAAAATATGTACACAATTTAACAGATATAAAAGTGGAAATAGACATATCTACACTCATAGTGTGAGATTTTTAACATACCTCTCTTGGCAACTAATTTGCATTTCTTTGGTTATTAGAGGATCAGAATCGGTTTTGTGTTCTTAGTTTTTTGTGGTTATATATGAAACTGACTTCATATATTTCGCATGTTTTCCCACTGGAATGTTGCCTTTTTGCTTACTGATATGTAAGCCTTCTTTTTAAGATTTACTTTACGACATACGCTATAAGTGGTTCTTGCCAGCATTTGTCTTTTTATTTCATGAGTTTTGAAATTTTTGTAAAATACAATCTTAACATTTTCAGTGATGTTTCCTGCATTGTTTTCATTCTTGAAACCTAAAAGAGTGTGTTTTGACAGATTTATTTTTCCCTAGACAGAGTATTCTGAGTCTTAATATTGACACTATAGGTTCAAAGAAATTCACCTTATTTAAATAGAATCTATTCAAATTGTACTGAAATTGTTTGTGGGAATTTTAAGGGAGATCTTTCTTTCTACCTGAATGATCTTTCTTCCAAATCTTTATTTGTTTGACAAATATTTATCGAGCTTCTGTTCAGTGCCAGGCACTGTTTCAGGAGCTAGGGATAAGGCAGGGATTCAAATGGACCTTACCTCCCCGCACATTCTGTTGGGAAGAAGGAAGCAGTAAACACATATAGGAACAAACCTGTATGGCCTGTGGAGATGAACGCAACGGAGAAAGATAAGACTTTTGGGATAAGATGGCAGGTACACCTTGATCCACTGGCAGACTCTTTTTGCATCCTTCAAAATGTCTTGGCTGTCACCTTGCTCTGCGTGCTAACTTTGAGCCATGTCAGTTCTTCCACATTACACTGTGGAATTGACTTGAATTGACAAAACAAAAAAAAAAATGGAGGTAAAAAGCGTTTCTCAAAGATTAATTTTTTTTGAGACAGAGTCTTGCTCTGTCACACAGGCTGGAGTGCAGCGGCGCGATCTCGGCTCACTGCAACCTCCGCCTCCCGGGTTCACGCCATTCTCCTGCCTCAGCTTCCCGAGTAGCTGGGATTACAAGAATGCGCCACCATGCCCGGCTAATTTTTTTTTGTATTTTTAGTAGAGACGGAGTTTCACCTTATTGGCCAGGAGCCACAAGTGCTGCCGAACTTACAAAGAAAGGAATCAGGCCAGCCGCTTTGTCTCTCTCCAGGGCTTCCTGCAGGGCAGACGCACGCATGGCGAAGTTGCCATCTGAGGGGATGGCTTTTAATTTCACTCCACCAATTAACCCAGCTCTTTCCACTGAGGAGTGTGCCTGGAAAGAAGACAGCAGAGTTGGATTTGTACAGGTGTGTGCATGCAGTTATTACCAGGCCCTGGATCGGCAGAGAGCAGCCAACATTGCAAACACAAGGTCCCTCTTAACGGCACAGGAGGCAGAACTGCTCCTGACTGCTCCCTCTCCCCTGCACCTTCATGAGACCCCTTTTTTCCTGGAGTTGTTTCTGTTCCTGTGGAATCTTGCTTTTAAGTTTAAAGTATCAGGCACTAACAAGGGTAAAGTGCTGGGTCAATATTTATGAAGTTTTTCATTTGTTTGAACTCAAGGATAAGTGGCGAGACCCTGGAAAGTAGATCCCAGAGGTGGACTTAGAAATCCTAGGCTCAAATCTGTGCCCTGCCCCTGACTGTGGAGCCTTGGGGAGCTTGGTGGCCAGGCTCAGTAAACAGTACCTGGAGGAAAGAAACCAGCCAGGAGGCATCACCACTGTGGCAGATCCATCCTGTCTCAGAGATTCTCAGGAAAGGCAATTCTCATGAAAGCCGGCCACCTTTTGCCCTGCAGCCCCCACCGCCACTGTCTCCTGCTTGACGCTACCCAGGGGCCTGAGATCACAGAATAACAAAGCTGCAGTTAGGGCCGAGGACTTTGATCCCCATATCTAGTTTCTCTGCAATGGTGCTCGGAAGGCCAGATAATCACAACAGAAGTCCGCACTGGTAGAAAAGGTGACAGAGCCAGTCGCGGTGATGTCTCCACACATTTATTTCCTTCTTAACTTGATCTATCCAGTTCCCACCCAAGAATCCACCCCTTCCCTGTAGTTCAGGTCTCTATTTAGTGATACCTGAGGAACTGTTCTTAGATTTGGAAGGATGCTGTTTGGTTTGGTTTGAATTTGACATAAAACCAAACATTCGGGTCTTGAAGTCTTGGCTGATACCCCCACAACACACTCACCTGATCGGATGAGTAAGCCACCAGCTTCTCCATGATAGCGGCCTGTGTGAGCTCTGGGGACGCTGCCTGCAGCCGATGGATCACTTTGGTCCGAGCGGCCAGCAGGGCCACCAGGGTGGCTTCACTGGCACTTCCCTAAATTCAAGAGAAGGTCCAAATGAAATCCCAAACATAGCGAAGGCATTGGTACCTACACTATTGGAAGACATATTGTTTTGTGTCCATAGTTTTCTTAAAATATGAGTCTGAAATGGCAAAATTCACTCTCCTTTGCTTAGGAGAAAACTAATATTTTTGACACCTGAGACCACCACTTCAGCTGTTGGTATGAGTTTGCCATTGGTGGGTCTATTTTGTGTAACAGCAGCAGCTAACATTTCTGACCACTTCCCTGCGCCAGGTATTGTGAGAGCTTCTCCTCATGGACTGCCCCCAGCCTGGCCTAGGACGACTGCTCCTGTCTCTATCAGAGGAGAACGGCCCAGGGCACCAGCATGCAAGCCTGACTCTGCGTTCATATTCACTCGGACAGAGCGATTTGCATTTGTTTATAAAATAGGGGTGCATTTTCCTTGAGACTAAGAGATGCCTTAAAGGGTTTCTTTTGATTCCTAATGACACGGGCTGAATTGTGTCCCCAAAAATTCATGTGTTGAAGCCCTAACCCCCAGGACCTCAGATGTGACCATATTTGGAGATAGGCTTTTTAGAGAGGTAATTAAAAGAAAATGGGGTCACATGGCTGGGCTCTAATCCAATCTGACATGTTTCTGATAATATGAAATTTGCCTATAATCCCAGCACTTTGGGAGGCAGAGGAGGGTCGATCACTTGAGCCCCGGAGTTCGAGACCAGCCTGGGCAACATACCGAAACCCTGTATCTATAAAAATACAAAAATTAGCCAGGCATGGTGGCGTGCCTGGTAGTCCCAGCTACTCGAGAGGCTGAGGTGGGAGGATGACTTGAGCCTGGGAGGCGGAGGTTGCAGTGAGCCGCAATTACAACACTGCACTCCAGCCTGGGCGACAGAGTGAGACCCAGTCTCAAAAAAATAAATAAATAAAAAGAAGGGGAAATGTGGCCCCCAGACATGTGGGTGCACAGAGGGAAGACCATGTGAGGACACAGGGAGAAGGTGGCCATCTGCAAGCCCAGGAGAGAGGCCCCAGGAGAACCAACCCTGTGGACACTTTGATTTTGGACTTGCAGCCTTCGGGACTGTGAGAAAAGAAATTCTTCTTCGATCCACCCAGTCAGTGGTATTTTGTTAGGGAACCCCTGGCAAACTAATGGATTCAGGGCCTGCTATGTTATCCCATTTAAGTTGTAAAAATAATCCCATTTTTGTGTTTTATCATCTTCAGGTGGGGAAACAGATGTGCAGAGAGGTTCACTAACTTGCCCCAAATCAGCAGCTAGGTAGGGCACGGTTAGGAGTGAGCCCACGCCTGCGCTTTTTAGGGTGCCATGGGCCTAGAAAGGTAGGGGCAGCGAGCACCTTCCCTCTTAAGTAAGTCGTAGAAGAAACCCATCTACCGACCAGTATGAAAGGACATTAGAAAGGGCAAATAAAAGAAGGTAGGTTCTTGTTGACTCTGAAAAAGTTTATAACATGATAGGTTTTTACAGAGAAATATATAATAAAATAATTAAGTAGAAATGCTAACCTCTCTTCTTAACATTTGATGCTCTCTTCATTGACCCTGATTTCTCATTTTGACTTTGCCTTGACACTACTTTTACTTATTCTTTTGAGCCAACCCACATCCTTTGGTGGGACAGTAATATTGAAAGATAAATACATTTATTCATGTTTCTGTAGCACTAATGGATGGGTTCAAATATACAGATATATGCGTCTCTTAATTCAGCATCTAAAATGGGTACTTTATTTCCTTCAGGCTATATTTTCATGAGCAATGATTTTAGACATTGTTTTAGGCCAGGTTTACAAACCTTGGCCAGAGGAGAGAGAAGGGGAGAAACCAATTTTGGCTGGCAAAGCTAAATCAGCCATCCCAGGAAACCCAGGCTCCCTGAGAGCAGGCATTGTACCTTACTTACACTTCTCCTATGTACCCCATCATTCCTGTCCCTGATTTCCTCCTGTCCCCCTATCTGCCCCCACACACATTTTGTTTGTCATGTCCCACCCATTCTCATTGGAAATGTAACATGAAAAGCCTGGTGGAAGGCACAATTCCCTGTTCTGATGCTTGACAAGCAGGCGTGACTGCAGCTTCCCCGGCTAAATTCTACCCTCTGCTTGAAGCGTTGGAACGCAGGTGTTCATTCTCTGAACATTCTAATGAAATGAGTCACCATGAATCACCTGAATCACCATGACAACTCATTATGGCTTTTCTCTGGGGGGGGATGGGGGAGCTTAGTTCATGTCCTAAGAGAAAATTCACCTTCTTAAGTCAACAAAATGATGTTTTAAAAGCCTGAAGGAGCAAATCGTCAGTAGCACATCTAGAACCACACCACCCCGATGCCACCAGGGTGGCCTGGTGGCCTCAAGCATGATGTCAGGTGGAGCTCTCTGCACTTTGCTGGCAGCAGATCTTCGCGGAGAGAAGCACGGGGAGGGTGACATGTGGTACAGAGCAGGAACGATGGCTCTGTGCGATAGCAGCAGACAAAGGTTGCCATGGCAAGCCTGCTCAGGAGGTAGGAGGGGATGCTGGTAAGGTCTGACGCTTCTGGCTGCTGATGCCGTGAGCAGAAATGTCCTTTCATCTTCAGTTTTTTTCGAAGCAAAAAATTGTCTTTTCTTCCACAAGAACTTTAAAACCCAATTAAGAGACCATTTTCCCAGACCACATTTGTCCAGCCTCACAACAACAGTTTGCCATTTGACTCAGACACGCATCACTGCGCTGACGCCCACAGCTGTGATTACAGCTCTGAGGGGATCAATAATGCAGGCTGGCTCACAGGCTGTCACCAGGCTCCTGTGCTCTTTGGGGCCTCACCAATTACAGACAATCAGCCTTGTCTGCTGAGAAGGGTGAGCTTCCGGTGGCAAACACAGATCCCATTTCTTCCTTTCATCCAGAAAAAAACTGAGTGGATTGGGCTCACAGGAAGATTGTGTTAAAGCGGGGGCTGAGAGATGCCAGGAATATTCCTACCCAAATGCTAAAGACTTGTATGGTCTCTCAAAAATGAGGTTGTCTTTAATGAAACGAAAATGCAGCCCATAGTAGCATGCACATCTCTGGACACCAACCCAAGCCTATGGTCAGGGATGAGCTGGTGTAACAGTCATAACTCTGGTTGTCTTTCCTACTAGCCTTGGCTTTAATTCACTTTTGCTGCTATGCATGTTCTACTAACTTTCTGGGACTCAATATCCTCATCCATGAAAAAGATTGTCCATAATCCAATCAATCTTCATAAATACTTTGAGGATGAAGACAATAACACAAAGCACAAGACATAGGCTAAAACATAGCCAAGCTCATAATTGCTATTCAATGAAAAGTAGCTCTTATTATAATAGACACAGCTTATATTATGAGGGATTGATAAGATTTTTTTGAGGAGTATATAATTAGAGGAATCATCTGCTGAAAAAATTGAATATGAAATTGTTTTTGTTATAAGATGCAATGACCTAGAAATGCTTCAATTTTTGTTTTGTTCCATTTGGATTTAGTGGGGAGCATGAATGTTAAACATGAATACAGCCAGGAGAGTCCTAGGAGGAAGGTGATCATCTTGGAAGATTGTTGCACTTCATCCTAAAGGGTGTCCTCCAAAATTTTTTTTATAAGAATGGAAAATTTGATGCAACACAAATATCTTAGGTATTATTTATATATTTATATAGATTGTGATGCATCATAGAAAATCATGGAGTAATACTTTTTTCAAACAATATTTAAATAGTGGGAAATGCTCACAATAAAATGATAAGGAAAGCACCATGCAGAAAATCCATATGCGTAGTATCATTTCAATTTTGTCTGTATACATATATTCACATGTAGATACTGAAATAACACAGGGAATATGACAAGAAAGCTCCTGTGTCTTTTCATTTTTACCATGAATGTCCAGTATCTAGGTGGAAAGGGGACTTTTTTTTTTTTTTTTGAGACAGGGTCTCACTCTGTCACCCCGACTGGAGTGCAGTGGCATGATCTCAGCTCACCTCAACATCCACCTCCTGGGTTCAAATGATTCTCCTGCCTCAACCTCCTGAGTAGCTGGGATTACAGGCACATGCCACCATGTCCAGCTAAGTTTTGTATTTTTAGTAGAGATGGGATTTCACCATGTTGGCCAGGCTGGTCTTAAACTCCTACCTCAAATGATCCACCCGCCTTGGCCTCCCAAAGTGTTGGGATTACAGGCGTGAGCCACCACACCAGGTCCATAATCACATAATCATGTGGAGAAAACCATGAAAAGCTTCCTAAAATATAGAAGATAACAAAAAAGGGAAATATCGAAAGGAAGAGAGAAATCATGGAAGAGGTACCCAATCTGTGGAAAATTGAAGTCCCTGAAAAAGAGTGACGTGGCCCACAATAACTAACATACAGTAGAAGAAAAATCTCCACACTGCACAGAGCTGAGTCTTGAATCAGCAGGGCTCACCAAATGCTAGGGAGGGTCAAAATGAGGGGAACAGTCTGGGTGCAGTGGCTCACTGCTGGATCTGTCCTGCAGACCCTGGCCGATGGAGGAAATGAGTGCTCAGACACAGGTATGCAGTGTAAGAGCAGCTAAGTGACTGCCTGGCTCTAGTGGCCAGAGAGCAGCCCTGAGAAGCTGGAGCAGCTTGCTTTTATTGAGTGCAAGCACAATGCTGAAAACCTGGAGCAAACACAACCTGTAGATAATTAACATTTATTGTTCCCCTTTCAGGGAATGTCACGTGCAAGGATGTTCCGAGGTCAGTTCCTGGACAACTTCTAACAAACAAGCTTGACCAAGATAAATTCCCCTACACTCCCTTGTACCTACTCCTTATCCTCTGCCTCAGGGTTATAGAACAGCTGCCTTCAGCTATTCTGCCATGGAGCTTTGCAGAGCCTTCTGACCTTTCAGAAGGCCTGCTCCTTTTCCCTATAGTTTCTCCCACCACTCTGACCGATCTCCTACAGCTCACACCTGTAATCCTAGCACTTTGGGAGGCCGAGGTGGGTGGATCACCTGAGGTCAGGAGTTTGAGACCAGCCTGGGCAAAATGGCAAAACCCTGTCTCTACTACAAATACAAAAATTATCCAGGCATGGTGATGGGTGCCTTGTAATCCCAGCTTCTTGGGAAGCTGAGGCAGGAGAATGGCTTGAACCGGGAGGCAGTGGTTGCAGTGAGCTGAGATCGTGCCACTGCACTCCAGCCTGGGCGACAAGAATGAGACTTCGTCTAAAAACAAGACAAAATAAAAAAAAAAAATGAGAGGAACAAATGGAAAAGAAATGGAAAAGTAGACCTTGTCCCGTGTATAAAACTAAAAGAAAAAGTAAGTCGGCCACCAACATCGAGGCCTCTTGTAAAGGGTTAGACCATGCATGCCCTTGCCTGGAATCAAAACCACGCCCTCTGCAGGCACGCAGCTGTCCCACTGGGTCGCTGAGTGCTGCTGCCCTCTGTCCCCTGGAGAATCAGGACTGATGTTCCAGAGGCCAGAAAGCCATCTGGCCCTCACCAAGGCAAAGTGCAGCTGACAGAGCACTGGCTGCGGACAGTGTGCAGTAGCTCCCTCCCCTCGCTGGAAGGGCACCTGTGACAGCCTATCCTTGCTGTGATCTTGGCCAAGGAGGCTTCTCCAGCTGCATACTCACTGACCAGAAGAAAATTGTGCTGGGACTGAAGCATGATTCATTTGCTGAATCATTGCTGAGTCATTGTTGCTGCTACGTAGAATGGTATGGTTCACAGCAACGTATTGAAGCTTTGCTTACAACATAGCTGACGTTTTCTTTTCTTTCTTTTTTTTTTTTCTTGATGGAGTTTCCCTCTCGTCAACCAGGCTGGAGTGCAATGGCAAGGTCTTGGCTCACGGCAACCTCTGCCTCCCAGGTTCAAGCAATTCTCCTCCCAAGTAGCTGGGATTATAGGTGCCCGCCACCACACCTGGATAATTTTTGTATTTTTAGTAGAGACAGGGTTTCACCATGTTGGCCAGGCTGGTCTCAGACTCCTGACCTCAGGTGATCTGCCTGCCTTGGCCTCACAAAGTGCTGGGATTACAGGCGTGAGCCACTATGCCTGACATTTCATTTTCCTCAGCTCCCCATTTAATATCACTTATGTCTGATGGAAAAAGAGATAACCAAAGAATGCGAAGGAGGAGCACGTGGAGGGATGACTCTGAGCCTGGCCACAGGGCCTGTGGGTCATGGAGAAGGCAGTCATCAGTCCCGGCATGTGGCCTATTCAGGAATCTGGGTGTCATCCGGATGAATTAGCGTTCACATTTTTTGGCCCAGAGTCTAGGAATAGGCATTACAAGCAAGTTCCCTCCATGACTCTGAAGCACACTGGATGTGGTAGGCACATTAATGCACCCTCATTCCCAGAGATTTCAGGTCTTGGTCCCCAGAATCTGTGACTGTTTCCCTTCCAGGGAAAAGGTGACTTTGCTGATGTGATTAAGTTAAGAAACTTGACTTGAGAGATTATCTCAGATTGCCTGGATGGACCCAATCCAATCATATGTGTCCTTAAAAGTGGAGACCCACTTTCCGATCTTATATGTGGTCACAAGGAGATGCGACCAGGAAAGTGTGAAAGGAAAATAAATCTTGGGACCCCCAAATCACTAAGCCAAAGGGAAAAGTCAAGCTGGGAACTGCTTAGGCCAAACCTGCCTCCCATTCTATTCCTAAAAGAGATAGCTACTAAGATAAAAAGCTACATGCCTCCCTCATAAGGAATTTCCTTTTGGATGAAGGACAGACAGAACTCAAAGTCACCCCTCTGCCCACTGAGATAGCTGCACATCTGATGGCCTCCTTTGGAAAGGCTAATCAGAAACTCAAAAGAATGCAACCAATTGTCTCTTATCTACCTATGACCTGAAAGCCCCCTCCCTGCTTTGAATTGTCCCACCTTTCCAGACCAAACCAATGTACATCTTACATCTCATGTCCCCCTAAAATGTATACAACCAAGCTGTGCCCAACCACCTTGGGCACATGTAGTCAGGATCTCTTGAGGCTGTATCACAGGCACGCATCCTTAACTTTGGCAAAATAAACTAAGTTGACTGAGACCCATCTCAGATATTTGGGGTTTACAAAAGAAAGGTCAGAAAGATGGGACACAGCTGGCTTTGAAAATGGAAATGGGGCTGTGAGCCAAGGAATTTTGGAAGCCTCTAGAAGTCAGAAGAGGCAAGGAAGCAGATTCACCCCTGGAGCCTCCAAGGTGTCAACTTTGGTTTTAGCCCAGTAAGACCCAGGTCAGACTTCTGATGTACAGAACTGTAAGATAATCAGTTTGTCTTATTTTGAGCCACAAAATTTGTCACAACATCAATAGAAACAAATACATAAAATTATCAGTCTTGTTGCTCATTCTCAGGACTGGAAGTGGAGAGACTTGCTTGCTAGTTTCGCGTGGCCACACTGGCCATGTGCTCTGCACAAAGGTGTTCTCCAGTGTGTGCCTCACTGTCCTCATCCACTGAATGGGCCTTCACCAATTCTCAGAGCCTTGTGAAAGACAATATCTGAAAAGGAAGCCCCTTTTTCCCAAAGTTAACAATGCTTTCCTAATGAGACTATCATCTACTTGACATGAGAAAAATGATTAAGGGAGAGTACTGGGTTCAATATAGTTCATATTCCATGCTAGGAAGTTGTTTTTTTTTTTTTTTTTTAATGCATCAAGTCCAAGTCATCCCAGTGCCATTTGTCCTGCAACCCCAGTGGAATAGAAATTCCATCATGATTGTCTTTTGTCTATCTTGTTCCCTGGTGTAAGCTCTGACACACAGTCACTCTCAATAGATACATGTTACATGAAGAAAATGAATTCAGTTGCTGCATAGAAGCAGCAGCATCTTTAAGTAAATGATTGGTTCAAAGACAAATAGTATTTATAGCCTCTGAAGCCTGGTCACATCTGCCACCTGTGCTGTCCTCCGAGGAATATCACGGGCTCTGAGCCACACAGAGTCTGTAGCTGGAAGCCATGGGGCAAGCTACCTAATGTTCTGGACCCTAGTTTCCTCTCCTGTAAAAAGGGCTATTAAAATGTTTCTTCACTTGTAAAAAGGGGTACTAAAATGCACAGTGTTGTTGTGAGAATTAAATGAGTTAATGCCTGGAAAATGCTTAGGCACAGTGGCCGGCGATGGGGAACCCCACACAAACGATAGTTGCTGTAGTTGTTACTTCCACGCACCTGCTGTGAGATAGCGGCTGTGCTACCTACCATAGCTAGGGGCCTGGGGAACTGAGTGCCCTGCCCTGGGGAAGCGAGTGAAAGACAGCACTGGGATCCTAATCCAGATCCTGCCAATCCCAAAGCCAGCATTTTCCCAAGAGCTCGGTTTTGTTTATTCTCCAGGAGAAATTTGAGGAACTAACAAGAAGCATGAGTGCCTCTTTCCCCACCTGCGGCTACAGTCCTGTGCAGAGCCCATGCATCCCAAAAGTGGCCCTCACAGCTCCCACCTTACCTGGATCACTCCTCCCCCTTCTCCAGCTTTCTCATTCAAAAATGCCTTTGGTAGTTCCAGCATCTTCCCGAGCCAGTCCATCATCACAGTCTCCAGCTCTGTGCATGCTGGGCTTGCCGCCTGTCGTGGGGGAAGGGAAGGGATTAACCGAGGGCCAGGCATTGCAGAATTTGGGGGTCAGCAGTAACAAGGGGATTTAACCTTCCACTAAAGCCCAGATTAAAATCACCCAATCTCAGATGTGATTCAAAGGCCTGAAGGCTGTTTGACCTAGAATCATGCAAGGAGAGCGGTTGGGAAGGAACATACGGGCCACCATAATGAACCTTACTCCACTGAGCCTCACTGCATGGGCTCTGCGGGCTTGCTAGGATATTCATTTGTTCACTCACAGAAGGGTCCAGAAAGCCCACTGGTGGACTTTCCTCCGTAGTCACAAATGAAGGGAATGAGAAAGTGGGCGCTGGGCAGCTGTCACCCTCTGGGCATCCCGAGAAGCCATTGATCTTGTCTTTTAAACTCCCAGTGACTTTTCTCTATGAACTCTCCCCTCTCTCTGAACAGGCTGGTCTTGAGCCCCATCCAAAGGTGGATTGAGTCTCCACCTTCATAAAAGTCTCCAACATAAGGGGTCCAAGATGTTCTCGTGCCTAGATGTGCACAGCAACATCCCGATGCGTCACCAGTAAGATCTAAGTGAGAAGAGTGCATTCTCCCTTCTGGTCAGCCCCATCCTGCTGGGTTCTACCTGAGCCTGGCCAAGCCCAGCTCTACCAGGAGCCTATGCTCTCTGCTAGGGATGAGGTATCAGGCAACGCAGCCTGAGAGATAGTGAGGCACTCCCTTCAAGGCCTGAGGGCAATCAGACTGTCCCAGAATGAGCAGATAGAGATGGATGCCAAGTACCTCTGTGGGACAGAATGGATTTGGACCAGCAGAGCTAAATGAAATCTGCTGCAATATCCAGTGATAGAAAATGCTCTTTAGGAGAGGGTATGCTCAGCCCAGGCCAGCCCTGCCCAGCAGAGAGGGAGGCCCCAGTGCCTGGCAGAGGAGCAGCACAGACACTGAAGAGCCCATCTGTGGGCTCTTCAGCCCTGCCTGTAGGGCCCATGATGCCTGCTCACCCGGCAACTTCCAGTGCCCCAGCCCAGAGAAGAGCAAGTGCCAGGCTGGTGAAGCAGAGGTGGCTCAGCTGGGCCCTGTGGCTCAGTGCTGCAAATTCCTAATTGACAGCTCCTTTACACATCACAGCATGCCACATAGACCGATGCCCACAAGTCCACCTGGCTCCAAGCCACAGACAAGGTGAGTGCTCTGGACCCCAAAGGCCAAGGACAGCCCCTGGCTTTTGAGGAACTCCCCAGGGTGCAGCAGCCCTCGGACACTGGCCATCAGCAGGCAGCTCTACCTCCAAGCTCTCTGCATTTGGGAGGAATGCATCTTTCCTGTAATCTGTGCCTGGAGCACAGAGTCACGGGCAGAGCCAGCCCTGCCTACCGTTCTTCTGAGTAGGGACTTTTTTAGGCATTTTACCTCCAGATAGGGTGGGACTGGTGGTTTGCAGGCAGGAGCTAGGCCCTTTTCCAGAGACCCCCCTGCTCCAAGGCTCTGGACACATCTGATAGGCTGGTTGGAGCCTCTCCCCAGGCAGCAGCCCTGGTGGAGAACAGAAGGAATGAGACAGGGGCAGTCGCGGTTCTCAAGCTTTGGAGGATATAGAAATTCTCTGAGCTGCTTGGAGAAATGCAGATTCCCAGGTTCGAGCTGCAGAAACTCTGGGCCCCAGACCATGATGTTAGTTCATACCAAGTGCTTCCAACACAGCCTGTGCAGAATGGGCTTTGAGTTGTTGAGACTTTCTCTGTTCTCAATCGCTACTTTCTCAGAGGCACTCTCTCTGGGCTGAATCCTTTCTCCTCCCTGCAACAGTAGCCCGTCTGCCCACAGACAGCACCGCCATCTGCTCAGGTCCCTTGTGCATAGGTACCGTGTCCCCACCCCGGGATCCCACCACAGCCAGGACCCCTTCCCGAGGTGCATCCGGACCCTCACCCAGGAGAAGCCGATGCAGCCAATGGCCCCGCACAGCATGTCCGCAAGCATGGCCGGGTACGAGCTGGCAGTGGGGAAGTAGGCGAAGAAGTAGGGGCTGTGCCAGTGCGTCACCTGCATGGGAGGACAGAGCAGCTGCTGAGGAGTGAGGAAAGCCAGGCCTCAAGAGAGCGGGGGACCCAGGTACCCCCATGGCTCCCAGCTGCCAGATGCAGCCAGACCCAGAGTTAGGTGAGTGCAGTTCCCCAAATGTCAGCCATCCCATTACCTTCCTCCATTATTTCGGAGCATTTACACATCACCTTACTGTCCCCACTCCCTTTAAACCAGCTCCCTTTTTGACACTGGAATGTATTTGCTAGCTCAGAAGGAAAAGTTCTATCTCCAAAATAAAGTGGAAAATCCTTATCATTTTCCATAACAAAAGAAGTCTCAAAAAACCACACTGTGCTTCAAGTTCTTGCTCCGGTGCTCTCGTCAGTGAAGGCGCTGCCCCAAGGCTGATCTCTTTGTGCCAAAAGCTTAGTTTTCCTAAAACTACTCTAAAAAATAAAGTCTCCATTAAAAACAAACAAACAAACAAAAAAAAAAACCAAGCTCTGGATTTTCGAGGTTTCTTCAGTCAAGCCACAAACATGCATCTGGTCTTCCCGCTGCCCCTGGCTCTTCTAGAGGAGCTGAGGCCTTCCCTCCAGCCAAGCAGCTGGATCACCCCACAGATGTCTCACCTCTGCTGTCCCTCAGCCTGGCCACTGCCCCTTGCCATTTGCCCTGGCTAGGGGCATCCCACCTTTCTCCAGCCCATAAGGTGAACACCTGCCACTCCCTGGGTGAGGCACAGAGGAAAAGCTCATGTGGGCCAGGGAGGAGATCCATAAGGGGTAGTGACAGCTCCAGGTGGTATACTTGGGGACAGGGGGTTTCAGGATCCAGGAGGCAAGGGTTGTGGTGGACACCCAGGCAGGGAACATTTAGCAATGGTAACAAGGGGCCAGCCTCAAACATCTTGGAGTCTGGGAGGACGATCAGGGGAGGACAGAGAAGGAGCAGGTGTAGCCTAGTCTTTGGGTCTTTAATTTGTTCCTGCCAATGCAGTACCTGCCCTGAAGGAACAGAATAAAGTCCTAAAGCCCTCAGGACAACCCTCAGCCCCTGTGCATGGAGAAGGTATAGAAATTGCCATTCAGACCCCTCTCAGGCTGTGACCACGCACTGGTTTCTGAGAGACATTGCCCTGTTCCGCATTGTCCCCTGCTGGTGCTCCATGTCCATCCTGCCTGTGGGAATAGCATGGTGTTGGGAGCACCCCTGGACTGCAAGTCCAGCAGGAACCCTGATTTGCTGGGTTACCCCAGACAACTGACTGCACCTCCCTGGGCCCTGTCATCCCTTCAGATAAAATGAAAGCACGTGCTCTGATGCTTCCTCCAGGTCTGGCTCAGAATCCCAGCAGCAGAGGATATGCTCTATCGGGCTTGGCTGCTCTGCTCTGAATGTGAGTATCTGCACACCATTCGCGTCGAAATCCTAACCCCCAAAGTGATGGCATTAAGGGACAGCGTCTTTGGGAGGTGATTAGGGCATGAGGGTGGGGTCCCCTTAATAAGATTAGTGCCCCCCAACAGTGGGATTAGTGCCCTCATAAGAAAAGGCAGAGAGCTGGCTACCTCTTGGTTACGTGAGTACACACTGGGAAGACGGCTGTCTGTAAACCAGGAAGAGAGCCCTCACCTGAACCTAATATCTTGATCTCAGACTTCCTGTCTCTAGAACTGTGAGAAATCAATGTTGTTTAAGCCCCCAGTCTACGTCCTTTGATATAGCAGTCCAAGCTAAGATATCTGTAAGATATCTCTTACAATCTGAGAAGAGATGCAAACATTTATTTCTCAATAGCACTCATCGTTAAATATATGTTGTCTAAGATGTAGCATGAGCAACCCCCTCTGATTGTGAAGGCAGCCAACTGAGAGAGCTCACCAAGAACTAGGAGTGTTCAGTAAGGTTTATTTAACAACCACGGCCACCCCAAGTCTGCCAGGGCTTGGGGAGTGGTGGAGAGAGGGAGCTAACACAGTCTAGGCTTGGGGGCTCAGGTGTGGGAGGTTGGTGATGAGGCTGAGAGGCCGAGAGGAGCTGCACAGGCTGTGATGCCTTCAGCACAGCAGGTCCAGGCCCACGACACTGTTAGGGGCTGAAAAAATGCTTAAATTTCTTCTGTAATCAGGAGGAAAAAACAGTGAACTTTCAGGTTAAAGAAAAAAAATCGATGTTAATATATTCATCTTTATGCCAATGCATTTGTAAAGCATAATTTTCCATATTTCTAGGGAGGAAGGAGCCGACAAAGACAAAGCGCCCGGGGCCCAGGAGAGTTTAAGAGCAGCCCTGTGGCTGACTAGCCCCTCCGCACCTGGAGGGCCCATGTGCCTTTGTCTCTCTCCCCTTCCTGTGGCCTTTGGGCTGGAAAAGGACAGAAGCGATTCTTGATTAGGGACAGATGTGTGCTCTTTTGCTTCACTCTCCGCTGATATTCACAGCAACTTTTGAGATGGCTGGGCCTGCACTTGCTCCGCTCACGGCTCGAGAGCTCACCTGGTTTCCTGCGATCACACAGCCAGCAGTTCGTGGGCTGCAGCTCCCACCCAGGGACCTTGCCCAACGCCTGTGCATTTCCCAGCTCAGCTCTGCGCAGTGAATGCCCCCATAGAAGGAAGCAGAAAGACTTCAAATCCTCCCTTACTCTCCTGTACTCCCCACTGCCTGACATTTAGCCACACCTCTCCCAAAGGGTTTTATGCTGAACAGCTTAGTGTACTTGCACAATTTCTAGAAGAACCTGAATCCTGTTCTTTGCTCAAAGCATAAATGCCAAGTGAGAATCCCCTGGAAGAAGAAATGTGAGCAGTGTGGTGAGAGAGGCGCTCAGCTACTGAGAAACCAGTCCCTGAGGTCCAGGGCCTGAGGCCTAGTCTCAACCCATGATCAGTGGACTGTAACCTTGTCTGACCTTATGCCTTCACAGGGCCTTGGCATTCTGTCTACATTGAGGGAGTGGGTCTTGATGGTCCCAGACCCCTCTTCTATGAAAATCACATGTCGTTGCTCATAGGCCTTACAACCACAGACATGCTGGGTCGCGGCAGTGATCAACCAGTGGAGCCCACGGAGATTTTCCCTGCCTGGACTCTGCACATTGTTGCATGGAAGGGCAGGTTTGGCCATCCTCATAAACATTCGTGATCTAGAAACTGGCCGGGCTGCAACTCCCACCCAGACCCTGACTAGGCCAGAGCCACTTTAACCAACAGGCTTTTAGGTGAACTCCTTGGCAGAGAAAATCTACTGTGGAAGCGTAAAGCTGAAGGGAAGTTTCTCTGAGCTCCAACTCTGCTGCCCTGTGAGTGAGTATCGGAGACAGCAGCCAGTCCCGCTGATTTCTGCCCTCTGTGTACCCCAGGCCTACTGGCTTCAGAGAAAAAGGGCTGCCTTGGTGGGCAGCACCACACTGCCCACTCTCAAATAAACTAAAGAAAACGTTTCTTCCACATATGCTAATTACCTATTGCTAAACCCAAGGATGGTGGAAGTGTGCTTTATTTGGGGCAATTGACTTATTTGAAAGCAGCCACCAGTGTCTTGCTTCCTAATGTATATGAGGACACGCTCTATGTACCGAGTGTCTCTGGGCAGGGACTGAGTCTCAGGGGACCTGGGGGAAAGAGCCTCACTGCCCTTGGATTTGGATTTTAATCCTGACTTCATCGTGTACTACCTGTGTGACCTGAGGTGGACCACCTAACCTCTCTGAGCCTCAGTTTCCTCAGTTGTAAAATAGAAATGACAAAATTTCTCTCCAACCTGACTGCCATAGGGATTCCTTGAAACAAAGTATGTGAATTGCTCAGAGCCAAGTAGGTGCTATGTGAGTTCTAGCCCTCCTGTTTTCTGACCTTGGATACACACTTACCCCAGGCATGATTATCTTCTCAACGTCGTTGATGATGTCCTCAAACGTGTCTGGCTCCTGAGGGGCAGCGGCAGGGATCAGCGGCCGCAGGTACCCGGGCTCCACGTCAGGGTAGACCTGGCGTCCCTCAATGCCTTCCATGTAGTTGGCCATGTAATCCACCATCTCCTTCCCTCTCCTTCGGAATTCACTTGCGTTCATGGTGTCTGGGCTCTGTCAGAGGTGAAAACTGCAGAAAGAAAATGATTCAGTGAGCAAATTTTGCAACCTCTGAACTGGAAGGCGGGGATACCAAGCAAGCCGTGGGTAGGGACACCTGGGCAGTGACTGCATGCCCTGGAGGCCACTTGGATCCCAAGTAAGGGGCGCTTTCCCTCCATGTCTGTAGGAGGTAGAAATGGCACTGGATTTGGGACTGAGGCAAAAGCTGCTTCTCCTCTTCACCAGCTATTCAACTGGGAACAACACAACGTCGCTTTATTTCAATAGACTAGAAGCACACGTTTATTTTCATGATCGATTCCAACTTTAATGACAAACACTGGTCCAAGTCCTGCCTCTGCCCTTACCTGCCTTTGAAAGAGACAAGCTTGCCCCTTAGAGCCCCTCTCCTCATCTGAGAAATGAAGACTGTGATGCTGACCTCTCAGGAGGGCATGAAGGCACAGTCACACAATGCACACGAGCCTCAGCTCAGAGCCTGGGGCAGCACACCCCCTCAAACTTAGTCTTCTTCTCTCCTCTTGATTCTGTCACAGATGGAACTGCACCTTTACGCACCATCTGCTTTTTAAAACTAATGCTCTCCTCCCTCCTTGCATAAGTAATATACAGGCAATTCTCATTATTGCTGGTAGCTGTGTTCTATCTACAACAGTTGCCATGGCCATAAACTCTGAATTAGTGAATACTGAACCATTTCTTCTAGGGGAAATACAATTTCCTGAAGCGTGATCCCAACATTTTTGTCAACAAATCAGTACATAAACTTTTCATGTGTTTTTAAGAGACACTTTATTTAATATATATTGATTCATTAACATTGGACTCACAGCCAACAGCACTGTAACTCCTGTCTGGGGAAGCTTCTCTAACACATATATTTTCTCCATAAGGCACGTCTTGTGCATAGGATGGCTAGACAGCACTTCTGCACCACATTTGGGGGTCATTTTAAACAGCAAAATCACCAAGAAGAAAAACATAAAAATGTGAAGGATGTGGCACTGAATAGACAGAGAGAAGGACATGTTTACATTATGAGAGCTGACGCAAGAAGGTAGTGTGTCCCTTTGTTCAGCCTCAGCTGGGAACATACGCATCGGACAAGCACATTCTCCACTACGCTACACATATGTACGTCCCTGAGTGGTCTCAAAAGCACCATGAGTATTGATATTTATTGACATTGGGGGTTACAAATGAATTTTAGCAAGTAGGAGAATTTGCATAGGTGGAATATGTGAATAAGAATCAATTGTATTTTCAAAACAGGACAGTGAACAACACAAAGAAAAAGATAAGCCTAAAATCCCACAACCCAAAATTCTGGCACATGTCTTTCTAGAATTTTTATTTTACTTTATTTTATGTGTTTATTTTTTTGAAACGGAGTTTTGCTCTTGTCGCCCAGGCTGAAGTGCAATGGCACGATCTCGGCTCACTGCAACCTCTGCCTCCCGGGTTCAAGTGATTCTCCTGCCTCAGTCTCCTGAGTAGCTGGGATTATAAGCACCCACCACTATGCCCAGCTAATTTTTGTATTTTTAGTAGAGGCGGGGTTTCACCACATTGGCCAGGCTGGTCTCAAACTCCTGACCTCTGGTGATCCACCAGCCTCGGCCTCTCAAAGTGCTGGGATTACAGGCATGAGCCACCGCTCCCAGCCTCTAGAATATTTTCTATTTATGAGAGACAATTGCATGCTAGGGATGGACTCACAGCCAACAGCACTGTAACTCCTGTCTGGGGAAGCTTCTCTAACACATGTATTTTCTCCATAAGGCACGTCTTGTGCATAGGATGGCACAAGGAAAATGCATAGGGATGCATTTTCAAATCTTTTTCATACTCCAAAGTTTTGTAGATGAGGAAATGGAAGCTCAGAGAGGCAATGTGACATGCCCAAGATCACATGACCAGTAATTGCAGAAATAGGATTCAAATTTATAGCTGGCTCCAGGACAAATTTAAGATAAATTTTCCCATGGGAGTTAAGTGCTTAGGAATACTCTAAATTCACTGTTATTAGCAATGGTGATGACCTTACTATCAGCTTCCAGCACTTCTCTATTTTCCCATTGTCCATGCTGGGATTTTTAACAATTTTTGTGAGGTTAAAGGTGGTAAAGAAAAATTGTTCACCAGGCACTTGTTAAAAGTGACAAGACAGATTTTACTCAAGACCACTGCAATAGGGATAGAATGTTGCAAAAGGGGAGGGGCTGAACTCAATTCCAAAAACAACAGGGGCACATAGGGACTTACAGCCAACGGTCAGGTGAGAGGGTCCCTGGGTGGAAAATTACTAAGAGGAACTTGGGTAAGTATCAAGGGTGGAGGGGAAAAAGGAACTCTGGATGAGATACCAAAAGTGGAAGCACATGAGCCTGATTGGACATCAAAGTTGTGCTCAGAAGGCCAAGGAGGAGACTTGGCTAAGCTCTTCCCCCTTGGGCCAGAGGAGCTTGGCTGATGTTTGGTCAAGGTACTTTGACAAAGGTAAACCTGCTAGAATGTGCTTTTCCTTCCATTGGCATTCTCTCTAATATTTTTACTTCCATGTTCTCTGTTAAATGAACAGTTACAGAAGTTTTTATGTCATTTCAAGGCTTATTAGATCCAGCCCCCATGTTAAAGCTATTGTTTGAGGATGCATTTCTCAGCTAGTGAGTGCTTGAGTGGCAGTGATTGAGACGTAAGATTAGACTCTAGATTATAGCAACAGCAAATGCCAAACTAACAAGCATGAGAACAACCACAATGACTGTCTGAAGTTCTGTTGCACCTTTGTGCTTCTTAAGCCAACGACCAAGGAGTGTCCTGTTCACCAGCAAAACATCAAGGCCATGTGCTAAAGCAGCCAGCTTACAATTCCTTGGGGCCTGCAGGCTTTGAAATTAGTTTTTAGTTTGAAGTGACTGTTTTTTTTTAATTTTGCACATACAGTGAAACTTGGTTTTCACCTCAAGTGGAAGTATTTCAAATTAATATGACTCAAATTTTTAACTCAAATGGTATCACACTGCAGATCTTTTTGCTAGCCTGTTTTTCTTTACTAATTTCTAAGTACATTTCTCATGTTGATAAATACTTTTCTTTTTCTTTTTTTTTTGTTTTTTTTTGAGACGGAGTCTTGCTCTGTCACCCAGGCTAGAGTGCAGTGGTGCGATCTTGGCTCACGGCAACCTCTGCCTCCCAGGTTCAAGTGATTCTCCTGCCTCAGCCTCCCGAGTAGCTGGGACTACAGGGCATGGTGGCAGACACCTGGCTAATTTTTTTTTTGTATTTTTAGTAGAGACAGGATTTCGCCATGTTGGTCAGGCTGGTCTTGAACTCCTGATCTCAAGTGTTCTGTCTGCCTTGGCCTTCCAAAGTGCTGGGATTGCAGGCATGAGCCACCGCACCTGCCCGATAAATACTTTTCTATTGTGTGATTTCTCACAAGTATTTCACAATGTGAATGTGCCATATTCACAACATGTACCTCTATTGTTGAGCATTTATATTATTTCCAATTTTCACCCACACAGTGGGAAGCATTGGTGTATCCCAGTGGCCAACACTCCGAGACCGAGAGCCAAAGAAAGGACTGCGAGTCACACCCTGATTCTATGTATTAGCTATCATAATCGCATGTATTAGCTATTATAACAGCATGTATTAGCTGTACAACCCAGCGTAAATTGCTGCCATGCTAAACCTCATTTTCTTTAACTGGCAACAAAAATCGTGACAATAATAGTATAGGTACACCCCGTTTTATTGCATTTTTTACAAATAGAAGGTTTGTGACAACCCTGAATCCAGCAAGTCTATAGGCACAATGTTTCCAAAAGCATGTGCTCACTCAATGACTCTGTGTTACATTTCAGAAACTTTTGTAATATTTCAAACCATTTCATTATTATTAATCTGTTATAGTGATCTATGGTCGGCAATCTTTGATGTTACTATTGTAATTGTTTTGGGACAGCATGGACCACACCCACATGATGGTCAACTTAATAAATTTGTGTCTGACTGAACCACTGACCCATTATTCGCCTGTCTTTCTTCCTTTCCTTGGGCCTCCCTGTTCTCTAAGATGTGACAAAATTGAAATTAGGTCAGTTAGTAACACTGCAATGGCCTCTAAGTATTCAAGTGACAGGAAGAGTAGGTAGTATGTCTCTCACTTTAAATCAAAAGCTAGAAATGATTCAGCTGAGTGAGGAAGGCATGTCAAAAGTTGAGCCAGGTCAAAAGTGAAGCCAAACAGTTATCCAGGCTATGAAAGCAATGGAAAAGTTATTGAAGGAAATTAGAAGTATAACTCCAGTGAGCACATGAATGCTAAGCAAAATAGCCTTATTTCTGATATGGAGAGTATTTTAATGGTCTGAATTGAAGATCAAACCAGCCACAACATTTCCTTAAGCCAAAGCGTAATCCAGAGTAAGGTCTTAACTGTCTTCAATTCTATGAAGACTGAAAGAGGTGAGAAAGTTGCAGAAAAAATGCCTGAAGTTAGCAGAGTTTTGTTCATGAGGTTTATGGAAAGAAGCTGTCTCCATTACATAGAAGTGCAAGGTGAAACAGCAAGAGCCAGTGGAGAAGCTGCAGCAAGTTATCCAGAAGATCCAGCAAAGATAATCCATGAAGGTGGCTACGGTAAACCATAGATTTTCAATATAGACATCATAGCCTTCTATTGGAACAAGAAGCCCTCTAGGGCTTTCATAGCCAGAGAGGAGAAGTCAATGCCCGGCTTCAAAACTTCAAAGTACAGGCTGACTCTCAAAGGGGGTAACACAGCTGGTGACTTTAAGTTGCAGCCTATGCTTACTTATTATTCTGAAAATCCTAGGGCCCTTAAAAACTATGCCAAATCTACTCTTCCTGTGCTTTATAAATGGAACAACAAAGCCTGGATGACAGCACATCTGTTTACAGTATGGTTTACTGAATATTTGAAGACTATTGTTGAGAGAGACTTCTCAGAAGGAAAGATTCCTTTCAAAAATATTACTGCTCATTGACAATGCACCTGGTCACTCAAGAGCAAGATGTACAAGGAAATTAATGTTTTCATTCCTGCTAACTCGACATCCATTCTACAGTCCATTGATCAAAGAGTAATTTAGACTTTCAAGTCTTATTAAGAAATGCATTTCATAAGGCTGCATCTGCCATAGATAGTCATTCCTCTGATGAACTTCAGCAAAGTAAATTAAAAACCTTTTGGAAAGAATTTACTATTCTAGATGCCATTAAGAACATTTGTGGGCCGGGCGCAGTGGCTCACTCCTGTAATCCCAGCACTTTGGGAGGCCAAGGCGGGTGGATCACGAGGTCAGGAGATCGAGACCATCCTGGCTAACACGGTGAAACCCCATCTGTACTAAAAATACAAAAAAAATTAGCCAGGTGTGGTGGCGGGCTCCTGTAGTCCCAGCTACTCGGGAGGCTGAGGCAACAGAATGGCATGAACCTGGGAGGCGGAGCTTGCAGCAGTAAGCCAAGATCACACCACTGCACTCCAGCCTGGGCGACAGAGCAAGACTCTGTCTCAAAAAAAAAAAAAAAAGAACATTTGTGATTCATGGAAAGAGGTCACAATATCAACATTAACAGGAGGTGGAAGAAGTTGATTCCAATCCTCACAGACGACTTCAAGTTTCAAAATTTCAGTGGAAGAAGTCACTGCAGATATGGTGGAAATAGAGAACTAGAATTTTAAATGGAGCCTGAAGATATGACTGAATTGCTGCAATCTCATGATAAAATTGGACAGATTAGTTGCTTCTCATGGATGAGCAAAGACATCTTGAGATAGAGTCTATTCTTGTTGAAGAGGCTGTGAGTATTGTTGAAACAACAGCAAAGGATTTAGAATATTACATAAACTGAGTTGCTAAAGCAGCAGCAAGATTTAAGAGAACTGACTCCAATTCTGAAAGAAGTTCTACTGGGGGTAAAATGCTATCAAACAGCATCACATGCTACAGAGGCATCCTTCATGAAAGGAAGAGTTGATCGATGCAGCAAACTTCATTGTTACTTTGTTTTAAGGAATTGCCACAGCTACCATAACTTTCAGGTACTACCACCCTGACCAGTCAGCAGCCATCGACATGGAGGCAAGACCCTGCACCAGCAAAAAGATTATGTTTGCTGAAGGATCAGATGATCGTTAGCATTTTTAGCAATACATTATTTTTAAATTAAGGTATATACTTTTTATATATAATGTTATTGCACACTTAATAGACTACAGTATAGTGTAAACAGAACTTTTGTATGCACTGGAGAGAAAAAATTCATGCGACTCCCTTTATGGTGGTCACCTGGAACTGAATTTGCAATATTTCTGAGGTGTGAACACCGAAAATTTGAGACAGGTCTCAGTTAATTTAGAAAGTTTATTTTGCCAAGGTTGAGGACACACCCGTGACACAGCCTCAGGAAGTCCTTATGACATGTGGCCAAGCTTGGTTTTATACATTTTAGGGAGACAGGAGACATCAATCAATTTGAAAGAAGTACATTAGTTCCATCCAGAAAGGTGAGACAGTGCAAAGCAAGGCCCTCCCGCTGTGGGCTCCCAGGTCACGGTAGGTGAGATACAGTTAGTTGCATTCTTTTGAGTTTCTGATAAGTCTTTCTAAAGAAGGCAATCAAAATATGCATCTATCTCTGTGAGCAAAGGGATGACTTGAATAGAATGGGAGACAGATTTTCCCTGAGTGGTTCCCAGCTTGAAAGGGCCTAAGATATTTTCCTTTCACAAGAGGTATGCCCGTAATACCTTGAAGAACTTTGTGTAACAACTAAATAAATAAATGGTAACAAATTAGCACTCAATAAATGTCAGCTATTAGCTTTTCCAAATAATCCTAAAATGTGCAACCTCTTGTTTACGTTTCTGCACACTTTCTTTTGCATTAAAAATTTATAAAAAGGAGAACACTTATTTTATAATTTATTTAGAACAAATTCTTCTAGAGATAAATATTTTTAGTGTCTTGAAAATATATTGCCAAATTTTCCCCTAAAACATGTATAAGAATGCTCATTTTACCATACAATCACTGGGCTTGAATATCCATTTTAAGTTTAACCAGCCTTAATGATTCCGTTGTACTTTTTTTTTTTTTTTTTTTGAGACGGGGCCTCACTCTGTCGCCTAGGCTGGAGTGCAGTGGTGTGATCTGGGCTCACTGCAACCTCTGCCTCCCAGGTTCAAGCAATTCTCCCGCCTTGACCTCCTGAGTAGGTGGGATTACAGGCGCATGCCACCATGCCCGGCTATTTTTTTTGTATTTTTAGTAGAAACAGGGTTTCACCATGTTGGCCAGGCTGGTCTCTAACTCCTGACCTCAAGTGATCCACCCGCCTCAGCCTCCCAAAATGCTAGGATTACAGGCGTGAGCCACCGCGCCCGGCCCCATTGTACTTTGACTAATGAAACTGAATAGCTTTTTCGTGTGTTTCTTTGCCATTTGGATTACTTTTTTACTGAATTTCTTGCTCACTGCATTCTTTTCCACTAGGGTGTTAGATATTTCCTATTTAATTGTGAGAGTTCTAATATACTAATAATTCTACTCTTACGTCTGTTAAATGTTTTGCAGGCATTTTCCTCATTTTTGTTGGACCCAATTTGCTTATAATTCTATTCTGACCTATGAGAATGTCAATTTTTATGTAGTGAAATCTCATAATCTTTTCTTCAGGACTTGTACCTGATGTGTGACTATTAGCAATGCCTTTTGAAGCAAATATTCTAGCTATATCTATTTGCCCTCCTGGGGGGCCACACATGTGAGGCAGCAAGCTGAAGACTCAGAAGGGGTAGCTGGGAAAGATTCAGAAAGACGCTCAGCTTCTGGGGATATCAGCTTTAAGTCACAGCACCAGGCCAAAGCATGTGGCTCTGGAATAAAAAAACACAACAAGCAGACACATACCACATACACCAAAAGAAATATTCCTAGTCAAAGTGTAAAGTAAGACCTGGTTCTTATATTTTAAATTATTCTCTGTTATTTATTCACAGATTATTTCCCACAAAGACCTTTTTAGAAGGCTCTTAGCATGAAGCCACAGAGAATCTTGTGCTCATTTGTAGCTGTTTGATATTTTATGCCCCCAAGCTGTGTAAATATTAGCTGGAAGACTTAGCCTATGATAAAGGCTGTGGCTTATGCCTCTCCAGGCCCTTGAAATAGCTTCTGTTGACATAAACTGCCCAGTGTTCCAGCAGCTGCACACGACACTATTCTCCACACTATTCTCTACCCCACACTATTCTCCATGCTGCGCTATTCTCCATGCAGCCCCTGTGGTGCATTGCCTGTGCACGGTGAGCTGGCTGCCTCCCTGGACTTCTGGCTCAATGTCTTTTTGCATCAGCAACAGTCAGAGCTCATCTCCAGCCCCACACGCTTCAAGAAGAGATGGACTCCCCTGAACTCCCTCAGACCTCCTGATTGACCTGTGGGGTTATTTTGTTGTAATGCAACATTTCAATAACACCCTTTGCTAATGGTGGGCTTCTCCAAGCAGGGTCCTCAACTTATTTATTTTTGCATTTGCAGGACCAGTCAGGGGCCCTGGACAACAGAGAGCACTGTAGGTATTTGCTGAATGATGAATGAATGAATGATATTTGGTCCTCTAGACATTTTGTTTCTGTAATATACCCTATTGGACTCTACTCTCTACCTTTGAGACAATTCAAATCACCAGCCCCTCACATATTTGCCACAAGGAAGAGTCACAGGAGACACTATGGCTCAGGAGCCACAGCCCCTCCCACCATTGAGTCTTGACCACTTCCACCTGTGCCATCTCCTGTCTCAGTCCCTGCCCAACATCTAGCCCTCCATGTTCAGCACTTGACTAAGTGTCCTGCAGTCTGGGCACTGCAATTTCACTCTTAGGACTTCTCTGCCACAGCCACTGAAGAGAATGCAGCCCAGGCCCCTAGCACCATGGGCAAGCCCATCCACGCCACTGTGCATGTGAGGTAGTGGATTCCTCACAAGCCCGGAGTGGGGATGGCAACCATGCACTGTGGATCTGTCCATGGTACTGCCTGTTCATGCACGCAAGACATGATTTTGCTGCAAACACCGGGATACTGGAGACTTTGTTCAGCCTCTCTTGACTTTCCTTTTCCATCCTGATGAAAAAAATAGGGTTGACATTTTTTACACTATTCCAGTAAAAAGGAGCCATAGTTTATGTCTCAGAAAACACGTAAGCTTTTGGGCCTGAGGCTCTGGCTCACTATCCCCCTCAAGCATATACTTATAAATCCAGGCACAACACTAATTTGGCTGATTTCCCCCTGGATTAGCTGCTTTCTTTTTTTCTTTTCTTTTCTTTCTTTTCTTTTTTTTTTTTTTTTTTTTGAGATGGAGTCTTGCTCTGTCGCCCAGGCTGGAATGCAGTGGAACGATCTTGGCTCACTGCAACCTCCGCCTCCCAGGTTCAAGCGATTCTCCTGCCTCAGCCTCCTGAGTAGGTGGGACTACAGGTGTGCGTCACCACACCTGGCTAATTTTTGTATTTTTAGTAGAGATGGGGTTTTACCTTATTGGTCAGGATGGTCTTGAACTCCTGACCTCATGATCTGCCTGCCTTGGCCTCCCAAAGTGCTGGGATTACAGGTGTGAACCACCGTACCCAGCCTGACTTGTTTCTTGATGGACATTTTCTCTGTGGGTTCAAAGACCATAAAAATATTCAGTAGGAGAAATGCTTCCAAGCAAGACCATAAAGAAGTTTCTAGCCATGAGAGCTTTTTAATCACAGGAGAATGGCTATCTGATAAACTTGCCTCAAAAAAACATCCTCTAAGTTCTTTCTTTAACCCTTAAGACTCTGGTTACACAACAGGCCACTAAGAAGCTTTACGTGAGCATTTTTGTCAGTGGCCAGGAGGTACGTGAATAATCTAAATCCGCTCACAAGTGGCCTCCAGCTACACCACCAAGTGTCAGGCAGACCTGAGGTCAAGAGTCACTGCTTTCAGTTACTCTGTTACCTTTAACCTCCACCCCTTTCTGAGGCTCCTTCTCAGCCTCTGTGAAAGCAAGAATGCATGCAAATACCTCCCTCCAGTGCTGCTGGGAAGATGAATGAGATGATGGGGTGAGAGCCTGCTGCAGAGTCAGTGTTCAGTAAAATGTTTTCATTAATAATAGGGCAACTGTGGGGGGCAGGGGGAGAGGGGAAATATGAGGACTCTCTACTTTCTGTCCAATTTTCCTTTATACCTGAAACTGCCGTGAAAGTCTATTAATTTTCTTTAAGTAAAAAATAAAATTATTAACTGGGCAGAAGTGGCCTCATTTTGAGGCTTTTGAGGCCGGCTTCCTCAGCTCCTTCCTTCCTCCCTTTCTAGGACACATTATCTTCACTTGTATTTCTCTTCCACAGCTCTCAAACTCATCTGTTTACAAACTGGAAATCCACTGTTTTGCAACTGCTGGGTTTTTTTAGCTTACAAGACTTAGGTAGCGCTGACAGATTTGTCAGATTCTTTGATGAGATAACAGTCAGGGACTAGAGCCAGAGTTAGTGCTCAGGCCTACTTTCCATACAACTGCTCTTCTCAGAGACTGTGGTCCTCAAAGCCAATTATTCTACATGATTGACCCCAGGTTCCCGCAGCATTCTTCAGAAAGTCATGAAGATTCTGTGTCACTGAGGCCCTTAGCACATGAGTTTTCTCAACTACAGAGAGAGAAACATCACAGACTTCCTCACATGGGTAAAAAGCAACATAAAGTGTTCTGGGAGGCAGCATGGCACTGCGGGGGAGAAGGGTGGACTCTGGATCCAGAGAACTCGGCTTGCGTCTTATCTCCAAGGCTTATTAGCTGGGTGACCTTAGGTAACCGAGGAAGCTCAGGTAACCTCTATGGCCAATATGATGCACTCCCATCCCTCGGATGGAGAGATGGGAGAGACTGTGCTCCTGGAACCAGGATCCAGGCTGTCCGTGCAAAGCTGCCACCAGGTCAGGCTTGCCGGGTCAGCAGGCATGGAGGAGGAGGCTGAGCCAGTGTCACGGGGATGGTGGTACCTCTGCCTTCGAGCCTCCCACTAAACCTCCCATTGGCAGAACCCTACCACAATCCGGGTGTCCTGGGTTCCTGAGAAGCATGGCTTGTGTGGTTTGGAGTCAGTGGGGGAGACAAGAGATCTGTTGGAAACGAGACCCAGGACAGGCTGACATCTTAGCTCCTTTAATGCTTTATTGGTGAGAGCTATTACTATGCTCATTTTAAAAGGGAGGGACCTGGGACCCAGAGAAGGAAAGGACTGTCCCAGGTGTGAAGCTGGTTGCAGCAAAGCCAAGGCAGAACCCCTGTTTCCTTCATCCTGTAGGCCAAAGTGTCTCTACTTATAATTGACACAATAAAGCCAGGGCACCACACACACACATACGCACACACACTTGCGACTGTCTTACACTTGTACCACTATTTTTATGTAAACCCGGGTGTTCTTGTTTAAATAGGCACTCTCTCATTGGTCTAAAAAATAGTTAACATTGATATGAACTTACATGTGCCAAGAACCACGTTAAGCTCTTTGCCTGGTTCTCGTATTTAATCTTCATAAGAACCTTGTCAGGACTACTATTACTCCCTTTAACAGATGAGAAGACCGAGGCGCAGAGAGGCTGCACAACTGAACCAAGACTCCACACCTGCTGTAGTCAGATGAGGCCACAGTTGAATTCCTGCAGTCTGGCTCCTGAAGGCACCTGAGAGAATGTCCTGGACTCAAACACAGGTACAGAGCATCTCTAACAGCTGTAGCCAGATGCATATCAGTTGATGAAAAGAGCATGGCTTAAGTAACTTCAGGATTAGAAACTTGTAATACCAGTTTCTCCTAGGGCTGCAAGGAATGATTTCCCGAATGCCTACTGAGGACCACAGGGGCACCGCAGCTTCCACGGTGCCTTGTTTGCTTATAGATCATGTTCGTTACAAATGGTAACCAGAAAGAGAAAGGGTTTGGGCAGCTCTTGGCTGGAGGTGAGACCGTGGCCAAGCCCCCTATCTTAGTCCCTTTGGGCTACTATAAAAAGTACTATAGACTGGGCAGCTTATAAACAACAGACAATGATTTCTTAGAGTTCTGAGGCTGGAAGTCCAAGATTAAGGCCCCGGCAGATTTGGTATCTGGTGAGGCTTGTTTCTCATAGACATAGCCTTCTCTCTATGTCCTCACATGGTGAAAGGGGTGATGGGTCTCTCTAGGGTCTCTTTTATAAGGTTACTCATTCCATTCATGAGGGCTCTGACTTCATGACCTAATCATCTCTCAAAGTTCCTATTTCCTAATACATTGCAGGCAAGGATTTCAACATAGGAATGTTGGGAGAAACACACACGTCCACTCCATTGCAGCTCCACTTGCAATCTGTACCATGGCCATCATCCTAGGCACCACACAAAACCATGAAGAGAGTACAAGATAATTACAAAGTAGATGCTCGAAGCATAGCATTTCACTCTCCACACCTGTGCAAATTCAGGAGGAATCAAATCCATCATCTCAAGGGAGTTTCTGTCCAGAAAGGAACTCCTGTAAGGGACTTTGCACTGGGTCCTAAGTCCCACTCCGCCCAGCTGGCCTCCTTGGCGAGATTGGTCTGCGTTGGAAAATGGAACTGCCACAATCAAGTGGAGCTAAGCTTTCAGCACTACAATTCCACAGGACAGTCCTCCTCCTCCTCCTCCTCATGAAGAATAGAAAGAATGGTGGATTTGCATTCAGAGAAAACAGCTTGAGCCCATAGCTCTGCGGCAAGAGGCATGCAGCTGCTGGCTGACGTCTTGGAGTCTCTGAGTCTGTTTCTTTACTTATAAAATGGGGCCGCAAGCTCATGCAGGCAGAGAGCACTTTGGACTGTAAACCTGTGTCTAGCAATTATTATTATTGATGCTACAAAAGACAGGCAGAAGCCTCTTCTCCTGAGGTAGCATAAGAGAAAAGGGAGAAATTTTCTACAACAAACAAAGATCAAAATTCAGGGGAAAGCCTTGCTCCTCTGCTGACATGAAGGAGGAAGGAGCTTTGTGCAGCTGTTTCTTATTCATTCCCTGTTTAATAAACAATGCTCTGTCAAAGTAGATTCTTGGCCAACAATTATCCGTGGAAAGGAGCCATAGAGAAGTTTGTCTTGGTTTTCAGTTTTCCTCCCATGGAAAGATGCTACTTCCACTCATATCTCTGTAACCATGCTGTGACCTTAGTTAATGCTGGCTGGAAAAATTCATAACTTGAGCAACTTCCAAAGACAAAAAAGAATGCCAAGGACATGAAACTGATTGATATTATTCCATTTTAGTCCTGACCGTAGACAATTCAAATAGTTGGAATGAGGATGTGTGTATGACTGGGGATCCTTTTTTCACTTGACATTTTTCCTTTATGCCTAATTACAAGGTGCAGAATTTCCTTAACATAACGCTCCTATTTGCACTTATTAAGGGCTGCTGAGTGGGGATTTCACCGTGTTCCTATGACACCATCCATCCCCACTTTGCCTGTTAGCTGTTTGCTGTTATGGGCAGCACCGTCATGAGTAGATGCCACCCCACCATCACCATATAGGTCGCACCTATTGGGTCTGTCTCTCAAAGATATTAATTCCCCAGTGGAATTGAGACATGTGAGTTGTACAGTTCTTTTTGCGTGTTGTCAATTTCTTTTTGAAAAACTGGAATGATACAGAAATGTCACCCACCATCAGGCATTGAGCATAGACACTCCATCTCTGTAAGCTTTGCTCCTTCATTCACATTTTAACTTTAAACCTTAAAACATTCAAATTTTATTATTTTCATTCATGGTTGCTAATTTTGAAAGTTTATATGATAACTACTAGGTAATTTTAACTTTTCTCCTTTGTTTTCATTTTATTGAAGAGTTATGTCAGAAGAAACTTTTCAGAAATCACCCCCCCCCTTACAAATTTTTTCCCTTATTTTTTCTCAATTCTTTCCCCCTTTCTCTTGCAGTCACATTAATAGTTCACAAGAGATCATAACCATCTGCCTTTGCTATTGGCTTGAGACAATTCGAATTATGTTCTAGTTGGTTGCTTCTTTTCATCATAGTCATAATATCCAGTGCCCATGACATGTCCTGGTTTACCGTCTATTACAAACACAGGACACCTGCACTGTGAATCTATTTAGTATGCTTTGGTACACTCTTTGGGGAGTCCTTATGAGCCAATTTGGTGGTAAATATTGACTTCTACATTCACAGTGAATGCTTCCCTATTCCTCATATTGAACAGCTGCTGGCCTGGGGCCTGGTGTTGCTAAGAAGCCTGCACTTGAGGTGCCCCCCTCCAAGAAAAAATCCTGAGAATCTGTTGAACTTTGGTTGCCACATCCTATTGTCCAAGAAACCAAACAAATCAGCAGTGCTCAAGCTCCTGATAAGCTCGTGGTATACATTATCTCACTGAACACGCTCACAACACTGCCAGGCCAGTAGAGTTATTGCTGTTTAACTTGACCACAGCCACACAGCCAGTAAGTGAAGGAGTGGGTGCTGGTGTTCTGAAGCCAGCATTTTCCTAACACACCTTTGGCCTGGGAATCCACTTACACCTCCACTGTCAGCTGCCTGTGTCCTCACCATGGCCAGAGATGAGACCACAGGACTCTAAACAGGGCTCTCACTGGGGATGGGGAAGGTGGTGCCTGCAACCCAGAGTGTGGTCCAGGGCTCCTGCCTGGTTCACTGCACATGAGAGAACAGGGGAATGTGGCTTCGGGTGGGAGTGCTGAGCCCGCAGACACACGTCTGCCTCCACCCACCTGGGCTGATCCCAACAGAAACAGGCAGAGGCTCAACAAACTCTGCTGCCCTCCATGCCCCAAGAGAAGTGCCTCTCCTCTACCTCCTCCAAAGCAGAAGAAATGTTGAATAGTTGCCATATACAGGGCAGCAGTGTAAGCCCTTTACCTATATCCTCCTAAACTTCACATCAGCTCTGCAAAGTAGCAGCCTGATCCCCTTTACAGCAATGCGAAGAGGCTGAGGGAAGCATGCAGCAGGCACGGAGCTCCTCTCAGCCCGCACAGCTCAGAAATGGCTTTCACACTTGCCTCTGTACAAACCAGAAGACCAGGACCCTCTGCTGTCTCTCAACACAGTGGGATTCTAACCTTTTCTACGAGGTCCTGTGCCCATCGCTGTCCCATATGCCCACGAGGTGCCTCTGGGCTCCCTGAATGTCTTCCTCCAGAAATGCCAACAAGCACCAGATAAACACAAAACATCAGAACATTTCTTTTTTTTTTTTTTTTGGAGACAGAGTCTCGCTCTGTTGCCCAGGCTGCAGTGCAATGGCATGATCTCAGCTCACTGCAACCTCCGCCTCCCGGGTTCAAGCAATTCTCCTGCTTCAGCCCCCTGAGTAACTGGGACTATAGGCACGCACAACCACGCCTGTCTAATTTTTGTATTTTTAGTAGAGATACGGTTCCACCATGTTGGCCAGGCTGGTCTTGAACTCCCGACCTCAGGTGATCCACTCGCCTCAGCCTCCCAAAGTGTTGGGATTACAGGCGTGAGCCACTGCGCCCAGCCGCAGAACACTTCTTTTAAAATACCCGCATAGTGTGGTTTTCCTAGAGCCGTTCCCTAAACTTAACTGCTGACTCAAGTTGAGTGTCTGAAAGTAAAACCTTCAGAATAATCAACATCTTGAAGAGCAGAAAACAAAAGTAATTAGATCCCCCAGGCTATCTCTTTGAATTTGTGGCAAGGGGAGTTAAGGGGGATTTATTTTAATTATTTTCTTCACACTGGCTGTGTGTAGACGCCCACCTAGCGTGTGCCCAGAAGACAGGAAGAAAAGAAACTGCTGAGAATGGCTTGATTTTGTTTCCTTCAGAACCATCCAGACACCCCTTAACTTGCTCTGTGGTCAGCCATCCAGGATGCCTGTGTTCTAGTCTGGGGTCACCGCACGCTGCCAGCAGGACTCCGGTGCCCCCAGCAAAAGGAGTGTTTTTCTCTGGCACCCTTGACAAACCAACAGAGGACCAGCTTTTGTGCAGTGATTGTCACCTTTTGGAGGGGAAACTCTGCTTATCTGAATGAGAAATTTTCGCAAGGAGCCTCGCCCTTGGAGTCTTCAAGAGAGAAACAAGCTTGTGGGAAGAACCCATGTCACCTGCCTGAATTTCGCTTGGAAACTGAAGAAAACAGGCTGTGGAGGGCGCAGCAGACCACTCAGCAGCATTTTCAGTGACCTCACACTTTCCTCCCTTATTCACAATAGAGCTCTCATTTATTGAGCACCTATTGTGTGCCCGCCCCTTTATAAAATCAAACCTGGTTTTTACTATGATCTGGGGGAGGATGCTGTTAATTAGCTCCTCTCCTTCACGTCTGAGGAAGGAAAGGCGGCCAGGGAGGTGTGCATCTGAATGCAAACCTGAGTCTGTGGGGCTGCATAGCCTCCTTCTTTCCCACCCATCGTGTGGCCTCCACGGTCTCTACATGCACATGAGCCAGTCTGGAAAATAATTTCCACTCACTTAGTTATGTTGCTGTCATGGCTCTAGGAATGTGGCCTAAAAAGCAATCCAAAGTTTCAGATTCTCTGCCTGACCTGTTGCTTGCAGATAGCACAAAAAAGCAAGCCGACCTAGGTTGGTGCCTATTTTCTTGAAAAGTTCCTGTAAACCCTGTGTCACCTGCACACACTGAATGCTCAGCTGTCCCTGTCAGCCGAACCTCCTTCCTCCTGCAGGAGGAGAATTCAGCACAGCTAGAATCAACCGGCAAACCTCCCACCCCAAACCCCAGGGTCACGGCCATCCAGAGAGCTGGACGCGTGAGCCATGAGGACAAAGAGCAGTACTCACAGGCAGCCGGGAGTGACTTGCTCTCTGTCCTCTCTCTCTCCTCTCCACAGTGACAGTTAAGAGGCACAGAAGATGTGATTGCCATTTATGTAGACAGAGTGTCTGCCTCCCCGAAGCCAATCAGAGCTGCCGGCTCTGCATTATTTACTGAGCAGCATCCCTCCACCCTCCCACCACCTCCTGCCCCCACTCTGCCCCCAGGGGGAGAGAGCCATCCTAGCAGGATGGAGAGGAGCATCAGGGCCTGCTGGGACTGGCGAGAGGCCAAGGAAAAAATGGGCCCTGTGTTCCCAGGCACTGTGTAGGATGCAGATTTGGGGCCAGGGCTCCTGGGACTCTCCCAGCAACTTTGAGAACGACCAGGCTCCACTCCAAGGGTGAGGAAGGGACGGCGTGGCATTTGGGGAGTGCTCACTCTGGGTCTGCTCCTTCTGTGAGGGACTATTAGGACCCTGTGATACCCGGGAGGCTCAGGGTCCCAAGCCCACTTCCCCAGATGAGAAAGTGAAGTGAGATGTAGATTAGGTGTTGAGCCGCATGCATCTCAAACTCCTGTGCTGTTACCCTTAAGCCTATCAGCATCTAAAACATGGTTTGGGCTCAGTCTCTCCTCCCACCATGGGGCAGCAACAGGGAGGATCATCTTCCCCACCTCCACCCCCTCCCCCCACTCCTGGTTGATGGGTGCAATAGAAGGAGCAGGACTCCGTTTCTCCTGAAGGTGCACGCAGAGTCATGTGAAGCTAGGAAAGGGGCCTGGGCTTTGC
The DNA here is from genome assembly GCF_000001405.40 of Homo sapiens. Lineage (NCBI taxonomy): Eukaryota > Metazoa > Chordata > Mammalia > Primates > Hominidae > Homo > Homo sapiens. The sequence continues at coordinate 50,561,781 of NC_000007.14, forward strand.
AGAGGAGGAAGAGTGGAGAACAGGGTCCACTCAGATGACGAGCAGCCTGCAGGTGCCCCTGCCCCGACCACACACACATGCACACACACCATGCACACTTATGCATGCACACACATACACAAGCATACATGCATGCATGTTTATACACACTACACACGTACAATAGCACATGCATATATGCATGCATACCACACACACATGCACACACACACATACCTAAGTGCATGCATACACACACATACACATACCACATCCAGGGCTTGTGGCACAGTCCAGAGCTAGAAATGCCCCAAGGAGAGCCATCCATCCTCTGACTTTAAGCAGCATCTTTTCAAGGAAGAAGCTACCCCTCTAGAGCAGAGATCCCCATGGAACTGGGACAGAGGCAGCGGCCTTCCAGGCAGCAGAACATGCCATGAGTGCAGGGGCTGCAGGGCGGGGACCTGGCAGGTGGTACAAGTGAGGGGATCCTGGTCTCAGCCTGTGCATAAGCAGCTCCCTCCAGCAGCCGTGCAGGGACCTGCAGGCAGCAGCCATGTGGACAATGGAGGCAGTAAGGAGATTAGGCCCCATCTGCACAGAGGGCAAGATGGGAGCTGCCCAAGCGTCACCATCCAGGGGGAGCCAGAAGCCAGCAGCAAGGTGGCTCATCCCCCCAAACACTGTGAGTTCAGCCATGACCACAGAGGAGAGGCAGGCCCCAGCCGTGAGCATTGGAGGTCTGTGGGAGGGGACAGTGTCAAGCTGGACAGCCAGGCACTTCTTGAGCTGAAACTCCTCTGTCCTGAGGAACACAGACTCCCACTTTCTTGCCCCTGGCAATGCACCCATGAGAAAGAGCCCTGGTCAGGGAGGACTGGCCAGGAGCTTGGGGGCTGCAGTGGGTGACTGAGCACAGGGCTCCTACAGGGCGGAGCTGGGGCTGCACTGCTCCCTGGATGTGTGCCCTTCACCCTGCACACGGCTTGGGCTACACACCAGGGGGACACAGGTATGAGGAGGTGCTGATATTTTATTATCATTTATGTATAAATAGTATTTAATCTCTATTTTGTTTTTCTTTGATACATGAGTTATTCAGTAGCTATTAAAAAAATGTCCAGACTGCCGGGCCCAGTGGCTCATGCCTGTAATCCCAGCCTTTGGGAGGCCAAGGTGGGCACATCACCTGAGGTCAGGAGTTCGAGACCACCCTGGCCAGCATGATGAAATCCCACCTCTACTAAAAATACAAAAATGAGCTGGGCACAGTGGCAGGCACTTGTAATTCCAGCTACTCAGGAGGCTGAGGCAGGAGAACTGCTTGAACTTGAGAGGTGGAAGTTGCAGCGAGCTGAGACTGTGCCACTGCACTCCAGCCTGGGTGGCAGGGTGAGACTCCATCTCAAAAAAAAAAAAAAAAAAGTCCAGACATACATAGCAATATTTGCTTATTTTTTAATTGAATTCTAATTTAATTAATTGGATTGAATTGCAGTCAGAGAACATGTTGGTGTGAGAGCAGTTCTCTGATAGATGTTGACATTTGCATAATGCCACTTAAGACACTTAAGAAAGTGTATTTTCTAATTTTTAGGTATTTGATTCCATATATGTCCAATAAAGCAAGATGATTACTTTTGTCTTTGAAATTTTCTAAATGTTTACTAATGTTTTGTTTGCTAAATCTATCATCCAGTTTACTATAATTGGTAAAGATGGTGGATTTGTTGATTTCTCTCCATAGTTGAACCAAGATTTTCTTTATATATTTAAGGCTCTATGTATCTTTAAAACTGCAACATATTCTTGGCAGAGTAAAACTTTCATAATTTTATTTTATTATTATTATTATTTCTTGAGACAGAGTCTCACTCTGTCACCCAGGCTGAAGTGCAGTGACTCGATCTCGGCTCACCGCAACCTCCGCCTCCCACGCTCAAGTGATTATCCTGCCTCAGCCTCGTAAGTAGCTGGGACTACAGGTGCATGCCACCACACCTGGCTAATTTTTGTATTTTTATTGGAAATGAGGTCTCACCATGTTGCCCAGGCTGGTCTCAAACTCCTGAGCACAAGTGATCTGCCCGCCTTAGCCTCCCCAAATGCTGGGATTACAGGCGTGAGCCACAGCACCCAGCCCTCATTTTATATAATAATTTATTTATTTATTGAGTTGATTACTCAATTGACCTTGTTAAAATGTGAAAACTCCGCTCTTCTTCCACATCTTACCTGCATTCAATATTCCTGAGACTCTCCCCTTTCCTGGAGACCAGGGTGGCGTGAAGCTCAGGGGTGGCACTGTAGGCAGATGGCTGTGTCTCTTCAAACTTATTTAGTAATTTTTAAGAGTCTGAAAATTATGATTTAAATATTAAGCAGCACCAACATGTCCCTGGTTTCAAAAATGTCACATATCCACTTTGCCAGGACTTCCAGGGTAGAGTTCTATAGGGTCATCTTCATCCTACACCGCATCCAGATAAGCACAGGGAGCAAGGCTGAATGCTGGAGGGACTTACCCCAGCCATGGGAGCAGCGCTTGTCGCCCTGGACCTACACACTGGATTGCTTGGCTGCCCGACAGCACCAAGTGCAAACGGGCTACATTCACATTTCGTCTCTGCCAGCTGCAAGATCTTATGCCATCCTCCTCCCCTCCTCTGGCTGTTTGCTCACTTGTGAAATGGGGATGTGACTGGAGGTGAAGAAGGCAAACCTTCTAGACAGAGCCCAATGTAAACTGACCACTCAGAAGTAATGGTTTTAACTCACGCATGATGGAGAGCAATGATTTCCATCGATTAAGCTTTGATTCTTATATACTTCCGACAACAGACTTAAAACCAGGAGAACTTCGACTCCTTGAAGTCGATAACCGAACAATTCTCCCAATAGAAATTCCTATCCGCATATGTTTTCAGATGGGAATTGTACTCAGCATGGCAAGTTGGTGGGAAAGATCTTCTAATTCTCCTCAAATCACACTGCATAGGTAGACACCAAATTGACCTCTAAGTAAACTATAACATACACCAAAAGGAGAGAGCCCTGACGGAGCCTCAGATGTTATAAAGGGAAGGGCAGAGTTCACATTTACTAATCACCTCCATAAAATCATGGGATTTAATCCTCACAAGGTAGATACTAAGAAAATCCTCATTTACAGAAGAAACAGAGGCTGGGGGAATAAAATACCCAACACCATCCCTGGTGGTGCATGGAAAAAATAGAATCACATCTGGCCCGCATTTGCTACTGAGCCAGTCATGAAATCATTCCCAGCACCTATCAAACATGTGTCACTGGAGTGACTGTGTGTGCATGGAGAGCCACCAAGTGCACAGCCCCCACTGAACAAAAACCCCTGCCAGCCTGCAGCAGAAGAGAAAGCACCACACAAGCTCCCTCAAGTGAGTTAACCTTTAAGCAAATGTTCAGTAACATGGGGCCAGAGAGTCAAGGTACATGTTGCTGTTTTCCACTACTACAATCTGAGTAGGTATAAAATCAGAGACTTACATGCTGGAAATTCGAATTCCTTACAGGGCTACTCTCCTTGATGGGATTCTCCAACTTTGGGGACTGAAGAGCATGTGGAGAAGCTGCTGAGGCACTCGGCACTGAGACAGTCACTCTTCTTGAAACTCCAAGCCACACGTTTCCCTCTTCTTGCATTTCCAGCCACATGTGCCAGTTAAACATTAATTCCTGATGGTGACAAAGGTCAAGGAAATCTTGAGAAATAGCTCGCCTCTGGGAATCCTGAGAGCACATTCTGAAGAGACTGTTTCATTCCAAATCCTGGAAGCTTGGATCTTTCTTATGTAATTCTACATACATCCCATCTTTTACTAAGCAGCCCTGATTTCAAGTTTGGAGCCCATTAAGTCATCTGATATGTTCCAGCCCTGCACCAGGTGATGCCTGCATTGCACACAGCCTCCTGCCCCTGAAGGCAGCCCCAAAGTAAGCCTGCACTTCCCGGTGCAGCACTCAGCAATATGGGTAAGATTTCCAGGTTCAGATATCAGCAGAACCCAGGAACTCACCTTCCTTCCCCAAACCCATCAAAATCATAGTTGAGATGCATGAAACAATACTCTGAGTGGAATTTGGACAAATTTATAAAAAAACCCCAAAGTCGATAGAATTTTATGAGAGCACAAAGCAGGGCTGAGAAAGCCACATTGAGAAGTTGAGCAGGCACAGCCTGCAGGGATCTTAGGAGCTGGTCTTTCTGGCAGACCCCCAGCAGCTCCAAGCGTGGGGCTCAGTGGGTGTGAAGAGCAGAGTGAGAGTGAGGCTGGCTGCGGGCAGCTCATTAAAGGACTGGAAACAAGGCAGAGAGGGCTGTCACTAGAGCCATTTGTCACAGGCTAGATGCAGGGAAGAGCTCTCCTTGCTCTATCCTAGGGGACTGGAGCAGGCTGGGGCGGGGCACCTAGGGTTCCTATTGTTAGGACTGGAACTGGAGAGAGAAGCAGAGTGACATTGAGGAGTCTCAAAACCTCCACAGGAGCCATTGGAGGAAAGAGGGAAAAGAGAAAGAATGGCAAGTGAGCCCTCCAATGACGCACACCCAAATGCTCCCGCCTGGGGTCTCACAGGAGCTGAGAACCGAAGAAGTGATTGTCCTTGGTAAGGGGAAGAGTGAGGGAAGGGCTCCAAAGAGGGAACAGCCTCTGCAAAGTTACTGAGGATCAAGCTCGGCATCTCCCAGGCCCTGACAGAAGGCCAACTCCTAAGGACCATTCAAAGTAGGGGAGGGGGAGTCTTGCAAGCCACGTTACGTAATTTGTATCCCCCCAACTGTAATAGAAGGCATTGAAGTGTTTCTAGAAAGCAGTAACCTTAGCTTACTTATGGTTTAAGATCACTCTGGCTCTGGGGTAGAAAATGGATCAGAGGGAGATAAGGGTGAAAGGGTTAGACCCTTTAAGTTGGACCACCAATTCCCACCACATTCCTTGGATTTCTGCACTTTCCTGCAAACCAGGAGTGAATTCAAGTGAATCCATTCTAGGAGATGGGCTGGGGGAGGGAGGGGGGGCTTGAGATGAAGAAGCGTGCTAATATTCCCCATAAGTGCGTGTGTGTGTGTGCATGTTAGGAGGTTGCTGGACAAGGGGAGGAGTCAAGGGGATGGAACGACTACCCAGTGATGAAGCCAGTGGGCAGGGGATGACGGTCATAGACTGAGAGGAAGAAGACTGGGGTGGACCAGTATTGGGTGTGGGGAGGTGAAGGACACCAAGGATTCAGTTTGGGAATTAAATTTCAGATATCCACAAATCGTGTGATTTGAGATGTCCAGTACAGCTCAGAAAAAGAGGCCCAGACAGGAAATAAAGTTATGGGTTGAAAGTGTTTAGATGATATTTGAAGCAATAGGACTGGAAAAAAAACATCCATAGAGAAGAGAGACCTCAGTTTTGAAATCCTCAAAAAAGTGAACTAGTAGTGTCCAACTACTGAGCAACAGTTATCTCTCAATAGAGAAATCTACATAGGAATCAGCATCCGTTCCCAGAAGGGACTCTTTTTACATTTCCTTTCTTCTTGCAGGTGTGGGATTTATGGGGAATAGGGGTGAGGCTTCGAGGACCAAAGAAAGAAATCTAGGGCAGGATTTCCCAACCATGGCACTTTATCAGTCAGGTTTCTCCAGAAAACTGGAAATAATAGGATATGGATATAGGAATATAAGAAGAGATTTATTGTAGAAATTGGCTCATGTGATTATGGAGGCTGGGAAGTCCCACAGTCTTCCATCTACAGGCCGGAGAACTAGATAAGCTGGTGGTGTAATTCATCCTGAGTTTGAAGGCCCAAGAGCAGGAGAAGATGGATATCCCAGCTCAAGAAGAGAAAGAATTTGCCCTTCATCCACCTTTTTGTTCTATTCTGGCACTCAACAAACTGGATGTTACCAGCCCACACTGGTGAGGATGGATCTTGTTTACTTTCTGGAGATTCCAATGCCAATCTCTTCCAGAAACACCCTCATGAACACAACCAGAAATCCTGCTTTACTGGCCCTCTGGGCATCTCTTAGCCCACTTCAGTCGACACATAACATTAACCATCCCAGCACTATTACATTAAGGGTGTATAATTCTCTGTGATGGGAGCTGTCCTGTGCATTATAGAATGTTTAGCAGCATCCGGCTTTTACTCATTAGGTGCCAGTAGTCCCCAGTTGTGACAACCAAGAATGTCTCCAGGCATTGCATGTTTCCTGGTGGCAAAATTGCCCCTGGTTGAGAAAGGCTGATCTCGTGTGACCTTGTAATGCCCCAGGGCAGGGGAAGGTAGCATGGGTTGCAGCCAAGGCTGTTCCTGGAAGAGGGTGAGTCTGCTCTTCCACAGGAGCAGCAACGGCCATCTCTCATGATGCCAGAGTGGCCTGCAGTCAGTCGCAACAGTGTGCATGTTGCAGGAGGGAGACTGCAGGTGCAGACGTGACTGTGAAAGAGATTCACAGTGCACCTGAGTGTGGCTCCTGGGAGCAGAAGAGACGGGGCTTCCTGCTGAGACCACTGTGTGCCAGAGCAAAGTGGGCACTGGGGGCTTTGCTGAGGCCATGGGTGAAGAGAGAGGAGCTCTACTGCTATGCCCACACTCTGGCCAAGCCCACAGACAGGAGTGTCAGGGGAACTGAGTTTTCCTGGAAAAGCCAATTTGTTTAGGAGCTGGTGAGAATATCAATTCTGTTTTCTTTTCTTCCAGCGTAGAAGTTTTTTATTTTAATGAAGTCCAATTCATCAGTCCTTTTCCTCCATAGATTGTATTTAATGGAGGAAACTGGTGATTTATCTAAAAGGTCATCATCAAACTAAACTAGATTTTCTCTTGTGTCATCCTCTAGGAGTTTTATAGTTTTGCATGTTACCTTTAAGTCTATGAACCATTTTGAGTAAAGGTCTAGATCTAGATTCTTTTTTTTTTTTTGCATGTGGACGTCCATTTATTCCACAACCATTTGTCAAAGAGCCTATCCTTTCTTCATTGTATTGCCTTCACTCCTTTGTCAAAGACCATTTCACCATATTTGTGTGGGTCTATTTCTGAGCTCTCTATTCTGTTCCATTCATCTGTCTATTCTTTTACCAATAGCACTTTCTTAACTACTGTAGCTTTGTAGTAAGTCTTTTATTCATTTACTTATTAATTTACTTACTTATTTGAGACACAGTCTCGCTCTGTTGCCCAGGCTGGAGTGCAGTGGCGCTATCTCGGTGCACTGCAACCTCCACTTCCTAGGTTCAAGCAATTTTTGTGCCTCAGCCTCCCGAGTAGCTGAGATTACAGGCATGTACCACCACGCCTGGCTAATTTTTGTATTTTTAGTAGAGATGGGGTTTCACCATGTTGCCAGGCTGGTCTTGAACTCCTTACCTCAAATGATCCACCTACCTCGGCCTCCCGAAGTGCTGGGATTACAGGCGTGAGCCACTGCGCCTGGCTGTAGTAAGTCTTTAAGTTGGGCAGTGTCAGTCCTCCAAGTTTGTTTTTCTCTCAAAAGTCTCAAATCATTGGCCTCAGACTATTGGTGGGTCATGGAATGGGTTTTGCAGGTCTCATGACCAGCATTTTAAAAAATGCAATAGAACAGAATAAAATATAAAACAGGAGACATTGCACCTAATGATGAAAATATTGCTTTCTGAACCTTTCAATGATGTACAGGAATATGTGTACTGGGTCATAATATAGAATGCATTTCTTACTGTAGGTTGTGATCAGACTGCAAAGGCCTCTATCAAGAGATGATCTCATTCTATAAAAATAAAGTGGGTCGAGATTTGTGAAATCTGAAAGTGAGGATTAATCAATGACTACAAAAAGCTAGACAAGGCAACTCATGGACAACTAGCTATGCCTATGTTTTCTATGTAATTTTAAAAATTACATTGAAATGTTCCATAGTCATGTATAGTTTTTCTTCTGTGAATTTCCTGCTTCCGTTTCTCATATGCCTTCTAGCCAGGTAGTGAAAAAGACTCAGCTTTTCAGGGGGACAGCCTAGTGCAATTTGGAATTAGGTTTCTCTGTTTAATTGACTTGTCTTTAGTGTGCCAGACCAGTCAAAGAATCCTGCATCAAAATCGAGAGAATGAACAAGCCTTCATCACCATAGCACATTTATATAAAAAGAAAGGGAAAGATGTTGTGGGAAGTCAGGGACCCCGAACGGAGGGACCTGCTGAAGCCGTGACAGAAGAACATAAATTGGGAAGATTTCATGGACATTTATCACCTCCCCAATCACTACTCTTATAATTTCCTATGCCTATCTTCACTTTAATCTCTTAACCCTGTCATCTTTGTAAGCTGAGGATATATGTTGCCTCCGGACCCTGTGATGATTGCATTAACTGCACACACTGATCGTAAAGCATGTGTGTTTGAACAATATGAAATCTGGGCACCTTGAAAAAAGAACAGGATAACAGCAATGTTCGGGAACAAGGGAGATAACCATTAGGTCTGACTGCCTGGGAGCCAGGCAGGACGGAGCCATATTTCTCTTATTACCGAAAATGGGTAAGAGAAATATCACTGAATTCTTTCCCTGGTAAGGAATATTGATAATTAACAGCCCTGGGAAAAGAATGCATTCCCAGGGGGGCCTCTAAAATGGCTGCTCTGGGGGGGTTGTCTGCTTTATGCAGTTGCAGATAAGGGATGAAACATGCCCTGGCCTCCTGCAGTGCCCCTAGGCTTGCTAGGATTAGGAAATTCCAGCCTGGCGAATTCTAGTCAGACCAGTTCTCTGCTCTTGAACCCTGTTAAGATGTTTATCAATGACAATGCATGCACAGTGGGACATGGAACTTCACTAGTAATTCTAGTTTCTCCCTGACCTTGTGATCTCGCCTTGACCTTCTGCCTTGTGATCTTTTATTGCCCTATGAAGCATGTGATTTTTGTGACCCACACCCTATTCGTACACTCCCTCTCCTTTGAAAATTGCTAATAAAAACTTGCTGGTTTTACGGCTCAGGGGGCATCATGGAACCTGCCGACATGTGATGTCGCTTCCGGACACCCAGCTTTAAAATGTCTCTCTTTTTTTTTTATTATACTTTAAGTTTTAGGGTACCCATGCACAACGTGCAGGTTAGTTACATATGTATACATGTGCCATGTTGGTTTGCTGCACCCAGTAACTCGTCATTTAACATTAGGTGTATCTCCAAATGCTATCCCTCCCCACTCTCCCCACCCCACAACAGGCCCCGGTGTGTGATGTTCACCTTCCTGTGTCCATGTGTTCTCATTTTTCAATTCCCACCTGTGAGTGAGAACATGCGGTGTTTGGTTTTTTGTCCTTGAGATAGTTTGCTGAGAATGATGGTTTCCAGCTTCATCCATGTCCCTACAAAGGACATTAACTCATCATTTTTTATGGCTGCATAATATTCCATGGTGTATATGAGCCACATTTTCTTAATCCAGTCTATCATTGTTGGACATTTGGGTTGGTTCCAAGTCTTTGCTATTGTGAATAGTGATGCAATAAACATACATGTGCATGTGTCTTTATAGCAGCATGATTTATAATCCTTTGGGTATATACCCAGTAATGGGATTGCTGGGTCAAACGGTATTTCTAGTTCTAGATCCCTGATGAATCGCCACACTGACTTCCACAATGGTTGAACTAGTTTACAGTCCCACCAACAGTGTAAAAGTTTTCCTATTTCTCCATATTCTCTCCAGCACCTGTTGTTTCCTGGCTTTTTAATGATCGCCATTCTAACTGGTGTGAGATGGTATCTCACTGTGGTTTTGATTTGCATTTCTCTGATGGCCAGTGATGATGAGCATTTTTTCATGTGTTTTTTGGCTGCATAAATGTCTTCTTTTGAGAAGTGTCTGTTCATATCCTTCGCCTTCTTGTTGATGGGGTTGTTTGTTTTTTTCTTGTAAATTTATTTGGGTTCATTGTAGATTCTGGATATTAGCCCTTTGTCAGATGTGTAGATTGCAAAAATTTTCTCCCATTCTGTAGGTTGCCTGTTCACTCTGATAGTAGTTTCTTTCACTGTGCAGAAGCTCTTTAATTTAATTAGATCCCATTTGTCAATTTTGGCTTTTGTTGCCATTGCTTTTGGTGTTTTAGACATGAAGTCCTTGCCCATGCCTATGTTCTGAATGGTATTGCCTAGGTTTTCTTCTAGGGTTTTTATGGTTTTAGGTCTAATGTTTAAGTCTGTAATCCATCTTGAATTAATTTTTGTATAAGTGTAAGGAAGGGATCCAGTTTCAGCTTTCTACATATGGCTAGCCAGTTTTCCCAGCACCATTTATTAAATAGGGAATCCTTTCCCCATTTCTTGTTTTTGTCAGGTTTGTCAAAGATCAGATGGTTGTAGATATGTGGCATTATTTCTGAGGGCTCTGATCTGTTTCATTGGTCTATATCTCTGTTTTGGTATCAGTACCATGCTGTTTTGGTTACTGTAGCCTTGTAGTATAGTTTGAAGTCAGGTAGCATGATGCCTCCAGCTTTGTTCTTTTGGCTTAGGATTGACTTGGCAATGCGGGCTCTTTTTTGGTTCCATATGAACTTTAAAGTAGTTTTTTCCAATTCTGTGAAGAAAGTCATTGGTAGCTTGATGGGGTTGGCACTGAATCTATAAATTACCTTGGGCAGTATGGCCATTTTCACGATATTGATTCTTCCTACCCATGAGCATGGAATGTTCTTCCATTTCTTTGTATCCTCTTTTATTTCATTGAGCAGTGGTTTGTAGTTCTCCTTGAAGAGGTCCTTCACATCCCTTATAAGTTGGATTCCTAGGTATTTTATTGTCTTTGAAGCAATTGTGAATGGGAGTTCACTCATGATTTGGCTCTCTGTCTGCTATTGGTGTATAAGAATGCTTGTGATTTTTGCACATTGATTTTGTATCCTGAGATTTTGCTGAAATTGCCTATCAGCTTAAGAAGATTTTGGGCTGAGACGATGGGGTTTTCTAGATATACAATCATGTCATCTGCAAACAGGGACAATTTGACTTCCTCTTTTCCTAATTGAATACCCTTTATTTCCTTCTCCTGCCTGATTGCCCTGGCCAGAACTTCCAACATTATGTTGAATAGGAGTGGTGAGAGAGGGCATCCCTGTCTTGTGCCAGTTTTCAAAGGGAATGCTTCCAGTTTTTGCCCATTCAGTATGATATTGGCTGTGGGTTTGTCATAGATAGCTCTTATTGTTTTGAGATACATCCCATCAATACCTAATTTATTGAGAGTTTTTAGCATAAAGCGTTGTTGAATTTTGTCAAAGGCCTTTTCTGCATCTATTGAGATAATCATATGGTTTTTGTCATTGGTTCTGTTTATATGCTGGATTATGCTTATTGATTTCCATATGTTGAACCAGCCTTGCATCCCAGGGATGAAGCCCACTTGATCATGGTGGATAAGCTTTTTGATGTGCTGCTGGATTCAGTTTGCCAGTATTTTATTGAGGATTTTTGCATCTATGTTCATCAGGGATATTGGTCTGAAATTCTCTTTTTTTGTTGTGTCTCTGCCAGGCTTTGGTATCAGGATGATGCTGGCCTCATAAAATGAGTTAGGGAGGATTCCCTCTTTTTCTATTGATGGGAATAGTTTCAGAAGGAATGGTACCAGCTCCTCCTTTTACCTCTGGTAGAATTTGGCTGTGAATCCATCTGGTCCTGGACTTTTTTTGGTTGGTAAGCTATTAATTATTGCCTCAATATCAGAGCCTGTTATTGGTCTACTCAGAGATTCAACTTCTTCCTGATTTAGTCTTGGGAGGGTGTATGTGCCGAGGAATTTATCCATTTCTTCTAGATTTTCTAGTTTATTTGCATAGAGGTGTTTATAGTATTCTCTGATGGTAGTTTGTATTTCTGTGGGATCGGTGGTGATACCCCTTTATCATTTTTTATTGCATCTATTTGATTCTTCTCTCTTTTCTCCTTTATTAGTCTTGCTAGCAGTCTATCAAGTTTGTTGATCTTTTCAAAAAACCAGCTCCTGGATTCACTGATTTTTTGAAGGGTTTTTTGTGTCTCTATTTCCTTCAGTTCTGCTCTGATCTTAGTTATTTCTTGCCTTCTGCTAGCTTTTGAATGTGTTTGCTCTTGCTTCTCTAGTTCTTTTAATTGTGATGTTAGGGTGTCAATTTTAAATCTTTCCTGCTTTCTCTTGTGGGCATTTAGTGCTATTAATTTCCCTCTACACACTGCTTTGAATGTGTTCCAGAGATTCTGGTATGCTGTGTCTTTGTTCTCGTTGCTTTCAAAGAACATCTTTATTTCTGCCTTCATTTCGTTATGTACCCAGTAGTCATTCAGGAGCAGGTTGTTCAGTTTCCATGTAATTGAGCAGTTTTGAGTGAGTTTCTTAATCCTGAGTTCTAGTTTGATTGCACTGTGGTCCGAGAGACAGTTTGTTATAATTTCTGTTCTTTTACGTTTGCTGAGGAGTGCTTTACTTCCAACTATGTGGTCAATTTTGGAATAAGTGCACTGTGGTGCTGAGAAGAATGTATATTCTGTTGATTTGGGATGAAGAGTTCTGTAGATGTCTATTAGTTCCACTTGGTGCAGAGCTGAGTTCAATTCCTGGATATCCTTGTTAACTTTCTGTCTCGTTGATCTGTCTAATGTTGACAGTGGGGTGTTAAATTCTCCCATTATTATTGTGTGGGAGTCTAAGTCTCTTTGTAGGTCTCTAAGGACTTGCTTTATGAATCTGGGTGCTCCTGTATTGGGTGCATATATGTTTAGGATACTTAGCTCTTCTTGTTGAATTGATCCCTTTACCATTATGTAATGGCCTTCTTTGTCTCTTTTGATCTTTGTTGGTTTAAAGTCTGTTTTATCTGAGACTAGGATTGCAACCCCTGCCTTTTTTTGTTTTCCATTTGCTTGTTAGATCTTCCTCCATCCCTTTATTTTGAGCCTATGTGTGTCTCTGGACGTGAGATGGGTTTCCTGAATATAGCACACTGATGGGTCTTGACTCTTTATCCAATTTGCCAGTCTGTGTCTTTTAATTGGAGCATTTAGCCCATTTACATTTAAGGTTAATATTATTATGTGTGAATTTGATCCTGTCACTATGATATTAGCTGGTTATTTTGCTCATTAGCTGATGCAGTTTCTTCCTAGCCTCGATGGTCTTTACAATTTGGCATGTTTTTGCAGTGGCTGGTATTGGTTATTCCTTTCCATGTTTAGTGCTTCCTTCAGCAGCTCTTGTAGGGCAGGCCTGGTGGTGACAAAATCTCTCAGTATTTGCTTGTCTGTAAAGGATTTTATTTCCCCTTCACTTACAAAGTGCAGTTTGGCTGGATATGAAATTCTGGGTTGAAAATTCTTTTCTTTAAGGATGTTGAATATTGGCCCCCACTTTCTTCTGGCTTGTAGAGTTCCTGCCGAGAGATCAGCTGTTAGTCTGATGGGCTTCCCTTTGTGGGTAACCCGACTTTTCTCTCTGGCTGCCCTTAACATTTTTTCCTTCGTTTCAACTTTGGTGAATCTGACAATTATGTGTCTTGGAGTTGCTCTTCTCGAGGAGTATCTTTGTGGTTTTCCCTGTATTTCCTGAATTTGAATGTTGGCCTGCCTTGCTAGAGTGGGGAAGTTCTCCTGGATAATATCCTGCAGAGTGTTTTCCAACTTGGTTCCATTCTCCCTGTCACTTTCAGGTACACCAATCAGACGTAGATTTGGTCTTTTCACATAGTCCCATATTTCTTGGAGGCTTTGTTTGTTTCTTTTTATTCTTTTAACTCTAAACTTCCCTTCTCATTTCATTTCATTCATTTGATCTTCCATCACTGATACCCTTTCTTCCGGTTGATCAAATTGGCTACTTAGGCTTGTGCATTCATCATGTAGTTCTCGTGCCATGGTTTTCAGCTCCATCAGGTCCTTTAAGGACTTCTCTGCATTGGTTATTCTAGTTAGCCATTTGTCTAATTTTTCTTCAAGGTTTTTAACTTCTTTTCCATGGGTTCGAACTTCCTCCTTTAGCTTGGAGTAGTTTGATCGTCTGAAGCCTTCTTCTCTCAACTCGTCAAAGTCATTCTCCGTCCAGCTTTGTTCCATTGCTGGTGAGGAGCTGCGTTCCTTTGGAGGAGGAGAGGCACTCTGATTTTTAGAGTTTCCAGTTTTTCTGCTCTGTTTTTTCCCCATCTTTGTGGTTTTATCTACCTTTGGTCTTTGATGATGGTGACATACAGATGGGGTTTTGGTGTGGATGTCCTTTCTGTTTGTTAGTTTTCCTTCTAACAGTCAGGACCCTCAGCTGCAGGTCTGTTGGAGTTTGCTGGAGGTCCACTCCAGACCCTGTTTGCCTGGGTATCAGCAGTGGAGGCTGCAGAACAGCGGATATTGGTGAACAGCAAATGTTGCTGCCTGATCATTCCTCTGGAAGTTTTGTCTCAGAGGAGTACCTGGCCGTGTGAGGTGTCAGTCTGCCCCTACTGGGGGGTGCCTCCCAGTTAGGCTTCTCGGGGGTCAGGGACCCACTTGAGAAGGCAGTCTGTCTGTTCTCAGATCTCCAGCTGCGTGCTGGGAGAACCACTACTCTCTTCAAAGCTGTCAGACAGGGACATTTAAGTCTGCAGAGGATTCTGCTGCCTTTTGTTTGGCAATGCCCTGCCCCCAGAGGTGGAGTCTACAGAGGCAGGCAGGCCTCCTTGAGCTGTGGTGGGCTCCACCCAGTTCAAGCTTCCTGGCTGCTTTGTTTACCTACTCTAGCCTCAGCAACGGTGGGCGCCCCTCCCCCATCCTCACTACCGCCTTGCAGTTTGATCTCAGACTGCTGTGCTAGCAGTGAGCAAGGCTCTGTGGGCGTAGGACCCTCCGAGCCAGGTGCGGGATATAATCTCCTGGTGTGCCATTTGCTAAGACTGTTGGAAAAGTGCAGTATTAGGGTGGGAGTGACCTGATTTTCCAGGTGCTGTCTGTCACCCCTTTCTTTCACTAGGAAAGGGAATTCCCTGATCCCTTGTGCTTTCTGGGTGAGGCAATGCCTCGCCCTGCTTCAGCTCACACTCAGTGCACTGCACCCACTGTCCTGCACCCACTTTCTGACACTCCCCAGTGAGATGAACCTGGTACCTCAGTTGGAAATGCAGAAATCACCCGTCTTCTGCGTCGCTCATGCTGGGAGCTGTAGACTGGAGCTGTTCCTATTCAGCCATCTTGGCTCCATCCCTCTCTTTTGTACTCTTTCCCTTTATTTCTCAGAGTGGCCGACACTTAGGGAAAATAGAAAAGAACCTACGTTGAAATATTTGGGACTGGTTCCCCTGATATCTGGCACCCACGTGGGTTTTTTTTTTTCCTAAGTGCATATGGGAACACAATTCCCTTTGGTAGGTGCAGAGAAATGTCATCGGTTCAGTCCACAGAAATGCATGTTTGACTCCCTAACAACTGGTGAGTAGTCTGTGTATGGTCCGGGTTAACTATGGGTCACATGGAGTCTAAAAATTATACTTATCTCTTTTATATTAAACTCCGATTAAAACAAATGAAAAGAGTTTGAGTGCCCATGGAAAATATGGTCACTCTATTCAGGGCAGTGGAAGAATACAGTCCTTGGTTTCCTGAAAAAGGAACCTTAGATGTAGAACTATGGGATCATGTTGGTTCAACATTCCAGGAAATGGTCTCGGCAGGGAATTATGTTCCCGTCCCTGTTTTTGGTGATTGGGCCTTGGTACGTGCCATATTAATGACATACCAATCCCGTGACCCCCTACAGTTACCACAATTTTCTGAATCTGTTGACCCTCCACCTCTTCCTCAACCCTCCTCTCCTGCACGGCCTTCGTTATCTGATCAGCCTCTTCCTTCGTCTACTCCTCCCCCACCTGACGATGTTGAGAATTCAATGTCTAACCCCGGTGAGTTTGGATTGCAGTCAGCGCCTGATGATCTTATTTCTTTTCACAAAGAGCTGGTACTCATAGCTCCTGCGGCCCGGACCCACATATCCTGGGACCATAGATATGCTAATTCTTCCCTCTTCAAACCTTTGCAGCATTTGCCTCCGGGCATCACCTAATGGCTCCAGGAAAAAACTAAATTTACCTGTAATTCTGCAGGCCCTCCCCCATCCACTACAGTCCCTCACCCTCCTGTCATTTCGGTTCCTCAAGTGGTCACTTTGCCATCCACTCAACCTGCTTCCCTGTACCTTTCTTCTTGTACTCAGCATGGTCCTACTTCTCCTTATGTTAAAATCGTATTACAAACTTTTCGTACGGAGGTCACTTTGCTTCCTTTAGACTGGGACCTTTTGGCAAAAGCTGTTCTAACCCCATCTCAGCATTTACAATTCTGTACCTGGTGGTCAGCAGAGGCCCATCTGCAGGCTCAGCTAAATTGGACTAATGGCATTCTAATTACTCAGGCTCAGCTCAAAGGCTCTGATAGTTTCTCTGATACTTATGCCACTGGTCTCACTAACTCTTATTCACCTGACAAGATTAAACTCATCATGACTGCCAAGGTTCCTGTTTCCATTCTGGCTGGTGAGTCAATTGCTCAATTGCTTTTACTACCTAATATCATTTTAAACAAAAGAGATAAGACACCTGGCCCTGGGACGGGCTCCGGCGGTCAAAAGGCCGCTTATTGGATTAATATAATTTCTAAACAATGGCCCACCTGTACCATACACATTCAAGGAAAAAAGTTTGAGGGCCTAGTAGATACTGGGGCTGATGTTTCTATTATTTCCTCTAGTTTATGGCCTTCCTCCTGGCTTAAACATCCCACTAACATGGGACTAGTAGGTGTTGGAAAAGCCGAAGAAGTTTATGAGAGCACATTTATCTTGCTTTGCACTGGCCCTGATGGTCAAAAGGGTACAATTCAGCCTTATATCATGCCAATCCCCATTAATCTTTGGGGAAGAGAGTTACTGGCACAATGGGGGGCTGAAATTAATATTCCACATAACTCTTACAGTGCTGCCAGTCAGCACATGATGGAAAACATGGGGTTTGTTCCTGGACTTGGTATCGGTCCAAAACATGAAGGGATTACTAAATGTCAGGCCTCTGAGCCCAAGCCAAGCCATCGCATCCCCTGTGACTTGCACGTATACATCCAGATGGCCTGAAGTAACTGACAATCCACAAAAGCAGTAAAAATAGCCTTAACTGATGACATTCCACCACTGTGATTTGTTTCTGCCCCATCCTAACTGATCAATGTACTTTGTAATCTCCCCCACCCTTAAGAAGGTACTTTGTAATCTCCCCCACCCTTAAGAAGGTTCCTTGTAATTCTCCCCGCCCTTGAGAATGTACTTTGTGAGATCCACCCCTGCCCACAAAACATTGCTCTTAACTTCACCGCCTATACCAAAACCTATAAGAACTAATGATAATCCACCACCCTTTGCTGACTCTCTTTTCAGACTCAGCCCGCCTGCACCCAGGTGAAGTAAACAGCCATGTTGCTCACACAAAGCCTGTTTGGTGGTCTCTTCACATGGACGCGCATGAAACTAAACCCCTCCCAATTATTGTAAAAGAAGACAGAGCTGGTTTAGGTTATCCTTTTTAGTGGCAGCTGCTGCCATGCCTCCTGATCCTATTCCTTTGCAGTGGAAATCTGACAACCTGTTTGGATAGAGCAGTGGCTGCTTTCTAAAGAAAAACTGGAGGCTTTAACTCACTTGGTTTCTGAACAGTTACAACTTGGAAATGTGGAACTTTCTCTTTCCCCCTGGAATTCTCCTGTGTTTCTAGTAAAAAAGAAATCAGTTAAGTGGCAGATGGTAACCGATTTAAGAGCCATTAATGCTGTAATTAAACCTACGGGGGCCATCCAACCTGGCATGGCTGCCCCTGCTTTAATAACTAAAAATTGGCCTCTCATAGTTATTGATCTTAAAGTTTGTTTTTTAAATATTGCTTTACTTAAATCGGATTGTGAAAAATTTGCTTTTACTCTACCATCTATCAATAATCAGGAGCCTGCAGCTCATTATCAATGGAAAGTACTTCCTCAGGGAATGCTAAATAGCCCTACAATCTGCCAGCTTTATGTTGGGCAAGTACTTTCACCAGTTCGAGCCCAATTTCCCCAGGCCTGTATTCTTCATTATATTGATGATATTTTAATTGCTGCCCCCACTGATAAATAATTAATTGACTGTTATCAAATTATGAGCCACTGTGTTACAGAGGCTGGATTACACATCACTCAGGATAAAATTCAACAGGCCACTCCTGTTCAATATTTAGAAATGATGGTCGATAAACAACGTTTTCAACCAGAAAAAATTCAAATTAGGAGAGATTCTTTGAAAAGTTTAAATGACTTCCAACAACTTTTGGGTAACATTAATTATTTAAGACCTACTTTAGGCATTCCGAACTATGCGCTGTCTAACTTGTTTTCTACGCTGTGGGGAGATTCCAATCTCTGCAGTCCCAGGACATTGACCCCTAAGGCTTCACTAGAACTGGAATTTGTAGAGGAAAGAATCCAGACCGCCCAGTTATCTAGAGTACAGCAATCTCAGCCTTTTCAGCTTCTAGTTTTTGCTTCATTGCTTTCCCCTACTGGGCTAATAGTTAAACATAATGACTTAGTAGAGTGGTGTTTTCTTCCTCATTCTGTCGAAAACTTTGTCTGTTTATCTGGACCAAATAGCCATCTTAATTGGACAGGCTTGGTGTAGAATACTTAAAATTTACGGATTTGATCTGAATTTAATTGTAGTTCCTTTAAGTCGGCTTGAAGTTCAAGCCACCTTTCAGCATTCCATACTGTGGCAAATTCACTTGGCTGATTTGATTGGCGTTATTGACAATCATTATCCAAAGAACAAATTGTTTGATTTTATAAAAATGACGTCTTGGGTGGTCCCTTGATTAACCAAAGATCAGCCTATTCCTGAGGCCGTTAGAGTGTTCACTGATGGCTCCTGTAATGTAAATGCTGGTTATGTAGGTCCTACAGACAAGCTTCCCCAAACCTTTAAATATTGTCTGATTCTACTTAATGTGGGGAAGAGGATATGCTTGTGTTTCACCAGGAGATCCTCAAATGAAAACCACAGGGAAAAGATGTCCGCTTCACAAACCACTCCCAGATGTGGTGAGATCTGTGCCAACTCCTCAGAAGCTGGCATGCCAAATCAAAATGGGTCTGATTCAATCCTCCCTGATGGCAATGGAGACCCATCTAACTAATCCCACTTCTCCTGATTACCTTTCTTTTTCTCCTTACAAACCTAAAAATCTCACCATTTCTATTAGCCTCAAAATAACATCCCTCTGTTCTTCTCTTCCTTCTTCAGCACTGAATCTCTCTTATACTAGGTTTTATTTAATGAACTCTCCTCCTTATACTTTCTATCTCACCAGTTTCCTCTCACACTGATTTACCTGCTACACAAAATTATTCTTATTGGGCTTATGTACCTTTTCCTCCACTTATTCGACCTCTTACCTGGATGGAAGCTCCTGCAGAAATCTACACTAACGATAGTGTGTGGATGCCTGGAGCTACAGATGACCGTTGCCCCACTCAACCAGGAGAAGAAGGCACTGCATTTAATGTTACCATGGGTTATAGATGTCCCCCTCTGTGCCTCGGACATGCACCTGGTTGTATCCATATAGAAACCCAAGTCTGGGCTGCTTATCTTCTGGAGAGATTAGCTACAGAAAAACCAGGACATTTGGTCTCCAGCCTCTCCCTTTCTCCTTTAAAACAAATGAAAGAGGGAGTAATGGGAGATACTCCATACTTTCAATATAAAACCTGCAGGAAAGCCATGCCCTAAAAGTTTTGAGGGCCCATCTAAAACTTTAATTTGGGAAGACTGTCTTAACTCACATGCAGTAATATTAAAAAATAACTCATATGGTTTAGTAATAGACTGGGCAACAAAGAGCTATTTAAAACACAATTGCTCCTCTGGCAGAAGGGAATGCCTGGAGGCTATTTATTTTATTTCTTATCAGGAGAATGAGAATCATCATTCTACTTTGCATAGGAGGTTCAGCTCGTTCTATCCCTTAAAATGGGAAGATAAAGGCATTACCCCCCCCACCCTCCCGAGGCCTCATATGATATTCCCCATTCTGAGCCCAGAACACCCAGAACTTTGGAAATTGGCTATTGCCACGTCTGGACTGTGAGTATGGGAAGGGGAAACTATTCTGTCTGTTGTCCCCACTACCCTTCCCCTCTCTCAGTGTCAACGTAGATCCACACATTCTGCTTTACTTATCTCCAACCTGACTGTTCCCATACAGAGTTGTGTTAAGTCTCCTTACATGCTGTTAGTGGAAAATATCAAAATTTGGATGAACAATCAAACTGTCCAATGTATTAATTGTCATTTATACACTTGTATTAACTCCCATTTTCACTCCAGGAAAAGTGTAATGTTGGTTCGAGCTCGAGAAGGAATCTGGATTCTGGTAACTTTGCCCAGACCTTGGGAATCCTCCCCCTCGATACACTGAATTAATGAAGTGTTACAGCAAATTCTAAAAAGATCTAAGAGATTTGTTTTCACTTTAATCGCTGTGATCATGGGCCTAATTACAGTCACTGCAATGGCCACCACTGCCAGAATGGCGTTACATCAATCTATTCAAACAGCTCATTTTGTTAATGATTGGCAAGCCAATTCCACCTAAATGAGGAATTCTCAACAAGGCTTTGGTCAAAAATTGGCTAATCAAATTAATGATTTCAGTCTGTTATTTGGCTTGGAGATTGGGTAGTGAGTCTTCAGCATCGCATGCAAATGCAGTGCGATTGGAATACCTCTAATTTCTAAATCACCCTGTATTCCTATAATGAGACTGATCATTCATGGGAAATGGTCAAAGGACACCTTCTGGATAGGGAAGATAATTTATCATTGGACATAACTAAATTAAAGAAACAAATTTTTGAAGTCTCTCAAGCTCATTTATCCATTGTGCCTGGAGCTGAGGCATTAGATCAGGTGGCAGAAAATCTTTCTGGACTAAACCCCATAACTTGGATTAAGTCTACTGGGGGCTCCACTGTAGTAAATTTTGGAATTATGTTTCTCTGTTTAATCGGCTTGTCTTTAGTGTGCCAGACCAGTCAAAGAATCCTGCGTCAAAATCGAGAGAATGAACAAGCCTTCAACACCATGGCACATTTACATATAAAGAAAGGGAGAGATGTTGTGGGAAATCAGGGACCCCGAACGGAGGGACCTGCTGAAGCCATGACAGAAGAACATAAATTGGGAAGATTTCATGGACATTTATCACTTCCCCAATCACTACTCTTATAATTTCCTATGCCTGTCTTTAATCTCTTAATCCCGTCATCTTTGTAAGCTGAGGATGTATGTCGCCTAAGGACCCTGTGATGATTGCATTAACTGCACACATTGGTTATAAAGCATCTGTGTTTGAACAATATGAAATCTGGGCACCTTGAAAAAAGAACAGGATAACAGTGATGTTCAGGGAACAAGAGAGATAAACATTAGGTCTGACTGCCTGGGAGCCAGGCAGAACAGAGCCATATTTCTCTTATTACCGAAAATGGGTAAGAGAAATATCGCTGAATTCTTTCCCTGGTAAGGAATATTAATAAGTAACAGCCCTGGGAAAAGAATGCATTCCCAGGGGGGGCCTCTAAAATGGCTGCTCTTGGTGTGTCTGTCTTATGCAGTTGCAGATAAGGGATGAAACATGCCCTGGCCTCCTGCAGCGCCCGCAGGCTTGCTAGGATTGGGAAATTCTAGCTTGGTAAATTCTAGTCAGACCAGTACTCTGCTCTTGAACCCTGTTAAGATGTTTATCAATGACAATGTGTGCACAGCAGGACATGGAACTTCATTAGTAATTCTAGTTTCTCCCTGACCTTGTGATCTCACCTTGACCTTCTGCCTTGTGATCTTTTATTGCCCTATGAAGCATGTGATCTCTGTGACCCACACCCTTTTTGTACACTCCCTTCCCTTTGAAAATTGCTAATAAAAACTTGCTGGTTTTATGGCTCAGGGGGCATCATGGAACCTGCCGACATGTGATGTCTCCCCCAGACACCCAGCTTTAAAAGTTCTCTCTTTTGTACTCTCTCCCTTTATTTCTCAGACCAGCCGACACTTAGGGAAAATAGAAAAGAACCTATGTTGAAATATTGGGGGCTGGTTCCCCCAATACACCATGACAACAGAGTCCTCAGTCTGGAGACTCACTGTCCCAGCACTTCCTCAGTCACTTGGATTCCTGATCAAAGACAAAGTGATCCACTTATTACTTTTTAAATTAATTCAAATCAACCTTCCCATAACCAGGCTGTGATGCATTACAGTTGGAATTCACACTTACCCTCTTGCTTGTGCCTGGCCTGGGAGATGGACAGAGGTGGTATTGGCAGTCTCATTTTGCAAATGAGCAGAGGGGTGAGTGGAGTCAGGAGACAGAGCTGGAGGGTGTCCTGCCAGGGGTGTTTAGGTTGGCAAGAGGGAGAGGTGGCGACACACAGTCCCTTTGCTGTTACCTGGCCATAGGTTTAATGTGACTTTGAAGGCCACTATTAGGTTCTGCAAAGGATGATTCAGTGCAGACCTCAGCTGCAAGGAGAGAGGATGGAGGGTACTGGGAGAAACCCAGCCAGGCCAGTGGGAGACCAGGTGCTGGCCTGGCTTTGCATGAAACAGCTGTGTAAACCTAGACATGCCAAATCGACCAGCTTCCTTTCCCTTTGGTGAGCAGCAGGTGCTGGTGGGCCTTGGGCAGGGAGTGAGACTGAGACAATGGGGGGCTGCACTGCCTCCAGCCCTGTGCATCATCTACAGCACCCTGGGGAAAAATGGAGCCTACCAGTGGGTGGTGCTGAGCTGGAAGCTGCCCGTGTCCTGCCTGGGGCCTGAGTCCTCCATGGGCCTTTTCCAGTGATGCCCACTCTGAGTTCACTGGCACATCCCCTGAGGGCAGCTTTGGGCACTTTAGAATTTAATCGTCAACCTTTCCGCCCACACTACCAACACCACTACATTTAGAAACTAAAATCTCTGATGGTTTGGGGAGGGATGAAGATGAAGCAAATTCATAAATCATAAGTTACTGGAGCTCATGGAAAGTTGGAGATGATCTCATTCACCTGTGGTGGTATGTGAGAAAGCACTTTAATTGCCAAGTCAAAGGTTTTTACTCCACAGGCCTGAGGAAGGCCCAGAGATCTGTGGGTTTGCACAGCCCTCCAGGTGGCTGATGAGCGGGCAGATCAGAGTCTGTTGCTGTGACCAAGTGGCATCCTGTTCCAGCTGTGTTGAGGATTCCCCAAGTCACGCTGCTATCGTGTGGCAGAGGAAGCCACAGGCCTGACTCCTTGGCATCTGCTAAAATTCCCTTTCCCAGTGGGGGATGCACGGAATCACAGGGGAGGCCTGGTACAAAGGCACCATTCTGTCCCTTGCTCAACCTACTGAATCAGAATCTCTGGGCCTGAGGCCAGGAATGTGTCTGCACTGATCATATTGAAGGTACTCATTTTGGAGGGAAAGAACCAGAAAAGCAGGTTTGATATAGCCTGAGGAGTCCCATGTTATAGCCGGCTGAGCTATAAAACCAGCACTGAAAATGCAGAATGATCCCTGTTTTAAGTGTCATCGCCTAGGACAAAACGGTCTGTCTCTTGAGAAGTCCTGCACAGACAATTCTTAGTCCTGCAAGAACTAAGAAAAAGGCAGCTGTGTCTTCAGACAAGCACCAGATGAACTTGTTGCTTACATTTCACACTTTATACTTAAACAATAAAACTATACTCCGCTTTCCAGGGAGATGCTCAAATGACAGTATGCTCACAGTAATGGTGACTAACTTGGGAAATAGAAAATGTACACATTCTACCTCTGGATCACTCCAGGACATCTGCTTATTGAGTAGGGTGATACCCACTTGGGATGCCATCATTTTCCTAGGGAGGTTGTGGAGGTGGAGGCTACACAGACACATTTGAGTTTTGTATACAGCACACATTTATGACTCGAAGCCGTGGGCATTCAGTTACAATTGGAAAGCAAGCAGAAGTGGGTGGTTGCTCACTGGTTGTGAGGTGAGTGTGTCTTATCTGTGGATGAGACAGAGGAGCCACTCAAGTGGAAGGACCCTCAGCCTGGAATCTGGAGTTGGGCTCCACCAATTCAGCGCATCCCCCAGACGCAAAGACCAGTTCTCACATGACTCCCTCCTCATTCCGATCATCAGTAACCACCTTTGTAATTTAGGCTATCATGGCCGCTCACCTAGGCCGGAATTCTCCAATGGAACTTCCCTTGATGATGGACCTGTTCTAGATCAGCACGCTCCAACACAGTAGCCACCAGCCACGTGTGGCTACTGATAACTAGAAATGTGGGCTTGTGCAACCAAGGACTACACTTCTCATTTTACTTTATAATTAAAATTAAAGTTTAAATAGTCCCGTGTGACTAGTATTATATTGGACAGAACACACCTATGTAGGCTGCATCGTCTCTTCCTGCCTGTGGTCAAATCACCCTCACGTTCATCCACACACACCTTCCAGACGAATCTCCCATGGGACTCAGGCTCACCTCTGTGCTCCCAATAGAGATCTCTGCCACAGCTCTCACAGGATCTGTGTGCACATCCGTAAGTATACAGCTACAGCAGAGGGGATCTGTGTCCACATGTGAGTATACAGCTACAGCAGAGTGGATCTGTGTATTCAGGTGTGAGTATACAGCTATAGCAGAGTGGATCCTTGTCCACATGTGAGTACACAGCTACAGCAGAGTGGATCCTTGTCCATGTGTAAGTACACAGCTACAGCAGAGTGGATCCTTGTCCACGTGTGAGTACACAGCTACAGCAGAGTGGATCTGTGTATTCAGGTGTGAGTATACAGCTACAGCAGAGGGGATCTGTATCCACATGTGAATATACAGCTACAGCAGAGTGGATCTGTGTCCACATGTGAGTATATAGCTATAGCAGAGTGGATCTGTGTATCCAGGTGTGAATATACAGCTACAGCAGAGTAGATCCTTGTCCACATGTGAGTATACAGCTACAGCAGAGTGGATCTCTGTATTCAGGTGTGAGTATACAGCTACAGCAGGGTGGATCCTTGTCCACGTGTGAGTACACAGCTACGGCAGAGTGGATCTGCACCCACGTGTGAGTACACAGCTACAGCAGAGTGGATCTGCACCCACGTGTGAGTACACAGCTACGGCAGAGTGGATCTGCGTCCACGTGTGAGTACACAGCCACGGCAGAGTGGATCTGCGCCCACGTGTGAGTACACAGCTACGGCAGAGTGGATCTGTGTCCAC
Organism: Homo sapiens; assembly: GCF_000001405.40. Lineage (NCBI taxonomy): Eukaryota > Metazoa > Chordata > Mammalia > Primates > Hominidae > Homo > Homo sapiens. Next base: position 50,587,104 of record NC_000007.14, read on the forward strand.
GTGTGAGTATACAGCTATGGCAGAGTGGATCCGCTTGCCCACGTGTGAGTACACAGCCACGGCAGAGTGGATCTGCGTCCACGTGTGAGTATACAGCTACGGCAGAGTGGATCCATTTGCCCACATGTGAATATACAGCTATGGCAGAGTGGATCCGTTTGCCCACGTGTGAGTATACAGCTACAGCAGAGTGGATCTGTGTACCCAGGTGTGAGTATACAGTTACGGCATAATGGATCCGTGTGCCCAGGTGTGAGTATACAGAGCAGAGTGGATCTGTGTGCCTACGTATGAATATACAGTGATGACCAATGAGAAAATGTGGTTCTATTATAAATTTACCAGCTGTCATTTCTGGAGTTTCATCTGGAAGTGGTGTAAGGGCTGGACGTGAAGGTGGGGTGACCACAGGAAGTGAGAGGAGTTAGTTGGTTGGCCATCTTAATGGCTTACGTTGTCAAGTTCTTGAAACTCTCATACTCAGCCTTACTTTTGTTTTGTCCTGGTAGCATCCAACACAGCCCTTGTGGACTTCCCTGCCTAAACTTCCTGTCTATTGGCTAGTCCAAGAAGAGCTCATCTCCTTTAAAGAACCAGCACTGATCTTCTATGTAGATACCCCAAGATAAAAGAAAATAATAGGAGAAAAATGGTAGCAAGAGCATTCTGTAGAAAAACATTGCTGTGAGTAGATTAAAATTGCAACCAAACATAATGTCACGAACTTAAAAGAACAAAACAAGAAACAAGAAAGCAATCACATCACCGAAGGTCAAAGCGGAGCTGTAAAAGCTCAGGCACTAGATAAAGAAAGCTGGCAGAGCTCTGAAGAGAAACGTCAGAGAAAAGTGAAGCCAGCCTAGCAGGGAAGTGTGCAAGGAAACAGCATAGAGAACAGACCCTACTGAAACACCATCACGGATATGGAGGAGGACAGGACTAAGACAGCAACTCAGATTCAAACACCAAGAGAGCTGCAGGGCCTCTCCGCAAATGCTAGGAGAGGTTGACAAAAGGGAGCAAACACACAATTTCCATCTTTTTGCAAAGATGTAGCAACATGGACGGAAATGGAGACACCATTTGAAGTGAAATATGCCAAGCACAGAAAGACAAGCTTTGCATGTTCTCACTCCTCTGTGGGAGCTAAAAAAGTGGATCTCATGAAGATAGAGAGTAGATTGGTGGCTACCAGAGGCTGGGAAATGGGATGGGGCAGGGAAGTGGAAACATTTATAAGGACTGTACACTTAAAATGTAAACATGGTAAATTATGTATGTATATTTTACCTCAATAAAAAACAAATTAAAAAGAAAAAACAAAAAGAAAAATGTATTTAGATGCAATTCACAAAACATTCCCAGAAATCAAATGAGACTTTGATGTAGTTACAGATCAAAAGTGCCTACCATGTCTTAAAAAACAAAAAAATGACACCAATTGCCACCAACCCCAGTGTCTTTCTCCTTGTTCCCAGAGGACCCCAAGTTCCCCGAGGGACACCACTCATTCTGAAGTGCCCTTTGCTAGCTGTGCTGAGGCCAGCAGCCATGGACATCCTGTCACGTGGCCCTTGCTTGATCTTTGCAGGCCTCCCAAGCTGCCCATCTTGTGGATGATGACTGGGGATGGCAGATGAAGCCCAATTTTGTCAAAGGCGGATTTTTCATTTTTGTTTCCTGCCCTTCTTAATGTTGTATAACTTCCAAAATGAAAAGGGGTAACGCTGCCTTTACCATTCTATAATCGGAAGATGTTGAATATTTTACCTTTTTACACTTAAGAAGCTAAGGCTTTTATCATTAAACAAAATCCCTTTTTATAATTTTACTCATCACTCAAATGCTGTGAAAACCGATGAAGAACGTGCTGGAGGCAGTGAGATGCATTCTCGCGTTGTGCCACAGGGGTGCTCTTGGGAGGCCATTGGCTGGCCCTGCGTGGCTGCACCTACAAGCTTCTTTGGTGTTACGATCAACAACTGCAGTTGGCCCGGTGGGTCCCCACCTGCCCTGGGCTCTCCTTGTATGTTGAAGCAGAGGGTGGGCTTCCAGAAACTGAGAATTCAGATTCTGAAAACAAATGACGGGAGAGTCCACACAGCACAGGGGCCCTCCTGCTGGTAGACCAGGCTAGCTTGTGACAACATGCACATGCCCTCCAGCTGACCAGGGTGTGACAGGGAAGAGGCATGAGATGGCAAGTCTGGCCCAAGTGTCAGGTCAGTAGCTCAGCCAGGATCATCCCAGGCGAGGGCTGGAGAAACAACAATAATGGGCATCTATTCTTACTCTGTCAGTTGTTTGCTGGCTTAGAAAACCTAGGTTCTAGACATTTTAATTGTCTTACTGCAGTGGAAAAAATGCCAGTTGGGCTCAAGGGTGAATGTGAGTTTCTTGAGGTCTTTCTGAAGCCTGTGTGGGTATCTGACGGTTTCTGAAACCTTCTGAGGTCTGTTATTTTTATGGGGGAGGAGAGGCCAGCTGAGAATGTCTTGCCACCAACTTGGAGCACTAAGCAGCCAAGAGCCTGGTGTCTCACGAGGGCTGTGCAAGCTTGTGTGTGACATGTCCCAAACAGCTATGGATTCCTTGTGATAGTGTCTAGCTAGTGGTAAGAAGTGTGTTTTTAGTATTCTAAGTCATTTCAAAATGTTTTTAGTGGATGACAGGCCAGGGTTTTTTTTTTGTTTTGTTTTGATAGGAGTCTTGCTTTGTCACCCAGGCTGGAGTGCAATGGCACAATCGCGGCTCACTGCAACCTCCACCTCCCAAGTTCAAGTGATTCTCCTGCCTCAGCCTCCTGAGTAGCTGGGATTACAGGTGCGCACCACCATGCCTGGCTAACTTTTATATTTAGTAGAGACGGGGTTTCACCACATTGGTCAGGCTGGCTTCGAACTCCTGACCTCATGATTGGCCAGTGTTTTAAAATTAGAAACAGATATCACCAGCAATAGAAAATGAAGAACACTGTATTAATGTTTATTTCTAATTACAAGAAACAGAACATCAGTCCCTTATTTGTACAAAAATACCTGAAAGTTTACAATTAGGTTCACGAGCCAAAGAGCTATGTACAGAATGAAGCAAAGCACATGGAATAAAGGTTTTGTCTCTTCATTAATACCTTCTGCATTCCCTGAAAACGTTTATACACGCCAGGCCAATTTACAGTCACTGCAGTTTGCACTGTGACATCACAAATCTACCGCCAGCTTGCCCGCCCCCAGAAAGGCGCAGAGATCGGTCATACTGTCAGGTATTAAGTGCAGAAAAGAGAAGACAAAACATCTAGGCTGAGGCACATGTTTCTTCAAGGTTTAGCAAACAAAAGAACATTCTGGAACTCTAACACCTAGTGTAACAGAGCTTACCTATTAAACTCTAATAACCAAAGCATTTGGCGTTTTCCTTCTCAACTTCGTCCTGGTTGCTACATGGAGTTTCATTTAGAAAAGAAAATCACAGGCAGAGATACAAAGTCAACAGGCTCCAAAACAACCCTGAGCTGTCCCCTTTACATTCATGTCAATTAAATACAAAAATAAAAGTCAAATGTCCTTCCGTCCCCGGTTTGCGGGACTTGTTCTCAGGTGGAATTCCCAGCCGCCCAGCGCGAGGCCAGCGAGCTGGGGCCTTAGGAAGTCTGCCGCCACGTGGAGGCGGTTTACATTCTCCAACAATTCACTTCGGCAGGGAAAATACAAAAGACTACGTCAAACCAGCTACATACAAAACTGTGAATCAGAGTCAAGCTTTTGTTCTCCTTTTAAATAAACGCATATTTATAAATATGAAATACTGCAAATACAAGCTGTCTATTGGAGAGAGGCGTGTGAGAGAGAGATTATACACTGATGGGACTGGTCTACGTACACAGAAAAAAGAAATCCTAGAGTTGTTTTTCCTTGAAAAGGGTTTACCTCGAGCCAGTGAAGAGGAAGGAATCGTGGTGTAACTGCAATGTCCGTCCCTACAGTGAAGCCTGCCACCAGGTGTGAACGTGAGAATTATCTTACTGTCAATAGTTTGAAAGACTGACTGGCTGCGAAAGGAAGAAAATGCAATTGAGCACTGATGGTTAAAAACATGTTTTGCTAGAAAATTCTTCATTTGTATACCTTTCATGGAAAACAACTAGAGTGTGGTCTGTAGACTGACATACAGTGTTACTATACGGTAGACTGACTTCCAGCTGACTGGCCTTACTGAAGCTTGTGACACTGCTCTAGGCTACGGGGGTTGACTGAGGAGCAGAGAAATGCTGTTCCTTAGGGAACACTTCAGTGGGGCGGATTTGGGGCAATATCATGGCCAGCACACATTAATAGAAGCCAGGCAGGTGTTGTCTTGAAAAAGGAAATCATTCTGCTCACCACAGTAGTTTGTCGCCTGTCAAAGGAGTCCTTTCTGCTTTACAGGGATCAAAGGTAAGGAAATGGCCACTCTCACACCTGATCACTAAGCTAAGGGGACGTGGCAAAGGGGGCCACCCGAGGGGCGGAGGGGACCAAGTGACAACTCAAGCCACCATCTGACTCATCTCCCGGAGCGGGGACAAAGTGTTGTGTTGACAAAACTCTTCCATGTCCACAACCACTGTGAGGTACTTCTGACCCTAAGCCAGCAGAGGAGGAGCCTCTAGCTGCTCTGTGTTCACTGGCTTATGGGGGTTTTCAGCAGGACGGAGGGCTGCAAGCAAAGATCTTTAAATATCAGCCTGTGCCTGTGGCCCCTGCAGCGTTTCCTTGTCTTTATCACTATGGAAACCCATGAGACACAGCACGAAGACAACCAGGTGCCATTTTCTCTTTAGATCCTTTAATCCCCCGAGGGACATCAGCCGTGAAACGACTCACACCACTGCAGCAGCAGGGGTAAGGCAGTGATCGTTCTAGAACAGGCTGAAGGCTGTGGAAACGCAAGGCTGAAGTACCCAGGTGGATTATGCAGCATCCACCGCTGGCCGATGACGGGTGCCAGGTGTGTCTCAAGGAGGCTGGCCCACGTCAATCTAGAGGCGAGGCCATTCAGCCTGCTGTTTGTGGAACAGTGAATTTTCCAAAGGAATAAAGTCTCCTGCACTGTGCAGAACAAGACACACTAATAACAAGAGGATCTGACATCTGAGCATAGAGAAATGATTAACAGACTGTGGTTGCTTGACTGAGTCCACAAAATATGCCAAATGCCTACCACAGTGACACCTTTTATTTTAACAAGAAAGCTTTTCAAGTATACTGGGAAGGGCTGGGTTTGTCATTTGGGAGCTGAATCCACACCGTGGTAGTCGGCAGAGGGTGTGGAGGACCCTCTGGGAACATTTGGGGACCCATATTCAGTTTGAAATCTGCCCATTCAAAACTCTTTCTGTATTATATGAGTTGAAACGCCACATCCCCCTCCTACAATAGGCTGAATACAATATTGAAAACAAAGAAGGAGTGCAAAAAAGTGATCAATACAAAAAAAGTAAACATATCAGTTTTAATTGTCAAGATTATTCCAGGGCAAGAGTTCATTTCCAATCACTTCTCTCCGGTTCTTGTTCCTAAGCGGCCCAAGCCAAGATGATCATTCCAGTTTATTTTCAACTTTCCGCTGGATCTTCCATGCCCTCCCCAATTTGGCCGATGCAGAGGGAGGCGACCCTGCTGGGTTCACAGCAGCAAATCGTCGTTTAAGTCCAACAAACTAGTCAATCTTGGTCGGCTGGCACCGAACAAACCCATCTCGCTCTGGGTCCCCAGGTGCAGAATCGATGTGTGTTCTTCACCAACGCACAGACCGCTTCTTCACTCCAGTGTTCACTTCCTCCAGTCTTCAGCCGAGAGGACATCTGCGGTCATAAGGCCACTCGGATGCAGTGGTGCTTGAGTTTGCAAGGCAGGACTCCTTTGTTCAGCTGGTAAAAGTCAACCAGCTGGATCAGGTCAGAGAATTTGGTGTTCCCGTCATCTAGGCTGAAGAACGTCTGCCCGTCGTCCTCGCACTGGAGAGACACAAGAACACTTGCCAGGTTAGAGGCTGCCACCTCAGGGAACAGAACGGGGCCCACGGCCAGCAGCAGCTACATCTGCCCATGATTTGATTCCAGAGGGACACACAGGGCAAGGTAGGCTAGAAAACACCAGGGGCGGGAAAGACGGGAGCAGAGGATGTGTGCTGGGGGCTGCCATGTCCCTGAGCGAGGGACAGACTTTGGGTGGGCTGCGGAGGCTGCTGAGGACAGCTAGCTCCCCTGCTCCCTAAGGTGGTCAAGGGGAAGGGCTCGAAGTTGCCCCCAGTTCACCCAGCTCATGAGAATTACATTTACCAGTTAACTTGTAAGTACCCACTGCACACAGCATGCCCCGAGAAGACTGCACAAACCTGGGTCCTCACTATACGACCTCAGCCAACTCCTGAGGCCCCAGGGGTTTACTCTGCTCCATGATGAAGCAACTGTTGGGTGGCTATGAGGGATTAATAAGCTCACGCAGGTAAATTCCGTTCCTAGGTCCCTGAATATGGGGCAGTTATTTTTATTAAAGCAGGGGAATGCCACAGTATCTCCCAGAGAGAATCATATTCCTAACACCTATTTTAACTCAGTGAGTTTTCAGTTGGATGACTGTAGTACAGTGCAAAACACTGCTGAAAGGAGGTCGTGTTGTTCACAGGGAATAGGTCAGCCTTAAGGCTTGGCTAATTAATGAGCTTGGAACCACTTCGTAACTCTAAAACCATTGCTAGAGCTAACAGCACATCCCACAGCCAGTTTTCACACACAGAGGCTGCACACCTAATGCCCTAAGTCCCAAGTTGCTGTTCTTTTGTTACTTGTAGGATTTGGGCATTACACACTCTGCCTACCACGAAAGCCCCCTTTCTTTCTTTTTTTTTTTTAATTTACTCATCCAGCCTAAAATGTCAATCACTTTTCATTTTATATTTTGAGCTAAAAGAATTATAACTGTGTGAATAATATAATGCAGTAGAAGAACAAAAAGGATTGTCTATGCAGCACTTTCCCTAGGACAGTAATTCCTGTATTTGCATATAAGGTTGGCTGGAAGCTGGGAAGGCTGGGCTCAACCCCAGATTCTGTTCCTCACCCCAGTGCGGTGCAGGAAAAGCCACTGACAGCCATGAGCCTCATTTTCCTCACGAGTAAGGTGGGGATGTCAGCACACAGCAGGAAGCAAGCAGCCACAGAAAAGACAGTGCGTGGCACACTGCCTTCCCCTGGCTCACAAAAGCTAAGCAAGACACCCTCCTCATCCTGTATGGTCCATGGCTGCCAGTCACTACACGATTCTTGAGATCATAACAAAGTCCTGGGGGTCAGATAAGCCTGAAGAACTCCAGGTTCAACTGTGTAAAACAGGTGAGTTTAGTTAATTTAAGCCTTCTCAGAGCTTTTTCTTTGCTGACATGCAGATTGAATCTCTGAGAGGAAACTGTCCAGCCAGCCTCTTTTGGTAGAGTTTGGGTTCCACAGGATGCATTTCACAAACATTATCATTACCTGCAGAATTTATCAATTCAGCATGTAAACAGCTGCTATTAATTTTGTGTATTGTATTCTCAACTAAACTGAATTCTTGTAGGCGCTGATCTAGCACTCTAATCATGAACTAGAATTGAACTGTGGCATACTGAAGTGAGAGGTAAACATCAGGCGAATCAAACATAAAGTGCTTTGTCAAAAAAAGTAGTGTTGATTAATGTATTCTGTAATGAAGTTTTTGGAATTGTTCAAAGGGAGAATGGTCTTTAGATCCAAGGACCATGTGGAAGGAGAAACAAAATTACTCTTTGGGAGGCCACTTAACGCTTCTTGGATAGCCCTGGTGTACACCAGGACAAATTACAAGACTCCTCAGACTCCAGCAGCCAACAGGCAATCCTGCTGCACAACTCCTGCCTTCCAGACCCACGTGCTCACAGCTGCTGCGACCTCAGCTAATTCTCCTCCACCTCCCCTTCCTGTGACCTTGATCCTTCCCATCAGTACCCTTTCAGCTGTGGGCCCTCAGCTAATTCTCCTCCACCTCCCCTTCCTGCGACCTTGATCCTCCCCATCAGTACCCTTTCTGCTGCAACCAAGAGCTCACAGGCTCAAGGGGGGCCTCAACACCCTATCACCACTTTCAGGATTATTTCCAGGGAAATGTTTTTCTAATTTCAAAAGACAAACCTGTAAAGAAATTCTTGAAAGTTTCTTAACTGCAGCCTTGAAACTGTCTGATACTTACCGGTCTTGTCGGTTTATAACTTGAAAATTGCATTAAGAATGAAACCAGAAAACAAACCACAAGGACTGGTCTGAGAACATCAATACTTACAGGTAAGATCTGGAAATTTTTAATTTTCTGGTGATGACACAGTGTGAGTACAAATGCCTTTGGATTACTCTGGCTGTCACGGAGGAGAAAAAGCCTGGGGAAGGGAAAATAGTTGATTGCTAAAATATTTTAAAATCTGGAACTAATCACACACACACACTCTCTTACACACACACACACACACACACACACACACACACAGGCTTGGAGCCACAATGCTTCAGTGCAGTGCTTTGGCATTTAAGTGGCCTCTAGGGGCAACAGCACACCAGGCAAGCACCAAGACGGTAATTCTGAATTGTCATTCTCCATTGGAAAAAAGCTGGGCTCCTTGGGGATATGCCTGACTACAGGGTTAGGGCAGGGAAACTATAGGATGAAAAGGATTATTTTGTGCCTGCATATCAAGAAGTGCTCAAAGAATAATGAGGACATGTCAAAAAGACACAGGAGGCAGGATGACTAAATCTGGGCATCAAAATGAATTTTAAAAGTAATGAATCATAACCCATGAAATCGGAATCCGTGTCTGTAGTATTATTTAAAAATAAATAAGCAAATAAATTAATACGGGAGAAGATGAAAATCTTTCTTGGAGGAGAATGTCAGCCAATAAATAAAGGCAAGATGTATTCAAAAACTACCCTTTGGCAATTACTGTAGTAACTAACAATTAACGAAGGAGGGGGGATCTTCAACAAATGCTGAAACCAGCAGATGAAAGGTGGATGAGAAAAAAGAGTATTTTCATGGCATCAAAGTATTGTACTGTTAATACTTATTTACTACAAAGGGGAAAATAATAGCTTTACAGTGGAGAAATCCGGCCGACAGCATCTTCTTCATCAAGTGTCTAAATTACCACCACTAGCAATGAGACAAATTGACCTTGAGGGCTTCCGGAGACGATGTACTGAAGATGACACAACATCACTTTTCGGGGGTGCTCCCGCCAAAAATGCATAGCCTGAATCTCACCATGAGTGAGGAGCCTAGGCTGAGCCCAGGCACACTCTACAAGAATTGGCTTCTACTCGAAACGCAGGTCAAGATTATGAATACATGCTGGGAGAGAAGATTTAGGATGAAGATGTTCTTTTGCTATAAAGGAGGCAATTAGGAAGAAGGGTATAGATTAGACAATGAACTGCGTCGTCAATGTTAACTTCCTGGTTTTTATAAGGTACTGTGGTTATAGAAGTTCTTGTTCTTAGAAATTTTACACTGTAATAATTCAGACTAAAGGGACATCATGCCACAACTTACTCCTAAACGGTTCAGAAGAAAAAACAGTAACTAAGAACAAAGGCAAATGTGCCATAATCTTAATAAGGGTATCTGGGCGAAGTGTGTATAGTTCATCCTATTACTATTACAACCTTTCTACAACCTTAAAATTTTTTTTTAATCCTAAATTAGAATAGCACAAAAAAGGCATAAAATCATTGCTCTTACATGAGAAAATCTGGAGTTAGCTGAAAAGATAGTTATACATCAGAAAGCGAAGAAAGATCCAATGAAAGCTACAAAGAAGAAATGGCCTGAAAAGGAACTCACTTTAAATGTATCCAAAACCAAACTACAATCATCAGCAAAATCACCAGGTCTAGATTGTAATGTGAAGATGGAAAGCAGTTAAATAAGACTGGAAAATCCCATGCTGAAAAGGTAAAAGAAATATATTTTACTACAGGACTTCTCAGAGCCTTAAATATGTGAATATTCATGGTAACTGCCTAGCAGTTTTCCAATCTTACCTATGTAGAAACCTCCCCCACCCTTTCTAAAATAGCACTTTGCAGGCCTTGTGTGCTTCAGGATATACTTTGGGAAACACCGATCAGAATGGGATTCCATGGTTTGGCTTGGTCAGGCCAGATGGGACGGCGTGAGGAAGCTCAGACCCCACTGGGGAACACGCGGCACCGCCAGAGAGAAGACAAGGAGATCCAGTTCTTCTCCCAAGCGCTGGTGCATGCTGGGCAGCTGTGCCCACCTCAAAGACTTGTCAGAGTCATGTCATTCCAAATAAAACATCGTTACTCTGACACCCAGAAGTTTGCCGAGCTTCAGCTCTAACTAGAGGAAAATGTGGGGCGTCCCTTTCTCTGCCGTTAACTATCTGCTGTCTCCTTCTGCAGATGGGAAGCTACAGACGAGTGAATGGCAGCATGGCCCAGGCCTGTTTACCCGAGAGGGACGTGTACCCCTGAGAGGGGCAGGCTCACCCTGGGAAGTCCCAAGGCTGCTGGAAGGCTTGAGCTTTATAGGGAATGCCTGAAGGTTGTCTATCTGAGATGACTGCTATGCGGGGAGAATGGCATGGCTTAGGCATCAGCAGGAATCCTGGATAGGTCACTTATTAGCTTCATCATCTTGGGCAACTTCTCTTCTCAGCCTCAATTTCTTCATCTGCAGAAGGGGAACAACACCTCTTTTTTTTTGAGATGGAGTTTTGCTCTTGTCACCCAGGCTGGAGTGCAATGGTGCAATCTCAGATCACTGCAACCTCCGCCTCCTAGGTTCAAGCGATTCTCCCCTCTAAGCCTCCCAAGTAGCTGGGACTACAGGTGCCCGCCACCACACCCAGCTAATTCTTACATTTTTAGTAGAGATGGGGTTTCATGGTATTAGCCAGGCTGGTCTCAAATTCCTGACCTCAGGTGACCCGCCCACCTCGGCCTCCCAAAGTGCTGGGATTACAGGCATGAGCTACTGCACCCAGCCAGAATAACTCTTCTCTTACAGGACCATTGAGAAGACCATGGCTGATGTATATACAGCTTTGTGCATGATCACACGCAATACAAGGTAGCTTGAAATAACAATCACTGCAATCAGCCAACTGCCACAATCCAGTGATTTCTAAGGGGATTGCAGTTATAGGAAAGATGCCCAGGGAGAAGCTAAGCATGTTAAGTGACTACTAACCAGGCTCAGAAGTTGTAAACACGGCCCAGGATGGACAGTGGCAAGAACCAGGTAAGTTCTTAAGAATCGATGCTAGGGATGGTGCACTCACCAGTCCATCATAAATGAACGAAGAGCCCCTTGTGACAGGACCCGACAGTGATCAGAGTACAATCTAGACCACGTTTACAAGCAAGACACCGTGCAAAGTGTTTCATGCATGTATTAACTCATTCATCTTCATGGTGATACTGTTATCTTCATTTCACAATGATAAGGGAAGTGACACACAGAGAAGCTAAGCAACTTCCCCAAGGTCACACAGCCAGTCATGGAGGAGTTCCTGGTTCAGCAGGAAAAGCAGACGAAAAGTGAAAGTATCCCTCTTACAAGGGTGCTATGTGAGTCCTGGGGATAACACCTCTCTTTCTGCGGTTGGGAGAAGGGAAAGCTTCAAAGAATTCAAATTTTGCCGAAGAGGTTTCCTTCCAACATGTGGAGGGGCATGAAGTGCAGACAGAGGGACTGCACAGGCAGATGACACAGGGATCGATGCCTGGCACAGCAGGAAGGCCAGTGGGGCTGGACCATGAGTGTGGGCATGGCAGGGGGGGCATCCACATGCCCTGGGGGGATAAGCATGGTGTTGGGGGTGGGGTGGGATTGTTTGGCAGAGAGGACTACAGACCTAGATTTCCCCTTAAAAAGATCCTTCTCCTGCAGTTCTGGGACGGGCATGGGTGGCAAGACAGGAAGGAAGCAGGCGGCAAATTCAGTGCAGGGCTGGTAAAGCACGAGTATGTGCGCGCACACGCTCAGCTGCATGGGTGGGGACGGGGATGGGAGGGGAGCTGCCTGGATCCTGGGATTTCAGGAATACTTGACGGGCTTATTTAAGGCTCTGATGTCTCTTTCTAACTGCATACACCGTTTGAGAATAAAGCTATGGAAAATGCTGTTGTTATACTGTCTGTCCAGAATCTTGTGCTGTTTTTCGAGGTGGTTTTCTTTTCTTTGTTGTTTAACTCTTTAAACTGGCTTGCCTTCATCATCTCTGCAGGGATCAGTAAAGATTAGAAATGGATTATTTACCTTGTTATACAAATACACCTCCTCCCTACACCCAAGAATTGAGAGGAAGATGAGCTGTTCCTGTGTTAACGCCTGAATCAATCCCATTATCTGCATTTCTGTGTGTGGTTAGCGCTCCAGCAGCCTAAGGCGGGAGCTGGAAATGACAGCCTTGGAGACGAGGAAGGCTCCAGGGAGGACGGAGAGGAACACCTGCTGAAGAATAAGACGGGCGGCACCAGCCGGGCTGATTTGGGGAACGGAAGGTAACAGAGGTGATGCTTCTATCGCTTTACAGGTCTGGAAAGACGGATGCCTCACCAACTGGGTTTCTGATCCGAGAAAAATTGAAAGACAAACATGGCTGGGGGAAGCAAAACGCTGACACACAATTCAGGTGGCCCAGCAGTGCTGACCTGCAATCCACCCCACCCCAAGGCAGCCCTTTCAATCCAAAGTGGACAGAGTGGGCCTTATCCCAGAATCACTCAGGAAGCTTCTTCAAACATATGACTGCCACACCCGCCCCCAAGGTTCAGAAACATCTTCGCCTCGGGATGATGGGCGTCCTCACTGCCCTGGCCTTGGGGAGGACACTTAGTGGCCACAGCACCAAATAAAGCCTCCTGTGGAAGTGCCAATTCTCCAGCAGAGTGACGCTACCCCGAAGTGAGCCTGCGCTGCCTCCCACACACGGCAAGGGTAACAGAGGTCCCCCTAGAACATTCTGGGCCCACTGTTGATACGGTTCAGGGGTATAAGCAGGTATACACTGTATTAGAAGCCCCAGAACACACAGATACCCCTAACTCAAAAACGTCACAGAAAGAGAAATTTCTGTGTTAGGCTTTTCTCTCCTCAGGCATGCCAGAAACTTTAGAGGAGAAACATACTGTTTTACAGTTAGAGGAGGAGTTGCTTCTAATGCTTTGAGAGACTGCTCTGTGATAAAGCTGACATCTTGAGTAAGGAGTTTTGGAGCAATTGTAAAGCCACATGGGAAACAAAATAAAATCAGACCCATACTCTACCCAGCAGTGAGGATAAATAAACCCAAGTGCATCTGGGATCGAAACAAAACCAAACAAAGACCAAAAATGAACCAACTAAGGACAAAAGAAAGAAAGGGAGAATGCAGAGAGCAGGAAGGAAGGAAAGAGGAGCAGAGGGAAGGAAGGAGAGAGGGGGGAAAAGAATCCAAGTACAAGACAACATGAATGCACCCCTTTATGATTTAGGAGTGGGAAAAACAAAAGTGTCTGCAACTTAACTGATTAGAAAAATGGACAAAAAATGTAAACAGGGTAGAACTGCCAAAAGACAAAGAAGTCCTTCCATACATGAAACGAGGGTCAGCCTCCTTCATGAGAGATGCGGCTGACAGCATGACTCTCAGATGAAGAAGTAAGCCTGCTGAGGGACTCTGGTGATACTTCACAATATTACATAGGCCCTGCCCTTCCACCCCACAGCCCCACTTCTCAGGACTCATGGCAAAGATACATGGCAAAATTATGAAACAATGCAGCACTGTGTCTCATAACATTTGCCTGGAAACATGGTGAACATCCCTCAGTAGGGGACATTTTAAAAAATGATGTTCCATGTACATAAAAGAAAACCCAAGAGTGGAAAAGAAATGTGGGCCATCGCGATGCGCTGCTGTGGAGCGATCCTTGGGATGCAGAGACTGCGGGAACTGCGCAGCGCAGTACTTGCAGCACGCTACATTTGCTTAACGAGAGGCAGAAAACAAAATCTTTTCACTCGTATTTGTACAATGAAATGACAGAAGGATAAACAAACACTAATAAAAGCTGTTTATCTGGTGTAGGGGTTGGGAGGCAGAGTTGAGAGGACAGGGCATGTGCCTTATTTCATAGATCTGACTTTGGAACCATGAAAATGTTTTATGCAATTTACAAAGCAGCATTCAACCAAAAAGAAAATAAATCAGATCCACTTGCAAACACTAAAGAGAAACTGAAACAAACAAACCTGATTTACCCAGCAGTTTGGTGACAGAACCATAGAGAAGAATTACTTTAAGTGACTTTGGGCAAGGTATTTTAAGGTAACCTGCCTGGATTAATCCTTAAGGATTAAAAGGACTGTAAAGAAATCGCAATTCAGGTGTCTTACTGAATAAATATCAGCATTAATATTTTCAAGATATTACAGGTATGTATTTTGTATTATGTAATATAAAGTAATAAGTAATTAAGTTAATGCCATTAACAGAGATCATCAGAGGAAAAAAAAAACAACAAAATCAAAGAAGTAAAAAATCCTGTAATCTCAAATTTGAATTAGCAATATCAACGTGAACCCAACATTTATTTTTTGTTTTAAAAAAGCCCATGTCCTAGCTCTGTTTACTAAAAAGATCTAAAGATTGTAGTCTCCAAATACCATTTTGCATTAGAATGAATCAGGGTCCCTGTGAGAAATGCATCATTTGAGTCTAATACATCTTGTCACCCCAAAATCAAATACCATTAATGCTAGCTCAAAAGAACTCAGGAAGCAACTTGAAGGAACCATTGGCCAATGAGGGGCAAAGTGAGCGTCGAGAAGAGGTTTTGACTGAAATAAATCAAACACAAAAATCTAAGTTCACAGTGACAGTTTAAACAAAATCCAAACTAACAACAAAAACACCCCTTGTTTGCCTCTAGTGGAAGGTGGGAGAACACAAACTCGTTCTAAAAATTGACAAGTAAAGGGGAAAACCAGGCATTTACCTACTTTTTCCAGGAAATATCTAATGCAAGAAAGAACTTCAGCTCATATAGGAAGGAATTAGAAAATGATGATTTTGGAACACCTAATGAAATACTGAACCTGGGCAAGTTCACCAAGGGCTGCTAAAACCATGTGGTGGACGGGGACGGTAGCCTTGGTGGGGAGGTTCCAGCTGGCTGCACTTGAACCCCTGCTCACCCGACACCACTAAACAGCAACCAGGCTTCAGGCCTCCTCCACTCCAGGCAGCAGAGCACCCAGTACCTGCCCTGCAGACACCAGGCAGAAGAAATGCATCTGATCACACCATGACCACCACTCCCCAGGAATCAGGGAGACAGAGGAACTTATTAAAATAAACCACAAACATGCTATTAGCAAATGACCCACTTCTTTAACAAACAAAAGATGTTTAAAAAAATAGAAGAAAAACAGAGTGATGAGAAAGACTATTTTATATCCAAGGAGACAGAAGTATATGGTATAGCATCTAAATGCCATTTGTGGGTCCTACCTTAAATAACCTCAACTTAATTTAAAGGAGTTTTTTTGGTGACAACTGGGGAAATCTGAACATGGATTAGCTTTTAGATGATAGTAAGAAATTCTTATTTATTTAGTTAAGTGTAATAACATTGCAGTTATATCAAAACAAAAGGGTCCTTATTTTTTTAGAGACAGGCATTGAGATGTATTTGCTGGCAAAAATTTAGGATATCTGAAATTTCCTTTAAAATAGAAGAGGAGGAAGAGGAGGAGAAAAGGGAAAAGAGAGATGAAGAGGAGGAGGAGGAGAATGTAGGAAAGGGAAGAGGTGAAGTAAGCAGGTTGAAGCTGCGTGATGGGTAAGTGGGGTTTCATTATACACTTATGTAAATGTGAAAATTTCCGTAATAAAACTTTTTGTAAAACGAAGGACACAAGAATCATTCTTTGAGTTTAGCAGCTTCCAGGAACCTGTATTTTGAGTATTCAGACCCCGTATGGGACAGCTCCCACATGGATGTAACTACTTCCTCAGGGAGGATGATCAGCCTGTGTCTCTTTCTGGAAGACTGCTGGCTCCGCAGTGTCGGCCTTCTGTGGTAACTGCATCCCATGTCCCTGTCCCTATATCCACACTGTGGCTGGCTCCTTCCCAGGGTCATTCAAGTGTGGTCTTGGGATTTGCTTTGGTCAACGGGATGGTGGCAAATGTGATGGTACGAGAATCTTGAGAAGTCTCGTGCATGTGTAGTGGGGTTTAACCTCTCTTGCTATGCCTGGGAGCCTCAAGTAATCTGCTGCAGACACATGCCCAGTCACTAATTGCCACGGCAACAGCTCACAGCAACAACCAAACACGAGTGAACCTATCCTGGACTGTCCAGCCCCAGCCAAGCTGGCCCAGGTGAGAAAGGCCACTCAACCAACAATGATACGTAATTTATTTTTGTTGTTTTAAGCCACTAAGGTTTGGGGCTATTTGTTCTCAGCAAAACCAACCTCATGTAGTACACAATCAAAAAGCGTAGGCAAAAGCATTTTTTTTCCATCTGCCCACTACCTTATGAAGATAAAACAACTTGTGTTGTCCATCTCTTCAGATTTCATACAGAGGTGAAGGATAATTACAGATACACTCTGGGCAGACATGGATTAGATCCCTTTCTGCCCCTTACTAGCTGGGCAAGCCCTGCGTACCACTTATACCTCTAGCCTACCTTTTCTCCTCTTTAAAATGAGGACAAAACTGCTGCCTGTCCAGCAAGGATGTCTGAGGAATTAAACAGAACAGATCCCCAGCACAATAAAACCTTAGCAGATGACAGCTCTTATCAGTGGTGGTTCCTTACCCATCCACGAGCCCTTGCTGTTTAATGATCCTGTGGGATTCCTCCCTGGAGATCCTCCCGTGAAACCAGTGCTGTGTCCTGTGAATCACTGTGGGGGGAAGACAGGAGGAGGGTAGGATGGTGGTGCCTCTGCAGAATGGCTTCCCTGACAGCACAACCAACTCTGATCAACTCAGAGCCCCTGACTCCCCCAGCTACAGCTTGTGTGGTGCACTCTGGCCACAGGCAAATTCGTAAGGCTGAGGGGGAGTGGAGGGGGGTGCTGTTTGATTTTCTTTATGTACAAAAACATCAGGCAATGTGCCCTGTTTACCTGTACTTAGGGTAGAAGGGTGGAGGGGACTTTGGCTACCTAGGATGTTCATCCGTGTGCTTCGCTTCTGCAAAAGAAATCCCACATTAGCACCGAGGACAGCAGACAGACACACCAAGTCACCCAATATGTCCAAGCTCATGGCAGGCCACTGGGTGGGGTGCCTGACTGGGCTCACAAGGGACCTTGCCCCATCTGAAGACCCCACTGACCCCTGAGAACAAAGAGCTCAGGGTTCCCAGTTGTTAAGAACACCCTGAAATATCTCTAGTAGCCCCAGTATCGAAGTAGACATGCTTATTTCTCACACTGAAGACATACGATGAAAACGCCATGAACATCCTGGTAAATCGCAGGAGAAACACACAAGCCTTTCTATTAAACTCACGCAGTTCTCAAAACACTGGGCACTGGACTCCCCGTGCTTGGGACTTCCTTCTTTTTCCCATCCCCTGAGGCTGAAGTACAGAAAATGCCAGAGTCCAGGCTCCTGCTTTGCACATGGCCTTTAAGTCTCAGGACTTAGAAGCCGAGTGATAGTCTTCCCACCTGGAGATTAAGAACCTAAGCCTCAGGGGTGAGGGAGTGGCCCAAGGCCTCCAGGCTGTTAGTAGCAGACCTTGATGTGAGCACCTGCTGGCCCCACTCAGGCCTGGGCTCTGTGCACTCCACAGACAGCCACTGCCAGTTCATCAGCAGAACAGTTCTGCATAGGAGCCACGGAGGGCAGAGAACTCTGTTCCTCTCCTGTCCCTTCCATGAAAGCCCAGGGGACAGGGGACAGCGGGGAAAGGCTGGGTGCTGGGAACATGGAAGGGGCCTAGAAGGGCCAACTGCTTCCTGCAGCTGAGAACTCACCCCACCCAACATGGCACCCCTCTTGCCAACCCGCATAGAGCTGTTCCTCTGGGAGAAGACCACGTGGTGGGGCTACCACCTTGAGGGTGCCCCTCCAGGCTGGCCAGGGCCGGGGCCTTACCCTCCAGGCGTGGCCCTCCTCCAGGGCTGCGCTCTGGGCCTCTGCCGGATTCTCTATCACGCGTCCTGTTTGCCCAGAAAAATCCATTGCCACGAGGGAGTTCTCGGAGACACTGCGCTGAAAAGGAAAGGCCGCAGTTCTTAAAATGCAGGGAAATAAGGCAGAGTGGAGTCTTGGCATGAAACTATCATCAAGACGGTCAGGAAAGGGGAGCAGGGAATGCCTGCTTTCTACCTCTGAACTCCCCAAGTTTCAGGTGGGAAATTCACCGGTTCAGGCTGAAAATTCAGTGGCCCCTTCAGTTTTTCTTAAGAACGAAACACATTCTAGTCCTCCCTGAGTATTAAAAAGGCTGCTGGTGAGGCCCCCGGCACCCGCAGCATTTGGACCATGTGGTCCTTCACAGGCTCCTGACCTGCACTCCAACACATCAAAGAAATCAACAGCCAGGGTGAGCCTAGGCCTCCCCAGTGAGTCATTCCCTCGGGGACGTGGGTTCAGGAAAACTCGTGGACCCTTTCTGTGGCACCATTTGGCATCTCAAAGGGGCAGATGCTGAAGGACCCTCAGGACTGTATTTTGAGAAGATGAAGTGCTTCTGCTCCTTTGAGAACAGAGTGCCCAGAACACAAGAGGAACGATGACAATCTCTAAATTCTCACCAGGGAATGAATGCAGCGTTAATAGTCAACAGTTCCCATGGGTCCCAAGGTTTAAGGAACAAAAGCGAAAGGCAGGAAAGGCAGTACCCCACAAGGCCAGAAGTTGTTGCTGCCATTTTTGAGCACTTAAAGAGAGCCACCTACTTACACAACCCTGAGGGGAGATGCAGGGACGGGAGAAGAACGGCAGAGGAATTCACTCCCTGTCGTTGCACTGTTGAGACTACAAAACCCACGTCATCGTGGGACATACTGGCTTCCCTGAAATGCACACACACTCTCCAGAGCTTCTCTTGCCCACCCTGTGTGAAATGAGGCGTCCTTAACACATGTGATGCAGAAGCTGAAAAGGCACTAGACTTCTGAAGCTCCTGGCTTTACTTACCACTGGCGTCGAGAACGGGGACAGCAAGGCCTTCCTCTGCTGAGGGATTCGGTAATTCTGGTAAAGGAGCATTCCATACTGGAGAGGAGAAGCCACAGTTAGTCACCGGCCCGGGAGCCCCGAGGCCCGGCATGTGACAAACGCCACAGCAGGAAAGGGCAATGTTGAGTGCGGAACAGGGAGTGATGCCCTGTACCAGCCTCCAGGAGCCTGAGTGCCGCTGACCCTGATCAACACAGGGATTAGGAGCAATGACGCCCCTTGAAATAAAAAATCCGAGTATAGCTTTTGACTCCCCCAAAACTTACCTACTAGTGGCCTACTGTTGACCAGAAGCCTTAATGATAACATAAACAGTTAATTAACATATATTTCGTATATGTATTCTACACCATATTTTTATAAGGAAGCTAGAGAAAAAAATGTTATTAAGAAAATCATAAGAGACAATACAATTATGGGACTGTACTGCATTCGATTCTGTAAGTCTACATGTTGACACAATGAATTATCTGTGTGGTGTGGAGGGCAACCATTCAATCTCTAGTATGTATCAAGCAATTTAAGTTTTTCTTGTCATGTCGTGACTTTTCTCTGTTCTTGGGCGCACTTCCAGCTTCACTAGTGGCATTTCACATGGGTCCCATGGTGTTCTTTAAAGTTCCTGTATTGCACTACACACAACGAAAAATACTCCAGAAACATGAGCCCATTTTTTTACTACAACATGCAATTTATTGGAGAGAGGACCTGCTCATGGGGAGATAATTAGCAACACAAGGTGGGTTTCTAAATGGATATGTCCAACATCTGAGTTCACTGTACTAGCAACAGGAGGTGGCTACAAAATTATGAGAGTAATACAGCAGGGACTATAGTTAATTTTATGCAGTTCTGAGGTAATCCGCATCTTTGTTTGTTTACATCTCTTGACTACAAATGGTGCCATATACAGTCTGTGTTTGCATGCATTCAGTTTTGATAAATTTTAACTTTATATAATAGATTAATATATATAAAAAAATCTCTAAGTGGACCTGCACAGTTCAAATCATTCAACTTCACATTCAATATGGTGCATGCCTCAGTGCTGCTGCTACTGTGGCCCCTCAGGAGGGAAGAGCTGACTGGTTTTGGAATAAGCGGGACAGTGACAAACATAATAACATCAAGAGCAAGTAATCTTATTGAGTGCCACTATGGGCTCAATATGTCTAAGACACTATGTGTCTAAGTGCTTTATGTTATTTCATTTAATCCTCTCCATTTTATGAGCTGTACACTATAATTATCCCCATGTTACAGAGCACAGAACTGAAGCACAGAGGAATGAGGCAAGCTGCCCGCAGTCACGACTTTGAACGTACACGACCTGTTCCAGACCCAGTGCCCTCCCTAGCTGAGGCTTGCCACCTAACTGGCTCAGTAGTCTGCACTTTCTGATCCTGGCAATGAGGACTCAGGGCCCTGCAAAGTCTCATACACATCCAGCATCCCAACCTACACACCCAAATCACACATTCCAACCATGTGGAGAAGAAGAAAGAGTCAGAAACAGGAAGTGAAGTCATCAAGTGGGACAGCTCTTCTTTCATGGGATCTAAGCTCAGTTCTGGCTCTAGGTCTCATGGCACATACTCATTTCTAAGATAAAAATACCTAGAACATGATGCAAAGGTCTAATACAGGAACGACTGCACTCCAGCAAGAGAAGAGCAAGAACAGGTCAGGGGAAATATTTGATGAGATAATGCCAAAAACTTTCCAAAGTTGACAAAAAGACGTCAAGCTACAGATTCAGGGTGTAGGATAAGTAAGCCCGCTCCGAGCATATATCATGGAAAAATTGCTGAGAAACAGACACAAAGAAAATGTCAAAAACAACCAGAGGAAAACGTGCATTATTTTCACAGAAGCAATGGGAAGACAGACAACTAATGTTTTTACATAAATTATAAGATTCAGAAGACAATGCAGTGGGAAGATGCAGAAGAGAATAACCGCTAACCTTGCATCCTATAACCAGTGAAACGTTCCTTCAAGAATGAAAGTGAAACAAAAAGTGAGAAAATTTCTCAGGCCCACATGAAAAGAACCGCTAAGCTGAGGTCTTCTAGTCCCAGAGAGAAGAATGCAAATTTAGGAAATATTAAAGTGCAAAGATGTAGGTGATTAAAGAGTATATAAAACAATAACATTATGTCTTAAGAGGTTTTATATATATGACAAGAATCCTTCAAAAGGGACAATGGAGCAAATGGAGTGAAAGGTCCTCATGCCTGCCTGAAAGCAGTCAGTAAATGTACTACATTATAAAAGATTTTAATAAGTTCAAGGGGCATGTTAGGCCGGGCGCGGTGGTTCACGCCTGTAATCCCAGTACTTTGGGAGGCCAAGGCAGGCAGATTGCTTGAGTCCAGGAGTTTGTGACCAGCCTAGGCAACATGGCAAAACCCTGTCTCTATAAAAAATACAAAAATTAGCTGGGCATGGAAGTGCATGCCTGTAGTCCCAGCTACTCAGGAGGCTGAGGTGGGAAGATGGTTTGAGCCCGGGAGGTTGAGGCTACAGTGAGATGAGCTCATGCCACCGTACTCCAGCCTGGGAGGCAGGGTGAGACCCTGACTCAAAAAAAAAAAAAAAAAAAGATGTGATATCTAGGGTAACCAGGAGAAAATAGTAAATGTACATGTACGTATTGGGTTAACAGAGGGAAAAACATAAATATACTTAATAAATCTAAAAAATTAAGAGAAAAGGAATACAAGAGAGGTGGGACAACCTGGAAAAAACTGCAAATGGCAGGTTCAAATACAAATATGATTATCACACTAAATAATACAATTAAATCACAGTAAATATTTTGGTTAAAAGATAAAGATTATCAAAGTAAAATAGTTACATTGTGATTATAAGAGATATTCCTTAAACATAAGGACCCAGAAAAGTAGAAAAAAGATGGTCCAAGAAAAACTGTGTAATGAAGCAAAGCTGAGGTAAAAATCATTAAATAAATTAATATGTGCCAGATTAGACTCTGGGGCAAGGAGCATTGCTAATAAAGCATATTTTATAATGTCTTAGAATTGACATACCAGGAAGATACAAATATTCTCAATTTTGGGTACCTAATAACATACACATTTTATTTTATTCACATGTTTGCATGTATATATTTACATATATGGGTGTGTGTAGACAGAAAAGATTAAATGGTAATAAATAATTGTTGCAAAGGTTTAATGCTGCGTTCATTGCCTTTTCAATGTCAGGTCATGTAAAACCAAAGCAATCAGTACTAGGGACTCTTGTGTGGATGAGGCAAGACCTCCCTCTTGGGGATGAGTTTCTACAGTAGATTAAGAGACTTCTAGAAGACAGAGGGAGGAGGAAAGATGGCAATAAATAATTGTTGCAAAGTTTTAATACTATTCACACAGCTCCTACAGCTTCCAAGAAATTACCTAACAAACAATGTAACAGGAAGAAATGAGACAAAAGATTATCTGCTGGCGCTACTAAGAGCATCTTTCTGAAAAGCTAAGTAAAGCCATGCCAGCTTTCTCCTATGTAGACCCAAGTTATAAGATTTATTCATTTTTTTCAAGAAAGTGTATCTGTGTAGGTAAAGATGTAAGAAGGTCCTAGGTTAATTCAAAATAACAACCCAGCTCTGCCTTTCCATGGTTGATATGAAGATGCTGTTTGTAGTAGATGGTAAAAGGGCCCTGTCAACTTCAGCCCTCAGACCCTCTTATCCTCTAAAAGGGGATCCGGTGTCCTGTGTCCTCCTCTGGAGGAAGGCAGAGCACACACACGGGATGCCTTGTTTTAGAATGAATGTCAACATGGAGACCCTGGAGTCATAAAGAGTTACCTCCCCACTGTCCCTAACTCTATCCCGGTTATCATTTCTGTATAGTGGGCAATGAATCAGTGCCGACAACACTCAAATGGCGTTTCGATTGCATTACAATCCTATGGCTATTTGGGGCAGAAACACATCACTTGCACTCCACTTGAGACCGGCCCCGAGGCCATCACTGCCACCTTCCTGTCAGGTCTGGCTCCCCAGCCTCCTATAAGAATAGTACCTAAGACGTATCCTTAATGACTCTAGAATCCGTGTATCACTGGATGCAAAGTGCTTCCCTGCAAAGTGGCTGGGACAAGAGGAATGCATTCAGAACTCACGGCAGCTTCCAGGTGGCTCTAGGGAGGGCAGCAAAGCATGGTAGTGAGGAAAGGGGTTCTGGGGCCAGAATGTCAGGGCTCTGACCCTGCTCTGCCACATCGTGGCAGCTACAGCTTGGGCCTCAGTTTTGTCATCCACAAAATGAGGATGATAATATGCATGTCACTGAGCTGTCACAAACAGTAAAGTGATAAAGAATGCCTGGCCCATAGCAAATGCTCAAAAAAATCTTAATATTATGTAACACATCATTGTTAACACTGACAACAATAAAGTCAGTTCGTTTTGCATTAGTCACTCTGCCCACATCCTTTCCTGTGGCTCGTTATGTTAGCGCAACAAAGGAGAGACACCCAAGAAACAGTGGTTAAGAACCTGATACTTGGATTTATTATATATTACCCAAAGTAATAGAATTCATAGCTTCTTGGAGTATACTACCACTTTCCTTTTTCATTTCCTTTTTTTTTTGCCTTTTCCAAAACAGATGATTCATTTGCAGATTAAAATTTCAACCATATACAGACAGCTTCAAAAGATCACCCCTGGCCGCTGCCCCTATCTGCACAGCTGCCTCTCCCATCTCCTCTCCCTACTAAGCAACCTCTTTCTTCTCTCCTGCAGCTCACACAATGTTCATGAGCATACCATCAAATACAAATATTCCAATTTTTCCTGTTCCCTTCACACAAATGTAGCCTTCTCTCTATATACTGTTCTGTACTTTGCTTTTTAATTGTTAGTAATTTTTCCGCAACAGGACACAAAGAGCAATCTCATTCTTTCTGGAGGTCCATGCAGAATACTGCCCTCAATGGATGTCACCTATGTGACCAGTTCCCACTGATGACCCTTACACTGAAAACCGGCTTACACAGGAGTGGTCTATGATCTATGATGTATTAACATGGACATTTCCTCTTCCATTATGAATTTGTAAAGTTTTGATTTCCATAATTCTTTTTTTAATCAGTGAAAACATAAAATAAGGTTCTGGGAGAGAGATACAGGAAGCCAATCTGTGGAACTTTTGGTTTGGGCCCCAGCATCCTATAAAAATGGCACTAGGATGTATCCTTAATGTCTCTGGAATCTGTGGATTACTGGGTGCAAAATGCTACCTGCCAAGTGGATGGGACAACAGGACTACATTCAGAATTGGATCTGCAGCACCTCCAGGAAAGTTTTGAGCTATGCTTCCTTCAGTTCCTCCATCTCCTTAATTGACTTCACCTTGAGTCTCTGGACCAGCTCAAAGGCCACTACAGTTCAACGAAGGCTGGGAGTTTTTGTAAAGAAATCCCTAGACCATTGTATCCATTGGCTCCAGTTGACTAAACGAACATCTCCTATGGAGACCCCTGGACTTTAGCCAAGCTCACCTGGGCCAGCTAACTTACAACTCACAAGGACTCTGTAGACTTAATTCCAGACATGTGGGATATGGTATATGTGCACAGAAACACTGTGGGAAATCCAAAGTGACTACAGTAAACAGCCCTATGAAATCACTCTGGCAACTGGCATGAAATTGCTGTCAAGGGCATTACTCTATATGCAGTACCACGTGATAAATTTCCTTTAGAACTTACAGTCAGGAGGTACTGTCTCTGCTGAGGAGCTTCAGTCAACTGTATAATTCATCATGTTTACTTCATGGCCCTGGCTTTTTGGGAACCTGAGAGTTGGTTCAGTCGTGAAAATAATTAACACCTCATGTACTATTTCCTTTCTCCCTGGTCCTGATTTTTCGAATCCTATTCTTCTAATCTAGTGGTCTCAACCAGGGGCAATTCCCCATCCTCTGGCTTCAGGGCACATTTGGCAACATTTAGAGACATTTTTGGTTGTCTCAACTGGCCGGGCGTGCGACTGGCATCTAGCAGGCAGAGACCAGGTATGCCACACATCTAAGTGGCCTGCAATGCTTGGATGTCCCCCAGACCCCCGACAAAGAATTATTCTACCCAAAATGTCAGTAGTACTGAGTCCGGAAAACCTAGCTCTACCCTGTTTAATATTAGGCCCTCTGTTAAAAGCTCCTGAGATCTTGTTTAGAAAGATGCTTAACTACATTTGATAAATAAAATATTGTGACAGAACAGCGGAAAAGTTACGAGCATTTTCCTGCCAGAATAGACATCAAGTCCAGAGGCCAATTTTCCACGAAGAGATGTGCACTCAACACAAACCGCAAGATGTCACATACCTTGAGGAGTCTGAACGCTGTCATCCAGCACGTCCTGGTTTGCTCGTCCTCTGCACAGAGCAACCTCAGCTCTTTAGTTTCATTCCTGACTTTGTTTGGCTACAGGAGGTAAAAGAAAGTCCTGTTAGTGTTACACAGGGAGTCAGAAACAGCTTCTGTCAAGGCAGGGCTGCATCTGACACAAACCAGAGACAACCAGCTGGAGATCCCCCTAGCAAGGAGCACAGCAGATACACACACACCTGTGTGTTAAGCGTTCATTCATCCACCTTCCTGACAAGACTTTATTAAGTGCCTACCATGGACTGGCCCCAGGTTGTGTACCACTTAGCTGAATAATAAGCCATCCTTTGGGAACTTCAGAGGAGACAGAAAAACAAACTAGCACAGGACAACGTAATGTGGTAAGCACAATAGGACAAAGAGGAAGAGGCATCTAACTCTGTCGACGGACTGGATTCTATGGGAGGAGAACCTGCCTTCTGACTTACAGGAGGAGAGATCTTAAAGTTGCCCCCAGGCCACTGAGAGGAGGGGCTGCTGCAGGGCTTAGCCAAGAGGGGCAACCCCTGAGGAGCTCAGGGATTCTGATGTCTGAGCAGCCCCAAGATCAGACCCCAAGTAGAAGGTCCAGAGAGGGAGACTGATGTTGGCTCTGGAGAATGAGACAGAAGGGGAAGTAGGCACCATGGGGAGAAGACAGGTGCCCCTCCAGAGGCAGGGCCCTTTGGTGAGGGAGGAGAATTGTTGCAGGCATAAACTGACCTGCATCTCCAGAAGAACCCCCGACCTCAGACTCAAGAAACAATGCTGGACACACCCCAGCTCTCCCTCCCAAGAATCTGGAGGGGTTGAGGGACAGGTGTGACTACCCTGCGCTCGGCTGGTGCTATGAGAGAAGCAGAGACTGCGTTTGCAGAGACAGGCAAGCATGGCTGGTGTGGGCTGGTGGGAAGGGAGAGTGCCAGCTGCTGCTCATACCTCCAGCCCCGCCTGAGGCTGCCTTGGGCCTCTAGCTGGTGTGAATTAGACGCCTATTACTTATAACCGAAAGAGTATTCCCTGAGCAAGGTATGAGGTGATATTTTGGAAAGAAATTTTCCCCTAAGGAGGGGCTCCCCGTATTGTGTGTTCTCGGGATGTGGCTTGGGCTATGGCTCATAAGTCAGCCTACAGGGCAAACTCCAAGCACAACTATTCACTGGCTACTGGATGTGGGCAATGTGGCCAACTTCCTATCCCACAAGGGGCTGTGAAGATTAAGATAATGGATGTAAAACTGTCAGTGGAACATATCATGCACAGTAAGCATTCAGTAAATATCATCTACCATTATGATTATTAATACCACCACAACCTCATCAGGGGAAAAGGAGTGGGCTCTGCCTATAGGTGTGTGCACATGTGTATGTGTGTCTATGTACATGTGTGTATAATGTATGTGTATGCACAAAGGTGTATGTCTATACCTGTGTGTATGCACAAAGGTGTATGTCTATACATGTATGTATGCACGTGTGGGTATGTGCATGTAGATGTGTGTGCACACGTGTGTGTGCATGCCAGCACACACATGCATGCAGAGGGTGGGCAGCATTGTGTCTATTCCTGTCTGACCATCCCCACAGCCAGAGGCCCACACAGAAGCCATCAGCTCACTCAGTACCATGCAGGCAACCCAGGTGACAGGCTGGGGGTCCCCTCCCTTGCCCCACCTCCCCTTCCAGCTACTAGTACTGGGCTACAGCCACAGCCCACCCTTTGATGCCAAAAGCCACCCTCCCTAAAACACTGAGCCCACTAGCCACATTATCCATCCCTGTCTGCTTGTCCTTGAGCTTCTGAGCTACTCAAGGACTGATAGCAGCAAGTGTACAATAAATGTTTTTACAGGAATGGATAAATCCAGTGTGAAACTATGTTTCTGTTGAAGACAATAGAAGCAACAATCAAGTGCTGGGCAAGAGAAGAAGTCAGTCTCCTGTGGGCTGCTGAGCATGCGCGCCGTCTGTGGACAGCTCGTGGGTACCTTTATGCAGAGCCCGTGGTCTGTAGGGGCGTTGTACTGCTTCCTGCCAGCGATCAGGGAGAAGATGTTGCTGTCCTCCAGGTCGGCCAGCAGCTGCAGGTGTCTGGGTTCCTGTGACAACACTGGCCAGGTTAAAGTCTCAAGCACAGCAAAGAGCAAATGTGTTCACCTCTGGTAGACAGAGGGCAGTCTCTGCACACTTACAAGCACTTTCCCCGATGACACTATACATATTACATATGATTATTACGCGAGGTGTAATAAGTGCTAAACTAAAACCAAATTCACCCAGTCTCACCCAAAACACCCACTTCCCCAGTTCTCAGACACACAAGGCTGTTGGAACGTATTTGATACTTCTGGCAAATCAAAGCCCCATGACCGGATATTCAAGATAAAAAGCAGGAGAAAATCTATAACCCAAAGGTCAGAGTTAAGAGCACAGGGCCTGTCTGCCTTTGGTTTGTTGTGAGTCCAGAGTCCAACCGTACTTTGGGTTTTCCCACTGGTAGCTTGCTTGTCCCACCCTTCTCCTCCTCAACTCTCCAGCCCAGCTCTGTTTCCTGCTCTACGAAATACCCTCCCAACTTCAGCACACACGAGGACAGTGAGCGGGCCACACAGCAGAGCTGGGAGGTCAGGAAGCTACCATGCCCTGTGTCAGTTCAAAGCCCCTCTCTGCAGACGCCCCTTCTCTCTGGCCCAGGTGTCGGCAGCTGCTGACTTCCCAGAGCCGGCCCCAACACCTTCCCAGAGCCGGTTCCCAGATGCTCAACACCTGTGCTGGGGTCCCGCCAGCTCCCTTTCACCTCTGCTGGCCAGAGCAAAAGAGACCACAGCCCTCAGATGGTAAGTGCTCAGCCAGGTATTGGGTGGACAAGGCTCCTGCCACAGGGTATATGTGGACAGCACAAGAAGAGAGCAGACAAGAGTGTACATGGGAGCAAAGGAGCCTCCGGCCTAAGCTCTCTTTTGAGGGCCTGCAGCTGTTTTCCATCTCCCACCTTCTTCTCACTGGGGATACATGCAAGCCTGCAGTTTATTTCATGAAATATCTATGATACATAAAGTTACACTGGCATTAGGGTGGCAATAGTCTATCAAACATCTTTACAGCTAGCTTAAATCCCAACTTATGAGAACTAGGCCAGTCTCTGAAGTGATGGGGCAGCCAGGGGTGTCTGCTCCCAACCCGCAGTGGGGGTGGGGCTAGGCAGGTGGGGTTCTTAGGCCTGTATTATTTATTACCTAGTTTCTGAGCGAGACCAGGAAACCTGTGACTCCAAGTTCAGCTGCTGCACAATTAGCTTATTAAGAAGTTGTCCTGAGCTTGGAGGAGTCTAAGGTGCATTTAAAAATGAAGCCCAGGTTCACTCTGAGGACCTGGGGGGAGTGACTGTGGCAGAATTAGGGCTGGTGGTGGTAGCTTTTAAAGCTCACCTTTGAAGTTCCCTTGGTGGAGCAATAAAGGCCAGATCTCCGCAAACACACATACAGCTTTTTCCATGATTTCTTTCCCAGCTCTTTCACATGCAAAAACCCTTGAATTTCAGGACAACTACTGGAGTTCAGAAAATTCTGTTGAAGAACAAATTTTTAAAATCACATAATGCTAATCTAAAATAATTAAAGCAGACATGTTATCAGCATAGCTGACATTTTCTGAATTATTAAAAGACTCCTTTTTGGATCAAAATGAGAGTGTTCTCCTTTCCAAAGTCTTAAAATCCCATCTCAATTCGTGTTGCATAGAACATAATTCGTATTTAAACATATGCAAGCAAATGGACCTTTCCAACACTGGTGATAACACGAGTCATGAATTTCCCTATAAGATAGTGCACTGAAGGATCCAGTCTGATATCAGACTGAGGGCAAGAGCAAGTGCCATGACCAAGTGATTGGGACTCTGGAGACTGACAGTGAGTATGTAGTGGCCACTTTTACCCAGGCACCCCTCCAGTCAAGGGTCACATAAAAGGTGTCATGTGTCCGCAAGTGATGCACCCAGGTGCAGGACATCCTGGTGATGTCCCCCTGTTCCAGCTAACTCTTCCCACAGGCAGCCTTAAGAATAAAGGCTTTATCAAAACAAAACAAAACAAGAAACTACGCTTTTCATCAAAGGGAAGACAGGCCAAGGGCCAGGTCATGGAGCGAAGTTGGGGAGGTGATGCTGGCAGGTCCTGCTACTAGACTGGGAGGGGACAAAGCTCTTTTCCCCCAGGTGGGAAAGGCACGTCGGACAGAGCCCTGGTGCACCTGGGTCAGTCCTTCTTGAGTCTCAAGAGATCACTGCACATCTTCACAAAGCGCATGGATCCTCTCAAAGTCAAGGCAATTAAAACAGAATCTGCTATTTCACTGTTCACTGTGTATAGGTGGTAACTTAGTGCTGACACCTCTCGCCAGAACAGACACATGCTATGGTCAGAAGGGCTTCTGAAGACACCACCAGAACAGAGCTCTGAAACTCTTATCTTTTAGATGCTGAAACAAATTTGGTGATAACAACGTAGAAAAAGGGCTTATGAGGAGAATTCTGTAGGAACTACATTTTAGTAGTTTCTCTTACATGTAATGTCACCTGGATCTTGTTGGTGGCCTTAGGAAATGGTTTATTCTCTCACTTTTAACATGTACACAGGCACATTTTTAGGGTGTAGCTGTAACATTCCCATTCCCCACTCCCAGCTTCCCCGGAGGAGTGTGTGTGAGAGCTGGGCACAGAGGCCCTGGTGGCTCCCTCCACTGGAAGAGGAGGTGGGGAGAGACCAGGTTTTCTTAGAACAGACTTTATGAATCAGGACAATTAAAGCAGGTTTCTTTATTTGTAATATATGGCAAGTTACTTTTAAAAGTCTGTTGTGGTAACCCGATCATCTTTTACTATAGACTCTGTGCTTCTGCAGAGATTTCCAAGCAGCTAGGCGGTGGCCTGACCTGGGACCCCTGCTCAGAAAGGAGCTGGGGAGGGAGCCCTGAGACTGGGGTTTCTCCATGCACCCCCTGGCCCACACTCAGCAGTGGCATCACTGGACTCTTCTAAGTCAGAGCAAGGGCATCGTGTAAGTGCCTGTTTGGCTTAGAAGGAACCCAGCTACACACAGATTTTCCAAGGAAACTTTTAATTTCTGGTTACTCTAAACCCTCCCCCCAACCACCCCTCCGGCTTAAGAGCCAAGGTTATAAATGGTGAAAGATGCGATCTCTTTAGGTTTTTTACAATGCTGCCATTCAGTTCCAAGAGGATTTCTATTCAGAAAGTCTATTTCAGCAGAGATCTATTGTGGCCCAGTACCTGCAAAAGCTGGGTTTGACTGCCATTTGACTGCTGGCACCAAGTAACCATCTGTTCTGGGAAGAAATTCTAAGAAAATGGGAAAAAACAAATACGTAAAAGGTTAGCTTCAAAGTGAGGGAAGGTATGTCATATAGATATGTCAATTTTAAAACTATTCCTACCAGTATAATTACATACACCTGTATTTAAAATGGCGGTCCTTTTTATTCTCCTATCACACAGAAGAAACACCTCCTTCAAAAGGTTGTATTTTGTTTCCTGAAATGCTGGGTACTAGTGTGGAATACCAACTATGTTTACTAAGGGATTCATGTCTCACAGCATGCTCCATGGCAAAGAGCGATGCCAGCGTCCCAGCCCAGTGGCACAAGTGCACAGCGTGAGATAAAGAATTCCTGAAACTAAAAGGTAAGCCCAGTCACGAGAAAAGCCTGTTCTGCTGCATTCCCCAAAAACAGTCTTCAAATTTCTTACTTTGGAATAAAAAAGCAGCTACATTATCAGAGTCAGAAATGGCCCTGGGTCTTCTCCCCAGTTGATGCAGCTCTGACCCATGACTCAGGATGACAGCGAGTGCCCCAGGAGCTAGGAGGTGCCCTCCCTATCCTGGCCTCTCACAGGACAAGTGCCTCTCCCAAAGAAAGAAAAGAGAGATCAAGGTGACCAGCTCAAGACACCAACCAATCGCACTGATTTCTCTAGTCATTCTTCCACGTATGATCACAAAATATATTTGCTATTTGCAGAGAATAATGAGTTTTTCTTCTGCTAAGTGTTTGATCAGTTCAACTGAGAACTTTCAAAATAACAGAAAACACCCAGCCTCTCCCAGCTCCTGTCTTAGAGACTAACCCCCTTTACACTGTGTCTATGTGAAGAAGGAGACCTCTACCTTCAGCCAGTCCCACGCACATTTAGTGAAGCATGAGACTGGGTTTCAAGCAAGGACTGCTTCATTAAACTACAACTCTGATTCTCAAACCCATATGCTACACCATGCCTCTCAGTCACTTTCTAATCTGATACTATGAAACCCAAGTATAAACTTCAAGATTTCAAGAGTCCCAAACCCCAAACCTGAAGAGGTAAGACTCACCATGGGATTTTTAAAGAACTCGTATTTTGCGTAATTCTTCCTGAATAGAAATTTACTCTCACTGGCCATGGTACTCTCCACCTGGACCACCAGCTCATGGTCTTCCAAGCACCTCTCTGCAGGGGCAAAGCATCACGTGTGAGACGCAACAGGTGGGAAATTCATGGTAGCTTTACAACCAAATGGAAGATTTGTTCAACTTTCTATTCTTCTTTAAACATTATGAATAAAGATGAGGTCAGGAAGGAAACTAAATTTAAATCTCTCTTTAATGCATTACCAAATGCATAAGAGGTCTTAAGATATACAGCATGAAGAATTCAGGTCAATACTTATTTTTATATACTTTTTGAATTTGGCATCAACCAGATGTTAAGGAATGAGCCCGTAAGACTCTTAGCAAATGATTTTGCCCTTAAATTGAGAAATTTCAACTCTTGTAAAGACTATAACAAGTGAGACAATATTCAAAGACAAAGGAGAAAGAACTTGAAAGAGGTGGAGGAGGGGGATGACCAAGAAGGTGCAGAGATGGAAGGAGATAGAAGCTTTTTGATGACATCAAACTTGGTTGCCAGAAAAGATGGTGCTGTGTACTGTGGGAGAGGCCGTGATGCACAGCAAGACTGTACGTACATACTCATCTTTCACACTGAAGCCCGCACGCACATCATGGAATAGTTCTTGTCAACCGAATTACACGTGAAGGCAGGGAAGAAAACACACTCCATCCTCCAGCACCCGCTGTGGACACGTACACACACACACATGCACGTACGCACACGCCTCCTTCACAGCATCTTACATAGCAGCACTGTCCCCCAGAAAGGGAAAAGTCGCTTCCCTCACTGTGTGAACACAGTGGTTCCAAGTGGAGCGGGAAGAACTCAGCATACTCTAGAACAGCGTGTGCCCAGAGAGGCCGCACTGCTCCCTTTCATGGCAGTTACGTCCCTTCCCAGGCACCTCCTCAGAAACTGTCATGGGAGGATGGTGGCCATGGGAAACTAACCTTATTAAATCATGGAATAAACAAGATGAACAAATGTACAGCAGGGTCAAAGTGTGAAGTGATGCCAAAATGGTACAGATTAACATGCTATGGAATTGACACCAGGGTAGTTCTGTTATCCTAAGACCCTACCCTCCTCTCCTGCAGCCAGACTGGAATCTTGAGGAAAGTTTCATCTTGGAAGGAAGGAATGAAGTTAAAGGCAAAAGCATTTCTGAGTCAAAGTGATCTCAGAATGCAGAAAAGACTTTCCGTCTACAACGAACAACTGTCGCCATGGGCACTCATCTCAGATGAGCCCCGACCGGCATGCAGAAGCAAATTCTGGAGCTGATTCGTGCTCGGCCCCGGTTTTGACATTACAAGGAAAGGATTCCTTGGTAAAAACACATTTAAAGCCAGAGTTTGTGAAGGAAAGGAATTTTCTCCCCGTGGCTGCCAGAAAGCTCAGACTTGGCACCACCACCAAGTGTGGAGCAGTTCCCATTTGTCCCTGTCTGGGAGGGAATGCTGCTAGCAACATGTGAACCAATACGTGGCCCTCATGTCTCCCCATGATAGAAAAAGAGAGAAACCAAGAACATGCAACAAAAACTGTTACGTTTGCTTTCCAAAAAGAGGTTCATTCATTGAAAATGGATTTTCCAGAAGGAAAACAAATCAATGACTTCTGTTGAAATGTTTATTCAGAGAAAAATGTCTTTCTGTAGTTACAGGAAAAAACAAAAACAAAAACCCAAAACCAAAACCAACAATCTAATAACCTGTTGATGGTTGATTTACAGAACTAAAAATTTTTATCAGGCAAAATAAGGAGAAATAAAAATGGGAGGTGATAGCTACCTAAATGAGGAGGATATGTCTGTTTCCAAAGCGAAGGGCATTTTGTCTCCAAAGAACCCTGAGGAGAGCCAAAGAGGATGCCTGGGGCAGCCACCAGCCCCAAAGGGGGTGGCCAAACCCACGCAGGCGCCCATCCTTGTGGACAATACTTTCCTGTCTCCCTGCGCCTCCCCTGGAAAGATCATGGGAAA
Source organism: Homo sapiens (assembly GCF_000001405.40). Lineage (NCBI taxonomy): Eukaryota > Metazoa > Chordata > Mammalia > Primates > Hominidae > Homo > Homo sapiens. The sequence continues at coordinate 50,621,216 of NC_000007.14, forward strand.
GTTGCACATGGCAGTGTAAACACACAGGGGGACGTGTCCCTGGTGGTCAGATCCAGGTGGACAGGTGAGGGCTTGGTGCCCTGGCAAAGGGGGGCCCAGGAACTCGGGATAACCGGTGGGCTGTGAAACTGACTGTGTATCCTGACAGAAGTGTGCTTTTCTGAGGCTGGTGACTCCAGAGGGCGCCTACCATCCCCAGAGGTGGGTCCCAAGACAAACAAAACATCAACTCCCTTTTCGTCACTCACAGCAGGTCAGTGAACACAACGTGGCAGGTGACCCCTTTCTCAGAGATCCAGAGCTGTGCAGCCTCCGGATGCAGCTGAGTGCCCCTGGCACAAATGCTCCAGGCACCAGTGTTCCAGTTGGCCATCGACTGCACATCTGTTCAAAGATCTTCCCTCCAGTTTTAATTTTCTCCATGATTTAAAGATATGTATTTTCAAATGACCTTGCATGATTATAAACAATCACATCACTATCTATAAACTGCATATGATTACAATGGCCTAAGTTAAATGGGAACACTACTTTTCAAGATAATATTCCAAAAATAATTTCAAGAAATGGAAAGGGCAAAAATTCCTTGAAGTACATTTGTATTTTTCAAATTTCTGAAACTAATGCTGGCATTACTCTACTCCTCAAGAAAAAATATTTAAATATCAAGACAACTCAAAAAAGAGAATCTTACTTCCTTGCCTTAACCCTTGCAGCTAAAGTGTGACTCCTCGGCAGAAACCTGTGCTGCCAGTTGGCAGTGGAGGGGCCATGGCAGAGCCGGTGCACGGAAGCTGTGCACCCCACTGTCTCGGCCTCACATCGAGCTGCAGCCCTTGGGCCACTCCCTGCCCATCATTCCTCAGCACAGCCCACCCAAGGGAGAGAAAAGAGCTGTCAGCAAGCTCAGGGCTTTCCCAGGCTAAGAAACTGTCAACAGAGTAATCAGTGAGATAGCCCTGACGTGTGGATAAGGCCGTAAGTGGACTTCTATTTATAAATTTTAGTGGGGGAAAGGACATCTTTTGTTGCTTTTCACATACAAAAGGGAGAGAGGGACATAAAACCAGCCTGCAAAAGGCCCCCTCTAATCAGCAAGAGTCAACAGGCGCCGGCTGTTTCTCCCTCCACACCTTTCTGCATGTCCAGCTGTCAGCATCCAACAGCGTGGCAGCCACAGGACCTCCAGAGTTACTGCCACGGTGTTTCCCATCTGACCAGGAACAACCACAAAGCTGTAAACAGCCCGAAAAGGACTTGTTGCTCTTCCTGTTTCAACCTAATTCTCAGGACAACGGAATTCCTCAAATCCTTGAAATTTGTAAGATCTGGCGGAAACCCTCTTCTCTTTACTGTGTTCTCTGTGTAAGTTCCAGCCTCTCTCCCAGATTATCTGACCTTAGTATGCCTGATGTCTACAGTTACTTGGGGCCTGGGTGCAAGAGCCCCAGGCACCAGGTGCCCCCCACATTCCCAGGGATGGGTTTATCTGCAATCCCATTTTCAAGTTCAGGGGGCATCAAGATACTAGTTTTGTATGTTTAAATTTGTATTTTTCAAAATTCCTTTTATCTTTTTTTTTTTTTTAATTTTTGAGGCAGGGTCTTGTTCTGTCAAGCAGCTGGAGTGCAGTGATGCAAACACAGCTCTCTGCAGCCTCAACTTCCTGGGCTCAGGTGATCCTCCTGCCTTGGCCTTCCAAAGTGCTGGGACTACAGGCATGAGCCACTGTGCCTGGCCAAAAATATCTTTTAAAATATAATTTGTTTACTTGATATGTCTGCAGGCTGACTGTTTAATATCACTGCATCCTCCATGTGTGAAGCTGCCCTGGCTAAGGTGAACCTTCCAGAGACTTGCAGCTCACCATGCTCGGGGCAGAAGGGATGGGGACACCTTCCAAAAAACCTGCCCCATTCTGGCAGCCTCAGCTGGACTTACTGTCGGCTGTTGAGTGGCCTGGGTCAGGGACAGTGTTTTCATGGCTAAGAACTCCACTCCAGACACTGAGACTGAGAAACATCCCCAACAGGTAGAACCTGGGGGCAGTGCTAACATAGGAAGGGACCATTTAAAGGGACAAGTGAACTGGGAATCATAAAACAGACCATCATTCACTAGGGCTTCACCTACCAGGGCAAGGGGCTTTGCAACAACTTTTTCAAGTGCGTCCAGTAGTGAATGTCCCCAGGAGCTAACGCTGGGAAGGGCCACCTGACCTCAGTCTGCTCATAGGAGTCGTTCTCTGCTTATCCACAAGCGCAGCACAGAGCGGGCAGGAAAAACCACCCTCAGCGAGAGGGGCTACTCTGCCGAGTGACAGCAGGGATGCCACTGTTGCTGCCAATGGAGGGTGACCAGCATCTCAGAGGAGCGATGCCCTCCAGGCTGCAGACACCCACGCATGGTGCTTTTCTCCCGCAGAAAGGGAACCACCTGCTGCAGGCTATCTTGGGAACTACCCTCACTTTTTCTAAAGCCATCACTTCCTTCTGGGTATAGAAAAGGTTTAATATTATTAAGGGACTGATATTTTAGCTGTTAAGATCCTTATACAGGTTGAATATCCCTTATCCTAAATGCCTGGGACCAGAAGCTTTGGTTTTTGGATTTTTTTTCAAATTTTGGAACATTTGCATTATAGTTACCAGTTGAACAATCCAAAATCCCAAAATCAGAAATGCTTCAATGAGCATTTCCATTGAGCATCAAAACAGTACTCAAAACATTTCAGATTTTAGAGCATTTCAGATTTCAGATTTTTGGATTAGGGATACTCAATCAGTAATAATGTACTTTGTACTTTGGAATCTTCAATTCTGGAGGCCCTACATAGGCTTAAAATGCTGTCCAACTTGGGTGCCCTATACCCTCAATTATGGGGGGGTTGGGTTACAATCTGCCTTAGTATCTGCCTTATAGACTTGCAAGCACTACCTGCCTTTTGCCCCAGCCACCAGCCTGGCGTATGTACACATCCCTGTGAGAATACCTGACATATAATTACCTGGGCAAGTGCTCTCTACAAGGAGACAGCAATGCCTGGGGATGTGCCCTAAGAGTTGGAGGGCCAGAAGGGCCCAGGAATACCATCCATGATAAAGAAGAAGCCCCTGTTGGCCTTGCGGCCCTTGCGTCCCTTTCCAACGGGGATAAAGCTGAGATACTCAACAGGCTCTCTGAGAGGCACCCTGCAGCCCTGCATTTTCTCACTAATGAGCTTCTGATAGTTGAATGCTGCCAAATCATGGCAGAAATAAGATTTTTAGTTAAACAGCAACTTAAATTAATTTTTTAAAAAACGTTAAGTGATATGGTTGGGTCACAAAACAGTATTCAGAGAAGTTATAGGGATGGGGACACAGAAACCCTGTGTCAACGGGAATGAGTCCTGGGGGTACTGACCTTATAGGCTGGTGAAACTGGTAGCTCTAAAAACTTGCAAAGTCCTCTGCAAACCCAGCCAACAGAAAAATGTGTTTCCTAGTAACTAATAAGAACGGGACTGGTGGTGAGAAAGAAAACTGAGGAAGGAGAGGAAGGATATTCTAAGGAATTTCATGTATCTTCAAATCCCGGCTGTGTGAGGTTCGTTATTTTTTTATTTTTTATTTTTTTTGTGAAACAGGACCCAAAATTTGACACAAATATTCCTCTTTTTTTTTTAATCATTTCACTTGTTTCCCTTTCCCTTTTTTTCCTTTTATACTTAATTTTACAATAAAGTGTCATCGCCCACTAGAATGTATTAAGTCCATCTATAAAGAAGAGAAAGAAATAAGGTATGTAAATATCACAACCCTACAAATCCTGTGTGCTTATGGACATTTCTTTTCCTATTCTCTCAGAGTAAATGGTTCTTCATTTGGTTAAAGTTTTAATGCATCATTTATTTATCTACCATATGATAGTCTAGAAATCAAAGGGTATCACATGAAATAGATAATTCAAAATTTCTGAAACATTCCTTATATGTTAAAATTTTATGTATGTATATCTGTACCCAATTTCTATGTGTCCTGAGTGTGTCCAATTATATTCAAGTACTAAATGTCCGCAGAAGTCCTTTTCATAGTTCTTTCAAATGAAAAGAATATTGAGACTTGTGAATGGGCTTTCAACAATAATCATTGTATTTGGGTCAAACTATACAGACTTGTTTTTAAAATTTTATATATATATATTTTTTCATACATATATATACACATGTAGAGACACATGCTGAAGGTTTCCCACTGCTGTCTAATTTCCAAGTTACTTGTGTGTCAACAGGTGCTTTTGACAGCCTTATCAGACCACTGTAGGATCCACTCATGGACGTCCCAAGCTGGAGCTTGACGGGACAGCTAGTCTCCATGGGAACAACTGTGACATCATGGTCACTAACTGTGGACCTAGTAAGTGATCCTGGCAGGAGAAAGCTGTTAGTGACAATGGAGGAGAAGGCTTCTGTCGTCACACAAATGCGTTTAGCAATTGATAGAGATGGGAAAGAAACCAGCAAGAGTTCTATCCAATTCCTTCAAAAAGCATACCGTCTCTCCAAAGTACAGGGCGCATTAGAAAACAGAGACTTAAGGTGGTGTCAGCTCAAATTTACACTGCATTATTTAGGCTTAAATTGTATAATATTACCTGGAAGGATGCTACTCCAGACCTAGAGGTTTAAATTAAGTATTCCAGACCTAGAGGTTTAAATTCAATGTATTAATCTTTCAAAAAAGGTTCATGAGAAAAATTTAGAACTATGGGAAGTTTCCAATCTGTGTTATTTTTCTCTCCTTCAAGACATGGAACAAATATAGCTGTTGATTTAGAGAAAATTTTGGTTTTGAATATTTTACTATGACTTTGTAAGAACTATATTTATTAGATAAGAATTTAAGCAAAAGTCTGAAAAGCTTTTTTACCTAAAATAAGCCACCTGAACAAAATACCTCAATACGTTCTGTAAAGAGTCAATATCTTCAAATATTCTGTGATACAAAATATTCTCTTACTTTTTAGGCATGACATGGGCACACACATATACACGTGCATGAACACTGTTCAAAGCCTTATTAACCAGCAGGCAGAGATGCCATGTAAGACTCAACTCAAACTTACAGCAAAGTGCTTCATAATTTGCTCCAATTCCCAGCGGACCTCTCTGCACTTTGCTGCCTATAACCATGGCTCCCTTCTTCCCATGAGCTGAGGAGCTGATCTCAGAAGGGCAGCTGCAATCCTGTGCATGGCCAGCTCTCTCCAGAGCACCTCAAGGGCACCTCCCTCCTGTCCCCCGCCCACAGGTGTGCAGCAAGCTCCATGTGGCTCTGACAGCTGGGGAGGCTGGACAAGCCACAGGGAACCTCGCCATGTCTGAGCCCTTGGCAAGTTATTACCTCAACCATCCAAGGCAAGATTCCCAAAGTACTAGGGGAAAGGGGCTGGAGGGAGGAGAGTGAAATTTTAGGAGAAACAGGAGAGTCGAGGGGAACCCAGAGACTGCCTGCTAATTTCGCAGGGGACACTGCGGTCACACATTTGGCATTTGGCAGCAGCAGTCTTCATTCAATTGCACATAAGCATCCCCAGGTGCCAATCCTGTTCTGATGGTTCCCTACCTAATCCTAGGTGCGGGTGGTGCTCCACTAGTGTCCAGCTGTTGTCATCCACACAGTGACTTTTGTAAACCAGCAATTGGCACAGGTCTCTGGCTGTCATGTCTGCTAGAATCTCCACCACTTTGCTTGTCCCATCTTCACTAAAGACTTTAACATCCTGCAACACACAAAGGGGATAGTTACAGATAAACAACTTCGGGCTTTCAAGAAATAAAAACTGAAACAAAAGAAAACAGGTAAAGTAAAAATAGTAGTGCTCCAACACATGGGCAACTGTTTTTCCAGGCAGCCAACAGGTCCCCACCAGCTGCAGGGATGTGACTCTTCCTCCCTATCTCCCCTTTCCCACCTCCTGGGGGCAGAGCAGGTAGGATTACAACATGATACTCTTAAAATGCCCAGGACAACTCATGGGAACATACAGCACACGGCTAAACCACCAAACCTGTCTTAAGAAGTGACAGGATTCACAGGATTCATTTAAAATACGCTGGTGGTCTCCAGGTTGGACATTTTACAGTTGAACCAATTGAAAAAACAAGCAAGCAACAACAAATCCTGTAAATCTCCCTCTTCCCATCATAACCTTTGACGAGTCGACCTGTTCTCCCAGGGCACAGGGTCCAGCAGCGGCACCTACAGCCTTTCCCGCAGCACCTCACCCCTCACAGACACTGAGGCTCAGGGTGGAGTGGAGATGAATTAATACAAAAGAAGGGCATAATAAAAACATAGTCACAAGATTCTTTAGCCCCTAACCCCTACAAAGTTACAAGCAAGCTTCATTTGCCCGGTGCTGTTCAAATCCATGAACACCGAGCAGCTCCAGGCCAAGGGATGGAGAAGTAGAGTCCAGAGGACGGGAGTCTATCCCTTCCAGGCAAGACCCTGCAGCAATGCACCCTTCCCAGAACACGAGGTGTGTTTAACAAATCCTTACCTCGACAGCCCGGAAAAAGCAGTCAGAGGAGCAAGATGGCATTTTAAATTGCGACTGCCTCTTGCAAGGGAGCGTGTTTCCGTCTCTCCCCACTGTCCCAGGCTGGCTGTGTGGAGCCTGCGTGTGCCCTGGGGGGCAGGCTGTCTCCGGGCAGCAGGGAGGCCACCCACCCACCCGCTGGGCTCCCAGGCTGCCTTGCACCGGCTCCCTTAGGGAGTGAATCCAGCCACAGTGATGCAATCACCCCACGGACTTGCTCTCCCACTCCCATACGACAAGACCCGGACTTGGGGGTGAGGACGCCAACCACAACAACCGCAACAACACAACTCTCACACCAACTGGTCAGAAAAACCCCCGCTCAATGCTTTCCCATGGCAGTGAAATCACACACAGGCAGCTGAGAGGCTGAAACACGTGCGTTCTCTGAATCCAGACCCATCTGCCAACCTCCAAATAATCTTTGTCCCGCAACTGATGTGTCAGTGGCAGCTTTGGAGCTGGATCTGCAGGGTGGGTGAGAATGTTAGTTTGTCCTGACAAACTCCCTCCGAGGCTCCCCGCTCTCTCTGGCCCCTTTTCTTGTGTTTGGAAGGGGGTGCTTACTTGCTCTGAACTTTGATTTCTGTGGCCGGCGTGGAGTCTGACAGCAGAGGGAAGGGCTGGGAGGCCCCCACCTTAATCAGGAACTGGGACCACACCATTCTACAGGGACCCTCTTGACCCTCCTACAGCTAGCTACCCTCAGCTGTCACCCGGTGGGCAGGAAGGAGTCAATGTCACTCAAGCCTGAGTGCCCAGGTGGGGGTGGTGGGGGTGGTAGAGGCGGGGCTCAGCGAGAGCGGAAGAGCCCTTCTCTGTGAGGGCAGGTTAGCCTCCCAGCAGACGGGGGACCAGCCAGGGGAGCCTGCACTCTCAGGTAGGGTCACTGCCCCCTGCCTGCCACCTACGGGCCACTTCTCCAACTCAAAGAAATCCCAGGGCTGGGGCTGGATCAGGACCCAGAGACTTGTTTTCAACTCTTATTTATTTTTCAAGAAATCCACCATCTCTTTTCCAGAATTTATGTGTCACTCAATGAAAGTATACTTCCCCCTAACAAGCAAAATATTCAAATACAGCTGACATGGCTGAATAAGTCTACAGAAATACAATTTAAGTGAAGAAAACATGTCTCTGGGTCCTAGGTAGGAATGTTATTAAAATGCATTAACATAAAAGAAAAACAGGAATTTGGAAAATATAACTGAGCTCCAACAATGCTTTATAAATATGCTAACCATCATAGGGAATGTCTTCAGGACCAGTGCATGCCTTCTGCTACCCAAATCAGGGTTCCTAATGCTCTTCTTCCCTGAGTCTCTCAATGAGCTTATCTGCACTGAGGATACATGATCTTCTCTAGGAAAGTGAAATTATGTTGAAGTGTGTGTCTCATCTCTCTCCAAGTCTCTTTGCCACTTTTCTTGTTCAAATCAGCCATGCCAATGGTTTTCTCATTTTTTTTTTCAGCCCTGCTGCATTTTTCTTTAAACTCTCTCCCCAACCCCTGTTGTTCCACAGCCATCCCCCCAAAGGTCTATAAATAGCCCGGGTATTAAAAGCTGAGATGTGCTTGGTCACACGTCCACATCCACTCCTTTTAGATTCCCACAGAGGCTGGGCTGGCGAGACCCTGAGGGGGCAAGGCAGACAGGAGACTGAGTCAGACACAAAGGCAGGCACCTTCCAGCTCCAGCGACAGGCCCCTCTGCCCCTGACACAGCACTCTCTGGTACTTCCAATCTCACCAGGGCCCTCCAACCACACACAAAGCTAAGACCCAGAGACAGAACACCAAGAAAGCCCTGTGTATACCAGCCATCTCAAACCACCCAGTCAACGCGTAGAGCTACTGATGAGAATGTTTGTAAGGAACACAAGAGGTACGAGGGCTCCTATTACAGGGTACTGCCAGCCACTGACCACGGAGTCTTTTAGAGCTGGCAGTTCTAGGAGGAGCATTCTGTACAGCACCAACTGCCCCTTTAGTAACCACCTGAGCACTGCTGGGGGCTCAGGTCTCCTGCGGAGCAGGCCTGGGTTTCCCTGGCCCATCCAGTGTTCAAGCATCTCACACGAGGTGGGCCTAGAAGGTTCTCTCGAGCAGGTCAAGGCCCTTGTCCCGCAGCAACTCACAGTTCAGAGCGGAGATTGTTACCACAGGCAGTTAATTTCCAAGGTATGACTTGTTTAGGGAATATAAGAATCTGGTAACACCAGGAAAGGTGAGAAGCTGAGACCCACAAGTTCTATCTGAGTTCTATCCCGGCTTAGCCTCCTACTGGCTTTGTGACCTCGGATAGGTAATTAGCAATCTAAGACTTGCTTTCCTCATCCAAGCTGTGGGGAACTGCTCTGAGAATCAGTAATGTAAGCAAAACACTGCTTAATCAATGTATGGAAGTTCTACATTAGTTATGACCTATCTTGGCCTGGGGTGGTGGTTCCAAAGAGGAACTTAGAAACAGACTTGGCCATAACCATGCTTCATCAGTAACTAGCTGTGGGAACATGGCTGAGCTATCCAGCCTCTCTGTGCCTCAGTTTCCTCATCTGTAAAATGGAAATCTGTAAGCAGCACCAGCCTCATAGTGTTGCTATGACATGGATTAATGAGATACCCTCTTGAAAAGATCCTGGCCCCTGACACGTGCCCTCCCTGGGACGTGCTTGGATCCACCGTGGATCTGGGAACAAGGCAGGCTCCAGCTGAAGGCCTGTGGACAACCACCGAAGGGTGCAGGGGCAGGACCCTGAAAGCTGCTTCCAACTCAGGATTTCAGTTCTGAGAAAGCAAACCTCATGACCAGTTAAGATGCAGCAGGAACAATTCAGTCAGAAAAGCCACCCCTCAAATCCTCAATTTCTTTCTCTCTACTGCAAAAAAGCCCCTAAATAGCAAATTGTTTTTAAAAATAAAACGGCAATATTAAAGAGGGCATAATTATGTCAACAGCATGAAACTCTGTCTTTTTAGAGTTAGTTGGGGGAGGAATGGTTTGCAAAGCTACCCAGGCCTCTGGCTGGCTTGGCACTGAATCCCGTTATAAAAGCCCTGAAGTGCTAATAGAAGGTTCCACTGTTCCCAGACTTTCTGTTGTCACTTTTTACATATTCACTGCATAGACAAAAAAGCAAGAGCTTAATTTTTTTTGCAAACTTAAAGGAAGAAGTTTAAGAACAATTGGAGTTGAAGGTAGATCATTATATCTCCACGGCCCCAAACTCCACTCTGGGGCACCTGGTTTTTTGTCTCAGTGGCCCCCACGGGGTTGTTGTGTGTGTGGGAGTCATTCAGGCCCCTCCTTGCTGTCAATCTTAGCACAGACCCTCACTCTTGCTTCCTGCCACAGTCTTAGACCTTGCTCTTGGATAACTTACAGGCTCAGGGAATCTCATGACTGCATCCAAAAGACCTCCTGACTGGCTGTGAGTCTTTGCTCAAGGCTCAGCAGTAATCGCCTTGTAAAAATAGCAAATGGGGCACTCTCTTTGTCCTCTTCGAGCCCTCTGCAGCATAAGATGTCCCTGGACAGACGGCCCAGCCTCCAGGGTGCACACACTGACCCACAGTACCCGAGATCCACACCTACCCTGAGACCTTCACACAGAAACCGAGACATCTGAGGGCTTCTGGGCCAGCAGCTCTTGCGACCAGTTTCATCCCAGTGCTTAATTATGATCTAGCATACTTTTTAGTTCAAAAGCTCTTTTAGGATGTAATGTAAAATGGAGTTTTTAGTAACTCTGGTAAATACTCGTGGTAAATGTTTTGGAGAAGCCAGGTTGTAATCACAGGGCCAAGTGGAGGCATTCACAGGGTAAGAGAAATTATCAAAGCAGGCAAAAGGTCCCGAAGACGTGATATGAGGTTGTGCATGTGGATGAAATCCTGTTCTGGGTGACCTACCCTACCCTACCTGGCCTCCGAGGGGCCTTGAGGAGAAAGCAGGAAGACTGCTGTGCCAGGAAGGCAAAGGAAGCCTTAACTCCACGCACATGTCTCTGCCCCTTTGACAGGAGGTGGAGCTATTTCTGGAAGGCAGAAAGCTTGCCCGATGTCACAGAGGTGGAAAGTACTGGAGCCAGGATCTAACCAGGGCTCCCCGCCCTGGCTCTGCTTGCCTTTCTTCTCCACTGCAACCCACTACCCAGCGTGTACCAGGTGGGCTCCAAGGCTTCACACAAAAAGGCTTTTGATTCCATGTGGCCCTGAAGGCCTCAAATTGGGCAGACCCTGAAGCCTGGAGGTTTGGGGTAAATTACATTTACTTCAGACTAGGGCATAACCAACCAGGGTAGGCTAAATTAATCTCACCAAAAAGGAATGTAATTCTGCCATTATTTTTAGTTCTGTTTTAAATTAATGATATTATTTCTTGATATAAGGGATAACTGAAGCACTACACATGATTATATGGCTCTACTCACCATAAAGAGAACACGCATAATAATCCTGTTCAATTATAGTGACTCAAACCTACTTAAAAAAAATGTGCTTAATAGCCTGCATTGTCCCACCTGAAGTGTTTTGTTGTTAGCCTGGGAGCAGTTCAGTGTCCCCCACCACAGCTGAGGCTTGACCCTGAGGCCTGGTCTCAGCTCCCCAGGACGCAGCACACTGCCCAGGGCTATGGAGATGAGACTTGTGGCCTGATTTCAAATACTGGAGGAGCCCCCACTGTCTGAACACAGCAAAGAGTGTGGCGCAGGTTCAAGGGGTGGCATGGGAGCCGGGTGCCCCACCCTTAGTGAGACCAGACCCAGAAGGGTGTGGCCTGATAGCCTTGGTTTCCGTTGCAGGGAGTCCTGAGGTCCTGAGTACCAGGAGCTCAGGGCAGTGCGGATGACTTGGGAGAAGCCTAGCTGGTTGGGCCAGTTGCTAGGGCTGGATGCTGGAGGGAGAACCACAGGGTTGGGGGAGTGTGAGCTGGCAGTCTCCAGGGCTACCTGCTGGGCTAAGCATCCCAGTTGCTCCTCCTACTGAAGAGACTCTGTTGCGCAGGAAAGGCAACTGTGCTGCACACTAGAGGGTTGTCCCAGTGGCCTGAGAGGTGTCCCTAGACCCCCGCCAAGGTTGGTGCTTGTACCTGCCCTGGAGAGCCTGGTCACGGGCTTGCCAGACCCAGCCATACCCAGCTCTGCCGCCCCCAGCCAGGGTGGTGGCAGAGTGCAGGACGGGATCCCTGGGAATCCCGCCCATGGCCAGGGAAACCCTGGTATTTCCCCACATCAACAAAGGCCAAAAATTCCACTGCTATTATTGCAACTGCCTCTCAACTGCAAGCGCCACCTACTGGCCTGTAGGGTGAACTGCATAACTCAAAGTAATTCCTGCTGACAGTATACAGCGGTGGGGGATGAGATAAGCCTCCTGAAACCTCCACCTCCCCATTTCTCTGTAGGAGACAGTGAGTCTGACCACTGGTCCAGCACACTGTTACTACAACCTACAAACAACTAGCATTTGAGAAAACCACTACACTAAAGCTATCTATAACCAAGTAATTCATAAAAGCCTTGGCCCCCTAAAACTACAGAGAAGCCAAGACAAAGGAACTTAACCAACATACAGAACAGTCACATCCTCAAGGTGGGGGAGGGAAGAAAAAATACCAAGCAAATGAAAGTAAATTCAAAAATAAGTAGTGACCGCTTCTACAGATGAGAAGAAACCAACACAAGAACTCCAGCTCCATGAAGAAACAATGTTGTGACATCCACATTAGCCCTCTAGCAATGGCTCCTAACCACAATGAAAACTTTGAAATGACAGATAAAGAATTCAAGATATGAAGTGTAAGGAAGCTCAATGAGAGCCAAGAGAAAGTTGAAAACCAACACAAAAAAACCAGAAGAGTAATTCTGGAGATGAAAGATGAGATAGATATATTAAAAACAAACAAAACAACAACAACAACTTTTGGAAATGAAAAGTTCACTAAAGGAATTTCAAAAAACAGTTGAAAGCTTCAACAATAGAGTAGACCAAGCAGAAGAATTTCAGAGCTTGAAGACTAGTCTTTTGAATTAGCCCAGATAAGAAGAAACAACAATTTTTTAAAAAAGAATAAAGCCTTTGAGAAATGTAAGATTATTTAAACCTAGGACTTATAGGTATTCCTGAGGGAGAAGAAAAAAAATAAGTTTGGAAACATATTTAAGGGAAATAATTCAGGAAAATTTCCCCAAACTTGCTAGAGATGTAGATATGCAGATACAAGAAATTCAGAGAACCCATTAGAGATACTACAGAAGATGCACATTCACCAAAGAATGGTCATCAGATTAATTCAAGGTCAACATGAAAGAACAAATTTCAAAAGCAGTTAGATAGAAGTGTCAAATCACCTATAATGGAAATCCCATTAGACTAACAGTGGACTTCTCAGCAGAAACCTTACAAGTCAGAAGAGACTGGGGGTCTATTTTTAGCCTCCTTTAAGAAAAAAGAAACGTAAGTCAAGAATTTTATATTCTGCCAAACTAAGCTTCAAAAATGAAGGAGAAATAAAGCCTTTCCCAGATAAGCCAATGCTGAGGGAATTTGCCACTACTAGACAAATCCTACAAAAAAATTCTCAAAGGAGTTATAAAAATGGAAACAAAAGGATGATACTCACCATCATAACAGCATACATAAGTAGACAAAGCTCACTGTATAAAGCAATTACACAACTGAGACTACAAATAAACCAGCTAACAACACTATGACAGGAATAACACTTCAAATACCAATATTAATGTTGAACATAAATGGCCTAAATGTTCCATTTAAAAGACATGGACTGGCAAACTGGATAAAAAAACAAGACCCAGCCATCTGCTGCCTACAAGAGACCCACCTAACGGCTAAAGACACCTACAGACTCAAAGTAAATGGGTGGAAAAATATATATCATGCAATGGAAAACAAATGTGAGCAGGAGTAGCCATTCTTATATCAGATAAAACAGACTTTAAGCTAACAACAGTTTTAGAAAAAGAGACAATGAAGGGCATTATATCATAAGAATGCATTCAATACAAGAGGACATAAATTTTGGAAATACGTGTGCAAGCACCAAAGCACCCACATTCATAAAACAAATACAACTACACCTAAAAGAAGAGAATGACAGCAATACCATAATAGTGGGGGGCTACAACACCCCACTGACAACAGTAGACAGGTAACTGAGGCAGAAAGTCAACAAAGAAACTCTGAACTTAAGCTAGACCTGATCAAATGGAAATAATAAACATTTATAGAACATGCTACCCAGCACCTGCAGAATATACATTTTTCTCATCTGCACATCAAACAAAATTGACCAGATGCTTTGCCATAAAGCACATTTCAATAAATTTTTTAAAAAATCAAAACCATATCAAGTATCTTCTTGGACCACAGTGTAATAAAATTAAAAATCAATACCATAAGGAACTCTCAAAACTGTACAAATACGTGGAAACTAAAAAACGTGCTCCTGAATGACTTTTGGGTAAACAATGAACTTAAGGCAGAAAAAGAAATTTTTTTAATGAAAATAGAGACACAACATATCAACACCTCTGGAATACAGCAAAAGCAGTGCTAAGAAATAAGTTTTATAGTGTTAAATGTCTATATCAAAAAGACAGAAAGTTCTCAAATTAACAACCCAATGTCACACCTCAAGGAACTAAAAAAACAAGAACAAAACCCAAAGCTAGCAGAAGAAATGAAATAAAGATCAGAGCAGAACTAAGTGTTATTGAGACCCCAAAAAACAAAACAAAACAAAAAAACCCACAAAGGATCAATGAAATCAAAAGTTGGTTCTTTGAAAGGATAAATAAAATTGATAGCTAGCAAGTTTACCTAAGAACAAAAGAAGATTCACATGAGCACAATCAGAAATGAAAAAGGTGACATTACAACTGATACCACAGAAATACAAAAGATCATCACAGATTATTATGAACATCTCTATCCACACAAACTAAAAAACCTAGAGGAAATGGATAAATTCCTGGAAACACCCAACTTCCTGAGATTGAATCAGGAAGAAACAGAAATCCTAAATAGACAAGTAGGGGTAATAAAATGGAATCAGTAATTATAAAAATCTTCCAATAAAAAAAAAAAAAAGCCCAGGACCAGATGGATCCACAGCTTTTTTTTTTTTTTCCTTTCCTTTTTTTTTTTTTTTTTTTTTTTTTTTTGAGACAGAGTCTCATTCTGTCTCCCAGGCTGGAGTGCAGTGCAGTGGTGCAATCTCAGCTCACTGCAACCTCTGCCTCCTGGGTTCAAGTGATTCTTCTGCCTCAGCCTCCCAAGTGGCTGGGACTACAGGCACGTGCCACCACACCTGGCTAATTTTTGTATTTTCTAGTAGAGACAGGGTTTTGCCATGTTGGCCAGGCTGGTCTCGAACTCATGAGCTCAGGTGATCCACCCACCTCAGCCTCCCAAAGTGCTGGGATTACAGGTGTGAGCCACCATACCTGGCCCTACAGCCAAATTTTAACAGCCATACAAACAAGAGGTGGTCCCAATCTTACTGAAACTATTCCAAAAATTTGAGAAGAAATTCTTTCCTAACTAATTCTACAAAACCAGTATCACCCTGATACCGAAATCAGGCAAGGACACAACAAAGTAAGGATACTGCAGGCCAATATCCCTTATAAAAACATAGATGCAAAAATCCTCAACAAAATACTAGCAAAGCAAATCCAACAGTACATTAAAAAGGTAATACATCATGATCAAGTGGGTTTAATTCCAGGGATGCAAGGATAGTTTGACATCTGCAGATCAATAAATGTGATTCATCACATCAACAGAACTAAAACAAAAACCATATGATTATCTAAATGGATGCAGAAAAAGCATTCAGTAAAATACAACACCCCTTCATGAAAAAAACCCTCAACAAACTAGGCACTAAAAGAACATACCTCAAAATAATTAGAGCCATATAGGACAAAACCACAGCCACTATCATACTGAATAGGGAAGAGTTGAAAGCATTTCCCCCTAAGAACTGGAATAAGATAAGAATGTCCACTCTCACCACTACTATTAAACGTAGCACTGGAAGCCCTAACCAGAGCAATCATGCAAGAGAAAGAAATAAAAGGTATCCACATTGAAGAAGAGAAAGTCAAATTTTCTGTGTTCATTTGATGGCATGAGTTGTGTTTTTTTTGTTTTGTTTTTGTTTTTTGGTAGGGTCTGGCTCTGTCACTTTGCTGGAATGCAGTGGCGTGATCTCAGCTCACTGCAACCTCCATCTCCTGGCCTCAAGTGATCCTCCCACCTTACCTTCCCCAAGTAGCTGGGACTACAGGCATGTGCCATCACACCCAGCTAATTTTTTTTGTACTTTAGAGATGAGGTCTCACTATACTGTCCAGGCTGGTCTCGAACTCCTGGACTCACCCACCTCAGCCTCCCAAAGGGCTGGGATTACAGGTGTGAGCCACTGCCTTAATCTTATATTTAGAAAACCCTAAAGACACTTCCGAAAGACTCCTAGACTTGATAAACGACTTCAGTAAAGTTTCAGAATACAAAATCAGCATATAAAAATCATTAGCATTTCTATACAACAATAATATTCAAGCTGAGAACAAAATCAAGAACTCAATCATGTTTAAAATGGCCACACACACACACACAACATACATACACATAATACGTAACAATACATCTAACCAAGGAGGTGAAAGATTGCCACAAGGAAAACTACAAACCCTCATGAAAGGAATCATAGATGGCACAAACAAATGGAAACACATCTCATGCTCATGGATTGGAAGAATCAGTATCATTAAAATGACTATACTGCCCCCAAAGCAGTCTACAGATTCAACATAATTTCTATCAAATTTCCAATGTCATTCTTCACATAATTAGAAAAAAAGATTGTAAAGTTCATGTGGAACAAAAAAAAAAAAAGAGCTTGAATAGCCACAGCAATTCTAAGCAAAAAGAACAAAGCCAGAGGTATTATATTACCTGACTTCAAATTACATGGCTCAAGGAACTAAAACAGCATGGTACTGGTAAAAAAAACAGACATACAAATCAATGAAATGGAATAGAGAACACAGAAATAAAGCCACATACTTACAACCAACTGATCTTTGACCAAGTTGACAAAAATAAACAATGGCAAAAAGACATGCTATTCAATAAATAGTGCTGGGAAAATTGGCTATCTCTATGAACATCTCTATCCATACAAACTAAAACATCTACAGGAAATTTTAGCCATAAGCAGAAGAATGAACCTGGACCCTTGTCTGAATGAAACTGGACCCCTGTCTCTCACCAGGTACAAAAATTAACTCAAGATGGATTAAAGACTTAAATGTAAGACTGGAAACTATAAAAGTCCTAGAAGAAAACCTAGGAAAAAACTTTTGGAGTTTGGCCTAGGCAAAGAATTTATGACTAAGCCCTCAAAAGCAATGCAACAAGAATAAAAATAGACAAGTGGGACTTAATTAAAAGATTCTGTGCAGTAAACAGACAACCTAGAGAATGGGAGAAAATATTTGCAAATTATGACAAAGGACTAATACCCAGAATCTAAAACGAACTCAAACAACTCAGCCAGAAAAAACAAACAATCCCATTAAAAAATGGGCAAAGAACATGAACAGACATTTCTCAAAAGAAGACATACAAGCGGCCAATAAACACATAAAGAGATGCTCAATATCACTAGTTATCAGAGAAATGCAAATTAAAACCACAATGAGATATCATCTTATACCACGGAGAATGGCTATTACTTAAAAGTCAACAAAACAAAAGATGTTGACATAAGTGTGGAGAAAAGGAAAGCCAAATACACTGTTGGTGGGAATGTAAATTAATACAACCTGTATGGAAAACAGTATGGAGATTTCCCAAAGAAATAAAAATAGAATTACCATTCAACCCAGTAATCCCACTACTGGGCATGTATGCAAAGGAAAAGACATCATTATATTAAAAAGACATGCATCTGTATGTTTATCAAAGCACTATTCACAATGGCAAAGACATAGAATCAACCTAAATGTCTATCAATGGTAGACTGGATTTAAAGAGTGGTAATATACACCACAGAATAGTATGTAGTCATAAAAAAGAATGAAATCATGTCTTCTGCAGCAACATGGGTGGAGCTGGAGGCCATTATCTTAAGTGAATTAACTCAGAAACAAAGAAGCAAATACTACATATTATCACTTAGAAGTTGGAGGTAAACAATGCATACACATAAACATAAAGATGGAATTAACAGACATTGGGGACTCCAAAATGGAGAAAGATGGAAGGAGGGGGTGAGGGTTTTAGAAATTACCTGTTGGGTAAAATCTTCACTATTTGGGTGATGGGTACAGTAGAAACTCAAACCTCATTATTATGCAATATATCCATGTAGCAAACCTGCACATACACCCCCGAGTCTAAAATTTAAAAATACGTTTTAAAATTCTGCTTTATAATTGATAGATTTCAAGTTTGCAGTGAAAATTAAAAAGATGTTGTTTTTAAAAATCCTTTTTTCTAAAGGAGATAAAGTTCTAGAAATAACTAAAGAGTTCTTGAAAGTCAAGCATGGTTTGCCAGGCGCAGTGGCTCACGCCTGTAATCCCAGCACCTTGGGAGGCCGAAGTGGGCGGATCACAAGGTCAGGAGATCGAGATCATCCTGGCTAACACGGTGAAACCGTCTCTACTAAAAATACAAAAAATTAGCCGGGCGTAGTGGCAGGCGCCTGTAGTCCCAGCTACTTGGGAGGCTGAGGCGGGAGAATGGCGTGAACCGGGGAGGCGGAGCTTGCAGTGAGCCGAGATTGCGCCACTGCACTCCAGCTTGGGCGACCAGAGCAAGACTCTGTCTCAAAAAAAAAAAAAAAAGTCAACCATGGTTTTCAGAGACCCTAATAGGACTTTCCACAGTGAACAAGTCTCACTGGCTAAGGGGGTGGACAACAAGATTCAAAGCAGTAGCCTCTACCCTTGTTTTATACCAAGTAGACAGGCTTATTTGGAAGAATCAGTTTTGATGTGCTCATCTGCCATTTTTTTAAACTTTTCTAAAATGGATATGCATAGCCTGTTATTTTGAAAAACATGTTTTTATAAAATAGAATCATTTTGTCAAAAATAAAATTGAAAACCACTTTTAAAAAATCTCCATTGGTGGATTAAAGGGGAGCAAAGATAAGAAAGTATGGCATGAAAGGCATCTGGGCTGTGACCCCCAGTACCAGTGTCCTTGCTGGGGTCATCTCTAGAAAGGTTTAATCTGGGCTGAAGATACAACCTGAGGGCTCCTCCCAAACAGGGGCAGGGCCCTCTTGGAGCTACTGTCCTTTGGGGCTAAGATTCCAGAAGGGACACAGTTAGCTTGCTTTACAGTCAGCTAGAGATTTCTGTTTTCACACATGACTCCTTGTTGGGTATGGTTTTTGGCTCTAAGGATGCTGGAGATCCCCAAATGGGCTATGTGCCACAATCTGAATTCCTACTTCAATTGTGTGGTCATGACAGAGGCAGGTCCAGCAGGCACAGAAGGACATGTTGGAGGAATGGCTGCCCCCTTCGAGGTAATCTTCAGATGGGTGACATCATGGAGGAAGCCTGTGGTACATCTGGAGACACCATGACACCACATTAGGTTTACTGCAAGGCCAAGCATTTAGTCCTGTGCCCCTCCACCCTTCTCTTTAGAAGGTGCTGAACTTCAAGAGGATGTTGTAACCCACGACTGTATTTTACTTAGTATTAGAATTTATGCATTTTCCCTTGAGTCAGACATTGCTACAAAACTTGACCATAAAGAGAATTTCACTTGTCCTCTCAAACCTATGAGGAGAGCCAGCATTCTCTCTCTTCTCTCTGTAGCTTATTTGCCATCCAAATCATCTCACATTTAAAATCTTCCTTTTCTTCTGATATCTCACTGACCTCATCCATGATATCCAGGAGTATGAGCTGAAGTTTTTCCTAAATTGGAATTAACTTTGGGACTCTCACCTCTATCTAATCTATTCCTTGTACATTGTTTACAGCACTGAACTGTTTTTCTTGTAGATGGACTCAGGGGAGGGCCTCTGTGGCCTTCCATCCTCAGCTTTGCCGGATCCCAGCCCTATGGAGCTGAGCACAGAAAGGCAGGCTGTAGTGCCTGGAGCCTCAGTTTTTCACGTGACACAGGCACAGCACCATCTCCTCTCCAGGGCTAGTCACGCAGGCTCATGGGAACGCGGTCCTGCTGCCAATCCAGTGAGCGCCTACCACCGTTGCTGGGAACAATTTTTTTGTCTTTCTTCCTCTCCTAAGCTCCTGGACAGAGAGTCACATCTTGCTCACTCTTCCTCACTCTTGCTTGCTCTTGCTCACTCTGCACTGTCCACCTGTTCGTCTGTTCGATGAATGAACCCTAGGAAAGAGTTGCTTGCATCACTTCTACTATGCTTGAATTTTATACTCATCAAAAAAGGTGGGGGGGTAGCCTTCATTCAAACCTACAGCTTCTTCCACTCTCAGCCGAAACGTTTTGCTGGTGACTGTTCAAGTCTTCCATTCAACATTGCACCAAGATGTCCCTATCTGAATGGCTTCCCTCTACTGGAGTGTGCTTAGGGCATGCAAGTTTCCCTGAAGGGCATCCTAAAAGCCCTGGCACTAGTGTAACAAGGACACATTCATGAGAGCTGTGAAGGGCAGTACATTTAGAACAGATAAGGAAAAGGACTTTCTTCAGGCCAGAGGCCACTTGGGGGCACTCATTTTCCTGTGTAAGGACAATGACAGCAGCTGAAGGCTGCAGCCACTCATGGTCCCTGCAGCTGTGCAAAGTTGGGAGGGGTGGAACCATGAGTTCCAGACACACAGACAAGGCAGACCATCACAAACACAAACACGTGGGCAGCTGCAGGGCCACAGTGTCCACTCCTGCTGCTCCAACATCTCTGCGGCAGGACAGTCAGCTGGTGACACTGGCGAGAGAAGGCACTGGGACTGCTGGTGGTGACAGCCTTCTCTTGGGCTGATGCTCAGTGGCCTGAGGATTTACCGTGAGCGAGCCCAGAGTGTGTCTGCAGACTGGCGCCGAGGAGGCAAGGGCGTGGGAAGGCTCAACCTGGCCAGCGGCAGAGTACCAGGAAGTCTGCACGAACTCACTGCTGCTCACCTGAGGAACACGGGGTGGGGAGAAGGTGAGGAGTTCCGCGGCAGCGACAGAGGCTCTACATAGAGGCTTCAAAATCTGTCTCTAACCTAGCTTGCTGAGTGTCTGGGAGTTTTCTTAACTAGCTGTTCTGGGTCCTGTTGCATTCCACTCACTGTCCCCTCCTCTTGAGCCTCAGAGGCCTAAGCAGGAGGCGGAACCAGCAGGGGAAACTGCAGAGCATGCAGCCAGGAGAGGCAGGACAAAGGGCCATGCACTCAGAACCAAGGGGCCAGAACAGCCAACCAAAGAGGATGTGGGCTTGGAAACTTCACACACACACACACACACGCATGCACACACACACACATACAAACACATGCACATATGCATACAGATACACAAATGCACACACATATATGCCGTATACACCTACATATATGTAAACACGTACACATATACATGCAAACATGCACAAACACATACACACATGCACATATACACATGCTTCATACATACATATACATATACACATAAATATATATACACATAAATATATATACACATACATATAGGTCGAGTATTGCTAATTTAAAAATACAAAATCCAAAAAACTCTAAAATCTGACACTTTTTAAGTGCTGACATGATACTCAACGGAAACGCTCATTGGAGCATTTTGGATTTTCAGATTGGGATACTCAGCTAGTAAGTGTACTGCAAACATTTCAAAATCAGAAAAAAATCCGAACTCTGAAACAGTTCTGGTGCCAAGCATTTCAGATAAAGAATACTCAATCATTATACTCCTACACACACACACGCATAGACACATACATACATTAGTTTTCTATTATAAATATAATGTGTTCATTGTAGCAAATTTGGAAACTAAATAAGGAACAAAAAATAATAACTGATATTCCTTCAAGCAGAATGCCTACTCAAGAATGTAGAATGATAGACAAACTGGACAACATCATCAGGACAGCACCAGTCAATGGACATCTGCAGAGAGCAGAGGATCGACACAGTCTCAAATCATCTTCCTTCAAATTACTTCTTAATTACAAAAGGAAAATACATTTGACCCTTGGACAACACAGGTTTGAACCATTCGGGTCCAGTAATAAGCATAGTTTTTTCAACCAGATGCAGGTGGAAAATAGAGTCTTGGTGGTATTTGAAACCTGTGTATATGAAAGGCCAACTTTTTGTAAATTTGGGTTCCAAGGGCTGACTGCAGGACTGAGTATGAGCGGATTAGGGTACATGGAGGGGGTCCTGGAACCAATCCCCCATGTACACTGGGGAAAGACTTAATGAGAAACGTAACAGACAACACCCTAATCAAGTCATAAATATCAACATCAGCATAAACTGGACCAGCCAACATCATCATGCCTGTGGGCCACAGCCTCCTGTCTGTGGACCAGATGGGACTCCAAGGAAACACCACACAAACCAAAATGGCCCTTCAAGAAATCCCATCCGTCACGACAGGTGTGAAAAGGCTGAGGAACACTCTGTATTAAAGGAAACTAGAGATCTTAAAGTGAATGCAAATGGTTCCTGAACAGGAATAAAAGAATAACATAAAGGATGTTTATATGAACAATCGGGGAAACCTGAACGAGGTCTGTAGATTTCAACCCTGCATCTTATTAAGGGTAAATATCCTGACTTTGGTAACTTTATTATGATATGTAAGTGAGTAACCCTGTTTTTAGTCAATAGACTCTGAGGTATTTAGGAGTAAAGGGACTTGATATCTACAAATGAGTCTCAAATGGTCCAAAGAATCATGGTGTGTGTACATATAAATGTATATATGTGCATATATGTATCTCTATATATGTACAGGACAATGGAAATGACTTAAAATGTGGCAGAGATATTAACAATTGGGGAATCAGGGTAAAGAATATATGAGAGTTCTTTGCTCTATTACTGCAACTTCTCTATACATTTGAAATTTTTTCAAAATAAAAGTTTAAAGAAACATACGTGCGTGAAAATAATGACCTGCGGCTCTCCTCTCTTCACTCAGCATCTCAGTAGTATCTTTTCCCATAGTAACGATCACCCCAGAACATGAGGTTACATAGTGGAAAGCATGGGGGCCCTTGTTTCAGGGCTATCTTCACCAGGAGCATCTCTGTTTCTTTTCCATTCAGCAGTTGTCTTCACTATCCCGGATATTTATGTCCAAAACACTCAGCCAGTGTGGCTCAATCACAGACTAGGAGCTCAATGGGTTCAACAAAATATCCCAGGTGTCCAGGTGGGGTTCCTTGAGTCCAGGCCCTGGAACTGGGTCCCTATAGGTGTGTGTTCACCTGCCCAGTGAGGTCCCACAAGCTGACCATCACAGGGTCCCCTAGTCCATGCCCGAGCTCTTTATTTGGTGGCTATGTGATGGCCGAGCTCAGGGACACAGATAGGGAAGGGACGTAGCACCCGCTTCCACTGCCTTCTTCCTCCCTCTTGTATTGGAAGCCCAAAAGCAGCCCCCCAGCAACCTGAAACGCATGCAGTATCATCAGTCTACTTTTATGGTAATGTACTGTCTTTATCAGGACAACTTCTCCTTCATGTCTTATTTCAAACCCTGTCACTGACTGATGGGCATTCCGTTTCAGAAAAACTCTCACCTGAGACCATCAGTAAGCAGGACAGGTCTAACTGTGATTTCCTGAGTAGGGAACCTCAGGTAAGCTCTGTAAGGCCTGCTGTGAAAGCGGTACCCTGGATCACAGCACCGAACTAGCAAGAGCGGGACATCAGCCTCTACACAGCCCACTGGGCCACCACCCACTGGCCAGTGGAGCAGGGCTGTCCTGTCTGCTAAGGCCCCATGACCAAGAAGGTGTGGGCAGATGCTAGACAGACAGAACAATGACAGACAGGTGGAAGGGGCTGGGTATGGGATGGGCGGACCAGTTGGTGAAGGAAGACTGGCAGATTCACAAACGGTGAAGTCTGAGAAGCTGAGAGACACAGCAGGCACAGGATGGCTAAAACACTGCAAAAGGGCTATAATCCCCAGTACCATCTCCAGTCTGGACGACGCAGAAAATGACAGCCATGAGAAAAATTTCATAAATGGAGCTATCATTTAGGGCTATAATTTTATTCAATTACAACATGCCAGAAAATGTATTTGAAGATAAAATTTTCACCCTCAAAATCCCGATTTATCTCCAAAATATATTTGCTATGAATACAGTTGACGCTAATAATCTTTATACTGCCCATAATTCATTTTTTAAAAAGCAAGCTTACATACCATCAAAATGAGATTATATAATCACAAAAATACTGATAACTGGAAAGGCAAAACAGAAACTATGGAGATTTCTTTGAAAAAGCAGAACACACTCACTGGCAGCCCTTGGACTCCCAGCCTGCTACTTTTTCAGTACTAAAAACCACACAACCCATGCAAAAATCACCAGTGACCCACAGCAGCTTTCAGCCATCTGGGGAGTATGTCTGCTGGGCTGGCAGGGAAGAAACATGAGCCAAAAACACTGCCATTTGGGCACTAACTCCTTTAAAACCAAGCAAACAAAAAGGATCTGCTGAGCACCAGCTCAGAAGGTCTAACACCAAGAAGAATAAGTACCTGAAACTGACTGTGCACATCTTACCCCCATCCTCCAATCGCCCGGAGTTCTCAGACTCCAAGAGGTCTCCAGGCAGATCTGAAAGCAAACGCCGTCGTATCAGACCTCTTGGGGTCTGTCCATTTGCTCCCAGACAGGCTCAGTAAACATCGTCTAGAGTTTCTTGAAACTACAGAAACAGCCAATCAAAGTGATAGATTGCCTGGACACAGTCCCCTCACCACCCAGGGAACTGTCACCAGAGCCCCAGTGGTGCGAGGCCCTAGGCAGTGAGAAGAATTGGTCCAAAGCCACATTGCGAGGAACTGCAGAGTCCTAGCCAGTGGCCAGCCCCCAAGTCATATGCCTTCCCATCGTATTATAAGTGACATACAGCCCTTGGCATTATTTATAAAAATGAACTTTCTACACCCACCCACATACTTATAAATACATAAAACTTCTGCTCCAGCAATGACACTGCTGGAAACCAACCTATCCATCTGTCTATCCATCCACAACCCCATTCATGACCAAGGACCCATGCACGAGAATGTTCATTTCAGCTCTATTCATAATTAGAAAAAGCTGCAAACAAAAGTAAGCTTATGTGCCATTAAATGGTATATAAACATCTCAGTAGCGTCTTTTCCCCTAGCAACGTTCACCCTAGAACGTGAGGTTACACAATGGAAAGCACGGGGGCCCTTGTTTCCGGGAGCTGTTCATCAAAAGAGGGTTGAGGTAAATCTATCACGGTACCTCCATACAACACAACACTATGAAGCTGCAGGGGAAATCACAACAATGCACATCAATTTTGTGAAGAGATACACAAGATACTGTCCGCAGTGTCACCTCTGGAGAATGAGACTAGAGTTGGAAACTGAGAAGAAAGTGAATCTCACCGTTTACCAAATACCTTTTTGTAGTATTTGTTTCACTTTTTGTTTTTTACTATGAATGTTACTTTTATAAATAAAATAGGTTCTCCTTTTTTTGGTCTCCTGGTTGGACATAGAGGTGATATGGTAATAAGTCATGGCAAACTTACTCCTGACTCTGAATCCTGTTTGTAGTGCTAGATTCCGCAAATTGTCACGCCCTGACTGAATGAACCAGCTTCTTTGGAAAGAGATGAGTGGGGGTAGAGTGGGAAAAAGTTTTCACGTGAACTTCTCTGGGGAAAATGCTAGCTTCTAATGCATTCATGTTCCTGGAGGCCTTTTTCTCCAGAAAAGGAAGTAGCTCTTGGACCAATTGGTGTAATGATTCAACAACCAATCCTCCATCTCATCTACTGAGACTTAACCAGCCCTGCTGCTACGGGCACCAATCCCACCTGGTAAGGCCGGTGGGGCCAGATAGGAACCCTGGTGCAGAGCCAGGCTCAAGGCTCCTCCACTCATCCCAGCCACAAAGTCGGCAACCCCAAGCATCCATAAAAGTATCACTAACTAAAAAGAGGCAGAAAGTGTGGAGCATAAGATGAAATGTGCCTATTAATGGAAGAAAGCTCATTTAGGCATGAAGAGTCCAATTCTCTCTTCGGACAGAAATCACAACAGTCTCAGCAAAACAACAAAACAAACTCACTTAGAATCTATCAGTGTCTAAATAGAGACCTTGGTTATATAGATGTGGCATCTAACCTCAGCATTTTATAACTTAAAAAGCAGATCAAAATAGTTAGTGCTCCAGAATTACAAGAGGGATTTCCACCAGTAACATCTTTTTTTGAAAAAAGTTTCTTTGGTGGTAATCAAACTTTAATGAAACATTAAACCTAAAATGTAACCTATAATTTGAAAAAATGTTTTCAGATTTGAGTCAGATTGGCCGAACCTTTTCAAGCCATCTCAGGCCCAGCTACATGGGGAGGGTGCGGATGTGCCCTCACTGTCAGTCACTGAGCAGATGCTCCCTGAGAACCTTCTCCGTGCCAGGCACCAAGGTGCTGGGATTCGGGTCTGGAATAAAACCCCTTGACTTTATGGAACTTCATTCAAGTAGGGGAGATAGACAAAAAGCAAAATTCAGAGATTGTTAGATGGCAGAAGGCAAAGGAAAAACATTCAGCAAAGGGCTGCTGGCTAAGAAGGTCCTCAAAGGCAGCAAAAGATGCCACAGGCCGACTGTGATGCTCCCTCCCAGGCGGCAGAAACTGGGGACCAGCTGAGTCAGGAGGCTCCCATGACGACACAGGCAAGGAAAGTAAAGCCCAGGCCTGGGTCCCACAGCAGAGACCAGGCAGGCGCTGTCCAATTCTGGTACACAGGCTGGGGTGGCGTGAAACTCAAAAGAGGAGTGAGGAAGGGAATTGGGAATTCTGATGGGGGTACTGGTCTGCTGCTCTGAGATGGGAATTTGGAGGTATCATGTTTGGAGGGAAGGATCAGATGCTGACTTTGGACCTGTTGCGTTGGCAGTGTCTTTTAAGCACCCACATGGAGGTGCCATGTTGGCAGCTGGAAACAGGAGTCTGGGCCTTGAGGAAGAGTTTGGATGGGAATGTAAACCGGGGAGTAATCAACATAGGGACAAGATGGAAAGCTGAGGGAATGGCCACGGCTGTCCAGGGAGGGAGCGCAGAGAGGGGAGACGGAGCACCAAGGCCCAGTGACTGAAGAGCCAGCAACGATGGCTGAGAAGGAAAGTCCAGCAAAGAGGGTGGAAACCCAGACGGAGCTGTGGAAAGGAGAGCAGCGAGCGACAGGAGCCCTCATGCTGCTGCAGGCCCGGCAAGCGGAAGACAGAGAACCCCGCTGGCTTTAGCCATGTGGATGCCACCCTGATGGGAACAAGTGGAATTGAATAGCACAGTGGGGACAAAAGCTGGGCTGCTGGAACGTTTTTAAAAAGGTTTAAAAAGGAGCATTAGGAAACCAAGGAAAATGATAATCTTCTGAAAGCAGTAATTTTAACCACTGCCTTAATCTGTGAGGGAAAGGAAGGCAGAGCCTCGACCCAAGGCGGTAAGGAAGACCCATCCTCAGTTTTGCCTTTGGGAATCCTTATCCCAAGTCCTCTGCCAGCCCAAGGATGGCAGAGCATAGGTCCCCCTCCCATAGAACGCCTGGGGACTTTCCAGTTGACCACATCCCTCCTACAGCTACTCCCTCTGGGCTTCCAGAGTTTCCCTTCTTCAGGGCAGTGTGCTGTGAGCCCAGAACACTACTTCTGGAGGTCATCAAGGTCACTGAGACATAACAATGGACTTATTGTTTGAAGTAGTCCCAGGTCCTTTTCTTTGAAGCTTTTGAGAGCAATCTTCTCAGCTCTCCCGCTCCACTAGGAGAGGACAAAGTAAATATTCTGGGTGGGACTCCCAGGCCTCAGACCTACTCAATGTGGTCGGGCTAGCTCCTGATGGATGCATTGGTTAAGGTCAGCTGCCTCTTCTTCCTGCTCCTGAGTGGCCACGGGACTTGGGGGTAAGAAACCCATGTTGGGGAGCTGGGTTCTGATCCTGGCTCTGCCAAAGCAAGGGCGACCATCCCCCTAGAGGAGCATCCAGAACTTCTATAAAAACAAGGCCATCGTCCTTGTACTCGTCTGCCTGGGATGTGCTGGGCTCCATTCTCGGAGGTGTGGACAGAGCAGTGAATAAGAGACCCTGTCCCTGTTCTGGGGGACTGACGTTCTAGTGGTAAAACAGAGAACAAACAAAATAATCTCAGGAGACAGTGAACAACACGGAGACCACAAGCAAGTGCTGTGTCAGAGGGAGGCTGGCCAGGGGCACTGCCTTTTCCAAAGAAGCCCAGGAAGGCCCAGAGGAAGAGATATTTGAACTGACACCTGAATGATGACCAAGTGGCAGTGAAGAAAAGGTCTCAGGAAAGAGCCTCTGTGTGGAGACGCCACAGGGGAAATGCACAGAGGTGGACCTGAGCTGGCAAATGTGAGGGACCAAGAAGGCCAGGGCAGCTAGAACACAGTGACGACACACACGGGGGAGGGAATGGAGAACGGGACTGTACACCCCACAGGGGAGAGCTTGGATTTAATTCTGGGTGTGATGGGAGAACAGTGGGATTCAAATGACTCTCTAGAAATCATACAAGAGCTGCTGGGCTGTGGATGATATGAGGCAAGGTGAGGTGAGCAGGAGACAGGCTGCTGTGTCGTCCCAGGCTGGGACTGGAGATGGCATGGTGGAGAGGACAGGAAGCACTGGATATGGGACACATTGGAGAGGGAGAGTTGACTGGATTTGTACCTGAGTCCAAAGGGGGAATCAAGGATATGCTCCTCTTCCTTGGCCACAGCAACTGAGCGGACAATGACCCCTTTTAGTTAGGTGAGGAGGCCTTGGTGTGCTTCGACTATATTTTCTTTTGTTAAATTTCACATGGCAACTAGAGACCCAAGTGAAGACGGAGGGTACCTTTCAGTGGTGACTTGTCCTGGTTATAGATCTGGGTCATGAGCAGAGAGATGGCATCTGACGGCATGGGGCCAGATGCAGTCTCTCAGAGAGAAGACCACTAGAGTGGGGGAGGCTGAGGACAGAGGCTTGCGGGCCTCCAAACACCAAGCAGCCTGGCAGAGCAGGAGACAGCGAAGGGATGAAGGAGCAGAGAGATGAAGAGATCACAAGCTGGGGTCGAAAACACTTAGGGAAGCAAGTTTCTAGGAATCAAAGCTGTGTCACATGCTGCTGAGATGCCACCCCCAACTGGCCACTGATCTTAACTAGAGGCAGGCCACAAGGCCCCTTGATGAGACCCATTTCAGGCACCTAGTAGAACAGAGCGCCAACCAAGGTGGGTGGGGGAGAAACCAGGAGAGGAAAAGTAGAGACAGGGAGTCAAGCAGCTGGTCCTGGGAGGTCTGCAGAAAAGCAGCATAAAAGGAAGCAGCAGCCAGAGAGGAATGTGGCCACAGAAGGGCTTCACTTAGATGAGATGTGTCAAGGCACGTCTGCATGCAGGCAGGAATGATTCTGGAATGAGGATGAAACTGACCATGGAGGAAGGAAAAGAAAATCAATGACTACAGACTCAACGTCCTAGAGAAGATAAAGGGGGCAGCTGCAAATGGAGTGGTGGCCCTGGGAAGATGTAAGGATGTGTTCCCCTGTTTGGGTGGGAAGACAGGCAGGTGAGTGCTGATGGGGAATGGATAAAACAGGTGGTAGACACAGCAGGTGGCTCTCATTGAGAGCAGGTCCTGCCTACTAAGCCCAAGGCTACGACACCAGGTGAGAAGTTAGAAGGGGGAAGAAAAGGAGTAACAAGTTGTCTTTTTCATGAAAGTAGTGAATAAATTGGGAGTAGGAAAATCTCCTGGGAGAAAAAAAATCAAGGGATAGAGAGAGGAGACTTACCTTTTTCTTACTGATTTATAAGAGCTCTTTATTTAGGATATTGCAAATGTAAATATTGCAAATATTCTTTTGCAGCTTATCAACAGTTTAACATTTGATTTACAGCATTAATTTTCTTCATGGTCAAATCCAGCAATCTTCCACTATGATTTTACCTATTGCTTTAATAGTTAGGGTTTCATTCCTTAATCTGAGGACCAATTAATTATTCAACTATATATTT
This sequence comes from Homo sapiens, assembly GCF_000001405.40. Classification (NCBI taxonomy): domain Eukaryota; kingdom Metazoa; phylum Chordata; class Mammalia; order Primates; family Hominidae; genus Homo; species Homo sapiens. The sequence goes on from NC_000007.14 coordinate 50,651,109, forward strand.
TTCTATTCCTCCTACGGTCTGATTTTTTATTAACAGATTAATCAACCTAAAAATATTTCAGTGTATGTGTATTAGTTTGCCATGGCTGCCATAACAAAATGCCATGAACTAGATGACTTAACAGAAACTCAGTGTCTCACAGTTTCGCAGAACAGAAATCCATGATCAAGATGCGAGCAGGTCTGATCCTCCCGAGGTCTGGAGGGAGAACCCACTTCTGGCCTCTCCTGGAGGTTCTGGCGGCTGCTGGCATCTTTGTCATTCCTTGGCTTACAGAAGCATCACTGCAATCTCCACCTTTATCTTTATGTGGCATTCTCGTCCCGTGTCTATTTGTGTCCAAATTTCCCCTTAGAAAAGGACACCAGTCATATTGGCTAAGGAGCCCAGCCTACTCCAGTACGACCTCATCTTGATGAATCACATCTGCAACATTATTTCCACATAAAGCTACATTCTGAGGAACTGGGGCTAGGACTTCAACTTATGTATTCTGAGGGGGACATAATTCAATCCATAACAGTGTGCAATAAGGCCCTAATTCAGCTGCTCATCCAAATAGTTTATAGTTGTCGGAGCACATTAAATTAAACAATGATGCCACTTTTACAAGATTCTAACCTTGTATGTATTTGACTCTCTTGAGTACATGCTTCAGTGCACAGAACTTTCACTCTCCATTCTTCAACTCAAACCATGTGGTTTTCATGACAGTAGCTTTATAACATCAAAGCCACTCTTTTGAAGAAGGTAATCTGTCAGCATTGAAAGACCAAATCCAAATGGTCTCTTCTGTGTTTCCATCCAACCCAACCTCTTGGCAGGGCTGGACCCTGCTGACGACCCTCACTGGACGCCCAGCCACACAGGTCCCACTCAGTCTGTTCTAACCTCTTCATCTCAGGCTTCCATGTACTGTCCCCACTTGGAAGGGCCCTGATCTATTCTGGAAATTGTAGGTAGAATTTTGGATTTCAAATTTTCAAAAACCTAGATGTAAATAATGTGTATTTCTAGTTCCAAATCAGGGTTCTGACTGATTCAGTGGCTGAGACAATATAAAACTAAATTAAAACAAGAACTCCATCTATAAAAGTAAGTGGAATACCATCTATAATAAAAGAATATGAGAGCACACACTGCTAGTATTGCAGACACCCGTTAAGTACCTGAGACCTGGTGGGCTGGGCAGCAAGCTTCTAGGTTCCCATCAGGGCCACGGTTATGGCAGGGGCAAATCTGGTTCTCTTTAGTCTCTATGGCATAAAAGTTGTTCACCTACAGAACAACTTCGGTTTCTATAGAAGCAACCTGTCCTTTATTAGGGGAACTCCAAATTACACCAAAGAGGGTGGACACAGAATAAGAGAAGAACGCCTTCCAGGGACTTGGGCCACTGAACTGACTGCTAATAAAAGAACAAACAATGCCTTTGAGGGAGATGGCCATACAGCGTCACCAGAGAAAGAGACAAGCCACATGCACCAGGTATGTGTCCAGAGACCAGGTCATTCCAGAGTGGGAGGAGAAGGATTCTGAGACTTCCGCTGCTTGCTAACAACCAAGCCCTCCGATCAAATACCTGAAAATCTTAATAGCATGAGATTGGTCAAAGCAGACACCACGCAGACTTCGCTGAGACGGCAGATTTTTCTATCAAAATGTTTCTTTTTACCCATCCCCTTCGTTTTCTTTGCCTCATCCTTTGGCTTATTGCACACCAGGTTTAGTTTGACTCAGAATTATCAGCATGGAGATAATTCACTCTTGATCCTCCAATGGCCCAGTCTTCTTTGGATTCCTGCCCTCAACAACACAATTCACTGTGGTCAGAATTCACATTCCCAAAGCTGTTCCTAGTTATGCTCTTGGTACCTACTAGAATCTTACTGGAATACAATGAAGAATTTTTGTCCCCTCTCATGTAACTGGTTACAAAGGAGGTGAGCAACTGCTGAGTGCAATATACCAGGGCCCACTTCACACTCCCCCCTGCTGGCCTCTGTGCCCTTCTTCAGCTGGCCCCAGTACGATGAGGAGCAAGGCATCTTCCTGGGCACGGGCAGCAGGCAGGCACCGTCTTCCTAGGCACTGTCAGCCCTAGGCCGTGGGCCCCAGTGCATGCTCCGAGGGAGGACTGTGTGGTGGGGCAGCAGGAGGTAGCCACAGCAGGAAGAGTCTGTGCTGTGCTGCAGCACCGCCCATGAAGCCGGGAACAGCCACAGCATACATAAGGGCTTGCACAAGAGGAGTACAACTAATCTCCCACAGCCTCCAGACGCTATTGCACTAAAAGCTGTTTGTCTCGGCCAGCCCCACCCGCTGCAACTGGGACAGCCAAGAGAGTGGGGGACTCAGGAAGAGATTTCAGGTCTGACATTTTCATCTCATAGGAAACAGCACACAACAAGTGCAGGTGTGTGTACACACGTGCAGCTTAGGCTCTGCACAACTGCCCTGCATGTGTTCCAAGCCACAACCCTCCCCAGGCAGGAAGAGCCCTCCCAGCCCTCTGAGTTCTCCCACACTCCTCCCCTTGGAAATTGCCAGAGACCACTTCAGCCGCTGGCCTCCCCGGGCTGGTGAAACGATGCATCGGGAAGAGACTTAAGTTTTCCTTCCACACGCTTCACCACTGTTCACAGGGTCCATGACTAGCCACCCCTGCCATCCCCCAGGTGGCTACATGAAGAAGCTACCCAAGTAAAGTTGGTAGATCAAAAAGGGACCTCTGAAGTACAGGCTGGAAGGGGCTCACAATGATAACAAGATCTTCCTCTTGAACTGTAAGTGATTACAGACACTAATATAAATCCAGCTAGAAGTGTAACCATGCGGCTGTCACTGTGCTTGAGACCATGAGGTCTTTATTCCCTTGTGTTCCGTCTTCTCGGGAACCTTTCACAGTATGCTGAGGCTCAAGGGCTGAAGGCTCAGGAATCCCCCGCCCTCGGATGACGTTTATACACAAGGAAGCTGAGCATGGAAGAGACAACCCCCTTTGCACAGTGTGTTCTGCCAACAGAATTATGAGTATTCCATGGCTTTTGGAAAGAAGGAAGGAAGCAGCAGCATGTCCCCAGCTTCTCCTGAAGTGTGGGGAATGCCTGGGGATGCCTAGGGCACCACGGGGTCCCAGGGAGGTGGCTCTGCGAGTGTTTCCCATGGCCAACAGCACCAGCTCAGAGCGTGCCTTGATCCCGAGTTGTGAAAAACCAGAGACAGATCAGTTGATGGCAATAAATATTCTCCTGCCTTCAGGTGGCCGCTGCCAAGCCTCACAGAGTCCCAGGCAAGGGCACCTCTGCAGAGCTTGCCCTGGTCTGGCCTTAACAGACGAGGTTCTGGTCAACAGGGAGAATTACTGTGGGATGACCTGGTCAGTTCTGTTTTCTGTGAGGTTTCTCCTCTAGAAAGAGCTCACTGCAGCATCAGTGCATGTTAAGAGGCACATTTTTGATTCTAAGCAGGGGTTTTTCTTTGTTTAGCATTTTATTTTGAAATAATTTTATTTTGAAATAATTTGTTTAGCATTTTTACAAAAAATGTGCAAAAAGCAATACAAAAACTCTCTGTATATATTCTTCACCTTAGTACTCCAAATATTAACATTTCACCCCATTCGCTTTATCAAATTCCCATTCTCTTTCCCTACCTACCTAGGAGAGTGGGTTGCAGACATCTCGCCCCTTTCCTGCTAGATGGCTTTGTGTATATTTCCTACAAACAAGAACACTCGCATAACTACAGTACAATGATCAAAATCAGGAAATTAACACTGATATACTACCATTAGCTAATTTACAGACCTCATCCAAATTTAGCCAAGTGTCTGACTCCTGTCCTTTTAGAAAAGGGAAAAAAAACAAAAACAATGTTGTTCTTGGTTCATGATTCAGTCCAGGACCCAAGCTGCGTTTGACTGCCTTGGCTCTTTAGTTCCTCAGATTTGGGTTTTGTTTTTGGCTTTTGTTTCTGTGGGGGTCTTCTATGACCTCAAAACCCGAGGTCATTCTCTAGAATGTCTCTTGGTTCTGGTTCAGCTGACGTCCCTTTGAGATTAGCTGTAGAGATGCTGTGTCCCCCTGGGTGCCACAGCTCAGGAGCCACACAATGCTGCCCTGACCCTTTTTTGGTGACATCAGTGTGGCTCACCTGGGAAGAGTGTCTGCCAGGTGTTTCCACACACGTAAGTTATTATTTTCCCCTGGCCCTTCATGCTGGCTCCTGTGTCTTTATGCCATGTCCCCTTCATTCTTTAAGCATCTCCCAGGCAGCCCTGGCTCCTTTTATTGGAGAATGGTATCTAGAAATGACCTGAGCGTTAGGTTGAACGTATATTTAAAGACAGAGGAAACACAGAACTGCAAGTTGTCTTACAGACCATGAAAACTATGAGAAATCAATAAATCACATCTTACCAATTTTACTTAGATGCACTCAGCTGTCCAACTTCACTCCACTGCCCTAGTCCAGATAACACGTCAGCATCTCCTGCACCTGCATCCCAACCGGCTATCCCACACCTCCTCCAGCCCAGTCCATCCTTCACACTGCAGCAGGCAAAGCAAAGTACAAAGCTGCTTTCCCCTCTCTGCCAGAGACCTCCTTTGCCCTGGAGACCAATCTCTTCCTGGGACACCTAAGGCCCTGGCTTCCTAGGCGCTGCCTCCTCTATACTATCTCAGCCACCATCCAGGGTGCCTGTGCCTTCCTCAACTGTCCTCATTCCCTCTTTCTGGAACACTGTATGCCTTCCAAGGCACTTAAGGATTCCTCATCTTCGGCCCCACTGATAGCTCTCCCCACATGATGGAATGTCCTGGCAGCATGTTGGAAACTGTCTGTGATAATGTGCCTCTATAAGGTGATTAGCATTGGTTTCTCTCACTGGGTTATGGGCTCCCAGAGGGCAAGGCTGTGTCTGCCCTGCCAGCCTCAGACCCCAGCACCCAGGCAGTACCTGCATGTAGAAACCACCTAAAATCTATCAGTGAATGGGCACAAGAGAGGAACAGAGGACAGTAAGGGCGTTATTTCCTGACTGTGTCCTGGTAGGGGAAGTTGGAACCCTGAGGAGACAGGCGCGGGCTGAGCGCAGAGTGTGAGATGTGCACACATGTGAGGGGTTTAGACAAGCAGACCCAAGGTCCTTGCTTGCTATCGGTCACTCTGATCCTCCGTCCCAGGGCGATCCTGTGGACTTGAGACCATGTCAGGGAGGCAGCGGCAGTGAGCTGTGCTGCACAGCTGAAAAAGACAGGATGTGTAACTACTGGAACAATACATGCTGGAGATCTCTAAGCTCATAAGGTCAGAGACCCGATGTGGTGACTATGCAGTAGCCTATGCAAACGCCACTAGACTCTCTTCTTCCTTCATCCCTGTCACTGCAGGGCCACACAGGCCTGACTTGTCATAAAATTACTATACACCCAGAAATAGCCACGGAAAAGCCAGAGGGCTTGCTAAGGTGTCTGCGGTATTCTGAAGACACAAATCCTGGAGTCCCTGCAAACAGCTGCTGACCACCTGGGACACAGAGTTCCACCCCTGCTGGGGAAGGCAGGCTTCCAAAGCCACCGTGTGCTACCATGCGGTGCCTCTGAGCCACTCTCTCATTAGGGAGAATGCAGAGGTGGAGAAAGGCTCCAGGAATGGGGTCAGGGCTCGGAAGTCCCGAAACTCACTCTATCCCGGATGTGGTAATCAACATAAGCAGGTCTTTGCAGACAGATATAGCAACACACATCCTGAGCTATAAAACATCCTCAACCTTTTAGTAGGAATCTGACTTCTAGGGTCTACCCTGGGGAAAGGATTCAAAATGTGGCAACAGCTGCACTCCAGGCACCCAGTGAAGCATCATTTATAGCACAGACACTGGACGACAATGCAAATTATCTGGTCACTGTGAAGTAGGTAAATATGGCACAAATCGGTACTCATCAATGTAGGTATCAGCTATCATGAGTGTTTTTTAGGAAGACCACACTAAGAAACACAGAAAATACTTATGAGATGTTAAATAACTGAAAACATATCTAAAATTATATCCACCTTTACTAAAACCTGATAAAATGCCGAGGGGCCAGGAACTCGACCAAACTCTGGGCAGATGGAAAGAGCTGACTTTGTTTTTAATACTGTTACAATACTGTTTTTGTGCCAGTTCAATGGTCAGAGTCAAAAGGGCAGTCACACTTAGGCTCCAAGGTTAAATGAAGAAGAAAGCAATGTTGCTTCCCACTTCCTCGAGTGTCTGTGATGTTCCCGCGGCTCCTGGCATGGCAACACTGCTTCTCATTCCCTTCCAGGATTCTGCAGAGAGACCAGGGACTGTGTGAGCGGAAACACTACCCGTGAACAAAAAGAGAGGAATGTGCGCCGGTACATGGTGTTCCCATTTAAATCTTTTCGGGGATTTCCTCATATAAATAAATCTGAAGATGCCAGGGTTCTATAAATAGGGCTAGAAACTACTGCCCTGATTCTAGAGAATCTCTGTTGTAAGATGACAGCGAAGATGCTATTTTAGGGCAAAGTAAAAGATAAACCATGTTAGTCATTAGCATTTGGTTCTCTCAGGGACCAAAAAATAAAAATCACCAGCAGAGGGTATGTACTTGTAAACCTTCCCACACAGGGACTATGTCTGTGCTCTCTTTCCTAGAAATGTCCAGACTTGGCACCAACAGCAGAGGGAGGATGTTTACCAAATTCTCTTGTGAATTTTTTGGATTTTCAAAACACTTTCACTTGGTTTCCTCCACTAATTCTTTTTTTTTTCTTTTTTACATTTTTATTACTCAAACTACTTGTCCTTCAGCCAGTTAAGAGACTGAGGCGAGAGCCTAAGGAAAGAAAAACAGAAAAGACATGGAGGAAAAGAGATGGCCATTGTCCAGGCAGTGGCCTAGATGGCCCATCTCATCTTGGGTCTCAACCAAGACCCAGAGGCCTAACACTTCTCGACTGTAAACTCTAGAACACTTTATCCTAAACTGGGTGGACCTGCCACATGCGCCTATTGCAGGAGAAAAGAAAAGTCCCTCCGTGGCTGCTCACAGGTATAAATAAAGCGCCAATGTCCACGTTCAGTGAGTGTAACAGGCTTCTCCAGTGGGTGAACTGTGGATTCCTACTCAAAACCAAACACAAACCAGCAGGCTGTTTGCTCGCAGTCATTTATGGCAGAAGCTGTCAGGTAGGTAAATTGGGGAAAGTGCATTGTCTAGTGGTTCCCCCTTACCTGATGAAATTTCGAGTCAAAGCAGCAGCAAGAATTAGCAAATCAGTTTGCCAAGGAAAATTACTTCCTGTTGCTAGCAAAATAGGCGGTCTCTGTGAAAGCACTGATGGCCACCGATAACCAATGACTGCACACTGCCCTTGCCTTTGAGTCCACAGGAGCCTCACGTAGATGGCCACAGGTGGGCAAGGCACAGACTTAGATTTTTGGCAAAACTATGGTGATTCTTCCTGTGAAAGACGTATATAATTTAAGTGCTCACATTTCCAATGCTCTTGACAGCTATAGATATCAAGAGGTATTCAATGCTACAGTAAAATATCTGTTTTAGGCCCCTCAAATTCAGAGGTTTATATTTTAAAAGATATTTGTACTCCGGAGAAACACTAGTAGTTGGGATTTCACATAAGATTCCTGCACTGATTTCCTGTGTCATATTTAGCCAAACAAGTGGTCTGCTCCAGGTCACGACTGCCTCGCTGCAATTGCATCACTTGCTCTGATGCAAACACGGGAACATGCAGGTGCCGTCACGTCGGGCCTTCGGGATTATTCTCAGACTGCAGGGGCTGCGGTCCCTAGAGAGCTGTGAGAGACCTCCGCTTTAGCAAAGCTGCCAGAAAAGTCTAAAAAAGTGAGGATGACATTCACCATTTTAAAAATAATCATGGGCAATTTAGCACCCTTTCCCAAAGTGCGTTCTGTGTAAAGTTTACAGGTGCTGTCTCTAAAGCACTTCTGTGATCACAAATGTTTCAGATGCTCTAGCTTAGCTTGAGTGAATAGGTAGGTTTTCTTTTTCTGTAAGATTTTTCAGATCCTCTAAAATCAAACGGGAAATGTAGAATTGCCAAGAAAACGATAGACGATGCCAAATTTCCCAAACTTACTGAACCTGCATGGCTTTTTCCCCCTCAGGACAACTCAGGTAACTGGCATTCTAGAAAATGAGAGGTAAAAAACGTGAAGAGATCTCAGTCACCTCAGCAACGCCAGAGGAAGACTGAAACCCAGAAAGCTAGACCCTACTCAAACCACGGAGAGCTGAGGGAGCCTAGCCAAGCCCCCCTTTGAAAAAAACATGTCCTGGCCACCCTGCTGTTAAAGCCTTGGCTCAAATGCAATGCTCACAGTCACCGAGGACACCCGAACCTGCCAACGCTCAAGGCTGGACGCAGGGCTGCTCCCAGGTCGCTCTGGGTCCTGCACCTATCTCCCATGCTGAGCTAAGCAGCTGTGCAATAGTGTGTGTGCCCACGTCTCTTCTCCGGGTAGCCCAAGTCTTGGAAGGCAGACAGTAGAGCAAACTCATCTCTGTCTAGAGCCTGTCCAGGACAGCCCCTCACCTAGAGGAGCATATTACAGGACCATAAGGTTAGAACATCCATCCTTCAGTGGTGGCCACGCCGGAGGGCATAAATGATGGTGAGCAATGCAATGGGATCTGCTACATGTGTGGGTTTTGCTTGCACGGTTTCAGGGATTCACGCGTCCCCTCATAAGTAATTGAATGACAAGTTGAGAGTTCACTTAGGCGTACTGAAATGCATTTCTGTCGTCTGGGGCACTGCTGTGGCACACTGAGAAGACAGCTAGAAGCTCGGGTCCTGAGTCTAAACCCACTTTTTGTGATGTATTTGTCAATGACCTTGGAAGATGACTTTATCCTCCCTGGGCCTCAGGTTCCTTAAGAGCACATGTCTCGTGGTCACTCCTGATGAAGGCAGTGATCACGTGGCAAAGGGGTGGGGCACAGTAGTGGTGCCGCGTTCATGCAGTAAAGGGGCATGGGGGCACAGCTGCGGTGCCGTGTTCACGTGGGAAGTAGGGGGTGCAGCCATCATGCCGCGTCCACAGGGGAAGTGGCAGGGAGGCGCAACTGCGGTGCCGCATTCAAATGGGAAGTGGGGGTGCAGCCATCATGCCACAACCACAGAAGTGGGGGGTGCAGCCGTGGTGCTGCATTCATGCAGGAAGGGAGGTAGGGCACAGCCATGGAGCCATGTCCATGCAGGAAGTGGGGTGGAGTGGACGTCCTGCCACGTTCACACGGCAAGAGGGGAGGCAGCCGTGGTGCAGATTTGACTGTCCTGAGCTCCAAGACACAGAGACATCAGCAGGGCCCCGCCTCCTCAGACAGAGCAGGAAATGGAAGTTTCCAGAGATGCTGCCACACATCAGCGCTGGAGCTGGGTTCTGCCCCAGCACCTTCCAAGTGCCGTGGGCAGGAGCTCCCCCTCCACACCGTGGCCTCTCGGTGCAGACGGGAAATGGTTACAGGCAGGTGGCTTCCGTTGGGAGACAGGAGCCACGCAGTAGCAGAAGGAAAGGAGTTAGAGATGCAGGTGTGAGGGGGGCCGAGGACAGAGGATTTTAACTTGAAAATGGCGGGATGAGTTGAAGTGCACCTCATGCTGACTCTTGCGTGCGTGAAGCCACAAGGGACCATCCTGTGATGGCGCAGCATCTTATCCATCCCGCCAGGGCCAAGGCCCTGGGGGCTGCAGACCCAACCCACTGCAGCCAGCACCCCTCAGGGTCCCCAGCACTCAGGGTAAACTGCAGTTAGGCTCAGGCCCCAATGTCTTCTGATCTCCAAAGGCACCAGAAAAGGTGACACGGGCAGACTGTGGAGGTGCTAAGAGTAACAGGGCTTGCCAGCGGGTGGAAGGGGCTAAAGGATGGAGGAAGTCCATCCTCAGCAAGGCCCACCAGCAAACTGCTCGGGACAGGCCCAGTTGCAGACACACATTTGCAGGAGAGAGCATTCTCTCCGTGCAATACATTCTGTGAAACAACCTGCACTGGGAGGCCAGGACTAGTTTTTCTCAGCAAAGATGGTCTAACATATTGCATGCAGTTAAAGCCTCAGGAGACCTAATTTTGATCATTAGTAAATAATTGTATGCACAAACCCTTATCCAAAGTGATTACTGTGGTTCCAGAAAATTAATTTTTAAAATTAAGCAGAGGGAGAAGAGCTGATTGGAGCTAAGACAAGATTTATGTCCTATTACTAACAGGGTTAAACTATGTGACTAATTGTGTTTGAATAACAAATGGAAAAATGTGCTCTAAAAACTCATTATGTAGCTGCACGAGAATCTTTATTGGCTGAAGGAAAGTGTGGCCTGTCAAAGTGCCCACTGAGCTTGTCTTAAGTTCATAAATAAACAAGTTCCTAATAGCATTACTATACTTTTTCTTCACCGGCACTCTTCTCTAGGGTGCCCCTGGGGACACCCCGCCCTCTTGTCTCAGCACCTCTGCACATTTACTGTAGGAGTCAGTTCTCTGCCTGCTCTTGGTTTCTGCTTCTTCAACATGTGAATCTGTTCTTGGCATCACACACCACAACCAACTCACTGGGGCCTGTGGGGTCAGTGCGCCCCACATGTTGCCTCAGTTGCCCTTGCCACCACTTCACATTTCTGCATACCTGGCTTACCCACCCGTATATGGAACAGCTGCTTCTGGGTGACAAGCCCAACTCTGGTCTCACCAGCTGCCGTTGTGGAGAGAGGACAAGTGCCGTGACACAGGACGAGGCTGTGGTGGCTGCTGTCTCCGGCCCTAGACTTCCTGTTCTGCAAAAGCAACTCTCCTTACAATAGAGACCAGACAGATTTGGTTTTATTTCTTGCAGCCAAAGGCATCCTGAAAGCAGGTGAAGCACAGTGTCCCACGCTTGCCAGGAGAAGGACTCCCCACATCTCAGCAGCTGGTGTTACTACTGTCATTACCTGCAATGTTGTGGAGTTGGAGTCTGGCCCCATGCCCAGGTGCCTTGACCTTCTCAGTTGAAGACCAAGCCCCTGGCAGTCCCAGGCTGGTGCATGGCAGGAGGGGCAGCTTCCTGGCAGTGGAGGTGCTGTCCTTAAAAGCCCCTGGGCCTCCTTTTCAGAGAGGTCTTCCTCTCCGATGGTCATGACCCAGGATGTGCGAGGCACAATCAGGAAACCGAGGCTCCCTGATAAGTGGAATGAAAGTCTGCCAATACCTCCAAGAAATGAAGGGTTATTCAGAATTGGATGCTAAGCTCCTCCACTGCCTGCACAAATCCATCTCCTTTCAGCAGCAAATGCCAGTGTGTGCTGCATTTGGGGGGTGATGCTTCAGCCCCAGGCAGGAGGGGGGACAGACTCAGAGTGTCTTCTCCAAACTCAGCAGAGTGCTGACCTCAGAGGTCTGGGAGGGGCAGGAAGAAGACTAAGGCTTTGGGCTCATCTAGATTGAGTACAATTTCCTGCCTGTACCTCTAGTTGGCTGTGTGACTCCAGCCAAAGTATTTCACCTTGTGGAGCTTCAGGACCTTGGTTTCACCATATGAAAATAGTCTCTCCCTTGCAGCATGTGGAAGTGCTGTGAAAATTAAATGTGTAGTAACCACCAACGGATGCTAAAAAACAGGAAAATTAAGATTCTACCTGATAGAATCTCTTAGAACCCAAATGTGAGTCTTGGTCTAACATCACCTGATTCATCTGAAGCCTCTTCCTTGTCCATCTGGAATGCAGAGAAGCTATTCCTTATGCTTTCAGGTGATGCTCTTACAGACACCTGAGCTAGACTCTCAAGGGAATCTACTTCAACCTTTACCAATTTTGCAAATTCTCTTCCATAACATAGATTCATTTGTTGATTCATTACATTTTCAGTTATCCCTTGACTTAAAACATTTCTTTCAAAGGCCCACTCGCTGTCCCTGCTCCACGGGTGAGGATGACAGGGAAGAGGGCCCAGGGTGCATCCTCAGAGCTGACATGGAGATAAAGCCAGCACAGCCTGGGAAGGGCAAGGCCACTCCTGCTGCAGAGTGAGATGCTGCTGGGACATTCCAGTGACAGGAAGTGGGACCCCAGGCAGCCCCCTCCCTGGGGATGCTGACAGGTGAAGGGACCTTCCCCCACAAGGAGTAGGTGGCACCTCCCTGTACCTCTCTGGCCCTTGTTCCAGCCTCTGGACCCAGAGAGTAGGAGGCATCCCTCCCATGTGTGTGCTGTAGGAAATAGCCACAAGTGCCCCAAATGATCCTTAACCACTTCCCATTTTCTCCTTTGCCTCCTGCCACAGCCTCTCACCATCGAGTCCCTCCACTTGGGATGAGTGCCATGTGACTAGGGTCCTTCTCACAGGGATAATGGCATCCAAGAAAGAACACAACAAAGCCACTAGCTTCTAGAAAACCTATTTCTGTCAGAGCAGAATGGTCAAGCCAGCCACTCAGGAAAGGTCATACTGGACTGCTGACTGGAGCCACGTGTCTAACTAACTGAGCCCTTCTCTCACAAGCAGCAGTGGCTGCAGCTGCCATCCTCTTGGTGATACTTTTGTAGCTGCATGTGCAGACATCATTTTGAAAGCCTATTTAATGTAATCCTTTTTAGATTCGGGCCATCATCCCAGCTTGCTGAGCCCTTAGTGGACGCCAGATCCAGTGCCCATCAGGGAAAGCCCCTGGCATGCCAGGTGCAGGGAGACAATGCAGACACCATAGGAGTCACCTCGCAGGATGCCACAGCCGAAACCAGCAGGCCAGGACCTGCCTGCCAGGGTGTCTGCTTCAGCCCACACAGTGCTTACAGACACTGAAATGTGCAAAATGTGGAGAGTTCAGGTCTTCAGTGGCAATTCTGATTTCTCTCAAAGCATCCAATTTTCTGGTGACACTGGTCCCATGCTCCTGCTGGCCATGCTCGGCTGATGGGCGGTGGCTGTGGACACAGGGCCCCTCTTCCCTAGCGTGGACACCGACGCTCAGTCTTGCCTCGAGGAGCTACTTCTGCCCTGACTTCTGATGTCGCTGAGCTGACACCCTCCTCACACAGCAAACAGCCAGGATCAGAATGCAGGAACCGAGAAGGCCTTTGGGACAGCCCCCCTACAGGGTATCGTACCCACCAGCCTGAACAGTCAAATGTACCTATACACATGGCTCCCCTCAGCCTCTCAGAGCCTTCTGAACTTCACCCAGCACCTGCAGGAAGAAAATGGCACCCCACTCACCTTTCTCTCCTCTCCCAGGACCTTAAAGAAGTACAGCAGAGGGAGACAGTCACCAGGCCGTGGCGGGGGGCCAGCCCACCTGCCAGGGTCCTCTGCAGTGTGTCTGTGGGGGCAGGGGGGACAGCTCTGGTATTTACCCAGGATTGTCTGGCACCTGGCCCAAGTCCCAGGTCTCGGAGCACATCCTTCTGTGGTGCCCCTCCCTCCCGACACCCGAGGCCAGCTCCAGGCACACTGCATGGCGCTTCCTCAACTCAGAAGGCCCCGGAGGGTCTGACGCAAAGGAGGACCACTGCAGCCAGTGTCTGCCAGGGCACCAAGATCAAAGGCAGCCTCACCACAGAGACCCAGTGGCACCAACTAGACCGTGAGCCCAGCCTCTCCGGCCGGAGCATGGTGCTTGGCCTCAGGGCTCACAAGTCTTTGCTATATCAATCACCCTTACCACAACAGCCTGTCTTTTCAAATGAGTCACAAAGCAGTTAAAAATACCCTGTTGATTTTTACCACAAATATCCAGTTTCCTGAACAATGACTAATTTAATTTCACCACCTTTTAGAGGAAAGAAATTAAACACTCAGAAAGAAATTCTTATGTATTTGTATTTTTGGTAAGTCAATGACGAGGTATTATTAAACTTAAATAAATCAAACCACTGAATAAAATTAAATGCCATTTAATAAATGATGGAATCATCTCCACAGAAGCTATACCTTCCAATGAAAGTCACTCACTGCTGACAAGGAGGACTGCTGTCACCTCTAACAGACACTATGTAAAACCATACATCACGGTTCCTCTATGCACTCTCCCAGAGCAAAGGGGGATGTCTGCTCTAACATCAGTTTTTGCCTTCCGTGAGGGAATAGGTCTGTGTGCTCTCTCACTTTAATGGTGAAGCCATAGAGTACAACCTCAGGTAAACGCAAGACCAATAGACTCTGGCTTAAATATTAACAAGCCAAAACATTGCTGTTTTAAAATTCATCATCAACAACAAAATAAAACAGAAAGCCCAAGAAGTCTAGAAAGACAACTCCAAAACATCTCACACTATTTATGAGCACCCAAACACCAGTGAGGGCCCATGAGCCAGTGGCAGAGGTGCGTGGAAGTGCCTGGGTTTACTGGCTCCAGATTTCCATGCTTCCACCAAGGGTCTGACCGGCCCAGGTTTGGAACCCATAACACGTTGGACAAACTGCTCTCAGGGCTCCCCCTGGCCAAATGCTGAGCAGCTGCAGGGCGGGTGCCACCCCACGTGGGGGTAGCAACGAGCCTGGGTGGGACCAGGGAGGTGAGACCGACCCTGCACTGCTTCTGTAGAAGCACCTGGGCAGGACCCCAGACCCAGAAGAGGAAGCAGAGCCTGGGCAGGGTGAGGAAGTTGAATCCAGGGCAGGTGAAGGACAGCCAGGCAGGAAGGAATGAGTGGGCTGTCAGACGGTGACATCCCAGCACGTGGATCTCCGATCAGAAGTAGCCCCCTTTGCGCCGGTGTACGTCTCCCCCACAGCTGGAGGATCACAGGTTTGAAACTCAGCTATTCCCGCCAACCCAGATGACTCAGGCAAGCCCCATGGGTACCCTTAGCAAACTCAGCACAGCACTCAGGAAGAACCTGGCCAATGCAGGGTCACGAAGCCAGGGTGCAGTCATCGTGGAAGAACTTGGTAAGCCTGCCTGGGGCTGCTGCATGCTCTGGGATCCCCAGGGAGAGGACGCAAGGCAGCTGGGGAAGACCTCCCTGTCCTTCTAGATAGAATAATGGCTGCTCTCTTTTGGCACATGCCTGCCACGTCTTAGACTACCAACTACTCCATCCTGCTTCCTCTCAGATAGCTCTTCACTCTGTCACCATCGTGCTAAGCTCACGAGAGCAGGGCCCACTTTGCGGTCAACCTCTTGGTCTCAGGGTCTGGCAAAACACCCGGCCCGTTGTAGGGGCTCAAGGTGAGCGAAGGCAGAGAGCTCAGAGGGAGGCGGCATTGGAGGAATCGCGTGCTGTTGAATAGGAGGCTGAGGGCTCTTCTCTACCCATGACTACTCCCATGCAGAATTTTCCCTCCCCTCCTTCCTTTCATCAAGTCCCATTGGCCCGTAGCCTTTACAGGGCACTGAGCTTGTATCTTACATGTCTAGAAAGGAGACACACCAGAGCTGCAGGTGGAACTCAGATCCGTGAGGGCCCACAAATGCTGCAGTGAGACCACTGCCACTCTCCCACCCTGTCCCAGCACGCGGGCCAGGGGGCTCAGCATGCTGTGAGGAGCGCCAGGTCCACATCATGGTAGTTGCTTGCTCTCAGACCTGGGGTCTCTGGACACCAGCATCTGATCTCTTATCACATTACGGAGCTACCAAGGAGTCACTTAAAAAGGAGAGAGGCAGGGCCAGGCGCAGTGGCTCACATCTGTAATCCCAGCACTTTGGGAGGCCGAGGTGGGCGGATCACAAGGACAGGAGATCGAGACCATCCTGGCTAACACGGTGAAACCCCGTCTCTACTAAAAATACAAAAAATTAGCCGGGCGTGGTGGCGGGCGCCTGTAGTCCCAGCTACTCAGGAGGCTGAGGCAGGAGACTGGCGTGAACCCAGGAGGCAGAGCTTGCAGTGAGCCGAGATTGCGCCACTGCACTCCAGCAGCCTGGGCGACAGAGCGAGACTCTGTCTCAAAAAAAAAAAAAAAAAAAGGAGAGAGGCAGAAGAAAGGTACTAATGCCTGTGTGGGAATTTCAGAAGGCTTTGCCTACAAAGCTTGGGCAAGAATGATTTTTCCTTTCTCATGGAAGTTTAAATATCTCTACTTTTTCCTCCCGTTGCCTTCTTCATGAATCTGCTATTTAATAGTGAACATAATGACATGAATGAGGAAGTTTCCAATCACCTCACTATCCCATTACCTTCCATAGATTTCGTTATGCTTTCTTCTTTTCCTACGTTAACTGAGTTCTTCCCTGTGAGCAAAGCCACTTTATGTATCGGGTCCACTTTGTCAATTTTTCTACTACTTCAGAATCCTTGACTAGACCTTGGTCTCAGCATTACTTCCTCTGACTTGAATGAAGGGAAGAAGAACATCAGATTTCTCTTTTCCTCAAGCAAGGGGCAAGGAATGGAGCCAAAGCTCTTTGCCCAGCACCATCCCCCACCGTGATCCTAGATCCAAAGCCCTGGGAAGTGGCTGGAGGTTGTCCAGCACTTGCTACCGACTGCACTGAGAAAACACACTTTTCATGAGATCAGAAGTCAACACCAAGTACAGATAAAGAAATATCCCTTCAAGCAAGTCGGGAAAAAAAAAAAAAGAACAAAGAACAAGGACTTTCTACAAGTAGTTCTAGTTCTGAGTGAGAAACATCCTTCCTGGTCGTTTCTGTGGGCTTGAGGACACGAGTGACACAGACACCAATGCCACGTTCTCATGGGGAACAAGCTCTGATCCCAAGAAAAACACCAGCAGGCAAAATTCCCCGGTTTCCTTGTTCTGCTTACAAATTTGGACAATCCCTGGGGGTGGAGGCCAATTTTCTTGCCAAAGGCTGAGAGAGCCAGATAATATTTTCATGGTCTTATTTTAGAATGGGTAGCTCTGTAAACAACCTCAGTGACAAAACCCACAGACAGCTTGTCTGGATCCTTATTTGAAGCAGAAGGTCACCAGCGAGGTAGACATCCCAGATGCACTTTAGACATGTGACAAAGTGCACAAGCCCAGCCAGTGCTGGCTCCCAGATGAGGGACACTTACCTCACCTTCTAAGTTTTGATAGTGCCATAATGCAGCCTGCTCCGGGGGCCTGAGGTCAGAACGGGACCCACACTTGGGAGCCAGCGGGTATTGGAAAAAGGTCTCTCTCTCAAGAGGACAGACCTTGCATGGCACAGGACAGGCAGATTTGCAGAGAAAGGGATGGCTGGCCTGTCTTGCTTGAGAACAGCAAAGGTAGGGAAGTGAGAGCAAGTAGGGAGAAGAGATGATTCAAGTAGAAGGGCAAAATGACTTCTAAATATGCATTTAGCAGAAGGAAAGTCAAAGTCCCGGGAAGCCAATCAGCACAGTGGCTGCAATCACAGGCTCCGATTCTGAGGCCGGGTCACACTCAGCCGCACCATCAGGTCTCAGCCACACTCAGCTCAGCTGCTTACAGGGGCCTCCCTTCCCTCAACTGTGGAACAGAGGGAACATGCGTACTTAATTCATACGGGATGGCATGAGGAGTAAATGAACATATAAATAAACAAAAAATAAACATATCCACCACTTACGACAAGGCCTGGCACACAGAAATCCCTCACTCCATAAACATCAGATGGCGCAGTTGTTCTAATGATCACCTCCACCCCTAGGGGTCTTCCTCCAGAGGCTGCAGCCCATCCTGGCTCACAGCCCTGCCAACCGGTGGGGAGGAACTTTCAACCCCTTTCTCTGCCAGTTTCTCTGCTAAGCTGACTTGTTGGCTGTTTGACCTTGGACACATTACTGAAATGCTCTGTGCCTCAGTTTCCTCATATGGGGACAATGGTTGTGTCCTATCTACTTCATGGATCTACTTTAAGTAGAAACTACAAGTTCAAAAAGGAGGTTATTGCCCTGCGGGTCCAATGGAAACTCTTCTGCTTTCGGCAGATCATATTCAAAGTCAGGACTACAAGACAGAAACTCTTCAACTCCTGTGTACTGACATCCAGGTGCCCGGGTGAGCCCAGCATTTTCACACCTATTATTGAGCCAGTGGTGAAACTTTTTCAAAGAACTAAGATTCATCTTTAAACATCAAATCATTGTTATTATTTGCCATTTTTTATGAGACTTTTTCTAAAATATAAAGATAAAACAGAGTTTTGATCAATAATGAAAAGAGGTTTAATTGGTTCATGGTTCTGCAGCCTGTACAAGAATCATGGTGCGGGCATGTGCTCGGCTTCTGATGAGGACTTAGGAGCTTACAATCATGCCAGAAGGCAAAGCAGGAACTGGCGTCTCGCACAGCAGGAGTGGGAGCAAGGGGAGGAGATGACACGCACTTTTAAACAACCAGATCTCGTGAGAACTTACTATTGTGAGGACAGCACCAAGCCATGAGGAATCTACCCCTAAGATCCAATCACCTCCCACCAGGCCCTGCCTCCAAAATTGGGGATTACAATTCCACATGGGATTTGGAGGGGACAACATCCAAACTGTATCGGCCTCATAGGACAACAAGTACTGTGACAACAAGAAAAGAACTGAGAGAGAAGATCCCAGGACTTCCCGCCCTTCTTCCCAAAGTAATAATCTGGCACATCTGTGCAGATCCCAATAATCTGGCATATCCCTCAGCCTGGGCTCCAGCCAGGGGCACACTCACCTGCTTTGCGGCGGCCTGGCTCGGAGGTAAAGAACCCGGCGTGAGCACAGGGGGGCTCCCAGGGCCACAGAGTTCAGGAAAAGGATTGGGGATGGCCGGCAGAGATGAGGTTCTAAACTGCTGGTCTTCCTCCTGAAGGCGCCTGGAAGGCAGGGATAAGTGCCTGTTAAAAGCTGCCATTCCCCACATGACCCAGCCTTACCACTGTGGTGATACACCCAGAAAGCAGGACACAGGGCTTCTAGGAGTCACTGGCATGCCCACGTTCACAGTGGCATCCTTCACAAAAGCCAAAAAGTAGAGGCATCCCAAGGGTCTGCAGATGGATGAATGGATGAACAATATGTGGCATATCCATACCATGGAACACTACTCAGCCATGAAAAAGGAAGCACATTCTGACACAGGCTACGACACGGATGAACCCTGAAGACATTATGCAGAGTCAAACACACCAGTCACAAAACCAGAGACACTGTGTGATTTCACCCAGTGAGGTAGGTAGTGTATTCAAACCCATAGAAAATAGAAGGGTGGCTGCCAGGGGACTAAGGGGAGGGCAATGGGGAATCGCTGTTTATTGGGGACAGAGTTTCAGTTTCATAAGATGAGAAAGTTCTGGAGATTGTACAACCATTGTGAGTGTGCATTAATACTACCGAACTGTACCCTGAAAAAAACAGTTAATATGGTAAATTTTATGTTACATGTATTTTACTAAAACGAAAACTTTAAAAAAATTACAAGTTGTCATTCTCAGACCCAAAGGGTATTGGGTATCAATTCTCTTCTTCATTAGGCATCGGGGGCGGGGGGCGGGGTGCCGAAGTTTTGTTGTCCTGGGTGCGTGCTCATCTCAGGCAGCATTCAGTGCCTGACATGGCATCAGCTCCAAATACCTCATCCGTTTGATCAGTGAATACCTGATGTGTGAAAGTTTTCTGAATATGAGCATTTTCATGAGAACCAAGTGTTTTTCAATGTCCTTGAAATGAGCATTAATCTAATCAAATGAAAATACAAGAAAAGGCTGTGTGTTCTCATCTGAATTATGCAATGGATGGTTACTTATATAAAAAGGTTGTTGACACTGAATTAACTGGAAATTATAGCTTCATGTATCTGTCCTCGCAAAGCCTGTGTCCACATTAGAAACACACCTTGGAAACACACGCTGAATCCACACACCACCTCTACTTTCCTGGCACATCTCCAGGGGCATCTGTTCCCTCCTCCGAAAAATGCACAACCCACTTGTCACACAACTATGCAACACACACACAGTATGACGAATCAGAAGCAACTGTGAACAGCAGAGAAATCAAGTTCAAAGTCAAAGCGAATGTCAAGTGTCTGGCACCTCCCCTCTGTAGAGTAACTTCTGGCCCACACCTCCAGGGCACTCCTGGACACACAGCCTCCTCCACCCTTCCTGAGGCCACGCGGCCCTGTCTGCAGCCTCCTACCTTCAAGGAGAGGGGAGCAAACCTCACATTATCTTCACTCGGCATTTCCAATCCCTCCCCATGTTTAAACATACCTCAGAAACCCCCATCATAGGCTGTGTCCTCAAGTAATTTTTTTGACAATTTTTACGATTTCACAAAATCAACAATCCGTTAGCTTTCCCAGGAGATTTGCCACTACAGAAACACATTTTGTGACTGTATTACTTTTTCTCTTTTACCAACTTTCCCTATTTTTTAAAGGAAGATCCAGCTAACTATCCCACGTAGACCAGCAAATGATGCATGGATTTAAAATTACGAGAACTCACATGGCATGAAGGGAATCAGTGCTGCGAAATACAGGAAAGCCGTTCCTATAATGGTTTGATGACATGCCATAAAGTTTATTTTTACTGTGAACAAATCCCACTCTTCCCATAACAGCTTCAGCCTTGGCAAGGCGTCCAACTGAAACGTCTGGCCATTGTCATACAGGAGGAGATGGATAAAACGGGTGGCCAGTGCCACTTTCCCATCCACGGCTTCTAGCCAGTGACTTCACCCCAAAAAGATAATCTGACGTTTTAGTGTCCACAAAAGCTTCTCTATTTATTGGGTTGTTTTGAGCATTTTAAAAAGTCCTGTGTTGACTTTAAAGCGGCTCAGAGACATCGCCTAAGGCAAGACTAAGGGATATCACACAAAGACAAAAAATCCCCACCAAAGAGGCTCACAATAGAAGGGACAGTGACTATGGAGAGGGGTGCTGAGATTTAGGGATGTCAGGGATGGTGGCAGGAACTGCAGAGCTGAGGGGCGAGGTCCTTCTTCTCTGTGCCTTGGCTCACTTGTGTTTGTCTAGAACACATGCGTGGCCCTTGCACTCTCAAAAGCCTGGGTTCCTTCTCTGTACAGAATCGGCTCACCCATCGGCTTTCCTATGTGCAAAGCCTTCTTGCCCTTCCCAAGTGTCTCCTCTGCCCATACCCTGCCTGCCCCCCAGCTCCCTTCGGGTTGCATGGCAGCCCCCGGTAAGTTCCTCTGCAGCGTGGACCATGCTCCGTGACCTCTGGTACCCAGCAGCCTGCTCCATGGCCACTTCCCACCTGATGTGGTGAGCCCAGTTACCGCCCCGCTGTGCCACGGTTTCCTCAGCTGGGAAGCGAGGGTAACCCACACTGCCTCCCTCCGAGGGCACTGATAACAAGGAGGAGCTCATCAGCATCTGCACACAGTAAGCACTCAGCAAATGGCCTCACTTCACAAAATAATCTTTGGTGATTCCAGATTGATCTCCACATTTTTTTTTAATCCACCTGAAAGTAAGAAACAAAACTACTTATCTGAGAGGACACCAGAGAGAAGACATTGGGCCCAAGGAACAGCACCTGTGACCCTGTAGGGAGAGGGCTTTGCTGTCCCACAGAGCAAGCCTGCCCCTCCATCCCAGGGACTTAGCGCAGGTAGTCCCGGGGCACATATGGGCGAGTTCAGCCAGAACTCGAGGTTCAAGGGTCCTGGGCAACTACTCCAGCAGGGAGGCAGGCCTTCTGGCTTTCCAGCCCACCCTCGGGCACCTTCGCCATGCAACTGCACCTCCATATTCCCAGGCACTCCCCAAGGCTACTGTGATGCTCCCAAGAGATGCTCCCAAGAGAAAAACAGCTCTCCCACCAGACTTAACTCCTCAGGAGCTAAGTACAAGGGGTCACGCTTCAAAGAGCAAAGTTGAACAAACCCTGGGACAGGCATCATTCAGCATCAATGAATATGACAAAAAGTGAGAAGTCGGAGGGGAAGCCGGGGTGGGAAGCTGGGGAGGCAGCTGACCACGGGCGCCAGGGCCGCTGCACCCTCTCCCCTCCGTAAGAAACAGCTGCCACCTGGGGCAAGGTGATTATCTGGGCTGCGGAAGACCCAAGATGTCAGACCACAAAGAAAACTCTCAGAAGTTTCTAGAAGCAAGAAGAGCCCAGGAAATGAACAGAGCTCCCCGGAAGATGGGGTGCTGAGACAGAAGGCACCAGAACCCCATCCTGACAGAGGCCAGTGAGGGCAAGGGGCAGTCCCAGCAGAGATGGCTGTACATCCTCCGCAAAGGCCCAGAGAGGCACGCAGGGTCCCACGGAGCCCCACGCCATCCCGACTGCGACAGGGCAGACAGGCGGATCCTTGAGGGCTGCCCCTGGCTCTCAGCTTGATTCTACAAAGATCTTCATTCAGAATGTCTAAGGTACTCTCAGCACCTTCACCTTCGACATGACCATTCTCTAGACACCCTCCTCCCAGGCACTCGAGACAAAATCCAAGTCACCCTCCACACACTCTCTGTCTCCTCACAGCCCTGGCAAAATTCAAGTGCTGGCAAAACGCAGCTGCTCCTCCTCAGCAACGTGCTCAAATCCCCCCTCCTTCTTCATCCTCAGGCAGCGCACAATCATCTCCCATCCGGGGGCTCCTGAGACCACTTCCAAACCGGCCATGCTCTGCCAACCCTGCTGCCCTCTACCACTGCCCCCACGACCCCTGGCAACCAGAATGCTGGTGTCAAAACCCAAACCCAGCCCCTTCACACGCCTGTCCAGAACTCTTTCTCACGTGGCTCCTGAAAAAGGCACACAAAGTGCTTCAGCACCGGCCCCCATCTGCATCATCTCTTCTGCTCACAAAACCTCTGCCTCCATCTATCTGAGCTCCTATCACCCTTTGACATCCGTTCAGAAATCCTACCTCCCAGGAACCTCCCTCAACGTCCCCAGCACGTTCCTCCCTCCAGCCTCCCTGTTTCCACAGAGATGTGCCTACCCCTGAATTAGCAGAGGAATGTGGCAAAATGCAACTCTGAGGGAGGTCTGGGGTTGCACGACAAGCTCCAGGGGGTGCTGTAGCTGCTAGCCTCCCGTCCCTACTCTGGGTAGTGAGGACTTGGGGCATGCAATCAGCTCCATGGCTGTTCTTCCAATCTTTCCAGAGATTTTTCCTCTGGTGGTTTTCCTGCATATCCCTCTACCTAGCACAGTGCCTTGCACATAGCAGGCACTCAATAAAAGGTACTACTGGAATTGAACTGGCTACAAAGTTCAACCCAAGGGCGGCACACTGCACACACTCAGTGTATCCGTTATCCCATCAAAGCAATGTATCTGCCTCTTGACTTTGCAAGACCAACACTATTCCCCCCAACACCATTTAACTCACAGAGAGCAGTGTCCCTGCCGACAGCTCTCATCCTTGGAGAAGGCTCTGCCCATAAGGCCTGGACCTACCTGACAGCGAGGATGTGCACAGGCTGGGAGCGCTGCACCCTCTGCCTCGGGGACACCTGTGGCTGGATGGACCGAGGAGGGCCTGAAGCCCGAGGCTGGCTGCGGGCATGCTGGCCATTCTGCAGGAGGGGCACCGTGTCTGACTGCATGCTGCAGGCCGAGTACAGGCTCTCCAGGGATGCATTCATATCGTTCACCAGGGCTTCCAGGTCCACATCATCCTCTGCACAGAAAAAGGCAAGAGCAAAAAAGAAACTTTAACAATGGAGAGCAATCAAACCCAAATGTACATCTTGGTGATCAGGTTCCAAACCTCAATCCTATTTTTCAAATATTATGGAAGGGGTAGAGGGGAAACACCAAGACAAGTATGACTGTATGGAAGCATGCATATTACATGTATTCATCATGACTGACATTCCAGAGACAATTCAATCATTAGAGCTGGGCTGCATTTCTACCTGTCTCCAGGGAGAAGCCATTCAGAGCATCTGCTCAGCTCCCTTCAGCACCCCCTTCTCTCCTCCCCACCCCCTCCGGTAGGCCGCACACAGCCACAGCTGCATAGCACGACCCCACTGGCCTGGACTCAGCTGACTGAATCACAGGTGTCTCCCAGGATCAGGACTCTCCCTTCCCTGGGATTCCAGAAGTGAAACAAGAGACAGAAACAGAGCAGCACCCAACACTGACACTGGTTCCAGCCCAGAAAGGTTAAGTAGGGGCTGACACTGTGGCAGGGGTTTGTGTGTGGCTGCTACTACAACACATGCCTGAGGGCTTCGGGTGCCCACCCATCCTCTCGATTGGCCAGAGTGCAGAAGGAAGCCCATCTTCACAGAGGAAGGCATGGGGCAGATGCAGAGAGAGAAGCCACAATGGCACAGAGAGTAAGTGAGAGAGAGAGCGGCGGAAAACGCACTGTAGAAAGGGAGGAATGAGCACGCAGAGACAGTGATGGTTGGTTTTATGTGCCAACTTGGCTGGGCCATGGTGCCAGGTTTTAGCTAAACACTAGACTAGATGCTGTGAAAGTATTTTTTAGATGTAATTAACATTTAAACCACAGACTTTGAGTAAAGCAGATTGTTCTCTCTCATGTGAGAGTGCCTCAGCCCATCACCTGAAGACCTGAATAGAAGAAAAAGACCGGCCTCCAAGGGGAAAGATGGAATTCTGCCTCCAGACCTGAGCTGCAACCCTTCCCTGGATGTCCAGCCTGCCAGCCTGCCCTGCAGATTTTGGACTTGCTAGCCTCCACAGTGTCATGAGCCAATTCCTAAAACACATGTGTCTCTCTCTGTATACAGCCTATTTAATGGGTCTGTTTCTCCAGAGAAACAGAGACCTAGGGCTACAACCCAGCACATGGAGATGGGGAGGGGTTGGGGTGGGACGGGGAAAGGGAGCCAGGAGCTAGGGCTGTGCAGCTTCCGGTGCTTCCTAAGGCCTGGCTGCACTCCTGCTCAGGGAAGATTGGTAAAACATTCTTGCATCCATACAATAATTTTGTTGTTGTTGTGCTTAAGCTAATTTGAGTGAGTTTTGTACGTGTAACCCAATACATTCTAATAATATTGACTCCTTTCTTCTGCATTTTTAGATTTTTCGCTTTTTGACATCATGGCAAATAATGATGGAAGCTCACATAATTCGTCCTCTCTTCTGCTCCCAGAATAGCTGCAAGTTACACCCACTTAACACACAGGGTCACAGACAGCAAGACCCTCTTCCTACCAAAGGCTACATTGGTAGGAAGGAAAGCAGAGACCGGCACTTGCAAACTTGCTCACCCTGCCCTGCTCCTAGTAGCTCTGGGCCCAGGGCCCAGGACGTGGGCTTCCTATTTCTTAAGAGTCCTCAACTCTAACATGAGCTTAGCAATAGTGTCCACCCCACCGGGGGGGGGGGGGGGTTGTAAGGACTAGGTTAGTTATTATCTGCTTTATAACACAGCTTGGCACACAGTAAACAGGAAGATGTTATTTATTAGCCCTATTTCATCTATTTCTTACAAAATAACAAAAAGTGATCGTTATTAACCTGGCTTAACAGCTGAGGAAATAGGCCTGGAAGAATTAAATCACCTGCCCAAGGTCACATAAGCGGTATTGAAAATAAGCTTTGCATCCCTCATTCTCTCCTACCAGGTGTGTGCTCCTCACAGAAGCTTCAGAGGGGCACTCTGCCCTCTGGTTAGGAAGGCCTTTGTTTTAAAGGGCTCCCCTCATCTCTCAAGGCTAAAGGGCATAACAAGACAAGACATAAGGAAACAAAACAACAACAATGAGGGAGGGAAGTCCTGGGCAACCACGGTAGTGCAGAGGGGGTATGGAGTGGGCAGGGTCACCCCCGGGGGTAGTGCTTGGGCTTCTGGAGTGGGTGGGACAGTAGGAGCAGGGTTTAGCCAGATCACGCTCAAGATCCTGGTGAAGACAGACAGATAGAAGGGAGGGGTGAGGACAGAAGGGAGGCTGCTGAAATGGCAGCGATGAGATCACTGAGGCCTGGCCAGCACAGCCCTTGCTGGAAGAACAGAGGCCACATTCAAACCAGGGCCAGGGGAGAGGGCAGGGGCTGGGGAGCATCAGGCTGGAAGAGGAAGGTTGCCTTAGAAAAACAGGGGTCAGATGGATCCGAAGATGCGGACTGGGTGAAATCAGCAGCTGAGACGCAGCAAGCAGGGCCCTGTGTGCCCAGGATCTGTGTGGAAGGAGGGAAGAAGAGAGATGTTGCCATGGTTCAGGTTGTGAGTGGTCAAATATTAATCCTGGCCAGATATTAAAAGGACAAAGTGCTGAATCAATAATTAATAATTACTGCATAATCAATAATTAATCACAAGGAAGAACACTCAGAGTCAGCAGGCGAACTCTTGCTCATAGCTGGGGTGAGGTGGGGTGGGGAAGAGTTGGTTGGCAAAAAATCAGGACCCCTGGAGGGGCAGGCATGTACCTGCCTGAGCTACCCGAGGCCCAGAAGGCTTGTGGCCTCAGGGAGAGGAGAGCCTCACTGCCAACTGCTGGAGCGAAAATTGCAGTCCAGAGAACTCTGCCTGCCAAAGACAAGACCTCAGTTCTGTATTTATTGAGACTGCTGCATCCATCTTGAGGAAAAGTTATAGTGGAGACCACGAATCTGGGGCTTCAGGAAAGTTCTAGAACGTATGCATCACGCACCCACTCATCTCCTACACTCCTATTTAGCTGACAGGGAATAGCTGCTTAATTGAAGCTCTGCAAAACAATTAGCACGAGCGCCACTCTTAACTTACCGTATTAACAGCTCAATATTTCTATCTCAGTGGGCCATCTAAAAGTCAATACTGGCCAAAACACAAAGTTCACTGTTAAGTATAGTCAGTCTTGGGTGATGCAGGTTGGTCTCAATGCCACACACGTGCACACGTGCGAACATGTCCACACACATGCACACACTTGCACACACATACACGTGTGCTGTGGGGCCACTCTGCCAATTCAATGCCAGGCTTTTAATCCTGCTTTGGAAATAAAAACAGTGGTACAGTTCCTACTCTGAGACTGTTCTCTTCTAGGAAAATAACATGTTTTCATTCCCTCTGGGGAATTTTCATGTGCAGTTATTTCTCTCTATGCATTCCTAACAGCCCCTTGGCTGTGCTCCCCAGGCAAGCAGCCCCCGGGGTCTCCTGTCCTTTTCCTGCTAAGCCTTCTGTCAGTCAACCAGATCATTCCTGGGTCATAGCTCTGCAATTAGGTCAAATGCAAAGTAATTCTGTCATTATTCAAAGTAAATATAAGGTAACAGATGCCAAAATATAAACACAACACATATCCTCAAAATGCTTTTACTCTCCTCTGAGGTGGATTATTTGTACAACTATTTTCTACTTTAATACATTCAATCATGAATATTTTCAACAAAGCCAGGTCAATCTGGTAACTCAATAGGTTATAATCTTCATAAACTGAATCCAACCACTCTATCTGGATGTTTCAAACCTTCATACTTTCCAGAGCCATTACAGCAAAAATAAAACTTTTTAGAAATTTTAAATGCCATACTTTAGAAACAACTGTAAAATGTCCTGTGGGGTTCATTAGCATTTTATCTGTTTAGATAATAAAATCAATTATGGTTCTCTGACTTGTAAGCTTCACTAAATTCTAACGAAGAGCGACAGTTAAATCTTCCAAACAGGGGTTTTAAAGGTTTGATTCAAAAGAAGACAATTTTTCATATTCTACACCATTTTTTTTTTAATTACTACATTAAGATACGACTGAAATCACACTGAGTTCTTACAAGCATCCCTATGGCGTTTATTCTGTCAGCTGGTCTACCTCAGTAAGGACTCTGTGTGCCACCTCTGTGGGTGTGGTCAACTGCAAAATTCTTGTCTGGTCCCATGAATCCAAGTGGATCAATAATCACCCATTTGTGAAAGGCCTTCTGCCACGTAACAGAAGTGGGAGAAACAAGTAAACAAATGCTTCTCGCAGTGAATATTCAGATTGTCTATTTAATGTTAACTTGACGCCAAAATATTTTCCATGGGGCTGCCCCACTGGGAGGAATAGTGAAAGGTGAAGAAAAAAATAATTTTATATATAAAATTTCACTTCAGACGGATTTATAAGAATGTATTTTCTGCACAAATATAGGTCAAACAACATGGCTGTCAATCATGTTATTAATAGTTATTTTCCTTCTTTAAATAACCCAGTCCAAAACTGGGTATTAACTTTGCCCCAAATATTTGAGTAGCTTGTCTGATCTCAAATTCACATCTCATCTAGTTTCACTGTCATTAGCAAACTGAGGCTGGCTTAGTTTTAAAATAGATATAAACTCAGCGAAACACATTTGCATCGGGCTTATAAATCATCACGAGTAAATGTCTTCCATGCAGCAGGCTAGGTGTGCTGACTAGGAAAAGGCAAAGAGGACAGAGAAACTCCGGGGACAGAGGATTTAACTTCTAGCACCATCTCACCACCTTCACCAATACATTTCTTAGTTTACAGCACCATCTAGTGTCTTCTTTACATTGTTTAGGGATTAAAGATGACACTGGATTCACTTTACTAAATGATTTGGCAACATAAGGACATGTTATTTGCACCATGTGTTTAGGACGTGTCCATTACGATCCCTTCTTCACAGACCTACACAAGCTTCCATCAGTGTGCGATGCCTTCAGAGCTTTCTCCACTACCCCCTTCCCCCATTTTCATATGGAAGATATACCCTGTTAAGTCATAAACAGCTGGGGTGGGGGTATATCATTAAGTCAAAGCAGATTCAGTCCCTAAGAAACAGATAAATGGCACTTTACATGAAAAGTCTCTAACACATGTGCAAAAGCCAAAGTCCTTACACATTTCTATCTAGAAAAGAAGTGAAGGTCAGGCTGCAAAAGTGTTTTCCACTAGACCATGTTCACTTGGCAAGCAATTTCTGTTAACTTCTAACCAATTAAAACTTTGTGCAAATATAACTTAACCTTCTACTGAAACAGCTTTCTGAACAACAATTTATCTTCTATTCTCATGTATTCTAGTCACATGCACTTAATTTCCCATATATAGAGTTTGGACATAAGTAAGTAGAATAAGAAAACCAGGTATTATATGGTTAGAGTATTCTTCTCTATCATATTTATGGTATTTAAAGATATTCAGCAAACACAAAAGCAAACCACCTAACCACAACTCCAAATAAAAATACAAATGGAATCAATGCTTTATTTCACGGGTTCCTACACACAGGCAGGATTTGAGGCAGAAAATAAAATCCCTAGAATTAGTCTGTCCAGCAAATGCATATAAATATCCTTGTACCTAGAAAGAGCTACACAGTCATAACTCTTGGCTTTCAGTGTTTATAAGAGAAACTTCCTTCTCCCAACCTTTGTTGAAAATGGCATCCTCTCCTCTCTACCCAGCTCACAAAAGACAAGGGGAACCACCATTTTCAGTCTCTAGTAATTGAGAAAACACATATCAACAAACTGATGAATTTAACAATTTGTAAGAATATACGTTTTTTGGTTTTTCATTATGTACAGACACATCTGCAAAAGAGTCGTGGCCTATGCTAATGGGCAGTGGCAGGGCTCCAATCAGTGCTGGTGCCTATGGAGACTCAGAAGTCTCCACTCCGACTCCCAGGACCCACAGGCCACATGGGCAGAATCGCCATCCAAAGCATATTCAAAGTTTGTGATGACATAAAATGGGACAAAAATAAACATATATCCTGGGCATAACATAGTTAGACAAAGCTAAAATCACAAGGATCCTCTCAGTCTGCTGAGGCTACACTCACTTGTTCCTGATTACTATTTACAGGTGGTTTCTTAATTATTTTTCTTAGAATGTTTTTTTTCTTCTCCTAAGACAAATGCAGGCTAGTGTATCCAGGAAGGCTGCATGCATATTTAATCCTATATCCAATTCCCTGAGGGCAGGGGCATTGTCTTCTGCTACCTTGAAACTCCATCCAGACCCTCCTCCAAGAAGATCCCAATATGACTTACAGATCCAGGGCCCTACTCAACAATTCTACAGATAACACAAAATATGGAGACTACTGATTCTCTGCTTTCATAAAATCTGTCCTCTGCTCTCCTTAAAGCTACATTTAAATATACACATTCTTTCTAAATAAAGCACTACCCCGCCCTTTGAGTGTTTAAGTATCTATGGCTGCTATTTAGATTCAAAGCAACTAAGAAGCGACTGAGAGCCAAATCTCAGTCTACAACCACGAAGATGAGGCACAGAGCAGGCACAGCTCATGAGCTGCCTGGCAGGGTGCAGAAGGCTGGGAGACAAGAAGGGGAGCCCCTCCACGGAGAAGCCTCCGGCTCTACCCCAAAGACTACCATCGGATATGCAGACAGCCCTGAGCTGCATCCCTGGCCCTTTTGGACTTTAGGCAAGCTGCTCCAGTCTTCCGGCCTCCTCTTAGTCCCAACTCGAGGGGCGATGGTGTTTATGGCTCCCAGGATGCCGCCCGACCTTAAGGCTCTCCAGACCCTTTCTTCTTTGTTTCCTTGAAAATGTGACTGTTAACAGTGGATAGAGAAAAACCTGTATTTTACAAATGAGCTGCTAAAATCATATCTCCCTTGTGGAAGGAGAGAGGATTCTTACAACGCAACAACCAGGAAATGATTCTGTTGCCAGAATAATCTGGTTTATGAGCCTCTTTCCTCTGTGTGCACACGGAGCCTGCCATGAAGCACTGAAAAGACTGCCTGGGCATCTGAGTGTATTTGAGTTTATGGGGCTCCTTCAAAATGCAAAAGTAAACATTTGACATGCTTTCTTCAAGTTTCCATTTGCATTTTTCACGTTTCACGGGGGCTGCACCCTTGCCTTCCATGTGAGGTGTAACTTCCCCTTTTAAGTCATTTTGCCCTAGCCTTCCTGCTTCTGCGCCTGGTAGGAGTTTAATTTCACCAGCCAGGGCTGCCAACCTAATAGAATTTCTGACTCTGGGTGTGTCAGTGCTGAGCAGAGGAGTCTCTGAGCCCCGGGTTGATGAATCCTGAGTGTGTCAGGTGATCCTTAGAAGAAACAGAGCAGGAGATGGTAGGGGGCTTTGCTTTCCTTGGCTGGAGGCAGCCCTGCTACCCACTCAACCCAATGTTTCTGTTGCCCCCCAGCACTGGCCACCTTGGGAACCAAGATATTGGGAAGGGACCTGAAGGGCATAAGGGAATCCAGAGACTCTTGAGAAGGGATCGTAGCTCACCTCAGAACGCCTGGAGCAGTTGGCTAAACACAGCAATTTTAGGAGCCCCTGACCCCTTTGTCCAGAGTGTGGTGAGTCACTCCAGTGAGGAAGAGAGTTTGGCAGGTGGCAGCCTGCCTTGGCATCTGTTTGGGTAGATTGCTAGGCTCTGCTCATTTTGGCCTACACCTCTGCTGACGTTTTCCCCAGGCTCTGGGATTTAGGTGGGAAAAGTCATTAACGTGCCCTCAGGCAGGGTCAGAGCCATGATATCTGCTATTTGGTGTTTTTGGGTAAGTGTGTGAAAAGGATTGGTAACCGTATTTGAAAATCAATGATCATGTCGGCTCAACATCACCCGAACAAAGGGATGACCCTCATTTTTGCTTTTTATCTTTCAGGCCTTTAGTATTTCCAGTTAAGTATTTGACAAGTTAAAAACCAATATATATACTACTTTGTTTCTGTACTTTTTGGCTTGTCACTTTATAGCAGTGGTTTGAAAAGTTTTAAATCAGAAATGAGTATTTACACTTTGGAAAATATATTTGAATCAGAGAGGAAAGGTGGCCTAAGGAATGAGATTTCATGACAGAAAATGGTTTTTATTAATTAGTAACTGTCAGCATATATTTTCTGGTCCAATTCAAAGGGGAGGGAAACATAAATCTGTTAAATCTCAACGCTCACACTGAAATGTTGCAATGGGGAAATTTGGGCTTATTCATATTCAATAATTAAATATCTTCAAAGCTTAGAAGAAATACAAATTTGTTTTTCTTTCTTTGTTCTATTTTTAAAAAGTAAAAGCAGGTATATACCCCCCAAAATTGAAAGTAGGGACTTCAACAGATAATCGTACACCCTTGTTCACAACAGCACTATTCACAACCCAAAGGCGGAAACAGCACAAGTGCCCCTCAACAGATGAACAGATGAAGAAAATGTGGCACATATACACACAATGGAATATTATTCAGCCACAAAAAAGGAAGGTGCCTCTGAAACGCACTAGAACTCAGAAGAACCTTGAGGACATAATAAGCCAGTCACAAAAGGATAAACACTATCTGATTCTGCTCATGGGGTCCCTGGAGTAGTCAAATTCCTAGAGATAGTGGAATGGTGGTGGCCAGGGGCTAGGGAAGGAAATGGGGTGTTATTTATTTGATGGGTACAGAGTTTCATTTTTGCCAGATGAATAGAGTTCTATGGATGGATGGTGGTGAAGGTTGTGCAACCATGTGAACGTTCTTAATGCCATTGAAATGTGCATTTAAAAATGGTAAGGATGGGCTGGGAGCAGTGGCTCACGCCTGTAATCCCAGCACTTTGGGAGGCCGTGGCGGGTGGATCACCTGAGGTCAGGAGTTCGAGACCAGCCTGATCAACATGGCGAAACCCTGTCTCTATTAAAAATACAAAAATTAGCCAGGTGTGGTGGTGTGCACCTGTAATCCCAGCTATTCAAGAGCCTGAGGCAGGAGAATCGCTTGAACCCGGGAGGTGGACATTGCAGTGAGCTGAGATCATGCCACTGCATTCCAGCCTGGGTGACAGAGCGAGACTCCATCTCAAAAAAAATAAATAAAAAACAAAAAATAAAAAATAATGGTAAGGGTGGTAAATTGTGTTAGGTATATTTTACCACAATTAAAAATAATAATTAAAAAACAAACGCAGTTTTTAAATTGAATTGTTCCCAGGTTACCCTCCAGGTGATGCCAAGCAGATTGGCTTGTTAAAGGACCAGGACAAGGCTAGTCATTTCCTAAGTTACACTAAACATAGATTCCTCTTCCTAGAAAAATAAGAATTTTCAGTATAAATGTGTATGCTTCCCCACCAATCCTGCAGAACATGGCAGGTGGGATTTTAAAAAACTGTTTATCTTTAATGACACATGCAAAGTGCCGCCGCCAGTGGAGGCTCATTAAATTAAACTTATAAAAATGTAGAAAGTCTATCTCCTTTTACACACAGCTGGGCCAACAGCCCCTCACCCATTTCCCCAGGACAACTGGTAGCAAAGGCTAAAGTCTAGGACAAACTTCAGAATCAAATGCAGATAGCCTGGCGGCCAGACAACTGCAACTCAATCATCACCAAAAAAAAAAAAAAAAAAAAAGGTAAGGTAATAATTAATCACTCTGTACTTTGATTCCAGTGAGATTTTTTTTTTAATTGTGGTTTAGGGAGTTGTACAATAATTATATTTAAAAAAAATAAGGAAAGCAATTCATCTTAGCGATTTCATCAAAGACCTGGCATCCAATGTTCAGTGAGCATCCCCTAGAAAAGCATGTAAAGTTTCCTTTTCCTTGGTTTCATCCTGCTACACTGCTGCAAGGAAGCACCTGGGCATTACTAAGATCCCGTCAGGCCCTTTATGACTGCCTGGACTCTGCACCATAGAGCCTATACAACACAGGAAAACAAATTTTCCACTACCAAAACATTACAGCCTGCCCAGCAAGAACCAAAAACCTAAGCTAAAACTGCATTTAATATGCACAGATTCAGCTAAGCAATTTCTATCTGTACTACTCAAAAGACACTTCGGGAGTGACAGAGAAACATACCCACAAAATATTACTCAAAAAGAGCAAAGGATTAACTGTATCTTTCCCAAGTCTTCCTTAGCCATTTGATCTGTTTCCTCTCAGGCTTTTTATTTCAATTCCTAACTCTTCTATTACATCACAAGTCACGGAGAAGCAGAAGTACAAGAAACTATATAAATAACTTGTCATTCTGGAAGGTTCTCATTTTCCATGAACCCTAAAAATATTAGCCCGAGAACACTGGAACTGAAGAGGGAAAATCCAGGTTATGGTCCAAATTTCTGTCACTCACTAGCACTGTGCTCTCTCAGAAAGTCCATTTTTTAAA
Source organism: Homo sapiens (assembly GCF_000001405.40). Lineage (NCBI taxonomy): Eukaryota > Metazoa > Chordata > Mammalia > Primates > Hominidae > Homo > Homo sapiens. The sequence goes on from NC_000007.14 coordinate 50,685,053, forward strand.
GGTAAATTAGACACCGGGGAATCTTTACCATCACATCCAATGTTAACACTCTATGATTCTGTGGATTTAACTCCATAAATTTAAAATCCATTCATTTACCCGATATTTTTCTTCATTCAACAAATATTTGCTGAACACTAACTACATCACTTCAGGTATTGGAAATACAGATGTTAACAAAACAGAGACAAATCCCTGCCACCTCGATGCAGTGACGTCTTAAGCAACGATCTTTGGAAAAGGATTTACAAGGCTAAATATAACATAGCAAGAAAGGACAGGAAACTGTTTTTACTACTTCTGGAAAAATAATTCCCTCCACAAAGAAGCTAAAACCTGCTTCAGTTAAGTGGCAACTAAAGGAGAGACGAGGGGGTGGACATATCCCGTAGGAAAGAGTGGGCACCCAAGGGCAAGGGGTACTGGAGCCCGAAGGAGGGATCCCAAGCCCCAGCGTTCTGCAAGAGAGGTGAAGGATGAGTGGGAAGTCAAGGGAAGTGCAGAGTCGAGTACAGTGTGCGTCCTCAGATGAAGAGTTTCTTGGCAGAGTTCATGACGCTCCCAGTTTATAAAAGTATCCCAGAGGCCAGAAATTCTCCTAGGATGGTTATGCACACTGCTTGGCAGAGAGAAGAGTTTTAAAATGAGATCTCTGTTTACAGACAAGACAGTCAAGTAGAGGGCATTCAGCTCTAAAAAGAGCCTGAATTCTAAGGCATCAGGATGAGAAAAGTCATTCTAGGAGAACAGTACCAGGCGATTCCAAGAAATGGCAGTTCTCCAAAAACTGAAATGCCCAGGAGAGAGGAGCTGGTTTTCCAGAATGTGGATGGAAATGCAGTGTAACCAGAAAAACAGGACACTCCAGATGGGCCTTAAGGGGCAGATGATCTAGAGCTGTAACCCTCAAACCGCCAGATGCATGGGGCCACCTAGGAACTTCTGGGGTGGGAAAACCAGTTCCTGAGATGCACCTGGCATTCTGATTCCCAGTCTCCGGGGGTGGGCTCAGAAAACGAACAGAGTTCCTGTTAGGGTCTGAATATCTGTGTTCTCCCAAAATTCATGTGTTGAAATCCTAACCTCTACAGTGAAGGTATTAGGAGGTGGGGCCTTTGGGAGGTGATTGGGTCATTGGGGTAGAACCCAAATGATGGAATTCGTGCCCTTATAAAGCCCTGGAGAGACCCTTCCCCATTCCACCATGTGAGGACACGGCAAGAAGACGCCATCTGTGATGCAGAGGGAGAGTCATCATCAGTTGCCAGATCTGGGAGCACCTTGATCTTGGACTCCCCAGCCTCCAAAGCTGGGAGAAATAAATTTATGTTGTTTGTAAGCCACCCAATTGATGGCATTTTCTTACAGCAACTCAAACAGACTAAGACAGTTCCAAAATGAATGCTTACTATTTTTAAGATAATTATTTTTGAGGTGCCTTCTGAACAATGCTCCAGGGAGAGGGGATGCTCCAGGTTTTGATGAACAAAGTATGGAACAAGCACAGGGAGAGAGATTTCACAGTGGGGAGTCATGAGAGAGGAAAAGACTCATGTTTTGATTTTTATTGTTTCTCTCTATAGAACATTACATTATTAATCAGCATGACAAACAAAAGCCACCATTTTTTGAGCACCTGCAAGGTACCAGATACTATGCCAGGCAATTCTCATAGTTCAAGCTTTTCCTCATCTTCCTACCAAACCAGCCAAGCAGGCATTTTTATATATTTCAGGAGAAGAAACTGAGGCACCCAAAAACTTGGCTACCAAGACACAGAGTGGAGAGTCTGCCTAACTCCAAAGTTGCACATACTGCCTCCTTACGTTTTAATAATTTTCTTTAGTTTTTTCCTCACTAAATGTAAGTTTTATTTTTTTATTTAGATACCTTCCTTTGTCAGTGAACTTGAGTTTCTAGAAGGCCGGAGCTGCCCTTGCCTCATGACCTTACCCTGAGTCTGGCACACAGCAGGTGCTCAGTACACGTTAGTTGAGTAGGTGGGAAATAGATTCATCAGTTTCCGTCAATCAAGCGGTAGAATTTTCCCGAAAGCCAGCCAGCCAGGCAGAGCTCCCAAACTCTCTGGAGGCTGCTGTATCTCCAAACTTTTAGTTTCTTGGAAAAAGGCCCAGAGGGTAACCCACCAGGTACATAAATGCCAGATTGTCTTATTCCAAAAATGGATGGCATGTGTCCAAAGAAGAGCTGTTCCAGGCCCAGGAATCTATTGGCAGGATACATTCCCCAGCAGTCAGGCCTTACCAAGTCTACCTGACCATGCCAGGCCTCCCTGCGACTCCGTAGGCTCCAGGAGTGACACTCAACAAGCCCTCCTCTATGGCGAGCCTTCACACCTCTGCCTTGAATCCTGCCTTGCCCATCCCAATAGTGTTTCTGTCCAGGAAGTGCAGCGAATTCAACGTCTGCCCTGGGCTTTTCTGCTCTGAGAAACCCCAGCCACCTCTTGCATGCACGCTTCCCACATAAGCCCAAGCCTTTCATGTCTCCACTCAACCCTGGGTGCAGCTCCATGCATCTGCGGATCCTGCCGTAGGGAAGACACCATTTTGCATGTCACTACCTTCTTCTCTGCTTCCGCATGGTGTCTACAAAACAACAAATCTGCTGTCCTTCTAAGGCACAGCAGCTGCCCATGATGTAAGGTCAGTCTCCCCCTCAGTACCTTGTCCTGCCAGCAGAGACCACAATGGAATATGAGAAGTTGGTGCTTGGTGGGATGCTGGGCGCTGCCCTGGGAAGATTTCTATTTCCAAATGGAAGGTGAAAATAAGTGTGTCTGACACATCGTGTACTTACTGCTCACATCTCCAAGAAGCATAGACACTTAGCACTCAACAAAGCCAAATTCAGTATTGTATTTCACAAGTATTCCTCGTCTGTTCTGCTCAATGCAGTGTATGCTGGTGAAAAAGAGTGGTTCAGATTGAGAAACCGTGGAGGGGAGGGAGGAACAGTACAAGAATCTAGCACTATGCCAAATGTTCACATATGGCATCTAAGTAGCCTTATGCCAAACCATGAGCTAAATGCTATCAGCCACATTTCACAAATGAGAAAACCAAGGTCAGCAAGGCTAAAACACACACTCAGCACCACACAGCTATGAGTAAAACTTGATTCCTCCTCTGGTTTAACTACAAATCCAACATCTTTCAGTTTTCCCAGATTTAAAAAACAAAAAACAACATGATCCCTGGGCTTAAGGAACATAAACTGCAAAGGCAGACATGTATTTGATAATTTAATAAAGTGAAGTATGACAGGTCTGGGGGAGAAGTAAAAAGCCACAGGGGATACCAAAGAGGAAGCAGCTGCTTTTAATGGGCAGAGGGAGAAAGAGAAACATCCAGGGAGAAGGTAGTGTCATCTTTGTCAGGACCAAAGAATGAGAGAAACTTAAACACTCAAAAGAGGTTAAATCATTCCTGGCTAGGGGCAGCCCATAGACAAAGGCCGGGGAGGGCAAAAATAAACAGCGGTTCCAGAAAGGTAAGCTGTCTATGCAGCTGGCCCAGGTGATGTGTGTACAGGAAGGATGTGAGAAGACGCCAAAGAGTAGAGTGAGGACTCACTCCTAGGCCACTGAATCCCACTCTCAGAGAAGACAATGGTGTTCCCAGACTGTTTAAAAAAAAAAAATCTGACAACCACACAGAATGGCCAGAAGGTGCAGAGGCAGGCAGTGAGTGACAAGGGTGGGGGTCGGGTGGGTGAGGGGGGGCAGAGGTGGAGCAGATGTTGAGTGAGACCTGGGAGAAACCGAACTGTCGGCAAGCACATGAACAGGGAAAGATGGATTCCAGGTCACTGCAGAGTGCACCAGAAGTAGGGGTGGAGGTTATCAGGGGCATACTGTGAGTCTGTGACAGGAAGTACTCCCAACCAAGGAGAGCTGGCCATGCACAGAGCCTGCTCCTGCTGGAGGGTGGAGGCCAGGAAGAGTCCAACCAGACAATTTGCCTTCATCTCTCTCCGAAACCACTCCCTGCTTCAAATACCCACAGTGGATTAGCCTCAGTAATGACAGTCTAGAGTCACTGGGAGTGCCCCGTCCGCTCCAAGGTGGGGAAACCATTTTGCCATGATGCAGAAATCTAGCTGATCCCCCCCATCAGTAGCTGGGGTGCTGCAGGGAGTCCCCATTCAGGGTGCTGAGTCCCCAAGAGGAAGCACACTAGTTATGCAAAGGTACTTTCAGCCATTTGGTATGCAAGTAGATTAGAAGCCTGCTGCAATTATTTTTCAGTGCATTTAAAAATATATCCACAAAGATGGGAAGGTTAATGGCTGGGCACTAACTTCCTCTTGTCATTGCCCCCTCACTCTTTGAACAACTCAGGACTATCGTGAAAGACTTTCTTGGTCAGGCTGAATCCAAAGTTGAAGGGGTTAAGTGGCCAGTCCATGCAGGTTGTAAGGGAAATAGCTGGGGATGGGGGGACCACAAGGCAGGCTCCTGGCTCCAACACTTGCTGAGTCTCGGGGCGCCCTCGAACACCAAGCATTAAACACCACTGAAATGTCTGCTCCTCAGAGGATCACTGTAAGGATTGACTGCAAATGTGCACACAGTGTCTACCCATGGGTAAGAAACTAACATTTTTGAGGACCTCCTTAAAGATGGGATTAATTCATAGTGGGGAATATAATATTAGCCATGTTAACAAAAGTGATATTGGAAACCTTGCTAAATTGCTTCTGAAGGCAATACTAGTACATTCTGTAGCAAATGACAGAGGGTTTTTTTTTTTATTTTTTACTTGTAATCTAACTGAAATTCTCTAGTTTGACATCTTCCTTTGGGGATAGAGTTTAAAATTGTATAAGAAAGATAACTCATGCCAAAATAAGGAAGCATTCTACTTATCTGGAATGACTAGACTCTGGCTGATTAGTACTGGTTAATTGTGGTTAAAAAGGAAAAAAAAAAAAAGAAAAGGCTGGGCGCGGTGGCTCACGCCTGTAATCCCAGCACTTTGGGAGGCCAAGACGGGAGGATCACCTGAGGTCAGGAGTCTGAGACCAGCCTGACCAACATGGAGATACCCCATCTCTACTAAAAGTACAAAATTAGCTGGGCGTGGTGGTGCATGCTTGTAGTCCCAGCTGCTCAGGAGGCTGAGGCAGGAGAATCGCTTGAACCCGGGAGGTGGAGGTTGCGATGAGTCAAGATCGTGCCACTGCACTCCAGCCTGGGCAACAAGAGCGAAACTCTGTCTCAAACAAACAAACAAACAAACAAACAAAAAAAACAGAAAAAAAAGAAAAAAAGGTTAATTTAGGCAAAGTACAATATAGTGGAAAAATATAATACAGACATTGGATTTTAGGAGACAGAATATTCTCATTTCTACCTAGGGGAAATTTAAAAGTATTCTTTCATCACTGATCTTAATGAAATGAAAGAATTATTTCTTTCTAAGTTGTACTCTGCTACTTCGAAAAAGGATTTGCACTTCCTTGGACGGAAACGGTCCATATGTTGTGGATCATTAAATCAGAAATGACTCACTGCTCACCACTGCATCCCCTGGGCCTGGGCCCCAGGCCTCCTATCGCCTACACGAGCAACCGATACTTGTTTCACAAATGAATGAACGAATGAACGAATGAATGAAAGACACAGGGAAACTGCGGAGCAACGGGATGAAAAGCAAACACACCAGGGGAACAGAAAGAGTTGCTGGGATAAAGCCCTCTATTGAGCTGCAAGCATCCTGACAGCTAAAGGAAACATGAAACATTAATGGAGTCCAATTATCTGCCAAAGGGGACCAGACAAAAGAGTGGCGTGAACTGTCAGAGCATGGGGAAGGCGAAGGCCCAGAATAGCTGAGATTTGAAAAATTACAAAGGATGACAATGGCTTTTTCAGTTCTGCTCCAAATAAGGACCAGGAGGGAGAGGTCTGCTGCTTGCCTAACACACTGGGGCAAAACAAAGAGAACACAGGCTCCTCAATGCCTTTTTTGTTCCTATCTTCCTTATTAAGACAAATGATCTTCAAAGTGGAAAGGAAGGAATAAGCACAATTAAAGGGAAACCACTGTCCCAGGCAGCGGGGGCAACTGTAGGGATTCGATCTACTGCTTTCAAGGCCAAGGAAAACTCAATCCCTACAGTTGAAATCTTGGTTTGAGCCACTGAACGATCGAGGAATCAAAAAGAAAGAAAATACTGGTGGACTTGGATAAGGAAGGAGGGCTAATCTAGAAGCAGAATAGTAGAGGGATGAAATGCTTAGAGGCCAGAGCCCACCAGTCTGGGTTCAAATCCCAGCTCTGCCACTCTCAAGGGCTGTGATCTGGGCAACTCCCCTACTTCTGGCTTCAGTTTCCTCAGTTTCCCTATAAATATGGAGATAATAATTGTGCCTACCTCATAGGATAGGTAGATTCAATGGGTTAAAATACGAAGCATAAGTTCTTAATAGGTTAGGAACCTACTACTATAGCTGGAGAAGTCACTTAAACATGTAAGAAACAGAGATGAAGGTAAGAAATCATGACATATCTAATAAACTATACTATCATAATTTAACTGTAGGTTGCAGAATAATCATTAATGACATGTACAAATGCTATTATTTGGTGTGGCATGACTCCATTTCCATAAGGCAGAAATAAAATATGGGCATTAGTTATTTTGTGGGAAAAGGATTATAGATGATTTTTCTCCTAGCTTTTCTGCATCTCAACCCGAATAGAAGGTATTTAGTGTCTGGGGTGGGGGCAGTCACAGAAATCACAATTATCATCAACTTTGGCATCAGTGTGCAACCGGAGACCAACATTCACTACTTTTCAGGACTATGCTGAGCGTTTCAGAAAAAGAAAGTTACCCCTGGAAATAGCACAGTTTCACCATGAGAAAATGATACTAACAAAAGTTACTTCTGCACAGATACAGTTAGCCCCCCATATCCACAGATTTAACCAATTGAAGATTGAAAATATTAAGAAAAACAGAGTGTACTTGCACATGTACAGACTTTTCTCTTGTCATTATTCTCCAAATAATTCAGTGTAACAACTATTTCCACAGCATTTACATTGCATTAAGTATTATAAGTAATCTAGAGATGATTTAAAGTATAGGGGAGAAAATGTGTAGGTTATACGCAAATACTATGCCATTTTACATCAGGGCCTTGAGCATCCTTGGATTTTGGCATTTGCAGGAGGTTCCTGCAGATATCAAGGGACAACTGTGTACACACACACACACACACGCACACATATATATATAATGAATAAAATCTTCAAGATTTTTTGTGGATAACATAGTAAAAGATGAACTAGATAAGAGGACATTAGAGGAATCATGACACAATATGCTGTCTTCCTGCTTGAGTTCCTGTTCTCTCATCAATCATGCCCTCATCCAAACTGCTGCCGATATCTCATGAATGGCAAGGCACAGCAGGAAGACAGGGCGCTAGGGACCGGTTTCTACCTTTGCTTGCCTAGAGTAACCAGGACTTCCCACAAGAAGGGGAGAGGCAGGGGCTCAGGACCTTTCTGGAGTCCACAAGTCTATTAATTGCATGTGAGTTCAGGAATTCATTAAATATCTATGAAGTATGACTTCAGACCAGGCAGTATAGTAGAACCTTGTGGTATATACCAGGCAGTATATATGTCACAGTAAGAAAGACATGTGTACTGCCCTCAACAAATCTATGATCTAGGGAGAAAGGGAAAAATACAATATATAAAATAATGCTCGCAACAGGCAGCTTATACATATAGGTGTGTGCAGGGTGGCTCCTCTAAATTAAAACCTGAGATGGACTTTGGCTTTGATTCCCATCCCACCACTGAGTTAACACCTGTCTGTGACTTCTGGGCAAGTTATCAAACCTCTCAGCCTCAGTTTTCCCATCTGTAGCTCTGATGAGGAAGATAAGACATGCAGGGAGGTTCTAGCACAGGCCTCAAAGTCATCATCAGCATCATTATTTTTGCCAATAATTATGCATGATGGGTACATGCAAACGAAGAATCTAAAGTGCAAAGTGATTCCTAACTTACCCCCAGTCAAAGAGCATTGCTGGAAGAGACTAAAAGACAGAAAAACAGCCAGCCCAAAGCCAGGCTATGTCCCTCGGCACCTAATGTTGCTAAGAATGGCTTCTTGGAGGAAAAAAAACAAAATTTTTTCTTGATCTATTTTACCTTCTCTAATAATTGGCATTCTTTTCTAATTTTGGTCTTTTCCTCTTGACAGTCTCTCCACTAAGAAATTGGTGCTTCTGAAATAGTCCATTCTCCAATCTTTTTTCTACACTTCCCCTGTTACTAGAAAGGAAAGCATTGCACCAAATACATTGCTACAAATTAAAGCTGCATGCCTATAACCAGTATTTCTGGCTTAAAGAAAACCAAGAAAAGAAGCTAAAGAAACTAAAGTCAGAAAACAGCCGTAATGGGTTGGAGAGGACCCCTGAACTCCAGAGCCTGAAAGACATTCCTCAAGTCAGGAGTTAAGTGTTTGTGTAGGATGTCTCCAACTGAGAGAATGAACTACTTACACTTCCTGGGTTATGACTCCAGCAATCAAGGAAAATGTTTTGATTCCAGCTCAGGAGGCTTTACTACGACAATCACACACACAGCCCTGTTCTCCAGACGGAACAAAGGCATGATGAATGTGTGTGCTTTGCAGGCATGGGATTGGGGCGCCCGAGGTACACACGATGCAGAGGAGACAGACACAGAAGGCACAGAGGCTGGAAGAGCAGTCTCCACTTTCAGGCAGGACCATAGCCTGCCCTGCCCACAAGGCTAAAGCAACCACACCAGCAAGGAGAAAGGGAGACCCAAGCAGTTGCAGTCAGCAAAGAAGAGAAGCCAGCTGGAGCAACAAAGTGTCTCTGGCCAAGCAGAAGACAAAAAAAGCTGGGCAGAGACTCTGCAATGCTTCTGTTATGGAGAATAGAGGGAAGTGGGTGGGTGGGACCACTTCGTCTGTGGTCAGAAACTCTGCAATCCTGGCTCATGCCTGTAATCCCAGCACGGACAGATCACCCAAAGTAAGGAATTCAAGACCAGCCTGGCCAACATGGCGAAACCCCGTTTCTACCCAAAATACAAAAATTAGCCAGGTGTCATGGCACATGTCTGTAATCTCAGCTACTTGGGAGGCTGAGGCACAAGAATTGCTTGAACCTGGGAGGTGGAGGTTGCAGTGATCCAAGATAGTGCCACTGCACTCTAGCCTGGGTGTCAGAGCGAGACTCTGTCTCAAAAACAAACACACACCACCAAAATCAGAAACTCTGCAATCCATCACGAGGCCACTGATACCAATACAAGAGTAGGGGGCTAGGGTCGATTTGTGACGGGGTATTTGAGGGGACTAAGGACATGCTAAAAATGAGTTTTGGGCTCTCTGCCAAACTCTCATAGAGTGGATCTCTCAATAGAGTGAATGACCTTGAATGACTCTGGCCAATAACTTAAATTCTCAGATCCTGTCTCCACCCAAACTAGGCTAGGTGAGATCTCACAGGATGAAGAATCTGTGGTGTGTGCAGCCACTCATCCCTCACCTACCCACAGGCTGGCACTGATTACTGAAGCCTGTCTTCCTGGGGATGAGACCTCAGACTCCCCCAAGCACTGAACTCAGGGGTCTCAGAGCACCTGTTAGTAGGAAAATTCTGCAGTTTGGTGAGTACACTGTAATGGCACAATCATTCATTTCAAATATTTAATTTATATTACTTTTTTTCCATTGTAAGAATAACTACATTATAGGTACATTGAGAAACTGCAAATAAGCCAATAACAAAAACACATTTCTCACCCCAAGAGGAATGCCATGATAGCAGATAGACTGTCAATCTCTAAAAACTTGACAATGAATGTCTTCCTTCCCTCTCTCAGCTCCTAACCTCTCTGCTATTAGGAAGCCCCCAGATCCTGAGAGCTTTAGGCTCTCTCCCTCCCCGTGCCTGGGACACACCTCTGCATCCTCCCAGGGTATGATCCACTGGATGTGTCCCCCACCACCTGCTCAGACCATGACTTCTCCCCACTGCCTACACACTGCCTCGTCCTCAAAGATCTACAAATATTCTTGGGAAATAAATCAAGAAAAATACTCAGAGTGAAATAAGTCAACTTCCTCAAATTTCAAACTCATCATCTATTCATTTTCCAACTAGTGGTGCCACAAATTGCTCCAGACTGATGTATCAACATCAAAACCACACATTACTGATAGCAAAACACCCTATCTCTTGACAACTGCAAAACCTTTGAGGAAGGCATTATCCTGGATCAGTAAGTTTTCTAGGGAGTGAGAGTAACACACCTTCCAGCAAGAGGACCTATTTTCATTTTCCCTCTTGTACATGTCGTACGTCATCCTCTTGGCTGCTTTCTTTCTTAAGCAGGGGCAAAGAATATAACGCAACCTTTACTGACTTCAGTCCTCTCTCTGAGCATGATTGATGTCCACTGGGCTAATGAGGTGTAATGCTATTTGCTCCTAGGTAAATGGACTTACCCTGCTGGACTCCGTGAGTTCTAATGGCTCCTTTTGCTGGCCTCTCTCTTCCAATACTATACCGCTGCCAAAACCAACTCTTACTGAGGTGAACTTACAGGAATTTCCAGGGTCTTTTGTTCCTTCCTGTCTGCTATAGGTTTAGATAATAAACATTCAAAGTTCTGTCATTGTATTTTTAAATAAAATGAAAAATAATAGTAATTATATTTTTATTTTCATTATGAAAAATTGTTACATTTGTTCAAAATTTTTAAATGCACAATATTACAAGGTGAATAAAAATCACCCATAATCCCACCACCCAAATTAAACATCATTATATAAAACATATATTGTGCTCTTATTTTCTCTTTCTACAAAATTGGGACCATACAGTACCGTAACCTGTTTCCCTGTTTTTTTCACTCAGTAAATCTGAGCATCTTCTCAAATTACTAGATATTTAACATATTTTAAGACAGAATAATAGTCTATCATCAGTGTATGTAATGTTTATCTGATCAGTCTTGTCTTTCCCTATTTCCTTTATTCTAGGGGAATATGCTATTGATTGAATTGAAATGGATATACATGCACACACATGCACACGTCATTGAAATAAATTCCTGGAATTGATGGGTTTAAATGTATGACCTTTGCAAGGCTTTTGTTAGACAGTAGCAAACCGCCTTCCAGAATTAGACCCACTTCTTCGCACTCACCAGCAAGAGTTACTTCTTAAAGAGGGCACACCATGGCAGACATGATATCCTGTGCTTTACAGACGCCTCTTTCCAGTTCTCACAACAACTTCACAAAGAAGGCACTGTTGTCCCATGTTATAGACAAGGAAACTGAGGCTCAGTACACAAGACAGCAGAGTTTCAAATGAAACCAGCACTCACTGGCAGCCTCTCAGGCTGTTACCACTGCACCACACGGCCCACTAAGCTCATGAGCCTTTGGGAGCTCTCTACAGAGTCAACTCTATCTGCTTTTGTACACAGACTTCAACATCTCTTTTTCAACCCTTTGGGCATCTTTACTCAATTGGGTTCCTGGTGAGAGGCATGGCCAGGAATCTCTGCTTGGGTTATGAGCAGTAACAACAATCAGACAAAATTTGCCTAAAACTGAGAGGCCAAACTTCTAAAAATAAAACTTCACATCTCAAAAATATTGTTAAGGAAAAAACTAAATATAGCATTACCCTACAATCCAGCAATTCCACTTCTAGATACATACCCCAAGGATTTGAAAGCAGGAACTCAGACCCTTGTATGTCAATGTTCACAGCAGCACTATTCCCAACAGCCACAAGGTGGAGGCAACCCAAGTGTCCCTCCCTCAACAGATGATGGAAAAATAAAATGTGGTCCATCCACACAATGGAATATTATTTGGCCTTCAAAAGGAAGGAAATTCTGGCACATGCTACAACATGGGTGAACCCTGAAGACATGCTGAGCGAAGCCAGTTACAAAAGGACAAATAGTGTATGGTCCCACTTACATGAGGTACTAAGAACAGGCAAATCAAGTGACAGGAAGTAGATTAGAGGTTACCAGGGACTGGGGAGAATTATTGCTTAATGGGTACAGAGTTTCTGTTTGGGGTGATAAGAGTTTTGGAAACAGATAAATGGTGATGGTTGCACAACACTGTTCACATGACCAATGCCACTTAATGTACACTTATACAAACGACTAAAATGGTTAATTTTGTTTTATATATTTTTAATAAAGAAAGGTTTTTTCAAAATCGTCAAAAGTAATTCCAGCTATTGCAAAACCACCCCCTTTCAAAGAAAAGTACATCCCTCTCTGCTGTGTGCTGCTAAGAAATGTGGGATGCATTTTTAGCAACTGTCACACAAAAATAAGCTGCTTACATTAGTTAGGAACAAGGTAATAAAACAGGAGCAATAAATCCTCTTTGCCAGATAGCAGTAACAGGTCAAGGAAAGTCACAGCTAATCTTTTATTCTAAACATCAGGTTCCATGCAAGGATCCAGGCCACTCTGGATCAAACATACCATGTAAAGCTACAGCCTATGATGGCAGCATCTGATTATGCCTCGAAAATTAAGGAAGCAGGAAAGAACCGCACTGTATGTTTGTTAGATTTGGTCATAGGTCCCAAAGCATCTCGTTAAAAAGAATCCCCAAAGTTGAACTTGGTGTCAGGCACAGAGATGGGAAAGGGAAGGCACTGACTCCTGTAGGCTGTGCTGTGGGCTGAACCACCCCCACCCCACCCCAGGGAGGGAAGGAGCCTTTGTACCCAGTGCCAGGGAGCTGCAAGCCCCAGGTCCATTCTGCACAGACTCACAGGGCTGTGAACACGCCAAGAGGGAGGATGAACACTCTGCACTTGGACCCACTTAAAAGAAGGATCTGTGTCTTTCTGTTCCATCTAACAGCCCTCAGAGCACAGGCTTCCTTGATTTCCAGCTCAGTTGGTTTCCATTTTTCTTGTGAAATGAGTATCCAGAATCAGACACAAACACATCATGCTTTCCTTTTTTGTAAACTGCCTGCTCATGTTCTTTGCCAGTTTTTCTATGTAATTGTTTATCTTATTTTATTTATAGGATTTTTTTTACATAAACAGGATACTAATACTCTGCATGTTACATGCATTTTTGTATGTACATGCAAGAAGTTACAAATTATTCTCCCAGGCTGAAGTGCGCCTTTCAGCATGTTAAATATCATCTGTAACGTCTACATAGAAATATGTAATGGTAATACAGTCAAATTTACCATTTTCCCTTTATGGTTGTGCTAAGTCTTATTCACAAAAGTCTTTCTTAGCCTAAGAGAATAAAGATTCTCACTATTCATTAATTCTTGTCATTCAAACAAATAAAAGGCATTTTGTTCTTTCACTTTTAATTATTTAATTGGCCTGAAACCAATTATTGTGTAGAATACGCAGCAGGGTTCCATTCCTTGCCACCCCATGTGAACAGTCATGGTTCCTGTAATCTCTGTTCTGCCGTGATTTCACTGTGCTGTATGTTTCCATAAATGTGTGGGTCTCCTTATGGGATATCTATTCTGGTCCTTTGGTCTATTTGTCTGGCCTTGAACTAACAACATCCTTTCTTAGTTGTGATACCACATAAGAGGGATTGCTATCTGATAGTGCAAATCAATCCTCCAAACGCCTTGTTGTTTTTCAAATTTGTCTTCAAATTCTTGAGTTTCACTCTTTCTTATTAAAGTTAGGAAACATTTTTCAAGTCACATGTGACAAAACTGTTAAGAATTTGGCTGCAACTGTATTAAATTTAAAGATAAACTTGAGAAAATGTGACATCTGCACTATATTCTGTCTCCTGATCCATGATCATAATATAGCTCTCCACTTACTCAGGTTGTTTTCATGCTCTGAAACATCCTATAATGCCTGGTAATCTTCCTGAATATACTCCTAGATAGCTTATAATTTTTGTTAATATTATAAGTGGGATTTCTTTTTATATTACATTTCCCAATTGTTTTTTCTTGGCATACAGGAGTACTATTCCATTTTACATGTTGATCTCACATTATATCTGCTTAGAGAATTCTTGCTCATTTTAAAAGTGCTAACATATCTGTGTAAATTTTCTATTTGAATAATTATTTGCAAAAAGACACATATTTCAGTCTTCCTTTCTAATGTTTACATTTTAGTTTCTTCATTTGCTTCTTTTATTACACTAAGACCTCCAGTGACAGCAGGCACTGCTGTCTAATTCTAGATGTTCATGAACATGACTCTAACAGTTTTCCATTATGTATGATGCAATGTTGTAGGTTTTTAACAAATGAATTTTAACAAGTTAAGGAGGTTTCTTTTCAGTACTAGTTGAGTACAAATTTTGTTATTATTTGTTATGTATTATAATGAGTGAAGAGTTGTATTAAATACTCTTCTGCCAGGTGAAATGATTATTTTTTTCCCTTTAATTCTGACATATTCAGTGTGTTCACTGTTTTATGATAGTAAACCACCCCTGCACTATTATAATAAAACCAACTTGGTCATAACATTTGTTTCATTTACATTTCACTTAAAATAAGGTACTGAATTTGGTTCATTAGTGTTTTACTTAGACCTTTTGTTCTATGTTAACATGTAAAACGGTATTATAATTTTGATTTCTTGTACTGTTTCAAAGATACACAAACATGGTATGAATTGGAGATCTCGTCCTCTGTGTAAGCTGTTGTCCTCTGTGTTTAAGAGTGTACACACTCTTAGCATGTTTAAAAAGAGAAATTGTTGGGGCCAGGCGCGGTGGCTCATGCCTGTAATCCCAACACTTTGGGAGGCCGAGGCGGGCAGATCACGAGGTCAGGAGATCGAGACCATCCTACCTAACATAGTGAAACCCTGTCTCTACTAAAAAATACCAAAAAAAATTAGCCGGGCGTGGTGGCGGGCACCTGTAGTCCCAGCTACTCGGGAGGCTGAGGCAGGAGAATGGCACGAACCCAGGTGGCAGAGATTGCAGTGAGCCGAGATCTCACCACTGCACTCCAGCCTGGATGACAGAGCGAGACTCCATCTCAAAAAAAAAAGAGAAATTGTTTCTTTCTTGAAAGTTTAATATCACTCATCTGCAAACCACTTGAGTATTTTTGAAGGTATAGTATTGATTACAATTTCTTCCAGAGCTGTTTCTCTATTACGATTTTATATTTCTTCAAGAGTCTATTTTGTTTTTACATTTTTGCAATAAATCATCTATCTTCCCCCAGATTTCCATTTTTTCGTTCACAGTTTTCTTGATGCTGTTTTTAAAACTTGCTAACGTGCTCTTACCATGATTTTCTTGGGCACCTTTTGCCCTCCTGAGTGTCTGTGCTACAGGTTTGCTGTTATGGTCGTTTTTACCAAAGACTGGTGTTTGATTTTGTTCCTATTGGTACTCTGTTTCAACAATTTCTGACTTTAATTTTTATAATTAATTCCTTCTACATTCCTTATTCTATTTCATTTCTGTAATTTCAATTTTTCTTTTTTTGAAGCTTAGAAAGTTAGCCTTACCACCTTTGCAGCATTGTATGACTTTCCACCTGTACTATGTTCACTTTCATTCAGTTCTAAATGATCGATATTTCCATTGCAATTTCCTCTCTAACTCATAAGTAAAATAAGAGTGGGTGTGTTTTAAAGTTTCCTCATGCATGTTTATGTGATTTGTTTTCAACTTTTTATGTTGACGTCTGATTTATTCACACTGGGTCAAAGAACAAGCATGAAATAGATTGCTTAAAATTCAGTGCAACTTTCTATATACCGTCAACTTTTCAAAAAGTTACACAGGTTTTAGAAAAGAATCAAGAGTCTCTGTCTGTTGGGTAGAGGGAGCTATGTGTGTCTATTAACTTGAGTTTGTTAACACTATCACGAATTGACTTGGAATTACTCCTACTATCTTATTTTGTATTTTGTTTAATATCTTTTTTCTCTTCACATCTTGTTTTTTCTTCCGTTTTCTACTTGATGTTGTTTGATTGTTGTTGTGTTTTTCATATATATTCCCTTATATCTTTTTCTGCTAGGTTGGGAACTATAGATTATATGCACATTCTTTTAGTAATTACAGTCAATACTTTAGACGCACCTAATATTTTTAAATACACAATTGATTATTCATCACATATTATTTTCCCATATGTGCCCTGTTTCCCTAGTATCCACATTCCGTCTTCCTCAAGAAGTACTTTTCATCATTCTTCTAGGCCAGGCACTGCAGCTCACACATGTAAACCAAGCACTTCCAGTGGTCGACATGGGAGGATAGCTTGGGGAGTTCGAGACAAGCCTGGGAAGCCTAGCAAGGACCTATCTCTACAAAATTTTTAAAACTAGCTGGGAGTAGTGGCGCACACCTGTAGTCCCAGGTACTCGGGAGGCTGAGGCTGGAGGATCACTTGAGTCTAGGAGTTCAAGGCTGCAGTGAGCTACGAGCTGCTCTCCGGCCTGGGTGAGAGAGCAAAACTTGGTCTCTTAAAAAATAAAAATAAAATAATAATCATTCGTTTGGTGAAGACTACCAGTGACACATTTTTTTCTCAATCTTTGCCTGAGAAAGCTTTATTTGGCCTTCCCTAGTCAGTGATATGTTGGCATAACATTGTAGATGGATGGTTATCCTTCCCCCTGCATCCTGCACTTGGGAGTACACTGCATTGCCTTCAGGCATTGCCCAGGGTGCCCAAGTCTTGCCTCATTTTGTCTTGTTGTGTTTCATAGTTTCTTGCCTTGTCTTACAGACATTATTCTTTCATGCATCTGTCTGAGCATTATAAACACATATTTCAAAGCCATGGTCACACTTTTTTTTGTTGCATATAGGCTAAATTGGTAATCTCTTGGTTTTGTTAGCTATACCATATTTCTTAGTATGGGACTGCTTCATGTGCTTTTGGAATGCTGGTTTGTGGATTGTTTTGTTTTTCTTTTCCTGCCTCCCCCTCCCCACTGAGTGGTCAAGTCGGGACAGTCTGGAGCTGCTGCCTCATGGAAGACTGCAAGGTTGCAGTCTGCGTCACTGCACTGGGAGGCTGCTTGGGTTAGCTCTGGCTGCAGGGCTGCATCCACTCTGTCTGGCTGCCTGGCCATGAGTTCACATGCACTACAATTCCTCCCAGGCAACGGCCCTTTTCCAGCATCTTTTGAAAAGAGGGGAGCCCCACCACAGCTCTCGGCTGGATACGGTGGGCCTGGCTCTGGCCCTGCTTCCCCAGTCACTGCCGGAGAAGGGAAAGCGCAGCCCTTTGTATTCCCTAGGACCTAGGCCAGCAGCACCCATGCCGCTTTGGGAGCCACAGCCCTGAGGAGACAGCACTATTCAATGCTCTGTGGACATGCCTGGGTCTGAGCAAGGCTGAGTCCTTTTGGCTTTCCCATTTTACATGCTATGTGTATGTAAAATGATTGAGAGGTGGCCAATGTCAAGGGTGTGCTTAAAGGTATCAACCCTCTGGTCACGGAGCAGAGGTAGGGTTCAACATAGTGACGTGTTCATCCATTCCTTTAAGCCCTGTTTCAGGTGTGGGGATACATCCAAGACTCAGTTTCAACTGCATACGGTGTAACTCCACATCAGGGAAGAGAACCAGCTCTCTTCTACACAGAATGTGCTCCACGTTCTGTGCTGCAAATGTCCCTTAATTGAACTACTTTGGTATCTGTAGAATATTTGAGTGTACAATTTAAAGACAAAGGATAAAAGGTAAGCCTTAAAGAGTTCTTTCAGTGTAATTTTTTCTGGTTTCCTAATTCAAGTATTAACCTAAGTTTTTATATAAGCATTAACACCAAGGCTTACATTATTTCCATTTAAATGAGATCACTTGTGAGCATACAACGTAACACGTTAAAATTTTCTTAAGCTTTGAAGTCAATACTAACAAATTGGTACCCTTTCCCCGCATCATGTCACTTCAAAGTTTTCTAAAAGATGATCCCAAAATTATGCTTGCCACAGAAAACCTTGACAGCTTTTATGAATCTTCTAACAATTGAGAAAACATTGCTTTGACTTCATGGTCAGATCCCAGCTTTTATTTTTATAGTCAACCTTTCTCATTAAGTAATTTAAGAAAATCTGAATATTCACATTCCCACCAGCTCTAGGACCTGTGATTTACTGTACTTAAACTCTCCAATAAGCCAAACAACGTGCCACACGCACATTTCATTCTATTTAATCCTCAGGCTCCTCATCCTACGGCAAAGCTTCCATTTATTCAATCTAATTTCCTAAGTAGTCTAATTTTCTAAAGGTAGTTCCCTTTCATTCCTTTCCCACAATGACCTCATCAGAAATTAAATATTAATAGAAGGAACAGAATCACAGAAAGGTAGAGAAAGACCAAGAGTACATGCACCCAAAACCGTCTTAATTGGAAACATAAAAATGCCAAAATCAAGAGGATTCACCTTGGAGTACCCTTCAATAGGTGACATCAAGTTGCCTTTCGGCTGAAACCTAGATAACTCGTATGAAACTGATCGTGAAGTTTTGCTCACTGAAGTTTGCTAATTGAAAGGAAATACATGAAGATATCAGAACCAAGGATCTTTCTCTATTTGGGAATTCACTGTCCTTAATGAGAAAAGAAGAACCAATGTTAGAATTGTAATCTATTAGTGTCAAGAGCAACATTTTAGAATATCAGATCTGGGCACTGCTGCAAAGCTAGAACTGGGAGTGTTCTTGTGTTTTGCTCATTCCTTACCCTGGTGATTCGCAAGTCGGTCAGACTGTGCGGGGAGTCCTGGTCCTGCCGGGTCTTGTTGACTGCGAGGTGTCTGCTCCACCTTGTCCTAAAAAAACAGGACCGCAGCAGAAAGGCTGTGAGTTCACAAGAAGCATCCCACTCTTTTCAACACCCAGCTTCCCCAGCATTTCCTTTCTTCCTCAATTCCTTACTTCCTTTCCACTTACTTACTTTTTCCATTTTCAATGATAGTTGTTGAAAACAGACTGCATAAGGGAAGCTAATCATGAAAAGGTGCAAGCTGTTTGGCAAAGGAGTTAAAAGTTACTCCTGTGTTTGGGCTTAAATAGCTTTCCCTGAATAGCAATTCAAAGAGAATTATTGCCAACTGCTCCAATTTAGGCAGTGAATAGAAATAATTAACATTCCATGGAACACATGCATTTTCTGTAACAACTACAGGTAATCAAGTGCTGGGCGTTCTATTACCTGGGACAGAAACATCTAGAGAGTGTTTTATAAATGGTTCCCTCTACAAAATGTTAAGGAGCTCAGTGGCATTTTTTTAGACATTAGTGTGAGAACAACACTTTCAGGCAAAATGTAAAACAGCAATATTATGATCCTAAGCCCATAATTCTAGAAACACACCTGCATGGGACCAGAAGCCAATGAAAGATACATTCAAATGTGGGGAAAGAAATATTATCAGTGACTAACTTGGGGTAGAGAGATGTCTGTTTTCTCTTATAGATTTATAAAAATCTTTGACATCTTTATGATGCATATGTACCACTACTGTAATTAGAAAGGTTTGAACTGTGCCAAAAGTATAAGATGTGCCCCAGAACTACTAATATTAATACATTGTCACAAATATCATAGTTGACTTCAGCAAATTCCCTCCTATTCATGCAAAAGAGACCTTCCAGATTGCAAACTGAAGCACGTGAAACATCCAACATGCGAGGTGCTGGCGACAGCCAACATGCACACACAGCTCCCTCTGCCAAGCGGGGCTCTCGCCACAGAGGCGGCCACTGAGGCATGGGAAGGTGAGTTACCCTCACAACCCTCATCACCCAGTGGGTCCCGGCTGTTCTGGGTCTCGAACTACAGAGTCCACACTCCTTCCCACCACTCTGCAGTGCCCAAACTGCCCAAGAAACTCAAAAGGCACATTGATTTCAACAAGGTGCCCAAGCAGCAGGCCTTGGGAATGTGACTCTTAATTTCTGCCTGAATGCTTCCCAGCAAGCAGTTTCTCTGCCCAGAGCCCTCCTTGCTCACGCATGAAATGGGATGGATGCTCACTTCTCTGCTGCGTGCACACTGACCTGGGAGCAAACAGGTTTAGGTCTGGTCAACGCTGTGCTTCACGGACCACTCACAATGGGGGGAAGCAGAGGGTAGCCCAGGGGACAGACTCCAGCAGGGTCAGCTCACCCACATCTACCACTTAGAAGGAGGATGTTTGTTCCCTGGGAGGCAAAGTTGCGTTCACACCTTCCTCCAGAATATCTGGAGAAAACAAAATAAAACGAACAAAGCCCTAAGGAAGGGAGACATTTTCACCAGCTTCTCTCTTTTTCCCCTTTCAAAAGAAATAGCTTTCTTTTCATTTTTTAATCGCAGATGTAAAACTTGCTAAGTATAAAAATTTATATTTTTGTATGCTAAAAAATGAACAAAAAATTAAAACGGAACCTCTCTTTTTATCAGAATAACAAAAACAAAAACTACCATGTGCATCTGTGCAATGTTTGAATTATTTGTAGAGAACATGCATACTCTATTTGAGTCACATGGGGATTACAAATGATCCTGATAAACACTGAATCATAATTATCTTCCACATATTGTGTTTTAATATCGTTTTTGAAATTTTTCAGGCCAACAATCATCTCCATCAGCACTCTAGTGTACCCCACCAAGTAGAAGTGTAGTGTAATTCATTTCACCAATATCCTACTAATGAAAATACAGGTTGTTGGAAATGTAAGCTTTCCACTAAGAAAGAGGGGAAAGACAGTTTGGAGCACACAGTGTCTGGGAGGAAAGGGCAAGGTCCCCAAGAACCTCCGCAACAGGCGCTGAGGAGGGAGCTGTGCTCCCCTGGCTATCTGAGAGGGTGGTACCTCCCAGCCCCAGCCCCTCAAGTTCAGCCATCCCCCATCTAGTTTCTGCAATTCCATGGCCAACATTTCCCACCCAGTCTGCTCTTTGGCATCTGAAATATTTTTCCTCTTTTCTGAATTTTACAACAATCCATGCAAAGAAAATTTTTATATAAATATCTAACCTAGAGTAGATAGAAAATTAGCCTAAATCATACAACAGTGGGATAATAGCATTCCCGTGGTCTTTGCACCTTTGTTGTACACAACTAGACACTGTTGAAGTGAGATTGTGTAAATAATTGTGTTTTCCTGTCCCTGTCTTCAACTATTTTAAAACTTCAGTAAATACTATTTTTTTCATATTCTAGACTACTCTAGTAGACACTCTGTAGTTGTTTTCAACTTTCAGACAGCATAAATAATGATCAAATAAACACCTTCGAGCACAAAACTTTGTCCACATTTCTGATTATTTGCTTAGGATCCCTAGAAGTAGAAGGACTAGGCCAGAGGCCACGTGCACTTTTTTAAGATTCTAGATACACACAGTCAAACTCTTCTTCACACACTCACCCTTCTACCCGGAGTGGAGGCAACCGCCTGTTTCATAACACCCAAGCCAGCCAGTGACTGTTTATTTTTCTGGAATTTTTTTCTGGCTAATTCCAGAGGTAAGCAGTGGCCCCACCCTGTGGTTTTAATATGCAGGTCTATAATGCTGAGGTTGAACATTTTTCATAAGCGAATTAGACCTTTATATTTCTTCTTTTGGGCTATCCTTTAACAGGTCAGCTAGACTAGATCCTGAGGGCACAAGGGGTTCCCAGTAAAAAATGTCCATGAATGAATCACAACCCTGATACTCATCAGCTAAGGGTTTGGGGCCAGTTACCTGGATTCTCTGAGTCAATCTGCTCATCTGTTTATGATGGAAAACAAGCCAGGCTGAGCCCTGGGTGAGCACCCATCCCTGGTGGCCCGCTGGCCTCCCAACCCTCTGTTACTGAACACCGACTTGCTTCCACTTCTCCCATGACGAGCTTTTTACGCAGTAGGCAAGTAAGTTCATTCACATTTGTAGCAAATGTTTTTCCCACTTTGCATGTCTTTAAATTTAATTATACTTTTGATTCTTAAAAGTATAATCCAATGTAGTCAAGTTTATTGACCTTATCTTTTTGGCTCATCATTTAACCGTGAAAATGATTTGCAGCTTCTATCAAGAAAACTGAAAAACCTTCATTTGTGTTTTACTCTGATTCCTCTTCTGACTTGATGTATTACTCTTTCCTCTTCCTGACATTTATTTTGGAGGATAGTAAAAGGAGAGAAAATACAATGACTCCTTCCCCCCAAAAGTAGTTGATCAGTTCTACCAGGCCCACTTAGCACCCAAGCCTTCCTTTTGTCTGATTTGGGAGGTGGTCACCCTGCTCACGTGTTATAATCTTACACACATCCAAGTGTTTCTCAGCCACCTCCTCACCGGTTCCACAGAGCTGCCCGCTCCCGGGCCGGCAATCCTACATTTTCCATTCTCACAGCCTGCCAACGTGTTTTCTCATCAGCAGAACATTTCCCCTCTTGCTTCTTTTATATGAATTCCTTAGTCATTTTCTTCCAAGCAAACATCAAAACAGTTTCAAAGTTTGCTTAAATTATTAAAACATCTCATCTGAAATATTTACTGCTATGTATGTGAATAATTACTACATACTGCTAATACAAATGTTGCTATTGGGTTGATCCCACAAGCACTGAGAGACTACATTCAGAAGACATGCTACCCCACGTATTTCAAAGGGTGGGTGGGACCAGCCTCCAGATCACCCAGGGCCTGCACAGCCCTGCTCCAGGCCTGTCCTGCAAGGAGCCCTAAGGCCCTGCAGGTTAACAAGCCCCTTGCGTGCTTCCTGTGCACTGTGAGGTATGAGGCCCATTCCTCTGTCAGATGACTGCTTTGCCCGAGACCTCCTCTTTTAAGTGCCAACCAGGCTCCACTGAGACATCTATTTAGAAGACAAGTAACTTGCAAACCTAATTTAAGGCAACCTTGTCTAAACAGTGTCACCAGATTTAGCAAATACAAATACAGGATGTCCAATTAAATTTGAATTTCGGATTAATAACTAATAATTTTTTGGTATAAGTATGTGGCAAATATTTCATGAGACTTATCCTTAAAATGTATTTGTAGCTTATCTGTAATTTAACTGGAGATACTATATTTTATCTTGCAACTCTATGCCTCAAACACTGTTAAAATCTGACAGGCCTGCATGACAAAGTATGGCAGTAAGAACAAAATTTCAACAAGTGGCTCATTTGTTTATGAAATTCCAAGGTCAAAACAGAAATGTACCTTCTTTAATTCAATAGATAGACACTTCAGACATGAAGTCTGTTGTCTTGAGAAGCCAAGAAAGATTTCATGGTATGACAAATGATGGTGATTGTAAAATAAAGCCAAAACACAAAAGGCAGCAGGGAAAAAGTTAGCCACTGTGGCACTAAAGATCATCCGGACAGAGCTGGAAGGTAAGCGGCAAATGTCTACCCACCATTCAGAGGCAAACAGTGGCGCTCTGCCAGGTGCAGGGTAATGAACACAGGGACAAGAATAAAAGGTTTATCATTGTGTTAGCTTGGTTTCCTCTCCAGGTTAGTTTTTGTTTGTCTGTGTGTCTGTTTCCCAGCCTCGCCCATTGTGGGAAGGACTGGGAAGGGAATGGGGGAGGCCCTGTGAGTCTGTTTTTTTTTTTTTTTTTTTTTGAGACAGAGTCTCACTCTGTCGCCAGGCTGGAGTGCAGTGGCGTGATCTCGGCTCACTGCAATCTCCACCTCCTGGGTTCAAGCAATTCCCCTGCCTCAGCCTCCCGAGTAGCTGGGACTACAGGCACGCACCACCACACCTGGCTAATTTTTTGTATTTTAGTAGAGATGCGGTTTCACTATGTTGGCCAGGATGGTCTTGATCTCCTGACCTCGTGATCCGTCTGCCTTGGCCTCCCAAAGTGCTGGGATTACAGGCGTGAGCCACAGTACCCAGCTGTGAGTCCGCTTTTTACTCAGAGCCCTTAATCACTATGCTCTCTACCTCTAGGGGAAGGTGAAAGGATGGGAGAGGGCAGCCAAGCTCCTTAATTAAAGTCCCACAGGTCACTTCACTAATGCTGAACTTTCCCAAATCCACATGCTTTAGAAAAACTTGCCAAAGTCAGAACAAGCCCATCCAGCAAGATCAGGGCAGAAACACCACCTTCATAAAGATGAACACGAGAAGCCCTCCCTCTCCTAGGGTGACCCAGTCCCAGGCCCTGTGCTGAGCCATCTCCTGTAACAGAGCCCTCCAGTGGGTGAGGAGAATGGTTTCTGTCTGCTCCTCCATCCTGTGCCAGGCAGTGAGTCTGCCTGAGCTGCATCGACCAACAGCTGGTCCTCTGGCCCCCAGTGGTGGGCGGCCGAGGGAGCCAGGCCAGGCAGGAACATGGCCCGGGAGGCCAGCTGGGCTGTTCCTTCCGTAAGCCACGTTTTGGGGATTGCACAAATGCCCCCTGGCCTCACTCCCTCTCCTTGCTGGCCTCAGGCTGGGACCCACAACTCAGCTGCTTTCTCCAGACCCCTCCATTAAACTCTTTTTTTTTGCTCCCCACCCCCACCCCGCGCCCTCCGGAGGGTGCCTGCTGCAGACTGCCGAGACCCTGGCTAACAGAGGCAGGTGGCTTAACTTCCCTCACTCTGTGGATTAAGGGCTGGAGGTTTCAAAGAGTACACATAAAAAGTGACTCGTGGGAGGAAGAAAATGGTGAGCTGTGCTGTGGACTGTGGGCATGCCTGTTAGGGTACCAGGTGGCCTGGTGTGGCTGGTCCTCACCTTGGAGAACATGGTAGAAATGCAGGCTCCCAGGCCCCAGCCAGAGCTGCTAAGTCAGGCCCATGATGGGGGACCCAGGTGTCTATGTGTGAACTGCCCTTCCTAATGTAACGTGGCTCATACCTCCATGGCACTCTAGGAGCCACAACCCAGCTGGTGTTCCTTGACTCCAAAGTGACTGCTGTATGCCTCTCACAGCACTCGGCCCTGGGTGCTCACTATGTAGAATGTTCTCTACCCCATCCACCATGCACACCCCATCAACCCATCCTCAAGGCTCATCCCTTTGGCACTTTCTCTGACAACCCCAACGAAAAGTCTACCTCCTCGTACCTTACCCAGCAGCCCTGCTTTAATTCCAAGCAGGAAGTAACAAGGGTGAATGGATTGGTGCCCACCCTCTCCCCAGAAACGGGCCTCCTTGACTCATCCTCACAACCCCAGCACATGGCCCAGCCTCACCCCAAGATCTTGGGGAGAGAAGCCTCTGCTTCTCTGTGAGGATAGAGGGACAAGAATGCTCCACCACCCACCTTTCAAAGCCCAGGCTTCAGCAAAAAGCATCACAAGGTAGCCTGGGCACAAAACAGCGAGGAAGCAGCCCCTACCACCAGTCATTGGCGTTCCGTTTCAACTAGAGCATCAAATGCACTCTTGCCTCTGCTGGGTACCAACTAAACACTACAAGATGCACAAGAGGAACCAGCCCCAGAGAACCAGGGTATGTTGTTCATTGGGCGATTCAGGCAGTTTTCTTATCTAAAACTGCAACACACGGATGGAGGGGCAGCGGGAAAACTGGATGAGAGGAGTGCCATCATCAGTGCGGCGGGCACTGCAGGTGACAAATGGAAGGACTGCACAGCAGGCTGGACACTGGCTCAGATCCCAGGCCCCCACATGCTGGTTAGTCTTGGGACTCAGGGCAACTGCCTCACCTTCGGGGTATCTCCACACCTTCCTGAGGCAGAACGACCACTTCATAGGTCACTTCTGAGGTTCAAATTAAAATAACATAAATAAAGGGCTTGCCCAGCAACTAAAGGTACTGAGTGTTCGGTAGACAGCGGGCACTGACCTTACTACGGAACAGAGGGCCGGCAGCTTGCATAGGAGGTCTCTCTCTCCCTCTCTCTACAGTGGGTATCACGTGGCTGTGTCCTCAGCCTGCCCTGTGCACAATATTTTCAGAACCTGGAGAACGGCACAGAAGGCACACTTAATAACTCCACTAAGGTAAACAAAGACCAATGCCACAGAGAGCAGAATGACAGGGATTCGAAATGTCTTCCACCTGGGAGAATGCCCGATCATAACCTACAGGCTTAACAGGGATCAACTTTAAACATTACAGGTATGCAAAAACAGCCAACCAAATTAAAAAAAAAAAAAAAGCAACAGATGAGAACAGTGGATGAGAACTGCTCCTGAGGGTGCAGTTAAAAGGGGCTCTCCCAGCCCTCCCCCACCCCCTGAAACCCTCTCCTGCAGCTACCCTCAGATTTTTGGTGCAAAGGAGAAGACGCAATCCTACACGACCCACCATCCGGGTCCCAGAGCTCCCTGGGGCCTTCCTGCAGGCAGTTTCCCAAACCCCTCCTGCCCAGCCAGGGACATCAGCTGAGACGGGTGGGGCACATTGCTGGAGTCCACCCAAGGGCGCTGAGTCTGCAGATGAACATGTGAACTGCAACAGGGATGGGGTTTGTCATTTCACACAGGATGCACTTAAAGAAGTAAAATGTTTCAAACCGCAAGTCTATTAAGCTATTGCAGCCGAGTGAAGAGTGACTACCTGTGTCACCTGCATTTTGAAAGCGGAGGCATCACCCAGCTCATCAGTTCCCTTCCAATGCCTGATACCCTCTCTACCAACTGCACATATGCCTGCTCTAGAACTCTGAACACACACAAGCCGTCAGATACAGTGTAGTTACAGATTTCACAACTACCCTCCCTCAGCCATGTAATTATACTTTTATTAAATATTAATGTAAAAATGGCAGGGTTTCTACTAATATTATAGTTCCTGGGTACCAGGTACGGTGCTAGACAGTTTACACACATTCCCACTTAAATCCTGTCTCTAATGGGTACTGTTGCTACCTCATCTTTACAGATGAGGAAAAAGGAGGACAGCAGCTTGCCCAGCGAATCACATCTCGTAAGCGTGGGTGTGAGACCCATTGGGGCTGAATCAGAGAACATGTCCTTAACAACCGAGCTATGGGTAACTACAAAATCTGTCACTCAGAGAATTCCTAAAACATGCAGAAACTCCACAAGGCTGAAAAAGGCTGAAAAAAAAAATCCTAAAACATTAGTGAACTTGGTAAAAGCTGCAGTATCAGCACTCCTATTCTGCCAGTTGCAAGGTGTACAAAACTAGTCCCTCAAATGGAAATAACCTTCATAATAAATGAGCCAGAGCCATTTTTCTCACCCAAAGTGACACTGCCTGTTTTGATATTACACTTTAGGTCTATGCAAGAGGAAAGGAAGCAAGAGGTTTTTAAGCAGAGATTTCAGTCAAACTGATCCTTAAACAAAAACAAGAGCTGCTTCCACCAAAAGCCTGAGATGGGGGAAAAAGAAAAGTCAGCAAGCCAGGTGTCTCGTATCAAGGAACAAGGGGGATGCTCTTTACTTACAATTGTATTCACACAGGCTGCTGAGGCCAACATGAAAATATCTGGGCAAGCCCTGGTCAGAGTACAAAAAAACTTTTCTCCCAAATGGTAAGAATGCCTGGCCTGGCAGGGAAAATACCACCACATAAAAAATGATCACATTTTCACTAAAATCATACGGCCTAAAAAACACACAGATCAGTGGCTTGTACTCCATATTCAGGCACTTATTTCCACATAACTACCTCCAAGTGCAGCCATTCTTGAATTAAAAGCAAAAGTAGTGCATGAGCTGCCTCACTTTAACCACCCACTCTGCAGTGTTCAGCACAGAAACATCAATTCTGGTTATTCACAAGGGGAGGAGTCTATCAATCATTTACATTTTAAACAGCTCTATTGAGATATAAATTACATAACATAAATTTCATCTGTTGGAAGTGTACAAACCAATGAATGTTAGTATAATTAAGGATCTGTACAACCATCACCACAATCTAATTTTAGAACATTTCCATCACCCTACAAAGAAACCTCCTGCCCAGAGCCTGTCAATCTTGACAAATGGTTTTCCCAAAATAAAATGCCTTTGCCAAGTCAGTTTTGTTCCTGTTTTTGCATCTGGTATTCCCACATCAATGAGGCATTTTGGCCGAAAGGGGGACAGCACTAGCTCTAGAATTTCTACAGAAGAGTAGCTACATGACCTTGGGGAAGACATTAAACCACCCTGTGTGAGTATAACCTCCAAGGACTATTGAAGATTTAGTGTGATCACACATGGAAAGCACGGCTCAGTAAATCTCAGCTGCTATTTTTACTACTGCCACTACTGCCCCTGCCTCCTCCTCCTCTGCGGTCACTACCTCCCCTCCCGACATTTCCACCAGCACTCCACCCCTTCCCACCACCTCCTTCCATCTCCATCACTTCTCCTGCCACATCAGCTCCTCCTCTACCTTCTCCACCTCCTCCACCGCCACCTCCATCTCCTCTACCACCCCCACCATCATTTCATTACCACCTCCATCATCACCTCCAGCACTTCAACCAACTCCTCTACCATCTCCACCATCTCCTCTACTATCTCCACCATCACCTCCACCTCCTCTGCTACCTCTATCACCTCCACCTCCTCCACCATCTCCATCCTCACCTCCACCTCCTCTACCATCTCCACCATCACCTCCACCTCCTCCACCATCACCTCCACCTCCCCCATCACCTCCACCTCCTCCACCACCACCTCCACCTCCTCCATTGTCACCTCCACCTCCTCCATCCTCACCTCCACCTCCTCTACTATCACATCACCTCCACCTCCTCCACCATCTCTATCCCTCACCTCCACCTCCTCCATCTCCTCTACCACCTCCACCATCACTTCCACCATCTCCACCATCACCTCCACCTCGTCCACTTCCTCTACCACCTCCACCCTCACCTCTAGCTCCTCCTCCTCCTCCACTACCTACCCCTTCATCACCACTTCCACCCATTCCATCACCTCTGCTCCTTCCCACCACCCTTCACCTCTTACATCTCCAACACCTCCATTGCTACCAACACATCCACCTCCACACTCTTCATTATCTCTATATCCTCCTCCCCCTCCACCACCACCTCTACCATCACCTCTACCTCTTCCTCCCCTACCTTCACCCCTCCTCACCACTTCCTCCATCCCCAACTTCAACAAAAAGGCAACTATTCAGACACCAAAATATCCACATGTATTAACATAATATTAATTTGTTAGAATAGTCAACATGTAGCAGTACCTTAATCGATCATGAGTTCTAGAGTAACTTAACAGTCTGAGAAATCAGAAGATCAGAATCTCTAAACTACCCACTTAATAATTTTGACAACACAATCTTTAAAGTACCACAAGAGGATCAGTGACAATGCAAGTTATAGTCAAATTATATTTATATACTTTAAATATAACTTGAGGCCAGGAGCAGTGGCTCATGCCTGTAATCCCAGCACTTTGGGAGGTCAAGGTATGCAGATCACGAGGTCAGGAGACTGAGACCATTCTGGCTAACACGGTGAAACCCCGTCTCTACTAAAAATACAAAAAATTAGACGGGTGTGGTGGCGGGCGCCTGTAGTCCCAGCTACTCAGGAGGCTAAGGCAGGGGAATGGCGTGAACCCAGGAGGCGGAGCTTGCAGTGAGCCGAGATTGCACCACTGCACTCCAGCCTGGGCTACATAGCGAGACTCTGTCTCAAAAAAAAAAACAAAAAACGGAGTGCAATCCTGAGCCCTCCTGAGCTCCCAGGTGGGGTGCACAAAGCCATTGCAATTGCACTGAACCCAACTTCTTCAGCTTCAAGCTTCTCGTTTTCTCTCTGGGTCCCACAACCCCAGCAACCTCTACACTAAAACCAGAGAACCAAACCATGTGCGGCTGTGAGAGTGATCAACAGAGCCAGGGTTGCCCTCCTAGCAGATCAGGGCCGTAGGAGGCACATGACACACCCACATTCTTCCCCCATGAGCAGAAGGAAGAGAGAAATCTCTTCCTTGAACTTTCTCAACAATAATCTCAGAATTTGGAAATAACTCTCATTGTCCTGGCTGACCAGGAAAAGGCCCCAGGGTTTGATATGATGAATCCTTGGTGGTGGCTTTTCCTCATTTCTAAGTCCCTCCCACAGGTAGAGGGCAGGGGGCCAAGGGTAAATGGCAGCCAATGCCAAGAAGCTGGAGGCGGAATGAGGTAAGCTAGGTCTGGCCTGGAGCTCCAGCCTGGGGCTCCCAGGTGTGGCAGCCCTTTGAAGGGCAGGCGCGATCTGGAGCAGGGAAGGGCATGGAGCAGCTTCCAGGTGCAAGCAGAAGGGCTGGGCTGGCAGGGCAAGAGGACGGCGGTTCATAGTGATGCTCCCCAGAGGCTTTGGATAAAGCTCGTTTTATTCATAAAAATGAATAAACAGCACAGATCCCAGGGCTCAGGAAACTCAATCCCTCTGCCAAAGAGTGACTTTTCCCAGTAAGACCAAACTCGGGCAGCCATTACAGCAGGAACAATTGGTGGATCCCAACCTTGCTGTGGGCCATAAGAAACAGTTCACCTCGCCCTTCAGGTATGAAAAATCTTATTGTGGCATGAGCCAAATGTTTACAAACTGCCAGTGTGACAAACTATGATTCTGAGCAAATAACTTCACTCTCTGGGCCTATTTCCTCACCAATAAAATCAGGTTTTTGGACCATATGACGTCTAAACTTCTTCTGAGTTCCAAAGCTGGGTCTGCACACTCCACAAAAATGTTCCAAAGCAAATCTACTCCTAGAACCACGGTTAAAATAATATCATGGGTGACTTCTGAGCTTCTGGCCAATATGGAATATAAAGGATTAGATGTACCCTCTCCCCCTAAATAACTAAAACTGAAACAGTTTTCATACATTTGACAACAGGCAGCATGGGACAGTGATTCCTGAGACATGATCCACATGACGCAGCCCTACTAGTGCCCACTCACTGGCTGGAGAGAGCTTCCAAGCTGCAGCGCAGGGAGGGGGAATCTCCCTTCCAGGCAGAGCCTAGGATCGTCCTAAGGAGACAGAGTTCAACACTCAGGAAGGTCAAGGCAGAGAGGAGAGCGCTCAAGAGAGGGGGCTCTCCACACACATCTCCAGCTGAGGATTAATGACGCATGCATGTAAGGAAAATACCAAGACTGGGAAGAACCACCAGAATGAAGGAGACAGAGCCATCTGGAGAGAAGCGTGTTCCCACCAACCCAAATGGAAAACTTCCTTACGCATGGGACACAAGACAGCCCTCAGAAGGGTCCTGCCTCAACAGTGGGGGCAAATTAGCCCCAAACTAAAAGTGACTCTGGGCCCAGCTAACAAAGCTTATAAGCCAGCCTCAAAAGGGTCAAACTATTTCCAAGAAGCTTCTTTCCAGAATAAAGCCCAAAATATTTAAAAGAATAGCCCCCTCCCAAGAAGTAGCCAACACCCAACCAGGTGAAATTTACAATGACTGGGATCGAAACAAAAAGTACCAGGCATGAAAAGAAAATAAAACCCATAACGATAAGGGAAATCAGCCAAGAGAAACGGATACAGAAATGTCCAAGATGAAACAGCAGGCGATATATTAAAATGATGAAGATAAATATGCTCTGTGCATTCAAGAAGGAAAAGCAAAGCATGAGTGATAAGGAGAGAAGTGGAAGATATAAAATGACCAAATCCAACCCTACAGATGAAAAATGCAACACAGGAGATGAAAAATATGTGGGCAGGATTAACCAGACATTGGACACCACGCTTCTCTCCCCTCCCTCCATCCCCAGTGACCAATCTCCAAAGACACACTGTGAGGCTCCCTCGCCCAACGGCTGGCGTGGTCTGGAGAGGTCTAGGGTAGGAGCACCCTATGAAGACATAGTAATAGAAACTATCCAGAATGGCACACAGAGAGAAAAGGAAGATGGAAAAGATTACGATAAACTACCTCCAAATGATGAGGCCAGATGAGGGGAGGGAGGAAGGAGCTCAGGTTTGGGGCCAGAGAAAATAAAGGCTGCAGCCAGCACTTTCTGCATTCCCGCTATTTGGCCGGGCTGGATAAGTCAACCAAAGTTTCTGAGCCTCACTTTTATTGTAGGCAAATTTGGATCATACCCATTTCAAAAAGTTTGGTAGGAAAACTGAGTGAGATGAGGTATACAAAGTCCTGTCACAAAACACATGCTAGCTCCCTTCTCAAACTCCAAGGAGACAGTCTCCCACTTTGTGGCAGCCTAACAACTGCAAGGGGGTATCAAGGACAGAAACACAGAAAGTCTTCACCATTCCTTCCACTCAGAGGTGAACCTACTCTTACGTACTTGAAAAGCAGTTATAAGCACAATAGTCTGGTTACTGCTCCAGCTTCAACAAACAGCAAGGGAGTCAGGGGCAACTGGGCTCCACCACAGGAAGCAGTTGCCAGGCCATGTGCTCCTAATGCTGCCACCGCAAGGAGAGACACTCACTCACATGAGAAGCTTGAAGAGTGTGTGTGTGTGTGTGCATGCGCATGCGTCACAGTCACATATATATGTATATATACATAAATATGAAATTTGAACCATGTGTGGAAACACAAGTAATACAAACTTAAAATGTACACAGATACAGGTAATCTACAGATATGACAACAGGCC
Source organism: Homo sapiens (assembly GCF_000001405.40). Taxonomy (NCBI): domain Eukaryota; kingdom Metazoa; phylum Chordata; class Mammalia; order Primates; family Hominidae; genus Homo; species Homo sapiens. The sequence goes on from NC_000007.14 coordinate 50,717,602, forward strand.
CCTCCTTATCCACCACTGAAGCTACAAAACATTTCTTTACCTAAACACTTTCTCCCTAAGTTAGGAACCTCGTTCATTATCAGTAGATCTGAAGACAGCGTATCTTCTCCTGTGTCCATATTATCAACCAGGTGTTTAGATGGAAATTGCTTTTTAGCACCACTTAGCCAAGGCCTCATTCTCTGAAATGAGGTTCTTGGGGTCTCTGGACCCATTGAGGAGCGATGGTCAGATACACAGATCGGTTCACCCTGTGCTGGTACCAGCTCCTGAAGGGACCTACGAGACGCAACCACAAGGCCATGGCCATGCTTTGCTTGACCCCACTCCAGACTGCTCAACATGCAGCAGGCCCAGTTCTGATCCCCCCAGGCAGAGACTCCTCTGTCACTCCAGGGAGTCCAAAGGGCCCTGGGCGCCCAGCAAAGGGAGGAGGCCAGGGACTCAGTCGGCCCAGACAATTCCAGCCCACTGACTAAGTGCCAGGACAAAGAGGGGACAGGGGATTCCCAAGGCAAGATCCGGAGGCTTGCGGAACTGTGTCCAGCAGGAAGGAAGAAAGGGAAGGGGATCCAAGCTCCCTCAAATCAAGAAGCCCAGTGCCCAGTTCAAGGGAGAATTAACAGAGAGAGGGGAGGCCAGTTTGGGGAATGGGAAAATGAGTTTGGTTTGAAATGTCCTTCTTCTGAAATGCTGGCATTACCTTCACCTCCCTGAATGCCAGTCAGCCATCTGCATGGGTTAGTTACCCATGCAGAAATCAGTCAGCCTCCAACTCCTCCTTATCCACCTATGAACTGCTTACTGATCCTGATTATTTTGCCTTCTACATCCACTTCCACCCACACTTTCTTCTCACGGCCACTGCGGCGCCCTCGGCTCAGGCTGCTCACTGCTGCTTCCTGAGCACACTGACTGAGATCAGTGAGAGCTCACTCTCACACGAGGATCCCAGAGTATAGAACTCAGGGACTCTCCAGCCTGGGTCTTAAACCCGCACTCTACATCTAATATTTCAGTTTTTGAGGACCACAGATCTAACTTTACTCCAAAGTAATTTGTACATTAAGGGCAGGTTTCAAAAACACATTAACACCCAGTTCACCAGGAGCCCAACGTTAAGTCCCGTGCATACTGAAATTGTAACCGTCGAAACCCTGAGAGCAGAGGTTGCCATTCACAGCTCTCAGGGTCAAGAGCGCTTAAGCAGCAAGAGGGGTCCTGCAATTACTGTCCAATGTCTAAGCTTGTTGAACCCCTCAAAATCTTTACCCAAGGGTGACACAGTCATGGATAACCAATCACAGAGTTTCAGAGACTTGGAGTATCCAACCTCTTGGTCACCCAAGCAGAAGAAAAATATAGTCAATCTTCAGAGAGGCTGATCCATTCAACAAATATTTACCAAGCAATTACTCTATGCCCAGCACATGAGTGTTTAAAGCAACAATCCTGCCCTATGGAGTTTGTATTTTATCTAAAGAAAACAAGTAGTGAGCAATAAACACACCATTTACTTGTTATAATCTGAGAATGCAGTGCTATGGAATAAAAGAACAGAACAGAGCTGGATAAACGGGGCGGAGACTGCAATTTACACAGAACACAAGGGAAGGCCTCACTGAAAAGGGGTCCAAAAGTGAAGACTGCAAGGAGGAAGGGCCAGGCCCACAGGTGTCCTGTGACACCTACATGAAGGAGGAAAACAAGGCAAAAGAATATCACTGCAGGCAGAGACAGAAGGCCCTGCAAAGGGAATTCATCTTAAGAGTGACCATCCTTTGAAGCTGGAAGCCATCATTCTCAGCAAACTAACACAGGAACAGAAAACCAAACACTGCATGTTCTCACTCATAAGCGGCAGTTGAACAATGAGAACACGTGGACACAGGGAGGGGCACATCATACACTGGGGCCTGTCGGGGGTAGGGGGCGAGGGGAGGGAGAGCATTAGGACAAATACCTAATGCATGGGGGGCTTAAAAACCTAGATGATGGGTTGATAGGTGCAGCAAACCACCATGGCACATGTATACCTATGTAACAAACCTGCACGTTCTGCACATATATCCCAAAATTTAAAGTAAAATTTAAAAAATAAAAAAAAAGAGTAACCATCTTTAACAATTACACGGATGCCACTTTCTCCATGAAATAAATGCTACAACCAGCTCCTTACATTTCCACTACACTTTGGAATTTCCTACCAAGAATGACAAGTTTTGTTTTTCCTGTGAGTTTACTCCTTTTATAGGTTTTTTTTTTTCTTAAGTCATACTATCAAGTGATCAAATCCGAGTTCCTGCATGCTACGCAGGATCTCTGGCACCTAGAAATAGCTGGTGGAGACACATTCTTCTGCCCCCCACTCCAGCTGCTGGGAGCGGGGCTGAAATCCTTCACAGAACTTGAATGCCTCTCAACAAACACCAGAGAACCCCTAGCAGAGCTGCAGGCTGAAGCCCATCTTCAGATAAAGAAACACGGTTTCCTACCACTTTTCCAGAAACACTAACAAACACATCAACTAAGTCACAGAAAGTTCAGTAAGAGGAAAAACTAAATACAAGCTAAATATTTACTTTCTTCTTTAAGATCAATGATAGGAAAACCTCACAAAAGTTAAAAATAATGTTAATAATTCATATCACAGTCACTTCGAATACTTTGTTTCTAGTTAAGATGATAATAATAATAAATGTACCAGTAGCCAGTTTCGCAGAGTCTGCTTGAAACACACATAAATATTTAACAGGTTCTGGGGAAACTGCTAAAGTGACAGTATTGACTGCATGATGAAAACTGGATCGCAAACCCTACCTAAGTGACCCCCTTTGTCGAGACTCATAACCGGTGGCAGCAAACACAGGTGATGAGGCCCATCTGACACCAGGCGCCAAAAAGGCCCAGAGAGCAGAGGACAGGCACATCCCGGACGGGGAGCCCAGCACATATGGCAACACTTAAAACCCCAAGGAAAAATAACAGTGAAAGCAAGTCATCCCAACTAAACATGCATGGTACAGGAATATAAAAATATAATTTAAACATAGTTACCACCTTAAAAGACCAGACACTTCAATCAGAAAGTAAGTAAAGAAGCTTATGTTTAAATTACTCTGTATGCTTTTAATAAAAGGAATAATTTTAAGGTTCCTCTCTCTGCCAAAGTACACCATTAAAAAAAAAAAAAAAGTTGCCGTTTCCTAAATTTTCATCAATGTATTTACTGCTTGTTTAAAATAGCATTTTTCTCTGCCTGGCTGTCTAAAGCACGATATTATCCAATAGCTTTTCTCTTCTGCAACTGAGTGAGCAATCACAGAAGCTGCACGGCACCCAAATCCAGTGCAGGAAATTGTCGCAATAAATACCCTCTTCATCCAGGTGCCAGAAAGAAAAGAAAAGAAACGCCCTGCTTCATTGAAAAGTTTCATAAATTGTTAACATGAACACCACATACAGTATTTGCCATATTCAAACAATTTTAACACAGTAAAGGTACCCAAACACGAAACTATTTTAAACTTTCCTGGAGAATACAGTAGTCCCCCCCTTATCCTGGTTTTACTTTCTGCAGCTTCAGTTACCCACAGTCAACTGTGGTCCAAAAATATTAAATGGACAATTCCAGAAATAAATAATTCATCAGTTTCACACTGTGTGGAGGAGAGTGATGAGATCCTGCACCAACCCGCTTTGTCCTGCCCAGGATGCGACTCCTCCCTCTGCCCAGGATGCGACTCCAAGATCCACGCTGCAGGCGCTGCCTGCCCATGAGTCACAGAGGAGCCGTCGCAGTGATCATCAGATCAACTGCCGCGGATCACAGAGCTTGAATTCAAGTAGCCCTTACTATACTGAATAACAGCGCCAAAGTGAAGAGGAACAATGCTGGCCATTTGAGTATGCCAAAGAGAAGCAACTCATGACAAAGTGAGCCCACCCCACCTGCTACCACCTTCTTGCTCTGCTGGCCCAAGCCCCGGTCTGTTAGCTCTTGTCTCTGCCCCTCGTAGGGCTCTGCAGCTTGAGAATTAGGTGTTCTGACCTGGGCTGGGGACGGGGTCTCACCTCACCATGTCACCCATTCCCCACTGGGTAGGGGCCAAACAGAAGGGTGATAGGTCTCCACTCTGTCCTCAAGCAGAATCTGGGGTGGCTGAGGATGGGGGAGGACAGACGACAGCATAAGGAGGGGTCAGGCAGAGGGAGGCCCAGGACTGGCTGCAGGAATGCAAGAGAAGGCTCCATGGGGGTGTGGCAGGGACTGCTGTGGGAAGGGAAGGTGTCTGGGCTGAAGTCCAGGGAAATGGCCCAGGCCAAGAAACGGAAGAAGAAGACAGCGCGTGGAGCGGGGAGAAGGGAGCAGAGCAGTTCAGTATTACTGGTGGCAAAGGAGAGCCCAGGCTGCTGGTAGGGAGGATCAGGCCAAAGACAGGCTGAGGAGGCTGGCCCGGTCACTATGCTACCTCCTATGCCCTCCTCTCCTGTCTCTCCTGCACCCCAGAGGCAGGGTGTACCACGGGCCCAGTAGCTCCCAGCTTCCCAGGCTGTCCCCCACCAGCTGAGCCCCGAACCCTTAACCTGCACCACGCCACAGCCCCTCTGCCCTGCCCACTCTCATGCCCACTCAGGAGGCCAAGGACTGGCCATAAACTTACGTTCAAGGACTTCCTGCAAGGGTCATTCCAAGATCCAAAGCGGCTTCCTAAGGTGATAGAAAGGTCCCCTGGAAGGCCCCAGGGTAACCCCGCCTGGCACCAAAGAAGTGTCAGGGCAAAGATGTTGGATGGCACAGACAGAGCAGCTCTGAGAGCATCTGTAGTCCCATGAGCTTGCAGCAAGGTGGGAAATTCCATGTGTTCGAAGATTTCAAAGCCACAGAAAGCACATTCCCATCTGCCAGGAGAACATAGTTGATGGGGGCACATGGGCAGCAACAGCTTCAAAGCCCTGTGACAAGCACTCAAGAAAGGGGAGTCCAGGGTGAAGAGGTGACAGAACCAGTGATGCGAGCCAGGGTGACAGGGCCCAGAGTGACCGGATGATGGGGGATGGACTATGGGGGAGAATGCCAGGGTGACAAGGTGACAGAGTGATGAGGTGGGGTGACAGGGTACCGCCCCCTCTCCTTCCCCGACATTACTTATACCTGGCCTCCAAACACACAGCTTGTTCTCCATAAAGCCTCTCCTCAGAAGCTGCCCTCAATGTCCTCCTTGGGTAGGGTTATTTTTAATCCCATTTCACCCACCTTAGGTAAAGATAGCGCTCTCAGGATTAAGTTGTTTCTCTAGATGCCCTGGCACTCACCCCTCATACTGCACAAGCTACAAAGGCCACATTTACGCCTTAGAAAGCTGAAAAATCCATATAAGTACCCTGCAAATGCCAAGAACCTGACCTCAAAGACCAATTTAATTGGAATTAACACCTTCACAATGTCGAAAAATAAAATACATTTATATAAAATTTACTTTTCTTTTAGTGAAGTTCTGAAGGGACAAGTAAAGCAAAATATAACCTTATAGCTATTTTTTCACAATACCAAGTAGCTTTTTTTTCTTTAAAAAAAGAGAAAAGTTGCAGTGAAGCAATGATGTCCTTGGCAGTGAAGGACTCAAATTCCAACTCTGTGTCCACAGACAGAGGGGTCAGGTGTTTCCTTATTTAGAGTCATTAAACAACAGGTACAATTCTCCTTCCTCTATTACTTGGGTACATCCTTTAAGCCCCGGCTATGTCTTACACACTTCTGTATTCCCAGAATGGGCAACCACAAAGAAACTGCCAATCATTTCCTCATTGTCCAAAGAACGAAATGTTCTAATGTTGTTTGGTCCCATCTTACAAATTAGCTGGGTTTCAGCTGAGGTCTGGAAATGAAGGATGAACCCCTCAGCCAGTACCCCAGAGCCTGCTAAACCAGAGTCTGGGGGCAAAGGAAGACGATGAAGGGTTTTTAGCGATCCAGCCCCTTGGATCCCAGGAGCAAAGGCCCTGTTCAGGGTTCCAGCGAAGTGCCCCTGGTCAACTGGGATTTCCTAAGGCCCCACTAGTTGGGTGGTCCCTGGAGGCTCTCATTTCATAACAGTGCAGGTATAACTGTCAGCCTCACACGCCTGAAGCGGTACTGGGATTCAAACCTGGGGCCTGCATGCCTCCTGGGCTGGCTCACCTCCCGCTGGCCACATGACCCTCCAAAACGGTGTAGACTCTTGATGGAGAAAAGACTAGAACAGCTGCTCAAGGCAAACAGACATAGGAAGGTGGGAGGTAGGTCACACTGAGAGCTACAGAGGGACCCACAGGCACCCTCCAACCTTCACGCCCTAGTGCAGTGGCAAGGAGCTGGTTAAGGACGGTTAGCAAAAGCACAGCGGAGTCACATCAGGCCTATAGGGAAGAGTGGACAACACAGTGGGAGGGCACAGATGCTGTCCCCCATGATCCGCCACTGGCTGGAGGCAGTGGACTCGCACGTTCCAGCAGCGCCTGAGGAAATCTCACCATGCACAAATGACACACCAAGGCCACAATGGGTCATAAACGCAAAGCTTCAACTTTGCAAACTGGAGCTGCCAAGGACAGAAAAACCACAGGCATGACTGTGATATCCTGAGATAGCCAAGACTAGTGCTTCAGGAGCCACCTGCGGGGAAGAAGCAGTTTTTGCTGTCCCTGTCAACCTGTCAAGCACGGATACTTCACAACTCACATAGCAATGAATTGCCAGAAAGTAAAATAAAACAAAAATACGATACACACCCACATTTTTATTCTTAAGTTCAACATTCAAATTGCTATAAAATCTCTAAACACATTTTCTCAATGTCTCTACTTATCATGAACTGGAAATAAACACGACCTGGGACACAGCAGTGGGTGCATGAAGAGACCTTCCTTCAAAAAAGTCAACATTGTGCTACAATGAGGGATGGGAGGATGGGTCCTGAAGGGAGAGCGTGAGCCGCCCAGCTCTGAGCTGGTCAGTCTCATCTGAAGTGTTGATTAGTTCTGGTCCTTCCCCTTGAAGAGGGCTAGGCAAGACAGGAGAAAGGAAACAGGAAAAAGTGCCACAAACCCCGACAAAGGAAGGATGCCTGAAGGAGCTGGGGGCTGGCTGGGTAATGACACATAACTTCAAACGCAGAGAGACGGAAGTGATTTGCTCTGCGTTACTGACAAGGCCAGAAGGGAGCACAGTCAATGTTACAGGAGGCCCATCTTCTGACCACAGATAAACAGCCTGTCCCTGAGGGTCATGAGTTCCCTTCCCTTTGGTAATCAAGTAATATGACTCTGTGCAAAGAAAACAGTTGAATCAAGGATTCATGCTCCAACCAGGTACGCCATGATGCCTTTCCAAGTCTGCGTGCGCTTGATACTGCCATCTCTCCTGGAAAAACACTCCCGGCAAGGTAGCTGTGCCTGCTGCCTGCTCTGCTGGTTACCTGCCTGCTGCCTGCCCTACCTGCTGTAATGGCGACTGATATGGTTTGCATTTGTATCCCCGCCCAAAATCTCATGTCCATCCCCAAGGTTGGAGGAGGAGCCTGGTGGTAGGTGACGGGATCACAGGGGCAGATGTCCCCCTTGCTATTCTCATGACAGTAAGTTGCCACGAGACCTGGTTGTTGGAAAGTGTGTAGCACCTCCCCTTTTGTGCTCTTTTCCTCCTGCTCCAGCCACGTAAGACTTGCCAGCTTCCCCTTTGCTTCTGCCATGATTTTAAGTTTCCTGAGGCCTTCCAGCCATGCTTCCTGTACAGGCTGCGGAACTATGAGTCAATTAAACCTCATTTCTTTATAAATTACCCAGTCCCAGGCAGTTCTTTATAAGCGGTGTGAGTGTGGACGAATACAGTGACACACACACAGCAGGTAAGTTTTGGTTTTTGTAGGTCTAGTAGAAACTTTGACACTTTACAACAGAAAAGGCAACCATCTGGTCTCATAAGTAAAACAAAAACAAAGACTTTGATAAGTGATTTCACAGTAGCTTCTGGGCAGATAGATGGCAAAGGGAAAGTTGATTACTAACATTGAACTTTCATGGGATGGAAAATTAAAAGAACACAAATATTTCTGTGGGGATTTAACCCCCATGATAAGTAGGAGGAAAACAGAAGTGGGATATAGGTATCCCTGATTAGATATGTCCTTCTAAAAGGCAGTGCAAAGTCATAGACCAATATTGTGTTCTGCTCCTCCACTGCTTATGAAATCTTATGAAAAAGATAATCAACTCTAGCACCCCCAATCAAATAGATATCTGCACAGCCAAGCACACGGTGCCAAGGAAAAACCAGACAGTGGAATGGTTAAGGACATAGGCTTCAGGCTTGACCCCGTACGCCTGATCCCTGATCTATCCCATTACAAGCTGTGTGACCTTGGGCAACTTACCAATATCTGCAAGCCCTGGTTTCCTGGAAAAAAGAAATAGAAAAAATAACACATCCAGAATATTTGCCACAGTACCAGAGAGAGGATAAAAATAACACAGGCTGGGTGCAGTGGCTCACCCCTATCTATAATCCCAGACCTTTGGGAGGCAGAGATGGGCAGACTACTTGAGACCAGAAGTTCAAGACCAGCCTGGCCAACATGGCGAAACCCCATCTCTGCTAAAAATACAAAAATTAGCCAGGTGTGATGGTGCATGCCTATAATTCCAGGTACTCGGGAGGCTGAGGCAGGACAATCGCTTGAACCCGGGAGGTGGGGGTTGCAGTGAGCTGAGATTGGGCCACTGCATTCCAGCCTAGGTGACAGAGTGAGACTCTGTCTCAAAAAAAACAAAAAACAAAAATAATACATAGAAAATATGTGATAAATATAGTTGTTTATATTATTCAAAAAAAATCAGACTTTAAGCCCATACTTGAGGATGATGATGTTTGAGAAGATTTAGGCATTAAAAAGAAAAGCACTGAGAATAAATATATACATATTTATGTATTTTTATTTCCATTTATTTACTTATCTGTCATATTTCATTGATTTTAAGACATGCCCCACTCCCCATTTTAACATTTTAAAAATGCAAACACCTTACGATCAGCACACATGACACATTTAGGGACAATACATAATAATCTTTATTTCAACTGAAAAGCTGTTGTTAAAACTGACTTATGGCATTTCATGATCAAAGAAATTCAATAAGTCCAAAATTGCAGGATACAAATTCTATGTTTTATTATAATAATTCTGAGGAGGAGATTTTGGCATTTGGACAAAAACTTGTTCTCCTCAGTCTCACCAACATTAAACATAAACACACTTCACAGAGACGAATGTACCTCTGTTACTCAGTAGGAGAGATGGTCTTTTTCTGCTTTGATAATCTCATCTGCAAAGGGGAGAACATGAAGGTCCCCACCGCGTAGCATTGGCAGGAGAGAAAATCCAAGTAAAGTCCTCAGCATGATGACCAGCATATAGTAAAAACCTCAGTTTTCTCATTTATAAAATGGGTATCATGAAGGTACCCAATTCACAGAGTCGGTGGAAGGCTGAAGACAAGGGAAGTAAACAGGAAGAGCTTAATCTTTTCCCCACTGCCAGCCTCTGAGTGGTCAGCTTGCAGGCTGTCGAATATGTTAGTTTTACAGTTCTAGCAGGAAATGACATGGGATGGGGGATTAATCACCCTCCCCTCTACTTGTCTGCACAAAGCACACCACTGACAGCATCCCAGGTCATGGTGGCCCATGGTTGGTTGTTGTACCTGTCTGTCTCCCTCCAGGGCTGGGAGCTCCCTGCAGGCAGGGTTGACATCTTGTTCACCTGGTACCCTAATACCCAGCCATGGTCTGCCAATCAACTGTTCATAAAATGGTAAGCGAACAAACAAATTAGTCAAAGTTACTTAGAACATTTAAAGAATAGAGTTTTCAACTGATTCTGTTAGTTACAGAAAGTGTAAACTATTTACTAATATGTAATTAACTACCTAGGATTTAAATAAATAAAGCCAGTTAACAGCAATTTGCCAGATCAATGAAAAGTATTTTCCCAAACCAAATGCCATCTATTTGTTTTAAGTGAATATTCACATGATTTTAAAGACTTAAAAAGATTATAATCTCAAATTTACATAAGTATCGCACAAATCACTTAAAAAAAAAAAACTTACATTCTTAAAAATAATTCTACACTCTAAAACAAAAAAATCACATACCAGCTCATCCAAACAGTGGCTCACATTTAACAGGGTCTTTTGTGTGCTAAACACAATGCCAAAGTTTATATAAGTGTCTTCCAATTTTCACAATGACGCTGAAAACAGAAGAAATGTGGAGAATTTAAACACCATGCCTAAAGCCATGCAGGTGAATAGTAGTCAACACACTGCCTGTTTTACCTCACAAAATATCTCCATAACATAGCTGCTGTTCCTAAGTTCAGAATCATAACCTTAAATGACTTGGAAAACCATTTTAGGTAAATGTCCTATCAGCTGGAACAGTCAAATAAAATTTAAAGAGAGACATTTCAAATGATCTTCGTAACTTCCCACCTCAAGGGTTAAGAGTGGCAGGTACTATCAACAAATTTCTTAAAGAAAATGTAGTCTAATAAAATGTTCTTTAGCCAAAGTATGGGGGGGGGGTGTAGTACTTAAAAATGAAAAACTACAGAATCACTCTTTCACTAAAAATAATAATAATAATAACAACAGTGACAGACTTTGGGAATGGAATTCATTTCCAGGAACTGAGCCCAAATCAACTCTCGGAGATGATGTCATCTTTCAGCTCCTCCACGCACTGCCAAAAGATTAAGGAATCTAGGGCACCCAACAGAAAATCCAAAGCTGTATGTGATCAGCAGATGAAGTCTCATCTGAGGACTGTTTCTAACCCAGAAAATGGGGAGGAGATGAGCTGATACAAGGAGGCCCCCTTGAGCCTCTGTCCATCCAAAAAGGTTCATTCTAGCAGTCAGTGTCCCAGAAAAAACTTTCTTCTGTAAAGGGTCAAACACTACCCAACTCTGCTGATGGGGCTTGGAAGCAGCCACAGACAATACAAAACCCAATGGCCAAGTTCCAATAAAACTTTAATTTTATTTTTTGAGACCGGGTCTTGCTCTGTCGCCCAGGCTGGAATGCAGTGGCACGATCTTGGCTCACTGCAACCTCCACCTCCTGGGTTCAAGCAATTCTCCTGCCTCAGCTTCCTGAGTAGCTGGGATAACAGGTGTGCGCCACCACGCCTGACTAATTTTTGTATTTTCAATAGAGACAGGGTATCCCCATGTTGGCCAAGCTGGTCTCGAACTCCTGGCCTCAAGTGGTCCACCCGCCTCTGCCTCCCAAAGTGCTGGGATTACAGGCGTGAGCCACCAAGACCAGCCTCCAATAAAACTTTATCTGCAAAAGCAGATTGCAGTTCGTCAAGCCCTGCACTAGAAGAGTAGGTTCCCCGCCTGAAGCTTCAGGGACACAGCACTGAAATGGAACCACAACACACATCTTGTGGTGTCCTGGGGCTGGACAGCGTGTATGTGCACTAATGCTGTTGCCATTATCTCCACCAAAAGCTGAGGCTCTGCAGGGCAGGATGGCAAGGAGAGTTTCTAAGATGGCTCATTTCTAAGCATGATTGTTTTTAATTCAGAAATCAGAAAACTATGAAAATAAAAACATTGCTTTTGGAAATTCAACAGTAAATTTAATCACCTACATAAAATTCACATGCAAGTTGTTTCATTTCTAATGCTCAGTTCAACATTGTGTACGGAAGTTTGTAGCCAAGCACATTTTATTTCCTATTTTGCATTTTTCTGAAAGATAATAAATGTTGCTTTTATTTACCATAATTTTGTCATAGGTGCATAATTCCTTCTTCAAAAGCCTGGAGGCTGGACATGGTTAAGAATTAAGAGTTTTGGGGAATGGAGAATGATAACACAGTGTCCACATCAATGAACACAGATGTGCAGGGCCCAGAGGGAGCTCCATAAACCCCATCCCACTTCCCAGGCAGACCCTGTGTTCGGCAAAGCTCTGGACTCTGCCGTGGCATAATAAATGAGGAAATTTCTTGCTTCAGACCTTTTGATTTTAAAAATGGCAGACAATGAGCTATAGGACCCTACTAACGGAGCCCCCCCCGAAGACCAAGGCAGCCGGCCCTCTCTCCCCCCGTTGTCCCATTTTATTTGCTTCAGAATTAGTATCATTATTCACAGCTATCTCACTTGCCAGTTGTTCCATGTCTGTCTCCTCCACTGGAATCCAGGAGCCCCAAAGATCTGTCTGCCGAGCTCAAAGCTGGCTCCCTAGCCCAAAACATGTGCCTGGTACCTGGCTGGTGCTCTATCAAAGAATTAAAGATCACAGCCCTTGACTCAGCTTCTAAAGGATGACCAGGCGCCGGGTAATTTAGACATATTTCCTCTAATCCCTGCTACAACCCAGATACCACTAACCCTTTTCTACCAAAACTTCGGTATGGAAACTGCGGTAGGGAAAGTTGCAGGATTTCTCCAAGGTCAGAGAATTATGATGTGTCACATTCTAAAGGAAAAACTTAAGTCTTAAAAGTGAAGTGGGTCATCCCCAACCTTGCCAGAACCCCTCCCCAACTGCTGCCCTCCAACAGCAGGATGATTAAATGCATACAGTAATTTTGGTGCTTCTGTGCATATTTTAAAAATCACATCAGTGACTCACGGACTGAACCATCTATCTAATCCAAGCCACTGCTGCAAGTGAACAGCTAGAATTAGAAAATTATTTGTATGTTGAAGGTTTTAAGAATAAATTTTTCTCTATAAAACTCTGGAGATTTATCTAATTATTATAATATAATTACGACTGCTCAAGACTGGAACCCATTGTAAATCATCCCATATTCTGAGAAATTCTGGAACTGTCATCTTATTTTCCAGGAACAAGGGACATATGCCGCCAAGTCTTGCTGTCAAATTTTTTAAAGAGTAAGACAGTGCTTTCAAATGGCCCTGAGAAGCAATGAGTATTTCCTCAAAGCATGACAGCACATAGCAGGGAAAGCCCACCCTTCCTTCCTGACTTCCTGGCTCCAGGAAAGCAGCCTGGGGCATCGGTGACTACAAACACCTAACAAGGCCATCAAGGGAGGAACTGACACAGCTTGTAAGTCTGCCACTTCTGTAGGTACCAGCAGGAAACTGGAAATGCCAGGAAGGGAAGGGAAGCTGACAGAACCTCTGTGGCCATTATCTGGCCCTAAAAGCCTATTCTATACCCAGCCGAGGACAGCACTACGAAAATGACCTCAAGAGAGACTTTCCCTTGGGGATGTTCTTTGAGCTCACTGACTGCACTCTCTTGGGACTGAGTAGGAAGTGGCAGGCAGGGGTGAAGGGTGCAGTCGGGCCCGGACAACTAGCTAACACTAACTGGCCACACGAGAACTGGACTTGTGACCTGTGGGTGCAGCACAGAGCTTTAATCAATGGGGGGAGGCAACCACAGCCTCTTTAAGAACAAGAAGACAATTATGCAGAGGGAGAGGCAGATGCCTGTTCCAGAGCTCACAAACTACACAGACTCAGGGGTCACCACCAAACTTTGCAGTTCGCTAAGGTTTTAATCCTCTTTTCTGGCTTGTAACCAATTTTGGCTTTGTGTCACATTCGACGATTAGAATGAACGGTATTCCTAATCTTCAGCCTTTCTTCGAAGGCTTGCTTCACTTAGATACCAAAAAAAAAAAAAAAATGTTCAAAGGCATCTTTTTGCAGCCATAATGCTGTAGGCAATTTCTCATCACAGTAGCTAAAAAGAGACTTCACAGACTAAGAGAGAAAATAAGTTCAAAGAAGTGCAAAAAGCTGACCACAGCCTGAACATATAAAAGGACTTCCAAACCTAGGACTGCTCCAGCCGAAAAGTCACAGGCCTGGGAGAGATGGTGTAAGTACTTCCAATGACAAATCACGAGTAAGGATGAACCAGGATTCGCGAATCAAATCTAAAGAACCAAAGACCATCCCCTAACAATGAATCTGTCTACACCAAGTGAAAGTTCAAATAAAATCTGTTTCAGAAGATGAAGGGAACTTGCAGATGAAACTGTTCTAGCAGCCCATGAAGAAGAGCTAGAGAAAGTGAAGGAACAGAAATGAACTTGTTCTCCCACAAAATTCCACCTAGGGCTCTCAGGAAAGGAAAGAGCCAATCTGTGGAGAGGACTCCCTCTAGAACATCTGTTAAGACACCAAGCCCTTTCTCCTTCCCACTCCCTCACGCGTGAGCACATGTGTCCAGGTGAATGTCCCGACAACCACCATCACTGCAGAACCCGTCATCAGGAGTGTCTGGCCCGACCCAGAAGGTGAAAAACACAGTGAGTGCTTGCTTCATTCCAAACACGGAAGCCCGGCTCTCAGGGGGCAACTCTGTACTACAACCAAACTCTTTTAGAAAAGTACGCACAGTCAAACGGGAATATGACCACGCTATCTTACAAGGCAAAGCAAGACACAGAAGACCGAGGCAGAAAGGGCAGTGGGCCTCTGCACCATGGGACTTGTCACCAGCCCCTGCTCCAGCGTGTCCTAGTGACCTGAGAGCTACAGAAACGATCCATGGCTGCTGGCGACATGTGTGCCCTGGCCCTCGACCAGCACCATCGGGCCAGGATCAGATATATGTGCTCGCCCATACCTGGTAGTACGGATGGTGCAAAAAGGAATCTGGGCAGCCGGCTAAAGCCATGGGTTCCTTCTGCCTTCTTCAAATTACATTTACTGCGCTGCAGCACCTGGAATAAAGACAGACTGTGAGAAGCCAAGCCAGAAAAAAAAAAAAAAATCCACTACTTATGGCTGGTTCAAGTGTGACATGTCTGAATGGGCAGCTCTTGGTCTTAGCTTGTAGGTTCAGTAAGGACACTTGCTCGGGGCACCAGCTTTTTGCTGACATGCAGAGATGGTCCCCAACTATGGTGCCCTGAGAGGTCATCTGTGAGGTCAAAAGTCTGTGGGGTAGAAGGGTGCCCAGAGTGGTGAGGGTGACATCAGACCCTCTAAATTTAACTCACACATTCCCAGCACTCTCCTGCACTGCCTCACCCTTCTTCCCTATACCATCTATTAACACCCTGCAAACTTCATCAAGCTTTCGCAAATAGGGATTCAGACAAATTCCAAAGAAGCCCAGAAGGGGTTGTGTGTGTGTGTTTGGGGACAGGACCACAGAACATCATTTGAGTGAACACTAGCTCCACAAGCCATAGAACAAATCGGAATTCTCAGTGGACATCCAACCTGACAAACTCATTACATACTCTCCCCTGTGGGCCACGGCACCTAGTACCGAATAAAATGAGGGATATTAATTCTAACAATCAGAATAACAACAACAAAAATCAAGACAAGACCCTGTTATGGGATGAACTGTATCCTCCCAAAGTTCCTAAGCTGCAGCCCTAACTCCTAGTACCTCAGAATGTGACTGTATTTGGAAGGAGGGTCTTTAAACACGTCACTAAGTTAAAATGAGATGATGAGGGTGGGCCCTAATCCAATACAAGCGGTGTTTTTGTAAGAAGAGAATATTAGAACACAGACTTGTACAGAGAGAAGACCATGTCAGGACACCTTGAGAAAATGAACATCTGCAAGCCAAGGAGAGAGGCCTCAGGAGAAACCAAATCGGCCGATACCTTTGATCATGGACTTCCAATATCCAGACTGCGGGAAATGGATTTCTGCTATTTAAGTCCCCTCGCCCCCTCCCCAGTCTGTGGCACTTTGTTATGACAGCCTTACTAAACTAACACAGACCCAAAATATAAAATCACTAGGGAATTCTCATCACAGCTAAAAGGAACAGAAGCATCCCAGATCTGTAAAATTTACTACCAACCATGTTTTCTGCAAGAGTTTCTCTAGAATCCCTCAAATCACCAAAGAACGCCCCAGAACACTTTGCTGGGGCTGAAAGGAAGCAGTCAATAGCAGTGGAAGTACTGGCACAATGAAGGGAGCAGGTCCATGACCTGGCTCAGACGTCCCCAACCTACTCAGTGAGAACTGTGCCCGCATCCACCCTTCACCTCTGCCATGATCAGCAGCCCCAAGGCCTCAGCCTTCTCCGGCTCACAGTCAGCCTGTCCTCGGGGTAGCTGGTGTTACACGTCAACAGTCCAGGCTCTAATTCCCAGTCACTTAGTCAAACACCAGTCTGGCTATTGCCATGAAGGTATTCTGTAGGTGTGGTTAATGTCTACAGTTACTTGGCTTAAAGGAAATGACCCTTAACAGAGGCATTACCCAATCCACAGAAGGCCTTGAGAGCAAACACTGAGATTTCCTAGAGAAACAAGAATTTAGCTTAAGACTGTAGCAAACTCCTGCTTGAGTTTCCAGCCTGCCTGCTCTGCAGATTTCAAACTTGCAAGTTCCTTAAAATAAATCTTTATATATTGAATACATATGAATATAAATATTTATATATTTAAACATATATTTATTTATTTTCATACACATATCGGTTTGGGTTCACTGGACAGGCCGTCACCCCTAGCCGTTGAGGTGGATCAGTGCCCCAAATCATTTGCTGCCAGATCGCAGGACCATGCCTGGATGTCTCCTGCGGGCAGCCAGGCGGCCTCTGCCTTCCACACCAGCAAACACACTCTTGTGCGACTCCTCACTCTCTACCTCACCCCACCACCTCCCATGTCCTAGCCCCATCTCTAAACACTCTTTCTGCCTTCTCCCCTAACTGCAAGGACCTGTTTCTCTCCCCTTCGCCCACATCTCTGAGGGCCTGGGAGAGGAAGGAGTGTCCTCTTGGCCACCTTGCCCGCTGGGTGACAGTTCTGCCACATCCCACCAGGCTGCCCACACCCCCCACGCACGCCGCACGCCTCCCTGCTGTGGTCATCTCCCAGTCTCCCAGCTCATCCGTGGAGACTCACTGGCCCTCACTAATATGCCTTCTGGAATTCCTGGATGTGTTTGACATATAGAAATATGTTCTTATTTTCTCCCTGAAGTTTCAAACTTAATGTGTGTTAAGACTGTCAAAAATATCACTTAATATGCCAATTTTATTACCTAAATATCACCTTTGAAAGTATTTGCCAAAGGAGATGGCTTCTCCGCCAGGAAAATGTGTGTCCCATAAGCCCAGTGGAACAGTTTCCTTGGGACAAGTAAACTATAGTTAGATACAGTAAGAGGGCTGGGCTATCTCTGGTCTCTAATAAAATGTAACCAATCCACAGCTAACATCATGCTTAATGGTGAAAGATGAAAAGCTTCTCCCCTGAGATCAGGAACAAGACAAAGACGCCAACTTTCACCACTTCTATTCAACATAGTATTGGAAGTCCTCGCCAGAGCACTGAGACAAGAAAAAGAAATAAAAGGGATCCAAATTGGAAAGGAGGAACTAAAATCATCAAGGTTCAGAGATGACATATGACATAATCTTATATGTAAAAACCCTAAAGATTCCATAATAAAAAACTATCAGAGCTAGTAAATGAGTTCAGCAAAGGTACAGGATACAAAGTGAACACGCAAAAACCATTTGTGTTTATAAATTAAGAACAATCCAATAGATAATTAAGAAAACAATTCCATTTACAATAGCATCAAAAATAACAAAATACTTAGAAATACATGTAATCAAAGAGGTGAACTACTTGTACACTGAAAACTAAAACATTGCTAAAAGAATAAAGACATAAATAAACGGTAAGACATGCTGTGTTGGAGGAACTAATATTGTTAAGATGAAATACTACCTAAAGCAATCTACAAATTCAATGCAGTCCCTATCAATATCCTAATGATATTTTTTTTTGCAGAAACAGAGCTGAGGGTGTGTGAAGGGCTGATCTTGTGAAGTTCTGTGAGCAAGCTGGCTAAGATTGAAAGGGGATGATTTAGGTTTTTCTGTAGGTTGAACATGAAAATGAAAGCACACTGATGCAGGGCCAGAATGTGGGCCCATGTGTCTGAGTAACAGGGTTTCCTTAAAAAAAGTGATCTGCTATTCAATGAAAAACTGTAAAGGACTCTAAAAAGTTTATGAAAATCTTACCTTATGGTCAAACTCATTAAAACTAATAAAAACTAATTAAAACTAGACAGATTTAAAAAATTTTATTAAAAAGTAGCTTTAGCATTAAAGATGCACTAATACAAACATGAAATTTGGTTTTCTCTTTTGAAAAAGACGTTTATATAATATTGTGATATATATAAAATGAAAGATTTTTTGTTTGCCTTTTGAGTAAACTACAGGAAAAAAAACAAAACAGAACAAAACAAAAAGCCATCCTAAAATTCATATGGCTTCTCAAGGGACCTGAACAGCCAAAACAATCTTGAAAAAGAACAACACGGAGAACTCACACTTCCCGATTTCAAAACTTACTAACGGCTGGGCATGGTGGCTCACGCCTGTAAACCTAGCACTTTGGAGACCAAGGCGGGCGGATCACTTGAGGTCAAGAGTTCGAGATCAGCCTGGCCAACATGGTGAAACCTCACCTCTACTAAAACTACAAAAATTAGCCAGGTGTGGTGGTATGTGCCTGTAATCCCAGCTACCTGGGAGCCTGAGGCAGGAGAATTGCTTGAACCTGGGAGGTGGAGGTTGCAGTGAGCCGAGATTGCGCCACTGCACTCCAGCCTGGGCAACACAGCCAGACTTCATCTCAAAAAAACAAAAGAAAACAAAATGAACAATAACAAAAAAACTTACTACCAGGCTACAGTAATCAAAACAGTCTGGTACTAACATAAGGACTAACATACACCAATGAAATAAAACAAACAGCCCAGAAATAAATCCTCACATATATGGTCAACTGATTTTCAGTAAGGATGCCAAGACCATTCGCTGAGGAAAAGACAGGCTTTTCAATAAATGAATGGTTCTGGGGGCTGAGTATGGTGGCTCACGCCTGTAATCCCCATACTTTGGGAGGCAGAGACAGGTGGATTGCTTGAGCCCAGAAGTTTGAGAACAGCCTGAACAACATGGTGAAACACCGCCTCTAAAAAAATTAGCCAGGCATGGTCACGTGCACTGTAGTCCCAGCTAATTGGGAGGCTGAGGCAGAAGGATCAAATTAAGCACAGGAATTGAGGATGCAGTGAGCTGTGATTAACGCCACTACACTCCAGCCAGGGCAACAGTGAGACTGTTTCAAAAAAATAAAAATAACCAATTTTTTTTAAACGGTCCTAGGAAAACTGGACATCAGCATGCAACAAAATGAAGCTGGACTCTAAACTTACACCATAAGCAAAAAGCAACTCAAAATGTATGAAAGACCTAAACGTAAGAGCTAAAACTATAAAACTCTTAGAAGTAAAGACAGGGAAAAATCTTCATGACATTAAATATGACAATGATTTCTCAGATATGACACCAAAGGTGCAGGCCGAAGAAAAAATAAACTGGGTTTCACCAAAATTCAAAATGTTTGTGCATCAAAGGATGCTATCAAAAGATTGTAAAGACAACACATAGAATGGGAAAAAATACTTACAAAGCATTTATCTGATAAGGGATTAAAACCCAGAATATATAAATGATATGGTTTGGCTCTGTGTCCCCACCCAAATCTCATGTTGAACTGTAATCCCCAGCGTTGGAGATGGAGCCTGATGGGAGGTGACCGGATCATGGGGGTGGTTTCTAACGGCGTAACACCATCCCCCTAGTGCTATCTCATGATAAAGGTCTCATAGCATCTGGCTGTTTAAAAGTGTGTAGCACCTCCCTCTTCACTCTTTCTCCTGCTCCAGCCACGTAAGATGTGCTTCCTTCCCCTTCACCTTCCTCCATGAGTCTAAGTTCCCTGAGGCCTCCCCAGCCATGCTTCCTGTACAGCCTGCGGAACTGTGAGTCAATTAAACCTCTCTTCTTTATCTCTTCTTTATAAGTTACCTAGTCTCAGGTAGTTCTTTATAGCAATATAACAACAGACTAGGCCGGGCGTGGTGGCTCACACCTGTAATCCCAACACTTCGGGAGGCCGAGGCAGGTGGATCACCTGAGGTCAGGAGTTCAAGACCAGCCTGGCCAACATGGTGAAACCCCATCTCTACTAAATATACAAAAATTAGCCGGGCATGGTGGCAGGCACCTGCAATCCCAGCTACTCAGGAGGCTGAAGCAGGAGAATTGCTTGAACCCAGAGGCAGAGGTTGCAGTGAGCTGAGATCACGCCATTGCACTCCAGCCTGGGCGACAAGAGCAAAACTCTACCTCAAAAACAAACAAACAAACAAAGAAACAAAAAAAACAGACGAATGCAATAAAGAATGCCTACAACTCAACAACAAAAGACATAAGCAACCTCATCTAAAAAGGCACAAAGGGCTTGAATAGACTTTTCTCCAAAGAAGATATACGAATGGCCAAAACGCACATGAAAAGGTCCTCAACATCACTAGTCGTTAGGGAAATGCAAATCAGAACTGCAACAAGATACCACCTGACACTCATTAGGCTGACTGATATAAAAAATAAAACCACAAGTATTGGTGAGGATGTGGAGAAACTGGAACCCCTGAGCATTGCTGGTAGGCATGCAAAATGGTGTTGCTGTGGTTGAAAATAATATGGTGATTCCTCAAAAATATTAAACATAGAATTAACATATGACCCACTTCTAAGCATATAATAGCAACTCCACTTCTAAGCATATAATACAAACTAATCAAAAGCAGAGGCTCAGGTACTTCTATACCCATGTTCATAGCAGCACTATTCACAATAGCCAAAAGGTGGAAGCAACCTAAGTGTCCACTGATGAATTAATGGATAATTCATCAACAGACAAACAAAATGTGGTATATACATACATGGAATGTTAAGGGACACGGTCTCCCTCTGTCACTCAGGCTGGAGAGCAGTGGTGTGATCAAAGCTTGCTGCAGCCTCAAATTCATGGGATCAAGCAATCCTTAGCCTCCCAGGCAGCTGGGACTTATGGGACTAGAGGAGTTCACCACCATGCCCAGATAAAAAGCTCACTTCTGAACATCCTACAGTTATACAACTGGATCATCTACTGTGCTACTTTAAAGAGTTCAGATTCTAAATCATCAGCTGATTTATCAAAATATGTGATTCATATTCACAGATAATGAGGAATAGTTTTATAAGCCAGTAGATAGATAGCAGCTTTCTGTCTATAATAACTAAAGACTTTCTCATTAACCGTTGTCAGATGATTAAGAAATTGTATCAATATCTGTTGTCTTTTTGCTTCCCTTGATTAAAAGGGCCTACTAACAAGTTTGGCTTGCTGTGGTGGTTTCACATTGTTCTTTTAATGTCGAAGGTTAAACCCTCCTTTGCAAGATTATCATTATAAATAATATATTAAAATTTGTTTATTTTAATTAATGAAAATTTAAATAATCTTCATGATAAAGCTTAAACTTCTTTATTGGACTATAGTTCAGAAAAATCGTTCAAGCAGAGTCAAAAGTTTACTCATTCTAAAGTCAACATTTTTCTTAACAATGCCAATATTTACACTTCTGGATCCAGCAGCTGAAGTTGAACGTCTTTGTGTTTCCGATTATATGGGTTGTTTTTTGTTTTTCCATGTTAGGGCAACTTGTACTAGTTAAATTAAAATGATACAACTGTCATAAACTTCAAAAATGTTGCACCCAATAACACTTTTTCTGAAAAGTACATTGGGTGTTCCTAACTGAAACTCTAGAGTCTAGCAGACTGTAGATGATACTCTTAGGCCCTCACCTCGCAGCTAATTGCAAATTATGTTTATGGTGGATTTAAACTGTAGAGCGTTTACCCTCCCTTCTGAAAAGATAGTCAAATAGACATCTTCTAACCCAATGCCAGTAAGCAGATGACCAAATGACACATCCGTGACCAATCCATGCTCACCTTGTCTATCCCGCATGGCATGTGGCTCATCACACATGGCAACGTACTAAGTGCATGCTAAGAACCCATGCAATCCACTCTCATATTTCCTTTTCTGTTCTACTGTATTTATTAAAAACGCTTTTCATGACCTACTAACTTGATTTCAAGACCCGGTAACAGGTTGAAACCTACAGTTTGAAAATAGGGCAGGGCTGTGTTTGGGCTTGTGGTCAACATCGGGGTCACCAACTTCAGTTGGAGGGCCCGCTCCCTCACGTCCCCTCCCATGCCTGCCCCTTCACATCCAAGTGCTGTCCAGGGCACAGAGAGGCTGGCCCACTGGCCTTTCTCTTTCTATTCCCTCTTCACCCCTCAGTCCTCATTTCTCTCCTCCCTGACTCAGGAGAGCCAGAAACATTCCCAGCAAACACCACAGCTCTTATGCCACCTCTTCCTGTGACTCCCGCTCTTTGAAAACACAGCTCATCTGCTTAAAGGAACCTAGCCAGCCCGGAAACTGTGTGAGGCTGGAGGGAAAGTCATGTGACTGTGCCACA
The DNA here is from genome assembly GCF_000001405.40 of Homo sapiens. Lineage (NCBI taxonomy): Eukaryota > Metazoa > Chordata > Mammalia > Primates > Hominidae > Homo > Homo sapiens. The sequence continues at coordinate 50,740,044 of NC_000007.14, forward strand.
TGAATCCTTTCTTTTGTTATTTAGCCACAAATCCAAAATGTGCATTTAACAGTACTAGAACATTTTACTGCATTCCTTAGGAAATCTACATTGAACGTGTGTTTCAGAATTTCTCCTCTCTCCCCCAGAACACTGGCCCCCACTTGCCAGTCACTCAGATGACAGTCGCATGTCTGCCACACCTGACCCATTCAAGTGGCACACCATTCTAGCTCATCGCCCTGGTGTATCTTCTCCATGGCAACAACCACTTCCTGACAGCTTCACTTTTGAGACAGTCACAAACCCCATCTTGTTCAAGAACTCAGTCTTGTTCCCTGCCATACCCAGAACAGCAGATAGTAACAGGGACCCAAGAAAGATCTGCTGACTAATAAGGGTAAGTTGTACAATTAATGATGATTGGGTTAAATAATAAAATTCAATTCAAAATTTAAAATTTTAGAAAGACGTTTTGAGTCTTAAATCATCATAGAATTGTTTTTTTAAAAGCTGTACCTTCCATAAAAGCCAGAAGATCCTACTCTTTATTAAGAAAAATATAATTGAGCAATGTTCACGGTATATTAAAATAATCACATGTAGAATGGAAAACAATATTTACATTCTAAGCCATAATAAAAACATTAAAAGAAACTCATAATTCTTTAAACATCAAAGGGAAAATAGATGAAGACACATTCATTCGAAACCCAAACAATTTGCAACAGAAGAGAGAAGACATAGCAGTAAATGTCAGTCATCCAATTCTCCTTTTCAAAATAATATTCAAAACCATTCTAATGAAAAAAAAAAATACCCAAGGCAAATAGAAAAGCTTTAAAAAGGGAGCTAGAAAAGAAAAAGACAGAATGGACAGATATAAAAACCAAACACAATGCAAACAAAATAAAAGCAATGGTAGCAATGATAGTCAAGTGTCACTTAAAGCAAAGAAACAATAATCCAAATACTAAAAAGCATTGATAAAAGCATAATTGATAATGAATAAAAACAGTATTATCCTCCAAACAGCAAAGTATCAAAATACAAAGAGCTAAAATTAGAAGCAAGTTTAATAAAAAGTTTACACTTCAATAAAAAGTTTACATTAAAAACAAACACTATGAGAGTCTCAAGGAGAAAACGAGGAAAACTAGTTGTTGCAGATGTTGGTCTATTATGTAGGACAAAGAAATAAAATTGGAATGAGTAATGAGAAGGCATTAATTGATATTTATGAAAAACAGGCATTTGCAAATATTTATAAACATTTGCAAAATTATTATTTTTTAAAAATACTAAACCACAAAGAAGAGTAGTGCATTTTACAAAAATGCAAAGATCTCTGGAGTTGCAGAACACGGCCCCAAGGAAAAACCTGTTACATGCTGCCTCCTCCCAGCCTGCATGCAGCTGCAGACAGGACCCCAAATGTCCAGCACTGAGACAGGGACCGTAGGCCAATGTGCCAAGGGGCTCCATGCTACATCCAAATAAAGAAAACCAGAAATTAGGAACATGTGTTTAAAAAAAAAAAAAAAAAAAAAAAACGAAGGCACTTGAAAATTAAAAACAAGCTCTGGCCTAAATAAGTGGTTCAAGGAGGAAATAAAGATACAATACAGTCCTAGACAATTAGGACAATGCACACCCCCATGTGTCAAGACAAATAAAATGAAGCAAGAGAAATAAAAGAAGAAAAACTCATGCCATGAAATGCATATTTTATAAAGACAAAATAAATGAACACCAACCCATCCATCTTGAACCAGAAAGAGGGAAATATACAGTCAAAAATCGGAAAGCAAAGCATGACAAAATTGAAATCCAAGAAATATAATAAAAGACAAATCTCTTAAATGTATAGTCAAAAAAACATACAAAATTTTAAACAATGAAATACAATGATTTTTAATCACACAGTAATTTTTATGCACACCAGTAAAGAAATAAATTTTGAACATTACTGAAATTTTAATTTTTACAAAAAAAAAAACCCAAATCAGAATCATCTAAAGTAAAAACACTTAAAATATAAACAGTGAAGATGAAACTGAGTAAAACCCAAACTCCACCCACCTACCAATATAAAGAAAGTGAATGGACTTGGATGGAAGAACCAATCAATGACCATAATTTGTCAAGGGAAGGAAAGAAAGATTCTGAAGCACCTGTTAATAACAGGCACTTGGCTCAGTGCTTTTTATGTATTTGTCTATGTGTAAACACACGCGCACGCGCGCGCGCACACACACACACACACACACACACACACACACACACACACACATACACGGCATCCATTCCCACTGATCACAACAAGAAAATGAAGTGCTGAGATGAAGGCCAAGGGCTGGTGATGGGACTCAATGAAGGAGACGAAGCTCAGTGCAGGAGTCCATGCTCTTAACCAGGATCCTACAAGTCCTAGGGTTTTCAAATGATGGTCCCCGGACATACAGCATGGGCATCACCCGGGTGCTTGTTAACACACAAATTCTGGAGCCCAGACCCTGACCTACTAAACCAGAAACTCAGTGGAGGGGGTGTGGTCCCATAACATGTGTTTCTGCAAGCCCTTGCATGATTCTACTGCTGACATAGTCCCAACTACTGGACTGCATATTACATCACTAGGGGGAAAGGGGAAGACTCTGCATGCCCAGGCTGCATCCCAGACCAAGGAAAATGAATCTCGGGGATGGGGAGGGGGTGGGGGGTAATAGTGTTAAAAGCTCCTCAGCTGTTTCCAAAGGTAAGCACCACCACTCTTTTCTTTAAATTACTGTTGGTTTCTATGATGTCTGCAGGGGGAAAATATTGGGGAAAAAATTCAGTAACGCTTTGAAGAATCATATCTCACTTCCTGGGGGCTGGGAAGGGGGAAACTGCTGCTACTACACTGCTTGAAGTAAAAACTATACTCGGTTCCTCAAAATGCCCTAACTGAATCCTAAGTACTAGATCCCTAACTAAAAGCTGTACCTGTTCTGCTTCCTGCCTTTAAAAAAAATAATAACTCTTGGGTTTTTTGGCATATGCAAATACAAAGAATGCCTTTTAGAACACCAATTTCCGCTTTTCTTCCACAATGCATTGATGGGAGAAGGGGGAGAAGGGACAGATTCAAGAGCTATTTTAATTATCTGCAGCAAAGCATGACCTCATTGCTTCCAACTGCACATTATTAGGTACAAGGGTCTATATGTGACCATAGGTATGAGGATGACCTTTGATTTTTTATTCTCAGCAGTTTGAAAAAGACTTGTGTGGCATATTCTATTCAAGCATCTACAGTTCCTTCCACTTCAGTAGTCTGGTCAGCCTCCCGACAGAAAAGAGTAAATTTTTTAAATCAATACATGATCTTGAATCTGTTTCAATGGCTTTGAAACGTAAGCGTGGGTCAGATCACGCAGTGCTGCGAAGCACAGCACCACTTTACGGTGGCCACATCCCTACTGTCATTTGTGGGAAGCATCAAGTCCCCTCAAGAAACCTGTGCAGACACACTAGCAGCATCCCCACTCAACCGATGAGAAAGAATCCAAGTAACTTGGCCAGCAGTTACTCCTGTTGCACAGCTGCATAGTTAATTTGAGATATGCTCTCCGCAAATCCAGAGCCTGAGTCCTGAAGGGGACAGCACAGAACCCCAACAGCAAGATCCTACTCAGGAGAACCAGGAGAGGCCGACACCAGAAACTAATTTTCACTTTCTAGGCACCCTCACCACTAGCACTGGTGTCAGAGAGAAGGTCTTCCCTTTTGCCGTGCTGTGGTCCACACACAGACATGAATGCCCAGGGCAGGACTGTTAATGCAGTGATCCAACTGATCTGAGACCCAGAAAGTCAACAGAAAACTTGAGCAAAGGTAACCACAGAAAACAGCCTAGGCTATCCACAGGCAGGAGGTCCTCGAATCCCTCCATCCTAAAAGCCTCACCAGAGGAAAACACCAATTTTCTAGCCCTGAAAAGAGGTGGGGTGATGAAGGCCACCTCCACATGCAGCCTTCTCAAGCCGCATTCACCGAGAGTGGATACCCCTGCTCTGTGGTAGGCATGTGCAGAGAAGAGGAACCCATGTGCACAATGAAGTCTAGACACACTGTGGAACAGGTCAGAGTACTGCCTCAATCGTAGAGATTAGGACGCAGGCGCTGCAACACCACGACCACAGGACTTCATGGAAAAGAAAAGAAACCGCGTAGAACCATCACAGGCCGGCAGGCTGGAGTCAAAGAAAAGGACGGCAGGGAGGGAGCAGTATCAGGTGCTCCAGAGATCAAAGCATCCTACCTTTATGCACCCTGGGAATATTGGCATGGAGAAGGATGGGGAGAGAAGAATAAACATTACACAGCTGAGCACTGAACAAGGTAGGAGTTGGAGCACGAACATCCCATGCAGTTAAAAGTTCATGTATAATTTTTTACTCCCCAAAAACTTACCTACTAATGACCTACTGTTGACTAGAAGCTTTATCAATAACAGAAAGTCATTAACGCACATGTTGTATGTCATATAGTTATTACATACTGTATTCTTAGAATAAAGTAAGCTCTTTGGGAGCACTTCCAGTTTCACTAGTATGGGTCCCCTGTGTTATTCAAAGTTTACGGTATTGCATTAAACATGAAAAATACACAAGACCCACGAGAGGTCACTTTTTAATGCAATGAGCAATTTACTGGGATGGGAGCTTCTCACATGGAGATGATTAGCATCACATGGCATTTAAAGCGTATACTTGCAACATTTGAGCTCACAGCAACAGTGGAATTATTACAGTAGTACAGTAATTTTCATAACTATGAAATTAAGTGCAGTATGTACTACAGTTAATTCTATGCAGTGATGATTTCATACAGCACCTTCATGGGTTTTTTTACATTTCTGTCAACAAATGGCTCCATGTATGGTCTGTGTTTGTGTAAGTTTTGACAAACTTTAACTTTTTTATGATTTGTATATATTTTAGAGTAACAGCCTAGTCTTCTACATATATTTTATGCATTCATGACATAGCCTTTTCTTAATTTTTTTGGTATTTCTCGGCTATGCTGTAAGATTTTTCAAACTGTTGCAAATCTCAAAAAAATTTTCTAGTAATTACTGAAAAAAACTCCACATATAAATAGACTCACACAGTTCAAATCCATGTTGTTCAAGAGTCAACTGTAATTTTAAATTTGCAATGCGTATTACTTAAATATAGATTTAAAATTGGGTTCCTTTTAAAAGAACTTATTGTTCTCTGATATATTAATATTTTTCTAAATTCATTAAAGATTTGTTTCTACCTTTGGAATCCTTGATACTTGAATTTTACAAATTCTTACAAATTACCGAATGCCTTTGGGTGTCTTCCAAGGAATAGATCTTTGTACATTTAAACTATAAAAAGAGAAACAAAAATTAAGACACCAAATCAATTAAGACAAAGAGGGGAACAATTGCCATGACAACACATTACCAACTATAACCCCCACTGGTCCGGAAGCACTGTCTTCCTTTGGGAATAGATAAAGCCAACGGGAAGGAAAAGCAAAACCACTCAGATCTGTCTTTGCCGCCTAAAAATAGTGAATTTCATAACTGTTGGGAAAACGGCTAGAACTTTATCCGAAAAATAAAAGATGCTCTATAAAACAGCCCTTGGATTTAAACACTTTATAAACTAAATGCGCTCCAAAGTCATTCCAATCAATATTAGATGGTAAACCATTTGTCCCTATAATAAAACCCAAATAACTCACAGAAGACATCTTTTTACCTAAAGAAAACTTTTTAAAGGCCTCAAAAAGTTAATCACTCTTTCTAAACGCTAAAGTAGTTAATCACACTTTCTAGATGCTAAAGTAAACTCTCTGGCTAAATTAGGAAATACTGAAGATAGTGGCATCAGATCTTAATCTCATTCTTTTGGCAAATCTTGAACAAGGCCTGGGATTTGCTCTCTTCCCAATTAGGCCCCAGAGTCCAGTATCTGAGCTGTAAGGACGCTGTCCTGGGTGCCACTGAGAGTAGGATGTGGCAGTGTGAAACCATACAAGCTCCACAGGCAGCCTGGTTTCTTCATAATCTGTACAGATGGTTCCCAACTTGACAATGGTTCAACTCAGGATTTTTCATCTTTATGATGAGTTGATGAGGATGTAAACCCATTTTTAGTTAAGAATCTCCTTACAACTTACCATTGGGTTATAGTTTCTACTGAACACTTGTCGATTTCACACCATCCAAAAGCCAAAAACACAAAGCATTATTAGATCAAAAATTAAAATTAAAACAGTCAAACCGTCATTAAATCAGGCACCATGTACCGTGTTGCCAGCACTGAATGCATTTTCAACTTACGACATTTGTGTCTTATGATGGGTTTATCAGAATGGAACCCTGTAAACCAAGGAGTGATTTATTTTCTTTTATACCTAAGACCGGGATTCTAATGAAATAAGGGAGGAGCGGGCACCCTCTGGTGACACTGCCAGACCCAGGAACTGTGTGGACTCCTGTGAGGGCCTTTCCTCAGCAGCACCAAAGAGGATAATGGCAATCACCAAAAACTACCTGCAGACCCTCCCTGCTGTGCTGCAAATCTTCATTCACCCTCAGCTACTCACTTTCTCCACAAAAGAGGCTTTTTGCCTACTGCCCTAAACCTCCCATCCCCACCCTTTTCAGTGCAGCATCCCCAAACCCCTTCCTGCAGAACACCCATATCACTTCAGGGCCTGCACACCACCCAGTCTCTGCCCCCCGGGCCTCCAGTCCCCAGGGCTCCCCTGGCCTGTCCCTGCGTGAGCCATTCTGTGCTCTCGCCTCAATTCATGACCTCTTCCTGCCCATGTCCTCCCTCCCTTGGGTCCATGAACATTTGTGTGCATTTCCCACTTCAGGAGGGAAGGAAGGGAGGAAGCAAAGTGACATTTCTCTTAAGCATGTCCTCCTCTAGCTCTAGCCCTTTCTCTCTCTGCATCCCTCTGCAAGTGTTGACAAAGCATGTTCGAAACCCGCTGCCTCCTACCCCTCAAATCAGCAGTCTCTCCAAAGCCCCAGTTTCTGCAGCGAAATTCTCTCTAAACTTATTTGAATCATTAGGAGTTTCCATCATGGTCTCTTCTCACTCTCACAGTCATGGTCGCTGCTGGTGGGCACTACAATGAGGAAGCCAGGCTAAGGAGAGACACACGACCTATCCCTGAGCCATGAGCCCAGGCGCGGTAGCTGAACCTGGCCTGGGGCTGGGATTCCTGCTTTTGAGGAGGAAACCCGCGAAGCAGAGCAGGTCCCCACCGTTCCCTCCAAATCCACAAAACAAAGGCGCTTACAGTCAAACAAGTTCAGGTTTTCTATAAAGTCAAATGTTTTCCTTTCTTCCAGTGCTTCTTTGAGCCTTTAATCTAGCAAGGCAGCTCTCTCAAGAGGAAAAGTGGGGTGAAGCATTTTCAAAGATGGTTTTACCCTCTCTCCAACCCTTTGGGATTTTTCTCCCTCCACCCCGCTTCTCCATTTCACCCCCAGAGCTGACTGGGCAGACACCCACCACGCTCACTGTTGAGGGCTCTGCTCCAACGCTGAGAGAAATGGCATGCAAGCATGGAGCAGGGCAGCTCCATGGGACCCCAGCTTCTCTGCTGAAAACAGGCCGCCTGGGAGGAGAGAAGCTGAGAAACCAGTCAGCAGAATCCTGCACCCAGGCCTTGATGGATGCTCAGGAGAGAAGTGGTGCATTCTGAATCTAGCAGGTGGGACACGTGAAAGAAAAGCGGAGTGGAGACCTCGGGCCTGGGCAAGTAGAAGGAGGGCGTCTCCAGACATCGAGATAGGAAAGGCGTGGGAGATGATGAATGGGCAGGATGCATGTGTGCAGATAGGAAATTCTAGAAGGCAAGATGCATGCACAGGTGGGATTCCAGAAGGCAGGAAGCATACCTGCAGGTAGGAAATCACAGAAGGCAGGACACATGCGTGCAGGTGGCAAATTCTAGAAGGCAGGACGCATGCGTGCAGGTGGGAAATTCCAGAGGATAGGATTGTTCTCATCCCCGCCTGATGATGCTGGTGACACTGTTATTTCAGGATGGGGAGGGAGTGGATCTGCTCTAATAACTGAACGTAATCACTCACCCCCCGCCCCATCTTTAACGGGGTCCTGTGGTTTCGGATTAATTAAGGAAGCCCTAGGTAGGGGTTTTCCTCCTCTCTGCCTAGCACCCTGGAGGAGGCCCCGTGGCCCATGACGGAGTAGCCATGTGCTGGTGTTAGAGATGGACATCAGACAGTGCACACCTACCTGCTATAGGCCAAGTGCCATGCAGATGGACACGAGTGGGCACCACAACAGCCAGGGAGAGCGTCACGGCAGATGTGAGAGCTGAGCTCGGGAAAGTGTTGGAAATTAGGAGTGGAGAAAGGAGGTAGGAGAAACAGCATAACAAAACCAGAGGCAAAGGCACACACAACAGGCTGGGAGAATGCGGAGAAAATCAGGGTACCAGGGATGGGGTCGGGTAAAAACAAGCCTTTGTGGAACATTTATAATGGGCCAGGTTCTCAGCTAAGCGCTGACTTCCATTTTCCTTCTCATTCTTCCTAACAATACCCCGAGTGTCACTGAGGAGGAGCCTGGAGTTCAGGAATGTAAGCAACCCCAGTGTTTAGCTGCTGTGGCGGGGACCGAGGCCTTTGGACCCCATAGTGCTCCAGGAATAGGGACCAGTTGGGGTAAAGGGCAATGATATCCATCTTGACCACAAAGACTCTGAAGTAAAACAATCGAATTTCATGGAGAGAGTGAGACCCACGTGTGCAAAATGTAATTTCTCTAATCCTCAAAACAGGGAAAAGCTACCAGGACATTTATTTCCAAAAGGCCATAAGAAATCAGAACCTCTACTTTATAAAGAGGTGCTACATTAAAAGACATATTAAATAAAAACTCTTGTTCTCTCACCTGTAAAAGGGTGGAATGGGTCTAGACTCTACAATCTAGAGGATGCCACAATTTGTCAAACTCAAATGGTCTAGATGTTTACAAACACGTTAGTCAATTCTATATAAAATGTTGGGTTTTTTTGTTTTGTTTTGTTTTTTTGTTTGTTTTTTTTTTTTGAGATGGAGTCTCACTCTGTCATCCAGGCTGGAGTGCAATAGTGCGATCTTGGCTCACTGCAACCTCCACCTCCTAGGTTCAAGCGATTCTCCTGCCTCAGCCTCCAGAGTAGCTGGGATTATAGGCACTCACCACCATGCCCAGCTAATTTTTGTATTTTTAGTAGAAACAGGGTTTCATCATGTTGGCCAGGCTGATCTCGAACACCTGACCTCTGGTGATCCACCCACCTCAGCCTTCCAAAGTGCTGGGATTACAGGCATGAGCCACCATGCCTGGCCAAAATTTGTATTGTTATAAAATTCTTTAATGTATAATTGTGAGATGGAATTTTAAATAATTTTGCTTTGATAAAAGTAGATTTTTTTCTACTCTGGCCACACTCATCCTATATTACCAGAGCTTCTATAAATAATCTCCAGGAGTTCTTCTTAGAAACTTTGTATAATTTGTGGAATTTGTCATTTTCAAAGCATTTTTCTTCCATTGGTTCTAAACACTGCAATAACTAGGTAATCATCTTCTAATGCAATCATCTACATCAATCATGCACACTCTGGACCCCCAGTCATCAACTCGTTGGTCTATGAAGTAATCCATCAAAATAACCATTAACAGTATAAAGAGAGGGCACCTTTGAAATGTTACCCTCTTCTCTCCTCCATCCCGTCTTTGGGCCCACAGCTCTATTACTTCTGAAAGCATGAAATGCTTTAAATGTAGGTATTCAAGCACAGTTTGTACTTATCATAAATCTTATTGCATGTTATTACATTCCTCCATCTTCCTTTAATTGAAACTGTAACTTAAAAAAAATTAATCTTCTTTTCAACTTAGGACAGACTGTAACAGCCTGTTGATCCTGCTACTCCCTTGGTGAGATTGCTGCCAGGCTGGCCCCACTCTCCCAGGTGGGGGCAAAGAAAAAAGGAGAACCTATTTCGTGAAGACAGTTGGAATGTCTGGCCTGCAGATTGTCTACAGAAGCACAGAGGAGCCCTCCGGCAGCTCTCCGTGGGAAAGCACCCTAAAACCAGCTCCCTCTCAACCTCAGGAACTGAATTCTCTTGGGAGCTGCCAAGGCAGCAAGTTCTTTGCAAATTTTATCTTCTTTTTTTAATCATAAATTTCAAGGATGATCATAAGCAACATCTTGGTCGACTCTGCTCTCACCACTCATATATAAAACCTTTCTGAAAAGTTGAGTTAACTTTGAATGCTGGACAAAGACCAAAATAAATAAAATGAAAGGGGCTTTCCTGCACCGTTTCTTGTCTTCCACCTAAGCAGGTGCGCACGCGGAGATATCCAACGGTTGCCATTCACCCTCCATTTCAGGGCAATCCTGTTCAATAGAAGCTCCAATGATCACAGCACACGTTGAGCCTGCCGAGAGTCTCTCTTGGGGCAAGACATCTAGAAGTGCTAGGGAACGCAGTCCCACAATTCCAATAACCAACTGCAGACAGAACTATATAGATGAGTATCACGCTTAGGTTTCCCACGCCCACCCCCATCTGTGAAGTCAAACAGCCTGTTGTCAATACCAGAAGAGACAAGTTTGTACATCACAAAAGACAAGCAAGTCCCCAATCTAATTATGCCAGCCACTTTAGAAGGAGAGCAAAGACAGCAGACACTCTGGGCAATGAATTACCCTAAGTCTCAGCATCAAGCCTGCACTCATCTCCTGGGTCCCCAGATAACTCACCACTGGTCAGAAGGATGGATGGGCCCTTCCAAATCACAGCCTGGGCTGTCTGAGGACAGCTCTCCCAGGAATCATCTCTACCCACCTAGGACGTGAGTGGAGTCAATAAATAAGGGTATGCTCTGAGGGTCCACAGTGGCTTGCTTGGCCCCCAAGCCTGCAAATCAGACTCGCCAAGAATGAATGAAGGCATTGACCCACAGGGACCGAGAGCTCACTGACCAACAAGAGAGACGCCATGTCCCAGCCTCGACTTGCCTTGGACACTGCCCTCCTCACCACTCCTACCCCTCTGTATCAGGCCAGAGCTCAGACTCCAGGTAGACCCACAGCCATGTCCAAACCAGACACCCAAGACCTCAGCAGGAAGAAATCCAATCCAAAAAGAAGGAAAAAAGGAAGGACACTGCTTTCCTAGAAGCCTAGAAAGAGGCTCAGATACAGAAAGAAAGCAATCTATAGAAGCTGTGTCTGAAACAGCAAAAACCTGGAAACAAGCCAAATGCCCATCAAGAAGTGGATGAATGAGCCAACTGTGATGCATCTATACAATGGAACACTACTCAGCATTAAAAAGGAGTGAAATATTGATAGACGAATCTCAAAATAAATAGCCAGGGGCCAGATAAAATAAATTGATTCCTTTATGCAACACTCTAGGAAATGCAAGCAATCTATACTGAGAGAAAACAGACCAGTGAAAGGGTGGGAAGGAAGAACTGCAAAGGGGCACTGGGAAGTGTGGGAAGTGATGAATATTTTCATTACCTTGGTTACTTGATGATGGTTTCACATATGTCAAAATGCATCCGTTTGCACATTTTAAATATGTGCAGTTTTCTGTGCTCAATGTATTGTATCTAAATTGAGCTGGTTAAAAAAAGAATGAAAACAATTTGGGGGCAGGTGGATAGCAAGGAATTTGGTGACCAAGAACAAGTGGAGTGATTCTCCTTATTTGTGGTATAGTTAAGGGCTTTAAAGTCACCTCAAACACTGAATTAGTGAATGGTGAGTCTTTGGCCCTAGGGGAAATACAGAGTTAGGTTTCTATGAGCCAGTCACATTTTCATCAACCAATCAATATGTAACCTCTTTTTATGTGTTTCTGTTTAAAGACACTTTACTTAAATATACTGTTGAGGTATCTCGTTGGCTGATCAAGGATGCCAAGGGGCATGAATGATGCCTGACCCAAGCTTCCCAGCGCAATCCAGTGGGGAGAAGCTCATACAAAACCACAGAGTCAGGGTGTGCAGGTTAAGTGCCCCACGTGAGGCAGAAACAAGACAATAAGAACTCCACAGAAGAATGTGAGAGGGCTCTCCTATGGGGAGGACAGTGAAGCAAAGTTATTAGGGGGGAAAAAATGAGGGGCTACAAAAATAGAAAAGGATAAACAGGAGATTCAGGGAGGCTCAAGTTACAGAAGCCAAAAGTTGAGAGGATGTCAAAAAAGGAAGGCTGAGGCAACATCAAGGTACTTAAGAGTTTCTCTTTCCTACGGGAAAGGCTATGGGACACCTTGAGGAGCAAAACGGTTGTGTGGCACAACTGTAGAAGTTTCCTGCCCTTGGAAAGAGAAAGGTGAAAGGCATACCATTCTTGGTTAGTTTCTGAAAGTTTTTTAGTTCAAACTGTCCTATAAATGGGAAAGAACCATGCATCAGAGCATCTGGGCCAGAGAAATGGTCCCTATCCTTAGCCAAGCTCTGTGTCGCTAAGGTAGATTGGTGTCATGATAATGAGCCCTCCCCTGACTGCATTCCAAGGGTGAGCAGGGCCATGAGAGTTGCCCTCCTGTGTGAGTAAGAGCCCAGCAAGAGCTGTACCATCGCAGCTGGGCCGGTCTCCACAGGCCAAGAGCAGGAGAACAGAGCTCTTTCCTTGAGGCTGAGCCCCGCAAGGCAGAAGCTGCTGCATGAACACTGAGTTTGGGGATGTGATGCTTTGAACCCCAGGCAACCCCTAAAACTTCTCCCATGAGAACAAGACAAGTAACCAAAAATGGGGACAGAGGAAAGCTAAGCTATGGTCCCCAAGGAACCACAGGCCTGAGGGAAACGCTCAGAGGTCTCTTTGGGCCCAAGAGCTAACGAATAGAAACTGAGACCATTGGGACCATTTGAGTATTTCTGCCTCTCCCTCCTTGACCCCAAAACAAACAGGGCTGGCTCTTAGAGGCAGTGAGCAGCGAAGGACAGTGGGAGGGTTGCCCTGAGGCCCAGCTGATTCCCCCAAGTCTAGTGCCATGGCCCGTCACTATAGGGTCTGGGATTCCCACCTCAGGCCCCACCACATCCAGGCCTGGGTGCCCTCATCTGAGACACTCTGCAAACTGAAGTCTACTCTGACAATAACTAGCTCTTCTCAGACTCTATTATTTTGATTTGTAGCATCTTTCTGAAACCCCAGGGGATTGGGCTTCAACTGTTAGGTCAAGCAAAACGTGAGTTCTTAACAGGATATCTTTCTACCAAAAATACATTCCTTGCAGGCAGGAGCTGGGGCCATCTTGTGACCATGGTGCCCGGCACCTGGACAGTGCCAGGTACCAAATGGGTGCCCACATTCACTCATTCTCTTGTTGGACAAGAGGGAGCCCATCTGAGAGTCCCAAGTCAAGGAAAGGTTTCATGGCTTATAAAGTTTGGAAACTACTTCCCAGAGCACTCCCTGGAAGACCATGCCTCATTCAATACCTGCTGACCCCTCAAGGGGCTCAAACTTGTCAAGTGGGACCACAGATGACCACAGACTCAGCGTCTCCCTCCTGGAGGACAGAGGAAGCACCCCACCAAATGGAGCCACCACACAGGTGGACCTGCTCTGTAAGCTGCCAGTGATCATCAGATTTCAAGCCAAAAACTCAAAGACTAAGTGGGAAACGAAGTTTTGTTTCAATGCCATGTCCATGCCAAGCAGTCCATAATCAGGCAATTGGAATGCAGAGGCTGGGAAGGAGATTTCCCTTTGAATTATATGACCAGTAAGAAAAGGCAGGAAGCCCAAGGCTGTCAGGTGATCCAGGAAGTGGGCGCTGGGGCTGGTGAGAGATGGCTTTTTGCCTTTTTCAGATGTGTCCCTTCAACACTGTAAAGCCTTGCCAGAAAGAAAACTCGTCCCAAATCTCAAGGAATCTCAGCATCACTCGCAACAAATCTATGTCACCAATGAAGGATCTTGGGCAATGCAAAGGGGCAGACGGGTCCAAGGAGGGCGACTGCCTGCCCGTGAGCACGGCACTCCCTGATTCAGCTTCGCAGGGCTGCCTTCCTGAAGCTCGCACACCTGCCTGATGGTTCAGGCACTGCACATCGTCTACAATGAGCAGTCAAGAGGCAAGACGAGGGACCCAGCTGCCCTAGAGCCCTGCCCTGGGTCTCAGGCATGGAAGGGTCTGCAGAGCTATCACTGGCCACAAAGCGTGGCTTTTTCTCTGACCCATTCTGAGATAGGGAGGTCTGCTACCTTCACTCAACTATGCTGTGAGGAGAAGGGTGAAGGGCCTGTTTTACAAAAGACAATCCATCCCAACAGCACAGCCCACTTCCCTGGCAAGGCAGTGGCAGGTGGGGGAGGTCACGGTTCATGCATGACCAGGGCGGGAGCTGCAGGAGGCTCCAGCTCCCTCTCCTCACTGGCGCCAGGACCCTCTCTCTGCAGGGGCACAGACTCTCAGAAAAAAAGCAACGGCAGTGTGAGCTGTCTGGAGAGAAGGAAAATGTCCACATGCGCACCTTCTGAATTTAGAAAGGGATGTGTAAAATGTCATTCAGCATCTAACACAAAGCTAACATAAGGCAGACATTTGGGAAAAGATAGCCCAGAAACTTCCTACCAAGGGTGTGGATATGAGGGAAGGTGACCGGCAGTACCCAGGTCCCCCAGCCTCCCTTCAGGCCTTTGACCTGGGCTGAACTGCGTTCCCAAACATTCCTATGTTAAGCCCTAACCCCCAGCACTTCAGAATGTGACTGTATTTGGAAACAGAGCCTTTACAGAGGTCACTAAGTTAAAACCGGGTCACAAAGGTGGGCCCTAATCCAATACAACCGGTGTCCTTACAGGAGGAGGAGATTAAAACACAGGCAGGTCCAGAGGGAAGAGCAGGTGAGGACACCGCGAGAAAACAGCCATGTGCAAGCCCAGGAGAGAGGCCTCAGGAGGAACCAACTCAGCTGTCACCTTGACCTCAGACTTCCAGCCTCCAGAACTATAAGAAAACAAACTTCTGTTGTGTAGCCAGCCAGTCTGCGGGATACTGCGGGGAAGCCCGAGCTAACAGCATCCTCCACTCTGCAGGCAAAGGCTCCGGCAGGTCTGTGTGCTGAAGCCGTTCTGGCCTCAGCTCTCTGCCTGCATCTGCAGCTACCATCTCAGACCTGCCAACGGCACTGTAAGAATCCCACACCCAGGGCCAACCAGGACAAAGAGAAGGTCCATTCCCAGAAAGGGCCACCTGAGGTTGACATGCCAAAGGAAGGCAGGGGTGCTAACACTGCCCTGGTCCTCCGTTAGTTACAGGGTCCCCAGTCTCAGTACTGACTGAGGCAGGGGCACACTAACACACACATCAGCAACAAGGCACAGGTCAAGACCCTCCCACACTGTGTTCTAGCCCACCTTCAGAACAACAGCTACCAACTCCTGAGGCTCACGAGGAGTGCCCAGAGTGACCCAGGAGGCAGGCAGCATCACCCCCACCATATGGAAGGGCACAAGGAGACCAGTGAGGCCCAGAGGCATGTCCGCGAGGAGAGTGTGCGCAGCCCGGCTCTGCTGCAGCCCAGGTCCTCCCATCCCTACCCGACTCAGCCCGGTGTTCCCAGGCAGAGCCGAGCCAAGGAGGAGAGGGAGAGAGAGGACAGAGACGGGAGACTCTCTTTGGGAACCTTGGAATAAAGGTTCTAGTATCAGGCCTCTACCTACAGTGACACGCATTCACTGACCACCTTAATCAATACTGAACAGGCGACTCTCCTGCAAAGAAAGGCACTAGTGACTAGTGTCATGCATAGGGCTTACCTGTCAGGAGTTGGCTCTGTAGCACTGTCTGCTGGGGCGGCCACCCTGGCTTCACTGAGAGGACCCAGGTGAGGACCTGGCTGCCGGTCACTGGGCTGCTGGTCACTGAGCTACCAGTCACTGGGCCTGCAGCTGCTGCTTCCTGCTCAGCATTGTGGTCAGCGCCAAAGCTGGAAAGTCAAACGGGCCATCACTGAACTTCCGTAGAATTTATACAAATGAACTTATACTCTGAGCCCAGGAATAAAACTTTTAAAACAGACATGAAAGAATATTTTTTTCCAAGAAGATCATTTAAGAGTGTTCTGAAGAACAAAACAAGGACGTGACTAAGTAAGATGTAGGTTTCTAGTTGTCACATGATGCCCAGAGACAGAGGACAGAGGGAAGATGCACTGGGCTCTACGCTCACTGCCCACACATCTCTGCGTCTCCAAAGCACGCTGCCTCCAAGGCAGGCGGGGTACAAAGCACACAGACCTTTGCCCTCTTGCAAGGCAAAGTTACCTAGAATTCACTTCGGGCCCAGGTCAGGGTCCTCCCAGGCTACAACCTTCGGCCCACCCAGCAGGAACCTGCCTCCATGTCAGACCTGGCCCCAGCCCACAATGCCTGGTACTGTTCTCAGCAGAGATTCCGCTGGGCACTCTGCATGGAGCACATGTGTTCCACGAGAGGGGTGCAGAGCAGGCAGACCTGGGGTTCCAATTCTGGCTCTGATCTTTGATTCATCACTCAAGTCCTATGAACTGAGAGCTCAAGGCGCAGAGCCCTCAGTTCACAGGTGGGTTCTAGGCATGGAGAAGAGGGTGGAGACCAATTGAAACCCCTACCGGAGGAGACTTTATAGTGACCTGGGCAACTCACTGGTCTTCCCAGGCTCTGGTCCCACTGCAGAGCATGGGGATGAAACCCACCTCACTGAGGATTTTAATACACTGCATTGGAATGCCACTGGATTCCAACATGTTTAAATGAAATACACAGAGAATGGCTTAGCAGTGTGACTGGCATGCAGCAAGGGTGCCATCCAGGAGCCTCCTATCGCTGTTGGGCTGGAGGAGGTCCCCTGCCTGCAACGTGGGTGATCTCAACAGATCCCTCCATGGAAGAGTCAGAAGCTAAATTTTCCTAATTGTTAAACGGTGAAAATGAAACCTGCCCCTGCCTCTTACCTGACATCAAGAAGTCCTGGGCCCAGATATAAGAAGACCAGTCAAATGGCTGTTTTTTGAAACAGGTCCCGCTGAACATGCTTGCTAAAAATCCAGGCACCAGAGAGTCTTGGTTCATCTCCAGATGCCACCCCTTAGCGGCTGATGTCTGGGCAAATTATTGAGTCATTGGGGTTCAGTGTTCCCAGCTATAAAATCAGCATGAAAATAGTATCTCTCTCACGGAGCTTTTATTAGGATTAAATGAGCTAATGCATATAAAGGCTTAGGACAGGGTTCAACGTATAGCAAACGTTAAACAAATGTATACTCATCATTAACTACAACATGCCAAATAATTCTCCCATTTTCAGGTGTGAAACACACCAGCCACCTGCAAGCTATGAAGCTTGCTAATGTTTAAAGGGGATGCTGGTCTTTTTAGGACCAAAAGGGGAGATATGTGATACATGATTATGAGACTGATCAAAGTTGAACATCACCTGCCTATGCAAAAGCATTTTATTAAGGGTATCGCTTTAACCGTCTCAAAGAATTTGGAAGTTTGGAAAGTATCAAGATGATTATGTCGACTAGAATATTTCTAAGTTCTAGTAGCTTAAGTGACTAAAAGATAAGAAAAAAGGGTGCATGGGCAAACAAGTATGAGGGTCTGTGACATGGCAATGGGAACACTGGGAAATGGACTTACGGTCACCATCACAACAGCATACGAATCACTGCTAATTCTCATATCCTGATGTGTGTCCCATCTCTAGAGAGCCTAATCTTTTCCCCAATTCTGATTCAAATGCCCAGGACCACTTCCCAAGGCATCTTCAGGCATGTGGCTTCAAATGTAAGACATGTGCTTGAAAGGTTTGCTTTTTCTCATGGGCACGATAAATTAAATACATCACTGAGGTAAAGTGAAATATACTTGTCCTGTCAAACCCATCATCACTTCATCCATTTTTGTCTATTTTCTAGGAAGTTGATATTAGTCTTTACAGTTGACAAAACAAAGACAACATGCTCTTTGAACCTGATAAACTGAAGAGTTAGTAAGATACAATGCCTCCTCAATAACCTCAGTGTCCGCCCATCAACACACAGGGGAAAGCCTGCTGCAAACACAACCTCTCGGCTCTGTTTACAGTAGCCTCATCTGGCACCGACACCCAGACCACCAACACCCCGAGAGTAGACCAGCACACTTCACACGCTGACCCGGACCACTGGACAGAAGTTACAGAGTCTAAAGGGCTCACTCAGCTATTTCCCTATCAGTCAGGAGAGATTTCTTAGGCAGTTTCCAGTTAGATACGACTTAAACTTGAGATCTTAAAGAATATACTAACCTGGGGAAAAATAAATAATGTCTTAACTTACTTCCAAAATATCCCAGAAACAAAGGGCCTCTTGATTTCTGTTTAGTATCTTTGGTATCTTCCAAAAATTCCTGAGCTAATATAAAGTTTTCCTTCTGCCTAGTTTTCTCACACTAAATATTTAGAGTAATAACAGTGACTATTTAGACACTCAACAAATCCTAACTTTCATGACGAGGGTATTCAGCCTGTTCGGCCAGAGAGCTCTGGAGTGAAGTCTAGGCCTTCTCAGAAGGGGACAGAATACTTTTAGTTAAACAAAAAAATTAAACTCCATATTGTACTGATATCAGAGACTCAGAGATGACTGTGTTTTCCCAGAGTAAGAGGGTGCTTATGAAGACAAATTGAGAAATATGTAAATAGAATGGAATTAAAAGGAACATTTCTAAAAAGTAATTATAAAATTTCAGAATGTTATTGCCAGGACCTGTGGACAGCTTAAAGCTGAAACAACAACTATGAAATACAGGCCAGGCACAGTGGCTCACACCTGTAAACCCAACACTTTGGGAAGCCAAGGCTAGAAGACTGCTTGAGCTCAGGAGTTCAAGACCAGTTATGGCATATAGCGTGACCCTGTTTCTACAAATAAAAATCTTCTTTTAAAAATTAGCTGGGTGTGGTGGTGGGTGACTGTAGTCCCAGCTACTTAGGAGGCTTAGGTGGGAGGATCGCTTGAGCCCAGGAAGTCGAGGCTGCAGTGAGCTGAGATCACACCAATGCACTCCAGCCTGGGTGACAGAGTGAGACTCTGCCTCAAAAAAAAAAAAAAAAAGAAAAGAAATGCCAAACTTCACACCACTTTTATCAGGTGTATCTTCTGGCCTCTTCATTCAGTAATGCAAATCCAGCAGCCACAGCTCCTTTCCTGGTGAAGATGATAGAACAGGAGGCCCACAGAAGCGGGCAGCAGATGGAAGCGAAAACAGAAACCATCCCACCTCACTGCCAACATCATCTCTCAGCACCTATGGCGGATCGGTTCCAGGACACCAGAGACACCAAAATCCATCAGAGGATGCTCCAGTCCCTGGTATAAAATGGCGTAGTATTTGGATATGACCTACACACTTCCATTCACTTTAAAACATTTCTAGATTAATTACAATACCTGACATGATGTAAATGCTATATTGTTTATGCTGTATTGTTTTTATTTGAATTATTTTATTGTTTTATTGTTATATTTGATTGTTTATGGGGGGACTGAATATTTTTATCCATGGTTAGTTGAATCCAAGGATGTGGAACCCACAGACGCACAAGCTGTGGAATAGCAGAGCGGCTGTACTTTCAAATCACCAAACATACAGAAAGGCTCAGCAGCAACTCAGCTGCCAGGGACCCAGTCATCTGCCCAATCCCAGGAAGGCCCTTCTTCCCTCACTAACCTGTCCACCAGCAGACACCAGGAGAGGGCCACAGAGACAGTGAATGGCCAGGGGGCAGAGCGCGGACACCCCGGGAGCAGCTTCTGAACTGCCACCATCACTGAAACCAACAAAACTTAGCCAAAATGTGTAAACAGGCCCAGACTCCATCTAGGTCTCAATTTCAGGGTCAAGCAGGACCAACAGGCCCAATAATCCTCAGTGTGGGGCCTCCAGGAGCCACCAGCCGAGCAAGCACAAAGATGGGTTAGCCAGAGAGCGTGCTTCCCTCTACGGCCATGCAGACCAGAAGCACAGGGAGGTCAGAGGCTGCCTACCTGAAAGAGGCAGCACACAGCTCTAAAACTAGCCAAAGGCCAGCAGAGCGGTGAGAGGCAGGATAAATATACATGCACACATGCACAGAACAGCGACTGAGCAGAAAACCTACAGAAAAGACCACACTCACAATAGTTTATATACATAGGTATGCATATTTTAGGTTAGCCCTAAGAATAATCCTATACAAACCATAAAATATCATAGCACTTAGGAGATATAAAAAGACCTAAATGAATGGAAACACGCTAAGTTCCTAAATGGAAAGATTAAACATCATAAGGATTAATTCTCTTAAAAGTAATATAAATATCCAAAACAACTTTATAAATGAAATGTAGTATGTATCTATCTAAATTCAAGCAGTTTTTTTCTTAGAACTAGTGGAATAATCCTAAAACTAACAAAATAAAATAAGCGGTAAGATGGTCAATCATAGAGCATTAAGGGAGAATTACTCATCATCTAGTAAAATGCACCCTAAAGCAAAAGTAGTTAAAATAGTGTGTACTTGGCACAAAAATACATGCTACTGTTCATCCAGAAGAGTCAAATCTGCAAATACGAACATGAGTATTTTTATCATGGCACCATGTGCTATACAAGCTACACTGAAACAAGAGTGGGCACGTGTCTTCACTCCACAATCGAGCACACAGGATCCCTGGGACTAGAATCCCAGGGCTCACAGCCATTCCTGACTCTCCAGATGATGCCACCCAAGATGGTGGTGACAGCTATGATAACTGTACTCAGGGCAATGGCAGCCACCCTTGATTGACAACCTATTACCTGTCAGAATCTTACCAAATGCTTTACAATCTCTCATGGGAGGGCTTTTTGAAGATCAAATTGAAGGAAGTAAAGGCATGTGAGACACAAAACACAACATGCAAAGATAGGTGGGTTTTAATTAAGAACAACTAGATATCAATCCTTTGAGGCAGCACTGTTACCTCATTTTACAGATGCAGAAACCAAGGCTAGGAGACGGTAATTATATGCCAAGGCCACACAGTTAATCAATGGCAGAGCGAAGATGCAAGTCAACAGATACCTGGATGTATGAATCCCTGCCACACGGTTTGTGATTTTAATAAAATATCATTTCTACCATAAGGAAAAAAATAGAAAACTTTTACAATAATTGTAAAGTTTCTCTTCATTTTGATTCTTTCAATCACTTGCTGGAACAGATTTTATCATTTCCTTTTAGGGAAAAGAAAATCTACTAGAGTGAGCCTGAAATCCAAAGCATAGAAGATAACAGAATTTCTTTTAAAATCCCCTGCATGCCAGGAATGAAAGATTTTAGTGGTGAGGTATAAATAAGGAACCCCCTTAACCTGATAAAAAGCATCTATCCAAAACTTCCAGCAGGCAAGTGGCACAGGTAATGAAGAAGCAAAAATGACATCCCCATTAACATTAGGGCCGGAAAGCTCACAATGGCAGTATCAGATGTAACTGTTCTAGGGTTCTAGAAAACACAGTGAAGAAACAGAAACGAGGTGTAAATGTTAAATTGAAAAAGATTTTTAAGAACTGTCTGATATGGTTTGGTTCTGTGTCCCTACCAAATCTCATTTCAAATTGTAACCCCCAGTGTTGGAGGTGGAGCCTGGTGGAAGGTGACTGGACTGTGGTGGTGGATCCTTCATGAATGGTTTAGCACCATCCTCGTGGTGCTGTTGTGATGGAGTTCTCAAGAGACCTGGTTGTTTAAGTGTGTGGCACCTCCCCCCACTTCTCTTCCTCTTCCTCCAGCCACATAAAACATGTCTGCTTCCCCTGTCGCCTTCCACCTTGATTGTAGGTTTCCTGAGGACGCCTCAGAAGCCGAGTAGATGCTGCCGTGCTTCCTGTCCAGCCTGCGGAATCAAGAGTGAATTAAACCTCTTTTCTTTATGAATTACCCAGTCTCAACTATTCCTTTGTAGTAGTGCAAGAACAGACTAATACACCGTCACTATTTACAGATGAAATGTAAGACCATGCACTGAAAAATAATTAGAACCGATCTGAACGTTTAGTAAGATTGCGATCCCAGAGCAAACTACAAACCCTCCCCAGCCCTTCTGCACAGCAGCTCCAAGACACCTAGGAAGTCTAATGGTGAAAATGATTTAATTAGCAGAAGCAACCAAAACAACACACTTAAGAATACATACGAGATCCTTTGAAGAAAATAAAAAATTTTTGAGGAAGCCAAAAGAAGATCAGAAGGGTTAGAAATGCACCACCTCCTTTAAAGGGAAGCCCTCACATTGCTGACGGACACTCCACCTCCACTTCAGTAAGTTAAAGCAATATCATCCCAAGGAAGGCCCTGTCTTCAAGGAACTCAGCTTGCTGATTTACAGATACAGGAACAGACATGTCCATTTACAGAATAAAAGTAAGAGAATGCAGCCAGAGGTGAATGATGACACATAAATTAAAAATAAGATCATGGATAGCTGGCAACTTATGCTCAGTAAGATCCCACGGTCATATCCTCACCTTCCATATGTGCCTTAAACATTACAAGAACTACTAAACTACTAAGAGATAGTACAGAAGAAAAATGTTATAAAATCTGAGTGAGGAAGATCTTCATAAGCAAGATTCTCAACCTAGAAGCCATGAAGAAAAAACTAACTTCTGTTCAGCAAAAGACCCTATAGACAAATCAAAAGACAGGCAAAAAGCCGGCGGGGCGCAGTGGCTCACGCCTGTAATCCCTGTACTTTGGGAGGCTGAGGCAGGTGGATCATGAGGTCAGGAGATGGAGACGATCCTGGCTAACACGGTGAAACCCCATCTCTACTAAAAATACAAAAAAATTAGCTGAGCATGGTGGTGGACGCCTGTAGTCCCAGCTACTCAGGAGGCTGAGGCAGGAGAATGGCATGAACCTGGGAGGCGGAGCTTGCAGCGAGCCGAGATCGTGCCACTGCACTCCACTCTGGGCGACAGAGCAAGACTCCGTCTCCAAAAAAAAAAAAAAGCCTTGGGACAAAATATTTCCATTACCACACAGCCAACAATCTGAATTTAATCTCTTCTTTACTGAAATAAGAGATAGGATGTAAGCAGCCCAACATAAAAATGGGGAGAGGATAGAAGCAAACAATTTGCAAAACAGACATGTGAAACATGCTAAACTTCACTAGGAGCCAGGGAGACATATACAAACACATGAGCTATAATTGATAGCTGAAAATTAAAAGGACTGGGACTACCCAGAGTTGAGGATGGCTGAACAGCAACAGGGCTCCCCTAAACCGGAGGTGGGATCACACTGTACAGGCATGGGGAGGCCCGCTGGAGTGGGGGCAGCAGCTTTCAGACTTTAGTCTTAGGCACAGGCATCCTTCTTGGAATAGCTTATCCTACAGAAAGACTCACATGCATACACACGCGTGCATACACACACACGGAATGTTTACTACACACTTTAAGACAGAAAAACTGGAAGCAACCTAAATGTGGCTGCCCAAATCCCTCCTCTCCCCCAGTTCATGGCACCCACCAAACTGCACAAGGCAGAAACAAGAGCTCTCCATTCCTAACTTTCTCTTCTGCCTTCCATCCATGTAATCCGCTAGCCCAGCTCATTGGCTGCGGAAGCATCTGAGAGTCATCCACTCCCTTCCATCTCTGCTGCCAACTCCAGGCCTCTGCCCCTCATCTGAACTGGGACTCAGCTGCCCTGTCTCTAAGCATCCTCACTGCTTCCCACTTAACCAGCCCTAGCTCTGGGGAGCCCATGAGGTGACACCATTGCCCTCTGTACTTCAAATGCACCCAAATTCTCAGCGACAGCTGCCAGGCCTGACGCGTGTGGCCCCTGCCTCCTCTCCAGGCTGCCCAGACACTGCTGTCCCATGCTGGAGTCACCTCACTCACCAGCCTGGCCTCCTCCAGGTTCTCAGACTCTATCCTCCCTCATGGCCTTTGCATGCTCTCTGCCTTGTATTTGGAATTTTTTCAAACACCTGTGGCCCCAGCTGCCTTCCACCTTCCCCTGCTGGTAGCCTCCTCAGAGAACCAAGGCTCCCCATCCACCCTGTCCTGTCCCTGTCCACCCTGAGGGATCAGGCCGCCTGACCCACTCCAGACCCTCTCCACATGGGTCTATAGCTCAGCCCTTGGCTGCCTCTTCTGCAGAACACATCAGGCTTGCTAGTGCTGTTCTTCTTCCTGCCAACTTTTTTTGTGTCCCTTTCCCAAGAAGAGGTAGCTCTGAGGCCGAGAACTCTATCTGTCCTGACTACTGCTGTATCCCATCTCTTAGCACAGGGCCAAGTGGCTCAAATCTTTGCTGAACTTATGGAAAAAAATGCCTGGACAGGAGCCGACTTAAATATAGTAGAGCACAGTACTCCTCCAGCATGGAAAGCAGCACTGGAAGGCACGCAAAAGCTCTAAAGGAGCCACAGGGACATGAGCTCTGGTCTGTGGGAGGCAGCTGTGAAAGTGGCTCAGAACCCAGCCTCCACCAGCTGGGGTGGGGGCAGCCTGCACAAGCGCTCAGCCACTCTCTGCCTCAATTTCCTCAACTGTAAACTGAGAACAAAACCGTCCCAACTTCATGCAAGGATGAAATGATGCAATTCCCACAGAGTGCTTCACACAGCACTGACAGAAGGCAAGTGTTTAATAAAGGAGGCAAAGAGCTAAGCACCAGGAATAAGCAACACTGCCGTAAAAAGGGGAAAGCAGTATATCTGTGGGTGTCTGCACCCAGGAATTCCAAACAGAGAAAATGAGAGAAACTATTTGCAAACTACTCATCTGACAAGAGATTAATAACCAGAATGTATAAGGAGTTCAAACAATTCCATAGCAAAAAAACAAGTAACTCAATTTAAAAATGGGCAAAACATGTGAACAGACATCTCTAAAAGAAGACATACAAAGAGCCAACAGGTGTATCCAAAAAATGCTCAACACCAATATTTATCAGGGAAATACAAATCAAAACCACAATAAGATATCATCTCACCCCAGTTAAAATGACTATTATCAAAAAGGGAATAATGGATACTGGGGAGAATGTACCAAAGGGGACCCCCTATACTCTGCCGGTGGGAATGTAAATTAGTGCAGCCCCCATGGAGAACAATATGGAGGTTCCTCAGAAAACTAAAAATAGAACTATCATATGATCCAGCAATTTCACTGCTGGGTATATACCCAAAAGAAAGGATCTGTATCAAAAAGATATCTGCACACCCGTGTTTACTGCAGCATTATTCACAATAGCCAAGATATGGAATCGATCTAAGTGTCCAACAACAATGAACTCATTTAAAAAAGGTGGTACATACACACAGTGGAGTGCTATTCAACCATAAAAAAGGAGTGAAATTCTATCATTTGCAACAGCATGCATTAACCTGGAAGACAGGCATAGAAAGACATATGACATGTTCTCACTCATGTGCAAGCTATGAAGTGGATCTCATGAAGACAGAGAGTAGATTGGTGGTTACCAGAGACAGGGAAGAGTAGGGGGGTATGGAGGATTAAAAAAAAGTTGATTAATGAGTACAAATATATGGTCACCTTATTGATTTATATAATACTAGGCCTTATTTCTGCTCATTCTTGAAATAAGTACACTTAATTAAATAAATCAATAAGGTGACTACCGTCTACAATAATCTATTGTACACTTCAAAATAGCAAGAAGAGAAGAATTTGAATGTTTCTAAAGTTAAGACAAATATTTAAGGTGGTGGGTATATTAAGTACACTGATTTGACCTTTACAAATTACATGCATGCATTAAATTATCTCATGTACCTTGAAACTATGTTTATCTATTATGCATCAATTAAAAAGTAATTAGTTAATTCCGCAGAGCAAAAGGAGCCAAAAGAACCCTGAACACCAACCTCAAAGGAGGGCCATGAGAAGTGAAGTGAGAATTTCACTCTCTACAGACTTCTGGGTTCGACTATTTAAAATAAAGATCACAAATTACTCATGCAACTTTAAAATTTATCTAAGAAAGAATGTTTTCATCCAGTTTCAGGCCAAGGGTCCTATATGCTTCTCCTCACACAAAAACCTATACTCAGGGTCCCTTGTGATCCCCCTCTGCCCTTGTGGAGGGCTCCCCCTCCCTTTCTAGGAATTCCAGAGAAATCACTGCTCTATACCTAAACACAATGAGGCTATTAAGTGCTTGAGGCCAAGTCACATGAATATTAACTGCACAGGCCCTTTTCTATACAGGCAGCTTCTGGAAATACTGAAAGACTTTGCCCTTCTATTTTCTTTTCTTTTTCTTCCTTTCTTTTCCTTTTCTTCTTCCCTTAAAGGAGTTTTAAAAAAAGTTAAAGGAGTTTTAAAAAAAAGGGGCGGGTTAAAGAAAAAAGGATACACCTCAAAAGTAAAGAGGAAAGACATTCTTGCTTGTGGAGGAAACATAATGTAATTGTAATCGTTAAAACTGTGCGAGGAGTAAATAGTTTGGAGTGGAGAGGCGTGCACAGTTGATAAAGATCTCTCCTCTCCTCAATGAAGAAAGCTGTAGGGAAACAGTCAATGTGCTTTGGACGCTTTATCACCACCCCCAAACAGCCAGTTATCAACATTAGCCCATCACCAGCACACACACCAGAGCCCACTAGGGCCTGGCATTCTATTCTAAAGATGATGATATCTTTTCATTCTCTATATCATTAGTACATTCAGTAAGTAACTACTGTGTGTTCTAGGTTTTCAGGGTAATGTCTATATAAACATGAATAAGGAAAACCAATCCTCAACTCAGAAAATCAAGAATTTTGCAAAGACAATGGAAACAGAGGGTTCCTACAAACAGGAATGGTTGGTAAACAATGATTAATGGCTCTGAAATGCATCACTATCATACAGTAGCACAAGATTGAAAACTGACACAGGGTATGGACACATTAAAAATGACTTTATCTAGCAATGTAATCGAACTTTTCTGCAGTATTCTTTTTTAATGAGTGTGCATGATCTCCAGTATTTAGTTCTCTTGGTCTCCTGCACAGACTGGTGCAACATCCTCCCAGGTACCCACTGCCTGGCTGCCGGGAAGTCCAAGGCAGGAATACCAGAATGCCCGCACAGATGCCCAAGGCAGGAGTACCAGACTGCCGGCCCCTCTGGCTCCTGATCCTCCAGTTCCAAAAGGACACCTGGATCCTGAAGGTATAGGGCAGGCAGGTGCAGGCAAGCATGGGACACCTTAAGAGTACACTTAACAACTGCAGGGAGTCCTGTGTTGTTTCCTGCCTCCAAATGCAGACGACTTCCATCCTGGTACGGCCTCTTGTCATCTGCCTGCCCCAAGACCATGCTCTCTGGCCACACGGTCACAAGGACTTCAGGGATGCTCCACAGGAAGCAGAATGCTCTGGTCTGGGCAGAGCTGGCCCACTTTGAGGCCCACATCCACCCATCGCACTCTTGAGTCACAGTATGGCAGCCCCCATGCCATACCCTCCATACCTACAAGAGTCCCTGCGGCTCCTGGCCAGCAGGGGGTACATTTCAGCTCCCAACCCATCCTTGGGGACCCAAAGACAGTTCTTACATCGTCCTATCCAGGTATCTTTCTTAAATCAGACCCAGCAGTGAGCCACTAGGCCCGCCATGTTGGGGACCCTGACTGTGTCCTACACTGGGCTGCTCACACCTCGTTCACAGACATGACCCATCTACCACTTTGCTCCTGTGTTGCAATCGAGAAGCCCAAGCTGTGCCTCTCAATGACCTGTTCTGCCTTCCTGGAACTGGGGAGACCAGTTGAGGAAGCAGCAGAAACCCATGATGCTCTCCAAAGCTGGTTCCTTCTCTGTGCAGAGGGCCTCAGGTAATCATCTGCCTCCTACACTGGGGTTCTGAGTGAGAGCTCAGCATTCTGCTTCCCAAAAATACCTACCCAGCAGCCCTATGGTGCTGCCCAGCTGGGTCCGCTCAAACCTCTCCCAACACCCCCAGCTCCACTCCATCATTGACACCTCTCAGGCCTGCAGCCACCTAGACACAGCCTCAGCTCCCATGACCTGGCGACAAACTGTGCAACGATAAAGGCAAACCCTGAGTGGTGCCTTAGCTAAAGAAAGTAAACAACCTGTAATTTGGCAAATAATTTAGAAAAATCGATGCAGGAAGCTCAAATACCAGATTCTGCACTAATTCTCTTTTTACCTGGCTCTTGTAACTTGGGTAGAAAAGTTTAAGACTCCATTGCTACCTCCTTCAATCCCCAAATTAAGACTTCAATTGCCCTAATAAGGCCTTCATAAACCCCCAGGTTCATTGTGGTCAGCTGGGAGTTCTGTTTTCACTTCCTTTATAATCACCTCTATGTTTCCCCTTAGTCCTGAAATTCAGTATTCTTTCATTAATTCACTCAGTACACACTTACCATGTCATCACTATGTTCTCAATCTTAGCATTGTCACTTACAGAGCCACCTCCAACATGCTCCCTAATCTGGTTTCTGTAGGTCTGTGAATGCAAGATGCCAAAAGTGCAACCAAACTTCACCCATTGGTCAAGATCGTAGAATGATGATCTCAACAGAAGCAGCTTGTGGCAAGCATGACCGACCATTGCTTTTATCAGTTCTGCAAAAGCTGCATGCAAGGATTCTGGAGGAGCTTGTTCACAAGTGTCTGAAAGGGGGCCCTCAGCTGTTGATGAGGCCCACAGGGAACCGCCCTCCACAGTTGGTAACTTTAGTTCTAGCTATTCTCAAATCATTGGCCAAAGAACAGCTCCTCCTTTTCTATTTCAGGACGTTTACTTCTTGGAACAGAGGCAAAGCCAAAGGGAGAAAAGTGGAGCCCCATTCACTGGGCTGATGAACAGAAAGCTACCCGGGACCACAGACACGACTGGTATGCAGGCAAATCATTCTGATGCCCACCTCTGAACTCAGGGGAATCCATCTTAAAGCATCCACTACTCCCCATGAGAATGGAGTCCCCATGATGAGGCTGTGTTCTAATCAAAGCTAATTCAAACTTCCTTCACTCCATCAAAATCCACTCTTAGCATTTCATTACACATCCTCCTCTCCGCAATTTGAGCCATTGAAAGAGTCACAACAATCGAATTTCAAACTGTCTCCTGTTAACATTACTAAGTTTCCTCTGAATCTTTTTAGAATTCCATTGTCCTCCACTGTTGTGATGCTAAGTAGTCAGGAATCTGACCAGAGCCATGGAGCCACACAGGAGGTCGGGCTTCCCAGGAGGAAAGAGAGTCCTGGGACCCGAGAAAGAACCTGTCCTTCATATCCACCAAAACCACCTGCTTAGCTTCTCTTGGCAAATATAGATCAGGTCCTCTTCACTTCCCCCATCCTTCCTGACAGAGGAAAATGGGTCCACGGTCATGAATGTCTCACCCTCCCTCCAAGGCTGCCCTTCTACAAAGTCAGCTCATGGCCAGTTTTGTGCACCCTGTACCCCATGGTTCAGGGGTCTCTGAGCACCACACTAAGGACCTTTGTGCTTCAGGAGGTGGTGAGACTCACAGGGCCTCTGACAGGGCACAACACAGCCACATCTGTGTGTGTACTCAAAGACTGTCAGCCTGCAACAGCAGTGGGGAGGAAGAGAATGCAGATCCCTGCTTTCTCTGCAACACCCTTCTCTCCTCAGCTCCTTTACATGTCAGGTAAAAAAAAAAAGCCAGCCTTCTTATTCTCCCGTTGCTGTCGATTAACACTCCTTTGTTCCAAGGCACTCTCGGGTGGATGATCGAATGACGTTGGTATCACAGTTTCTTTTACAAACCTTCAGTCTTCCCCCCAGTAAAGGTGACCTGAGGATAGAAACGGTCGTATATACCTGGGCAGCCAACACAGGACACATCACACTGGCTCAACAAACACTGGGGGAAGAGACAGAGAGACAGCTGCCTATGCTTGTGCATCACAGCCCCCACACTCAAGCTGTGCCAAGCTTCCCAAGAGTCCCTCAAATGCTGCTGCCCTGCCTGGTCCCAGGCTCTCTAGACTCAGGCGACTGAAGCTAATCACTTCATCTAGTTCCATCAAGGTGGTATGCAGCATCTAGCATTACCACTTCCAGGCTGCATCCACGTTTTAACACAAAAAGGGATAAAATTTTTCTAGAAGACTGAAGAAGTAAGTTCCCTCATTTGGCACATAATAGTTACGGACCAAGTATCCTCAAGATCTCTCTGAGGCCTAAGCTGCTGAGTTTCTGATTCAAACAACAGACACAAGAGAACAAGCAGAGGAACTGGTGGTTCCCAAGCATCTATCTGAATTCAGTGAGGGGGTGTTGCAGCCCCTGGCCTCCAAGGTCTCTGCCTAAATCCCCACACCTGTGCTTCCACCTGTGGTAGCCTCTCACATGGTACCCTGGTATGAGTGACCTCACCCCTATGGCAAGACCTCCAGGAGTGGTAAAGCCAAAATTATCTTCAAGATAGTAAGATACGATGTGTCCTTGTCCCTTGCATTCCGTCGCGAATGCACAGCGGAGTTTTCTAGAGGCCAAATAGCATAAGACTGATTGCAGGTGGCAGGGGGATGGGGGGATCCAACTACCTTCTCTTAAAGCAGACATTAAAGGGATTTAAAAAGTACAAAACAATGACACTCTTCCCATTTTTTTTGTTTTTGAAAATACAGCTTTTTTCCATAAAAGATGTTATGTTTACATATAATGGGTGAATATTCTTTTTACATGGAGAAAAAATATTTTTTAAATGCCTGTCAATTCCTAAAATAGTAAATTTCAATATATACAGCCACATAACCACAGCTCTTTGGGGCCTTCAGTAATTTTTAACAGTGTCAAGGCGCCCTAGGACCCAGCCCTGGGGGTGCTCCCCTGGGAATCTCAGCCCTGCCCAGCACCCAGGACTTCAATGTGCCCTGTGGAACAGTCTGACAGAAGCCAAACCTCCACCCCTAGACATGGAACTGCTGCCCAGTGAAACTCTGCAAAGAATCTTAGTTTTTATGGAGTAAGAGTCCATGGAGACTTCTTCATTCAGAAAGATTTTCTTAAAAACAATATTGAATTTGAGACCTGGCCACACAAATGAACATCACTGGCCAGAAACCATGTGCTACTCAGCCTGCTCCACACAATCAGCAGGACATTCCATTCCGGTCCACTCCACCAGTCTACTCCTCCAGGGCCAGTTTGAAGTAGGGGGTCCCAGAGGGTCACTGCCTTTGAAAAGTGGCTCAACTGTTCTCCCCAAAGGTTTGTCCTGCTTGTTGATTCTGGCAAGATGCATAGCTCCAGGTCATTTAGAATGTTCCTCCCCTGCCTCCTGCATAAGCCACACGAACAGCGAGAGTCAGAAGGAAAATGTCATATGTCCAGTATTTCCAGTTCAAAGTACAGCCAGCAGGACGGACTGCCCCCCTGGGGTTGCCAACACTCACAGGTGGCCAGAGCTTCACCATCTGCCCTCTCCCTGTGTTAAAACAGGAGCCAAAACTAAACAGCACACATCAGCGCCCAAGATTCGTGCTACTCTCAACTGATACTGCTCTTGGCTATCTGTGCCATTTTGTTTAAACTGGTAGAAGAGACCAGAACCCGCAGCCCAGTAGGAATGAACCCCAGGCCTCCCCACAGCTTCAGGGCAACGTCCTCCTCTCTCTGCCTGCTGCAGGATTACCACTCTCAGGATTCAGCACAATGCTTAACAAGAGGAAAGAGGATCTATTTCTGACCTGGCAACATGAGACTTACTCTTCTAAACGGGGCATGGGCCTTCATCATATCTATTGTTTCAACTCATGAGTCAGGATATTACAAAGGTAGAAAGTTCTTACCTGTAGGAAGCCAAAATCCACCCTGAAAAGTCATTACAAAGCCAACCTCACTTGAATGGCACATGTGTCCCCTAAACCTGGTACTGAAGTACAAGAGGCGAAGTGAAATTGTGATGCGGATGTGGATCTATTCAGGCGACCTCCTTCAACACCACCACGGCCCTATGGTCTCAATCATTTTAAGACAAAAAGGGAAAAAAGTTGTGAGAACCTTGGTATAAGAACCCCCCTTGCCTCTGAAAGACACTCAAAACCTAAGGCATTTGCTGTAACCCTCAAGACCACAAAATGGCCACTAGGTCTGGAAAGAAAGGTGAACTGACGCCACACTATAACATAAAACAAAATCATGTTACTTGTGTCTCCCAACTCCCCAGCCACCTCGTTCTGGTCTTCTAGACCACATTCTCGATGCAAGAGTCCCAGGACAGTCAAAGAATACAGAATCATTCCCGAAACATTCCACCAAGGCAAGGGAATTAAATATCTGTTAATGTCTGTTATAAATTCCACAGCAAACATCATACTCAATGGCGAAATAGTGAAAGCTTTTCCCCAAAGAGTGGAAACAAGACAGAATTCTTGCTTTTGTCACTTCTACTTAACACAGTATTGGAAGCTCTAGCCAGAGCAATTAAGTAAGAAAAAGAAATGAAAGCCATCCAAATTGGAAAGGAAGAAATAAAATTATCTGTTAAACTCTTAGAAGAAAACATATGCAAAAATCTTTATATGGACATTGGATTTGACAATGACTACTCAGATATGACACCAACAGCACAGGCAACAAAAGAATAAAATAAATGAACTTCATCAAAAATTAAAAATTTTTGTGCGTCATAGGACACTACGAAGACAGTGAAAAGACAGCCTGCAGAAAAGGACAAAACAGTTGCGTATCACATAACTGATAAGAGTATTAATATCTAGAATATATAAATTCCTACAACTGAGTAACAAAAAGCAAATCAAAACCACAATGAGCAATCATCTGATGCCTTGTATTAGTCCGTTTTCATGCTGCTGATAAAGACATATCAGAGAACTGGGCAATTTACAAAAGAAAGAAGTTTAATGGACTCATATTTCCACGTGGCTGAGGAGGCCTCAAAATCATGACAGAAGGTGAAAGGCATGTCTCACATGGTGGCAGACAAGAGAAGAGAACTTGTGCAGAGAAACTCCCCTTTATAAAACCATCAGATCTCATGAGACTTATTCACTATCACTAGAATAGCATGGGAAAGACCCAACCCCGTGATTCAATTACCTCCCACCAGGTCCCTCCCATAGCATGTGGAAATTATGGGAGCTACAATTCAAGATGAGATTTGGGACACAGCCAAACGATGTAACACCTATTAGGACAGCTATAAGGAAAGAAAGGGGAAGGGGAAGGGGAAGAAAGGCAAGGGAAGAGGAAGCGGAATGGGAAGGGAAGGGGAAGGGAAGGGGAAGGGGAAGGGGACGGGGAAGGGAAGGGGAAGGGGAGAAAGGGGAAGGGAGGGGAGGGGAAGGCAGGGGAGGGGAAGGCAGGGGAGGGGAGGGGAGGGGAGGGGAGAGGAGAGGAGAGGAGAGGACAGGAAACGAAAAATGCCAAGTGTTGGCAAGAATGTGGAGAAACTGAAACCCTTGTGCATTATTATTGGGAATGTAAAATGGTGCAGCTGCTCTAGAAAACAGTTTGGCAGTTCCTCAAAAAGCTAAGCATAGAATTACCATATAATGAAGCAATTATAATCTAGACATATATACAAAAACATGGAAAGCAAGTACTCAAAGATAGTTATACACCAATGTTTACAGAAGCATTATTCACAATACCCAAAAGGTAGAAACATAAATGTCCATCAACAGTTGAATAAACAAAAAGTAGTATATACATACAAGGGAATTTATTTGTTTGTTTATTTATTTATTTATTTTGAGACGAAGTCTCGCTCTATCACCCAGGCTGGAGTGCAGTGGCGTGATCTCAGCTCACTGCAAGCTCCGCCTCCCGGGTTCATGCCATTCTCCTGCCTCAACCTCCCAAGCAGCTGGGACTACACATACAAGGGAATATTATTCAGCCATAAAAAGGAATGAAGTACTAATGCATGCTACAACATAGATTAACCATGAAAACATTATGCTAAGTGAAAGAAGACACTCACAAAAACCACAGACGATTCTATTCACATGAAATGTCCTGGACAGGGAAATCTATGCAGACAGAAAGTAGAGTTCCTTAGGGTTGGGAAAGCAGGGGGAGCAATGGGATGGCAGGGAGTGGGGGTATGATAGCTAAAGGGTGCAGGGTCTCTTTTTGTTCTAAAATTGACTATGGTGGCGGTTGCACATAGCTGTGAATATATTAATTGAACACTATATACAATGTATGTGTGTGTGTTTATTCATTTCTGCAGTTATAACAAAATACTTGAGACTGGATAACTTATAAAGAACAAAATCTATTTCTCACAGTTCTAGAAGCTGGGAAGTTCAAGATCAAGATGCCAGCACTTGGTGTCTGGTGAGGGCCTTCTTGCTGTGCCCTCACATGGCAGAATGCAGAAGTGCAAAAAGGGGATCCTAGCTAGTTCTCTCCAGCCCTTTGATGGGGGCAAGAATCCATTCATGGGACTGGAGCCCTCATGACCTTATCACTTCCCAAAAGCCATACCTCTTAATAGAGTTGCGTTGGGGAAGTGATAAGGCCATAAGGAGACACAAACATTCAAACCATGGCATTCCACCCCAAGTCCCCCAAATTTATGTCTTTCTCACATACAAAATACATTCATTCCATCCCAATAGCCCCAATGTCTTATCTCAGGCCAGGATCAATTCAAAAGTCTGAAGTCTAAAATTTCATCTAAATCAGACATGTGAGACTCAAAGATGTGTTTCAACCTGAGGCAAAGTACTTCAGACTTCAGCAGTGGCTCACTCCTGTAATCTCAGCACTGTCGGAGGTTGAGGCGGCCGGACTTCTTGAGCCCAGGAGGTCGAGACCAGCCTGGGCAACATGGCAAAACCCCATCTCTAATACCAAAAACAAAACAAAACAAAAAAAAAAACTAGCTGGGCGTGATGGCACACGCCTGTAGTCCCAGCTACTCAGCAGGCTGAAGTGGGAAGATAGCTTGAGCCCAGGAGGCAGAGGTTGCAGTGAGCCGAGATCACACCACTGTACTCCAGCCTGAATGACACAGTGAGATCCTGTCTCCAAAAAAAAAAAACAAAAAAAAACAGTGGAACAGACAAAGAACAGACATTCCCATTACAAAAGGGAGAAATAGGAAAGAAAAAAGAGGTAACATTTCCCAACCAAATCCAAAACCAAACAGGACAAACATTAAATCAATGGTAAGGCTGGAGAATAAATCTTTGGTTCCATGTCCTGCCTTCCAGACACAATGGGGCAGGAGTTGGGTTCCCAAGGACCTGGGCAGCCCTGCAGCCAACTGCTGGGCACAGCCCTCATAGCAGCTCTCACAGGTTGCAGTTGGGTACCTGCAGCTCTCCCAGGCTGGCACTACACACGGGTAACTCTACAGTTACAGGCTCTCGAGGGCAGCCCCACCCCCACAGCTCCATTAGGCATTGTCCTTGTGGGAGCTCGCTAGTGTGCCCCCAGCCTCAAGACTCTGCTGGACATTGCCCTAGTGGGGGCTCTTTTTGGCACTCCTGCCCCATGGCTCTATTAGGCATTATCCTAGCAGGGAGTCTCTGCAGCAGACCTATCCTGCAGCAATTCTCTGTCTGAGCCCAAGACTCTCTGAGGCATCCTTTCAAATCTAGGTGAAGGTAGCCATGCATCCACAGCTCTTGCACTCTGCATACTTGCAGACTTAGCGCCATGTGGATGCCACCTAGGCTTATGCCCTGTGCCTTCCACAGCAATGGAACTAGCTGCACTTGAGCCCCCTTGAGCTACAGCTGGGATATCCAAGGAGGGCTGCACTGTAATGCAGAGAGCAGAGAAGTGATGCCAGGCAGTGAATGCTGAGGTCCTGCAGACGCCCAAGGCCTCTCCTTTGACATAAGTTCTGTTCCCTGGGCCTTGGTACTCTGGGCCTCTGATGGGAGGGGCAGCACTGATAATCTCTGAAATGCCTTCAGGATCATTCTTCCATTATCTTGATGAATAGCATCTGGCTTCCTTCTATCCATACTAATCTCCTTATCAAAAGGTCACTTGGCCACACCCTTAGTGTTTTCTCCCAAACATGTTTTTACAACCTGGGCAAGCTAAAAATTTTCCATATCCTTAAATTCTGCTTCCTTTTCTTTTTTGGAAACAGGGTCTCATTCTGTCACGCAGGCTAGAGCGCAGCAGCAGAATCATGGCTCACTGTAGCCTTGACCTCCCAGACTCAAGTGATCTTCCCACTTCAGTCCCCTTGAGTAGCTGGGGCTAAGTGCACACCACCACACTCCGCTAATTTTTTTTTTTTTTTACTTTTAGTAGAGATAAGGTCTCATTATATTGCCCAGGCTGGTCTTGAACTCCTGAGCTTAAGCAATCCTCTCACCTTGGCCTCTCAAAGTGCTGGGATTACAGGCATGAGCCATAGTGCCCAGCCTCTGCTTCCCTTTGGATTATAAATTCCATTTTCAATTCATTTCTCTCACATTTTACTGTAAGCAATTAAGAGAAGTCATGCAGCATACTGAATACTATGCTCACGGATTTCTTCCACCAAATATCCTAGGTTGTCACTCTTAAATTCTGCCTTCCCCAAAGCCCTAGAGTATGGGCACAATTCAGCCAAGTTCTTTGCGCCTTTGTAGCAAGGACTGTCTTTCCTCCAGTTTCCAATAAGATATTCATTTCCATATACGACCACAGCAGAACGGGCTTTACTGTCTATAATACTACCAGCATTCTGATCACAGCCACTTAGAAGTTTCTAAGAAGACACTGGTTATCTCTACGGCTCTCCTCTTCTTCTGGGCCCTCACCAGAATCATTCTTAATGCTCTGTTCACAGAAATTTAGGCTTTTTCTAGCAAACACTTCCAAACTGTTCCATCCTCTACCCATTACCCAATTCCACTTTTCTTTTAAGTATTTGCTATAACAACACCCACTCTCAGTATCAATTTCTGTCTGTGCTGCTATAACAAAATCCACAGGTTAGGTAATTTATAAATAATAGAAATTTACTTCTCATGGTTCTGGAAGAGAGGAAGTCCAAGATCAAGGCACTGGGGTTCAGTGTCTGGTGAGGGCCTCTCTCTGCTTCCAAGATGGTGCCTTGTTGCCACACCCTCCAGAGGGGAACAAATGCTGTATCCTCATATGGTGGAAGAGCAGAAGAGAGCAAACCCATTCCCCCTCAGGCCCTTTTAAAAGGGCCCTAATCCCATCTATGTCCACTCTTATGACTTAAACACCTCCTAAAGGCCCCACCTCTTAATAACATCACGTTGGCCATTAGGTTTCAACACATGAATTTTGGGTGATACATTCAGACCACAGCAATCTGTATACACACACACACACACACACACACACACACCATTGCACATATCTGTAAATATACTAATTATAATTGAATTATATACTTCAAATTTAAATGAGTAAATTGTATGGTATGTGAATTATACCTCAATACAGCTTTTTTTTTTAAGAGAGGACTGTATGAAAAAACTAGCCCATAAAGATACATGCACACCTATGTTTATTGCAGCACTACTTACAAAAGCAAAGACATGGAACCAACCCAAATGCCCATTAATGATAGACTGGATAAAGAAAATGTGGTACATATACACCGTGGAATACTATGCAGCCACAAAAAGGAATGAGATCATGTCCTTTGCAGGGACATGGATGAAGCTGGAAGCCATCATCCTCAACAAACTAACACAGGAACAGAAAACCAAACACTGCATGTTCTCACTCATAAGTGGGAGCTAAACAATGAGAGCACATGGACACAGGGAGGGGAATAACACACACCAGGGCCTGTCAGGGAGGGGAGAGGGACTGAGGGGAGGGAAAACATCAGGACAAATAGTTAATGCTTGGGGGGCTTAAAATCTAGATGACAGGTTGATAGATGTAGCAAACCACCATGGTACACGTATACCTATGTAGCAAACCTGCACGTTCTACACATGTATCCCGGAACTAAAGAAAGAAAAAACTAGCCTAATGAAATAATCAGCACAAGAGGGGTTCTAACTCCACCCCGACCCCCCAAAATTTGGAACCACCATAGTCTAGCCATCTTCCTCTTAAAGTGTCATAATACATTGTGGCACACAAAATTTTCTGAAATGTTGTGCCATAAAGAAACCAACTTTATCTAATCCAAAGTTTCCTCACTTATTTGGCAATAAATTATTAGCTCCTGTAGTATCTAAAACCTTCAGGAAGCATTAAGTTGCCCAACATCACCACCAGCCTAGGAAGACTGTTAATGAAAGATGACAAAGGAATGGGTCCAAAGTCCCATGGAGCCCATCAATGCATTTACTGATCAACTAGGGCAGGCACAAATACAAACATTCAAAAATGTCTTTGCTATCCAAGGAAGAACTTTGGTGGTAGAATTTTTCAAAAGGTGGCATTAAGTAGAGGTGATCCACACAGTGGAGCCTTATACACAGAACAGACTCACAGTGCAAGCAAGACAAAAGCTGCTTTAATACCACCTACCCTGACAGGGAAATAATGGGACAACCCAACCCTACCTCCAAGGGTAGGGTCGGGCTAACGCTGACAGAAACAGGCAAGGGCCCCAGCCAGAAGCCCCACTGGGACATCTTTATTGCTTCTTTCTATGGCTTGGAGGCCTTCCAGGTTCCAGGCTGTGATGCTGAGACATGAAGGCACTGAGCAAGGACCTTGGAAGAAGTGGGGTGTTAGCATGCACAAGCTCAAAGCAGATACAATTCCTACATTCTTAAAAGAAGGCAGGTGGGGCTTCCAAATCCGCTCAAGATTCAAAAGGTTTCAAACCTTTCTAAAAGTGTTCTATCATCATAAACAAAAGAGAAACCACTAAATAAAATCCACAGGAATCCAAACAAATGTCAAAGCAGGACACTGTACAAATATTTGCCCCTGGAATAAAGTATGGACACATTTAAGAATGTCATTTACAACAATGTAGGGCTAATCACTAGAAAATTCTTGGTACAAAAATTCTTAGATTAAGTAATAGCATTATTAATAATAGTTCTTACCAGGTAAAGTGTCCTCTTCAGAGAATTTCTAGAGAAAAAGACACTAAAGTGAACACAGGGGGAAATGCATTAAGACCTTACTGCACAAA
The DNA here is from genome assembly GCF_000001405.40 of Homo sapiens. Classification (NCBI taxonomy): domain Eukaryota; kingdom Metazoa; phylum Chordata; class Mammalia; order Primates; family Hominidae; genus Homo; species Homo sapiens. Next base: position 50,779,224 of record NC_000007.14, read on the forward strand.
GTGTGGGCCACTGACCAACTGCAAGCATAACACCTGGGAGCTGGTCAGAAACCCAAAACCTCAGGTCCCAACCAAGACCAACTAAATTAGAAGCTGCATTTTATTATCAGCCCCAGGAGATTCCCATGCATATTAAAGTTTAAGTTGTGGTATTTTCAGACATTGTTAATATTTAACTTGTATCAGAACTGAAACGTGCCAGCTCCCTTTAAGAAAATAAATAAGCAAAATATATTAACATCACTATTTTATTGTTCAGTCAACACAGGCCATCCCTCTACTCACCCTCCCTTCCTACACAGATTTCATTATTTTCCATCTAAGTAAGGCAGGAACAGATGACGGAGACAGACTGGCTCCTCAAACACCTGTTGAGTGAATGACAGGCGGGGTCCCTTGTCAAAAGCCACCCAGAGCACTCCTTGCCATTCTCATCCCACTTGAGTGCTGAACAACTGCTCAGAATTACACAGCCATTGTTGGCAACGGCACATCACCAGTCTCAAGCCACCAGGACTACCTTGACAACACTCAGAAGCTGGCTCCCAGACACTGCACAGGAAAGGAAAAAAATTATTTGTAGGTGACTTACAGGTACCATTTACACATTTAGAATTTTCTTCCCTCACTAATATGAGATTTGAGCCTGAGGCATCTAGAGTTCAGCCCAGACTCTTCCAGCTGCCTTCAGGCAAGTCTCCACAGACCAGAAATGCCCCTGGAGAGATAGTCCTGGACCCCCTGACCGAGGAGGCAGAGAAAAAAAGGGAAGAAAGAAGCAAACGGGGCCAATAAATGCCTACTGGCCCCCCAATCCTAGTCACAGCTCAGCATTTTCTGGCCCCTTTAATTTAACCTCTGCCGGCCGTGAGAGGAACAAAGCCCATTCCACATGAAAACAGAAGAAATGTGTCTCCTGAACAAATCAGAATAAACCGTCATGGAAAGGGTTCCAGGGTTTGGGATGGGTTAGGACTTTGTGGATCATGCCCAGCCAGTGAATTCTGTGAAATATGAGAAAATATGGTCCATCACACCAGTTCTGCACGTGATGCATGGCCATGCCCACTACCAGATGTGCCAAGTTATTTAATCTGACAGAAGCAAAAGGCCCACATAAAGGCCTCTTTTGACATGTGCTCCCAGACCTCCTAGGGTCCACAGGACTCATACTGCCTCAAGGCCTCCCCTCATTCTGCCCTTGACCCTTCAGACAGGAGCTGCTAACTTTCTAACTGAATCACCAGAAGCCCCAGTAGTTACAAGGCCCAGAACACCACATCAGTTCTCAGACTTTATACTTGTAAGAATCACCTGGCATGCTTTACAAAGACAAAGAATTCCAGGTCCCAAGCCCAGAAAGTCAGTTTCGTAGCTCAGAGCTGGGGCCTGGGGATACATACCGAGAGGCAGTCAGCTCTGATGTAGGTGGTTCAGAGGTCACACCTTAAAAACCCTGGTCTCTCCTATACATTCTTCCTCCTGAGAATTATCAGAATGCAGCCTCCCAAGTCTGAAAGAAAGGTAAAACCATTCTAGTCCAAGCGAGTTTCCTAAGACATTCTTACTAAGTCACAAGTACATACTCCAAGAAGCTGCCTGGCTTTTGTGGGAACACAAGTGTCAGTGAATTTAGGCTGTGGCCTAAATATGCAAATTTTGGAGCCTAACCTCCAAAATTCGAAAGATGCAGTGTTCTCTCGAAGTTTGGAAGCCTAGTTCTGGGGTGGTAATTACATGATGGCTGGAGGAGCAACTGGTGATGGAAATCCTTAGGAGACACTAAAAATAACTCACATTTTAATCGACCAATCTGGAACTTCTCTCACCCCTTCATGCCAATCGTGCAATTACCATAACTCCATTCACCATGTTCCTCAGCAGTTAGTATGCACCATTCTCAGTCCTACAAGATAGTAACTATTATCCCTGATTCACAGGTCCAGGTACAACGGCAGGTAGCACAAGATGGGGAGGGGACTGAACCACACTGCACTCACACCCCACCCTACAATTAAAAACCGTCCTTCAGCGCGTGGCTGCCGAGCACCTCAAACTGAAACAAGTGTTCTTTACCACCTTTCTCTGGAGTGACAGAGAGAAAGAAAATCCCAGTAAGCCCTTCTGGCCCTGCCCACCACCTCCCCTGTTCCCACCCAGGCCAAAGGGGGAATGCGTGGGCCCTGCTCCCACCCCCGATGCTGACATCAAAGGAGCAGAGACACGCAGGAGACTCCAGGCAGCACCCGAGGCCCTGGCCGCCAGCACGTCATAATCCCTGCAGTCGCTGCCTTTCAGACTTAAAAAGAACAATGAGGAAAGACACCCACGCTTCCCCTCACTGGGCTAGGAAGGAGAGCTTTGCGGGTTTAGACTGCAGTCTCCCCCGCCCATAGCCACCTGTGTGCCGGCTCCGCAGACGAGGTCCCCCCAGCACCCTGGCAGGGACTGTACCATCAACAGACAAATGGCAGCCGACCAAGGAGGCGACTGGCGTGTGGAACAGGTGATCCGATTGTTTTTCTAAAGAGCAAGGGCTAGGACGTCCTACGTGTTCATATGCACAATTTTTTGAACTCCATCAAGAACACGAACCCCATGCCCACATCTTCACTGCTCAATTCACATTGTCTGATATGCACCTTCCAGGGAGAAAGAGGTTTTCATGGAGAAAGAGGCAACGTTGACTATACGTGTTTACTCAAAGCTTTTTTATACCGGACTATATGCCATCCAGGTTTAAGAGAATTCCAGGCAGGCTCTAGCATTATGTTTTTCACAGAAAAAGCCGGTGCAGTAGCCCGGATGCCCAGATCCACTCATTTCCCAAACCGGTTCCCACACCCGCTGCCCACCACCTGGCGAGGAAGGAGCGGGCGAGGTTCGCTCGAATCGTCGTCACGGGTTTCCGTGGGTACAGTTATTACTCGTTACATAATATTAAACAATTAAGATTAAAAATGGTTACATAATACTGTCCTATGGCTGGCGGCAACGAAGCTCGGGATCTCGGACTGCAGCGAGCCCGCGGCAGGCGGGCAGGGGGCCGCGCGGCAAGACCTCCCCGCCTCCCTCCCGGGCCCTGTCCGCCGCGGCCGGGGCCTCTGCAGCCTGCGCAGGCCGATCCGCCCGCCGCCCCGGCTCGCGCCCACCGCCCACCGCCCACCGCCCAGCGCCCGCGGCGGAGCCCACCTGAGTACCTGGAGAGCGGGCGGCAGCACTGGCCGCACGGGGTCGCTGCGTGTGCGCCGCCGGCCCGGGTAGGGCTTCGGGGCCCGGCCCCCGCAGTGCCCGGCGCGTGGACAGCGCTCCGCATGGACAGCGCTCGGAGCCGGGCCGGGCTGGTCCTCCACGGCTCCGCCCCGGCCAGGGGCCTGCGGCGCAGAAAACCGACCCGGGGCCTCGGGGCCACCGCGCGCCAGGCGAACGCGCTAGCACGAAAAGCGGGCCAACGCCGCCTCTGGGGACGCCATCCGGGCGAGGGTGGGATGCCGCGCCACCGCCCGAGCGTGCCCGGGGGCTCCCAGCGCCATCACCACGCAGGTGCCCGGGGGCCCCTCCGCGGAGCCGGCTGCCGCCCGGCTGCAATACTCAGCCTCCGAGGGACTGGGCGCTCCTGAGGAGCGGGAGGACGACGGAGCAGCGCCCGGTCCTGGAGCACAACAGGAATCCCAGGACCAAACCCATGTGACGCGGCCACGCCCCAACGCCCGGCGGGGGCCCTCTGCTGCCCAATCCCCGGATCCCTGGTTCTCATGGCAACCCTGAAGAACCCCTTGTTCCCTCCACTGCCTCCTCTCCTCCCCCACAGCCCCCCCGCCTGATGGGCAAGGACGCGCACACTGGCCACTCTGACGATGCCGAAAGCCCTCCATGTCTACCCGCTACGCCGCATTCGCAGACAGGCGGGGGACATCGCGGCCGCGGCAAGCTAGAGATGCCGCCTGCTCGAGCAACCTTCCACCTGCAGGGCCGGCCAGTTCTACTCTTCCAGGATCACTCTCGTCTCACCCTTCTCCCCAAAATGTCAGAGCAAGAACCAGGAAGGGAGAGGCTCTTTCTGGAAGCCACAGGCATAACGTTACTGAACAACGAGGACAAAGTAGGGTCCCATTTAAACTGAGAGTCAGCGAGGGAAAGAACAGATCCTATACATACCAAGCATCTGCTATGTGCTAGTCACTTCACACACACACACACCCCACACACACCTCACACACACACCACACACATCCCACCCACCCACTCACATACATACACACCACACACATACATACACACCACACACACACATACACCACACACACACATCACACATACTCCCCCACCCCCGCACACACATACACCACAGACATACACACGAGCCTGCAATGATGGAAGCAAAACAGAACGTTTGGAGATATTCACTGCCGTTTACAAGGCCACAGTAAGCAGTAAGCAGATTTTCTACTCCCCTCTAGCAGAGAACATGGTAGGAAAAGCTAGACATTGTAGACAGCAGTAAGAACCTAACAGTCAACAGTGGACAATGGATTCTGAAACTGAGATCCTATACTGCATTCACACACGTTAAGGGGCAGGGCGCTGGGAAAACCCCATCTCAGTCTGGGGTTCAAAGAGTGGAAAAGCTACCCTAGTCCAACTGCTCGGAGGCCAGGTCAGGCCCCTGAAGGTCACTGGAGGAGGAGGCTGGAAAAAGTGCAGATATGCACTCCAAAAGGAGAGGTTCCACGGTGGTCATGACCACAAAATTCCAATATGTTTAAGTCGATCAAACAAAAGCAGAGTTAAGGCTGGTTCTGAAAGCAGCCAAGAGCAGTTTTCAACACAACACAAAGGGTAACACAAGGCTTTCTTTTCTCACAGTCCGGGCTGACCACATATGGCCTGGCTACTGCAAGAAACATTGAAGGTGTTAGCGCTTTTGACTCTAACTGCGCACCCCTCAGAGAAGATGTCACATAGTGAACATCGCAAGGCACAGAATGGGAAATGGAAGCACAGAATCAAACCCTGAGATTCGGGGAGAAACCAAAGTGTGGAGAAATTATGTAACTTATCCAAAGTCCAGAGCAGGTTACTGACTGGGAGAACTTGGCTTTCCTTCCAGACTCCAGATATGAGACTTTTCTGCGGTCTGACACAGTGGCTTCTTCCACCTCTGCAGTCAACCCCACAAAGGTGGCTCGAGTGTTCCTCTGCCTCCCTGCCCAGCAGCTCCCAGCCTGGATGGTGAACTCCTTTGCCTGAACATCCCACGCACCCTGCCATCTCCTGGGCTAGAACAACAGGTTGTGCAGGACAGAGGGCTTCCCTGCCACACTCCCCTCTATTACAAAATGCCAGAGGTCCCAGTTCGAAGCAGCTGTTCCTGGATGTGGGAAGAGCAAGAGAGAAATGATCTAATGATGGACAAGGAATCTTGAAAAGCCAGACCTTCACTGAATGGCTGACAGGACACACATTTTGCTTTACTAGAACAAGAACAGAATCTTTGAAAAGGCATAAAAGCCAGTGGTCAAGAAGTAACTGACAGCAAAGGCAAAAGAGATGAAGGCTAAGCTGGAAAGTGGAGATGAAGCCTGATGATATACTCAGTGGAAGCCCAGAAAGTCTCAGGAATGAGAACTACCATTCACCTCTGGAAATGGGAAACGTAGAGTCCAAAACAAGAAGATTAATCGGAAGTGTCAGGAATAGCTGGGCCCCATTTCATCCCGGGTCCTCTCCCCAGCTCCATCAGCTAGGTGACTTCTTTTCTGGAAGCAGGGACACAGGTCTCTGGACCAGGATCAGCAGACACAGCCATGCCTTTAGTCCCAGAAAGATTTGGTGGATCACATGCTAGCTGCCATATGAATCCCACCACCATCCCCAGCAGCTCCTGGAGCAGCACCTCCAACAGAACTGAAAGAGGCTCCTGCAGAGCTGAGAAGAGACCCAAAAGCATGAGCCCCACAACAAGCAACCAGGCGTCCATCCACAGAGGCCACAGTTAAATGCTCACTCACACAGGGCTCCTGTCAGCTTCTGAGCAATGTCCTTTTGAAAGTGGGAAGACCCCAGACAGCTAAGCGAAGCCTCTAAGGTGAAAGATGTGGCCAAATTGCATGGGACAAACACTTCCTATGCCTCACCTCCCTGGGCCCTGTCCACAGCTCTATTGAGCCGCATCTGATGGGACCCCTATGTCCTGCAGCACAGCCTCCTCCTACCAGGGCTCTGAAGAGCCTGTACACCCAGCACCTGCAGGGATGTAGCCCAGATGCAACCCTGGCCCATGGTGACGGGCACTGACAGGAGATACATCCTCCACCCCAACCCCTTCCCAGCACTGTCTGGAGGACTGGGAGCTCGTGACACAAGCCAGCCCCACATGTGGAACCATTGGCTTCACTCAATTCTAGGCACTGCCCACCGCGGGCACCCCGCCTCACCCTGCACCCAGGTTCCCTCCTTCCAGCCTCCCTCCACCAGGCTGGCACACCCTCCTACAATAGAAGCACAGAAGGCTTTGCCATAGGCTCTGCTTTCCGGGTAAGCTGGACACAAACAAACAGAAAAATTAAAAGTAAATCATTTACAAATGGGAGAGAAGAAACGATACACAAAAAGTTTTTAAAAATTAATATCTACAAATGAGATAGACGTATCTATGAAATAAGAATATTATGCCATTAAAAAAAGAATACTCACTTTGAATGTCAATAATGTGTCAATAGTCAACTGTAACAAATGTACAGGATTCCCAGTAGTGGGAGAGGCTGTGCGTGTGTGGGGCAGAGGGCATGTAGGAAATCTCTGGACCTTCCATTCAGTTTTGCTGTAAACCTGAAACTGCTCTAAAGTCTGTTTTTTAAAAAGAATATAAATATATATATAGAGAGAGATCCTAAGAAATTCAAAATGAAAATAGAAACAAAATCCAACAGAAAAGTTAAAAGGTCAAATTGAGGACATATCCCAAAACCTAAAAACAACACAACAGACACAGACTATTAGATAAAAAATACAGAGAACCAATCCAGGTGGCTAAAAACCAAATAACTGCCATCCTAGAAAGAGAGAAGAGGAAAATGGAAGAAAAGAAATGAAAGGATTAATTCAAAAACATGTCCAAGACCAGAAAGATCTGAGATTCCAGCTTCAATGGGCCCTCAACATACCCCACACACAAAGTGGAGACCCAACAAGACTCATCTTCAAGGAACTTCGGAACAAAGGCACAGAGAATATCCTACAAGTGTCCAGACATGACAAAACAAAACAAAAAACAAACCAAAAAACCACTCTGGTACTCTTTCATACACAGAATCAAGAATCAGAAGAGCTTCTTTCTCAACCCCATTCTGCCTAAAGGCAATGGAAGCCTCTAAATGTTTTAGGGAAAACTATCTTTAATTTAGAAATCCATATTCAGACAAACCGTAAACTGTGAGAGTAGATGGACATTTTCCCAGACATGCAAGGTCTCAAAAAGTTGACATCTTGTGCACCACTTTTTGGAAGCTTCTATAGAAAGTACTCCATCAAATTTTGGAAATAAACCAAGAAGAAAAGTCATGAGATCCAAGAGAAAGGCAAAGGGGCATTCCTGGGACAATGGAGAAGAAAGACTCCAAGACAACAGCTGTGCAGGGAGCCTCAGAGCAACCCAGCCTGCTGAAAGCAGAAAGGCACACAAGGAACTGCTTCCAAAGATAAAACTGCAGATCACCTTAGGCCTTGGAAAAGAGATTCACACAACTCTGTAAGTTTGGAGGGAAGAATGGTAAGTACATTTTAAAAACTAGGCAAAAACAACTCCAGGAGAAAACAAAATGTCCTAGGAGAAAATCACAGTTATCACAGTATACTACATGGCTCAGCTATGAGCAGCATTAGGGGACCATCCCAACACTGCATACTGATGGAGCTGAATGGACCAGAAGAGACGATGAAGAGACAAGAGTGAGTGTAGGGTGGGGATGGGACAAAGGGCATCATCCTCACCTTCCATGGAGTTTGAAATCAAGAATCACATGAAAAATGGGGCTCTGGAGAGCAGGAGGAGGAGGAGGAGGAGGAGGAGGTTGCCAGGAATCGCAATCTATTGTCTAGACCTCTTCAGAAATATGGAAGTACGTACAGAAAAAAATCTGCTGATAAGTTACTTCTGGGGAATTATTTCATCTTTAACCTATGTCTACATATCACTCTGATTTTAAAAATCCAAACTAAATTTTAAAATAGTTTGCTCTGGGTGTTGAGGAATTAGGAAACCAGGTGACCCTTCAGACGAAGAGAACAGAAACACTGTGTGATATGGACAGGCAAGGACAGCAGGGGGACAGTGCCCTGGGCAGGGACGGTGGGTCAGGACAGGGACAGCCTGTGTCCACTCACTGCCCTGCAGGCCTAGGTGGGGAGAAGGCCGGGGAGACCTGTGATGGAGAGATGAGGCGACAATGACACTAGGAAGCCCTCCTGACTTATCCCTCCTGCGTCGCTCCATCACCTCACTAGGATCGCAGGCCAAGACACTCAACGTTCTCCTCTCTGGAGGGGATTCTGTGAGATGCACGTGATTTTCTTCAGAAGAGGGAGTGCGGTACCCTAGAACAGACACCTGGAAGCTCAGGTAACACCCCTGCAGCCTGTCCTGGGCCAGGGTGGTGTGGCCAGGGTGAAAAGATGGGCGGGGGAGGTGCCCTCTGGCTCAAATCAGCCCATACGGGACAATTAGAGGGCACTGAACATGACCCAGCCAGCTCAACTTCCCACAGGATGTGAAGACCGTCTAGGAACAGCGATCTCAAGCAGGGCCCCAGGCTCAGCACCAGGCACTGTCCCTGGGCAGGAAGCTGTGGTACAAACTTCTGAATTTAAAAGTTACTCAATTCATGGTAGCTTCTCAAAGCAGGGAATCCAAAAATTATTCTATGAGGTATGTGGTATTATAAAGGTTTTTATACTAAAGGGAACTCTTCACTTACAAAAGGCTGGAAGCCACTGCCTAAATACTCCCAGGGATGAAAGTTAAAAATCAAATAAGTAAACTAAAGGCCCTGCACATCAGAGAAGTGGGGACCTGCCATCTCAGTGGGGCCCAGGTAGCTTGCAGTGAGCAGCCTTGGAGGTTCCTGACCCTCGACTCCCATGTGAAAGGACAAGAGAAGGTAGAAAGCGGGTCTTCAGCTATCCCTCATGGTCCTCTATTGCTCAGACGTCCCCTTGGAGCTCCCAGAGTGAGACCCCTGACAGCTCACAGACAGGACCAGACAGAGAGCAGTCCCCAACGCAGTGCCACCTGCACTGACCCAGCACATGAGGATCCCAGCCCCCAACCCCACATTAGCTCTAGTGACCTTAATGACACAATGATGAGGACCAACACACGCCAAAGTGCCAAGTACTTTGGGAAACCCATGTTAATAGGCAAGACTGCCACTGTTCATGCCCAGTTCCATTTACCTAATACAAAACCTTTCAAGAACTTCAGGGAGAAGCAGGACTGCCCACTAGCACAGCCCTGGATAGAGCTCGGAGCCACATCCCAGGGGCACATCAGCCTGACCAGGATAAGCGGTCCACAGTCATTTCAGTCCCAGCTAGGATAAGTGCCTCTGTAAGAGTCCAGACACCAACCGTGGGGGCCTGAAGACAAATGCCACAGGCTCCACAGGCCTGGAGACCAGAGATCTGTCTCCACACCCAATGCTGCTGCCCATCAGAGCTTACGCACTGCAGGGGTCTTCACAACTTCTGCTCCTGGTTGAAGGAAACCAATTTTTGACACCTGCTATTCACTATTATCTGGTTCAAATGGTTTGCAGCCAAGTGAAGTCTGCAGTACACCAGCTATCTTTGCTCTTAGAATTCTACCTGTGAGGAGTTCAAACTGTCACGCTAAACACAGTCAACAAAAGGATTCTTCTGAGCACTGACTGTGGCTCAAAGAACATTCAGATAAATTCAAACAAGATTTTGTGCAACTAGCATGTACAAAGCACTGGAAGACAAAAATACAAAAGCCAAGTCCCCTTTCTAACCAACCTTATAAATTAATAGCAAGCAGGATATCAAGTCCACAAACTGCTCTAAGACAAGGCTGACGGCAAAGTGCCTACAGACATCGCCACAAAGACTGCATGAGCTCTGCATCGTGCCAATCACACACATCACACCTCGTGCTACCTTCCCAACAAGCCGTGGGGATAAACACGCCTATGGCTTCCATTTTAACGGATCAAGTTGGTTCACTTGTTCAGCCTGGCCAAACTAGTAAGTAGTACAACCAGGAGTCAACTGAGGCAGTGTGCCTGCTGCCCTGGTCAAATAGAGCAGAAAAGAAACGATATGGTGGGAGGGGTTATTCCTCCCCAGCGCCCGTTCTCAGGCTTGACGTTAACAACAAAAAGTCCACTCTGTTGCTGGGTCCAGCCCAAATAATAAGCCCCTCAAATTAGGGATCTGAAAAGACTAGAAGAATCTCCCCAGAAATCCATATGTAAAGTAGATGGTTCAAAAATATGAATATTCTAATACAGGGGAAAAGAAAAAATCTCCTTAGAGTCACTATATCCTAAAAGCAAAAAAATCAGAACCACTCATTTCTACCTCTGAGATTATTTTTGATAACCCCAGGAAATGGCTTCTTCTGTTGCCATCTCAAAGGACAATCACACCATTTTTCAATCCATTATTAAAGAAGAGCCATCAGCCTGCCTTTCCACGAGTAAGCGGGTGGTTTTAAGCTTTGACTGCTTTTATCTCCCTGCAGTTAGCAGGCCCTGTGATCACCAGGAGCATGGACAAAAGCCTCCAGAAGACAAAAGTGCAGGAAAGCTCATTTCTCAGAGATCAGTTCAGAAGTGGTCCAGGTTGGGGGTGGGAGTCTGATGCAAAGGTGTCCCAGCCAAGAGGAACAAGGAGTGAAAACAGATACAGCTCCCTAAAAGTGTGCAGCTAAAATATTCACACAAATTAAATACCAGCCAGGGGCTGAATGGATCAGACCAGTTATACCCCTAATAGTATGCAAACTCTGAAAGTGATCCCTAGAACTCCAAAGTACCTGTCTGCCAAGTCTCACCCACCAAGTAGTTGGACGACCTTAATTTCTTCCATAATCTCCCACACTTCTGTACTTCTACAGTTATATAAAAAATAAAATAGCACAGGTTAAAAGAAAAGTCTCCACTACCAGGAAAAAAAAAAGTTTATTTAAACTTTGAAGGACTGATTACTCAAATGAAAGACAAGGCAAATATGTTCTCCTCACAAGCCATACAATGCCACGTTGGTTTAATAAACTGAGAAACAGACGCGGGGATTACGGAGCAAACGTGCAAAGGCACAGGCTTCCCCTCCAGGGAGCAGGACCAAAATCCCCTGCATTTAGCTCTGAGCTCTGACAGGCTGGCAACCTAACCCTAGATACAAGCTCAAATACATTCTACGATCCCGTAGGTTTCTCTTCCCCTTGCAGTTAAGAGTCGGACAGAATTCCAAGGAAATAGATTCCATTCCTTAAATTATGCCACCTTTAAAGCATTCGGTTTTACCAGATAAACCAATCAAGAATTTCTACAGCTCTAAAATGAAGCTGAAGGCACAATAGATGACTGTGTTCAAGCTGGAGTTTGATTTCTACACATAATATAGCCTGTACCCGGAAAGATCACCAAAATCAAGTTCTGAGCTAACTCTTCGAGTCTGACTCTGCTCTCTTCTCCTACTGGAGGCTGAGTAGACACAGACATAGCTCTTTAAACTGGGTCAGGGCTGCCCTTGGTCCCAGTCCTGGTGGCCATCACCATACAAAGCTCTGGACAAGTAGCTGGCATGAACCTGCCCAGTTCTGGGTTCCTGATCCACAAATGAAAAGCATTTTGAGTGGGCCAACGCTGCCCCAAAAGTGACCAAACAGATAATATGCAATAGATGACTTTAGGGGTACACAACTTTTCTAATTACAGTAAACATAACTACCACATCAAAACTCATGACTTCATGGATATCAAAATTCCTTCCCAAAATAAATGTGTATTTAAATGTAAAAAGTGAGTGAACTAAAAGGAAATATCTAGAATGCTCTGGTAACATGGCATTAACCTTGAAGGCTGGGAGCCCCCAGACCAGGCAATCATCATTCTCCGAGTGTGTGACTGGCAGGCTATACATACCTGACCCACGCCATTTCCCTTTCAGAAGTGGATGTACTTTTGCAAATAAAACACAAGACTAAAATGATCCAAAGCTTAGGTTCTAGTGACAGCTTTGTCACTTGCTGACAGTATGACCTCGGGCATGCCAATTAACCTCCTGAGCCTTGGTTTTCAGACCTGTAAAATGGGGATCAGGAGGTTGTAGAGGGGATTAAAAGCAACAAGGCTTTTGAAAGTGCCTTGTAAACTGTGAAATGCTACAGAAGTATCAGTCGCTACACTTCTCAGTTACAGGAGCAATGCCTGCTGGGCGTGTAACTCTGTCCTCAAATTCCCTCCCTGTAATCTGGGGATTGGCCTGTGTTGCCCTTCTCTTTCAAGTGCTCCCAGTAAAACTCAAATATTACATGCAGTGATCCTAGAGTTTTGATTTTTAAGAGAAAAACCTAGACATCTAGAATCATTCCTGGAAACATAGTTGGTTTTCAGTGCTTTTACTTAAAATACTCTCCTAAAAGACACTTCACCGCTGTCACAGCCAGAAGTCCCACTGCTGTAGAAACTCTTGATTCTAACTCTTTCCTCCTGGAAAGAGAGGAACTCGGGGTCAGCTCGTTAAAATATTGCCAGCATTGTGTTGTAAACCCTAGTCAACTCCGGTTGCTGCGCTAACAACATGTGTTCTTGGTAAAACTGCTTGAAACTTTAAATAGACCACCATTTCTGAAACTCGGGGGCTCCAAACGGCTGAATCAGCATTTTCAGAAACAAAGTGTTCTAGGCCTGGCCTTTTAAACAGCAGCAACGAGCAAGTTGTGCAATAACGCATATTTACTCACGAGCTCTCCTTGTTTTGGTCTTTCCCCCCTCCCCCCCATCTCTTGAATGAAACTGGGCACCAAGTTTGCAAGAAAATATTCTTTCAAACGCATTGTAAAGATCCAGGACCCTGTAAAAATCACCTGTGGCTCTCTTACATTACCCAACGTTTCGGTGAAAGCAAACCATAAAAAGTTCGCGTTTCTTCCAATCCCAAGAAAAGACGCACACAATAAAAAGTAAAGGATACCCTAATTTCCATAACGCACATGCTCCAAGGCAGTCGTCAGGCAGGCGTTTGGAGAGGCAATCAGCAAAGGCGAAGAGTTGCATCAGAAATTTCCTTCTGCAAACGGTACCGCTCTTATCACATTTCCACGGCTGGCGGGCGGCTAATCCGCGAGCCCTCAACTTGGTGTTAGGCCCCAGCGGCGGCTAACGGGTCACCAACAGAACCAAAAAAAAGGTCCTCCGTACGAGGCTGGGCCGGCTCGGGATTTGGGAGTGTCTGGCACCACTGTCCCGGACGCCCGGACGCCCGGGCGCGCGCGCCGCGGCCCCGCCGCGCAGTCGGAGCACCCGGGGCTGCAGGGACGCCTGGGCGCCCACCCTCCCAGGCGGCGGCCCCCAGGAGCGCGGCCTTGACCGCAGCCCCCGCCACAGCCCGCGAGCCGCCGGCGTCTGACAAGATGGTTCAAGAATGCACCGCTTGGACTCCACACCTCCCCCCAGGGGTCGGGAACGCAGCGCGGAGAGCCCCGCGGGGCGCCCGGCTGCCTCCGCCTCCGCCGCGCGCCCGCAGCCCCAGTCCCGCCTCCGAGCACCGCCCGCTGCGGGCCCGGGGCGCCGGAGCCCCCGGCCCGGAGGCGACGCCCTTCCGCCCGCCGCGCCTCCGCGGGGCCCGGCGTCCCCGGCCGCGGCCGCCCAGCGCTCAGACAATGACGGCGCGGGGACCCGCCTGGCCGTCCCGGGCCCCGCGGGGACGCCAACCACAAAGTAACTTGCCGCCGCGCTCCCCGCCCAACTCCGTACCTGCCGCGCGCGGCTCCCCGCCGCCTCCGCGTGGCTGCGGGCGACACTCGGCGTGGCCGGCGGCGGGCGCGGGTCCCCGCGGGGCGAGGCCGGCGCTCAAGACTGTCCCGGGCGCCCCGCGCCGCCGGCGCTGCCGCCACCCAGGGGCTGCGCGGAAACTTTGGGCTCCACCGGGTCTCCGAGCGCCGAGCCCGCCCGGCCGCAGCTCGCTTCCCTCTCTGCCTCCTCCCGACCTCCCCACCCCCTCGATGGGCTTTAAACTCGCCCGGCCCCGCCCGCCCTCCCCGCCTCTGCCGCCGCCGCCGCCTCCGCCTCCGCCTCCTCCCCCGGCTACTTTTCCTGCTCCTCCTCCCGCCGCCGCCGCCCGGACCGCTCGGCGGCCGCCAGCGCGGGAGGAGCCGGGGCCTGGGCGCAGGGCGTGGCGCGGGGGCGCGGGCCGCGGGCCGGACGGCCGGGGGGCCAGAAGCTCCCGGAGGTTCCTGCCCCGGGCTGCTGAGCGGGTTCCCCCCTCCTGCTGTCCTCGGGACTCGGGCGCGGGACCACGACCGCCGCGGCTCAGGAGGCTTCGCCAGTGAAAGGACAAATTGGACCTGTCCCGAAAGACAATTTATAAGCGAACTGTTTGAAACGCACAAAGTATTAACTGCGCAGTCCAGATCCTTTATCCTGGGCGCAGCAGGACGGGACGGAAGAGCTGGGGCTGCCCCGTACTCTGTCGTGGGCTGAAGGCACCCGGCCTGGGAAAAGGAAACCTGGGTTTGCTCACAGCCAGCCAGGTCTGGGGCCTCACCTCTTTGAGCCTCAGTTTGCCCCATCTGCGTATGAGTATCGAAGTGCGGGTGGAGTGAGAGGCCCTTCATTTTTTCTTAATGCTGCCAAGCCTGGTGTCCTTATCTTTACAATGGGCTAATAACGCCCGCCTGAGGGTTGGTGTCCTGGGGATTAAATGAGGTCATACTGGGAACATAAAGTGACTGCGAAAAAGACTCCCCTACCCCCCAATTGACGGAAGCCATTGTCGTTAGTGTGATTCTTAATATCTCTACCGAGTCAAAACTCTAATACACATAGCATAACGATAAGTATGTCTTTTCCTGGGTCTTGGCGTTCTAAACGCAGCTGCGACAATATCTTGCCTTCATAGAGCGTGCACTTTGTGCAAAACCTTCATGAATCCTTGCATGTAACCCCCACTGTGGCCCTCTAGGTGTTACTGTTAGAGTCCCACTGTGTACGGACTGGGAAACTGAATCTTGGAGAGGTTAAGTGACTTGCTGAAAGTCAAGTAGCTGGTAAGTGCAGAGCAAGGATTGGAAGCCATGTACGGTATTGTACCAAAGCCCCTCGTAGGCACCTGCTTCTAGCAGGAGTTATTCCACCTTAGACAGATGTTACTCATGGAAAGGTCATCCTTCCCTGTAACTGAAACAGACCTCCCTAAATTTTTGCCTATTGGTCCAAGCTCAGAAACACGTAAGATGAAAATCAAGAGAGGATGATATCAAAGGATTTTAGATTCCTAGAAGAAAGGAACACAGAGGACTCCTGTTGCAGACAAAGGACTCAAAAGAAAATTAAAGAACAGAAAACTCAGTTTGAGCCAACTTCTCACAAATGCATCAGCTTTGAACCTTCTAGCTTCTGCTGAAGGTCCAAACAGCAATCCATGCCTACACCAGTCAGATAGCCTGATAGGCAAGGAGGCTTTGATAGAGGTTTCAAAAGTTCCTTGATACATAGACATATGTTCTTTTGGAATCACTTGTGGGTAAATTCCATACACTATGGCCCCTTTACCCCTAAATACATTGATGTGTCTTTCCTAAGAGTAGAGATATTATGTGCATAACCACAATAGTCACCAAATTCGTAAATTTATATTGATAAAATACTTGTATCCAATCTAGGTCCATATTCCGGTATAGTCAGTTGATCTGACTATGTCTTCCATAGTATTTCTTTCCCTCTGTTACAAGATCCACTATTGAGGTCTAGAGTCAGGTATTGCATTTAGTTGTCTCAAAATGTATGGGTTTTCAGACATTACTATTCACAGAGAAGTGATCAAGATAAATGTCCTTAAGTGTTTTCCTGCTAGCATAGGTCTCTAGAATTCCTAGGACAGGCCCTCATTCCCTACATTTCCTGGCTCTCTGTAGACATCAGTGGGCAGAACCCATTCAGAGACACTTTCTGATGCAAGTTCATGAACTTGTCACTCTTGTGGCTGCAGAAGCTGCAGCTGTCCTCTGTGCAGTGATCCTGGATGAGCCAATCCTATATACAGATTGTATCTTATAGCCTTCCCTTCCCCCAAACTCCAGATGCCCCTGCCCACGCACAATGCTCCCTCTCAACAGGGTGGCAGCCACAGTGGAATCTAGCCATGCAGCCTATACGTTATCCTGGAGAGCTCAGCATACTGGGCAAGACAGGGAGGCTTGTAGTTCAAGCACTTCCCCAAGGGGAAACATATAAGCTGGAATTAGGTGTCAGGACACAGGATTCCGTGATAGTGAGAAATTCAATTATCTAAACATGAGCTAGAAGCCTCCTTCAGCTGAAAGTAGAGAATCTGATAGACTCTAATTTTTAATTAGTAATGAATTGATTAACATCTGTCTTCCCCTGTTGACTGTAAGCATGGTGACTGTGGCAACTCTGTGCCCCTTCACTAGTGTCCTTCCAGCAGGTGGAGTGCCTGGGACAGAGAGGGCACTAAGTGAATAGTCATTACTGGGGAATACTGTCCAGTGAATTAATTTCTCAGGAGCCTCTGAGACCTGGGCACTGTCTCAAACATTGCCAGTAACCTTGACAAAGGGAAAGTAGTCAGGGTGAATGGCACCCTGACAGCTAACTGCTTTGAGCAGCAGTGGCCCTCGCCTCTGCTCTCATGAGCCACTGCTAGTCACACGGCCCAGCCACCATCCCATGCGGCCCATGTGGACATGCGAGCACATGTCTGGAAAGCAGCCGCCTGCCCACCCCTGCAAGGGGAAGGGGGTAGTCTATAGTCATAATATAATCATAGTGCCTGCCCCAGAATACCTGAGGAGCCTGCTTGCACTACACATCCCTGGGCCCACCCAAGCTCTGGAGAGTTCACACTTCCAGGGTTCATCTGCAATTTTTTTTTTGAGACGGAGTCTCACTCTGTCACCCAGGCTGGAGTGCAGTGGCGCGATCTCAGCTCACTGCAAGCTCCGCCTTCCGGGTTCACGCCATTCTCCTGCCTCAGCCTCCTGAGTAGCTGGGGCTACAGGCGACTGCCACCACCCCCAGCTAATTGTTTTGTATTGTTTCAGTAGAGACGGGCTTTCACTGTGTCAGCCAGGATGGTCTCTATCTCCTGACCTCATGATCCGCCCACCTCGGCCTCCCAAAGTGCTGGGATTACAGGCGTGAGCCAACACGCCCAGCCCATTTTTAATAGACTCCTGCATGATGCACGATCTACATCCACACCAGTATTCCAAACACTCCAAAACGAGATGGACAGGCCACCCTGGAGTCTAGAGGTGGGGAGCCTGGCAGCATTCAAGGAAGGCTTCCCAGTGGTTGCCATGCCCCCATGGCACCCTAGAACATCAAAGATGGTAAGTTAGGCAAAGAGAACTGAAGAAAAGGCCTTTGGGGTTGAGGGACAGGCGTGTCTCTCAGACCAAACCCATGAAAGACCTTGGCTCCCTCAGGGCGCAGTACCAAGTAGTTGCATTTAGTCACAGAATGTTGCTGCTGGGTCTGGGGTTAGAGTTTTGATAACACACCAAGCTGGAGGGGTAAGAAGGGACTTATTTGTCAGATTTATATTTAACTATTTATACTTATTTGTCAAGTATAGGCTTATATGGCGATGAGAGCACCGGATATGTCTGTTATGGGGCCTACCAGCACAGTGCCCCCCAGCTAGCCCTGCTCTGTCTAGAGTTTCCCCACAACCCTGGTTTTCCTTGATTCCTAAGTACCAATTAAATTGGTCAGGGATGACGCTTGGCCCAGAGATTCCCATTCTGTAGGTAGGTGGGCCAGTGGGCGGAAGGGTGACCCAACCAATCAGAAGCCTGCACCTGGGATTCTGAACTTGAAGTACTGGTGGGATCTGCACAATGGAGACCAGGTGAGGAACGGCGAGTTGGGCTCAGCATAAGGATGGTGTAAAGTACAAAGACCCAAACAGATGCCGTCGTGCCTCCCGTCTCTCTGGGCCCAGGCTGGTACAGCTATTGTTTTGAACTTCCATAGAATTCCATTTTCCGTCATTGTTTATTTGTTTGTTTTGTTTTGATTTTGGTGGGGGGTTGGAGGGGGTAGGGACAGAGTCTGGCTCTGTCGCCTAGGCCAGACTGCAGTGGCGCAATCTCAGCTCACTGCAACCTCCACCTCCCAGGTTCAAGCAATTCTCATGTCTCAGCCTCCCAAGTAGCTGGGATTACAGGCATGCGCCACTATCCCCAGCTGATTTTTTATATATGTAGTACAGACAGGGTTTCACCATGTTGATCAGGCTGGTCTTGAACTCCCAACCTCAGGTGATCCACCTGCCTCGGCCTCCCAAAGTGCTGGGATTACAGGTGTGAGCCACCACACCTGGCCCCATTTTCCTTATATTGTCTTAATATCAACTCTCCTTTTCTGAAGTTGCTTGGATCAAAATGTCTTTACAACCAGAACAGAGGCTCACAGAAAGATGTTTATTCAGGCTGGTTACTTAGGTATAATTTGCTGACCAGAAAATTTATCATTTTTTAATGTACAATTTGTGGAGTTTGGAAAGGTATATAGTTATGGAACCAGTAAAGACATTAATACAAATAGTTTTCACCCCAAAAAGTTTTCTCATGCTCCTTGTCAGTCCCCCTTCCTACTCCAGGCAACTGATCCTCTTTCAGTTCTTAGGTTTTGCTTTTCTTTTCTTTCTTTCTTTTTTTGTTTTTTGGAGAGATGGAGATCTCCCTGTGTTACCCACGCTGGTCTTGAACTCTTGGCCTCAAAGCAATCCTCCCTCCTCAGCCTCCCAAAGTGCTGGGGTTACAGGTGTGAGTCACCACACCCAGCCATGTTGCTCTCAAGATTGTCATCTGAATGGAATCACACAGTAGTTAACTTGGCATAATGTCCTTGTGAATCATCCATGTTTAGTGACTGGATAGCATGATACTTTAATTAGGGTAGGTGTACATCCACTTGTTCAGCCATTCTCTGGCTGGCGAAAATTTAGGCTAGTACCAGTTTTGGGCAATTATGAATAAAACTGCTATGAGTATTTGGGTAAAGGTTTTTCTGGAAATGTAAGTTTTCATTTCTCTTGGGTAAATAACTAAAAGAGAGACCGCTAGGTCATATCTCAGTATATGTTTACCAGGAACTGTCAAACTATTTTCAAAGTGAGTATATTATTTGTGTCTGCACCAAAAATGTGTAAGAGTTCCAGTTGCTCTACATCTTGCCCAACACTTGCTGTTGTTTGTCTTTTTCATTTCTGCCATCCTGATATTGTGGGGGCAGCTTCTAATGTTGTGTAGTGGTATCTCATTCTGATTTTAATTTGCATTTCCTTCATGGCTAATAATGTTGAGCACTTCTTCATGTGCTTATTTGCTGTGCATATACAGTGTTTTGTATAGTGTCTATTCAAATCATGTGCCCATCTTTTTGTGTGTTTTTTTCTTATCATTGAGTGCTGAGAGTTATTTATATTACCAATCCTTTAGTAGAGATGTGTTTTGCCAGTATTTTCTCCATTCTTTTCACTTTTTAAATGGTACCTTTCAAACAGCAGAAGTTTTTTTATTTTTTTATTTTTTATTTTTTTATTTTTTTTGAGACAGTCTTGCACTGTCGCCCAGGCTGGAGTGGCACTATCTCGGCTCACCGCAAGCTCCGCCTCCCAGGTTCATGCCATTCTCCTGCCTCAGCCTCCCAAGTAGCTGGGACTACAGGTGCCCGCCACCACGCCTGGCTAATTTTTTGTATTTTTAGTAGAGACGGGGTTTCACCATGTTAGCTGGGATAGTCTCAATCTCCTGACCTCATGATCCGCCCGCCTCGGCCTCCCAAAGTGCTGAGATTACAGGCATGAGCCACTGCGCCCAGCCAGCAGAAGTTTTTTGTTTTGTAAGTTAAATTATCAATTTGTCCTTTCCTGGATTGTTTTTTGTATCCTATCTAAGAAATTCTTTCCTAGACCAATACTGCAGTGATTTTCTTTTATGTTTTCTTCCAGAAGTTGTATAGTTTTGGCTCTTACATTTAGAGATATAATTCAATTGTAACTGATTTTTGTAGACCGTGTGAAACAAGGGTGAAGGTTCTTTTTTGTGGCATATGGATGTCTGCTTGTCCCACTGGGTGATTTGAAGTTGTTAGGTGATCCCAGTTTTGTTTTAGAATGCTCGATCCAGCTACAGTGGAGCCAACAGACCAGTTGGGAGACTGGTAGGTGAGGATGATGTTGAGCTGTGACAGAGGGGAGGAACAATAATGAACAGATTGGGGTGAGTATAGGACGTATGTATCACAGCAAGTCTCTGCCCTTCTGGTGGCCCTGGGCTTAGATGAGACTGTGGCAGTGAGCACAGTGCCTGGCACAGAGGGAGGGAGGCACAGAGCAGGGAGAGCGCATGGCCATGTTGCTGCAGGAAGATTCCATCATGGAGCAAGCTCAGCACCCTCCCCCGGGCACTCTGGCTGAGACGTCTCCCTCTTAGTTGAAACAACACTGCACCCATTAGGATGCTTTGGGCTGCAGGGAACAGAGCAGAGCTTACCAGCCTTGTCCAGGATTTCTGTCCACGTCATTCTCAGGGCCATGGCTTTGCCTAATGCTTGCCCCGGTAGTGTCAAGATCACAATGCAGATGCAGTTCCAGGCGTCAGTTCCCCTGATAACTGTGTCCAAGGGCACAAAGGGGACATTCTCCTCCCTTGCCTCATGCCAGAATCCACTAGGAGATTTCTTCTCACATTTCAGGATCTAGAACATGGTCTCAGGCCCGTGCCCTAGCGGGAAGGAAGGTGAGAATGTAAGCATCACGCATCTTTAACTTCTGTATTGTGGGGGCAGCTTCTACCAGCAAGAAAGAAGGATCAGGGATGGGGGTGGCTGGTAAATGGACCACCAAAAGGACGTGGCCAATAGCAGATGGCCTTTTTGGCAATGAAGAGCTGAGAACCCCTCTAGTTTAGAAGGAGCTTCCTAAATAAATGCAGCCTGGGAATTAGGATCCTAGGGATGGCATGCAATTCTAAATCCCTAGGCATCCAAACCTAGTTATATCTCTAAAACACGAGCTCCTTTCCAGCCACTTAAAAAAAAAATCATTTCAGCACCTTAACCCCATTAGAAGTTAATTAACCATGAATGTAGCACAAACTTTACTTAATAAAATATATCTCCATCCCAGTACACTTCATGATTTTAATAACCAAAGTTCCAGAGCTAGTAGGAGAATCCAAAATAAGAACAAAAACTTTTAATTGGTAAAAATTATTTAGAGCTACTGGGGATTTAGTATTAGCATAACCTGCACGGTGTGTGAGGGGAAGTGAATGTATGTTTTTGAGACAGCACCTTAAAGTTAATGTTTAAGATGTTAAAGCCAGAAGCTGCTTCAGTTAGTCAGCATACATTCTTTAAGAGGATTAATCTGCCTGCATGAGGTACGAGACTACACAGAAAATAGAACAGCTAATCCTGGAGATGAACCTGTTAGATATCCCACAATTCGTACTTACAGCAGTGAGGAACCCTGTCCAGGTGGAGGGCGATCACGTGAGTGTTTGCATTCACTTTGGGCTCGCACTTCTGTTAGCCAAGTCTGGATGTTCAGTTGCACAGGAGAGAATTATATTTTACAATAATTTGCAGAGAGTCCTTCTCATTCATTTATATGTAAGTGTAGCCCAGGGTCATTATTTTTTAGGACTCATCAGATTTAAAGATCGAGTGACTGTATGTGACAGATTTTTCTAGGAGAAACAGTATTTTTTCTTCTTCTTCCCTTAGCTATTATCTTCTCCTCTTTCTTCTCCTCCCTCTTCATTCTCAAAACAAGCACCATCCCTAAGTGCCTGCTTCAGCATAAACAGGTGATATATGTTTAATGTGTACCTTACATTAGACACTGTACCAGGCACTTTATATATGTATTTCAGTTAATCCTCATAATAAATTTGAGGCAAATATTGTTTTCTTAGTTTTATAGTCAAGGAAGCAGACTCAGGGAAGCTACATGGCTTCTCAAGGTCACTTAACAAATCAGTGGCAGGGCTGGCATTTGAAGCCCCCTTTGTCTGACTCTCAGTCCCTTCTACCTTCTTCCCACTATTCCTGGCTGTCTCTACTGTCATTTCTTGTCATTTGATTATTTTCCATGTAACCAGTTATTTAAGTGTATGACCTAATGGGATGTCTTTTGTGCAAAAGTCTGCAATTAGATTTCAGTATAATAAAGTTCTCCCTCTTTAGGAAAGGTGTTCTCGTTTATTTTTGGATCCTAAAATGTGATCTCATTTCTATTTAAGCATGTGTCCCTGAATCCAAGGTGGAGGAAGGGGAGGGTCATGGGAGGAAGATATTAAAGTCTTTTATTTATTCAAGTTAGGGATTTTAATCTCACACTTAACCACCCTCCTTGCCCTCCTACTGTTAGGGAGTTTGACTTACTTGGCTCTGATGCTACCTTGGGAATTCTGACCTCCTGGAGACCAGAGACACCCACAGGATGGGGATGGCACCATGACAGGCAGCTCCAGAAATGGGCGGTGGGAAGAGCCAACCCTAGAGTGGGTGGAGCTGGGTCAGTGATGATGCAGCCAGACAATATATCCAAAAAGTGCAAAAGAGGTAGATGTCCTGCAGATGAGTGACCCTCATGGTGATGAGACACCTGGTGGACAGAAGGAGCTAGCAAGGTCTGCTCACAGATGGAAGTCCAGTGGCAGATATTCAGTCCCTGGGAAAGAACAAGATAGGGCTTCCATCCAGCAGGAAGTGAGTTAGGAGATCAAGACTGTTCACAGTAAAAGTTGGTGCCCCACTGCAAGAACTAGGAAACAAGTCTGTAGAGGACCTGAGTCCCCGAGCACCCCGTGACACTCCTTCAGTATTCCCTTAGGAGAGGAATGCCAGTGTCTGCAGGGACTCTTTGAGGGAGGAGAGGAGGAATAAGGGGGAAGGAAGTAATGCAACTCAGAATGCTTGTACTAGGCCAGGTGCCTAGTACAGCTGTAATCCCGGCATTTGAGGAGGCTGAGGTGGGTGGATCATTTGAGGTCAGGAGTTCAACACCAGCCAGGCCAACATGGCGAAACCCCGTCTCTGCTAAAAATAACAAAAATTAGCTGGGTGTGGTGGCGGGTGCCTGTAATCCCAGCTACTTGGGAGGCTGAGACACAAGAATTGCTTGAACCAGGGAGGCAGAGGCTGCAGTGAGCCAAGATCGCACCACTGCACTCCAGCCTGGGCAACAGAGTGAGAGTCCATGGAAAAGAAAAGGAAAGGGAGGGGAGGGAAAGGGAAAGGGAAAGGGAAAGGGAAAGGGAAAGGGAAAGGGAAGGGAATGGAAGGGAAGTCCTAAAGACCATCAGTGATAACTCATTCAATTAACAGACACTGATTGAATGCTGACTACCTGCAGCATTGCAGGTAGGTGCAAAGCAGTCCAGAGGCAGTCAAGATGTTGGCATTGATGGCCTTACAAAGGCTCCTGCAACAGGACTCTGAGAGGCTGGGACAGACTCTTTGGGGGCCTGTATGATGACAAGGGCAGATGTATACCAGAAAGACTCTTCCCAGGGAGGGATGCACAGACTTTCCAAACTGCCCAGGGGCCCTAAGTGTCTCGGTCGTCAAGAGTCCAGGGTTCCAGCTGGGGCTCTGAGAGACCAGTCGGTGAGGGCAGCAGTTAGCAGCTGCTCTGTCTCTCAGAGCCTCCATGTCTGCATGTCTGAAAAACTCCATGAGGACTTTTTGTATAGAGGCCATCACCTGTGGAGGAAGTTTGTCACAATGCCCTAGTAAAGCATTCGGTTGGGGGCTCCATATTCATTCAGTTCTAGTTAAGGACATATGTTTTGGAACCAGGAATTTGACCCAGGTTCAAATTCTAACTTTCCTTCTTGTTAGTTGTGGGACTGTGGATAAATTACACAGACTCCCTAACTCAACTTCCTCAGCTGTAGAGTCAGGATGATAATTCTTACCTAATAGTGTTGTTTTAGTGGATTTTTATACCTTACTTTTGTCTGTAATGAGTTAAAATATAATGCAGCATAATAAACCACCCCAAATAGAGTGGCATAAAACAAACATCATTTTGTTTTGTTTGCACAACTATGAGTCAGTAAGTCATGCATGGCGCAGTGAGGACAGCCAGCTTGCCTCTTCTCTACCATGCCTGGCAATCAGAGTCATCCATCCCTGTGTCCCAGAGATATAGTGGTTGGCTTAGGAATGGGCCTGGGAATCAACTCAGGCCAAAGAAGAGTGAGGGGGAGGAAGTTTACTGGGGGTGTCTAGAAAAGGAGTTTCCGTTCCTTTGTTATGTAGGACACGAGCTATGAATGAGAAAGTGTGGAACCTCAGGTGCACTGGCAGCCTCCCTGGCTCTAAGGATAGTCCACTGAGGAGGAAGCTGACCCTGTGGGCCTCAACGTAAGGGAGCAGAGGAAACATGGGCATCTGAGGTCATCACAGACCATCCCACCCTGGACTTCACATTCTGAGAGTCAATAAACATCCTTACTGTTTTTTGTTTTTTGTTTTGAGACAGGGTCTTGCTGTGTTGCCCCGGCTGTTCTTGAACTCCTAGGATCAAGCAATCCTCCCACCTCAGCCCCCTGAGTAACTGAGACTACAGACACATGCCCTGACACCTGGCTCATGGACTACTGTTTTTACTTGAGGATTAAAGCATCATGACTAATATGATTGTTCACTATGATAACATGGGGTAACCACTCTATAAAGAGGAGCAGTATCATGGAGTTGCCTTTCTGCACAGAAGCTGCTGTTCATTTTGCCATCACAGCATCAGGTATACCAATATTCATGAAAAAGGCAGGGCTGCTTGATTATTTAACCTACTCTTTTCTAGGGAGGAAGTGTCCCCAGCCAGGGAAGGTGCATCAGGAAGCCACAAACTCTGAGTGGGGGCTGGAAAGGGGTGCAAATCCTCCACTGAGACTGTGGACCATTCACCCTACCCTATAGTTCCCCCCAGAGACTCTGGCCTGAAACAGCATGGGTGTTTTGGAAGATACACTTACCATTCTGCTCTGCTCTATTTGTGTTGTTTTGGAAAAAAAAATCTTTACACAGTTAACACTTTGCTTTCCAAAGCATTTTAGGGAACAGGGTCAGCCTCATTCATTCCTAGCATCTTAATCAATTGTCTAAAGTCTTAAGCAGAACTCTCCAACACTTGATGCCAAAATGCCTTCATAGCCCCCAAAGAGACACTACTCAGGGACCCCCCACTATCCCAGAGTCAGAGCTATAACTGAATGCTCAAGTTAGGGTCTTTCAGGAATATGTCATGAAGCACAATCATTCTTCCAGAAGGGCTACTGAGAAATCCTATCACAGTAAAGAGGACAGATTTGGGGGTCAATACAGCCACACCCCTTATTTGCCATGGGTCATAGGCTGGCCACCCAATGACTCCAAGCTTCAGTATTCTCAGTTATCATACAGAGACCATCTACTGTGGGCAAAATCAAGTAGACCATGGGTCTGAAGTGCCTAGCAAGATAGCGGCTCATGGTAAGACTCAGTCAGCAGGGATTATACTTCCTCCATCATGTGGAGGAACTTAGTAATATCTGGAGTAGGTTCAGTTCCTGCTCGACCACTGGTGAGACCCCTATTCTGCCTCCTTTCCTCATCTGTGAGATGGGGAAATAACAGCACCTACTCCATAGGGTGGCTTCTTAGGATTAAATTTGTATGTATGTAATGGAATGATCTGTGGTGTCACCAGCAATAAACTCTGGGGACCATCCCTCCAGGTGAGCCATAAATACATGCTTGGGATCCTCCTGACTCCCAGGCCCATGGTTCATCAGGCTCATCCTGCCAGGAGAATGGCTTGACCAGGGATGGCCCTCAGTTACTTTCTTCTCTGGGGAAGAAGAGACTCAGAATGACAGCCTGGTCAGTCGATGGCAGTGTCCAAGGAATGGACCACCTAGGTAAGTACTCTGTGCATGGGACAGGACATCCTGTGCCTGTTCCCACCCTGATATGTTGACAGGTCCTTTGAAGGGCTGGGCAGGGCTGCCTGCAAGGTGAGTTTTGAGCTGGGCACCCTAATCTCAGCTGACAGGGACTCACCACACATATCCTCTGGTCCACCATTCAGCCCTTGTGGCATCATCTAGCTAGAGCCAGATGGGGGAACTCGACTTTGGTGGATATACACCAAAGAAAGAGAAAGAGGAAGCAAGGCTGCCTGGCACTGAGCATCTCGTTTTATAGCCATCTGTGAAAGAAGAGCTATCATTTAATTTAAATTTCCCTTGTATTCACAACTTTACAGGAAGAGTTAAAAATACATGAAATGTCAACTATTTGGATAACCTTTTGCCACTTCCCAATAAATATGATGTACATGTTTCCATCTCAATAGCCAGAAGTGAGTTTCGCATTCTGTTTTGGTTTCAGCTGCCTCCAGGCACCCCTTTCTATGAATTGACACCCTCCACATGCATGTCTGTGGGGCACTTGGCCCTTTTCCAGTTTTTGGCTGCTATGAATAGCACCGCAAGAAATGCCCCTGGGCAAGCCATTTTTTTTTTTTCAAATCCATTACACATCTCACTAGAACATTGCTGTTTCCTTTTCTTCTTTTATTAGAGTCGAGGAAGAAAGGACTTATGCCAGCTAACTGAACAGAAAGGGCTCATTAAGGGGAATCTTTCTGGGAGGACAGGCAGCAGCTGTTCTAGGGGGGTCACTGTTGCTGGTGAGTGCAGGGGGGTCGCTGTTGCTGGTGGGTGCCGCCACACCTTGCCCCCTTCCCTTCTCCTGCGTCCAGGTCTGCTGGCTGGCACCTGCTCCCTGTGGTCTGCCCCTCATCACTGGCTTTCATGAGGACGGCTGTGGCTCCTGCGGCACCAACTGGCCGATTTCCTTGCAGTGTTGATTTCCACCTTCAGCAAGCTCAATCTGTCAGATTCCATAGTCCATATTCCTCAACTGGCTGTCTCCTTAGTCTAAGTCTGATTTCACACAAGGCCAGGGCACGGGTAGGGCCTATGATGGGGCAGGAGGGCTCGGTCATGAAAGGAATCAAATTTAGTTGACAGTCGACCCTTTGGCCACATGGGTTTGAACTGGGTGGGTCCACTTAGGCATGGGTTTTCATTCTCCTCTGCCACTCCTGAGGCACCAAGAACAACCCCTCCTCTTCCTCTTCCTCTTCCTCAGCCTCAAGGTGAAGACGAAGCTGAAGACCTTTACGATGATCCACTTCCACTTATCAAAGAATAAATACATTTTCTCTTGCTTATAAGTTTTATAATAACATTTTCTTTTCTCTAACTTTATTTTTTAATTTTTAAAAATTTTTATTTATTTATTTTTTTTGAGATGAAGTCTCGCTCTGTTGCCCAGGCTGGAGTGCAATGGCGCGATCTCAGTTCACTATAACCTCCACCTCCCAGGTTCAAGCGATTTTCCTGTCTCAGCCTCTCAAGTAGCTGGGATGACAGGTGTGCGACACCATGCCAGGCTCATTTTTGTATTTTCAGTAGAGATGGGGTTTCGCCAAGTTGGCCAGGCTGGTCTCGAACTCCTGACCTCAGGTGATCCACCTGGCTCGGCCTCCCAAAGTGCTGGGATTACAGGCATGAACCACTGCGCCCAGCCTTTTTAATGTTATTCTTTTTCTCTCTAGCTTACTTTAGTGTTAGAATACAGAATATGACACATGTAATGAAATATGTGTGAATCAACTGCTTATGTGGTCGGTAAGTCTTCCAGCCAACAGCTATTCGTAGTTAAGTTGGTGGGGAGTCAAAAGTTATGTGTGAATTTTTGACTGTGCAGGGGTCAGTGCTCCTAGCCCCAGTGTTGTTCAAGGGTCAACTGAAATTTGATCTCCAAATGGGATTTTACAAACCACGCCCAAAACTTAGTGACTGAAAACCACCACCATCTAATTTGTTCACAATTTTCTAGACCAGTGATTTAGACTGGGCCTAACAGCACGGTGCTTCTGCCGGCCTCCCCTGGGATCCTTCCTGCCCTGGGGCTGGGGCTGGGGCCGCCTGCTGGGGTGTGCAGGCCGGGGGCCTGAGGTGGAACATCCGCTGTGTTCCTCCATGGGATATCGTCCTGCACTTGCAGGACGTTGTCTCAGGGAGGTGGAGAGGGCAAGTCCTGGTGGCCAGGGGCTCTCCGTGCTCCTGCTGCATCTTATTTGCTAGGGTTATGTTGGCCAGTTTGGGAGAGTGATGCCCGTGGGTGCAGACATGTGACTTAGTGTGCTTTGGGAGCTGTTGCCTTAACACTTTACAACACATGTGCATGAAACTTCATACGAAACCTGGAAAGTTTGAAAGAAGATACATACTGCTTTACACTAAACATACTACTTTAAACATACTACTTTAAACCAGGTCTCATTTCTGTATGTGGTCACTGTGAATGCATATCTTTTATTAAGCCTTATAATTATCTCATGCATAGCAAGATCATATTACATTTGTCTACTTTTTAAAAAGTTTTAACATATTTAATATAAACATTGAAAATGTACCACAAATTTTGTAATCCTGATATAGCTTTTTTTTTTCATTTTTCTATACCAGGTGCCTGTAAAAATAGAAGTGAAATGGGCCTCTACTGGCCCCCCAAACCTCTGGTTATAAGTCTGGTTATAGGGTCGGCCCATAGATGGTCTGCTCTGAGGTGAGAGAAGCCAACTTAGAGGTGGAGATCAGTGCACAGGACAGTCACTGGAGGGTGTTCTCAGGATCACCTGTGGGAGGGAAGGAACAAAGTAAGAGTTGAAGATGGTGTTGAATGGCAACACTGTCACAGAAGTCTCAGCTGACCCTGTGGGCAGCTCTGTGTTGGCATCTCCTAAATTGGGGCAAAGAGGTGGGGTTCTCATGATGACCACTCCCCTGTCAGTCAGCCATTGGATGTGGCTGCCCCCAGCAAGGGCACCTGAGCGCAGGCACGCCTTGCAGAGGGACTCCACTGGGCACGGCTGGCCACTCACACTGGCAGCAGCTGGAAGAGTGAGCCCATTCGTCGAAGAAGGGGGATTGGGCTGGGTGGCCTGGCATCCGCATGCCACCCCGGTCACATCTCCTTCCTTGCACCCTTGCAGTAGGGGTGTTACCATGAAAGAGCCACGCAACCACAGGGAAGCACAGCTGCCCGAGCAGCAGGTCTGCGGGCACAGCAGCTTCCCCTGGAAGGAGCGTGGCCCTGGCAGGCCTGCTGAGGCTTGTCCAGTCCAGTACTATGAACGCTGGTGAGAACTAATCCACAGATGTCTGGGTGCCCCGCCTCTTTGACATATATATTGGGGTTTTCTGTCGCAGGCATTTGTCTGCAAGCTTAACTGCTACACCCTGGATCAGCTGCAGTCTCATCAATGGGCAGCCTCCCCTAACAGCCTGAATTTAGGGGAGACCAACCACATTCACAGGTCATAAACCACCCTCTTTCTGGTCTAAGACTTCCTGACATGGATCTCGCAGCAGTGACAAAAGCCTCAAGGCTTGTTCTCAAGTGGTGATCCCCACACGGCACCGCCTACAAATGTGGTCTTCACTGACCCACCTGGAGTCTCTCCCATGGAGTGTCTTAGCCAGCTCAGGCTCCCATAAGAACATATCACAGACTGAGGGGCTTAAACAATAGACCCTTATTTTCTCATGCTTCTGGAAGCCAAAGTCCGAGAAAAAAGCCTGCCCAAGGCGTGGGCAGGACTAGTTTCTCCCCAGCCCATGCACCTGTGTTCTTACAGGGTCTGCCCACTGAGTGTCCGTGTCCCAATCTCCTTTTATAAGGACACTAGTTAGGTTGGATTAGGGCCTACTCTTATGACCTCCTTTCACCTTAATTACCACCTTCTAGACCCTATCTTCAAATACAGTCACATTGGGGTTTGGGCTTCAACTTATGGATTTTAGGGGATACAGCTCAGTCCACAGCATCCCCAGCTCACTGCTCTATGCATGTCCTCTTGCAGTGGTGGCTTCCAACCCTGGCCACAGGTCACCTTTTGCTTTTTTTTAGCTGCTTTTCAGAATTTCCTAGGCTTGAAGAGTAATGGAATTATTTACTTCCCCTCCACCTAAACCAAGACCTGTGGTCTAGTGTGTGCTGGCCTCCAGTGGTCATCCTTGATCAAAAGATCCTTGAAGCATCCTCCTGGAAGAGGCCTTAGATTGAGTCTTCAGCCACGTCAGAAGCTGGCCTTTTCCCTCTGCAGAAACAGGACTTGCATTCTGTCCAGCTGCATCCTCTGTCCCTCCTCCTCTTCCTCCCTGTTCCTCTAGGTTCTACCACTTACCTGCCCCCAGGTCCCCTTGTTCCATCCCAGCATTTTTACTGCCCAGGAACCAAGGCTGAGGAATTCTAGGTAGGGTGCCAGGGCTGGCCTGGAACCTCCAGGAGGGACACCTGCAGGGCCAGACCAGGCCACAAACTGAGGCAAGACTTACAAAGAGAAGTTTCAGGAAGCAGGTGCCTGACAGGTCCCCACGATCTGGGTCCTGTCCGTGCTCCAGGGAATGCCATGAATGCGGAGTGCTGAAGACAAATGGCCAGGGTGTGTGTGGGGGAGGGAGGGTGAGACCATGAGAATGAGTCCTCCTTGTCGAACCCTGTAACTCTTCCCGAGTCATGCCACCTTCCTTTCCACTGATGTGCCAATGGCTGCAATTCAGCCTACTCCCTGAGCTCCAGACTCTTGTTTGCAACCACCTTCCAGACATTTTCCCCCGGGCCCCCTGCACACACTTCAAGCATGGCATGTCCCACATGGAGCTTGTCATCCCAGACTCCTTTCTTCTTGCAGTCATTGGTGCCACAACTGACTGCACCTGCACGCCTGAGCAGGAGGCAGAATAACCTGCCCCAGGCTACGCTGAGTAGAGCTGTTCCTCAAAGTGTTGTCCTCAGCCCAGCAGCATCCACGCCTCTTGCAAACTTAGTAGAAATGTGAATTCCTGGGCCCTACCCAGACCTGCAAAATCAGATCTTTGTGGGGGTGCTCCAGAGATCTGTGCCCTAACCAGTTCTGGCATGCTGGCCTTTGAGAACAACTGGCGTAGAAAGATCAAGACCCAGAAGTCATCCCAGACATAGCTGGGCTATTTAATGTCCATCTTCCCCATCTAACAGGGCTCTGGGGGCCCAGATTCAATCCCACTCTCCTTTTACACCAGCACTGACACCTGTCTGGCTTTAAGGAGGGGCTCCAATGCTTCAAACTGAACTGCAGTCATGATATTGGTTCAAAACGGTTACCTTAGTGCCAGAGATGTCCTGATGTGTGAAAAATTTGACCACTTCCCCAGGCCTGTGACTTTGTTGGGTTCTGTAGTTGCTTGTGAGGACAGGAGACAACAGTTGACACACATCTGTGACTTTCCAGGACAGCATCTCCCTGCAGCATTGCTATCTCCTCAGTGCTCCAGGTAGATTTCCTGGTGCAGATTCCATTGGTTAAGACTGCATTTGATATTTACATAAACTACGTTTTCACTCCTAGACAAATAGTAGGTGTGCCATGCAATTTGTCCCAGTCCCTGAGGAAATGGGTTTATGTGGCAGCAGCTATGGAGGGCAGCTATGACCTTGGTCCCTTGTTCTGGACCTTGGGAGAGTCCCTGGCAGCCTTCCCCACACTGAGCTCTGCAGAAATAGCACAAGGCACGGTTGCACCCAGAAAAGGGGCTTAGTGGAAATAAGTATGCCTTCACTATAATAGGGTATATGTGATATCTCAAAACATTTTTATTTCAAAGTTGAAATAATTCATTTAATGAGCAAACTTATTGCACTCTGCTGTGATTTATACAATGAGACCACCATAGCTAATTAGGCCATTGATAGTCACCAGAGCCAAGGTAGCCAATTCAGAGGCCAGTGAATGACCAGTGAGATGGCCAAGATTGAAACAATCCCCCAATCTCTCTAATTCTTGCCTAGAACATCTATTTGGGAAATAGGGTAGGACTGACCTAGTTTACAGTGAGGGTATCAGACAACACAATGTCATGAGATCACATGTGAATAAGCAGTGGAAACCCAAAAATAGAAGAAAATGGAGATTTGCTAAGGTAACACAAGGAAGAGCCTACAATGAGAGAGAGAGAGAATTGGTTGATGAAGCTCATTTGCTTTCTGCAACTTTTGAGATTTAGTCTACACGTTTCTTGCTTTACCCAAGGTAAATTTGAGTGAGCCTGTGTTTTTTGAAACTAAAAGAAACTGTTCTTTAAAACTACAAGCCGCTGGACTGTGCCAGGATCTGGAATTTAAGCTTAATTATCACCAGTACTTTTGGAGTAGCAAGTATTTTATTGTCATTTGTAATAAAGGCAACACCAGGGTATGAAGGTGGTCATGGACCTAGGAGCCAGACTTCTGGAGTTCAAATTGTTCTTATTTCCAGCTGGTCAATCTCAGGCAAATTATCTAACTTCTCTGAACCAGTGTTTCCCCAGCGCCTGGAACAAAGCAGTGCTCAGTGAACATTAGCTATTCAAAACTCTCACCCTTCCCTCTGTCTTATAGTATTCCCACCAGAATTATTCACAGCACTCCTGAAATCCAGTCCATTTTAACTTAATACTTTTTTAGTTACCTGGATTCAATGAGACAGGTTAGCAATAAGCAGGTTAGTTGCTTACCGCATGCAGAGTCTGGTATAAAGAAAGTGATTTATTCTCAAACTAGCTTAGGGGAAGAGGCACAGGCATCCTGCCTTTAAATGTGCCACTTCACTTTTGGAGCAGAAAGCGACCACTTTTAAAAGGCAGGGGAGGAAGTGAGCAAGGGCAGAGAGCTCTGCATGCCAGCTCCAGTGCCACCAGTGACTGCTAGCGCATTCGTGGGCAGGCTGTTATCCCTCAAGGCAACCTCCTGTAGGGTGAGAGCTCCCTAGTGGGGATACTTTGTTTTGTAAATCAACTGTTAACTCTCAGGGGTTCCACCTTGAAGCCCATAGTTAGATGAACTTGCCCCCTTAGGGAGATGGAGGCATCTCCCTACGGAGATGGAGTGGGGGAGCGGGGGTAAAAGGCTATATATTTGCATTTCGGAAAGGTGAGGAAGTGGGGAAACAGAAACAGGAAAAGAAGAAAAATATAATTAAACAATCTCTTAGAAAAACGGGGGTACTCAGTCACAATAGAATGCATGAAAGGGCTTTATAAACTGTTAATCACTTCCTAGATCAGTTGTTTTCAAAGTGAGATTTGCCAACCAGCAGGATCAAGATTACTTGGGAACTCCTTGGAAAAGCAATTTCTCAGTGCAAGCCCCAGACCCAGACTACTGAATCAGAAACTCAAGCAGGCCATTTACCTGGGGCAATAGTTATAAGTAGATTTTTTATCCCTACCCTAAACTGTGGAATATTCCCTACCTCCCCCACCCCTCCAGAGGCAAGGGAATCATAGCCAGGGTCCTGAGAAGATAACCCAAATGAAAATCCAGTCCCAAAGGGCCAACTTGCAGCAAGCTTACCAGACCCAATTTGCCTGTCCATGCATCATGTAGCATGCAGTAATGGGAACTCCAAGGCCCAGGCCCTGCCCACATTCCAGGAAACTCCCAGCCTTGGCCAGGAACCAAGATGACATCAGGTCCTGAGGCCTACACCCTTAGGTGACCAGAGGCCACTTGTTCATCCTTCAAAATGAGAAAGGAAGCAGCAACCTCCTGGAGCACAGGGTTCCCCTCCTGTTTTATGCTACAAAAAGAAATAGACAGCCTTACATATCAACTGTAGCCTTGTAGAATTCACAAAGCCCGTGAAGTGAACTCAGCATCCTGCACAGAGAAGCCACTGCTGTCTCTGAGCTCAGGAGCTGCAGGAAGCTTCTGCTCTGCTCCCTCCAGGTGTAGGAAGGCCCTGCTCTGGCCACAGCCAAGGAATCTTCTCTTCCCCATGGTTAACACTACTTGTACTCCACCCTCCCTAATCTACAGCAGTTTCAAACTAAAGTAACTCACACTTAAGAATAAAACCAACAAAGAGTGCAGTTATTTTTATTATCAGCCAACTTGGGGAAACAAGGATGTAGTTGATTGAATCCTCATTTTATTCATGATTTTTATATTTGAAAGGTGTAACATTGGTAAATATTTCTGTTCCTTAAAAAATTGGAGCAAAACAGACACCTTTTTTTTTTTTTTTTTTGAGTCACAGTTTCACTCTGTCGCCCAGGCTGGATTGCATTGGCGCGATCTTGGCTCACTGCAATCTCTGCCTCCCAAGTTCAAGCCATTCTCCTGCCTCAGTCTCCAGAGTAGCTGGGATTACAGGCACCCGCCACCATGCCTGCTTACATTTTTTTGTGTTTTTAGTAGAGACGGGGTTTCATCATGATGGCCAGGCTGGTGTTGAACTCCTGACCTCATGTGATCCACCCACCTCGGCCTCCCAAAGTTCTGGGATTACAGTTTGTGAGCCACCATGCCCGGCCCCCAGACTTTCTTAATAGCAATGAACATGTTAATCCTGAGGCTTTATAATTTTCATTTTAAAACTGCCTATTATCTCAAGCTGAAAATAAAGTGAAAAATTATTGCATATACAATCATAATGATAAATGAGAAATGCCCAGTTTCTATTTTCTTGGTTATTACAAAACATTAATACAGTGTTTAGTTTTAAAAAGTGTCTGTTTATACACCATGTCAACTGAGTCCTATTGCATTGATTCTCAATCTTCATGGTACTGTGAAAGGAAAATAAATCTTGGGACCTCAAACTCATTCAGCAAAAGGGAAAAGTCAAGCTGGGAACTGGGTCATGCATACCTGCCTCCCATTTTGGTTCCTGAATAAGATGACTACAAAGAGGAAAGGCTACATACCTCCCTCACATTTTGCCACGAGGAAATTCCCTGCAGGCCCCAAGAGCTTTACCCTAAAGCTTATCGGTTAGAGTTCACCATGGTAACGTAAATTGATAGCTTATCTTCACAGGTGCAGAGACATAGGACAGAACTCAAAGACATCCCTCTGCCCACCTGAGACAAATGCATATCTGATTGTTTCCTCTGCCCTATTGTTTCCATTATCTTATGTAAAAATGCAGATTCACTGAGCCAGACAAAGGCATGAATGACTGTTTTCCCCTACTGCCCTCTCACATGAAAATTGTGTATTTCTCAATATCCCACCCTTCCCCATTTAAATATTGAAGCTCTCAAAGTCATCTTTAGAGAAAGGCATAGACATGTCTTTCAGCACATCCTTAACTTTGACAAATAAACCTCCTAAAATGATTGAGACTTTCTTGGTCATTTTCGTTGATTGACAGTACCTATGAGTCACGTGGGAAACCTGTTAAAATGAAAATTCTGATTCAGTAGATTTGAGGGAGGGCCTGAGTTGGAAATGTTTTATTTTATTTATTTACTTATTTATTTGAGACGGAGTTTCGCTCTTGTTGCCCAGGCTGGAGTGCAATGGCGTGATCTCGGCTCACTGCAACCTCCGCCTCCCGGGTTCAGGTGATTCTCCTGCATCAGCCTCCTGAGTAGCTGGGATTACAGGCATGTGCCACCATGCCCGGCTAATTTTTTTTGTATTTTTAGTAGAGATGGGGTTTCTCCATGTTGGTCAGGCTGGTCTCGAACTCCCGACCTCAGGTGATCCGCCTGCCTTGGCCTCCCAAAGTGTTGGGATTACAGGCGTGAGCCACCACGCCTGGCCAATGGAAATGTTTTAAATGCTTCATGGACTATACATTAAGTATGATATTGTTTGGCTGTGTCCCCACCGAAATCGCATCTTGAACTGTAGCTCCCACAATTACTATATGTCATGGAGGGACCCAGGGGGAGGCAATTGAATCATAGGGGCGGGTCTTTGCCTTGCTGTTCATGTGATAGCAAATAAGTCTCACAGGATCTGATGGTTTTATAAAGGGGAATTCCCCTGCACAAGCCCTCTCTTGCTTGCTGCTATGTAAGACCTCCCTTGCTCTTCCACCATGATTATGAGGCCTCCCCAGCCATGTGGAACTGTGAGTCTTGGGTATGTCTTTATTAGCAGTATGAGAACAGATTAATACAGAGTAGTCATCTCAAAAGTTATTTTTATAGAATTTTTTAAAAATCCTAAAATTCATATGGAACTACAAAAAACCCCAAATACCAAGGCAATCATGAGCAAAAAGAACAAAGCTGAAGGTATCATACGACCTGATTTCAAGCTATACTACAAAGCTATATTAATTAACACAGCATGGTACTGGCAAAAAATAGATACATTGACCAGTGGAACAGAATAGCAAGTCCAGAAATGAACTCATGCATATATAGTCAATAGACTTTTGAAAAGGTTTCCATGAAAATATGCAATAGGAAAAGGACAGCCTCTAATAAATGGTGATGTTGTGAAAACTGGAATTCCACATGCAGAAGAATTCATTCATTCCATGAAAACTGGAATTCCACATGCAGACGAATTCTCATTTTATTCATGATTTTTATATCTGAAAGTTATAACATTGGTAGAGATTTCTGTTGCTTTAAAAAATTGGAGCAAAAGAGACTTTTTTTTTTTGAGACAGAGTCTCAAATTCTTATTCTGCATGTGGAATTCCAGTTTTCACAGAATCTCACCCCGTGTACAAAAATCAGCTCAAAATGGACTAAAGACTTCAACATAAGACGAGACACTAAAACTACTAGACGGCATAGGGGAAAAACTGTACAACATTGGTCTTTGAAATGAGTGTTTGGAGTTAACTCCCAAAGTATAGGCAACATAGGCATAAATAAATGGGTTTAGATCACACTATAAAGCTTCTACACAGCAAAGGAAACAACAGTGTATGGAGACAACCTACTGATTGGGAGAAAATATTTGCAAGCCATACATCTGATAAGGGGTTAATATCCAATATATATATATGGAGCTCAAGCAACTCAATAACAAGAAAATAAAAAAAAAATAGGCAAGGGACCTAAATAGACATTTCTCAAAAGAAGACATACAAATGGCCAACAGATAATGAAAAAATGCTCAACATGGACAATCATTAGGGAAATGCATATTAAAACCACAATAATATATAATCTCACACCTGTCAGAATGTCAAAAAGGTGAAAGATAATAAGTGTTGACAAAGATGTGGAGGAATGCACCCCTCATACACTGTTGGTGGGAATGTACATGAGTACAGCCATTATGAGAAACAATATGGAGGTCCCTCAAAGAACTAAAAATAGAATTGCCATATGATTTGGCAATCTCACTTCTGGGTATTTACCTAAAAGATCTGAAGTCAGTTCGTGGAACAGATGTCTGCGCCCCTGTGTTTGCTATAGCACTGTTTGCAATAGCCAAGTTATGGAATCAATCTAAGTGTCCATTAACAGATGAATAAAGAAAATGTGGTACATATACACACAGTGGAATACTATTTAGCTTTAAAAAAGGGGGAAATTCTGTCACTTGTGACAACATGGATGGAATTGGAAAACATTGTGCTAAATGAAATAAGTCAGCCACAGAAAGACAGACACCGCATGTTCTCACTTATATGTGGAATCTAAAACAACTGAACTTAAAGAAGCAGAGACTAGAATGGTGGTTACGGGGCCTGGGGGTGGGAGAAGGAGGAAATATGATGATCAATGGGTACAAAATCTCAGATAAATAGGAAGAGTATTTTTT
This sequence comes from Homo sapiens, assembly GCF_000001405.40. Classification (NCBI taxonomy): domain Eukaryota; kingdom Metazoa; phylum Chordata; class Mammalia; order Primates; family Hominidae; genus Homo; species Homo sapiens. The sequence continues at coordinate 50,817,116 of NC_000007.14, forward strand.
CTTCTTTTTTGAGTTCTATTGCAGAGCATGGTGAATATAGTTAATAATAGAGTTTTGTACATTTCCAAATTACTGAAAGTAAATTTCAAATGTTCTTAGCACAAAAAATTGTTTAGTATTTAAGGTGATGGATATGTTAACTAGCTTTTTTTTTTTTTTTGAGACTGAGTCTTGATCTGTCACCCAGGCTGGAGTGCAGTGGTGTGATCTTGGCTCACTGCAATCTCCATCTCCTGGGTTCAAGCAATTCTCCTGCCTCAGCCTCCCGAGTAGCTGGGATTACAGGTGCCGGCCACCATGCCTGCCTACTTTGTTTGTATTTTCAGTAGAGACGGGATTTCACCATGTTGGCCAGCTGGTCTCAAACTCCTGACCTCAGGTGATCTGCCCACTTTGGCATCCCAAAGTGCTGGGATTACAGGAGTGAGCCACCGCACCCGGCCACTAGCTTGATTTTATTATTCCACATTGTATTTATACATTATGTCACTCTTTATCCCATAATTATATACAATTATGAATTGTCAATTTACAATTTTAAAAAAGAAAAAAGCTGAGGCTCAGAAGAGTTACCTGACTTTCCCACAGTCTCTCCACATTCCACAGGAAACCATGATTTCAGATGTTTCCTCAACTCCAAGTCCAGTGTCTTTGCACAGCAAACCTTACAGCAAGGACGTTCTTTCTCCCTCTTGGCCTCTGTGCTGTTCTTGTCATACATCTTACTCCATGTTGTAGACCTCATAAAACATTTTTATTTGTTTTGGTTTAAATAGTCAATTATGTTTTTAAAATATTTTTTTAAATCATGAAAAAGTTATTTTATATTTGCCCACCTATCATTCCTGATACTCTTCATTCCTTTGTATAAATACAGATTTCCATCTTTACTGTGATTCTGCTGGTAATGAATGGTTTGGAAGCTTTTTAGTGCCTGAAAATGTTTTTATTTGCCTTTATTTCTGAAAACAAATTATTAGACTTGGAACTCTATAAAGAGTTTTTTTTAAAAAAGATGTTGTTTCAATGTTTCTGGTTTGTATACTTCCGACAAGAAGTCTGCTGTTGTTCCATGGATCTTGTCTAGTTTTTAAATTGTTTCATATGGGAGGGTAAATCTGGTTCCTGTTATTCTATCTTGGCCAGAAGCTGAAATCCTTTTCTCAGTTTTGAGTCCTTATTAGTAGTGACCTTTATCATGACCTCAGGCCTCTGTCATTACAATAATAGTTTTAGCATTTGCATACTGTGTTACTCGGGTACCCGGGAACTTTTGAGTCACTTATATGCACTACATAGACCATAGGTAGCCAAGAAAAATGCCATGAGCTCAGCTGTCTATACACCTTCCGCTGTTGTCTTTGTGGTGGCCGCATGCCAGGTTTCCTCCAAAGATTTGCAACCTCCTCTGGCATACTTCCCTACTAGTTCACTCACTCAAGCACACCAGTGGCACTAAAGGTGGAGAATTATATTTGGCGGAGGATTCAGTCTCCATCATACTCTCCTCCCAGCCATGATGCTGACATCTGGACTGAATTATGAAGCAGATACTTCACATCTTGAGTGTGTGAGGCTTAGAGAAGGCGATGGGTACCAACACACTTAGAAATCATAACATTCATTGAAATAGAATATAATATTTTGTACTTGCATTTTATTTGGGTGTGTTTAATGGCTGTAGGTTATAGTTTAGAACATACAAATAAAACACTTTATTGGATTTATGGGGAGCCAGAGATGCCTGGAATTTCTGCTCATGGACCCTTATCCAGTTCAGGGATTGGCACATCCCTTATGCAATTACACCTCTACACCTTACACCCCTTAAACATCTCTTTCTCTACCCAACGTAGTAAACTATCTCAAATAATCTCTGTCTCAGACCTTGGCCGGAGAAGTAAAAAAAAAAAAAAATACTGAAGTACAAATCAGGGGACAAAAGCTGTGGCCCTTGGAAAAGAATATCGTCTCCAGGTGTGTACTGTTTGACTTACACTTTGCTTAACAAATGCCCACATGGTCTTTAGGCAGAGCTGTGTTCTTTAGTGCCGGTCAACTGCTTCCTTGTCCTTTACATGTTGATCTACCTGACTTCTGAAGACATCTGACCCTGACTATTTAAGCAGAAGCCACTTTGTTGAGGGAAAGGGAATCTGTACTTAGGCAGGAGAGGAGTTTCTCCAAGGGCTGGTGTTTTCATGTTGTCAGTTAGTAGTTTGGAGTTTATTGCCTTCTCTCAGGCAATAGGTACAGTCCTTAAGCACTCCCTTTGATTGGAATACTCATCTTTCCAAGCTTACTCGCTCATTACTGTCCCACTCGGCCACTCTGGATTAGGACTTTCCCTGCCCTCCACCATGCTCCCAATGCTCTTTTAAGCATCTCTCCTTGTTTCAGTCTTACATATGTTTTGCATCCTTATTTGATCTTTCACAGGTGAGAGAAATGAAGTCTCATACCTGATGTGTTTCTGTTTGTTCTCTTAATGCGCCTATGGTAGTTACTTCATGGATTTTGATGCTGTTATTTTTTATTTTTATTTACTTATTTTTTTGAGATGGAGTCTCGCTCTGTCGCCCAGGCTGGAGTCCAGTGGCGCGATCTCGGCTCACTGCAAGCTCCACTTTCCGGGTTCACGCCATTCTCCTGCCTCAGCCTCCAGAGTAGCTGGGACTACAGGCACCCACCACGACGCCTGGCTAATTTTTTTTGTATTTTTAGTAGAGACGGGGTTTCACCGTGTTAGCCAGGATGGTCTCGATCTCCTGACCTTGTGATCCACCACCTTGGCCTCCCAAAGTGCTGGGATTACAGGCGTGAGCCACCACGCCCGGCTTGATGCTGTTATTAAGTGTGTACATATTTATCACAGTTAGATCTTAGTGCATGTTGTACCCTTTATCATTGAAACATGACCTTCTTGGTCTCATTTAATATTTCTTTGCAACTTTTCTGTATGTTTGAAACCTCTTGTTATAAAAATAATTGTTGAAACTAGTTGAAGGTTATTTAGATATTCATTGTTCTATTCTTTCAATTTCTCCATAGGCTTTACGATTTTCTAATTGAAAAGCTGGAACGTGGGAGGATAACAACATGGAAGCTACTCAGAGTACATGTTCAACAAATGTGAATACTTATGGTTTTGGGAATATGTGGAAAGTGCAAAACTTTGGCTCAAAAGACCTGCATTCAAATCCTGGGTCTACTACTCACATAGGTACCTTCCTTCCCTGAGCCCCAGTTCTTTGCCTGAAAATAGAAGCAAGCAACCCAGAGGGGTTGTTGCAGTCCTTGAAGCAACATATGTGAAATTGGTAGATATATAATAAGTACTCAGTAAAAGTGACTTTTAAATCCTATCAGGGGCAATGCTGTAAGAAACATGCGATCAGTTTTTAGGCTCAAAAGTCCCAAATTCCAATCCCAGCTCTTATCACCTGCTCTGTCACCTCAGACAAACCATCTGACCTCTTGAATCTGGTTCTTCATCTTCAAAATGATATGCCTTGGAGCATGGTTATGAGGATTAGATGTAATAAAGTGCATAAAGTGGCTGCATGAGAGTAGGTATTTAATAAATAAAAGTCATTACTGTTGGCAAGATGTCACTGTAGGTATTTATCAAACACTTAATATAGCACTTATTAGGTGCCAGGCACTATTCTATATACTTTTAAAATATTAACTAAATTAATTATCAATTAATGCATAGTCCTACAATGATCCCAGTTTTACTCATGAGGAAACAAGCACAAAGAGACAGTAACTTTGCCCAAAGTCACACAGCTGGTAAGTGGGAGAGACTGGATCCACATATAGGCAGTCTGGCTCTAGAATCTTTGCTTTTATTTGCTACTCTCCCTCAACATCAACATTAGAAAAGAAACATCCTCATATCTAAGGAATATCTCTCCATGTTCAATGATTGATTAGTTGGTTGAGATCATTTTGATATAATCTAAGTGTGTGTTTTAGATTTTCCAGGGAAGTTCATCAGTAACCCTAGCTTCTCTAGCAATTCTGGCAAAACAAACAAATAAATAAAATCAAATAAACCTGGCTCCAAACAAAATGAAACACAGAAACAAACAAAACAATAAAGCCTTCTGATGGACGAAAATGTGGATGTAGGACAGCTGAAAAATATTCTTCCTAAAATTATCATTAGATGGAAAATCTCAGGTGGTAAGGTGCAGAGCTACTGGCTATTAAAGCCTATCTTTATCTGCAGATTCATCTGCCAACACATTAGAATGGGCCTCTTCGAAGCAGGAGGAGACACAGCGGGTGGGCCATGAGGAGAGTCACGCCAAGGAATCTTCTCTGTGAATCAGCTCCTTTGGGCTTCAGTAACCTGGTAAGGTCCAAAAATCATGTGGAAAGCGGGCACCCCTATGCGTGTGCTCCCTGAAGGAGAAGGAAAGAGACAGCATACTGTCAGCCGTGTTGTTATGTGCACGCTGACAAACTGTGGTACGTGCTCCACGTGGAGAATGTGGAGGAGAGGGGATTGCCTGGAACGTCATTGTAGGGAAAGGTCCTTTCCGGCTGCAGAAGCTGAGTCATCTGGGGACAGAACCATCATCTCACTTCCAGCCAGATGAGAACAACTGTCTTTGGTTGCTCACAGGGCACACTGTAGCTTTAGACAGTGACAAACTATTTGACCGGCCAACACCAAAAAAGTATTTTGAGCTTATGGAAAGTTAGTATGAGATCATGCACTGCTAAAATATAAAAGGGGAGCTCAGATAATGCCTGCAGTGACAGGCACACAAATGGCCGGTGTCATATATCGCCTTTATTTGCAGACAGGCTTTTCCTTCAGCCTGATCAGGCTGGTGTCTGATGTTAGCACTTGGGATCAGCTTTAGAAAAAGCTGAACTGGGGAGGAGATTCATTGGTCATAACTATTGAAAAGAAGACAAAAAGATTCAGAGTCTGTAATTTTCCCACCCACATTAAGTTATTTGGATAAAAGTCCGCCGTCATAACCAGTCTGAATTCACTAAAAATAACGTACATCTGAGAATATTTCCACAGGTTTGACCACTGGTTCCCTAAGAAAAAGAGCAGAGAATACAGTCCAGTACCAGAAAGTTTAGGATTTAGTTGACATTTATTGCAGGAGATTTATCGACTCATGAGATAAATATTGACCAAGGCAAAGTCAAGGTTATTACTTATCTTCAAGAATAATAAATCTTGGTATTCTCAGTGACACAAAGTCAATATGTACGTTGCTACATAAATTCCAAACGAAGATTTTCATTGAAACATCTGTAAATCTCTCCATCATGACCACGAGAGTAGCTTTTTAAAATTTGCTATTAAAGGGAAATGGATACCAAGACCTGATGGGAACATCTACTGTTCACCCCTGTGAAACTAACCAGGTGGCCTTAATTTTCATTGTGATGGAATCCCTGATTAGTTCATCAAAACATAGTCCAGTCATTGTTAGTTGGTCTTTATTGTCACTGATTCCAAGTAAAAGAGTCAAAATTTTCTCATCCCAAGTAAAAGGCAGAATGAGCCCATATATTCTTGACAACCACTATATTTCAGGATAAAATGTAGTCACTTTTTAAATATGTGCAATAGATGAATTCTAGTAAGGTTGAAGGAGAACATGAAAGAGAAAGAAAATGGAGTCTTGGTGGCATGTGTAAAAGATCGGCTTCTAGGACTCGGTCCTCCACCTTTTCTCTTCAACCCATCCAGAAGCACTCAGCAGGCCTTTACTAGAGTATGCATGAGTAGGCGAGTATGCATGAGAATAACTGGTGACTAACTAGACTATGCACTTAACCCTCTGTAAAAATCAGTGGAGATGCAAAACAATGGAAAACCATGGCATCTGTCCCGAAGAAACTCTTCTCCAGGGAGCTTTGTGTATGTCAGGGCCAGTATTTGCAATTTCCTGCCTTAATCTGGGTTCTATAATTTTTGGTCCTCAAGAATGTAGGTGGATGCATCCGTGTGTGACTGCATCGTGCCTGGCAGCCTTTACAGAATTTTGGCTGTGCCATGGGAGCCCAGCTCCTGACAAGGTTTGCTGCCACTTCTGACCTGTGAGTTGACCCTGACCATCACCCCCTTCACAGCCTCTTTGATTCCATTCTCAGCATGACAGCCACAACACCTGTTATGGTTTAAGATCATGCCCTCTGGTAAAGCCCTCTGGTGGCTTCCCATCTGTGTTAGTTTCTTAGGGCTCCCATGACGAGGTGCCACAAACTGAGAAGCTTAAAAAAACAGAACTTTATTCTCTCACGGTTTCAGAGGCTGGAAGTCCAAAATCAAGGTATCAGAAGGGCCACGCTCCCTCCAAAGGCTCCCGGGCAGAATCCACCCTGCCCTTCCATCCACTGTGCTCCTTGGCCTGTAGCTGCATCATTCAATCTCTGTCTCTGTCATTCTCCCTGTGTGTATCTGGTGTGTCCCCTCCTCTTCTTTTTTCTTTTGAGACAGAGTCTCGCTCTATCACCCAAACTGGGGTGCCATGGTGCGATCTCGACTCACTGCAATCTCCACCTCCTGGGTTCAAGCAATTCTCCTGCCTCAGCCTCCCGAGCAGCTGGGACTACAGGTGTGCGCCACCACACCTGGCTAATTTTCGTATTTTTAGTAGAGACGGGGGTTTCACCATATTGGCCAGGCTGGTCTCGAACTCCTAATTTCGTGATCCACCTGCCTTGGCCTCCCAGTCCTCCCTCTTCTTATAAGAACACCCATTATTGGATTTAAGGCCCCTCTGTTTCCAGTATGACCTCATTTTATCTTGATTACATTCGCAAAGACCCTGTCTTCAAATAAGGTCACATTCACAGGCACCAGAGCTTAGGGCTTGAACCTATCTTTGGGGGACACAGTTAAACCCACCACACCATCTTACCCAGAATGAAAACTGACCTCTTTGTTCTTGCCTCCAAGGCCCACTCGTATGGCTTCTCCCTCCCTTCCCAACACCCTCTCAGGCACCCTCCCCACTGATACTGCTCCATGTGTACTTCCTATTTCTTGAGTAGGCCTTACTCTTTCTCCCCTTGAGCCTTTCTCTTGCCTTCTCCCTCTGTCTGTAATAATCCTACCCTGGTCTCCAAACAGCTGACATCTTCTTCTTCAGGGCTCTGCCCAGAGAGCCTTCCTGGGCCACTCAGCCTAAGTGCACCTGACACCTCATCTTTGTCCTATCACTCTGCTTGCTTGCTTCATGGACTCACTCCTGCCTGAAATGATGTTTTAAAATTTGTTGTCTTATTTATTCCCTTTCTCCTCCACTAGAATGTAAGTTTCAGAAGAGCAGGGACCTTGCCTGTCTCAGTCTTGCTCTATGAGCAACTGCTAGAACAGAGCAGACCCTTACCTAATATTTGTTGAATGAATGAGTAGTCAGTTTCCTCTACCGTGGCCTTGAGGAGGGGACATCCCGAATCCAGGAAACCTCTACTATCAAGACACTGGTCTCTAATTCGTGGGGACATTTTCCTTGCTTTTCCAAGCCTTCTTTCATGCCTCTTACACACCTTGTCCTTGGGATACCACATGGAATATAAGTTCAGTCCTGGAGCATTAAGAATTCGAGGTCTTAAGGAAGTTTTGGCTATTCATGTGCATTTATTTTGGCATTAAATTTGTGTTTTAACTATTGGAGGGAAAATATATTGAGACTTATTTGGTTGCTTTTCACTTATTTAAAAGCATTTAAGATTTACTTCACTTTACAATTCTATCAGTTTATTGCCTTTACAATTCTATCAGTTTATTGCCTTTCTGGAGTTTTTATTCTCCCAGTCATATTCCAAAATGACCCAGGATCTGAAAAAATTCAAACTGAGTGACTGTCCTCAACCTCATGTCTTGGGATGAGTCCTATTTACTCAGTGGGTGGGCTTTGCTGAGCTGTCTGGGTTTGAAGGATGCCTCACCACTTGCGGCCCCTGAAGATCAAAGCAGTCCATGCTCACTGTAGAGTAACCCTCAGCACAGAAGGGTACGATGCAAACACCCAGCCTTCTCACCCACGCCTCCTTCCCTGCCTGCCCCGTAAGGAACACCTATGCCCCAGGGCTCATCCAGAAAACAGTTTCTTTTGCATCCTTATAGATGAGTTCTTTCAATCTCTCCAGGCCACAGTTTCTTTGTCTATACCAGGGCTCAACTAATATTTTCTGCAAGGGGCTAGATAGTAAATAGTAAATATTTCAGGCTTTGCAAGCCATATGGTCACACTCTCTGGTGTCAAAGCAGTCGTAGACAATATGTAAATAAATGGGCAAGGCTATGTTTATAAAACTTCAGTTATGAACACTGAAGTTTGAATTCGGTCTAATTTTCACGTGTCACACAATAGTCTTCATAGATGTATTTTTCAACCATTTAGTCACATAACAACTGTTCTTAGCTCGTGGGCCCTATGAAATCAGGTGGTGGACATGTTTGGGCTGAGACCCCTGCTCTACGGGGGCATAAAACGCACAATATTGTGAGAATTCAGGAGCACGAGCTTTAACTAACAGCACAAGGCATATCACGTGAGAGTCATTCAGTGGCTGGTATTCACTGATCTCTATCAGAGCAGAAAACAGGTGCTTTTCGTGAGTGAAAGCAGGAGGCTGAAGGCCCACTGCACTTTTCTCGTGGGTGATTTGGGGTCTCTAACCAACACCTAAGGCAGCAAGCCATTTCTCCTCAATCCCTGAGTTACTCTGGTAAGGGAATCAAGTTTGCACTGCTTTTCATACTTTCCCCCACTAAATTTTATTATTTCCCTTTTGTTGGTTCTTTCTCTCTCAATTCTCTTTTCTAAGCTGACTCCATTTCTTTTCTGGAAATTTTCAGTATTGTGGGGCCTGGGTATTAGGGATTAGGAACACTTGCAATCTGAAAGCCTGTGTCTTAGGAAGGTGTATGCAAAGGGAATAAGTGGAGGGGAACCCCCTGTGAGCTGTGCAGACCAGAACAGGTTTTTCTCCTAAGGTAAGGGTGTTCAAGAGGAAAAACAATGTGCAGATATTAACTCTTCCTTGAAAGTTTGTTATGTAGAGTTAAAGATTGCAGATTACAGGCTTTAGAACCAAACTGCCTAGGCGCTAATCACACACTCAGAACCACGTGACTATAGATAGTCGCTAAACCTCTCAGATTTGGTAGCCTCATCCATAAAATTAGCGTGGTAATCATAATAGCAGATACCTCAATGTTATTGTTAAGATTTTTAAAAGTTAATATATGCATAGCCCTTAAATCAGTGCCTAGTATGGAATGGGTAATCACTGTTAATTTCTCAAACTTTTTATTTTGGAATAATTTTAGATTTAGAGAAAAGCTGTAAAGATAATACAGGGAGTTTCCCTATACTCTCCATCCAGTTTCCTGTAATTGTTAACATCTTACATATCCGCAGCATGTTTGTCACAACTATGAAATTAACACTGGCACAATACTACTAACTAAACTCCAGACTTTTTTTGTATTTCACCAGTTTTTTTCACTCATGCCTCTTTTCTGTTCCAGGATTCCATCCGGGATCCCACAGTGCATTTAGGCTGTCTCCTTAATCTCCTCCCATCTATGCCCATTTCTGGGACTTTGTTTCTTTTTCAAGACCATCACCCTTTGGAGGAGTGCTGATCAGGCATTCTGGATGATGTGCATCGCTTTGAGTTCGGCTGATGTTTTCTGTGATCGATTGGGGTTATGTTTTGGGGGTGAGTGCCATGGGGTGAAGTGCCCTTCTCATTGCCTCGCCTCGGGGGCACATGACTTCACCATGACTCAAGTCTGGTGATGTTAACCTTGAGCCCTTGGTTGTGGTGGCATCCGCTAGATTACTGCATTGTGAAGTTGCTATTTTTCTCTTTCCATACCCTTCTAGAGGAAGTGAGTCACCAGGTCCAGTCCACACTCACTAGGAGAGCAATGAAGCCCCACCTCCTGGAGAAGTGGCTGCATCAATGCTCCCCTGTATTACTTGTGGTGCTTCTGTGAGAAAGATTTGTCTCTTTTTCCCTATGTATTTGCTTATTCACATGTTTACTTATATTGGCATAGACTCATGGATTGTTCCAGCTTTGGCCATTGGGTACTGTTTCAGGATGACTCCTGTGTGCTTTTGATGTGTTCCTATTTTTTAAAGCATGTCCTCTGATGCTACAGGATGCTTCAGGCTGATCTGGAATTTCCCTTAATTCAGTTATTAATTCAGCCATAGGATTGTATGAGGATGCATGACACAGGGGACTTTTATTGTTTGGTCTGTCCAGGATCCCCCATCCCTGGAAGAACTCATCTCCCCATCCCTTGTGGTCCTAGGTTGTCCATCAGCACACCACCCCCAGTGGGCCACAGGAGGAAGGACTGATGCAAAGGGTATGCATTTCCACAGGGCCAGGAGGGCCTCCCTTGAGGTGGCTATGTGTATGTTGGGAAGGAGAGTTTCACTTTCCCTGTGCTGCTAAACTGGGAAGCTGGTGGTGGCCATCTTCCCCACTTCATGAGAGAACTTGCCTTCAGAAGAAGCCAATACAACAGGAGGCAGAGCTGACCTTGAGAGAGAGCCCTGCCTGTATGACAGCACCTCCCATCCAGCTCTTCTTGACACTCTTCAATGTTCCACCTACATGGACCAAGACACTCCAATTGCTTTTTAAGCTCATTGTGCATATGACTACATGAAGTACCTAGCATGAGGACCACATCTTTCTGCCAGTCCGGCCCTTCATAGAATTTACACCCCACCTACTTCGATGGACACCAAAATATAATCCTCACACTTGACCTAGACACACCCATTATGCTGATTGAAACAAATCAAACTTTAAAAGCACTTCAGAAGACTACTTTTTAGAATCTAGTAATCACCCTTGATTTATGCTTTATGCAAAATTACACAGATTTTTAATGAATTTTTGCACAAATCTAAGTATAAATACAGATGCTCCTGAACTTACAATGGAGCTACTTCCCAATAAATCCATCATAAGTTGAAAATATAGTGAGTTGAAAATGCATTTAATACACCTAACCTACTGAGCATTGTAGCTGAGACTAAAACATTCTCAGAACACTGACATTAGCCTACACCTGGGCAAAATCATCTAATCCAAAGCCTATTACAAAAAGTGGAGAATATCTTATGTGATTTATTGAGTACTGTACTGAAAGCGAAACTAAGAATGGCTGTATAAGTACTCAAAGTACAGTTTCTACTACATGTGTATCACTTTTGCACCATTGTAAAGTTGAAAAACCTTAAGTTGAACCATCGTAAGTTGGGGATTATCTGTATATCACTTTAATAAGGCGAAAACAATACTACAACCTAATGATCATAAAGATATAGTGGAATAGGTACATTTATATAAGTAATAGAGTAAAAGGTTATACAAATCAACATCCATAAAATTGTGGGATTTTTGATCTAATAATCTCACTTGTGGATGTAACCTAAGGAATTTAAAAAAGTTTTTTTAAAGACAGATTCATAAGTTTTTTGCAGTCTGATTATTTAATAGAGAAATATGGGAAACAATTTATGTGTTCCACAATGGGGTCTTTTTTTTTTTAAGTGAAACCTTAACTCTTTGAAATGTTATATGATTTTTAAAAATTATAAACATGAAGAAACTCAAGCAAGATAATGATATTTATTATGGAGGCTGCATTACTCGGGACAGGTTAAGTTATTATGACTTAGAATAAGGGCCCCCAGGAGTGTGTGGACAGAGGAAAGGGATGTGAGGACATGGTGAGAAGGCAGCCGTCTATAAGCCAGGAAAAGAGCCCTCACCAGAAATGACACTACCTGCACCTTGTTGATCTTGGGCTTCCAGCCTCCAGAACTGTGAGGAAATAAATTTCTGTTGTTTAAGGCACACACAGTCTGTGGTATTCTATTCTGGAAGCCTGAGCTGACTAACACATGGGCAGAGAGGTACAAGCCTAGCATACCTCCGGAAGTGAAAAATACTGGAAATAATTGATGAACAGCAGTGATGTCTACTAAAGAGGATGAAATAAAAACAACAAAGAAACAAAATAACAGAATACATCCTTGGTGACTTAATAGCTGTATAATATAGTTTCATTTCTCCCTGGCCTTTAATACTATATCTTGTAAATGTTTTATTGAGATACAATTCACATACTATAAAATTCACCCTTATTGAGTGTACAATACAGTTAATTTTTTAGTGTATTCACAAAGTTATGCAACCCTAACCACTGTCTAGGTCCACAACATTTTTATCACTCCAAAAAGAAATGCCATTAACAGTCACTCCTCACTTGCCTCTCCTCCCAGCCCATGGAACTAGTTGTCTACTTTCAGGCTCCATAAGTCTGCCTCTTCTGCACATCTCACGTAAATGGAACCATATAACCTCTCAGCTCTGTCTCATCAAATTATGGAGTCTTCTGGCATGTGGGTTCCTCCCTCTGCACTGTTACCTGGGAGCTCTTTCAAGAGAGGGGCAATGTTAAGGCTTGCATGGTTTGCTTCCTGCCTCATGGTGATCACTGTCCTGCATCAGGTGGTGTCTAGTATCTTGAAAGCTGATGGTGTTTTTAACTTGTTTTATTGTTGTTGTTATTATTTTCATCAAGAGGATAAATGTGATACCTGTTACTCTATGTTGGCCCAAAGTGGAACCCTACATTGCATTTATACATTTTACACATTTTGCTTTCACATAAGACTGTTTGAATAGTGTGTTCTTCAGCTCGGCTACAAAGTTTGAACACTTTTTTTTTTTTGAGATGGAGTTTCACTCTTGTTGCCCAGGCTGGAGTGCAATGGCATGATCTTGGCTCACTGCAACCTCTGCCTCCCATGTTCAAGCGATTCTCCTGCCTCAGCCTTCTGAATAGCAAGGATTACAGGCATGTGCCACCTCATCCGGTTAACTTTGTATTTTTAGTAGAGACAGGGTTTCACCATGTTGGTCAGGCTGGTCTCGAACTTCTGACCTCAGGTGATCTGCCTTCCTCGGCTTCCCTAAGTGCTGGGATTACAGACGTGAGCCACTGCACCCGGCCCAAGGTTTGAACACTTCAGATGTAGAGCTGTGATCACAGTAAAGAAAATGGAGGAGGAAAGAAATGGAGGAGGAAAGAAGAGACCTGGATTTTATTTTTTTATTTTATTTTATTTTTTGAGATGGAGTCTTGCTCTGTCGCCCAGGCTGGAGTGCAGTGGCACGATCTCGGCTCACTGCAACCTCTGTCTCTCAGGTTCAAGCAATTCTCTGCCTCAGGCTCTTGAGTAGCTGGGATTAGCCACCATGCCTGGCTAATTTTTGTAGTTTTAGTAGTTACGGGGTTTCACCATCTTGGCCAGGATGGTCTTGAACTCCTGACCTCGTGATTCACCTGCCTCAGCCTCCCAAAGTGCTGGGATTACAGGCATGAGCCACAGCGCCTGGAGAGACCTGAATTTTATTGTATACAGTCCATACACAAAACTCGGGTGCAACTTATCAAACTCCAATTCATCTTCCAAACTTTCTCTTTCAGAAACACTTCCTATATGAGGTCTTCCTGCAAATGTCTGCACTGCCCTCAAATTAATCATTCCACCTTTGTATCATTTTGTCCAGTTTCAATATCTTGTGCATATTTGTTATTGCTTGTATTATAATTATTTTTGGCCTCATTTTTGTCTTCTTTGACTGCAAGCTCCATGAGGCTAGCAGAATGTGTTATATGTGTTTGGTCTGCAGACTTACCGTGATACCTGGCTCACGGTAATTGTTCTATAAATATTTTTTGCACTAAATTGTATACATATCTTTTATTTCACAAACTACGTCCATTATGTAAGCAAGCTAGTTTTCCTTCTCTTTTAGTAGGAAGAGGGAAAAAAAGTGAAAAATATCAAATGTTTTGCCTAAGATGAATGATCAGGAAATTGGAGACAAGGACGGAAACCCAGCCAGGGCTCTAGGTCTTCCACATCATTTGCTTCTCATGAGCAGTACTGTCCAGCAGAAACTTCTGTGAGGATACAAATCTTCTATATCTGTGCTGTCCAGTATGGTAGCCACTAGTCTCATGTGGCTACTGAGCACTTGATCAGTGTGACTGGGGACTTCCATACTTAATTTAAACTAATTTAAACCTAAACCTAAATAGCTACATGTGACCATTGGCTACCATATTGGACAGCCCAGCTCCATACTGTTGAAGACAGAGCCCTTGTCTTTTTCAACCCTTGAACTGCACATGCTCAACAGAAAAGAAGTTCTGAACCTGAGGGGTTTTTTGTTGATTTCTGAACAAAGAAGAAATTCAACAAAAGTGTCCAACCAATAGTTTTGCCAAACAGAAAGAAGACTGTCTAAAATAAAAAAAACCAAGATGAAATTTAGGAAAAGTAGATTAAAAGATCAACAATAAAAATGATCAAGTAAATAAGTGTTCTTAAAAACAGCCATGAATTTCAAGCCTTGGCAAAGAGTAGTTTGACCTTGAGGTTCTCTGTTCCTAAGTGACTTCCATGGTAAGCGTGGGTATGATAAACACACACACACACAAACACACAAACACACACACACACACACGAAATTGGAGAGGAGGAGGAGGATTGGAACCCAGCCAGGGCTCTAGAGCCCTAGTCTCATGACTTTCACATCATTTGCTTCTCATGAGCATTATTGTACAGCAGAACCTTCTGTGATGATGAAAATGTTCTGTATCTGTGCTGTCCAATATGGTAGCCACTAGTCGCATTGGCTAATGAGCACTGTATAAATACAGATATAGGTATAGACATATGTACTCTTAAAATCTCTTCAATTGAATTGCCTCATACTCCACTTAAGGGGCCATCCATGTTAAAGGTAAGTTATGGCCTCAGCAATGATGGCCAAGCCATTCTGATCTCCTACAATGTTGGGGAGATCTCCTTTGCCCTGCCCAGCTTGTCTGTCTCCTCTTTTTGAAGGGCAGTGTGCTGCCCTTCAAACGGTGCTGCCATAACAAGCCATGTGGCTCAAACAAGAGAAATGTATTGTCTCGCAGTTCTGGAGGTGAGAAGTCGAAGATCCAGGTGTCGGGTTGGCAGGGTTGGTTCCTTCTACGGGTGCTGAGGGAGGTCTGTTCACATGGTGTGGGGAAAAGAAAGGATAGCAGGGGGTTGCCATCAGCGTTGAGGGTGTCTGTGAAGCCCACACTTTTTCCCACTGTGGGGATGGGCTCTGCGCATATGACATTCACC
Source organism: Homo sapiens (assembly GCF_000001405.40). Classification (NCBI taxonomy): domain Eukaryota; kingdom Metazoa; phylum Chordata; class Mammalia; order Primates; family Hominidae; genus Homo; species Homo sapiens. Next base: position 50,832,343 of record NC_000007.14, read on the forward strand.
TATCTTCTGTCCAATGTGGATTCCTGGGAGAAATTCTGGAATACATTAGCACTGGAAATTCAGAAATAGGGTGGAGAGAATCTGGTCAGTCTGAACGGAGGACCATGAACTTGAGGCTTCAGGGATGGTTGTATTTAACCAAAGAGGGTGTGGAGAGACTGCGGGGAGCAAAAGCCAGCCCGAGTTGCATTTCCTGCTCCCTGTTTCCGAATTTCACTTCTATCTGAAATCTGCACGTGTGTCCTTTCTTTGGGTTTGTGGAGATCACCCAATATCCTGCCCAAAATTCCATTTTTTCTTGCCCAAAGTCATGTCAGGTGGAATAGCCTTTTGCAACTGCAAGTCTTGGCTGAAACTCAGAAGCAGACAGGGCATGGAGCACAAGAATAGGAGGGTGGAGTATCCTGGACAGTGAGCACCTGCTCAGAGCAGAGATTAAGTTTGAGAGGACTGCTCCTTTTCTCTCCACACCCCCAAGCAAGCAGTAGGTGCCTTTCCAAAGAACAGGTATTGCTCCGTGGTTTCCAGACCAGCTCCAGTGAGTAAGACGAAGCTTTGTTTATCATCACTTCCCCACCCAAACCACACTCAAATAAGCAGTAAAAACCTCGAGACCTTAGTCATCAGTTGAGGTAAATTATAAACTTCTAAGAGTGTGGCTTCTCAGAGATACCACATTTTCCTCATATAATGAGCCTGCAGTTTGTGGCAAAGAATGACTTAAGAACAAGTGAACTCACTGTCTAAAAGGAGAATTTTTATCACTATCAATTGCTCTATGACTGACAGGGCTGTTATTTCTTTTGGTAGCAGAAAGGGCTAAAGTACAGAGAGAAACCCTAGAAATAAACACGGCCTGCGTAATGGCAAGGTTTTGTGTTGCCAAAGTCAAAAGAGCGCGTTCCTGGGTAAGAATCCTTACCCATCTTGCCCCATTCACTGTGATTCTGTAGCATCCAAATCAGTTACAAAAGCAGCCATGGCTGTGTTGGGCTGGGAGGCAACAGTGGTTGAAATACTGTCCTTGTGATAAAGGAGCTCAGAGTGGAAGAAGACGACACTGGCAAACAGAGCATGAAGATTCCCCGTGAGAAGTCCTCCAGATGGAGGAAGTCACGAATCACTTCATGGACACGAGGACCAATGGATTCTGCCTGCACAGGTCACAGAAGACTTCCCAGAAGAGCGGACATTTGAGGCAGATGTTACAGGATGCATAGGAATTGCCAGGCACAGGATGGGGACAATGTTGTAGTCAGAGACTGCGTGGAGGCTGGAGAGGGCATGGTGGGCCCAGTTAGTCACTGGCAATGTGGCCTGGCTGGAAGGTGGGGTATGAGAGGGGGCTGGTGGGAGGGAAAGCCGAAGGACAGGATGGGACTGGGTCACAGTGTGTTCTGGCTGGCATGGCGGGACCACAGAGGCGTCACCACATTTCTAAGTAGTGGTTGATATTCCAGATCTCAGATTTAGAAAATCATTCTGGCAGAAACGTTAAAGATGTATTTGGAGGGTGCTGGCTGCCGGGAGATCCAGTAGCGGGTTGCTGCAGGAACCCAGGCGAGGTATCACAACATGACTTTGAGAGGTGGTCTGTACTTCTATCTGGTTTTGTAGAGCAAGGAGGAAGTTCAATAAGTTTCCATTTTTAAGTGTTTGCCCTGCTGTTAATTTTGTATTGTTACTAGTAAAATTGTTAGAGGCAGCAGCAGAAGGCACATTGCAGATGGCAGAGATATTTTTTCACAGCTTTTATGGTGGATAACAATATATGTGACATTTTCCTCATTAATGTGAGCTTTGCTGTATGATTAAACATGCTAGGCATCTGTGATCTAAAATTACAAATGTGAAGAGCAACAGCTCAAATGTTTCAGTCAATAAATATACAGGAGACAGTCAACATGAAACAACTCCCCCCTATGCTCTCTTCCAGGAGGAGCTGCACTGACGGTGACAGCATTTTTGGCAATGGCTTGGCCTTCATCCTAAGGAAAGCAAGGGAACTGAAATCCCAGACTGCTAATTACACCCTGAGATTCCAACAGAAGAGAGTGGTTTCCATTAGGAAATCTCAATGCTAAGTGCCAACAGGGCTGGAGAGGGAATGGAGGCTTTACTGAGGAAATTAGGGAATTACTGAAGGGAGCCATGGAGGAGAAGAATTTCACTCCACCATTCAGACACAATGGAGAAGTGTGTAAGGTCAGTGGACACATCCAGTGACCAGTAGGCAGGACGCCTACATCTTTTTGCTGAGGGAAGTCTCCCCATTGCATGTGAGTGTGTGAGTGTGCGCACGTACTTGTGTGTGTGTGTTCTGTGCTCCCAGCTAAAGTAGAAGAAGATTCTTGAGAACTCGCCCTCTTCCCACATACTGATCACAGAAGGTGAGAAGCTTTCCCTTTTCTTAACTATTCTGATCTGTTGGCAGAGGCACCTCGAGTCACCATCGAGAACGATTTTCATGCCTGAATCAGCTTAATGGCTGGGGATGCCAGGTTGCTCAGTGATGTCTGGCATGGGTACAGAATCAGGAGTGGATCAGGGCTTCCGTTCTGACCATATGGACACAGTCAGAAAATAGGGAAGTGCAGATTCCAAAAGAGTAAAGAGGATTCAAATCAGTAATGATAGAGAGTGGAAGAAGAAGTCCAGATAAAGAGATTCTGCCAAAGCCATGGAATAAAAATGAGGCTTTTGCTCATGCCGGGTACATCTCCACATTCTGGAAAAAACATGGCATGGTGTGTGTAACGTCCAGTGATGAGGGACTGAGAGAACAATCTGGAGTTGCGGTGGTGGAGAGGAGCGGAGTGTGACATGGTGGTTGAGAGGAGAAAACCAGGGCTGATAGGATTAAGCAGTAGAATCAAGGCCACAGGAATAAAATTGGAGCAAAGATATTCACAACTCCATTCACTCACAATTACAACCCTATAGCTGAGTCATGTTGATATGAGATTTTATCTCTTTTGGGGCATTAGAGCCAGGCTGCTGCTCAGAAATCCAAATTCTCCAGCATTGGCATCAAGGTGCCTGGGTTTGTTTGCTCTGGTCGCCATAACAAAGCACCACAGCTGGGGGACTTCAACCACAGAAATGTATTGTCCTGCAGTCCTGGAGGCTGGAAATCCAAGATCAAGGTGCAGGCAGGATTGGTTTCTCCTGAGGCCTCTCTCCTTGGCTTGCCTTCTGTCTGTGTCCTCGTATGGTCTTCCTTCTGAGTGTGTCTGTGTCCCAACCTCTCTCTTTATGAGGACACCAGTCAGATTGGGTTAAGGCCCACCCTAATGGCCTCATGTTACCATAATTCAATCACATTCTGAGGTCTTGGGGATTAGGACTCCAACATATGAATTTTGGGGGACACAATTTAGCCTTTAACAGTGACCTCAAGACCCTGTGGGTGAACTGATGCCCCACCTCCCAGTGCTTATTCAGAATGCTCACACCGTCATGATCCATGATCATTCTTCCCTGCGCGGGAGATCAGAGCCTAGAACTGAGATCTCTGATAACGTCTCTCCATTGCTGGAAGAGTTCATTGGGCTGTGACTGACCCTCCAGACCTCTAGGAATCAGCCAGCAGGTGACACATGTTGTCCTGACCTTCAGTGAATGCTGCCTGAAGGATGGGGGGTAGGAACAATAGAAGTCTCCCTTTCTCCCTCCACATACACTCAAAAATTGAGCATCTCAAAGGGAAGGGCCAGGCTATCCTCGACTGGGTGGGAGTTTAAGCCATCACAGCCATGTTCCTCCAACCTGACCTCGTTCTCTCCTACCTCACCCCAAATAATCCAGCAAGAGGTGAATCTAGGTGCTTCTCCTTGTGTCTGCTCATGCCTTGTAAGTAAGGGAAGAATGACAGTGACATGCTGCCATGCTTTCAGGCACATTTTTAATGGGTTCAAGTTTCCACTCATCAGTGGCTTCATCTTTATCCTGTGGCCAGCTCCCTGAGGTAGGGCTTAGCCTAGCCTGTGACCAAATGGGTCATCTTGAGTCTATCAGCTCCTGAGGTCTAAGCTGAAAACTTATATGTGAAGTCCCATTGGCTTTCAAGGGAGGCCGAACTTCTATGATCAAGTTAATCATTCGCTTTGCCTTGTTTCAGACCAGTGAGACCCCAAGAGGACAAGACGGTCAAGAGGTGGAATTTGCATACCAAAATCCACCCTGAATCATCAACTGTTCTGTGGTGATTATTTTATAGGTTTTTGTGAAGATTAAATCAGATGGCATATGTCAGGTGCCTGGAATGTGCTGAAGCTGGCACAAGATACATGTTCAAATTCCCTCCATCCCATCTAAGGACACGTACCTGTGGTGAACCATAGACCCTGGTCACAGCTTTGCTTAGGGACAGGTCTGTCCAGCACCAGGAGGTTCAAGCTCAGAGAAAGAGAAGGGAGTTGGCCTAGAAATCCCAGCAGTGATTGACAGGAGAGACCCCCTGGTGGGTGGGACTCCATCACATGTGCCAGTTTCCAGGTGTCTGTGGCAGAAGGCACAGAAGGAACCCACAGATGGGGTAAGAGTGCTGGCTCCCTCCCACCCTTGTTCATGTCTATCTAGGCTGTTCTCTGCACAGCAACCTGAGTGGGCCTGTTATGTGTAGCATGTCCCTTGTCCACTAAAAACTCTCTGATGATTTCCCTTTATCCTGAGTGGAAACCAAAGTCTTTACAATGGCTCGTAAGTCTCTCCTTGATCTTACACCCCTTGATCTCTCTGACTCCATCTCCTATCCCTCTCTGCATTGCTATGCCTGCATATGCCAGGTAGGTGCCCACAACTTGGCCTCTACATGTACTCTTTCCTCATCCTCTAACTTCCCACATGGATGATGGCATGGTCACCCCCTTCCTGCCCTGGTCTCCACTCAGATGCCACCTTCTCAGTAGCCCTCCCTCGCCATTTTCTGCTTTATTATTTTTTTTTATCATGGCACTTATCCTCAGCTAACCTGGAATCATCAACTGTATAGAGCTAACACACTCTATATATTACTCATATATCTCTTGCTCATTTTGTTTCTGTGATTTCTTCTGCCTTGAAAATAAACTCCATGAGGGTAGGAATATTTGACCTTTTGTCTACTTTTAGTGCTGTATCCCCAGTAGTCCTGGCACATAGTCAGCAAACAAAAATTGAATGAATGAAATAAATGAATGTCCTGAGAAGAGAGAGGCTACCATCCCCAACCTGCCCTATTAGCCCGTCCAGCTGCAGATGGAAAGACCTCAAGTCTAACTGCAGCCAAGCTCATTGCAACCAAGTAGGTGCAGGTTATACAAGCCCCATACCTGTGCTAAATGGTCTGTATGACAGCAGGAAGCAGAACCCGGGCAAAAGTAACAGGAGCTATTTACTGGAAAACTGTAAAAGTAATCATCATATGAATGAGGTATCAGGAAACTAACAATTCAATGTATGCTCATGGACCAGGGTTGGGAATAAATGAAAGAAATAGAAGGCCTGCCAGAGATCCCCGAGCACACGTTTAAAAGAAAGAAACTGCAAAATTGAATGTGGTGATATCATAGAAGTAAGACCATAAAAGACTATAAAAACATAACCTCACTGTGGGTTATAAGATTCTTGGACATCATTAAAAAGAACCATGAAAATGGAGCTACTTGGTAGGGATCCAGTTGGAATAAGAACTAAAGTGGTCTCCCTCTGCCTCGATGTCTGTGACCAGAGGCGGTCTCTCTGAATGGAGTATGTGCAGCGGATGTGAGTGAGTGCGTGTGAAGAAAATTTCCCAACAGCTCATTCAGTGCACGGGGAAGACAGTTCCATGAAGGCAAGGCCTGAGTGTCTCTTTTGACTGCTTTGTTCCCATTGTCGGCTCAAAGCCGGACGTGTCACTGACGCTTAGTCAATGTTTATAGAATGAGTTCATACTGAAAATCAGACTTCATTGCCATCGGTGCCTTCTTTCCTGAGCTGTTTCTCAAGGGCTCCAATATGGAGAATTCTTCCTGGCTCCTTTGACATTCTAAGAAGTACGTGTGTGTGCCTGTGTGTGTGCACATGCAAGAGTCTGGAGTTCATTTTAGGGCCAAGAGCCTGGTGTCCAAGCATCTAGGTTGGTCTCTTGGCTGGTTGGTTGTACTTTGCCTCCACAGCCAGCTTTTGTCAGTGAGAGAAAAATGGCACAGGAGCCAAGAGTTAGGTTCAAATTTCAGTTCAGCGGGGTCCTCTCTGTGTGACCTCAGACAAGTTACTGCATTTCTCTGGGACTCCATTTCCTTACCCATAATGGAGAAGTGAGGGTTCTTCTCTCGTAGGGCTGAGCTTGGGATTGAGTGAGGCAATCCAGGTAAAGTACTTAGGCATGTGCTTGGCACTTGAGAAGTGCTCGCTAAGGGGTTCATTCTTATGTTCCCTGTGAAGAAGGCAAAGGAGAGGTTATATAAGATGAGTCCACTAGCTCCTCTGTGCAGGCAGAGCAGAGAAGGAAGAGATGAGACTTGTCTTACAGGTGGAACTTGGAGTGGGTCAGGATTTGATGTCTTCTGGGAACAGGAAGACCGTATGAAGTTACTTCCAAACACATCAGACACTAAAGGAATGAGCCAAGACCAAGTCTATCAGAGACAGCCCGCTTTCAAATAGGGAAGGATGGGTAAGTTGAAGGAGCCCGACATACGCACCAGGGTCTAGGTGATAAGAGTTCAGAGTTCAGGTGGAAATAGAGCCAAGAAGCAGCCAGTTTTAGAACGGAAGGGAGGTGGGTGGAGGGGCTGGGCCTGAGCTGTTGCCTCGAATGCCGTCACCTACTGGCTCCTGGCGGGCTTGTGCTTGAGTCAGAATTACTTAAAAGGTCAGGGACAGGGCACACAATAAAATAAAACAGCAAGGCAGCCCAAGGAACTCTCTGGTGAGCTCAGATTTAAATAGCACATGAATAAAACGGAGAGAAATGGCATCATATTCTCTGGGGAATAGGAGAGGCATGTGAGTTTATGACAATAGCACTAGGAAGACTAAGGCCTGATGTGTACTGGGGTTACAGAAACTCCTAAGGCAACAAAAAGAGCTAGGAGAGAAGAACAAGGATGAAGCAGGTCTGTGGCTTGTGGCCTGTAGGGCAATCAGGACAGATGGCGAAAATGACACACACACAAAAACCAGATGACAACAACAACAACAACAAATAAGACAACTCTTTCGCCGTAAGTCAAGCAGAACATTCCAGCACCATGGTGTGGGGAAGATGAATCCCATGGAAGAACGAGCAGGTCAGGGAGAACCTTCCTCCAAAGCAGCTGCTCTCAGGATGCATCCTTGTGATGAGTTTTGTGGGACCTGCATGGAATTGCAAGTTTAAAGTGGAAACCAAATATTTTAAAATCCACATGTTTCTTCTTTTAAAACAAAAACAAAAGAACCCTGGCATTTCTGGTGTTTCTTGCAAAGTTAGGCAATTTGGCAATGTTGGGCACTTCTTCCTGGATGGCAAAATCGGATGGGTGCCGCTAACTTTCAATGGGTGTCACCAGTTCCTCACTGTCTCCCTCCCACCCACCACCCATGCTTGGGTCCTATAGACATCTGAGTTTGGGATCCCTGATATAAGTGCTCTAAATCCATCCAAGTCTCCTGACATAATCCCCAGGGACTGAGAGACCTTGAAATTGACAACATTGAACTTCTGTGGATGATCTGGAAGGAATCCTAGAGAACCTAAGTGGTGCTATGAAACTGAAAATGAACAGTATCATTGCAATTCTCAAAAACAACAAAGAGAGAGAGATTCTATGGAGAAGATGGAGAGATGCTCTGAGCAGAAATATGATCAGGTAGATTTTTAGGTTTCAGCACCAAAGGATAATCCTGGAATGAAGTTTCTAGGACTATGGCAAGGGCTATATCCGCAAACCTGACCTTCTTTTCACCTTTTCCCCCAATGATTTGGAGAAAGATAAGGAAGTTACAAATATCAAAAAATGTATGTAACACAAACCTGAAAAGAATCATTCAAAGTGAACAACTGTTATTGGGCTACAGTCCCCACCCCACTGTCCTTGTGCAGGCTGGCATGGGTGGGATTATAGAACAGCACATGAGCATAAAAATAGAGTTAGGGTTTAGATCACAGCAGGTAAGCAAGATTTAATCATGTGGTTGCCAAAATGGCCAATCTGATCTTCAGCTGCTTGATTAAAATTGTAATACCTAGAATGAGGAAAAAATTTCCAGTCTACTGGGGACATATGTCAACCACAGCACAGGTGTTCATTTCAAACAGTTCCTTTCTGCTTTTTATCCCAACTTTTTATTATAACAAATTTCAAACATATAGAAAAGTTGAAATTATACTACAATGAACACTTGTATGTTTACCACATAGAAACAACAGTTTTTAACAATTTGCCGTATTTGCTTTATTCATTCATATGTGTGTATGTTAGAATATATGTATATATCTGTATATGTTTGTGTATGTGTGCATGTGTGTAAGAATATGCACTGTATGTGTATGTGTGTATATGTATATGTGTACATTTTTTCAGAGCAATTTAAAAGTAAATTGTAGATATCAAGGTACTCTATCCTCAAACACTTTTAGCCTACATCATCCAGGAACAAGGACACCTCTTATATAATCACCATCCTACCACCATGAGCAAGAAGATTGACAATAATTCCTAAATATAATCGAACATTCGGTTCATATGAAAATTTTCCCAGTTGTCTCTAAAATGTCTTTTATAGCTATTTGAGTCAGTTCTTCAATAAGTGAACTAAATCTACTTTCTGGTTTTTTTTCTTTCTTTCTTTCTTTCTTACTACTCACTCTGGCAATGAATTGAGTAGATCATGGTACAATTCACTGAGAATGGCAGTGTAGGGTGAAGAGCAAGTTTTGAGAAGGAAAACAAGTTCCATCCTATGAATTCTGAACGTAGGTCTGGAGCTTAGCAGAGAAGTCAGGACTAATGGTACATATTTGGGAGCTGTCAGACCAGAGGCAGTAGCTAAAATGTTAGGAGTGGGCCGGGTGCAGTGGCTCACACCTGTAATATCAGCACTTTGGGAGGCTGAGGTAGGTGGATCATCTGAGGTCAGGAGTTTGAGACCAGCCTGGCCAACATGGTGAAACCCCGTCTCTACTAAAAATACAAAAATTAGGTGGGCGTGTCGGCTTGTGCCTATAATCCCAGCTACTCCGGAGGCTGAGGCAGGAGAATCAGTTTAATTCAGGAGGCAGAGGTTGCAGTGAACCGAGATGGCACCACTGCACTCCAGCCTGAACCACAGAGTGAGACTTTGTCTCAAAAATAAACAAAATAAAGTAAAATGTCAGGAGTGCAGGAGATCGTCTAGGGACACTGTTGTCACCATCATCATCATTACCATCTATTGACTTCACAACCTGCCTGGCATTGTACTAAGCACTTATTATCAATAGTTCATTTTCTTACCACAGTCTTCTGTGATAGGTATGATTACCTTCATTTTTGTGGGAAGGACGCAGTCTCAGAGTGGCTTTGTAACTTGCCCAAGTGATCGTGGCTACTGCATCTGGGAGCTGAGCCGCCCCTCTGTCTGGTGGCACAGTCCCTGCGTGCGCTACTGTCCGGCCTGGAAAGGAGACCCAGAGATGCTTGAGCGTGGAGAGGAGGGATTTACCACAGGATCCTGGGAAGAAAAGGCCAGAGAAAACCAGAAAGAAAGGATATTGGGGAAACCAAGGGAAGAAGTCTCGAGAAAGAGGCTGTGGCGCATATTCACTCATTCCTGGATTCACTCAACAGATATTTTGGGACCTACAGTTTCAGGCACTGTGACTGGCCCAAGAGTAGGGTGATGAGTAAGACAGGCAGTCTTGCTGTGGAGAGGAGGGGTGCGTGAGCTGTTGCCGAAAGGCCGGTGTGGGAATCCCAGGAGGACAATTCCTGTGGGGACGTGTGGAGGCTGCTAGTGGCTCCTGACCAGCAGTTCCAGAGAAACAGTGGGCAGAGGAAAGGATAGGAGGCAAAGTCAGCCCCTAAAGATGGGAACTTCTGGAGGTGTGGCTGAGAAGGGAAGGAGAGATACAGTTGGTAGATGGGGAATTGGAAGTCAAAGGGTTGTTTTGTTTTCCAAAGAATGGGAGAGACTTCAGAGGGTTTCTCATTATAAAAAGGGAAGAGAGTAGGCAGGAAAAGGTTAAATATAAAGGCAAACCAAGGAATAACAGAGGGACAGCAGGAGAGATGTATAGCAAAGGCAGGGCTGCGGGTCCCAGTGGACAGGGCAGTGTACCTGTTTCTCTGAAACTGATGGGGAAGGGAGAGAAAGAAGGGCTTGCATTAGACTGTTGAAACAGGGGCCAGGGGAAGGTCAGTGCCTTTGTTTTCTTGGTAAGCAGAATGTGCGTAGCGAAGTGGAGTGAAAATAATCAAGTCGTGGTGAGAACAACCGTGATGGTTATCATCAGATTAACAATAATAGGCTGAACTCTTTGAACTTGCTGGGGTCTGATGATGTGACACCTATAAGAATGGTTTCTGGGCCGGACGCGGTGGCTCACGCCTGTAATCCCAGCACTTTGGGAGGCTGAGGCGGGTGGATTATGAGGTCAGGAGTTCAAGACCAGCCTGGCCAAGATGGTGAAACCCTGTCTCTACTAAAAATACAAAAAAAAAAATTACAGCATGTCTGTAATCCCAGCTACTCAGGAGGCTGAGGTGGGAGAATCGCTCGAACCCGGGGGGCGGAAGTTGCAGCGAGCCGAGATCGCGCCACTGTACTCCAGCCTGGGTGACAGAGCAAGACTCCCTCTCAAAAAAAAAAAAAAAAAAAAAAAAAAGAATGGTTTCTGGGGAGAAAGTTTGGAGGAGGCTAAGTGGCTGTCACAAACTCGTCTCTTCCTTCCCAACAGTGACGCCTTGGGAATCCCTTAGATATGGCCTCAAAGTACCGACCGGGGAGCCACCTAAGGCACTGCCTCCAACCCCTCTCCTGAGCCCACACACCCTGCCCTGCTCCTCATGTGACAGTCCCCATCTTCTCCAGGTCCTACAGATATGTACACTTTTTTTTTTAATGAAAGTTCTCACAAATTTATTAATGAACCCATCTGACTAGTGCAGAACATATAAACAAAGAGAAAAAAATATATTCCCAGTAAAACATGTCCAAGTGTCCAGATAATGGTGACATTTTCAGCTTGACATGGCAATGATGACCTTGATGCAGCATAAATATGTGTGCCATCTCATGTGCAATTCCTTACAGACCCAGCTTGGTTCTTCTCCAATGTCTCCTCTTGGAGTTGCACCTGACTTATCACCAGTTTTCATCTGAATCCATTGGGGAATGGGACAATTTTGCTTTTGTTTCTTGGCCAGGAATCGCTTGACCCTGGAAGTCTTGTGAGAAGAAATGGGGAGAAATGGAGTCACCCACCCACACCATGATGGCGGAGAAAGCCAGATCATGCACTTTTAAGATTCTCTGGGGCCTGACTCTGAACTCCAGTTAGCTGGGCATCCAGACAGCTTTGTGGAAAGGAGAGTGTTCTCAATGGGCCTGCAGGGCTTTTCCCAGGTAGGATGCTGCAGTGTGAGGAACGATGTGAGCATGGTCAGAAGCAAGAAGGCAAGTGAATCTGTTTGGCTGGTGAAAGCTAAGCTGCCTCCAATGACCTTGAATTTCAACAAAGGGACGTAGGCTTTTTTCTGTGGGTACAGGATGCCTGGAAACTTTGGAGAACTTGAGAAACAGTGTGGGCTTGTGAGAGCAGATCTCTGTAAGCCAGGGTGTCTGGGGAGGCTGTGGGAAGTGCGCAAGGGAAGAGAAGACAGCCCTGGTTGTGAGTGCTTGGTAGAAGGGGGACAAAGTTCCCTGTTTGTCTTATCTGCTGCTTAATGGAAACTCCAGAATTCTCTCTGCCCATTTGCTCTGGGGGAGCTCATGGCTCCCCTCCCCAGCCTGGGAGACCAGGTATCACTCACCCCATTGCTGAATTCTCACTGGACTTCTTCCCTCCAAACCAGCAGTGGCTTCTGCCAGGGGACATGTTGAAGGAAGGAAAGGACAGCTTTGCCTCCTCTCTGTCCCCACCTTTGGCCAAGCTTCTCTAGGACAATGGTCCTTCATATTTTTTACCCTCAAAATGAATTTTGAGAAACTATTTATCTTTTGTGTGTGTTTTTAAGTCAACATCTAAAATTTTTTGATAAGTTTAAGCAGTGGCAAAGGATGCCTTTTATACTAATATGTGAACATGGACATTTTAAATAAAAATAATTATATTTCTCCTTTAAAATGTAACAGTGGTGATATGATTTGGATATTTGTCTCAGCCAAATCTCATGTTGAGATGTAATCCCCAGTGTTGGAGGTGGGGCCTGGTGGGAGGTGACTGGATCATGATGGTGGATTTCTCAAAAATAGTTTAGCACCATCCCCTTGGCGCTCTCCTCGTGATACTGATTTCTCACACGATCTGGTTGTTTAAAAGTGTGTGGCATCTTCCCCATCGTTCTCCCTTGCTCCCGCTCCTGCCGTGTGAGATGCCTGCTCCCCCTTTACCTTCTGGCATGATTGGGAGCTTCCTGAAGCCTTCCCAGAAGCTGAGCAGATGCCCGTGCCATGCTTCCTGTACAGCCTGCAGAAGCAGGAGCCAAATAAACCTTTTTTCTTTACAAATTACCCAGCCTCTGGTATTTCTTTATAGCAATTCAAGAACAGCCTATGATGGCCAGGCGCGGTGGCTCATGCCTGTAATCCCAGCCCTTGGGAGGCCGAGGCGGGCGGATCACCTGAGGTCAGGTGTTGTGGGAAGTCAGGGACCCAAAACAGAGGGACCAACTGAAGCCATGGCAGAAGAACGTGGATTGTGAAGATTTCATGGACATTTATTAGTTCCCCAAATTAATACTTTTATAATTTCTTATGCCTGTCTTTACTGCAATCTCTAAACATAAATTGTGAAGATTTCATGGACACTTATCACTTCCCCAATCAATACCCTTTTGATTTCCTATGCCTGTCTTTACTTTAATCTCTTACTCCTGTCATCTCATAAGCCGAGGAGGATGTACGTCACCTCAGGACCCTGTGATAATTGCATTAACTGCACAAATTGTAGAGCATGTGTGTTTAAACAATATGAAATCTGGGCACCTTGAAAAAAGAACAGGATAACAGCAATTGTTCAGGGAACAAGAGAGACAACCTTAAACTCTGACCGCCAGTGAGCCGGGTGGAACAGAGCCATATTTCTCTTCTTTCAAAAGCAAATGGGAGAAATATCACTGAATTCTTTTTCTCAGCAAGGAACATCCCTGGGAAAGAGAATAAGCACCTGGGGTGGGTCTATAGATGGCCCCCTGGGTATGGCTGTCTTCTATGGTGGAGACTGTAGGGGTGAAATAAATCCCAGTCTCCCATAGCGCCCCCAGGCTTATTAGGAAGAGGAAATTACTGCCTAATAAATTTTGGTCAGACCAGTTGCTCTCAAAACACTGTCTCCTGATAAGATGTTATCAATGACAATGGTGCCCGAAACTTCATTAGCAATTTTAATTTCGCCCCGGTCCTGTGGTCCTGTGATCTTGCCCTGCCTCCATTTGCCTTGTGATATTCTATTACCTTGTGAAGTACGTGATCTTTGTGACCCACACCCTATTCATACACTCCCTCCCCTTTTGAAAATTCCTAATAAAAACTTGCTGGTTTTGCGGCTTGTGGGGCATCACACAACCTACCGACATGTGATGTCTCCCCCGGATGCCCAGCTTTAAAATTTCTCTCTTTTGTACTCTGTCCCTTTATTTCTCAAACCAGCCAACGCTTAGGGAAGATAGAAAAGAACCTGTGTGAGTATCGGGGCAGGTTCCCCGATAGTCAGGAGTTCGGGACTAGCCTGACCGACATGGAGAAACCCTGTCTCTACTAAAAAAAAAATACAAAATTAGCCAGGTGTGGTGGTGCATGATTGTAATCCTAGCTACTTGGGAGGCTGAGGCAGGAGAATTGATTGAACCCAGTGGATGGAGGTTGTGGTGAGCCGAGATCGTGCCATTGCACACCAGCCTGGGCAACAAGAGCGAAACTCCATCTCAAAAAAAAAAAAAAAAAAAAAAAAACAGCCTACACACAAATGGAATACAAATACCCAAATAATTTTATACCCACCATTATCTATTACAAAAACAAACAAACATAGCAAGTTCATCTTTAATGTTGGGTATGTGTATAATAGAAATTTAATGGGGTGGGGGGAGGGGGGAGGGATAGCATTAGGAGATATACCTAATGCTAAATGACGAGTTAATGGGTGCAGCACACCAGCATGGCACATGTATACATATGTAACTAACCTGCACATTGTGCACATGTACCCTGAAACTTAAAAGTATAATAATAATAAAAAATAAATAAAATAAAATAAAAAGAAATTTAAAAAAATTTTGGTGACCATAAATGTTTAAAAAATTTTTCTTTTGAATTGAGTTATACATACAGTTAGTATTAGTACACAACTGGTCAAATTAATGGACATTTTAAATGTTGATCAATAGTTATTAGATACAAAGGTTAACTTTTATCTCAAAGCCCTTGTTTTGGGTGGATTCAAAGACTTTTGGTGTCTTGATCAAAGCAGGATTTCTGCCACCAGAATTCTGGATTGCCCCTTACTTGGTGTTCTGGAGGATTTGACACCTTGGGGTATGCAATTCTCAATTTTTAAGGTGGGAGAATGTCATTGTGAGAGGATGGGGGCAATGGATGTGGGCCAAGGGCTTTGACTTTAGACTCATTCTCAGGAAGATCAGTGTCAGGAGGGCTTCAGAATTTGTAGTGAATGCCCTTCAGTTGGTTGCCCAAGGGTCTTTGGTGAGTATTCCATAGCCTCAGGTGCACTTAGCCAAAGAGAAGGGGAAGATGGACTGTGGGTGACAACAAAAACGATGATTATTTTGGGATTAATAAAAACAGGCTGACAAAGTTCAGTTAATGAATACAAAGTTATAGCTAGACAGGAGAAATCAGTTCTAGTGTTGTATAGCACTGTAGGATGACTGTGACTAACAACAATTTACTGAATATTTTTAAGTAGCTAAAAGAGCAGATTTTCTGTTTTCAACACAAGGAAATGATAAGTGCTTGAGGTGTTGGATATGTTAATTACCCTCATTTGATCATTATGCATCGTATACACATGTCAAAATATCACATTGTACAATGCAAATATGTACAATTATAATATGCTGACTACAAATAATAATAAAAGCAAAAAAAGAATTATGGGTAGTGGAGTAGTGATTTCGAAGGAGCCTGGGTCTCTGATGGTATCAAAGAGCTGCTGAAAGAAAAGTTAAACTCTTTCTTCTTGTTGAAAAAAAAATGGGCTGAGCTATTTGAACTCTCTGATGTTTGATATTAAATGTATAAAAATGATGCTTCATGTAGTCCAATCTAAAACCTCAGCAAGTTGTTACAGCAGTCTTATTATGGGCCAAGTAACAGTCTAAGAACTCAACACAATGTCTTATCAAAAAGCACCTCAAAATGATCTCAAAGAAGTAGGTATTTTCTTCCATTTTCTAGTGAGGATACTGGGGCTTAGAGAAGTTAAATAATTTGTTCAAAGTGACCTAGCTAGAAAGGTACTGAGCTCTAAATGAGTCTAAATAGATTGTAAATATGGTTACATTCATCTGGATGCATTTGTGGCATTGTTTCTAGAGAAAGCTCATCTAAATCAGAATATTCAGCCCTCATTCTATGAACTTGTGTTACAGGTTAAAAAAAACCAAACAACTTTTCCTGCTCTCCTTCCTCAAATGACTTTTATAGTAAAAATAGGATAAACCAATATGCTGAAATTCAACTTGACATCAATTGAGATAACGTAAGAAAACAGAGCCATAAAGTAGGAGCTAAAACACTAACCATAAAAGAGACCACAGTCTTTAGCCAGGCAATCATGCTGTGGAAAATAGACCTCAAAAATAACCCAAAATCTATTTGCACAGGAATCTTTATAATATAGTATTTACAAGCTGGAAATGACTCAAACACCCAACCATGAATAATAAACAAATGCATAGCATTTTATGGTTTACAAAGTACATTCACATGTCTTTGTCAATTTGGGCTGCCATAACAAAATGCCATAGACTGGGTGGCTTAAACAAGAAATATATTTACCATAGTTTTGGAGGCTGGGAAATCCAAGATCAAGCTGCTGGTAGACCCAGTGTTTGATGAGGGCTCTCGTTGTAGATGGCCACCTTCTTGCTAGGTGCTTATATGGTGGGAGGAAAGAATGAGAAAGAGAGAGAGAGAGAGAAAAAAAACTGTGCTTTGGTCTCTTCTGCCTCTTATAAGGGTGCTGATCTCATCATAGGGGCTACACTCCCATGACCTCATCCAAAGACCCCATCTCTACATACCGTCACAATGGGGTTAGGGCATCAGCATATTTTAGGGGGTGGAGGACGGAAACATTCAGTCCATAGCAACACACAATTATCCGCTTTGAGTCTTATCAGCCCTGCCAGGTGTAAGCCAAGAATGCATAAGTTCCCCAATGGGGCTTAGATGCGATGTGACTCTACAGGGAAGAGAATGGTGAAAGAGAAACTGGATGTGTGAGTTGTTCATCTTGTTCTTAACTCTGTTTTGGAGCTCCCTGGGCCTTATATTATTAGGTGACCACTTCTCACCTTGGCATCCCAGATGCATCACTCGCCTCTCCACACATGAGCTGGTGAGGTCAAACTGATCATTGAGTGGCATTTCAGGAATCTGGGTTTTTGCAGGCATTCTTCCCTTTGCCTACAACCCTCTTCGCCTTGTTAACACCTTCTGATACATTGAAGATGCAGCGTAGACAATGCCTCATCCCGAAAGCCTTCATCCTCCCCTCGAGGCTTGGGCTCCTGCAGGTCCACTCCACTGCACAGCTCACCCCCTGGCTATTGCGACCCACCTGTGCTGGTAGAGAGCAGAGCCTGGTGGTGCCAGAAGCATTTCATTGCCTGGGAGAACAGCTCTCTGTGAAAGGATGGGGCCCTGCAGGAAAGAATGGCCCCATGCCATCTGGACTTAATATTTCCCTCTTTCCCTGAAGACATAATCAGGACCGATCCTCCAGCATCCCCATCCCTGTCTTCCTCAGCCACCTGCAGAAACACAAGCCCTGCAGGGTGTCCAACATCCTCCAGCCCTGCTCCCTGTGCATGTCCTTGGCCTCCCACTGTACCCCTGGAATTCCAGGTCCAACAGTGATTCCCCTCTATCTTCAGCCTGTTCTCTGCATATCCCCTCCCTGTCCTAACAGAAACTTCTCTGTCCTCCAAGGTCTCTGCTTTCTCTGAAGCCCACACGAGAAAGGCCTTTTCTTTTCTCATACTCAACATAGCCAATGCCTAGTGGTTTGGGCTGTGTCCTCCTTGCTCCACTTTCTGTCTCTCAACCATTTCTTTCCCTTTTCTCTAAAACCCCTAGCCCCTCATGCCTCCATGCTCCTTGTTGTTACCACCCTCCTTCTTCCTCATCCTGAGGATTTCAGGGCCAGCTCCCTGTCTTCCTCTCGTCCTCTACCCCTGTCCCAGGCCTTGGTGATCACAGCCTCCATGCGGATAACCCACCCAGCGCCCTTCTCACCTCTTCACGTTCTGATTTTACTTGACTTCAGCCTCACATTCCCACAGTTGGTAGGTTTCAGTCTGGAGGCCCTCTCTCCTGTGTGGTTGCTGACTGTTGAATTGACCTAGGATCCATGGAACCCATTGCTCTTCTCTGGCCAACACAGCCTGCCCAGGTGACCTCCCGAGTTAGTTGCATGGCCATAGATGCCATCTCTGTGCCAAGGGGTCCTGTCTCCCCTCAGGCCATGACTGCTCCCAGTCCTTCCACATTCTCCCCCTCTCCTTCCCCTGCCAACTCCTACTCACCCTTCAAAGCCCAGGTCACAGTCTGTGGCAACTTCTGGAACTCCCCTGGGGAGATGTAGTTCCTCCCTTTCTGTGCTCCAGGGACACTTGTACCTCCACTAAGTTGGTCCATGGCATGCCATGTCTTTCTCTCACAAGCCCCTCAAAGGCTAGAACCATGGATTACTGATCTTTATACCAACAAGTATAGTGGAACATTGTAAAAAGACAAGTGGATATGAAGAAGATGAGTAACAAGAGGTTATGGGGTGATGTAACCCACTGGGGATTTGGTTTTGAGGGGCTCTTAGTTGAGGTGGTCCCTTTCCAACAATAGTGTTTTGGTGAAGAGTATTGTTTGGTAAATTTGTGAAGCAACTGACCCTTCAATATTGATGTGGGTAACACTTGTTAAAAATTGCAATACAACTTATTACATTTTTACCCAAAGTTGAAAAAAATATGGTAGGCAAGAAGGAAAAGAATAAGTAAGTGAAAAAATTAACACTGTTACATTCTTCCCAAGAAGAATTTAAATTACCAGGCATCCTCCTTGGTCATTTTGCTTCATGAATGACTTCTCTATTTATAGTCAATGTCCCTGAGACCTGAAAGACAGCAAAACCCAAGAATATGTCACTTGAGAATTCTGTTCCTGTGCCAGGCATGGTGGCTTATGCCTGTAATTCCAGCACTTTGGGAGGCCAAGAGGGGAGGATTGCTTGAGCCCAAGACATTAAGGCTGCAGTGAGAAATGATTGTGTCTCTAGCCTGGGCAACAGAATGAAACTATGTCTCAAAAAAATGAAAAAAGAATTTTGTTTCTAGAAATTATTTCAAAGAATTCTTATTTGTTCTATTAAGCAAGTTAAGTCCAACTCTGTAGCAAAGAGAAGGTCACTGCTGGGCATCCTATACCGTGCAAGTGTATAATTTTGTCTGAAAGTCTTTGAAACTGCCATGAGATGTAGAGAATGAAAGGAGCTGTGCTCTCCCTGGCCATCCTGAGAAAAGTTATTTAACATCCCTGGGCCTTGGCTTCCTCAACTGTGGCCATTTATAAGGTTATTAAAATTAACTTAGATAACAGTTGCTAAAATTCCTAAGGTCTGGTCTGTTGTAAGCTAAAAAAATGTTCATTCCCTATTCTATTTTGATTTAACCAGAGGTTACTCTTAAAATCTGGCATTGCCTCTTTCAAGCTCTAAACTAGATCCTCTGTTCATAGAGGAGGCATTTTCCTTACGAAGCTAGGAAGTTTCATAGTGGAGTTTTCCTGCCAACTCCTACGCACCCTTCAATGAGTAAGAGTTGTCTGGTGACCAAACACAGACACTCCTTATGGAAAACCAAAGAGAGGCTTCCCTTTTGGGCGGGGGGTGGGAAGCAGAGCAGAAGCAGGTTTCAATCATGCGCTTGCCGCTTGCCACTTTCCGGTCTATATGTGTGGTTCCATCTGTCTCCACCCCAGCTTCCCACCCCAGAGAGCAGGTGGGGTGGAAACTCTGGTCATGGGGGAGGCTTCCAGCCGTGAACATCTCACCATGACTCCTTCCCAGGGCATAACTTTCACCAACAACTCCAGCTGTTAATAATTGACTGACATTAAAATTAACTGATTAAAATGTACAGGACTATGGAAGAAGCATCACCTGAAAAGTACCCACTTATCTACGTTTACTGAACAACATACTATGTCTCTCTTGGGTGAGATGAATACAGTGAATTTTTCCTTCAGAGAGCGGTGGCCAAAGGTGGGTGGAAGAGTTTCATGAAGGCTGAGATTGTGTGTTGTGATCTAATGGCGGTGCATCTGAAGTGTGTCCGTGCTGGCAGGGAGCCACTGACTGCTCTGCTAGCTGTGGCTGAGGGAAGCCTCCTGCAGGAGCTAATATTCCAGCTGGGTGTGGTCGGGAACTAGACCTTCTCCAGGTGGAAAGCGGGGCAAAGGAGGTTCTTGGGTAGGATTCCTGAAGTTGGGAAATGGAGGACAAAGGAGATAGGCACTGGAACCAGGAGGGCAGGGCTGAGGAGTTACAAAATCAGGGGCAAGGGAGATAGCAGAGGTGTGCATGTGAGTGTGTCGGCCTGTGTGTCTGTGTGCAAGTGTGTGTGTCCATGTGTGTCTTTATGTGCTTGTGTATATGTGTCTATATGTGTCTGTGTCTATTTGTGTGTGTAACTGTGTCTGTGTCCGTGTATATGTGTGTGTGTCTGTGAGTCTGTATATCTGTGTGTGTAAGTGTGTGTATGGCTATGGGTGTGTGTGTCTCTTTAGTGTGTCTGTGAATCTGTGTGTTTGTGTGTGTGTGTGTGCCGATTTGTATGTGTGAAAGTCTGTGTGATTTATGTATGTATCTCTGTGTGTCTGTGTATGTGTGTATGTGTTTATCTGTGTGTCTTTATGTATGAGTGTGTTTCTGTATGTCTGTGTGCAAGTCTGAGTGTATGTTTTTGTGTGTATGTGTGTCTCTTTATGTGTGTCTGTGTGTATATAAATGTGTGTTTATGTATGTGTGTTTCTGTGTATGTCTTTATGTGTGACTGTGTGTGTCTCTGTGTTTGTGTCTGTGTGCATGTCTTTGCCTGTGTATATGTGAGTATATATATGTCTGTGTGTGTATGTGTTCATGTGTGTCTCTGTGTGAGTGTGTCTCTGTGTTTGTGTCTGTGTGTGTCTCTGCCTGTGTATATGTGAGTATATATAGTTCTGTGTGTGTATGTATTTATGTGTGTCTCTGTGTGAGTGTGTCTCTATGTTTGTGTCTGTGTGCATGTGTGTGTGGGTGCATGTGTGTGGCTCACTTAACTTCCACCCCTTAGGACCACCTGGCAGGAATTTCCTAAAGGAATGTGGGTCCTCACTGGAGTCAGGCTCAGAGCTTCAGGCTGACTCATCTGTCTTCCCAATCCAATTCTCCTGCCAGTTCTTGCACCCCTGCAAACCCACCAGTGGGAGTGCTGGATGGGCCCTGGACACTTGGCTAGGCTGCAACAATATTTCCTAGAATCTCTTGCCCTAGTAGGATAGTTTTGGGTAAGGGTGAACAAAAGAGGAACTTGTGAGATATTTGAGAGGCAGGAGTGAAGTGGCTGCCATGACTCTGAGAAGGCCATCTTGCTCAGACGTGGCGACAGACAGATGCAGGATGCTCTGTGTCTCCCACCTGCATTCTATGCTCTGCACCCAGCTCTTCTTCCTGCCTTCAGCCGCTGCTGGCCAAGAGTGCCCCAGGCTAACAACCAGACACCTGTGCAGACCCAGAGGGGCAGCCGCCACCAGAGGCATCAGCTCCTCAAAAGCTTCTCCCTGAGCTCCCTGCTGCAGTCACTTTGCTGGCTGGACATGCTATTGGCCTCCTGGCTTTCCTGACATGCTCCCATATGGCTACTCACACCATTCTAAGGCAGGCTGGTTGGTGGCTCCCTTTCCAGACCTTTACTCCCCAGCATGTGGGTAAGGCTTAACTCCAATAAGGCAAGTTGCATTTCCACCATGCTCACGGTGGTGGTGGCTCCACTCCCCAGGGCCCCTGGACTGATACCGTGGCTGTCCAGCCTGGGTTTGCATTTTCCTCTCTGGGTTGAAGAACTGCTTCTCCTTCTGCCCACAGAGCCTGGTTCCATTGCAATCTCTAGTCCAGTCCTTCTACCCTATGGTAAGTCCTTCTGATATTTGTAAAGCTGCCACATCCTCCCAAGTTTTCAGAGGTATTGAAGCAGATGGTCTGGGTAGGGCCAAGGAATCTGAATTTCTTTAACCAGGCTTCCTCCCCACCAGGAGATTCTTCTGTAATACACAGGTTGTGTTCTAGATTAGCCCAAGGCAGCCATGGACACTATACCACATCCCCTGGCTCTTTTGTCTATACTGTTCTTTGTCTATTTCCTGTCAGTTTCACCTTCTGATTTTAGATAATGGCAGTTCACCTCCATGTCTTCAGAGGACAGTTGCTGCTATATTACCTGTTGCTAAATAAATGTTTGAGAGAAGAAAAGGAAGATGGAGAGGTGGAAACAGTGAAGATGAAACAAAGGGCCAGTCCTGGGCGGAGGTCAGGTTCAGCGCAGGCCCTAGAGGTAGGGGATAGACAGGAAGCAAGGGCACCTGCAGGGCTGGGACATTTGTCTGCCCCCAGCATAGGTCCAGGCAGGGCACACCTGCCTTCTCTGTCCATGGTCCAAGAGGCTTGACTTCAGACAGGTGGGAAGCAGAGGCTTTCGGAGGTTGCCCCTGCTCTGACTGGCCCCAGGAGCTTCCAAGACAGCTAAGTGAGGACTGGGTGCACTCCGTTGGCAGATAGAGGCAGTGTGGCCCAGGAGGACAGACACAGGCTCTGGGGCAGACAGACACGGTTCATATCCTGGCTGCCTCTCGTTTTAGATGAGCTCCAGAACTGGGGTTCCTGTAGTACCTACGTCATCAGGGTATGGTGAGGATTTGCAGGAATGACAGAGTGCCAAGCACAATTCCTGCACACAGCAGGTCGCCAGCAGATGCCACGTCCCTCCATGTCACACACACTCCTCTCAGTCCCCTTCAGTCATGACAAAATACACCCCTGAGCTGCCCGGCACTGAGGCCAGTCATCTCCTTCTATCCCTATGGCTGTTTTCACCCCAGGAACTTAGCTAGTTTGCCACTTTGCATTTTGGGGTGTCTGGGTGCTCTTTTGTTTTCCCATACTAAGCAAAGAACTGGGAAATGGTGAGCTGTGGCTCAAGGATGATTCTAGGCCTGACGGACTGATTGTTGGATTATGGGGAGAACCTGTTCTGCCAGGTTTCCTTATATTTAGCAAACATCCTGGGGGTGATTTAGGAAGGGTTGCTGATATCCCGAGCCCAGGCATTTCTCTGAAGATTGTCGTCACCAGGTAAATGGCAGGGCCCAAAGAATGATGCTATATCCTCCCAGCAGACAACCACCACCTCACTTCCTCCTGTCCATGATCCAGCCTCCTATGATGAGCAAATAAGTTTTGCACATTCTTGGGACACATCAGGAAGCCCAGCCTAGAAGTTTCTGAGTGCTCTGACACATGGGTGTCTGAGGGAGACAGTGATGGTCACAAGAAACAGAAGCCCCTCAAGCTCGACAAGGTGAGTACCTGATGAAGTCCAGGTAGGGGTCTCCAGGCCTTTCCCAGTGGCAGGAACTGGGAGTGGAAATCCATCAGGAGACAGGAGCAGTGGTTTTCGCAGTTCTTGCACTGTCCTTGGGGCTACTTCCTCTAGTCTCTCTGCTCTGCGTGCTCTATCTGTGATAGCCTCCAGCCTCACTCTGCAGCAGAGCTCTCCTCTTCCTCATCAGCGCACACAGCCCCAAAGGACCGAGAGCCTCCAGCTACTGCTAGCATCAAAAGCTGTCCTGAGCCCCCTTATCTCTTAGTTCAAATTTTTCATAGAGAAAGAATCTGATTTGCCTGTTGAGCATGCTCCTTCACCTTCCCCATCCTCAGCCTCTGAGGCAGGCTGGACAGCAGAATGGAGTCTTCTCCAGAGGCTGGGGCAGCTCATGATAGCACATAGAGCTGCGGACCACTGGAGGTCTGAGGCTACCGCTCAGAGGACAGGTGCAGTCCAGGTCACTCACTGAGCGGGTTTGCCAGAGGTAGGACTCCTCACAGCAAGTCTTTGAAAACACTGGGCTTCAACTTACATTTAGGCAACCTTGTCTGTGCTGGGTGGTATCATGGCATGATGGGCTAGTGCATAGGCACAAGACTGCTCCGTTGCAGAGCTGAGTCCACAGCCTGACCTTCCACATAGACGTCCAGTGTTCCACTCATGCAGCCGTGACCCACAGGACCAGGCTTGACCAGGCCATGAATGCAAATGCAGCCTGATAAGCCAGTGACTTTAGGTCCCCTCTCCAATATGGCAAGTCAGGTCCTTTACAGACCTTCTCCTTTCATTTTTGTATCTCTGGGGTGCTTAGAAAACAAATTCTAGTTAAAAAATTCTGGCCAGGGCTGGAACGAAGCCAGGTCTAAGCAGCCTTGGAGATCCTGTAGATCTGTGGAGGTACCTGTGTGAATTAGAACTTGGCTCCCATCTCTCTTTTTTGCCACTCCCTTTCTCTCCAGTGACAAAGCTGACAAAGTTGGCTGCCCTGGGACCTGGTTCCTATGGACTTCTGCGGGCTCTGAGCAGGTCAGCCTGCATCTTCCAGGCAGTGATAGCTTCTCCCAGGTGAGAGGCAGGACAGTCCTCCTCCGTGGCACCCTCAAGCCCCAGAGCTCCAGTTCCTTCTGCAGGCCATGCCATTGATGGCACCCGCTGCCACCGCAGGTTTCTTGAACACAGGGATGAGTTCCCAGTTCAGGCACCTCACACTCTGACTTCATCTTGGCCACTGTAGGTGGCCAGCACCCCAGGGATATCAGAAACAACTGCAGCTGGAGAGGGGCTTCTACAAGACCTGACTTGTTGCTTCAGAGAGAGGGGACCTGTGCTCCCTAGAGTGCCCTTCTCTGGCCATTCCCACTCAGGACCAGGATGCCACACTCTGAGAATCTGAGACACATGAAGGGGCCACAGGTAGGTGCTCTGGTCTCAGAGGAGCACCCCCTGCCCACACCTCAGCCATTCCGGCACAGGCTGTGGACAGTGAGTGAGGAAGCCACCTGGAAAGGAGCCCACTATTGCTTCATGCAAACCACCCCAAACTCAGTGGCATAAGATAGTCACTTCCTTATGCTCAGGAATCCATGGGTCGGGAATCAGGGCCTGGGAAGGCCTTTCTCTGCTCCCTGGTGACTGGGGCTAGCTGGGAAGACTGGAATGCCTGGGACGAGGCAGACAGCCAGGGCTGCGGGCCCCTTTCCAGGTGGCTTCCTCACTCACTGTCCACAGCCTGTGCCGGAATGGCTGAGGTGGGGGGTGGGGGGTGCTCCTCTGAGACCAGAGCACCTACCTGTGACCTCTTCATGTGGCTCAGATTCTCAGAGTGTGGTATTCTGGTCCCGAGTGGGAATGGGCAGAGAAGGGCATTCCAGGGAGCAGAGGTCCCCAGAGAGCTGCACAAACTTCTCTGAACAAGCCTTGAAGATCAGCTCATCACTTCTGTCTCATGCTATTGGTGGACACAGCAACAAGCATCCTCAGATGCAAAGGGTGGAGACACAGATGCACCCTCACTGCAAGGAATGCCCAAGTCACTCACACAATAAGACAGCATTGGAGTGACAAATATTGTTACAGCCATCTTTGGGAAAGACAGCCTACTGTGCCCCAAGCTAACAATTCTTTCTTAGCCTTATTTATGCTTTAGTGTTCAATACCCAGGGTGGCTCCAGCCAAGGGCAAACTGGTGGGGCAGTGTCTCCCTGACTACTGGAGAGACAGGACACAGACACACAGCTGTCTCCACCAGCACGGAGGATAGCCTAACCAAGTCCCCCTCTCTCCATTCCAATTTCTCCCTGACTGTAAGGAACCTGCTATGTCACCTTCCTGTGTAGGGAGACAGAAGAAGACTGAGCTTCAAAGGGTAGGTTTTTGTTTGTTTGTTTTTTTGTGTTTTTTTCTTTTTTTTTTTTGAGATGGGATGATTTGTTGTTTCAAATTTTCAAATATTTTGGAGTAATTTTACTTGGGATTCAGGTCAAAGTCCCTCATGTCTCTATTCCCCCAGTTTGGCCAGCAGGTATGGGGGGTTGCTGAGGAATGGGAGCTCCGTGGTGAGATGCCGCAGAGGCAGCACCTTCCATCTGCAGCAGCTGACAGCAATCCCCAGAGAGGTCAGATTCATGTGCCCTTGGGTGCCTGCCAGGCTCAATGTGCCTTCCAGGAAGAGACTCTGGGAGCCATTACCAGCTGTCAAAGGGACCCTCTGTGAGTATGGACACCTCAGCTTCTGGGAGGGGACAGGATGCATTGTGTTTAGGTCACAGTTGGATGTCCCTCTTAAGGAAATGTCAGTTTCAGGAGTGGCAGGAGTGTTTACTGTTTGAGCTAGATTTTTTCTTTTATTGATACATAATGTTTTACATATTTATGGAGTACATGCAAGTGTTTTTTATATGCATAGAGTGTTCCATTTGCCCCCAAGATACACTCAGCTCTGTTTGTCCACTGCTCTGTGCTCCAGGAGGCTGGACAGTATGGGCCACATTAATAGACTGTCCTTCCCCCGGAAATACAGTTCGGTTCACACCTGCTAGAGATCAGAGGAGGAATGAGCAGAAGTCGGTGATTTATTTCTTGGCTTCATCTCTGTGGCATTTTCCTAAACTGGCCGAGGTTGAAGGCAGGCTTGTGCCATATGCTGCTGGTAGGTGAAATGGGTGACTGCTGCATTGCAGCCCCACCCAGGGTGACCTGAGACAGGGATGAAGGAAAGTCCTCCAGGTGGGCAGAAGTCATTATTTGCTTCATACAGTGAGACAGGAGGCCTAAGGTACAGATATGTGTGGACTCCTGGGTCTTGGAAAAGAAATGAGTTGGACAGGACTGGGAAGGGACAAGACTGGAAGACTGGGGACAAGGAAAGCTGGGCAGGGGTTGTGTGGTACACCTGTGGATCTGAACACACATCTTTGTGCTGTGTGTTGATGCCACCAGAAGAGCTGCTGAACCACAGCTGGACTGGACTGTTCCTACTGCCATGCCAGCCAGTATCTCTCCTAGGCATGCTTGCTGCTCTATGGCTCCCCATGATGGGGATGCCATGATAGCAACGTGAGTAGCTTTGTGTGAGCTCAAAGGCATGAACTCTTCATCATAAAGTCTCAACCAGCTGCAGTTATAGCAGAACACCCAACTTGTCAGTAGCAAGGGCCAATGCGGGGCCCTCAGTGGCATTGTGCCTTGAGGAGACCAACTAGTCACTTGGCGAAAGGTCAATGGCATTGGACACCTTCCACCATGGAGGAGCACCCATCTATGTTCACCATACCCACTGTGGGTGTGAATCTGCCTTTCTAGTCCCTACCATCTCTGCCAGCATCACCAGCTCAAGGTTGACCGAGTAATCCTTTACATGATCTTCCTTCCAGACCAAGTGTTGCAGGTTGAATTGTGCCCTCCCAAAAGACATGCTGAAGGCCTAACCCCTGGTATCTGTGAATGCGACCTTACTTGGAAATAGGACCTTCCTAAATATAATCAAGTAAAGGTGAGGTCATACTGGATGAGGGTGGGCCGGCTTAACTAGAACCCTCATAAGACAAGGGGAAGATGCACAGACACACAGAGAGGTACACGACCATGGGAGGACAATGGCAGACTGGAGGGATGGGATTGCATGACAAGAAATACCGGGCATTGCTAAAACCATCAGAGAGGAGACAGGCTTGGAACAATCTCCCTCGAAACCTACAAGGGGAACCAACTCTGTGAAGAGGTGGATTTCAGGTTTTTAGCCCCAGATTTGGGAAAAAATCCATTTTGGTTGTTACAAACCATCCAATTTATGAAACTTTGTTTGGGAAGCCCCAGGAAACGAATATACCAAGTGCTGCAGACTGAACGTCTAGGTTTCTCTGAAAATTCACACGTTGAAACCTTCATCCTAAGGTGATGTGGAGACAGGGAATTGGAGAGGTCATTAGGTCATGAGGGTAGAGCCTTCATAAATGGACTCAGTGGCCTTAGAAAGGAGACCCCAGAGAGCTCCCTTGCCCCTTCCTTCATGTGGACACAGCAGGAAGACAGGCTGTGAACCAGGAAGCAGGGTCTCACCTGACACTGAAACTACCGGTGCCTTGGCCTTGAATATCCCAGCCACCAGTACATTTCCATTGTTTATAAGCCACCTGGTCAATGGTGTTTTGTTATAGCAACCCAAACAGACGAAGACACCAATGAATCAATTTAATAGCAAAATACGTGCAACAATAGGCACGTGACCGCAGGATCCACTGCTCTGACCATGTACTTCATATACTTTCCACACAGAAGCAACTGGCCTATGAGAACAGTGAATGGCCTGTGGAAAACTGAGCCAAGATCAGTCAATGGCCAACATATGGTGCCACGTTCCCAACAGCTAGAGTAAGTGCATCTGAGAAGTCAGGGGTGGAAGTGGGATTGATCCTTCTCCCCATCACTTCCAGGAACCCCTTTTGGAGTCTGTGCTTTCTGTCCCTGTCAACACAGGCTCTGCTTGGTTAAAAGGCCTGGTTCCAGGGGAAACTGCGTCCCCAGGGTGACAGGACAAAGTAAGGGCTCTGTGGAAACGTAAAGGTCAACTCCCACCCGGCTCAAGTGAACTCACAAGGAAAGCAAGGACTTACTGCCCTTATGGATTACTGCTGGGAACTTGGGGTGCTGCCACACCACGCACACAGAGGGAATGTGTCTGAAATATTAACTGCCATGTTAGGAACTTTGACTACTGGGGCTGGGAGTTGGCAGGTTAAATTCTTCTCTCTTCCTCTCTCCTATCTCCCTGCACTGACTCCCCTGAGACCAAGTGGTGCTTGGCTACTCTGAGTGTGGCCTGTGAGACTTAAAGGATGGCCCTTGATACTGAGTAGTGGCCAATGTGGGGATGCATCTCCTATTTGTCCTCCCCCAATCCAACCTCCCTCCTATTCTCCCCAACTCCTGCCAGCCTGGGCTTGTCCTCCCTGATCAAGTATCCCATGTATACTTTGGCTTCAGCCTTTGCTTTCCCAGAAACCCAGGTCAAACCAGCATAACATGGCGAGGAGGGCATGCAATCCTGGAGACAGAAGCGGTGTAAGGGTTCAATGTTCTGCAGATGAGGACTTCAGCAGTTTATATTAATATAAAATCTTGCTTTCTTTCTACCCACAACGAACTCATATTTCAGGAGTGACATTTTGAAGGGATATTATGTTATCGGTGGTTCATATATCTTCCTCTAGATCTTAGCCACTCCTCATTCCCTTGTCCCCACCCAGGCTTCCAGGACACTGTTTCCAGCACAAACTTTGATGACAGCAAGTCCTCACTTACCTGGAAGTTGACATAATCTTCCTTCAATGAGAGGTGACTGAGGGATGCTGTGTTGGAAATTGAGGAGGAAGGAGCTGTGGTGTCATACTGACAATGCCAGTCAGAGCCAAGGCAGCCCACTCACACCTCTCTGGGACCCACAGGGCAGCTGCAAACCAAAATTCAAAAAGGACAAGTTGGGCCGTCAAGCCCCAGACAGCCAGGTATACCTCATGCTAAAGCTTATGATCTTGTCTGCGGAAAGAATATGGTTTTCTAGGTTAGAATTCCAACCCTTCCAGGTTAGAATCCAGCATCTGACCTTTATGAGCTGTGTGACCCTAGGCAAGCTCCTCAACCATTCTTATTTAGGCAACCTTTTTC
Organism: Homo sapiens; assembly: GCF_000001405.40. Classification (NCBI taxonomy): domain Eukaryota; kingdom Metazoa; phylum Chordata; class Mammalia; order Primates; family Hominidae; genus Homo; species Homo sapiens. The sequence continues at coordinate 50,861,532 of NC_000007.14, forward strand.
ACAGAGGTGATTTGAGCTTTAATGAGATGATATATGGAGAGCACCTGACACACACGAATAACTTAAGAAATATAAATGCCCTCTTCAAACAGGAGTGGGGTGGAAACATCAAGGAGTATTATGGATTGTATCCAGAAACCAGAAATAAGGATGAGTTCTTAGACATTAGACCAGATGATATCTGCCTCCCACTGCTATCATGCGAACGAGCATATTATTCACGGAGCCCATTGCCTGATACTTGATAAGTAGATGCTCATTGCTGTTATCCAATGGTGAATTCTCTCACAGTCCTGCATAAAAGTATGCAATGAACAGGGAGCCCTGTGGCTTGCTGAGCTGGTGCAGATCAATAGGACAGGTTCAAGTCCTCCTCTTCCACTATGGCCATGATGCATTATAAAGAACCATTGGAAAAAGACTTGGAGGAAATCGTGTCAGCTTGAGCACACCCTTATCAAATCAGAACAGCGGGACAGACCCTGTGAAGTAGGAAGGTAGAGTCAGACCCTCGGGGACCAATCCTGGAGCCTTAGGTTTCTAGCTTTGTAAACTTGGGTAAATTACTTAACCTTTCCCTTCAATTTCCTCATCTGTAAAATAAACATGACTTCCACCTCATGGGTGGTTGTGAGGATTAAATGCAAGAAATAGACATGAAGTCACTGGAAGAGTAGAGGGTCCACGGTAGCCTTTTAGGAGGCAGATGGTGCAACTCTGTTAACGGAGAGAAGGATGAAGTTTTGTGGAATCTACTGGAAGGAAATGAAGATCCTTCACAAATCCCCTCAAAATTTTCAAAATTGATGGTTTAGACATCCAAGTTTCCTCTCTGGTTCTTTAGCTGAAAGTTGTCTGAAATAATATGATCTCATAGCTCCTGAACATAGTTGATGGGATCTGTTTTTCATGACACTGTGTCCATTTGCATCCTCCAAGATGTGAAAAAGCATTTGGTAATATTCTCCCCTGCAGGTTTCCTGAAATGTAGATAGACTCTGCCAGCAGGGGTGTGATGGACGGTAAGCCACACCAAGGACACTGGCCATCTGTATTAATCAGGTCCTTTTCTTTCTGAGATTTTTGATACTTTGACATCTGGGGTTTTGGTGACTCTCAACTACCCTTCCCAGGGCTAGATGGAATGACTTCCTGCCTTGCATATGCAAACCAACCAGGCCAGAACCCTTATCTTCTTTATGGAGACCTTCTTTATCGAGCTCTTACACTCTGGTCCACTATGTACCTGTCCTCATCCCCCAGGTCAGGTACCAGGCAATTAAGGGCAATTAAAATCTATGCCTCAGGGTGGATCACTTGAGGTCAGGAGTTCAAGACCAGCCTGGGCAACATGGTGAAACACCATCTGTACTAAAAATACAAAACTTAGCCAGGTGTGGTGGCACATGCCTGTAGTCTCAGCTACTCAGGAGGCTGAGGCACGAGAATCACTTGAACCCAGGAGGCGGAGGCTGCAGTGAGCCGAGATTGCACCACTGCACTCCAGTTTGGGTGACAGAGCGAGACTCCGTCTCAAAAAAAAAAAAAAGATTCTATGCCTCAGAATCTGTTGAAAAATTTCAAAGTAGCCAATCCTAAGCCACTTGTTTTTCTGGTTCCTTCCTGTGGAAACCACACCAAAGGCCCCTGCCCACACTTCCCCAGCTCCTTTGGCCTCCTGGTGGACCCTGGTTCTTCCCCATGTGACCTGCATGGTGTGTCATGCTTCCGGCTTCTAGGAAACTCTGAGTATCAATATCTTCCTTCATGACAGTCATTTCAATGTCTATATGTCTTACCTGATTTACCCTTGTGACACATTAATTAGCTTCTCTGCCCTTTAGGGACAGAAGGGCACATATATAATTAAAGTGAAACTAAGAAAACCATACTTTGTGGAACAGCCAGACATTTCAATTACATTCTGCTTCCAAGTGCCAAACATCACAGCTGAGACTCAGGTCTACAGAGACCCCTGCATCTTTATCACCTTTCAATATCTTGTCTACACTGGCATGTGTTGATGGCTCCCTAAGCTGGCTCTCCCACTGGCTGCAAGCTTCTTGAGGATAAAGTTCCTAGTTTTATTCAATTTCTGTCTTCCTTATGTTGTAGAGAGTCCAATACTCAATAGGCCCAGAATGCATGGTTATGAAATGAATGATTGGAAGACTACGGTTCCATTGCTCTGGTGTCACGCCCACCCCAAGCCCTGATGAATGTGTCACCATCATTGCAGATAAGTCTATTAGTCTGCTCCGGCTGTGGGGTATAATCAAAAGTATGTTTGGTCTCTGTCCCAGGTTCCTGTCCCACAGCTCCTTGAACTCTGGAAATTGCCTGAGTGATGAGTGTCTCTTGTTATTCATAATGAGCCCCTTTGGCTAACACTCAGGTGTTAGCCAAAGGCATAATGCTCAGGCGGTGATTTGGGGTGGGGTCCCTATGTAGCCTCAGGCTGGGACCAGTCACTCAAAAGACCAAGTGATCAGAAAAATAGAGGGTTGGAACTTTCAGCCCCATCCACCAACTTCCAAAAAGTTGGGGGAGCTGGAGATTAAGGTCAATAAAAACTCTTGAACAATGATGTTTGAGGAGCTTCTGGATTGGAGAATACATCCCTGTGCCGAGAGGATAGTGGACTCCCACTCCACGAGGACAAATGTTTCTGCACTCAGGACCCTTCCAGACCTTGCCCCATGTACCTCTTTATTCCAGTGGCTATCTTTATCCTTTATAATAAATCAGTAAACATAAGTTAAGTGTCTCCCTGAGTTCTGTGAGCCATCCTCCTAAATTATTGGACCCATGAGGGCAGTCATGGGAACACTAATTTATAGCATGTTGGTCAGAAGCACAGGTCACAGCCTGGGCCTTGTGATTGGCATCTGAAGCCGGGTTGGGGCGGGGTGGGGACAGCCCTATGGGACTGAGCCCTTCTCCCATGGGATCTGATGCTGTCTCCAGGTAGATAGAATGGAACTGAATTGTAGGACATCCATTTGGTGTCCACTGGATAATTGCTTGGTGTGTAGGAGAAAACCCCACACACCTGGTCACAGAAGTGTTCTGTGTTGTGAGAGGATAGGAGCAAACAGTGCGCATTCCTCAGAGGCTGCTGCAACAAAGTCCCCCTAAGTGGGTACACTTAAACAACAGACACTTATCTTCTCACAGTTCTGGAGGCTTAGAAGCCCACTGTCAAGGTGACAGAAAATTGTTTCTGGTGGGGCTCCTTTCCTGGCCTGTGATGCCCCCTTCTCACCACTATGTCCTCCCATGGCCTTTCCTCTGGGTTCCTGCAGTGAGAGAGAGTGCTCTGCGTCTCTTCCTTTCTCACAAGGACTGCAGTGCTATTGAATCAGGGCCCCCCCTTGATGACCTCATTAACCTTAATTGCCTCCCTAAAGGCCCTACTGCCAAATACACAGTATCCTCAGGGATTAGGGCTTCAACGGATGCATGGGGATGGAGTGCAATTCAGTCCACAGCAATAAGGAATCAAGAGACGGTTTGCAGTCCCAGAGCTGTAACATGCTGGTGGGTCGTGCTCATTTGTTAAGAGTGGCAAAGTTTGATGCTAGTAAAGCACCAAAGTTTGTGGATGATTTACTAACAAACAACTAGAATAGCCCCTCCATCACATCCCATCATTAACCTGCATACCGTGATATACTCCTGGGTTACAGAAGCTGCCTCTGGAATTGTGTATAACTTTATAAAACTTCATATTGCCCAAGGCAGGGGGTCCTGTAAGGAAGCGTCATCACATGTCGTGGCGGATACAATATTGAGATCTCCAGGCTTAGCAGACCACGAGTGCTGCGTGCTTCGCGATGGAAACAGGTGTGAACCTGAGATGGCAGTGATCACATGAGTGGGGGCCTGTTGATGCAAATGTTGAGTCAGCTACTTGGACACTGTTCGTTTTTAGCAGGGTATTCCTCACAGCATGCTAATTGTCATTATTATTCTTGTCAATGTTTTTTTGGCTAAGGAAATAACAAGGAAGCAGATTCTGAAATTGGACACAGGATTGGTAAAAGTCCTGTGCACATTGGCAGGTACAGCAATGGGACTTTCCAAACGCTCTTTCTACACAAATTCTCTTGCCAGCTCAGCGCTTTGAATAGGACGTATCCTGAGGGAATGTTTCCCAGATCCACAGGGAGTGGCCCTGGTACGTTCTAGTATATGGAGCTAGATTGCTCCCTTTAAAATAGTTGTTTTGAATTAGAAATAGCCTTATGTGCTAACATGATACTAATACCTTTGATATCTCTGTATTTCTGTTACTATTTTATTTCCAGAAACATAATTCAAACCTTTTACTTGTTTAGTTTTCCACTGCAATTTACTGATAAAGTATGCTGGCTAAATTGCTTATGGTTTATGTTTTACAGTGACTAACTTTCTAGCTCCTAAGAGCGTTGGTATTATTGCAGAAAAACCTATAGCACAAAGGGCCTGAGCTTCCATTGGGAATCTTGGGGTAGGTATCTTAACCTCTCAAAATTATGCTGACCTCATATGTATTGGATAAACAATTATTCATTTTCTCACTCAACTCACACATTTATTTATTAATGCAAGGAGTTTCCATTGTATCTATCGATAACCCACTGTCATCCACTACCTTTGACTCCATTCATTTCTATAAGGAGAACAGCCACAAGGGTTCTCAAATTCTTTGTAGTGAAAGATCAGTTTGATTTTTATTTTTGACTCATTGCAGATTAATCTTTTTATAAAGTAAAATAGAAATAAATTACTAAAAAAAGATGCAAATGATAAATCCCAACTTCTAATTATTAGGTTCAACATACATTCAATAGGTATAATTACCATAACTATGCCACAATTGCTCTGAAAGTTTCTGAACATTGTCAATATACATCTCAATTGCAGCTTGGTAACTGATGGTTTGGATATTCATCCCCTCTAAATCTCATGTTGAGATGTAATCTCCTGTGCTGGAGGTGGGGCCTGGTGGGCGGTAGTGGATCATGGGGGTGGACCCCTCACGAATGGCTTAGCACCATTGTCTTGGTGATGAGTGAGTTCACGTGAGAGCTGGTTGTTTAAAAGTGTGTGGCACCTCCTCTCTCTATCTCTTGCTCCCTTTTTTGCCATGGGACGTGCCTGCTTCTCCTTCACCTTCTGCCACGATTGTAAATTCCCTGAGGCCCGCACCAGAAGCAGATACCAGCGCCATGCTTCCTGTACAGCCTGCAGAACTGTGAGCCAATTAAACCTCTTTTCTTTATAAGTTACCCAGCCTCAGGTATTTCTTTACAGCAACCCAAGAAGGTGTAATACAGTAGCAAAGAGTTCCTGGACCAGCGTCGATTCCGCAGACTACACTCTGAGTAGCCCTGGAGAAGAGAGATCCTTCTGTGGACTTCCCATCACAGCAAACAGCAATACTGTGCTCCAGCCAAAACCCATGGTGCCGTCCTGGGCAAATTTGGCTTTCTCAGGTTGGTCCTAAGTTGGACCTGGGGGCAAAAATTAAGGAGGCTGTCAGTTATTAATGAGGTCTCACTGTTTGGGACTGATTGTTGCACTGGCTATTGTTTGGCTTTTTTGGCTGGTTGCTAGAGCCCTGGGGCTGGCTTCCCGGGCAGGTTGCTGGGGGATGTGGGTCAGATTCTATTTTTATAGATGGTCTGGCCATTGTCATTTGTATATTCAGTCTCTCAGCGGGGATGAGGGTGGGGGCAGAGTCTACCATACGCTCTCCCCGACCCCAAGGTTTTGTCTTCTTTTAAGTTGTATCACACATGCCTGCATCAGTTGCATTACATAATGACAAAAGAAATAACATTATACAGCAGTCAATGCTTCCAGATATGCTAGCATAAGCCCCAAACTATTAATATATGTTTTAGTTTGTTTGGACTGTTATGAAAAATCTCTGTTGTTTACAAACAACAGAAAATTATTTTTTTGCCCTTCTGGTGGTCGGAAAGTCTCGGATTCGTTCAGGTGTCCGCTGAAGGCTGCTTCCAAGGGGCGCCTGTTGCTGCCCTTCCCGGGAGTGAGCGCCGTGTCTTCCGTCCTGCGGCGGAAAGCAAAGGGGGCAAACTCTGTGTAGCCTACTTTATAAGGGCTATGATCCCATTCAGAAGGGACTGTGAATCCCACCCATGACCTAGTCACCTCGTAGAGGCCCCTAAAGCTCATATAAAAGGCAGCACGGGTGCAGGAACACAGCTTCCAGGGGCGCAGGGGATGGCCTGGCTTCTGTGAACTGACTGGCGAGATGAGGCTTTTTGGATGAAGGATTCTAAGATGTATCTCTTTCGAAAAGAGCACGGTTGAGACTGAGACGCACAATACCTGACTGGCTAAGTATGGCAGTGGGCTGGGGTGGCAGTGGTCGCAGGGCTTTAGGTCTTGACACGATGGGGAACCGCGGCAGCAGATGCAGCAAAGGCAGTGAGGCCAACCGAGTCTCTGGGTCTGCAGCCGGGAAGCTCTTGCCTTCTTGGGCAGCAGGTCTGTCTCCTTGGTGCTGGGAGCCTCCTCTATGAGATGGGGCTCCATAATGTGGCTCTACGTTCCCTTTCTCCTCCAGTGTGGAAAAAAAATCCCTGCGTGACACACATTTTTTTCCATATTGGAAGAGAAAGGGAATGCAGACCCATACTGCCTGTGTGCCACACACCATTTGCAAATTAGTAATAACTGTGATATGCACTCATTCACTGAGGGTGCTTTGGACCTCTCTCCCACTCTCCATGAGTGGATGCTACATTTTTCCATAATCTACTGGATCTGCCATTTCCTAGGGACTTGCCTTTTTCCCACAAAACAGAGTTGAGGCAAAGGAAAAGCCAGCCCAGGTAGAAGAGGCAACAAAGGCAAGGGGTGGGGATCCGCATCATGATTTCAGGGAACAGCAAACGTTCCATGGGACTGGAGCCCTGAGTCTGTGAGGAGAAATGAACAAGTCTACCACAGTCATCCAGAATGAGAGGCAAAATTATGTCACAAAAGGTGTGAGTGGGAAAACTGGGCCCAGCGGCAGATTATTCCAGGAAGGGATTGTGCCTTTGTATGTCTCTGCAATGCTAACCTCAATGCCAGTTCCTCAGAGTGTTACAGACATTTGCCATGCATCTGTTACTCAAGTGCTCTGCTCAGAGAGGGTCAGTCTTAAGCCCCCAGGAGCATCCTGTTGTGAATCGGTTCACACTTCTTTGAGATGGGCAAGAGGGAAATGTGATGTATAGGGAGAAGAGGGGTGGAGGAGAGGTTCATTCCCCTAGAGAAGCTGATGGAGACAACCCAAGCTTTAAATAAATCAACTCTGGTCCTTTAAACAAGAAAAGGGGATTTCATTACTATGTTGGTCAGCTGGAGACAGCCCTGGGGCAGAATATGTAACCTATTAAAGAAACAAAACCTCTTGTAAATGCCCTTAAAGCCAACACAGTTCTGTTTAATTCAAATAAATTCTCTTTATCTCTCTAAAAGGGCTTTCTAAAAACTTCAAGCTTATACTTTAATAAAGTTAAATCATTTATATGTAGAGAAATGCAACATTTCATTGCTATAGTACTTTCTATACCTCAGCCTTTTCTTTAATTTAGTCTTTTAATTCAGACTTGCTGAATTCGAATCAACAGCAGAGAGCAGGAACTTTGGAGTCTTATTTACCTGGGGTTCCTCCCCATCTTTCATCTTGGTGGCTGGTCAAGTTAGCCAGCCTCTTGAAGCCTGTGGTTTCCCCTTCTGTACACTGAGGACAATAACAGGACTCATCCCAATGGGCTTGCATGAGGGTCACATGAGGTGATGTGTATTATGCACTCAATGTGCCCAAGACATTTGTGCACGTATTATTATTAAGAACAAACCACAAAGTGGGGTTTACTTTTTGATAGCTTCTTAGTTCTGAGGTAAGTTTATTTCCTTGCTAATATTCCTTTTATCACATATAAAAGAGGTGTGTCTAAATCTCACTGCATCATTATGAAAACATGGCTCACAGTCGAGTCATGTGGGTGGTAGCCAGACACTGTGTCTTTGTTTGGTCATTTAGTGATGCAACCCTTGAAAAATTCTCTCTCTGATAATTCTGTTGGGAACAGTTTCCAAGCCATTAAAATGTTATTCTTCCAAATCCTCCTGCATCGGCAACGGGAAAAAAGACAAAATGCAGTGTCATTTGGGCTTTGCCTAAAATGAATTGAATCCTCCTCAGCAACAGATAGAGTGTGAAATTGATCATGAATTTTCTGAAGTCAGAGTCGTGACTTGCTGATGACATGTGTCACGAATGCAGGTAGAGGGATATCTCCTTAGCATAATTTTCATGGGTTTGGAACTGGAGGTAACTTCTACAGGTGACTGGAGCAGGAATTTACACCTGCAGGGACCAAGGGAAAAGATTTTTTCAGCAAATGAGTGACTATTGATACTTCAGAAAAAACATTTACCTGAGAGAGTTAAGCATTTTGCAGATATTTATTTACATAGAAGTAGTTGGAAATTAATTACAAATAATCCTTATCTATTTTTAAAGCAGTTCCACTAGGGAGAAAACTTGAAAGTCTCGTACAAGGTTATTCTATGCACAGGATAGAAATTTGGAGCCAAAAGAACAAATTAATCCATCCTCCTAATTTTGCAGATGGGAGAAGGCAGGAAATAGGAACCCTGTCTTGGATCATAGAAGTGGTGGTGACCAATGAGGGCCTAGAACAGGGACAGCAAACAGGCTTCTTCTCTGGCCCTGGCTTAGTGGATTGGAAGGGGTTTCATGGACCCCTGTTAGAAGGATATGCACCAAGGACATGACAGCATAAGGGCAACCATGGGGGGCCATTCCTGGACCACTGTCTAAATTACCTATGTTAACTAACCAACATTTATTATACACCAACTGTATGCTTTATCTAATTTTTTTCAACCATGCATACTCCCCCTAAAGGTATGAATTCATAGTCCAGTATAATCATGGCATATCTTCCTAGAGCTTCAATTTTACTTGGTGGGTAGATAATTTACAATGAAAATTTTCTATGAAAGCAAATGGACTAGAAAGCCAAATTCATGTGAACAATAAAACATGCAAGTTAGGGACATGTTATGGTTGTAGTTTTAGACTCTGCTCCTGGGCTTCCCTGTGTAATCCACTCAGAGATATTTTGGCAGAAAAATTTGAGAAGTGGATCCAGATAAAGTAGTTGAAGTTTATTCCTGGAGTCACACATCCTGGAAGGGGTGGCATGGAGGTCTGTGTAACTGAAGAACTGTTGTGCTTTCTGTTACAGAGTCCAGAGTGAAGGGAGGAAGCCTTGAGTTTAAAATCAAGGGCACTGGAACCAGATCAGAGGGGAAGGCAATATTATGGTCTGCCTACTGTGAGGCAGCCACAGCAGAGACTTGAGTATAAATTCAACACAACCATTTTCAACACGTCTCTGAACATGGAGCCCCCTTAAGGTCACATGGCCTACCCACCTTTATAAAGCCTACAAAGACCCTGGATCTCCTAAGAATATAGGGTTTGTTTTGCTGGAGAACAGAAAAGACAGAAGTAGGGGGTGATGTTTAAGTATAGTTTTAAAAACATCATGGGAGACATCAAATGCCTGGCAGAGCCCAAGATATTCTAAGCATTTCTTTGTTTCTGTCTCTCCTTTTTGGCTGGCTTGGACATGCCAGGTTTCACTATATTTGGAGACAGCTAGTTGAGTTCTTCCGGGGTCCCTATGATAACTGGGTGGGCAGCCACAGAACTCCAGATTCCTCTGTTGTGATGGAGGTACGGGAGGGCATCTCTCGCTGTGAAATGCTAGGGCAAGAATTCCACAAAGAGAATTTGTCTATTATTGACGCCTTGTATGTCTCCATAGAGAGGTGTGTTGCTCGGGGAATGTGTCAGCCAAGAACCTAAGGTCACTTGGATAAGCAACCAAAGAAATCAGACGGGTACACATCAGAAGGATGTGGGTAGAAGAGAATAGTTAGTACCAACTGTGAACCCAGGATATCTGAGAGAGGTCTCAATCAATTTATAAAGTTTATTTTGCCAAGGTTAAGGACGTGCCCACGACACAGCCCCAGGAATTTCTGACGACATGTGCCCAGGGTGTCTGGGGTACAGCTTGCTTGAATACATTTTAGAGAAACATGAAATATCAATCAATATGCGTAATATGTACATTGGTTCTGTCTGGAAAGGTGGGACAGGGCCAGGGCAGTGCCAGGTCACATTCTTTTGAGTCCTTGATCAGCCTTTCCCTGAATACACAGTTTAGCCTGGCTCGGTGAATCTGTATTTTCACATAAACAATAGGGCAGAGGAAGCAATCAGATATGCATTTGTCTCAGGTGAGCAGAGGGATGACTTTCTGTCCTGCATCTGTGAAGATAAGCTGTCAGTTTACATTGCCAGGGTGAAATTCAACAGAACTGTTTTAGGGATGAAGGTCTCGAGGCCCACATGAGTTTCCTTGTGGGTAAATTGCGAGGGAGATATGTAGCTTTAAAAAATATATATATATATTTGTAGCTATCTTACTTAGGAATAAATTGGGAGGCAGGTTTGCCTGATGTAGTTTCCAGCTTGACTTTCCTCTTGATTTAGTGATTTTGGGGTCTGAGATTTATTTTCCTTTCACACAACTATAAATATTTGATTTAGAAAAGTGGTTCTTGAGCATAGGGGCTAAGATGGCCTAGTAGAAACAGCTGCAGTCAGAGGCTCTCACTGAGAAGAATGAAAATGGCGAGCGAATCCTGAACCAGCAACTGAGGAATCCTGGGACTGACTATGCGGTTGGTGCAACTCATGGAAAGCGAGGAAAAGCAGGGTGGAGCCATGCCCACCTGGTAGTCATATGGGGCAAGGGGAGCCCCCACCCTCAGCCAAGAGAAGCATTGGGTGATTGTGCTACCCCACCTGGGAAACCACTCTTTTTCCATAAATCTGTGCAACCCACAGATCAGGAAATCCCCCTCATGAGCCCATGCCACCAGGGCCTTGGGTCCCAAGCACAGAGCTGTGCAAATTCTCTGCTGCCACTAGGCTGGAGACTGCTTAAGACTACAAGTTCCTGGAGGGAAGGGCGGTGGCCTTCACTACAGCTACAGTCTGCCATTATTCCCTGCTTCTTCTGGGGAGACTGAGCAGTTTGGACCCAGGAGGAATTCCCCACAGCACAGCACAGTGGCTGTGGCAGATCATGGCCAGACTGCCTCTTTAGGCTGGACTGTGACCCAGCCCTCCTCGCTGGGCGGGGCCTCCCTGCAGGAATTTCAGCTACCCCAGCCAGGGGTTTACGGACAGAATTCTGATCTCCCTGGGACTGAGCTCCTGTGGGGAGGGGGCCACACTCTCGGCAGATCAGCAGATTTAGTCTTTCCCCCTGCTGGCTCTGAAGAATCTGGGGAGTTCAGACAAGCGGGACTCCCCCCAGCGCAGCACACCCCCTCTGCTAAGGGGCAGCCAGAGTGTTTTGTTAAGTGGGTCCTGGATTCTGTGCCTCCTGACTAAGTGAGAACCCACAACAGGGGTTGCCAGGCACCTTATACGGGAGCCTTCCCACTGGGATAGGTCTGGCGCCCTTTTGGAAGGCAGCTCCCTGAAGAAAGAGCAGGCAGCCATCTTTGCTGTTCTGCAGCCTCCACTGGTGACATCTCTAGGTGTGGGAGGGACCCAGGCGAATAGGGTCTGGAGTGGATTTCCAGCAAACTGCAGCAGCCCTACAGAAGAGAGGCCTGACTGTTAAAGGAAAAACAAATAAACAGAAAGCAACGACAACAACAGCATCAACAAAAGAAGTCTCCACAAAACCCCATCCAAAGGGCAGCAGCCTCAAAGATCGAAGCTAGATAAATTCATGAAGATGAGAAGGAATCAATGAAAACCACTGAAAACTCAAAAAGCCAGAGTGCCTCTTCTCCTCTAAATGATCACAACACCTCTCCGGCAAGGGCACAGAACTGGGTGGAGGCTGAGATGAATGAATTGACAGAAGTAGGCTTCGGAAAGTGGGTAATAACGAACTTTGCTGAGCTAAAGGAGCATGTTCTAACCCAATGCAAATAAGCTAAGAACCATGATAAAATATTACAGTAGCTGTGAACCAGAATAACCAGTTTAGAGAGAGGAATATAAATTACCTGATGGAGCTGAAAAACACAACACAAGAACTTCACAATGCAACCACAAGTATCAATAGCCCAATAGACCAAGTGGAGGAAAGAATTTCAGAGCTTGAAGACTGTCTTGCTGAAATAAGATAGGCAGACAAGATTAGAGAAAAAAGAATGAAAAGGAATGAACAAAACCTCTGAGAACTACAGGATTATGTAAAAAGACTGAACCTACGACTGATTGGGGTACCTGAAAGAGACGAAAAGCATGGAACCAAGTTGGAAAACATACTTCAGGATATCATCCAAGATAACTTCCCCAACCTTCCAAGACAAGCCAACATTCAAATTCAGGAAATCTATAGAACCCCAGTAAGATACTCCATGAGAATATCAACCGCAAGACACGTAATCATCAGATTCTCCAAGGTTGAAATGAAGGAAAAAATGTTAAGTGCAGCCAGAGAAAAAGGCCAGGTCACCTGAAAAGAGAAGCCCATCAGACTAACAGCAGACCTCTCAGCAGAAACCCTATAAGCCAGAAGAGATTGGGGGCCGATATTCAGCATTCTTAAAGAAAAGAATTTCCAAATCAGAATTTCATATCTGGCCAAACTAAGCTTCATAAATGAAGGAGAAATAAAATCTTCTTCAAGCAAGCAAATGCTGAGGGAATTTGTCACCATCAGGGCTGCCTTGCAAGAGCTTCTGAAGGAAACACTAAATATGAAAAGAAAAAACCATCACCAGCCACTACAAAGCACACTGAAATACAAAGACCAATGACACTATGATGAAACTACATCAATGAGTCTGCAAAATAACCAGCTAGCATCATGATGACGGGATCAAATTCACACATAACAATACTAACCTTAAATGTAAATGGGTTAAATGCCCCAATTAAAAGACACAGAATTGCAAGCTGAAGAACTAAGATGTATCATATGCTGTATTGAAGAGACCTATCTCATGTGCAAAGACACACATACGGTCAAAATAAAGGGATGGAGGAAAATTTACCAAGAAAGTGGAAATTAGAAAAGAACAGGGGTTGCAATCCTAGTTTCTGATGAAATAGACTTCAAAACAACAAAGATCAAAAAAGACAAAGAAGGGCATTATGTGATGGTAAAGGGTTCAATTCAACAAGAAGAGCTAACTATCCTAAATATTAATGGACCTAATACAGGAGCACCCAGATTCATAAAACAAGTTCTTAGATACCTACAAAGAGACTTCAACTCCCACACATAATAGTGGGAGAGTTTAACACCCCACCATCAATATTAGAAAGATCATCAAGACTAAAGATTAACAAGGATATTCAGGACTTGAACTTAGCTCTGGATCAAGTGAAACTGATAGATAAATATAGAACTCTCCACCCTAAAACAACAGAATGTACATTCTTCTTGGTGCCACATGGCACTTACTCTAAAATTGATCACATATTTGGAAGTAAAATACTCCTCAGAAAATGCAAAAGAACTGAAATAATAACAAACACCCTCTTAGACCACAGCGCAATCAAATTAGAACTCAAGATTAAGAAACTCACTCAAAACCACACAACTACATGGAAATTGAACAACCTGCTCCTGAATGACTCCTGGGTAAATAATGAAATTAAGGGACAAATCAAGAAGTTCTTCGAAACCAATGAGAACAAAGAGACAACATACCAGAATCTCTGGGATACAGTTAAATTGGTGTTAAGAGGGAAATTTATAGCACTAAATGCTCACATCAAAAGGCTAGAAAGATCTCAAATTGACGTCCTAACATCACAACTAAAAGAACTAGAGAATCAAGAGCAAACAAACCCCACAGCTAGCAGAAGACAAGAAATAAACAAGATCAGAGTGGAACTGAAGGAGATAGAGAAAAACCATCAAAAAAATCAGTGAATTCAGGAGCTGGGTTTTTTTTTTTTTTGGAAAAAATAAATAAAATAGACTTCCAGCTAGATTAATAAAGAAGAAAAGAGAGAAGAATCAAATAGACACAATAAAAATGATAAAGGGGATATCACCACTGACCTCACAGAAATACAAACAACCATCAGAGAATACTATAAATACCTGTATGCAAATACACTAGCAAATATAAAAGAAATGGATACATTCCTGGACACATACATCCTCCCAAGACTGAAACAGAAAGAAGTAGAATCCCTGAATAGACCATTAACAAGTTCTGAAATTGAGACATTAATAAAAAGCCTAACAACAACAACAATAACAACAAAAAGCCCAGGACTAGACAAATTCTACCAGAATATAGCTGAATTTTTCCAGAGGTACAAAGAGGAACTGGTACTATTTCTTCTGAAACTACTCCAAACAATTAAAAAGGAGGGACTCCTCCCTAACTCATTTTATGGGGCCAGCATCATCCTGATACTAAAACCTGGCAGAGACACAACAAAAAAGGAATACTTCCAGCCAATATGCTTGATGAACATCAATGCAAAAATCCTCAATAAAATGCTGACAAACCGAATCCAGCAGCACATCAAAAGTTTATCTGCCACAATCAGGTCTGTTTCATCCATGGGATGCAAGGCTGGTTCAACATACACAAATCAGTAAACGTAATTCATCACATAAACAGAACTGAAGACAAAAACGACATGATTATCTCAATAGATGCAGGAAGGCCTTCAATAAAATTCAACATCCCTTTATGTTAAAAACTCTTAATAAACTAGTATTGATGGAACATACCTCAAAATAATAAGAAGCATTTATGACAAACGCAGAGTCAATATCATACTGATTGGGCAAAAGCTGGAAGCATTCCCCTTGAAAACTGGCATAAGACAAGGATGCCTTCTCTCACTACTCTTATTCAACGTAGTATTGGAAGTTCTGGCCAGGACAATTAGGCAAGATAAAGAAATAAAGCGTATTCAAATAGGAAGAGAGGAAGTCAAAGTGTCTCTGTTTGTGGATGACATGATCCTATATCTAGAAAACCCTATCATCTCAGCTCAAAAGCTTCTTAAGCTGATAAGCAACTTCAGCAAACTCTCAGTATACAAAGTCAAGGGGCAAAACTCACAAGCATTCCTATACACCAACAATAGACAAGCAGAGAGCCAAGTCACAAATGAACTCCCATTCACAATTGCCACAAAGAGAATAAAATACCTAGGAATACAGCTAACAAGGGAAGTGAAGGACTTCTACAAGGAGAACTACAAACCACTGCTCAAAGAAATCAGAGAGGACACTCTGATGGTAATTTCTTTTGCTGTGCAGAAGCTCTTTAGTTTAATTAGATCCCATTTGCATCAGAGTGAACAGGCAACCTACAAAATGGGATAAAATTTTCGCAACCTACTCATCTGACAAAGGGCTAATATCCAGAATCTACAATGAACTCAAACAAATTTATGAGAAAAAAACAAACAACCCCATCAAAAAGTGGGCAAAGGATATGAACAGACACTTCTCAAAAGAAGACATTTATGCAGCCAAAAGACACATGAAAAAATGTTCACCATCACTGGCCATCAGAGAAATGCAAATCAAAACGACAATGAGATACCATCTCACGCCAGTTAGAATGGCAATCATTAAAAAGTCAGGAAACAACAGGTGCTGGAGAGGATGTGGAGAAATAGGAACACTTTTACACGGTTGGTGGGACTGTAAACTAGTTCAACCATTGTGGACATCAGTGTGGCGATTCCTCAGGGATCTAGAACTAGAAATACCATTTGACCCAGCCATCCCATTACTGGGTATATACCCAAAAGACTATAAATCATGCTGCTATAAAGACACATGCACACGTATGTTTATTGTGGCACTATTCACAATACCAAAGACTTGGAACCAACCCAAATGTCCAACAATGATAGACTGGATTAAGAAAATGTGGCACATATACACCATGGAATACTATGCAGCCATAAAAAATGATGAGTTCATGTCCTTTGTAGGGACATGGATGAAATTGGAAATCATCATTCTCAGCAAACTATCGCAAGGACAAAAAACCAAACATCACATGTTCTCACTCATAGATGGGAATTGAACAATGAGGACACATGGATACAGGAAGGGGAACATCACACTCTGGGGACTGTTGTGGGGTGGGGGAAGGGGGGAGGGATAGCATTAGGAGATATACCTAATGCTAAATGACGAGTTAATGGGTGCAGCACACCAGCATGGCACATGTATACATATGTAACTAACCTGCACATTGTGTACATGTACCCTAAAACTTAAAGTATTATAATAATAATAATAATAATAATAAAGAAATCAGAGGGGACACAAACAAATGGAAAAACATTCCATGCTCATGGATAGGAAGAATCAGTATCTTGAAAATGGCCATGACGCCCAAGGCAATTCATAGATTCAATGCTATTCTCATTAAACTACCATTGACACTCTTCACAGTACTAGAAAAAAACTATTTTGAAATTCATATGGAACAAAAAAGGAGCCTGTATAGTCAAGACAATCCTAAGCAAAAAGAGCAAAGCTGGAGGCATCACACTACCAGACTTCAAACTATACTACAAGGCTACGGTAACCAAAACAGCATAGTACTGATATAAGAACAGATGCATAGACCAATGAAACAGAATGGAAATCTCAGAAATAAGACTGCACATCTACAACCATCTGGTCTTCAACAAACCTGACAAAAGCAATGGGGAAAGGATTCTCGATTAAATAAATGGTGCTGGGATAACTGGCTGGCCATATGCAGAACATTGAAACTGGACTCCTTCTTTTCACCTTATACAAAAATTAACTCAACATGGATTAAAGACTTAAATGTAAAACCCAAAACTATAAAAACCCTAGAAGAAAATCTAGGCAATACCCTCTTCAGGACATAGGCACAGGAAAAGATTTCATGATGAAAATGTCAAAAGCAATTGCAACAAAAGCAAACATTGACAAATGGGATCTAATTAAACTAAAGAGCTTCAGCACAGCAAAAGAAACAAGCATCAGAGTGAACAGACAACCTACATAATGGGAGAAAATGTTTGCAATCTATCCATCTGACAAAGGTCTAATATCTAGAATCTACAAGGAACTTAAACAAATTTACAAGAAAAAAACAAACAACCCCATGAAAAAGTGGGCAAAGGACATAAACAGACACTTTTCAAAAGAAGTCATTTATGTGGCCAGCAAACATAAGAAAAAAAGCTCAACATCACTGATCATTAGAGAAATGCAAATCAAAATCACAATGAGATACCATATCATGCCAGTCAGAATGGCAATTATTAAAAAGTCAAGAAAGAACAGATATTGGTGAGGCTGTGGAGAAACAGGAATGCTTTTACACTGTGAGTGGAAATCTAAATTAGCTCAACCATTGTGGAAGACGGTGTAGTGATTCCTCAAAGACCTGGAACCAGAAATACCATTTGACCCAGCAATCCCATTACTGGGTATATGCCCAAAGGAATATAAATCATTCTATTATAAAGATACATGCACAGTGACATTCATTGCAGCACTATTCACAATAACAAAGACATGAAATCAACCCAAATGCCCATCGATGATAGACTGGATAAAGAAAATGTAGTACATATATACCATAGAATATTATGCAGCCATAAAAAGCCTTTTCAGGGACATGGCTGGAGCTCAAAGCTATTATCCTCAGCAAACTAATGCAGGAACAGAAAACCAAACATTGCATATTCTCACTTGTAGGTGGGAGCTGAACAACGAGAACACATGGACATAGGGAGGGCAACAACACACATTGGGGCCTGTCAGGATGGAGTGAGTGAGGGTTTGGGGGAGGGAGAGCATCAGGAAAAATAGCTAATGCATGTGGGGCTTAATACCTAGGTGATGGGTTGATAGGTGTGCAAACCACCATGGCACACGTTTACCTATGTAACAAACCTGCACATGTATCCTGGAACTTAAAATTAAATTAAATTTAATTAAAAAAAAGAAAGAAAAGAAAAGTGTTTATATTAGTGACCATTAAAATTGCTCAGGTAGCTTTGAGAGATCTCCTGTGCCAGGACTCCATCCCCAGAAATTCTGATTGGATTGTTCCTGAGGGAGGCTCCTGTCATCAGCGCTTTAGAAAAGATTTAGAGGTGATTTGAATGTGCTGGAGGGGCTGAAAACCACAGGTTTAGGGGCTTTCCTTCCAACTAAAAGCAGAAAGAAGCTACTGAAATGCCAACCCTCTCTTCCCAAGGCAAGGAGGCAGTAACTTCAGGAAATGCTAGAAACCTGGGAGACAGACAAGAGAGAGATGCACAACAGTGGGGCACATTGGAAGCTGGGCAAGGGCAGTGGTGCAGGCCTGTCTGCACAACTGTGATAGCCCTGGTGAGCTATCTGGCAGGAGGAGCGGGCTGCAAGTGAGGGCTGCTGGTGAGGGTTGTGGGGGCGAGTGGGGAGTGATGGGCTATGGGGGGCTATGGGGGGCTATGGGCTGAAGGCGGTTCTGAGAAACAAGGATAGGGGGAGCAGGGTATGGAATCCCACATCCCAGGAGCTCTGTGTCCTTCTCCAGAGAGTCTTATAAAACAGAGAAGCTCATTCTTTTCCAGGCAGAGCAGTGGGTGTGGGAAGGGGCTTCACTTACAATCACGCAGAGAACCACCAGTGATCTGGGGAGGGGAGCAACATGGTGTTTCCTTGGTAAAAGAGAAGGACTGAGAATTTGTCCAGAATAACTTGACCTGGTGTGTCAGTTAAGGTTCCACCAGGAAAAGAGAACCAGCAGAATGGATGATAGAGATAGATAGAGATATAGATAGGTGACAGATAATAGACACATATAGGTATTGCTAGATGATAGAGATAGTTAGATGACAGATATAGATAGGTGATAGGTAGATGATAGACAGATAGAGATAGGTGATAGATAATAGAGGATAGATATAGATAGATAAAGATAGATAATAAAAGATAGATGATATATAATAGATGATAGATAAAGATAAGTGATAGAGATAGATGATAGAGAATAGAAGATATAGATAATTATAGATAATAGGTAGATGATAGATAATAGAAGATATAGATAGATGATAGAAGATACAGATAGATGATAGATATAGATAGATGATAAATATATATAAATAGAGATAGTTGATAGGAAGATTAGATAGATGGATATATAGAGAGATTATTGTGTGGCTTATGGTATTATACAAGACTGAAATCTACAGGGCAGGTCGTCAACAAGGATAGGCAACAGCTCTCAGGAGGAACTGAAGCCACAGTCCACAGATGGGATTTTTCTCTGCCTCAGGGAAACCTCGGTTCTGCTCTTAAAGCCTTTCAGTTGATTGGGTATAGCCCTCCTAGATTGTGTAGGGTAACCCTTACCTAAAGTCAATAAACTGTAGCTGACAATCACAATCACATTAACACATAGATTAGTGTTTGATTTTTAACTGGGTAGTAGAACCTAGCCGAGTTGACACAGAAAACTGAGCCTCACACCTGGGTTAGCAGGAAGCTTCATCAAATCCTATAAAATAGCCTTCCTACCCCAAACTTCCCATTTACATCAGTGGCACCACCAGAACCCCAGTTTCTTGGAGTCTTTTCTTCTGGTTCCTTAGCAATATAATTTTCAAGCCATGAACCATCTGTGCAGATTTTCTGGGAATTGCCATTCACACTGAAGCTTTCTCCAAACCTACACTCACCAGCCTCTCAAAGACTCCCAAATCTTTACGCTGAGAATCTCTGCTCTAATCTCATTAACTTTGTACCAAAAAGTAATGAAACACTTTTTTCTTGTATTTCTTCCTGTGTTAAAACAGTCTATCCAGTCTAAATTCCTTGTCCCAGCATCTTAGTTCTTCCATCACTCCTTATTGAACAATTCTGCCCCTTATTCCCCAGCAACTACTCTCCAGCAGCACCTACTTTTGGTCAGATCTTGGCACACCAAGTCTCATTTTCGGCTCTTCGTCCACATTCTTGGTGATCCTTACAATTACTTCTGTCAATCTTGGAGCTGGTATTTATTGAGCGCTTTGCTTCTGGTTTCGTGCTAGGTGCTGAGGAGTTGCCAGCAGAGTGAATGCCTCCCATTGAAGTAAAATATTAGTGTCAATCAAATGTACTGACAACCCAGCCAGGGATGTCTAATGGGAAGTGAAGACAGAATGGTGGAATTTTACGTTAGGCTGAACCTTATGAAACTGTTGATTTTTGGGGTCAAAAACAGTTGAATATAAGCAATTTCATATGGCCTGGGTGAGTTTAGAGTCAGTGGTGACTGAGGGGATGGGGCTGACGGGAGGGTGCTGTCCCATTTGTTTACTTTCCTGTGGCTGGAGCAGAGGTGGCTTCGTGAATAGTGGTTTGAACATGGTGGCTGATGGAAGAGTGGCTGACAGTTGACAAGTGGAAATCTCTAAGCAGGGGTGCTGGTGTTGGTGCAGAGACAGATGGGAACGTTATCACCTGGATCCTTGGGGGAACAGAATTGGCACTGGGTAGAAAAAAGGTACAATGTGCATGGCTATTTATTTTCCTTTGGGGGGCTTTAGATTATTCTGTCTACTTGCTTACTTATTCGTTGCTGTCAATACTAATATGTCATAAACATCCTATTAGCTAATTCTTTGTTCGTATTCACAATTATTTCTTTAAGATGAAAGACTAGCAATGGAATTACTTGGTCCAGCCCTATGAAGCATGGCTTGGCTGTTTGATGTGTGCTGCCGCTTACCCGCCAGAGTGGCCTGGGACATTTGCCTGCCCACTAGCCACGTGTGAGAGGGCTTGTTTCTCCAGCTGTCTTCAACAATATTAGCATTTCATTAATGTGATAAACAAATCATAGTTTATTACTTTTTAAATAATTTTTGAAATTGCTAACATTGCCGAACACTTATTTTGGACTTCTGTATTTTCTTTCTAATCGTACTTTTTTCCAATAGAGGCAGCTTATTTAATACAAAAATGGAATTTTATTTGTAAATTTTTGAAATTTTGTTTGATTTCAAGTGACTTGTTAAGTTCTATGTATTTCCCCCGTCTCTTTTCATTGTTGTTTTCATTATGTAGAAAGCTTATCAGGAAGTGAGAATGCCCTTCCTATTGCCTTCTCTGTGTCCATGTGTTCTCATTGTTCAGTTCCCACTTACAAGTGTAAGGTAAAGTCTGAAAATTGCTTTACAATCCTTATGAAAGTCCACACGTTTACAAAACGTTATCATAACATTGAGCTGATCTTAAAACTACATTAAAATACGCAGAGGGAGAGAAAATTAAAGAGGTAGAGAAAGAAAGAGGGGATCAGAAGGGAGGGTGAGGGAGAGAGAACATGAGCGATCATGATATGGACAGAGACAGAAAGAGAGAGATTGAGATCCTGAGAAACAGAGCATTTCCTTACACATGGAAAAGCAAATGGAATGAATGGGCTATTTGACAGGTGATGCTTGCATAACAGTATCATGACTGCATAGATTCCTGGTTTGGTTTTTGAGGATGAATATTCATTATCCCATGAATTCTATCCATCTGCACTGGCTTTTAAAGTACATCAAATGGGTCTGTAATGGCCCAGATATGAAAGCAAAAGTACAATAGAGACAATTGAGCACACTTAGAGTGTTATTCCCCCTCTAGGGATTTATGCACGTGAATTCCAACTTTCAAAAAGAATATTCTGTCTATTGATCCAAAGTTGCAAACAGAGAACTCTGGAACTGCAACCTGCAGGAAAGAATGAATAGAGTTGACAGAATCTGGGTGAATCCTCTGCCAAATTATAAAAATATTTGCATAAAATCATCTGAATTCTACACTTTTACTCTAAAGAAATAATGGATCTAGTGTAATGTTAGGCAAGAATAGATTATGAAAAGCCTTTAGGACCACCTGCTTATACTTCGGTACCCACAGTGAGAAAGATTTTATCATTTTGAAAGTCAAAGAAATGCTTGTTTCATTTTATTGAAATGTGACACTTGCCTAACTAGAAATGATGAATGATTTTATTGGTCTAGTTAAGAACTGACTTCTTAATGCCGAAAGAGGAACTTCTGAGGATGGTGGCTCTTATAAGAAACAAAATCACATGGATGGGTGAAGTAAAAGTAAGGATATTACAATGTCTCCTCCCATCTTCCTGAGAATTAGGAGAATCCCCAAGACAAGTGAATTAAGAGCGGTGGCATAGTTCAGTCTATGAATATGGGTCCCTAAGAAATTGGATTCATTTCTTATCTGGTCTGGAGGAGAATAGTCATTGTATTGATGATCTCAAGGGGTATGGAATTTTGCCTCAGAGTAATATGGAGAAATGGATTATCTGACCCCAACTCTCTACTAGAGTAGCTAAGCATCCAGGGACCAGGGACAATAGCCTGCCATCTTTTATAACTTTACAGATGGAACATCTGGAAAAGCCAAGGTCCAGGTGGTCCACACTACCTCCAAAAACAATAGAAATCAATAAGAAAGGCAAATAAAATTGTCTTTCACACCTTGAAAGACAAAAATGTCACACCTTGCATACTTTCTCAACATAATAGGAAAACAGAATGCACTATAACTTCATACCTCCTAAATACTAAACATAAGCATCATTTTCTAGTGGGGCTATTTTCTTAAGTTTGTACCCCCAGACTTGCAGAGAACAAGGTAAGATCTTTAAAAAGCCACATAGAATACAGAAGAGGAAAAACAAGACTGAATTAAAGCCATTTTAAAAATCCATTTTAAATATTTTTTAAAAAACAAGTTTTAAAAAGCTGAAAAGGAATGCTGATATTTTAGACCGCTAAAATTTAATAGATGGGACTCATATAACTGACTGATTAAAAAGCTGATAAACTAGACAGTAAAATTTTAAGTGCAAAGCTACAAATAATGTTATTAAATAAAAATAATATTTTTTAAAGCATAAGGAAAACATCACATCAAAAAGAGAAAATATCATACACAGTACAGTTATAACAAAATTAATATGACACAGTTGAGATCAAATATAGCAGTCATTCTAAATGTGAATGGGCTTAACTGACTTATTAAAAATATTTTAAACATGGCTCACAAAACAAGATACAGCTCTGGCATACAAAAAACACATCTTACCTCAAAATAATCAGTGGCACAAAAAGACTAAAGATAAAGAGATAGGCAAAATTCTGCCAGAAAAAATGCAGGGGTTGCAATCATGATGTCAGCAAAGTATAATTCAAGCCAAAAACATTATACCTGACTAAAAATGACACTTTTTAATGCTAAAAGCCACAATTCACAAAGAATATATAATAGTTATAAACATCTATGCACCAAGTAATACAATAACCACCTTTATAAAGCAGAAACTACAGGAGATGCAATGAGACATAGAAATGTGCTAAGAGTGGAGAACATAATAGGCGTTCTTAGTACAAGGCAGATTAAACAAAAAAATAAAAAAGGCCATAGGAGACCTACATGACACAATCAATAAAGTAGATCTTCTATTTATATATGAACAGTATATTCTTATAAAAGAGAAAACAGCTTTTCTTAAACATATATGCAGCACCGAGCAAAGTTGAAGACATATTAGGTTATAAAGAAAGATTCAGGATGTTTGTATTGTATAAATATTATAACACTCTCTGATCACAAGGTGATAAAATTAGAAATTAATCAGAAAATAAAGGGTCTTTTCCCTGACCTCTGGAAATTTGGAAAAAAAAAAAAAAAAAAAAAAAGCTCCTATGAAATAACTATTGGGCAAAAGGGAAAATATAAACAGAAATCAAATAACTTCTAAAAATTAATGATACTAAAAACACTCTATATTAGAATCTACAGTATACATTTAAGATCATTAGAGGAAAATCCGTTGCCTTAAATATACCAATAAACATAAAAGAATAACAACAAATTAAAATTTCAACTCCAAAATTAGAAAAAGAACAACAAAGTAAACTACATGAGAGCAAAACTAAGAAAAAAGTAAAAACAAAAGCATAAATTAAATGAAGTAGAGAATAGAAAACAGTACATCTAGTTAATCAAAATTTTGATTTTTTAAAAAATGAACAAAATAGATGAAGCATTAGCTAGTTTAAATAAGAACAAGGGGGGAGAAAGGAAAAATGTACAAAATATGAAATGATGGGGGAAATAATATTGAAACAGAAGTTTTTAAGAATACAAAAGATTATTTTGCAGCTCTCTATGAAAAGAATCTGAAAATAGAGATGAAGTTGATAAATTCCCAACTGCAAAACTGTTTATTTACAGAAGATCATGAGGAACAGGGTAGAAAAGATGATGTGTGTGGTGAGGTGGGGGGTGAACAGTGAAGAGTTATACTTTTTGAGTCTTCCTTTTTATGTAATTCAGATGTTTGGAGCTATATTAATATTTTGCATAAACAATAAATAAAATAAAGATGTGAAAAGAAAACCTGAAAAGTACACAAAATGAGACAAACAGACTTATCTATATGTAAGAACCCCATTGAAGGAGAAAAATATTAACTCAAGTAATTTTTGAATACAATATTTTGACTATATCTTCAGACTAAAGACAAAAATTATAAAGAAAGATTGAACTTTAGGGTAGGAAGTTTTGCATGGGTTAGCATTTCCAAAATTACTTTCTGTGCATTCTAGTGTATCCTAGGATTAAGCAATAAGTAAATAGATGAGGACAATGGGAACCAGGTTTCTCACTGTTGGAAAAGGCAATTATAAATATGGATAAGAAAATGTGGAATGAATCCTATGTTATTTAAGTGTAATTAGATGTTGGAATTGAAAGAATCAGTAAAAAACTCATGATACATATTATCAGCCTGTTTATCTTTATGTATTTACTTTTTAGCTCTGTCCACTACAGGCTAAAGCAATGACACCCCAGCAACAATGAGCACACCTAGTGCCAAGATCTTCATTTCTAAATATACTATTCATCAAAAAGAAACAGAGCTCCTTTGATAAATAAGCTCATTCCAAGACTGGAACTGGCAAAGTACAACACAAGTCCAGAATATCTTACTGTTCAGGAAAGTTAGAAATAGCTCAAAGATTCAGGGTGACATTTCAAAAAGATACATAGCCAGTTTTAAGGGACTTCATTGGCAAAGCCTGGAACAATTTGAACAACCAAATCAATAATGTTAGCAATGGATCATCATCTGTTGAAGAAGATGATTCTATAAGTCCATACTAATAGAAACTAATGAATAAAAAAGGAATAAATCAGAGAATGAAAATATATTTATTACTGTAAAATATCAATCAATAAATGATGATGACATTGGAAAATCACCACTTGGTTTTCTGCATTTCCAACTGAGGTACCTGGTTCATCTCATTGGGACTGGTTGGACAGTTGGTGCAGCCCACGAAGCGCAAGCTGAAGCAGGGTGGGGCATTGCCTCACCAGGGAAGCACGAGGGTTCAGGGGATTTCCCTTTCCTAGCCAAGGGAAGCCATGACAGACTACCTGGAAAAACGGGACACTCCCCACCCAAATACTGTGCTTTTACCAAGGTCTTAGCAACTGGCAGACAAGGTGAGTCTCTCCCATGCCTGGCTCGGCAGGTCCCACACCCATGGAACCCTTGCTCACTGCTAGTGCAGCAGTCTGAGATCGATCTATGAGGTGGCAGCCTGGCTGGGGGAGGGGTGTCCACCATTGCTGAGGCTTGAGTAGGTAAACAAAGCGGCCAGGAAGCTCGAACTGGACGGAGCCCACAGCAGCTCAACAAGGCCTACTGCCTCTAGACTCCACCTCTGTGGGCAGGGCATAACTGAACAAAAGGCAGCAAACAACTTCTGCAGACTTAAAAGTAAGTCCCTGTCTGACAGCTCTGAAGAGAGCAGTCATTCTCCCAGCACAGCGTTTGAGCTTTGAGAATGGACAGACTGCTTCCTCAAGTGGGTCCCTGACCCCTGTGTAGCCTAACTGGGAGACACCTCCCAGTAGGGTCTGACAGACACCTCATATAGGCGGCAGCCCATCTGGGACGAAGCTTCCAGAGGAAGAATCAGGCAGCAATATTTTGCGTTCTGCAATATTTGCTGTTCTGCAGCCTCTGCTGGTGATACCCAGGCAAACAGCGTCTGGAGTGGAACTCCAGCAAACTCCAACAGACCTGCAGCTAAGGGACCTGACTATTAGAAGGAAAACTAACAATCAGAAAGGAATAGCATCAACATCAACAAAAAGATCATCTACACCAAAACCCCATCTGTAGATCACCAAAATCAAAGACCAAAGGTAGATAAAACCACAAAGATGGGGAGAAACCAGAGCAGAAAAGCTGAAAATTCTAAAAATCAGAGCACCTCTTCTCCTCCAAAGGATTGCAGCTCCTCACCAGCAATGGAACAAAGCTGGATGGAGAATGACTTTGACAAGTTGATAGAAGTACGCTTCAGAAGGTCGGTAATAACAAACTTTTCCAAGCAAAGGAGGATGTTTGAACCCATCACAAAGAAGCTAAAAGCCTTGAAAAAGATTAGACGAATGGCTAACTAGAATAAACAGTGCAGAGAAGACCTTAAATGACCTGATGGAGCTGAAAACCATGGCACAAGAACTTCGTGACACATGCACAAGCTTCAATAGCCGATTTAATCAAGTGGAAGAAAGGATATCAGTGATTGAAGATCAAATTAATGAAATAAAGCAAGAAGACAAGGTTAGAGAAAAAAGAGTAAAAAGAAATGAAAAAAGCCTCCAAGAAATATGGGACTATGTGAAAAGACCAAATCTATGTTTGATTGGTGTACTTGAAAATGATGGACAGAATGGAACCAAGCTGGAAAACACTCTTCAGGATATTATCCAGGAGAACTTCCCAAACCTAGCAAGGCAGGCCAACATTCAAATTCGGGAAATACAGAGAATACCACAAAGATACTCCTTGAGAAGAGCAACCCCAAGACACTTAATTGTCAGATTCACCAAGGTTGAAATGAAGGAAAAACTGTTAAGGGCAGCCAGAGGGAAAGGTCGAGTTACCCACAAAGGGAAGCCCATCAGACTAACAGCAGATCTCTCAGCAGAAACCCTACAAGCCAGAAGAGAGTGGGGCCCAATATTCAACATTCTTAAAGAAAATAATTTTCAATCCAGAATTTCATATCCAGTCAAACTAAGCTTCATAAGTGAAGGAGAAATAAAATCCTTTACAGACAAGCAAATGCTGAGAGGTTTTGTCACCACCAGGCCTGCCTTATAAGATCTCCTGAAGGAAGCACTAAACATGGAAAGAAACAACTGGTACCAGCCACTGCAAAAACATGCCAAATTGTAAAGACCATTGATGCCATGAAGAAACTGCATCAATTAACGGGCAAAGTAATCAGCGAGCATCATAATGACAGCATCAAATTCACACATAACAATATTAACCTTAAAAGTAAATGGGCTAAATGCCCCAATTAAAAGACACAGACTGGCAAATTGGATAAAGAGTCAAGACCCATCAGTGTGCTGTATTCAGGAAACCCATCTCTTGTGCAAAGGTGCACATAGACTCAAAATAAAGGGATGGAGGAAGATCTACCAAGCAAATGGAAAGCAAAAAAAAGCAGGCATTGCAATCCTAGTCTCTGATAAAACAGACTTTAAACCAACAAAGATCAAAAGAGACAAAGAAGGCCATTACACAATGGTAAAGGGATCAATTCAACAAGAAGAGCTAATTATCCTAAATATATATGCACCCAATACAAGAGCACCCAGATTCATAAAGCAAGTCCTTATAGACCTACAAAGAGACTTAGACTCCCACACAATAATAATGGGAGACTTTAACACCCCACTGTCAATATTAGACAGATCAAGGAGACAGAAGATTAACAAGGATATCCAGGACCTGAACTCAGCTCTGCAACAAGCAGACCTAATAGACATCTACAGAACTCTCCACCCCAAATCAACAGAATATACATTCTTCTCACCACTACATCGTACTTATTTCAAAAGTTTACCACATAATTGGAAGTAAAGCACTCCTCAGCAAATGTGAAAGAACAGACATCACAATAAACAGTCTCTCAGACCACAGTACAATCAAATTAGAACTCAGGATTAAGAAACACTCAAAACCGCACAACTACATGGAAACTGAACAACTTGCTCCTGAATGACTACTGGGTAAATAACGAAATGAAGGCAGAAATAAAGATGTTCTTTGAAACCAATGAGAACAAAGACACAACATACCAGAATCTCTGGGATACATTTAAAGTAGTGTGTAGAGGGAAATTTATAGCACTAAATGCCCACAAGAGAAAGCAGGAAAGATCCAAAGTAGACACCCTAACATCACAATGAAAAGAACTAGAGAAACAAGAGCAAACAAATTCAAAAGCTAGCAGAAGGCAAGAAATAACTAAGATCAGAGCAGAACTGAAGGAGATAGGGACACAAAAAACCCTTCAAAAAATCAATGAATGCAGGAACTGGTTTTTTGAAAAGATCAACAAAATTGATAGACCGCTAGCAAGACTAATAAAGAAAAAAAGAGAGAAGAATCAAATAAACACAATAAAAAATGATAAAGGTGATATCACCACCGATCCCACAGAAATACAAACTACCATCAGAATACTATAAACATCTCTATGCAAATAAACTAGAAAATCTAGAAGAAATGGAGAAATTCCTGGACACATACACTCTCCCAATACTGAACCAGGAAGAAGTTGAACCTCTGAATAGACCAATGACAGGCTCTGAAATTGAGGCAATAATTTATAGCCTACCAACAAAAAATGTCCAGGGCCAGATGGATTCACAGTCAAATACTACCAGAGGTACAAAGAGGGGCTGCTACTATTCCTTCTGAAACTATTCCAATCAATAGAAAAAGAGGGAATCTTCCCTAACTCATTTTATGAGGCCAACATCATCCTGATACCAAAGCCTGGTGGAGACACAACAAAAAAAGAGAATTTTAGACCAATATCCCTGATGAACATTGATATGAAAATCCTCAATAAAATACTGGCAAACTGAATCCACCAGCACATCAAAAAGCTTATCCACCACGATCAACTCAGCTTCATCCCTGGGATGCAAGGCTGGTTCAGCATACGCAAATCAATACACATAATCCATCACATTAATAGAACCAACAACAAAAACCACATGAGTATCTCAATAGATGCAGAAAAGGCCTTTGACAAAATTCAACAGCCCTCAATGCTGAAAACTCTCAATAAGCTAGGTATTGATGGAATGTATCTCAAAATAATAAGAGCTATTTATGACAAACCCACAGCCAATATCATACTGAATGGGCAAAAACTAGAAGCATTCCCTTTGAAAACCAGCACAAGACAAGGATGCCCTCTCTTGCCACTCCTATTCAACATAGTATGGGGCATTCTGGCCAGGGCAATCAGGCAAGAGAAAGAAATAAAGGATATTCAATTAGAAAATGAGGAAGTCAAATTGTCCCTGTTTGCAGATGACATGACTGTATATTTAGAAAACTCCATCGTCTCAGCCCAAAATCTCCTCAAGCTGGTAAGTAACTTCAGCAAAGTCTCAGGATACAAAATCAATGTGCAAAAAAATCACAAGCATTCCTATACACCATTAACAGACAAACAGAGAGCCAAATCATGAGCGAACTCCCATTCACAATTCATACAAAGAGAATAAAATACCTAGGAATCCAACTTACAACAGATGTGAAGGACCTCTTCAAGGAGAACTACAAACCACTGCTCAACAAAATAAAAGAGGACACAAACAAATGGAAGAATATTCCATGCTCATGGATAAGAGGAATCAATATCATGAAAATGGCCATACTGCCCAAATTAATTTACAGATTCAATGCCATCCCCATCAAGCTACCAATGACTTTCTTCACAGAATTGGAAAAAGCTACTTTAAAGTTCATATGGAACCAAAAAAGAGCCCACATTGCCAAGACAATCCTAAGCAAAAAGAACAAAGCTGGAGGCATCATGCTACCTGACTTCAAACTATACTACAAGGCTACAGCAACCAAAGCAGCATGGTACTGGTACCAAAACAGAGATATAGACAAAAAACTCACACAAATTTACAAGAAAAAAACAAACAACCCCATCAAAAAGTGGGCAAAGGATATGAACAGACACTTGTCAAAAGAAGACATCTATGGAGCCAACAGACACATGAAAAAATGCTCATCATCACTGGTCATCAGAGAAAAGCAAATCAAAACCACAATGAGATAGCATCTCACACCAGTTAGAATGGCAATCATTAAAAAGTCAGGAAACAACAGATGCTGGAGAGGATGTGAAGAAATAGGAAAGCTTTTACAGTGTTGGTGGGAGTGTAAATTGGTTCAATCATTGTAGAAGACAGTGTGGCAATTCCTCAAGGATCTAGAACTAGAATTATCATTTGACCCAGCAATCCCATTACTTGGTATACACTCAAATGATTCTAAATCATGCTGCTATAAAGACACATGCACACATATGTTTATTGTGGCACTACTCACAATAGCAAAGACTTGGAACCAACCCAAATGTCCATCAGTGATAGACTGGATTAAGGAAATGTGGCACATATACACCATGGACTACTATGCAGCCATAAAAAATGATGAGTTCATGTCCTTTGCAGGGACATGGATGAAGCTGGAAACCATCATTCTCAGCAAACTATCACAGGGACAGAAAACCAAACACCGCATGTTCTCACTTATGGGTGGGAATTGAACAATGAGATCACTTGGATACAGGGCGGGGAACATCACACACTGGGGCCTGTCAGGGGGTGGGGGGCTGGGGGAGAAATACCTAATGTAAATGATGAGTTGATGGATGCAGCAAACCAACATAGCACATATATACCTATGTATCAAACCTGCACGTTGTGCACATGTACCCTGGAACTTTAAGTATAATAATAATAAAAAAAATCACCACTTGGCAAAAATTATAGTAATAATTGATTCAGGCAAGAATCATCAGTGGCTAAAATGAATGGGTCACCAATATTGTGACAAACTGATATTTTGTGCCTTTGATATTATATATCGAGAAGAATATACTATCACTTCTTTATTTCCCCTGCTAGAAATGGATTAATGAGTTAAATTATAAGAAAACATTAGATAAATCCACTAGAGGGACATTCTATGAAATAATTGATTTGATTTCTTTAAAAAATGTCAATGTGATGAAACATAAAACATGAGAAACCAAGATTAAGGGAGTTTAAAGAGGCATGGTGTATTCATCTGTTCTCCTGCTGCTATAAAGAGCTGCCGGAGACTGGGTAATTTGTAAAGGAGAGGGGTTTAATTGACTCACAGTTCCACAGGGCTGGAGAGGCCTCAGGAAACTTACAATCACGGTGGAAAGGGAAGCAAACATGTCCTTCTTCTCATGGTGGCAGGAAGGGGAAGTATGAGAACTGAGCTGGGGGAAGCCCCTTATAAAACCATCGGATCTCATGAGAACTTACTCACCATCATGAGAATAGCATGAGGGTAACTATACCATGATTAAAATACCTCCTACCGGGTCCTTCCCACAACACATGGGGATCATGGGAACTACAATTCAAGATGAGATTTGGGTGGGGACACAGCCAAACCATATCATTCTGCTTCTGTACCCTCACAAATCTCATGTCCTCACATTTCATGTCCTCATGAACTGAATGAAGGGGGCCCCTTGTAAAACCATCAGATCTCATGAGAGCTCACTACCACGAGAATAGCATAAGGGTAACCACCCCCATGATTAAATTACCTCCCACCAGGTTCCCCCATGACAGGTGGGAATTATGGGAACTACAATTCAAGATAAAATTTGGGTGGGGACACAGCCAAACCGTGTCACATGGTAACTAAACATAAAGCATGATAATTCTGAGTTAGATCCAGGATCAGAAACATCTTTTTCTATTGCTATAAAGAACATTATTATGACAATTGGTGAAATTTGAATAAGATCTGTAGATTAGATAATAGTACAGTACCCCTGTAAATTTCCTTATTTTTACAGCTGTACTATGGTTACATAAGAGATTATCCTTGGTTTTCAGAAAATACACACAAGTATTTAGACGTTAACTAAATATATACTCAAGTGGTTCAGAAAAGATGGAAAATAGTAGAGCAAATATGGTAAAATATCAACACTTGGAGAATCTAGATATGGGGCATATGAGAATTCTTTGTACTAGTGCAACTTGGCTGTAAATGTGAAATTATTGCAAATGAAAACATTTTTTAAAAGTCCAAAATGATTGAAAGATAGCATCAAGATAACACAGGGTGGAAGAAGAGATTTACAGTGTGTATAATTGACAAAGGGGTTTATATCTAGAATGTATAAAGAAATCTTTCACATCAATAAGAAAAACAAAAATAATGTAATAGAAAAATGCATAAGAGACTTTGAGGCACTTCATAAAGGAGGATGCTCAAGTGACCAATACATATATGAAGAAGAACATAATCTTATTAGTAACGCAAGAAATGCAAATTAAAAGCCCTATGAGAAGTCACTCTACATCCACTAACATGACCCAAATTTAAAATCCTGGCAAACCCAAGTCTTGGTGACAATGAGGAGCAACAGGAACTCTTAGACATTGTTGGTGGGAGTGACTATTGGTAAAGCTGGTATTATCTACTAAAGCTGAACTACGTGTACTTGAAAACTCCCAAATCCCACTTCTAATCAAATACCCTATAGAAATGCATTAACATATTTAGCAAGAAATGTATAATTGTTCAACAGAAGATTGGATATTTTATGCGATAGGCACTCCATATAGTACTATATAGCAATAAAAACAAACACATGGCAATATGGACAAATCTCACAAAAATGTGAAGTGAACAAAGCCAGACATAGAATATATAGTATAAAACTGCACACACGCACACACACACACACACACACACACCCCATGTAACAGGCAAAATTAAACTACAGCAATAAGAGTATTTGCAAGCTTTTGGGAGGAAGGAGGAGCCACAAGAGGGTTTCTTGAGTTCTGGTGATGTTCTATTTCTTGACCTGAGTGGTGTTTACATAATTAGGTTCACTTTGTGATAACTGAATTGAAAATTTTATTATCTGTCCCCTCTTCTATATGTGTGATATGTCATAAAAAATTAAGAAACTGAAAAACTAAAGAGACATAACAACAACAACAAAAATAGCAAAAATAATTTTTAAAGTAATTCTGCCAGAGTTGGGTGAGTGAGTAGCTAAAAGGCAGTTACACTTGTAGCTCTAATGTAATAACATCAACACCTAAATTCAAACTGCAGATATATTATAAATGAATCTCATCTTCCAGGTTTATAGCTAAATTTCAAAGGCTTCAATTAGTTTAGGTGGTAATTTGGGAACCAGGGAAAAATATCATGTTAAAAATGACATTTTCCTGGGGTAGATGGAGTTAAGTCTGTGGAGTACACAGACCCCTAAATGAGATGGAGATATAGCACCAAAATCTCATATATTTATATGGCTTGGTCATTTTTGATTTTTCACTTGATAAAATTTGTTTTAATGATCACCATTATATTTGGTGTCATGTTTCAGTATAAATTTTTCCAGCAGAGTCTAACATTATTCTGAGTGCTAGTTTTATCTTCCTCTAGAACGGGAGAGGTTCCCACCCTCATTTCTTATGGTAACTTTTATTTTAATATTTTAAACCACAAAGCAGTAATTTTTCACAGTCAATGGCTAATTAAATTTAATGATCTGTTTCTGTGCTCACCAGTGTTTCCTTAGCTCAGTCTTTTCCTCTGGGTTTCATTTTGCTGCTGAAGAGAAGAGTGTTCTTAATTTGTTCTTTGGTAAGCTGTAGGTGGTAAACACTTTTAGTCTTTTAAATCAGACAATGTCTTTAGTTTGCACTTTCATTTGAAGAATGATCATGTTCAAAGTTAGAAGTTGACAATTAGTTTTCCTTGGCAATTTGAAGATAATATTCTATTATTGCTGATTAGAAGTCTGCTACTAATTTGTTATTCTTTTGTGTTAATCTATCTTTTTTATGTGTTAGCTGGAAGATGTTCTCTTTATTATTGACGTTTTGCCATTTCATAGCCATGTGCGGCTGAGGTTTTGTTTTTATTTACCCTTATTCGAATTCAGTGTAAATTGTCTGAGCGATCAGGTATTTCTACAATTCTAAACCGTTCTTGGTGATTATCTTATGAAATATTTAGTTCCTGTTATTCTCTTTACTTGCTTTTAGTGAAATTCCTAAAAAATATATTGTTCCCTTTAAATCTATGCTTTTTATCCCTTAACTGTTCCTTAAGTAAAATAAAGTCTCTATTTCCCTAGTACAAGTTCCGGGTAAATTTTTCATTGCTAGCTTCCAGCTCTCTAATTCTCTTTTGGCCTCCACTTTGGAATTTATTCTATTTTTTGATTTATTGTATTTTTAATGTCTATATTCTTTGTTTCTAAGAATCTTGAATATTTAAATATCTACCTTTTTTTTCACTGCTTGCTTTTTCCCAGTTTACTTAGGCATAATTTGCATCACTTATTGTAAGTGTATAGTTTGATAAAATTTGCCAGTTGTAAACAGTTTTATAACCATGGCAACAATCAAGATATTGAACATTTCTAATACCCAGGAAAATTTCCTTATGTCCGTTTGTAGTCAATTCCTTTCCAGACTCTTAGCCTCAGGAAACAACTAATCTGCTTTCTGTTACTAAAGTTTTGCCTTTCCAAGTGCATTAAAAACAAAAAACCAAGACTCAACCATCTTCTGTCTTCAAGAATCCAATCTCATAATAATACACATAGGCTCAAAGTAAGGAGATGGAGAAAGATCTATCACACAAATGGTAAACAAAAAAGAGCAGGGGTCGCGATTATATCTGATAGAACAGACTTTAAACCAACATCAAGACAAAGGAGGGCATTACATAATGATAAAGGGCTCAATTAAACAAGAAAACAATTGTAAACATTTGTGCACCCAACATCAGAGCACCTCGATTCCTAAAACAAGTACCTCTAGACCTGCAAAAAAGACTTAGCCATACAATAATAGTGGGAGACTTCAACACTCCACTGACTGAGTTAGATCAACAAGACAGAAAACTAACAAAGATATTCTGGACTTAAGTTTGACACTTTACCAATTGGACCTAATAGACACCTACAGAATACTCCACCCAACAACCACATAATACACATTCTTTTCATTTGCACATGGAACATACTCTAAGATGGACCACATGCTTGGCCATAAAGCAAGTCTCAATAAATTCAAAACAATCAAAACGCCAACCATGCTCACAGACCTCAGTGAAAGAAAAATAGAAATCAATACCAAGAAAGTGTCTCAAAACCACACAATTACATGGAAACTAAACAACTTGCTCCTAAATGACTTTTGGGTAAACAATGAAATTAAGGCAGAAATTAAAAAAATATTTGAAATAAATGAAAACAGAGACATAATGTACCAAAATCTCTGGGACACAGCAAAAGCAGTGTTAAAAGTAAAGTTTGTAGCTGTAAGCATCTATGTCAGAAAGTTTGAATGATCTCAAATTAACAAGCTAACATCACATCCTAGAGGAAGTCAGAGCAGGATTGAACAAAATTGAGACCCACAAATCCACACAAAAGGTCAAGGAAATCAAAATTGCATTATTTGAAAGGATAAACAAGATCTGTAGACTACTAGCTAGGTTAACAGAAAAAAGGAGAAGATCCAAATAAGTGCTATCAGAAATGACAAAGGTAACATTACAACTGATCCTACAGAAATACAAAAGATCCCCAGAGGTGATTATGAACATCTCTATGCACATAAACTAGAAAATCTAGAGGAAGTGGATAAATTCCTGGAAACACACAACCTCCCAAGACTGAATCAGGAAGATAAGAAACCGTAAACAGACTAATATTGAGTTCTGAAATTGAATCAATAATTTAAAAAACCTACCAACAACGACAACAAAAAGCCCCAGATCAGATGAATTCACAACTTAATTCTATCAGATGTACAAAGAAGAGGTGGTACCAAGCCTACTGAAACTATTCAAAAAAATTGAGGAGGAAGCACTCCTCTCTAACTCATTCTATGAAGCCAGCATCACCCAGATAACAAAACCTGGCAAAGACACAATGAAAAAAGAAAACTACAGGCCAGTATCTGATGAACATAGACACAAAAATCCTCTCTAAAATACTAGCAAACTGAATCCAGCAGGACATAAAAAAGGTTAATTCACCTACAGTCAAGTAGGCTTCATTCCTGTGATGCAAGGGTTGGTTCAACATACAAAATCAATGAATGTGATTCGCCACATAAACAGAATTAAAAACAAAAACCACCTGATTTTCTCAATAGACACAGAAAGTACTTTTCATAAAATCATAAACACCCTCAACAAACTAGGCACTGAAGGAACATACTTCAAAATAATAGGAGCCATCATCATACTGAATGGGCAAAGGATGGAAACATTCTCCTTAAGAACTGGAACGAGACGAGGATGCTCACTCTCATCACGCCTGTTCAACATAGTTCTGTAAGTCCTAGCCAGAGAAATCAGGCAACAGAAAGAAATAAAAGGAAAAGAAGTCAAATTGTCTCTCTTTGCTAATTATATGATTCTATGCCTAGAAAACCCAAAAGGCTCTGCCAGAAGCCTCTTGAAATTGATAAATAACTTCAGTAAAGTTCAGGATACAAAATCAATGTAAAAAATCCGTAAAAAAATTTTTTTTGAGACAGAGTCTCACTTTGTTGCCCAGGCTGGAGTGTAGTGGTGTGATCACAGCTCACTTCAGCCTTGACCTTGTGGGCTCAAGCGATCCTCCCACCTCACCCTCCTGAGTAGCTGGGACTAAGGGATGCACCACTTTGCTTGGCTAATTTTTTTTAACGTCAGAAATTCCTGCTAACTGGCCAATTTAAAAAAATTTTTTTAGAGATGGGGTTTCACTACGTTGCCCAGGCTGGTCTCAAACTCCTGGCCTCAAGCAATCCTCCCACCTTGGCCTCCCAAAGTATTGAGATTACAGGCATGAGCCGCTGCACCTAGCCCTTCAGCAGCATTTCTACACACCAATTGCATTCAAGCTGAGTGACAAACAGGAATGCAATCCCATTTACAGTAACCACAAAAAAAAATAGCTAGGAATATATCTTACCAAGGATGTGAAACATCTCTGCAAGAACTACAAAATGCTGCTGAAAGAAATCACAAATGGGGGGAGGAGCCAAGATGGCCGAATAGGAACAGCTCCAGTCTACAGCTCCCAGTGTGAGCGACGCAGAAGACGGGTGATTTCTGCCTTTCCATCTGAGGTACCGGGTTCATCTCACTAGGGAGTGCCAGACAGTGGGCGCAGGCCAGTGGGTGCGCGCACCGTGCGCAAGCCGAAGCAGGGCGAGGCATTGCCTCACTTGGGAAGCGCAAGGGGCCAGGGAGTTCCCTTTCCGAGTCAAAGAAAGAGGTGACGGACGCACCTGGAAAATCGGGTCACTCCAACCCGAATATTGCGCTTTTCAGACCGGCTTAAAAAACGGTGAACCACAAGATTATATCCCACACCTGGCTCGGAGGGTCCTACGCCCACGGAATCTCGCTGATTGCTAGCACAGCAGTCTGAGATCAAACTTTAAGGCGGCAGCGAGGCTGGGGGAGGGGCGCCCGCCATTGCCCAGGCTTGCTTAGGTAAACAAAGCAGCCAGGAAGCTTGAACTGGGTGGAGCCCACCACAGCTCAAGGAGGCCTGCCTGCCTCTGTAGGCTCCACCTCTGGGGGCAGGGCACAGACAAACGAAAAGACAGCAGTAACCTCTGCAGACTTAAGTGTCCCTGTCTGACAGCTTTGAAGAGAGCAGTGGTTCTCCCAGCACGCAGCTGGAGATCTGAGAACCGGCAGACTGCCTCCTCAAGTGCGTCCCTGACCCCTGACCCCCGAGCAGCCTAACTGGGAGGCACCCCCCAGCAGGGGCACACTGACACCTCACACTGCAGGGTATTCCAACAGACCTGCAGCTGAGGGTCCTGTCTGTTAGAAGGAAAACTAACAAACAGAAAGGACATCCACACCGAAAACCCATCTGTACATCACCATCATCAAAGACCAAAAGTAGATAAAACCACAAAGATGGGGAAAAAACAGAACAGAAAAACTGGAAACTCTAAAATGCAGAGCGCCTCTCCTCCTCCAAAGGAACGCAGTTCCTCACCAGCAACGGAACAAAGCTGGATGGAGAATGACTTTGACGTGCTGAGAGAAGAAGGCTTCAGACGATCAAATTACTCTGAGCTACGGGAGGACATTCAAGCCAAAGGCAAAGAAGTTGAAAACTTTGAAAAAAATTTCGAAGAATGTATAACTAGAATAACCAATACAGAGAAGTGCTTAAAGGAGCTGATGGAGCTGAAAACCAAGGCTCGAGAACTATGTGAAGAATGCAGAAGCCTCAGGAGCCGATGCGATCAACTGGAAGAAAGGGTATCAGCAATGGAAGATGAAATGAATGAAATCAAGCGAGAAGGGAAGTTTAGAGAAAAAAGAATAAAAAGGAATGAGCAAAGCCTCCAAGAAATATGGGACTATGTGAAAAGACCAAATCTACGTCTGATTGGTGTACCTGAAAGTGATGGGGAGAATGGAACCAAGTTGGAAAACACTCTGCAGGATATTATCCAGGAGAACTTCCCCAATCTAGCAAGGCAGGCCAACGTTCAGATTCAGGAAATACAGAGAACGCCACAAAGATACTCTTCGAGAAGAGTAACTCCAAGACTCATAATTGTCAGATTCACCAAAGTTGAAATGAAGGAAAAAATGTTAAGGGCAGCCAGAGAGAAAGGTCGGGTTACCCTCAAAGGGAAGCCCATCAGACTAACAGCGGATCTCTTGGCAGAAACCCTACAAGCCAGAAGAGAGTGGGGGCCAATATTCAACATTCTTAAAGAAAAGAATTTGCAACCCAGAATTGCATATCCAGCCAAACTAAGCTTCATAAGTGAAGGAGAAATAAAATACTTCACAGACAAGCAAATGCTGAGAGATTTTGTCACCACCAGGCCTGCCCTAAAAGAGCTCCTGAAGGAAGTGCTAAGCATG
This sequence comes from Homo sapiens, assembly GCF_000001405.40. Taxonomy (NCBI): domain Eukaryota; kingdom Metazoa; phylum Chordata; class Mammalia; order Primates; family Hominidae; genus Homo; species Homo sapiens. The sequence continues at coordinate 50,900,718 of NC_000007.14, forward strand.
GAAAGGAACAACCGGTACCAGCTGCTGCAAAATCATGCCAAAATGTAAAGACCATCGAGACTAGGAAGAAACTGCATCAACTAACGAGCAAAATCACCAGCTAACATCATAATGACAGGATCAAATTCACACATAACAATATTAACTTTAAATGTAAATGGACTAAATTCTCCAATTAAAAGACACAGACTGGCAAATTGGATAAAGAGTCAAGATCCATCAGTGTGCTGTATTCAGGAAACCCATCTCACGTGCAGAGACAGACATAGGCTCAAAATAAAAGGATGGAGGAAGATCTACCAAGCAAATGGAAAACAAAAAAAGGCAGGGGTTGCAATCCTAGTCTCTGATAAAACAGACTTTAACCAACAAAGATCAAAAGAGACAAAGAAGGCCATTACATAATGGTAAAGGGATCAATTCAACAAGAAGAGCTAACTATCCTAAATATATATGAACCCAATACAGGAGCACCCAGATTCATAAAGCAAGTCCTGAGTGACCTACAAAGAGACTTAGACTCCCACACATTAATAATGGGAGACTTTAACACCCCACTGTCAACATTAGACAGATCAATGAGACAGAAAGTCAACAAGGATACCCAGGAATTGAACTCAGCTCTGCACCAAGTGGACCTAATAGACATCTACAGAACTCTCCACCCCAAATCTACAGAATATACATTTTTTTCAGCACCACACCACACCTATTCCAAAATTGACCACATACCTGGAAGTAAAGCTCTCCTCAGCAAATGTAAAAGAACAGAAATTATAACAAACTATCTCTCAGACCACAGTGCAATCAAACTAGAACTCAGGATTAAGAATCTCACTCAAAGCCGCTCAACTACATGGAAACTGAACAACCTGCTCCTGAATGACTACTGGGTACATAACGAAATGAAGGCAGAAATAAAGATGTTCTTTGAAACCAACGAGAACAAAGACACAACATACCAGAATCTCTCGGACGCATTCAAAGCAGTGTGTAGAGGGAAATTTATAGCACTAAATGCCCACAAGAGAAAGCAGGAAAGATCCAAAATTGACACCCTAACATCACAATTAAAAGAACTAGAAAAGCAAGAGCAAACACATTCAAAAGCTAGCAGAAGGCAAGAAATAACTAAAATCAGAGCAGAACTGAAGGAAATAGAGACACAAAAAACCCTTCAAAAAATCAATGAATCCAGGAGCTGGTTTTTTTGAAAGGATCAACAAAATTGATAGACCGCTAGCAAGACTAATAAAGAAAAAAAGAGAGAAGAATCAAATAGACACAATAAAAAATGATAAAGGTGATATCACCACCGATCCCACAGAAATACAAACTACCATCAGAGAATACTACAAACACCTCTATGCAAATAAACTAGAAAATCTAGAAGAAATGGATAAATTCCTCAACACATACACTCTCCCAAGACTAAACCAGGAAGAAGTTGAATCTCTGAATAGACCAATAACAGGAGCTGAAATTGTGGCAATAATCAATAGTTTACCAACCAAAAAGAGTCCAGGACCAGATGGATTCACAGCTGAATTCTACCAGAGGTAAAAGGAGGAACTGGTACCATTCCTTCTGAAACTATTCCAATCAATAGAAAAAGAGGGAATCCTCCCTAACTCATTTTATGAGGCCAGCATCATTCTGATACCAAAGCTGGGCAGAGACACAACCAAAAAAGAGAATTTTAGACCGATATCCTTGATGAACATTGATGCAAAAATCCTCAATAAAATACTGGCAAAACGAATCCAGGAGCACATCAAAAAGCTTATCCACCATGATCAAGTGGGCTTCATCCCTGGGATGCAAGGCTGGTTCAATATACGCAAATCAATAAATGTAATCCAGCATATAAACAGAGCCAAAGACAAAAACCACATGATTATCTCAATAGATGCAGAAAAGGCCTTTGACAAAATTCAACAACCCTTCATGCTAAAAACTCTCAATAAATTAGGTATTGATGGGACGTATTTCAAAATAATAAGAGCTATCTATGACAAACCCACAGCCAATATCATACTGAATGGGCAAAAACTGGAAGCATTCCCTTTGAAAACTGGCACAAGACAGGGATGCCATCTCTCACCACTCCTATTCAACATAGTGTTGGAAGTTCTGGCCAGGGCAATTAGGCAGGAGAAGGAAATAAAGGGTATTCAATTAGGAAAAGAGGAAGTCAAATTGTCCCTGTTTGCAGACGACATGATTGTATATCTAGAAAACCCCATTGTCTCAGCCCAAAATCTCCTTCAGCTGATAAGGAACTTCAGCAAAGTCTCAGGATAAAAAATCAATGTACAAAAATCACAAGCATTCTTATACACCAACAACAGACAAACAGAGAGCCAAATCATGAGTGAACTCCCATTCACGATTGCTTCAAAGAGAATAAAATACCTAGGAATCCAACTTACAAGGGATGTGAAGGACCTCTTCAAGGAGAACTACAAACCACTGCTCAATGAAATAAAAGAGGATACAAACAAATGGAAGAACATTCCATGCTCATGGGTAGGAAGAATCAATATCTTGAAAATGGCCATACTGCCCAAGGTAATTTACAGATTCAATGCCATCCCCATCAAGCTACCAATGACTTTCTTCACAGAATTGGAAAAAACTACTTTAAAGTTCATAAGGAACAAAAAAAGAGCCCGCATCGCCAAGTCAATCCTAAGCCAAAAGAACAAAGCTGGAGGCATCACGCTACCTGACTTCAAACTATACTACAAGGCTACAGTAACCAAAACAGCATGGTACTGGTACCAAAACAGAGATATAGATCAATGGAACAGAACAGAGCCCTCAGAAATAACGCCGCATATCTACAACTATCTGATCTTTGACAAACCTGAGAAAAACAAGCAATGGGGAAAGGATTCCCTATTTAATAAATGGTGCTGGGAAAACTGGCTAGCCATATATAGAAAGCTGAAACTGGATCCCTTCCTTACACCTTATACAAAAATCAATTCAAGATGGATTAAAGATTTAAACGTTAGACCTAAAACCATAAAAACCCTACAAGAAAACCTAGGCATTACCATTCAGGACATAGGCATGGGCAAGGACTTCATGTCCAAAACACCAAAAGCAATGGCAACAAAAGACAAAATTGACAAATGGGATCTAATTAAACTAAAGAGCTTCTGCACAGCAAAAGAAACTACCATCAGAGTGAACAGGCAACCTACAAAATGGGAGAAAATTTTCGCAACCTACTCATCTAACAAAGGGCTAATATCCAGAATCTACAATGAACTCAAACAAATTTACAAGAAAAAAACAAACAACCCCATCAAAAAGTGGGCGAAGGACATGTACAGACACCTCTCAAAAGAAGACATTTATGCAGCCAAAAAACACATGAAAAAATGCTCATCATCACTGGCCATCAGAGAAATGCAAATCAAAAACACTATGAGATACCATCTCACACCAGTTAGAATGGCAATTATTAAAAAGTCAGGAAACAACAGGTGCTGGAGAGGATGTGGAGAAATAGGAACACTTTTACACTGTTGGTGGGACTGTAAACTAGTTCAACCATTGTGGAAGTCAGTGTGGCGATTCCTCAGAGATCTAGAACTAGAAATACCATTTGACCCAGCCATCCCATTACTGGGTATATACCCAAAAGACTATAAATCATGCTGCTATAAAGACACATGCACACGTATGTTTATTGTGGCATTATTCACAATAGCAAAGACTTGGAACCAACCCAAATGTGCAACAATGATAGACTGGATTAAGAAAACGTGGCACATATACACCATGGAGTACTATGCAGCCATAAAAAATGATGAGTTCGTGTCCTTTGTAGGGACATGGATGAAATTGGAAATCATCATTCTCAGTAAACTATCGCAAGAGCAAAAAACCAAACACCACATATTCTCACTCATAGGTGGGAATTGAACAATGAGATCACATGGACACAGGAAGGGGAATATCACACTCTGGGGACTGTGGTGGGGTGGGGGGAGGGGGGAGGGATAGCATTGGGAGATATACCTAATGCTAGATGACGAGTTAGTGGGTGCAGTGCACCAGCATGGCACATGTATACATATGTAACTAACCTGCACAATGTGCACATGTACCCTAAAACTTAAAGTATAATAAAAAAATAAAAAGAAATCACAAATGAAAAAATGAAAAAATATCCCATATGCATAGATTTAAAGAAGCAATATTGTTGAAGTGGTCATATTGCCCAAAGCAATCTACAGATTTAATGCTATTTCTATAAAACTAGCCATGTTATTTTTCACAGAATTAGAAAAAACTATTCTAAAATTCATATGGAACTAAAAAAAGAGCTCGAATAGTCAAGGCAGTCCTAAGCAAAAAGGACAAAGCCAGAGGCATCACAATCCCCAACTTCAAACTATGCTGCAGAGCTACAGTAACCAAAAACAGCATGGTACTGGTACAACAACAGACACATAGACCAATGGAGCAGAATACAGAATCCAGAAATAAAGCGGCACACCTACATCCAAGAGATCTTTGAAAAAGTTGACAAAAATAAGCAACGGTGCTGGGATAACTGGCTATCCATATGCAGAAGAATGAAACTGACACCTATCTATCATTCTATACAAAAATTTATGGAAAATGGATTAAAGACTTAAATGTAAGATCAAAAACTATAGAAATCTTAGAAGAAAACCTAGGAGATACCCTTCCGGACATTGGCCTTGGCAAGGAATTTATGACTAATCCTTAAAAGCAATTGCAATGAAAACAAAAATTGACAAGTGGGACCTAATCAAACTGAAGAGCTTCTGCACAGCAAAAGAAACTATCAACAGAGTAAACAGACAACCTACAGAATGGGAGAAAATATCTGCAAACTATGCATCTGACAAAGGTTTCACTTATATGTGGGAGCTAAACATTGGGTACTCATGGACATAAATATGGGAACAACAGATACTGGAGACTACTATGGGTGGAGGAGGGAGGAAAAGAGGGAGGCAAGGGTTGAAAAACTACCTATTAGGTACTTTGCTCACTACCTGGGTGATGGGTCCATCGTACTTCAAACCTCAGCATCACACAATATACCTGGGTAACAAACCTGCAAATGTACCCCCTGAATCTAAAACAAAAGTTGAAATGAAAAATAAATAGCTTTGCTTTTTCTAGCAATCATATAGTATGTAATCTATTGCCTTTAACTTCTTTCATGTAGCATAATGTTTTCAATGTTTTTGATTTATCCATGTTGTTGCATACATCAATAATTTGTTTTTATTGCTGAGTAGTATTCTATATTCTTTAGTCTGAGGGTATACATATATATATCTTTTCATTTAAAAAAATAATACTTTATGTGGTCAGAACACTTAAAATGAAATCTATCTTCTCTCTGTATATATATTTATTATTATTATTATTTTGAGATAGAGTCTTACTCTGTCACCCAGACTGGAGTGCAGTGGTCTGATCTTGACCTACTGCAATCTCTGCCTCCCAGGCTCAATTGATCTTCCTGCCTCAGCCTCCTGAGTAGCTGGGACTACAGGTACATACCACCATGCCTTGCTAATTTTCGTATTTTTTGTAGAGACAATGTCTTGCTGTGTTTCTCAGGATGGTCTCGAACTCCCAGGCTGAAGTGATCTGCCTGTCTTGGCCTCCCAAAGTACTGGGATTACAAGCATGAGCCACTGCACTTGGCCAACAAATTTTTAAGTGTATAATACTTTATTGTTATACCTGGGAATACAGCTAACAAGGGAAGTGAAGGGCCTCTAAAAGGAGAACTATAAACCATCGCTCAATGAAATCAGAGATGACACAAACAAATGGAAAAACATTCCATGGTCATGGATAGGAAGAATCAATATCTTGAAAATGATCATACCACCCAAGGGCAATTTACAGATTCAATGCTATTCCCATTAAACTATCATTGACATTCTTCACAGTACTAGGAAAAACTATTTTGAAATTTGTATGGAACCCCACATGCCCCCCCAAAAAAACCCAAAAGCCCAAATAGCCAAAGCAAACCTAAGCAAAAAGAACAAAGCTGGAGGCATCATGCTACCCAATTTCAAACTATGCTACAGGACTATGGTAACCAAAACAGCATGGTATTGGTACAAGAACAGACACATAAACAAATGGAACAGAATAGAGAACCCAGAAATAAGACCACACACTTACAACTATCTGATCTTTGACAAACCTGACAAAAACAAGCAATGGAGAAAGTATTCCCTATTAAATAAATGGTGCTGGGATAAGTGGCTAGCCATATGCAGAAAATTGAAACTGGACCCCTTCCTTACACCATATACAAAAATCAACACAATATGGATTAAAGACTTAAATGTGAAACCCAAAACTATAAAAACCCTAGAAGGGGCTGGGCATGGTGGCTCATGCCTGTAATCCCAGCACTTTGGGAGGCTGAGGCGGGTGGATCATGAGGTCAGGAGATGGAGACCATACTGGCTAACACAGTGAAACCCTGTCTCTACTAAAAATACAAAAAAATTAGCCAGGCGTGGTGATGGGTGCCTGTAGTCCCAGCTACTCGGGAGGCTGAGGCAGGAGAAAGGCATGAACCTGGGAGGCGGAGCTTGCAGTCAGGGGAGATCGCGCCACTGCACTCCAACCTGGGTGACAGAGCGAGACTCTGTGTCAAAAACAAACAAACAAACAAACCCTAGAAGAAAACCTAGGCAATACCATTCAGGACATAGGCACGGGAAAAGATTTCATGATGAAGATGCCCAAAACAATTGCAACAAAAGCAAAAATTGACAAATGGGAGCCATTTAAACTAAAGCTCTTCTGCACAGCAAAAGACACTATCATCAGAGTGAAAAGACAACCTACAGAATGGGAGAAAATTTTTGCAAACTATGCATCTGACAAAGGTCTAATATCCGGAGTCTACAAGGAACTTAAACAAATTTACAGGAAAAACACAAAACCAATTAAAAAGTGGGCAAATGATATGAACAGGCACTTCTCAAAAGAAGACAAACATGTGGCCCACGAGCGTATGAAAAAAAGCTCAACATCACTGATCATTAGAGAAATGCAAGTCAAAACCACAATGAGATACCATCTCACACCACTGAGAAGGGCTATTAATAAAAAGTCAAAAAATAACAGAAGCTGGCAAGGTTGTAGGGGAGAAGGAATGCTTTTAATCTTTTGGTGGGAGTGTAAAGTAGTTCAACCATAGTAGAAGACAGTGTAGCAATTCCTCAAAGAGCTGAAAGCAGAAATACGATTTGATCCAGCAATCCCATTGGTGGGTATACACCCAAAGGAGTATAAATCATTCTATTATAGAGACACATGCATGTGTATGCTCATTGCAGCACTAGCCACAATAGCAAAGATATGGAATCAACCTAAATGTCCATCAATGATAGACTGGACAAAGGCAATGTGATATGTATACACCATGGAATACTATGTAGCTATAAAAAGGAATGAGATCAAGTCCTTTGCAGGGACATGGATGGAGCTGAAGGCAATTATTCTTAGCAAACTAACACAGGAACAGAAAACCAAGCACCACGTGTTCTCACTTATAAGTGGGAGCTAAACGATGAGAATACACTGACACATAGAGGAGAACAACACGCACTGGGGCCTTTTGGAGGGTTGAGGGTGGGAAGAGGGAGAGGATCAGGGGAAACAATTCATGGGTACTAGGCTTAATACCTGGGTGATGAAATAATTTGTACCAAAAAAAAAAAAACCCATGACATACGTTTACCTATGTAACAAACCTGCACATCCTACACATGTACCCCTGAACTTAAAAGTTAAAAAAAAATACTTTATTGTTGACTATAGGCAAAGTGTTGTACAGCAGTTCTCCAGAGCTTATTCTTCTTGCTTGACTAAAACTTTGTGTCCATTGATTAGTAACTCCCCATTTCCCCCCCTTTTCAGCCTCTGATAACCACAATTCCACTCTGATTCTATGAATTTGACTATTTTAGTTACCTCCTCTAAATGGAATCACACAGTGTTTGTCTTTCTGTCTCTGGTTTATTTCACTTAGCAGTGTGACCTCTAGGTTCATCCTCGTTGTCACATATGGCAGAAGTCCCTTCTTTTTTAAGACTGAGTCATATTCCTTTGCATGTAAACACCACATTCTCTTTATTCATCTGTCAGTGGAAATTTAAGAGTGATAATATATCTTTGAGATTCTGACTTCAATTATTTTGAATAAATATTCAGAAGTGGGATTACTGGATCATATGGTGGTTCTATTTTTAAGTTTTAGAGAAAGCTCCATACTGTTTTTCACAGTGGTTGCACAATTTTGCATTCCCACCAACAGTGTACAATGGTTCTTCTAGTTTCTCTATATCTTTGTTGTCTTTTTCTTTTAATAATGGCCATACTAATGGATATGAGGTGACATCACATTGTGGTTCTGATTTGCATTTCCCTCAGGATGAGTGATGTTGAGCATTTTTTTATATGTCTGTTGGCCATTTGTACGTTTTCTTTGGATAAATGTCTGTTCAAATTCTTAGCCCATTTTTACATTTGGTTATTAGTGTTTTCCTATTGAGTTGTAAGAGTTCCTTGTATATTTTGGAGATTAATCTCTTATGCATATGGTTTGCAAATATTTTGTCCCATTCTGTACATTGCCTTTCCAGACTTTTTTCCTTTTCAATTTAGAACATTTTCAGTTTGTAGACAACATCTGATATAATAGAAAACTCTAAAGATTCCATTAAAAAACATGTTAACAGCTCAACATCAATTTATCTATTGAACAAACTCAGTAAAGTTGCAGGATACAAAATCAACATGCAGAAATCATTTACATTTCTATACACTAACAATAAACTATCTATAAAGCAAGTTTACAAAGGTAACTTTATTTATAATACCACCAAAAATACTTTAGGAATATACTTAACTAAGAAGCTGAAAGGCTCGTATAGCGAAAAATACAAACTGTTGAGAAAAGACACTAAAGAAGGCACAAATAAAGTAAACACATCCTGTGTTCATGGGTTGGAAGACTTAATATTGTTAAAATGTTCATATTACCCAAAGCAGTCTCCAGAATCAGTGCAATCCTTATCAATATTCCAATGGTATTTTTTACAGAAATAGAAAAAACAAATCTAGAACTCATATGAAACCACAAAAGATCAAGACTAGTCAAACCAATCTTGAGAAGGAAGAATAAAGCTAGAAGCATTACAATAGCTTGATTTCAAACTATATCAAAAGGCTACAATAATCAATGCTGGCATAATGACAGACATATAGACCAATAGAACAGAATAGAGAGACTAGAAATAAATTCATGCATTTATGGTCAACTAGTCTTTGACAAGACTGCCAAGAATAAACAATGGGGAAAGGATAGTCTCTTTGACAGATGTTGTCAGAAAAACTGGATATCTACATGTAAAAGAATGAAATTGGACCCTTGTGTTGTACCATACACAGGAGTGAACTTAAAATAGATTAAAGACAAACATAAGACTTGACAATGTAAAACTGCTAGAAGAACACATAGGGGAAGAGCTTAATGACATTGGTCTTGGTAATAATCTTATGGACATGACACCAGAAGCACAGGCAACAAAAACAAAAGTGAACAAGTATTCCATTTTGTGTGTGTGTGTGTGTGTGATATACTGTAATTTACTCATTCATTTATTGATGAACCCTTAGGATGTTCCTAGTTTATGATGATGCTATAAGCATTCATGTATAAATATTTGATGTGGACATGTTTTCATTTATCTCTTGGATAAGTATCTAGGAATGGAATTTGCTGGATGATATGATAGGTATATGTTTAGGTTTATAAAACACTGTTAAACTGTTTTCCAAAGTTGTTGTGTCATTTTACGTTTTAAACAGAACGTATGAGATTTCCATTTGCTCCACATCCTCATCAACACTTGATATTGTCAATCTTTTAAAATTTAGCCACTCTAATGGATGTGTAACAGTATCTCATTGTGGCTTTTTTATTTTCCTGATAACCAGTGATCTTGTATATGTTTTAATGTATTTGTTGGCTTTATATATTCTGGATATAAATCCTTTATCAAATACATGCTCTTTGAATATTTTCTCTCATGCTGTGGCTTATCTTTTCATTTTCTTGCCTCCTTTTTTAAAGCAAAATTTTTAATTTTGATGAAGTTTATTTTATTAATATTTTGTTCTGTGATTTGACTTTTTGTGTCCTGTTTAAATCATTATTGCCTAATGCAAGGTCACAATGATTTTTCTCCTCTGTATTCTTCTGGGAGTTTTATATTTATTTATTTATTTATTTTGAGACGAAGTCTTGCTCTATTGCCCAGGCTGGAGTGCAGTGATGTGACCTCGGCTCACTGCAACCTCCACCTCCTGGTTCAAGTGATTCTCCTGCCTCAGCCTCCCGAGTAGCTGGGGCTACACCTGCATGCCACCACGCCCAGCTAATTTTTTTGTATTTTCAGTAGAGACGGAGTTTCACCATGTTAGCTAGGATGGTCTCGAGCACCTGATCTCGTGATCTGCCTGCCTCGGCCTCCCAAAGTGCTGGGATTACAGGCGTGAGCCACCACGCCCAGACTTCTTCTAGGAGTTTTATAACTTAGCTATTATATTTAGGTTTAAGGTCAGTATTTTTTTTTTTAATGTGGTGGAAATAAATGTTGAGGTTAATTTATTATCATACAGATATCCAATTGTTCCAGTAACATTTTGTGTAAAGATTATCCTTATGGTCAAAGCCCAATTGGCCATATAAGTGAAGCTCTATTTCTAGGCATTCTGTATTTGGTTCCATTGGTCTATACATGTGTCAATACATCAATGCCACACTATCTTGAATCCTACAGTTAAGTCTTGAAATTTGATAAAAGAAGTCCTTCATCTTTTTCTCTTTTTAAAGATCAATAAGCACATGAAAAGATGCTTGACATCACATGTCATTAGGGAACTGTACATTAAAACAATAATGAGGCCAGGCATGGTGGTTCACACCTGTAATCCCAGCACTTTGGGAGGCCGAGGCAGACGGACCACCTGAGGTCAAGAGATCAAGACCAGCCTGACCAACATGGTGAAACCCTATCTGTACTAAAAATACAAAAATTAGCTGGGTGTGGTGGCACATGTCTGTAATCTCAGCTACCTGGGAGGCTGAGTCAAAAGAATCGCTTGAACCTGAGAGGTGAACGTTTCAGTGAGCCAAGATTGCACCACTGCACTCCAGCCTGGGTAACAGAGTGAGACTCTGTCTCAAAAAACAAACAAACAGACAAAGAAACACACACACAAAAAAAATAATGAGAAACCGTTACACATCTACTGAATCCCAAACACTGACAACAGAAAATGCTGGCAAAAATGTGAAGCAACAGGAATTCTCATTCATTGCGTGCTGGAATGCACAAGGGTACAGCCATTTTGGCAGACAGTTTGGCAGTTTCTTACAAAACCATTAGATCCAGCAATTGTGTTCCTTGGTATTTACTCAAATGAACTGAAAACTTAGGTCTACACAAAAATCTGCATGTGGATGTTTATAGTAGCTTTATTCATAACTGCCAAACCTTGGAAGTAAACAAGATCTATTTTAATAAGTGAGTGAATAAACTGTGCTACATTCAGAAAATGGAATATTATTCAGCACTAAAAAGAAATGAACCATCAAGCCATGAAAAGACAGAGGAAACTTAAATGTATATGACTAAGTGAAAGGAACCAACCTAAAAAAGCCAAATGCTGTATGATTCCACCAAATGATATCCTGAAAAAGGCAAACTATGGAGTCGGTAAAGGGATCAGGGGTTGCCAGGAGTTGGGGGTGTAAAACGATAGATAGGTAGAGCACCCAGGACTTCAGGTGAGTGGAATGATTCTGTATGATACTACAGTGGTGGATACATGTCATTATACTTTGTTAAAATCATAGAATTTCCAACATCGAGAGTGAATCTCAATGTAAACTATGGACTCTGAGTGATAATGATGCATCCATTGTTACAAATGTCCCATTCTCAAGGGGATGCTGACGACAGGGGTGTCTGTGTTTGGGTGGGGGAAGGAAGGTGTGGGAATTCTATTTTCTGCTCAGTTTTGCTGTGAATCTAAAACTGCTCTAAAAGATAAAGTCTTAATTTACAAAACAACATATTTTTAAAAGAGTTGTGGAGTATAATTAAGCAAGGTAACATAATCCCATGAAAAATGCTAGTAATTCTGAAAACTAACTTTGTGCACCATTTAGAGCAGAAATCATCTGCAACGTTCATATCAATGTGAAGGATAAAAAGTTGAAAAAAAAATCCGGGCTAAAGACATGGTCCTAGAGAATTCATGTTTATGTTTTTCAGTTATTCACCCTGGGAGTATGCATTTTCAACCCATTTTTAATCCATATAGCTGACTCATTTCCCAAGCCATTCTTCCCAACCTTGCCTATAGAGATATGATATCCTTGTTCCAAAGTCTTGTTGGAATCCAAGTATACAGACTATTTACCAGTCTAGGAATTGTATCAAAAAGTCCTGAGGCTTCTCTGCGCTTTCTTAGTGAAGCTGCGTGGGGTTGCTAATGGTCACCACCTTGTTTTCTACGTTTAGGTTAGCTCAGCAAATGTTTGAGTGCTGTTATATGTAAGTCATTGTGGTCATCACCAGGAAGACAAAATAATCTCAAGGGATTTCGAGTCTATTGAGTACATAAACGATCCTTAGGAAATTAGTTTTGGAATCTTGATCAGATGAACTTTACAATCCCAAGCCCCTGTGTAGAAGTTCCTTCCCCTTTCTTTTTGTTAGTGTTGAGAATGTGTATTCCAGAGCTTCTCATCCCACACATCATTTTGTACCTCCAGTTCCTCAGGCTGTACCAACAGGCTCAAGGATCTTTTAGAGGTGCCCTGCCCAGATGACTTGCTCACCTTCCCTTTATCTCTGGACTTGATTTGAATTTCCCCTTTTTTTTATTTATACCCAGTTTAAAAATCTGAGTCACTGACTGAGAAGTTGGGCAGGGAAGAGAGGCAGAACAGCTTCCTTCTCCATCATTTATTCACACCTTCAAGCCCAGCCCATCAACTTGCCCATCCTATTCCTTTTTCTTGTTTTAAACATAACTGAAAACACATCCCACCCAACTATCCTAAATATATTTCTGAGCATCAGTTTCTTTTTGGCTTTAGAATTTCTGATAACACTTTTCTGTGTCTTTGTCCTTTAGAGAAGAAAACATACCAGAATAGAGATGTGGATTCTGTTCTTGGCTATGCTATTTATTTGCTGTGTGAATTTGTAAAATTACTTAGTGTTTTTGACCCTCAGCCTCCTTCTCTGTAATGCGGGTATCATAATAACTATGCTGCCTATATGGTGGCATTAGCTTGAGGGTCAAAACCAGGGTCCACAGATGTTAAAATGTCCACTGAAAACAATGAGGTATTCCCGAAAGGTTACGTGTTATTTTGGTAGACTACTTACTATTGTTTGAATTTTAAAGCTTAGAAATTGATATTCACCGCAGCATGGCACATGAATAAAAGAGTCTGAATCTAATTAAAAGGTAATGTTCCGCTATTCAGATTCTTCTGCCTCGCATATCAGAAAGGCAGGTTTCTCCACTGGCATTCTTGGCTCAACTTTGAGAGCTGTGTTTATGCTGAGCTTCACTGGGGACAATCTCAAAGACACAATATCATGGGAATTGAATTGAATCACTGGAAAATATGATGTTAGGAAAACCAGGCAAGAACAACTTTCCAGTTTTATTTGCTCCACTTTTGCCCCTTTGATGAAGTGAGTCAGAAATTGGTAAATAGAAAGTTCGTTGCTCTTTTATGTGGAAATAGCATACTGAGTAACATCACAGGTCTCTTATGCATAGCATTTAAAAGCATCTTCTCTCTCTCTGTCTTTCGAACTGAAGGCCAAGGGAAGGGTTTGCTGTGTCATCTCTTCATCAGGTGTGGCGTTCCCAGATAAGACCAGACCACACTCCCAAGCTGAACTGAGGCCTAAAACAACAAGCTCATTGTTGCTGTGATTTTGTCTCATTCCCTTGGCAAGTTAAGTTCTCAACTATTTCAGATAATTCCTTTGGTTGGTTGATCTTTGTTTTACCTGTAATAGCATCTTTATCAGAATAATTCCACAGGTCTCCTCCTAGTTTAATCTATCTAATAATTTCCACCTACATAGCACTCTTTCACTACATTTCTGGAGGTGTGGCTTCTGTTTATTTTGTCATGTATGTACAATAGTCCATCACCAACAGCAAAAGTAAGTTAGTCAAAAACCTGATGGGGAGAGAATTTGCAACTGACATGCTTAAACTCCAGAGAAAACAGACGAGGAGTCCTCATAAATATTAATTATGTGCAGTAAAAAATCAGAATGCTGAAAGGGATGATAAATGATACTTCCCATCTTAAATGGATAACAAACAGTTCTGTAAAATTACTTTCTCAAGATTCCTTACTTGCCAGAGATGCTAGAAACACTGCCCCAGGAATTCCAATGAGATGGTTTGTCCACATTTTTGCTCTGATACAGGTAATATGCGTAGTAAGAGGCATTTTCATCTATGTGTGGGGTCCCCCATCAAAATATTCAATATTTTTCTGGTGTTATGAATCAGAATTTTTGCTTCCTGTTTCTTGGGTCCCATCTGAGGGCCTGGTACTTGGATATTTGATATGGGAACAGCCTTAAGTGTTTTCTAACAACCTCAGCATTGGTGACCAGGTAGGTACTTATCCGGTTCCATCTCCTGGAGGTGACAGTGTGGCATCCATGCTCAGACCATCTGAGTTCTAGTCCTAAGAACTCCACCAACCTATGCTTCCTTAGCCAAGTGACCAAGTGTACTCTAGAAGGCTTAGTTTTCCTGTCAGTAAAACGGAGGCAATCGCAGCAAGCATTTCCTGTCCTTGTTTCGAGGGCTGATGGAGATGGCGAGTGTGAAATGCACAGCAGGGCCCTGCACAGAGCAAGGGTGAACATACATCGTTATTCCTAACAAGCACCAGCATCTCCTCTTGGCTCTGTCAGACAACTTGGTGGCAAAACATGTGTTCTTGGCACCTTATGCACACATTTCAGTTTTGCATCCAAGAACTATGTTTCCTTGCACTTATTTGTACCAAGCTCTTCCAAGCTTTGTCTGAAAAGCCTCTTGCCATCACACCATTGCTCTTAGCTCCCAGCCCCAGTTCCCTTTTCCTGATTGTTCTCTGGACCTGTGAATCATTTCACACAAATTGGTCCCAAAATTCTGGCACTTACCAAAAAGTTATATGGAAATATGTCCCTATGCATTGACATTTCTTAGATAGGAAGTTCTATATTTGTGTTTCTTTTTTCTTTCCCAAATAAGGTTAGATTCTTTCAGCTATTTGTAATAGAAAACTTCAACTCAACTTGTTTAAACAATAAGGAATTTATTATCTTATATGACAAGAGATCTGAAGATAAAAGGGCCTCAGAGTTAGCTAATTCAGAGACTTAATGACATAATCAAAGATCCTTGATTTTGAAACTTGCTTACGGGTACCCTTCAGCCCTGAATGTTGCTACAATTCCACTCTTTCCCATGCACCATTAGGGACACACAAGCAGCTAAATGGTCTCACAATCTCCCAAGACAATTGTGATTCCATCCTCTGGGATGTCTTTGTTTTCATACCCTCCTTCCTGGGACCCTGTTCACAAGTCTATGCATCTGTAGCAATGTATCTGAATTATTAAATTGTTCATCTTGTTGGTTCTATAGTGATCCTTCTGAGGTCATAAGCCATGTCCTATTCGTAGGTAAAATCACTAGTCCCTTGTAAAATACAAAGTGCAGGCCAAGTGCTCCATACATTCTTTTTCTTTTCTTTTCTTTTCTTTTTTTCTTTTGAGATGGTATCTCGCTCTGTCGCCCAGTCTGGAGTGCAGTGGCTGGATCTCCACTCACTGCAACCTCCACCTCCCAGGTTCAAGTGATTCTCCTGCCTCAGCCTCCCTAGTAGATGGGATTATAGGAGCCCGCCCCCACACCCAGCTAATTTTTGTGTCTGTAGTAGAGACGAGGTTTCACCATGTTGGCCAGGCTGGTCTCGAACTCCTGACCTCAAGTGTTCTGCCCGCCTTGGCCTCCCAAAGTGCTGGGATGACAGGCGTGAGCCTCCATGCCCAACCATAAATTATTTTTTATAGGGGAAAAGGAAGGCAAGCAGATGAGAGAATTTTTGGTGCGCTATGCTTGATGTTTTAGATGGAGCCAGTGGCCCTTTGAGGAGTTAATATGAGTGAGATGCCACACAAACTGGAAACAGCTACAAGAGGGAATCTCTTTGACCAGTGCTTTAGTGTCTCATTCCCTGCACCCTGCCTGGGCTTCCTGGGTTAGCTCCATGGGTCTGGTCTCTTAGTCTAGATGTGGGTGTTGTGAGGCAGAAGGAAGGGGAGCATGGTCCAGAATGCATTGCAGAGTGAATGCTGCCCCTCAGCAGAGAAATGTGGGCAGGGAACTCTCCGTGGAAGGGGCTGGGGGCTTAGTTCAGGAGATATCAGGGATGGATTTGGTCTCTGAGGGTCTCATTTCCATAATAGTCATTATACAAAATTACTCATCTCTGAAGGCACCTAAAAATTCTTCAGATTTCTTTTTTGGTAACATTTTTATTCTTTGTCCTGGGTGGGTGGGGAGGAATGGGAGGATGGGATACAACTGCTCCATGGAGGAAGTGATGAGGTGGAAGGATCAGGGACCCCCCAACCAGCCATATATGGAAGGGACTCCCTGCTTGTATGTAACCGGACACGTCACATCATCTCTCTGAGCCTCAGTTTCCTTCTGTCACAGAGATGGCCACACTCACCTCTGGTATGTTGGGACACTAAGTCATGTCGGGACACTAAGTCATGTCATCAGTGTAAGGTCCCCGGCACATATGGGCCCCCTGTGAACATCAGTTCCTCCCCATCTTTCCTAGCAAGGAGAGGAGTGGACTACTCAAGACTTATAAGCCATAAGTATTGACCCCCTCCCTTGAACCCCAGAGCTCAGGGATCCGGTTCAAGTTTGTGTAATTTACATGGAAGCAAGGGTGAAATATGGACACTGAAACCTTAGTGAGCAGCAGACTCATCAGTGCTGGCCTTGAGGTTCTCATCGTTTGCTGCTGCAGGGTGACTGATCCTAGGAGAAAGGAAGTCACCAGATCACCAACCCCTCTGAGTGATGAGGAATCACTTCCCAGAGCATTGGTCACCAACGCTGAGGGCATTAGAAAACACTCAAGGCTGTTCCCATATCAACGGCGCAGGAAGCACCCTTCTCTGCAGCCGCCAGGGAGCTTCAGAGCCCGTTCCTGGATGGAAGACGCGTTTCTGCAGCCCTGTTGCAGAACACATCAACAAAGTGCTCCCTTGGCCAATGAGGAATCTAACACCGAGTTTGCACCAAAAGACCATCAGAAAAGCTGTAGCAGCAGAAGCTAACTGGGGAGGCCCTGTGTCCAGTCTACACAGTCTAGGGCCTGTGCTGGCAAAGTGTGGCCAACCCCAGTTTCAGCAAGGCCAGCACGGCTCTGTGAGTCCCAGCCCTCCATGCAGGGGCAACGCTCCAGATGGGGATGGCCCATCTGGAGCCAGGCGGGACTCAGCTCTACCCTGCGTGTCAAGGCAGCGTCTAGAGGAGACAAATAGCTGATGACTGGGTCGTGTCTTCATTAGTGGAGCGTGGGCTCAATCACTTTCCAACAGTCAACTTTGTCTTATTCAGAGTTAAAAGAAGCCCTTGAGATGTGGCTGAGGAGCAGCGCCTGTCCCAGAGATGCTGAAGGACATTTGGATGGACTCTCCTGGGACCTTGTGGGATAAGCAAAGGCCTGCACACACTGCTGGACAGCACCCTCCCAGAAGCTTTTCCTGTGGGTGACATCCTCGCACAAGCCGATGTTGTCCACAACCTGCACAAGCCGATGTTGTCCACAACCTGCACAAGCCGATGGCCCCTCCAGCACCCAGCTTTGGGGACAGTTTCAAGGGACTCCCATTCACAAAGGAGGCAACCTATTGCTCATCTGTACACTGGTACTGCCCAGAGTCCGGGTACCTTCCCAAAGCCCCCAGACTCCCTGAGCCAGTGGAGGTGGCTTCTGAGCACTTATATTTGCTAGGCACTGTGTTTGAGCACTTTGCACAATTATACCATTTAATTTTTATGAGACCATGACGAGATATTTGCTATGGTCATCCCATTTTGTGGTTGAGAAAACTGAGGCTATGGGTGGTCCCATGGATGGTCAGACCAACAAATCTCATCCTCCACTTCAGCAGTTCTTAACCCTGGCTGAACATTCAAGTTGCTTGAGAGATTTTTTTTAGATACCTGTGCCTGAGTTCCCCCAGAGTCTTGGAACCTTGATCTTGGTGGGGCTAGGGGAAGCAAAGGTGATTGAGCTTCTGCTGTGTGGTCTGGAGTGGGAAGCCTTGGCTCCTAGAGTGCATTTCCTCCTCAGGGCTGGGTATTCTTGCTTGTTACATGTCCCCTGGGCTCTGGCCACGGTCAATGACAAAGCCCCAGGGGAGGGTCAGCCCCTTTTGCTGCCTTTTTCTTCAGAGAGCACAGTGATATCGAGGCTGAAGAAAGTCAGCTAGAGGGAAATGCAAACACTCAGTGGGAGAAAGATATGCACTTTTTTTCTCAATCAGTTTTCATGACCATTGCAAATACAGTTCTGTTTGCTTCAGAAATTTCCTTTCTTCCCATATTTTACCCAGTCATTGACTCTCAAATCCAAGTGCACCCTTCATCCTACCATCAGGGTTAATCTATTCAGGACTTGGCTTACTGTTTCATAAAACAAAACGTGTCTACTTTTCCATTAAATATTAATATCAGCATAATCGAACTCAACCATCACAGTGTTTAGTCATCTCACTTTTGATCCTTAAATCCCGTTTTGGTTCTTAGATGATGTCAATAAGATGAAATATAAAAGATACATTGCTGAGGTTCTAGTGTCACAAGAAAATGACATTCTGGTATGATTTCACCTTGCGATTTTCCCATGTTTACTCATGACATAGACAAGTAGATCTGAGTACAGATTTTTAGACAAAATGCCATCATTGGAAAGTATGTGAATCCATCCTTACAGCCTATAGCTGATGACAAAAGGGCTGTGGGCTCTTGCTGACTGTTGGAAGCTGGTGGTCACATATGCACCTCGACCCTGGGGAGTCTTCCCCAGGGTATTAGTAGTACAGGAGTTGGGAAATCCTGCAGTTTTCACAGTAGAGTATGTGATGAACAACAAAAAAGAGAGAATAAGAAGAATCATTCTGTGGTAAAGGGTGAAAAGACCTGAACATGGTCTCTGAAAAACCACGTGGCTTGATCTATGAGAAGCTTGTCCGGCAGTTTTAACGGTAACGATAGTCTCAACCTATTCTTGGATGTGGTTTTTGCCTCACATAACAAGATGCCAGGTGTATTCAGGTGCCACTCATGTTCTAGAAAGACACTTGCATTTTCAGAGGTCAAAACAGAATGACCGGATTGTAACTGAAAGCTTTGGACAGCAAGTAAACCACAACCCAAAGGTCTTACTAACAAATGTTCTCAAACTCCAGCTGCCCAGACAACCTGCCAGCCTGACCTGGGAAGCTCACAGGGAAGCTGAAGCGTCTGTGATGCACAGGGTGAGATTTTGGGATGATAAGGAATGTTGAAATATTATAATTGATGAGATTTGGATGACAGGCTCTCTTGCTGCTTCCAGATTGTTTCTGTGAATAATACAATGCTTCCAGCTCCTTCAAAACCAAACTGCCTCTCTTGTGGTTAACAAGGGTGGGATGAGGGAAAAGAGAACGTAGCAACTGAATGACAAATTGATGCCAGATTTTAGACTTGATAAAATTCACCTGTCAAGGGAAAAGGAGGAAGAAGGGAAAAATGGAGAGAAGACTTTTTGAGGTAAATCACTATGGATTTGCTATTCATTCTGTAAATAGATGCCAACTTTTAACAGCCTTCCTTCCTTCCTTTCCGCACTCTCCTCCCTTCCCCCCACATCCCCCCACTTCACCTCTTTCACCCCAATGCTTCCTTCCCCCTTCCCCTCCCTGCCTCCCCTCCGCTTCCCCTTCACGACACATTCATTGAGTGCCAAGTATGTTGGGGGCTCCATACAAGATCTTGAGGGTAAAGTGTTAAAAAAATTAGACAGACATAGTGCCTGTCTCATGTCACTCATATTGGAGAGATGGAGATAGAGCAAAACCAAGATTTAGGGGACCTGAGTTTTATTTGTACGTGTGTCACTATACAAGTGAATGTTTGATTTTAGCCGAGATCCCTAATCAACTGGGACTTAGTTTAAAATTTGCTATGAAAAAATAAGAATAAAGAGTTCCCGATCTCTTGTAGGGGGTCATTGCTGCAAGGCATGAAGTGACTTGAAGCACTATAAGCTAGGATAATTATCTGCAGGTGTAACCTGCTTTGCCAAGATTTGCTTACCTCCTGTGAGTCATGTAGGGTGGGTGGGGAGCGTGGGAGTGAAATGGAGAGCCAGCCTCTACAGAGATCAATTGAACTCCAAGGTTGGAGGAGGGGAGATATGCAATGTAACTGGTACAGTACCTTTTTTACATGTACCTGTGGTGCTTGATTGTGGTTTTACATGAAACTGCCTGATTGAAATGTGTGAAAGGTATGAGCAGCCCTGCCTTTTAGTGTGGAGAAAGGAATTAGCTTTTGGGCTCATTATCCCCTTGAGCAGAACTTTTAGTGACAAATCTAAAAGAAGGTCCCATCCAGATGGCAGTAAGATTGCACAGATATTCTGTGTCTCAGGCTCCAAGTGTCAATCACTAGGCTTAGAGGCCTTGCGATTATTTCCACTCAAACAGTGTTTGCCAAAATGACGTGCTGGTTCAACTGGGCATGAAGTGATAAGCATGAAAAAATGGTTTTATTTTGATGACTATATACATTAGGAAAGGAGTATCTTGCACATTAACCCCAAGAAATCAATGCTATTAAGTAGGACAGATCTAGGTAAAAGTGAGTGTACTCAAAGAAAAACAGCACATGATTTATGTCACATGGAGATATCACTTAGGATGCTTGCCACAAGTCACCAAAAATCCATTTGAAACTGGCTTATTTTATACAATTTTGTAGCTTATGAAACTGAAAATCCAGGAACAGCAGAGGCCGCAGCCACGGGCTGATCTGGAGGCAGTGTGTTCATCAAAGAGGCACCTTTGTCTTGGAGGTTTGCTCAGCCCTGCCTTCCTTGGGCCCCAACCTCTCCACAGATGATTCCCTCCTGGGAGCAGGATGGCTTCCAGGGCTCTGAGGGCCACGGCTTCCGCAGCCTCATCCAGAACTTCCCCCAAATAGAAAACAAAGTCTCTTCTCCTCCAACCCTTCTGACTGGATACTTACAATATGCGATGCATCTGTTGGCTTACGCCTGTGTTTCCAACACTTCTCTAACCTGTGTCTAGGATGATGGCATCACACTCAGGAACGAATCCCCCTGGCCACCCTGGAGTTGAGGGTGGGACCAAGGTGGCCAACATTGCCCAGCTGAGAATTGCAGGATCGTGTAAAGCAAGAGGAATGGAGATGGGATGCTGCGGAGAAATCAGCATGTCCACCACAATGGATCCGGAAAATCTGTGAGGTTCTGTCTTGAATGACTCAAGTTTGTGAAATATTTCATGGAAACATGCCCCCACCCCTTCCAAGTCTAGACCTAGGCTGTTCTAACTTTCAGCGTTCTTGTAGAGATGGCTGGCAGTGTGCTACTTGCTATTGCAATTTTGTTGCTCCGTGCTTGTTGTTGTGTTTTGTTTCTAAGAAATGGGGGTTTGCTTGGACCAGAGGCCTTGTGTGTTCTTTGTCACATGGTGGATCTGGGCCAGCCTGGGCTGCCAGAGTATTCCCTGGGCTGGGCTCCTTGTTGGCATCTTACATGTGGCTACCTGGATCTCACCTGGACTCCAAAGCACGGGGTGCCAGGCAACCCTCGGTGCTGGCGACTGAGCTGAGGCCCCCAGCATGGCATAGAGCCATTCTGGTGAGGAACATTGGATCCTGTGTCTAAATCTCTACCTCCAGCCTTTAGCAAATCTCCTTCAACATTACAGCCCAGGCTAGGTAGTGCTCGGAGAATTAGGAAGGCTTTTTTTCCACCTCCACCTCTAAGCCCAGGGAAGAGCAGATTCCACTTCTTGGGCGCAGACTAGGAAGCTTTCGTGCAGTAGGACAGCTGTGTTGGAGGCTCCACTGCCTCATAAATGGTCTTTGACAACAGAGCAGCAAAGACGTGGCTTCTGCAGGGGAGCACACGAGTGCCTGTTTGGTTAAGCTTCTCCCTTAAGATGGAGGAGCTCTTCCTTGTCTGTGTGTTCTCTTTCCACTGGCCACGCCCATCCCCTATGAATGTAATTCAGTGAGAATAGGCCCCTCTTCATCTTACTCACTGACGAATCCACAGTGCCTAGAATCGTGTGTGCATAATATTCTTTGAATAAATGAATAGCAAATACAGAAGGGAGATAGCAAGAAATGATCCATTTCTGTATTAATTCGAAATGGGAATATCTCAGAAATAAAAGTGTGATGCCCCCATCTCATAATTTGAATATAAAAATGAAAGGTATAACTTCTTTTCTGTAGTCACAGGTGTTTCTACAGAAAGACATGAGGGTTAGACATAGGGGTTAGATCTATTTGTGACATAAGGGTTAGATCTTTTGAAGCACAAACATCATGGTAATAGAATGGGGCGTAACACTGAATTTTTAAGATAAAACTTCAAAGAAATTTTAAGCTGTGTCAACCCATGTTGAGTTTGATTTCAGATGATTTCGTATCCTGGGGCTACCCATCCAGTTTCTACTTTTTGTGTGGTTTTTATTACTATCAAGATTATACATGCATGTGGTTTGATCTCGTTTAGAAAAAAAAAGTGCAGCTCACTGCCAGCACTCATTTAATCTTACATAAACACACTCTTTGAGGTTGAAGCAAATCTGACTGATTTTCAATGTGAAAGTAAAATATAAAAATTGTTCTTGGAGTTATTTCTAAACAGAACTAACATCAGAATCGTTTGAATCATCAGAATCATCTATTTTGGAAAAATCAGATTCATCAAATGAATGAATCTTTGGCCAACGATTGTTTGAGAATGGTCTTAACATCATGCATAGGAATGCTACGTTTTCCAGGATTTGACATTTTCAGTGATCAAGAATTACTATATTTTGTAAATGGAAATACCCACTAAATACAGAATGCTATAAATAGGGTGATGTCTTTTGTTTCCAAAACTTTTGTTTCCAAAGTCGATATGCTAGAGTGATGTGAAATAATAATAAAAGCGAGATATTTTGTGACAAAGTTATTTTGGGGTCAATGCTGCAGCCGTAAGTTGCATGAGAATTCTCTGGGCAAATAGAAAAAGGATTAAACGGTAAGATATTCATAAGGTCTGCAAGGCTTACTATAAAAAACTGTCATAATCTTACTCTCTCTACTGCTACCATGTCCTCATCCACCAGAGGAAATAACTTTTAACTTCTTTACCAATTCTTTTTATTCTTTTTTTTTTTTTTTTTTTTTTGAGATGGAGTATTGCTCTGTTGCCCAGGCTGGAGTGCAGTGGCATGATCTCGGCTCACTGCAACCTCCACCTCTCAGGCTCAAGCGATTCTCCTGCCTCAGCCTCCCGAGTAGCTAGGATTACAGGCGTGTACCACCACGCCTGGCTAATTTTTGTATTTTTAGTAGAGACGGGGTTTCACCATGTTGGCCAGCCTGGTCTCAAACTAAACTCCTGACCTCAAGTGATCCGCCTGCCTTGGCTTTCCAAAGTGCTGGGATTATGGGCAAGAGCTACTGCGCCCGTCCTCCAATTCTTTTGATATTTGCATCCACATCTATAAATAACAGGCATGTATTGCTACTAATGACTTTTCAGTTTTAGGTGTTACCTATTAACTTCCCAAAACAAAAGATGAGGATTTAGTCTCACTCTGGCCTCTACGTAGGTGCATAATTCCTATGTCACTATCTACCCAACAGTTACACCATAATTTTGGTTGAATAAACATTTAGTGCTCCCATTATTATGATTTTATAAATATTATGGACGATTGAGCTATGTAGTATACCATAATTTTCTATTCCTTCAAAGTCTTGTTTTCCTGGAGTTAATAATTTTCCTGTCCTGTTTGCCTTTAGTTTGCTCCAATATGGATTTGTTGATGGCTAGATTTTTTTTTTTTTTTGAGACAGTGTCTTGCTCTGTTGCCCAGGCTGGAGTGCAGTGGCACAGTTATGGCTCACTCCAGCCTCAAACTACTAAGCAAAACTGATTCTCCTGTCTCAGCCTCCCAAGTAGCTGGGATTACAGGCACATGCCACCAAGCCTGGCTATTTTTTTTTTTTTTTTTTTTTGTAGAGATGGGGTGGCTACATGGCCCAGGCTGGTCTCAAATCCCTGGCCTCAGGTGATCCTCCCACCTCAGCCTCCCCAAAGTGTTGGAATTATAGGCATGAGCTACTATGCCTGGCTGGCTAGATTTTTTACACAGATTCTATCTTGGGATTTTTCTTTTTCATTATTCTAAGTATTTTCATTCCTACTCCCTTCCCTGTCCCTCCTGCCTGCTTCTTTCCTGGTTTAACCCAAAGGTCAGAATACTGTGGCCCCATATCTGTCTTTGAAAATAAAATTTTATTGGGGCACCACCATGCCCATTTATTTGTGTGTTGTCTGTGGATGCTTTCAGTCCACAGTGGTAAAGCTGAATCACTGAGACAGAGGCAGTACAGCCACAAAGCCTAACATATTCACCATCTGGTTATTAATGGAAAAATTTTGCCAGATCCTGATTTACTCTATCATTTTGTCAAGCACATCCTCCCAGTTTTCTAGAAAGGCTACAGAGAAAAATATATAGATTTTTTTAAGACATTTTAAACATTTTTAGACATTTAGACTTTTTTAAAAAGCCTAAACTGTTTTTTGTATTTTCACCCATAATTGCCAGTTTGGCTGGATAGAGATTTCTAGGTTGAAAAATAGTTTCTCTCAGAAACTTTGAATACATATTTTATTGAAGCATTTATAATAAAGTACACTGTAGTAAAAGTAAGTGTAGAACTTGATTTTCCAAACATTCACGCTTGTGTGGCCACGGCCCAAATCAAGATCTAGAACAGTACCAGGACCTCAGAAACCACCCTACCACCCCCTCAAGCCATTACCCTCCCCTTAACCATTGCCTTTATTCTATGTTGCTATAATTCAGTTTCACCTAATATACATTTTTATTAATGAAATCATGTAATACATAATTCTTTGTGTCTATCTTCATTCTCTCAATGAAATATTAGTCATATTTCTCTTAGTTCATTTGGCCTGCTATACCAAATACCTTAGGCTGGATAATTTATAAACAAACAAAATGTATTGCTCACAGTTCTGAAGGCTGAGGAGTCCAAGATCAGGTGCCAGCAGATTCAGTGTCTGGTGAGGGCTTGCTTTCTGCTACAAAGTTTGTTCCTTCTTGCTATATACTCACATGGCAGGAGGGGAAAACACGTCCCCCCAGGCTTTTTTTTTTTTTAATCAGGGCATTGATCCCATTCATGAAGCCTCCACCTCTTAATACTACCACATTATGAATTAGCTTTCAATTTTTGAATTCGGTGGGGGGACACATTCAAACCACAGCAATATTCATCCATGGTGTTTTGTTGTATTTATTCTTTTCTGTGCTATACATTTCATTGCTTAAATATACCAAACTGTATTTATCCATTCTATTTTTGATGGACATTTGGGTTGTTTCCAATTTTGAGCTACCATAAACAGTGCTGTTATGGGCATTCTTGTACATGTCTTTTAGTGAATTTGGGGGCATTTTTATTAGGTATAGAACTAACAGAGGAATTTCTGAGTGATAAGGTTGTACTTTTACAGCTTTAATAGATGCTGCCAAATGGTTTTCTGAGCTGATTTTTTTCAATTTATATTTCCATCAGCAATTTATGACAGTTCCAATTGATCTACATTCTTCCAACACTAGATATTGTCCCAGTTTAAAAAATTTTACTTATTCTGATGGTTGTATTTTGTATCTCACCATTGTATTTTGTGTTTTCCTGCTAATAAATAATGTCCAGGTCCTTAGCCCAGCTGGCTAGGTCTTTTACACAGATTCCATCTTGGGATTTTCCATGGTAGTGATCATTTGGATCCTCTTTTGTGAAGGATCTAGACAAATCTTTTACCTGTTTTGATTAGGTTATGTATCTTTTTTGTCAACTTTGGTGGATTGCAATGATGTATGTGTTGTAAATTGGATGACCATTTATGTGTGGATCAGTTTCTGAACTCTACCTTTTCCATTGGTACAGTTTTCTATCTGTGCATTAATATCACAATGCTGTAATTAAGGTAGCTCTGGAAAAGTCTTGTGATCCAGTGGTGTCAATGCTCCAGCTTTAATGTGTTTCTTCCAGGTTGTCTTTGCTTTTTCTAGTCAATTGCATTCCCACCTGAATTTTGGAATCTTATCAATTTCCTTGGAAAAGTGTACTAGGATACCAACCGAGATTTCATTGAACATATAGATTGATTTGAGGATAATCAAATCAAATGGTTTGATGTTCATTTAGTCTTTCAGTCCTCAAAGGTAGAATTGATCCTTATTATGAATTCTGTATTTCTGAATTCACCTACTTGCTAAAATTTATTTGTGTAACCTCAGAATCAATACTTGTGGCACTTTTGTGGTACCTGTGAACACACATAGTTGTGAAGAATGTATGTTGCCTGACAGGCATGTTCCTGGCTGAGGAAGAACAAGGCCACACCCTGCCTTCTTGTTCCAGCTCTCATATTCGCAGTAAACAAATGTCCTTTTTCATAGTTTGTTCTTTTTTCATTTTTGTGGTTTTTAATGATAATTTTTCTGTTTAAAATGGCCTCCAAGTGTAGTGCTGAGGTGATGTTTAGAATTTCTAAGTGTAAGAAGGCTGTAAGAATTTCTAAGTATAAGAAGGCTGTGTTTCTCCATCTGCATTATGAAGAAAAGACCTGTCAGTTAAGTTCCATTCAGGCACAAGTTATACTGCCACTGGCTCTGCGTTCAATATAAACTGGATTAATGAAATAGATTAAATACTGTGTCTTTAAACAGAAGCACAAGTGAAACAAGGTTATATATTGACCAGTTGACAAATATGCTGTGACCAGAGGCTCACAGGAACCTAACACTCTTATTTCTCCTAGGAGCGATGGTCATTATTTGCTAATTCAGTGTTAGTGGTGACTTTACAGAATAACTACTGTGAATAATAAGAATTGATTGTATTTCCCTCTAAATTTGGGTCCTTAGTTCCTCTTAGTAATCTTTGGTCTTTTTCTGTGTAGAGGTTTGCACACGTTTTATTAGATTTATTCCTAGGTGGCTGATTTTTTTATACTATTAAAATTTTACTTTCTGTTTGTTTATTGCTAGAATATAGAAAAACCACTTATTTTGTATATTGGTACTATATCCAATGACTTTAATAAATTTATGGATTAATTCTAATAGTTTGTGAATTATTTTGGATTATTCCCATATATCATTACATCATTTGTGAATAATTGCAGTTTAACTTCTTTTCTTCCAGTTCACTTACCTTTTTCTTTTCTTTGCCTTGATCACACTGGCTAGAGCCTCTTGTAAAATACCAAAGGTAAGTGAGGATAGTGGCTGTGATTGTTAATTTTATGTGTCAACTTGGCTAGTTCACAGTGTACCCTATTTTTTTTTACACAGCACTCTAGATGTTGCTGAGAAGGTTTTTTTTGTTTGTTTGTTTTGTTTTGTTTTTTTGAGACAGAGTCTCACTCTGTCACCCAGGCTGGAGTACAGTGGCGCGATCTCGGTTCACTGCAACCTACACCTCCTAGGTTCAAGCGATTCTCCTGCCTTAATTTCCCAGCGAATTTTTATATTTTTAGTAGAGATGCGGTTTCACCATGTTGGCCAGGCTGGTCTTGAACTCCTGACCTCAGGTGATCCACCCACTTCAGCCTTCCAAAGTGCTGGGATTACAGGCATGAGCCACTGCGTCTGGCCAGTATTTTTTAGATGTGATTAACATGTAAATCAGTGGACTTTAAGTAAAGCAGTTTGCCCTCCCTAAAAATGGGTGGGCCTCACAGCTGAAGATCTTAATAGAGAAAAGACTGAGATCCTCCAAGACAGAGGGAGCCCTGCCACTGGACTGCCTTTGGACTTGAGCTGTAACGTCAACGCTTCCCTGGTCTCCAGCTTGCGGGCCTGCTCTGCAGATTTCAGACTTTCCAGCCTCCACAGTCATGTGGGCTCATTCCTTACAATCTCTCTCTCTCCCTGTATATTTATGTGTGTGTGTGTGTGTGTGTGTGTATAGAGATATATGTTTGTATGTGTATATACATTTTATTGGTTCTGATTCCCTAGAGAGCCATAACACAGTAGATATTCTTGTCTCATTCCTTATGTAATGGAGAAAGCTTTCAGTATTTCATGATTAAATATGTTGTTTATTGTAGGTTTTTTCTCTCCTCTTTTTGGTAGGTAGGTACTTGTTATCAGATTTACAAAGCTCTTTTTATCCTAGTTTGCTGATTTTTTAAAGCTAATTATTAATAGGTCTTGAATATTAGCCAATGCATTTGTATCTTATCAATTGTGATGTTTATATATTTTTTTCATATGCCCTGTTAATGCGGTAAGTTATGATTGATTTTTAAATGTGAAACCAAGTTTTTATTCCCAGAAACTTACTCATGATATATTAGTCTTTTAAATATATTGGCAGCTTTGATATTTGCTACTTTGTTTACAAAGGGGATTGGCCATTTTTGTAATGCTCTGGTCTGGATTTGTTATCAAGATTACCCTGGATTCAGAAAAGGAGTTATTAATTATTCACTCCTCTTCTAGGCTCTGGAAGAAATTATAAATATATTGTTCATATTTCTTCTTATGTAAAACCTGCAGAATCTTAATTCCAGTATACCTTTTACATAGAGATATTAATAATTTGTTTTTTCTCGATCAATGTTGCTAGGAGGTTATGAATTTTATTAGTCTTATTGGCAAATATTTTGACTTTCTTGATTTTCTCTGTTATATGCATTTTCCCCCCTATTCTCTTAGTACTTGCTTTTATTGGTACTGGCTCCTTCCACTTTGAGTTTAATTTGCTTTTCTTTTTCAAGCATCTTGAGATAAATGTTAGATCACTGATTATCAATCTGACTTATTTTTAACAACTCGTTCTTTTTATAGCATTTAAGATTATCAGTGTCCCTTTAAATCTATGTTAGCAGTATCCCACCAGTTTTGATGTATCATATTTTTGTTATTATTTAGTTCAATATATTTTCTAATTTTTCATTTTGATTTCTTCTTTGATCCATGGGTTATAAAGAAGTATTGCTTTCTTGCAAAATGTTTGGGTATTTTCCTGGTTATCTTTCTACTTTTTACTTCTGGCTTAATTCTAATGCAGTAGAGAATCTGCACTGTATGACTTTAATCCTCTAAGACCTGGTGTATGGTTATTTTAGTTAATGTTCTATGTGTCCTTGAAAAGAATGTGTATTTTGCAATTTGGAGCTATAGTGCTCCATATATGTCAAATAGATCAAGTTTCTCAAATAGATCAAGTGTTAAGAGCTTCTGTGCCCTTACTGATTGTTGGCTTGTTCTATCCAGTCACAGAGAAGATTTGTAAAAGTCTTTAATTGTGATTGTGAATTTGCTGATTTGTTCTTTTAGTTGTGGTAATTTTTCAAAATATATTTTGATGCTATTAAATGCATGCAAATTTAGTATTGTTCTACACTTTTAGTGTCCTCTTTAATTTCTTAATGTGTATTAACTTAAAGCCTGCCTTGTATGCAATTGGTATAGGGTTTGTACAATATACCTTTTTTATCATTTTACTTTGAACATTTCTGTGTCCTTATTGTTTAAGGTATGTCTCTGAGTACCATTATAAGATATTTAAAAATCCAGTCTGACAATCTTATTATTTAATGAGTAGCATTTTTTCCATTTATACTTCATGTAATTACTAATATCTTTAGATTTAATCTACCGTCTTCCTATTTTTTGTCTTATCTGTACTTTCTACCTTTTATTTTTCTTTCTTTTGTATTAATCATGTACATTTTATTTATTTTTTCCTCTCTTATTTTGAATACTCCTATGAATTCTATTAGTCTTCTTTTAGTTGTTTTCATAGATTACAATATGCATATTTAATTCTACCTTAAGTTAGTGCTTTTAGCAATTCCGGCAAAAATATAAGAATCTTATAACACTTCAATCCAATGCTTCTTTTACCTTTTTTGATATTTATCAGATATTTTAATTTTACTTAGTATATTACTAGTCTTACTAAAATCTTTAATATTCATTTGTACTTACCAGCATAGTTACCATCTCTGGCAGTGATGTTTTCTTCCTGTGTCACTGTGCTTCCATGGAGATCATTTTCCATCTGCATGAACGTCTCCTTTTAGTATTTCCTGGAGTGTACATGGTTTCACTAGGTTTAGAATTGTTGGTAGGATTATTTTATTTTTCCAACATTTGTAAAGATTTTATTTTCTGGTTTCCATAGTTTCTGTTAAAAATTCAGCTATCAGGTTTTTTTTGGTCATTTTTTTTGAAAGTAAGATGTTTAGTTCTCTCTGGCTGAATAGAAGATTTGTTTTTCTTTCTTTCTTTCTTTCTTTTTCTTCCTTACTTTTTTTTCTTTTTTCTTTTTTTTTTTTTTTTTTTGAGACAGGGTTCACTCTGTTGTCCAGGCTGATCTTGAACTCCTGAGCTCAAGCAATTCTTTCGCCTTGGCTTCCCAAAGTGCTGGGATTATAGGTGTGGAGCCACCATGCCCAGCCTGCTTTTTCCTTTTTAAGAATTATTTTTCCTTTGCAAGATTTTCTCTTTAACTATAAGGTATGTGTGTGTGTGTGCATGTGTGCTTTGTATTTATCCTGTTTGAGCTTTTCAAAATTCTTAATTCTGTGTCTTGATGTCCTTTGTCAATTTTGGAAAATTTTTGACCAATTATGCTTTAAACAAGTCTTCTAACCCTGTCTTTCCCTCCTGTCCTTATGGGATTTCAATTATACATCCATTGGACCTATTCATCTTGTGCTACACATCTTGTGTGTAATTTCTACCCTGGGGTTTTCTTCTGCATGCCCCAATCTGAAAACTTCTACTAATCTAACATATTTCAATAATGTTCTCTTTTGTGTCTAGTATGATATTTAAACCTATCTACTGAATTGTTTTTTTCATTTTTTGTACTTTTTTATTTTAGAATTTTCATTTGATTTTGGTAATTTTTCTGCTAAAACCAGTTTCATCTATTTTTATAATCATAACTATTGTTATTTTTAATTGCATGAATGACATGTAATAAAAAATAATTGCATCTCAGGTCTGTTTCTGGTAATTTTTGATTGAATAGTGGACATTGTGTACAAAGAATTGTTGAGGCTCTGGAAGCTGTTATCCTTTTCTAAGGACAATTTAATTTCTTCTGGCTGGCAGATAATATATGAGCAGATCACTGTGAAACAGGCTGGTCTGTCTCCATATTGCCCTTACTTCTAAAGTGTAGCTCTTCTTGGATTTTGTTGAAATCCTAGAGTGTCTACCAGTGTTCTTCCTTCTTAGCAGGCCCTGAAATCTGATTTTTTTTCTCCCCAGCACTATGAGACCTCCAACTTCTCTGCACAGATTTAGAAGCCATTATTCTGGTTTGATCTGTCTTACCCCTAGAATATACAGCTTAGGAGTTGGCAAATGCCTTTAGAGGAGATTTCATACAGAGTATCTTAGCTCATTTTTAAAAATAAAAATATATCCTTTTTTCTAGCAAATTGCTACCTAAAGTCTGGGCTTCTTATTAGCCTTCAACTCCGATTTTTTTCTTCCCTGTTCAGTGGGTCTGCAGCAAGCTCTGGGACACAGTTTTGGGTTCAACTTCTTTGCCCTGAGCTGCGAGGAGAAAACTGTAGCAAATAAGGCTTACCTCAATCTTTTTCTCTTCTTACAAAGATCTTGATTTTTCAAATCCTGATTCCTTTTCTTATTCTCTAGTGCTTTCCATAGTTGACTTTTTAAAACAATTTTTTTATTTTAGTAGTTTTGGGGTGCAGGTGGTTTCTTGTTATGTGCATAATTTCTTTAGTGGTGATTTCTGAGATTTTGGTGTGCCCATCACCTGAGCAATGTACACTGTACCCAATATGTAGTCTTTTATCCCTTGCCCCGCCCCAACCTTCCCCTTCCAAGTCCCCCAAGTCCATTATGTCATTCTGATGCCTTTGCATCCTCATAGCTTAGCTCCCACTTATAAATGAGAACAATGAGAACACATAATATTTGGTTTTCCATTCTTGAGTTACTTCACTTAGAATAATGGCCTCCAGCTTCATCCAAGTTGCTGCAAAAGACATTATTTCATCCCATTTTATGGCTGAGTAGTATTCCATGGCATATACATACCACATTTTCTTTATCCACTCATTGGTTGATGGGCACTTAGGTTGGTTTCATATCTTTGCAATTGTGAATTGAGCTGCTATAAAGATGCATGTGCATATGTCTTTTTCAAACAATGACTTCTTTTTCTGTGGATAGATACCCAGTAGTGGGATTGCTGGATTGAATGGTAGTTCTACTTTTAAGTTCTTTAAGAAATCTCCATATCCACAATTGACTTTGTATTTGATAGTTATTCTTGGTGAGATAGTTTTAATCCAAGTATTACTCATTATAAATAGGAGGGTAATTCTAGTGAATTTTGAGAAATTTGATCTTTTAGTCCTTGGTGTTGCCGTTAAGGAGTCAGTGTCATTTTTATTCTTTACCCTTTGTAAGAAATGTATTTAGTTTATAGTGCTTTCCATGTTTCTGTATCTTACTGGTATTATGTCTACTGGTTCTTCAGAGTAGAATGATAAAATCTCCAACATGACTGAATTTGACTGTTTCTCCCATAATTTCTGTTATTATTTTGCTTCATGTATTTTGAAACTCTATTATTAGTTGCATATATTTAAGAATTCAATGACTTGATGAATTGACCCCTCATCATTATGTAATGTCCCTGCTTGCCTCCTCATACTATGTCTAGTTTTAAAATCTATCTTGTGAATGTAAATATAGTTACTCTAGCTTTCTTACAGTCAGTGTTTGAATGGCATTTCCTTTACCATCTTTTTTGCTTTTAACATACTGTATCTTTATATTTAAGTATGGTTTTTGTAGGTAACATAACTTACATCTTGATTTTTTCAGGTTTTTTAAAGATATATAACTGATAAGTAAAATGTTATTTATTTATGGAGTACAATGTGATGTTTTAAAAATATATATACATTGTGAGATACTTAAGTCAAGATAATTAACATAATATCTGGATTTTTCATCAAATCTGATGATCTCTGACTTGTTGCAAACACAAATTATTGGGCTGTTCTCTAGACCTACTGAACTGGAAATGTCAAGTGATTTTAGTTTACACTAATGTTTGAGAACCACTGATTAAGGGTTACATGTACTTAACTTATCACAGTCTACCTTTAAATAATATTATGCCACTGCATGTATGATGTAAGAATTACGGCAGTATAATCTATTTCCTTCTTTCTGTTTTTTATGTTGTTATACGTTTTACTTCTACTAGCTATAAATCCCAAGAGATATTGCTATAAGTTCTGCTTTAAATGGTTAATTAACTTTCCAAAAAATTTTTTAAAGAAGAAAAGTGAAATGAGAAAAAATTTCTAGCACCCTTTCCTTCTTTGTGTACTATACTTTCTTCTAGTATCATTTTTACTCGATCTGAGGATCTTCTTTTAAAAGCTGTTTATTTCTGCTGGTAAAGAAATTCAGGTTTTGTTTGTCTACAGACGATCTTGTTCAATTTCAATTTTGAAATATATTTTCACTGAGTATAGCTTTGGTAGATTGATAGGTTGGTAGATTTTTTTTCTTCTTTAAACATTTTAATGGTAACATTTATTATCTTTTGACTTGCATTAGTTTCTGACAAGGAATCTGTAAATTTTTATTTTTTTCTCTGTATATTTTTTTCTGGGTGCTTTTAGGGTTTTTATATCAATGATTTCATCAATTTAATTATAATTTACTTTGATTTTGTGTCTATGTGTGTTTTTTTTTTAAATCTAGCTTTGGGTTGATAGAACTTCTTGGATCTATGGTGGATAGTTTTCATCAAATTTGGTAATGTTTTGGCCATGATTTCTTTCACTAATTTTTATGTTTCTTTCTTTCTCTTCTCAGTTTCTAGAACTCCAACAGCACAGCTGTTAGAACATTTGCTGTTGTTCCACAGGCCACAGAAGCTTTTCTTCTCCTTCTTCCCCTCCTCCTCCTCTGTCTTCCCTGTTTTTTCCTTTTTACTCTCTGCCTTAGTTTCAATCCTTTCTATTGCTATGACTTCAGGCTCATTGATCTTTATTTCCTTTTTTTTCTTTTTCACTTATGTAATATAAGCTGCAAAATAGTGGTGAACTATACTAAGGGGTATAGCCCTCTGCTGAGTGTGGTCTTTTCTTTATTTTCCAAAACAGCCCACGTAGGTAAAGGTTATTTTAAAAACTTCCACCCCACAAAAAGTAACTTTTGATAGGTCTTTGTTTCTTTAGGGTTTAATTTGCTTTTAATTTTTAAAATCTTAGTGATTTTTGTACTCCATATTTTGTAGTTTTTTCCTTTTAGCTGTTCCATTTGGTTCTTTCTTATATCTTCTATTTCTTTCCTAATTATGTTCATGTTTTCCTTTAAATCTTTGAGTATATTTTTAAAAATTATAATAGCTGTTTTAGGGTTTTTGTTTGCTAATTTCATATTTTTTGGTTATTTCTGGTTCTGTTTCTACTGACTGATTCTAGTACACGTACTTTTGCTACTTCATATGTCCAGTAATTTTTTAACTGAATTCTGCCACCACTTTTAAGTCAGGAACCTTTCAGAGTCTCTCCTGAATGTCCATATATTTCTCAAGATCTGGCTACTCTGGCTGATGGGAACTGAGCACTGTATGAGTTCTGGAAATCTTCTGGCTTGTAGCTCCCTAGTTGTTTCCTCAGTTGTTTTTCTTTGCCTGGCCTCCAGAAATTTCATTTATGTGTGCCTGAATTTTTATTGATACAACAAATTAGGGGGATGTTTGACCTCCACAAAAGTGGACTCTGTCTGTTTAGCTCCCCTCTTCCTGGTACTTTGCTCTGAAAATTCTAGCTACTTTGACTTCCCTGAACTTTAATCTGTTTCTTCTACTCAGCAAGATTGCCAAGCTGTTTTATTTTCCTCCCTGTGCCACAGTCTGAAAATATCCACCATGCAGAAAAACCAAGGTTATTATAAGAATTTACCTTCCTTCTTCTCCTCCCAGCTATCATAGGTTCTGCTTATTGATCAATATCCACAAAATTGTTTCATACATTTTGTCCAGTTTTCTAGTTGTTTATCATGGGAGGGTAAACAGGTATTCCTCAGGTGATGGAATGGAAATCATACTATGTTTGTGCTTATACTATTTGTTAACATGATTCCGATTTCGTAAAAACCTGCCATTAATGTGTTCCCAAGTGACTTAAGAAAGAAAATCTGCTCTAGGGTCATATCCTTCTAGGTTTAAATTTACTGTCAGAGTTAGACTGCATCTTTAACTTGGGATTTAAGAAATAATTCTAAGGTTCACTCTGATTGCGTAGGCTCAGGTCATGGACTTATCTCTAAAGCCATCACCGTGCTACAGGACTGCAATACTTTGATTAACTTAGGGTTGGTCACATGCTGCACTCCTAGTGTGGACTTTCTAGAGTGCGGGGATGGAAGTGGAGCAGGAGAGGAACTCAAAATTAAAATTAAAATATTATGATTAGAAGGGGAAGACATGCTGGGGAGGCAAATGACCAGTATCCACTGCCAGTGTTGAAGGGTGATCCAGGCAGCTCTTGACCAGCTGAATGAGAATTACCATGGAGTTTCCCATATCTTCTGGAAGCCTCAGTTTTCTCATCTGCAAAATAATGGGAACATTGTGCAGATTTCTAGGGTCTCAAACTCTTTCATGTTTCATGGTTGACATCCTTGTTCAGAACCTCCTGAAGCTTTCTTCTTTGTTCTTGAGATTAAGACATGGCCCACAGGGTCCTGCATGTCATGAACATTCCCACTTCTACAGAAAAGCAGTCTGAAATTTGTTCAAAGGGTCGCCTTCTCCCTGTTCATTGCTCTTTAGTCATTACGGCTATCTCACAGAGCCTTCAGAGGCATTAAAGCCTCCCACTTCAGTGTCTCACAAGTGCTTCTCCTGTGTCCAGAACACCCCTCCTATACTTCTCTACCTGCCTAACAAGGGTCAGGTTTCACCTTATGTGTCATTTGTTCAAGAAATCTTTTCTAAAAACTCAGTCCTGGCCATAAGATCCTCTTAAGGAGCTATAATTGCCTTCTAACTTATTTATTCATTAATTTTTGATGCTGCCAGGTTTAGTGTTGCACATTTGCTAGACTGGAAGCTCCATGAGGGAAAGAATGTGTGTGTTTTGTTCACTAGCGTAACCACGGCCTTACAGAGTACATTGCACATACAGGATGCTCAGTGACAATCTCACCCCTGAATGATTGTGAAGCAGCAAACTTGCAGTACGGTGCCATCACTAAGTTCACAGGCTGCTGGCTCAAATTCCAGCAGTGCTATTTAATAGCTGTGTAACTTGGGTAAATTACTTAATCCCTCTGTGCTTTGTTTCCTCATCTATAAAAGGGGGATCATCAGAGTATCTATCTGTTTGTGTGCTGTGGGTATCAAATAAGTGTCTAAGGGTTGAGAACAGTGCCTGCATCCTGTGTGCTGTCAGCTGGTGTAGTCCATTGCAGGTACTTGTTCAACATGAACAATGAGGCTGGAAGTAACCCATGCAACTTCCAGTATCTCACAGCTCCAGCTCTCCATTTCATATCAGTGAGGCCACACTTCAGTGTTTCAGTAATGACTCGTGGCAGGTCCCTGTACTCAACAGTGATCTAAGTGGATCTAAAACCACATGTCCCAGACTTTCATCCAACCCTTATGTTCATCTTTTCACTTACCACGTGTCAACACTGAGCCCCATGACAAACTGGAATGATCATGTCCTCACCTTCAGGTTGCAGTGGTGGACAGGTCAGGGACACAGGCCCTTCTTGTCCATCTACTTGTGGCTAAAGTGAGCAGATGAAGCCCAGGGTTTTCAGGGATACCTGGGGCCCAGGCTCAGTGGCCACCTTACTTTAGCTCTGGCAAAAAGCCTCCTCTACCATTGTTTAATGGTTAGAAATACTTGGGTTCAGAGGCTTTTCCAATGTGCTAGATAGCAAGGGTATAATTAGACATTTCCCAGCTACACGTAGCCGCTTTAATTTTGATGCTGTCTTCATCCTCTCACACATGCTCAGTAACCTGAAAAATTTAGGCGTTCTCATCTCCTTTTCTAATTATTAGGGAGCATTATCATGGTTTGACAGGAATATCTGATTTTATGCATCTTGTCTCTAACAACTGCCAAAAGTTTCTAGTTCACATTCAATTGTAGGCTTCAAAGCCAGGTTTTGATAATACAGGCATTCCATCACATTTGCCTTAAGATTCACGGCACAGCTCAGGCCAGGGTTTGGTAGTGATTGTTAATATAAATCTACTTTAGAGATAGATGCAAGTACAAATTACAGAATGTCAGGGTGCAATTTGATTTTGAATGCTTTTTTTTTGCTATTATAAATAATGAAGGATGCTGAAGATGGTTCAGCATATTCTATTGGATATAATTAAAATCCCAAAGGTTGTGGTTTTTAAAAGCTGCATCTGCCTGTTGCCTGCTGGGATTTAGAGGTGACTGGAAGGTTTCAGGGCTGGGCTTTGTTCTAGTCTCTCTCTTTACTGATTTGTATTTTTATCCTTTTATGTATTTTAGAATAAAACACAAATTAGTTGTTTTAAAAGATAAGGTAAGTTTTAATTTTTATAAAACACTTCTTTGAGCTTCAATATTTACAAAAACAAGCCCTGTCTTTATCCCCCTTTATAGCAGTGCCCACCATAATTTGAAATTCTATTTCCAGCCATGGCCCCACCTCGGCGGCGCCCCTGCCCAACCGAGGTTGGCAGGGCACTGTCCCAGGGATGTGAGGGCGTGGTGTCATCTCATTTCTTGGAGTGCTCATTTGTTCATATCATAAGAATTAGGTGTTTTAAGGCATTAGTGCTATGTGCAATTGAAAATAGTTTCTCCAGCTGCCAGTCTGCTGAGTCCTGCAGACCAGCTGTTTTCCACGACCACAGAATTGAAATTCGACTCTGAGTGGGGACATGTCAGCTGGAGGCTAGCAGCTGTGGAGCAGCACTGAGCCACGTCTGACTCTGGATGTGGTCAAGGCTGAGAGGAGCCCTTGTTTAGCAGTTTTGGAGTGAGGTGGGCTGGCCCAGGAGCCTTCAGGGAAAAGAGCTGCCAACCTGTGCTCTCTGATGGAAACCCTGAGAGAGCAAAGGCAGAATTAAGAATGGGAGGAGGCCAGGCATGCTGGCTCATG
Organism: Homo sapiens; assembly: GCF_000001405.40. Lineage (NCBI taxonomy): Eukaryota > Metazoa > Chordata > Mammalia > Primates > Hominidae > Homo > Homo sapiens. Next base: position 50,939,441 of record NC_000007.14, read on the forward strand.
CCTGTAATCCCAGCACTTTGGGAGGCCAAGGTGGGCGGATCGTGAGGTCAAGAGATTGAGACCATCCTGGCCAACATGGTGAAACCCTGTCTCTACTAAAAATACAAAAATTAGTTGAGTGTGGTGGCATGTACCTGTAGTCCCAGCTACTCAGGAGGCTGAGGCAGGAGAATCACTTGAACCCGGGAGGTGGAGGTTGCAGTGAGCCGAGATCACGCCACTGCACTCCAACCTGGCGACAGAGCGAGTCTCCATCTCAAACAAAACAAAACAAAACAAAACAAAAAGAAACAATGGGTGGAGTCCCAGGAGAGTCCAAGGAGGCTCTTGGCCCAAAAATGTCTCATAGATATTGTCCATTTTATAGAATACATTAGCAAAAAAATTGCATGTAAATCATACCATTATTCAGGAATCTATCTAATAATACTTGGTAAACTTGTCATTTTTTTTTTTTGACACAGGTTCTCACTCTGTTGTCCAGGCTGGAGTGCAGTGGCATGATCTCGGCTCACTGCAAGCTCTGCCTCCTGGGTTCACTCCATTCTTCTGCCTCAGCCTCCTGAGTAGCTGGGACTTCAGGTGCCCACCACCATGCCCAGCTAATTTTTTTTTTTGTTGTATTTTTAGTAGAGACAGGGTTTCACTGTGTTAGCCAGGATGGTCTCGATCTCCTGACCTCGTGATCTGCCCGCCTCGGCCTCCCAAAGTGCTGCGATTACAGGTGTGAGCCACTGCACCCGGCCAACTTGCCCCTTTTAAAGAAAACATTTTTAAAAATCTCCCTGAATTTGCCCACCATCAATTTAGATTTGCTGCAGAATTTGGTCCCAGGGAATGGCATAGTAAGGATGGCTGAGTGGGAGTTCCAAATTTCTCCATCTTTTGGTCCTGCCTCACTTCTATTTCTATATGTGAGGTTTGCAGAGAGAGAGAGCAATCGCATGTCTAGGCTCTCTGAGACCCCTCTCTCTTCCTAGTGGAAGTGTAAATTTGGTCAGGAGCAGGTGGGTGCACAGAGGAGGTCCATGGGCAGACAGGTGGGGGTTAGGAGCAGCAGTTGGAAAGAGAGGCCTCATTAGGCACCCTGGATGCTGAAGGGGTGCGAGAGTGGGAGGGGCTTGGAGCCCCTGTGCTCCCCGCAGGCTTCAGCAGGGCTCTATGTTGAGGAATTTTGTCTCTGAGAAACCTGCTGATTCCTGCCAATCGCCACCCCTTCTTATTTCAGGATTCTTTGGCCTCTCTCCTCTTGTTGTTTTATGGACAGTGTGCCTCCAGATTAGTAACCAGTTCAGGGATGCCTGCTTCCTCCCCTGACAAAGAGAAGCCTTCAAGGCATTTGTGGCTTTTGAAATAGCAAAGACACAAAACGTTCGGCTGTTATTTTATCTTTGGAGTCAAGAATGTGGGCACGTGTTTTGCAGCTGTGAACTCTGGCACACGCAAGGGGAAGGTTTGAATTATGGGGACTGCAGCTCCCTGTCTTCAAGTAGGGGACAGAGAGGGAGGCACGTGGCTGTGCCTTCTGGATCTGCTGCACCTAGAGTCTGGGCCCTTTTGCTTTGACTTTAGTTATGGGCCTGCCACATTCTTCTTTCTGGACTCACTGTGAAGCCTAGCAGTGTCAGGCCTCAGAAAGATGTGCTGACCACGATGCCAGGGACCCCCCACCTCCCCACCGTTTCCTCTCTTCATCCACAGATATGGTGGCATGGTTCTGGGCCCTGGTGCCTCCACCAGGAAAGCAGAGAGATGATGTTCAAGCCTCCTGTGCACAGGAGATAGCTGGTGCGATAGAGGAGAGGCTGAGTCTTGGGGGCTGTTCCACACAGCCGGCTTCGGCAAGGTGCAGCCTCCCCTTCTGCAGAGCAAGGATGTCGATGGTTTTTAAATGGGCCATAGGTGGATCTAGATGCTTGGCCAGGTGACTGGCAAGTGAGGGTACTGATTGGCTGTTGACTCGCCTACTCTGATTTATTCGGCAGCTACCATTGTGTGCTTATTCTGGGTCAGGCACCAGGAAGACAACAATGAGCAAGACAGTCTCCTGAACAAACACTCCCGTGAGGCATTTCAGGGGTGGTGAGTTCTACAAAGAACACAGCGCAGGGGGATGGGATAAGAGTGGCTGGGCTGGGGTGTGGGCCACCCTGGTGATCTTGGGGAGGGCAGTGGGACCTCCCCTTCTCAGTGAGACTGGAGAAGAGGTCCCATCTACACTCACACCTTCCCCATCATCTAATGCAGGAAAAATCCTAGAATGCCAGCCAGGGTATGGTCACGTGACAGGAGATTGGCCAGTCAGGTTCTCCTGATGAGGATTTGACTGTGGAAGAAACAGCAGTTAGGAAATTATGTTTGGAAGTGAGGGGAACCCCAAACCTTATTCTCCAGCTTTCCCGAATGCAATGGGAGCTCCCTGGGAGCTTAGGCTCAGGCTAGCCAGAGCGGTATGTATCTGTATTTGGCAATACATGACACTCACTGATGAAAAATTATTAAGAAATTTTTCTTAGGTGGAAAAAGGCATAATGTAGAAAAACATGAGCACTAAAATTGTAGACAATTTCAGCAATACTCCCAAGCTAAGTGGGGTGGGAAAAGGGAAAAGTGTGATAAGATTCTTATGTTTCTTGGAGAGTAGAGGAAATAATCAACTATGATCAATTCTTGATGTGGAACAAAATGTGTGGTCTTAGGTTTGTGAAAATATTAGAAGTAAACATAAAACAAAGGGAGACACAAATGTGGTGTGAAAACAGTCTAATGATGTGCTCTTTATAAGACAAATATCAAAATTAAATTACACAGAAAGGTTAAAAATGGGGATGGGCAAAGATATAAAAGCAAATGTTTTAGAAAATGAAGCTTAAAGTTATATAACCATAAAAGTAGAATCTAGGCAAAAAACATTACATGGATCAAAGAGGTATATTTTCTATTGATGAAAGTGATATTCCTCCAAATATATAAAACTTTAATCACCCAACACAATGACATTGAAATCTAGTAACTCAAAAGCTGTTAGATAAAAATAAGTAAAAATACAGAATTTTAAATTTTATATCTACAATCTGAACTATCTAATCAGGAAAAAATATAAATTTTATATTTTTATCACATGTATTTTTAGAACATAATACAACAGAGAAAGAGTTTACCCATGGGATATTTATAGAAACTTACCATGCCACAAAGAAAAGCTTAATATACCCTCCAAAGGGCAGAAATCAAAACTATAAAATAATGAAGACAAGTTAGCTAATGGTTTAACTAAAGAAGCTATGAAAATGAACAACAAAATAAAACAAAGCCAAAAGTACATATGTAATGAAATGGAACAGTCAAATTATGGTAGGCTTGATCAAGAAAGCCATAATTAGGTTCTTTGAAAAGATCAATAAAATAGAAAAATCCTTGACAAGTCTAATAATAAAGTTGAAGGAAGGAGGGAGAGAAAGAGAAACAGAGGGAGAGAGAAAGAAAAAGAAAGACACATAGATAGAACCACAAATGGTGAATGTCAGGTATAAGAAAGGAGTTTTAGGTCAGGGGGCAGCAAAAATTTTTTGTAAAGAACCAGAGTAAACATATCTGGCTTTGTGGGCCACATACAGTCAATGTTTCAACTACTGAACTCTGCCAGTGTAGCTCTAGAACTGCCATAATCATTAGTAAATGCACAGGCGTGGCTATATTCCAATAAAACTTTATTTACAAAAGCAGATGATCTACTAGATTTGGTTGAGGGCCATAGTTTGCTGATCCTTTTTTTGGGTTTGGGGCAGGGGAGCATCTGGTCAAGATGGCTCAGTAAAATATACGCTTTGCCACAACCCATTGTGTTCCAAATTTCTAGTAAGGATAGATGAAATGTAAAAAGAGAAAACTAAAACATTCAAATTCAAAACAAGATAAATATTTTCATGAACCAGAAAAATAGACAAAACCCCAGACAGAGAATTGCAAAGCATGGCAGTGCTGAGCAGGGCTGTGGTGGAGGGTGGACAGCTCGTTGGGTCTGAGAGTGGGCTGATGTGGCTGGAAATTCAGGAAATCCCTGCAGGGAGCTAGACTTGCTCCACCAGAGATGAGGTCTGAAGTGACCTCTCTTATTAAGGAGAAAATTATGAGACCTCTGCTACATGCTGGACTGTTGTTCCTTCTCAAAGAGGTTGACACATGCCAGGGCCTTCTTGAAAATTGGGGCTATTTTTGGTTGTCATGATTGGGGAAGCCCCTCTAGTCTTTAAGTAGAGGAGCAAGTAATACTAGACCTTCTGCCACCCACAGATCGGCAAAATTGATCTGTTCTGAATGTCCCAACAGACTAAATTTATTATACCTAGAAATTGATGATATTTTAGAATATGATAATACAGAAAAGTTTTTATAAGATAAAATTTCCATCGATGTTGTAGAAGATTGTTAGGAAAAGAGAAGCTTATGTGGGAACAAAAAAGTATTGTCAATTTTTTTTGTTAAGTGGCTTAAAACTACACAGTTATTTTCTCTTATTTTCCATGGGTCAAGAGTCCAGGTACCATGTGGCTGAGTCTTCTGCTCACAATCTAATTAGTCAGCAATCTAGGAGGTGATTGGATTGCTTTCCTTTCCAGAGTCTGTGGTCCTCTTCCCAGCTCATACGGTCATTGGAAAAATTCAAATTCAGTTTCTTGCTGTTGTAGGACTGAGATCCCTGTTTTCTTGCTCAGTGTTAACCAGGGCCTGTTCTTGACTCGTAGAGGTTGGCTGTATCCTCGCTCACTCACAACATGACAGCTTAGTTCTTCAAGACCTGCAAAAGTATCTCTCCATCTATTCATTTTTTAAAAAATAAATATGTTGTCTGTAATCCTGTGATCCCAGCTACTCTGGAGGCTGTATTTGCTTTCAGCTGTGGAAGGAAAAGAGCATGTGTGCTCACCCTCCTTGCTGTTCCATGCCATACCATCACTTAGGGAGTGACTTCCACACTTTCTCCTAACAAGGCCCAGCCCATTCGTGAGAATATCATGGTGCTCCTCTCTTTTTCACTTTGACTGTCTGTAGTTTGTCTTGATGTGTTCTCACCAGTGTAATTAAAATAATTTCCTCCTTTTCTCCATCCATACAAACAAATGTGCTCTGTTATTACTTATCCTGTCGATTATTTTTAATCTGTGTCCATCCTATCTCCACTGTTTCCTTTTCTTGTGCTTCTTGTGCAGAAATGGCTTATAATTTTTAAACTTTTTCTCAAACATTTTGTTCTGCCCATCCTTTCACTGCTTTTCTTCAATACTCCAAGATATTGTCCCAGAAGTCCCTAAGGCTGTGTTCATTTTCTTTTCAATCTTTTCTTCCTCTCTGATGTTCAGGCTGAATAATTTCTATTAATCTATTTAAAAGTTACATGACTTTTTTTGGGTAATTTCTTATTCTGCTGTAAAGTTTATCCCATGTTTACTTTTATTTCAAATATTATATTTTTTCATTTTAGAATTTCTATTTTTACAATTAATTTCTATTTCTCTGCTGTGATTTCATATCAGTCAATTAATTATAATCATATTTTCATTTAGGTAATTGAGGAGAGTTATAATAACTAATACCTTTACCCACTTATTCCAGTATCTAGGTCGTCCTGAGCTGCTCTCTGCTGATTGTCTTTTCTCTCTTATTCTTTAGATGTTGAGTAATTTTGTATCATAGCTTGGACATTGTGAATGTTATGTTGAATTTTATTACATATAAGACCCTGAATTTTCTTATATCCCTTCAAAGACTTGACTTTTGTTTAGAAGGTAAATAACTTCGTTAAATTCAACCTGCAAACTATCTCTTGTGAAGCAACTCACATCTCAGGTCTGTTCTTTCAGACCTGGCTGAACTCCTTGAAGTCTGTCCTGAACATGTGCTTCAAGGGTCAGCCAGAGACTTGGCCAGAACAGGGTTTGCGGCTCCCTTTCTCTGGCTCTCTCCTTTCTGACATACCCTCTCACTTTCCAACGGCCCTGGTTGTCCTGAATTTTACCCTCTGGTTCTTCCTTAGAAAGCTGGCACGGGCCAGGCATGGTGGCTCACGCCTTTTTCCCAACACTTTGGGAGGCCAAGGAGGGCAGATCATGAGGTTAGGCGTTCGAGACCAGCCTGGCCAACGTGTTGAAACCCAGTCTCTACTAAAGATACCAAAAAATTAGCTGGGCGTAGTGGCGTGTGCCTGTAATCCCAGCTACTCTGGAGGCTGAGGCAGGAGAATAGCTTGAATCCAGGAGTCAGAGGCTGCAGTGAGCCAAGATCACACCATTGCACTCCAGCCTGGGCAACAGGGTGAGACTCCATCTCAAAAAAAACAAAAACAAAAAACAAAACAAAACAAAAAAACAAGGAAAGCTGGCATGAAGGTTTTCTACTGGAGTTTTAGCCATTCTGTGGCATGTAGACAGGGGCTGCCCTCAGGCTAGAAGTTGTGGAACTAAGACATTCAGATTATGAGAGCAAGATGGCAGACTGGAAAGCCCTACTGCTTGTCTTGTGCACAAAAACAACTAAAACAATGAATAAGCAATTACTTTTTGATGAAAATAATGGGAGGAGAGCACCAGAGTACATCAAAGGAGTGACAGAAACCCTGGTGAGAGCACAGAAACTCAGAATGGAGAATGGAAGGACACACCCAGCCTTCAGCACCCATGCCCCATCTGGGATCATCTGGGACCCAGAAGTATCTTCTCCCTGCAGGGAAAAAGTAAGCAAGAGGATCCCAGCAAACCCCGTCAACACCCTGAATGTTATATTAGTTTGTTCTTGCATTGCTATAAAGAAATACCTGAGACTGGGTCATTTATAAGAAAAGAGGTTTAATTAGCTCATGGTTCTGCAGGCTACACAAGCATGGTGCCAGCATCTGCTCAACTTCTGGGAAGGCCTCAGGGAGCTTTTAGTCATGGCCAAAGGTGAAGCTGGAGCTTGTATGTCACATGGCGAAAGAAGGAGCAAGAGAGAGGTGGGGGGAGGTGCCATGCTTTTTAACAACCAGATGGTGTGAGAACTCACTATCATGAGGACAGCACCAAGCCATGAGGGATCTGTCCTCATGACTCAAACACCTCCCGCAAGGCCCCACCTCCAACATCAGGGCTTACATTTCCACATGAGATTTGGGCAGGGACAACATCCAAACTGTATCAGATATCTACAGCTCTCACCACTACGGGCACTAAGCTCAGCTGAGGGAGCTGCCTGGAGTCCACACAGCTGTGCTCCTCCCAGAGAAGGAGCCAACACTGCCCATCCCCTGTGTCCCATGCAGCTACTGTGCTACACCATCTTGGCAACGGAACTGCTGCTGGAGGATGTCTTGCTCCAGCTGTGAGTGACCATGGCACCCTTTCATCCCTGAGGCCAAGGTGCCACTGAAGCACCTCTGTTGGTGGCCCAACATCCCCAAGCTGAGCTGCAAGCAGCAATTACACCCTTCCCTGTGAGGCCGAGCAGTGGTAGAGCTGCTCCACCTCACCCTCCCAGTCATGAATGCACCCTAACCCCTCAGGCTGGAGCTGAAGGTGCACACTCCCATTGCACCTGGGCACTGGAGCTAAAGCTGAACACTGCCTCCAGAGGAAACAGTGCCCTGGCGGAGCTGCTCCGAAAACCTCTCCAAGTTGCAGCTGTGTCCTGCCCCATGGGACTCAAGCTGAAACCTCCAAGGGTACTATTTGGTGATCCCCACATACCCCTAGTAGACACTGCTGTACCTTGCCCTCCCGTGCTCGAGCTGAAGCGATACTTAGTGTCTTGGGGAAACGGTGCTGTGGCTGCCTATACCTCTCTGTGCCTGAGCCGAAGTGGTACCCTGCCTCCAAGGAAAATAACTTGGCCACCCAGAGCAGTCATGCCTCCCTGGAGCCTAGGGTGAAGCAGTGCTCTGCCTCTCAGGAAATTGTGTCTTGGCCACCCAAAGTGGTCATGCACCACAATACCAAAGCTGAATCAGTGCACCATATCCCAGGGAAATGGGCCTGGGCAGCCCAGAGCAGTCATACCCCACAGGCTTCAGCTGAAACAGTGCATTGCCCCATAGGGAATTGGTTCCCTTGGCTGAGCTAAGCAGCTGCATATCCCAAGGCTGAGCTGATGGAGTACCCTATGTCCCAGAGAAACAGAGCAGTGGCTCAGCTGAGACCCTTGCCCTATAGCCAAACCATTCAAGTACCCTACTTTCCTGGAGCTGGACTCACCCCCTAAAGTTTGAGCTGCTGAGACACCCTTCTTCCTGGGGAGTACTCATAGCTGCGTTAGTCCTTTCTCTGCAGGGCCCAAACGACATCTGTGCTCTCATTTTGGGGTCCTTGCTACTGCTGCACCTGGCCTCAAAGAGTCTGGGTCACTGCCAAGTCCCACCATCCCAGAGTCTACCATTGCCACTCCAGCAAGCCTCATTTCCTGTGACCCAAGTTGCCACTAACTTCTATGGGCTCAGGTTCCTAAATTGCAAGCATCCTCTGCTCTCTGGGCCTAAATCTCCAGGCACCTCTTCCTCCCCAGAGCCATGTCAGTGCTGTGTCCTGCCCCCAGGGTCAGAATCTGAGCTATAACCGAGCTTCCTGGTCCTGAGCTGCTAGGGAGTGCCTCCACATCACAGATCCTATGATGTTCTAGGCAACCCACATCCAACTTTGCCACAGAGAGTAAACCTGCTCTCCAAGACTCAGGTGCCACAATAGATTCACAAAACCCAGAGCATAGGATGCTGATGCCATAATCACTTCACGCACGTGCACCTGGAACTCAGAGCCACTACAGCTGCTTGTAGGACAAGTTAGATTTGATGCAAAGATGGATCTCCTTGGCTAAGTCCCCATTGTGGGAAAAATAAGAATAGGAGGACCACAAAAGCCATGACATTAAGAACCTCAACAACCTATGCTACCACCACTGCTGCCACAAACCTCTACAGCCTAGGCCACTGAGGCACCCACAGTTATTGTTGACCTTGAGCATAGCCAACAAATCTGCACAAATACTATACCACTGCACCTACTTGAAAACAGAGTCAGCACAACCTTCTCAATTGGCACACTAAGACCTAATTGCAGGTGAAAGTGTTTCTCTATGAAAGCCACTCTAGAAATTTTAGAATTTCAGTTATTTCACCAGGTGCACAGACATCAATGAAGGGACATAGAAACTTGAAAAGGCGAGGAAATATGACATCACCAAAGGAATATAATAACTCTCTAGTAACAAACCCCAATTAAAAGGAAATCAATGCAATTCCAGAAAAGAAATTCAAAATAATGATCTTAAGGAAACTCAAGATGCAAAACAATACAGATAGGTAACTCAATGATATCAGGAAAACAATTTATGATATGAATGAGAAATTCAACAAACAAATAGAAATCATAGAAAAGCACCAAATAGAAATCTTGCAGCTGAATAATTCAATTAATGAAATAAAAAAAATACAATAGAGCACTCCAATAGCATACTTGATCAAACAGAAGAAATAATCTCTGAACTTGAAGATAGGTAGTTTGAAAGTGCCTAGTCAGGTAAAAGAAAAGCAAAACAGTGAAGAAAGCCTACAAGACTTACAAGATACCATTAAATAAACATCAAAAAAACCAAAATATGATATGGGAGTTTCAGAAGGATAAAATAAGAAAAAATACATAGAAAACCTATTTAATAAAGTAATAGCTAAAAACTTTCCAAATCTTGGGAGAGATGTGGTCTAGATCCAGAAAAAGGAAAAATCCTCAAGTGGATCAACCCAAAAATGTCCTTCCTGAGGCATATTATGGTCAAATTGTCAAGTCAAAGACAAGAAAATTCTAAAAATAGCAAGAGAAAAGTGTCAAGTCACATACAAGGGAATAATTATTAGACTAACAGAAGAGTTATTTGCAGAAACCTTACAAGCCAGGAGAAAATGAGATAATCAAAGTGATGAAAGAAAAAAAATTGTCAGCCAAGAATACTGCTATACTTGGCAAAGCTGTGCTTCAGAAATGAGGAAGAAATAGTTTTTCACAGACAAAAACTGAGGGAATTCATCACCACTAAACAGGATTTACAAGAAATTCTCAAGAGAATCCTACAACTAGAAGCAAAAAGATGATAATCATTACCATGAAAACATGTACAAGTATAAAACTCATTGTTAGAGCAGTTACACAAAGAGAAAAAGAATCAAGCCATATATTACTACCATCAAGCCACATTACTCCTATAAAACCACCAAACCACAATGATGAACATTAAGAGAGAAGAAACAAAGCATTTACAAAACAAGCAGAAAATAATTAACAAAATGACAGTATTAGGTCCTCACCTATCGTAATAACCTTGAATATAAATGGATAAATTCCTTACTTAAAAGATATAGACTGGATGAATGGATTTTTAAAAATTACCCAACTATATGCTGCCTAAAAGAAATGTCAGCTGAAAAGACACATAGACTAAAAGTGAAGGGATGCAAAAGGATATTCCATGCAAACAGAAGCCAATAGCAAGCAGGAGTAGTTGTATGTACATCAAATAAAACACTTTAAATTAAAAACTGTAAAAAGAGACAAAGATGGTCATTGCACTATGATCAAGATTCATTCAGCAAGAGGCTACAACAATTGTAAATATATATGCACCTAATAGCAGTGCACCCAGATATATAAAGCAAATATTACTAGATCTAAAGGCAGAGATACACTCCAATAAAATAAGAGCTGGAGACTTGAACACCCCACTCTCAGCATCAGACAGGTGACAGAAAGTCAACAAAGAAACGTTGGATTTAAACTGCATTGTAGACAAAATGGACCGAACAGACAATTACAAACATTTCATTCAACAACTGCAAAATGTGGTCTATCTTTCATCAGGATTGACCACATGGTAGGCCACAAAAGAAGTCTCAACACATTTAAGAGAATTGAAATCATATTGAGTGTCTTTTCTGACTGCAATGGACTAAAACTAGAAATCAATGAGAGGTACTTTGGAAAATGTACAAATATATGGAATTTAAACAACATGTTCCTGAACACCAAATGGGTCAATGAAGAAATTAAGAAAGAAATTTTTAAAAATTATTATAAATGAAAATAGAAACACAATTTACCAAAACTTTGGAGATACAATAGAAGCAGTATTAAGAGGGAAGATTAGAATAATAAACTCCTACATCAACAAAAGTAGAACGATTTCAAATAAACAACCTAATGATACATCTCAAGGAACTAGAGAAAAGCAAGAACAAACTAAACCCCAAATTAGTAGAAGGAAACAAATAATACAGATCAGAGAAGAAATAAATGAAATTGAGACTAAAAGCAAAACAAAAGATCAATGACACAAAAAGTTGTGTTTTTTTTGGAAAAATAAAACCAACAAATCACTAGCTAGAATAACCAAGAAAAAAGAGAAAATACCCAAATAAATAAAACTAGAAATGAAAAAGGAGCAATTACACCTGATACCACAGAAATATAAAGGCTCATTAGAGACTGTTATGAACAATTATTTGCTAATGAATTTAAAAACCTAGATGAAATGGATAAATGTCTGGTTACATACAACCTACGAAGCTTGAACCAAGAAGAAATAAAGAACTTAAACAGACCAATTGTGAGTAATCAGAGAGAATATATAATATAAAGTCTCACATTAAAAAAAGTCCAGGAGTGAGGGCATCACAATTCCTGACTTCAAACTATATTGTAAGACTGTAATAACCAAAACAGCATGGTATTGGTACAAAAACAGACATATAAGCCAATGGAACAGAATAGAAAACTCAGAAATAAAGCTGCATGTACATGTTTTTTTAATTACATTTATTTGTAAATTGCATTACTGATGAATTATATTTTAGGACAGTAGAGTGGCAATTTAAAATAGTTATTTAACAATGGGGTGGTTTATGTGATAGGTTTGAGAAAGTTGACTTATGAAGCTGTATGCCTATTAATAATGAAGAACACACACATAAAACACACACACGGGAATAACCAAGAAACTTGTCATCTAGCTCTTGAATCAGAGATTTCTCCATTATCAATACCAGCAGAAGTCTTGAACCATTAGCATGCTATGGGATCTTGGACTGGGACCATCAAGGGGCAAGAAAAGGACAATGACAAATTTATTAAACAGGAAGAGGTGGGGAGGAGAGAGGGAAAGAGAGAGAAAATCTTTCCAACTCAAAATGTGTATGAAATAAAAATTTAGAAACTCTTGGGCAAATTTCACAATAGAAAATTCTGATAATCAACTCAACTTGGTAAAATTAGTTTTGGTTAAATGAAAAGAATAATCTGACAAAGACTTCAACGTGAGTTTTTGGAATTGCTTAGAGTTGTAACTGTAGATATACATAATAATCCAAACTATGACTAAAACCAGATAGAAATTATAAATATACTTTTGTATGCAAAAAAGTACTAATTAGACATCCTTAATTGAAAAATATGGTCACAGGAATGCCTGTGCTGACAAGAGACACGAATTCTGAAAAAATTTTCTGACTTTTCTACAGCTTCTCACAATTTGCCAAGTTCCACCTGGTAAGGGCAGACACAGATAAGGAGAGCAAGGGAGAACATCCTTCTCAAAGACTCCCCTACCTAATTTTCCTAGAAAAATCTACTAAGAAGAGAACTGGCATGAAACCCTGCCCTTTACTATGAAATTATTCCTGGATGTGAATATTTAGAATTTCTACCATAGCAAACAATTTTCCTGAGTTAAAAATTGTTTCTAATGGCAAACAGTCCTTTTTTTTTTTTTTGCAAGTGAAAGGCTTTGTAACCTCTAAATAGTGTCCTTCACAATTAAAAACACAGGCTTTGGGGCTGGGTAGACCTGGGTTTGCTTCCAGCTTTGCCTTTTACTCAACATGAGGTTGTAGGCAGTATTTGTGTGCTCTATATTTCCTTATCTGTTAAGTGGGGACATCGACTACCACTTAGCTTGTAGAGACACTGAGGACTAAAGAAGTAATGCATGGGAAGTCTTCTTTTTGCAAATTTGGTTTCAGTGCAGGTAGAAACTCTCTTACTCAGGGTCAAGCTGGAATGCCTTGGACATTACTACCTGCTTGAGCCTTTTGTGTGACAGGAACTGATGCCAGCATTGTTCATTTACCTCTTTTACTTGCTACTTAATCCAGGCCTGTCAAGGACTCCCCATGTAGATGCAGCCAAACACGCCTGAGAAGATGCCAGCTGAATAAAGCCCTCACCATCCCCTTCACTGTTTCCTATTGTTTGTATTTTGATAATCTCACAAGCTCACTACAAACTTTCACTATTTAAAAAGTGCTCTGTTAAGCAATGAGAAGTCACATGCACATTAGAGAGCTGATTTTTGAAACTGAGAGTTGGCTGTGGGTGCCGGCATTGGCAGTGTAGATGTGGAAGCAGGTACCTGCCCGGGGGGAGCAGGGCTGGTCCATGCACAGTTCTATGGGAAGGATTTGAGGACTTCTCTGTGAGAGGTGCCATCACATTTTAATTACCACCAAGCTTGCTTGGCAATGCGTCCTTTCTTGGCAACATGTGAAAAAATAATTTTGCAAACTGGAAGGCAGACTGGTGGTTGAATTCTTCTTTGAAAAAGAGACTCTGTGGTGCCCAGAGGGAAATGATATTTTAAGCTTGCCACAGGGCTCCATGTTGCACTGAGAAAGACATTTCTCCATGCTATTTTGTGCTCCACAAAGCACTGGGAAAGTCAAGGCACACATGAGAACAAAACTTTCGCAGTGGGGAGTAATTTGAGATTACATCCTTGGGCCTGAAGGAAAACCTTGAGATGACCATAGTTTGTACTGATTCCCTTTTCCCAGGCTCCTGTGCTGGTAACATGGACAGGGGTTTGTCCTTCTCCACCTGCCTCTGCCAAGCACTTCTTGGCCGGACTCTGTCTCTCCACACCACCTGGGGCAGTCTGGACTCCCAGAGCGTGGGAGAGTTTTGTCACTTGCCTTACACAGATAACATAAATAAAATGTTTTCCAAAGCAGACAGACACTTGGGTAATTCTTTTGGAACACTTAGTTCATGACGTTCCAGTAAATTATTGCATCAGTGGAGAAGAATGGTGCAGGGCACGAGGGAAAACTTTAAAAGAAAAGTACAAGAGCGAGTTTAGGCAGATTAGCAAATGGCAGAACAGCCACGGCCAACCAATGGCCACAGGTCATTGCAACCTGTGGGGGGCTCCACTGTGGAGGGAGAGAAGTGCTCCATGCATATGTCTCTGTCCTGCCATGCATGCTCCTAAGACACTTGGAGTGCTTTGGAGGCCAATAAACAAGGGGGACACCCCAGCTCCTTTAAGGGCTGGAGGAAAGAATTGAGTATTGAACTCAATGATCTTTTAAAAATCAGGAATAAACCTACATTATTGTCCTCCAGTCCCCTAATCGATGGCACAGATGTGGGAAAGAGCTTGGCTGAAAGTGCTATGAAGACTTCCTGAGTCTTTTCCTCAGCTTCCTTTGTGTGCTGCAAAGCTAGACTGAATGAGCACCCAGAGAGAGAGGGGTGACTCACGTAGGTCAGGAAGCTGGTTTCAGTGGCTTGAGGGACTGGTCTCTGCCCCTATTGTGAGTGAGACTGATGGAGCTACAGGACAGACAAAGGTCAGTCTAACCCCCTCAGGCCTTTCTTACTCACCAGGCTGGGTCAGGCAGTGAAATTAGGGCCCAGTCACTGTGCCTTATTTCACTTTTCCTGGCTCTGCAATGTAGACGGCAACTCCTGAATGATTAAGTAAATTCTCCCTTACACTTTTCTAGTGAGTTTTATGTTGGGGCTAAAGGTGTATATCTGGGCCATTCCCTTTGACCAGTGTCTTAGTGATTTGTAGTTTGAGATTAGGTAGAAAACTGATTTTTTCCTTTCTTAATGGAAAGAAACAGGTGCAATAGAAAACACGTTTCAGTCTTAAAACGTCTGCAGCACCTCCTGTGAGTACTGATGGTTGGTTCATACCCATCTGGTGAATGCCACAGGTGGCTTCAGGGGAGAAGGGAGGCTGTGTGGGAGCCATGCTTGAGCAGTAAAGACCCAGGCCTCGGAGGCAGGCACTTGGAGCTCCCCACGCACTGGCTGGGGCAACCTAGGGGATGTTGCCTGACCTTTCTGAGTCTCCCTTTCCTCATTTACAGAATGCAAACTGTACTAATAGTGCCTATTGCACAGGGTTATTGGGAGAGTTAACAGTGATAGAGCTGAGTCTAATTTTTACCCTTAGCCCGTGCCTGCGTGTGAGTGAGCTCTACTGTTAGTATTGGTGATCATACAAGTATTAGTATTTGCATGGCTGGAGGTATTCGATAGCAGCAAATCCCCAATTCTGAGAATAAGACTGCCCCCGAAGCTTCTCTGTGAGGATCTGTCCAATGGTCACAGGAGGAGGAAGTCTGGCCCAGGGACAGGACAAGGATGCAACAGGAAGACCAAATGGCCCCATTGGGACTCATGCCCAGCTCCAGGGGAAACAGGAACTTCTATGACTCTGCTTCTGCCTATGTCACAAGTGCCTGAACAACTTGCTAAGAAGGCCGGGCAGATGAACCAGCTTGTTCCAGGCTCTCTCAGTGCACCCGATGGGCAGACATCTGCATCGAGTCCAGGGGGATCCCTGATCCCAGGTTCCTCTGCCCAGCCCTGTGAGGCCCATGCAAGAGGGCAGGGCTGAGGCTGGAACAGTGAGCGCTGCAAAGTGTTGCAGAAGAACGATTTTCAGTAGGAAAAGGGGAGCAGCAAGAAGATCTAACTAGTGGTGTTTGTATGTGGTGTATATACCTCAATTATAGTTCACGTAATCCCAGCACTTTGAGAGGCTGAGGCGGGCGGATCACCTGAGGTCAGGAGTTCGAGACCAAACTGGCCAACTTGATGAAACCCCATCTCTACTAAAAATACAAAAATTAGCTGGGCATGTTGGCGGGCATCTGTAATCCCAGCTACTCAGGAGGCTGAGGCAAGAGAATCGCTTGAACCTGGGAGGCGAAGTTTGCAGTGAGCCGAGATCGCACCATTGCACTCTGGCCTGGGTGACAGGAGTGAAACTCCATCTCAAAAAAAAAAAGAAAGAAAGAAATACCTGAGTCTAGGTAATTTATAAAGATAAGAGGCTTCATTGGCTGATGATTCTGCAGGCTGTACAGAAAGCACAGCAGGGACATCTGCTCAGCTTCTGGGGAGGCCTCAGGGAGAATTTACTCACGGCAGAAGGTGAAGGGGGAGCAGGCACCTCACATGGCAGAGCAGGAGCAAGAGAGAGAGAGCGAGTGGGGAGATGCCACACACTTAACCAGATCTCCTGAGGACTCACTACCATGAGGACAGCACAAAGCAATGGGGGGTCCACCCCTATGAGCCAAACATCTCTGGCCAGGCCCCATCTCTGACACTCGGTGTTACATTTTGATATGAGATTTGGTGGGGACATATATTCAAACTACATCAGCAGGCTAAAGAGAGTTTTTTCCCAGAAGGGTCCCTTTGTATGGCAACTGCCCTTCCGGTGGGGCCTCGCTGCCAGGCACCAGGTCTGACCTTGCAGAAGTGCCATCTTGGTGAGATTCCTGGTTGCAGGATGTAGTGGCAAACCTCAGGGCAGAAAAGGAGTGGGTGTGAGGACACTCATGGGAGAGCCAGTCTCAGAGAGAAGGTGGGAATGGAAATTGTCCTGGGGTCTGAGAGCAGGAGCAGCCATCTATCTTGTACTACAAGACAGGACGCAGAGGGAGGGGAAGGGTGTACTGCTGGGGGCTACAGGGGTGCTGGGGGTGGAGCAGCAGGCAGAACAGAGGTAGGAGGCTGCTCCCATTGCTGCGAGATGCCCCTCCTCCCGCTGTTCTGGCTTCGGAGCCCTGTGGGGTGGCAGGTCGGGAGGTGTCCATCCAGCTGACCTGGGGCAGGCGTCCGTGCCCTGGAAGTGGGTGATGGAGAAGGCGGAAACACTCCTCTGCCCTAGCTTTCAATGTATGAAATACTACTGTGTCCAATACCACAGGAGGTAGCAAACCTCCCTCTGGAGGAAGATCAGAGGAGATCAGAAGCCAGAGAGAGAAAATACCAACAAAGGGTCACTATAGTCAAGGAGTCTGGAACCCATGAAAGAGTACACGCCCCGACTTACATGAAGACAACACAAGGGCACACACAGGTGCACCTTGTGAGACTGTCTTTCTTAGTATTTTTAAACCTTGACCATGCACATTTCAGCATGTCCTCTTGTCGCGTGAGAGGGAACAGTACGCCACACTCCTCATCCCTATCGCACCTGCCAAAAGTGAAGTTGCACAACAGTCATTCTAGGAGTGATGGTAGGGCTTTTAGCTTTAGGTAATGTGAGACGATTTTGCCCAATGCTGTACTTTACAAATAAGGAGACAAAGGACTTCCAATTTGTCTGAGGATTCACAGGGTCAGAGCCACCCTCCTTTCTGCTCTCCCAACCTCAAAGCATTTTTTTCACCTCAAGCAGTGAAAAACTTGGTACATTCTATAATTGGGTATTTTCAATCATGCTTGACATGTCTGCAAAAACTTCACACTTCACTTGATGACTTCTGACCTCTTTCTCTTACGGCTTCTGAGACACTCTATCTTTGGCCTTGTGCAGTTGCACTGTGATTTTTCTAGGTGTGGACTTCCTTAATTTTCCTTCTAGGGATGCACTAGGCTTCTGAAATGGGTGGATTAATGTCTATGCTGGGTAGAATGGTGTTCCCCCACCAAAATACGAGTCCGCCTGGAACTTCAGAGTTCATGACCTTATTTGAAAACAGGGTCTTTGCAGCTGTAATTAATTAAGATGAGATCATCTTTCGGTGAGCCCTCAACTTTTTATGGAAAGTAAAGCTTGTTGCTGATGAACATGGACTTAGGAGATTTCCAAGCAAAGTGTTGAAGTCATGTCCTGGTTTCTCCTTGGTGCTTAAAGTAAAATGTAGGAGGAAAGACTCAGATCTGAGAAGGAACCGAAAAGAAAAGGAATTACCAGGAGCCATCAGAAGCTGGAAGAGGCCCGGAAGGGTTCTTCCCTAGAGCCTTCAGAGGAGTGCAGACCTGCTGGCCCCTCGAGTGTGGACTTCAGCCCCCAGAAATGTGAGATAAGACATTTCTGTTGTTTTAAGCCACCAAGCTTGTGATAATTTGTTATGGCAGCCCTACCGGGCTAAGACAATGCCTTTCAGTGGCTCAGGAAACGTCTCAGCCATTACCTCTTTAAATATTTGTTCAGCCTCATTTCCTCTCCTTTCCTGCTGGGACTCTGAGTAGATGTATGCAATTTCTTTTTACTCATCCCAGTCTCTCTCTCTCTCTCTTTCTCTCTCTCTCTCCACCCCCCCCTCTTCCCCCCAACTCGTTTGTGTATGAAATGTATAGAGATCGTGTCTATACAATCTCTTCCTCACCAGATCATAAATTCTGTCTTTAGCTGTGTCTAATCTTCTGTCACACCTATCCACGGAGTTTTAAATTTGGTTTTGCATTTTTTATTTTGAGAGAGACTATATTTCCTGAAGGCCTGGCCCTCTTCTTGTTCACCCCCACCCTCAGAGCCAAGCCCTGAGGTCCTGGCTCATTGCGGGAAATCTGTTGGACTTTTTACCTGGTGTGAGCCTTGGACTTTGATGTCTGTACCTGTGTTCCATGAGACCTTCCAAAACAAATGTTCGAATCCCTATGCAGGAAATGCCTTCAGGCTGCTCTTCAGGTTTGGCAGTTCTACCTATCAACTAGCTCTTTCTTGCTTCTAAGAGGATTCACACATATTTCACCAGGTTTTTTTATTGCTATGAGCAGTAGGGTTAGTATAAATAACTGGGGCTGCCACAATTAAGGCAGGAAAAAGTGATACATTCTGTAGAGCTTGCTGTTAAGAGCACAAGTTTTGGAATTAGATCTACATTGGAATGTTCCTTAAATCTTCCTCTCCTCATCTGTAAAATGGGAATTACTTGTTGTACTCACATTTCAGGGAAAGTGTTTAGCAGAATTTCTGCCATATAGTACTTACTAATCTAAGCTTTTAGACTAAAAAAAAATCTTAAAAAGACATAATATTCAGCAAAGCTTAGGGGAAAAATTTTTTTTTCTCTGAAACTCAGAAAAAGAGTCCTAGGTCATAGGACACCCCTTTCTGCAAGGACGTCTTCCAGACAGTGCTTCCTCTGTCAGCCGATACTAGCTTCTTACAGACATAAACCTAACATATCAGAAACCATCCAGGTATATGCAATGTGGATTCACCCATTTGGAGCCTTAAAACATGTCTTTGAATAGAAAGTAGAATGTCTTTTCACTGGAACTCTATCCTGTTGGGAACAGACATTGTTTCCTTTCGTCTCATTATACATAGGGCATCCAGAGTATAAATTGTTGCTCTGCAAATTCTGCTCATTCTTCAAATGCACTTTTAGTGGGAAAAGTCTCACTTCACAAGAACTCAGAACACTTTGAATCTTATCTGACTTTTGCAGCTCATGTGTGAATTTATCCCCTAATAGAATTATCCTCTAAAATCTCCATCCACCCATCCATCCATCCATGCATCCATCAGTGAGCCTGTCCATAAACAGTTCATCCAGGAGGCCATATTTAGCTAAGAAGATGTATTTTCAGGGGGTGGTCAGGTGTGGGATGAACAAGAGTATGTAGGCGATGCTTTAGCCATAGAAGTCTCTTACTAAGGGGAGAAATACTTTTTGTTACTCTCCCACAAATAGCAGTTGGCTGAGTTTTATGCCAGCCTACAGTCCAAATTTAATCCTCACTGATAGGACCATATTACTCCAAATTTAATCAAAACCAAAATCAATTGTAGTGGTTTATCATCTCATATTTTAAAATGACAAAATCCAGCCAGAAATACTAAAGATTACAGCAATATAAAGCAGTCAGTAAGCAGCCTGGAGCCAAAAAGTTCATAGAAGTTAAAAAATCAGTAATTCACATATTCTCACTACATGTGTATTCTCACCTTGAATTCTCCAGAATGTAGAAGTGGGTGCCACAACAAGACATGAGCTAGTCTTGGGATAACCACCTCTGCTGCCAGGCCAAAAAGAAACCTCTGATCCCGGAGGGACCCTGTGCCATCCATCATCCAGTCTGCTCCTGCCCCTGCTCTGTGCTTCTGGGGCCCACCTGTGGGAGTGAGACCCCAGCTCCTCACTGTGCTCCTCATCCTGCAGCCTGCTGGGTCAGGCAAGGTATCCAATGCATGAACCGCGAGAGATTTGGAGAGACATCAACATCTAGAAAGGAAAGGAATTTGCATATGTAATTTGGAAGTCATGATTTTCCTGTCAAGTTTTCATGGCTGAATCCCTTCTGCAGAAATGGAAGACTTGACAGCAAAGATGTTTCCCCAGGCTCATCAACACTAAGCCCGTCCTTGCATGCAGAAGAGGCTCCCAGTCTCCATGGTCCTGGGACTCAGTGCTGCAAGTTGGGGGTCTGGTAGGTGGTCTGTACGCCCAAGGAGGGCCACACAGGTGCAGTGTGGATGCTGGCCCCTGTGCTGTGCAGCGTGACAGCCAGGACTCGGTGGGGTCTGGAGTGGCTTTCAGAGGAAGGGCCACAGAATTTTTATTAAAGGAGTGGTTCCCTCCACAGTCCTCCTCTGATCCTCACTTGCTCAGACATTCAGAGGAACAAGAATTCATGGCATTTGGCTTTTCTTTCTGTGCTTCAATCATCATCATCATGGTAACAGCAATAGAACCATTTCCTATTATTAGAGAGTTGAGGTCACATAACTGAGGTCACATAACATGAGACTGGTCAGTGGCTGAGCCCAGATCTGGATTCCAGGAGTCCAGCTTCAGAGTTCATGTACCTGCCCTTGTAGGTTGGGTCCTTGAATGTATGTGTGGTATCTGGGCATCCAAGGCTAGAAGCCATTCAAAATGTACTCCCAGGCCTCCCTGACCTTTCCCATCTCTGTTATATCAAGAGGGAGGTTTCCTTTCCATTCACCAACTATCGAGCACTTACTGTCTATTGAAGGAACTATCTTTGGTGCTGGAAATTAAATGTTGAACAAGAAATGAGAATCCTGCTTTTAAGTATTTCATGTCATAGTGTGCAGGATACACAGGGCAAACAGCCACAAAGAAGCAAGAGGATTCATAGTGATAGACTGTCTGCTGGAGGGGACACAGGGCGATCGCTGGAAAGCAGGGGAAGGTGGGGGACTGAGCAGGGCTGTGGCAGGGCCACTGTCCTTAGACATCAGGGAGGGGTCCTTCAAGAGAACAACATCCCATTGCAGGCCTCTCTGCAGTGAAGAAGCCAGCTGTAGGAGAGTGGAAGCAGCTGCGTCCAGCAGAGGCAAAGCTCCGGTGAAGATGCCCAGGCAGGACCCAGCTTGGCATGCTAGGGCGGAGCTTCCCAGACCCACCCCATCTTAGCCTGTTCAGGCCACTGTGACAAAGACACAGACTGGTGGGCTGAAACAACAGGAATGCATTCTCTCATGGTCCTGGAGGCTGGAAGTCCAAGATCAAGGTGTGGGCAAGGGGGTTTCTCCTGAGGCCTCTCTCCTTGGCTTGCAGACAGCCGTCTTCTCCCTGCGTCCTTACATGGACTTTCCGCCGTGTGTGTCTGTGTCCTCCTCTCTTTAAAAGGACACAGGTGCTACCAGATTAGGACCCGCCCTAATGACATCATTTAACCTTAATTACCTCTTTAAAGGCCTATCTCCAACACAGTCACACTGGGCTTAGGGCTTCAACGTATGAATTTTGGAGGACACAATTGAGTCTACTTAACATTGTTAAATGCGCGTTGCCAGGCACATCCCCAGAACTTCTGAGGCAGTAGGTCTGGGTTGAGATCCGAGAATTTGCATTTCTAGCAAGGTCCCAGGGGATGCTGATGCTGCTCATCCAGGGATCCCAGCTTGAGAAATATTTCAAAGTTTCCAGGAAGGCAACAAAGGCAGCAGCAGAAGGCGCCCTGGGAGATTGGGAAGGATATGGCTCAGGGCAGGAGGAGGAGGCAGACTCGTCAGGGTCCTGGGGTAAACGTAAGCGTCTGGATGTTCCTCAGAGGGTGGAAACCATGGGAGGGGAGGACCGGGGAGCGCATTTCACAGAGCCACATGCCAGTGCCCTATAGAGAAAGGCTCATAGGCGACAAGGGGGTCCAGGTGGGAAACTGAGGCAAGGGGTCCTGGCTGCACGGCTGGAGCCTGACCAGGTGGTGGAAAACCCGTGGGATAAGTGGATAGAGTTGGGGTATGTTTGGAAGACAGAGGCCCAACAGCTTTCTGGTTCCCTGGCTGGAGGAGGCAGGTGAAGAAAAAGTAGAAATTAAGGGTGTGTCCTAGGTTGGGGCTTGGGCATCTGAGTAAAGTTGACGCTGTTAACTGCAATGGGAAATACTGGCATAAAAACAGGTGTGGGGGAGAAAGTGGAGACTTCTGGCCTGGGCACATGAGGTCTGAGATAGTATAAGAGGTCAGAGGCTGGGTGTGGCAGCTCACGCCTGTAATCCCAGCACTTTGGGAGGCTGAGGCAGGTGGAGAACACTTGAAGCCAGAAGTTCAAGACCAGCCTGGCCAATGTGGTGAAACCCCATCTCTACTAAAAATACAAAACATAAATAAATAAATTAGCTGGGTGTGGTGGTGCACACCTGTAGTCCCAGCTACTCAGGAGACTGAGACAGGAGAATCTCTTGAACCTGGGAGGCAGAGGTTGCAGTGAGTTGAGATCATGCCACCGCACTCCAGCCTACACAACAGAGTGAGACTCTCAAAAAAAAAAAAAAAAAAAAGAGGTCTGAGATGTTACAAGATGTCCTGGCAGAGATTCCAATCTTGAGTCCAGACTGGAGAGGGAGGCTGAGAGGCTGGGGGAGAGGGTCCATAGAGCTATGGGTACAAGTGAGCCAGAACACCAAGGCAGGGAGTGAGGGCCGGGATGGAAGGAAGGCTGGGAGGGAGCCCTGGGCATCCAGCACCCAGAGGGTGAGGAGGGGAGGGGAGCCGCCAAAATGTGTGCCGTTCAGGAGGAAACCCGCGGAGTGTGAGTCAACCAGCAAAGCCTTTCAAGAGGACCAGAGTGGCCAGATGAGTGCACAGCCCCTAAGGGATAGATTAGAATGAGGACTCGACCCATGGGAGGGCTGGACGCCCGACCATGTAGGCTGCAGCACATGTGAAGACCAACACCAGCAGTCTGACCACTGGTCAAAAGCATGAGATTTGGTATAAAGGAGATTTTTGTGTAAGCAATAGTTTCTGTTCCTCTTAGCCACATGATTTGAGAAAATTATTTAAATGACCCGAGCCTCACCTTCAACATGAGGAACATCATATTCCCTTTGATAAAATGTTGCTGGTGTAAGTGCTCCATAAATGACAGCTTTTATTAGCAGAAGCAGAGATAATCCAACTTCAATGGGAGATTAAACAACGACTTCTGTTTAGAGCTTTAAAATGAGTGAGATGTGTCCACCGCTGGGGTTCTTCTCTTGGTGCCTGCATTGCCCTGCAGGAAGCCTGGTGGTGGTGCCTGGTGTGGTCTGCCAGCTCTCAGCTGGGTGGGAAAGTGGTGCTGAATGGCCCCACCTCTGCTCTGGGTTTTGCCCCACAGGTCGCTGCAGGCCTGCCCCTGGGCTGTGCTGAGTCATCTCCGCAGGCAGGACCTCCCCAGGCAGGCACAAGGCACTGGGAGGTGCCGCCCCTTGGGCCCAGGCCAGTGGAGTTTTAATTGCTGCTCCTCTATTGTTGGCTCTGGTTCCGCTTCTGGAAGGTTTCCAGCCTTTGCTCCTGGGCTTTGGTCTCTTCAGGGAGCCTCCAGCTGCCTCTTTGTCATCAGTGAAGCCACTGAGACCTCCTCTTGGCCCTCCCCCTCCTCCTCCTCCTCCTCCTCCTCCTCATCTTTGCTGGATAATGAGGACTTCAGATCTTGTTTCTGAAGAGAGAGGCTGAGCTGACTTCTGAAGGGTGGAAGGCACCAAACAGGGAGAGGTTTCCAAATCTGGGGACACAGGACAACTGAGTCCCAAATTGTGAACACTTTATTTAAACCCTAAAGGACAGGTCTTTGAAGACTGACTACAGAGGCCACTCAAGGGGATGGAAAGAATATGGGCTTGGGAGGCACAGGCACCTGGGTGCAGACGCCTAACCAGTTCCATCAGGACCTGTGGCAGGTTGCCCACCTACACCAAGCCTCAGTTTCCCCATCTGTGGAGTGGACTGATGTCCACGTGCAAGCCATAGGAGAATTGCAGACAATGCATGAAAAGCATGGAGCCCGAGGGCTGGCTTTAGTGGGAGTCAAAACATGATCACTTTTTCTGTAAACTTTAATTTGGAGATAATGTCAAAGCTACAAAAATTACAAACAGAAAACTAGTACAAGGAACATCTGACTCCTTTATGCAAATCTCCCTTATTGCTGACATAAAAAATGGTAACGTGTTAAATCAATATTTTTAATGTTTAAGCTATTGCGTTGCAAAAACTTTACAGTGTGAACCCAGGCATGTCTCTCAATGTCTCTGAGACTGCCTTTGCTCATCTGTGAAGTGGGAAGGATGTTGTAGCATTTACACCACAGTGAGGGATGAGCAGGAACTTCTGGCCTAGCCACAATAACATAGCTGTCCTAACGAGGCAGGAAAATAGGGTCTGGAGGCAGAGAATATGAGGCTAGTTCACACTTGAGCTATAACAGGAAATATCCTCTCCATAGGGCATACACTATAAATGACTTTGTAACTTTATTTCATCCTCTCCCTTTACATGGGGTGTACACCAAGTCACCAATGTAATCCTCTAGTGGATATTTAAACTCAAAAAACCTCTGTAACAGGGCCTTTGATCCCCTATGCTCAGGCCCGCTCCCACATTGTGGAGTGTGCTTTCATTTTCAATAAAACCCTTCCCTCCTTGCTTTGTGCATTTTGTCCAACTCTTTGTTGAGGACGTCAAGAGCCTAGACACCTTCCACCATTAACATATTTTGGCGAGCCAGCCAGAAGGAAGAGATAAGCCCAAAGTTTGGGATTCATTTTTCTCCCTTTCCTTTCTGCTCCATTCAGGGGCTCTCTCTCTCTCTCTCCCTCTCTCTTTTCCTTTCCAACTTGGGACCCTTGGTGGGAAGCAGGTAAACATGGAAGCAACTGCAGGTTTCTGGCCATGGCCAGTGAAACTAAGGGGTTTCCATGTGGAGAAGGCTGACCGCCACCTCTTCATTAGCTTAAGGAACCTTGGTCTTTTTCATTTCCACCTTCCCGCCCCCCACTCCCATCCCACTTTCTTTTTCAGTCTTTCAGAGGCTGTTGCCTACTGGCTCCTTGGAAATTGAGGGCAATCGGCTGGGGTCACTCCCTAGTACTGCCTGAAGGCCTAAGAATGAATGGGTATAATTGCCCTGCCCCAAGTGGGAAGGAGTTGTTTTTTTATCTTTTCTTTTTTTGTTATTTCTTTCTTTCTTTCTTTCTTTATTTTTATTTTATTATTATTATACTTTAAGTTTTAGGGTACATGTGCACAATGTGCGGGTTAGTTACATCTGTATACATGTGCCATGCTGGTGTGCTGCACCCATTAACTCGTCATTTAGCATTAGGTATATCTCCTAAAGCTATCCCTTCCCCCTCCCCCCACCGCACAACAGTCCCCAGAGTGTGATGTTCCCCTTCCTGTGTCCATGTGTTCTCATTGTTCAATTCCCACCTATGAGTGAGAATATGTGGTTTTGGTTTTTTGTTCTTGCGATAGTTTACTGAGAATGATGATTTCCAATTTCATCCATGTCCCTACAAAGGACAAGAGCTCATCATTTTTTATGGCTGCATAGTATAGGCATGGGCAAGGACTTCATGTCTAAAACACCAAAAGTAATGGCAACAAAAGCCAAAATTGACAAATAGGATCTAATTAAACTAAAGAGCTTCTGCACAGCAAAAGAAACTACCATCAGAGTGAACAGGCAACCTACAAAATGGGAGAAAATTTTTGCAACCTACTCATCTGACAAAGGGCTAATATCCAGAATCTACAATGAACTCAAACAAATTTACAAGAAAAAAACAAACAACCCTATCAAAAAGTGGGCGAAGGACATGAACAGACGCTTCTCAAAAGAAGACATTTATGCAGCCAAAAAACACATGAAAAAATGCTCACCATCACTGGCCATCAGAGAAATGCAAATCAAAACCACAATGAGATACCATCTCACACCAGTTAGAATGGCAATCATTAAAAAGTTTTTTTATCTTTTCCAAGTGTGGTCCCTGATCCCTACATGCACCACAGCTCAGGGCAAACTCACATGTGTTTCAGGGGACATAAACTTTTCTTATGCTAAATTCTTTACTTATCATATTCAACTGGCTGAGGAACAAAAAGGCCCACCCGGCATCCAGTCCTTCTCATTACAGTTCATGGCTATTCCTATAAAGCTCATAGTAGGCTCTGGAGAGGAAAACCTGCATGTGGCACCCACCTGAGGCCAGAGACATCTGGAACTCTAAGATTGGACCCCACAGGAGGATGCTGTGTGGGTTCTGTGGATCCCAGCCACTCCAAAGAGGACACTCTCGGCAGAGGTTCTGAGGTCTAGTTTTAACCCTCCTCAGAATTTTCTCTCATAGTTGCAATGCTGTTTGGCCCTAACATTGTTTGGAATCTGGAGTTTACCGTTGAATGGAAAGTGGAATGGCATTGCATGTACCCAGGCTTCTGTGCTGCAGTTCTAAGCAGGGGGCCTGGTTAACGTGTGATGCCCTCCTTTGGTACAGTTTGGCCCAGTGCCCACTGGAGTCTGGGGAGGTTTGGCCTTTAAAAATCAAACTGCCTTGGAGACTGCTTTACCCGAAATTTTGGTTAAGTCTAAGCCATTTTCAAGTTCACGTGACTTAAAGTATTACTTTACTAAACAAACTAGCTTTAAGATTATTGGTGGAATAAAAATAGAAATGCCTTCAGAATTGTCAGCATACGTTTTGTCTGAATTTTATGTTTGTCTTTGCTAGATATTTTAAAATGTCAATGTTAATTCAAGCTGGGAGCTGCTTGGGGTGAGCCTGCCTCCCATTCTATTCAAAGTCTCACTGAGATAAATGCATATCTGGTCACTTCCTTTGGAAAGGCTCATCAGAAACTCCAAAGAATGCAACTGTTTATGATCTGAAAGCCCCCAAGTCCCCTCCTCACTTTGAGTTGTCCCGGACAAAACCAATGCTCATTTTACATATGTTAATTGATGTCTCATGTATCTCCTTAAAAGTAAAAATTTAAGTACAGTGAATGGGATAAATGTTTTAGGTAAACTTTTTGTGTAAATTAAAATCTTAAAGTTATTTTTAACACTCATTTAATATCTAGGTCATTTCCAATTAAGAAAGGGTTGTAATATGTAGAAATATGTTTCTGAAATTATGGAATTGTTCTTATATATAAATGCTCATATCTAATAGTTCAGGATTTCTTGCCTTTTAGGGTTTCACTAAAGTTTTAGGTTACTAAGGATAAAATTCTAGTTAAGATGTAATTCTGTGGTTATTATTAAGACGTAATTTCTGTTATGTTGATAACATAACAGAAAGGGTTATGTTATTAGTGGGGAAAAAAAGTAATTTTGTTGAATTCAGAAGTTATCTAAAAGTTAGTTCAAATTGCAGATTTGGAAAGGTTATTTATGAAACAGTGTAGTAAGGAATCATTAAGTAGGGGAGAAAGATGTGGAAAAAGTTTAAATAATAAAATATACTTTAAAACCTGATAAAGAATTGGAAACATTTGGCTAATTAACATTTTCATAGTTAAAGCTCTTAGTCTTGATTAAAATAAGAAGTATTGTAAAAATGCATCAGTAGTTTGGCAATTGTTTTTTAATACAGTTAAGCATGAAGCTGGATTTAGTGTAAAGCCAAATTTTACATATATGCTTGCATTGCTTCACACTATGTTGACTGTTTTGCATGGATAGTGCTGGAGTACTTATTGCTCATGTGCCTAAAGTGGATTTCTTGATTGCACAGGATGTATGATGAACTTGGGGATGTTGAATTGTGTATCAGGAATAAAATATTCATTATGTTGGTTTTCTGGGGCCCTAGGTAATGCTGTATACTCCAGGGTAAATTGAGTAGGAAAACTCAGGGTTGGTTTGGTGCTTATTTGTTTTTGCTTCTAGTTTTCATTCGTTTGTTGTTTATTTCTCCTCTGGCTTTGCTTGTGTATGCGTATGTATAAAACTATGATTTTTTTTTTTTTTAGTTCCTGGTGGAATGCTTTCATTTAGTTCTGTGTTCCTATGCATTTCTAGCAAGTCATGATTCATTCCATTTTTCTAGAATTCCTAAGCTACTTTTGTTGGGCCTGCAGGAATTAATGGGGCACACCAGCTTTTTTTTCCTTAAACTAATTTTTTGGATTTTAGCCTTCCTGATACTTTGTGTTTAGTATACTCTCACAACTAGAATTTGAGTCATATTTCTCTCTCTGCCTAATTTCTCCAAAATTTGTAAACTATTTGTGAATACTCTTAATTCATGGCAATGCGTTTGTTTGCATACAGTCAAGCATGGCTGCCAGGGCCACTCAGGGAGAGAGAACCCAGAAATCTGGCATGCTGGCAAAAGGGTAAGAATTTCTTACCAGTCAGTCCCTGGCCTCTTTCTCTCTGTGCAAACTGGTTAAATATAAAGAAAAAGTCACTGTTTATCCCCTCTGTAAAGTTTTAAATTAATTGGTTTAATAATAATAAGAGCTTAAATCAAATATTTTGTCAGAAATGTAGAAAGTATAATGCCTTTTAGTTCACATGACTTCAGCAATCTTTGACAAATAAAGACAGTTTTAAAGATTATTGGCAAAATACAATTGTCTTAAAAATGTAAACATGTGGTTTAAATTATGTTCAAATATTAGGTTCGCTATATGCTTTAAGGTCATAAGCTGCTTCTTTGGCTTTTGAAAATTGTTTAACTTGCCTGCTTTCCAGCTAGGTAAGGCCTGGGGACAAGTGGAGTTGGCCACACCCCTAGCTATGCTGGAAACAGTCAAACCTTATCAGAACATAACTTACCAGGTTTTATATTAAAATTGAAATTGCTAAGAGTCGCCATTGTAACATGCAATCAAGACTATTAGAAACAATTTTACATGCAAGGTGTGTAAAAGCAGTAGAGTGTGTTTTTTTTTTCATTAAAGGTTATAAAAGGTTTTTGCTTCTTTAAAATTTGAGTCATCATTTTGGCAAAATAAATAATTTATGGTAATCTGAAATTCCAAGATCAAACTTCAGTTTCAAAATTGTCTTTCCTAATGCCTGGGTTTCTGGATGGATCAGAGAGCCCCTGAAAACATCCAGAAAAGAGGTCAACAGGATTATTTAATGTGTTTAGGTATATGGGATTGCCAAAATGATGTTCAATCTTCTTTAGGTTATATTTTTGTGAATAATACTAATATATATTCCAAAACTGTATGAGATTTCTAAAAATCTACTGTCTAAATATATGCTACCAATCACAATTATAGTTATTATGCTAAGTTATTATAAACCACAGAAATAACCAAATTTCCTTGCATAAAGCTACTAACCCAAGTAAGACCAAAAAGTTAATTAAGTATCAAGAAAATACTTTCATGTTAAACCAGCTAATGCTGAAATTGTTTAAAATAGTTTATGGCCAATGCTCGATCCCATATTCCTGGGAAAACAAGCTTCAGGTACATTTAATCACCTGGTTGGCCATTTAAACATTTTATGAAGGGATTTAATTCAATTGTTATTTTCATTGCATGTTTTCTGGTTGTATAAAAGCTTTCCCATGCAAGAGGGCTGATGTTATAACAGTAGATTATTAAGCTACATTGTATTTTCAGCACGTAAAAAAGAAGGTTTTTAGGTTTGGATCTTCTGAGAACATTGAAGAAAGACTGTCCTTGCCATCCACACTACAACAAAACTTCGGGATTTTGCGCTTTGGGTTCATGGTCTCGCAACTAAGAAGGGTCTCTCCACACTTTTAGAACTGTGATCCCATTGGAACCTGAGGTAAAACTAACCAGGGAATTTTCTCCCAACAAGAGGATGGTATCCTGGAGATGAGAAATGTTCATCGGGTGGTCAGGGAAGAAAGTCCTTTGAGGAGGTGACATTAAGGTGTTGGTCAGTTCTAGAACACACAGAGCTCTCCCCACCTCCAAACCTTCTTCTGCTTCCCCAGTCTTCTCATGGTTGTCTTGTTCTCCGCTTAATGTCACCTCCTCAAAGGACTTTCTTCCCTGACCACCCGATGAACATTTTTCATCTCCCATCATGCCCTCACGTTTCATCCCAGGCACTTATTGAAATTTGCAGTCACTTGATTCACTTCTTATTTTCTCCTGTACTCGTGGCCTCCCTGTGTTTTCCTCCCTAGGGGGAACGGGGCCCTGAGATACCTTAGGACTGGCTAGTGAAGGAGCTGGGACAAGGAGATGGCAGGGTGGGGGAAAGTTTGGGGATGGGGCCAGGGAGAGTATTGTTTGGGGCCAAATGGGAAAAGTCTTCTTCTCCCAGGAGATTTGGGTCCTGCACAGGTGACTCCGTGGTTTCCCCCTTTGGGTTCTGTCCCTGGAAGTGGGTACACGCTGGTGTGATCCTCTAAGCTTGGGAAAGGGCACAGGTGACAGTGGTCAGGGCAGTGGCTTCCTGTGAGGAGGCAAGTTCAGGCTTCAGGAACAGAGAATTGGCTGATGTGGGGTGTCAGGTGGGCAGGGCAAGGCGCCAAGGAAGGAATTCTAGCTGGGCTTGCCGCCTGCACTGGAGCCTGCTGCTCCAAGGCGCCTGACCAGGCAACGTTTAGCTGTCACCTGCTCCAAAGAAGCAGCTTGAGCTTGTACCTCTTCTCAGGCTCCGCCTCACTCCTCTCCTCTTGCTTCCTGCTCCTCCCTCCCTCCCACTAAGATTCTCTCACCAGCTCACATGCACCGCCTGCTCTTGAGCAGCTTCTTGGAAAGCCAAGTTCCAGTCTGCCTTTGGGAACCCACCACCTTTCCAGGTTCTTAGCCGCACAGAGGACTGGGAAGGAATGCTGTGATTTAATTCAATGTGCCCTTCAGAAGCCACTGGAAACTTTAAATAGCAAGTATCATTCTTCCCCCTTCCTTCATGCATAGGAAAAAAGAGTAAAAGGAGAAAGCCCCAGATTTATAACAGATTATCCCTAATCACAGGATCATGAGGGATTTTTTTTTCTGTATATATTTTGTATTTTCTGTTTTCCCTAATGAGCATGTATATATTTTAATTATATAAAAATAAGGCCTGGTGCAGTAGATCACACCTGTAATCCCAGCACTTTGGGAGGCCAAGGCAGGTGTATCATTTGAAGTCAGGAGTTTGAGACCAGCCTGGCCAACATGGTGAAACCCTGTCTCTACTAAAAATACACAAATTAGCTGAGTGGTAGTGGCAGTCATCTATATTCCCAACTACTCGGGAGGCTGAGGCAGTAGAATCGCTTGAGCGTGGGAGACGAAGGTTGCAGTGAGCTGAGATGATGCCACTGCACTCCAGTCTAGGCGAGAG
Organism: Homo sapiens; assembly: GCF_000001405.40. Classification (NCBI taxonomy): domain Eukaryota; kingdom Metazoa; phylum Chordata; class Mammalia; order Primates; family Hominidae; genus Homo; species Homo sapiens. The sequence goes on from NC_000007.14 coordinate 50,971,008, forward strand.
AGTGAGACCCTGTCTCAAAAACAAAATAAAATAAAATAAAATAAAATAAAAAATAAAGGTTATTACTGTAGAAGGGCCTTGTAGTTGGCGGGAGCTGGTCTAATATGACCAAAGCATCTACTCCTAATTTAATGAAGGGATTTTGTTGATGGGAGAAACAAAGCTTTTCCAGAGGGTATTTGCAGCAGGAGTGAGGGGCATAAAGTCAAGGGCAAACAGACCCAAGAGGAAGCTGAGTTCACGGACAGGCGCAGGTGGCTGCTTCTCCATCCCCAGGCTGAGGGGACTGGCATGTGTCACCTCCATGGTAGGACTTGAGCAAACCCCAAAGGGTCATCCATTGGACATGAAATCCTTGGAGATAAAATATCTTTGCCTCAAAACATCCCCATGAAGTGTAGATGTCTGGATGGAGTAATCCAATGAGTTTTCTTCAGCTATTCATGTCTTAGCATCGATGAAAGTATTGATTTTTTTTCTTGAACAAGGTTCAGCCAAGGTGAGCGTGGGTGGAAGGCCACAGATATTCTTCAGAATCAGGGTTTTCTCCCAGTCACACAAGTCCAGAGGGTGCCCTGGCTGGGGCCCTTCACGTGGGCGAGCAAAATGCTCTGTCTTCTATTTCTAATCACTCGCCATGACAATTGTGGGCAGTTTGTGTGATGCTGTGTGGCAGAAACTCTACCTCAATCGTCAAAGGGGAATGAGTTTAGGAAGACAAGAGAGGAAATAAAATACTTAATTTAAGAATTATAAAACATTTTCAAAAATAAAAGTAGCATAAAGAATACTTGGATATCTTTGCCTGGATTTCTACTCTGACATTTATAATACAAATGTAATATGCATGATGTAAATAATATCATGTATAATGTCATAAATGTAATGTAAATAATCAATGTACCTGCTATTATATTTTTCTCTTTGCTTTATTGTCTACTCTCTCTCTGTTTATTTTGTAAGTTACACACATTGTGGTCCTAAATACTTCAGTGTGTGCTCCTAGGAGCAGGGGGCTCTCCTACCTGGCCACAGTGCCAACGTCCATGTGTTTAAACTGAGACAAAACTGTTATCCACCGTTTCTATGCCACTTAACCCAGCAATGTCTGCTTGAACGTTTTCCTCTCCAGTAGAGTCTAAGGGCAGGGATTACATTTTTTCCTTGTCATGTCTCTTTAGCCTTGCTTAATCCAGGACATTTCTAATCTTCCCTCCTCTTCTGTAATTTTGAAATTTTAAAATAATTTTTTTGAGATGGGGTCTTGCTCTATAGCCCAGGCTGGAGTGCAGTGGTGTACTCATGGCTCACTGCAACCTCAGTCTCTTGGGCTAAAATGATCCTGCCGCCTCAGCCTCCCAATAGCTGGGATTAACTTTGACATTCTTGAAGAACACAGATCCCAACATTTCCTTCCCTTTTTAATAGGATATTCCTCATTTTGGCTTCATCTGATGTTTCCTTGACATAGATTGAAATTATGCATCTCTTAACCCTTACCTCTGGCCCTCAACAGTACTTAATCAATCTGTCTATTATTGTATTCCTCTGCATTCTCATTTCCCCAATGTTTTATAATTCATTACTTCACCTGATTGTTTTCATAATCAAATCAGTGACCCAGGCGCTCACGCATCTTTGTGGCATGTTTCACCTAAGGAAGTGAAGAAGAGCGAGCGCCTCCTTACTTTCCGGCATAACAAGCTGTTCCATACCCAGCTGCTTTTCTCCAATCTGGAGGCCGCCATTTCCCCAAGTAGCCCTGGCCCCCTAAGAGACTAAACTTGAGCCCTAAGTGTGCTCCATACTCTTGACCTTTATGTGGACAGAGCTAGAGCCTCTGATTCCATTCCACAGGCTGGGACCTTTCTTGCCTCTCCCCATTTCAAATTCGTGTGTTTCTTCTTACACAGTGAGAACCCTGGCTCTTATCAATCCAACACGTTCATTCATTTGCTCACTCCTAAAACACATCGAATAGAGTTTCAGGCTGCTTAACTCATGCCACTGCTGCAGCTAACAAGAGTTCAGGATGAATTTCTAAGTCCTCATTCCCCTTCCCTCTTGTCTGTGCCCCCAGACCCCATCCAGACAGGGAGACATTTAACAACAAACTAAATAGTCACAGCAGGAAATAAGATAGAAGTGAAATATCAGCATTGTTCCACAGTTATTTCTAGTTTGATACCAGTTTGCAGAGAAAGTAAGCAACCAAGCTGGACAATAGCAAGGGGCCATGGAGATTGGTTTAATAACAGGCCTGCTCCCTAATGATGATGGCCAAGAGGCTTACATTGCAGCTAGGATAGGTGAGTGCCTTATGGAGAGGGCAGTCACATTTTTCTTTACAGAAAAATAACTGAGCTTTGCTCAGCAGTAAAAAACTTGGTGCTCAAGTGAACTATTTTAGTTGGATTTGTCCAGGAACACATACAAGTTACTAGTCTTCGCTCTACCAATCAAATTCACAATGAGAACAAGGTTGTGTGAAGACAATTGCTAAAGTCTATACTGTCAACACAGACCTTGTTTCCTTTTTATCACTACCTGTGCACAACTGTCAAGTTTATGAGACGACTTGAGGTTTGCTGTTGTCTCAATGTGTCCAGCCTCACCCGTCCCTCTGTGGCTCTATCAAACATTCAAAAACACTGCTAGATTCCGTTGGAACAGCACAGTCAAAAGTACTTTGGGAATCTCTCAGAGTTGTCAACTACGCAGTCATTTCCTACCGAGAACAAAGCTTGCATGCACACATTCATGAACCTGGTTTTTCTCATCAGGCCAGTTTTCCATGGTGAGGTCCTGCATTTTAGTTGAGAGGTGGCCTCTTGTCCCTATGTAAGGAGTACAGTGGGTTGCAGTGGGATGCCTGAGAGATTTCTCTAGCAGAAAGCTTTGGGACCCACTGCCCAGGTCTTGCTCCCGCCTGCAGCTCTCTACGTACTTGTTCATTCAAGACACATCCAATTAGGATCTGCAAGGACCGGGCCACCTGCCAGGTGCTGAGGCGCAGGGGTTGAGCACTGAGGGTAGGATGGCACGGTGGGGAGCACTGCCATCCACTGGGGCTGAGCCTGGGAGGGGAAGGCACTCTGGTTGGAGTCATGTGTAAACCATGTCAGCAGGATTACATGGAGGACACTCAGTCGAGGAGCAGGAAAGTTGCACCCCAGGGAGGGCAGGAACTGGAGGGCAGCCATGTAGGGCAGTGGGGTGAGGTCCTGCAATCCGGAAGGAGAGGTATGAGATGAGGTGAGGGGCCAGGCGAGGTGCCTAGTGGGCAGAACCACAGCAAAGTGTTTCTAGTATATTCTTCCTTATCCTAGCGTCAAGGGGAAACTGTTGAGAGATTGTAAGCAGGGAACTGTGGTGATCTCTCAGTTGCTGCGTGGACAGCAGGTTGATGTGGGTGGAGTATGGCAGGGAATGGAAACAGGAAGATTGGGTGGGGACCATGACAGTTCTCTGCGTTCTGATGATGGTTTGGACAAAAGTGGTGGCAGAGGAAGTGGGAGAAACCACTGTACTCTTTCCTCTGCAAATAGGGACACAATACTTATTTACACAATAGATTGAAAATGTGAAGTGTGTCTAATGATTCATTGCAGCATCTCACATTAAGGTGATCTTGCTGTGAATGCTGAGAAGTTAAAGAAATACAGGATTTTAGTCAGGAAAAAATAACCAAGATTTCCATCTCTGGTAGTTAACCTTGGAACATTTTAGTGTATTATTTTTCAGATTTTATTCTGAAATGATGAACTACAATGCATTTGTGCTATATAAACAAGTGGATTCTACTGTGTTTATATTTTGCATAGTAGTTTTATCATGGAAAAATTTTCCATGTCTTCACAATGAGAATTGTTAATGGCTACAGACTAAGCATTAAAGTGAGGTACTTCAGTTTCATAGTTGTTTCTTTGTTGTTGGATGGTTAGGCAATTTCTACAATTTTACATCTCTAAATCACACTGTAATGAACATCTCTGTCCGTAAGTTTTTTTCTTGGAGCCTCTCAGGCTCTTGCAGCCCAATGTTGGCTGTGGATGCTGGCTTCTGAAGGCCTGACTGGCGGGGATGTCTGCCATGGCTCACGGTTTTTGATCTCTGTTAGCTCAGAAGTCAGCAGGGACGGCTGTCCATGGCCCCTGCATGTTACCTCTTCAGTGGGATGCTGTTGCCATGGTTGAACTTCTCATGTGGTGGCTGACTTTCCTCAGAGAGAAGGTCCCCCAAAATTGGGTGGTAGCTTTAAAGTTCTTTATGTCTTAGCCTCTGAAGTCACACGGCACATCCACCCTATTCTATTTGATGGATCAACCACAAACCCACCGAGGTTCAAGGGGAGAGGATGTAGGTCCTACCTCTTTATGTTGGAGGATCATAACCTTAAGCAGACATGTTTTCAAACTGCCTTCTGGCCTTCTGTGCCCTCTGACTAAAAATTATTTATACTCCAACCATATGAAAAATACACCTACCCTTTCCAAAAGCTCCTCAATGTCTTGTTCCATTACAGCAACAGGCCCAGCTTCAAGGTCCAAAAGCTCATCATCTAAGTTAGGTTCAGGTTTGTTGGAGGCACCTTGCATGAAATACCTTGAGTGCTGTCCTTTCTGGTCTGATGCCCCAGGAAATCTAAAGACACAGGTCATCTGAATCCCATTTAACCAACATGTAATTGTGGGACAGGTGTAGGATAACTCCTTGTAGTGGGTCAAATGGTCACCGCCCTCCAACACACTCTGCCAAAAAAGATATGTCCAAGTCCTAACCCGGGAATCTGTGAATACAATCTTACTTGGAAAAAAAAGTCTTTGCAGATGTAAGTTAAAGATCTTGAGATGAGATCATCCTGGATTTAGGGATGTTCCTAAATCCAATTATAAGTATCCTTATAAGAGGAAGAAAGAGGAAGATTTGGGATCCAGAGACCCAGAGAAGAAGGCCATATAATGAGGGAGGTAGAGATTAACGTCATCCATCTCTAAGCCAAGGAACATATGGTGCCACAAGAAGACAGAAGAGACAAAGAAGGGTTCTCTTCTAGCACCTTCAGAGAGAGTCCATCCCTCCCAACACATTGATTTTATACTTCTGGTCTCCCAAACTGTGAGAAAATGAATTTCCATTGTTTTAAGCCACCATGTGTGTGGTAATTTGTTACAGCAGCCTAGGAGACTAATGGACTGCAATTAAGAGTCCTGTTCCACTGCGGGTTATGGGGGAGGAAAACACACACTGTCACTGGCCCACAGCAATTCTGAAATCCAGCCGGACACAGATTGCCAGTTCATTAAATACATCATGAAAGACTTTTTTTATTTTTAAAAATTATGGTAAAATAAACATAACGTACAATTTACTGTTTTAACTATAAGTGTATGGTGCAGTGGAATTAAATACATTCATCTTGTTGTACGATTATTACCACCATCCATCTCCAGAACTTTTTTTATCTTCTCATGTGGAAACTCCATTTCCATTAAAAACAACTCCTGGCCAGGCTTGGTGGCTCACACCTGTAATCCCAGCACTTTGAGGGGCCGAGGTGGGTGGATCGCTTGAGGTCAGGAATTCAAGACCAGCCTGGCCAACATAATGAAACCCATCTCTACTAAAAATACAAAAATTAGCCAGGCATGGTGTGCGCCTGTAGTCCCAGCTACTCAGTAGGCTGAGGCAGGAGAATAGCTTGAACCTGGGAAATGGAGGTTGCAGTGAGCTGAGATGGCGCCACTGCACTCCAGCCTGGGCAACAGAGTGAGACTCCCTCTCAAAACAACAACAACACAACAACAAAAAAAAAAACAAAAGCAACTCCTTAGTCTCCCATCCCCGAGCCTCTGGAAACCACCATTACACTTTCTGTCTTTATTTTGTGAACCCTGAAAATCTGAGACAGGTCTCAGTTAATTTAGAAAGTTTATTTTCCCAAGATTGAGGACACGCACCCATGACACAACCTCAGGAGGTCCTGACAACATGTGCCCAAGGTGATCAGAGCACAGTTTGGTTTTGTACATTTTAGGGAGACATGAGACATCAGTCAGCATATGTAAGATAAGCATTGGTTCCGTCCGGAAAAGTGGGACAACTCAAAGCGGGGAGGGGGCTTCCAGGTCATAAGTAGATAAGAAACAAATAGCAGCATTCTTCTGAGTTTCTGATTAGCCTGTCCAAAGGAGGCAATTAGATATGCATTTGTTCAGTGAACAGAGGGGTGACTTTGAATAGAATGGGAAGCAGGTTTGCCCTAAGCAGTTCCCAGCTTGACGTTTTCATTTTTCTCAGTGATTTTGGGGCCCCAAGATTTATTTTCCTTTCACAATGTATTTAATTACTATAGAATACTTCCCATGTGGGGAATCATTCAGTATTTGTGACTGGCTTCTTTCATTTAACACAATGTCTTCAAGGTTTATCCATGTTGTAGAATGTGGCAGAATTTCTTTCCTTTCTAAGGTTGAACAATATTACATGATATGTTTATACCACATTTTGTTTATCCACTCATTCACAGATGGACACTTGAATTGCTTCCACTTTTTGGCTATTGTGAATAATGTTGCTATGAACATGGGTGTACAAATATCTGTTCAAGATTCTGTTTTCAGTTCCTTTGGAGATATACCCAGAAGTGAAATGGCTGGATCATATGGTAATTCTATTTTTAATTTTTTAAGGAACTATCATGCTGTTTTCCATAGTGGCTGTTTTCCATAGTGGCTGTGCCATTTTACATTCACTCTAGCAGTGCAGAAGAATTCCGATTTCTTCCTATGAAAGCCTTTTTTAAAAGTACAAACAGGCTGGGCACAGTGGCTCACACCTGTAACCCCAGTACTTTGAGAGGTGGAGGCAGGTGGATTGCTTAAGTCTAGGAGTTCAAGACCAGCCTGAGCAACATGGAGAAACTCCGTCTCTGCAAAAAGATTAAAAAAATTAGCTGGACTCAGGAGGCTGAGGCAGGATTATAGCTTGAGCCTGGGAGACAGAGATTGCAGTGAGCCATGATCATGCCACTGCCCTCCAGCCTGAGCAAGAGCGTGTGAGACCCTGTCTCAAAAAAAATAAAAATAAAAAAGTACAAATAATTATCTCCATATTTTTCCAATAAGATGGCTTTCTTCTACTTTCTTTTTCAACAGTAGGCCCATAAAATATATATTTCATTAATATTTGTCCTGCTTTGCCATCCTAATATATCAATTTCCCTACTATATCCAGTTAAAAAAAAATCAAATGATTCCTTTAGATCATGTTAACAAAAGTTGCAACAAAGTTGATGAAGACAAGTCATGCTGTGATGTGTGTACATGCTGGATATTCTAGCTCACTCATCTATAAGCTGTTCTATCAGAAATACATGAGATGTCATGTGTGATAGTCTCCAACACACTGTGCCTGACCACAGAAAACTCTCTAAATGTTACTCCTTCCCTCTCAGAACCCTGAACCAAAGTTAAATGATTAGTAACACATGTCATGTATCATCTTGTCATTGACTTTCAAAACTTTTATGAGCTAAACAATATCATTTTAAACAAATTGAAGATTGAAAATGGATATCAATACATAAACAGAGGAAAGAGAGGCTGCTCTGATTCCCCAAGGGTAAAGTAAGTTGGAGTGGGAGATACCACCCCCAACTCCTTCTTTTACTTGAGGAATCTCTTCAGAACATAGTTTTCAAAGTAATACCCTCAAACCAGGGTTGGCAAATTATGGCCTGTGAGCCAAACCCAGTCCACTGCCTGCATTTGTCAATAAAGTTTTATGGGAGCTCAGCTGTGCCCATATGTTTACATATTGTCTGTGGCTTTCTTGGTACAATGGCAGCATTGAGTCATCACAACAGACCATATGGCCCACAAAACTAAAATAGTTACTATTTGGCGCTTTACAGAAAAAGCTTGCCAACTGTTTTTCTAATTATTGAGCTCAATGAACAGAGAAACTCATGAGTAACCATGATAATCAGGGCTCAACTGCAGCCTGTCCAGGGATGTGGTTCACTAAATGACCAGCTGGGGCACTTGAAGGCTTCTGTGGTGAAAGCATAGAGCAAGATAGAGGATAAAGCAGGGTATTAGCAGTCTGACCAGGACCATTTGAAGTAGGAGGCTTGTGGTTTCCTAGAGGAAAAAAGAGTGCTGTTAGCAGAAAGAGGAAAAGATATAAGGCAAGGAAGAACGAAAGAACATTGCAATATCTGTTTTTAAACCATAGAAAACTAAATGAAAGAATAATCAAACAAAAATGGGATACAAATATATTCTTTTTTTTCAGCTTTTATTTTAGATTCAGAGGGTGCATGCACAGGTTTGTTACGAGAGCATATTGCATGATGTTGAGGTTTGTGGTGTGATAGAACCCATCACCCAGTTAGTGAGCATAGTACCCGATAGGTAGTTTTTCAACCCTTGCCCCCTTCTCTACCTCCCTGCTCTAATAGTCCCCAATGTCTGTTGTTCCCATCTTAATGTCTATGAGTACCCAATATTTAGCTCCCACTCGTGAGAACATGTGGTATCTGTTTCTGCATTAATTTGCTTAGGATAGTGGGCTCCAGTTGTATCTATGTTGCTGCAAAGGACAGGACTTTGTTCTTTTTTATGGCTGCATGGTATTCCACGGTGTATATGCACCACATTGTCTTTATCCAATCCACTGTTGATGGGCACCTAGGCTGATTCCATGTCTTTGCTATTGTGAATAGTGCTGTGATGAACTTACAAGTACATGTGTCTTTAATTCTTAATAGAAATGTATATTAGCAATACAGCTAAGTCTTTAAATTGCAAGCAAATGGAATGGATATGTGCCTTGACATTGGCAAACACACAGAGAAGTTTTCAGTTTTCAATTGCCTGGGCTTTCAGACTTAATAGTTTTATCTATGATAAATACTATCATCCCACGGCATTCCTTAAGCTACCTAAAAGCATGTGGAAAATCAAAGGGCTCCCATGCTTGTTCTTAGCACTCCAACAAGACACAGAAGAAAATACTATAATTTAAAGATAACATTAAAAATCTGAAACCCATTTCCACTTTGTCTTGAAATCAGTAACTTTGACCAGTATATGATAAATATTATTTGACTAAAATTTCTGCACACTTCCAGTTAAAAAATAAATAAATAACAAGGGTCTGTCCACCTCCACAACTGCTGTTTGTGTTCGCTGATGCTGATGAGGCTTTTTGAAGTCTTTTGGTTCAAAACCCTGCTGAGATCAAAGAGCTTTCAAAAGGAATCCAGGCACAACAGTGACACTTGCATACATACTCACCCTTGCTCTTTGCACATTATAATAATCCAGGTACTCTGTACTTTATTCCAGTATCCCACAGAGTAATAAACATGTTCTTTGGACAGAAAGAGAAATTCAAAAAGCAGTGGATTGTGATATTACTCCTTGATTATGTTCATATTTTCTTCAGTACTATGTAATTAGTAGTCGCAAAGGCTGATCCAAATAGGGATTAGAAAGGGAATTAAATGTTACGCAGCTGACAGAATGAATTACTCATTTCTCCTACTGTACGTATGTTTAAATATTTATGGGATTTTACCTACAGGATTGTTTTGGTGGCCCATTGCCATAATGAAATACAGCATTCTGTTTAATTACAGTGTAGCCAGGTTTTAAGGAAAATTCAGCCAAGTTGGGTTTTTTTGAAATGGATTGCTTTCAGTGGGTTGACTGGTGACTAAAATCTCTATGGCTGTGGTTGGTGCTGCTGAAATGTCCCATTCACATGGGTCCCTCATGAGCCAGAAGTTCTGATTTGGTGAATTGGCCACATACAATTAGTGTCACCAGTGCCCCATGTTCAACCCACTCATTGTCAGATGTAACGTAAGGTAAAAGTCAAGGGCGGGAAAGACTTAGGAGTGTGGATGAGTCTGTGTCCAGAATCAAATCCTATGTCGCCTCCTGGAATTTGTAGGAGCACAACCACAGGGCTCTCCTCACATTGACCTTTCCATGACCAAGAAAGAGCTCCTGGCATCAAGCACACATTCTGCCAGGCTGTGTGTTGTCAACAGATATCACTATTCTGTTGAAGACCTAAAACTGTAGCAGATGTGATTGCCATTTTTAGCTATTGTTAATTCGTTCAAACAAATTTACTGGGGAAACATTTTTCTCAGATAGATAGAATTGTAAAATAATATATGAGGTTTCCTAATTGTTCCTTTTCACTTAATATTTTTAAATACCTTTCCATTTAAATAATCATTTCAACAACACCATTTTCAATGGCTACAGAGTTCTCTTTTGTATAACTAAACCATAATTTATTATACCAATTCCCTATGATTGAACATTTCTTTGTATGTACATCTTCATGCTCTTTTCTCTTCACTTGTGCTAAATTTTGAAAATAAACACTAAATCAAAAATACACCCTTTTTAGGGCTGAACAATATTTTCAAATTGTGTGACAGAAGCATTGTTATAATTTATATTTTCACCAGTAGCTACATGAGACAGTACTCATCTCCCAACACCTTCAACAATATAATTTTTTGCCTCAAGTAACTTTGAAGGTGATTCTATTCCCTCACTGTTGTTTTAATTTGCACTTTCTGTAAACCCTAGAAAACTGATTTTTCACTATTAAAACTTGCAGTCGTAGGCCATATAGATTTCCTCAACAGCTTACAAGGTTGTGTCGGCTTTGATCTGCTTTCCCTAATTCTCCTGCGTCCTCTCAGTGTGCAACTTCAATGTTCAGGCACCTTCAGCTACGCCCGCATTCCTGACCCAACTCTGAGACCTGAGCATGGTGTTGACTTCATGGTGGGGATCCATACTGGGGCCAGGCTTTCAGGCTTGTGTTTGCTCCGGCTTTCCCCTGCTCTGGCCTCTGCATCTCCCCACACGCTGCCTCCCTCTCTGCTACCCTACCCAGGAGAGCGTCCCCATGAGGGCACCATCACCCCTGTCTTCACAGCTGTGGAGTCCAAACACTCACTGTAAAGTGTCGCCATCCTCTGCCTGTTTGACAGTATGACTTTAAGGTCCAACCAATAGCCCCATTGCTCTGCAGATTTTCTATGAACTTAAATCTTAAAGTTGCTGAATTCTGAAAGTGACATTCCCCTGTTCCATCCCAGGCATTTGAACTCGGCCCAGACCTCTCTTCTAGTGATTCTTGGGACTTTTCGGTGTTCAGCTTCAATAAGAGAGGATACAATTTAGGGGGGGGCAGGTGCAAATGTACGTTCTGTCTTCACCATTTACTTTCCCCCCGCCTCAGTTTCCTCATCTGTAAAAGACAGGCAGGTAAGAATGCTCGCCACTCTGCGTTTTTGTGGGCATGAAATGCTGGGACTTCATGACTGCATCCCGTGGAGTGTGTAATGTTTTCAGCAACAGTAGCAGGGGATCAGAGAGGTCACCTGCTGGTCTACCACCTTCTTTGTCCTGTTTTTATAGCAAATTGATCTCTGAACAGTCCTGGAATCTATTTTCTCCCCAGGAGTAGAGGATGGACTGAATTTCTGAATGTGTTGTTCCTGCTCCCTCTCCTCTTCCCCAAAGCTGTTACCTGAACCAGGAACTCCTGCAGGGGTCACAGCCTCTGGAGTTGCCAGAGCAACACCCTGGGGACATGGTACATCTGCCTCACAGAGCATGAGGAGTGGTGGGAAGGGTGTGCCTCCCCAAGCCCAGCTCATAGGATGTGGCCTGTGGTGAGGACGGGACTTCCATTCCCATGGCACAATGCCTGTCCCCTCCAAAGGCATCCTGCTCTGTCACAGCCTGCCATCCACAAGCAGTAGGTAATAATGCAGAGACCAGAAAATAGGGAGCCTGCCCTTGCTTCTGCTGCCCTCAGTGTGGAGATGCTGAATAACAAAGACCCCGTGCAGGGACTGTGCTGGTGGATGGGTAGCTGTCAAGTTGACTGAGTCACAAGGTGCCCAGATGTTTGCTGAAACATTATTTCTGGGCATCTCTGTGAGGGCAGTTCTGGATTAACATCTGAAATGGCCAACTGAGTAAAGCAGATGGCCCTCCCCACCGTATGGGGCTCATCCTGTCCATTTAGGGCCTGAATCGAATAAACAGCACCTGTAGTCCCAGCTACTTGGGAGGCTGAGGCAGGAGAATTGCTTGAACCCGGGAGGCGGAGGTTGCAGTGAGCCAAGATTGCACCACTGCAATCCAGCCTGGGTGACAAAGCGAGACTCTGTCTCAAAAAAAAAAAAAAAAAGAATAAACGGCCGAGTGGACAGAACCTTCCCTCTCTGCCTGACTGTCCTCACTGGGGCATCAGTCTTCTCCTGCCTTCAGACTCAAACCTGACCTGGAATGGTACCATTGGCTCTTCTGGGTCTGTACTTCTTATTTCTGCAATAACATGAACATATTCCTTATAATAAACCTCTTTATGTTGATATCCGTATATATACACACACACACACACACACACACACACACACACACACACATATACACATACATGTCCTATTGGCTCTGTTTTTCTGGGGAACCCTAACTAATATTAATACTTTTCTCCTTAGTAATGGAAGATCTAGGTGACCGCGTGAAAGCCATTTGTCCTCTCTAGTTTCCTCTTTTGTACAACAGGAGTAATAATATTGATCTCACATGTGAAAGTATTAAAGGATTAAGGGGCCACTTAGCACTTTGTGTTGGGTTCATGGTAAGAGTTCAATAGACTGTGGCTTTGGGGAGGAGGTGTACAAGGCACATTAAAATGTGTATTGCATTCCCAAAGACATTTTGATTCTTACTCCGGGAAATCTTCTGGATCCCTCTTATAAACACTGACCGAACTGCATCGCTGAATCTCTAACACACAGATCTTTTCTGCCTTCAAATATTGTTTTTCTTTTTATTAGACCAGTGTTTTTCAAAGTTGTGTCCCCACACAAATGCACTAGAATTACCTGTCAATTTACATGCAGAAGAAATATGCACATTCTTGAATCCCACCCAGACCCACTGAATCAGAATACCTTGGCAAAGAGCCAAGGAATTTGCATTTTTAACAAGCTCCCCGGGTGATGCTAATGCAATTAAAATTTGAGAGCCTCTGCCTTATGCCCTGCTGAGTCCCCTTACTCCACACAGACATAATTAAGCCTCTTAATTACACTTTTTGCCATGAATTAATAGAGTCTTAATTATCTGAGAACACTGATTGACAATAAGAGGCATGAGATAGTTTGGTTTTTATTAAAAATGAAGGCAAGATTTGAACATCGCTGATGGTAGCCATCTCCTGGTGTAACTGGAGGTTTCTTTTTGACAATACTGTGGCCATTCTGAACAACCCTCTCTATTCTATGGTGGCATTAGTGTTAGTGTAATGGGGTTCACGGTGATGATTCTGCATACCCCAAGTGACTTCATAAGCAGATCCTTGTTAAATTCGCAGATTTTCCCAAATGAAAAGGGTCAACTTATCCCTGAAATGATATCCATTTAGGTACCTACAGAGGTAACCCTAGAATCCTGTTGTCTTCTCACCTTCCTACCCATAGGCTAGTATGACCACTAAATCTATAGGAACCATCCCGCCACCAGAGTAAGGCTAATGCTACCATCATTCATTTATAGCTCACAGTTGTGGGCAATTGTTATCATCTTCATTTTACTGGTGTGGAAATGGAGATGCAGAGGGGGTGAGTTGACCTTTTGACAGTGTCAACACTGACATCCAGATTTTTAATTCCGACTGCAGGGCCAACTGGGCCTCTACTGTTCCTCCTTCATCTTCATTATTGTCAAGTGTCTGCTCATATTCATTCCAGCCTTTGAGGCCTGGCTGAGCAAGGGGCATGAAGGCAGAAAACTGGGCTCCTTGGGTCCTGCTCTGAAAAGTCCTGATGCAGGAGCTGGTCTTCTCCAGAAGAGAAATAACTAGTTGTTTATGCAGACTTGCCACCACCAGCCAGTCCCTACTTAACTATCCCATCATTATTGTCAGAGGTATTTGAACCAGAGTGACTCCATCTTGAATAGGGGCTGGGTAAAATAAGACTGAGATCTGCTGGGCTGCATTCCCAGGAGGTTAGGCATTCTAAGTAACAGGATGAGATAGGAAGTTGGCAAAAGATGCAGGTCATGAAGACCTTGCTGATAAAACACGTTGCAGCAAAGAAGCCGGCCAAAACCCACCAAGACCAAGATGGTGAGGAAAGTGACTTCTGGTCGTCCTCACTGTTTATTATATGCTAATTATAATGCATTCACATGCTGAAAGACACTCCCACTCATGCCATGATAGTTCACAGATGCCATGGAAATGTCAGGAAGTTACCCTATATGGTCTAAAAAGGGGAGGAACCCTCAGTTCCGAGAATTACCTACCCCTTTCTTGGAAAACTCATGAATAATGCACCCCTGTTTAGCATATAATCAAGAAACAACTATGAGTATACTCAGTCCAGCAGCCCATGCCACTGCTCTGCCTATGGAATAGCCATTCTTTCATTCCTTTACTTTCCTAATAAACTTGCTTTCACTTTACTCTATGGACTAGCCCTAAATTGTTTCTTGCACGCAGTTCAAGAACCTTCTCTTGGGGTCTGAACTGGGACCCCTTTCCGGTAACATTATCATCCTGTTGTGAGCCGGGGGCTTTGGCCCTCAATAAGGCAGCAGAGTTTCCTAGAGGGCAGACCGTCATAAGCTATTGTGCTCCATGACTTGCTTTGCACGTTTCAGCTCATCATCTTCATTAAATAAGTAAATCACCACACAAGCCTGTTTAAGAATGGGAAAGGGGCACATTTACTTAGATGAGAGTTGGGAAGAGAGAGGAGAGCACTGGGCTTTTTGTGACATGATTGTAGCTGCCCATAGGCTGGAGCCAGGGTGAAGTGGAACAGAAAGGGATCAGAAGGGAGGCACAAGGAAAGATGAAATCTCGAGCTCTAAATCGAATCCTTCTTCTGACAGCTGCCTCCATTCTTGGTGCTTCTCCTGATTCTCCTTCTCCAGGCCGCATAACCTAGTGGTCATTATGATGGCATTGAATTTGGGAACCTCTTACACTTGGATTGTTCAGGTTTCAAACTTTTAATTTTTCCCTTCAAATCCTTGGTTACCTTGTTGTGGCTTTTTGTTAATTAATATTGTCTGAGACTTGCATTTAATTTCAAGATGGAAAAACAGGAACTAGATTTACCTTCCTTTATAAAGCTACCAAACACAAGGCAAAAGGTATGAAACATTGGTTTGCAAGACACTGGGCATTAAGCAATGAAGGATAGTGGTCCGTGAAAGATGGGAAACAAACCAAGTGAGCCCTACAATTTCCTAATCTTCCTGCCTTGAGAGTTTCCAGACCTCAACTGATCTCTCAAGGATGTTCAGAGAGAGGCCAGGACACCCTGAGATGAGACAAAGAAGAGAGTAAGGGAAGGCCAAGAAGGAAAGCTGCAGAGAGAGAGCCTTCCTGAGATCTGCAGAGGGTTCCCCTTGAGCATTCAGCTGAATCCTATGCAAGACGAAGGTCTCTGAGGCTAGGGAAAGAGCCACCCAAAAGAATTTGAGTAGCAATACCCAGCACTCACCCAGGTCAAGGAATAACATTGACCAGCCAGACTGGAAAACCTCTATGTCCATGTGGAACTAGGTAAAACAAGCAGAGAAGTCTTGACTAAATAGGAAAAAAATTATTAGTGCTAGGATGAGCACTCTCAGTTCCACCTAACCAGTTTTTTGTTTGTTTGTTTGTTTGTGAAGGAGTCCTGCTCTGTCACCCAGGCTGGAGTGCAGTGGCGCTACCTCGGCTCACTGCAACCTTTGCCTCCCAGATTCAAGCAATTGTCCTGCCTCAGCCTCCCAAGTAGCTGGGACTGCAGGTGCATACCACCATGCCTGGCTAATTTTTGTATTTTTAGTAGAGATGGGGTTTCACTACGTTGGCCAGGCTGGTCTCCATCTCCTGACCTCAGGTGATCCACCTGCCTCGGCCTCCCAAAGTGCTGGGATTACAGGCATGAGCCACCGCTCCCGGCCCCTAACCAGTTTTAAGTAGCTTCTGTATCTCATAATGATATAAATCCATCAGTGAAAAGTAACACAGAACTGACACAGATGCTTGGATTAGCAGGCAAGAATATTAAGACAGGATGATAACTTTATATGTTTTAAAAAATTAAGTAGAAACATGGAAAGTATTAAAAAATGCCCAAATTAAAATTCTAGAGTTGAAAATTGGAATATGTGGGATGAAAAAAATACATTAGATAGAATTAATGGCAGATGATTAGACATTGCAGAAGAACATTTTAATGAACTTGAAGAATAGAAACTATTCAAAATTAGATACACAAAGAAATACAGAAAGAAAAGGTAATAAATAAATAATAAATAAAATGAACATAGCCATCAGTGAATTGTGGTATAGTTTCAAGAAGCATAATATACATATACATATGTATATGTCTATATTATATGTTATTATATTATATTATATTAGTATTATATTGTATACATAACATATTATATATATATTGTGCCAGAGAAAAAAGACATTTGTATAGCAGAACAAATATATGGATAACAAGCAGATGTCTCATCAGAAACTATGAACAAGAAGACAATGTAGGGAAGTATGGAAAGGAAAAAAATCTGGTAACCTAGGCTTTTATATTCAGTGAAAATGTCTTCAAAAACTAAAACACAAGGAAGTATTTTTTCAAGCATACCAAAGCCGAAAGAATGCATCCCTGGCAGACCTGTGCTATGAGAAATGTTAAAGGAAGTCCTTCAGTCAAAAGGAAGTCAATATTGGAGGGAAATACAGATCCACACAAATGAGTGAAGAGCTCTGGAAATGGCATATAAATAAATAAGATTTTTTTCCTATTATTTAAATTTCTTGAAAAGATAACTGATTGTTCAAACAAAAATAATAACAATGTAATATAGGGTTTATAACATATGTAAAACTAAAATATATGACAAGAACAGAAAAAAAGAATGGGAGAAGAAAAATGGAAGTGTGCTAATATAACATTATATTATAAGTAAAGGGGGTAGTATCCATCAAAAGTAGATTGTGGTAAGTTAAACATATATGTATATTATAAACCCTAAAGGAACCACTAAAATAACAAAACAAAGTGTTATAGCTAATAAGTAAAAAAAAAGTAATGCAGATATCCATAAAAATATTAATTAATATTACCTATTAATCCAAAAGGAAGCAGAAGAAAAAGCAGAGATTGCAGGTCACACAGAAAAGCAAGACCAACTCTATGTTGCTGTGGTACAATAGGAAATATATATAGTCATTCCTCAGTATTCCCGGGGGATTGGTTCCGGGACTCCTTATGGATACCAAATATCTCTAGATTACTTATAATACCTAATAAAATGTCAATGCTGTGTAAATAGTTCTTATACTGTATTGTTTAGGGAATCATGACAAGAAAATCAGTCTGTACATGTTCAGCACAGACACAACCATCCTTTCTTTTCCCCCTGAATATTTTTGATCCACGGTTGATTGAACCCATGGATTTGAAACCCATAGATGCGGAGGGCTGACTCTATTTGGTCTTTGTCCTCAGTCCCTGGCAGAGAGCTCCTAAAACCCTTGGAATTTCCTGAGTGAAGGGGTTGATAGGCACTTTTGTTATTCGTAATGAGCCCCTTTCCACCATGCCTGGCATTATGCTAATGAGGACTGTTGGAGAGCCCCTAGGTAGCTTCAGGATGGGCGCTGGTCACCAGAAAGGCCAAACCTTGATTAGATGGCTGGAAATTCTAGCGCCACGTCCAATCTCCATGGAGGAGGGAGGAATCAGTGGTGGTGGTGGGGTGGGGGGTTAAGTTCAATTGCCAATGGCCAGTGATTTGATCAATCACGCCAATATAATGAAACCTCCATAGAAACCCTAAAAGGCAGGGTCCCAGGAGCTTCCAACAAATTTGTGTGCTGGGAGGGTGGCTCACAACTTCACCAGGACAGAGGCTCCTGTGCTCTGACCTTGCTCTGTGAGCCTCCTCACCTAGTTGTTCATATGTATCATTTATAATAAACTGTAATAGCAAGTACAGAATTTTCCTGAGTTCTTTGACTCTAGTAAATCATAAAACCTGGCAAGGAGTGCAGGGGAGGAGATTGTGAGGACTCCCAAACTTTTAGCCAAGTCAGACAGAAGTGCTGGTAACCTGGAAATCAAGTGCTTGTGGTTGGCATCTGAAGTGGGGGAAGTCTCCCTTAAACCTGTGGAGCTTGATGCCAACTCTAGGTGGCCAGTGTCAGAATAGGACTGAATTGTACGACACCCAGTTTGTGTTGGGGATCAGCAAGCTAGAGAATTGGTGTTGGAAAATATACCACCTATTTGGTGTCAGAAAAAACTTGAGAGTTGCCTATAAGAAATTCATGTCAAATATAAATACACAGGTGGGTCAAAAGCAAAAAGATGGAAAAAGTTATATAATGTTAATACTAAAAACAGAAGAAAACAAAACAAACCTGCAATGGCTATATTGATATTGGACAAAGTGGATTTCAGAACAAAGAATATTTATAGGGACAAAGAAAGTCATTTCATAACAATAAAAGGGTAAGTTTGTCCAGAGGACATAGAAATCTTAAACATTTATGGACCTAATGACAGAGCTTCAAAATACCTGAAGCAAAAACTGGTATAAGTAATAACTCCATGGAGAGATAGACAAGTCTACAACCATAAAATAAATTTTAATATCTCTTTCTCAAAAATTGATAGAAAAAAAGGTAAAAAAAAAAAAAGAGAGAGAGTAAAGAATATAGAATATTTAACAGCAGTATCAACTAAATTGACCTAATTGACACTTATAGAACAATCCACATAACAATAGAATACACCTTCCCCTCAAGTGCCTGTGGAACATTTACCAAGATAGACAACATTCTGAGTTAGAAAACAAACCTTAATATGTTTGAAAGGATTCAAGTCATACAACTTATATTTTCTGACCATAATGGAATTAACTCAGAAATGATTAAAGATAAATCTCCAAATGTTTTTAAATGATGCAACGCACTTCTTATTTATTTATTTATTTTACTTTAAGTTCTAGGGTACATGTGCACAACATACAGGTTTGATGCATAGGTATACACGTGCCATGTTGGTTTGCTGCACCCATCAACTCGTCATTTACATTAGGTATTTCTCCTAGTGCTATCCCTCCCCCAGCCCCCCAGCCCCTAACAGGCCTCAGTTTGTGATGTTCTCTGCCCTGTCTCCAAGTGATCTCATTGTTCAATTCCCACCTATGAGTGAGAACATGCAGTGTTTAGTTTTCTGTCCTTGTGATAGTTTGCTGAGAATGATGATTTCCAGCTTCATCCATGTCCCTTCAAAGGACATGAACTCATCCTTTTTTATGGCTGCATAGTATTCCATTGTGTATATGGCAACACACTTCTAAATAAAATGTGGGGCAAGACAAAATCAAAAGTGAAACTAGGAAGTACTTTGAACTGAATGAAAATGAAAACAACATAAAACTTGCGAGATGCTTCAAAAGGGAAATTTATAACACTAAACTATATTAAAAAGAAGAAAGGTTTCAAATCATTGACCTCAGCTTCCACCTTAGAGAACTAAGCCCAAAGTAAAAAGAAGCAAGGAAATAATAAACATGAGTGAAAAAAAAAGAAAGAAAAAAACAATAGACGAAATCAATGAATCCAAAGCTGGTTTTTGGGAAGGCCAATAAAATTGATAAACTTTTAGCCAGGTCGATCAAGACAGAGAGAGGCAACACAGATTACAAATATCAGAAATGAGCATGGTGGCATCACTATAGATTCTACAGATACGAAAAGAATAGTAAGAGAATTTCATGGACAACTTTATGCCAATACATTTGACAATGTAGATGAAATTGACCAACACCTTGAATCACACACAAAGTGTCAAAGTTTACACAAGAGAAAAATACCTAATCTACATAGCCCTTTATATATTAAAGAAATTAAATTTAAAAATAAAAACTTTCCCTCAAAGAAAACTACAGGACTCGATGGCTTCACTGGTGAAATCTATCAATCTTTCAGGGAAGAAATAATAACAATTCTACATCAACTCTTCAAGAAATTTAAAGAAGGTATACTTTCCAACTGATCCCATGAAGTCAGTGTTACCCTGAGATGAAAATCAGACAAAGACATTATAAGAAAAGATAACTACAAACTCATATCACTCATGAACATGGACATAAAATTCTAAAACCAGTTTTCAGAAATTGAATCTAGCAATACATTAAAAATTATCATACACCATAACGAAGTGGGTTTTACCTCCAGAATGCAAGATTGTTTTAATATTTGCCAAGTAATCAATATAATCCATCATCTTAACAAGTTAAAAAAGAAAAACCATATAGTCATCTTAGTAGATATAGACATCCATTCCTGATAACATCTCTCAGCAATGTCATCATAGAAGAAAATTTCCTCAACTTGATAAAAGGCATCTATAAAAAGCCTACAGATAACATTATACTTATTATTAAAGATTGTACGCTTTTCCCCTAAGATAAGGAACAAGAATGTCCACTGCTATGATTCAACACTGAATTCAGTGAATAGCCTATACGGTAAGGCAAAATAAATAAATAAAAGGCAACTAGATTGGAAAGAGAGAAATAAAAAATGTGTTTATTCATGGATGACAGGATTATCTATGTAGAAAGTCAGATGGAATTAACAAAAAAGCTACCAGAGCTGGTAACTGAACTTAGAAATGTTTCAGGACACAATAGCAATATACAACAATCAATTGTCTTTCTATAACTAGCAATGAAGAATCAGAAATGGAAATATTATTTACAATAGTACCTAAAATATGTCATACTTATGAACAAGTCTGACAGGAGAAGTAAAGACACGTACTTTGAAATCTACAAAAAATTGTTGAGAAAATTAAAGAATACTTAAATAAATGGAAAAATTACCATGCTTATAGTTTGGGACACTTGATATTGTTAAGATTGATGAATAATTTCAAAACAATGCCAATCATAATCTTAGCAGACAGATTTTGTAAAAATTGACCAAGCTTACTCTAAAATTTATATGGCAGATCAAAGAAAAAGAGGCAACTTCAAGCCATACCTTGAACCATAGACAGCATTTAATACAAAATGGATCATAAATCGAAATGTAAAATCTAAAAGTATAAAAGTTGTAGAGAAAAAAATAGGAGAAAACTTTTGTGACTTGGGTTAAGTAAAGATAGCTTAGCTATGCCACCAGAAACATGACCTAAAAAACAGAAAATTGATAAATTGAACTTTATCAAAATTAAAAATGTATGCATTTCAGAAGAGAATGAAAACACAAGACATAGACTATGCCAGTCACCTGTATGGTAAAAGACTTATATCCAGAATATAGAAATAATTCTCAAGTTCACTAATAAGAAAATCCAGTTAAAAGTGGGCAAAACATTTGAACATACACTTCTTCAAAGAAGATATGCAAGTGGTAAATGAGCACTTGAAAAAATACTCCACATTATTAGTTATGAAAATGCAAATTAAAACAAAAATGAGATAAACACCTATTATAGTGGTTACAATTTTAAAAGTGTAACTGTAATGATTAATTTTATATGTCAACTCATCTGGGCCATAGTGCCCTGTTATGTGGTCAAATATTCTGCATGCTTCTCTGAGGGTGTTTTCGGATGAGATTAACATTACACTGGCAGACACTGAGTCAAGAAGATTGTCTTCTATAAAGTGGGTTGGCTTCATTCAACCAGCTGAGGGCCTGACCTCTTCCCATCCAGACAGAATCCCACAGCAGGCTGTCTTTACACATGCACTGAACATTGGCTCCTCCTGGGTCTCCAGCCTGTTGGCCCACCCTGCAAATTTTGGACTTGGCAGCTTCCATAATCACATGAGCCAATTCTTAAAATAAATCTTTCTACATTTATATACATGTCCTGTTGGTTCTATTTCTCTGGAGAACCCTGATTAATAGCTAGCTATACCATGTGTTTGCAAGGATGTGGAACAAGTGAAACTCTCACACACTACTGATGAAAATGTAACTGGTGCAAGAATTTTGGAAAACAGTTTGTAAGTTTCTTAAAAAGATAACCTACATCTATCGTATGATCTTTCTACTCCTAGGTACTTATTCAAGAGTAAAGCAAGCATACATTCATTCAAAGATTGTACACAGTGTTTATAGCCATGTTATTTGTAATCTCCCAAAAAATGTAATCTCTCAAAACAACCTAAATGTCCATCAACAGGTGAATGCATAAACAAACTGTAGTACTATATCCACACAATGAATTATACAGCAAGAAAGGGATGCACTATTGATTATTCATAATGGATTAATTTCAACTTAATTATGATGAGTGAAAGAAAACAGACAAAAGATACTGTATGATTAATTTATCTAATATTCTAGAAATTGCAAGCTTATGTAGAGCAATGACTTGAAATATGGGTGGGGTTGGGGAGGGAAAAGGAGAGATTATGAAGAAACATGAGGAAACATTGGGGCTGATAGACATGTTTGCTGTCTTGATTCTGGTGATCATTTCGTGGATATATACATAGGTCAAAAACTCATCTAATGCTATATTTTAATATAGAATTTTTATATTTATCACATGTTAATTACATCTAAATAAAGGTATTACAAATACAACAATACATCCTTCCATTTTTTATTTTTATTTATTTTATTTTTTTGAAATGGCATCTCACTCCGTTGCCCAGGCTGGAGGGCAGTGGCGTGATCTCAGCTCACTGCAATCTCCACCTCCCAGGTTCAAGTGATCCTCCTGCCTCAGCCTTCTGAGTAGTTGGGATTACAGGTGCCCACCACCACGCCCAGCTAATTTTTGTATTTTTAGTAGAGATGGGGCTTCACCATGTTGGCCAGGCTGGCATCAAGCTCCTGACATCAGGCGATTCACCCGCCTCAGCCTCCCAAAGTGCTGGGATTACAGGTGTGGCCACCATGCCGAGCCCATCCTTCAATTTTTTAAAAAATAGCTGTTGCTGAAGATTAAGTTAGTACTAATACAAAAAAAAACCCCAGGAAAATCTAGAGCAAAGTCAATAATTTGAGGAAATTGTTAGATTGAAACATGAACTGGACCAGAGTCAACTTTAGTGTGAGACTGTAGGAGATGGAGCTAAGAATTGAGTGAGAATATAGACGGAGTTAAGGAGCCACAGTGGGTAAGACTCCCTAGCCAGGCGTGTGGGCCCCCAGCCCCCGGTCTCTTCCCACCCGTGCCTGACGTGGAATTCTGACTTGCTTGTGGCCCACATTCCCAAAACCTTCCTCCTCTGCCTGAGCCCCTCACTTCTCAGTGTACTGTGGGTGGATCCTTTTATGCGAGCCCTCCTCAGTCCTGCAGCCAGCAGGGACCATGCCTTCCTCTGTCTTTCCCAAGCCTCTTTTCTTCGCTAATATTTAAAACACAACACACTCAAGCTCCCATTAGTCCTTTTCTCACCTTCCTATTCATCTGCATTACAGATTTTCCACCATAAGGGATATAATCCAGTACAGCCCAATACTTGGCCAAGAGAAGGTGCTCAATCAGTGTGCATAGAATGAATGAAGAGCAAACCACCATGGCACATGTATACCTATTTAACAGACCTGCACATTCTGCACTTGTATCCCAGAACTTAAAGTAAAATTAAAATAATAAAAAGATTTTAAAAAAGGAATGAATGAAGGACAGGTTTTATTTGCTCTGAGATTTCTCACGGTCACTCATTTCCACAAATTCATTATGTCTAGGGCAGAGAAGCCATTTGAAGCATAGATATCCATATCACAGCACGGCTTTCTTAGGCCACTCTCATGCATCCCTTTGCTAGGAGCTTGGGGGCACAGAAGTGACAATCCTGTCTAAAGAGCTTGCGGTCCAGTGAGGAAAGAGCCACATCCTTCAACAGTGACCTGAGTTCTCTGCCCTACCTGTCCCACTGCTCCTATGGAGGCTGGCTTGGGCCGGCATCCTAGCTCCTGCCTTCCTAGGGCCATCTGCCTGTTTGCCTGCTGAGCTTGGCCTTCCTTCTACAGCCTGCACCCTCCCTTCTGTGGGGCACGAAACTGCCCTCAGGATGCTCACTGAGTTTCAGTTCTCCTTTTAGCAATAGAGGCCACTTTTCTTTCCTAGCATTATTGACAGCCTGTTGGTCACCTTTTAAAAATCCTGTAGCCCATGTTCACCTGGGGATGGGAAATGACACCAACCAAGGAAACAAAAGATAACTTTGTCCTTGAAGCTCTGAGGTTGCTTACAGCCACACCCTGCTCTTGCCAGGGAGGACAGAATGAGGGTTCTTGCAGAGAACAGAGCTATGCCGTGTGCCCAAGTTCCAGGAGGCTGGGACTGTGTTTCTCTTCTTTGTTCCAGTGAAGGAGAGTGGATGCTCAGAATGTGTTTGTCGAATAAATGGATGACATAAAGCATAGGCATCGCTGGGGAGAGAACCCACAGTTAGCTTGGCTTTGATGGTCCTTAAAGTGTTCTCGATGTTTATAGATTTATGATAGGGGCCTCTTGTCCAGCTGCTCCTCTCCAACCTGAATATTATGTGATGTATTGTGTATTTTTATTACCACTGTTCTATTTACATTTAGTGAAGATGAATAAGAGTTGACCATTTTATATTCCATGGGGCTAATTAGTAAGAAGTCTGTCTTATCTTTCCTTTTTTTTTTTTTTTGAGGTGGAGTTCCGCTCTCGTCGCCCAGGCTGGAGTGTAATGGCACGATCTTGGCTCACTGCAACCTCCACCTCCCGAGTTCAAGTGATTCTCCTGCCTCAGCCTCCTGAGTAGCTGGGATTACAGGCACGCACCACCATGCCCAGCTAATTTTTGTGCTTTTTGTAGAGACGGGGTTTCACCATGTTAGCAAGGCTGGTCTCGAACTCCTGGCCTCAGGTGATCCACCCTTCTCGGCCTCCCAAAGTGCTGGGATTACAGGCATGAACCACCACACCTGGCCTCTTATCTCTCCTGATAAGACTATTTCAGTATATGTTTTATTTTATTTATATGAATTTAAGGGGTACAAGTGCAATTTTATTACATGGATGTATTGCATAATGATGAGGTCTGGGCTTTTGGGGTATCCATCACCCAACCACCCAAATAATGTACATTGAACCCATTAAGTAAATTCTCATCATCTACTCCACTCCTGTCTACTTCCCCCTTTTGACTCTCATTCCACACTCTATGTCCATGTGTACATGTTATTTAGCTCTCACTTATAAGTGAGAACATGTGACATTTGCCTTTCTGTGTCTGAGTGGTTTTACTTAAGATAATGGCCTTCAGTGCTACCCATGTTGCTGCGAAGTCATGCTTTCATTCTTTCTTAGGGCTGAACAGTATTCCATGGTGTATATATATATACATATATATATCATATTTTATTTATCCAGTAGTCTGCTGATAGATACTTAGGTTGATTCCATATCTCTGCTATTGTGAATAGCTCTGTGATAAACATGTGGATGCAAGTATCTTTAAATTTTTTTAATTTTTAATTTTTTTCAACTTTTATTGTCGATTCAGGGTAGTACCTGTCCAGGTGTGTTACCTGGGTATATTGTGTGATGCTTGGGTTTGGCATATAAATGGCCCCATCCCCCAGGTACCTAGCACAGTACCCAACAGTTTTTCAAGCCTTGCTCCCCTCCCTCCCAGTAGTCCCCAGTGTCTATTGTTGCATCTGTACATCTATGAGTCCCCAGTGTTTAGCTCCCACTTACAACTAGGTACCATTTCACCACAGTCAGAATGGCAATTATTAAAAAGTCAAAAAACAACAGATGTTGGCAAAGACTATGGAGAAAGGGGAACATTATACACTGTTGATAGGAATGTAAATTAGTTCAGCCACTGTGGAAAGCAGTTTGGAGATTTCTCAAAGAACTTAAAACAGGGCTACCATTCAACCCAGCAATCCCATTACTGGGTATATATCCAAAAGAAAAACAAATCATTCTATCAAAAAGACACACACACGCTTGTACTTGTTCATTGCAACACTATCCACAATAACAAAGATGTGGAATCAACCCAGGAGCCCATCAAAGTTGGACTGGATAAAGAAAATATGCTACATATACACCATGGAATACTATGCAGCCATTAAAAATAATGAAATTATGTCCTTTGAAGCAACACAGATGCAGCTGGAGGCCATTATCCTAAGTGAATTTATGCAGTAACAGAAAACCTGATATGATTTTTGTAAGATTTTTTTCCACCAGCTTTTAATAAAACAGTTATTTTATTATTTTATTTTATTTTTTTCAAAGGTTTTTTATTTATACTGCACAGTTGGTAATGGGCAGAGAGTGATCTTTGCTACAACAAGGTCCATGGCCTGACTAAAGCAACATTCTTTTACCTCTCAAAGACAGGACACCGATTTCATCTGCTTAAAGTCTCCTCTTGGTTTTCAGCAGCTGCCATCCAACAGTGTTTGCTTTGGAATGCTGGAAAGCAAAGAAAAAAGAATTGCAAAAAAAAAAAAAAAAAATTCAATCATTTTCTTCTAAGGGCAAAGATGGAATGATGCTATGACAATATTTGAATCAGATCTTAATAAGCAATTATATTTCCATTTTAATCATTCTATTGATGCTCTTTCTCAGGTGGACAGTATATGTCCCCTGTGAGTGAATTCTTGATGACAGTCAACTGAAATGATATTTTTATATAGGTAACATTAGATAATAAATATGGCTTATTGTATATATCAAAAAAATGACAACATAAAAATCTGACCACTTTATTACTTTCCATCACGTATCAGTTCTTTAATTTTCACATTCAGGACAAATTAAATTATCTGCCATTGTTAGTCTCATAATTCAATTATTTTTAGCTGGGGCAAAAATATTCATAAGTCTATTTAAAAAAGAAGAATTCTTTTGTCTTATATTCTTTTGTTTGAAAGCCATAGAAGTAATTACAGGATTCAAATAAAATATTTGAAATTATTATAAAACATAATAGTTGCCAACCTAAGACCAAGTGCAAAAAGGTCCAGGTGGAATGAACATTTTCTGATACTTGTGGGCACAGGGGTGTCTTATTTCGGTAGAGAATCTGATATTGCACATGCTTCCATGAGAATTCAGACATATGTCCTCACCTATTGTTCTTCTAATCAAATTATAGAGTTTATCAAGTTTACCAATTATGGTTTATGAGCCTTGAAGCATCACTAACACCTAATCAATATAATTCCTAATACATGAGCAAGAATGCGTGCACGTGTGTGTGTGTGTGTGTGTGTGTGTGTGTGTGTGTTGGGGTGGGAGATGCTAAATGGAATCCTTGCTTTCAGGGAAAGTATAGTCTAATAGGAGATAAAATGCTCATCTATGAAAGATTGGAAAGCTGTTTCAGAGGGCATATGTGAAGGTGAGATAGCCCTTGATCAAACCACAGTCTCACGGGGGCCAGGGAAGAAATGTCCAAATCTTGTTATGTTTTCACTCTTGAATCTCTTGCTGGTGGCTTCCCTTGGTTGGACCTAACTTAAGTCAAAGGACAATGGGACCAGGGGACACTGTCCATTGAGGTCAGCATCCCACATTATAAAGCAGGGCAAAGAGGGCTGTGGAAGGGCAAGTGGAAGGTGTCTGAAACCCTAGCCAAACTTCCCTTCAATTTTAAATTCACTAGAAAAACAACTATGAGCATTCGAGAACTCAGGACATATTGCTCTTCCCATAAGTTATTCCTGAGGAATCAATTTGTTGAGCTTCAGATGACCAAGAGATCACTGAAGCATCAACATAGATTATGGTGGTAGGCATTGGTTTACTGGACTAAAGATTAATTGTGATACAGGTGACAGAATAGAATTTATGTATTGCATGTTCTGATTCAATGAATGTGTTACAGCTAACAAAGATACATCAAGAATGGGAAAATTTATAGAACAAGCTTGCTGACTGCTTCATAGGGATAAATTGGGAATAAAAGCTTATCACATTCAATTAGATACTTGAGAGAGAGTAAAGGGGGGAAATACGTGGGTCAATTTAATTTTATTGTGACTATTCGGAATGAATAGTGTCAGAAATGGGGAACATAGGTGTATTATATAAAAGCATTAGTATAAAATATCATTAAAGTGAAAAACTTTCTCAAACACTAAAAATACACTTTAGAAGTCTTAGTAAACATACCTATGAAAGTGACTAAAATTAAAAAGATGACAATACCAAGTATTGATGAGGATTTGGTGGAACTGGAACTCTCAAACACTGCTGGTGGGAATGTAAAATGATATAACCACTTAGGAAGACAGTCTGACAGTGTCTTCAAAAGTTAAATGTGGCCGGGTGCAGTGGCTCATGCCTGTAATCCCAGCACTTTGGGACACCGATGCAGGTGGATCACTTTGAGCTCAGGAATTTGAGACCAGCCTGGGCAACATAGAGAAACCCTGTCTCTACAAAAAAAAAAAAAATACAAAAATTAGCTAGGAATGGTGGCTTGTGCCTGTGGCCCCAGCTACTCAGGAGGCTGAGGCTGGAGGACTGATTGAACCTGGGAGGTGGAAGTTGCAGTGAGCCGAGATGGTGCTACTGCTCTCTAGCCTGGGCGACAGAGACTCTGTCTCAAAAAAAAAAAAAAAAAAAAAAAAAAAAAAGTTAAATGTACGCCTACCATATGTTCCAGCCATTCCACTCCTGGAATTTTTCCCAGGAGAAATGAAAGCATATGTCCATGAAAGGACTTGTACACAAAAGTCCACAGCAGCTCTGACTGCAATAACCAGGAAGTGGAAGCAACCCAATGGCCATCAACAGATGACGAGATAAACCACCAATATGTCTATATAGTGGAATACTATTTAGTAATAAAAAACAATCAACTATTTGTTCATGTGATATCAAAGATGAATATTAAAGTCATTATGCTGAAAGTTTCCATAAAAATCTTACATTTAGGTTGGTGATCCATTTAGTTAACGCTTCACTATTGCTTAGTTTGTGACTTTCAGATTAATCATTCCACACAACTGAGGCAAGACCCTTTTGCATACTCTACCCAATGTCCCATGAGACCTAAGATTTTCCAGCCTAGCTTGTGGAGACAGGATACTATTCTCAGCCTTGGATGAGGGTCCAGTTCTGTTCTCTTGAATCCTTGGGAATGGTTCTTGCTCTGGCCTCAGGTAATTTCCTCGTGTGCATTCATTGATTATGACTCAGCTGAGTGTTCCAGAGGGGCCCTCTACAGAGCTCTGGTTTTCACCTTGTGCAGCTCTCCTTCCCTTCTGTTCTCCTTGGACTCTCAGCTCCATCTCCTCTATTCAAGGAGTCCACCAGGCTTTGCTTGCATCTCGTCCTGGAAACTCTCCCAAAGCAAGAAGCTAGGAAGTTGCAGGGCTCATCTATTTGTTTTCTTTCTGTCAGAGAATCACTTAATTGCTGGGCATTCAATCGCTAAAAAAAATTGTCTCATTTATTTTGTCCGTTTTTTCGTTGTTTTCATCTAGGAGGTAAAATCTATTTCCTATAATTCCATTTTGATAAGAAGTGGAAGTTTACAAGACATAATATTTAAATATAAAATACATATTGAAATATAACAAACAGTATTAAAGGTCAAACATATTGGTTGGATTAATAAGTATAAAATTGGCTTAACTTACATAATAGGAAAAGATTACTGGATGGACCAACAAAGCAAAATTCAGCCCTCTTCTGTTTATAAGATACAGCTAAAATAAAGAGATTCAGAAGGTTCAATATAAAAGTGATAGACAATGATTGATATACTAGGTAAACATAAATAGCAAGAAAGCAGAATTTATGTTCTTGGTAGCTACAGCAGATGTGTCAGGGCCCTGCTCGTATCTCTTTATTCTTTCTACTGTGCTGTGCATCAGCTCAAAATTCCACTTTCTCGCCCCTCATTCTTTGCATGCTGGCTTTCTCTGGCATCCAGAGTCTTCTTTGTTTCCCATGGGCTGATCAGAGGTGCTGAAGAATCAGTATTCTCTCACAGCAGCTCCCAATCAATCAGTGATGGTTGGTCGGTATATAAATACCCCAGCTCCCTCTCCTTTGGATGGAATAGCTCTGAGGCATGTGTATTACGCTGACACTTAGAGTTTCCAAGTGGAATAAAGCTCCAGCTGTGTATTAGGCTTCTCTAGAAGGACAGGACTAATAGGACAGATGTATATATAAAGAGGAGTTTATTAAGGAGTATTAACTCACAGGATCACAAGATGAGGTCCCACAATAGGCTCTCTGCAAGCTGAAGAGCAAGGAAGCCAGTCTCAGTCCCAGTGCTGAAGAGCTTGGAGTCCCATGTTCAAGGGCAGGAAGCATCTAGCATGGGAGAAAGATGTAGGCCAGAAGACTAAACCAGTCTAGTCTTTCCATGTTCTGCCTGCTTTTATTCTGGCTGCGCTGGCATTGGATTAGATTGTGCCCACCCAGATTGAGGGTGGGTCTGCCTTTCCCAGTCCACTGACTCAAATGTTAATCTCCTTTGGCAACACCATCACAGACTCACCCAGGAACAATACTTTGCCTTCTTCAATCCAGTCAAGTTGACACTCAGTATTAACCATCACAAGCTGTCCACAGTAGTAAATGGCTTTAGAATGCATCATTTACTTTCCCACCCTTTCCTGACTCACTTTCCCCTTTGCTTATCAATGTTTTCTCCACTTCCCAAATAAATCACTTGCACTGGAATCCTTGTCTCAGGATCTACTTAACGGGAACCCAAACCAAGAAGATAACAGAAAAGGCAAAATTCAGCCCCCACAAAACAAACCAAAACACAACAAACACAAACATCAATAATGCTAATATTAAAATTTGTAAGGAAGTTATAAATATCTATGTATTCAATATCAGATCAATCACCTTTATGAAGCAAGAAACTAGAGAAGATGTAAATAAAAGTAGACTAAAACACATTCATAGTAGGAAACTTCTACTCAATCTAAGACAGATGAAGTAGATAAAACATTTAACAAGGATATAAAATACCTAGTTAACAAGTTCAGTAGGTTAACTTTTATAGATATACATGGTACTCTGAAACCAGGCTATTGAGAATATACTTCCTTTCAAGTACAGATGGAGCTTCCTTAAAAGTTGACCCTATTTTAGAACACCTCCCAAAAACCTTGAGTAGCTCTAAAAAGTAAAATAACACTAACAGCATTTATGACCATAATACAGTAAAATAAAAATTGTATACTAACAATTTTTAAAGGCCCTCCAACAATTTGAAAACAAGCTCAAAGCAGTAAAACTTTCTCTAAACAGTAGGCCAGGGCAGTTGTAGAGATCACCTTACTTTCCTTTCTGTCAGGGATCATTTCATTAAGCAATGGTTGGCTGTTAAACAATCTTGGCTCAATGGGGAAATATAAAATTAAATTTTAGAACTTCTAGAAAATAGCAAAAATGAAAACACAATACATCAAAATCTAAAATTCATAGCAGTAAATACTTATTACAGTAAAAATGAAAATAAATCGCCCAGGCAAAAAGCTAGAAAAAAAAGCAACAAAGTAAACTGACAGAAAAAAGAAAAAGAAAATCAATGACAATAAAAGCAGATTAAAATGTAGGGAAAAAACCCACAGCAGAGTTAATAAGAAAATATAAATCTTGTTCTTAGGAAACAACAGCAACAAAGCTGACAAACTACTACCCAGATTAATACAATAAATGAAGTACAAGTACACAAAGTAAGAGATGATACAAAGTAACTATCAAAAGAGAGGAGATAAAATGAGGTTCTACATTTAGCAGAATGTTCTGCAAATAAATTTGACAACTTAAATAAAATGGGTTACTTTCTGTAAAATATAATTTATCAAAGCTGGCCCCAGTACAGATAGAAAGTTTAATCAGGACCAATTCCCATACAAGAAATAGAGAAAGTTGTAAAAATGTTTCTTTATAAGTAAGCACTATGACCAGACAATTTAATAAAAAATTCCACCAAATCATGAAAAATCAGAAAATTGCAGTGCTACCCAAAATATTCCAGAGCTTTTTTTTTTTTTTTTGAGACGGGGTCTTGCTCTGTTGCCCAGGTTGGAGTGCAGTGGTATGACCTCAGCTCACTGCAGTCTCTGCCTCCCAGGTTCAAGTGATTCTCAGGCCTCAGCCACCCAAGTAGCTGGGACCACAGGTGTGCACCATCACGCCTAGCTACTTTTTGTGTTTTTAGTAGAGACGAGGTTTCACCATGTGGGCCAGGCTGGTCTCGAACTTCTGACCTCAGGTGATCCACCAGCATCAGCCTCCCAAAGCGCTGGGATTGCAGGCGTGAGCCACTGTGCCCAGCAGAAAATATTCCAAATCTTTAAAAAGGAGTGACATGATATGAGTATGACACGGATATCAAAACTTAACAAATGTAATATGAAAAAGTAATTATAGGCCAATCTCACATATTAATATCAGTGCAAAAATATTAAATGAAATAATGATAACTAGAATCCAACATCTCATTTAAATATGAATTCATTCTGACCACATGATGCTTATGCTAGAAACAAAAAAATGATTCAATACTGACAATCTATTAATATCATTCAGTATATTAAAAGTCTGAGAAAAATTCTATCATCATCTCAATAGATGTCAAAAAAGCATTTAATAAAATTCAATGCTCATTCATGATTTTTAAAAAAAAGTTAATGAAAGAATATGGATAGATTCTTTCTTAAAAAAATTACATAATTCCTATCAAAAGTCAGCTTCTTATAATGGGGGAACCTTAGAGGCAGTTCCAGAAAAAAATGAAAGAAGCAAGGATGTCTGCAATCTGCACTACTATTTAACAGCATATTGGTGGCATTAAAGCAATGCAATTAGACACAAGAATTGGAAAGAAAAAGATAAAACCATCTCTGTAAGTGACAGCATTGTTTACCTGCAATTATAGAAAACACTACTACAAACAATAGAATGAGTAAGGTAATATCAGCAATCTTCATATATATAAACAAAACTCTTAGCAGATACATGGAATAGCAAATATGTGTAGTTACAACAGCAAAAATTTAATAAAATAAAATAAGAATAAAGCTAGCAAAATAATGTGCAGAATATTTATGAAGAAATCTATAAAACAAAAATGGACATGGACAAATGCATATCCGTGTACATCATATCTACTTGTAGGGATAGCATGTCTATTTTCTTAAATTCAACTTATAATTTATGACTATCTCAACAAAAATACCATTTTTTTCCCTGAAGTTAAGCAAGTTGATTTAAACATTGACTTGGAAGATTACATGATCTAGCATAGCCAGAAAATCCTAAAAATGAGCTTTTTGTGGAGGGTTAGCCCTTTGGTACATGAAAACATAATAATAGCAAGTCTCTATGAATAAAACTGTGTCATTTATGCATAGGCAGACAGACAGTGAAGCAGAAGAGGAATCTCAGAAGTAAATAAATACAATTGCATATGGACAAGTAGAGAGTTGGCAGTTGAGGAGGAGAAAAATGAACAGGATGAAGTTACTCTTGGTTTTTATGAAACAAAATGGAGCATTTTGTTGATGGATTGGCTGTGGGGATGAGAGAGAGGGAGGTGTTGAGAGTGTTTCTTGGGTTTCTGGCTAATGTGGTGGGGTGAGGTGGCAAAAGGTACTACCTAGTGCCCATTCTCAGTTACCTTTGGAATACTGGGAGTGCAAAAGAAGCTCCCCTGTAGTTGCAAAAAAAATGTAATAAACGAAAACACAATGTCATCTATAATGATGTTAATTGTGTTGATTTCATATGGACAATCACTTGTGCTGATTTCACATGTGCTGGCTTCGTGATGGGAAATCTTGTGGCTTCTCAGTTTATTATACGTTATCCGTACTTTATTCCACCTTATCTATGGTCACTGGTGCTTGATTTATGTTTTAGTCTTGTATGGGATATCTCAAAGAACTTGTGTCTATTTTCAGCTTCTGGCACTTTCCAGGACTCGACTGCATGAGTGCGATCTTGTAGGTAGCCAGGAAAACTCCCTTTCCTTCGCCCCAGACAAACTGAAGTTCTCACCTCTCTCCTCACTTGCTTGAGTTGCTAGCCATCACTTTATAGTTGCTTTCCTTTCTCCACTCTTGCTCCTGTCTGCTCCATCAAGCATTCTGTAGTCAGAGCGATGTTTCTAAATTAATCTTGTTATGCCCTCCTCAAAGACTTCAGTGACTCCTCATGCCTTCAGGATAAAATCCAAGCTGTGGCTTAGAAGGCTCCAAAGCATTCAGTCATCTTCTCTGAAGGTCATTTTCTGAAACTTTGTACCTTGCCCATGGTGCCTGGCTCTGCTGAACACTATCTCTCTGTCTAGAATGACTAACTAACCCCTTCTCATTTTTTGGCTCTCCACTCAGGTGTCACCCTTTCCAGCAGCTTTCTTGACACCCTAGCTGGAATTTGGGACCTCTATTCCCAGTGTCACTAGCACTCTGTGCACCTATCATAACATCTTTGCCACTCGTCTTGCCTCCTCTGCGAGGCTGAGCTCCTTCTGAGAAGGGCAGTGGCTCCGACACTCCTGTTCCCCACCATGAGGCCCAAGACCTGGCACAGAAGGGCCCTCAGCAGTTGTTGAACTTAAGGAGGAGGAAGAGTACAGTCCTATTTAGGCCCCACTTATTTCTATCTTTGCTCAAAACTTGTCCTCTCCTCCCTTCATTCTCAAAATCTCCTAAGCGTTCCCAAGCTGATTTATTTGTCACATGGCCATAAAATTACTAATTGGAAATGCTGGTGCCCAATTCATTCTGCTGGCATCTTCCCCGCTTGTCCCATTTCGGTCCCTGGAAATTCCACATTACTAATGAACCACCACCCTTTGCAATAAATCTGCAATTCATCAATATGGTCTAATTTTTTAAACATTTCTTTTTTTCCTTGGTGTTGGGTCACTTCAGGCCATTATGAGTGAGAAATAAAGTGGCTTGTTGAAGCATAATGATTAAAATATGAGACTGTCTTTCTATCTTCACACTCAGACAAGCTTGCTAATTGCAAGGTAAGGTTGGAGCAGCTTTAAACTTCTTGGCCACATGCAATATTTAGGAAGGAAAATGAATGAATGATTAACTTTTGGTAAAAAAGAGAGGTGGAGGCACATTTCCACTGTTGCAATATTGTGAGAGGAAAAAGAAAACTGCAAACCTCTAGTTGGTATAAAGAAAGATTAAACTCTGTTTTACTTGGAAGAATTACAAACTCAAATTGAATTCAGATATTCACTTGTGTCGTTAATTCAAAGTCATCTTTTGCACTTTACCACACCTCTATTCTGATGACGTATTGGGGTTTGCTTTGCTTTGCTTTGCCTCTCCCTCCTTAGGCGTGCGGGAGACCCTCCACTGGCCCTCCCAGAATGTCTTTCTCCCTCTCCCTACCCTGCTCTCTGCCCTGAGAAGCTGCCCAGTATGGACTGCCTCAACAACTTCTCTTCCTTTGTGAATTCAACAGGAAACACTGGACGAGATGGGAGGCAGGAGAAGAGAGAGGATGGGATGTTTACTGTCACAGCCAGCCCAAGGTGATGGCTGTGTTTCTCCCTCAAAGGCCATGTCCTGTCTAGCAGCCCCCTGCTATGGACAGAATGGTGGCCAGGCTGTGGAACTGCACCTCACCTTGCCCTTTCAGACTGAGGAGTGGTAAAGAACCTCCCGGTTGCCAGCCTTTGTTGGTTTTCTTGAACCCTGTTCTCACCTTGGTATATAATCCCAGCATTAAGTTTCCCCAAAATCACCCATTTCAGAGGGCCATTTGTTTCCTGGGACTCTGGCTGACATTCACATCAAAAAATTCAATTCCAGAACACCAAGTATTTAGAGGTCACTTCCTCCAAGTTCCTCACCTTGCAAAGGAAGAGACTGAAGCTCACAGAGAAATGATGGCTTGCCACCTGCTATGTAGCCGTTGACAGCATAGCCAAGACTGGAACCCACAGCACTTGTATTTTCAGACTAGCATTCCTACTTTGGTGCCAAATGGCATGAATCAAATAGTTGAGCTTGCTTATTAATAGCAACTATTACCACTATTACATTAGTTAGCTTTTACTGAGGGCTTCCTAGGTGGTGGGCATGTGCTAAGTGTATTTGTTTATCATCTTCAGCTCTCCCAACCATATGATGCAGTTCCTGCATGTTTGCTGATGTTGTTGATTGGGAAAGTCGAGCTAAATTCTGTGTCCCCAGTCACACAGCTTGGGGTAATGTGTGACAGCCCAGGATTCCCACCTGGATCTTTCTGACAAGAAAGTCATGTTTAGACCACCCTGTAAGGTACCTTTGGCCAAGACCCATGATGTGTGCTGAATCTGAAACCAAATAATATCTAAGAGGCCAGAATAAAGGTCAAATGATGTTTAGGCCAAGAGAGCTGCCGTGAGCATGGAAAGGTTGTGGGGCCGTGTGGTCAGCTGGCAAGTGTGGAGTTGGTTCCTATGCTTCTCTCACCATTTAGTGGCTCGCCCCGGTGAAAATGGCAGTTCCAATGGGATGGACCGCACCAGAAAGTTTACCCTCGTCAGGCAGAAGCCCCTGAGAAAACGGGGGCTGACAGAAGCCCCTGGGAGATGCTCAGGGAGTGGCCCAAGGTTGGGAGCCAAGCTGGAGTCCAGAGTCAGAACCGGGAAACCGTCCCGATCATGGGAACCAGGGATCTGGGAAGCACTTGGACATGATTCCACCAAAAGCTGTCTCTTTCACTCAAGGAATCTTAAAGAATTACACACAGACACTGTCCATAGCTATTTTCCACATGATTAAATCAGTATTTGCTTAATAAAGAAAATCTGGTAGAAATGAGGAAGTGGAGAAAAGAAAAGAAACTTTTTCAGCTCAGGAATGTCACCATGTTTGCCACAAGAGCCCATGGTTTGGGACATTCGTGTCTGGCGGGGAAAGGGGGATATCCCGGATGCAGGGTGTGGCAGAGAAGCTACGAGGGAGTGCACTGCCAAGTCCCTTCTGGGCCCCACACCTGGGCCTGCTGCCCTGTGGCTCCCCAAGGACTCCAGAAGCAGCAGGGAATGGGACACTCAGGATCTGTGCCACCTTCAGCAAGCCATGCCTCTTTTCTGAGCTTCAGTTTCTGTATCTGTAAGAGGAGCATGGTCAGCTCTGCCTGTGCAGGTCTCGCCATCTCACAGCGCCCTGTCCTCCAGCTGCATTTTTGCTGGAAAGCATGGCCCAGCTAGGGAATCCCGCTCCCCTCTCACTGCTCACCAGGGCTCCCCTCATCTCATCTTTACCCAATTCCCCTGGCCGGGACCTCCCACCCACCATGGAAAGCTGCAGCCCTGGTCGGACCCATGGATCCTGGGTTTTCTGGTGGTCACCTTCCTAAGTCAGATTCCGATGCTGCCTTCTTCGCGAGGCTTCTTGTGTGGATTCTCTTAGTGTCAATCCGCGGTGCCAGGGGATGTTTAGATTAGGTCATGCGCCTACTCCCAGGAAGCTGCATGTGTCCTCACTGGTTCACTAAAAACATATTTCTTAGAAGTGAGGCCTTACTGCTCAGCTGCCCTAAAAACACAAGCAGGATGAGATCACCCACAGGACCCCAGTCCTGGCTAAATGCTGATGTAGTCCCTCCTGGGGGACAGGGGTGCAGCTGTGATCCTCAAGTGAGGAACTCAAGCTTCTGCGAGGTCCCTGGTTCTAGAATGTCAGTAGTAGAGACCCTGCTTCCCCCAGCCAGACACACCTTTGATACACAGGCCCACTTCGAGCCCATAAGACAATGCTCGGGACAGGAGCCCTTCCCGACCCTAGCTCTGGTGAATGAAAAGGAGGTGGGCATTTCCTTTCCACTACTTTAAAAATGCTTCGTGGGCTGGGCACGATTACACACCTGTAATCCCAGCACTCTGGGAGGCCGAGGTGGGTGGATCACTTGAGCTCAGGAGTTCCAGACCAACCTGGGAAACGTAGTGAGACGTTGTCTTTACAAAAAATATAAAAATTAGCTGGGCATGGTGGCACATGCCTGTGGTCCTAGCTACTTGGGAGGTTGAAGTGGGAAGATCTCTTGATCTCGGGAGGTGGAGGTTGAAATGAGCCAAGACTGCGCCACTGCACTCCAGCCTGGGCTACAGGGCAAGACACTGTCTCAAAAAAACAAAAACAAAAACAAAAAAATGCCTCGTGCCTCTGTCTCCTGAGACAGAAACACTTCCTGGGGTACCATGAGGGGAGAGTGAGATTTGGGGCCACACCAGTGTGAGGGGAACACAGCTGTGTGACCACGGACAAGTAACTACATGTCTTGGGGCCTCTTGCTCAGCTATAAAATGGGGAAAGCAGATGTTAGGAGACCACGTATGTGAGCGCGTGGACCAGTGTCTTGGCATTGTCCCAGGAATGGCTTGTGAACTCCACTTGGCTGAATCATCAGAACTTTTAGGAATCCCAGTTGTCTGGCCTGTTGAGGTTAACTACTCATGTGGTTCTGATTTATATAAGGGAAGATAAAAATGCAGCTACTCGGGAGGCTGAGGCAGGAGAATCGCTTGAGCCTGGGAGGCGGAGGTTCCAGTGAGCTGAGATTGCGCCACTGCTCTCCAGCCTGGGTGACAGAGCAAGGCTCTGTCTCCAAAAAAAAAAAAAAAAAAGGCAAAGTAAACTCAGAAGAGGAGAAGGAGAAGAAGAGGTGGCTCCTGCTACCTGCCCTCTTGCCCTAGTATGGACAAGGATGCCACACAGGCAGGTAGACCCTCAGGGCAGGAAGGAGTTGTAAAATTCCACTGTTCTCAGCACTTGGAAAACAAGCCTTCAGTGAGCAGCCACTCGGCCTTTGGTCTTGCTTTGCTCTGTCATCCAGGATCTAGCCAGCCACAGGGCAATCTGGGGTGGTGAATGTCCTGCCTACATCACAGCTTGGGGACAGGAGCTCTTCACGGCAGGCTCGTTTGCTGTAGGACATGCACTATTCGGGATGAAAACTCTGATGGGATTTCCAGGCCAGAGCCTTTCTGGCGCGCCCGTGACTCTCCCTCCATGCTGTGGGTGTCCTGGAGGTCCAGCGGCCTCACTGCTCACAGGTCCTTCCGAGCTGCTTGTCTGCTCCCTCACTCTGAGCGCCCACCTCACGGCTCCCGATGCTCTCCTTGCTTTCAGCCTCCCTGCCCAGGCCTGGAGTTTGGCCTGCTGTGCCCTTTGACTGGACACCCGCCAATGACTCCACTCTCCCGCCCTGGCCACCCCCCTTCACTGCAATTTGGAGTCTGTCCAGGTCCTCTGAGATACCTCATATGAGGGCTCTGTTTCTCCCCACAATCGGGCATGTGCTCATTAGTCATGGGATGAGTGGGTCATTTCGGAGCTTTCTACCTGAGGCAGGGGCTGTGGGGTTGATCCATTTCACTGCCTCAAGGCTTGGCAAGGCATGGGGAGGGCCACTGCTGGGCCGACCCACCTGGGCTTTGGTCAAGAGGGTGAGCGGCAGCCTGGGGATGCAGCTTCTCCCGCAGTCCCCCGTAGAGGCATGGGAGCAGCTGCATGATGACAACCTGTGCCAGGAAACTCCTTTTCAAGCTGACTTCTTAGGAATGAGGTGCTGTTCTAGAAATCCACAACAGAGACCAAACTGCCACTGCCCTGGCCACGGGGTCCAGCTGCAGATTAGGAAATGGGCGTAGTGCAGGAAAATAGAAAAATCAGTCCCCGCCTTCCTTAGTAATGACGCTGTCAGATGGGAGGAAGGAGCCTTGACTTCCTGAGCCCATCAGAGGCTCTGGGACAGGACTGGGGTGGGGATGCTCGACTTGGAGCCCTTCTTGTACATCCTCTTTGAACCCTTCTCAGCCTCCTGGAACCCTGGCAGTTGGTCCCTGGCACTTTGGTCCTTCTGCTGAGTTCTGACAGCCCAAGGCCATCTTCTGTCTGACCCTTCCCTGTTCTGGTGCCGCACATCCGCCTTCCCCTCCACTCACATCGTGCCAGGCCCCATGGTCTGGAACCGTCTGCCCTCTGCTCCATCAGAATCTGCCTCAGGTCATGTTGCAGCCTGCTCAGTTCCCTTCATAAAACACATATAGTGCTAGCACTGTGTTCCTAGGCCTAAAGGCCCCACGTGAGTGAGACCTGGCCCCAGAGTGCCAAGTCACAGAAGCCCGTGGATTCTAGTGTGCAGTGGCCACAGCAACCTGAGGTGCCACAGCAACCTGAGGTGCCACCTTCCACAGGGCAGCGGCATGAGGATGCCTGGTCTCCCATGGGACGTGGCTGGGCTTTGGAGGATGAATAGGAGTTCTAGTGCAAAGCATGGAAGAGTCCACATGGTGTGTCTGGGGAAACACACATAGCTCGGTGTTTTCCAAGTTGAGTGGAGAGGCACCAACTGAAGCCACAGTCTTGCCACCAACTCACCGCGTGCCTTGCTAGCCCTTTGCTTTCCTGGGCGGGTCTCTCCATCAGGGCTGGCCCACCACACAGTCTGCAGTGTGGGGTACCCAGATGCCAGGGGAGGAAGCAGGGGGTCTGTGTGTAAGGGTGGGGCTTGGGCAGAAGCCACCGACCCTGTCCTCAGGAGACCCAGAGAGCCCCTGCTAAGGACATGGGTGGGACAGCAATGCATGGACAGCAACGGGCTGAGAATTTCACCTTTGTACCTCACTTATGCTCCTCAAGGTCTCTGCATCTATATGAAGGGTCTGGAAATTGAGTGCAACCACTGTAACACATGGCTTTTTCCTTTAGGAATGAGAGTGGGCTCCAGCCAGCCCTGCAGGAGCTACTTCCCCCTGTTCTTACTTAACCAGAGCCCCGGTTGGGCGCTTGGCCTAATCACTCATGAGCAGGAGCCAAGTTCATCACTTCCTGACTCTTCAGCTTTGAACACCTTTGCATCTTCAGTGAAACTTCTGGATTTCCAGGTGACAATCTCCATCCTGGGCCTGTCTCAGTGGTGGAAATAACATGGCACGGAATCACCCTGCGTTCCCCCAGGAGCACACCCCTGAAAGGTCCTGGCATGTGTTCCCGGCCTCTGGACATTTTCAGGTATTGCTCCTCTGCCTGGCTGGCTGCCACTGCTCTTTCACCCTGCTGAGAATGACTGGACTCTTCCACGCTCATCAGCTCACAGCTTCTGCCCAGCCCCTCCTCTGGAAGAATTCCCTGCCTCTCCCCTGTGTCTCCCCTCTCTTGGGACACCAGGCTCACTCACCGTGATTGGCCAATGCCATGTGGCCCCTCTACTAGTGGGCTTATTGGAAGGCAGAGACTAAATTAATTTGTAATTTCCCCCTAGCACTCATCACAGGGTCTGGCTTAGAGAAGCTCTCTTAGTGTTGGTTGGAAGAAAAGACAAAAGGAAGGAAGGAGGGAAGGAAGGGAGGAGGAACAGAAGGGAAGAAGGGAAGGTGGAAAGAAGGGAAAGAGAGGAAGCAAAGGAGGGAGAGGAAGGAAGACAGAGAAAGGAAGGAAGGAAAGGAAGGAGACCTTTGGTGACAACGGAAAGGCAAGGTTGCTTCAGTCCCTGAAGCACTTTACCCCAAGGCTGCGGGTGGCCCTCCCACTGGGACATCCCCATCAGGTCCACATCTCTTATTTGGATCCTGCTGGCTGCTGGCATCACCATCAGGCCAGGGCCCAGTGCCTGCCTCCTGGCACTGGACTACAGAGAAGGGGGTGGTGACGTTGGCCCTGGCTCCCATTTGTAGGACCTGGTGCCATAGATGTCCCGTGGAGAGCTCCATGGCACCTGTTAGGAGATGGGTGGCAGAGGGAGGCTTTGCTATGCTTGATGTTCAGCCCCTTGGGAGGTGCCTCTGGGAGCTGAGGAGGATCTGCCTGAGAACAGCACACCAAAGACAACTGCAGCCCCAGCCTCCATGCCCTGTCAGGGCCAGCGGTACAGCCTGGTGCCTCAGACTGCTGGAAACCTCCCATCTGCCCCGTCCCCTTCCTTCCCAATCAAGCAAGTGGACACCACACCCTGCCACACGCAGACAGGGCTCAGCCTCCCCTCATTTCCTAGATAGCCACTGTCCAAATCCCGCATGCTGTCCCCTGCCTGGATCTTCCCAGCCCTCCCTCCTGCCTCCCAGAAGCCAGTCCAGTCCCCTCCCCGGTTACAGTATGGTTCTTTGTGATAGGAAAAAATAAAATTCTTAAGAGTAAGAAAAGCATCCATAGATCTCCACTCCAATAAAGCCCATTAGTCTGGGGCAAAAGCTGGGATCAGTCAGTGCTCTAAATCCAAGTCCACAGGAGCAGGCACACCTGTGCCCAGATGCCACATCCCCACATAGTACATCAAACGAGGAGCAACCATGGCTGCAACCCAATCTGCGGAGGTGTTTGGGCCCTGGAAAGCTCCCTTACACAGCACAGGAGTCAGGAAGATGTGGGGAGTGAAGCAGGGAAGGGCAGCCTTCTTGGATGCCCCTCTTCCCTCCCTGTCCTTGCTCTCCCCGTGCCGCCATCCCGGAGGAAGCTTCCCGATTTGTTAGATTTCAGAACTGCACTCTGGTGATGTCGCTGTGTGTCGAAAGGCTCCTGAAACAAGTGAGTGGGAGCTGCCACGGGACCTGTCCAGGGCCAACTTGGCGTCATGCACTCAGTCTGCCTCCTCCCCTCGTCCCCCACAGGGTCGAGATAAGAAGGGGTGAACACAGCGGTGGACTTGCGGGCTGGGAGGACGGCCCTGCTGGGCTTTGGGTTCGGTGGTCGTATTGGTCTTTCTCTTTGCCCCTTTTCTTTTCTTTCTCCCTTGTTAACTGATGTGATGACACTTTTGTTCCTTTTAAGTTCCAAACCAGTTGAGAAATCTGACGCTGAAGTCAGGATGATAAAGGTCAGCTTGCCCCATGGCTCAGCACTGGGTCCCCTATCGCTCCCCGACTCCTCACCTGAGCACGGTGAGCTGCCCTCAGTGAGCTCGGGTCTGGGAAGGCTCTGGCGCTTGGTTAGCTCTGAGGTCAGTGTAAGGAAGAGGGGAACAGGTCAGAGGCCACACTGTTAGGACGGTGACAAGAGAGGCCACGGAGTGGAAGCAGCAGACGCCTGATGGCTGCGGGAGATGCCCGTGGAGATGGGGGAGCTGCTTCCTCCTTCCTCCTGCCTGAATGGCCACCAAGGAAGGCCGTCCCCGCTGGTGCGGGCAGTGGGGCAGGGTGCAACTACTGCTCAGGCGAGGCACTGCGAGTTGGCCGGGCATGCGAGGGAGAGATTCTGTAGGTAACTAAAATTTGAGATCAGGAGCTTCAGTGAAAAGCTGCCCAGGGCTAAGTGTGGGGACTGTCAGCACAGAAAGGATAGTCTGACGCTACGCAGAGATGCCTAGAGCAGGAGGACATTACAGCACCAGTGTCCAAGAGGCAGTGTGGGATTCTCAGGCAGACTGCACATGCACCCGCCCTGTCTAGACCAGGGCAGGAGGCATGATCCAGGTCCTGCCTCAGGACAATCAGCAGGTTTCGGAAACTAGACCCATTGGGGAGGTTCTCCACAGCCTGGTGGGAGGCCTGGAAGGACCCACGTGTGCTCCCTTCTGGGTGTAATGTGTAATATAGAGGCAGGGAGAAAATGTGAAGTCCGGACCAGGCCAGATTCCCCCTGCTGCTTCCCCTCGGATATTCACCCTTTCATTGAACATTTACTGAATACCTCACCTGAGCCAGACAATAAAAATACCATAGGATTTATGACCTAAACTGGGACATTTTGGGAAGGAGAGAATGCCAGTAATAATATGCTGGGATAACCAACATGACCAGGCCTTTTCCTGGGAACTTGGCCTGGAAAGTTCAGAGCTGCATGCTGCCCCGGCTCCTGGCTATAATCAGAAAGGCAGGTGTGAGCCCCAGATGGGAAGATAACGTGGGGGTCAGGCAGAGGGAACAGAGGCAGACGTGGGCGCAGAGGGAGCAGCAAGGAGGGCTTGACCTTGACTGTGACGGAGACACACAGAGGACTGCGTCTCGAGGACAGGGTTGGCACTTCTGGTCTATGCGAGTGGGCAGGGGTGGTGCTGACATCTCTGGCATGTTAATGCGACGGGGGCACAGAGGAGCTCCCGGGTGCATTCAGGAACTTGGTGGTGGCTTGATGTTGATACGGGACATGGGGGCGGGGGCCGGGGACGTGGGATGCGGGTAGTGTCTGTGTGTGTAGGCAGTGTGGATCTAGGCACTAAGAGTCCTGTAGGTGAGTGGTTTAGACTTAACTCTGTAGGCAATCCAGAGTCACAGAAGCATGTTTCAACACTAAGAACATCACTGAGGTACTTAATCGTCTGGACCTTCAG
Source organism: Homo sapiens (assembly GCF_000001405.40). NCBI lineage: Eukaryota > Metazoa > Chordata > Mammalia > Primates > Hominidae > Homo > Homo sapiens. The sequence goes on from NC_000007.14 coordinate 51,015,334, forward strand.
TGTGCTCATCTGGAAGATGTTGCCTTCATACCACCTGGGCTCACTGAGAAGATGAACCAAGAATAATCATGAAACACTCTGCAAAAAGACCAAAGTAAGGCCAGAGGCTGTCATTATTCCATATTCCACACTTCAAAACCCAGGCTTCTGCGCAGCTTGCAGCTTGAGATACAGAAGGCAAGACAATTTCAAAAGTAGATTTAGCCTAAAGTGGGTCCCCTCCCCTCACAAGGAAAATGAACTAGGGAGGTGGGCAACCTCTCGTCCTTCCCGAGGCCCACCTCTGGGCCCCTTCTGTCTGCTGCCCCCTTGGTCTGGCCAGGGAGCAGGGCTGCTCTGAGAAGGGGAACACCATGCAGTATGTGAAGACCAGGGGCACAGGCCAGCAACATTGTATCTGCTCGACCTCCCATTCCTGACAATGGCCTCCTTGTGCCCCTAACACCCAGGCAGCGTCCTGCCCCCAGGGCCTTTGCACTCACTCTTCTCGCTGCCAGTCATGCGTCCATCCGGAGTTTGCTCCCTCACTTCCTTCAGGGTTTTACTCAACGGTCACCTTCTCACTGGGCCTTTCTTCATCCCCGTCTCCTTTGTCCCACTTTCCCGATGGTTTTTCTTCTTTACACTTATCAGCGCCTAAATGTACTCAACATTTTGCTAACTTATATCACATCTATGGTCTGTCTCCTCCATAGTAACATAACATGAATTTCACAAGTGTGGGGATTTTTGCCTGTTTGTCAGCTGCATGTAACCCAGGGAATGGAGGAGTGCAGGAGGGAGCCAGAAACGTGTGTTGGTTGAATAACTGAATCCGTCCTTCCCATTTTGGAAGAGGGGTATCCAAACCAACTGTAGTATGAAATTCACACAACAGCTAAGATTTGATTTTCTTTTATTTGTGGCACTAAAAGACAGATAGCTGTGATGAAGAGCAATTGGCTGGTAGCTCGTGCCTCACCAAGAGTTTAGCAACGTTAATCAGTGAATGCAGAACAGCTTCCATTCTACCTGAGGCCTAGATCTGAGATCGCTGTGAAACATTAAAGTGACCTCACCATACTTGTTTTCTCACTCAGATACACATTTTATTTCATCAACACATCTTGATTTCTATTACTTTTTTCAATATAACAAAATGTTTTAGAGATATATATGAAAAACTACTGCTGTAGTTAGACCTCATTATAAATATTGGTGACTGGGCACCATGTGAGAAGACCACGATATCATACAAAGGGAGCCAATGAGCTGTTGGACAAACGCGTCAAGGCTGAACCAAAATTGTGATGCTCTCAGCGCAACTTTGATCTGAACTCTTGACAGGTGGGCATCCAACATCCCTGCTCCTTGACCCTCTGCAGGATTCCAGAAGGCTCCCAGTGAAGTCATCAGGCTCCGTACACAGGCACCGTGGGGGAGGCCTATGTCACTTCATAGCCTGGGGAATGGCTGTCCATGTGGGGCACTGCCCATCCACTCCAGTGGTGGTGTGACCTCAGCCACCCGCCACCCTTGCAGGACTCGGGCATGCCCTGGCCACATGATCACGTAGGACTGTTTTCTGGGTGGTAATAGTTGATTTTTAAAAGCTTAGTTGGTCAGATCATGGACTGTGACCCTCTGTGAAGTGTTAGCCCCAAATATTTGAGGAAGAAGAATCCAGCAGTTTTACTACCTAACAAAGCCACCTTTGAAAAGCCTCCCAATTTTTTTTTCTTACTACCAAAACACACAGCATCATGGAGCATATCACATTCAGATTGTTCCATCTGATTCATATGTTTTTTCTAAAATTCAAAAGATCTTAAATCAGTAAGTAGTTTCATCCATCTGTATGTGGTAAAAGTCTCAAAGGTCCAAAATCAGTCTAAGGCATGATTCTTTTTACTTTGCCCATAAATATAATTAAGTGTGAGTGCTGGGCTCCAGCATTTATAGTCCCATTAACCTGCCAACAAGAATCGTTTATTAGCAACTTAAGATATTCAGAGGCAAAACACATTTCCTTGGCACACGAGCTGCGCAGCGACACAGCATCTTCTCCTTTCCTTTCAAGCCGTTATACAGGAACACACCGAAAATCAACTGTGCGCATTTGGCCTGTAGACAAGAAAGTAACACCAAAACTTGATGTTCCTGGCTATGCAGACTCCTTGAGTGACGCCTGTGGGCATATTACAGGTGGGTTTCTGCAATTCTCTGGCCTCTGTTCATTCACACGAGCAAGGGCACCTGCAGGGAAGAGAGATTCACAGTTATTTGGTATGTCAATAAGCCCAGGATGCAGATCTTCTGGTGCTAGAGAGCTCTGTGCACAGCCACTCTTGCAATAGTACTCCTGGAACCCCCTTCCCAGTTCCTTTGACCTGCAGAAAGGAGGCTGTGATCAGGGCTGTCCTCACAGACCTTCTCACGCTCCAGCTTCCTCGTAAAAGCTGCCAGGGAAGGACGACTAGCAGGATGCAGAGGCCCGAGGTCAAGGGAACTGGGAGGTGGGCCCTGGGGTCCTGGTCCAGACAGAGGACACTGCCTCTTGGGCTGTGTGGGTACGCATCTGAGGCCTTGCCCTCTGCTCAGGTGTGCCTGAGAGGATCGTGACTAACATTTGATGTGGGACGAGTTACCCTCTATAACTTCAGTTTCTTCATCTTTATATTGGAGACATACCCATAATAATGACAATAATAAACTGCTTGTTTGGTTAAGCTGATGTTTTAATGAGTGGACTTGTGTCACACTTTAAATGGTGTCTGGCACATGGTAAGCACACAGGAAGTATTCTAGGTACTTTCCATGTGGTGATGGTGGTTAATTGTGGTGGTGGTGGCAGTGGTAACGGTGGTTATGGTAATCGTGGTGGTGGTGATGGCGGTGGTTGTGGCAGTGGTGATGGTGGTGGTAACTGTGGTGGTGACGATGGTGGTGGTGGTGGTGATGGTGATGGTGATGGTGATGGTGGTGGTGATGCAGACCCTGCCCTGTGCATGCTCTCTCACACATCCCTCGCATCAATCTTACAGATGAGGAAGTGAAGCCCCAAGGCCCAGAAGAACTGGGAGGATCGACACCACCCGGGTCTGTCTTGACACTGGGCGCACCTGCCCTTTTCCTGATGCTCCTCCATATCCCTCTCTTCTCTAGGTTCTCTCGGGCCCTCTTCCTGAACTCCCATGGTGGGGATTTAACATCTACTTCAAGCCTGTCCAACTCATGGCCTGGGACCACTTTAAATGTATCCCAATACAAATTCGTCAACTTTCTTAAAACATTATGAGGGTGGGCATAGTGGCTCACACCTGAAATCCCAGCACTTTGGGAGGCCAAGGCGGGCAGATCACCTGAGGTCGGGAGTTCGAAACCAGCCTGACCAACATGGAGAAATCCCGTCTCTACTAAAAATAAAAAATTAGCTGGGCATGATGGCACATGCCTGTAATGCCAGCTACTCAGAAGGCTGAGGCAAGAGAATAGCTTGAACCCGGGAGGTAGAGGTTGCATGAGCTGAGATCGCACCATTGCACTCCAGCCTGGGCAACAAGAGAGAAACTCCATCTCAAAAAAAAAAAAAAATATATATATATATATATATATATATATATATATATATATATATATATGATTTTTTTTGCAATTTTTTTTAAGCTCACCAGCTATCGTTAGTGTTTTTTATATGTGGTACAACACAATTTGTCTTCCAGTGTGGCCTAGGGAAGGCAAAAGATCAGACACCTCTGATCTACTTGTACAAACACAGTGCTCCACTTAGCCAGATGTTTCCTGAGGGCCCCACTTATTAATAGGGGGAGTGTTACAGTCTGAATGCTTGTGTGCTCCCAAATTCACATGCTGAAATCCCAACCTCCAAGATGGTGGTATTAGGAGGTGGGACTCTGGAATTTGATGAGGTCATGGGGGTTGAACCTCATGAAGGGATTGGTGGCCTTATCAAGGAGGCACCAGGGAGCGTGTCTACCCTTCCATCACATGACACGATGGGCAAGACTCATGGAACTTGTGATGTGGAAGGGAAGGCAAGCATCCAACAAAAACCACACCAACTGCTAGAGAAATTAGAGCTGTGGTTTGCATTATGAAGGAAAAATTATGTGACGCTGTATTGGGAACCTAATCTAGACTGAGGGAGGCTTTCTGAAGACGTGAGGTTAATAAAGGAACAAAGGGATGAGTCAGGAATGAGCTGGTCAAATGTGGGGAACAGCTCTGGAGGAGTGGAGAACAGCATTTGCTGGCCCTGAGGATGGTCACTGTGGTAGGTGTGCTTCTCCCAGGAGGCTCCTCCCCGTTCTACCTGCAGAAGAGGCAGCTGACTCAGTAGAGCTGCAATAAGCAGAACAGTCACACGCAAAGAGTCTGCAAAGACAGAACTGACCCCTAGGCCTCAGAACAATTTCACATTAACCAAAGCACACCACAGGTTTACATTACGAGCAACTAAACCAGGGGTGATGCAATTGTATTGTGGGTCACATTCACATCCTGATAGAAATTGCTATTCCCTCGTCACAGCAACTTGGAGTTCTCTAATGCACATATGAGGACCTAGGGCTTAGATGAAAAGAGAGTTGGTGTGTTTTTTCTCTTTCCTGGTTTGGGGCCTCCTGTTACTGTCACATGTCTAATCATTTCTTACAAGGTCTGTGGTCAAGGCCAAGTGTCATGACGCGTGTGGCCCGCATCAATTAATTCCTGCCGTGGGAAAACAGGCACCTGAGGGCCCAGACAAGAGACTGGAACTCAGTTCAATAGGACGTTTCCCAAAGCGGCTAGGAGCTGATAAGGTGTCTGGGCCCAGCAGCAGCAGGACACACGGAAGGGCTGGGAGAAGTCACTTATGATGTCTGTGCCCCATTTTCGCACCTGTCAAAGGGGAGCTACGACCTTGACTTCCAGGAAGGTGTCGGGGTAGATGCTTGCCCCGCTGCCCTCCTGGGAGGAAAGATCCACAAGTCATCGGGATTAGCCTGTCCCAGCTTCTTTGGAAAAGTTCCTAAGGTCAATAGCAGACCCCGCACCCCTGCCCCCTTCCTCTGGCTGAGAGGTCCTGAGGGCACAGATGAAGCTTCTTTCGTCTATCACAAGCAGCTCCGACAGTGCCCGGACCCTAGTAGGTTCTCCGGAAATGCTTGTAGAATGAAGCACTAGACATGAATGTTTTAAATATACACATGGATTAGGAGGGTACTTGTACATTCCAGGCCTTCTGAAATAATGCATTTAAAACAGATCGACAAAGACAGTCAGACGCATACAGCTTTGCCTTTAATAAGAACGCAGGGCTGAGTGGAAGCAAGCACTGAGTGTGGGGTGGGGGCAGATCTGAACACTGCCTTCAGGAGGAGTGGGTGTTCCACTGAGGAAGTGGGTGCACATGCAGCCGAGCTGCAAATGCTCTTATTTGGAGCTGGAGGAGAAACACAGCTGGAAGTTTCTCTGGCAGCCACAAATACAGAGGCAGAGACATCATTGGATTCACACCGTGAAGGCAAATGTAATTTCAATTGCCTTGAAAAATGGCAACGTCACTGTTAAGGTAATTATTCCTCCTACATCAAATTTACCCTTTTGTATTTGATCATGGGCAGCTTACTGCCAATGTGAAATTTGTGTATTACAGGTTGGGTGACCAATCACCCAATTTGCCTGCGACTGTCCCAGAAAACCTTCCCAGCATAGCTGGGCACCCTCATTGAAAGGAGGAGGCTGCACTGCTAAGGGGAGGAGGAGCACCTACAGATTCATGCACTGCCTTGCTGGGAAAGCCAAGGACACCCCTCCATTGCAGGATGTGCTCCCAGCAATGCTGTTCTGGAGCCGTTGCTGAACACCCAAAAGAAGACCCAGGAAACTCTACATCTACTGAGAACCTATGGAGAAACAACCAACACTGCACGCACTGGGAGCCCCTGAATTTATTGTATTTTCCTCAAGGTTAACATAGCTTTTAACATTTTACTTTTTTAAAAAAATTTCTTTTATTATTTTTTAAAGAGAAAGGATCTTGCTTTGTCACCCAGGCTGATGCAAGCTCAGTGGTATGATCATAGCTCACTACAGCCTTGAACTCCTGAGCTCAAACAATCCTCCTACCTTCACCTCCCAAGGAGCTGGGACTACAGGCCCGTGCCACCACACCTGGCTCATTTCTGTATTGTAGAGATGGGGGTCTTGTTATGTTGCCCAGACTGGTCTCAAACTCCTGGCCTCAAGCAATCCTCTTGCCTCAGCCTCCCAAAGTGTTAGGATTACAGCTGTGAGCCACTATGCCCAGCCAGCATAGCTTTAAAAGTCCAAAAGGTGAAATAAAACTAAATCATAAGAGGCAAAGTCCATATAATTTGATGTTCGCATGCCATAATATACACGAAAGTGTATTTGCTATGAAGACAATATAACCTCCAGGATCCATGCATAGCAGAAAAGTGCCATCTAACCAGGCTTATTAGAAAAATTGTAATTCATTTCCCAAATCGCAAATGTCTCCTGTGACCACAGGTCTACTCTCAACACAAATGAGTAGACAGGGCAAACTTCTAGGAAATGCAGTTGGTTAATGCCTTCAAAAGAATGAATCATTGGTCCAGGTGAGGCCACCTTGGCCCCCTGCACCTGAGTCTCCCTGATGAATGCTGAACAGAGGCCAGGAGGGCAGGTCGATCACCCAATTCCTGCCCTCCTAGGGCAGGCTTTCTTCAGATTTGTTGTGGTTCTGTGATAAAGCGTCAAGTGTAGGAAGGCTCTGGGATCACCGGGCATGGTAGTGATAATGAGACTGAGGGGAACGTGGTTTCCAACGTAGGACTCAGCCAAGGAACTCAGGGCCCAGCTTTCAGCCCGGGAGCATCTTGTAAACGGCTCGGGGCATCAAAACCTCAGAAATGCCACATAAATATTAATTGCCTAGAACTTTCCAGGGTGGATAAGGCAGGCCACACGACTCAGACTAATCCAAGAAACAATCAAAACCTGGACTTTTGAATGCCCTTTGAAGCAGCTGACAGATGGCTGAGACTGTGCGAGAAACACAAGCCCGGCTCCCGCCCTGGCTAGCACTTTACAGCCACGGTGACCTTTCCTCCAAGCATGCCTGGGCCTCGCACGGCACCAACGCCCACGGCTTCATCCAGGCCCGGCCTCTCTCTCTCCGTGGCCTGTGCATTTCTCCCCACTTTCTTTCTCACAGCACAACTTCCTCTGTTCTTTCGGGCTAGTCAAAACTTATTTTTTTTTTCCTTTCTGTAAGGCAGAGGAACGCATTCTCAGAAGCCAAAAGTCCCAATGTTATTATCTCCTCCGCTTGCTGGTTGTGGACCTCGGGCCAGCTTTCAGCATCTCTGGGCCCCAGGCCCTTCATGACTCTGCACAAGATGGAGAGGGTAAAAGAAAAAGATACAGAAACCAGTCACTGAGATGACTTTTATAAAGCAGTGAGTACAGAGTGTGGTCATGGCCTTCACAGGATCCCAGTCGGTGCAATTCAAAATGCATGAAAGGCTCAAATGAGATAGACAATCGTCTCCAACCTTAATGTAAAGTCACTTGGATAGCAATGGAAAATTGCAGATTCATAGGCTGAAAAATGTGATTCAAGATACAGATGTCCTATGGACCTACATTGAGAAACAGCTTTAGAATCTCAGAAATGTACCCTGGGATCAGTAGAGTGACAGAGCTGATCCCAATCGCACTGCTTCAGACTCCTCCAGAGAGCCTTCCGATGATCAGCCCTTGAAATCGGTGGCTGTCATGTGTGTGGGGCAGACAGGATGCCTCGGAGCTGCACTTCAAGAGCCATCTTCAACAGAATTTGTGCTCATTTTTATGACCCCTATTTAGCCATTCACCCCAATTTCTTCACTTTTCCCTCATTTTACATAAGTACACACATTCATCAACACATAAATTCCACAGGAATAAAAAAGCATAAAGAAAACCAAAGAGCCTTAAGTAATTTCTAATTGCCCCTATCCTGAGGAGATGGCATAAAACTTGCCATATCCCTTGCCATCTGGGTAAGGAGACTTTTCTCCCCAGCATCCATGGGTGGGCTGTGCATTCAATGATGACTGGCTAGCATCTTTGCTGGCTGATGTCTCAGGGCCACATCACACAGCTATGAATGCCCCACCCTCACACTGGGACAAGCTCTGGGGAGCTGACCCAAGAGCCATCACAAATGGCCCCTGGGGAGCTCAGAGAGCCACCGAATCAGTGGGCGCTCAGGCTGTTCTTGCACAGGGCAACAAAGTTGTGACCTCTGGGTGTCCACAGGGACTCATCCCTCCAGGCAGTGCCTTTCACAGCAAGGCTGCCGGCCGGGTGTGGGGCCTCCTCCATTCTCAGTGCCCCGAGGCTTCTGAGTGGGAGATCTGGAGAGCTGTCTCCCTTCTCCATTGTGCCAGCAGTCCTACATGAGAGTAGCTTACCCAGCGTCTCCTGGGTTACCTGCTCTCTACGGAGCACACAGCTTGTGACCTGGGGATGAGCACTTCTTGTGCCCAAACTGATCCGTGTCTAAGTCCAGGCCCTGTGTGACCAAGCCAAGCGACTCACTCCTCTGAGCCTGGCCCACTTTATATAGAAAGTGAGGATAATCTTTAGCACCGAATGCTTGGGTACAAGTGAAAACATAAGCTTAGGATCTGGAAATAATCACTCAGAAAATAAAATCTTTGCCGGGCGCAGTGGCTCACGCCTGTAATCCCAGCACTTTGGGAGGCCGAGACAGGCGGATCATGAGGTCAGGAGATCGAGACCATCCTGGCTAACACAGTGAAACTCCATCTCGACTAAAACCACAAAAAATTAGCCGGGCGTGGTGGCGGGCGCCTGTAGTCCCAGCTACTCAGGAGGCTGAGGCAGGAGAATGGCATGAACCCGGGAGGCGGAGCTTGCAGTGAGCCGAGATCGCGTCACTGCACTCCAACCTGGGCGACAGAGTGAGACTCCGTCTCAGATAAATAAATAAATAAATAAATAAAATAATAAAATAAAATAAAATCTTTTTCCAACCTCCCAATTATTAGCATAACTCCCCACACCCACTAGGAATGGGCAGGGACGGAGGGTCAATCCATTACTGAATCATGTCAGAATTGAAACACGTCTCAGAAGCCATCTGGCCCAAGCAGCCCTTTAATCTAGGAATTCCATTGCAGGGGCCAGGTGGGCAGTAATGTGCAGACCAGCACAAGACCAAAATGGAGAAGCCGGGGAAATCCAGAAAGTGCATGCTCTGCCCAAGGGACTTCAGATTCCGTAACTGTCCAACATTAGGCTGGAATGCAAGCATGTACGAGTGAATGAATGAATGAATGAATGAATGAATGAATGAATGAATAAGACTGGCGGCTTCCGTGCCAGCTGAGGGCCATGAGTTTGTGATGTGTGCTCTGTGGGGCCCCAAATGGATGATCTTCCATCCTCTCCATGGACCAGTAGAAACTGTGGGTTAGGGTGGAACTGAGCTTGGGTTACAGTGGGGTTTAGATTCCACCTGTCATCATCACCAAGGAGCTGAGGACTGGAGCTGGCACCTACCATGCAGGAGGCTGACTTTCTCACCTGTGGACTGGAGCCTTCATCTGCCACTCTGGTCAGCACATGTGAGAGACACAGTGACGCCGGCTCTCTCTCAACCCACTCCCATGTGACCGCCTCGCAGCTCCTGCCCACAGGCAAGCGTGTCCCTGGATCTACGCTGCACCTCCAACCCTCTGGCCCCATTGAAATGCGCACACACAGTCGCCATCACCTTTCTCAGTCTCGCAGCCCCTGTGCCGGAGCGGATGGCGTCCATCAAGGCTTGCCTTGCGTCTGCGGTGTTGCTGAGGGTGCCCGTGCTGAACCTGGAGGCCGTCCTTGGTGCAGAGAGAGCCTGGGAGGGTGGAGGGGGTGGTGGGGGAATGGCTGGTGGGGACAGAAGACCAAGGTCTTCTAGCAGAGGACTTTCCGAGCCCTGAGCAGAGAGTGCGGCATCTCGGAAGCTCTGGAGCTCCTCAGAAGCAGAGGATGCCACCTGGCAATGAGATGATTAAATGACTGCTATAGAGTGAATGTCTCCCAAAATTCAGCTGTGAAATCCCAACGCCCAAGGTAGTGGCATGAGGAGATGAGGATTGGGGGTGACTAGGTCATGAGGTGGAGCCCTCATGAATGGGATTAGTGCTCTTATACAAAAAAGGCTCCAGGGAGCTCTCTCACCTCTGCTACTATATGAGGATGCAGAGAGAAGGCACTGTCTATGAACCAGAATGTGGGCCCTCACAAGATACTGAATCTGCTGGTGCCTTGATCTTAGACTTTGAGCATCCAGAACTGTGAGCAATAAAATTCTGTCATTTACAAGCCACCCAGTCTGTCAGATTCTGGTATAGCAGCCCAAACAGACTAAGGCAGTGACACTGTCCCCAAAGGTTCTGAGAGAGCAGCACACAGCTGATTATCTTACCCCTGGACCTGAGACAGTTCTTTTGCAATAAGCCCAGGAAGTTTGTCCACTCCACGGCCGAGACATCTGCCCCCATGCTCTGTTGGCAGCCAAGTAACTGATCCCAGAGACTAGAAGTTGGCAGTCCTGCCTTACTGAGAACTCTCTGACCTCATGACTTTTCTTGGCATATAAGAATAGACATAGAGGCTGGACACATACATCCAACCCATTACTGGGGGCAAGACATGCAGTCAGAACCTAATGAGTAATGTACAAATCACATTGCTCCTCAATTTCTGTGCATGGAAACTAAGATGAGACCATTCTGCCCTAAACTCGAGTCCATACTGGCTCCCAAGGATGTGCAAAAACCAGCGCTATATTCATGCAACAACTTTTTTCCAGGTGTGCAATGGCTTCAGTTCTGGTTGTCCAGTTAGTGAAGCCTGGAAACCACCCTAGGTGTCCAAGTGAATTTGGAAAAGTGCTCAGTTCTAGGCACAGGAAGGAACTGTGCTTCAGCAAAGGCTGAGAGAGTGTCTGGAAGCTCTTGCTGCTCCTTGCCATGGCTGCCCCAGGCTCTTGGAGCAGGGTGTCCACCCCAGTGTCTCACACAGGCTGGGATGGCCACTCTAAAGACAGATGGTTCACCATCCAATCGGAAGGACAGAAGCTTCTGCAGCCACCACCCAAGTGCCTCGGAAGAAGGGGTGGGTGGGTTTGAGCTCCTGGCGCCATGGAAGGCCCTTCACCTCTTACCTTCCTCAGGCTGCAGGTGCCGCTGTGCCCGCGGATAGCTGCCAGCAGTGCAGATCGTTCGCCCTCTGCCTCCGTGTAGGACAGTTTCGCTGGCCTGCCCTCCCCGGTGTGTTCTGCCGTCTAGAATATTAACAGTGTCACACATTTCACTGAGAACATGGAGAAATGTGAACTGTAATGCAGCTCATGAGAAAACCCACTCATGGGCCAGGCACGGTGGCTCATGCCTGTAATCCCATCTACTCGGGAGGCTGTGGCACCAGAATTGTTTGAACCCGGGAGGCAGAGGTTGCAGTGAGCCAAGATTGTGCCACTGTACTCCAGCCTGGGCCACAGAGTGAGTCTCCGTCTCAGGAAAAAAAAAGAAAGAAAATCCACTCATGTCAGCCGAGGCCTATAGGGTCAGTTTTACACCCTGTCTATGAGAAGGCACACATAAGAATCAAAGGCTACGTAGTTTCAAACTGCCTCTTAATGGCAGACCACTCCTGCTATTCATCCCAGTGTTCCAGAGCCGATGTGTGTGTTTACATCTTGCAGACCCAGAAGAGAATCCATGGCCCCCACTAACTAGTGCCTGACCTTGGACGAGGCCCCTTGGCCTCACTGTGCCTCAGTTTCATCTGCAAAATGGAAGAAATATCTCATTATTAGCATTGGTGTAGCATGCAAATGAGATAATACTTGTGGTGTGTTAAGTGCCTAGACAATGGGCAAGGCGTGTCCTACAATTACTCCTGTGTTACTGAAGAATGACAGTTCGCTGCTGCTACAAATGCATATGGGAAAGAAGTGGCCCTGCCTGAATTTTCTCCTCTGTTCCATTGTTCAAGGATAACCATATGGATGGGCCTGCCCCTGGCCTCTCCATTCCTCTGGCCCTGTGGATGGACATCACTGGCTGTTACCTTTCCCACAGGGCAGCCAGGGGCCTGAAGTCAGTGTGGACTAGCCTCACACCCATCCATTTTGTCCCTTTAATAGTTCAGTACAAATATCTGGAGGCAGTATGATGGGAATTCTAGTTAAAATGAAACCTGTGTGGTAAGCCTCACTGTTATCCTAATCCCGTCTCTCTCTCTCCTCCGCTTTATTCTGAGACTCTGAGACCAGTGCACTGAAGTGGGCAGGTGTGGAAGGCCTGCCCCGGAAGCCGCCATCCTCACCTTGCGTAGTCTGTCCTTCCCTCCCGCAGAGTGGATGGCTTCCATCAGGGCAGAGTGCAGGGATGTGTCTTTTGGGACTGGTCTCTGGACAACAGGTTTGAATTTTTTCTTCGGCCCAAAAATGCTGGGTGGCCAAATACTGTCTGTTTCATTTCCATCTGTAGAGAACACACTGGGCTTTTCCTCTCTTTCTAGGAGAATGTGGCTTTCTGTGCCAGACCCTCCTGGAGGGTGGGAAGGCTCGCCGTGGCCTGGGGCGCGCACAGAGCCATTGACCAGCTCCCTGCTGCAGGCCTGAGTGTCAGATGTGTGTGGAGGGGGTGGGTCTGTACCATCAGGTGCGCGTCTGGGCTCAGATGCTGAGCTGGCCTCCTGGCTACTTGTGCTTTGCTTTCCACTGAAACCACAGCTCTGTCCCACAGAAACACGATCCCTCTGGGAAGACTGAACCAGTGAGAAACAGGAGCTTCTGTGGATAGCAGCAGGTCTGTCCTGAGTAGACAACTTCCTGTGTGGGCCAATGACCTCCCCCCTAGGAGGGGCTCCCACTGCCAAATCTTCCCCGTGGTTGTTGGGAGGAGTGACACAGGGCCACTGGGCACCATCCTTCCATCCTTGTGTCTCTGAGTGTGGGCTGGATGTCCTGTCATCTTTCACAGTGACAGGTGGTGCAGCCAGCACTGGCGCCTTGCCTGCATAACCCTTCTCGGCATAACCGTGTGGCCTCACCACATCAGCATGGACTTTTGGGGCTCCTATGCGCTTGGCAATGGCAGAGGCCACATACTGGCTGGACGTTCTTCTCTGAGGCTTGAGAAATGTGACTTCTGTGGTGTGAGCTGCTGGCACCCTCACGTGACCCATGCCCATGGTGGGGGGCTGGTTTCTCCCCTCCCCTAGGGGGTTCCGGCCCTCATGGTGGGCAGACTTCTGCTGGGGCGATATTGGCTTGGGGTCTGCTTGGAGTCTGCTCTCTGGATTCTGCGTCTGCGTGGGCACAGGGGTGGAGGGGGGTCCCCTGGCAGAGCTCTCTGAGGGTCGGCCCAGGTGTTTTTCCACAGAGTTGCACCTCCAGAACTCTCTGACTTTCCCAATGGGCTGAGATTCTGCTTCAGGCACAGACGAAGACAGGGAAATGATCCTGATGCCGGTGGCGTGAGGACTCACCAAGTTCCCCAGCTCGTCAATCTTAATGGCTCCGGTGGAGAGGGACACATCTCTGTCGTAACATCGCATCTCTGACTTTGGAGGAATGATTTTATACGTTGTGAGGCCGTGCTTAAGTCTGTAGCTTTTCCCTGGGTTTTGGCCTCGTTGGTGCCATGATGTTGGTGCCAAGGCAGCGTTTTTATCGTTGCTGTCCTTTTCATTCACCGGTTGGGAATTCACTCTCTCTGTGGCTTGAGTCCTCTCCCCGTCAGCACAGCCATACACTTTGTCTTTCACTTTTGCATTTAGGTTGTCTGTGTGAAGATTCGAAGCAAAAGAAGTCACCCTGGGCGCCGTTTCCATTAGATTCCCATCTTTAGAGATGTTAGATAAGGCCACACGGATTCCTTTTCCGACGTCATGGGAAGCGGGGTGCAGGGCAGGTACTTCCTCCCTTGCCTTTTCATGGGGCTGGCTGTGCTCAGCTTGAAGTGGCGCCAGGGAGTCTCTCCTGCTGGCAACACCCTCCGAGTCGAAAGACCCAGCATTGTTGTTTCTATTGGAAAACAACCCCGAATCCACAGGATCATCTGAAACTTCCCCTATGAATGTTACTGGGATTGCATCTGTGTCGCCGTGAGGGATCATGGCATCCTGTGGGCAGTGGTTGGATGCACCATGGATGGAGCTGGTGAGGGAGCTGGTGTCTGTTTCATAGCTGTCTTCCATTTCTGCAAAGAGGGACAAACACAAATCACAGATGTTTCCCACACCAATTACTTAGTGTAACTGCAGCCATGACTTTGATTTCCCTGAGGTTACTTTTGAATACATTATTTATATACGTTTTAAAATGTTATTTGGGTTTGTAATCTACATAATATGCCTGGGGCCAGAAGCTCAACTTTCATTACTCAACACAGCTGTTTGCAGATCCATGATGTTTCAAGGCAAGGTATTCAGTTACAATGTGCTGCCAACATCCTTCACTTAAAAAACTGATTTGTAGATCCAAGCCTCTGGAAAAACTGTCTCAACACAGAAACATGAAAATGAGTTTTGGGTTTTGACCTCCATGTTTCTCATGTCCACTAGAAGCACAACAAAATCCAGAGGACCACGGGCTGTAGCTTTAACTTCTTAAGGAAGCAGATGACTAAATCTTGAGTATCTCAGAATTACCATGGCTCTTCCAAGCACCAAATTATGCAATGGTCATGGGGTCAGAACCTGCGGGACACACTATGGCTGATTCAAATTTTTAGCTCTGTCAACTATACATTCTCAGGACAGGAAACTGAAAAGTGAGTCAGACAAAAACTACTCGTCAGTTTTGCAGTCTGTTATCTTCTCTCTAAGGCATGATAAATATCTAATTTTTAGTTTATTTTCAACATGTGCATTGGAGAAAATAACATAGCTGCTTTGTTTGAAAGATTCCCTAGCTGTTTACTGCAACTATTTGCCATCTGCTTTGGCCTTCCAGTATTATTTCCCCAAAATATATCAATATAATAGCAGTGCCATGAGATGCTCCATTATAAATGGCTTCATTGTGGTCAAAAGGCTGAGTATTTCTCATTGACAGATATGCCATATATCAACAAATTAAGAGAAGTCTTAATGAGGAAATCTGTTTATTTTTTGCGCCACCCTTTTTATTCTTTAACATGTGTGGCATACTTTTTTAATGCACTGAATTAGTATTATTCAGAGCACACTGTAAGCAGTTGTCTGGATGTTTCCAGGTACTGCTTGGCAGCCCAGATAAAAAGCAGTCTACCGGAAACCTGTGTGCGCCTCACATCCAGACTTTCACCAAACTGACCTGGAATTCCTTCTGAAGGCTGTTTCCTCACATAGATACATCAAAGTATGCTCAGAGGAAGTTACTGTTGGCACCTACTTTCATGCAGCATAATATCAGAGTAGCGGATCAGGTGGTTCTTACCTTCCAGGTCTTCATCAAGTTCTGCAAGGGTTTTACGGAACTCTCCAGCAATTAATAGGTCTTCTTCATCATTTGAGGCTGTGACAGCTTTTTCAGTTCTAGGGAAGACCAAAGAGAAAGGAGCACTCATTTCTCTTACTATTGATTTAATGTACTCCTTTCCAGGAATATCTGAGGATAGAACAGCTCATACTCAAATTCAAGCAGTCACATACTCACTGTACTGCTGTTGTCCTCAGAACTACGGAGACGCAGATTGTTCATGGGTGTGTGTGTCCCCCATGTGTGTGCACAGGTATGTGTGGGATGCGTGTAGCGTGTGTGCATGTGTGGAGTATATGTCTTGTATGTGGTGGACATGTGATATATGGTGTGTGTGTGGGGCCCCAAAGTGTTACAGTAACCAAACCACACACAGCTTTCATTCACTCTGCAGACTGAAGTCAAAGTTTTAATTCCACCGCACAAAAGACGGTTCACGTGATCCAGGATTTGCTTGCATCTGTGCCTTGCGCTACAGCAGTCCCCTGCACCTGGCACCTGGCAAGAAGGAGTGAAGCCATCTGGAGGCCAAGCATGTGCACGTGGCTGGAGGCTGGTCCACCTCACCTCAACACTGCACAGCCCGGCTGTTCCTTGGCACTTGCGGATTTGAGTGCAGCGTCGTTCAAGGTCCCAGTGATAAAGGCTACATACCTCTGGTGCAGGATCTGCCTGCTGTTAGGAGGTCCGTGGGGAGGGTTGTGCAGGGCTGCATGGGGGAGTGTTCCCAGAAGTCCCACCAACTTCATAAGCTCAGCCTCCATCTGTGTCCACCCTAGCAGTAGCCCACCCTGCCAGACTCAGAAAACGAGAAATTTCACTCCTCTACTATAAATGACTTTTACAGACTCTATGTTTACTTTGGCTTAATTCCTACCCTTGGTGGGTGACAGGGAGCCTGATAATGCCACTTGCAGGGGCAGGGCTTGGGGGCCTGATAATGCCACTTGAAGAGCTGTACTCCCTAGAATCTTGAACTGGGACATAAGGACAATAAGGATGGCCAAAAAACCTCACAGCAACAGTAGCAGGAGTAACTGCTCCACCCTTGACTCCGCAAGACCCTTCCCAAGGGCCTCCTCTCAGACTTAACAGGAGGAAGCTCCTAGCAGTGTGAGGCCTGTCTGCATGCCTTTGTGCCAGCCCCCGCACAGAGCTCTTTTGCATAAATTATCTTATTATAACCCTCACAGTTTTTCAGGCAGGTAGTGTTGTTGTCACTGTTGTACAGTGATGAAACTATGTACGGAGAGACTACAGAGCTGCCCAGGTCACACTGGCATCTGGAACCAGGCCTGCCTGCCCCCAAAGCCCAAGAAGGACCAGCTGCATCTGGGGCCACAACACATAATAATGTGGCCCCTGTGGCACGGGGCATCCAGGAAGATGTCAACCCGTCTGCTCAGAGAGCGGGATCTGGCTTCATTTGCGTCACAGGGACAATGGCATCTGTGAGACAACTGCTGCCAAAACAATTTAAAAACTGTCTTTGCAAGGGCTCTTGCCTCTATTTTCCTATTGTGCAGAAAACACAGAGACATGTCTATGGCAATTGTCTATCTTCAGTGAAAGCTGAAGGTTTGTTTTCCGCTGATTGTTAAAAATTGAGGACCAATTTCCATCACTGCTAATCAGGCCCAGATAATGATGCATGAAATAAGCTTTGCACAATCCTCACGTAGCAAAGTTTTTATTCTGATAAATGAGTCTTTCTGATTTGGTGACTATGTCCATTTGGGAGCCAGGAAGTGGCTTCCAGATTAGTCTCAGCTAATGTCCTCTGACAAGCTACACAAAGGGGGCTGGTTGGAGATGTGTGTGCATGTGGACCCATTAATAAGGACCACAAGAGGTGCATGACTGTCTTCCCTATTGCTTTTGCCATGGACTTTAATTATTTGAATGCACTTTACTAAAGTTCTGCTTTTCTCTTTCATGGAATGAGATGGTTTAAATACATTTAAATTTTTAATAAAATATATGGCAGAGAAAAATGGAAATTGCCATATAAAAGAGCAATCTGAAATGGAAAAGAGATTTAAATACTTGGAAAGATGGAAAACTTTTTAAATGCTTGCTCTTAGTTTAGGATGCTTAAAGCCCAGCCAAACAAAATTACAGACATACTTTTACTTCAAAGTATTTGCCTTTATTTTAAAGTATGCTTGATCACGTCACTATGAGACATGGAACATAATGATATCAATAAGAATTAAAAAAAATAATAAGATAAAAACTCCACTGATTCTACCATTTTGCAAAATAGCAAAACAAAACAAAACAAAACAAAAACCCACCCCAAGCTGATGAAGATGTGATGAATCTGACAGACCCACACTTGTTGCTACAGGTTTTAATTGGAAAGCAATGTGGAAATACATATCAAAAAACACACAAACAAAAATCACGTTATCTTTGTAAGAACTTTGGCCCATTAATCTCTTTTTTAATAATCTGCTTTAAGGAAACCCTATAGAAGGAAAAATATAAATACAACAAAGTTCATGTAAGAATTCTAGAAATGTCCAGCACTAGGCAGTTACCTAAATTATTACATATATATTTCAAAGGGCATTAAAATCAGTAAATATGATGATCATTAAGTCTATGTAGAAACACACATCCATGCTTATGTTAGCATGTTATGTGAAGAAATCAGCACACACATATATAGAAACACTGTGATGATTTAAAAATAGCAAATACCTTTGGACAAGGCGGAGACAGAAATCTAACAAGAAACCAACCAGCATGACTTAAGGAAAAGGATGAATTAGGATGAATATTTTACCCTTTTTCTTTAGAACTGTGCTTGGTTGAGTTCAAAGCAGCTTGAGTGACAGAGCAAATTTTTAGCCAGCAAAATTTAAAAGGATAATTTTGTCCTTTAGTGAACAAGAATTCTTTCCTGCAAAGGAGTCTGCATTCTTCTTACACTGCACACAGTAAGCACTTTATTTTGTTACTGAGTGCCTAGCAATCTTAGTGCGTGGCTGTCAGCCTGAAACTGTAACAGAGAGGCTGTACAAGGTCTGAACAGTCTCAGCCCTTCAACACCTTCCTCCTCCCAGGCTCCGGGCTCCCTGCCCTCTAGAAACAGCAGGAGCCCAGCTCCAGGCGCTTGGGGCTGCTTCTGAGCTGGTTTCTCCCCTATCCACCAGTTACAGCTGCCTTTCTGGAGTCTGGGGACCCTGTGCTCAGCCCTAGTCCTTCATCCCTGTGTTTTTTCCTGTCCAGCTCCCTCCCACCACTGGCCTCACTTGGCACTCTATAGAGGTTGCCCCGGACGCTGCTGCTTGGTTCCAGGCAATGCTGGTACCTCTGCATCCCACCTCTGCTCCAGCTTTGCTCCCCCACACTTCAGTGTGGGGCTGGCTCCTTGGGGCCCTGCTTGCCCTGAAAGAAAGAGTGGACATGAGCTAGGAGCTCCCAGCCTGTGTGCACCGTGGAGTGAGGGAAGGTCTGGCCACCACGCAGCCCAGGACCTTGTTTGGTGTTCCTCCTGAGGCTGCCAAGCTCCTGGCATCTCTGAGAGAGGAAAGAGGAGCAGCCTGCTCTTCTTTTGATGCAAAACAGGGCGGCTGTGTTCTGAGCATGTATGAATGGATTATCTAGCAAAAGCCAGAGCCAATGGCAATGTAGTGATTTTACTTTCCAGTGTAAGAAAGCAGGAGGGAGAGACAGCAGTATTTTCCTTCCTTACTAACTCCCATCTACTTCTCTCCAAAGGGTTACTAATGGATTATAAACATTCCTCTCTCTTTGCAAAACCACCAGATTTATGCCCTTAGTCACTGGGCTTGGAGGCCAGTTCCCTGTGGGCTTAGCAGGGGAGCCCTAGGTATGTGTCCCTGAAGAGTTAGCAGTCAGCAAGAAACATCAGCCTCTGTTAGCTTAAAGTAAACCTGCCCAGATGTTTTTCTCCCGGGCTTCCTTCCCCCCCACCAACACATACCTCAATCTTTAGAAACGTTCCTTATTGACAGTTTGTTCTGGCTTAAGATCAAGGAAATAAATGCAAACAAACACAGGGAAGACATTTTGATATCAGGCTGCATGTGTTGAATAAGTATTGCAGTTATTTTCTCACACGGAGTTGGGGACTCTGCAGGGAATGTGAATGTTTAGGCTACTGGGGCATGCAATATGAGGGACACAGCTCAGCACCGGCAAGTTTCAAACCAGAGTCTGCCCAGGAAGTGGACCTGCGTCCTTGGGCCCAGCCTCTTGGGATGGTCGGAGGGTGGCAGGCTGACCGATCCACCCAGCCGGGTGTGTGCAGGGCTTGCTGAGCCTCTGCATTCATACCCCAGCCTCCAGCAAAAACGAGAACTAGGGACAGTCAAATTCAGTTAGTGCCAGGAGCCAAAAGCGCTTTTTGATTTGTTGTTTTCATTTGCTATGAGGGAGAATGGGCTGAATCTGACCAATCCGAAATGTACAAGATGGGTTCATAGCACATGAGGTCACTTTTTCTTTTTGATGAGGCTAGTACAGTGGCAGAATTAATGAAAAAAAAAAAAAGTCTGAGAGGAGAGAGATGTTGCTTTTAGGTAGCAATCCAATTTGCTAATGACAACCAAACCAACTCCTGTGATTTCAAAGTGATTACTTGATTAACTAAAGGCAAGAAGCCTGGGAAAATATGCAGTTGATGATAGTCGTATGTGCTTAACCTCCCCCTTCCATTTGTAAATGTTCCTGTATTAGCAAAGCTTCAGAGTCCTAGAACAATGGTGCCCAATATAACATGAGCCACATGTATAATTTAAAATATTTTTATAATAACATTGAAAATGTATAAAGAAATAGGTAGAATTTTAATAAAACAATTTAGTGATTTCTGCCAATAATTAATATAAAATTATTTCTTTCTGTACCAGATTTGATGTATATTTTACACTTAACAGCACATGTCAATTTGGACCAGACACTTGGCAAGCGCTCGGCAGCCACACACATACTGGACGGTGCAGCTCTCCAAGGTCTCACATGTGTTTTAAACACTCCTTTGTAAATGCAGTCACAAAGTTTCAGAGTTCTAGAAGCGGTCTGGAATGTAGAAAATGTTTCTCAATGATTCCGCAGTCACAAAGTTCTTATGCAATCCTCTCTCTGTATCTGAGGAAAGGGGGATTGGTTCCAGGATCCCCCATAGATACCAAATTCTGCGGATGCTCAACTCCTTTGTATAAAATGGCATAGTAGCTGGGTGCGGTGGCTCACGCCTGTAATCCTAGCACTTTGGGAGGCCAAGGTGGGCAGATCACTTGAGGTCAGGAGTTTGAGACCAGCCTGGCCAACAGGGCGAAACCCCATCTCTACTAAAAATACAAAAATTAGCATGGTGGCGTGTGCCTGTAATCCCAGCTACTCAGGAGGCTGAGGCAGGAAAATCGCCTGAACCCAGGAGGGGGAGGATGCAGTGAGCCAAGATCGCACCACTGCACTACAGCCTGGGTGACAGAGTGAGACTCCGTCTCAAAAAAAAAAAAAAAAAAAAAAAAAAAAAAGCATAGTATTTGCATATAATCTATGCACTCTTACACAGTCATGAGCTGCATACTCATCTTTCAGTCAACAATGAAGTTTCAAGGTTCTAGGTGGTGCCAAATGTTTCTAAATGCTCCTGTGTCACAAAGTTTCTGCAGTCAGCAGGTTTCAGAGGTTGGCTGGTGTGATCTGGGTCCCTCTGCACCTCTCACTACAGGCCCTCAGTCCCATAAGGATCCTCATAGCCACAAGCCTGCAGGTAACAGCACAGCTCCTCACAAAGTGCTTCTGCAGCCATCATCCCCAGCAGGCACCAACAAGTGGGGGCTGAGAAGGAAATGTACAGGCTGCCAGGCTGAAATGGGACATCGGGCACTCCAGGGAGGCTCCCTTCAACTGGAGAAGCTACACTCTCTACCTTTGGTGGCTCTGCATATGATTTCAGTTTGGCCTTACTGTTAAAAAAGAAAAAGCCTGACACCCACTTATTCGATCTCTCTCTTTTACTTCTCACAGCATTCCTGTGGAATTGATGTTCCCAAAAGGAACCCTAGAACTCAGATTTTCACAATAATTATACACAGTTAGATATTGCCTGGTTATAGCAAGGTTGCTTTCAGAATTCAAGAGTTTATAATCAGTGCTAGTTCCACTGTTCCTTCCCTGCAGGTAGGAGGAGATACAGTCTCCTCTACTTCCCCATCCATCTCTCTCTCTCTGTCTCTCTCTCTCTTATATACACATACATGCACATATACGCATGCACACATATATATGTGTCTATTTATCTATTTTTCAAACATGTTATAAATAAAGAGGAAGATGATCAGAGCTAGATACAAGTTACAAAGATTACCTAGCAAATCAAATTTCTCCCCTTCCTCAGTCAGTTGTACATAACAATACCAGCAACAATAACACCAGCTACCAATTGTTGAAGGCTAGCAATGTATCAGGCACTATTGTAAGGAGGAGGTAGTGCATATCTCAATTTTACTGACCAGGAAATTGAACCAAGAGGTGAAGTCACTGGGCACACCACTGCCAGCCATGGGCAGTTCCTTCCCTAAGCAGTCTAAATGCAGACTCTTCAATCTTCAGATTAAGTGATTCTTTAACTATTAGGAGCATTGGCTGGGGTCATATGTAAGGGACAGATGCCTTTCGGAAGAGTCTGTGAGTCCATGAAGTCCAGGGCAGAGCTGTGTGTGAGGCACACAGGACCTTCCCTGAGGGCCATGCCCAGGTGTCCCCAGAATGAAATGCAACCACCACATGCACATTTCTATTATTCCTGTTCAGATCTTGGGCTGAGCTCTTCCTTAGGAGTTTCTTCACTGGCTGTACTATGTTGAGAGGAAGACTCTGGGACTCTGATGTTCCCTTTACAAGGTCAAATTTCAACTGAGATTTATTCTGCAGTGAAAAATTATAATCGGATACCATCACATGACTGGATGAAAACATACGCTTTTCAAATTGCAGCAGCACATATAACATATTCTAATAATTATTATTTTTTGAGATGGAGTTTTACTCTTGTCACCCAGGCTGGAGTGCAGTGGTGTGATCTCAGCTCACTGCAACCTCTGCCTCCTGGGTTCAAGTGATTCTCCTGCCTCAGCCTCCCTAGTAGCTGGGATTACAGGCGCCCAACAGCACGCCTGGCTATTTTTTGTAATTTTAGTAGAGATGGGGTTTCACTGCGTTGGCCAGGCTGGTCTTGAACTCCTGACCTTAGGTGATCCACCTGCCTCGGCCTCTCAAAGTGCTGGGAGTACAGGCGTGAGCCCAACGTGTAACATATTCTAATTATTACCAAGCATTCACACTTGCTCTTCTTAGAAGCATGGTATTCTTGAGACTCTTCAATTTAATGCCTTGGCTCCAAGGACACCGAATGGAGCCCACCAATGCTGCCATGTATGAAGCAGGTGCTGCAGCAGCAGCGAGGCCAGTCGAACCTCTAAATACAACTGCACACAACCCAAGCAGTGAAGATGCCACTGGGCCAGGACAGTTTTTAGCTGTGGCCAGCCCAACATGGCTCTCTCCTTGGACAGGTGGCAGAGCTCTTGAGGAAATGGTGTTTGCCTCCAGCTTGTCAATGTGTGAACCCAGGCATCCCTAGCCAAAGGAGTCTAGATGATTTTGACCTTCATAGGGTGCAGGGAAAGGAGAAATAGCTAAGAAAACTAGAACATAGCGAGGTAGACCTTACACACTTGGGTCTTTCCAGGTGATGAAGGGTCTTAAGGCTGTTCCCAAACCGTGTTTAGTGAATACCCAAGTAACAGAGGGGTAGCAATAGAAGACACCACCTTGGCCAAGTTGATAAACTATGAGAAATCCTCATTTTCTTGATGACTGGGACTACTGCAGAGACTTTCTGCAAGCTGAAGATGTCTGGGGCTATCAGGGACAGCTTCACAACCTATCCAACTCCACTCTCAGCCTAGAGGCCTGGCCTTGCCAGCCAGACAGAGGGTGACTTCTGCTTTGCCTGAGCCCCAAGGCCTGTCATTCAGAGGGGATGGAGAGGGCTCATGTCACAGCTAGGTCCTACATCTTTGTCGTTTGCCATGTAAGACAAACACGGGTTCTGGGAGCACAAATGGGCAGCTCAGGATGAGTTGTGGAAACCAGGTATAGGGGGTCATCCAGGGTAGGGCCAGGAGGCTCGACTCAGGGACCAGGCACAGGGCACCAGGAACGGTGATCATGCCCTCTCTGGGCAGCCTCCTCTTGATCAAGGTGGTGTTGGGTATATGTTTCAGGGGCACAATGAAAGAGGAGCTTGAGGTGCCAACTAGGGACGCTCTGCCAGGCTTTTGCTCACACTGCCTGTCAGAAAACCTCCTCTTTGCTATTGTTTCTCTCAACCGCCAGAGTCTGAACATGGATGCTGCTGTTTAGTGTTCTAATAGGGTTCCTCTGTGCAGGTGGCCAAGGTTAGGGCCACATCCCTGTGAACAGTGGTGGGTTCTGCGCTCTCACAAGTTCACCTTGAGTCTGGGCTGTCAGCCCCCAGGCATGGGTCCTCACTGTAGGGATCGTGACCACCTGACAGGCCTGCTCCATCGGGCCACACCTGAGTTCTGCTGCCTGGGCAGCTCCCTGCCAGCCCTGCCTTTACCACCCCTGTGCTGCCTAGGCTTTCGACAGGGTTCACTCCAGATGTGAATGCCAAGCCTGTCCCTGGAACACACTATTTTCATCAAAAGAGGCAGATTCTCTCTACGTTCCCAACCTTATGTGTGAATCGATATTTTTCAAGCAATATAGCACAGGGAATACTTCAGTAGCGACAAGTGTATTCCAAAGCTGACAAATAGGCAAGCAAAGTAATCTTGTTTCTCCCAAAGAGAAGTGCAACAATCGATGCAGCCTTCAGTCCTCAGGAGGGTGTAAGTCTGGGAACAGGCCACATCCAGCTTGCATATGTGTTCCGTTTCACCCTGAGTGCCTGAATTGGTTGCCAACATTTACAATTTGAGAGACATCACATAAAAATCTAGATTTCTGGCTTCTCTTCAAAAACTGGCCACACTGGGTCTGTAACCCACAGGGTGACAGTTGGACAGAGGGAGCAGGGCTGCTCTCTTTAGAGAAAGCATGTGTTTTCCACACTGCCTGTGATCTCTCACCAGCTGAGCCTCCCTCAACCTCGCCTAACCCCTGCCTTACCCCTAAAGCATCCATATTTGCAACCCCTGCATTGCATGGGAGGCACTGCTTTTAAGTAATCCTGAAATTTATTGAAAATCATGTATTTGGGAAAAAATGTGATATACCATGCTGAAATCTCTGAATATGTCTAATTTGTCAGTTGAGATAATTTCTGTTAAAAAAAAAAAAAAAACCTCAAAATGGTGCCCAAAAAACTAGATTCATTCTATGAAATCCCCCCTCCCCTCAAAAACACACACACACACACACAAAACTATAGTAATTCCATGCAAGGGCAGAGTCAATCCCAACTCTTTGGCAAATAACCCAGCATCACAGACAGGGCTGAGGGACTCAAAGAGCATCTTCATCCTCATCTGACTGATGAGCTGACCACATCCCAGTGAAGGAAAGTGATTGTCCAGGGCAATTCATGGTGCCCCCATTTCCTAAAAACTAAGGGCAGTAGTTCTGACAATGGGTACTACTTATTATATATGCAACATGCATGGTATCATCTGTGCTGGGCTTTTCCCAGGCTCATGACAACTCTGATAGATAGGTGGCATATCTGCACTGTGTATGATCAAAAGGTAATGTTTGGCAAAATTAAGTGGACTCTTAAAGGCCAAACAGCTAGTTAGTGGTGGTAAGATTCCATTGTAGGTCTATCAGGTTCCCGAACTCCCTCCCTCCCCACCACAGTACTCTCAAATTCAGTGGCACCCCAGAGATGAGGGCAGGAAAACACGCCATATTCCCTGTTTGCATAAAGCATCAGGTTCCAAAGACTCAATGATTATTCTGGCTGTGGCCATAGTCAATATTAACCCTCATTATTTGGATAGAAATCAGCAAGATTTTACATCAACGGTCAGCACCAGCAAAGCAAACAATGAGTCCTATGCGCAGCATCCCGCGGGGTGCAGAGTAACGCATGTCTGATTAGTTTCAGATGTGGAATGCAAACCTGTGCAATCCCCATGCAAACTGCAGAACAGACGTGGAGATTACAGTAGAAAGTGGTTTTTCTTTATGTTAAATGACTAAAAGGAAAAATGCCATAATTTTGCTCTGTTCTCACAGATGTAAACAACACAGGCCAACCTCAGCAAAATGCATCTTGTGTGGGGTAGGCAGGAAGGAACCAGTTGCTGCCTTTGAATTTCCTTTCTGATGAAATATAAACTTGGTCTTGGAGTCATCCTAAGAATTGAAGAGCTATACTTTAACATTATTAGGGATGTGTATAACAACATGGGGAAGTGCTCATGACAAACTGTTAGGTACAAAGAAATATAAAGTATTATTGATAAGACAATTACACTAACCAGATACAGATTTGTGAGTTCATATGAATAGGGTTGGAACAAAACCTGAAAAATATATTATAAAAGCATTCATTCATTTTGGTGACTGGCTTATGAACTATTTCTTTAAATCAGTTTACCTTATTTCTTTCCTTTTTTTTTTTTTTTTTTTTTTTGAGACAGAGTCTCACTCTGTCACCCAGGCAGGAATGCAATGGCGCGATCTCGGTTCACTGCAACCTCTGCCTCCAGTGTTCAAGCGATTCTCTTGCCTCAGCCTCCCAAGCAGCTGGGACTACAGGCAAGTGCCACCACACCCAGCCAATTTTTGTATTTTTAGTAGAGATGAGGTTTCACCATGTTGGCCAGGCAGGTCTTGAACTCCTGACCTCAGGTGATCCGCCCACCTGAGCCTCCCAAAGTGCTGGGATTATAGGCTTGAGCCGCTGCACCCAGCCCATTTTACCTTATTTCTGTTAACATTTCCATAATATTTATTTGATGAGTTCTTACACTTATCTAAAAGACGAAAAACATTGGCGGGCTGAAGAGAATCAATATGCCTTTCTATATAATAAAGAAAGGAATCCTGACAGTGTGGTGTTGGTACAGAGATGGACAAATACACCAGTGCTACAAAAAGAGCACTGGAACAGAACAACGTGCACATGGACACTTGATGTCTGACCATAGTGGGGACAGGAATCAGTGGGAAAAAATAGATCCTTCTTCATATCACACCCAAAAATAAACCCCAGGTACAAGAGGGCCCAAATGTGAGAGAGCAGTTTTACAAGAAATTCAGACTATCTTTAGTCTTTTAGGGTACGGGAAGGATCTCTTAAATAGGCAAAGATTATATACATCTGAGAGAAAAAGGAAAAATTAAATAATATTAGAATGTAAAGACAATCATTGTACAAGAAAAGAAAACATTAATTAAGTTCAAGCCACAGGCTTAGAAATGTTCCATGTGTAAATAACTGACAAAGGAGAATTTAATAATCAAAAAAAGTAAACATAACAATGTTTAATTTAATTCAATTCTTTTTGAGACTGAGTCTTGTTCTATTGCCCAGGATGGAGTATAGTGGTACAATCTCAACTCACTGCAACCTTCACCTCCTGGGCTCAAGCAATCCTCCCATCTCAGCCTCCAGAGTAGCTGGGACTACAGGCACATGCTACCACACTCAGCTAATTTTTAAATTTTTTTTGTAGAGAAAAGGTCTCACTATATTGACCATGCTGGTCTTGAACTCCTGGGCTCAAGCAATCCTCCTGTTTCAGCCTCTCAAAATGTTGGGATTACGGGCATGAGCCACCATGCCAGGCCAAACGTGGCATGTTTTTTAAAAGAGCAAAGGCTATGAAACGGCAATTAATCCAATATAAGGCCCAAATTGCTAATGAATATATGACAAGATGCTCATCCTTCCTAATCAGAGAAATGTAAATGAAAGCTACATGAGATGCCATCTGACGCCTACATGCTGGCAAAGCTCAAGATGTCTACTGACCTTAATCACTGGCATCGGTGTGCAACAAGGGGACCTTGCAGACACTGGGGGGCCCGCCAACTGCATAAGCATTTCAGGTATCCCATAAAGCTGAAGATGAGTCTCTTTCCTGTCACTTTCCTCTTCTAGAAAAGTCTCTACATGTAAATAGAGACATATGTTTCTTGCTCATTGTTTCTAGCCCTGAAAAACTAGAACAATCTAAGTGTTCATTATCAGGAAAACAGGTAAATAAATGAATGAACAACACAGATATCATCATGGATAAATCTTACAAACATGATATTGAGTAGAAAAATATACTTAAGGGTATGGTACCAAAGCAAACAAGCCACTCTTACACAGTCTTTGTAAGTTACTGCAGATGTATAGACAGCACAGAGACATGCCTGAGAGCAGCTGCTGTGAATCAGGGTCGGGGCCCCTGGTGCAGAGCAGGTTGTGATAGCACGTGTTGGATCCCATGACAAAAGACCCTCTTTAGAGACACAGATGTGGCTGTGACTTCCGTACCCACCCATCCTTCCCGTGACTCACCTCAGATGTGAGTTCTCAGAGCCATTCTTCTCCCACAAGGGGCTCTTCTGGGGACCCAGGTCTGGGGTTCCAGCGAGGTCCTGGTCACTGCAGTCTTCCTGGTCTGTGGCCCACTTGTCTTTGTATTTCATGCTGTCCTGCTGCGAGTCCAGAGAGACGATGTCTGAGGGGGAACTCATCACTCCTGAGTCCTCGGTCGTGTCCTCCGACGCAAAACAGCTGCCAACTGACACGGTCTCCTCCGCCTCTGACAGCACCTGCGGGGCTCCATCCGGGCTGCAGTGGCTGCCAGACCCCAGGGGCAGGCTTACTGGACAAGACACGGCAAGGACAGGTCAGCCCAAACCACTCTGGCGTCCATACTGCCTAACAAGTGTGACATCAGTCTGTCGGCCCCGCTCTAAAATTTGGGATTCAGGGTGCTCAAAGTAAAGGAAGAACCTCATTCAAATACTGCTGAATACTCCTGAAACATTTTAACTCACAGGGAGTCATTTGTGTAAGATTGAGGGCAAAATTTTCCCTCAAAAATCAGTATTTGATTAATTAGCCTTTTACATTGGTCTCCTCTCTATGGCTATGGGCAAGCACATTTAAAAATTCAAACTAATGACATGTTGAATGCAATTGTTTCTAGGCTGGCCTTTGGCTTAATGGAACTTGTTTAATGTGAGATCTTTAGAAAAACATTAAGACAATTAGAGTTTTTGGAAATATAAATAAGCAGACATAAGTATCAGTTTGGACACATCTGACGTGTATTTCATATTTGAAATCTGGCCTGGAAGATTCACGGCCCTACTCCCCAGCTTTTGGCTCTCCCTTAATTTTTACATGTGAGGCCAGTTTCTGTGGTTGAGGTTACCTGGCTCCTATGCACTAAATGTGATTCGCTGCAGGAGTTTGGTGAGATGCATAGAGTGGCAACTTGCTCTCCAAGCCAAGTTCTGTCAAGCCTTAATACTAATGATGGGTAGCACTATGGCTATTCTGCGCAACTACCTAGCTATTTGTAGATAGCAATACATTAAGTGTAAGTAATGGGAGGTCATTATTTTTCTCTTACTGAGCTTCTAGATTCTCTAAAATCACAGAAGCCTCTATGCAAAGAGATGAAATTTGAAGGACAAAAACACACAAGTCTAGCCCAGATGTATATTAGAGTTGTTATTGTTTTTTAATAAAAATAGATTTTAAACTTCAAGACACTTCAGGACATATGATCTAAGCACTATTTATAACAGTCCAGAAAACAAGCACTGTGTTTTGTTGCAGTCCCAGTGTATTTTGTTTTAAAGTCATTCTTCCCCTAAATAGTCACTGGATGCCCAAAGTGAATTAAGACTCCTCTGGGAGTGCTCACTCCACAAAATCATGCACTGAGAGTGAAGTGACATCACAATTGCACTCAACATCACCAACATTTTAACTGGACAGGAGACTAACAACTTATCACCACGAAACCAAAAGAAAATCCCATCAGGTGATGGTATATTTGAGATTCCAAACAATAAAACAAATGAAAGAACAACAGTTTAAAGAATATACATTTCACTAAAGAGCTCCAAGGTAAAGAATAGAACGAAAAAAAGGAATAGTTTAGAGCAGTGTAAACGTACGAGGAGATATGCTGAATGCAGTGATGCTGGTCTGCTGCGACCTCGCTCTTCTAGTTCTCTCCCCAGCTTTTGGGGCTAGACTCTTGTTCAAGACAAATATTGAGAAGAAACGTCGCTGTAGCTCCCTGTTTCCCATCACTCCTCTCTTGCCTTCCCTTTTGCTGCCATCACTGAACAATAAAACCAGCACGTTTTTTCTGTCTATGTTGTATATAAAAAGTATGACAAGAGTAAAACTCTCAGGTCACAGAGACCTGGATTCACACCCTGGTGGAGTAAGGTAATGCTGCTGCCCACAGGGTCCCTGTTGCTAAGTGGGTGCCTGAATGTGAACGGCCCTGTGACAGGGCCTGGGGACACATATTTCCAATCCAAGCATGTGGGCTCTCTGGCACTCACAGCTTCTGAAGGGACAGACACGTACGCAAAGAATGACAGTGCTGTATGGTCACACCAACTCTCGGTGTGCTCCCATAGGCAGAGTGTGGCAGGCTGGACTGAGCGAGGTGGTGGCACACAGTAGGGGCCACACAAATGCTGGTTTAGCCTGGCTTACCCTCTTCCCTCTCCAGGGATTATCGCTGAGGCGCAAAGTGACCTTAACAAATGTGTCCCCACTAGCTGTCTGCTGCCAGGCCCCTTGGAGGAGGCCCTCAGAGCACCTGGTACATGCCCTCTGGAGGCACAGAACACATCGCAGGGCAGAGGGACTCTAACCCACCTCCACCCCTTCTCTAGCCAGTTATAAGATCAGGAATGCTTGTCGGGTGATACATATATATTCCTCAGAAGTTTTGAGGCAATAAAAAAAAGTTGAGAGCCTGTGGTCTAAATTAAGCCACCTGCAAAGCCTTAAATCAACATGGAGTGAGAGGTCACATATTTGGTGCACACACGTGTTAAACCATTTACAAAATGACTAATGCGAGTGCTATTACCAGAGCTCCCCTTTTGCCCAGGCCAGCCCTCCTGCTCTCCATGTGGATAATCTTCCCATGGCCCGTGTGGCCTGGCCACAGCCCTGCGACACCATTCATGCCATTGGTGCAGAAGCAGGTGGGGGTGGGGGGGCCTGCTCTCAGGAGGTTTATCTGCGTCTAGGGAGAAGAGTGGCACAGGAATTGAAAAGACAACTGTCTAAATGCTGGGAGGAGAGGGAACATGGGTGAAAGGCCTTCTGCCAAAGGGGTGGGACCCGTCCAGGAAAGACCAGGCAGACCTCCCCACAGTGATGCCGGCACCTGCTCGGAGTATAGGGTGGGGCAGGGTGTGGCCAAGGGGGAGCACCTGCAAAGGCTTTGAGGAGGGTGATGGAGGCTGAGTGGGGAACTTTCCAGAGAAGCTTCCTGGTGAGCTGTCAGAGAGAGCACAGATCTGAAGAGAAGGGCAGATATTCCTGTGAAGCCCCAACCTGTGTTGGTGTGAGTTTTCAGGCAATTTCTGATCCCTCCTTTCCGAGGTCTGCTCTGTCCTGGGCATCTTTTGTTTGGAATCAGACATGCCCATCTCACTCATCCTGCCCCCACCCCACATCTCTTTTCTTCCTTCAGCTGGTTCCGATGATTAACCCCATGAACTGTAACATGTTTTGACAATTTCTGAATGAGATAATGGTGCAGGAGACTTTTTTTTTCTTCATCAATGCTAAACGGAAACTCAGAACATAAAAGGAAAACGTGGAGCTGCTTGGGCTGCATCGAGGTTGGGGGCCCAGGTCCTGTCCTCCAGATCCTGTGTGTGTCCCATTTCCCACCCTCTGTCCAGCCTCTGAGGGGCTTCCCTAGAGCCAGCGATCCAGGGACCCCAGCCTGAAACCCAGGGGCAGCAGGAGGAGGGCTGAATTGAAAGCCCAAATTGCACTCTGAACAATCCCCTTTCCCCTTTCTGTAAAATAAGCAGTTGGCTCTGACGGGCTCTAAAATCCCTTCTAGAGTGGAACTGTTAACAGTCTTTGAAATGCCAAATCAAAATATAGGATGTAAACACTCATTTTTACAACTGACCAGTGACTAATTAGGAATCTTTAAAAGGAATACAACATTGGCTTTGTCCTTTCTGCTATATTCTGTCTTCCCTGAGAGGGTAAGTCATTATTTTTGAGTTAATTAATGCACTGGCAACTTTGCTATTCTCTTAAGGCATGAACAATCTCTTTGAACTAAAAAGTTATTACTGCAGGATTTTTGCAAATGTGAAAAAGCACACTTACTTTGTCTTTCGCAGAAGCCTAATATAAATTCATGATTTAATTCTCTTCTAAATGAATAGCCACAGAGCCTGAGTAAGGAATATTAACCCTTCTATTGTCCTCCACCTAAATTATATAATCCCATGGTTCAGAGGCCATTACATATCTCTGAATGAGCTTTGGTAAATTCTTCAGCTCAAGTATAAAGAAGAAAATGCTAACTTAGGGCTACTAGTTCCTCAAGTTGAACACAATTATTCTCAGTTCGGTACTAGTTTTTCTTTTACAGAGTCAGCAAAGATAATTCCATCACTAAATGTAAGTATCTTCCAAGTAATTTTGGAATGGATTCATTTTATTGTTTTATTAAACGCAAATTAAAGATCTTGTGTCCTATGATATTGCTTTTTTTGTGGTTCATTAAGAAAGAGGATTTCTCAAAAGCCAGTTCCACCAAATTTATATGGCCCAGAGAAAATGTTTCAATGAAAGAAAAGCTACCTCGCCACCTCACACTGCTGCCTGTGGGTCCCACGGCCACTCACAACCAACAAGCAAAGCTGCACTTCATCTTAACCTGTGTTGACTTTGTTCTCTATGTTCTAGGCACTTGGAAGAAAGGGAAAAATTACAAGGTAAAGTGCTTCTGAACTAGTGATACAAACTGACATAAAGCATTTCAATAATTTTGTGGGGGCCAGGTGCAGTGGCTCACACCTGTAATCCCAGCACGTTGGGAGGCTGACGTGGGCGGATCACTTGAGGCCAGGAGTTCGAGACCAGCGTGGCCAACATGGCAAAACCTTGTCTCTACTAAAAATACAAAAAATAGCGAGGTGTGGTGGTGCACACCTGTAATCCCAGCTACTCGGGAAGTTGAGGCAGAGAATTGCTTGAACCTGAGAGGCGGAGGCTGCAGTGAGCCGAGATCACACCACTGCACTCCAGCCTGGGCGACAGAGCAAGACTCCATCTCAAAAATAAATAAATAAATAAATAGAAATAATTTTTTGGCATATCCCTCCAAATAATTTTGAACAATCATGCATCTCCTTCCATTTTTCATTGACGTCTGAAAATTTCCATCATGAGTTCAGTTGGTTGCAACAGATGTACATTTTAATTGTGTTATAAATACTAATATTTTACAATTTAAAAATATTGTAATTTTTTAAATTGTATTACTGTTTAATATGCCATTTACAACTAAATTAATTGTAAATTGCCATTTACAATGGCAAAAATATTTTGCCATTTAAAAATATAAACAAAGGAATCTGGATATCATAGTATTTTCATGCCCAGGCCCCTCCACGTAAAAATTAGTAAATGAGTTCTTCCTTTAACAGGCAGAATTTTAGAGCATGTCTCTTCTTCCTTGAACTTATTTCCATTTCACTACCTAACAGAATCTTATCCTAACTGAATGTACTTTATGCTTGAGTTTTTTTTTTTATTCATCAAGCCTCTTTGTATAGAATATGTATCTAAGTTAAAATGTAATTTTCATTTTCCCTCACCATAAGCAAGTTGTATTAAATTCCTTTTTATATTGTTTATCCTTGTGCTAATAGAAAACAGCCAACCAAAATTACATAAATGTTCTTAGAAACTTTGACATTTCTTAAGCAAAATGGTAAAATATCATTTGGAACTGCATTTCATAAGTGAGTGAGGCTTTTTCAATTAATTCCTTAAAAATGACTGGATTACTTATTGCTAGCATGAGGCAGGGTTTGGCATAAATTCAGGTCTACTTTTCCTCTTATAGATATAAGCACTAGGCAAAGCTTGTCACATACGAAGGTAAATTAAGGGACTTTTGTTATGGTTACATCATTCCATTAGGTTTCTAAAACTTTTCCTCTAATATATGTCAAAAATCACTTCATTAATCTGTCACAAAAATTATGCTTAATGATCTATAATCTGACAACTCAGTTAGATCCTTTGTCAATTTGGTTGGAAAGAAAAATTGGGAAACCACCTGATGTTCAAAAAGATTCGCCACCAACTCATTAATTTATCTGCTTGATCTTATACCAATATTTCCATTTGTTCTTTTGTTTGAGATCAGGAATAAGGTTTGCCCATCTCAGGAAAGTGCACCCCAGTGAGTTTCCTGATGGGTGAGGGGTATGTCTGTCTTTTATGAAGGAGAAGGAGGGCATCTGTAAAACTGGCATTGGGGAAAAAGACTTGGAATGATGCTGGTCACAGGTGAGTTCTCAGGCACATGAATTCCAGGAAAGAATACATGTGGAGGTATAACATTTGGAAGTGGATTCCCTTGGAAAGTCCTGATTCTCCCAGAAGAACGTGTACCCAGTTTAAACCCACCAATGTACACAATACATTTCAGTCAATTTAAGAGTTGCGAAGGTGGGATTCATGGACAATACCACAGGAATACAGAAGTGGGGTCACTCATTCTAATTAGAGGACACAGGAAAGTGACCATTGGACTGCGTCTGAACACAAGCATGATTTTGGCAGGTAGAGGACAGTTGGGTCAAAAGATGGGAAAAAGCAGAGAAATGCCAGGCTGCATGAGAAACATCAAATACTGTTGAGTGGTTGGAATCCCTAGTGTCTGTGTGCACACACGGGTGTGCAAATGTTCAGGAGGCACGGTTTGGAGAGGCTGGGTTTAGGATTCGCCTTTGAGAGACCCTCTGCCACCAGCATTATATAGATTCTGCTCTGAGTAGGCACCTCAAACTTTGTTCCCCTCTTTTTCTCTAATTGATTTCCTAGGCACAGTTTCCTCCAAGTGAAGTTTGCCTGTTCATTCCTTGTCAAAATCACAGCCTCTTTAGTTTGATGGGCACTATTTAATAACGTTTTATATTAATGCTCTTGTCAAAAATCCCATAGACCTGGGCTCCTCAAAGACACTGCATGATGAAGGTAATCAGTTGACTCCAGAGCACTACTATATACACACACACACATTTTTATCTTTTCAAGAAGGCAAGATAATGAAGGACTGAAAAACATTTATGGATCTAAAATTAGACCTGGATTCTCTTAAGAGTCAAGTGATGTATTCTTGGTATCAGTCAGCTCCTATTTCTTCACTACCTGAACCAAACTCTAGTCCTAGAATCTTAACGTGCCTATTAGAGTCCCTGGGCAGAGAAAATTCCAAGTTATTCCACTGTAACACAGAGCTGTGTTCCAACTGCTGTTCTTTTAAAAACATATAATAAACAGCTGCTGTTTTTCTCTGCCCACCACTCTCACTCTGTTTGTGTTAAAAGAATTCTGTCCTCTTGCAGGTAACCAATTTATCATATCTGGGTGAGACTATCTGCCCCTAACTATTTCCCTAGGACAATGTTATATCCAAAGATGAGTATGTGTTCCATGCTGGACCAATCAAAGTCCTTCTCAGAACCTTTCCACCAGAGGTGTTCAGGAAGATGGTCCAATCGGGCTGGAATAAATGGATTGGGTACAAGTTTTGGATAAATGGCTGCCATTTTAACCAGCACAGGGAAGAACTTATCCACGGACTGCAGAGGAACATAGTTCTAAGACAATGTTTCAGCTCCTGGCCCCAACCATGCCCATAATAAAGATTAGTCTCTTGGAAGTGCCAGTTATGTGAGCTAAAAAATCGCCACAAAACCCAATTATGCATAACTGGTCAAGACATACTTCTGTTTCTGAGAACTGAGGAGTCTTGTCTAATAAATGTCTAAATTTCCTTTATTTTGCACATATATCTATGTAACATTATGGTATTTCTATTATAGGAACCATTATTTTATATTAAATTACATATTAAATTGGACAGCTACATATATGTCTTTCCCTTTCCTAGATTTATTTTCCGTTATTTGGATTATACACTTGAGTATAATCTAACTTAGGAGGGTATACTCTCGAAGCTCTCTTGCGTCTGAAGGCTGGCTCCATTTACTTGTTATCCTTGACTACCAGTATATGGCTAAACCAAAGGAAGATTCAGATGAAAATCCTTCTTCTTTAAGACTGTCTTCTCCGCTTCTCTGTTTTCTAGCATCTTGTGTCATAGATGAGAAGGCATATGTTCACATGATTTGTTTATAGCTATATATAATCCCTCTCTAGAAGCTAGTAAAATTTTATCTGTGGATTTTTAAAATTTTTACCTGAATGTGTCTAAATGTGCACATTTCTAAAGATGTGTATTTAATTTCCAAGAATGTTTTGATGCTTATTTGTTTTTCAATAATAGCCTGCTCTTGTTTTATGTGATGATCTACTGAAATTTTCTGAGGCAATGACTAAAAGTATTTATTTTAAAGTTCTGTTCTATTTCCTAACTTAACTCTACTTCCTTTGGAGTAAATTTCTCTGACCACTTTGTTGTCCTTCTTTCATGCATTAAAAACAAAATTGTCTACCAACTCTTGGCTGTCTTTCCTGTGTTTAAATGGGGGTATCAGCGATGGTACGGAGTGAATTTCTTTGCCGCACGTGAATATTCCTGTTTCCTTACTATGGATCAGAAAGCCTATCAACAACAGTCATGGGTGCGGTGCATGAACCAGGACTGGACTAAGTGAAGTTCCACAGGGACAGAGACGGACGCTTGCATTCCGGGGCAAGGATTCCATCTGGATAGGGTGGCCAGTTTTTCTCTGTAGCCACAATGCTGGCTTTGGCTGATGATGCTTAGAATCAGTTCAGCTACCCTGAAACTGAAGTTTCATTTTATTGTAATGTGCTTTTTGTTGTTGTTGTTTTTAAGCCAATAGTTAAACAGGATTCCTTCTCTATGCCACTGTCATGGGCTTTAAGAGTAGTCTAAAGTATTACACTATTGGCTAATTTACTATCAGACAGTACAGCTCAACACTGATATTTGCAAACCACATAACGGTAATTGGGTTTTGACATTCTGCAGTGTTCAAATGGATAATATTTACCTACCTCCTTATTTAGTCCACATGCCCCCTGTAGTGTGGATATTATTATTATTCCTATTTTGCAAATTATACAAGAAGCCCCAACCAACAAATTATGTCACCTATCCCTGAGGGTGTGTGTTGCAGAAACACTCTGCTCAGCTTATAAAAAGGGCAAGTTCATTCAAACCTCATAAAAAACCCACATGGTGGGCAGGAGTCAAATTAAGGTTCTTTAACCAACGTGTTACATGAATCCTACTGAGTATATCTGCATTTAGACTTTTCTAAGCCAAAAGATTTTCTTCCATGTTCTATGGAACAAATCTTGGATCCATTTATCTGGGAATCTCAACATATTTGAAACCATTTCTTGAGGCAAAAACCTTCAGTCCTTTTTTACACATTTCTGGGGCCTCACCTTTGAGGGAAGTGTGGGGCAGTGGATGGCCATCCCTGCTGGCAAGAACAAAGCTGGTGTCTTAGTTTTCATTGTCAAAATAGAAACTCTGTCTCCAGGTTGTCTATCTATTAAAACACATAAATTTTATTTAATCAATGCCTCAGAAAGAGAGGTTCAGGGACCTGCCAAGGTGCCAAGGGACTCAATCTCAAATTGACTATGCTTTGGGTCTATTATGAAGCAAAGGTGAGGCAGCCACCATCTGAGATGGGCAACCTAAGAAAAATGCCATCCCTCCTTCTGCTGCTTTCTTCCAACTTCTATCCTTTTATCATCAGAACTCTAGAGAATAAAGTATGTGGCCTACTTTTACTTAGCTTTCCATAACACACTGTTCATCTATCACTCTGGATGTAAATTTGATATAAAAATGACCAAATTATTAAATAAATGAGTGCTGTTTGACACAGCATCCTCTCTGATCCCTTTGGCCTTGTTTCCCAAGAAGGCAGGACCGAGCTGTGCCTTTGTGGCTGCCTTTAACTGCATTTCCTTCTCCCTCTCCCTTCCCAGCACATATATTTCTGAGCTCTCCTAGTGTTTACTTCTAACCACTTAAGGAAAATGTAGATTTCAAAAATAGCATTAATTAACATATTTTTATTTCCAATCATTTAAAATAAAAATTATTCCTTTTTCTAGACTTTTCTAATTTGAATAATACTGACACAAAAAGCTGCCTACAATCCCCTTTGAAATTCACTGTGATTTAAATAAGAAATAAAATAGATCTCTACGGATGATAAGAGAGGAAAGGAGTCAGACCATCCTCTTGCCTGACAGGCAGATGGCATCTTCTGGGCAAGCTGTGTGCCCTGCCCTGTGCTGCCCTCAGGGACCCAGGCTGACCCCGTTCAAATGGGCACTTGGAGTTCAGGGCATCTCACCCAGTCAGGAAGGCCTCCTCAAGCTGGCACACTGTGCAATGTAAATTCTCAATAATATAATCAACGTTTAGTGTGCAATAACAGAAAAGAGCATTCTTTGACAAAAGCTAAGAATCCAGATATCTGAGCCTCGTCTCTTGCATGCTGAAGAACAGACAATATTACAGGTCACTTTCTATAACTCAGAGAAGATGTCCGGGTGTGCTGTAATGCCACCCTGTAATGTCAGTCATCCCAAGCGCCCGTCCCTGTGCCTCGCCTGCCCCTGAGAGGTGCCTCCCCACCTGGCACAGGGCCCCTCGGCCGGGCCCGGCCAATCTTAGCTTCTCGTCTTTGTGTCTCTGCTCCTCCTTCCCTTGTACCTAAAAGTGGAGGTTGGTGGTAACAGACAAAATTGTCACTGTTCCTCTGCAATGCAACATTTTATTAGCTGTTTTAAAGAAAAATTACAACATAAAAAGGGCTGGGCGCAGTGGCTTACGCCTGTAATCCCAGCACTTTGGGAGGCCGAGGTGGGTGGATGACTTGAGGTCAGGATTTCGAGACCAGCCTGGCCAACATGGTGAAACCCTGTCTTTACAAAAAATATAAAAATTAGCTGGAAGTGGTGGTGTGTGCCTGTAATCCCAGCTACTCGGGAGGCTGAGGCAGAAGAATTGCTTGAACCCAGGAGACAGAGGTTGCAGTGAGCTGGGATCGTGCTGCAACTGCACTCCAGCCTAGGGGACAGAGTGAGACTCTGTCTCAATCAATCAAACAAACAAACAAACAAAGAACACATAAAAAGGAAACTTTTCGCTTTTTTTTTCTTTTCACATAAATTACAAACTTCTTTCTTGGCCAGTTCTTTTATTTCCTTATGGACGGCTTTTTAAATTTTGCCATCTATAAAATCTACTGAGTTTGTGAGATTTCCACTGGGTTGGCCCCACAGTTCCCGTTTTGCTGTGCAGGCCTCTTCACGCTCCTTGAAGGTGAAGGACTCTTCATGGGCCTTCCTCGTATGTGTGCTGGGCTTGTTGGGAGATGGCCATGTTTCAGGTGAACTGAAGCTACTGTAACTTTTTTTCCTTTCTGACTGCCTGGCCTGGAGAGGAGTGACTTTCTGATGTTTTTTCTCCATGGCATCTCCCTGCACTGGGGACTGCTGTGGGCCCCGTTCCTCTCTGCCGCTTGGCCAGGGGCCCTCGGAACCCCTAAGGGAGGCCCCAGATGACTAAGACCAGCCCCAGCCTCCTCAGAAGCCCCCAGCATCTCAGCTCTCCCTCACGCTTCTGTTTTATGATTTCCTTCTCATTTTCTGTGCAACACAAAGCTTGGCTACGCATTTACAATGATGTCCACGACAGAAAACCCAGCCTTTCAAGATGCTTGGTAGCAGGAGGGGTTTTCGGGGCACATCACCCATGATATGGCTGGAAATATAAGAAAACGGAACTTGCTTTCAATGTAAAACATCGTTTCCTTTCCACAGCCTTCCTCGTTTCAGCAGAGAAGGTGGTCCGCTATCCAGGATCCAAACCTTTCTTCCCTGGAGCAGCCTGGAGAGTTGAGGGGACAGATGGGGAGCCAGGAGACAGGGGGTGCCTTTTAGGAGCCAAGGGAGCAGGTTCAGAGAGAAGAGGACTTGCAGATATGACCCCAGGGTTGGCTACTGCACGCATCCCCAGCCGGAGTTCTCAGAACAAGTCCTTCTCTTTCCTCTTGAAAGTCCTTATCTTCCCGCAAGGGCGGCTCAGGCCCTCCCTCCTCCATGAGGTTGGTGTCTCCAGGGGCCC
Organism: Homo sapiens; assembly: GCF_000001405.40. NCBI lineage: Eukaryota > Metazoa > Chordata > Mammalia > Primates > Hominidae > Homo > Homo sapiens. Next base: position 51,055,216 of record NC_000007.14, read on the forward strand.
CAGCGCGCATCCTTCCTGGACTCGCAAAGCCCACGCTACTGCCACTCTTTCCTGTTGCACTAATAGCATGTCCTTCCAGCTTGGCGCTCAGCCCCTCAAGGGCTGCGGGAAACTCAAACTCATCTCTTAACGTCCTCATCCACAAGGCCGAATTCCTCTCTCTAAGGACTTAGTGAAGATTAAACGAGACAGCACTTATGAAGGAGCTAGCAGGGCACAGGGTCAATGCTCAGTAATGGTAGCTAAAATTATCACAGGCGCTGGGCCTAGCTGCCTGGCTGTCCATAAACATCCTAAGTTCTCTGAGAAGATGATGGTCTTGCACTTGGCCCGTGTCAGAACGCCCTGGAGGGCTTGTTAAAATAGAGATTGTCCAGACCCCATACCCCCATGAGTTTCTGATTCAGTGGGGCTGGGGTGGGCCCAGGGGTGCATGTTCCCAGGTGTTGCTGCTGCCGGCCGGCCGGCCTGGGCGACACATGGGAGGGCTTCCTTCGTACCTCCCCCAGAGTTCCTGGCCAGCCGGCTTTCTCCCCTCACTGGGCTGCAGGTGAGAACCACCTACATTTAAGCTTTGTATCCCCATGTAGCTTTCTGTTGTCATCTTACTGAAACCTATTCCCTGCAATAGTTCAAAGACAGCTGTCTCCAACAACAGGCGCTGGAGTTAACGGACGACCAGTTTTAAAAAGTCACATTCAGTCCCTGCTCTCAAAAGGCAGGAGTATTTGCCTTTTTCTAAAATTAGCAGATTCCATTTCCCATCTCAGTGCTCTTCACATGTCTCCTGTTTCATGGGAACTTGTCCCAAAATGCCCTCAACAAAGTTACAAATGTCATTTTTCTTCAGACAGAAGTAGAGCTGAAATAATTACTTGCGGAAACTATAATAGAATAGTTTCAGAAAGACAGAATGAGGAAATTACTTACAAAAATAAAACACATTCCAAATGTTTGTAAACTACGTCAAAAACAAAGAGCAAAGAAACAATATGGGGGGGTGCATGATGAAGTGGGGGCATGAGGAAGAGCAGGGGGAGGAGAGCTGAGCAGGGTAGGGGTGGCACAGCCTGAGTGTGAGCAAATGGGACCCCGAGATGCTGGAGAAAACAGAGGAGAGGCAGCAAAGAGCCTCTACATCCCAGGTGTCAAAAGGCTGTCAAAAGGCTAGTGAGAGGTGCCTGTATCGTCACCGGGGGAAATGAGCCCTCATCAATGGCAGCATTGAAACCTGAGTCTCCAAGGATGACCTGTCTGGTGTCTCTGCATCAGTGCCTCCATCTGCAACCTCAGGGCATCAGTTTCCTGGCCAGCTGGGTTATTTTTGCCTTATTAGTTATTTGTATCAATTGCCTGAAGTTTGGGTCAGATTAAATAGCAAAGACTGTGAAGATGACTAATTTAAACTGTTACCTGGTTCTGGACTAAGGAATAAAACATATCTTTTAATATTGAAAAGATACTCTAATCGGGGCTTGTTCCAAGATGAGTTCTCTTCTGAGTATTTTTAGAAATCACACAATGCTAACATACCATTAAAAGTGAGTGGAGAAAAGCGAAATGACTAATAACTATGCTTGTATACAGTGCTCTCCCAACACACACACACACACACACACACACACACACACACACGGCAAAAACCATCATAGTAGTCCCTCCTTGTTGGAGGTTTTGCTTTCTGCAGTTTGTTACTTGTGATCAACCAAGATATTAAATGAACAATTGCAGAAATAAACACTTGGTCAGTTTTGAATCACGTGTCCTTCTGAGTAGCCTGGTGAAATCTGCCATCCTGTCCTGTCCCACCATGAATGGGAATCTTCCCTTTTTCCAGTGGATCCACACTGTCTCCTCCCCTGCCTGTGAGTCACTTAGCAGTGGTCTTGGTTCTCAGACGGACTGTCTCAAGGTTGCAGAGATTGTGTTCAGGGGCCCTTACTGTACTTAATAATGGCCCAAAGCACAAGAGTACTGATGTTGGCATATTGTTATAATTGTCCTATTTCATTGCTAGTCATTGTTGCTCACTGTGCCTAATGCAGAAATTAAACTTTATCACAGGTATGTATGCATAGGAAAAAAACAGTATATATATATGCGTGCACGCACACACATACACACACACACACACACATATATTCAGTGCTGAGGTTTCAGGCATCCATGGAAGGTCCTGAAACATATCCCCCTGTGAATAAGCAGGGGACTACTATACTTAAAAGGTACTCAAATACAGTAGAGTAGTCAGCATAAAAGCAATGAATAGTAACAAGATTTTTCTCTAGAGCTCCCCTCCCGTAGTCCAGCCTGCCTTGGCACTGTGCGTCTGCTTGTAACAGTGATAAGATCAGCATCAGGGCCCATCATTTTGGGAAACTAGTATAGAATTGTTTCTAGCCTTATCCAAAGTCAACAGACTACACAGCCAGCAAATTAAATGTTTCACACACAAACCACCTGTCTAACTCACAATTATGGTGGCCCAAAATAACTTGGCTTTATTGGCCAGAAAACACTCACCTCAGCAAAACCCACCAACACTCAAAATAACCTACATGAGATGCTGGGGCTCCAGCCTTAGGGTTTCAGGGTCTGTCCCAGGGACTGGAAGTTGGATGCTGTCCCCTTGCGAGGCAGGGACCCCATTTTCCCCTCCATGCCCTGAAAGGATAGATGGCCACACCTCACCTCTTCCATTCCTCTTATTACGGATACCCTCCTATGACCACATTCTACCAGAGTTTTTAAATTAGGATTATTTTAGTTTTTAAAATGAAGTTTGTTTTCTTTTTCTTTCATATAGAAAGTAAGGAAAACACAAACATTTGGAAAGAAAATAATCACTTATCCCCAAGATAACCATGGTTTACATTAGGTTGCTTTTTTTGGTAATCTTTTTTTTTTAGAAGCTTTTTGGATAAACGTAACAAAATTTCTTAAATGTTTGAAGAAAATCAGATACATTGCCCTTCTATGTTTATGTATGCACTTTGTACTCAACAGATTAAAGACACATTTTTCTCCATCTTTTGTGTCAATTTAAACAATTATGGGTACCGTGACTCGCATCTGTAATCCCAGCACTTTGGGAGGCCGAGGTGGGAGGATCACTTGAGCCCAGGAATGTGAGACCAGCCTCAGCAACAAAGCGAGACCCTGTCTGTCTCTACAAAAAGTTTTAAAAATTATCCAGGCATGGTAGAGCGTTCTTGTAGTCCTAGCTACTTGGGAGGCTGAGGCAGGAGGACTGCTTGAGCCTGGGAAATCGAGGCTGCAGTGAACTATGATTGCACTAATGCACTCCAACCTGGGTGACAGAGCAAGACCATGTCTCAAAACAACAACAACAACAACAACAACAACAACAACACAACCCCCCAAAACAATTACATGACACTGTGCGGATTCAACTGTGGCCTCCAGCAAATCAGTGCTTACAGGCTATGGCTTCTCATCTGTAAAACGGGGATAAGAATAACAGTATTCATTCACTCAGGAGCTTCATGGAGAGGCGTGATGAGGCAGGGAAAGCCTGACAGAGCATGGACAGCCGGAGCCTCTGAGCGTGGGCTGTTAGAGCGAGTCTGATTGCTGAGATTCCCATCTGTTTTCAGCCTACAGGCTGATAATGGCAGGTCCTCCAACGACTTTCGTTCAGCGTCATCTTATTATCCCAGGCCGGGGCTACTGTCTGTGCAGATTACACCTTCTCGGCAGGTCTGCATGGGTTTTCTCTGGCTGCGCTCATGTCCTCCCATGTCCCCAGACTGCACATGTTAGGGTCACTGGGGTGTCCGAATTGTCCCCATGTGGGTGAGTATAAGTGCACCTGCAATGGGATGGGGGCCAGTCCAGGGCTGGCTTCTACCTTGCCCCCTGTGCTGCCACGGTAGGCTGCGGCCACCTGTGACCCTGAACTGGAAAAACTGGGTAAATCATCACATTACTTGCTTTTATTAATCTTTCTTAAATGTATGTATAGCTCGTATTTATTTCAATGTTTAATATTAGTAGTGTTTGGTCTTTATTTAGAAGTGTTTTGGTCTTTATTTCGATGTTTTGGTGACCAGAAATATATGCTAGGAACTTAACTCATTTTTATCAGTTGGCCTATGGTAAAACTGCTTTCATTATCTATTGTTCTGCATAAAGCTGCGGTTTCCAAAAACCTAACCTATTGATGATGGTAAGTGAGGACTTACTGTATAATCATTCATTAGTGGTCATGATCTTTAGAAAGACTGGAAATTAAAGAACAAATGTGATTATGTGGGGGCTGCAGAAACTGCAATCTTAAGGCTTTGGGGAACTTTCCCAGGAATGGGAGAGAACAGGGAGAAGGGGGGGCCTGAAACACATGGGTTTCTAGGAGGGAGTCCCAGGAAGCCTTGGGATTGTTTGTAGATCAAACAAGCCTGGTCAGGTAGGGGTGGGTGGGAGGGTGAGGGCTGGCCCTGTTCGCATAAATGAGTCCGAGCCAGGCAGGGAGGAGTTGGTGAGGGCACTGTCTCCCAGCTACCCCGCCACTGTTCCCTCATCCTGCTGTTTGCACTAACTCCACCCAGAAATACAGCCAAGATGATTGCCTTCTATGTGCTATTCTCTAGTCCCAGTGGGATCTGAAGTTTTTCTACTTCTTAGCATTACCCAACGTGGCCTGTTTTTTGCTAACTGTTCAATCCTCATCTCACCCCTCACAGGGAGCATGTGGTCCTCCATGCCTGTGTAGGATTGAAATGGAGACATCTGCTCCTGATTTGTCTTGAATAAACCCTCCACAGGCCCTCCCTTCATCATGGGTCCTGCCGTAAGCTCTGCCGGATGCCTCCATGAGTCGATCTGATCTCGTCTTCAGTGCACACGCTTCACCCTGGCTGTCTGACAGCAGTGCCTCCTCCAGGTGTTTTCCAACACTCCACAGGTCTCTGAGCACATGAACACCAGCCCAGATCTCACAATGAAAGGTCTTAACAGGTTGCATTTTCTTCACAGTTATCAAAGCAATCTCTGCAGGAAACTACTTCTTGGGAAGAAAAGTTTCCCACTTGCTTCTCCATCAGTAGCTTACAGAATGTAAGTTCTGCCAAAACTACTATCAGTAGCTTGACTTACAGTAGGCCTTATCCATTGTCATGGTATTCCAGAGAGCATTGCTTCTGATCAAGGAACTCGCTTCCCAGCCAAAGGAGTGCAGCAATGAGCCTGTGCATGGAACTCACTGGTCTTACCAAGTTCCCCACTACCTTGAAGCAGCTGGTTTGATAGAACAGTAGAGTGGCCTTTTGAAAACTCAGTTACAGGGTCAGAGAGGTAGCAGTACCTTAGAGGGCTCGGGTGATGTTCTCCAGAAGGCTGTGTATGCTCTGAATGATGTCCAATATATGGTGCTGTTTCTCCCATAGGGTCCAGGAATCAAGAGGTTAAAAAGGGAGTGGCACCATCATTATCCCTAGTGACCCACTAGCAAAACGTTTTCCTCATGACTTTTATGTTCTATTGGCCGATGGGTCTTAGGTCCAGAGAAACAAATTATTCCACCAGGGGGCACAACAATGATTCCACCGAACTGGAAGTTAAGATGCCACATGGTCAGTCTGGGCTCCTCAGGCTTTTGAGTCAACAGGCGAAGAAGGGGTTTATGGTGTTGGCTGGGTGACTGACCCAGACTATCCAGGGGAAAATAGACTACTGCTCTAGAATGGAGGTAAGGAACAGTATGGGATGTAGGAGATCCCTTAGGACTTCCCTTAGTAAGCCCTGCGATGAAGGTCAATGAAAACTACCCTGACCCAATCCAGGTAGTACCACTAATGGCCCAGACCCTTCAGGAATGATGGTTTGCATCACACCACCAGGTAAAGAACCACAACCAGCTGAGGTGCTTGCTGAAGGCAAGGGGAATACAGAATGGGTAGAAGACATTATAAATACCAGCTGTGATGTGACTAGTTTTAGAAATGAAAACAGTAATTGTCAATGAGTATTTCCTTCTCATTTTGTTAAGAATATGTTTGTGTGTGTGTGTGTGTATATATGTATATATACATATAAATATCTTTGTTTTCTTTCCCCTTATTCCCTTAACATGGGACATACGCGACTTCCATAGCAGTGTCTAATTGTTGATAATTTTACATCATAGTATTTTAAGTTACAGGATATCAGGAGAGAGTAAACATCAACTCAAGGACTTTACCTTCTCTTCTGGAAGGGATGAGTGCATTTTCGGTTGTATACAGGACAGCAGTGTCATGCCAGTTGGAATTGTGACCTTGTTTTGTCTTTCTCTGGAGAAAAAGACATGCATATAGGGGGCGAGTTGGCAAGGGGTGAATTTGCAATGGCTAAGCAAGGGGTGTTCGGGTACGTGGTGAAACGTTATTTCTGGGTGTGTCTGTGAGGCTGTTTACCAGAGTGATCAGCATCTGAATTGACAGACAGTAAGGAAGATGTGCCCTTACCGCTGTGGGCAGGCATCCTATCTGCTGAGGGTCTGAACAGAACAAAAAGGCAGGGAAGGGTGAATGTGTTCTCTGTGTTTGAGCTGGGACACCCATCTTCTCCTGTGCTTGAGCATCAGAGCTCCAGGTTGTGGGGCCTTGAGACTTGGATAGAATCTCATCACCAGCTTTCCGGGGTCTCCAGCTTACAGATGGCAAATGGTCAAACTTCTTGGTTTCTATAATTACACAAGGCCATCCCTATAAAAAAAAATCTCTCCCCACCATAGATACACACACACACACACACACACACACACACACTCATAAATATATCCTATTGTTCTGTATCTCTGGAGAAGCCTGACTAATAGAGATTTTGGAATAAATATTCCATTAGGGCTAAACAGTAGGGAGGGTTAAAATAGGCCTAATTTTAAGAAAATCTTCATTATCTTTCTAATGCTTTGAATTTGTTCAGAAAATAAAACATACATTTAGCAATGGTCTAATTATTCATTACTTTAAGTCTACAAAATTAGCTTTCCCAGGATGCAACCCTGACAGCAGATACAGTGTGGATGTTTGCTGCAGTAACAACAGTTCATGTCTCTCTCTCTCTCTCTCTCTCTCTTTAATTTGCGTCTGTGAGAGGTGGCAGGAGATACATCCAAGGAAACTTGCTTGAAGGTGCAGCTGCTTCTCCAAAGCCTCCATAATCCCAAGCTCTGGGTCAGCCCCTGAGTCACAGCATGACTTCAGGGCAAAGGCTTAAGTCAGAGCCATGGTGTCCCGGCGCTCGGCTGGCCTGCTGAGACTTGGAGAGAGGCTTCCAATTAACACTGCTGGTTTCTCTGAAGTGGCCAACAAGTGGCCACTCCAAGTGTCTCAACTAAACTAGACCAGTTTAAGACCAGCCACACTGGCTGAAGCATTCCCAGACAACATCATGGCTTATTTACTTGTGTGTTTCATCATTGCATGGAAACGTGGGCGCTTGCTGATCTGCAGGGGCTGGAGGAGAAAATGATCTTTCCCTTGTCAGCCAGGGGCATGGCTCAATGTGCCATCTGAGGAAGCTCTCAGCCTGCCATCCCAGGAGTCGTGCCTGCCAGCACCAGGGACTGCGTCTGCAGGGGGTGGCATGAGCAAGGCTGCTGGTCCCGGCTCAGCTGTCCTGGAAGAGGCTGTGAGACACCCGTGGAGAGCGCTGGGGCACACACAGGAGCAACCACGGTGAAGTCCTGAGTCCTTGACATGCATTTGCTCAGGACTCCAACCCAGCAGCCCCCAAAACAGTGAGACGCTCTGCACTGCAGGGCAGGCACTTCATTTTTATAAGCTGTAGGGGGCACACCTTCAGCACTCTGTCAAAGGCAATACGCACAGTTATTAAACTTCCTAAGAAAAAGGAAGACAGAAATTGCTCTACATCACTTGTGTGACTGTATGAAGTAGAAAATTAAACATTTTCTCTCTCTTTTTTTTTTTTTTTAGATGAAGTCTCACTCTGTCACCTAGGCTGGAGTACAATGGCGTGATCTTGGCGCACTGCAACCTCCACCTCCCGGGTTCAAGCAATTCTCCTGCCTCAGCCTCCTGAGTAGCTGGGATTACAGGCACCCACCACCGCGCCCGGCTAATTTTTGTATTTTCAGTAGAGATGGGGTTTTGCCATATTGGCCAGGCTGGCTTCGAACTCCTGACCTCAGGTGATCCGCCTGCCTCGGCCTCCCAAAGTGCTGGGATTACAGGCGTGAGCCACTGTGCCCGGCCTAACATTTTCTTTAAGGGTTGTGCAGTATTTGACAACATAATCTTTATATTTCTGACTTTTTAAAAATGAGGGTTTGAGTGACTTCATTTCTCCAGTATGACTGAATCAGGGAACCTGCACTGATCCATCTACAGAGGTCTGCAGACAGCAGTAGGAGGCAGGCTGAGGGCCAGGTGTGGCCCCACGAAGACCCTGAGGAAACCTGGTGCCTACATGTGCCTGCAAGAAGCAGCTAGTATGCATCCCACACTTCCTTTCATGCAGTAAAACTGGTGTTGCCTTATCTCTAACTTTTTTTAAAAAGAAGAAATCAAGATTTTAATGCACGATCTTCTGCATTTTAAATTATGGCTATTTTCATAATAATTAGGATCTGTTGACTCCAACCCAGCAGCCCCCGAAACATTTCTAAATGTTCTACATGTATTTGTATGTGTAATTCTCAAAAGCACTTTTTCTTTCAATATGAAGAAACTCAGGCACAGAGAAGTTAAGCAAGTTGCCTGAAATCACCCAGTAACAGACCCAAACCCTGAGTCCATGCAGCCTGGCTCTAGCCCCATGCTATGTACTTCTCTGGACAGTGCAAGACCCTCAGCACCCTTTCTGCCCCATCCCCTTTGTGGAGCAACCTGGTTGTCTGGGAGATGAACCCTGATTATCCAATCAAACACAGTAATCCTGTTCTCCCTGACAATTGATCAGTGCATTCTGGCCTAAGCCAATGGGTGTGTGGCACTCCCTTGGCTACTGTGATTGGTTCAGGAACTCGCATGTGGCTGATGTGGGGTAAGTGAGCTGACACAACCCCTATAGGTGCAGTATAGGATCCCATATATATCCCTGTGCATTAACTCAGCTTGAGTGGCTTTTTTTTTTTTTTCAGGCAAAGATATGCTGGATTCACCAGCAATCCCACTTCTAGGTATATATCCCCAAGAAATGAAAGCAGAGTCTCAGATATTTGCATACCTGTGCAGCATCATTCACAATAACCATGAAGCGGGAACAACTTAAATGTCCACTGACAATGGATGGATAAAGAAAATGTGGTCTATACATATACTTGAAAGATATTTAGCTTTAAAAGGGAAGGGAATTCTGTTATATGCTACAATATGGATAAACTTCGAGGAAATTGTGCTAAGTGAAATAAGCCAGGCGCAAAAAGACAAGCAGGCAAAGGGGAGTTGCTGTTCAGTGAGTAGAGTATCAGATTTGCAGGACGATGAGGTCCTGGAGATCGGTTTCACAGCATTGTGAATATACTTAAATCTACTGAAGTATGCATTTGAAAATGGAAGGAATGGGACATTTTATATTTTTTTTTAAATCACAATTTAAAAAAGCATACTGATGCTGCAGCTTATTCAAACAATTTTAAAAGTCTTGCCTGGGTTGAGCAAAACAAGCCTAAGTGAAACACAGAGGCTGCCAGGCCTGAGCACAGTCTCCAGGGCCCTGCTGCCTGGAAAGGATGCAGTGCGGTCTGTGGTGACGGGTTCATATTCAGGCTCATTTTCCTCTCTATTAGCTGGGAGAAACCAGGGACAATATGGCAAGCTTTCAGACAGACAGAATTCATTACATTAGAACTGTGTGAATAACACTGATTTCAGGAGGAACATTTAGAAGTCGGTCCATAGAAAACACCTTCACAGTATTCTAACAAGCACACAGAGGATAGAAAAAAACAAGTGTTAGCTGATTAGGGATTGTCTCCCAAATGCCAATATTTCAGAGGTAGGTAAGACACAAGATGGGTTGTGTGTGTGTGCGTGTGTGTGTCTAAGTGTGCACATGCATTCACAAATGCTTGAAAGACCCAAGAGAAGGCTGAGCAGTGACTGGGGAAATGGGGAGGAGGAAGAGAAACAGGAACACTTGATTTCAGGATTGTGTAGAGAACTGCGGCCCTCACTCATCCACAGGGTTCTTGGCTTTGCTGTGCCCGGGGCTGTGGTATTCAGAAGCAAGCTCAGAAGTCTTATCACAGCTTCAGCTGCTCCATAAACTGTAGGGGCAAGGAGGAAATTCAAAGTCAGGGCAGAGGCCGAATGCACGCAGGAATGGTGGTTCACATACAGTGTTGGGCTAGGGTGGGCTACAGCCAGCTTTGGGCAAAATCAGCACAGCTTGCCAGAAAGGTGGCAGGGCCCAGGCCTCCAACAGGGCCAAGCCCTGGAGTCAGAGTCCGGGTCTCCCCTGTGCATCCACCTGGGTACAACAGAAGCTCTCCAGCCTCTGTCGTCATCAGCACACAGGCTAATGCACACCAGGTGCTATGGGCTGAACTGTGTTCCCTAAAAATTTATATGTTGAAGTCGGAACCTCCAGTACTTCAGAATGTAACATTATTAGGATAAGGTCTTTTAAACGATGTTTAAGTTAAAATGAAGCCATTCGGGTGGAGGCCTCATCCAACAGGACTGGTGTCCTTATAAGAGAATGTTAGGACACAGACACACAACAAGGGAAGACCCAGGGATAAGGCAGCCATCTGCAAGCCAAGGAAAGAGGCCTCAGGAGAAACCAACCCTGCCGACACTTTGATCTCGGACTTCCAGCCTCCAGGACAGTGAGAGAATAAATTTCCACCCATTCTGTGGTATGATATCATGGCAGCCCTAGCAGACTAACATATCAGTGCACTGTGTTGCTGCGCACTGTGATGAAAATATTAAAGTAATTGAAGTCCACGACAGTGTCTGTGGCTTGACAGGCCCACACATGGTGACTGTCTCAGTCTCTGTGGTGTCCTCTGATCTTCCTTCCTCTGGAGTCAAGCCCCTCCTTCCTGGTATTTTTGTGCAGCCCCATACTTGTTGTTGGCTGTGGGCTTAGGTGGGCTTGCACATGAGAGATCCTCCCATAAAGCTCAAACAGCACGCACCACCTCCTCCACTTTCTCCTTCCTCTGTGGACACAGGGAATGGCTTCCTGGGGAGATATGAGCAGGGTTAGAGCCTTGTAGCCCTCCCTACAGACTAACAGGACACAGAGTAGGGAGGAGGGATATGGAAGTTAAGCAGGTGCTTGGGACCAGACTGGCAAGGTTCAAGTCCTGGCTTAAATATTAACTTGCTTTTGGTTGCAGACAAGTTTCTTATCATCTACGTGCTGTTTTCTTATTTGTAAAATGAGGATGATAACAACAGCAGTGACCTCATAGGGCTGTGGTATAGATTTAAGGGTTACTCCAGGAAAAGTGCATGGGAAGGGGGTGCCACTTTAGCCATCATCACTTCCTGCCCCGACCCCGCTGGCAGCGAATCTATGAAGACTAAGACCCCCACCCCTCCATGGGCTGTACCTTCCTGTAGTCCCACTGTGCAGTCTGCACTCAAGCAGAGGCCACCTCCTTCATGGCAAGGTGCCTCCTGGCTAATAAATAGCCAGATGGAGGCAGACATAAGTGCAAGGGCAGAGACGAAAGATGAGGTTTGAGTTTACTAACATGGTTGATTTGGATTTCTGCCCTATCTAACTATGGAAGACTATTCATTTAAACAACTAACTGGCCATATTCTCTTTAATCTTTAAATCTCTTCCAAGTCATAAATTAGGCACCAAACAAGAGGCCTGACAATAACTTCTGGGAGGCCAAAGTGGACAAGTTCAGAATCCTTGCAAAGCCTGCCAGTGACCGAAGCACCAGGCTCAGAGATATATTGTGTGTGGGGTGGCGTGGGGGTGGGGAAGCATACTGGCAGCAACAAGCTAATATAGCCACATACTGTCCTTGGCCTCATATCTTCACACACGTGCAGGCACACACACACAGTGTATACACATGGATGTATGAGTGCACGCACGTGTTATGTATATTTGCACACAAGTTACAAATGTATATAGATGTGCATGTATGCATGAATATATACAAACATGAATATGTACACCATGTGTAGGCATATATGTATGCATGTGTATATATACACAAATATTTTGTACACACTTGTGTATGTATGCATAGATGTTTAAGATACACAATGTGCACATGTATTGTGTGGGTATGCATACATGCACTGTATATACATCTATGCACATGTACATGAGTCTAGATATGCATGCACCATGGGTGCACATGCATGTATGCACATGTATGTGTGCATGTATACACATACACACACATCCCTTTTTAGAACCACTAGTCACACTGTAACAGAGGATGGGGAGTCAGCCATCTGAGCACAGACCCTTCTTAGCTGCATGATCTTAGGCAAGTTACTAGACTCTTCTTGACTCACTTTCCCCTCTTTGTAAATGAGAGAACTCAATCCTATAATTACAGTCACTAAATTGTTGTGTGACTAGCTGCAACATAATATTGGCATAAATGCAGCAAAGCCCCAATGTTAACTTCTTGTATGTTTCTTTCCATTCTCTTCAACTCTGTCTATCAATGGGATAATCAGGGTTCCCCCTGGTGGCTGAAATGTGCGGGTAAAGTCATCCAAGAATCTCTTGTCTCTTAAATAAGCAGCCCCTTCGACTGCTTGCTAACCTGGCAGAGACGGAGTGAGGGTCAGTGGGCAGCTGGCCACTGCAGTGGAGCCCAAGACAGATGCTGCCCTGGTGCCTGCCGCTGCCTAGCCCCAGCCTGGCAGCTGGGCTCCTGACTAGAGCCAGCAATCCTGGTCAGCGGTTCTCAAGCCAGGCTTGAGCGGCAGAGGCGGTGGGCTGACCTCCTCTCAGCTACTTTTGGTAAACATGGTTTAAAGAACACACTCATGCTTCTTTAGCAGAAGAAAATTAAGTGGAGAAATTACCTTTGTTTCCTCTTGAAAACTTGGATAGGGGAGAAATAGTTCCAAAGGTTGTATGTGCACTCACATCCCCACATTTTCACTTCACAAAGGATGCATTCAGATGACTATTAAAATGCTGCGACCAGCTTTCTTTCTCCTCAGATCAAATACTCGCTTTATCATTAGGGTCATCAATTTTAACACTTAATGTTCTCCTTTTAAACAATTTCCCAATTAGCTAGAATGAAGTTTTACTTCTCAATTAATTTAGGATTTGTTATTAAAACCTATATTTTGCTAACTTTCCCATTCGATGTACAGTACTGTCATAAAGTAATATATATAGTTGTGTGCATGTCTTATGTACATATACACATATACATACACATACGCAGATTAAAAATGATGACTAAGGGATGCAAGGAAACTTGAGGGTGATGGATGTTTATTACTCGATGGTGAGTGATGGTTTCATGGTGTATACAAGAGTCGAAACTGATTATATTATATACTTTCTTTGTACATATGCAGTTTTTTGTGTGTCAATTACACTCCTATAAAGCTGTGAAATATAAAAAATAGCATAAAACCCAGAAATCCCCATCAATGTTCTTCCTACACTTCACTTTGCAATATTAAATGGAGACTTGTAGTTTTCCTACTAGAAGCTAAACGTCTCAATTTATAACCATTTACTATTATTTTATATTTATTGAACTTAAGTAACTCACTCTTCACATCTAAGGTTTCTGCTATGGAGCCTGAAGACTCCAAATGTAGGCCACTTGTGCAGTGAGTGACAGTTCCAGCTCATCAAAACGTTGCCCTCGGCCTGATCGCACCCAATCCTCACTAATATGACAATGACAATGTAAAGGGGCAGAATGGAGCCAGCAGACATGAAAGGTAATTTGCCTTCTGGGGCATTCCCTGCACAGCTCTGCCAATACACCACTGTGGGTGCAGATTCGGGGTTTGCCCATATGAGAGACCAGGTAGGAGAGAGAAATGATTGAGAGAGAAGGGCCAAGCGAAGGGCGCAGGGATGAGGCAGAAACAGGCCAGAGATACAAATATGCTTACTTCCACCACCAACTACACTTCTCTTGTTGGAACAGCAACTCTGTAAGTTTGTGCTGCATCTGCCTCTCTGGTCCTCTCAGGCTCCTGACTATAGGACATAATCACTTTCCCTTTAAATTTCTTTTTGGAAAAACATGAGCCTGAAAATACTGGATTCTTAGCCTGGGTGTTAGCTGTGGGATTGGTGGGCTCCGCAGTGCATGGCAAGTGCCGGCCTGTGCTCAGGGAGCACCTGCTGCCAAGCTATGCTCAAGGCTTACTTGAAGGATGTGAGCCCTTTGGGAAGGCTCTTTACACATTCCAGGAAGAACCAGAATTTCAAGCCAAATCTGACTTTTAATATTGGCAACTTTACCTGGCAGAGAGGATGTGTGTGTGGGCTAGACATGGCAATCTGCCATCCATTTCCATCCTGTGGTTGATGATTTGTGTGATTCAGGATGTCTTTATATTCCTCCCTACCACTTCTTATTCACACAAAACATACAAGGAAAGGATGCATCCACTCTTTAAATCTTGTCCCTTATGGGCCAAAGAAGAAAGTATGATAGATACTGACTATTCCATTTGCGTTTGGGTTTTATGTTTTGGTTATTTTTTCTCCTCACTTCCTGCCCTGAAGCCCTGTAGCAGATTTATCAACCAGGAAACAGTGTGTCCAGTCTAAATAATCTCAATAGATCTAATCTCTTTTGGGGGGGTTTCTTTTTCCCTTTACTGAAAAATATACTCAGAGCCTTATTTTATGCAGCTTCGTTCACGTAATAAAAGTTTGTTATTTTCTTAATAAGAAGGAAAAAGAAGGGTTATAACATAAAGCCTTTAAGGGTAAAATCAACACAGAAGTAACAGTAAATTTAAATCACAAAACTTCCAGCAAAGGGAGTTATTCGGCAAAAGGGTTACCAATTATGCGTTGCTATTGGTGACAAATAAAGCAAAGAAACCAAAAATATACAGATAACTCCTGAGCCTCATTTTATTTAATACTTGAACCTCTGTCTTCACTGAAGTGTTTGAAGTTTGCTTGTTGTCATTTTACCATGGTGACTAATAAGGTGCAAAAGCTATTTTGGGTTTTTCTCCTGCTCCACATTCCTTGGGTATGAAGGATGAAACAGTTAAAACACACACACACACACACACACACACACACACAAAATTCCGAGAAGCCAGAGGAAGCAAGTGCTCTGTATGTGGATTAATTTCTGGGTCTGGATAATCTGTAATTGGTTATGATGACTCAAGACATCTTGAATACTTGTTTGAAAGGCCCTCACTTTCTCTTGTAATTTTTGGAAGATGCACTCTTATCCCTATGGTAGAAAAGTTTGTTTTGTTATGGGAAATGTTAGTCTGCACGTGGAAACGTTTTGAATTACATTACATGAGCTATGGAAGTTGTGAACAAACTGTATCATTTTATGGATCCAAATTAGCATGAAAACTGTGAAAATTAACAGTTGATAAGCATCACAAACACAGATGCGATGTGTGACTGATTATAATGGGTGCTAAAATAAAATGTCAGTGAGTAAACAGTAACGACTTTTCCAAATTGTTTCATCTACAGAACTAGGAGTATTTATTTACAAGTAAGTGATTTTAGAATCATATGAAAAGGTCAACAGTACTGGTAAAGTGAGATGGCAAACATTATCATATAAACTAGCTTGCATTTTATAAATCACAGCATGCTCAATTGTCCACTGGCAACATGGTCTCCAGGGTGAAACTAAGAATTTAAGCCAACTATAGTTGAAAAATAATGCATAGTTTTTCTTTTACCTTAGCATTTGCTACAGAATTGGTATTCCCAAGGGATTCTTCATGCTCTCAACTTGCCTGCACGTCTCTAGTTAGAAAACGTGAGCTACCATCTTTTGTGGATAGGGTGTATGACATGATGGAAAAAAGAAACAGACATGGCTTATAAGGAGGAGAAATGACCTGTAACAAGGGATGGGTTCTAAGCTGAGTCAGAAATGAGAAACTTTCTGAAATGCAAGTGCTTTGGGAAAAAATGTTTCACCTAATTAATTTATCTGATTCTTAGAAGGCTCTAATGTCAGCACAGTGCCAAGTCACATGTAAATCTACAAAACTTGTTCATCAAATGGCCCTTCATTCTATCCAACATCTATCAGGCCATCTCTCATGGAGATCACTAGAGTATTGTCAAAGATCGACCACTCATGTCTTTGGCTAACTTTATGATCAAGTAAATTGGGGGTGCCATGTTCAAATTATATTCACCCCCTGTAAGCTGACTTAGCCCTATTGCATTTGTTTTCCCCCACCACATACCTCTGTCCTCTATTTTTAATTGAGTTTGATATACTTATTGCATCATATTTGCTGCCTCTCGAACCAATAATTCTATGAGCAGTATCACTTTCCCCTGTTCCAAGGATTTGCCTAGAGATTTTGTGTGCCCATCTTTCTTCAGCATAATAGCTACTTCTTACACAAATGCTTATTGCTGTAATTATATACAATCTTCTACAATCTTTAAGTCTGGGCCATAAATCCTAATGCTTTCCCCAACATTCAGGTAAACATTACCTTTTCTTGTTTAGACTTTCCCCATTTAATGATTTGAGGTCAAATGACTGCTACTTATCAGACAAAAGTCCTTTATTTCAAAAAAAAAAAAGGCCCTTTCTAACTTGTTCTATGTTTCATTGTGAGTAATTTCTGTAACTTTCTGTTTTTTTCACCAATACATAGCACTAAATTGGTTATATATAGCTTTGGCTTATATTTGTTTATTATTAATACCAATGTAAG
This sequence comes from Homo sapiens, assembly GCF_000001405.40. NCBI lineage: Eukaryota > Metazoa > Chordata > Mammalia > Primates > Hominidae > Homo > Homo sapiens. The sequence continues at coordinate 51,072,057 of NC_000007.14, forward strand.
TTGTGATAATTCCTTCATTAGTCATAGCTAACATTTTCATTGTGATCAGCCAGGCAACAATCCTACATGTCAGGAATACTTACTGATTCTTTTTTTTTTTTTCCATTTTGAGCAATAACATTTAAAAACATCTTTTAGAGAGAAACATGACAAGCTTCTCCAGTTCAAATGCATCTGCATAATAAAAGTTAATCAAAGCAAGCAAGAACTAGTTGTCTTTTTATCTAAACCTTGAATTTTAACATATGACTATTTTTACCTACTCTGCCTGTCTTGGGACAATGCAGTTGAGGTGACTAGCTCTTCGTAACTGGGTGAGGTTGTGTGACTGCAGAGGGATCTCACACTCAAAGAGGAGCCAGCAGCACCTCTGCACAGACATGGTGGTCACAACCTCTGGCATCTTTATCACATGTACAACCCTTGTGACTAGTACTTATCAAATGGAACCATCTTTACTTCTTTTCATGTGCCTGGGGAGCCACAGGTAGTAAAATCCAAGGCCAGAGGTCACGTGCTTGTTATTCACTCTTATAGCCCACAAAACTGGTGTAATACCTAGCATCAAGTAAGTACTATGTCACTGTTTAGTGAATAAATGGGTGAAGAAATGAATAGAATAATGAAGAGAACAGAATAATGAAGAGAATCATAATATAGAATAATGAATAGAACACCCTTCTTCTCCCACTTCTTTCTTTTTAGTGAACTATGTAAAATGGCAAAGTACACAGTAACAGGAAAACCTCAAAAACACAAAGACATTGGGTCCTATGTATCATTGAATGGATAGTATATATAAGTTGTGAGTTCCTAGTAACTACATTTATAGTTCATGTTTTTAGGCACTTAGTTTTACCAGGTAGACAGAAAGTTTCAGTTCTATCCAAATTGACTATACTGGTCAATTTATGGATACAATCTAGTTTTAAGAAAAATTGGCAATAAATTCTGGAACTGAATATCCAATAAGAAAAACATGAATTAATAATGAATTAAAATAAAGCAGAGTTCTTCACAGGAACATTTCCAAGTATCAGTGAATTTCAGACAGGTGAATATTATCAACCTAAAATTTGCATATAATTTACCTCCTTCAAAAAAATATAAACCTCAATCAAACAAATCTCTGTTATTAATGCATTTATATGTAAACCCCAAAGGAAGTAAATTCTGGGTATACAATGAGCCCTTTTATCCTGAAAGGAGGAAGAACAACAGGAAAATCAGAGCCAGGGCAGAAGAGACACTGGGAAAGGTCCGAGGTCAGGAAGAGGCCCGTCCATCAGAAGCGCTTGGCCTGAGTAGGGAATGACGCACAGCAATAAACTGCGGGGGGAAAATAAATGGCAAAATGTGAACGCACACTTGCGGTGAAATAAATATCTGCCATTATCATTCATTTTCCAGCCCCTGGAGATTTAACACTGCATAGCAAGCGTTCTATCAGCCAAAGCATATTGTTATTGTTTTCTTCCTTTCCATTTAGTCTTTTTGTATGCCAGCTGTGGAAAGGGCCTATTGATCCAACAGATATGATTCTGCCTCCTGTAAGAACCATATCATAAGCATCACTTCCCTCATGGTTGGTCTTTCAGGTTGCCACATAAAATTATTTGGATTTGGTATGAAACCTAAGGTCCTTACAAGCCGAGACACGAAGCAGCTGGTAGGCAAGTCATTTATTTCTTACCTCTTGAAAAACAGTCTAAGTTACTTGTAGAACTCCAGAGGAAAACAGACCATATGGCTTTGTGATGCCCTCAATTTCAGTGTATCCCATCTTGATAATGGTGACACTGGGCAGGCCCCACATATAAACTTAGAGAATACTGGTTGATTTACTGAGTTGGAGATGGATATCAACTCCAAGTACCTGTGGAGCAAACTCCTCTTGAGTGCTGCTGTTTTCTCTAGTGGGAGACTGACCTGTGGTGCAAAGGGCTATTACATGAGAGTAGCTTTAAATCTCTGAAGGCCTTGGGGGAAAGGGATTAAAATAAAGAAGGGCCATGCCTGAGTGCACATCAGCACCCAAAACCTCCTGAGACAAACAGTTTAGAAGACTATTGTCATAAGAGAATGCCTGATTCATAATCTCTATTTACTTCTTAACTAGTAAAACAAGGTAATGATTTTTTTTTTTTTTTTTTTTTTTGAGACAGAGTCTCGCTCTGTTGCCAGGCTAGAGTGCTGTGGCGCGATCTCGGCTCACTGCAACCTCCAACTCCCTGATTCAAGGGATTCTCCTGCCTTTGCCTCCAGAGTAGCTGGGATTATAGGCATGCACCGCCATGCCTGGCTAATTTTTGTATTTTTAGTAGAGATGGGGTTTCACTATATTGGCCAGGATGGTCTCGATCTCCTGACCTCGTGATCCACCCGCCTCAGCCTCCCAAAGTGCTGGGATTACAGGCGTGAAGGTAATGATATTTAATAACAACTTCAAACCATTGTTGAAAAATCAAGATGTTTATGCCTTATTTCTGGGAAGGACTCAAATTTATATAAACCCAAAGAGAAGTTCTTCAACATGGTTTTTATACGTAACCTGAGTACATGCTACTAGTTAAAGCTCAAGGAAACAAAATACAGTTGTGATTATTTGCATCAGCTTAGGGCTTGAGCACTCATGAAAATCAAAGAAATCTGTTCTCAGGTTTCTTAACTAAATAATATTACTTCTTTTCACCATTTCTATTCATATTTGTTACTACTTTGCAGTGGTATTTTGGTAAATGGTTAGTAACCAGCTCTTTGGAGGAAAAAGGTATAAATAGTTATAATCAGTTTTACTTATATAAAGGATAAGTAGCACAAAATTTATAAGTAATAATAAAATGCATAATACTATTTTTTGTAAATTCTGTATTACCAGTTGATTCTCATAGAATGCTTTCATTAATTTTTCCCAGATTCTTTAACCTGTAGCCAGTCAATTATTACCGTTAACAAAGAAGTATAACTTCAACATGATGGCATCAGACAGTAAGATGAGAATAAAACCAGAAAGATATATGTTGGAATTTTACTCATTTGTCAATCCCATGAATGACTTGGCTGAATTGATCATGGTTTTTGGAAAATGGATGTACAACTCAATTTTTTCTGCTATTCACAATGTATTGGCTACAGATATGACATACTTTTCTATTTAATCTGTATTATTACATTTCCCAATCACTGTCTTATATCTAGACAATTAACAAGACCAATCAATATCTGATTTGTAACATTTGCTAATTCCTATGCTATAAATAGTTTCTTGATGGTTGATTTCCTGCTATTGACATCAGTCACTGAATGCGGTGCTGTGAAGAGATGTGTAGTAGCACACTATGATATATTTTTACTATTCTAAAGCATTAAATCCTACAGATCCGATACATGTAAACAACCTCAAGAACACTGAAATAGTAATGAAATGTACTAAAATAATTAGGAAGTGATGAGTTTTTAGTATTTGTTACCTCTGTTTTTAATATTATTTATTTAATTGTATGTCTATATAATTTACTTTTTAATAGTGGATCTGTTCAGCCATTGGTTTGCAAAATTCCTGAAATTTTAACGATCTGCTTTTATGAGCTGGCAAAGTGCTGTTCTGTTCCACTGAGTTGTCACTAAGTTCTTTAATTCTCTCAAGTTAGGGACATTGTACCTTGTAAATAAAAGACTAAGAAGTAATTAGCAAAAAGAAATAGGCTCATAAGGTTTTTTTGAAAAGCTATATATAGATCTATTTTGATTCTCACTACTTCACTTCTAAGCTACATCCAATCTTCAGTCTATGTTGGGTTGACTTAATGGTTTTCAAGGTACAATAGTAACAGGTTAAAAGTTCAGTTCCGTTTTTTTCTAATGTACTTTTGAGTAGGGACAGATTCTGCTCCCACAGTTGACGATTTCCTTCCATTTTATGAAAAGGCCCATTTGCTCACGACCCACTTCCTGTTTTCCTGGATGCCATGCCTGCCCCGTGGCAGCAGGAACAGCTGTGTGGCTGGCTCTCCTGCCAGGGAAGGAAAGTGGCAAATAAACACCAGCCAAGGGCAAGAATGCTTCCCAGGGCTTGCTCTGAGCTCCACACCTGTAGTGTTTCATGGGTGTTTCCCACAACAAACAGGACTCACAGAACTGTGTTTGTGTCACAAGCTTTAGAACTAACTGCTTCGTTTTGAAATAGGAAAAGTACTTAGTTTGGGCTCAAATTTGAGAATAAGGCATTAGGGGACTCTAATGAGGACTGGTCCCAACCTAAGGGCCATCAGCCAAATTCCCGTCCTACCTTCTCCAGTTCCACGCCCTCTGCTCAAGCAGCACATGGCTGTTCACCGAGCCAGCAGCCCTTAGTGAGCATCTGGTCCCCAAGTGTAGAGATAGGATTGTAGCCACCAAATATTTCAAGCTGTGCCACAAGTATTTCTAGATTCGCAATTCGCAGTTCCTCTGCTCGATCACTTGCTTAAAATGTAAATCATTATTATTATTATTTCTGCATTGATCAAACTCAAGATACTCTCTTCTAATTCAAAATAGATAGTTCATTCCTCTCATTTTATTTCCTTGTTTTAGAATTTCCTTAAAGTTCTTTAGAATTGGATACTTGGTCACAAATTTAAAATCAATTAGCTAGAAATAGTATCCCTTGTTGGGGGGGGTTGCTTAGAACAGGAGACAATGACCTATCTTCCCTTTATGCCTTTTGATCTTTTGTCAATTACCCTGTAAATGTATGCCCAAGGAAAGATTTATTTGCTTAAGCCTGGTGTAGAAAAATGTGTAAGAAAATGACAGTCACTGAATATTTTCATTTTAAAAATGTAAAGTAAATTGAGGATCTGTAATTTGAGCTCCATATGCATTGATCTTTAAATCTCCAAGGTCTGCTAATTAAAATAGATAATTCATAACTTGTTAATAACCTAATTATAATCAGCACTGCAAATCTTGTAAATAAACAATTCAATGCACTAAGGGAATAGGCTCCATTATGGTGATTCACAATGAAGGTTCAACTGAAATCAAATGGCGGCAGAAAGCAAGCTGATTCGAAAGTTATGATGAAAAATCCGTATGCACACAACTGTATTGGTTTAGACATGCACATAAAGCATCTGTGTACATGATTAGATATCTGAAGTTTAATGCAAAATCTTATTAATAAGAAAAAACATGATTAAAGACCACAGACCTGGGAGCCAGTCTTCCATTGTTCTTAAAACCATGCTGGGAAACATCAAACACACACCAAAACCCTACTAGTGATGCCCTTTGTGACATGCAGCTTTGAGAGGTTACATAGCTTAGTAGCCCTTCTCCTATATGTGTGATATTTATCAACTCAGACTCTGCAAGTTGTCCTGACCATGACAGCCAGGAAGACATGGACAGCCTGGATCAGGCAACAGAAATCTCAGTTCTATACAAGGTGACAGCAGGGAGCACGAGTTTGTTCTTTGGCCACACACACCTTCACACTTGCCCTATGTTGCCTTTAAAAAGGCTGCACTTTGTCCACTGTAAACTAACTCTGGAAGAGACAAGATTATGCTTTCTACAGCAGGAAGTAATTTTAAGTGAGATCCAGTATTCTTCAGATTCATGTGATGAACACACCTCTTACTACAAAGACTATCAAGAAAGCAGATGCTTTAGTTCCTGAACGCTGAATAGGCATATTCTACTGCTAGGAGCATTTCTAATAGTTCCTCTGCTCCAGAAAAGCAGAAAATGAGAAGTGTAGGTGGAGGCTAGATTTGAAGTGGCCAGTTCTGCACTGAAATCGTCCCTCAAGGAGGATGGTTCCTTGGTGACTTTTGACTTTCAGATGCTTGGCCTTACTGTTTTTGAGCCAAATCACCCACTTGCTCTTCAACAGTGATTCACCATCCTCTCTGTACCTACTCATCACACATCCTACATGCTCCAGACTAAAATCAAACTGAAGGCTGCAACCCATGTGTAGTGCGCACTGCTGGCTGTTCACATAGCATATGTTGCCCATACTTCCAAGTTAACAGAACTCCAGTATTGACCAGTGACTTCCACGTACCTCAGAGAAAGCTGACCCCATCCCCGTCTGCCAGATGGGCCTGGCTCATCTAAGGTCATTCCATTCTTGCCAAAGAATTGGGTCAGTGTATTACTCAATTGTAGTCAATGAAATATGAGAGGAACTCTTTAGTGGGGGCTTTCTGGGAAAGGTTTCCTTTCTCCTACAAAACTATTAAAAGAGATAGTCTCTCTTCCTCTTATGAAAATTCTAGTGTCTGGATATGATACATGGAACAGCCACAGACCCATTGCTCCCAGCCTTAGGGGGAAGCTGACCCCAAAGATGATACAGAGAAGAATTAGGAAGAACTAAGATCCTTGATGACAACTTGGGCTTCAGATTCAACTAATACTGAATGCTACTCCACTCTGGGATTCCTGTTCCATGAGATAAGACATTCCCTAACTGTTGAAGTAGGTTTGAGATGGGTTTCACTTACTTGAAACTTGTTTTAGTTATCTATTGCTGCAGAACAAATTATCCTAAAATGTAGAGGCTTAAAACAGTAAGCATTGACTATTCCATAGTTTCTGTGAGTCTAGAATCTAAGCATGGCTTTGCTGGGTGCCTCTGACTCATGGCCTCTCACCAGGCTACAGTGCAGGTGTGGATCAGGACTATGGTCTCATCTGTAGGCTCTACTGGGGAAGGATCTGCCCCCAACTTCACTCAAGTGGCTGTTGGCAGGTTTCTAGGCTCATGATCAGTGGACAAAGGGCCTCAGCGCCTCGCTGGCAGTTGGCTGAAGTCTCCCTCAGCTCCTTGCCATGTGGGTCTCCGTAGAGCAGCTCACAGCGTGGTGGCTGGCTTTCCTCAGAGTGAGCAAGTGAGCGAGGGTGCCCAAGATGGAGACCACAGTCCTTTTCAACCCTAATCTTGGATGTAAGAAGTGACATCCCACTACCTTTGCCATATTCTATTCCTTAGATAGGAGTCACTAAGTACAGTCAGCATTCGTGGCAAGAGGCTACAAGAGGCTAGGGGGTGAACACAGGAGGTGGGGATCACTGAGAGCCACTTCAGAGAGGCCAACACACAACTGAAGGCATCCAGCAGCAAGGCCAGACCAAGAAACCACTCGAGAAGGTGCCAAGGCTGGATGCTGAAATCCACGGAGATTTTCACATCTTTCTCAAGTATAACTGCAACAGGTCTTTGATGCACTGTTGACTCTTGAGGGATGTCCTACAGACAGACCTAAAATGCTGGGTACTAGATGCTCTTTAGCCTGGAAAACATGTTTAATGAAGCTGAATAGAATAGCACATTCCACTATAATTTGATACTTGTAATTCACATGGTGAGATAAATTCTGGTATATTTCTTTATTAAATTTATGCTATGTGTCAGGCACCTATCTGAAGGACGGATATAAATATGAATAAAACAGTTAAGCCTCCAAGTATTAATAGCTTAAACTAGTAGAGGAGGCACATAACAGGTGTGTGTAATATGGTATAGTGAGTACAGTAAAGGATAAATGCCTAGAGGGCAGTGGGAGGAATTCCCACTGGAGGGAGTGAGAGGCTTGCCAGAGACAGGCACCTGAGGTGGCCACAGGGTGTGCACAGAGAACTTGCCCTGTGCAGCTGTGGCTTGAGCAGGCACGCAGCTCAGAGCAATCTGCACATGGGCTGGGTGAGCTGCAGAGCCGGCTGCCGAGAGGTGGCCTCTTAGAGCCACATACACCCGGGGAAGGTGGTTGCTCCACCTCTTCTGAACTCTTGATACAAACCATGTATTTGTTCAAAAGAGTTCAGAAGCCCCACATATACATGGCACTGAACATCTGAGCACACAGTTTTCTCCATTTGGCCTTTGTTCCAGGTAAATGTGGTTTTCATGACCAAATATCAAGTACTAATAACAGTTTCAGCATCAAAATTGGAGTGAGGGCTTTGTGCTTGGGCTGAGTTCCAGGCAGGCTGGCAGGAGGCTGGCTGTGGAAGGGAGGCTGGCAGTAGGCCTACTGGGACCCCAGCAAAGCCATCAGGCCTATGAGTGGGTCAAGACCTTACAGAGGTCAGGGAGGAGACAGGGGAATGGCTGGAACAGAATGGCTCAGAGTTGAAGAGATAAAATAAAGGGTGAAGTTGTATAGGACTTATTTATGTCTTCTCCTCACCCTCTTAAATCTGCGCACAAATCCATTATCCATTAGCTTTTTGAATCTTTTAATCTTATTTAGGTTAGTGGACACTGGTTTTCAAAAAAGTGTATTTCTCCTTTTTAACAACCTAAGTGGAGTATACCATCTGCTGTAGCAATCACAATGGATGTGAAAGCCACAGTGTCCCCTGGGAGTTCCTGCAGTGGCAGAAGAGAAGTGCAGGGTGATGGATGAAGCAAAGATTGAGAGTCCGAGATCCCATAAAGAGAAACCCCTCTGTACCGCTTATGGTGGTAAGGCCTCCTGCCTCGGTTTCCCCATGGTGTCTGTGCATACCCTACGAAGCAGTGAGAGAGCTTCTGTGAGATGCCTGGTGGACCGGCTGGGCCTCATATGTACTCAGGGTAAGCTCCCCTATAAACACAGCGTTTGTTATGTGAGGAACATAGTTTTAAAACTGAACTCAAGAGGAGATAGGCAAGTGCTTGTAGCTGGCATTAAAATGTCTCCACTGAGCTTCCACACAGCCAAAAATAGCCGGAAGTTTGCTCAGGAGCCCAGGGGTGAACATGGGCCACAGGGACGCACATTCACACCCAGCACTCAGGCGCCAACAGCCTGTGCCTCACTGGGGATGGGTGGAAGGAGCACCCAGATTTCAACATTATGAAAAACGATACAACAAATGAAAAGATTCATTTTCCTTAACTTTTTTAAGTCCTGAAGGCAAGTTGCATTCTGCCTGCTTAGGCGGGGAATCCTAGTTTGTAAAGCCATAAACAATGGGCAGGCTGGTTCTGCTAATTAGCAACATAAAAGCTCCGAGATGCTTGAACATGTGGTGCGCTGGCAGCCAGGAGCGCGGGGCAGGAGCGGGGCAGGAGAGGGAGGGGAGACTCTGAGTCCCAAGAAGGGCAAGGCGCTTGCCTGGTCTGAAGGGGAGGTGGAGTTGAAATCAGTGCACTCCATCTAACACCTCCTGGGGCCTCCCCATCCCAACCTCCTCTTCCCCCAACTCCATTGCTGTGGGCATGAGAGGGGAAGAGAGGGAGAAGGTGAATTATGACGCTGAGGGCAAAGGAAGTCCCAGGTGCCTGTACCTGGGGGAATGAACTGGTATGGAGTTGGCAAGAGGGCACAAGGAGGAAATGGAGCCACAAGGCAAGACGAAGGTGAGTCTGGTTTTCTCTCCGCCACTTCGCTCTCCTTCCGGCTCAGACCTGTCCAAAGGTCTAAGGGCAGCAGGTGGGGAGGTTCCACTGCTCTGCAGAGATGCAGGAGGAAGCCTGATGCTGCCTTGGTAAGTACCCCTCCCACATCTTGTCTGCCCGTTGCCCCAGCAGATGCTGCACCTGAACAGTGAGTGCCCCCAACACACAGGGAGCCCAGGAGAAAGCGAGGGTCTGCAAGTTTGCACCCAGCTCTCCCATCCTGTGCAGGCTGCCACAGAGCCACTGGTGCTGGGCCCGTTCTGTGACTGCCAACAGGCTGTACTTGGCTTTATAGCTTTCATCCAGCTATCTTTCCCTCACTTTTTCCTGCAGGAAGGAAATTCTGTAGGTGAGCACAGCGGCCACAGGAGAGAGCACCGACTCTCATGGCCTTGGTGTGTGGGGCTTAAAACCCACTGTCTTCAGAGATGAAATGGCTCTGGAGCCATCCACGCCACGGCTGCAGTCTTTCTGATTGATAAGCCTAACCCTTCCTTTTTGAATGCCCTAAAAAATTCATTTGCATTCGGAAGCATGTCTAATGTCAAGATGATCAAATGTATTTTAAGGGTGGAAAAGAAGTACTTGTGAAGAAAGATAAAATGAATCAGGATTATTTTGCCTAGAGAAAGTCAATAAGTAATCCAACAATTATCTTCTTTACCCAGAAGCTGGCAGGCAGCTAGTCAACACTTCCAAAGAAGACAGAAAAAGATAAAGCAGTCCAGTGGCAGAAAAGTATGAACTTCCTAACTAGAGGGCTGTGCACACTCATGTGGGCACCAGCAGGGCTCCTGGCCGCATGCACAGTGATATTGCGCTGCTCCGTGTACACAGCCCAGGATGGCACTTGCTTTATCAGAAGTGTCGCCGCCCAGCTGAGACATACTGAAGCGGTCCAAGCGCAGGCCCGACGTGCCCATAATGCCATGGAGTGTAGAGAGTAAGTGTATAAAACTATGCCTGTCCGGAGGTGGGAATGCTATCTCTACTTACTAAAGTCCAAAAGAACCCCAGGAAACAAAGAGAGCCCCATCTCAAACAGGGTGTGCCAGGAAACAGAAGCAAAGCAGGACTTCAATTCTGGCTTATTAGTACACTCAAAGTGAGCTGCTTCCCCTTCTCGTACACCTCAGTTTCCTTTTCCATAGAGAAGCAGTGCTCATGCTTGGCCGCTGGCGACAGAGTTCCACAGCTAACTTACGAAGGACGTCCTCCCAGCTCTTGAGTGCGATCTCTACAGGTGTGCCCACAGCCTGCCTGAGTTAGCCCACCATCCAGATCACACGACGGCTGTGCCGGACAGCTGTCTCTCTCTACAGACACTCTGAGGTTCATTCTAATATGAGAACACTGGCTCCTAGCTGACATCTCTACAACCACAAGGTGTGTGTTTAGCTGAAGTCTGACCACAGATAGGCATGATTACCTGGTTAAATTCTCCAGAGTGTGTTCTCTGTGAAATCAGACACACTGCATTCAGCATTGGGAAACAAGAGCTGAGAAGGAAAGGCACACACATCCAAAGACAAGAATGGAAAATCTGGAAACCCAGCCCTGACATCGCAGTGCTCAGAGAGATGAACAGTTAACACAGTCGGAATGAAGCAAGAGGAACATACGTTTGGGTATCGGGTCTGAGGCCTCGGAACCAGCGCCTTCCCCGGGAAAGCTGAGAGGCTCCACCACGTCTGTGTCGGGAGGAGGGTAGGGCGGGGGTGGGGGAAGCACTAACTGGGGTGGACCCCGAGCAGTGCCTCTGGGAGGCTTTTGTGGCACCTGCCGTCCACCACCTATATGGAATCAACAGGGAGTTACTTCAGCAGGTTAAACCAAGCCGTCACTCACTAGGCACCAAATCCAACCTCACTGGGCACCAGATCCAGCCACACTCAACACCAGATCCAGCCACACCTAACACCAGATCCAGTCATATCCAGCACCTAATCCATTCTCATCTGGCACCAACCACATCCAACCACACTCACACTTTAACATTTTACATACGTAGTGTTCTATCATTGGAGCAGTTTGGAAAGATGTGCCTGGTTGCAATTTCTTTTTAACAGACACAACTACATAAATGCTGGGCTTGAAAACTATTCTTCAACACCCTCGACAGAGCTTTGTCAAGTTTAAAGGAACTCCTTTTATTAATGTTAGTCTTTTTCAGGTTCACAGATCTGTTTTTAGCCTACTCTTGTTGCTTTTCTAGAGCCACTGACCTATTCTGGCTAGATTAAGCATTCATTTAGCTTATCTCCTGAGTCCATTTATACTTTTCAACCCCTTTGGTTGTTTAGAATAATAGTTCTCCAAGTTTGTTTTGAAGAATGTCCTGAGTTGTAGAGAGGGTGGGGATGTTGTCCCAAGCACATGGGACACAAGGACTCAGGCCTCCAGGGCGGAATCAGGGGGTCCTGCCCTGGGTTGAAGTGACTGGCCTAGGGATTGGCACGATCCAACCACATACAGCCATTTACAGTGGATGCCACTTAAAATTTAAACCAGGGGCTTTTGTCCATTTATGAAAAATGGGGAGAGAGCTTGGAAGGGAGAATGGGGGGCTCTTCACGAAACAGGAGAAAACCAGGTTTATTTTAATGATCCACTGATAATGTTTTCTTTCAGTCCTTTGGGAAAGAGGATGAGCTGACATGGAATACAGGTTATTGCTTCTTAAGGTAACTGACTCCCAGGCTGAAATGCTAACACATTAAAAGCGAGGAACTGACTAAGGGGAAAGACGCTGACAAACTGCCACGGAGCTCTCACTAAAGGTCCAGAAACTGCCAAGGCAGCCACTTATCTCAGAAGGACTTTCCCTCCTGCAGCTGCAGACCTTAGGGCAAAGGCAAAACGCGGGGCTGCCTGGGTGGGTTAAAGGGCATGGTGAGTGGCCTGTGAGTGCTGGTGGCTTCGTCGTGAGCACTGACACACGCCATTCTTGGGGCTCTCAGCTCAGGAAGGTGTGACTCCTAGGCTGCCATTTTCCAACCACTCCATGGAAGAGCCATTTCTGTTCCAACATAAGTGAAATAACAAATGCTGAATGATTTAAAAAGAAAATGAACCCTTGACTCCCCTGGACCTGGACAGCGCCATCATTCAGCTTCTCTCCACCTCGCCTGTAGCACGAGGGGTGGGCTATGATGATCTAATAGGTCTCTTTCTGCTCACAGATAGTATAATTCCATCTTCTTTCCTCTGGGCTCTCTTTCCCTCAAAGAAAATCAGGGTCTTTGCTAAATGTGTACCAGGTAATATAAGTGGAGATCAATTTCAAACAGGATGGTCCAAAAATTACTGAGCTGATGTCAACTTGTCTATACATCACCTGTGGCCTAAGATCTCTTTGAAATGCCAAATGTCCTTCAAAGCAGTTTCCACGATGTCACCCTAGGAACTTCTCCTTTTGCCATCAGAGACACACGTCGCACACTCACACTCACAGGCTTTCCATTTTCACCCTCTCCCGGCTCCTGCAGCCGTTTCTCCCCTTCCACCGTCCCCCGCCTCCTAAATGCTCACATAATGCCCACCAAATACTGCTAGTAAGATATGAAGTGAACTTGCAATTATTTCTTTCCAGCCCTTCTTTCTTTAGCATTAATATTTTTTGGGTTAATGTCATTATGGATGAGGCCACTGCAGGAGTTCACATCAGAGCTGACATTCCAGGACAGAGCAAGCATCCCCGCATGCAGACGGCAGGCCGAGCCTCACTCACCCATCGTGCTCTTCCTGTTCTCCTCCTTATCCTCAGTGCGGTTGGGGATCAGGGGACTCGGTGGTGGTGGCTGTGGTGGAGGGGGAGCTGGCGCTCGCCGCTTCTTCTTCTGTAAATCAATCTGTGACCCAAGAGATACCTATGAAGTACAAAGAAGGAAAGTACAATCAAAGTACTTTGTACCTATGAAGTACAAAGAAGGCAGTATTAGGGTGATTGTGCTGGGGCAGGGACCTGCACCGGAAGGTGGTGCTCCAGGAGGGTTGTTAGATGGCCAGTTCCCTTTCCAGGTCCTCCCACACAGGCAGGGGAGGCCATGAGGCGAGAGACCAGCGGATGTCCAAGGAGTGGCCTGGAGGTGGCACAGTGTTGCTCATAGACACCCCAAAGACCCCTATGAGCAGGGAGCTCATATTTTCTAGGGACTCCAGGCAAGTCTGGAGAGTTGGTAAACTTCCCTGTCACACAAGAGAATGAGACCCATAGTCCTTCATTAAATGTAAGGAGAACAATTCCTTCTGGAACAGGATGGGCTGCCGTGAATTGTGATCACACAGAGGAAGAGCTGATGGGGGCAGCTCAGACCTCACCCTGCTCTGACTTAGGTTTGTTTCCCTGACTGCATGTTCACGTTCCAGAGCAGCTGCAGCCAAGACTATCTAATGGTCCACAGGTGGACACATCTTGATCCAGAATCGCAATGAAGTTTCTTAGTATATGGGTTATTAGATCGGTGTATGGGACATTAGCCCCCAACCACAGCAGAAATCCAGCTCCTGCTCACAGCTTTCAACAGTGAAAGACACACAGCTTCTAAAGGCAGCTCATGAATACTGGGCAGGTCTAATTGCTGAATGTGAAATCTGTTTTGTCTGTAAAATTGAATTCACTGATTCCATTTCTTTGTTTCTGAAGGACTACATAATCCTACTCTCCTCTCCTCCTCATTAGGGCGAAAGTTTTTATTCGTTCACTCTCATTGATTAAAATTCATTGATTAAAGAACATTGTGTATAGAGCAGTGCAGAGTATGTGCAAAGAATGGGCCAGGCATGGTGGTGGACACTTGTAGTCTCAGCTACTCAGGAGGCTGAGGCAGGAGAATCGCTTGAACCCAGGAGGTGGAGGTTGCAGTGAGCCGAGATCACGCCACTGCACTCCAGCCTGGGTGATGTAGCAAGACTGTGTCTCAGAAAAAAAAAAAAAAAAAAAAAAAAAAGAATGAACATGGTGACTATCATATGACAAGAGCTGTCCTGCTCTCTAGTAGCTCAGAGCCAAGTCTGTACCTCCAGTCCAAGTACTTCCTGGCCTTCCAAGGGCTCATCATAGGAATGGTGCCTGCAACACCCTGCCTCTGCCACTTCAACTCTGACCTTGGTGCTCTCTGGTTTATTAACTCATGCTTGCACCATGTGTACCACGTATATGGGAGAGAGAAAGGGGGAGAGAGACAATGAGAGGGAGAGAGAGAGAGAGAGAGTGTGTGTGTGTAAAAAGTCTCCTTTTAATTTTTATCAGCAGTACACATTTATTGCAAAAAAGTTAAAAAATATATGTAAAAGGAAGAACATAATCACTTTATTAATACTCAAACTACTAACAATTGGCATGTTTTTCTAGACTATTTTTTCTTCTAAAAATATTTTTTTCTTTCCTTCTGTTATAGTATATTATAACCACCTCCTATACCTCTAAAATTCTGTAATATATTTTACATAAAACATGGACATAACAGAAAGTAAATAACCCCATAAAGATGAGTCAAAACCAGCAATTTATTGTCCACCACCCCCTCTCCAGCAGTAAGCATTTCACATTTTTTTTTTGGCATTTATTCCGTTTTTCTAAATAAGAAGCTTATTGTACTGTTTCTTGATTTTTCCATGTTAGGTATTGGCATCTACTCCAGAAGATGAGGATTTGGTTCTTTAAGACACACACATACACACAAACACACACACACACACACAGAGACATACACACACACACACACGCACAGACTCATACTTTTCCTCTCCATTTTCCAAAAAATTATAGCAAAAGATTTAAATTAATATTTACTATTTAGTTATATATATTTAGTTATAGTAGATATCAAAATTATGAAAAATATAAGTTTTCTTCAGCAGGAATTTTCTCCTCCTGAGATGTATAATGTATATCATAATTACAATTTCTAAATTACCTTTTTGTTTTCCCTGAACCTGATAACTGATTTGTTTTCTAGCTTTTTTCTTTAATTGCATTTCCTGGAAATTCCCATTCCCTCTATTCAGTTCTGATCCTTATGGATATTCCACCTGTTTTGTGTGGGGTTTTTTTGGTTGTTGTTGTTGCTTGTTTTTTTTGAGACAGAGTCTCACTCTGTCGCCCAGGCTGAAGTGCAGTGGCGCGATCTCGGGTTCCAGTGATTCTCCTGCCTCAGCCTCCTGAGTAGCTGGGACTACAGGCACTGCCACCACGCCGGGCTAATTTTTGTATTTTCAGTGGAGATGGGGTTTTGCCATGTTGGCCAGACTGGTCTTGAACTCCTGGGCTCCAGTGATGCACCCGCCTCGGCCTCCCGAATTGCTGGGATTACAGGTATGAGCCACTGTGCCCGGCCCCGCCTTTTTTTTTTTTTTTTTTTTAATTCTCTGCATCTTAGTGGTTCCCAGTTTCCAGCAACTTTCTGACACAAGATGCGTATGAGGAAGATTTTTGAGACCTTCAAAATGTAAGAATGTTTTTATTCTACTATACTGGACAGTCAGTATAGATGCCTACAGGAACCTAGGATGAAAAGAATTGTCCCTCAAAATGCTAAGCCATTACTCCACTGTCTCCTAGTTTGGAACTGTTCAGCTGAGACACCCGGATCCAGAGTGGGGCTCAATCTTCTGCATAGTATCTGCTTTTCCTCTGCAGGCTCAGGGGCTTCTGAGTCCTTCCTGCTGGGAAGTTTCATGATGGCAAGTGCTGGGTGGGGCTCTTTTCATTCATTGTCTGGGGCATTCACTGACCCCTGCAATCTGAATATCCTTAATTCTGCAGAATTTTTTAGTGTTATTCTTTTCAACTTTTTCTTTCCTCTGTTTCTTTCTCTCTGGGATTTCAATTAATTCAACACTGAGGATTCTAATTCAATTGTCTATTTTTTTCTTGAGTACTCTTGCCTAAATTTTTTCTGATTTCCCCCCCTCTTGGAAATTTTCTCCATTGTAAGACTCATGAATTTTTAAATTAGTTACTGTTTTTTTTTTGTTTTTTGTTTTTAATTTCCAAGAGCCCCTTCTTGTTATGTATTTTAAAAATAGCATCATGGTCTTGTTTCCTGGATACCATAGCTTCTCTTTCCTCTCAGAAGCTATGCTTTATGCTTTATATCTTTTTCAAGACCACATTTTAATTTCCATTTTCTTCAGCCATATGCATCGCACTTTCCTCCAGCATCCTTTCTGCTCTCTGTCTTGGCCTCTGCTTATCATATTTTGAGTCTTCCTCAAATTCATGACTGATTGTTTATAATATGTATGTTTCTGTGTCTAGAGTCTGTTCACACAGTAATGGGATTCCCAGTGGGGATCTGGGCAGAAATGCAGTAGCTGAGAGATCCCCAGATATTCATACCTGCAGGATTGTCTGCTAGCTCGGCCATCTTCTGCACAGGGGAAGCCCAGCTCCTGCCTGAGGGAAACTAGGCCTTCCCGAGTACTCTGGTGAGAGGGCCTTGAAGCTCTCCTGTGGCATGTGGGTTTTCGCTTATCCCTGTGTCGGTGCAGACTTGGTTGTGCCTGATGTCCTGAAGTCAGAGCCTCTTAGTTCTGCCACTGCAGGGGGTGGCAGTGCAGACATCTGGTTGTGGTGGGCAGGCAGGGGTATGGAGATCTTACTGTTTCACATGCAGGCATTCAGCCATTCCTTCATCATCAGCTCGTTCCACGGTCATGTGCAAACAAACATGTGCCCCAAATTCCTGAGTGTCCTAGGATCTGGCGTCTTCTGCTGGGCCTCTTTCACCCAGCAGTCAAGTTTCAGCTTCTTCTGCTTTACTAGGTATTTATCACAATCTAAATACACCGCAGGCTGGGCACAGTGACTCATGCCTGTAATCCCAGCACTTTGGGAGGCTGAGGCGGGTGGATTACTTGAGGTGAGGAGTTTTGAGACCAGCCTGGTCAACATGGCAAAACCTTGTCTCTACTGAATATATAAAAATTAGCCAGGCGTGGTGGCGGGCACCTATAAGCCCAGCTACTCGGGAAGCTGAGGCGGGAGGATAATTTGAACCTGGGAGATGGAGGTTGCAGTGAGCCGAGATCATGCCAGTGCACTCCAGCCTGGGCAACAGGGCAAGACTCCGTCTTAAAAAAAAACAAAAAACAAAACACTGTAGTCCCCAAAGTGTCTACTGAAAACTGTCATCAGTGGCCATTGCTTCTCTCGTCTTTGTCACAGTGAAGTAATACTTTTTTTTAGTGGAGTTTCAGAGGGAGAGACATAGATTTGTTTTGTTAGCCATATATTTTCCTGTAATTTTTCAGCTTTACTGAGGAACAAACAAGTAAACATTGTGTGTGTGTATGGTATACAACTGATGATCTGATATACATATCTATAGTGAAATAATCACAAGCAAGCTAATTAACATATCTATCAGTTCACATCATTACCATTTATCTTTTTTTTTTTCCTTTGTGGTAAAAACACTTAAAATCAACCCTCTTAGCAGAATTTCAACTATTTTTTAATGGCTGCCTAGTACTCCACAGAATTGATGAGCCATAATTAACTAAATTAGCCCCTATTGCCTTTAGCTAAATATTAAAATTATTTGGTTTTGGCAATAACAAATTAAACTTCTTAAAACACTCTGTAATTTTATCTTTTCCTCACATTTCTTTTTCTCTCTTTATTTTTCGAGTTTTCAATAAATCCATTTACTAAAACTCCTCAGGTATACAACACATAAAATTCAGTGAAGAGACAAGATCCTAAAATTGCTATCTCAATTTTAAGACTCCTTGTCATGAAGAAGTGATGTTGACTAGATAGCAGAAAAGGAAGCCCCGCACCTCAGTTTCCCCACAAAGACATCAACTTAACAGCAATTTGTAATCCAGAAGCTTTTATGAGAACTCCAGAAACCAGTTAAGAAGGCACAGGACCATAGGCAAGCTTAATGCCAAGAATGGCCATGCTGAAATGGGTAAGAAAAGCCATTTCACCTCAACTGTGACAGCCCTTCCCCTAACCCAGTATCGCTCAGTGTCTGCAGGAGAAAAGCCCAATTCATGGCTTTTCCCTTGGGAAGAAAAGAGAAGAATGGAATGTACATCTAACATTCCAGCTTTTCAGGGGGGCTGCCTGAGGGACTAGTTTATGTCTCGACTGACTGGGAGCACTGATGGGAAACTGGCACACTTTGAATGCCTGGGAGCTACTGAGAAAAAAGGAGCTCAGAGGCTGGTTGCAACAGCAGAGATCTGCCAGTGCCACAGGCAAAGGCCAGCACAGCTCAGTGCAATCAAGAGAAAGCACCCAGCTCACTGCTTATCCCTCGGGAGGAAATGAGTAAAAAGTACATGCAATGTTCTGGATTTGTGGGGAGGCTTGTTCAGGGACTGATTTCTGTCTCAGTTGACCAGGAATACAGACAAAACTGAAATACTATGGATGACTGAAGGCTTTAGAAAATAAGAGAGCTCAGAAGCTGGCCGCAGTGCCAGAAAATCTGCAGTACCATAGACAGATGCAAGAGAGAGCACGAGATTACAAGCTCATAAAGAAGAAATCAGCAAACCTTCTAATTGGAAAATACACCAACAAGCCCAGGGAAGATGGATATCCAGAAAAGGGTTGAGAGGCCCCAAGAATCTCTAGCTGAGCTGACTGACATGTTATTACACTGTAAGAAGCCAGTCCGTAAAGGCTGGAAGAGGTGGCTATTTTGTCAAATGCACAAATTACATTAAAAAATAACAAGGTACATGAAGAAACAGGGAAACATGGCCCAATTAAAGGAACAAAATAAACATCTAGAGAGAAATAACAATAAATGGAAATCTATGGCCAGAAAAGACAAAAAAATTAAAGTTCAGTGCACTACAAGAGAATACTCAGAAAGACAGCTAAACAAAATCAGCAAAACTATGCATGAATAGAATCATATCAATAAAGAGACAGAAACTATAAAAAACAGAAGTTCTGAAGCTGAAAAATAAAATAACCGAACTAAAAAGTTCACTGGAGGAGTTCAACAGCAGGCTGTATTAAGAAGAAGAAGAAATAATCAGTGAACTAAAAGACAGGTCAGTTGAAATTATTGAGTAAAGGAATAAAAAAAAATTCAAAAATTGAACACAGCCTTAAGGACTTTATGGGACAATGCCAAGGGGATGAAAATATGCATTATGGGGATCAGAGAAGGAGAAGAGAGAAAGGGGCAGAGAGTTGATCTGGAGAAGTAATGTCTGACAATTCTCCAAATTGGAGGAAGGAAATAGACATACAAAATTTTAAAAGCTCAAAGGACTCCAACTAGAATAAACCCAAAGAGGACCATACCACAATTCATTAAAATCAAGCTATCAATAGTCAAAGACAAAGAAAGAAACTTGAAAACAGCAAGAGAAATTGATTCATCACTTTCAAGGGAGTCTTATAATATTATCAGTAGGTTTCTCAGTAAAAACTTTGCAAGCCAGAAGAGGGTGGAATGACATATTCAAAGTGCTAAAAACGGAGAAAAAAAACGCCACCTGCCAATCAAGGATACTTAAAAACTTCCAACCAAGAATAGTTTATCTCAGGGGTTCCCAAACCCTGGGCCACAGACCAGTACCAATTCGTGGCTTGATAGGAACCAAGCTGCACAGCAAGAGGTGAGTGGTAAGTGAACAAGCATTACTGCCTGAGCTCTGCCTCACATCACATGAGTGGCCACGTTAGATTCTCTTAGGAGCGCAAACCCTATTGTGAACTGTGCATGCATGGGATCTAGATTGTGCACTCCTTATGGGAATCTAATGTCTGATGATCTGAGGTGGAACAGTTTTATCCCGAAACCATCCCTGCCCCACTGGTCCGTGGAAAAATTGTCTTCCACAAAACTGGTCCCTGGTGCCACAAAGGGTGGGGACTACTGCTTCATCTGGCAAAACTATATTTCAAAAGTGAAGTCGACTCATTCAATAAATCAATGCCGAGGCCAATGTCATAGAGCTTCCCTCTATGTTTTCTTCTAGTAGCTTTATAGTTGCAGGCCTTACATTTAACTTTTTAAAAACCATTTTAAGTAGATTTTTGTATATGGCCTGAAATAAGGCCCCAATTTCATTCTTCCATATGTGGATATCAAACTTTACCAACATCATTTACTGAAGAGACTGTTCTTTCCCCATTGTGTGTTCTTGATACCTTTGTCAAAAATCAATTGACCATAAACACTTGGGTTTATTTCTGGGCTTTCTGTACTGTTCCATTGGTTGATATGTCTGTTTTTTAGCCAGTACCATGCTGTAGTCAAAGCTATTGACTACAATAGCTTTACATTTCGAAATCAGGGAGTGTGATGCCTCCACCTTTGTTCTTTTTGCTCAAGATTTGGATTCTTTTCTGGTTCCACAGTAATTTAAGAATTGTTTTTTTCTATTTCTTTGAAAAAAGACATTGGAATTTTGATAAAAATTGCATTAAATGTGTAGGATCACTTTGGGTAGTACGGACATTTTAACAATATTAATTATTTTAATCCATGAACATGAAACATCTTTCCATTTTTGTGTGCCCTTTCCAATTTTTCAGCATGCTATATAGTTTTCAGTGTACAGATCTTTCACCTCCTTGTTTAAATTAACACATACAAAAATTCATAAATAGGAATGCATTAAACTAAATAGCTCCTGCACAGCAAAGAAAACAATGAACAGAGTGAAGAGACAATCCATGGATTTGTTAGAAAATATTTGCAAACCATATAGCTGATAAAAGGCTAATAACCAAAATATGTAAGAAACTGAAACTCAATAGCAAAAAACTAAATAACTGAATTAAAAAGTGGGCAAAGAATGTGAACAGACATTTTGCAAAAAAAAGAGAGATACGAATGACCAACATACATATGAAAAAATGTTCAATATCGCTAACCATATGAGAAATGCAAAGTAAAATCTACAGTGAGGTATCACCTCACACTTGTTAGAATGGCTATGACAAAAAAAGATGAATGAACCCTTGTGTATTGTTGGTGAAAATGTAAATTAGTACAGCCATTTTGGAAAATATGTTGAAGGTTCCCCAAAAAACTAAAAATAGAACTACCGTGGGATCCAACCATCCCCACTTCTGAGTACTATCCAAAAAAATTGAAATTAGTACATCAAAAGACATCTGCACTTCTATGTTCATTTCAACATTATTATGAATGCCACAGCAGGGCTGTATGAGCCAACTATCCCCACAGCAGGGCACAATGGCTCACACCTGTAATCCTAGCACTTTGGGAGGTTGAGCAGGGAGATCTCTTGAAGCCAGGAGTTTGAGACCAGCCTGGGCAACACTGCAAGACCCTGTCACTACAAAAAATGTTTTAAAGTTTAGCCAGGTATGGTGGCATGTGCCTGTAATTTCAGCTACTCAGGAGGCTGAGTCAGGAGGATTGCCTGAGCCCAGGGATTGAAGGCTGCAGGAGGCCATGATGATATCACTGCATTCCAGCCTGGGCGATGGCACCAGGCCCTGACACCAAAAGAAAAAAAAAAAAAGTATAGTCAAGATATAGAATTACCCTAAGTGGCAATCAACAGATACTTGGATAAATTGTTTTTTATATACATATATATATATGTATATAAAACACATATATTTATATTACATATATATGTAACAATACACAGCCTTTAAAAAGAAGAAAATTCTGTGATTTGTGACATCATGGGTGGAACTGGAGGACATTATGCTAAGTAAAATAAGACAGCACAAAGAGACAAATACTGTATGTTCTCACTTATATGTGGAATCTAAAACAGTTGATCTCATAGAAACATAATAGAAAGGTGGCAACCAGAAGCTGAGGAGTAGAGGAGAGAGAGGAAAAGAGGAGACATTGGTTAAAGGGTGCCAAGTTTCAGTTAAACTGGAGGAATAAGTTTCAGTGCCCTGCATGGTGACCATAGTTAATAACAATGTGTTGTATATCCCATAATTGCTTAAAGAATATAATTTTAATAATCTCACCACAAAAAAAAGTTAGTGAGGTAATATATATACATTAATTAGCTTGATTGAATATTTTGACAATGCATACATAGATTAAAAATCACATTGTACCCCATAAATATAAACAATTATTATTTATCAATTAAAAGTAAATAAATTTTTAAAATAAAGGAGAAATAAAGACCTAGCTAGATAAATAAAAGCTGATGAAGTTGATCATCTCTAGACCTGCATTACAAGAATTGGTAAAGGAAGTCTGTCAAGTTGAAAGGAAAGGACACTAGTTAGCAACATGAAAGCATATGAATATATAAAGTTACTCTCTGATGGAGTAACTATATAGACAAATACATAATCCTGGAATATAATATGTTCACAATAGTGTGTGAATAATTTTTAATTCTGGTAGAGAATTTAAAAAATAAAAGCATAAAAATATAAGTATAAAACTGTGAATAAATACAAAGTATGAAAATATGTACTTTGTGACATCAAAATATGATGTGTATAGGGTGAAATGCAAAGGAAAACAGCTTTTGTATGTTACTGAAGTTAAATTGTTATCAATTTAAAAGAGATTGTTATAAGATTTTTATGTAATCCTCATGGTAAGCACAAAGAAAATACCTACAAAAGATGCACAGGAGAAATGAAAAGGAATCAAAGTCTGTGTATTAGTCTGTTCTCATGCTGCTAATTAATAAAGGCATACCAAAGAATGGGCAATTTATAAAGGAAGGAGGTTTAATTAACTTACAGTTCCACATGGGTGGGGAGGCCTCACAATCACAGTGGAAGGTGAATGAGGAGCAAAATCATGTCTTACATGGCGGCAGGCAAAGACAGCATGTGCAGGGGAACTCCCCTTTATAAAACCATCAGATCTCATGGGACTTATTCACTATCATGAGAACAGCAAGGGACAGATCCACCACCATGATTCAATGACCTCCCATTGGGTCCCTCTCACGACACGTGAGAACTATGGGAGCTAAAACTGAAGATGAGATTTGAGTGGGGGACACAGCCAAACCATATTACTATGTAACTACAAACGTCAACAAAATACAAAGGAGAGTGCCAACAGAATAAAAGAGCAACAAAACTACAAGATATACGGAAACCAATTAACAAAATAGTAACAAGTCCTTCTCTATTAGTAAATAATTAAATGTAAATGGATTAAACTCCCCAATCAAAATATATAATCAAAATATTTAATCCATTCATGGCTGAATGGATTAAAAAACAAGATCCAACTATACACTGTCTACAAAAGATTCACTCTGGATATAAGGACATAAATAGGCTGGAAGTAAAAGGAGGGAAAAAGATATTCCATGCAAATAGTAACTAAAAGAGTGAATATGGCCATAATTACATCAAATAAGATAGACTTCAAGTCAAAAACTGTCATAAAACAAAGAAGGACCTTATATAATGATAAACGATCTACTCACTAGGAAGGTATAAAAACTATAAATACATGCGCATCTACCAGCAGTGTATTCAAATACATAAAGCAAACATTGACATAATTGAAAGTAGAAATAGACAGAAACACAATTAAAGTAGGATATTTCAATGCTCCACTTTCAATAATGAATAGATTAACCAGAGAGATCCATAAGTAATAGAGGACTTGAACAACAATATAGACCAATGGGATCTAACAGATACCTATCTCTGTCTCTTTCTCTGTCTCTATGTTATATAGAACATTCTCTATGATAGATCACATTTAAAGCCACAAAAGAAGTCTTAACAAGATTAAAAATATGAAAATCATATCAAATATCTTTTCTGACTATAAATAATGGAATGAAGCTAGAAATCAATAGTAAAACGAAAAGTGAAAAAGTCACAAATATGTGGAAACTGAATAATACAATCTTGAACAACCAATGGTTCAAAGAAGAAATCACAAGGGTAGTCAGAAAATATATTGAGACAAATGAAAATAAAACCATAATATGCCAAAACTCATGGGATTCAGGCAAAGCAATTCTAAGAGGAAAGCTTGTAATAATAAACACCCATATGAAAAACAACGAAAGAGCTCATCAGCAATATGACTTTGTACCTCAGGAAACTGAAAGAACAAATTAAACCAACATTTAATAGAAAGATTAAGGCAGAAATAAATGAAATAGAAAATAGAAAAAGGAAAAAAGAACTTTGGTTAAAATATTAACAGAATTTCAGTTTTTTTAAAAGATCAACAAAATTGACTACCCTTAGTTACAGTAAGTAAAAAATGAGAGAAGACTCATATTTTAAAAATTAGAAAGAGACATTACAAGTGATGCTACAAAAACAAAAAAGATCATAGGAGGCTATTGTGAATAATTACACACCAACCAATTGGATAACCTAGAAGAAATGGATAGATTTCTACAAACATATATCCTACTAAGACTGAGTTATAAAGAAACAAAAATTCTGGACATAACCTATAAGCAGTCAGGAAATCGAATCAGTAACCAAAAACCTTCCAACAAAGAAAAGCCCACAACCAGATGGCTTCAATGGAGAATTCTACCAAATACTTAAAGAACAAATACAAATTCTTTTCAAAATCTTTCCAAATATTGATGAGGAGGAAGACTTCCAGACTCATTTTATGATGCCAGCAGGACCCTGACACCAAAAATAAGACAAAGATAGTATAAGAAAATTACAGACCAGTATCCCTGATGAAACATTGGTATAAAAATTCTCAACCAAGCACTAGCAAACAGAATTCAACATCACAATAAAAGGATTATACACTACAATCACACGGGATTTATTCCTGGAAGGTAAGAATGCTTCAATATAAAAACATCAATCAATGTAATATGCCACAGTGAAAGACAAAAACCATACAAAACTCAACACCCTTTTATGATTTAAAAAAACACTCAACAACTAGGAATCAAAGGAAATTACCTAAACTTAACAAAGTCCACACATAAAAATCCCACAGCTGACATCATACTCAATTGTGAAAAACTGAAAGCTTTCTCTTTAAGACGAGGAAGAAGGAAAGAATACCTTCTCTTCCCATTTCTATTGAAAATAGTGTTGGGAGTCCTAGCCATAACAATTAGGCAAGAAAAAGAAATATAAGGCATCTAAATTGAAAACGGAAGAAGTGAAATTATTCCTTTTGCATATACATGATTTTATATGTAGAAAATCCTAAAGATTTGACAAAAATGCTGTTAGAACTAATACATACATTCAGCAAAGTTGCAGGATACAAAATCAATTCCAAAAAATCAGTTTTGTTTTTATACACTAACAATAAACAATCTAAAAAGGAAATTAAGAAAATAATTTAATTTGCAGTTGCATTAAAAATAATAAAATACTTAGAAATAAGCTTAATCAGGCTGGGTGCAGTGGCTCACACCTGTAATCCCAGCACTTTGGGAGGCCGAGGCGGGTGGATCACAAGGTCAGCAGATCGAGACCATCCTGGCTAACACAGTGAAACCCTGTCTCTACTAAAAATACAAAAAAATTATCCGGGCATGGTGGCGGGCACCTGTAGTCCCAGCTACTCAGGAGGCTGAGGCAGGAGAATGGCATGAACCCGGCAGGCGGAGATTGCAGTGAGCCAAGATTGCGCCACTGCACTCCAGCCTGGACAACAGAGCGAGACTCCATCTCAAAAAAAAAAAAAAAAAAAGCAATAAGCTTAATCAAGGAGATAAAAAAGACTTGCACACTGAAAACTACAAAACATTGCTGGAATTAGAGAAGACACAATAAATATTTTCATGAAAGTATTAATAATGTTAAAATGTCCATGCTACCCAAAACAATCTATACATTCAAAGCAATCACTACCAAAATCCCAATAGCAGTTTCTTTTTTTTTTTTGGAGAAATAGGAAAAACAAATCCTAAAGGTCATGATGGAATCTCAAAGTACTCCAAATAACCAAAGCAATCTTGAGGGGAAGAAAACAATAAAACATAGCTGGAAGCCTCACACTTTCTGGTTTCAAAACATATTACAAAGCTACTATAATGAAAACAGTATGGTACTGACATAGAGAACAATGTGTAAATCAATGAAACAGAATAAGGAGCTCAAAAATAAACTTTCATGTATATAATCTAATGATCTTTGATAAAGGTGTTAACACAATGTGGAAGATAGTTTCTTCAACAAATGGTGTTTGGAAAATGCAAAATATTCAAATACAAAAGAATGAAATTGGGCCCTTACCGTTAACCATATAAAAAAATTAAAATGGATTAAACATCCAAATGTAAGACCTGAAATTATAAAGTTCCTAGAAGAAAACATAGAGGGAAATCTTTATGACATTCTATTTGGCAATGGTTTCTTAGATATGGCACCAAAAGTACAGACAACAAAAGCAAAAATAGACTAATGTGAGTATATCATACTTAAAAGCTATTGTGCAACAAAGGAAACAATCAACAGAGTGAAGAGGGAACCTATAGAATGAGAGAAAATATCTATAAACCATATGTCTGAAAGGGGGTTAATATATAGACTATATAAAGAGCATCAAGTCAACAATGACAATAAGCAAACAATCTGATTTACAAAGAGGCAAAGAATTTGAAGAGACGTTTCTCCAAGGAAGATATACAAATGGCCACAAAGCATATGAAAAGATGCTCAACATCACTAATCATCTGGGAAATGCAAATCAAAATTACAATAAGATATCACCTCACTTCCACTAGGATGGCCACTATCAAAAAAAAAAAAAAAGAGAGAAAACAAGTGTTGGTGAGGATGCGGAGAAATTAGAATTCTTATGCATTGTTAGTAGGAATGTGGAATGATACAAGTACTATGGAATAAGTATAAAGTACCTCAAAAAATTAAAAATAGAATTACCACATAATCTAGCAATCCCACTTCTGGATATACATCCAAAAGAACAGCAAACAGAATTTCAAAGAGATGTGTTCTTGTTCACTGCAGCACAGTTCACAATAACCAAGAGGTGGAAGCAACATAAATATCTATTGATGGATGAATGCATAAAGAAAATGTGGTCTATACACAGAGTGGAACATTATCAAGGAAATTCTGACACATGCTGTAACTTAGAGAAACTTTGAAAAGGTTATGCTAAGTGAAATAAGCCAGTCACAAAAAGACAAATAATCGCATAATTCCATTTACATGAGCTATATAAAGTAGTCAAACTTTAGAAAGTAGAATGGTGGTTGCCAGGAGCTTGAGGGAGGGGGAAAAGATGAATTATTTTTCAATGGGTATAAAATTTCAGTTATGCAATATGAAAAAGTTCTAGTGATCTAGAGGTGCCTATATTAAACATGACACTTAAAAATGATTAAGATTATACATTTCATGCTATGTGGTTTTTTTAACCACAATTTTTTAACCACCATTATTATTAATAATAAAGAGTCCTTGTCATCTGGTTAGCTCACATTCGGTTTGTGATAATATCACCAGAATTCTTTCAAATAAATGGATATGAAACCTTTCCATTTTTTCTGTTAATACCTACTTATCACTTTAGCCCACTGTTCTAACTTGTAAGACTTTTCTAGGCCTAGAGGCTGGTGTGATGTGGTGTTCTAGTCTTTTAGAAGCCCTGACTCGACCTTATACCTGAGTATTCAAGAGTTCTTAGGAAGAGATGAGATGCCTGGCCTTGCCACCACCTCCACTGTGGTAATCCTGCCTATTATTTCCACCCTATTTGTTGATAACACTGAAAGCCATAACACCTTGGCTTTAGTTACTAGACTTCTTCCTTCAGAGTTGACATCAATCTATTAACTAATGGTGATTGTTCAAATGTTATAGGTTTGCCCACGTATTATTTTCTAGTCTCTATTTCTCATTCTCTCCTTAAAATATTGAGAGACTTTGTTAAATGCCACGATTTCACTTACTCCTTCAATTAACTAGCAAGGGGCTGCTGAGTCCTTTCTCTGTGATAGGAACTGTAGTGGATTCAAAGATGTAAAACGTTCCTGACCTCAAGCTGTTCAAAGTCTAATGGAGGAGAGATAATTCTATAGCATTCACACAATCTACCAGGTTGGAAACACTACCAAAAACTACCATTTGTATCCTACTTGGGGACTTGCTTTGTTCTATGAATCCACATTGGTTAGCTGAAGCCCTCTAAGCTCTCACTGATGGCTGTAATAATAACGACATATTCCAGAATTCTCTTAAGGGTCCACATTAAGCTGAAGGTAATTAATTAGAAAAGGAGGGCATAGAAGCAGCTCTTTTGGCTGAGTGCAGTGGCTCACGCCAGTAATCCCAGCACTTTGGGAGGCTGAGGCAGGCAGATCACATGAGGTCAGGAGTTTGAGACCAGCCTGACCAACATGGTGAAACCCCATCTCTACTAAAAATACAAAAAAATTATCAGGGCATGGTGGCCCACACCTGTAGTCCCAGCTACTCAAGAGGCTGAGGCACAAGAATCACTTGAACCCGGGCAGCAGAGTTTGCAGTGAGCTGAGATCCTGCCACTGCACTCCAGCCTGGGTGACACAGCAAGACTCCGTCTTCAATAAGAAACAAAAAAAAAACAACAACAAAAAAAAACGCAGCAGCAGCTCTTTTTCAAATTGTTTACCCAACTTGAAAAAGCAATTTCACCTGTTGAAAGATGGTTCTGGCTCACTCATTGTTACACAATTTGGAGAAGCATTAAACTCCTTGAGGCTTTGCCAAAATTGCCTAGCTTTGCCTCTGGAAGTTCTTCTCCCAAAGTTAATAACATCTATTCAACAAACAATTATTGAATACCATGTATTTCCCAGTCATGGTGCTACTCCTGGTAAATTAAGATAACATGCTTGAAAAATGTCTGGCAAAGTCAGAGACCCTTCAATAAAGACAAGGTCTAATGGGAGTTTGTGTTAGTTTAAGGTGCTTAAACAAAAGGATTCTGGTAGATGTATTTAGAGACTTCAAGCAAATATTAACATTGTCAGCCATAAATATTTATTAAACATTTACTCAGGGTGTTAATTGTATCTCATATGACTCAAATCCCCCCAAAGGGAGGTAATTTTACTATATCTATTTTTATAAAGGAAGAAACTGAAGATTACGAAAGATAACTTGTCCAAGATCATACAAGTAATAAGTGAGCAGAGTGAGGATTTAGCTTTGGTTTGACTCTAAGCCCATCCTCTTTAACCACTGTCCTTACCTTGCCTTCCCAGCCTCAGGCTGATAGGTCAGGAAGAAATAACTGCTGCAGTTTTGAATGGAAATGTTTATTTTTATGATACCATAGTGACTAAAGCCCATGGATTTCTCACCTAGTAAAGCACCCACCTACTGGGCATATTAGAAACCAGTTTGTGCTTCAAAGTGTTGCTTTAGAAAATACTTTAAAAGTCTATCTTTAGCATATTCTATGAGGAACACTTAATATCTAGTCCTGCCTGATTTCCAAAGCATGCAGCTAGCCCTTTTCCTTCCCGCAACCAGGAAATCTAGTGCCTTCTCGTTATGGACTGAATGTGTGTGTTCCCCCAAAATTCAGGTGTGGAAATCCTAACCTCCAAGGTGATATTAGAAGGTGGAGCCTTTGGGAAGTGGTAAGTTGGTGAAGCCTTCATGAATGGCATTAGAGCCCTTACAAGGGACCACAAAAAGCTCTCTAGCTCTTTTTCTGCCATATGAGGACACAGCAAAAAAAGAGTTGTCAGAAAACCAGGAAGAGATCACTCATCAGTCACCGAGTCTTCTGGCGCCATGATCGTGGACTTTCTAGCCTCCAAAACTGTGAGAAATAATGGTTGTTTAACCCATCCAGTTTATATTTTCTATAGCAGTGTGAGCTAAGACACCTCTTTTGCTTGGTCAGGACTGATTTTTAAATGCCTCCCGTCTGGCATATGGTAGGAAGGAAACTTTCCCCAATAGCAGAAACAGTGACGGATTTCTGGGTCATTTTTGGAAGCATTTGCTCCACTTTGGTTTCTTTGGTCTCATAATCTCATTGTGCCAATTATGTACATCATCCTCGAGGTCAGAAGTGTTTAAGGGGGAGGGAAGTTCTAACTTAAAGAGGACAGATAAGAACTCTCACCACCAGACACAGCCTCACGCTCCCACTCCCGACCTTGGTTCTATACCTCACTCTGGGAGTGGCACTTCATAGGAACTTAGTAAAAGGTGATTAAATGCTGGTGTGTTTATCTTCCATGTCCCTTTATGCCTTTCATCTGTACACATACATTAGGTTCACGTTATTCTTAGGGGAAGTGAAGACACTCCTTAAGGTCTCACTTGTTTAGCTAAAGAAGACAGACATCCACAGAGCCTTGGTCTGTATAATAAGAAAATGAGCAGGATTCAGCACCTTGCATCCATTTACATATTCATTTGTTCGCTTGTTTGTTGATTTGTTCATTCATTCACATGTGGGTCTCCTCAGTGCCAAGGCCCATGGGCAAATAATACACACAAGCGAAGGAAAACCAGGTGGATTTCTTCTAATATAGTCAAATCATAGAACCAAAGAGTGGAAAGGTGGTTGCCAGGCGATGAGGGGAAGAGGGAAATGGGAGTTGCTGTTGAAGGGGTACAAAGTTCCACTGATGCAGGATGAATAAGCTCTAGAGATCCGCTGCACAGGCTGTGCTCAGAGTGACAACACTCTTGTGCATTTCACACTTTGTTCAGAGGGAAGATCTCATGTTCAGTGTTCCTACCACAAAAAAATAACATTCTTAAAAACTGTGATTCATGCTGTAAACAGGCTTTCAGAAAGGCTATTAGTTTAAGTCATCAGCAGCCCCTATCCCCCATTCAACAACACAGAGTATCAATGACCATGCTTGTTTTTTTATCAAAGTGTAAGTGTTCTGAATACTTTAAAAATTTACATTTTTTCACATATTAGGATTAGCAATGTTTAATGCTTATTATTTATGTGTTTGTGTGTGAGAAAGAGAGAGAATTGGTTGTTCACATCAATTTTTTTTCCTACTGTGGTGTCCATGTGCTCTTAGCAATATCCTCTAAATAGCATATATATTGTAAATATTTTCCCTAGTTTGTCATGGCCTTGAATTTTCTAAATTTTACTTTTTCAGAAGGTAAAATTTTATCTGATTCAATCTGTCAGGGTTCTCTCCGCCCTTTTTTGGTTTCTCACCATGTGGCATACTAAGAAAGGGACTTGATTCGAAGTTTTTAAAATTCGTACTATTTTAAAGTGGCTTTATGATTTAGTTTTTTTTACCATTTTACTTTAAATAAACCTGGATTTAATTTTGCTATGTGCTCTACATTTCCTCCAAATGATTAGCTTACAATGAAGATGTTTATTTTATAAACCTGCAGATACCTGTACAACAATAAAACACATTACAATAATATTACAACTTTTGACATTTCCTTCACTAACTAAAGTATAAAGTGGCATCTCATCCATGGAGAATCTGGCTTGCTGGAAATCTTACCTATTCAGAACACAGACTCAAACCATGCAGAGCTGGAATATCTAACTCAAATCAGAGGGGTGCCCTTCCCGACAGGCCTGCCCGCACCTGGCCTCGGCCCCAGCCTCAACCCAGGCCTTGGCGGCCACTTTGCAGCGCCTGCCTAACTTTGTCACCAAAGTTATCTAATTCCCTTTCCACTAATCAATAAGCCCAAAGTTTCCTGAGAGAGTCAGGGTCAAGTCTGAGAATTCAGAAAAGTTTTGTGATTCATTCTAGAAAGAGTTCCCTCTAAAGTGCTTAAGTAATTTCTTAAAAGAGATTTGTACATAACAGGATAAATCCTCAATACCTAATGTAGTTATTTCTTTATCATATTCTCATTTTCCAGAGACACCAGGAGGCTAACATTTTAGTATAATGAAGCTACTCTGAATTAAATTTTTAAACCTACATTTTAACCTATTAATCTTTTACATGATGATTATATGTAATTTCCTCTAAATATACTTGTATTTTTAAGATGATGACCAAAAAGATTATGAGCCAGAACAGCCTAGAAAAGCAGAGCAAGAGATGAGAGCACAGCGTGGTGGCCCCACTCACACCCTGGAGCCAGATTGCAGGGCTTAGAGTCTGGTGTCCACCATTAGCTGTGTGATGGTGGATAAGTTGCTTAACCTCTCTGTGCCTCAATTTCTCCATCTGTAAAACGTGGACAAAAATACTACCTGCCTCCCTTGTTTACTGTTAGGATTAAGTAAGTAATAACATGAAAAGTACAGAAACCAGTGCCCTCACTGGTGGGCAGGTTATTCTGAAGTTTTCTTCTCACCATCACCCTAATCACTCCCCTAACCAACAGTCGGCAGTCTAAGGGGAGCCTGGAGACCCTGACATCACCCCCAGAAACAGATATGAACTACCTAGATCTTGGTCTCACTCCTGTAGGGCACACCAGGGTCCTGAGAGAATTCAGTCATCCTCTGTCACCTGGTTAAGTTTCTTGAGGCTAAATGCATTGACATGTAAGAAAACATTTTAAATGGTCCATTTTCAAGGCATGATAAATCTAAGTATGAGCAGCCAGCCTGAGAATGTAACCAACCGCAAGTTCATGCGTCTAGAAAGTCACAATAAGCGAACACAATGTAGAGTGGGGGTCAGCCCATAAAAGGGAAGAAAATTTTGTTATTGGGAAATCGAAACTTAAGCAGGGAAGGGGACGGGGTATAACCTTAAAGGAAGGTAATGAAACTTAGGTGACGTCAAGGAAAATTGTAACCCCATATTACTCGACCACTGAGAAACTGGGGAGGGACTTCCATGCTAGGAGATAAATTACCTGCTGTACCTGCCCCGGGTGTGCCTGCCTACAAGACGCCCGATCTTCCAAGACCGCCATTAAAAGTCTCGCTTCTGCTGTTTTTCGTGTCTCCGAGCCCATTCTTTGGGTTTGGACGGGTGAATGCGTGTTTCTCACAGTCAGTACCACCCTACAGAAAGACAAGGACGCACAGGCTCTGCAGCAGCCTGCCTGCCCTGCTACCCACCACCTGCTGCGCGAACTTGCTCAAATACCAAACCTCTCTGTGCCTTGGTTCCCTCATTTTAAATGGGATAATGATAGCATGCCTACTGCAGGGTTGGTGTAAGAATTAAATGAGTTGGCTGGGTGGGGTGGCTCACACCTGTAACCCCAGCACTTTGGGAGGCTGAGGCAAGCAAATCACTTGAGCCCAGGAATTTGAGACCAGCCTGGGCAACATAGCAAAACCCCATCTCTACTAAAAATACAAACAAATTAGCTGGGTGTGGTGACATGCACCTGTGGTCCCAGCTACACAGGAGGCTGAGGCAGGAGGATTGATTGAGCCCAGTAGTTCGAGGCTGCAGTGAGCTGTGATCGTTCTACTGCACTGCACTCCAGCCTGGGCAACAGAACAAGACCCCATCTCAGATCCACCCTCTGTCCTCCTGGGTTCCCTCCTAGGCTGAGAGAGGCCTGGGAAAACAAGGCTTAAGTACTAATACAAAAGAACGACTTTAATTCCGCAGAATTTCAGGAGGAGTGAAGGAAATGGTGACATCCTGATCTTACAGGAATAATTTGGGAGCACCTGGCACCTTGCAAGGTTTGCCAAATCACACCAGAAAGAATACATCCACCCCACTGCCTGAGGTCAGGAGTTCGAGACCAGTCTGGCCAACATGGTGAAACCCTGTCTCTACTAAAAATACAAAAAAAAAAAAAAAAATTGTCGGGGGTGGTGGCACGCACCTGTAATCCCAGCTACTCAGGAGGCTGAGGCAGGGGAATTGCTTGAACCAGGGTGGTGGAGGTTGCAGTGAGCCGAGATCGTGCCATCGCACTCCAGCCTGGGTGACAGAGCGAGATGTCTCAAAAAAAAAAAAAAAAAAAAATACATCCACCCCAGTCATCTGTGAAATATGAAACCTGGGGATTCTGAACCTTACATGTTCCTGTATAGTCTTAATTTCAAAAGTGAATCTTCCTGTCGAGAACAAGCTATGCTTTTATTTGGTCACTGTAATAAAGCAGTGCCGACCCCTGTGTGTAAGGGGCATGTTTGCTGGAAGCAGTATCCCGGCTGGTGTCATCCTGGCAGATGGAGGAGGAAAATTCTAATTTAAGTGACATGTCGCCATTTCAATCCCAAATCCGAAACAAGAAAAGAGTTCTCCCAGGGACTGCACAAACCACACATCATAGGCCTGTACCCAAGGTATAGGAAGTTTTTACTAGTCATTTGCTGTTAGATAAATATAAAATCACTATATTTTCTGCCATCGATTCTGCTTTATTCTTGAGGCTCCTAAGCAAGGTTGAAAAGACTCCCATCAAATGCTGATGCCTTAGGTCAACCAAATGATTCCCTGCAGTTCTTGATGTTCCACTTGGTAAAATGAAAGGCCTCTTCACAGGTGGGCACAGGCATGCTGGCAGGGAAAACAGTTTCTATCATCATCATTCTTGTTAATTACAGAAAGAAAAATACTGGGCATGCTTCATGGAAAGTTATGAGGAGAAACAAAAGTTGCTGTTTAAGTCCTTTTTTTTTCTACCTGACTGAGAACAAAATGCCCTGAAACAGAATACTAATGTGCTCCTAGTTTATTTTCATTACAAATTGACAGCTTATAATCGTATAAATTTA
Source organism: Homo sapiens (assembly GCF_000001405.40). Lineage (NCBI taxonomy): Eukaryota > Metazoa > Chordata > Mammalia > Primates > Hominidae > Homo > Homo sapiens. Next base: position 51,106,977 of record NC_000007.14, read on the forward strand.
TGATACAAAGTTGATGTTATGATCTGTAAATACAATGTAGAATAATTAAATCAAGCAAGCTTACATATCCCTCACCTCAAATACTTAACACTTTTTTTGTGATCCTAGTTTGTTTGTTTTTTTTTTTTTTTTTTTTGAGACAGAATCTCACTCTGTCACCCAGGCTGGACTGCAGTGGTGTGATCTTGGCTCACTGCAACCTCCACCTCCCAGGTTCAAGTGATTCTCCTGCCTCAGCCTCCTGAGTAGCTGGGACTACAGGCGCACGCCACCATGCCCAGCTAATATTTGTATTTTTAGTAGAGACGGGGTTTCACCATATTGGTCAGGCTGGTCTGGAACTCCTGACCTCGTGATTTGCCCACCTCCCAAAGTGCTGGGATTACAGGTGTGAGCCACCACACCCAGCCCTAGTATTTTTAAATAGAGGTTTTAACATGGAGATCTCTTCATATTTTCCAATATGTATATCCCAGTTCAGTAAATATTATACAACTACATGGTTTCATATTCCCACTTCAGTAAATATCAATATTTGTTAAGGATTAATTTTTCTGCTAAAATTGTTTTAGCTAGAAATATGTGCAGACGTTTATAATCTTTTTACTTTTTTAAAATAATGTGGGAAGATACTGCTTCTTTTAAAATTGTACACTGGTGCATGTATACAAGTTGCCAATCACCAGTACCAACATACCATGGGCAGACCTCTCACCTCTCCGTACCCGGGCTGCACTCAGGACCCAGAGAGAGCAGAACCCAAAGAGGCCCTTAGAGGCACAGGACAGGATCCACCTCACAGTCCCCTGGGGAATACAAGATGCCAAAGCAGCAGGGAATCTCCTTAATAAACAGGAAGGAAGATATGTAAATCAAGCCAAGAGATTTAATAGCATCTGCCACTTGCAGCAAAATATCCCCCAGTCCAAGAGAATGGGTGTCCTGCTAGCAGCCACCACTTCCCACTGATTCTTCCTCCTCCTGCAGTGTCATCCTTCCTGCAGCCCACCCTCTCCCTCAGCAGAAACCTGGAGTATGTCTTCAGAGGAAAAGAGAATATTCCACTGCCTACATGTTTCCATCCTGCCTGGTGCCTCTAAGTCAGATCCAGGGCTCACCCAGAGGCCACGCTTCCAGCCTCCAGCACTCCTAACTCTGTTCCTCTTCCCTGCCACTGTGGGCCAAGCTCACCAAGGATCCTCGGGCCAACATTCTGATTCCCCACCCTCTCCTGACAGCAGCCACTCTCCTGGTGGCATGAGTGGAGGCTGGCTCTGCCTGTTTTGGGGCTTTGTATCATGATATCTGGCTTCTTTTGCTCTGAGGCTCATCCGCTGCTGTGTGGCTCGTTGCTGTGCAGTGGCACTCGGTGTGAATACACCACGCTTTATGTGCTGGACTGTGGAAAGGGATTCGGTTGGGGTGAGCCTGGGGATGCTGTCAACAGTGCTGCTGTGAATACTCACGTGCATGGCTTGGTGCAACTGTTGGAGGTGCACACAGTTGGAGGTGCTTGGGTCATGGGGTGTGTGACCAGCTATTGAAGTCGCTGGCAAACAGTTTTGCAAAGTGATTGTTTAGAAATCCTTATTCTCATTCCTTCTGTTTGCTTTTCCCATCTGCAAATTCCAAACATGTATTCCCATCCTGTGGCCTCCTGGGTTACTCCACCTTCGTTCCCTTCCCTGTTAGCAGATGATCTTACCCCATAACTCAGAAAAAGTGGAGGTCCCAGGCAGGAGCCAGCTCTCAGACACTGGGCCCCATTCTCCAAAGGAAAGCTGCTTCCCCCAAACTCAGCCCTCCCTGGGGCGCTGGAGCCAGCCTTGGGGAGGTCACCCTGAGCTCTTGTATAGCTCTCCAGTACCTCCTTATCAAAGACACCTGCCTACTTCTCCCATCATGGAGCCGTCACACAAAGATACACACACTGACACATAGACACACACACACACACACACACACACACACACACACACACCCCCTGCCCCATGAAGTTTACTGAAAGAACTGGTTCCACTTCAACTTCCTTTTCCTTAGTCTCGGTCACCCCACCTTCCTTGCCACTGGCCTCCTGCCTAGTGTGGCACCTGTGTGAATGGCCCAGTGTTCTGATGGTCACATCCAAAGGTCCTGTGAGTTCCCACCAGGCAGCCTCTTCCCTCCTTGCACTATGCGAGTTTCTGCACACTCTCGGGCTGCTCCCCATCCTGGGCATGGTGCTCCGCAGGGCTGCCTCTTCTCTTCATCTCTGGTTTTCATCCATTCTTATTTCCCCAACTACCACCTACTGGTGGTCATTTTCAAACCACCTGTGTGAATGCACCACCCTGTGAGCTCCAGACAACTGCCAGTGCGGTTCCTGTAGACATTTCAGCTCCAACTGGTTCTGCATCATCATCTGCATCTGCGGACCCTTCTGGATAATCTTTAAAGGTTGGATTCTTTGCCACTTCCATCTCGCTCGCCACCTTCACTGCACTGCTCCTGAAGCACCTCAGTTCTTGCTGTGACAGTCCTAAAATCCCATCTCCCTCCTTGCCCCCCACCCCTGGCTACCCCTGCTTTTATTCAGGCCCTTTGCATTTCCTGCCTGAGTTATCTTAAATGCTTCTTCCCTCTCTGTCGTTCTGTCTCTCAGAGTCAGTTACCACTGTGCTACCAGGCTCGATCACTCATTTATTTCTCAAAAATTTTACTAAAAAAACTGACTACATGCCAGGCACTGTTCTCCACAAAGGAAGGGGAGCCTCAAAAAAGACAGCAAACTCCTTCCCTGCACTCACAGAATGTATGTCTCGTGAGGGGAAGACAGAAAGAAACCACTGCATCATGTTAGTAGTGCCACCTTCCACAGAAACGAAAGGCAGCCACATGTTTCCGTGGCTGAGGATGGAGCGCTGAGGCAGTGAAAGAAACAGGCCACCTGTGCAAAGGTACGAGGAAGAATGACACAGGCGAGAGCAAGGGGATGGAAACTGCTTGGCCTCTTCTTTTTTCTTTAAAAAAATTGATACATAATAATTGTACATATTTATGGGGTACATGTGGTATTTTGATACAAGCTTACAATGTGTAATAATCAAACCAGGGTAATTGGGATATCTTTAACCTCAAACATTTAGCATTTCTTTGTATTGTAAACATTTAAAATCTTTTCTATTTCAAACTATACAATAGTTATTGTTAACAATAGTCATCCGACTATGCTACCAAACACTAGAACTTATTCCTTCGACCTAATTGAACTTTTATATCCATTAAGCATTCCCTCTTCCTCCCTCTCCCCTCCACCCTGCGCAGCCTCTGGTAACCACCAATCTACTCTCTACCTTCATGAGATCCACTTTTTTAGCTCCCACGTAAGAGTGAGAACCTGCATTATTTCTCCTTCTGTGCCTGGTTTATTTCACTTAATATAATGGCCTCCAGTTCCATCCATGTCGCTGTAAATGACAGGATTTCATTTTTTCCTTTATAGCAGAATAGTACTCTATTGTGTATATATACCACATCTTCTCTAACCATTCATCCGCTGACGGACACTTAGGTTGATTCCATATCTTTATTTTATTTTTCAATAAGTTATCGGGGTACAGGTGGTATTTGGTTACATAAGTTCTTCAGTTGTGATCTGTGAGGTTTTGGTACACCCATCACCCAAGCGGTATATACTGCACCATATTTGTTGTCTTTTATCCCTTAACCAACCTTCCACTCTTGCCCACAAGTCCCCAAAGTCCACTGTATCATTCTTATGCCTTTGTGTCCTCATAGCTTAGCTCCCACATATCAGTGAGAACATACGATGTTTGGTTTTCCATTCCTGAGTTACTTCACTTACAATCATAGTCTCCAATCTCATCCAGGTCACTGCAAATGCTGTTAATTTATTCCTTTTTATGACTGCATAGTATTCCATCATATGTATATAGCACAGTTTCTTTATCCACTCATTGATCGATGGGCATTTGGGTTGGTTCCACGATTTTGCAATTGTGAATTGTGCTGCTATAAACATGCGTGTGCAAGTATCTTTTTCGAATAATGACTTCTTTTCCTCTGGGTAGATGCCCAGTAGTGGGATTGCTGGATCAAATGGTAGTTCTACTTTTAGTTCTTTAAGGTGATACCATATCTTGACTACTGTGAATAATGCTGCAATAAACATGGGGGTGCAGACATCTCTTCAACATACTAATTTCATTTCTTTTGGATAAATACCTAGTGGTGGGATTGCTGCATCATTTAGGTTTTTGAGGAACCCCCATACTATTTTTCATAATGGCTATACTAACTTACATTCCCACCAAGAGTGCATAAGCATCCCCTTTCTCCATATCCTTGCCAGCATTTGCTTTTTCTCTCTTTGATAACAAGCCCTTCTAACTTGGCCTTTTACATACTACAAGAGGAACAGATGGGAGGCCAGTATGGCATTATTGGCATTGGAAAGAAGCTTGGTTTGTATTCACTGTCACTAGCTGCATAATTGTAAGCAGGATCCTACTCAAATGGTGTGTGCAGTGTGGCATCCTGCTCTTCCAGTGGCCCTGATTCTCCCCGCCGGCCCCACCTCAGCCTCAGCACGGAGTGTCCTCTCTCGCTGAACTGTCCTGTCCTCACGACCCATCCATCCTTCAAGGCCCATCTCAATACTACATGTCACAGAAAAGAAACAGCTGCCTCTCCCCCGTGCCTGGGCCCCTGCATGCTCCTTGACTTCATGGTAACATCTGTGTATCTTCTTAGACGGGGCCTCCTCAATACCAGGAGGAGCTGTATCCATCTGTGCTGCTCAGCACTGTGCAGTGCCAGCCAGGGCATGTGATGGGCCCCAGCAAGTGTTCACAACTAGGAGATTAAATGAGTGCATTTCTGAATGGCAAGACTGGGCAGAAAGGGCCTGTGTACATAATGCGATTTATTTATTTTACTCTCTTAACACTTACTTCACAGGGACATATGGTAAAGTGTGTTCCTAGGAAGAGGTGAAGATTAGGTAATATCCTCATCAATATCATCAAAGGAATCCAGTTCACTTGCATGGCACGGGGACCACTAAGAACAAGTCCAGGCAATTTTCAGGTGGATGTCTATTTCTATTTTTACTAAAGACTCCCACACACATAACAGTCAACTGTACAAGGCTTGGAAACAATTTAATGGTTGCAAAAGCATAAGAGAGGAGAAACTAGAATGCCATGAAGTGGGATTACAAAGTAGATTCTGTACATAGAGTAAGTATCTTTGCTATACATCAGCATTTCTATTCCAATTCATCACTGATGGAAATTGTATTGCTCTCCTCAGTGTCCTGTGGATTATTTTTATTTTTTGCCCTAAAGAAACATTGGAAGCAAAGGACCACAGAGAACTTCTAAGATATGGACCATTTAAAAATATATAGTTTATGATTAATATGTAACTTAAAAACTACTTATTAACACAATGTTACCTCCAGAAGCAAGCAGTGCTTCATGATCAATGAGCACTGTTTCCTTTCTAAGCTCCCATTCATGTTGGGGTGTCCCTGCAGATGCATAGGTTACAATATTCACTTCTGCACACAGATCTTTCAGGGAGTTTCTACAGATCTCTTTCCTGAGCACCAGTATTTGACTAATAGCTGAAATCCTCCCCTCATTTAGGCCTTGCATGGGGTCGGCTGTCCTTTGCACCTTTGGGTCTCATCAGAAGTAAAACTAGTCTGGCCTTGCTTTGCAGTCCACAGAGGAGGGGCCCTTGGGGTCCTTGCATAAGAATGCTGGTGCCTAGGGCTTAGGTCAACGCTGCAGGCAGGAAGGCACAATCAGGTTTCTCATTAGCTTCAGTTGCCCCATCTAGATCTGTTTTGAACATAATAATTGTGCTCTTGATGCCAACAGCTTCAGACACTTCTTAGACAAGCATACTCAAGTATCATCTTCTTCCCATATGTGGCAACCACAAACAAAATATAAAAACTCCTACAACCGAAAATAAATTTATTAATGGTGATGTGCTCCCATAAGACGTGGAAGCTGCAGACATCTTAACCTTCCGGAAATGATAAAAATCCTTTGGCACAGGTCTAGGGTGTGAAATGCACTCCCTCTGCACAGTAACATCTCTTGGAGAGGTACTGGTCCCACACATCCAGGGAATAGACTTCCACCCAGGATGACAGCTCATTTGGAGCATCTATGCTTCATCACAAGTTTCTAGCAGGATTCTGGCAATATTCTTAAGAGAATGGCAAAAGCAGATGTGTCAAGTGCAAAGGTGCAAAGTACTACTCAGAATATATGAAGGAAATAAAATACAAACCACATAAATAAGGAAGACTTACCAGGCTTACTGTTCTATCAACTGTTAGAACTGTATAATGAAAAGTAAAAGCTTTTATGAGCTACCATGGCTATTGTTTATAAAGTGTCCATTAAGAAATCTGACTCTTCATTTTGTCTAATCTCTCTCCAATAATATTCTATCCTCTCTTAAAAAACATTGTTAAGAAAGTTTTTAGTCACTGGAAGCTTTTACTGTCACTCAATTCCACGGCTTAAAATTACTAAAGTGGTTCCTTAACATTTATTCCTTGGCAAATGTAGAAGGCTAAATAGAAAAACACAAAAATATTGTGCTTCTTTTATTATAATTATTTCTACCAAAACAATAGATTTTGGAAAAAAAATATGTCTGAATGAGTGCTTTTTAAAGAAATCAGTCCTTTTCAATATTATTTGGAATAAATTTCTCTTCCATATCAGAAATGTGTTATTTGCTGTTCTCAGCACTTAATGGTTTAGTTTATGAGAAATATGAAACAAACTTGAATTTGATGGAATTAAGTGTGGTTCTCTTCACATAACCTAAGGTTGTCTGTTTTATATTCATTGTCTAAAAATAATCAAGGCCTGTGATTGCGCTGAAAGATTTCCAACTGACCTCAATCTATAGACACAAATCACTCCTTGCCCTCTATAGTTACAGGCCAAATGGTGGCCTTGGGAAATGTGCGTGTTTTCTAGGTTATTCCGTGTGATCCTCTCAGTACTGACAATTAGATATTTTAAAATGTGGCCAACACTCTGAACTGCTGTGAAAGATCCAAAACCTAGACTTTGGGTCTACATAAGCGATCTCCACCTTTATATGTGCAGGGAGCCTGCTGGGGAGGTCTAACACAAGTCTACGCTTGCCACAAGGCTGGAAGCTGGGGCGGCCCCTCCAACACAGTCAGGAGGGGGTGACTCCTAACACAACAGCAGAACCCCCAGGGATGACTTTTTTCTCAGCTCCACCCATCAAAGGCAAATCAGTGTGAGGAGTCCCCTGTCTCTCTACCGTGCTGCCCCTTCCTCACTGTTATACACGGTCAAATTCTGAGGGCTGGTTCTTACGTACTCCAGAAAAAAAAAAAATCCAGAGATAATAAGTGTTTCAAATTGGGTATTTAACATAAGAAACATTTACTAAAACAAAAATCTCATACTTAGAATAAAACTTTAAAAAAGGAAAGAAATCACAGTTAGCCAGAATCTCATCCTAATACTGTTTCTATAAGACAGTAAATCTGGAGAGAGATGAGAGAAAAGACTAACCTGGAAGTTTTCTTACAGAAATGATGTATCTGCCATTCTCTGTCCTTGATCAGAAGTTTGTCCTGACCTCAGGCCTTTGCAATAGGGGTCCCTTGCTTGGGATTTTCTTCCCCCAGATTGTCACAAGGCCAGTTCCTCCTAAGCATTTATTCCTTAGCACAGAGCAGAGTTCCTCAAGTTGGAATTGAAACTAACTACCCTGTTACGTCACTCTTAATCATGTCCCCAACATATTCCTTGTGATAACTTACTGATATCTGAAGTATTGTATGGATTTGTTTACTTGTTTATTTTCTACATCCCAACACTAGCTCCAATTTTAGCTATCTCCTGTAGCACAAAGCAGGCACTTAAATTATTCAGCTGAATGGATGAATGCATACACTAATGATAAATATTCACTGCAATTACCATCACCACCACAGTAAATGTGTGATTCAGATTTTTGTTTCAGCTTGTGTCAAATGGTAAGTTGCATTTTTCAAGGAATTTCTCCATTTCATCTAAGTTTTCAAAATTTTTGGTAAAAAGTTCACATTTCCTCATCTTAATGTCTATAGAATCATATTAATAAGCCATCTTTTAAAATTGATATTAATTTATGTTCTTTTTTCCCTGGATCAATCTAGATATGTTGATCATATGGTTGATCATGTGAAAGACAGAAAGAGCTCTGATTTTATGCATTTTCTCTACTACTGCTTTCGATTTCACTGATCTCTGCTTTTATTTTTATTATATCTCTCTTTCTTGGATTTATTTTGTTCTACTTTTTTTTAGCATCTTAAGATGGAATCTTAAGTCTTTGATTCTTAACCTTTAGTTTTTTCTATATGACATTTAAAGTTATAAATTTTCCTCTAAGGACTGCTGTAGCTAGATCCCACAAATTTTAATATATTGTATATTTTTTCCTTCAGTTCAAAATAGTTTCTAATTTCCTTTGTGATTTCTTTTTTGACTTAGATTACTTAAAAGTATGTTGTTTGCCAAATATTTGAGGGTTGTCCTAGACATATTGTTACTGTTGATTTCTAATGTAATACTCCACATGATATAAATCCTTTTAAGTATATTGAGATGTGTTGGTAAACATACCACATTGTACTAGAAAACAATGTGTACTCTGTAGTGGTTGGATATAGTGTTCTATAAATATCATTTATATGGATAGTTGGTAGTGTTGGTCAGATCCTCTATCTCTTCACTCATTTTTTTTGTCTAGTTGTTCTATCTGAGAGATTGTTCTCAGTCATGCTGTTCTCCAATATGATGGTGGATGTGTCTATTTCTCCTAATTTTGTCAAATCTTCATGTATTTTGAAGTTCTGTTATTAGGTACATACACATATATATGAGTATGAAATCTTCCTGATGTATTGATTCTTTAATCATTATGAAATGTCCATCTTAAACTCTAGTAATATGTAAGGCTATTTTACCTGCTACCCATCTAGTCACTCCAGTTTTCTCATGCTTACTGTTTAAATGGTATCCTTTTCTACCCATTCACTTTTAATCAGTATCTGTCTTTTTATTCAAAATAGGTTCTTATAGACAACATTCTTATCCATTCTGACAATCTCTACCTTTTAACTGGAGTGTTTAGTCTGTTAACATTTAATGTAATTATTGATATGGCTGAATTTAGATAAACCAGTTTGTTTCCTGTTGTTGCTCCTGTTTATTGTTTCTCTGTTCTTACTTTACTTTTGGGTTTTAAAAATTTAACCACTGGATTAGTTGTACCTCTTTGCATTATTTGGTTTAATGGTTGTTCCAACAATTATAATATGTGTGCTCAACTTTTACAGTCAAATTAGATTAAGTATTATAACCCTTCACATCAAATGTGGATAACTTACAATCACATAGGTCCATTTACCCAGCCCTTCCATGCTTTATGCTATAGTTGTCTTATGTATTACACTTATAGAGATTATAAACCCCAAAGACAATATTATAATTTTTAAGCAATCACATATATTGGAAGTAATCTTATATATTTTGGAAAGAAATATATCACATATATTGGAAAGAAATTAAGAGAAAAAATAGTTTTTTTATGTTTATCTAGCTATGTACCATTTCTGACACTCTTTATGTCTTTCTAAGAGTCCAAGTTTCCATCTGATATCATTTATCTTCAGCCTGAAGAATTTCTGTTAAGTGTTTCTTTTATGGAGGTCTAATGGCAATTCTTTATATTTTATTTGAAAATGTCTTTATTTTGCCTTATCCTTGAAGGATATTTTTGCTGGGTAGGTAATTCTGAATTACCAGTTGTTTTGTCTCTTCAGCACTTTAAAGATGTCCCATTGTTACCCAGATTCTACTGTTTCTGATGATAAAGTGATTCACTTTCTTTTATATATATATTTTTAATAATACTTTAAGTTCTAGGGTACATGTGCACAACGTGCAGGTTTGTTACATATGTACACATGTGCCATGTTGGTGTGCTACACCCATTAACTCGTCATTTACATTAGGTATATCTCCTAATGCTATCCCTCCCCCCTCCCCCTGCACAAAATATGGCATTTTTCTCTACTTGTGTATAAGATTTTCTCCTTAAGTCTATTTTTAAGTAATTTCATTATAAAGTACCTATGTAGCTATGCACAGTTTTCTTCTTATTTATTTTGATTTGGATTCACCAAACCTCTTTAATTTGTAAATTTTGTCTCACAAAATGTAAAAAACTTTTGGCCCTTGTTTTTTCAAATATTTTTTTCTCTTCTTATTCTGGAGTCAATAGAGTCCCAGAATAAAAAGAAAAAATAAATAAATAGAAAAAATAAATCTTTGGGGATCTACTTTTTTTTCCAAAATTTTTCTCTTCTTCTTGAAACTGGATATTTCAAATTGATTTATTTTCAACTTCACTGCCTTTTTCTTTTGTTACCTTCATTCTGTTGTTGGGCCCATCAGTGAAATTTTTATATTGGCTATTGTGTTCTTCCATTCTAGAATTTCTACTTGGTTCTTATTTATAGTTCTTATTAACCATATGAGATTTTTTCTTTTTTTCATTCATTATGAGCATATTTCCCATTATGTTGTTACCACAGTTACAAGCAGTCGTAAAATTCTTATCTGCTAATTCCAACATCTCAGTCATCTACAGATTGGTTTCTATTGACTATCTTTTTCACATTTTCGAATAGGTCGCATTTTCCTGGTTCTTCATATGTTAAATAATTTTGGCCTGCATCCTGGACATTGTTGAGTGTTATGCTTAGGAGGTTCTAGATTCCCTCATATTCCTCAGGAGACTGTAAATTACTTTGTCTTCACGGGCAATAATAAGCTGACTGGATTCACTTTAAGTCCTGTTTCTTGAGCAGCAATCAAATCTCAGTTCAGCTCTTTAGTTCTTAGCCAGGCTGCTTGGTATCTGTCCTTTTCATGCATGGTTCAAGGCTGAGCCAGAGATTTAGCCAGAATTTATCCACAGAATTTATGGCTGTCCCTCTCTGGCTTTCTCCTTTCTAGTATTCTTTCCTCACTTTCCAGAGGGCGGTGGCTGTCCTGAATTCTGGCCACATAGTTCTGAATTAGGCTAGAACAAATGGGCACCACAAGTTACTTTCCTGAGTTTACATATAATCTATTGACTACTGTATTAATTTTCTGTTGCTGCATATCACATTACCATTAGCTTGGTAGTTTAAACACAAACACACACATTTGTTATCTCAGTTTCCAGCGGTTGGGAGTCCAAGCATGGCTTAGCCGGGTCCTCTGCTCAGGGTCTCACAAGGCTGCAATCAAGGTGTCAGCAGGCTGTGTTTCTATCTGGAGGTTTGATTGGGAAGGCTCAGTGGGGTTGTTGAAAATTGCTTCTCTGGCGGGTTCAAGACTGAGAGACTTGGCCTTTTACTGACTGTTAAGCAGAGACAATCCTCGCATCCTAGGGGCCACCTGCATTTCACAATCTTTTATAATCACAGGGAGTGACATCCCATCATCTTTGCCATATCTTGTAAGTTAGAAGCAAGTTCCAAATTCCAATTCACTCAAGGAGAAGGGCTCATACAAGGATGTGAATCACTGGGGGGGAGAGGGGGAGGGGTGTCACATTAGGGTGTGTTGGTCACGAAGACCAAAAGTATGTTTTACGCTTCTATAATCTGGGGCCCTTGGAGGTTCAATAACTTCCCCAAGGTTGTATAGGTTAGTGTTGGTGGAGTCTGGGATGGATTCAAATCCAGGCAAAGCCTATGTCCTCCAAATATCCCTCCTACATTCAACAAGCAAACTACGCTCTACACTGCTGGAGCAGGCTGGACCCAGCCACAGAGAGGAATCCACAGCCAGAGCACAGTATCTGCAAATCGATGCTGTCCAGCTTTCCTGCAGCCATGTGGGATGTCAGACCCATGTCTGCAGCTCAAAATACCCAAATATAAAATTAGTTTCCTCAGTCCCAGAGTCACTTGAAAACATCTTATTTTCTAATATACAATTAAAGTCACCAGAGATTACATCACATAGGAAAGTTTTACAAATGACACAGTTTAATTCAGACACATAAAAAGGTTAAAACATACCTACCAAAGTTACAGGGACATTATCTGACAAATACAGAGATTCTGTCAGTTTGGTTATAAACTAAGTTTCCCTGGTGATATTATTACCTCTTCTAAGGTACCATAGTATTTAGGCTACCTAATCTAGGTTCTCATTACCATATATATCCTAGTGATATATATGGCGACACATTTTCTAATAGTTTAAATAAAGAGGTAGCTCAATACTAAGGGAAACATTGGTTTTGTAAGTAACAGCTATAAAACCATCATCCTCTAAGAACCAAGGGAACCAAATTATTTTTGACAAACAAACTCACAGCTGGCTTGTGAGGGAAGTCCATTTACCTTGGGCCTGTGTTTGTAAAGTAAAAGGAGGAGGGAGCGAAGCTGTGTTCATGATTCAAGGCCCTTTTCCTCTAAAATTAGACACTGCACCACGAGCTTCTCTAATATGGAAACTGGGTAGTAAGTAAAGTTTTTAAGAGGAAAAACAAGATTTTTGTATCACAAATACAGGTCAAATGTCTGTGGAATTCAAGTCTTTATAGTAAGCCTGTGTGGTCCTCCACATCAACGGGTCAAATATTATTTAGATGTTCACCAAATTATTCCCATGACAAAACCATTCACTTAAAAATATTCATCAATATAGGACTTAAAATATTTGAAAATCTTTACTATTTTTGTAAGTACTATTACAAATTCTATTAATACATTAACTCTTCAAAACCTTAGTTAAGTAGATAGGTAAGGATATTATTTGACTTCTAAGGAAATAGAACTCAGAAAAGTTGATTGGCAAGTCCTTTTGAGTGACTTGCCCAAAGTTGTACAGAAGTTGTGAAAGGATGAGACAGACCACACAGCCTCTAAACCAGTAGATCTCATTAAATACAAGATGTCTGTTCTTAATTGTTGGCTCCCTCAGCAAAGATATGCTACATGCTTTCAGATTTTTGGCCACAGTCCTGTTTGGCAATCTTAATATATTGAAATAAGTAAATATAATAAATATGGTAGTATAGAAAAAATAGAAAACAACAGAATCCTTTATAACTCTAGCTTGCAAGGATCAAACAAGGGGGTCAAAACAGTGTTGTCAAATGGTATAACATACAAAGGAGAAAGAAAATACATGGAGAGGGAGGGTAAATGGCCTAAAATATAAGTTATTTCACTGTCAAATAAATTTACCCACTAAAAATGTTTCAGGCATCAGTGAACCTTCTTAGGTTCACTGAAAATATTTTACTCAAAAATATAACACACGTAAGGCATTTGGAGAAACTATATTTACCATATTTAAGTAAAAAGATCTTACTTAAGGTTATACCTTTTAAAGGAAGTGGTTAAATAATTTTTTAAATTTTATCATTAATTATGGTAAATACACATACTATAAAATTTACCATCTTAACCACTTTTAATTGTACAGTTCAGTAGTGTTAAGTACATTCACATTGTTGTGCCACCAATCTCCAAAACTCTTTTCATCTTGTAAAACTGAAACTCTACCCATCCCACAATAACTCCCCAATTCCCACCCCCCAGGCCCTGGCAACCATCATCCTACTTTTTGTCTCCATGAATCTGACTACTGTAAGTGCCTCATCTAAGTGGAATCACATGGCATTTGTGTATTTGTCTTTTTGTGACAGGCTTGTTTCACTTAGCATGATGTCTTCAAGGTACATCCATGATGATGCATGTATCAAAATTTCCTTCCTTTTAAATGTTTAAGTATTTATTTTTGTATTATTACAGAATAATATTTCATTGTAAACAAATGAACAAACCACAGTTTATCTATTCATCCATCGATGGACACCTGTGTTACCTCCATGTTTCAGCTATTATGAATCATGCTGCGATGAACATGGGTGTACAGGTATCTGTCTGAGGCCCTGCTTTCAATTATTTTGGATATATGCCCGGAAGTGAAATTGCTAGATCCTATGGGGAATTCTATTTTGGATTTTCTGAGGACCTGTCATACTGTTTTCCACAGTGGCTGCACCATTTTACACTCCCACCAACAATGCACAAGGGTTCCAATTTCTCTACATCCCCGCCAACGCATCTTTTCTTTTGTGTTTTTTCTCATAGCAGCCATCCTAATGGGTATGAGATGGTATCTCATTGTGGTTTTGATTTGCATTTCTCTTACGATTAGTGATGCTGAGCATCTTTTCATGTGCTTGCTGACTTGTATATTTTCTTTGGAGAAATGTCTATTTAAGCCCTTTGCTCATTTTTTAATTGAGTTGTTTGTTTTTTGTTGTTGAGTTGAAGGAGTTCTCCATACAACACATCCCTTATCACATACATAATTTGCAAATATCTTCTCCCATTCTGCGGGTTGCCTTTTTAATCTGTTGACTGTGTCCTTTGGTGCACAAAAGTAAAAGCTTTGCAGATACTAAAATTTTGTAAGTTTGGTTGAGGAGTAAATCAAATGTCTTTGAAGCTGAAGGTTAGTTAACCACAATGAACCCAGAGCAGTCAAGGCTGAGTTCAGAATGTAAGTTCAAGACGAGATGGTGCCTAGGAGGCTCTGCACCCAGCTTCAGTTTCCAAATCCTGAACAGTGCCTCAAAGACAGGAATTGGATCTTTTTACACTGCTGCAAATTTAAAATCCTGATTTATATTTGAAAACCCACTTTTCTGATTGTGGATTATCAAGGTGGCTGGACAGAATCATGAATATACATATAAAGTTGCAAAATGTAAAGGTGAGAGAAATAATGAACTCACTCTTCCAGCAGTTTCCCTTCATAGTGAAAAACATACTGACTGTTGACGTGACTGACAGGCAAAACCAAAGTGACAAAGTATGACGAAGTACAAGGATAAGAACAGCATACTTAAATGATGGATATTTGAACAGCATAACTCTCTAACACAAAGCCAGCTTCCCACTTCCTCCATGTTGCTAAACTGTCAACGTGCAGGAGAGTGGCGAGCTCACCTTTCATTTTGATTTTATCACAGAGAGCTCCCATACAATGTCACACTCTAGTGAGTGTTAAAAATACTTAAGACTCTAATCTCCTTCAAACAACACTTGCTTCTTTAGCCACAAGTGTCAGAGAGGAAACGATCCACAAACAAAAGGTAGACGTTAAGCAACTAAAATAGCTCCAGCTTCCTTTCTCTGCACACTGGCGTTAGCTGCCCGGCTATTTCCACCAAGGAGGATCCTTGCAGCCTGGCTGTTTTCACAGGCTCTGCAGTGGGAGGTGCCACAGGTTCCCAGGGATGTTTGTGTCGGACAGGAACTCGGCTTCCTTTGTGCCTCTGAACACAATGCTGTCCTCATCTTCACCATCTCCAGGATGGGAGGAGGCAGCTGGACGCCAGAGATGATCTCTGCAGCACTTCTATTTCCCCAGTATTTTTAGAAAGGTTGTTTTGTACCATCATAAGTGTTGTTTTTTCGTCTCCACATTGTAGAATATAAATACAACCTATACTTGGCTGTTTATTACAAAATGCATTAGTATCAATTCAGTTATTTAGCTCTTTGCTAGTTTTGTTAATTTACTAAAATGGCAGATATGCTTTACATCTGGCACATTTAACATTTAAATGTCAGGCCAGGCACAGTGGCTCACACCTGTAATCCCAGCCCTTTGGGAAGCCGAGGTTGGTGGATCACCTGAGGTCAGGAGTTCGAGACCAGCCTGTGCAACATGGCAAAACCCTGTCTCTACTACAAACACAAAAATTAGCAGGGCATGGTGGCGCATGGCTATAATCCCAGCGACTCAGGAGGCTGATGCAGGAGAATCGCTTGAACCCAGGAGGAGGAGGCTGCAGTAGGCTGAGATCGCACCACTGACTGCACTCCAGCCTGGGCGACAGAGCGAGACTCCATCTCAAAAAAAAAAAAAAAATTGAATGACATAATTATTTTTGTAAAATGTAGACTCAAAGACAGTTTAGTTAGGCCTGAAAGAATCCTACTTGTTTTATTTGTTGTCCCTATCAAGACTTTTAAAGTCTCATAACATACTGTATGAGCAGACAGACAGATTTTTGGAAGTTGGGTAAAGCCAAAACAAAAGGAAGCATCTCAAAAAACAGGCAGATATCCGTATCTGAGCAAAACTGACAGATATATTTACAATGTATTTGGCTATGCCTACAGTAATGGCTTGGCAGTTCATGCCTTTTAACATGAATTTGACATGGGTTCCAGACTTCTTGAGTTTATGTATATTTGGAGCTGGCTAGCCTGATGAAGTTAACCCCATTTACTAAGTAGTTCCATCAAGGGAACAGAGTTCTACAGAACAAGAGCCTTGTATCCCTTGTCGCTAACTTGCCAGTTTTGCTTAATTTTTTTGACAAGAGGCCATGTGTGGAGGTGAACCAATTCTTTCATTTTCTGCCAGGATGTTTCAACTGCAGTAGGACTTTCTGCACAAGCAGAACAGGCTGCTGAGAAAGAGCACCATGAACAGACAGTGCTAAGAAAACACTCCAGTGAAAAATTCAAGGAGGCTGTGAATGATGGAGCAGGGGTACATTTTTCCTTCAAGAAGATGCATACAATTGTTTTTAAATCTTTGAGTTTTGATTCTCAACCAGCAAATGCATGACTTCCCTGTCAATGACGAGTAAATGAGTCAAACATTTTCTTCATTTCAGAATCTCTATGTCTAACAAGATCATGTTGAAGTGACTCATTGCAGTGCTACGCCATGTGACAGCACCATGCCACCTCCTCACCCACATCACCCCAGGCAGAGGCTGCAGAGCCACAGTCACCCTGCACCCCCCTCTGCCAAGTGTTACACAACTCTCTTGGATTGAATCAGCATCAATGCATGATGGCTCCATGCAGAAAAGACATCAGACAGGCCCATATTCTGTTGCTTACTGGCAGTAGTAGCAGCCCTGGGACCTCACTTTCCCTTTGTAAACCTCAGTGTCCTCATTGGTAAAATGAAGATAACAGAACCTGCCTTATAAGGATATTGTAAAGATGAAGTTATATGAGATGATGTGCATAAAAGTCCTAGCAGAGTGCCTGGGATGCAAGAAGAACTGAACTGTTGCTGGGTCTCTCTAATTGCTATTGTGCTTAACTTGGGACCTGCATCATGGGACCAGTTGGCCGACGACTGGATGACGGTGCCTTTGCTGTCTTCCTGCTGGCCAGTGTACTTCCACATGCAATTTGTCTGGCACAATGGCCTTTCATTAGCAATCTAATTCATTAGCAATTGGAGATTAGCAATCTCCAATTGATTTAGCAATTAAAATATGACCAGCAGAGATGAATAACTTCTGTCTGCTTGGACTTCTTCCATGAGTTGCATGCCACTTACCAAGAAAGAATTTGGAAGTGACACCCTCACCCAGTGTATCTCTGGCTCCCAACTGGAATGAGATGGCCTTTCCAACACTGATGGCTTCTCTGGGATGGGAATTAGACTGGAACCATACAAACTAATGTTGCTAGTGGGAACTTCCCATGGCGACGGCTGCTGCCACTGTCCTGGACACCTATGTCGTAATCTACCCAAAAGACAAGCGTTCTCTGTATTTTGGGGACATAAAGTGCTCCAATTCAGTGCTGAGTGCCTTCAAAGGGCTGAGTCTTACACACCCTTCAGTTCCTCATGGAAACTATTCTGCCTGTAGACAGGAACCCCATTTTCCTTTGTTATGATCTGAATTTGTTTCCAATTTTTTTTCTTTCTTTCTTTCTTTATTTTTGTTTTTTCTTTGACAGAGTCTCACTCTATTGCCTAGGCTAGAGTGCAGCGGCGTGACCTCAGCTCATTGCAACCTCTGTTCAGGTGATTCTCGTGTCTCAGCTTCCTGAGTAGCTGGGATTACAGGCATATGCCACCACATCCAGCTAATTTCTTCGTATTTTTAGTAGAGACAAGGTTTTCCCATTTGGCCAGGCTGGTCTTGAACTCCTGACCTTAAGTGATCTATCAGCCTCAGGCTCCCAAAGTGCTGGGATTACAGGCGTGAGCCACGGTGCCTGGCCTCTCCCACCAAAATTTGTGTGTTGAAGCCCTAATCCCCAGTGTGTGACTATATTTGGAGATGGGGCCTCTAAAGAAGTAACTAAATTAAAATGAGGTCATTAAGGTAGGCTCTAATCCAATATGACTGTACTTATAAGAAGAGGAAGGGACACCTGGGATGCACAGGTACCACAAAGGCCCTGCAAGGCCACGGCAGCAAGACAGCTGTCTGCAAGCCAAGGAGGAGCCTCAGGAGGAACCAACCTTGCTGACACCTTGGTCTTGAACTTCCAGCCTCCAGGACTGTGAGAAATAAATTTCTGTTGAAACCACCCAGTCGGCGGTATTTAGGTTTTGGCAGCCCTAGAAAACTTACACACCCTTTCACTTAAATGTTAAGGCAGTAATTATGCTTGTAAAAATTCAAACTATGATCTACTCCTCCAGACTATGTTTTAGACTTGGTCTTCTGTTTTACAAACTGTCATGGAGCCGGGCAATCACTCAGCCTCTCTGTGCCCTATCACCTATAAAACAGAGATGACAGTCCCTATCTTGTGGGGATTTGGGAAGGATTAAATAAGATACTATAGGAAAACACTAAATATAACTGCCACGTGGCACTTTCCCCACATATTCATAGCTCTCTTGCCCCAATATGGCCTGAGAGAAATTTTTTTTCTATAGTCAACTAAAACAAATGTTTTCAGAACATCCGCGTACTCATTCAAGTCCTGTCTTCTGGGGCACTGAGACGTCACCCCACTGTCTTGGGACAGAAATTAAACATCTGGATGTAGCGATTGTTTCCCAGTGAATCTTTCCATTTTTCAGCTAAAATTTTGTAATTTCTATATCGTTTAAGTAAGGGATGGTAACTTCTAGACGCTTCGATTCCAAGAATGTTCTCCTCTGAATGCCTTTTAGTTTTTTTCTCTTAAAATATGGTGTTCAGGCTGAGTGTGGTGGCTCACACTGTAATCCCAGCACTCTGGGAGGCCGAGGTGAACAGATTACTTGAGGTCAGGAGTTCAAGACCAGCTTTGCCAACATGGCGAAACCCCATCTCAACTAGAAATATAAAAATTAGCCAGCCGTGGTAGCATGCGCCTGCAATCCCAGCAGTATGGGAGGCTGAGGCAGGAGAATCGCTTGAACCTGGGAGGTGGAGCTTGCAGTGAGCCAGGATAGTGCCACTGCACTCCAGCCTGGGCAACAGAGCGAGACTCCGTCTCAAAAAAAAAAGTGTTCAGAGACCTACTCACTGAAGGAACAGATGTGGCCAGCACCGAATAGAGCGGCACCACCCCACCCTCATCCTGATCTTCATGCTTCTGTTAGGACAGGCTGGGCCACTGTACCCCTTTCACAGCCTTCACTGGCTCCTAGCCCCACCAAACTGCCTGAGTGCCCTTCTTGGGTGTGCCATTTATCAGGGCACCCTCATTCTTAGACTTGAAATTGAAGGGCTTCTGGGGTCAGCCTTGGACTGAGGTACATGGAGGAGCCTGGGTTGGACCTGGACGTGGGACTCCTCTCATTCACAGTCCATGGCATGTGTAGCAAGGAAGTGACTGATCTGGACGTCGTCAGAGACCCTGAGAGTCTGAGTCACTCACCCCTCCCAAATGTCATCTCCCAGAGGATCTGCCTGGCTTAGGGAACCACTCTGGACCCTAATGCTGCCCTATTTGCTCTCCATTCACCAAACCCTGCAGCTGTAGCAGAACATCATCCAAGTCGCTGGTTAATTCAAGGTGCTCCCCCTCTTCAGTGTCACCAGAGACCTCCCTCCAGAAAGACAATGGCCCATTCGTCTCGCATGAGCCTCCTTAGCTGTCTGACATTGAGGCCATGTTCACCCGCTCATAAATGTCTACTGAGGGTCCACCACACACCAGGCATATGCTTATGACTGGGGACACCACGGGGAACAAGTCACGGTCCCAAGCTGGGGAGTCAGCCAAGTGGATGGCAAATACAAGCTGTGTGCTCAAGGCCGTGGGACGTGGAGGGCCCTGGATCTGTCTCAACCTCGTCGCTTGTGGTCCCACCTCATATCCGTCTATCACTACCTTCTCCAAGGAGTACTACGAGATGAGTGACAACATGGGTGGCTGCTACAAAGACACAGAACTGGAAAGTCACAAACGTGAGCTACACCCAGAGTCCGGTTTCTTGAAAGAGCTCATCATGCCAGCAGGGGGGACGGGGCCACTGATGTGACAGACACCCAAGTCCCCAGCTTGTTAGGCTGCTGCCCACAACTAAACAGCGGAGCATGACTTATGACTTTGGAAAGAATTCTGGAACCCAGAAGAACAGGGAACAAACCAAGAGTATTTTTCCCTCTGCTACAGGGACAGACGCAACTGGGGAGGGTGCAGGTTCCTGTACAGAAGTCACTGGCTGCATTTTGCTTTGGACAAAAATGTATGAGGTCGGGGAAAGGATGTTGTTGTGGGAACAGAGTGTACGGTGGCCTTGTGTTCAAGGCAGACTTTTGACTTTCTGAAAGACTAAAGCATTCACAATAGGCCCCAAAAGACATAGGAACAAACACACAAAAGAAGCTGAAAAGTCTGGGGGGCGTGGCTATAAAGGAAACCTCCCTCTGGCCTGAAGGCTGGGTGTGTGAAGGCTGGGGGTGTTTTACTTAAGAGCAGTCCCAGAGAGCAAAGGGGTGATCCGGACTCCCTCAGCTCTTTTGGGGGACAGAACAATGTGCCATTGAGTTACCAACCGCTGGCAAAACACAAAATGGTAATACCACTCATTGTTCTTGACCTTCACTGGAGGATGGACACTATAACATTAAAAGGAAACAGAGTGCTCCCACGGTATTCCAGAATATGAAGCTGGGTTATTCAGTTCACAGTGGAGGAAGTGGGAAAACTTCTGCCACATCTGAAAGAAAGTCTTGGCAGCTAGTTTGTGTATATGATCTGAAGTATGTTAAACTCTAAGATGGGTCCCTGGATACATAGAAACCCCACCTTGATGGCGACACCTTCTTCCTCCCTAAGGTTTTTATTCATCCCATACAAAGTTGTAGAGGGAAAGTGTCCCTGCTCTAAACCCAGATTTACTTCTTTGCTCTTCTTTTGCAGGCATCTCTGACATGCAGCTCAGCCTGGTCTGAGACTCAGTTTCCACAACTCAGATAACAACAGACATCATAATTAGCAAGGATGCCAGGATGGCTGTGAGGGTTAGATCTAACAAGTCATGGGGAGACATTTTATGCACAGCAAAGTAAGTGGGATATGTGTGCGTGTATGTGTGTGTGTGTATTTTAAAGAGACATGGTTAAGAGACATTGGAAGACCAAACTGAGTGAAGGGAATTTAAAAAGACAGCCAGATAGCTAAGAGAAAAAAAATCTCAGATGCAGAAAAGCACCAAACACAGAGCGGGGAGGGGAGAGAAATGAGAGGGAGGGGCGGGGAGCAGGTGCTGAAGAATCCTCCCACCTTATCTTCATATTTTGTGTGGCCATTGCACCCATTTACAGAAAGCAGAAGCTCGGCCGCTCACTGTGTGATAAGTGGCAATGTCAGCCTCCAGCCCACACGGCTGCTCCTGCGGCCTCCCCTCTGCTGCCAGGGTCCTGTGCCCCTCAAGCCCCTCAAGGAGGCTCCATAAGACAGTGCTGTGCCATGCACCCCCATGTGCTCTGGCCCTCCTAAGGGCGGGTGGGCAGGTGCCTCCCTGGCCATTCCAGCAGCAGCAGCAGCAGCTCTGGTCTGAGAGGTGGCATGCAAACTGCAAATGGGCCTGCTTGTGCCCTTACTCCTACCTGTGCCCAGACAGACTGTCCCTGCCCGACCTCGCACTGAGGGAAATAAGATCGTTCTCTAGCTCTGGCACTCGCACTTTTCATGGCCCATTTACAACTCTTTTTCTTAGTGAGGAGTAAATATTCCAAGTCCTCATCAAAGTTGCCATGACTTATTCCTTAAATTCTGTCACATCCTTGAGGAAAGCAATTCTTTCGCTATTTGCGCACATTTTGAAATCATGCTTTTTTCACTGAGAAACTGTGTTAGTCCCTTCAGGCTGCCATAACAAAATACCATAGATTGGGAGGCTTATAAACAACAGACGCTGATTTCTCACAGTTCTGGAGGCTGAAGTCCAAGATCATGGTGTGGACAGACTTGTGTCTGGAGGGCCGGCTTCCTGCTTCAGAGGGCGCCTTCTTGCTTTGCGCTCACATGGTGGAAGGGGCGGGGGAGCTCTCTGGGCTCTCTTTTATAAGGACACTAATCCCATCATGAGGTTCAACCCTCATGACCTCATCACTCCCCAAACATTATCATGTTTGGAGTTAGGATTCTGACATCTGAGTTTTGGAGGACGCCAACATTTAGAGCACAGCAGAGATGACCCACACATGTTTGGTAAATAAATCATGTACACGTAAAGTAAGTTCATATAAATATTTACTGGTTTAATGAGCACAGTGTTAGACACTGTAGGTGTGTCAGGGAACACAGAATTCCTGGCTTCCTGAGCTTAGTCTGGCAGGGTCTGAAAGAAACCTGAAACCAGGGAAGGGGGCAGTTACCAGAGGGTGGAGGTGGCCAGCGAGACTTCATGGATGCAGTGACTGCCAAGCAGGGTCTGGTGCAGTGAGGAGGTGAACAGGATGCTAGGGAGAGGCAGGTGAAAGGCTCTGCTGGGTGTGGGGAGAAGCAGGAGAGATGCAGCTGGCACAGTCAACTGTGACGTGAGGCCAGCAGAGGCTTTAAAGCATGACATGACCCTGTCTCTGTTTAGATACCTGTTGCTCTAGCGAAGGTGTAAAGAAGATTCTCCAGGGTAGAGGAGCATGAGCAGAAGCAGGGTCTAGTTAGGAAGCCAGTGCACCAGGAAACATCTCAGAGGGGCATGGGAGTGCTTGAGCCCGGGAGTGCAGGTGGGAGCAAAGGGAAATGGCTGGATTCTGGATACACTTCAAAGGAAAACAGGCAGGATTCCCTGACAGGTTGATGTGGTTGATGTGTACAAGAAGAGACACCATCAAGGTGGGTCTAAAGAGTCTGTCCTCATCATCTCATACTCTGGGTGAGCCCAGATGATCCTCCCCTCCTGAGCGCATGGTAAACTGAAGGACTCTCTCTACTTTGCTGAGCCTCAGCCGACCTGAGTCCTTCCTTCCGAACAAAGCACTCCAGGAGGCCAACTGGCTGAGGAGTGGCCATGAGACACACCCGGCAAAGATCAGAGCCCTCTAATTAGTGTGAAAAGTAATTTTTCAATGTCTCCAAGCATCATCCACTTTATCAGTAACCAATTCACCACCACCACAAGCCATGTGATAAGAAACAGAAGGCAGACTTCACTCCAGGAGAAGGACAGCAGGAAGAAGTCTGCAAAGATGAGTATTGCAATGACCTCAACACCACAGCTCACAGAGATGGGAAATAAGAATGCTCATTTTAATAAGCAAAAAATATCAGGCCTAAATGCAGAGAGGACACTTGAGTCTGGCATCCATTGGCCAAGTGGTCTGCAGCCCAGCTCTCAGGGCCTTCCCAGTACAGGGGCTGCCAGGACCTGCCTCCCCCTGGGTGTCCTCTCTGCGGAACAGGATCAAGAACACACCAGAGTGACTGATGATGATCAAATGGACACTTCAGTTCTTGATGAAACGTGTCTTTGGGAGTCTGGTCAGCATAGTTTTATCACTTCCTGTATTATTCTAGTTACCAGATCCAGGAAATGGAACTTCAAGTAATAATGCTTTCCATTAAATGTCTAACATACACAGATCGTCCTCAGTCTTCACACAGTGTGAAATACTATCTTTTTATGTATACACTGTGCTGAGATATTAGAGTAATAAATACCAATTCATGCTTTCAAGTGCAAGGCCTTGTGCATAGCAGTTATTCAATATTCATTGAATACACAAGCAAATTTTTCATAGAAAAGTCTATTTTGGGTTATACTAATAACTGATCATAACACAGCCTCCATCATCACTTATTTTAATGGCCAACCATCACTAGCAATTTCAGTCCCAATGCAATAATCTTGAGATCACAGAGAAACAGACTTCTCAAGTTGGAATTTTATAGTGTTGAACATAATAAAAGCAATAATTCAAATAATAGTGAAAAAAGAAAGCTGGAATAACTTTAAAATATTTTTGAATTACTTGTCAATTACAATAAAAATGGATTTATAGTTGTATCTGCACAAAAGTAAGCATATAACTGTATATTGACTGAATAAATGAATAACTATGTATTATATATTTGTGGATAATGAAAACTAAAATTAGATAACACAGATTAGTAAACTTCCACAAGTTACTTATTTTTAATCACTTAAATGAAATACCAAAAAAGTTTTAAAAACCTGCTCTGTAACATGCCAGGTATTATACAAAGAAAGATGCCAGCAAGAATAATATAGAGTATTGTGTCAATCTTTAATAGGTAAACTGAGTCCCCTACACAAGGGTGTCTTGACAGTAATTGATTCTTCTTCTTTTTTTTTTTTTTTTCTGAAATGGAGTTTCACTCTTTCGCCCAGGCTAGAGTGCAGTGGCACGATCTCGGCCCACTGCAACCCCCACCTTCCAGTTTCAAGTGATTCTCCCGCCTCAGCCTCCCAAGCAGCTGGGATTACAGGCATCCGCCACCACGCCCAGCTAATTTTTGTATTTTTAGTAGGGATGAGGTTTCACCATGTTGGCTGGGCTTAACTCAAACTCCTGACCTTGTGATCTGCCCACCTTGGCCTCCCAAAGTGCTGGGATTACAGGCATGAGCCACCATGCCCGGTGATTTTTCTTCTTAAACAGAAGCTATCAGGACTGAAAGGGATGAGCAACTCTCTTCTCTAGAATCCTCAGAAGGTATGGAATAGTGAGTAGGGTGTTTGTAGTTTGTGGCTGAGAAGGGAAAATACCACCAACAGAGGAGAGGATGCTGGTATTGTTTAACAGAATGAACCTGCTGCAGCGCCTTGGTGATTTTTTAATTGTACATTTGGTATTTGCAGCAACAGCAAATTTGATTTTTAAATATAATCTGCTACTTGGTTAACACAGAACCCCGGCTGGGGCCATGGACCCTTCATTCCCTCTGCCCAGCCCTCCCTGCTTTAGGCATGCTGGCTACTTCTGTCCCCCACTGCACTGTGGCCAGCTCTCATCTCCCAGCTTTATGCAGAGCACACACCTAAGGACACAAGGCACAGAGAAGGGTGATCTCATCCAAGCTCCCATTTCTACTGCTGGCCAAGCTGGGATCGGAACCCAGGCAAATGCCATGAGATCTATGTCTGATCACTACAGCAATCACTGGCTAGTGCTGTTCTTACTGTTCCCATTTTACAGAGGAAACTGAGGACTGGAGATAAGCAGAGGGATGCCCACCCAGGCATCTGTGTTGACAGCCCCTACTCACAATCTTAATCCTGGCTCAAGAGCAGAACAAGTGAGGAAACCATGAGCAAATAAGAGGAAAACAAACTCTCCTTCGGGATGGGTTACTAAAGACTTGGTGTGTTAGTCAGTCTGTGTTGCTCTAAAGAAACACCTGAGACTGGGTAATTTACAAAGAAAAAGGGTTTAATTGGCTCATGGTTCCATAGACTGTACGGGAAGCAGATGCCAGCATCTGCTCACCTTCTGGTGAGGCCTCAGGAAGCTTTTACTCATGGTGAAAGGCAAAGGCGGATTAGGCATGTCACATGGTGAGAGAGGGAGCAAGGACGGAGGGGCTGCCACACACTTTTAAACAATCAGATCTCAGGTAAACTACCAGAGAGAGAACTCACTCATCCCCATGGGGATGGCACCAAGCCATTCATGAGGGATCCATCTCCATGACCCAAACACCTCCCACCAGGCCCCACCTCCAACTGGGATCACATTTCAACATGAGATTTGGAGGGGACAAACATCCAAACCATATCACTCAGTATAGGAAGGGGGCTCTAACCCAAATGCAAGAGCAGCGAGCAAGAATTCCAGCAGCTGCCTAGGGTCCAGGACAAAGGGAGAGTTCACCGTCTCTACACAGCACGATGGTGAGAGGACAGTGTGGGCCCCAGGAGATGAAGCAGGAAGAAAATCCTGTGCAGAACAGACAATTCGTCTGTCCTCCCAGATGAGGGTTCCCTGGGTCCCAGTGAGAAGGAGTGGACGCTACTGATGTGTTTTAACACATAACTTTAGGCCTAAGCTAACTTTATGGAAAACTGCATATAATTATTATTCTACAGCACAGATGGATTCATTTTGAGGTAACTTTCCTACTGAAGAATCTCTTAGCAGATCTGTTGCCTTTGAGTAGTCAAAATTCAGAGCCAGCAGCTGAGGGAGGTAGTTTGCTATGAAGGGGTGGTTCTCAAAGTGGGGTTCACCGGAGCGGCAGCACTTAAGATGCAAATGTTCAGGCCCCATCCAGACCTACTGAATCAGCGCTCAGGTGGGGCCCAGGAAAATGTGTTTTAACAAGCCCTTTGGGTGATCTGATGCCCGCTCAAGTCTCAGAAATCCTGAGAGCATAAGGTGCCTTAATGTGTACAATCAATCATTCTGGTCTGAAGTTTCCACATAATAAAAGCTGCATTCACAGTACTGTGGGAAGAGCCATGGGATCTGAGAAGAGCATTCGGTCACCTCCAGGCTCTAACACCTCTGGGAAAACCTCTTCAAAAAATACCTTTAGAAATAATAAACACACATGATCAAATTATGAATACATAATCAGGTGACAAATACTAACTATGGTTACAAATTTTAGAAAATTTTCAGATGAACTGGAGGATGGCTAATATTATCCCACCGTTAGGACTTGAAGAAGCAAATATTGAATTTTTTAAACTAGTTGATACAAAATAATATTTTAAAATATACAAATGTAGGCATTCTCATTTTCTTACAAACTAGTCATGTCCCTGAAAATGAACCTTTCCTCCTTGTTCAGGACACTGGTGTTAGTAACAGTTGCATATAAATAAGGCTTCCCAAACAAACATCTTATCTTTATATGGAAGGAAGTTCATGAAGAAGGAATTGACGTTCTTCCCCAACAACGACGACAATACATTTTTGGGTTCCTTTTCCAGAAATTAGTAAATAACAAAATACCTTTCAGTTTAAAAAAGCATGTTCATAGCAAATGCTTAAATCTAATCCATATGCCACTCATATGCTTAAAAAGGAAGATGGTTTCCATGAGCCAATTTCTCCACGCATTCTGTGCCAAATAAAACAGATTTCAGCAAAAAGCTTTTACTGCCTCAGAGGAAACTCTGTTCATTCTACAGGGTATAAAGTACTATTTATTTTTCATTCAGAATTCCCAATTCTCTACTTACTGCACATTTTCCCACTCAAGCAGGCTTTATCCACTGTGGGTAAGCACATTAAATGCAGAAAAATACAACATCTCTTCTGGGTGGAAGAAATTTTTAAAATGCTGGTACAGTTCACCATCTACATTTTATCGCATTAACAAAATACAATTCTTATTAAAAGAAAAAAGCTGACATAATATTGATCCTGGAAGTCATACTTTTTATTACTAACTAAAGAAACCTATCCTAAGCCAAAGCAAAAAGATATTCCCAGGGGCATGTAGCTGGGAAAGGCCAATGCTATCAATATGGTCTGCATATTATAAAAAAGTTCAGAATCTACATCCAAGCAAATTAATGAGACACACTGCAGAAAATCAGAAGAAATAGCTTTGTGTTTTCCATTTGCATCATCTTATCATGGATGCATACAACAAAAAGGTACCATTTGTGCCTAAATTTATT
The DNA here is from genome assembly GCF_000001405.40 of Homo sapiens. NCBI lineage: Eukaryota > Metazoa > Chordata > Mammalia > Primates > Hominidae > Homo > Homo sapiens. The sequence goes on from NC_000007.14 coordinate 51,134,882, forward strand.
TTTATGAAAACACAGCTAATATATCATGAAGAACTCAAAATAAGTCAGTTACATTAGGATATATGTATACATTCCTTTTTTTTTTATTTTTTATTTTTGAGACAGAGTTTCTCTCTTGTCACCCAGGCTAGAGTGCAGTGGCGTGATCTTGGCTCACTGCAACCTCTGCCTCCTGGGTTCAAGCAATTCTCCTGCCTCAGCCTTCTGAGTAGCTGGGACAATAGGCGTGCACCACCATGCCTGGCTAATTTTGTATTTTTAGTAGAGACGGGATTTCACCATGTTGGCCATGGTTGGTCTTGAACTCCTGACCTCAGGTGATCCTCCTGCCTTGGCCTCCCAAAGCGCCGGGATTACAGGCGTGAGCTACTGCACCCGGCCTAGAAAATATTTAAGAGATGCAAAAATAAAAATATTTTCTTTGAAAATGTGTTCCACTACAGGCTTTTCAGATAGATTTTTAGGGATATGAAGGACTAAGGATGGAAGCAGGATGGTCTCTGAGACCCAGGGATAAAGAACAACCATGAAGGAACAGAGATGGATGACCAGAGGACCGACTTGCAAAAATAGATGGACAGACGGACATACCTGGACAGAACGACAAGCAGGCTGATAAGGAAATTACATGACATGTCAGGACCCCGCCATTTGGTATCTGCTGCTATAACTTTTTATCAAGATCCAGGGACCAAGCCTCACATTCAGGAGGCACAGACTTAGTTTTTAGGGTATTTTGAGAGCAAATGAGCAAAAAGGGGCTTTGAACCTAAAGACTAGCAGGGGCGTGACACTCTCAAACTATGCAACTGGGCTAGGCCACATGACACATGCGGCAAGAGTTAGGAAATAAAGTTCTGCCACAGAATGAATGGACTCTGAATTTGCTTTCTGTAAATGTTGGCATTTGTGGCATGCTGCCTCCACAGGAAGCTGGGATGCAGTCAGTCAGAAAAATCTCAGTCCAGGGAAGAAGACTGCATCCTTATCTTTACAGCTGCATGGTGGATCTGACATATTAGGGTATGTGGGGAGCAGGACTGGGCTGCTGGGTGTATCCTGACTGCCTTGGGGAACTCAGCTTCTCAGAGTTAAAATCATGAGCCCTTCCTGGCATCTTGCCTTTACTTTTAAATAAAGCTTAAATACTTGCCCCCAACACTCCAGTCGCTACAGCCACAAACATGAAGGATTACTGTGTTCCCAGGGAGCTTTGGAACAATCAACTGTGTCACTGAAAAGATGCTTTGGTTGTGAGAACAGCCCACTGCCCTACCTTTTCCGATGCCTTGTCTTGCACAGGTGGCCCTGAACCTGGAGGAGGAGGGGCTCGGCGCTTCTTCATCTCCGACTTCACGGACACCCCTGAGATGCTGCCCAGCGAGAGGGATGGACCCAGCGTAAGAGAACGTGAGTGCATGGATGGGGAGTTGGGGGTCGTTAAACAGCCCTGTTGGGGAAGAGACAAACAGAAAACCAAATCAGTATGAGATGACTTCTCCCCGTATGAATGCTCACATGAAGACAAAGTTCCAATCCGTCCACCTGAGCTTGAACGGCAGCTGTTTCTACAGTCAGCTTGAATGGTCTGAGCAAGCCCTGCCTGTAGCTTTCCAGGGAAAACTGGAGAAGATGCTGCAGGACAGACTCATGCTGTGAGGCTCCCTTTCTTAATCATGAAGGCCATGGCAGACTCTTTAAGCCATTAAGAGAACACTTAGCAGCTAGAATCATTTAAACTTCTTGACCAACCTGCAGGTGTGAACTGGCCTCCTTAAAACTTTAACCCATTGTCAGAATGAGCTCTTAGACACTAAAAAGAGGAAGGAACTGATCAAGAAATACATCTTCATGAGGAAGACACCAACAGTCTTGGTCATCTTGGGAAGTACTCCACTTGTTGCCAGGAGGGGGCTTATGTTTCTTCTAATTTTCAGAAGTTATGAAAACTGACAATGTGGTATAAGCAGTATGCTGTGAAGACTGTCTAGGACCATCAGTACCGTACTTAGTGACAGATACCCAATAAGCTGAAAGAAATACAAGCCAACACACTAATTGCTCTCAAGGGACAATTTCTACACCAGGCGGAGCAGGCTACAGGACACACAAACTTTTTGAATCTTTTTTCTCCCTAAGGTCTGCTTAATAGAATCATGTAAGTGCTAGTGCAGAAAGCATTCGGGGAACCAGCAGAACCAGCACTCTAACTTCAAACTGAAAACAAGATGGTACCATGCTGTGTCCTGGTGCCTCTTCTCTCCTAGCCCTGGCAGATCTTCCACCTGTTACCATGGACACAGTCAACACTGAGAGCCAATGCAGTATAGGGGTTAAGCCCACAGACCTTGGAGACACTACCTGGGTTTGATTCCTTCTTTTGACCTTAGACGAGGTATTTTTTGGTGTCAGGAGTAAGATACAAACCTTGGGCAAATTTTTAATTTCTCCCTACCCCAGTTTATCTCCTGTAAAACTGGGGTAAATAATAGTTCCTGCATTACAAAGCTATCATGTGAATCAAATGAGTGACTGGATGTAAAAGAGCTTGAAAGAGTTCTTGGCACATTGGCTGGGTGTGGTCATGCTCACCTTTAGTGCTAGCTACTTGGGATGCTAAGGTGGGAGGATCTCTTGAGCCTGAGTTTGAGGCTGTAGTGAGCCATGCTGGTGTCATTGGAAGACAGAGTGAGATCCCACTTCTTTAAAAAAAAAAAAAGGAGTTCTTGGCACAAAGTAAGTACCCAATATGTGTTAGCTATTATGATTATTACACTTGCTTGTTTGTATCTTTGTCTCCCATTAAGATGTGAACTCAATGAAGACAGTAATTATCACTGATTTTTACTGAGAACTGTATGTAATCCCAGCTCCAAACAGTTCCTGGTAGGTGGAGGGCCCTTCAGTCAACCTTCCTGAGACAATGAATAGACAGATGACCCTCTGGGTCACTATGCTTTCATATTTTACATAATAAGCTTGTGGGTAAGATTTCATTTGAACAACTAGTTCTCCATATTTAAAATGAAGATATAAAGGAAATCCATCATATTAAACAATAGCCCAGTATTATTTGTGCTCAGACACAAATGCTGTTGCTCTACCAGTTATACTATCATTTGTTTTCCTGAAAAAAAATTGAGTCACAGATTTTCTTGTGCTTAAATATTAAAGCCAAAGGACAAAGCACTCCATGAAGGCTGCTTTTTACGCCATTAGTGCTTCCCTGCAGACACTGAATATCAACGATGCCCGATGCTTTGGCTATCAGGTGCAGAGTTCCCATAGGAAACAGGTGACGGTGATATAACAGAAAAGAAACTAACACCCAGAACACTCGTCAATGCCTATTTAGGCTCCTACAGAAAAATGTAAATTGTTCCCTTGAGTCCTTGAGTTCTGCAGCCATCATAGTCATTACTAAGCAAATAAGCCATGCAAAATAAACTCTGCCTTACATCCACCTCCATGGCAACAGGGAGGACTCAGGGAGATGCAACTCAAGATTTATTTAACCCTGCAGGATCTAGAAGACTAAATGAAGCACAGGAAGCAAACCAGAGAAGGGATTTTGCTATTCACAGTTCTGGAGCTGGAAAGGTGTTTTGCTGGATGGCTGGTTTGTACAAACACCCCCAGATCCAGGGGGAATGCAAACCCCATCTTTCCTCATCAGTAGTCACTTAGCATATGGCCAGAGCATGGACACTGGGACCTTCCACACTGTTCTGTTTCCTCATCCATAACGTCTGCTGACAGTGACTGCACATGCACACACTCACGCACATGTGCACACACTCACAAACGTGCACTCACACATGTGAACACACATTTTGGAGGATGCTTAAAGCTGTGGTAGTCAAAGAACTACACACCTGTACCCATGCCACCTGCTATCTCTAAAGCACACATGCCCCATCTGACGTCCCAGAAACACGATGTCCATGGCAGTGCATTCCACAACCACATATCTAATTGCTTGTCTTCATTCCACCCTGTCTAGACATGGAACTCCCAGTTCCTCTTGTCCTCGGTCCTCACCACAACTATGCCTGCCTGACTGATCAATCAATACTGCTGTGAATCCACCTCTGTCCTGTAAGTGCCCTGAGCACTTAAGGAAGGTCTGTGCAGAATACTCCCTTAAAAGAACTTTACAGCCCCCTTCCATTTCATATTGATTTCAGGTTTTAATTCATAATTTTTTTTGCTGTCATAAGCATCCTGGACATTTTGCATTATCTATTTTTTAAGGTAAGGAATGGGAATAGACCCCATAAAGTAGGTACATCCCCATCTTTAAAATGGGGAAAAATCCATTTCCTTCAAAGTTGTTACAAGCATTAAATGAAGTAATTTAGATAAAGCACATTAGAAGTGTCTAATATATGTGGTTTCCTTCTTCTCTGATACCTATTTTGGGTGGCCATGACCTCATGAGGGCCACACTGAGATGACCTTGAATGGCAGAAAGTCAGAAGGCGGAAGTGCACCCCATCCCAGTCCTCCTAGAAGTTCTGATATTGATTATCTTCAGACAATGGGCTCCTCATGAGGCCTTCATCTGTGACTCTGGAACTTAACTGAATTTCAATAGAACAGATGATTTTTCTCCCCTAATTTGCTCTACACAATTAACAAATATCTCTTCCCACCTCCCACAATGCTCCCAAGGAGGTCGATTGCAGGGTCCAGTGGTCCTGAGCCACCAGACCCTCTTCTCAGTTCTGCTACTCAACAGTGTTTCTCAACCTTCAACCCATGGGAAGCCAAAAACTTTATGTTGTCCAGCGAATACTTGTGCTTCATTTCTATCTTCTTTCCCTACTTTTGGAATTTGTGCGCAGAATTTAGAAAGCAATCCACAGAATAATGTGGGAGGAAAACATTGTGAAGTATTGAGTCCTTTAAAGTCCTGACTCATATCAATACGAAGTCAAAGGGAAAACCAAGAGCTTAATGCATGCAGTCTGGAGTCAAAACAGCTTGGCCCCCCCTATTATCCCAGTTTCCTTGGTTGTCTCCTGCTACAAAGTGGCAAAGTTCATGAGGGACAGGCCACTGCTTGCCTGCAAGAGAGGTTTGATTTCCTGTCCAAGCTTGTCAATATATACATGTTTTTAATATCAAGTTCTTTTTTTGTAGGGAAGTGAGTCATAGCTCTCACCAAAGGTTGGCACCAAAATCCACAGATGTTGGCAGTCATGATCTTATCAAATTTTCTCAGGAGTTGCAAGTGCAACCAGATAAATCATTAAGAAAAAGCAATGAATAACAGAAAAGAAAACTAAGCAAACAGAACCTTCTATCTCAGGCTTCATGGGACTTAGGTTGGTGGGATTTAAACTTCCTCCAGGCCAGCTGCTGTCATTCAATGGATAGTCGAATTCAATGGCGCCCACCAAAGACAATGCAAAACTCTCTGTGTCCATGTCACCACACCACTGATAGCCAATTAACTCCTTACATTCAGTGTAAAACATCAGTGATTTGACTCTCATACGCGCATCTGGGGAGAGAAGACAGGAAGAAGAGGAAGCTAACCGTTTCCAGATCTGAGTGCCAGCTCAAAATAAAACCAGTATCATCTGCCACAAGTGCTTTTGACATGGGTCCTAATTTTAAATTTACACACACACAAACATTTATGTATGCATGGGTGTGTGTGTGCGTATATATATATGTACATATTTGATTGCTTCTGTTTAAAATGTACTCATCTCAGCAAAGCTTATTTTCCTTTTATTTGACTTTCATTGTGACGACAAAACACTACTCCACTGACAGGGACAAGGAGCTATGCAGATCTAGCACCAGGCAGCAGGGGCACGGCCCTGACAGCACAAGTGCCCCATAGAACCTGATAGGGCACTGAGAGTGCAGGGTGTTCCTGGAATACTTTCAGGGCTCACAGGTACCGCAGAGAACACGTTGTCTCCCTCGCTCATTGACTTATAATTGATCAGAGATCAGTACCAGACAAGAAGCTGAGCATGTTCAACGTAAACATCCCTATTTCGAGTCAGCACAGACTGCCATGGTCCATTTCCCTTTGCCAAAATTCTTGAAGATATCCTCACAGAGCTGCCTCACGAGCACACCCATCACACAGCCTAAGATGGATCAATCTGTTCATACAACAAAAAGGGGCTTGGTGTACTTCAACCCCTTACTGTACTGCACAATACACTTCCAGGGACAAACAGGAGATGCTGTACCTGAAATCTTTCTGTTTAAATCGATTTAAAAAAAAAAAAAGAGAAATGGTCATTTTGTTTCCATTTCTCAAAGGTGTCCATCCTACAAATACAATTATACCTTGACTCATTTAATCAAGTCTACTAAAAGCCTGAGTAGATCTTTTGACATGGCTATTGAGGAATTCAGATGTTGATTTCTGTTTCAAGGTTAAGGGATATGTTTTGGTTACAATAAGTATACTCTGAGCTGGCAATCAACAATCCTCTCAGCAGAGGCTCTTCTAAATGGGATCAGATCCTCTTAGAAGGACATGATGTTTGCTGTTTTGATGGTGAGAAAAACTGAGGCCCAGACAGAGCTACTCAAGATGGCTCTGTGCCCTAGTGATATAATAAATTAGAAAAACTGAGGCCCAGACAGAGCTACTCAGGATGGCTCAGCTCCCTAGTGATAGAATAAACTAGAAAGATGAAACTAGAAATATGTTCCTGTTGCTGCCTGCAGCCTCCTCTCCTTAGACGATGCTGCCCCCTTTTGAAAGGCTTTACAACTTTTTTTTTTTTTTTTAAGGCTTTGTTAAAGAATCGAGTGGGAGGGAAGATTCCAGAACCTGTTATCCACACTGGCTTTTCTTCAGATACAGGTGTTGACAGGACTCAAGGCAGAACAATGTGACATAAACCAGATGAGGCGAACGGGCACTCCCTGGGGTCTGTTGGGCAGAGCAGCTCAGGTCTGTCAAAGCTCCTGGTGAGGTGAGAATGGGGAGAATGCTGCTTCTCATCTGTGGTGGCTGGCACAGTCTTGGGTAAGGGCAAGGCCAACTTTCCTTCCCAAGAGGGTGTTCTCTGTCTTTGTCTTTGCATTTCCTTATCCTCAGGGCACAGCCTTCCTGACAGACACTCCTTAAGCTGAATCCCTGAGCCAAATCCTGAGCTGTCTTCTGGCATCCTGGAAATCCTGCACTGATTCCGAGGAAGCGGCAAAGAAAGAACCATGAAGCATGCCAGCTTCATGTGAACTGATCACCATGAATGGGCAGGACAATGGAACTTAGGAATCTCATTTCTAGAGGGTGAGGCGAGTAGGAAATGATCGCTCTTTTTTGGCCAAGTACCCCATGGAATGCCTGGGGGATGGCATTTTAAGTATTTAGAAGAAGAAAAGTGGCAGAAGCTATTTGGTCTGGATGCATACTTCAGCCAACAAAATACCGTGTCACACAAGCTCTCTGATGGTTTCTCGCCTGGCAAGACATTTTCTTAAAATGAGCAAACAAAGAGTATCCAACTGGTATTTGATTTTTTTTTTTTTTTTTTTTTTTTGAGACAGAATCTGTCACCCAGGCCGGAGTGCAATGGTGTGGTCTGGGCTCACTGCAACCTCTGCCTCCCTGGTTCAAGGGATTCTCCTGCCTCAGCCTCCTGAGTAACTGGGATTACAGGAGCGTGCCACCACGCCCGGCTAATTTTTGTATTTTTACTAGAGACAGGGTTTTGCCATCTTGGAAAGGCTGGTCTCGAACTGCTGAACTCAAGTGATCCACCCGCCTTGGCCTCCCAAAGTGCTGGGATTGCAGGCATGAGCTACAGCGCCCGAGCTGGTATTTTATTTTCCCTTAACATAACTGGAAGACATGATTGAAGGTGAGCTATCAGACAGTATTTCAGTCTTATGAAGCAGGACCATCTGCCAGGCATTTGAATGTTTAGAATGCTTAACAATGACAATTTCAGAAAGGCAGAAGTTTCTGAAAAGCTTGTAAATTAAAAGGAAATGAGCCCCGGGGTGCTTCAAAGATGGATGACATGCGATGTGTGTCCTCAGGCAGGCAGGATCCTGTGACAGTGGCCACAGCAGACCGCAGAAGCTCATTTCCAGCCAAGCCAGGGGGAGGGAGAGATGCAGTGCATGGTGCAAACTTCATCAGGGCAGGTGGAGGAGGAAAAGTAAGAGGAAGGGCATCAAAGGGGAAGGATAAGGCAAGAGAATGTTATGAAAAGTTAAGTCATAATGTGCAGCATAGTGACTGACCAGAATTAAAAAGCAAGGAGTGGGGGCTTGGCAGCAGCAGAGAAGAGCATCAGGGAAAGGATGTTCACAGGGCATGCCTCAATCTGCATGCGTGTGTGTGTGTCTGTGTGACTGCTTGCGGTCAGATGCGAGATTTCAGCTGAGGCAAACTCAATTAGATACAGTTTCAGGGAAAAATGAGGTTCCAACTTATAAAAATAATACAATCCTAATGAAAAAGGGAAGGTTTTTCCCTCTCAAATGCACATGTAAAATTTGCCATAATTTATGTGGTGACACATTTTGAATAACTGACTTATAAGTTCAGTTTTCTATACTTCATCAAGAGTGATACTTTATGTGTAGCCCTCCTCCAGATAAATGGATTTCTCCAAACGAAACCAAGTATTTCGTGTTAAGTGGGCATTCTGTTAATGAGCATTTTAATAATACCATGGACTAGATCAGGAAAGGAATGAGAAACTCGGCTGTAGATGTGCATGGGGCAGGTCTGGGTGCCGACTGAAAGGGCACCACTACAGGACACAGAAACAAAACAAAAAAGGGAACAATTCCTGTGCAATAAATATGATTGTTTCTAAAACGTGTACCAAATCAGGAAGGCTTCCCTGTAACTCCAGGTAACTGAGTCATGAGTGGAGGAAAAAAGCTGATCAGATTTCTTCCTTGGCAAAACTTCTTTTCAAGAAAAGTAGGATTTATTTTTTAAGAAGCAGGAAAAGTAGCTGTGTGGTTCAAGAGCCTCTCTTCTGGGGGAGCAGACTAATTCTCTGATGCACTGTTTATAATGTTGCCCTCTCTAATCTTCTAAGGGACTTACCATTCATCACTACCTATATGTAGCATGCTATAGAAGAGGGTTAAGAGGGTGGCCACATAATTTATTATCCAAAATAGAACTATTTTTCAAGTGATCTAAAGTAAGCCTAATGGGAAAGAATGCAGTGACATCAGCATTGCTGGGACTGTCCCAGGCTAGCAGAAGTGTGGTCTCTCCACCTGGGCGGCATGTGAGCTGACACCTGCCAGGTGCAAAGAGAACAACTAAGCCGGTTAGGGAGGAAATCTAAACTCCAGGCTCAGAAAATGGTGATAGATTCGTGTGCAGACATGTATTTTACATATATGAACCCACTTGACCCTCATACCAGCTCTATAGGAAGGTAATTACATGGTCCTCATTTCACAGCTAAGGAAACTCAGGTACAGCGAGTTACTGGTTGCCCAAGGTCACACACTAGGAAGTGGTGGAGCCAGACAGGCTGGCTCTGGGGCAGAGGTTCGAAAACTCAGCTGCACGGAACTCCCTGGAGCTTTAATGATGCACACACCCAGGCTGCACACCAATCCAAGCATATCCGAAACCCCGGAGCCAGATCAAGCATTGGCTGTTTTCCTTTTTTAAATTATGATAACAAAATGTGTGTAATAACATAAAATTAACCGTGTTAGCCATTTTAAAGCATACAATCCGTGGTGTTAAGTACATTGACACTATCATCCAGACATCACCACTATCTAGTTTCAGAATGTTTTCATCATCCCAAAAGGAGACCTTGTACCCATTAAGCAGACACTCCCCAATCCCCTTTCCCCACCCCAGTCCTGGACAAACCCCAGTTTGCTTTTAGACTCTATGGATTTACCTGTTCCATATGTTTCATATAAATGAAATCAAACAATATATGATCTTTGTGTTTGGCTTTCACTTAGCATAATGTTTTGAAGGTTTGCTCACATTGCAGCATGCATCAGTATTTCATTCCTTGTTAAGGCCGAATGTTTGATGTATATACCACATTCTTATCCACTCATCTGTTCATGGGCATTAGAATTGTTTCTACTTTTTGGCTACTGTGAACAGAGCTGCTACAAGCATTTGTGTACTATTCACTTGTTTTTAATTCTTTTTTTCTAGACAGAGTCTTGCTCTTGTCGCCCAGGCTGGAGTGCAGTGGTGCGATCTCAGCTTACTGAAACCTCTGCCTCCCAGGTTCAAGCGATTCTCCTGCCTCAGCCTCCTGAGTAGCTGGGATTATAGGTGCCCACCATCACGCCCAACTAATTTTTTGTATTTTCAGTAGAGACAGGGTTTCACCATGTTGGCCAGGCTGGTCTTGAACTCTTGACCTCAAGTGATCAGCCCGCCTCAGCCTCCCAAAGTGCTGGGATCATAGGTGTGAGCCACCATGCCCGGCCTGTTTTTAATTCTTTTGGGTATATTCCTAGGAGAATTGTGGCTCATATGTTATTCCTTTTCTTTTTTTTTTCTTTTTTTTCCGAGATGGAGTGTCACTCCTGTCGCCCAGGCTGGAGTGCAGTGGCACGAACTCAGTTCACTGCAACCTCTACCTCCCGGGTTCAAGCTTCTCCTGCCTCCGCTTCCTGAGTAGCTGGGATTACAGGTACCCGCCACCATGCCCAGCTAATTTTTGTGCTTTTAGTAGAGATGGGGTTTCGCCATGTTGGCTAGGCTGGTGTCAAACTCCTGACCTCAGGTGATCTGCCCACCTCGGCCTCCCAAAGTGCTGGGATAACAGGAGTGAGCCGCCACACCTGGCCTGTTATTCCTCTGTTTAACTTACTGAGGAACAGCCAAAGTGCTTTCCACAGTGGCTGTACCATTTTACATTCTCACCAGCAATGAACAAGGGTTCCAGTTTATCCACGTCCTGGCCAACATTTGTTTTCCTTTTGTTTGAACAGCCGTCTTTCGTGTGTGTGAAGCGGTGTCTCACTATGGTTTTGAACTGCACTTCCCCCACTACTAATGAGGTGGAGGCATCTTTCCGTTTGTTTACTCCCACTAGGCATCTGTGTTTGGGAATCAAGAGTGGGCCCCACCGCTCTCACCTTTGCTCCTGACCATCACAGCACACTGCCCAGGCTGGAGGTGGCTCATTTTTATTCTCTCTTAAGGAACAGTGCCTTAGAGCATCAGCCATCAATATTTTTACTGGCCCCAAGCCCCATGATTTCATATGCATGGGTTTCACATGCAAGGTGCCAGCCTCTGAGCAGCATCTGTGCAAGAGCTGCAACTCCATCCTTCTGTCTTCTTCAAAAAGTGTATCAGAGAGGGAATAATCATGTTTTCCAGGTGAAACTGAATGGCTTTTGTCTGTTTAAGTAAATCACTCACAAATTTGGGTACTCTATTATTAATTAACAAATAATTAATCAGCCCCTCCTTGGGGCTCCCTTGCCACCTCCTTTTAGAATTGCTGCAAAGCATAACGGCTGGTCAAGTGCACATCCCCATGACTGCAGGGAGGGGCTGCCAGGCATACTCATCTCAAGGTCACCCATGAAGTTCACCTTCAAAGCGATCGGCAGTTTCCTTGAGGTTCTCTTGGCAATCTTGTCATTTAACCTCAGTCCTTTCCTATTTTCTAGCATGACCTGTGGGACTCAGATTCTGTAGCGCTTCTGCCATGCCCCACTCCGTTCTCCCATTAAGATATTATCTCTTGTTGGAAATAAAAAGAGGAGACAGAGGAAGGTGACCGCTGTGGAGCTGCTAGTGCAGGAATGTGGGGGCGGGGGGAGGGGGGCAATAGCCCAGATTTCTAGGAAGCTGGGAGAGTTAGAAATAAGGCCTGATGAAGAGCTGTGCATTTTCTCATATAAAGGCAGGTGGTGCAGAGGGGGAGTCGCAAGGAATACGGGATATTCCCTCACTTCTTTCCAACTCAAGATGAGCAGGTCAGAGCAGTCAGGAGGAAAACCCAAGACCTACAAAAGTTACTTAATAGGAGGGCTGTGATCCATTGGGAAGTTGGAGAGCAGATACGGCTGCTGATCCCCTGGCAGCCCCAGGAGGGGTGTGACATTCTCAGCTCCCCACCTTGGGCATGGTGATGGGGAGCCAGCAGGGGGTTGCTCATTAACCTGCAGGAAGTGTTCTGCAGGCCAGGGTCCCTGCATAGGGACAGCAGAAGGCACTGCAGAGGGGAGGGGAATGGCTTTCCTCTCAGAATCCAGTCAGGACTCCGCAGCCCTGGGGCAGCTGTGACCTCCAAGCTGTGTCAGCCCTGGACTTGCATGTGGCTGGGTGTGGCCTTCCCTCTCTAGAGAACAGCTGGGAGCCAGCGCACTGAGAACCTGCCCATGGCCATCCACTAAGCCCTTCCTTGTCCTAGCTCACAAAAAGGTCCCTCAGCCTTGTATGGGTCACATTTGTTAGAAATGCTTGTTACTTGGTGCTGTAAAGAAATAGCACTTGAACATAAATTTAATTTTCTCAGCAAGGTCATTTTTACTTTCTGCAGAAAGGGTACACTCACCAGCAGTTTTGCCAGGAGAGTACACCGAACAAAGGAGACAGGGTCATTTATAACCTGACGCGTTCACCTTACTGCTGTATCTGGTTTCCACTGGCCAGAACAGGACCTCGCTTTCTGTATTTGTCCTGATTGGCTAGCAACTTAGAACTTTTTAAAAGAGCAAAGGTAGAGGAGAACAAAGGGAGGAGGAAGTAACTTGTGGAATGCTGAGAAAGGTGAAAACACCTCCAAATAAGGAAGAGGAATAGGCTATGACCTAACGCCCGCTTGGACTAGTATAAGCATGCCAGGGCAAATATTTAGGCGAAATTGCGGGACCTAAGAACATAAAGTACGTTGATTTTTCTTTTCTTTTTTTTTTTTTTTGATACAGAGTCTCACTCTGTCATCCAGGCTGGAGTGCAGTGGCGCGATCTCGGCTCACTGCAAGCTCCGCCTCCCAGGTTCACACTAGTCTCCTGCCTCAGCCTCCCAAGTAGCTGGGAATACAGGCACCCGCCACCACACCCAGCTAAGTTTTTTGCATTTTTATTTTATTTTTAGTATAGACGGGGTTTTACCGTGTTAGCCAGGATGGTCACGATCTCCGGATCTCGTGATCCGCCCACCTTGGCCTCCGAAAGTGCTGGGATTACAGGTGTGAGCCACCACACCCAGCCACATTGATTTATTACGGCTAGCAGATATTTAAGAATGTTAGCACAGGTCTTTGAATAAATATTGCTTCTAAGAGAAGTTACTATTTATTCCTAATTAGACGGAGAGGAGAGTCTCTTTGAAGAGGAACCTCTATTTTACTATTTACACGTTTGTGCACAGGGCAGGTGGGAGGCAGCCAGAGTGACTGGGGGGTGGGCTACAAAGGGAAGGGGACCCATTTCCCCTCATCTTCCCTCGCTTTGTCTTTCTCTCACAGCTCACGCTCCACCTCAGCTCCTGTTAGATTCTCTTTTGGTTGGTTTCTAAGGTACAACTCTACTGGCTTTTAAGCAAAACTATAGGTGCTATTCAATGTCTCCCTCTCCCCAAGTTGCAGGTACCCCTCAGCGGCCCACTGGGTCCTGTTGCCCTCCATCTTCTCTCTGACACAGCGGCTTCCAAGGCCTTGGCCCATGGATGCTGTCCATGTCGCTAAGGTCTTGTCCTGGCCCCTCTCCTGCCTAGCTGCCATAAATGCCCTTGACTTACTCCCAAATTTTCTTGACTTTCCGTGGCTCATTCCTGAATTTCCTTAGCTCCCTTTCCTGGGAATCCTACCAACTGGAAATGCATATCCCTCCATGACCATGGCTCTTGGCATTCTGACCTCACCTGTCTGAGATCCACTCCCCTGAATACCCCTTCAGAGCCAGGCCAAGGTGTGGGAAGGGAGGTGGGGTGCTGGCAGCGGGGGCTGTAGCAGAGGCAAGCCAGGGCTGGCCATTCAGACACCCCCCGGAGGACCACTGCTCCAGGCATCCCCAACCCCCTTATCATTTACTCTGTGTGTGTGTAAACATGTATACACATATATAACTTCACCCCACCACAAAAAAATCTCTTATCTTTGTAAACACTCGAGCCCACAATTCCAATTTTAATACAGGGACCACACCTCCCTATTTCTGGGTGGTGTGGTTTTCCAAGTTCCTGAGACATCCTCTATGTCAAGGTTTGCTATAAACCCCAAGCCCGAAGGGGCATTTATCTTCCCCATATGGCCCCACAGCTACACTGCTCTGCTGCTTGGCTTGATTTTGTTTCCATTTCTGTGAGGCAATGTGAAGTGCAAGTGTCTGTCACTTCTCATGAACAGAGTCATCTCCTGATGCTTGCCGGAGGGCTGCAGACACCCATTTTCTGAATACCACAGGGGCACATCACTTCTCCTGAAAGGACAGGAACTGGCGTCTGTGGTGCTTTCCCCACCTGTGGTCAAAGACAGGTCTGTCCAGGCTCCAGGCTTCCTCCCCAGTCACACTTTCTTCAAGGGCCATGTGTTCCTGAACCTATCTTCACACTACAAGCAAAACCCCATCCCTACTTTGTCTACAATTTTATCTCCCACTTTCTGAGCAACTTTTAAACTGGCTGGTACACTTGCAAAAATAAGCAAATAAACTGATTTTCTCATTGCTTTTAGAGTGTTTGGTGAACTTACTCTTACATGGATTTAACCCAGTTCCAAATTTATTATTTCACTATTTGTCTCAGAATGTCTTTTTGTTTTGTATTTTGTTTTTGAGACAGAGTCTCACTGTGTCGCCCAGGCTGGAGTGCAGTGGCGCAACCTCAGCTCACTGCTACCTCCTCCTCCCAAGTTCGAGAGATTCTCCTGCCTCAGCCTCTGAGTAGCTGGGATTACATGTGCCCACCACCACGCCTGGCTAATTATTGTATTCTTCGTAGAGCTGCGGTTTCAGCATCTTTGTAAATAGCACCTTTGTTGGCCAGGCTGGTCTTGAACTCCTGACCTCAGGTGATCCGCCCACCTCAGCCTCCGAAAGTGCTGGGATTACAGGCATGAGCCACTGCAACCAGCCCAGAATGTCTAAAATAAGAATACAAAAATGATCACTTCCTTTGGAACTTCTCATGTTTTCTTTACTTCCATTAAACCCTGGCAGCTGGCATTTTCCAGGGAGATACTTCCAGGCATGCATGCACAAGTTCTCATACAGAAAACAAGGTAAGTCTCCCTTCCACAGAAAACACACACACAAAAAACACTGCAAGGGGAAGGGAGAGGAGCCGAGCCCCTCTGAGCTACAGAACGATGGGTACACCTTGGGCTCACTCATCAGCTAAGTGACTTGTGTATCCCAGAAGTGCCTTAGCAGAGTAGCCCAACCTTCTGGTCCACTACAGTCTCTGATAGTCCAGTGTCTACTGCTCTTACTCAGAAGGCCTGCAGCCTAGACAGCTTCCTACATTTCTGATAGTGCTCATGATTGAACGTAGGTGTTAGGAAAGGAAGAGAAGTCACTCGGCATGCCTCTCATACTCATCCCACACCAAGAGAGACATCACTAGTCAACCCCAGCAACCTTCTCCATTCAGTGTTTCAGGAAGCTCCCCCAATACACAGAGCTGCCGTGAATCATCATCATTATTATTACATGGCTATACTCCTCTTCTCACATTTTGATTGTCCTCAACATAAATGGCAACATTTCTCTTGGTTTCCTGGAGAAACTATGGGAGTCAGGCAATTCTCCAATCCTCCAGGAGAAAACAGAAACTATAACTGACCTTCTTTCAGCCTACAGCAATGAGACCAGGTTGACACAACTACTTCGCCACTTTCAGTAGATGATTCTAGTTGAGTTCATTGTCCAGATGAAGACCACCTATGGCTGCTCAAGATTGGGCAGAGACCACAGGCTGCACAACTCAAAGGGAAGTGTCTGCTTCTGGCCAAGAGGTACTAGATCTTGGGGAGAGTGCTCTATTTTTCTTAGCACAAAATTATAGCTGGGATGTCATGTTCTTACCCAGATATGGGCCCACGCTTAAACTCTTTTCAGATGCTCAGTTGGTTCTTTCTAGTCGCAGAGAGCCCCTTCTTCAGGAGCAAGAGTCACCTGCCCCCCTCCCCGCCCCAAATCAGCACTGACAACTCCTCCCAATATTGTTCTGACCTCTGACCATGGTCAGGGCAAGAAAATGAGTCAGTAAGCACCCTGTGCTTGCATGAAGCAGACAAAAACACAGCTCTTTCAGATGTGGATCTTTCTGCCACTGAAAATCCTCGGCTCTTTCCCATACTATTGTCAAATCCTATCTCAGTTCAGCTGCTGTACATAGGCGAAACATTTTCAGCCTTGATGCACTGATTTATGTTCAAGTCCTCTGGCCTTGCATCACAGGCAACTAAGATCTGTATAAACGCTGTATGTCAGCTCAGCAGCTATCCCACCCAGTTCTGCTTTATCTACAACCTGCGGCCTGGAAGTATGTTGAGTTCCCGTGCCCTGGGATGCAAGTGGACATCTCTCCTCTAGGCTTTCACAGATCAGGAAAAAATGCCCACTGGAAGAAATCTGCCCCCACTCTGGCGTCGCACCTGCCCTTCCAGAGTCTCCCCATAAGATATTAACAAGTGACTGGTGTGGCTAAGAATGTAGAAGAAGGTGAAAAACTAACGTTCTGATTTTTTAAAAAAGAGATTTGAGCCTTGTTAACCATTCAGAGTATATCCTTCATGACCTGGTAGCTTCACAAAAGCATACAAAGAGAGGCGGAATAAACATTTAGGGTAATTACAGCTGGCCTGCATCAAAGTCCAGTAAGCCCTGTAATTTCCTGGTCAAGAGGAAGCTCAGGCTTTAGGACAAACTGAAAAACAATCATACCAGCAAATACTAAAAGGAATATTTCCCAGCTTCCTTGGTTAGGACAGAGCTTTGAATCATTTCTTCAAGAGCAGAAAGGGCTCTGTGTGCCTGGCTCAGGCTAGACACACAGCGTCCTCCTGGGAGACCCCACGGACAAGCCAGGGTCGCCCACCAGCTGTTCACCAATGGCCAGCACCCTCAGCCGCCTGTGGCCATTCCTTAACTCAGTGTATTAGCAAAACATCTCTTTAATGATCTGATTTTGGCTTAATAGCCATTTCCTGCTCACAAATCATATGATCTCAGGACAAACTCTGCTCTTATTCAAAAAGTCACACTTTGTGATGCACACATTCCATAACGATGCCTTAAAGGTTTAAGGACTATGGCATTACAGGAAAGTGCCAAGATAGACTAATACTCCAAGACCAGAAAAGGAACACTCTGGCTACGCACAAGGGACAGGCCCAAGACAAATGAGCAGAGATGACCAGCGCTCCAGAGACAGCTGTTCAATTCTGATTTAAGGTAAGACAAAATTTAGGAAGAGGGGACCATTTAACCATAAGTCAAATAAAAATCAATTATTTTGCAATACTAGGAAAGTTCTCACATCTGTAGCTTGTTTCTTAGCTACCCTGAATCCCACTCCAGTCAAATTTAGTTGGTACCATGGTTCACTTTTGTCCCATCCTCCTAAGCCTCATGAAACCCCCAAGCTGCCGACTCCCACATTTACATTTACAGGGCTGATTGCATTTTTATAGAAACCATCTCTGTCCAGCCCCTTCTGTTGGCACATTTGTCAGACCTAAAGCAAGAGAAAAAAATGGCAATAAGCTATTAACATTTTCAAGGTTTCCCAGGTATTCTTCTCCTTCAGTTAAATCCACTGCTGTGAGCTTTCTCTGTTGCTTCCTACAACCCTACCTATGTTTTCTGTTGCTAAGAGTTGGCAAAGGCAGAAAATAATTCCAAAACTAAAAGTGGTTTCATATACAAGTTAATTGACAATATAAACAGGCTTGAAAGCAGCATCTTTTCTCATCCTTGTTGTATGATTTGTCTGGTGGATTCAGGGCCCTGTTGGGGCAGAGGCTGGCGATGGTCTTAGGGACATTTCTGTTTCTCATGCCTGAATGGGAATGCTCCAACGGTTCAGCCCAGGCATTCTCTAACTTAGATCTGCCATCCATGGCCCCCAGATCAAGAATCCTCTGAAAGAGCAAGCAATGAACTGAACCAAACCACAATCCTTTGTTATGAAGATTTTCATTTTTACATATGGCTAAGAGCTACTTATCACTAGCCTACTATTGTATATCGTAAGGTTAAATTCATACATAGTTAGAATTTACTCTGGATTCTAATTTTGTCCTCTTCTGTGGGTCCCAGCTGCCATGGGGGATTGTAAAGATCTTATCAAATGTGTGCACACTCCGGTGAGAAGCTCATAGCATAAAAAAAAGATACTTTTTTATTAGCACATCACTGGCATCATACAAAAGTTGGTCTTAGGCTTTAAAATGCTATGACTCTTGTTTCTCAATAATATAGTACTGTTAATTTTGCTTTATTGTTACCAATTAATTATTACTGATAATTAAAGATATCTAGCTAATAATTAAGATGGTTAGCAAATAATTTTAAAATAACTAGAATAAAGTAAAAACAAGAAGTCATCCCTATTCTATGCTAAAAAGCAACCATAAATGTAATCATTCCTAATGCATTTGTATATTAATGTTTCATTACTGAGAAGCTGCCTGCAGGTATGTGTTATTTAAATAACATTGCTGAAGATTTCATTGTGACTGCTATTTGCTGTGAACAGCATGCTCCGTGACCTACAATCTCATAGATAGGCTTCTCTTCTCTTCTTTTACACAGTAGATGGGCAATATGACTGCTGATAGCCAGTGAACTCACACGACTTCTTTACATCCTTCCCTTCCTTGTCATCAAGGAAATGGGGACAAGACCATGGAAGCTGCTGTGGTAAGGAGGCCGCAGGGTCTCTGGCCCTGCTTGGTGGGTAACGTCAGGACAGCCAGCTGAGTAGCACCTCTATTCTCCCTTTCAGTGATTCCAATATCAGTGCTGTCACGCAGCGGCCAGCTAACGTTTTTATTTCCCAGACTCCTTTGCAGCAATATAGAGCCATGTCCTTAAGTTCTCGCCAATAAAATGAGACTGGATGGGAGGTACATGTAACTTCCAGACTGGCCTGTAGAGACCTCACAGATGTGTCCTTCCATGGCGTCCCCTCCAACTGATGGAGAAGCAGATGGCCGTGTTCATCGTGGAGGCCCGTGTCGCTGAAAGATGAGTGCCTCCAACCTTGGCAGATGCAACCTTCCAAGTACCCTGAGAGTCACCAACAGCCTCTGAATCCAAGCTTCTGAATTCTGGGGATTTCCTTTATGAGAGCAGCTTAGCCCAGGCTTACTAACATGTTGGCCACAGTCAAGGGAGTCAGAGTTCCATGCATATTCTCCACACATAGAAGGAAGCCAGAGGAAAAACCATGAGGGTGGTTTTAAGCTACAGCCCTAAGGCTGGCTGCTGGACCTCATAAGAACAGGCACAGACCAATGTGCTATGAGCGCAAACTGAAGCAGAGAACATGGTCAGGGCACGGAGGGCCAAGGCACAAAGGGGCTTTGAGAGGCTTAGAGCAAGGGTGCCACAGAGCTGACATCACTCACAGTTCCATGGGAGCAAATAGGATTCTAATGGAGGCAGCAAATCCTGATCTGGGGCATGACTGTACTTCAATAAAACAATAGATGTCATTATATCCCAGCAAAAGCATTAAAATGAGGCTTCTCTTTCATCAGCCTCTGTACGAATAACTCCCGGTGGGATGTGGGCACCTCCCCTCCTCTCTGAGAATCCGTGGCTGGGCCATGGGTATCATTAGGGTCTGCGTCACTGGCACACATCCCAATCCCA
Source organism: Homo sapiens (assembly GCF_000001405.40). Taxonomy (NCBI): domain Eukaryota; kingdom Metazoa; phylum Chordata; class Mammalia; order Primates; family Hominidae; genus Homo; species Homo sapiens. Next base: position 51,154,674 of record NC_000007.14, read on the forward strand.
ACCTAAAGGTGTGGAGCCAGCAGGTAAGAGGAGAGGAATGGGCATGGGCAATTTTCACAAAACACTCAAGAAAATATCATTCAAAATCTCTGCATCAAAATTGAGAGTTCTGGGCAACCAGGCCATCTGCTTCAGCATTCACCATTTTCCTTTTTCCGTGTGTAACTTTTGCTTACACTACTGGAGACTGTCTCTGACATGGGATATAAAGTATTAACAAACTGCGCCAGAGATCAATTCTCATTGGCTATACTTCTGACCAAAGCAGGCATGCGTTCAATGAACACATCTAAGTTCCTACTCTTGTTTCCAGGCACTGCATTAGTTGAACAATCAGAAATAATAGCAATAATATTAATAATAAATGACTCTGTCCTCATAGAGCTTAAATTCACTTCACCTGTTTGCTTCCAATTAACTCCAATGTTTTAACAAAATTCAGCTATAAATGGTTGTTGAGGTCAGAAGATAACCTCTGGAAGAAGGGGCAGAAATGGTTTTGGACACAGCCAAACCAATTACCAATATATGGCTGCAAAGACAGGATCAGAAGCCACTCTGCCTGGGACATAAAATATGCAATATTTAGGACAATAAAGAGTTTTACTTGGTAATAGAAAGACTGTACAGTTCCAGCCGGGAGCAGTGGCTCACACCTGTAATCCCAGCACTTTGGGAGGCTGAGATGGGTGAATCACGAGGTCAGGGATTTCAGACCAGCCTGGCCAACATGGTGAAACCCCATCTCTACTAAAAATACAAAAAAATTAGCTGGGCATGGTGGCACACACCTGTAATCCCAGCTACTCAGGAGGCTGAGGCAGGAGAATCATTTGAACCTGGGAGGCGGAGGTTGCAGTGAGCTGAGATCATGCCACTGCACTCCAGCCTAGGTGACAGAGCAAGACTCCATCTCAAAAAAAAAAAAAAAAAAAAAAAAAAAAAGAAGACTGCACAGTTCCTATATAGCCCTGGTTTCATTTCTACAGATTTCAACTCCCCTAACCATAAATGAAGGAACACTCAGAAGCTCTACACCTATGGGGTAGTGTGTGTTAAACAGAGTGGTATCCAAGTCAGTAAACCTAAACAGAAAAACGTTATCTGCTCAGGACTATTTAAGCCCTCCTGTGTGAATTGCTTAGAACTGACCTGAAGCATCTACTCTAGGTCCCATTGTGATGGTTCTTACGGAAGGGAGCCTGCATCATCAGTAATGAAAATATCAACATTGACTTCTGCCAATCTCCATGCAACCAAGCAAAACACAGAGAGATCAAGGAAATTCAAATGCAACTGGGAATCATAGTTTCTCCATAAACCACTGTATTTTCAAAGAAATAAGCTTCATAAACACCTGTATTTATAATTTGCTTATAGTTTTTGCTATAAAGCTAGAAAATCATCCAGACGACATAGAACAGAAATTCATTGTGCTAAAAGAAAACAAATATCAAAGACAGTCCACTTAGGATATATCACTAAATGTTGATTTTTGTAGTTCAACCAAAATACTCTGCACACACACACACACACACAAAATTTACAAGCCAAGAAGGCAAATTAATTCCTTTCTTACCCTTTTATTTTTCTTGTTGTGGTTCTTTTCCTCTTTTTTATCTCCCCATGATGTCCAGACAGTAGTTATTCTTGTCCAAGTTTATCAAATTATCTCAGTTTGAAGCTCAGAGCCAATACTTCCGAAATGTCCCTTTCTGAAAGCTCACCGAAGTGTCTCTTCTGAAGGAGACATCAGGTTCCCCAGGAATCACCCAGCAGGAAGCATCACCCAGAATTATTCAGTTTTATTGGAGGCTGTCATTCAAAGGAGTTACGCTCACCATATAATTACAGATCCAGAATATATCATCTCGGATGGCAAACATTCTTAGCCAAGCAAATAAAAGAATTCTCTGATCCTTCTCACCCCACATGGAGGGTCAAATATTGAGAAATAGCTAGTCATTTGTTCAGGCTATTTTTAAACACACATTTCCAATGTACAGTCAATAAAAAACCACCCTTCACACACACACACACACACACACACACACACACACACACACACAATGAACTGTAGTTAAGGTGCACTTTCAAATCACTAAATGGAACTGCTGAAGAATGGGAACTTTCATTTCTTAACCCTTCTCCTTCCTCTCCCCCTTAAACTGTTCTGTACTTAAAATAGAAACACAGGTGCCCCTAAGCTGGATTCCCCTCTCAGAGAGGGAGCCACACAGCTGCATCCGCAGCTTAGCTGAGGCTTTGCCTTCTCTGTACAGACCTTCCTTCGCCCTTCTCACAAGGAGAACCGAGCCCTCTGACTCTACCTCCTCGCCAGGGCCTCAGGCTTGATTCTCCTATTGCCTCATCTGCCCCAATACCTCAAATCAGAGTTTTAACAAGGCCAGGGCTAGCCAGACACGGTGGCTCACGCCTGTAATCCTAGCGCTTTGAAAGGCCGAGGCAGGCGGATCACTTAAGGTCAGGAGTTCAAAACCAGCCTGGCCAACATGGTGAAACCCCATCTCTACTAAAAATACAAAAAAATTAGCCAGGCGTGGTGGTGTGGGCCTGTAATCCCAGCTACCTGGGAGGCTGAGGCAGGAGAACTGCTTAAACCCAGGAGGCAGAGGTTGCAGTGAGTCAAGATCATGCCACTGCACTCCAGCCTGGGCAACACAGCAAGACTCCGCCTCAAAAAAAATAAACAAGGCCCCTGGCAATGCCAGAGAATTTGGAGTTTCAGTAGCACCGGCAAGGGGTTCCTTGGTGTCTTCTGAGGGCAGGGGGTTGGCCTGGCTCCTCTGTGTGTCTCCAGTGCCCCCTGGTCTGCTGATGGGACAGACTCAAAGTGTGCCCAGGGCAAGTGGTTGGAGAGGCGAGTGTCTATGTGGGGAGGGATTTTAGTGGAGGCACTCTGCTCTCTTCTCCCTTTTCTTTTCTCCTTCTTTCTTTCCTTATTTTTTCCCCCTCAATATTCATTGTTCTTATTCTCTAAGTCAAAATTCAGACTTTGGAAAATAAATAATCACTTCAGGAAGTCTATTTATTGTACTATATGGTGACTATAACTACTAAGAATGTATTATATACTTGAAAATTACTAAAACGGTAGACTTTAAATGTTACCACAAAAATATAAGTATGTGAGGTCATGGATATGGTAATTAGCTTGATTTAGCTGTTGCACAATGCACTGATATATAATTTTTATTTGTCAATTGAAATAAACAAAATACAGACAATCATCACACACATTGTTAAAACATACAAAATATGCTCTGTGTTGTTAATGGACAGACAGCCTTTCACTATACTTCTTAAAATATAAAACTTTTAAAAGGGTTGCTGCCCCTGGGGAAGGAAGAAGAGAGCCAGTTGTTGTGTTAGAGAGGCAGTGTCATCTGTGTCTGCTGTGTTTCTTAGTCGTTAACAAAAAGACAATGCAGCAAATGTAGCTAAACACACATTAACATTTGTTAATGGTGGATGATTGATATGGGACTGTTTATTTATTATTCTTTTTATTTTACTATTTCTATGTATTTTCTATTTGTTTATTTTATTTATTTTACTCTGTAATCTACTATGAATTGGTACCATGCAAAATTTCAAAAAGGAGAAGAGACCCTCAAGGTGCAGTTTATGTTGAAAGAATGGAGAAGAATGGACCCAAACCTACCGGATGGCGGAAGGGCAGGGTCGGGGAGGAGCCTCCTCACTCACACGCGTCCACAGCCTGTAACCATCGCTCAACAGGAAGAAAAGGGAAGGACTATAGGTCCGCCTGGGACATATTTAAGATGCAGAAATCAAGAAAATGTGACAACCCTGGAAGAGGAAGCAAAGGTGGTGCTAGCTGAGGAGACAACAAGGGAGCAGTGGGGATTTAAGAAGATCCCAGTCTCCAGGGTAGAGGACGCATCCCTAGGGGCCCAGACCCTGGGGCAGGTGCCACTAGGAACAGAGCACGGTGGGAGGCTGGGAAAGTGTCCGCCCCTGCCCTTTTCCAGGGAGGAGCTGGAAAAGAATGCAGGCAAAAGTCGGGGAGGAAACACTCATTCCTAATGAAATGAAATCTGTAACATCAAATAAAAACAGGAGATGAGCGCGATGCTGGGACAAGCACACTGGCCTGAGCCAGGGGTGTCCATAGGGCGGGGGACAGGGAAAGCGAGGCACGGGGTGGGAGACAGGGAAGGCGTGGGGGACAGGGAAGGCACAGCGCCGGGGACAGGGAAGGCACAGCGCGGGGGTGCAGGGGCTGTGTGGGCAGGGAGGCGAGCTGAGAAACAGCAGCCCCAAGGGCCGACCCTGGGACTGCCAGTGTGTGGGACACCCTGTCTATAGTCCACTTCCTTTTTTTAAGAACCTGGATCAAGACACACGAAGAGCTGGCCAGGAGCTTGGAGGAGGGCAGCGGGGGCGGCGTTGCAGGCTCTCTGCAGCCCCCGGCCGCGCGCACCTGGCGGCCGCGCGCGCTGCGCTCTGGATGCCGCGTGAAACCGCAGGGCGCAAAGCAGGGAGGTGGGGAGGAGGCTTTGGAGACCACAGGTGCTGGGAAGTGGAGCCGCCAGGAGGCCTGGGCCAGGTGACAAGGCCAGGCTGTGTGAAGTGGTGAGATCCTAGATGTATCTTGAAGGCGACAGACGCTATGAGGGTTGCAGGTGGAGTGGGAGAGCAAAGGGGGCAAAGAGGACCCCAGGGTTCTGGCCCGAGGCACTGTGATGGCGGAGATGTCATCTCCTAGACAGGAAAGGATACCGAGGGACAGAGAGCTCTGCTTCTCACCTTCTCTGGTCTCTGAAGCAACTTAAATCCATGTGCAGGCAAGTGAGATTCTTGTTTTATACTTGTCTGACAAAGAGCAGGGGAAGGCCAGAAAGGAAACATAGACAGTGGAAATAATAGTCATGTTTTAGGGGAACATACGGAAAACCAGTATTTGAAAGGGACGTTTTCTACCTCAGTATCCTTACAAACATCACATTTTCAGCCAAGTGGTGAAAAATCTACATTTATTTTTTTCCCTCCGAGAACTGGTACTGGCATTAGGCCCTGTTTATCAACTCTTCAGGATCTATGTGTATACTACTCCCATTGTAAGAATCGAACACTCTGGGAAAAAAATTCATCAAAGCTTTAAAACCAAAACCCTCCTCTGATGGGTTCCAGGTTTGCATTAGAGATCATATGATAAGAATATTTTTAAAACTATTTTTTTGTTGTTGTTTTGAGACAGTTTCACTATTGTTGCCCAGGCTGGAGTGCAATGGCACGATCTCAGCTCACTACAACCTCCGCCTCCCGAGTTCAAGTGATTCTCCTGCCTCAGCCTCCTGAGTAGCTGGGACTACAGACACCTGCCACCACGTCCAGCTAATTTTGTATTTTTAGTACAGATGGGGTTTTGCCATATTGGTCAGGCTGGTCTCAAACTCCTGACCTCAGGTGATCCACCCACCTCGGCCTCCCAAAGTGCTGGGATTACAGGCATGAGCCACCATGTCTGGCCTATTTTTAATGGTCAAATAGGTATGGAAAGAACCTTAGAATGATTTTTCTAGATTACACATTAAGGTCTATTTACTTTCCAATAGTTGATAGGAGTTTTATATACACAAGGCTCTGAATCAGAAATGGAGAGTTGAGTGGCCATAATAACATATTGTTATTTGTTGTTGATGACACAGTCATCAAGGGAAACAATGCAGTAATGCCATAAAGTTGTCATATCCTTTGATTCACGAATACATTTGCAGGTGTCTTTCATAAAGAAAACCTCCCAAATGAAAAAAGGCTTTTGGGATAAAGTGACTTTCACATTACTTATACCAGAATAAAAGAAGCAATGAGCAACAGGGCCGAGCCAACCTTCATCGAGTGCTAGCTGTGAGCTCCTTCCTGTGCTTGGCACTCATTTAATCCTCATAAGAATGCTGGGTGCTGGTGATTATGAGCTCACGGTACACACGGGAAGACAAGGCTCTAAGAGGTCACAAACTGTATGTGAATAATTCAGAATCCAAATTCAAGCAAACAAAAACAAAAGCCACGCTTTTCCCTTTACACAGAAGATCATACAACCTTTAAAAGAACTATGCAGATACTGAGAAAGGCTCAGGAGAACAAGGAACAAGAAACTCTGTTAGACTTGTAGGCACTGGACATGATTCTCCTACTCTACTCTTAAAACCTGCCATATGCAATTTATTTTGTTTTGAATATAAAGCTTTTTTTTTTTTGAGATGGAGTCTCACTCTGTCGCCCAGGCTGGAGTGCAGTGGCGCAATCGAGGCTCACTGCAACCTCTGCCTTATAAAGCATTTTCTAAAGGTACAAGCTAAATTTTAAAAATATCTCTACACAACTGATGTATAACAAAAATTAGTTCTACCTCATAAACACGTGGCTCAGCCCTCGGAACACATTTTCCTGTTCTCAACTGATGAACACTCCAAAAACAGAACAGATTTGAGCTTTTCCAGGCCCAGAAAAGCTCGCGAGGGGATTTGCTGTGTGTGTGACAACACTGCCACCCTGTGGCAGCACAGCTCCACACATGCTTTGGGCCGCATTTGCAAGTTCTCTGTAATCCCCCTGGAGACCCGGATCAGCTGGGTGGAAATGCAGGCTCTCTGTAAGCATAGGACTCAGGGCAGCTGAAATTATGGAGTTTCCTTTAAAATGTAGCTTTTAATAACTTTTTCTGAAAATTTTATTTTACTGGTGGGCTTCCCTGTAAATGCCTGCCTCCAATACTGCAGAGGCTTCCATCAGAAACAACGCCACTCAACACGAATTCTGGAAACTTTTTTAGGGCTTTTGCTATGGAAATCACTTCAAATGTAAGCTCCGTCCATCTGTGAAACACTATAATGACACTATTTCTGTCACTGCCTGAACAGGGCAAATGGACAAAATGTCTCCAGACAGGTTTATTTTGTTGTTTGCTTGTTTTATAAGGCAGTGATTTTTAACTCTTTTACCAGAAGAACTTTAACTTTATGGTATCAAGAAATGCAGAGATATCTGATGAAGCATGTAGTAATACCTTTAGATTGGTCAAATTTATAGAATTTGGATTTTTTAAAAAACCAAGAAACCAAGAAGCAGGGCCCATAAAAGGCCAGTTACTTTCAAAAGTTCATTCTTCAGAGAAAGGCCTGCTAATGACTGGTCTGTTGTCCTGGTGAATAACAGAACCAGGATTAGAACCCACGTCACTTTACTCCTACATCAGAACATTTGCACTTTATCAGACTGATATAATAATTTCTTTTCCATTTTTGTGTGCTGAATTGCAAATTAACTCAGGTACCTTGTCTCATCCGTTAGCACAGTTTATCACTGCTGTTTGTGTGACTTAGGAAACAGAGACCCGAGAGCTAACTCACACCTTATCATTAACCGGCATCCACAACTGACTATGTGACCTCCCCGTGTCTTGGAGTCCAGATGTGTGGGATGACGTTAACTGCAGTGTAATCTGTTCCATGCTTTCACAGCTACACAGGCTGAGTTTGAGGAAAATCAATACTGACCATGTCCCCACTAAGCCAGAGTCCCCCGCAGGTGTCCAGTGCAGCCCAGTTTACAGCCTGAGGCACACTTTCTTTCACAGATACAGAAAGGAGTGTTTTCTGGAAAATGTAAAATTCCAGGAAAACTACTTAAAGTTAGTTGAAAGATGAGAATATTTGCTATGATTCAAGCGCCCTTTGATTAAGACAGTGAAGATATATCTTGGAACAGAGTAAACTTCAGTTTCTAAGAAATTCACTAACTTTTCCAGAGAAGATCAAATTTCTTTGACCATCTACATTAGGATTTTTTTAATGCAAATCTATTCTCATAGAGTCTTCAAGTTACAGACATAATAAACCACTTACATTTTCTCAAGAAAAAATAATACATAATAGTATCTGCAAACTTTCTGGAGGGCTCCGGTCAGGTTTACTCACCATTTCAGAACATTTCCTATGAGTGTCAGATGAGCTATATAATTTCTAATCGCTACAATGAACCTACAAAGTGGGCAGTTTAGCAGATGAGGAAAGTGAAGATAGGTTCTGCATGCTGGGCCAGAATTGAAAGCTCGGCTTTAACACCCCAATGATGTAGGCTTGCCCTCGGCCTCCGCCAGGCTAAGCCTCTGTGCTCATCAGAGATTCACTATGACTTGAAGCTGAAGCTGTTACCCTGTTTGCACAAAGACATAGAAACAGCCAGCAGGGGGAGCACCAATAAAGCCAATACTCACTGCAATGTTTCCTGTAAAGCAAGAAGTGCTAAGCTAAGCGCTAAGCTAAGGAAGGAAGGAATTCACAAGGAGATGGATCAGTGTTACATTTTATCACCGGATATACACAAAAGGAGTGCCTCTCACAGCCCAGACAGTGAACTAAGGGAAGGAAGAGCTGCAAAATCCCTTAAAATAGAGGACATTCAAAGCAGCAAAAGGATGATGTGACTCATGCCTCCGTTTGATCCCCTCTTCTGGTAAGATTAAGCAAGCACTGGCATCAAAATGTGCAGACTAGGATCAATGGCGTGGAAAAAATATGTAAAAACAACGGCAGAGTGCTCTTCAGAAATATTACGTCACTAACATCCTTAATTGAAGAGAGCATCATAGCCAACATAAGTAGATATCAATAAATCTGATCAACCAATTCACCTCTGGCATTTGGATATTTTCTGTGTCTATATAAGGAAGATCAAATAAGCCCACACAACTAAGCACAGTGCCTAGAACAGACAGGACTGAAGCAGCAGGCATGGTCATCACTGGGAGCCATTATTATTTTAAGTGCTGTACTGCCCTAGGGCTTGAAACCCAGTATATTCTTATTTATGAGTTAATATTAATCTATCACATTGAAGCCTTATTACTTTGATTCATAGGAAAAGTCACCCTTGATTTTTAAAAGTGGAAAAAATATATCCCAGAAAACACCTCATATCAATAATATAACAAACTTCTTCCTTCTTTCACAGATTCATAGTATTCAATCATGTAGCTATACCACATCTTCATGTACCATAGCTTCATCTACCAATCCCCTCCTGATGGGCATGAACATTGCTTTCATCTCCTGTTGTTACAAATAATGCCACAATAAACAGCCTTACACATGAATCATTTTAGATTTTTGCCAGTGAGTCTTCAGGGTAGATTTCTAAAACTAGGATTTCTGTGTCAAAAACTAAATGTATGTGTAATTTGGCTAGATACTGCCAAATTCACCACCATAAAGCTAGCACTTTGCATTTTGCTCAGCAATGCATTTAAGGGCCCCACAGTTTAATGAAAAAGGTGTAGTAACAAACTTTTGGGCTTTTGCCAATCCCATAGGTGATGAACAGTGTTCACTGTAGTTCATTTACATTTCTCATTATGAGTAAGAGTTTTATCTCTTTCCTTTATTTATTTTCATTTTCTCTTTTTTGTCATTCAAGAGGGTTTTTTGTTTGTTTTCCCTAAAATCAAATTTATTAATATTTTCTCTGAGGTCAAATTTATCAATGTATTGAAAAGGATAATATCAGAGAACATCTTAAACCTAGAGAAAGTTACCGATATCCAAAGAAGGTAATAGAATACCAAGTAGATTTAACCCAAATACTACTGCAAGGCAGTTACTAATGAAACTCCCAAAAGTCAAGGATAAAGAAAGGATCCTAAAAGCAGGAAGAGAAAAGGAATAATATACAATGAAGCTACAATATGTCTGGCAGCAGACTTTTCAAGGGAAAACCTTACAGGCCAGGAGAGAGTGACATAACATATTTAAAGTTCTGAATGAAAAAATACTTTTACCCTAGAATAGTATATTCGGCGAAAATATCCTTCGGACATAAAGGAGAAATAAAGACTTCCCTCAAACAAAAGCTGGGGAATTTCTCAAATCTGACCTACAAGAAATGCTAAAGGGAATACTTTAATCAGAAAAAAACAGACATTAATGAGCAATAAGTAATTACTTGAAGGTACAAAACTCACGGGTAATAGTAAGAACACAGAAAAACACAGAATATGATAACACTGTAACTATGGTGTATAAACTACTCTTATCCTAAGTAGAAAGACTAAACAATGAATCAATCAAAAATGATAACTACAGCAACTTTTAAAGACATAGACAGTACAATAAGATATAAATAGAAACAACGAAAAGTAAAAAAGTGGGGAGATGAAGTTAAAGCATAATTTTTATTCATTTTCTTTTTGCTTATTTGTTTATGCAGCGTTATGTTCTAAAATAGTATTTGCAAGCCTCATGGTAACTTCCAACGAAATAACATACAATGGTTACACAAAAATAAAAAGGAAGAAATTGAATCATACCACCAGAGAAAAACACCTTCACTAAAGGAAGACAGGAAGGGAGGGAGGGAGAGAGGACCAGAAAACAGATAACAAAATAACAGGATTGAGTCCTTACTTATCAATAACATTGAATGTAAATATACTAAACTCTCAAAAAACAGACTGGCTGTATGAATGAAAAAACAAGACCCACTGATCTGTTGCCTACAAGAAACACACTTCACCTATAAAAATACACCTCAACTGAAAATAAAGGGATGGAAAAAGATATTCCATGCCAATGGAAACCAAAAAAAGAGCAGGAGTAGCTATACTTAGACAAAATAGATTTCAAGACCAAAACTGTAAGAAGAGATTAAGAAAGTCATTATGTAATGATAAAGGGGTTAATTCAGCAAGAGCATATAACAATTTTAAATATACAGGCACCAAACACTGAAGCATCCAGATATATAAAGCAAATATTATTAGAGCTAAAGAGAGAGATAGGACCCAATAAAATAATATCTGGAGATTTCAACACCCCAATTTCAGCACTGGACAGATCTTCCAAACAAAAAGCAACAAAGAAACATCAGACTTAATCTACAGTGTAGATCGAATGGATCTAATAGATATGTACAGAATATTTCATCTAATGGCTGCAGAATACACATTATTTTCCTCAGTACATGGATCATTCTCAAGGACAGACCATATGTTAAGTCACAAAACAAGTCTTAAAACATTTTTAAAAACTGAAATAATATCAAGCATCTTCTCTGACCACAATGGAATAAAACTACATATCAGTAATAAGAGGAATTTTGGAAACTATACAAATAATGGGAATTAAACAACATGCTCCTGAATTACCACTGGGTCAAGGAAGCAATTAAGAAGGAAATTAAAAACCTTCTTGGAACAAATAATAATGAAAACACAACATACCAAAACCTATGGGATACAGCAAAAGGAGTACTAAGAGGGAAGTTTATAGTCATATATGCCTATGTCAAAAAAGAAGAAAAACCTCAAACAAACAATCTAACTATGCATCTTAAAGAATTAGAAAAGCAAGAGCAAATCAAACCCAAAATTAGTAGGAAAAAGAAATAATAATCAGAGCAGAAATAAATGAAATTAAAATGAAGACAATAATACAAAAGATCAATGAAACAAAACGTTGATTTTTTAAAAGTTAAACAAAATTGACAAACCTTCAGCCAGATGAAGAAAAAAAGAGAGAAGATACAAATAAAATCAGAAATGAAAAGGGAGACATTACAACTAACACCGCAGAAATTCAAAGGATCATTGGTGGCTACTATGAGCAACAATATGCCAATAAATTGAAAAATCTAGAAGAAAAGGAGAAATTCCTAGACACATACAGTGTACCAAGATTGAATCAGGGAGAAATTTAAAACTAAAACAAATTAATAACAAGTAACAATATTGAAGCCATAATAAAAAGTCTCCCAGTAAAGAAAAGCCTGAGGCCTGGTGTCTTCACTGCTAAATTCTCCCAAACATTTAAACAAGAACTAATACCAATCCTATTCAAACTATTCCAAAAAACAGGGGAGGATGAATACTTCCAAACTCATTCTATGAGGCCAGTATTACCCTGATACCAAAACCAGACAATGACACATCAACAAAAGAAAACTACAGGCCAATATCTCTGATGAATATAAATGCAAAAATCCTCAACAAAATACTAGCAAACTGAATTCAACAATACATTAGAAAGATCATTCATTGTGGTCAAGAGACATTTATCCCTGGGGATGCAAGGATAGTTCAACATATGCAAATCAATCAGTGTGATACATTACATCAACAGAATGAAGGATAAAAACCATATGATCATTTCAATCGATATTGAAAAGCATTTGATAACATTCAACATCCCTTCATGATAAAAATTCTCAAAAAACTGGGGATAGAAGTAACATATCTTAACATAATAAAAGCCATATACAATAGACCCACAGCTAGTATCTTACTGAATGGAGAAAAACTGAAAGCCTTTCCCCTAAGATCTGGAACATGACAAGGATGCCCACTTTCACCACTGTAATTCAACATAATACTGGAAGTCCTGGCTAGGCAACCAGACAAGAGAAAGATATAAAGGGCATTCAAATTGGAAAGGAAGAAGTCAAATTATCCTTGTTTGCAGATGATAGGATCTTACATTTGGAAAAACCTAAAGTTTCACAAAAAACCTATTAGAACTAATAAATTCAGTAATGTTGCAGGATACAAAATCAACCTACAAAAATCAGTAGCATTTCTATATGCCAACAGTGAACAATTTGAAAAAGAAATTAAAAAGTAATCCCATTTACAGTAGTCAAAAATAATATTAAATACTTAGGAATTAACTAAAGAAGTGAAAGATCTCTATAATTTAAACTATAAAATACTGATGAAAGAAATTAAAGAGGATACCAAAAAATTGAAAAATATTCCATGCTTATGTATTGCTAAAATTTCCATACTACCGTAAGCATTCTACAAATTCAATGCAATGTCTATCAAAATACCAATGACATTCTTCACAGAAATAGAAAAAAAAATCCTAAAATTTATATGGAACTATAAAAGAGCGAGAATAGTCAAAGCTATCCTAAGCAAAAATAACAAAACTGAAGGAATCACATTACCTGACTTCAAATTATACTACAGAATTATTATAACCAAAACAGCATGGTACTGGCATAAAAACAGACACACACACCAACAGAAGAGAGAACTCAGAAACAAATCCACATACTTACAGCGAAGTCATTTTCAACAAAGGTGCCAAGAACATACACTGGGGATAACAGCGTCTCTTTAATAAATGGTCTGGATATTCATATGCAGAAGAATAAAACTAGACTCCTACCTCTTGCCATATACAAAAATCAAATCAAAATTGATTTAAGACTTAAATCTAAGACCTGAAGCTATGAAACTACTACAAAAAAAATTGGGGAAAATCTCCAGGATATTGGTCTGGGCAAAAATTTCTTGAGCAGTACCCCACAAGTATAGGCAACCAAAGCAAATATGAACAAGTGGGATCACATCAAGTTTAAAAGCTTCTACACGGCAAAGGAAACAACCCACAAAATGAAGAGACAACCCAGATAATAGGAGAAAACACTTGCAAACTACTCATCTGACAAGGGATTAATAACCAGAATATATAAGGAGCTCAAACAACTCCACAGGAAAAAGTCTAATAATCCTATCAAAAAATGGGCAAAAGGCCGGGCGCTGTAGCTTACGCCTGTACTCCCAGCACTTTGGGCATGCTGGTACATGCCTGTAGTCCCAGCTACTTGAGAGGCTGAGGCAGGAGAATCACTTGAATCCAGAAGGTGGAGGCTGCAGTGAGCCGAGATCGCACCACTGCACTCCAGCACCAGTGACAGAGCGAGACTCCGTTTCAAAAAAAAAAAATGGGCAAAAGATTTAAATAGACATTTCTCAAAAGAAGACATACAAATGGCAAACAGGCATATGAAAAGATGGTCAACATCAATGATCATCAGAGAAATGCAAATCAAAATTACAATGAGATATCCTTTCACCTCAGTTAAAATGGCTTATATCCAAAAGACAGGCAAAAACAAATGCTGGTGAAGATGTGGAGAAAAGGGAACCCTCATACACTGTTGGTGAGAATGTAAATTGGCATAACTATTATGGAGAACTGTTTGGTGGTTCCTCAAAAACCTAAAATAAAGCTAGCATATGATCCAGCAATCCCACTACTGGGTACATACCCAAAAGAAAGGAAATTAGTATATTGAAGAGATATCTGCATTCTCCCATGTTTGTTGCAGCACTGTTCACAATAGCTAAGACCTAAGTGTCCATCAGCAGATGAATGGATAAAGAAAATGTGGTACATATTGTAAACCAAAAATGAAATTCTAAGGCTCCCTAACCATCTGAATGGACCCCTCTTCTCAGCCAAGGGGATTCCAGAGTTAACTTAAAAATCTAGTTCAGGCCATGACAGAAGAGGGGGTTGGACATGCCTCATTACACCCTCCAGCATTAACATCAACTCAGACCTTAAGTCTGCTAGGAAACATTTACAATATATTCTCTCTGAAGCCTGCTACCCGGAGGCTTCATCTGCATAAAACCTTGGTATCCACAACCCCTTATTTTAATCCAGACATTCCTTTCTACTGATAATAATGCTTTCAACAGACTGCCAATCAGAATATGTTTAAATCTACCTATGAGCTGGAAGTCCCCCAACACCCTGGTTTGAGTTGTTCTGCCCTTCCAGATTGAACCAATGTGAATCTTACGTGTACTGATTGATGTATTATGTCCCCCCAAAATGTATAAAAGCAAGCTGTACCCCAACCCCCTCAGGCACATGTCGTCAGGACCTCCTGAGGCTGTGTCATGAGTGCATCCTTAACCTTAGCAAAATAAACTTTCTAAATTGATTGAGACTTATTTCAGTTACTTTTTGGTTTCCAATATACACAATGGAGTGCTAGTCAACTATGAAAAAGAATGAGATCTTGTCATTTGCAACAACAGGAGTGGAACTAGAGATCATCTTGTTAAGTGAAATAAGGCAGACACAGAAAGACAAATACCACATGTTCTCACTTATTTGTGAGATCTGAAAGTCAAAGTGACTGAACTCATTGACAGAGAGTAGAAGGATGGCACAGGTAGTGGGGAACTCACTGGGGAGGTGGGGATGGTTAATGGGTACAAAAAAGTATATAAAGAATGAATAAGGCCTACTATTTAATAGCACGACAGGGTGTCTATAGTCAATAATTACTTACTTGTACATTTTTAAATAACTAAGAGTGTAACTGAATTGTTTGTAACACAAAATATAAATGCTTGAGGGGATGGATACTCCATTCTACATGATGTTATTATTTCACATGGCATGGAGGCATCAAAGTATCTCCTGTACCCCATAAATATATATACCTAGTCTATACCCACAATTAAAAATGGATTAAAAAAACAAATTTATCAATGTTTTCCATTATCACATTTGGATTTTTAGTCATAATTGGAAAAGCATTACCCACTCTCATTATATAGATGAATTCACTTATATCTTCTGCTAGTATTTATATGGTTTCCATTTGCACACTTAGATTTCTGATTCATTCGATTTTTTTTCCTACTGTATACAATGAAAACATCTACACTTTTCTTTTTTCCTTATGGCTATTCGATGATCACAACTCTACTTATCAGTTTATTTCCCCCCACAAATTTGATGTGTTGACCCTGTTGTATACCATGCTTCGATATACAATTAGCTCTACATGTTCTATTCTGCTTCATTGAGCTAGTATAATTGTAATTATAATTACTGTAATTATAAAGGTGCTAAAACCTATTTTTAAAACTGGTAAGGCTTACCCATTCCTCATGCTTTTCGGGGTTTTCCTTATTCTTGCTTATTTTTCCAAGAAAACTTTATAATTAACTTAGCTCTGAAACAAAACCTGACACTGTGATATATATATATATATATATATATAAATATATATCACATACATATATATATGTCACATATGTATCACATATATATATAATGAAATATAATTTAGCCTTAAAAAAGAAAACAATCCTGTCATTTGTGTCAGCGTGGATGAAACTGGAGGACATTATGTTAAGTGAAATTATCCAGACATAGAAAGAAAAATATTCCATGCTCCCATATGTGGAATCTAAAAAGTTGATCTCACAGAAGTAGAGAGAAGCTGGAGAGCGGAGTAGAAGGATGGGGAGAGATTGGTCAACAGGTACAATGTTACAGTTAGACAAGAGGAATACTCTCTGGTATTCTATCATACAGTTGTGTGACTACAGTTAATAATAATGTATTACACATTTCAAAACAGCTAGAAGAAAGGGTTCTGAATGTTCTTACCACAAGGAAATAATTAATGTTTGAGGTAATGGATTTGCTACTTATCCTGATGATGACTACACAATGTGAACATGTATCAAAACCATCATACTTTACCCCATAAATATGTACAATGATTATGAATCAATTAAAAATAAAATCAAATTTAAGAAAATTTTAAAGAGCCATTGCCACACCCTCTTTTCTCCAAAAGAGTGCCTATGAGCAAAAGAGCCTTAAGTATAATTGTCATTTTATAAGTCTTAATAAGGCATTTTTTTCTTATACCTGCCAGAAGTTAATATCCAGTGTGAATGAGTAACAAATCACTTTGCAAGTCGGATGGCTCCCAAATTTTAGCTATTGACAAATTTGAAAGATAATCTAATCAGGTATCATTCAAGGATCATCAAAGGATCATTCAAGATAATTTTTGAGGACAGGTCTCTATGTGATTTTTGGCATGTTAGATCCTGAGAACTTGAGGAATTAAAAAGCACTGCTATAAGAGAACTTTTATCCTTATATACTATCTATGTAAAGTGTTTCCTGGGGGCTTACTTCAATAAAAATGAAGAGTCACATAATTAATGTTGAACCTTTTCTTATCAGTAAATCACGTTCAAACACAATGGATACATGAAATTTTTTAATTGTCTTTCATCTTATTAATGTCTTTTCAAGAAAAATTTACTTTCCATGTTTAACAATTATGTCAATAGTTGTAATATATTTATACTGTTTTGATTTATTTTGTAATTTTTATGAGAACTCATCCCAGAAAAATATTCTTCTACTTACAGTTTTATAATCACATCAAATAAAAAATATAACTTAGATATTTTAATTTTATAACATATTTTACTTAAAGTCCGTATTAAAGACTTTCAAGCATAAAATATGAATTGAATAGAATAAAATTTTACATGGGGACTGACCTGGAAATGTGAAATCAAGAAAATATAAACTTTCTTACTGATACAGAAGAGTCTTTCCATGTAATTTTTAATAGGTGATAGTAAAGATCCAACTTTTATTAGATACATTTAAAATGTCAATATTTATAAGATGTCATGAATTACATTCTCTTGAGTATTTGAAACTATGAAGAAACTTTATAGATGCCAACTGTGCAATGTGAGGGCACAGGTAGTTTTCAGAAATCCTTTCAAAGGCTCCGTGAACAGAGCGTAGGCTCAGAGTTTAGCAGCTGAGAGCTATAGGGTTGGAAAACAGGACTGAGTAGCTCCAAAACCACCAGGCTACTCCTTATGATGGTAGTTTCGGGAAGCATGAATTCAATTACCCTAATGAAGGCTTCTCCTGATCACACTGACTGGCAAATAGAAAAGTAGAAACTAAAATATTCCACGTATTCCAAAAGTAGCATGGGCAACTAAAAAAGAATCAATAGGCGGCTTTCGACTCTATCTAGACTACAAAAAACAAATCACCAAACTAAACCAGTCTGTGATTTCACTATCTGGAAGGTCGCGCAAAG
The DNA here is from genome assembly GCF_000001405.40 of Homo sapiens. Taxonomy (NCBI): domain Eukaryota; kingdom Metazoa; phylum Chordata; class Mammalia; order Primates; family Hominidae; genus Homo; species Homo sapiens. The sequence goes on from NC_000007.14 coordinate 51,172,404, forward strand.
CAAGAAGTTCCAAGCAATTAGCGGAAGCACCTGCTGGGGCATTAGTACTCACGTTCAAACCCCTTCCTGGGGCAGCCCTGGAGGTGTCCTCATCGCTGTCTGCACCCGACAGCACGAGCTGCTCAGCCTGGAACACAAGCACCAGGCCACATCATCTCCAGGTGAAAGTTCAGACAGAAAACATAGTCCTTAGCGATCATTAAGGCAAAAATGCCAGTGTGGCCACAAGGCAGCAAACCCTTCACTTAATAGGTGTAATCTTTACCACTTCTGCCAGTTTATGAACAGACCTGAACCAAAGTGCTCCCTGATTCGGAAATCACAATTTTGAAATCCACACTCATAGGAATGAGTTTTCTTTCTTTCTTTTTTTCTTTCTTTTCTTTCTCTCTTTCCTTTTTTTTTGACAGTGTCTTGCTGTGTCGCCCGGGCTGGAGTGTAGTGGCATGATCTCAGTTCACTGCAATCTCCACCTCCTGGGTTTGAGTGATTCTCCTGCCTCAGCCTCCCAAGTAGCTGGGATTACAAGTGTGTATCACCACACCCAGCTAATTTTTGTATTTTTAGTAGAGACAGGGTTTCACCATGTTGGCCAGGCTGTTCTCGAACTCCTGACCTTGGGTGATCTGCCCACCTTGGCCTCCCAAAATGCTAGGATTACAGGTGTGAGCCACCTCACCCAGCAAAAATATGCAATTTTAAAACAGTAGTGGGCCTGAAGTGATGGAGTTAGGTCAGCAAGCAAATTAATTAGGTTTTGAGGACTTCAAAGTTTTTTGTTTTTTGTTTTTTGTTTTGAGCAGAGTCTCACTCTGTTGCCCAGGTTGGAGTGCAGTGGTGCTATCTTGGCTCACTGCAACCTCTACCTCCCAGGTTCAAGCATTCTCCTGCCTCAGCCTCCCGAGTAGCTGGGACTACAGGCACATGCCACCACACCAGGATAAATTTTTTTGTATTTTAGTAGAGGCAGGGTTTCACCTTGTTGCCCAGGCTGTTCTCAAACCCCTGAGCTCAGGCAATCTGCCCACCTCAGCCTCCAAAAGTGCTAGGATTACAGGTGTTGGCCACCGCTCCTGGCCCAAGGACTTCAGTTTTAATCACTGCCCAGCTAATTCATTGGGTGTACACAGAAAAATTTCACCAAATATCTCACTCCATATGATCCAGAAAAGAAAAATGGTAATATTTCTTTCTATTGTACCAAAATCATCTGGTGCAATTGGAAAATTCAATTTCTAGACCCCAACCTGGCCTCTCAAATGAGAATATTTGGGTACATGACCCAACAATCCAATGTTTAAACTAGGTCTCAAGGTGATTCTTAGGTACTTTTGAGAACTGCTGTGTTAGGAGAATAAATAATGTCAAGATGATATAAAACTATAATGCTTTTAAAACTTTAAAACACAAAAGCTTTAAAACAAAAAAGATATTTGCTATCCTTTATTTTAGCCAGTATCATATTCCTTTAAGTATATTTCCTATTAATATTTTATACACACATTCACACACATATGACACATACACATATACACACATACCTATAATTTTTTTTCCTTTAAGGTGATGTAGTAAAGAGTCACCTTAAGTTTTAAATGCCTCAATAATTCTCCATTCTTAGCATCTGTTCACTGAGACCTCTGCAGACTGACATCACAGGATTTTACAAATTATTTTAAAAAATTATTTGTTTCCAATCCTTTTTCTTGATAAAGAAATTGATACCACACCATACAATGTAAACCAGTGATTAATGGCAAGGACTTTGGAAAGACAGGCTTGGGTTTGAATTCTGGTGTTTATGAATTCCGGCATTTACCCGCACTATGCTCGGCTTGGAGCTGCTCAGCCTAAGTTTCTTCCCTGCAAAATGGAGCTGATAATGCCTCTCTCACCAGGTTTCTAGATAAACTAAATGAGGCTGCATTTAGCACGGTACCTCAAACCATAAAAATCAAGAGAAACAAGAAGCTAAAATTTAACACAAAACAATAACAAATTATCCAATAAAGATAAGACTGAAGAAGGGATGTCTAGAGAAAAATATAGTAAAATAAATGAGAAGGAAAGTGATAAATGAAAGATAAGGTATAGAGAAATGAAAAATAAGAGGCAGTGAAATGCACATCAGTCATGTCTCACTCTACCCTTGAACCAAATGGTGACTTCTTGAGGCCATCTGCTATGTGGGCTCCAGTCTAACTGATGCCAAGGAGCCATAAAATGCCACACACTGGACACCATAACTCCTACCCTATAGCCCAACAAGGGATAGCCAATCACTAACCAATGTCATCTCTGTAAACCAGTGACAATTCCTGTGGAACAACTTTGTATCAGCCCACTCCTTGTCCCCCTTTGCCTTTAAAAACCTTCTTATAACCATGGCTGAATCTCTCCAAGGCAACCTGAAAGTGTGTCCTAGGCAGTGAGGCTCACCTTTTGCCCAACAAACTCTCTACATTAATCTTGCCTCAGTTTCTTTTTTTAGGCCGACATATCTGGTCTAAGTCGGCAGCATTCAGAGTGCTCCTCACAACAGCACCCAGCGTTTTCTCTCAGACCCAGCTCTTGGTACCAGCAACATATTGGGTCCCCAGCTCCAGAGGATCCCGGGGTGCAAAGGGTGAGACCTCCTGAATCCGGACCACCCTATGATTTTCACCTGGGCTGCCCTTTCCACTGCTCCCTTTCTGGAATGGAGGTTCTATCTTTGCCTTGCAGGCAAGTGATTCAGGCATCAGTGATTAAAGAGGAAAACTACCTTTTCCACCTTGGAGCAGGTAGGTCAAGGTATTGGCAGTTTTGCACTGCTGATATCACTTTACATAGCACGCTTTTAAAACTGCAGCTGCTTTCTACTGTTTATAATTTGGACTTTAAAAAATTTGTGACCAATTCCTATTAGTTTTATACCAAAAGGTGCATGAACGTGAGTTCTCTCACCCCCATATTAAGAGATTTGAGAATTTTTTTAGAGACCGCTCCTTAAACCCCCAGAAAAACTCTTTAAATGCCTAAACTGCCTGCAGACCTTTCTCAGTCCCTTGGAGATGTAAATCTTACCATGTCTTGGAAATGTTAACATGCATTGTATTAGCTAAGCAGCATTCCAGCTGAGAACAGGTTTGATACATCGTTAATGTTCTTGGGACATACCACAACATTTATTTCCTCAGTGGGTATCTCTTGCTCAGGAAAGAAACATTTATAAGAAATTAATTTGAATTATTTGTCTCGGATACTCATTTATAATCCTATCTACTGAAGGAAACCAAAATATTCCTCTCCTAAGTACTGGTGATTGGTAGCTGAAGAAGGTTAACATCCAGGGAGACACTGCCCCTTCCTCTGGCTTGCCTGATGGCAGAGAGGCAATTTAGAAAGACAAAGGTTTTCCTGCCTGCCATTCTCACCTAAAGATAGGCTCCATTATAAGACTTGCTTATGGGCTCAGAGACAGCAGTGCCAGGGAATCTAGGTGCAGTCTTTATTCATCCCATAAATTTACCTTCCCACGTTTTCCTGCCTTTTGGCACTACCCCCACGGGCAGCTTTTGTTTTCCTGTCTTTCCCACTGTCTCTTTAAATCCTCAGTCTGGACCTTGTATACAGACGGTCAGCTGAGAAGCTGAGACCCTAGGGAATACGCTAGACAGGACAGATGGGGCTTGTACCCCATTTGCAGCTAGCAAAACCTTCCTTATTTTGAAGTTTTTCTGGTGGCTCTGGGTCTTGTGAGGACTGTGTTGCACCTCTTTGGAGATACTTGGCAAGTCTCTGGTTAAATCATAACCTTGGTTAAGTCGTGTTAGTTTTGGTGAGTCACTTGGAAAGGTACCTTTGGTTTAAAAGAGGAAAAAATTAAAAAATACAAAAGCAAGGATATTGGCTGATTTGTCCTGGCTAAAATCTGATAAGAGACTGAAAAGATTCAGGAGCTCTCTAGTCAAAAGGTAACTTAATGAATAACTGATATTTGGGATATATATGTATACACACACAGACACACACACACACACACACATATATGCACCCATATTTTTTGAGTCCTCTGTTCTCTCTATAAAAGTTTCTCAGTTGATTGAATCTCTTTCTTCTTAAACCCCTGCTAACCAAATATACTCCCTTGGTCTGCTTCCCTTTTGAGGACATGATTTTTGCCAAAGATAATGTAAAATTCATTGGTATTTACAAAAGCTTAAATTCTCTCTCTGCTTTGAAATGTAAATTTGCTACCTTGTTAAATTTTGTGAGGGCTTTAGGCATATGAGACAGATAAACTTTAACTTGTTCCATTTACAAAGGCACAGTTTGAATCCAAATGTCCTTTTGAACTAGTGAATTTCACCTGACTCGTGGCTAAAATCTTAAAATCAAAGCTATGAAATCTTTATTTTTGTCTATGTTTGTATGTATACATGTGTACACGTCTGTGTTTGTATATTGTCTACATGGTACCAAACTGACTTATAAGTAAATCAGTTCTCATAAATTTAGTAAATAAGCCCAAATGCTTTTCAAGTTCATGTGACTTCAGTAATCTTTGGTAAATGAGGCTAGTTTTAAAATTGTTGGTAAAATAAAATAGAAATATTTTCAGAATTTAATTTAGAGATTTTTGCCTGGGTCTACTAGTCAAATAGGTTTAGCCTATTTCTGGTAGGTGTTTAAGGTCATAAAACTGTTGCTTCTGTGATATTGTTGATACCTGTTTGATTCTGGGGTATAGACAAGTGGCCACGGGAAGGCCTGGGGACACGTGGATGTCTGCAGCACCTAGGCCAAGAGCTGTGGGGCAGAGCTACGCTACATGTCTTCCCTGGCTCACTTGTGCCTCCTGAAAATGCTGGGAGGGGTTGGTTCTCCAGGCATTGCTTTCATAACTCTGTCCTTTTTTCTGGGCTCTGTATCAAGATACATAATTAAAATTGCTTACTTCTTAAGACTTTTCACAAATATTTGGGATACTAAGAGTTAACATTGAAATTAATATATGTAATTAAATCTACTAGATAAAAGAGAAACAATTTGTATCCAAAGAGCACAAGAAAAGTAAAATGCATTTTTGGTTTTAAAGAAGATTATAGCCAGGTGCAGTGGCTCACGCCTGTAATCCCAGCACTCTGGGGGGCTGAGGCGGGCAGATCACCTGAGGTCAGGAGTTCGAGACCAGCCTGGCTGACATGTGAAACCCCACCTCTACTAAAAATACAAAAATTAGCCAGCCATGGTAGCAGGCGCCTGTGATCCCAGCTACTTGAGAGGCTGAGGCAGGAGAATCACTTGAACCCAGGAGGCAGAGGTTGCAGTGAGCTGAGATCATGCCACTGCACTCCAGTCTGGGCGACAGAGAGGACTCTGTCTCAAAAAAATAAATAAATAAATAAATAAATAAATAAATAAATAAATAAAAATTTAAAAGGTTATAAAAAAGACATAAAAATATAGTTTTTGTTGGCCGGGCACGGTGGCTCATGCCTGTAATCCCAGCACTTTGAGAGGTTGAGGTGGGTGGATCACATGAGAGTCAGGAGTTTGAGACGAGCCTGGCCAATATGGTGAAACCCGGTCTCTACTAAAAATACAAAAATTAGCTGGGCATGGTGGTTCGTGCCTGTCATCTCAGCTACTGCGGAGGCTGGAGCAGGAGAATCACTTGAATCTGGGATATGGAGGTTGCAGTGAGCCAAGATCATGCCATTGCATTCCAGGCTGGGCAACAAGAGTGAAACACACTCTCTCACTCTCTGTCTCTCTCTCTCCCTCTCTCTCTCTATATATATATATATACATGTGGTTTTATGTGGTTTTTGCTAAAGGAACAACAATTTTGCATGGCTTAAAGGTTATTTAAAAGCTGTTTTAAATTAATGAAATACAAAAATGATAGATAAAACTAAATGGGTATAGGAAGTTAGAAAAAAATGAAAAATATTGCAAAAGGTTATAAAAGATTTATAGAAAACTTATCTGTGTGGTCAAAGCTGAATGAGGTTGGATGGATTTGTTTATAAGGTTTTATTAAAATTAGGTTTATTGGTAATAATACATTAATACAAAGGCAAAACTTGTTTTTCTCTTTTGAACAGGGTTTTCATATAGTATTGATAAAAAATAATAAAAGGTTTTATTTACCTTTTGAATAAGCTGCAATAAAAAAAGAAGAGAGAGGAAGACACACTCACCGTGTCTTTATTAGGTCTGAAAACTGAGTCTCTCTTCTTTTTTTTTGAGACAGTCTCGCTCTGTTGCCCAGGCTGGATATGATCTTGGCTCACTGCAACCTCCGCCCCCTGGGTTCAACCTAGTCTCCTGCCTCAGTTTCCCGAGTAGCTGGGAATACAGGTGCCTGCCACCATGCCCGGCTAATTTTTGTATTTTTAGTAGAGACGGGGTTTCTCCAAGCTGGTCAGGCTGGTCTCCAACTCCCGACCTCAGGCGATCCACCCGCCTTGGCCTCCCAAAGTGCTGGGATTACAGGCATGACCTACTGTGCCCAGCCAAGTCTCCTCTTAATCAAAGAGTAAATGTTTTTGCTTTTTGAAATCTTTGAAAAAAATCACTTTGACTAAATGAATATTATTTTACTGTGATCTCATTTTGAAATCAAGTGTTTCAAGCCTTTGACATTTGACAAACTTCCTAAAATGAAACTTCAAATTCTAATGAGTCTTTCTCACATTGAACTAACTTTTGGAGATTAGGGCTCCTGGAAATCCAAACAGGGACCCTGGAACTCCAAAAGCGGCATATTAGGCATATTTGGTATGTGAAAATCATACTGGAAGCATTGTTAAATAAGAGTGTTTAACTTTCTTTTTTGTTTGTTTGGTTGGTTGGTTTTTTTGGGGACAGAGTCTTGCTCTTTCACCCAGGCTGGAGTGCAGTGGCACAATCTTGGCTCGCTGCAACCTTCGCCTCCCAGGTTCAAGCAATTTTTGTATTTTAGTATTTTGTATTTTTGTATTTAGTACTCCTCAGTAGAGATGGGGTTTCACCATGTTGGCCAGGCTGGTCTCAAACTCCTGACCTCAGGTGATCCACCTGCCTCGGCCTCCCAAAGTGCTGGGAATACAGGTGTGAGCCACCGCGCCCAGCCAAGAGATGGTGCTTAACTTTCTTCAGGTTATTTTTATATGAATATGCTATTAATATGCATTCTATAATTATAAAAGATACCGAAAAATTTGATGTGTCTTGACATAAACAGTAAATTGCTTTATTCTGATGCTCTCTTTTCCTAAAAGTTCTTTGTAAATGCCAAAGCATTGTATCTTCAAGGAACCTTATGAAGAAGATCACAAAAAGCACTCTGAATACAAGTTTCTGATAATTTTGGAGATCATGCCGTTGAACAACGCAAAAAGAAAAAATCCAGTAATCTAATTTCAAACCTGATGAGTTCATAAAGATCGCTAACCCAACTTCAAGCAGAATAAAAGCTAAGTACATGGCACTGAAGTGACAGAGCACTGAAATGATTTTTGTGACTTCTTTTTGTTTGAAACACAGTAGGTTCTTTTCATGTTTTGTTTTCTAGCATCAAGAAAACTTTTCTTTTTGAGCTATTTATAGCTTACAGCAATTGGGTAAAGTACACTATGGTGGGCAAACTGAGACATTTATCTTTCATTCTACCTGATTTCTCCAAAATTCAGAAACTATTTGTATTTTCATTTTATGGCAATATACTTACTTGCATAAGTTCAACAAGGATCTGTTTTCTTTTTTAACAAGACACATTGAAAGCACTGGTTATTTTACAAGGCTTAGACTGGAATGACAGATTTTCAGATATGACCAGACTGGTTTGAAGGGCTGAAGTTGACTTTATAGCCAGTGGACTTAGAAAATGGCTGGCCCGGTTCCTTGTCGACATGGTTCCCTTACAAGGTTGCTGACCTTGCAGTAAGTAAAAGCATGTCACTTTCTGACAGGCCCAGTAATCTCAAGATATTTTGAGATCTCGAGAAGAAAGAAATTCACTGAATTCATACAGGTATTACCGGCACAGTTAGATGGTAAATCCTTAACTTGGCTTCCTAGCCACAAGAGGCTTTTAAAAATCTAATCTGAGATTCCTTAACCAAAAAGTTCCAGCAAAGCCAACTAAAATGAGTCAGTATGGCCACTCTTATTGCTGCATCTTATGCAAATAATCATGCCAAGTATAATAAGTGTAAAACTAATTTTACAAATAAACTGGTTCTACTATGATTTATCTTTGGTAAAACTGGAGGAACTGGAAAAATTATTTTTCAATAACCCACCTGTTATTCAGTTCTAGCAGACTATTGTTTTTGTGATATTATTATTTGCCCACAATTTGGACTGAATCCTGAATTACCTCCTGGCTACAAGTCTCTAAAGAAGAAGCAGGATGTAATGTTCTGCCTGATGTTTTCAGTTGTTCCCTAATGGAATTCAGGTTTGTTTGATCTGGCATATAAATTATCTTTCTGACTATAATCCAATCCTGTGTGCATTACGCTTTTACTGTTCAGATTATTAATACTATATATTGCTTGTGGTTTTATTTCTTCTGAGAAAACTAAAATGGTATTCCAAAGACTAGAGATGATTCAACAAGCAACAGCAGCTAATAAATTTCTGACGTGACTGAGGTTTCATTCTTGCCACTCTGTAATGCCATCCTAATTTGGCTTTGGGGTTCCCTTAAAATTCCTCACTAAAACATCTTTTCTTTCCTCCCTAACATGGGACAGGGCTATCTGAGAATCACCCTTCCCAGTGACAAGGGACCCCTTGACACTCAGCGTTTAATCATCAATGCTTTCAAGAAGAAATATTTTGTATCAAAAGAGGGAAATGAAATAAATACACTTTTTATCCACAGAATGTGAGCTCCTTTTAATTATCAGGCCCAGGGAAGCATTGAAATGCAGTGGTGGTCATGTCCCACACCCGCCTGAGCTAAATAATTAGCTCTTAAAGCCAATTGCTACTTGAGCTGTAACACTGAGTGAATTTTTTGCCAAGTAGCTACAAAATGCCATACACTGGATGCCATAACTCATCTGCCGCAGTTCAGGAGTGTACAGTCAATCACCAATCAGCGTTATTTCTGTAAACTAGTGAGAATCCTTGTCAAACAACTTTGTGTCAGCCACACCTTCTTCCTTTTTGCCCTAAAAAACCTTCTTGTAACTACGGCTGAATGGAGCATTCCCCAAGGCAAACGAAGTGTGTCCCAGGCTACAGTCCTCAACCTTGGCCCAGATAAACTATCTATATTAATTTTGAGTCAGTTTCTTTCTTTAGGTTGACAATGGTGAAAAACAGCCCCTTGCAATCCACAGAGAGGACTCGATCACTGACTGCGCCTTCACTGCTGTGTCGACAATGGTGAAAAACAGAAAGTCCCTTGCAATCCACGAACGGGACTGGATCACTGACTGCGCCTTCACTGCTGTATCGAAATGGTGAAAGACAGAAAGTCCCTTGCAATCCACGGACGGGACTGGATCACTGACTGCGCCTTCACTGCTGTGTTGCCAGATGTGGTGTCTCCCCACACCCTGAACTATCAGAAGCTGAGTCAGTCTCCACATCTCCAGCTTTTTAGGTGACCTTACTTTGCTAAAAACGAAAGTCTTTCTAGATTTTTTACTTGGTTTTTCTGGCCATTTCATCTTTTACAAGGAAGAAGACACAAAGAGAACAACTACTTGAGGTCTAAGGGTGAGGAATGAGGAATGAGGAATGGTGGATTTTACTGTGAACTGGTGTCCTCAGGATCAAGGAGGACAAGGGTGAACACAGTCCCAGCCAACTTATCTCAAAAACGTCAGGAAAAAAAAACCAACAAGACAACATTCAAAGAGTGAGCAAAAATTCAAATACAAAATTCTGATTCTCTTTTTTTTTTTTTTGAGATGGAGTCTCGCTCTGTCGCCCAGGCTGGAGTGCGCTAGCATGTTCTCATCTCACTGCAACCTCTGCCTCCCGGATTCAAGCGATTCTCCTGCCTCAGCCTCTCAAGTAGCTGGGGTTACAGGTACCTGCCACCACACCTGGCTACTTTTTGTATTTTTAGCAGAGACGGGGTTTCACTGCATTGGCCAGGCTGGTCTCGAACTCCTGACCTCAGGTGACCTGCCCACCTCAGCCTCCCAAAGTGCTGGGATTACAGTTGTGAGCCACCGCGCCCGGCCACAAAATTCTGCTTCTGTGATTTCAAGTAATTCTGACAGGAAAGGAAGCTAGGAGAGGAGGAGGGAGAGTAGGGGGGAAGAGAGGGGGAGAGGAAGGGATAGTTGGAGAGTGGGAGGGGATAGAAAATGTCAGGGAGCCAAAGGTCTTACATAGACATGCATGGAGTACAGATTTTTCAAAGGACATGCAGAAACATGGAGAAAAGCACAACATGGGGAAAAGCTCAATCTCTTAAGTACAAGAGAATCACAAAACCATTACCGAAGCTTCAGCAGAGGTGAATCTGAGGTTTGTGAAAAACTCTTAAAGACAGGAAGTCTGCCAGTTCGGCCGAGCTCCACTGGACCTTCTGTTCTCATCTGGCTCTCACTCTCCTCCTCCCTTCCCAAACACCACAGGGCTACAGGGACGTGCTGGCTCTGCACGCAGACACATCTGTGTCTAAGCCTGGGACACTAAGAAGGTTACTTTATTTCTCTGAGCCCTGGTATCCTCATCAGCAAACCTGGGTAAACCACAATTCTAACAGCAGAGGCTGCACCACAGGCCACTGAAGGGCAGGAAATCAGGTGTCCGGCCTTGGGCTACATGCACCTATCTGCACCATGGCACTGAGAAGGTCTGCACACAAACTTGAGTCCCCAGTCTTCACATCTCTTGTAGAAATATACAGATGGAGCACACTTCCAAACTGAGCTAGTGGAATTAAAACCTAACATTCACTGGAACAGTTTTGTCTTTTTTAGTCTTACTTATTAGTAAGGATAAAATACTAGATATTAGTAAAATATACTTGTGAAGCAAATATAAATACGGATAATGAGCATTTTCTTTTCTTGGTAGTCAGAAGGCATTTATGGGTTTGATAATCTTATAATTAATTATAAAAATCTTCATTTTTATTCTGGGTACTATGACTTAATTACTCTAGAATACTGTATCCAAAATATGACTCTGAGATGTGTTTCATAAACACCAACAAAATCAATAAAATTAACTTATCACATAGTACATTCCCAGATCATATCAGGAGGACCAAAGAACATCTAAAAATTACTAGCAAGAAGACAAGTTCAATGACTGATACTCTTCTCTGCCACGAGGCATAAGCTACAGTTCACTGATAGCAATATTGGCTATTTACACTTAACTATAACATCCATTCACTCATTCATTAATCTAAACAAGATTTACTGAGTTTCAGCCACAGGCAGAGTTCTGTGGAAGTACCGGAACACCCACAGGCAGAAGGGCTCATGGCCCCGGTCATCAGGAGCCCACAGGCTTCCTGTCCCCCTAGTGAATAAACCACCATCACCCAAGATTACTCCTTTTGGAATCAAGTGTGGAAGCACAGCCTGTCATTCCAGTGCATACTAATAAGCTCTCTTTTACCTGAAGGAATTAGTATTCTTAAATAGAATTGTTTAGAAAAGTTCCAGGACAGGTTGAATGCATGTATTTCAAGAGACTATTTTTTTTACATGATACAAAATCATATGTGTATTTAATCCATTACCTTACTATTGCTTCTTTTATTAACTTTGAAAAATCCCAGAAATTTTTTCTTCTCTTTATCTGTCTCATCATTGCCAAGTGATGATTTCCTAAAGGTTTCTGGAAAAAAAAAGCACTAAGTTATTTTTCAGCATCTGAAACAAGAGATTCAATACTTTACTTAAAAAATCTTAATAAATGAATCCTCTACTCTTAAACTTTTAGTTCTTGTAAGAGAGGGAAAGCCATCAACTATTTCTTTCAAAGCTGTCCGAGCCACTTCAAGTCCTCAGGTCCATTTGGGAAATCACTACAGGTTCTTACACAGTCTTTTAGGAATGATGGAGGCATTTTCTCTGGGTGTGGTTGTGCCCTTTTGGAGAATGACAAAATAAATAAAGTTCTAGGGCAGAGCTGTCCAACAGAAAGCTAAACCAGACCACACATGTAATTTTACATTTCCTAGTGGCTACATTAAAAAGAACCAAGTAAAATTAATTGTAATAATTTCATTTAATCCAATACATCTAAAATATTGTCATTCTATCATGCAGTCCATATAAAAAGTATTGATGAGATATTTTACATTGGTTTTGGTGCTAAGTCTTCACAATCCAGCAGCCCTTTAGGCTTACAGCATATCAGTGTGGACTCGGTACATGCAAGAGCCACATGAGGCCTGTGGCTGCCAAATCAGCACAGCTCTAAGACTGCGACATCAGTGCAATACACCTGCTTTAAGAATTATGAGTGAGGTACAAACTTTAACTAAATGAAATAAATCAGCAGCTTTCCTGCTCATTTCCAGAAAATGGAGTAACAGCTATGGGCTCCCCAGGTGGTATTTGAAACAACTGCATCAAATCTCCCAGGAACCACCTTTCCAGATTTTCCTTCCTCTGCTGCATCCAGAACGTTTTCCTTTCAAATTACATTCTCTAGGGGAGCAATTGTTTTCTTCTTTCTTTTTCCTGAAGCTCTAAATCCTCAACCCCTCTTGAATTTTTCTTCATCAGGATTCTAGAGCCAGGTTGGAACCTTCCAAATTCCAGACAAGCACACTGAAGCCCAGATGTGTCTGTCAGCTGACAAGACAGCCATGGGATGTGGTTCCCAAAGCGAGATGGAACCTGCAGCATCAGCATCGCTGGGAACTTATGAGAGATGCGAATGCTTGGGCCCACTCCAGACCCCCAGAATAAGAAACGCTGGGTGCAGGGCCCAGCACTACACAGTCAAACTAGCCCCTAAGGAGGCTTAAGCTGAGGGTCTGGAGAACACGCTTGGGAGTGGTGCTGAGAGATTAAGAGCGCCCATGTGTGAGGCACACTTCGGAAAACCACTTAGCTCCTCCAAGCCTCAGCAGCTTCATCTGCAGGTTGAGGGTGAGTGCATCAAGCACGCAGACGGCACTCACACAGCTCAGCACACTGCTCACTAGTGTCATGATTTGCTCAGGAAAGGCCTTTGTCATTACTTCATTCCATTCTTCTCTGCCAGGGCATACAGATATGACAAGAAGAAGGAAAGTGGAGGTGTTCCTGGAGGATAGAAAAATGATTTTTCCCATATCACTGCCAACTGATAGCAAGAGCTCTATACCATTGGTGGCAGAATCATGGACTGGGATTTTACAAATTCTGCCATCAGACTATTAATGCAAACAAGGTAACCCTCAATTAACTTCTTGACCTGCTAATATATGATTTCACATTTGAGTTAGAGAACACACACAGCAGTCAGTGCATTAATAACACAGGCGTGAACACTGATAGCGTCCACACAGCAAAGCAAAAACCCAGCACACACGCTCCTGATATCACGCTGTAGGAGCAAAGGTGCACATCCTAGCCACCAGGGCAGGGCCAGGACACTTGGTTACATGCAGGAGGCTCCAGTGGAGGCACTGAGCAGGCTCCACATCGCACAGTACCCAAATCAGAGGGCCCACTGCAACATGGTGCAGCAGCACCAATGCATGTGTGCAAACGCGCTGTAAAGTTAGTTGCAGCAAGCCCTCTATTAGGTACAGAGCTATAAAGAGGAAAACAGAGCACACAGTTAAGACTGCATCTAAACTATTATATGCTTTAATATGTATGTTTATAACCAAGGATGTTTCTAGAATTGAGTGGTATGTGACATGGACCAACGGATGCTCACGAACTGACGATGGGGTTACACTTTCAGTTCACGACGGCTTTATCCAGATGTGACCCCATCGTAAGTCCAGGAGCATATTGAATGCATAGCACTTTCACACCATGGTAAAGTTGAAAAATCTTAAGTTGAGAAATTGTCTATGTTGAAACAGATGACATCATAGTATCCTACTGATAATCGAGAAGTAGAGCATTTTCCTAGTACACAAGCTGTATTACACCGACCACAGAAAGGACAGACTGCATCAGAAAACTGCAATGAGATCTAGCCTGTTGTTTCTCTTCTTGAATGAGGACAGTGGCTGATCATCACCTCTAAGGACTGAGGTCGGCTCCCTGACGAAGGGTCCAGGACAGCCCCGGCACCAGAATGCCCCTCAATAGTGGGAGAGACACTTTCTCATGCAGCTACAGCCTGCAGCTGTCTGGAGGCACCAGGGGCCTGTGACTCACAGTGCTGAGCTGCGCCTAACACTGATGGTCTATTTTTAGAGGTGAGGCTTTGGTCTCAGTCACTGACTGATAGGGGCCTCCTATGAGGCCTCTAGAGGCTTGGCAGACACTGAAGAAGAACTGGTTTGGGAGCAAAGTAGGAGAACTCAGTGTTCCCATCAGCCAAAATTTCCAGAGGCTGCCCAGCTATAAAGCAGAGCAACAATGAACAACTGATGCATAGCCAGCCCTCGAACACACGCAAGTGAGCTCTAGAACCCATGGTGCCTATGGTATGATAAGCTGAGGGTGGCATTTATTTTGTTTGAATTTACTCTAATTTACACGTAATTAAATATTAAGAAAAGTGTGGGAACTCACACAGTCTGCAAGAAAGTTTTACTTTCTGAAGCATTACAATGATTTGAAAAATGTTAAAGATGAATTGCAGAGTGGCAGAGAAGGATGAAGGACCCTTAAAGACCAACGAGTCCAAACCACTCACTTGTCTAGAGGAGGAGACTCAGTGACCAGAACAAGGCCATAAGGAGTAAATGGAAGCGGGGGACCAGGTCAACATCTGCAAATGTACAATGGGCATTCTACATATGTATATACATATATGTATATGTTTAAGTATATATATATATATATATATACACACACACACACACACACACACATATATCTATATCTGCCTATATATACATATAAACATCTCTTTCTGTATAGAAATATCTCTATGAAACTTAAATAGATGTTGGAATAAATGCAAAATCTGGACTAATCATTTGCATACTTGTCTATGACAGAAAAGGTTAAATTTTAAAATCCATACTGTCCCAAATTCTGTAGCATGCAGGATGGCCTTCAGGGGCAGGTAAGCATGGGCAGGCAGAGGTGAAAAGGAAAGGGTGCCTTTCCTGCGCACACCACTTCTGATCTGCCCTGAATTATTGGGCAACAGAATTTGTTTTCTGTAACAGCCTCCCTCATTTCTCATCAATTAGAGCCACACAGCAAATTCTCCTAAGAAGCATTCTTATCTGAACCAACCAGGGAATCAAGAAACCAAACCAAAATCTCATGTCAGCCTCGCATGCACCTTCAGGAGGGCCCCAAGCCAAACTTCCATTCCTTGGAGTCTGGCACAAAAACATCACCTCTGTGCAGCTCTGACCCCAGAGCCATGCATAGTGCAGCCTCACAGCGGGAGCGGGAAGCCCCAGGTTCACTGTACCTTGACAGCTCAGGGAAGGCTCGGACTGAGTTTTGCTCAGACGAACTGGAAAAGGCAGGCAATGAGAGAGTGAGGTCCAGCTTTGAGATGTGTGGGAGTCCCTGACCCAGGCCTTGGCCCTCACAAGCCTCAGAGGGGGGCTGTCCTGCTGCAGCAGTGAGAAGGTCTCTTGCTGGGTCAGCTTGCCTCTCTGGGCTGGCCCTCTCAGGGCCACAGCTGCATAGCCTGCTAAGCACCGCTGAGGACGCAGGTGGCAGCAGAGCCCTTGGCTTTATCAAGATGCTCCCACCGGGGATTCCAGGGGAGGGCAGGCCTCTGCGTAGCAATGCCTCACCTCCTGCCAGCTGCCCTTCTGTTCTCCAGCAGTGGTAGGGCTCAGGAGTGGACGTCTGTCCCCTCCAAGTGCCTACCAAGAGGATTGAAAGTAAGGGCTCCTCCAGCAGTACCCAGCAGGCCTGCCCAGGGCGGTTGTAGGGGAGAAAGGGAGCCTCGGAGATGGCCTCTGGACAAGTGTCTTTTCTTTTCGAATATTTGACAGTGAGCAGGAGGCAGGCATTTGGCAGGGACGGTAATCAAATGTCACAGCTGGCATGGCACAGGCATGGTCCAGACGAAAGGGGTGCTGGCCACAAGGCTGGAGCAGAGCCCCCATGGTGGGGAAGCTCGTGGTGCCTTGGGGGTGGGGTGGAAAGGGCCAAAATGTCCAAAGGAGTAGAGAGGGGGACTTGGAGGTTTGGGAGCAGCTAGTTCCAACCAAGGGCAGAAGTGCTTCCAAATCTGAACGGCCAAGCTGACCGCACCGGCTTGTTCTGCTCTGTCCCATATGAGGATCAGAAGAGATGCTCTGGGCCCCTGACCACATGAACACTTCAGCTCCTACATTCCCAATGACCATGGGCTATCCTGGGTCCTCTCCTTCACAGACAGGCAGGTTTTATATCACTTCTCCCAAGTGCCAGGTTCAACATCTACCTTTCAAGATACATCCAAGTGGTAGCATGTAACAGAAACACTTGTAAGCCTTTTTATTTCAGATACCTGAACGTGAAACAGTTTTCCCTTTATTTTTCTTTTTATCTTAACAAATGGAAGCTGTTTCCAAAGAGTCATGTAAACCAAATTTAAATAGTGCTGATATACTCAGTGCCACCAGGCCTTTGCAGCAATACTGAGACTATTTCTGTCTGTGTTTTAAAAAAGACACTGGATAAAACACAAGATGCATTATTCTCAAATGTCAGAGTACTTTTTTTGAAGAAATAAACAGTCCATGTATCTTATACTCAACTGAGCCAAAACCCTCTCTTGAATGTCAAATCAGATCTAGATGCCAGATACCCAGGAAGACAAGGGCGGACTTGGCGGGGAGAGGAAGGCTGGACAGAGATTCCACTATGATCATGGATTTCACAATAAACTTGGTATTAAGAAAAAATATGGCCAGGCGCAGTGGCTCAGGCCTGTAATCCCAGCATTTTGGGAGGCCAAGGCAGGCGGATCACCTGAGGTCAGGAGTTCGAGACCAGCCTGGCCAACGTGGTGAAACCCCGTCTCTACTAAAAACACAAAAATTAGCCGGGCATGGTGGGAGGTGCCTGTAATCCCAGCTACTCAGGAGGCTGAGGCAGGAGAATCACTTGAACCTGGGAGGTGGAGGTTGCAGTGAGCCGATATTGCACCATTGCACTACAGCCTGGGCTATAAGAGTGAAATTCCATCTCAAAAAATAAAAAAAAGAGAAAAAATACATTTTTGTTGGAAAAAATTAGAAAAAAAAGTCATAGAAAAACAGGAAAAACTTGAATATGTATATATTTTTTAAACTCAACCTATTCAATATTTGTGGAATAATGAAACAGAGACAACAGACATCAAATGAGGCTTATTAGAAGAGAAACTTTTACGAAGTCCATTTTGATCATTCTAAGGTCAAGGAATATAACATTTCCTTTGGCCTGACAGTAGCAGTTAGCACTCTATATCAATCAGAAACATGTGCTTACACAACATAACAGTCTCTGCACCAGCAAGGCCTCTGGGCTGCCACTCTCACCAGTGGCTCTAACTGTGGCCTCATACTAAAAGCCAGTTTCACATGATGAGCAAGCAGGATGACACTGGCAACACAGTGAGGAGGCCTAAGGTGGCCCTAAAGTTATCTTCAGGAATGGATCTCACGCACTGTAATTGTTCAGTTTTAGAGAACAGCTAAATGAATTTCTGCCACTGGTTTTAGACATGAGCAATGTTTGAAACCTGGGAACAGCAGTTAATGGCAACTGAAAAAGAAAATCAAGATAATTTTTTTTTTAAAGAGACAGGGTCTCACTCTGTCACCTAGGCTGAGGGCAATGGTGCAATCATAGCTCAGTGCAGCTTCAACCTCCTGGGTTCAACCAATCCTCCAGCCTCAGCCTCTCCAGTAGATGGGACTACAGGAATGGGGATGCACCACCACGTCTGGCTAATTTTAAAATTTTTTTGTAGAGACGGGGTCTCACTATTTTGTCCAGGCTGGTCTTGAACTCCTGAGCTCAAGCCATTCTCCTGCCTCAGCCTCTCAAAGTGCCAGGATTACAAGTGTGAGCCACCAACCCACAAGAAAGTATTATAGATGGTTTGGAGTAGTTACTTCAGAGCATAAGCTCTAATCTCACCTCACCTTTTCCCCTTTTACTTATGTCGTGGAAGTTTGCAGGGAGACAAAGGATAAAGGACATGTTCAGGGCTGGGAGAAAGGAGGCACAGCTCAATCCAGAGGAATGAAAACAGGCCAGATTTCTTTTTTGCCTACTTCAACTTGACTTGCCTGGAACTTCATGTACCCATCTCTCCCTGGCGCTACTGAGAGTGCTGGGGAGAGCCAACAGGGGACATGTACACGCCGCGCATCCGTGTGATTATGGGCAGGTGCGTGAGACGCAGCGGGGCCTCACCTCTTCTGTTGTCCCACGCGTAGAGCTCCTTTATCCCGAGCTCGTTCAGGGACTTGGACAGCTCCAGCTCCTCTCCGGCAATGTTGTCCCTGAGGAGAACCACGTGCTCTGGGCTGACCTCACACTTTGCACAAATGACTGGGAGAATATTCTGGAGAGGAACCTCAGGGCTCACACGCACAACAGCTTTTTGTGTCCGCAGGTAATTCACGACCAAACGCACAGATTTCTGGAAGAACACACAGGCAAAAAGAATTCAGTAAGATATCCTCCCACAAGCCTTCAACTCTTGTGTCAATTTGACAATTGGGTGTGGCAGGATTGTGTGTAGCCTGAATCCTTCTTCCACAAATTGAGTGAGTAATGGGGGAAAACAGCATAATGAATATTGAAAAACAAATGTCTAGAATAATAAATCTGGTTTAGAATCTCTTGCTAGTGAACAAGCTGCTAACAACACAGCGAAATAAACATCAGGGAAGACTCTACATTTAAAATCCAACACATATACTTTACTGTCTTCCAAGGGTTCTGGCCAGATGTGAACACATGGCACTTATATGCATTTTCTAAAAAAAAAAGTTTGGAAGCAGTATGAATAATTTAAAGAAAAACCCTCCAAAAACATGACATCAAAGTTTTAAGGAGTCAAAATATCCACATAAATACAGGAATATCTATATATGTACATAGATATATATATATATAAATACATATATACTGTATATATGTACTATATACACACATATATGAAACATATACAGTGTGTACACAGACCTACATGTATTTATGTATACACACTACACACACGTATTTAAGCTATAAATATATTTTAAAAAACACCAGGCATATATAATAATCAGGAAGAAAAACACTCAGTTGACTAATGCTAATTCTAAATGACTGCAGATAAAGTGGTAGTCATTTTTCTCCCACTTTTTGATTATTTTTCTTCCGCTTTTACTGATCACTCTAATTGTGCTAAGACACTGTAGAGCTGGACACAGTAAATGTAGATTGAACAAAAGAGCAGCAAAGGAAGGCCTCACGCTCTCTTCCAGCCTGCGTACCAGGGCCCAGTGGCTGGGATAACAATGCATTTTGGGAGAAAAGACGGAACCTACTGCTCCTTTACTGGTCCTCTCCTGCCCTAACAAGTGGAATCATGCAGATGCCTGGGCTCACCTGCCCTGAGAAGCAGGAAGTCAAGGGAAGACGCAAGGTATATACAGAGATGCTCTGCCTCAAACACTGTTTACTTGAGGAATAAGGGGAAATCTCTGGTCAGAGTGTTCCAGATAACAGTGAGAATGCACTAACCAATCAATCCTAGAAATTAATAGGAGATTAATGTTGGCTGCATTACCATTTTTAAAAGCAGGAAAATTTAGAAGGTCTGCTAAGAATATGAAAGTAACATTGCTTTTAATTTTAGCTAAAAGATTAATATCAAAGCCTTATTTAAAAGTACAATAAAGCTGGGTATGGTGGTTCAGGCCTGTAATCCCAGCACTTTGGGAGGCTGAGGTGGGTGGATCACCTGAGGTCAGGAGTTCAAGACCAGACTGGCCAACATGGTGAAACCTTGTCTCTACTAAATACACAAATTAGCCGGGTGTGGTGGCATGCACCTGTAGTCCCAGCTACTCAGGAGGCTGAGGCAGAAGAACTGCTTGAACCTGGGAGGCAGAGGTAGCAGTGAGCCAAGATCACACCACTGCATTCCAGCCTGGGCAACAAGAGTGAAGCTCCGTCTCAAAACAACAACAACAAAAACAATAAAAGTATATAATAAGCTACTAGAATTAATTTTAATTAATAAACAAAAGCCTGGAATATAGCTATGTATATAAGATATTCTCCAAATGCAATGAATAAATATTTCTGACATCAGTTTTTCAAAAAAGTTTTTTTCCCTTTCTTTTCTCTTCCTCTGGGAAGATGTTTAAATCTTCTATGGATACCAACTGCTTCCTGAGTCAGGAAGAATTCTAGAACTACACTGTCCAATCAGGTAGCCATTAGCTAGTGGCAATTTAAATTTAAAGTTAAAATTAAATTAAAAATTCAGTTTCTCAATCATACCTGCCACATTTCAAGTGTTCAAAAGCTGTGTCAATTAAAATGAAAAAAGAAAAATCTACATGAATATTTTAGATATTTAAGTTATAATAAACATACCAAATTTTTAAAAAAGCTGCATGCAGCCAGTGGCTATCATATAAGAAAGTACAGAATTAAAGACCATGCCCCTCTTTGAATGAAGGTCTAATGGATAGCTCCACTGTAGATCAATTCCTCTTCTATAATATATAAAGAAGCAATGTTACAACAATAAACATTATTCAATTGTGTACATTTTGTCTCCTAAAACAAACTCTGTTTAGTGCCTAGCTTTGCCTGGCATGAAAGTAGCAGCCTCAGCCACAGCTCTCTGCACTGTACTTTGATAAGAAGAGCCACACTGGCCCCTACTCAGGACCTGCCACACATTCAGACACAGGTATTTCCATGTAGGTACCTACTAACCTCAGGCACCTTAGGGGGACCAGGCTTAACCTTCTCTTCAGGAACTTTTTCTTTCAGAAACACAGTATGCACATTCAGGGTCCCAATCAAAGTATTTGGCTTAAAACTCAAAGGTTGTTGGGTTTCTGAAGACCGAATTTCAAGGGCATGGTGGGATGGATTCAGGTGGTTCTGAAGGCAAAGTTCAACCAGTAGGTCCATCATCGCATGGCTGAAAAAAGGAAAACAAATCATGATTATTAGGAATGACTGCACTCTCTCTTTTGCCTGGCTAAATAAGGGTAGAACAAATGAACAAGTGGATGAATGAGCAAATTAGATATGCTTATGAAAAAAGACAACAGAAGCTCATTAATTCCTTCTGCATGGTTGTAGAGCAATATGTTAACATTTTCAGCACTAACAAACAACACTATTGAAAGAGAAAAATCATAATTAATAGCTTGGAAAATAGTTATATTTTTAGTTAAATCCAAGGGTATGTTGAGTTGGATCATCTAAGGTCTGTTAGCACAAATATTTTTCATGCATACAAGACACTAAATTTTCAGTTATTCAGAAATATAATGTATCTTTTTGATTTAACTTTTAAGTTCAGGGGTACATGTGCAGGTTTGTTACACAGCTAAACTTGTGTCATGGGGGCTTGTTGTACAGCTTATTTTATCAACCAGGTATTAATCCTAGTACCCATTAGTTATTTTTTCTGATCCTTTCCCTCCTCCCACCCTCCATCCTCTGAGAGACTCCAGTGTTTGTTGTTGTTCCCCTCTATGTGTCCATGTGTTGACATCATTTAGCTCCCACCTATAAGTGAGAACATGCAGTATTTGGTTCTCTGTTGTTGCATTAGTTTGCTAAGGATAATGACCTCTAGCTCCATCCATGTTTTTACAAAGGACATGATCTTGTTCTTTTTTTTAATGGATGCATAGTAGTCCATGGTGTATCTGTACTACATTTTCTTTATCCAACATACTATTGATGGGTCTTTAGGTTGATTCCATGTCTTTGCTATTGTGAATAGTGCTGCAATGAACATACACATGCATGTGTCTTTATGACAGAATGATTTATATTCCTTTGGGTATACACCCAGTAATGGGATTGCTGGGTTGAATGGTAGTTCTGCTTTTAGGTCTTGGAGGAATTGCCACACTGTCTCTTCCACAATGGTTGAACTAATTTACAATCCCATCAACAGTGTATAAGTGTTCCTTTTTCTCTGCAACCTTACCAGCATCTGTTGGTTTTTGACTTTTTCATGATAGCCCTTCTGACTGGTGTAAGATGGTATCTCATTGCGGTTTTGATTTGCATTTCTCTAATGATCACTGATGTTGAGCTTTTTTTCATGTTTGTTGGCCTCATGTGTGTCTTCTTTTGAAAAGTGTCTGTTCATGTCCTTTGCCCACTTTTTCTTTTTTATTATTATACTTTAAGTTTTAGGGTACATGTGCACAACGTGCAGGTTTTTAATGGGTTTTGTTTTTTTTTCTTGTAAATTTGTTTAAGTTCCTTTTAGATGCTGGATATTAGACCTTTGTCAGATGCATAGTTGGAAAACATTTTCTCCTATTTTGTAGGTTATCTGTTTACTCTGTTGATAGTTTCTTTTGCTGTGCAGAAGCTCTGTAGTTTAATTAGATTCCATTTGTCAGGTTTTGCTTTTGTTGCAATTGGTTTCGGAGTCTTCGTCATAAAATTTTGACTGTTCCTATGTCCAGAATGGTATTGCCTAGGTTGTCTTCCAGGGTTTTTATAGTTTAGGTTTTAAATTTAAGTCTTTAATCCATCTTGAGTTATCTTTTGTACATGGTATGTGGAAGGGGTCTAGTTTCAATCTTCTGCATATGGCTAGCCAGTTCTCCCAGCACCATTTATTGAATAGGGAGTTATTTCCCCATTGCTTGTTTTTGTCAGCTTCATCAAAGATCAGATAGTTGTAGGTGTGTGATCTTATTTTTGGGTTCTCCATTCTGTTCCATTGCCCTATGTGTCTGTTTTTGTATAAATAGCATGCTGTTTGGTTACTGTAGCCCTATAGTATAGTTTTAAGTCAA
Source organism: Homo sapiens (assembly GCF_000001405.40). Taxonomy (NCBI): domain Eukaryota; kingdom Metazoa; phylum Chordata; class Mammalia; order Primates; family Hominidae; genus Homo; species Homo sapiens. The sequence goes on from NC_000007.14 coordinate 51,195,442, forward strand.
GTAGCATGATGCCTCCAGCTTTGTTCTTTTGCTTAGGATGGCCTTGGCTATTTGGGTTTGTTTTTTGGTTCTTTGTGAATTTTAAAATAGTTTTTTCTAGTTCTGTGAAGAATGTCATTGATAGTTTAATAGGCATAGCATTAAATCTATAAATTGCTTTGGGCAATATGGCCATTTTTAACAATATTGATCCTTCCTTTCCATTTGTTTGTAACATTTCTGATTTCTTTGAGCAGTGTTTTGTAGTCTCCTTGTAGAAATCTTTCACCTCGCTGGTTAGCTTCATTCCTAGGTATTTTATAATTTTTTTGTGGCAATTGTGAATGAGACTGCATTCCTGATTTGGCTCTCAGTTTAACTGTTATTGGTTTTTAGGAATGCTAGGGGTTTTTGTACATCGATTTTGTATACTGAGACTTTGCTGAAATTGTTTTACCAGCTTAAGAAGCTTTAGGGCCAAGACTATAGGGTGTTCTAGATATAGGATCATATCATCTGCAAATGGAGATAGTTTGACTTCCTCTCTTCCTATTTGTATGCCCTTTATTTCTTTTTCTTGCCTGACTGCCCTGGCCAAAATTTCCAGTACTATGTTGAATAGGAGTGGTGAGAGGGGGCATCCTTGTTTTATGCTGGTTTTCAAGGGAAATACTTCCAGCTTTTGCCCATTCAGTATGATCTTGGCTGTGAATTTGTCATATATGGCTCTTATTATTTTGAGGTATATTCCTTCAATACCTAGTTTATTCAGAGTTTTTAACATGAAGGGATGTTGAATTTTATCAAAAGCCTCTTCTGCATCTTTTGAAATAATCATGTGGTGTTTGTCTTTTGTTCTGTTTATGTGATGAAATACATTTATTGATTTGCATATGTTGAACCAACCTTACATCCCAGGAATAAAGACTACTTGATCGTGGTGGACAAGATTTTTGATGTGCTGCTGGATTCAGTTTGCCAGTATTTTGTTGAGGATTTCTGCGCTGATGTTCATCAAGGATAGTGGCCTGAAGTTTTCTTTTTGTGTGTGGTGTCCCTGTCAGTTTTTGGTATCAGGATGATGTTGGCCTCACAAAATGAGTTAGAGAGGAGTCCTTCCTCTTTATTTATTTATTTATTTATTTGGAACAGTTTCAGTAGTAATAGTACCAGTTCTTCTTTGTATATCTGGTAGAATTCAGCTGTGAATCCGTTTGCTCCTGGGCTTTTTCTTTTCTTTTTTTTTGGTTGGTAGGCTATTTATTACTGATTCTATTTCAGATCTTGTTACTGGTCTGTTCAGAGATTCAATTTCTTCCTGGTTCAGTCTTGGGAGAGTGTGTGTGTGTCCAGGAATTTATCCATTTCTTCCAGATTTTCTAGTTTATGTGCATAGAAGTGTTCATAATATTTTGATGATTATTTGTATTTCTATGGGGTCAGTGGTGACACCTCACTTGCTATTTCTGGTTGTGTTTATATACATCTCCTCTCTTTTCTTCTTTATTAGCCTAGCTAGCAGTCTATTTTATTAATTTTTTCAAAAAAAAAACAGCTCCAGGATTCACTGATCCTTTGAATAATTTTTCGTGTCTCAATCTCCTTCAGTTCAGCTCTGATTTTGGTTATTTCTTGTCTTCTGCTAGCTTTAGGGTTGGTTTTCTCTTAGTTATCTAGCTCTTTCAATTGTAGTGTTAGGTTGTTAAACTGAGATCTAACTTTTTGATGTAGGCATTTGCTGCTATAAATTTCTCTCTTAAAACTGCCTTAGCTGTGTCCCAGAGATTCTGGTATGTTGTATCTTTGATCTCATTAGTTTAAAAGAACTTCTTGATTTTCCCCTTCCTTTCATTATTTAACCAAAAGTAAGTCAGGAGCAGATTATTCAATTTCCATGTAATTGTATGGTTTTGAGTGAATTTATTAGTCTTGATTTCTAATTTGATTCTCTGTGGTCTGAGAGATTGGTTGTTATTATTTAAGTTTTGCATTTGCTGAGGAGTCTTTTATTTCTGATTATGTGATCGATTTTAGAGTATAAGCCATGTGGCAATGAAAAAATGTATATTCTGTTGTTTTAGGATGAAAAGTTCTGTAGCTGTCTACCAGGTCCATCTGATCCAGTGCTGAGTTCAGGTCCTGAATATCTTTGTTAATTTTTTGTCTTTATGGTCTAATATTGTCAGTGGGGTGTTAAAGTCTCCCACTATTAATGTGTGGGAGTTTAAGTTTCTTTGAAGGTCATTAAGAAACTGCTTTATGAGTCAGAGTGCTCCTGTATTATGTGCATATATATTTAAAACAATTATGTCTTCTTGCTGAATTTAACCCTTTACCATTATGTAATGCCCTTCTTTGTCTTTTTTTATCGTTGTTGATTTAAAATCTGTTGTGTCTGAAATTAGTATTGCACCTCCTGCTTTCTTCTGTTTTCCATTTGCTTGGTAGATTTTTCTCAGTCCCTTTTGTTTTGAGCTTACGTGTGTCACTGCATGTAAGACAGGTTTCTTGAAGATAGCATACCAATGGGTCTTGGTTCTTTATCCAGCTTACTACTCTGTGCCTTTTAATTGGGGCATTTAGCTCATTTACATTCAAGGTTAGTATTGATATATGTGGATTTGATCCTGTTATCATGATGTTAGCTGGTTATTTTGCAGACTTGTTTAGTGGTTGCTTTATAGTGTCAGTAGTCTGTGTACTTTAGTGTTAGTAGCTGGTAATGGTGTTTCCTTTCCATATTTAGTGCTTGCTTCAGGAGCTCCTGTAAGGCAGGTTTGGAGGTAAGGAATTCCTTCAGCATTTGCTTATTTGAAACAGATCTTATTTCTCCTTTGCTTATGAAGCTTAGTTTGTCCAGATATGAAATTCTGGGTTGGAATTTCTTTTCTTTAAGGATATTGAATATTGGCCCCCAATCTCTTTTGGCTTGCAGGGTTTCTGCTAAGAGGTCCATTTTTAGTCTCATGGGCTTCCCTTTACAGATGACCTGATTTTTCTCTCTAGCTGCCTTTAACATTTTTTCTTTCATTTTGACCTTGGAGAATCTGATGATTATGTATCTTAGGAGGGATCTTCTTGTGAAGTGTCTTATTGGGATTCTCTGCATTTATTTCTTTTACATTTTCCTAGCAGAATGTTTCTATTTATTTAAAGCTAAACTCTCTTTTCCTATGAATTTCCCAAGAAGTTGGGCACAGGTTTTTTTCCTCTGATCTATTCCTTAATAAGTAACTTGCATAATTCTTGCAGGACATAATTATGGTTTCCAGATGTTACCAAATAAATTGAAGATTGGGAACTCACAGGGCACTGGTAAACACACAGGTGCGAGTGACATCAGTAAGACAGTAGAACAGGAAGTCTCTGGCTCATGTACCCCAACAGAAAAAAATGATTTGGCAGCCTGCCATGCACAGAAGTTCCTTTGTAAGAGCTTTGGGATCCAGATAGGAGGTTGTGAAACCCTGGTAGAGCCCCAGACTGAGGAGGGATACACTGAGAAATCAGGCCCACAGCCTGCTGGCAGGCTCATAGGCTTTGGTACCAGCTATGGACTGAAAGCATCCCTGTCCTCCTATGAACTCAGCTCCAACCACAAGGAGCTGTGGTGCTTCCAAAAGTCCCATCTTCCATTTCCTGAGAGGGGCCATACCCAACCTATCCCCCCAATAACATGCTCGCTGACCTCAGACCCAACTGCAGATACTAAAGTAGTCATGTGACCTGGCTTCAGCCCCTCTCCACTGTGGCCTGCTGGGAGACACGTCTATTCATACCCTTGGTGACAGGTTCCCCAAGCTCAGTCCCAACTGCAGACCCTGAAACGGCCAACTTACCTGACTCCAAACTCAGCTTGACTGAGATACCAGAGGCAATAACATCAGTCTGGTGAGCTAGGAGTAGATCCTTACTTGCCAAAACCAGTCTGTAAAGACTGGAGATGTCTGCTCCTTCAAATGCACAGACACACACACGTTTACATGGACCACAAAGCATTAGGTAAACATAACACCACCAAAGTTAACTAACAAAACCCCAGTAACCAACCCCAGAAAAGTGGAGATCCATAAATTACCTGAAAAGGAATCCAAAATAGCCATCTTAAAGAAGCTCAATGAGCTTCAGGAGAATACAGATTTTAAAACTAAATGAAATCAGGAAATCAATACATGAACAAAATGAGAAATTTAATAATGAAACAGAAGCATCAAGAAGAAACCAAACAGAAATCTTGCAGCTGAAGAATACAATGATTGAACTGAAAAACCCAATAGACAGCTTCAACAGAAAACCTGATCGTGTAGGAAAAAGAATCAGTAAATCTGAAGCCTGGTCATTTGAAATTAACCAGTTAGAAGAAAAAAAAAAAAAGAAAAAGTGAAGAAAGCCTATGAAACTTACAGAACACCATCAAAGTGGTGGAAAGCCTATTTAAAGAAATAATGGCAAAAATCTTCCCAACTCTACAGAGGGAAGTTGACATAAAGTCCTAAGATCTTCAAATATATTAAACAAAAAGAGCACTACTCTGAAGCACATTATAGTTTGTCTCAAATATTAAGAGTTTTTCAGAAATAAAAGACAAAGAGACAATTTTGAAAGCAGCAAGAGAAAGGCACCTTGTCACACACAAGGGAAACATTGTAAGATTTATCAGCAGAAACCTTGCAGGCCAGGAGACAATGGGATGATACAGCAAAGTACTGAAAGAAAAAAATGCCAAACAAGAATACTTTATCCAGAAAAACTGTAGTTTAAGGATGAAGGAGAGATAAGTCTTCCCCTGTCAAAACTAGGAAGTTTGTCACCACTAGACCTGCTAAAGTTAGTTTTTCAAGCTGAAATGAAAAGATGATAAACAGCATCATGAAAGCATATGAAAATATGAATCTCACTGCTAAAGGTAAACACAGAATATTGTAATACTGAAATGGTACACACAAATCTCTTTAAACACTAGTATACAAATTAGAAGGCAAGTTGTCAGAATAAATATACCCACATAAATTTGCTAATGGAAATACAACACAGAAAAATAAAATCTGACATCAGTTACATAAAGTGTCTGTGGGAGGGGGAAGTAAACTGTAGAGCGCCTGTATATGATTGAAGTGAAGTGGATATCAGCTTCAAACAGACTGCTGTAACTATAAATTATTCAGTGTAAACTCTATGGTAACCACACACAAATACACACACGATGTACAGTAGATGCAAAAAAGATTAAGAGAGAAGAATCAAAGTACACTGCTACGATAATCAAACCACAAAGAAAGATACCAAGAGGAGTAAGAGAACTATAATAAAGGTAGAAAACAAATGACAAAATGGCAAGAGTAAGTCCTTACCTATTAATAATTATTTGAAATTCAAATGTACTAAACTCTCCAATCAAAAGAAATACCGTAGATGAACAAATAAAATAATAATAATAAACTATGCTGTCTACAAGAGACTCATTTTAGATTTAAGGACACATAGAGGTTGAAAATAAAGAATGAAGAATGATATTTCATGAAAAAGGTTAAAGAAAGGAGCCCGGCATGGTGGCTCACACCTGCAATCCCAACACTTTGGGAGGCCGAGGCGGGCAGATCACGATGTCAGGAGTTCGAGACCAGCCTGGCCAACATGGTGAAACCCCATCTTTACTAAAAATACCAAAAATTAGCTGGGCGTGGTGGTGGGCGCCTTTAATCCCTGCTACTTGGGAGGCTGAGGCAGAAGAATTGCTTGAACCCAGGAGACAGAGATTGCAGTAAGCCGAGATGGTGCCACTGCACTCCAGCCTGGGTGACAGAGTGAGACTCCGTCTCAAAAAAAAAAAAAAAAAGAAAGAAAGAATGAAAGAAAAGAAAGGAGAGCAGGGGTAGCTATATTGTCATTAAATAAAATAGGGTTTAAGTCAAAACTCTCACAAGTGACAAACGTCATTATATAATGATATAAGGGACAATTCAACAGAAAGACCCAATAGTTATAAATATTAATACTTAAACCACCAACATGAAAGCACCTAAATATGTAAAGTAAACATTCATAAATCTGAAGGGAGAAAGAGACAGCAATACAATAATAATACAATAATATGAAGAGACTTCAAAACTTTACTCTCTATAATGGATAGACCATTCTGGTAGAAAGATCAATCAATAAGTAAACAGAATAACTGAAAAACACTATAGACCACATTGACCTAATATATATAATGTCCATCTAATATCAGAAGAATACAGATTCTTCTCAAGAGCATGTGGAACATTCTTCAGGGTATATAACAAGTTAGGTGTCAAAAGAGGTCTGAAAATTTTAGTAAGATCAAAATCTTCCAAGTGCCTTTTCCAGCCATAATGGAATGACATTAGCAATCAATAACAGTATTTCTAAGAATGAAAAAAAAATACAAACATGGAATTCACCTTCTGTGATATCATTTTACCCACAGTCTGAAGATATTAAATGGAAAATTTCATAAATGAACAACTCACAAATTTAATCAGTGTGATGAAATCTTGCACCATCCTGCCTCATCCTGCCTGGGACATCAACCATCCCTTTGTCCAATGTATTCACACTGTATACTCTACCCACCTACTAGTCACTTCATGGCCATCTCCGTTATCAGATCGCTTGTCATGGTATTGCAGTGCTTGTGTTTCAGTCACCCTTACTTTACTTAATAATGGCCTCAGACCTCAAGAGTAATGATGCTGGTTCTTTGGATGCCAAAGAAAAGCCATAAAGTGCATCCATTAAGTGAAAAGGTAAAAGTTCCTGACTTAATAAGGAAAGAAAAAAAAGTACACTGAGGTTGCTAAGATCTAGGGTAAAAATGAATCTTCTATCCCTAAAATTGTGAAGAAGAAAAAAGATATTCATGCTAGTTTTGCAGTTGTGCCTCAATCTGCAAAAGTTATAGCCACGGTGTATGATAACTATTATAACAATATGGTTACAATTGTTATATTTTATTTTTAAATTGATTCATTGTCAATCTTTTACTATATCCAATTTATAATTAAATTTTATTATAGATGTGTATGCATAGGAAAAAACATGGTATATATAAACTTTAGTACGATCTGTGGTTTCAAGCATCCACCAGAGGTTTTAGAACAAATCCCCCACAGAAAGGGAGGACTACGGTACATGGAAACTACACAACACAATCTTGAGCAACCACTGAGTCAAAGGAGAAATCAAAAGGGAATTTAGAAAATATCTTGAGACAAATGAACATGGAAACAAAAGTTGTCAAAACTTATGGGATGGAACAAAACTAATACTAATAGGGAAGTTTATAGCAGTAAGATCCTACATTTAAAAAGAAGGAAGGGCCGGGCACAGTGGCTCACGCCTGTAATCCCAGCACTTTGGGAGGCCAAGGCAGGTGGATCACTTGAGGTCAGGAGTTAGAGACCAGCCTGGCCAACATAGTAAAACCCCATCTCTATTAAAAATATAAAAATTAGCTGAGCATGGTGGCACGGGCCTGTAATCCCAGCTACTTGGAAGGCTGAGGCAGGAGAATTGTTTGAACCTAGAGGGCAGAGCTTGCAGTGATCCGCGATCGCACCACTGCACTCCAGCCTGGGTGACAGAGCGAGACTCTGTCTGGAAAAATAAGAATAATGAGGAGGAGGAGGAGGAAGATCTCAAATAAACAACCTAACTTTACACTTCAGGGAACAAGAATAAAAACAAACTGAGCCCAAAGTTAGCATAAGGAAGTTAATAATAAAGATTACAGCAAAGATAACTGAAATAGAGAACAGAAAAATTAAAAAAAAAACTCTTGGGAGGCCGAGGCGGGCGGATCACGAGGTCAGGAGATCGAGACCATCCTGGCTAACACGGTGAAACCCCGTCTCTACTAAAAATACAAAAAATTAGCCGGGTGTAGTGGCGGGCGCCTGTAGTCCCAGCTACTCGGGAGGCTGAGGCAGGAGAATGGCGTGAACCCGGGAGGCGGAGCTTGCAGTGAGCCGAGATCGCGCCACTGCACTCCAGCCTGGGCGACAGAGCGAGACTCCGTCTCAAAAAAAAAAAAAAAAAAAAAAAACTCTTGGCTGCATTAAAAAAAGAGAGAAGACTTAAAATCTGAAAGAGGAGCTATTATAACAAATATCTTAGAAATATGAATAAAAAAGATCACTAGGCAGTATTACAAAAATACACTAACAAATCACATCATCCCTAAAAAAAAAGAAAAAAATGGATAAATTCCTCGACATGTACCAAAATTGAGTCAAGGAGAAACAGAAATCCTGAAGAGACCAATAACAAATACAGAGATTATATTAGCAATTAAATCTCATCACAAACGGAAAAGTCCAGGACCAAATCGATTCAATGAAGAACACTATCAAACAGTCAAGGAATAATTGATACTAGTGCTTTTTAAACTCTTCCAAAAAAATAGAAAAAGAGGGCCTATTTCCAAACAAATTTTATGAGGCTAGAATCATGCTGACACCAAAGTCAAAGATCCCAAAATAAAAGAATATTATAGGCTAATATCCCTGACGAACATGGATGCAGAAATCCTCAATAAAATACTAGCATACAAAATTCAACAGCACATTTAAAGGATTATACTCCACAACTAAGTAGGATTTCTCCCTGAGATGCAAGGATGGTTCAACATTTGCAAATTAATCAATGTGATACAACACATCAACACAAGGAAACATAGAAACTACATAATCATCTCAATGGATACAGAAAAAGCATCTGACAAAACTCAATATCCATGCATGCTGAAACTCTCACCAAAAAAAGGCAGAGAAGGAATTTACTTCAACATTATAAAAACCATATACAAAAAGCTCACAGCTAACATTATAATCAATGGAGAAAAACTGAAAGCTTTTAAGGTCCATACAAAGCAAGGATGTCCGCTCTCACAACTTCTATTCAATACAGTACTGGTAGTCCTAGCCAGAGGCATTGGACAAGAAAAATAAATAAAAGGCACATACATCAAAAAATAACTGAAATTATCCCGGGTTACAAGTGATATGATCATACACATAGAAAGCTCTGAAAACTCAACAACAAGAAAAAACCGTTAAAAGTAATAAACAATTTAAAGTTGCTTATTATAAAATCAATACAAAAAAATCAGTGGCTTTTTTTTTTTTTTTTAAGACAGAGTCTCACTCTGTCGCCAGGCTGGAGTGCATGGTGCTATCTCGGCTCACTGCAACCTCCGCCTCCCGGGTTCAAGCAATTCTGCTGCCTCAGCCTCCCAAGTAGCTAGGACTACAGGTATGCACCACCACGCCCAGCTAATTTTTGTATTTTTCGTAGAGACAGGGATTCACCATGTTGGCCAGGATGGTCTCGATCTCTTGACCTCGTGATCCATCCGCCTTGGCCTCCCAATGTGCTGGGATTACAGGTGTGAGCCACCACACCCAGCCAAAAAAATCAGTGGCATTTCTATACATAAACCATTTAAAAAGGAAATTAAGAAAGTAGGAAAATAGCAATAATAAATAATAAAATACTTAGAAATAAACTTAACCAAACAGGTGAAAGATTGGTACACTGAACATTATAATACATTGATGAAAGAAATCAAAGGAGACACAGATAAATGTAAAGCTGTCCTGTGTTCATGGATTAGAAGAATTAATATTGTTACAATTTCCATATCTCACAAAAAGATCTACAGATTCAATGCAATCCCTATCAAAATCCCATTGGCATTCTTTACAGAAACAGAGAAGAAACAATGCAAAAACTCATAAAGAACAACAAAAGATCTTGAATACTCAAAGATATCTTAAGAAAGAAGAACAAACCTGGAGGTATCAAACATCCTGACTTCAAAATATCTTACACAGCTATAGTGTACAAAACAGCATGGTACTTGCAGAAAATCAAACATGTAGACTAATGGAACAAAATAGAGAGCCCAAAAATAAATCCATGCATTAAGAGTCAGCAGATCTTTGCCAAGGATGCCAAGAAGTCACAATGGGGAAAGTACCATCTCTTCAATAAATAGTGCCAGGAAAACTGAATATCCATATGCAGAAAAATGAAATCTGACCCTTATCTCACTCTATACAGAAAAAAAAAAACTCAAAATAGATTATAAACACTTAAATATAAGATTTGAAGCCATAAAACTGTGAGAAGAAAACACAGGAAAAAGCTTCATGACATTGGTCTGGGCAGTTTTTTGTTTGTTTGTTTTTGTTTTTTGGTTTTTTGTTTTTTTTTTTTTTACAGATATGACACTAAAAGCATAGAGAGCAAAAGCAAAAATAGACAAATAGGACTGCATCAAGCTAAAAGGCTTCTTTCTGTCCAGCAAAGGAACAGTCAACAGAGAGAAGTGCAATCTATGGAATGGGAGAAAATACTTGACAGCCACATATCCAATTAAGGGGTTAATATCCAAAATAGATAAAGAACTCAAACAACTCAATAGCAAATAACTCCCTTAAAATGGGCCAAGGATCTGAATAGATATTTCTCAAAATAAGACATACAAATGGTCAACAGGTATACTGAACATCACCATCAGGAAAGTGCAATTCAAAACCACAATATCACCTCACACCTGTTAGAATGGCAATTTTATCAAAAAGACAAAAAATAGCAAGTGTTGGTGAGAATGTGGAGAAAAGGAAAACCTTGAACATTGCTGGCAGGAATGTAAATTGGTACAGCCATTATGGAAAACAGTCTGGTGGTTCTTCAAAAAATTAAAAATAGAATTACCATATAACCCACCAATCCCAGTTCTGGGTACATATTTCTAAAGAAAATGGGCCAGGCACGGTGGTTCACACCTGTAATCCTAGCACTTTGGGAGGCCAAGGTGGGTGGATCACCTGAGGTCAAGAGTTCAAGACCAGCCTGGCCAACAACACAAAACCCTATCTCCACTAAAAATACAAAAATTAGCCAGGCGTGGTGGCACATGCCTGTAATCCCAGCTACTCGGAAGGCTGAGGCAGGAGAATTGCTTGAACCCAGGAGGCAAAGATTGCACTGAGCCGAGATCGCGCCACTATATTCCAGCCTGGTTGACAGAGCGAGACTCTGTCTCAAAAAAAAAAAAAAAGAAAGAAAATGAAATCAGAATTTTTAAGAGATATCTGCACTCCCATATCTATTGCAGCGCTATTCGCAGTATCTATTGCAGCAGTATTCACAATAGCCAAGAAGTGGAAGTAACCTAAATGACTATCAATGGATGAATGGATAAAGAAAATGTGGTTACGTATATACAATGAAGTATTACACAGCCTTAAAAGAGAAGGAAATCCTGCCACGTGTGACAACATGGATGAAGCTGGAGGACACTACACTAAGTAAAAGCCAGACAGAAAGACAAACACACCACCTGATTCACTTATATGTGGAATCTAAAATAGTTGAACTCCCAGAAGCAGAGAACAGAAGAGTGGTTGCAGGGGCTGGGCAATAGGGAGGTGGTCAAAGACACACAGTTTCTGTTACGAAGGACAAGTAAGCTCTGGAGATCTGGTGTCTAATGTCCACCATGAGGACTGCAGCTGACAATACTGCACTGTATACTTGAAATGTGCTAAGAGAGTCAACCTTCAGTGTTCTCACTACACACACACACATACACACACAAGTCTGTAAAGTGAAGGATGTGTTAACTACTTTGTGGCTATTTCACAAATATATATGTATATCAACATCAAGTTATACACCTTCAGTATATACCATTTCTATCTGTCAATTACACTCCCAATAAAGCTGAAAATAAAACACAAGAAAAAAAAGAAAATCACTTTTCCCAATAGGTACTTGGTACAGCGGACATTTTTTTTTTTTTTTGGTTAAGGAAATGGAAGGAAACTGACATAAAAGTACACATTTAATTTAACAAGCGATTACAGATCACCTAGTGGGTACAATGTGTTACTAGGTCAATTGGAAGACTCTAAAATAAATAAAATTTTGTCTCTGAACTCAAAACATTTGCAGTCTCCCTCTCCCTCTCCCTCGCACTTGCCCCATGGTCTCCCTCTCCCTCTCTTTCCACGGTCTCCCTCTGATGCCGAGCCGAAGCAGGACGGTACTGCTGCCATCTCGGCTCACTGCAACCTCCCTGCCTGATTCTCCTGCCTCAGCCTGCCGAGTGCCTGCGATTGCAGGCAAGCGCCACCACACCTGACTGGTTTTCGTATTTTTTTGGTGGAGACGGGGTTTCACTGTGTTGGCCGGGCTGGTCTCCAGCTCCTAACCGCGAGTGATCCGCCAGCCTCGGCCTCCCGAGGTGCCGGGATTGCAGACGGAGTCTCGTTCACTCAGTGCTCAATGGTGCCCAGGCTGGAGTGCAGTGACGTGATCTCAGCTCGCTACAACCTCCACCTCCCAGCCGCCTGCCTTGGCCTCCCAAAGTGCCGAGATTGCAGCCTCTGCCCGGCCACCACCCCGTCTGGGAAGTGAGGAGCGTCTCTGCCTGGCCGCCCATCGTCTGGGATGTGAGGAGCCCCTCTGCCTGGCTGCCCAGTCTGGAAAGTGAGGAGCGTCTCTGCCTGGCCGCCATCCCATCTAGGAAGTGAGGAGAGCCTCTTCCCGGCCGCCATCCCATCTAGGAAGTGAGGAGCATCTCTGCCTGGCCGCCCATTGTCTGAGATGTGGGGAGCGCCTCTGCCCCGCCGCCCCGTCTGGAATGTGAGGAGCGCCTCTGCCCGGCCGTGACCCCGTCTGGGAGGTGAGGAGCGTCTCTGCCTGGCCGCCCCGTCTGAGAAGAGAGGAGACCCTCTGCCTGGCAACCGCCCCGTCTGAGAAGTGAGGAGCCCCTCCGCCCGGCAGCCGCCCCGTCTGAGAAGTGAGGAGCCCCTCCGCCCGGCAGCCACCCCGTCTGGGAAGTGAGGAGCGTCTCCGCCCGGCAGCCACCCCGTCCAGGAGGGAGGTAGGGGGTCAGCCCCCCGCCAGGCCAGCCGCCCCGTCTGGGAGGGAGGTGGGGGGGGTCAGCCCCCCGCCCGGCCAGCCGCCCCGTCCGGGAGGGAGGTGGGGGGGGTCAGCCCCCCGCCCGGCCAGCCACCCCATCCGGGAGGTGAGGGGCGCCTCTGCCCGGCTGCCCCTGCTGGGAAGTGAGGAGCCCCTCTGCCCGGCCACCACCCCATCTGGGAGGCGTGCCCAGCGGCTCATTGAGAACGGGCCATGATGACAGTGGCGGTTTTGTGCAATGGAAAGCGGGGAAAGGTGGGGAAAAGACTGAGAAATCGGATGGTTGCCGTGTCTGTGTAGAAAGAAGTAGACATGGGAGACTTTTCATTTTGTTCTGTACTAAGAAAAATTCTTCTGCCTTGGGATCCTATTGATCTGTGACCTTACCCCCAACCCTGTGCTCTCTGAAACATGTGCTGTGTCCACTCAGGGTTAAATGGATTAAGGGCGGTGCAAGATGTGCTTTGTTAAACAGATGCTTGAAGGCAGAGTCATCACCACTCCCTAATCTCAAGTACCCAGGGACACAAACACTGCAGAAGGCCGCAGGGTCCTCTGCCTAGGAAAACCAGAGACCTTTGTTCACTTGTTTATCTGCTGACCTTCCCTCCACTATTGTCCTATGACCCTGCCAAATCCCCCTCTGTGAGAAACACCCAAGAATGATCAATTAAAAAAAAAAAAAAAAAAAAAAAAAACATTTGCAAAGCCCTAGGTGCCTGATCAGCCAGAGGCACTCGTTCATTCCTCCGTGACCCTGAGCATGAGCTGCAGGGCCCTAACACTGAACCATAAACCCACAGGCAAACCCAATCCTACAAGAATCCCTAAAGTGCCCTCTTTCTCATGCCAATGCTACAAGAAAAGAGCATCAATAATGTTCTCATTGATACAAACAACGCTCAAAGCTATCTCCATGACAATATTTACCCTCATCCACTCTCCAGGAAGTGATTAAGGAAGAGCAGGTGCCAGTAAGGAAGATACTAGACACCCCTGGGAAGTGGGTGCTGGTGGCAGTGGGAGCACCTGGTGCGGCCTGGGCAGCCCCAACCCTCCAGAACCCCACAGCGGGGCGTGCAGGTTAATAACTACCATGAGTTCTGATTCTTTCAGATACTGGGTAAAAACCTTCAACTCAATGAAGAGCTCCAGGAAACAAAACAGGGAGAACATCACTATGCACATGCAGACACGACAGTCCACAGAGAACCCTCAGCATAGCGAACAGACTTCTTAAAAATGCGAACACCACAGGCTCCTGACCACATCCTGTGTATCTGTGATGAGCCTGTGGCCACACCATGCACTGCCCATGGTGTCCTCCAGTCCTCCTGCGGTCTGAGGATGGGGAGTGGGTCCCTGGATTTCCATGAGGCAAGGGAGCTGGGGTCCACTCTTGTCTGACCTGACTTGCTTTCCCTCTAATCCCCACCAAGAGGCTGTCTCTACCCAGTAAACAGATACAAATCAGTTGTCAAACACAAAAATTACACGAATGCAACTACTGTGATCCTCTGTTCTTTTAGTCCAATAACTGGTGACAGGTTTGGAGCATCTAGAGAGGTGAAAGGGAGTGGACAGCCCGGGGCTCCACAGCTTTTCCCCAGCACAGAGAATGATCCCACCTGGCCACGGCAGAAGCCAGTATGCAGTGTGCTCACAGAGGAGTATATTAATTGCAGCCAAATAAATAATTGAGTGCCCAAATCTCCACCTTGTGTGCCAAATGGATCTCCACAATCTGCTGGTCAATACTCCACAATGTGGGCCTTTACACCCCTGCCCCACCCTGTGAAGGCAGCTCTGCCCAGCAAGTGCTCCTCATGTGAAAGCTGCCATGATATCTTCAGCAGTCGAGGGTGGGAGTAGATCATCAACAACCCACCTGCCCAAATTTAAATTGGGGGGAGGCAAAACTCCACCCCCAAACCCTATAAGGACATGATACTAAAACCCAGTCCCCACAGACATGAGTTATCAGACATGCTTAAGTTACTTGCAGGGCACAGTTACCCTCTCAACCTGGAGGAAACCTCAGACACCATCCCTTCCCAGGGCTGGAACCCGCACCCAGGACAGCGGGGCTTCCACATGAAAGTGGGAGGTTTGGGGGCTGCCAGGAGCTCCAGCTTTGGCTCTTGCTTTGCTCTCTCTGGGGCTGCCTCTATTTGTGTCAGGTAAACACAGCTTTCTAAGGAAGACCTGACTTGGTGGCATTAAAGAACCTGGACACACACAAGCTCAACCCTGTGAGGACATGGGTCCAAAAGCAGGAACTCGTCTTATGATGTTTCCTGCAGGGTTTGAAACTTGGTGTGACCCTTCCCAGTCTCATGTAAAATTCAGCTCGATTGACTACTTTTCCACTACACACTTTTCTGGAGCACGTCTTTGCACAGCAAGGTGTGAGGGAATGCCGTTTCTGCTACTTTGCACCACGCCCTTTAAGTTGCTACTGGCTGACATTTTCAAATGCCAAACTCCAAACAGCCAGTTCTTTCTAGCCTCCTTTGATGCTACTGGAGAATTCACCCAGAGAGGCCACCCTTGGGACAATGGCAGTGCCCAACAATGGACAGAGAGGCACAGCTGCTGCCTACTCTCTGTGGGTTTTCCTTACACGCTCATCAGATCCCAACCTGCCTCTCATCTCCTGAGGACAAAGGATTAATGATTCTCTAATTGGGTGTTACAAGTGCATCCCTCCACAAGACCTCAGTAGGTCACTGTGCCACTGGGCCATGGGCAAGTGGAAGAGGCTGCCTGGCCACTCACACATTCTCACCACCTCCTGGGTCTGACCTCTCCTCCTCACCACCTCTGATGGAGCAGCCCCATCCTGATCTGCAGCTTTGCCCATTGATTAGGGATTGGGCGTGATTTCCCACATCAGCACTGGGTGCAGTGATGGCGCTCAGAACAGCCTGCCTGGGATGGAATCCTGGTACCACTGCTCACTGCCTCTCTGACCTGGGTGGGGCTGACTGCATCCTCTGTGCCTCAGCTTTATTACTGGTGAGAGCAGAATGACAGTGCCCACCTCACAGGGTGGATAGAGTTTTACGTGAAGTAACATTTTTAAGGCACCGAGCACAGTGCCAGGCATGTGGTAGGCACAAGGTCAGTACTTGCTAAATAAATGAGTTAATTTGCTCCCACCTTTTCTATTTTGGATTCTACATAGTAAGGCATTCGCCTAGCTCAGGG
Source organism: Homo sapiens (assembly GCF_000001405.40). Taxonomy (NCBI): domain Eukaryota; kingdom Metazoa; phylum Chordata; class Mammalia; order Primates; family Hominidae; genus Homo; species Homo sapiens. Next base: position 51,211,585 of record NC_000007.14, read on the forward strand.
CAGAGGATCACCTATCTGTATGTTGCCAAACACCATCCTGCTCTCAGCAAATACCAAGATATTAGACCCTTTCAAAGCAACATCTTTGAAGCAATGCAGAATAGAGTTTCTCCAATTGTACAAAGAATAAAACTAAGACAATCAGACCCTCTCAGAATGTCAAACAAAGAGTCAGGTATGTTAGGAAAGTGACTAGGTCTAGGGCTCTCCCTGGCCTCAGGGATGATCCCATAGGATCGCCATTTTCATTGACTACACAGACATCAAGAAAAATCTCATCTCTCTCCTTCTCTCTCTGCCTCTCCTCTCTCTCTCTCATCATCTATCTACATTCAGGTTAAATCTCAGGTTCAATGGAAGGATAAAAGACAGTAACAAAATGGAATGATTACCTTAAAATCAAGAGAGCAGGGGTGGAGGGGGTTATGAGAGCAGGCCTTTCAGGTTTCTCTCCCCTTCCTCCGCGACATCATTTTTACCTCTAACGTCTTTACCTCTGTTACCCCAAATGCCTTTTAAGTGCTCATAAGATAGAGGTAAATGTTATTTTTTTTGTATTTGTTGTGGTCTCTGATTTTAAACTTAATAGAATTATTATACTTCTTTAAAAATAATATTTTCCAAATGTGTACAGACTTCAAAAAATTTTTTTGAGTCAGTGACTTCAATTAGAAAAAAACTGGTTTTCTTTTGTAGGTGGTTCTTTTTGAAATCTTAGCAGAGCCCTAGACAAGAAACGGAGAGCCTGTGCCAATACCCGTCCTAGTGCAGAGGGGCCACTGCCCCTCAGAAAGTAGGCAACAGCAAAAGACTGCTTGGGGAACACACAATGTCAGAGAAGCCAAGTCCTACTTCCATTTCCATCAGACCCTGGCCAATTAATGAATTACCCTTCTCTAATTGAGGGGACTTCGATCTACATTACAAGCCAGCTGTCCTACCAGATCCTCAGACCCCATTCAGTGTGGAAATGGACTGAAAAATACTCTGTGATGAGGCTGCCAAGGGCCGTTCTTGAGCCGCTGACACAAATCATTCCTACAGTCCCCCTGTTCATGCCACCCCACCAGTGAGACCTTGGGCTCATTCTTAGGACTGCGTACTCATCGAGTATCCCTGACATCTAGCAGAGCTAGTGGCATGCACCATAGCAAGGGATTGCAAACTTTAACACGCAATCTGAACCTTCAGGGCTTGCTGAAATACAGATTGCTGGGCTCCTCCCCAGCATTTCTACTCAGGTCTGGGGAAGGGCTGGGAATTTGCATTTCTAACAAGTTCTCAAGTGAGGCCATTGTTGCTGGTCTGGAACCCCACTTTGAGAATTGCTAGACTCTAAGTACCCAGGACGTGCACACTTAGTATGTATGTGTTAAGTAAATAGGTAACTCAGTGCCAAGTTTACAAATCACTTTAAAGTAGCTGTAGCTACTTCCCAACACAATGTTAAAACAAATTTAATTTGCATGAACTGTCAAATCTTAAACTGGTCCAGAGTGGCCTAGTTTCTTGTGTGGGACCAAGGCCACTCTGTGGCCCTAAGCTCTGGATGAGGCAGACTCTGGCATAACAGAGTCAAGCCCTGGGAGAGAGTCCAGTCTGACAGCTTAATATGGGTCCTCTACAGCAGCGGTCCCCAACCGCCTGCCACAGACGAGGACCAGTCAACGGTGTGTTAGAAGCCAGGTCGCACAGCAGGTGAGCAGTGAACAAGTAAGCATTTCCCCCTGAGCTCCATCTCCCGTCCAACCGCAGTGGCATTCGATTCTCATAGGAGAGTCAACCCTATTGTGAACTGCGTATGTGCTCCTTATGAGAACCTAGTGATACACATAATGCGCTTGAATCATCCCGAAGCCATCCCCAGCCTGGTCTGTGGAAAAACTGTCTTCCACAAAACCAGTCCCTGATGCCAAAAAGCTTGTGGCCCACTGCACTACAGGCAGTTCGTGCTGACGGGGCCCTACACAAAGGGACACATCAGCAGAACACAAAAAGGGTCAGTGTGGAGACAGGTGACCTGAGGAAGCCCAGAACCAGGGAAGTCTAGGTGTGAGGCTGAGGTCTCTGTAAGGATGCAGTTTCTGAGAGGCCTGGGTCCCGGGCCTGTCAACTGAGGTGAGTAGGGGCCTACCTCGCAGATGCAAATCAGAAGCCACATCGCCGGAAACAGAACCCATGACTAACAACAGAGCCACAGTGAGGAGGACGGTGTCAGACCTCAGAGAGTTGGCCAAGCCCTCACAAACCCACACACCTCCTGGGGCCAAGCAGCTGCTACCAGTCTGTGAGGGCTCTCATGATGTGAATTTAGTGGGGGCGGGGGTTGCTGCTAACTGGAAAGGGAATGCCTTCTATAAAGGCATCCGCATTTCAAAACTGTTAAAAGACAATGCTGGCTGTGGGCACGGTGGCTCACGCCTGTAATCCCAGCACTTTGGGAGGCCGAGGCAGGCAGATCACTTGAGGTCAGGAGTTCCAGACCAGCCTGGCCAACATGGTGAAACCCCGTCTCTACTAAAAATGCAAATATTAGCTGGACGTGGTGGCACGCATCTGCAATCCCAGCTACTCGGGAGGCTGAGGCAAGAGAATCACTTGAACCTCGGAGGCAGAGGTTGCAGTGAGCCGAGATTGTGCCGCCACTGCACTGTAGCCTGGGCAACAGAGCAAGACTTCATCTATTAAAAATAAATAAATAAATAAATAAATAAATAAATAAATAAATAAATAAAGACAATGCTGGTTGTGTCCTTTGACATGGAGAGAGGTGATGTGCAGAGTCTGGGAACCTGGGAAAACCACCAGTTACCCTGTCCAGATGGGATGTGTTACCTGGACAGGTGTGAACAGGCGATCTCAGACATGGAGTGCATTCTGGTTGGCTTCAGCCTTGAAGGAATCCCTTTGCTGACCACAGTAACTGTGACCTTTCTTAATTCTGATCTCCTCATTTTTTGGCCTACATCTTGGAGGTCACCTTACTTCATAATCTAGAGCCTTCTGTGTCCAGATTATAAGCAAGTTAGTTGTTTTCTATGTGATTCTCACTCAGCAGATCAATCAACATGTACCCTGGGGGCCCCTGACATAGCCCAGTTACCCTTAAAATCATCTGTTAGTGTTGGGCTTAAAAATGCATGTCAATTTTGTATGCTACTTTTCATATAAAACTATTTTTCCTGTGTTTGAAGAAAATTAATACTGCGATGCAACAGCTTCCTCATTGCTTGCCTAGCACTGTTCCCAGTGGCACACGCAGTCTTGTTTGAGATCGGTGGAGCTGCAGGGAGGCCTACAGGATACTCTTCAGTACAGGCCATACCAGTGTCCAGGCCAACATACCTCCTGCTTCTCAGCCTAGCTTCAAGCAATATTGAATGCCCTGCTTCTCACATAAACCGGCATTTTGCAAGTGTTATTTTTTTTTTCTACTTGCTGAGGAGTCTTCTTCACAGTGCCTCACGAAAGTTAGCAATAAACTCAGTATATATTTTGACCCATGAATAAATAAGCATGATCACATGCTTTAATCCATCAAGATCTCACACCATGAGACCTCCCTTACGTATAACTGGTATAACACCAATGTCAAAAACACCAACAGCACCTTCTGTGAACGTTTAGGAAGAATGTGTCCACCTTTTGTGAAGATAAGCAGTTCATAGTTTATAGCCAGCTCCTTAACCTTGTCACTTCCCCACAAAAAAGATTTTCGTAAAGAAAACATATTAGAAATCGGATGTTGATAGCATTCTGCAAATCACAGTGGGCTTTTTGGCATGTTTTTGTTTTTTTCAGCTTTGTTTGGATTAAGCCCACACAAATAAAGCCTTAATGAGGCAGAAACATCACAGGGAGGTTGGGAAGGCGGGCATTAGAAATGATGAGTGAAGATCCAGATGATCATACCCACTGAACATACCAAGACTCACTTCTAGCTCAGGTTACCAAAGTGGGCTCTGGCTCACAGGAATTTACTCTATTGTAATGGGTAGTCTTCGAATAGAAGCATAATCACACCAAGGTGCACCTGACTTTTAACCTTGTGACTTTTGGAACAGCCTTCTTGGGGCCTACTCAACAGTGCATGGCAGCAAAGCTGTCCTCTCGAAAGTTACTTCCTTCAGCCTCTGGGGCCAGGACCTCACATCCAAGAGTGCAAGGCCAAGGCCATGACCTTTCAGAGGCTGTACATGTGCTCCATCAATACCTTCACAGGACAGAGAGGGATGAGGGTCCCTCCCAGCCTCCCTTCCCTTGCACCTGAGAACAGGTGAGCCCTCTACAGAAGGAACATGGAGACCCAACACCTGCTGCTGCAAGAGTCCTGTGCTGTTTCACACAGACAGGGACCTAAAACTCCCTGCACAGGTCTAAGCTTGTCTGTTGTAAAGGGGATGCAATGGCCTGTAAAGGCAGAATCACAGGACTGAATATGAGGCAGATTTCCTCTCTTCTGCAAAAGGAAGGCTTGCCTTCTTCTGCCCTAGCCCTTGGCCTTGAACACCAGTTTGGACACAAGGCACTGACCATATCATAATGACACAGCCTAGCACACTAAATACCTGACACCCTTTTGTAAAGGGCTCTTTGAAGATCTTTTCTTTTTTTTGACGGAGTCTCAACTCTGTTGCCCAGGCCGGAGTGCACAGGCACAATCTCAGCTCATTGTAACCTCTGCCTCCCAGGTTCAAGTGATTCTCCTGCCTCAACTTTCCGAGTAGCTGGGGTTACAGGGAAGCACCACCACACCCAGCTAATTTTCTTTACTTTTAGTAGAGACAGGTTGGCCAGGCTGGTCTCAAACTCCTGACCTCAGGTGATCCGCCCACCTCAGCCTCTCAAAGTGCTGGGATTACAGGCATGAGCCACTGCACCTGACCAAAAGATCTTCTGTTCTTGTGCCTCAATTAAAATGATGGGATTGTGGCCTCTGTCCAGCAGCTGTGTGGGGTGCTGGTAATACCATCCTTAAGGTAGGCCAGAACATTTCCCCTATGAACGGCTCAGAGCACCAATTCTCATGTCTTAATCTGTAAGAACAGACTTCAACTTTTATTTATGTTTCTTAATTCAAGGGAAGCTAAAAAAAAAAAATTCACTGATTTTCCATATGGGATTATCAGCATCCAATTACTAATGTGTTTCCTTTGTGGAATCCTTCATGTCAGGAAATAACACAGTTAAGGGGCTGACTATAAATTACAAACTCCTTGCTTACCCTATGAAAAGGTTGCATGTTCTTTACTAAACCCACTTTTTAAGACAGAAGAGAAACCACAATGACAAAAAACAAGTAGATCTATTTTAAGCAAGGGTCAGGAATTTAACTGCAGCCCACTCTTATATTAATAAAGAGCATAACATAAAACCAATTCCCAAAGCAAGGAGCTACTGCATCCGCAATAGTTATCCCACCAAAGACCCACTGGAGGCAGCTCACAGCTGCTGCTATAACTCACTGATGCTTCAGGAAACCATGAGAAGGGATAATAATTCACTACTTAAGAAAGATAACATTATTTTAACACTCCATCTCTAAGGCTGCACCTATTCTCAGTCACTACATTACAAAACTTCATGGTGGCAACCTCTACTTTATAAGGGAAATAAAAGAAATGAAAGCATTCTTTTAAAATAATATTTTTACTTTTAGAATGCGCATTCTATTCTTTCCTTGTGCATTTGTAAAACTGGATCCATGGACTGCAGAATTAAGACATGATCCACAATGCCATTTTCTTTTCTTTTTCTTTTTTTTTTTTTTTTTTGAGATGGAGTTTCTCTCTTGTTGCCCAGGCTGTAATGCAATGGCGTGATCTCGGCTCACCACAGTCTCCATCTCCCGGGTTCAAGTGATTCTCCTACCTCAGCCTCCCGAGTAGCTGGGATTACAGGCATGCGCCACCACGCCTGGCTAATTTTTTGTATTTTTATTAGAGACGGGGTTTCACCATGTTGGCCAGGCTGGTCTCAAACTCCTGACATCAGGTGATCCACCTACCTCAGCCTCCCAAAGTGCTGGGATTACAGGCGTGAGCCACCATGCCTGGCCCACAATGCCATTTTCTAAACAAAATATGTACCTAGGAATTGGGCTAAAATATAAGAATGGCGAGTAAACCCTAATATACCCACTGAGAAAATTTCATGCATATACTAAAGTGTTTTTTAAAACTATAATAATGCGACTAATTTCTTACGTTACAAAGTTATATAGGAAAAGTGTACTTTGGCCTATGACTACTTTATAAAACAAAGAAACTCACAGAAACTCCTGTCTCTCCACTGTGCATGAACCCTGGGGGGAAAGCCTATCGAACTGCCGCAAGAGATAGTGGCTTCCGGTGGACCAGGCTTTGAGCCCAGGCACCTCCCACCTTGATCCACTGTAGACAGTTAATTGCGCCTGAGCCCTCCTGCTATGATCACAGCCACAGGGCCCCCACTGAGGAGCAACCTCCCATTCTAGCCCAGTGGCACCACACTGGAGAGCAGGCTGGCCTCACCTGGTGCAGCTGAAATACTGTATCCCATGACTCAACAGTTCCAATCCTAGGTATATTCCGAGGCCTCGAGCAATGCTCCCCAAATTTTTATTCACTTATCTCATAAAATACTTTTGAAAAATGTATGCACCCCTTTGCCAATTAGACTGTCACCTGGAATTTTGATTATAAACTGGTTAATTTGATAAAGTAACAAAATAGTTGCAAAGGATTAGGTAATTTCAACTATAATCTAAATACTGGTATTTTAAAATAAAATGCTTACATCACTTTTTAAAAGGCATCTGTGAGAATAAAAACACCCAGAGTGATTTAATTTTCACCGTTATCCATTAAAATTACTCAAGCAAACTGCTTCATAAGAATAAAACATTTTATATCATTTCTTTTTTTCTGGAGATGAAGTTTCACTCGTTGCCCAGGCTGGAGTGCAATGGCACAATCTCGGTTCACTGCAACCTCTGTCTCCTGGGTTCAAGCAATTATCCTGCCTCAGCCTCCCAAGTAGCTGGGACTACAGGCATGCACCTCTATGCCTGGCTAATTATTTTGCATTTTTAGTAGAAATGGGGTTTCACCATTTTGGCCAGGCTGGTCTCATACTTCTGACCTCAAGTGATTCGCCTGCCTCAGCCTCCCAAAGTGATGGGACTACAGGCCACCGTGCCCAGCCCATTTTATATCATTTCTTATTCTCCTTGTTTTCTTATAAATGCTGCTTCAATTCACTGCTGCATCAGAATCATACAAATATGTATGAATGCTTGAAAGTTTTTGTAATTAATCATTCTATCATACTTCTCTTCAGTAAAACGTATAAATTATAGTTAACTTTTTTCTGTGACTTTGTTAGTTTTTTTATTATACATTGGGTTATCACTAAAAGTATCAGTAAGAATAGCACAAAACTATTTAAACAATAAAATCATGATTATTTTGATCACTGTCAAACATAAAATGTGCAAATCTATTGGTCACAAACTCAAAATGCTATGATGAAGGAGACTTTGCCAATGTTTCAGCCGCACCTTTTGTGAGTGAAGTGCAGTGAGACACTCAGCCACGGGCAGATCAGTCCTGAGAAGAGTGCATGTGGGAACTGAGGGTCTCAAATTCAAGCCCTTAAATTGGAAATCCATGATTGGGTTGGTTTATTCCTTCATCTAAACCTGAAATATTTTCACTTTAGAAAGTTGATTGCCAGTTGTACACACACCTCCACATATTGCTGCAAGTAGGTGTGGGAATGGTTAATTTAGGAGGCTGCCCTCCTGGCTGCGTCCCTTCAGAGCTGAGGATACCTGAGGCACACTGTGGCTGCTGTCCCACCCAGGGGTGTAGGTCACCGCTGTACCTGCCCTCGTTTCTGAGCCTGCCTCCTCATAGGAGGCAGCCCTGGAGCCCCAGCTCTCCTAAGCATCTGGTGAGCCATCATGGCTGGATCAATTAGCATAAGCCCACCCCAGGTAAGACAGACAGTTCAGCCTGCTCTAAGTAGTCACTAAGCCCGATTTATATCCATGAGGTTCCTGAGGTCAGACCTGATGAGGAGGAAAATGCAATACATCAACATCCGCCTTTCCATTCTCCCCGCTATACTCGCAAAGTGAGTACAGCGACTCCTCCTGCAGCACCGGCTCTCACCTCCCATTGAGCACGCTCCTCTTCTCCAGCCCACTAGGCAGGACCACGGTGACGTCCATGGTGCTGGCCCTCAGCGCCTCCTTCATGCGAACCAAGTTCTGCTGCGACCCGAGGGCCCCATCGTGGGGGGGCTTCTGGTCACTGTGCACATGCAGAGTGGCAGCCTTTCCAGGAGGTGGGGGAGCACGAGCCTTCATCTTCCTCCTTAAAAACAACAACACAAAGGCACAGAGTCAGTGGCAATGTTCCTACCTGCCTCGGAATAATTCGTTCTTACACATACTCAGGTCTGTCTTCAGGAGCACCTTCCAAGTGCCACGGCCTTTTTAAAATCAATGTCCCCCAAACAAGTAAAAACTAATAAAGTAAACAAAATAGAGAAAGGGTTATTAAAAGGAAGCATTCCCGGAAAGAAACACCTTAAAAACATGCTTGCTGTCAGGGAGGTACACAAGCCTGTATTCACAGGATCTGGTCAAGGGGAGGGTGGGTGCAGCAGGGTTTCGCCCGACCCTTTCTGAATTGTCACAGGGATGACACATCACACGAATTAATGATCACAATGAATCAGGTGGGCTCACTAACACATGTGACACTTTATTAAATCTTGCCCCAGCTCCAAATCTATGGCCAGTTCTGAGGATCTGGAGTCCATGGATCCATGATCTCGAGGATGTGTTGTGCTAAATTAGCCAGAAAGTCGATCACACCACCACCTGTCCACACGGCCACCGTGGACAGATGCGGCTGTTTGGCAGGGAAAGGATGCGGGTGATGGTAAAGGGATTACTAACGCATAACCCCCTTTGCCTTTGTTTTCACCTTATTTCAGACTGTGCTTCAAATGCTCAATTCACCTCGTGGGGTATTTCTAAACACCTGATGAGTCACCCACACTGAGGAACATTTTCTTTTAACATTTATTTTAGGTTCAGGGGTCCACGTGCAGGTAAATTGCGTGTCACCAGGGTTAGGTGTACAGATTATTCCATCACCCAGGTAGTGAGCACAGTACCCAACAGGCGGTTTTTCAATCCTCACCCTCCTCCCACCTTCCGCCCTCAAGTAGGCCCTGGTTCTGATGAACATTTTTAGAAATTCTTGTTTCCGCCAGATTAGCCAGGGAAAGCAACTGGCCTTGTTTTATACAGGTACCTTATTTTATACATAGAATACATATATATGTGTGTATATATATGTATGTACATATTTTGATTTAAGAACCTTACTTTATATAGGCCCTGGTATTTTATTGTCGTGGTAGCAGGTCGAGTACTTACTCGATACTTAACATCCACTAGGACCTATGCTAATAATAACCTTACCAAGTTTACCTTATTGAGAGATCTGTGGCTCACCTAAAGGCATACAATTATCCGGTGCCTGCACAGACATGGAACTCAGACCTGGCTGACTCCAGAGGGTTTGCTCCCGCTGCCTCCCTCCCGCTCTGGCCATACCCTAGTTAGAGGGTCCACAGAGAGGCAGTGAGAGCCTCAGCACACCTTCACCTCTGCTCAGAGTGGTCTTCCAAAGGCATTTGGCATGAGGGATCAGAGACACAGGAATTCCTTTCCTAGAAATTTACTCTAAACAATCCCACAAGACAGCATTGTGGGAGGCTCAAAGATGGTCATCACGACATAAATTCTAATGGCAAACAAATAACCCAACCATACATTAATAAATTAACACATCAAACAAATAATCTAATCATGCATCAATGAAAGACAATGTCAATAAATTATGTTATACCAGAACTAGGCAAACATATCCTAAAAGTATATTGTTTTATGTGCAAAAATGCTCAATACAGGCTTTTTAAAATAACAAGTTTCAGAATATTATTTGTTTAGGAAAATTCTATTTTTAAAGAGAGGTCTACATTAATTATAGCAATGGATCATATAGCAGTTTAGAAAGATAAAGAATTGGCAAAAATGACCTTGGGTGATGGGTAGTATGACATATGTTTTGCTATTTTTATTTCTACACATTTCCTAATTGTTCCATAGTTATCACTTGTATATGTATTACTTATAAAATGAAAGAGGTCATTTAAAACGACAGCAAAAGTGATTAGATGAGGCTGTAAACTTACTGACATTCATGTCACTGGTTAATGTAAAGTTACGCACATTCACGTCATTAAAATAACATTCAGGGGCCAGGTGTGGTGGCTCATGCCTGTAATCCCAGCATTTATGGGAGGCCAAGGCAGCCAGACTGCCTGACTCAGGAGCTCAAGTCCAGCCTGGTCAACACGGTGAAATTCTGTCTCTACTAAAAATACAAAAAATTAGCCAGGCGTGGTGGCAGATGCCTGTAATCCCAGCCAGTTGGGAGCCTCAGGCAGGAGAATCACTTGAACCTGGGAAGCAGAGGTTGCAGTGAGCCGAGATCGCACCACTGCACCCCAGCCTGGGCAACAAGAGTGAAACTCCGTCTCAAAAATAATAATAATAATAATAAAATAACATTCAGATCTCATCCTCTGCTATAAGTAGGTATAAATTCTCTTTTTCTTATTAAAAGGCTTATACTTACAATATTTATAATTTTTGTTATATCTTTATCCATTATATACTTCTTTCAATTTATAGAAATAAAAATAAAATAGTCAACATATATGGCACCATTGTAAGGACTAAATATTTATTCAATTCCTCAGTATACCACTTTAAGGAGGTATTACTGATATTCCTATTTTATAGCTGAAAGTGTGAGCACACCTTCCCAATGTCACAGAGAGGTAAAACTGACAAACTGAAGACAATTTGGTTTCAAAGCCTGAAATTTTAACCACTATGTTATTCAGTCATTATTAGAAAGAACAGATTCCATACCATTTCAGAGATGGAAAAAATCAAGACAGAGAGAAACAGCTTATGGATTCTTTCATTAACCACCCTTTGGTCTAGGGGTAGAGGCCCAGGCTCGGAGACATTAGCATTACCTCCCAAAGGTGTTTTCAGGGGAAAAAAAAAAAAGTGTTTTTCATTTTTAGGAAAAGAGTATCTTTTCCAATTTAGCTGGCTTGGACTCCTTTAGAACTCACCAGTTCAAATAGGAAGCAGCATTTATTCATTTAGCCGGCACCACAATGGGAGTGAGAGGCTGGAGAGAGTCGGGAGAGGTTTTGACTGCCCCACACTTATCCCCAACAAATAATCTGTCCCCAGCTACCCAGAGGCACCCTTGTAATAGAATTTTATCCACCCTCCCTCCCCACGTCCAGTGTCAACACCCTGGTCCAAGCCCTCATCTCTACAGCACACACAAAGGTGGAGTCACGTGAATCACATACGGTGTGTACTCCACCCTTCCCTCCACAGTGTGACTAGGAGCAGCCTGCGAGGGCTGTTGTCTTCTCAGGCCTGACTTTGCTCGGGGCACGCACTGCTTACACGCCTGGCAGGGCCCACTGGCTGTGGCCTAAGCTGCAACCAGCAGGCTGCAAGGGCGGCAGGGAGGTTTGTTTGCCCAGCAGAGTGCTGTGAGCATTAGTGTGTACATGCATGTGTGTGTGCCTGCGTGTGCACGTGTACACATTAAAGTTAGCCAACATTTAAAAAATTGTAATATGTCACACTAACAAAATGAATTTTGGGCTGCTTTTGGGGAAAAAAGGTTTGATGATGCCTGGACATCTTCACAGTAAAAAACGGCTGTGTGTTTCCATCTGGACCTATTGACCACTGGACCTGTTGGCTCAGTGACGTCACACATCTGTGCCCTGTAGGGCTATAAACTCACATCCAAACTTCCAGAGAGTCTGAAGATCTCCACCAGCCCTAGACCTGAACCATTCTTCAATATCCTCCACTCTTCTGGCAATTGGCCTACAGCTCCAGTTTCCAGGAAACCAACCAGTCCCCCAACTGCCTTGGCCTCACTGTACTCTCTGCCTCACTTGTTCTGCTCTCAAAGACATGGCTCAAAACTATGTCGTCAGAGAACCCATTTCTGGGTGCTCCAGGCCTGGGCACACACATAGCTGAGATCAGTGATATCTACGTTGGCTGCACTGTGGCTGGAAGCACTTGGGGAGCTTAAAATATGCCCAGGTCCTATCATGGACCAATTAAATCTGAATACCAATTCAATTATTATTTAACAATTCTAGAAGGCAGCAAGGACATTTGTATTCTCAATATGTAGCATAATGTAGTTCATATTTGTGGGTGCAGACATCTACCACATAATGCTTCAGTCACTGACAGACCACATATATAAAGGTAGTCCCCTAAGACTGTAATACCTTTCCTATGGTTAGATATGTTGAGACATACAAATGCTTACTATTGTGTTACACTTGCCTACAGTGTTCAGCACAGTAACATGCCGCACAGGTTTGCAGCCCAGGAACAATAGGCTACAGCATACAGCTAGGTGTGTAGTAGGCTCTACCATGTAGGTATGTGTTGGGTACATTCTGTGATGTTCACCCAAGGATGAAGTCCCTTAAGGATACATTTCTCAGAGTGCGCCCCTATCATTAAGCTATGTATGACCGTACTTAAAAATGCTTATTGATGATGATGATATTGACACTGCTGAAAATTATACATAGTTCCTGCTTACAAGAAACACTGCGTACTTATAAAAGCCTGAGATAGGAATGAAAAAGAGATTGCAGAATAAATGTTCCAAACGAGCCAAGCTTTCTGAGGGAGAAAAAACCTGTGTGGACCTCATTAGTGGAGTATCCACCCTAACACCCTAGCCGAGGTGGCCTTGAACAGTCTTAAAGATGAGCAGAAATTTCATATATGAGAAAAAGAGACAAAGCCTGGGGCAGGAGGAGAAGTCCCCAAAGAGAAAAAGGAAAAAAAAAAATGCTGTACTGCACATCACAGGAGAAGACGCTAAAACAGCATGCCCGGGCTAGGGACAACTGACAGACAGCACACCACGGTGTCTGGGTTTTTTATTTTATTATTATTTTTTCTTTTTTTGAGATGGACGGCAATGGCGCAATCTTGGCTCACTGTAACCTCTGCCTCCCAGGTTCAAGTGATTCTCCTGCCTCAGCCTCCCAAGTAGCTGGGATTACAGGCATACCCGGCTACCAAATTTGCCACCATACCCGGCTAATTTGGTATTTTTAGTAGAGATGGGGTTACACCATGTTGGTCAGGCTACTCCTGACCTCAGGTGATCCGCCTGCATGTGGGTGACCTGTGCGTGTGGGCGGCCCGTGCATGCGGGGGCGGCCCGTGCATGTGGGCAGGCTGTGAGTGTGGGTGGACTGTGTGTGTGGGTGGACTGTGTGTGTGGATGGCCTGTGCACGTGGATGGCCTGCACAGGTTTAGACCAGGCTTGTTCCCCATTGTCTGTTTCGTGCTTTCAGTGTGGCTTCTGTTAAACGCAGGCACCATCCTGCAGCTAACACAGTCACAGCACAAAACAGAAAACGCCTGGCTTCCTCTGCCTGTGAGTGGCTCAGCCTGGGAAAGAATGGCTGCTATTTACGTGGGGACTCCACATCTGTACTCGGTTGTGAAAAGTCATTAGCTTACCAAGCAGGGGATGCCTTTCTCAAACATCTGTGCAGATGTCATGTGGTTGAGTCTGAGACTCAGATGCATGTGGCAGTTTAAAAAGAGTAGGCCTTCTGCACAAGTCTAAAGAGGCCATCAGACCTGGGACCTTGCCCGGCTCCTGCTGGGCACACCCATCGCAGGTGCTCCCGGCTGGCAGTGCACACAGGCTGGGTAATCCAGCTTTCCTTCCTCTCACCCCCTCCAGTAGGAGGCAGGGCAGGTCCTTGGGACTCAGCAGGGAATGAATCACAGCACACACAACTCAAGCTTCCTTTGATCTATTCAGGTTGAAAAACCTGGGTGTGCCCTGGCAGGAACTGTTTATAAAATGAAAAAGTATATATATGAAAACATTTCTGCCATTTCCAAGGTCATCAACCATAGCTCTAAATGATTTTAGCTTAAAACCATCACACATTTACTAAGTTTCAGGATGACGCTTGTTAATTCCCACATCAGCTGGAAGCTCCCAGCTGGGTTTTTATTCTGAGAGCTCTTCAACATTCAGCAGAAGGCTTGAAATCCACTCACTGAAAGTCAGAGGGTCTTAGGTGACATGGTGCAGTGAATGCAAATCGCAGGTGTGAGGCCCAGGTAGCTGAATTAAAACCTAACTCTATAGGTGACAGCCACTGCCCAGCCAGGCTGGTCAGGCTGAGGTAGACAGGGACTGCATGCTGAAAAGGGAAAATTCATGCGTCTCTGTACTTTCCCAGACCCTGAGTTCAAAAGCACTATGCTTTACATCTTCCATCTTTCCAGTTGGAAATGTCATCTGTGGACCTGAAGGTATAACAATTTCTTACTGTCCAAGAAAAGTGGACTGGGAAATCCACAGTGATGCTGAGGCCAGCTGACCTGAATGGCACCTCTACACCATGGGTGCCTGTTTACCATGTTGGCTACTCTGGCTGGCTGCTGGCAAACCGCATGTGCTTAAAGGGAATTTCAGAGAGAAACCAGGCACACCCGGCTCTCCTGGCTAAGAGAGTCTGTTTATGCTGCAGGCAGAAGGGAGTTGCCATTCTCTCTCCATGAGATTCTTCAGCAATAGGATGTTTGCTTCATCCTGTTTACAAGCGGTACATAAGCTGCGTCTGGTTTGTGTCTGGCTATTTATTTGCAGCCACAGTTGTAGACTTCCCTCTACCAAGGGAAGAGGAACCATGACTTTCTTGTTCATCACTGGTAAGTGAAGTGCTGGGCCCAGGGAAGGAATTCGGTCACCACTGCGTTGAGTGAGTGAGTGAGTGAGTGAGTAAGTGAGTGACTAAGTGAGTGAGTAAGTGAGTGAGTGAGGGAGTGAGTTGGGATTCAGCTGCCAAGTCAGTGCCCAGTTTTCTCAGCAATAATAAAAAGTCAGAAAGATGTCCAGAAACAAATGCCCAGAAGACAGCTGAGTGCTACCGCAGCCTGCAGAACTGGTTACCAAAGAGGGGAATGAGGAATCCTCGCATCCTGTACCAGCTCCCACATCCCTGAGTCCAACACTAATCTGATTTAAGCCCTCATTTTCTAAACATGCCATGATCCAGCCACCATGCCACACTGTGTATGTTCAATACCCCTGGCAACTTCATATGCAAGTGTATTCTCCCCATTTTACAGACAGGGTGGCTGAGTATCCAACCAGTTAAGTAACCTTCTCACAATCACACAGCTGGAAAAGACTGGAATTCTAGCCCAGGTCTTTCTGAGCCTAGGACACCACCTACACACTTTGCACCGCCTCCAGCCTTAATTACTTCTTGAAAACAAGCACCGGGGTTCCTGGCAGACTGATGCTAGGATGTTTGGACTCCTTGACACATACTAGAACGCTGGTGCCCTGCAGTGCCGGCTGATGAGCGGTGAGGTTAGAGAATACTCTTCAGTGAAGGTTTCCAGCACACAGTTGTAGAGACGCCCCCTTTACTCTGATGTGGGGTCTGGACAAGCCTTATTTGCAAACTGAGTTGGGCCTCCAAGAACTTCCTTCAGTGCTCAAGGTTCCACGAGGCTCAGATGGACGCATGGGGACTGTGTTCAACTGCCTCAGGAGACAGAGGAAGACTGGAGTCACAGGGAGATGGAAGGACGTGCCCCGGCATGACATGAGGTAGGTGGCAGAGCTGGAACAGACCCCAGATTAGTCTCAAGCATCCCTGAATACACCTTTAGGGTCAGGTACTTCTTTGAGTATCTGATGAAGGCCATGGACCTTCTTCCAGGCAAGATGCACTCCAGCCTGCTTGCCACCAGCCAGGAGCACCTGCTATGGGTGTGCCCAGCAGGAGCTAGAAAAGATCCCAGCTCTGATGACTTCCTTAGACTTGTGCAGAGACCCTGCTCTTTTTAAACTGCCACATGCCCCTGAGTCTCAGACTCCTAAGCCTCTTCCTTGTACATTATTTCTGCAAACCACCCTGATGACCAGGGACTCCAGATTAAGAATCCATGTAATACCTTTTCTTGGAGCTCAGCACCTCCCAAGCTCAGGGCAATGTTCCTGTGAAGACAAGAATTCCTTCTAATAGAGGAGAAGAGCTATCAGAGGAAAATCCCATCAAAGCTTTCCCCACTGTCTTGGCCCCTGCAAACAAAACGGAAAGCCAGAAAAACAGTCAACAGAAGATCCAGATAAGTAAGGGCTGAAATATGTGTCTATGAAACAATCACACTGCAGCCCACAGAATTGTGGCATAAAAACAATAAATATCACACTGGAGCAATAAGCCAGGGAGAAACGACTTTACCCATCAAAACGCCACATTTCAGGGCACACAAAGGCACTGTCTGTTGAAAGTCTGCCCCAGGACACTCCACAGCTGTACACCATCCACCACATCCTGGTTACATGCTCTAGAGCTGGAAAAACATCAGGTCAAATCCAGCCACGACGTGGCCACGCTGTGCATCTCCCCCAGATAAGCTCCTGTAATCTGTAGGCCTCAGTTTCCCCAAGAGCTGAACAGAGAGAGATTTCAGCTTTTATCAGCTGAGTAAATGGGAGGATTAAATGAGATGACCCCTGTAAAGTTTCTGGTATGGCACCGAGACACAGGTAGCACTCAATGACTGGTGGTAATTACAAATTTTTTTACTATTATTATTAGCACGCTTACTCTTTTGGATTAAAAAAAAAAGAAGCAGGCCTCTTGTCTCTGCGAGGGTAGAGTAGAAGCTGGCTCCTCAAAATGCCTAATAAAAGCTCATTTATGCAGCAAATGCATTCATAACTGCCTAAGAAATCCTACACAATAGAATTTCACAGTTTTGACCTGGGGGTGGGGGAAGCTTTCAGTAACTCAACATAAAAAGATTAGCTTTCTAGATAGGATTCTCTAAGACATAATAACAAAACATATCCATAACACTCACCAAACTAAACTCCAGGGCCTGTAGATATGGGAACACTGATATCTCACAACACATCAAGTAAATATTCAAAGAGGAACATTTGAGAGCCCAGTCCCACAGCTATTACTCAACTCCCAGCAAGTGAAGAAAGAGCCTGTCGGTGAGGATCACTTAACTATCGGCAAATACTCCATGCTCATGCTGAGCAGAGCAACCCCTGTTCCAAGTTTCAGATAAAACCCTGAGTTACTACATTGTTCAATATTATAGAAAAAGGATATCTCCTTCAAAAAAAAAAGCAGTGCTAGTTTACTGAAGTTTGAACATTCTTAACAAATGAAATGGAATAGATCAGAGAAAACTTACTGATTCCCAAACCACCAGGCAATGTTTGCATACATCCCAAGCTGTCCCCTGCCCTTGCCTGGAGTGGGTTTGCTTTGCCCCCTAAAAGGAGCACAAAGGGCTTTCTACCGCACAGCCAACGCTGTTCCAGGAGCTAACGGACAGAAACCGCTCCTTGGGCTTCCCTGGACGAGGAGTGCAGAGTGAAGCAGTGCCCTGAGAACTAGCAGAGGCATCCGATCCAATTCAGCTAGTGACTTATTCATAAATGTGCCACCCGATGCAGCTTTTCCCCGAGCAAGCCCGCGGTGCCGGCGCCTGTACTCCCGGCAACGGAAATCTCAAGTCATTTTGCAGAAAGACAGTGAGTGAATTGTCTTGGTTCACTTGTTCACAAACCCTCCAAGCCTGGAAAATGAGAATGAGACCGCGAGAGTTGTGAGGGAGGAAGGGCTGAGCTCGCCTTTCATCGGGATGCCTGGCAGCAACCTTACTTCCTTTTCCCAAGGTGCATTCGTCCACCACCTTCTTGGAGTTTTCCAGGGCAGGCAGCCCAGGTGATCCCTTCAGGAGAAAGCCTAATTATTCCCGGAGAGCCAAGTCAGCTCTGTACCTTAGCTGACCAACCTCGGCATTTGCTGAATTTGTATAAAGCAATTCTTGCCACCTCTCAGGCATGATTTAGTACATTCTTTTCCTAAAGGAGTTTTGATTTTTTTCTTCTCTTATCCCCCAAAACTACGCAACCAGAAGCTCACTGCTTTCTTGCAGCCAGTCTCTATGTGGCAGCATGGATTTTCAAGCTTGAAAGCCGTATTTGGTTTCTGCCAACCATTGTCCCAGGACTACAAAGACACGGCCAAACTGCTCAATATGTGCAGATGGATACACCGTGAGCTTGACGGGCTCCCAGCTCCTGTCCAAGCAAGGGCCCGAAGGTCCCAGCAAGGGCACAGTAGGTTTGGGGATGGAGGGATCTGGTCATGCCTCTAGATCACACCCCTACCTTTAGCCCCTGCTGCCTTATCTGTGCAGGCTGCAGTATCACCTGAATTTAACCGTGTCCCTGACTGGCAGACCCCAGAGCTCTGGTTGACCTCGCTCCCCCAGCAGGGAAGAGGCATGGCCAGGCCAGCACAGCCCTGAGAAGCAAGGAGTGTGCCCCCAGCTGCCCCCATCAGACACACACCTCCTCCAAGCTTCTCTCCTACGTGGACACCACACCTGCAGCACACTGCCACCTCGCTGCCACAACCTGAGGAGACTGTACCAGTCTGCTGGTTTCTAGGCCTAACAACACCCAATGAAGAGCTCTCCGGGGCACCACTGCCTCTCCTGCCTCTCCATTTCAGTCATGGCTTCATTATGTGCCAAGGTTTCTACCTCATTGTCATCTCTGTCTCTTCTTCCTCCCAAGGCCAAAGACTGCCAAGCTGATTCCAGCTCTGCCAAGGCTCAAACCCAGCCCCTCCTTTACCCCGTTCCTGCTCCACTGTTGCTCCTTTCCCCACACATGGGATTCTATCTGACTTCCTGCTGGCCCCTTCCCACCACCCCTGCTCCACTGCTGCTCGGGGCATTGTCTTCTCTCCCCCAGACTCTTACAGTGGACTCTGAAGGAATCTCCTGCATCACCTGCCTCCCCTTCTTGAGTCCCATTTCCACACACTGAAGATGAATATTCCTCAAGGACGGCTCCATCTGGCCATTCTTCCTAATGCAAACACGTTAGTGGTCCCTCTGCCCACTGGGTGAAGCCCAAACTCCTCTGTCTGATCTGCCTCTAACTTCAAGGCTATTTCCACCACACCCCTCATCGCCCACATCGTGGTTACTTGAACCCTGGTGTTTCTGCACGTGGGGCAGATCCCCTGCTATCCTGTCTCCATCAACCCTCACCAGCCTTCAGTGAGTGAATGAATGGAGTAAAGTCACAAAAGAGGAAGTCACACAAGACTTGACTCTAGAAGTGTCCCACAATGGCAGTGGAGATCAAAGGGGTACTACGGGAGAGAAGACTTTAGGGAAGTGACTGGGAGAGGGGTTAACACTGCCTGGGTTCAAATCTCAGCACCACCGCTAACTAGTGAGTGAACTAACACAATGTATTTAACTTCCTTTGGGTTGTATTTGGGATAACTACACCTTCTCCACAGGATTAGGCAAAAATTAAGTAATTTCATTCTTGTAAAACCCATACCACAGTGGCTGGGATCTAAGCCTTCAGTTAGTGTAAGTATTGTAACCCAGTGTGGAATCAAACCCTTCTGTTCTTACCTATTTGCTCTAGTGCAGAGGAAACCCCAGTGTGCTTCCCTTCCCCCTCTAACATGCTAAAGAGATGATGAATGATCAGCAAAAAGAAGTGTCTCCATGGCCAGCAGGTCTGTCTAGTAAGGACATCACAGTGGCCTCCTCCCCTCACCTGGTGCCTCTCCATCCTCTACCAAACCAAGCAGGGGTTCCTGGGGAGCCATATGCAGGGCTGGGTCAAGGGCCACAGACATGGAGCTGCAGAACTGCAGGCCTGAAGCTGCCCGGGAGCACTGTGATGTGAGTCTCTGGATCGGGGAAGTGCAGGAGCTTGAAACAAATGCCTGTGTCCTAAGGAGCGCCAGAGGGTGGCTGGCCAGGGCTGTCCACAGCAGCATGCGACAGAGAGGTCAGAAGGTGGTTCCTGGAAGCAGGTAGCTGCTGCAGGGCTCAGGTGACCCAAGAGGACTTAGAAGGGGCCTGAACCAGAGGGCTGGGTGCAGGGTGGGCCGAGCCAGGAGAGGCTGTGGGCTCACAAGGCAGAAGCTGAGGGTGGGACCCCCACACACCCGCAGATAAACGCCACAAGAGCATGTGGCACCAGACCTGTAGCACCAGAAGGTATGCTGACCACCAGCAAAGAAGAGACCCTGCCCCTCATCCCCACCCAGCCATGGAAGCAGCACCTCGGGGGGAGGGGACCCAAGTCTAACCACAGCCACCCAGGCCTGAGCTCCTGCCATGGTCGGACCTGAGTGCAGTAGAGGGTGGGAAGGGGAGAGCTTCAGCTGGATGTGGGATTGACGCTGTCATTCAGAAGAGGCTGAACTTCCTAACCTCTGAGAAATAGGACCGTTCTGGTAGACGATGCAGAGCTGAGTGCTATGGGCTGCCAAAACACCATCCCAGATAGAGAATCAGGAAAGAATGACTACAATCTGTTGAGTCTAATCCATTCTACAAACCACTACACATGGTCACCTTCTTCATCATCACTTTCTTAGTCAAAAATGGAACTCTCCCCTCATCCCCCCAAAAAAGGAAGAAGAAAACAATAAAAAAGGAAAAGCACAGAATCACCATACAATATCAGTCTCTTCCTTTTGCCTTTTCTGGGGGACCATGAGGGGAGGGCAGAGTTGAGAGTTCCCACAACCCATCTGGCTGTGGGCTCTGGAAGGGGTGAAAATGGAGCCACACTGATGACCGAGAAAGCAGAGCCATGGAGAGGACCCCACCAGTGCATCCCTACATTGAGATTCAGCCAGCAGGGGGATTCTTATTTTCTTAAGAAATAACAATCAGGGCCAGGCACGGTGGCTCACACCTGCAATCCCAGTACTTTGGGAGGCCAAGGCGGGCGGATCATGAGGTCAGGAGATCGAGACCATCCTGGCTAACACAGTGAAACCCTGCCTCTACTAAAAATACAAAAAATCAGCTGGGCGTGGTGGCGGGCATCTGTAGTCCCAGACACTTGGGAGGCTGAGGCAGAAGAATTGCTTGAACCTGGGAGACGGAGGTTGCAGTGAGCCAAGATCGTGCCACTGCACTCCAGCCTGGATGACAGAGAGAGACCCCACCACAAAAAAAAAAGAAAGAAAGAAAGAGCAATCAGATATTTTTATGACTTTCTCCTGAACATTTATTCAATTTCTTCCTGGGTTGTTTGGCCATGAACATCCACATCACATGAAAAGTACCAGAGACGCTGTGTGTTAGTTTAATGATTAAGGCATTAAATCGTAGATAACTATGCAAGTGATCAGGAGTAAATTTAACCACACATAATGGTCATGACAAATAGTCCACAAGAGGTATAAGAGAAAATAAATACAAACAGCCATTAAGCACTTGAATATGTCAGAATGAATTTTTACAAATATTAATTTTAAAAATTATTTAATGGCTTCATCATGTATTTGGGGCATAACAGGCATCTAATTATGTATAGTGACAGAAAACACCTTGGTTTTCCATGAGCATCTGCAGAGACAGGCTGGCCAAATCAGTGCTGCCTTCAGCTCAGAAGACCCATGGCAAAACCGACAGTTTTCTTCTGGATTCAACTCACAGAGCCAGCAAGGGGCAAGAAAAGTCAACAGAACAGAAACGCCAGACCTAGAAGGCAAGAACATATTAAGGATGGTGATTTGCCTTCACCAAGGCACCCAAAATGTTTGTTTTTTCCTTCAGTGGGGGGAAAAAAAAGGAGCAGAGCTGTATTGAGTTCCTTCCAGCAAAGTGTGGAAAAGAGAACCAAACCGAGTGGAAATCCTAAGACAAAAACTGCAGAGCGAGACGTGAGACAGCAGGCCGTGCGCTCTGAAAGGCATCTCTGCCGCCTGCTGATAAGCCCCGTCCATTTCTATGTACTTTTGTCAATAACTGAAAAGCAGTGAAATCTGACTAGCCCGCTCTCCACACAGCGCATAACTGATTGGAACTCAACGGACTGTGAGAATTTCTCAGGAAAATGAACCCCAACTCCCTTCACTTGGGGCCACGGACTCACATGACACCACAGTTCAGGGAAACGGACGTTTTCAGGATGTGCACATGCCAATGTCTAATGGAGAGAGCCTGATTTCCAGGCCTTGTTTTTGACTACTTCGTTGCAATCCCACTAACAAACTTGTGCATGTTTGCTATAAAAACAACCAGACTGTGTTATTTATTACCTCAAATGTAATCACCTTACAATCTTATTTCTGCCTCTATTAATAAGTAGAAGTTTCACTGCTTAAAATAAATGGCAAAAGTATTTTATTTAGGATGAATTATTCTACACTGAAAGATACTTTCCAGTAAGAAAAGCAGAAAAGAAGGGTATGTGAAAATATGCAGAAATAAGAGGCCCAGAGCCAGCCTGTTTTGATACTGGTGTTTTCTGAGCTAAGAGCTAAGTGTTGGGTACCTTTAATTCTCCGTTGAAAATATGACACTTGATCACCTCATCGTGAACTGTCTCTCAAAATAGAGACTGGGCCTCCCAGAGGATCCCTGGGCTGGCGAAACCTGAGCTGAGTGGCTCTGACAGGCACTGCTGAGCAACCATGTGGCCTCTGGGCACTTCTTGTCCACTGTTAGACCTGCGGCCACCCACCCTCAGGCACAGCCCTGCCCGGCAAGGCCAGACCTGGCATCGGGCTCGCCCACTTCCCAAATAACACCACCATCAAGAGTTCCGAAAAGGCCGAGCGCAGTGACTCACGCCTGTAATCCCAGCACTCTGGGAGGCCTAGGCAGGCAAATCACTTGAGCTTAGGAGTTCGAGACCAGCCTGGGCAACACAGAAAAACCCCCTCTCTACGAAAAATACAAAAACTAGCCGGGCGTGTTGGTGTGTGCCTGTAGCCCCAACTATTCTGGTGGCTGAGGTGGAAGAATTGCTTGGGCCCAGGAGGTGGAGGCTGAAGTGAGCAGAGATGGCACCACTCCACTCTAGCCTGGGTGACAGATCAAGGCCCTGTTTCAGAAAAAAAAAAAAAAAAAGAAAGAAAGAAAGAAAAAGAAAAGAAAGTTCAGAACACAGAACCCTGACTGAAGGGCCAGGGCTGGACAGCAGGCTGGACTAGACCAGGGCACATGCTGTGGAACACGTCGCTTGGGTTTACTGATTGATCTGGGGCCACCTGAACCTCAGTTACCTTTGGAAAGAGAGAGACAGAGAGAAAGAGCACTAGAGGAGGTGAGGGAGGGAGAGAGAAGAGAGGGAGAAAAGGATGGAGGGAGAAAGAGAAGACTTTATCTCTGAGGCTATTCCACTCCAAAAGTTCTGTTCCCTCCACAACCTGTCTCTGGGGGTCCTGAGGGACAGTCTGCAGCCCTCACAACGCTCATGCCTGTTCCTATGGATATCTCCAGCCTTGGCCTGGCATTTCCTCCTCCACTAATCTGCACTTCCAATCTCCACCATGCTCTGAAGTCAAGCAGCCCAACCTGTTGACAGCCCACGAAGAAACACACCATCTTCGTATGCACCCTAACACCACAATTCTCCAAGTTAACCCCTCTCAGTTTTATATCGTGGCCCCCAGGTTTGGAGGACGGGCGATTCCTTGATGTACCCAGTCTTTCTTGATTGGATTGAGGGAATCCAGTGTTAGGTCTGCTGTGCTGTGACAGCTGACAGGTCAGGGATCTGAAGGGACTGTGTGATGTGGCTAAGCAAGTGCAGCTGCCCTGCATCTCTTCCTACGTCCAAGAACCTCTTGGGCCCTTCCTTTAGCCCCCAGACACCTTGAACAACCAGATACAAAACTGTGGTGGGAGTTTTTGTTGCAGAACTTTTATATCCAGAACTTTTGCTGCAAGTGCGTGATTTCCAGAGAGCAATTATATCACCTCAGCCTAAAGCCAAGCACCGGAAACAGCCGCGGACATCCCTGACCTTGAGAAGGCTTCCCTTTGCCCACCACCCACGGCTTCCCATTGGCTGGACAAAACCCTGCACCACAGGGCAGGTGCTGGTTTGGAGGGGCCTGAAGTTAACAGTCTGAGAGGCCTCTTTAAGATAAAGAACACAAAAGCACAACAAACATTGTAAGTCAGGCAGTGAGCTTGGCCCAACATGGGAGGCCCTGACTCTCTAGCCTCAGCAAAAACACAGACCACTTTTCCAGCTGACTACCCACCCCCTCCTGCACTCTTCCTGGGCCGAGAGGGCCCCCACCATTCACACAGTCCACCTTCTACTCCCCGCCAAGGCAGAACACTTCAGCTTGGCTAAAGAAATGAGAAAAACTTAACAGAAACCCCGACATCCCCTTGGAAAAAAAACATAATGTTTTCAAAAAAAACCCTTCCCCTTTTACGTAAGCAGGGGCCTGGGCTCACTTGGTGTGTCCTCCAGTGGAAGGAAACTAACGCTGACCAACACTCAAATGTACCAACATACCAAGCCTCTGACGGCAACCTAGCCAGGAACGGTCATCCCACTTAACAGACAGAAAACTGAGGCCCAGAGCCCTTACAAGGAGTGCTGGGACAATCTAAGAAATGGAAAAATCCAGTTTCTGTTTGCAAGTGATTTAAAACATAGAGGGGGATTCAGAGGTAGAGGTTACAGTGCAACAGGCACTGGGCAGAAATGAGAAATCTTATGAACCATTCAGAGGAAGAGACAATTTTTCCAGGGGAGATGCATGAAGGCCTCACAGAGGACAGGACAGGGCAGGGCTCTGGGTCACGGGGAGGAGGCTTGGGGCTCAGCAGGAGGGTACACCCATTCACTCCTGGTGAAGGAGACTTTAAGAAAACTTAGGGATCCATCCCCTTCTGAATGAAGCAGCTCATGACTGGAAACTTACACTTTTTATTGCTTGGTGTTCTCATCAGCCAGAACCAAACTCAAAGTCCCTGGCTTGAGCTGAAATTTAGGGTAGTGCCTTGGGAAAGAGCCTGGGCACTAACAGGGAGGGGCTTGGGTTGAAATCCTAGGTCTGCTACTTCCCAGCTGTCCCTCTGCAGCTCACATTCCTCACCTGTAAAGGGGAATGGGAATACCTACTTCCCAGGTGCAATGCGTAGTATATAAAATAATGTGGTCAAGGCATCTGGTACACGATGCACTCAAAAAACAAGGCATGTCTGCGATGAATGCAGCAGGGTCGGTGTCCTAAACCCACCTCTGCCCTGTCTCCATCCTCCACTGCCCTCCCTCTGTAGCAGGAACTCAGGGGGTCAACGGTCTCGCCTCTTCACAGCTGAGCTTGACAGGGCTGTGTGGGGAAGGAACCACCTCATTTGGTTCTGTGTGCCCTGCTTCCGGTCTGCACTGGACTGGCCTGAGGAAAACCCAGGGAATATTTCCTTCCTTGCAGTTTCTCCCTGACTGCTTCTTTCAAATCAAAACAGAAATGATGAAGCGAAATGCCCAGCTCTGGGCCTGGCCCAAGGAAGTCCTCAATGTGCATGAGTTCAATGGTACCCCTCCCCAGACTCCAGATCTGCCACCCTGTCCCTCATTTGCTTTGACTTAGCACTCACAAAGTAAACTAATTCTTTAATAACTCACAAGAGCTGAAAGTTAATTTTTTCATCTTAATTCTAGCCTATTAGAAAAAAAACAAAGATTTTAAGCAAATAAAGGAGTTTACTTCTCTGCATCCTCATAATAATTTGTCCATAGACAACACTTTTGTTTCCTATGTTGAAAATAATATTACATTGTAACTTTACTAAAGTTTAAAACACAAATGACAATAATATTGAAAAATAAGTTCACTAAGATGTAACAGCTGAATTTACTTTTACGGTTTGCCGATCTCAATATACATAAACTGTGAGTCCCTTAACCCTTTTTTTTTCTTAAAAAAAAAAAAAAAAAACTTCCAAAATAGGAGAGGGTGTAGTAATACATATGCCATATGTCTACATTTTTGCCACTAGCTTTTGAAAGTTTAATGTAGTATTATTAAAAACACAGAATGCTTGTCATATTTTCCCCATGCTAGGGTGCCTTGGGCCATGTCATGGTCCGTTAAAAACAAAAAAATTCAAGGGCTGCCTCTATTTCAGAAACAGGAACGTGTTCAGTAATGAAAACAAAACGTGTATTAGAATAGACCAATATTTACATGGTGTTTTATACAGTGACCAGGTCCCCAAAAGGGTGTGACAGGATTTCTGTTCCTGAAGCTTTGTGGTTCTCTCTGAAGGCTGGGAGCTGTCTGCTTACACCTGGAAGTCCAGCCCAGGAAGTAACTGCTGATGTCACAGGTGGCTCTGTTGACATCCTCACAACCTGCCAGGGCTACACCCTCCAGGGCATGCCCCTCAGGTACCAAAGGGGAACGAAGAAGGAAAAGGAAGTTCCACCTGAGCCTGATCTGACCAAGATGGCCCACGCCAGCCACCATGCTGACAGCCAGCAGTGACCAGAGAGGACGCTGGGACCAAGCGGCTTTGGGGGTCTCCCTTGGCCGCCTCCAGGCCTTCCACTGTACTGGTTTGGATTTGCCATGGTAGATTTGTTCAACTACCAGTTTTGTATCCTGAAGCACGGAAGCCACATGACTTCCACACCTGAGTACCTTAGAGAACAACAGAAGTGCTGTTCTTTGGAGCAAGGATGGCTAGGCCACTCCGGGGTCCTTTCCCTGCAGTTCCCTCCACATACTGGGTCTCATGAGAAGGAGACCCCTGCCCTTCCCTGGGCTTCTGTGTGAAGCCCTCAGTAAATGACAGTAGCGGGGCAGAGCTCTCATTTCCCCTGTGAAAACCTCTCTTCAGTTGCAGCAACACCGGGTAGAGCAGTTGTAACTTACACTGAAGTTACTCTTTGTCCGCCAGCCCTAACAAAATTGTCAGAGGCCTCCGAACCAGAGCAACTCCATCTTGAATAGGGGATGGGTAAAATAAGGCTGTGTCTTTTCTTATGTTAAAGCAAAGGGGGAAAAATGTTGGTTTTGAATACACACTAGCCAGTCTTTTTTGTGTTTTTACTCAAGGCTTCAGTGCAGGGTGTATCCAGCAGCCTCCCAGCCCCCACCACAATGCTCCTGGCCCCTGACCCTGTGCTCCTCTTTCCCCCTGTGACCCTGACTGCTGTCTCCTCTGCAGAGAAGTCTTACCTCTTATTTCCCTGGCAACCCTGCCTCATCCCTAAATATACCAGTCAGGAAATTCTTCTTCCCGGGAGTCCCCGGTGAAGGAGCCTCCCCTCCACCCAGCTACAGATGCCCTAAAACCAGCTCATAGGGCTCTCAAGAGCCAACTGTTAAATCTTCTGGAATGCTGGTAGCGTACTCATTATTAAAAAGTAAATTATATAAACTTATGGTTAAATAAAATACATTAAAAATAAGGGTAATAAATATGCAGCCCTTATCACTTCCTACTGATTTCACTGTTATCTGTACCTTTGGGGTTATTAAAATCCATTCTGTCTGGGGCTAGAAATACTGTCAGAGGCATCTGACCCAGAGCGATTCCATCTCGAATAGGGGCTGGGTAAAATTAGGCTGAGACCTGCTGGGTGACATTCTTAGTCACAGGATGAGATAGGAGGTCTGCACAAAATACAAGTCGTAAAGACCTTGCTGATTACAGGTTGCAGTAAAGAAACTGGCTAAATCCCACCAAAGCCATGAGGCCACAAGAGTGACCTTTGTTCGTCCTCACTCCTACACTCCCACCAGCACCATGACAGTTTACAAATGCCATGGCAATGTCCAGAAGTTACCCTGTATGTCAAAAAAGGGGGTGAACCCTCAGTTCCAGGAATTGCCCACCCCTTTCCAGGAAAACTTATTAATAATCCACACCTTGTTTAGCACATAATCAAGAAATAATCATAAAAATGGCCAACCAGGACTCGCGCTACTGCTCTGCCTATGGAGTAGCCATTCTTTTGTTTCTTTACTTCTCTAATAAACTTGCTTTCACCTTACTCTACAGATTTGCCTCCAATTCTTTCTTGCATGAGATCCAAGAACCTTTTCTTGGGGTTTGGATCAGACCCCTTTCTGGTAAGAATACTACTCGATGGGAGTTGCCACAGCCTCTGCCCAGCTCCACACTCATGTCTCACTTTAGTGGCTGGTTAACGGTCATGGTATTTTGCCATGGAAATGAGCAAATGTGACAAATCAAGGCACACGTTGTTTTATTGATTGTCTAGATCAGGGATCAGCAACATTTTCCATAAATAGCTACATAGTAAACATTTTAGGCTTTGTGGGCCATATGATCTCTGTCACAGCTACTCAGCTTAGCCACTGTGGCAAAAATGCAATATATAAATGAATGAACTTGGCTGTGTTCCAATACAATCTCACTTATGGACACAATTTTGAATCTCATATAATTTTTTTATATATTACAAAATATTATTTTCCTGTTAATTTTTTTAAAAAATACCTTTAAACATGCAAGAACCACTCTTAGATTGCAGGCTGTACCAAAACAGGATCTGGCCTGTTGACCACAGCTTGCCAAGCCTTGGTCCAAGACCTAGGATGGTGATGAGAAAATCTTGACAATGCAGATCACACTCACAAGTGGTCCTGCCTGTCACTTCCACATTGTGAATCACATAATAATTTAAGGAAACACTGTGAGTATTCATACACTTAATCCAGGTCAGCAAAGTCTCATATCACTGAAGGAAAGAGGACATTCTAACATTCGCTTTCTCACTTTGCTTTACTCATTGTAAGTGAAAATATCCATCAACATTCATGTCAGAACTGAGCTCCTTCATCAGAGCAGCCACAGCGTGGCCATGGACTTGAGTGCGGCTCAAGTGAACAAAAGCATCTATGATCAGCAACTGGCTCTACGGAAATTGCATTAAAGAGTACTGAACATATTTTTTTTTTATTTTATTTTTTTGAGACAGAGTTTGACCCTTTTTGCCCAGGCTGGAGTGCACTGGCGCGATCGCGGCTCACTACAACCTCCACCTCCTGGGTTCAAGCAATTCTCCTGCCTCAGCCTCCAGAGTAGCTGGGATTACAGGCACGCACCACCACTCCTGGCTTTTTGTATTTTAAGTAATACGGGGTTTCAGCATGTTGGCCAGGCTGGTCTTGAACTCCTGACCTCAGGTGATCTACCCACCTCGGCTTCCCAAAATGCTGGGATTACAGGCATGAACCACCGTGCCCAGCCTACTATTATTTTAAATTAGGTACTACACATCCTTTTTATAAGTGAAATTTACGAGACCACCCTTTCCTCGGAGAGCTGGCTGTTCAACAGTTCCTAGCCTAGCAAGGGCTATCCCAGAGGTACTGATGGTGACTGGTGAGCAGTGGGCCTTGCCACCCACCCACTTCCAGGCAGTGAGTGCTTTAAAGGCAGAGCTGTATCTGATCCAGCCTTTCCCTGCCCCAGAATAGGACCTGGTAACCCTGCTGGTGTTCAGGCTAAGTAAACAAACACGAGTGGGCACAGCACCTTGGTCCTGCACCATCTGTTGTTTTTTAAGGATTATTAGAGAGAGCAAATTCCAGTTTTGATCACAATGTGGTAAATGCTTCAATGAAGTCTCAACGTGTCCCTCCAATAACAAAAGATTACACACAAACTTTTAAACATTCTTTTACTAACTGATACTTAGTATGTCTATATTTGCAGCCCAATACACACTATTTTGCATGTTATTCATGACAACAATTCAGTGTCTAAACTCATTTTAGAACATAAATGAACCAAATGCCAGTGAGAACATATCTCCCCACAGGCACTCAGTGCTGGGCAGAGCTGGTCCCCTCGGAAGGCCTGGGTGCTCCCCTGTGCAGATCCCATTAAGAAACCAATGCTCCTCGGCCGTTCCCACGATCACCGATTAACATTTTAGTGATGTAGCTCCTGCTCCAGAGGAAGAGAAACAAGTTAATCTATATTTTTTAAAAAAATAAAAGTCACTGTCATTGGAAGAGCAGTTTGATGAAATGGAAGTCTGTACATGTGACAAATGAACACGTATGGCAAGGAGAAATGGAGGCTGACAACTCTGGCAGCCAAACACTGCTGTGTGTCAGTATTTCCTCACTTCACATGGTTTTAAAAAGGTAACAAAGCCTCTTCCAGACTCATGATCCTCGTTCCTCAGCTGCTCACAAGGTCCATCCTGCAGAGAAGTGCTAGGGGTCCTTCAGGGAGGAGTCCTCTCACATGGGATAAGATAACACAGGTGAGGCAGGAGAGTAATGTCTGGAGACAGGGACCCTAAGGCCAATTCACGCTGACTTCCTAGACCTAAATCAAAAGGAAAACCCCAACTTTGCACTCCCAAGTAACAAAAAGACCAGAGGCTACTCCCCTTTCCTGCGTACAGATGAAAAACTGAAAGCACCTCTGACTGGTCCCCTCTCACAACCAGTCTGGTCTCAGGCCAAGTCTTCATTTGCGTAAGAGTATAACTTTGTAACTTCACTTCAGCTTCTGATTGGTCACTTTCTGCAATCAATCAGAAGTTTGCATAGGGTGTAACTTTATAACTTCACTTCAGCCTCTGATTGGTCCCCTCCCACAACCAATCAGACTGACTGTGGGCCACTACTTCATTTACACAGGGTGTACACCAAGTAACCAATGGGAAATCTTCAGAGGGTATTTAAACCCCAGAAAATTCTGTAACCAGGCTCTTGAGCTGCTTGCTCGGGTGCACTCCAACCCTGTGGAATGTACTTTGATTTTTGATAAATCTCTGCTTTCATTGCTTCATTCTTTCCTTGCTTTGTTTGTGCATTTTGTCCAATTCTTTGCTCAAGACACAGGAAGCTGGACACCCTCTGCTGGTATCACAGGCTGTCCTGGCTGGACTCAGCTCCATGTTGTACAGTATAAAAAAGGTGCCAGAAAGTTCCAGAGTGTCATCAACCTGAGCTGTCCACCGACCCTGCTATACGCCAATTCCTCACCCATAAATTGACTCTGATCTCTGAGGTCACCTACTTGATGCTGTTGAATGTTATGATCTTCAGGTTCATAAGATCCACAAACAGAAAATGTTAACTTAGGATTTGAACACAGCTAGATACCCACCATCTGCTCTGTTCTGAGAATTGGGCCCTGGAAGAGCTGGAGACAGAGCTGAACCCGACTCCTGGGTAGAAGAGGCCCACTCGCCCAGGTGCTTCCTCTCTGGGAGGCCCTGTCGAATGCCAACATTATCACCTCCGCACAGCTGGTTCATCCAACAAGGTACCTGACACCGAGGAAAGCCCAGGGTAACCGCTACCAAGGGAAGTCCAGGCCCCAAAGAAGAAGGGCTGGGTGCTCCCTTGGGAAGCTGCCCAAAGTCACCAGGCACCCAGGAGGGGATGACCAGGTATGAAGGGACACAGAGCTGGGACCAGACCAATTTTCTGCGCTTGTTAAACTCGCCTTGGTGGCACTGCTTGGATGAGTGAGCCAGTCCCGTTGGTCCCACTAAGGACGGATGGGCAAAACATGGCATGAACTGATGTAAGAGAACACGTTCAAGCCAACGTGCTGAGGTGGGGGCTATTCTGGACGCTATTCCATGAAGCTGAAAAGATGTTGTGGCCTCGCTGCACTGATGTGAAGGCAGCTGTGTGCGGGGAGCAGAAGTACTGGAGCTGACGCTGGGGTGTGACTTCCTGTCCCCCTTATGTGCGAGTCACCTCACCCCTCTGTACCTCCGGTTCCAGTGGTGACACAGGGGTGACGGTGATGTCACTGCCCTCATGGGACTGCAAAGCACTCAATACCAGCTGCTACTACGGGATCTATTGGAAATTTAAAATTATATACTCACCACACAATTAAAAATGAGCTAAGGTATAATCTTGTATATATCTATGAAAACATGATGTGGGGATCATGGTGAACAGTTAAACTCTGGTGCACCCGTGCCACGGGCTAGCCCTCAGCAGGAAAAAGGAGGCAACATAGCAAGCTGGGTGGAGCCCAAGAACGTTACGCTGGGTGAAAAAAAGCAGTCTTGGAAGGTCACGTACAGTATGATCCTACTGATATAAAATCCTCAAAATGACAAAAATCATAGCAATGGAAAACAGACTAGTGATTGTCGGAGTTGGGGACGGCAGGAGGAGGTGGCTGTGCCTGAAAGGGGGTAGAGGGAGGTCTTGGGGTGAAGGAGCGGTGCCGTGTCTGGCCTGCATGGACCTTCAGGTGTGAGGACGTGCACGTGGCGGGCACCCGTGCCAGTGTCCTCTTCTTGGTTTTGGTATTGTCCTATACTACAGATGACACAACCACGGGGAAACTGGGGAGGGTACCAGGACCTCTGTGCCAGCTTTCTAACCTCCTGTGAATCTTCAAAATTAAAAATTAAAAAATATATCAGCTAAGGAAAGATAAACCATCATGTGAAAATGCTTTCCCCATGTTGGTCCCTGCAAGATGGCTCTGCCCACGCCCTCCTCTCCAGCACAGTTTTCTGCACACACATGTGTGCTCAGCTCCCACCCTCAAGGCTCCAGGATGAAACCCAGTGCACAACCTGCCAATGAGAACTGAGGCTGCAAACCATGTTCCACTGCAAAATGTAAACACAAGAATAGGCCGCACTCCAAGGAGAATGTCTAAGTCCTCTACAGACGCCTGGACCAGCATGCCCCGGTGCCCCATGACTGTAGTGGGTATTTGCTGTCCTCCTTCCTGTACACCTGCTGTCATCCACCAAGGCATAAACAGAAACACTGACTTTTCAAATACTTCATGGTTTCTTGACTTGTTCAATCACACGGCCTTCTTTGCCAGGCTGCTGTAATAGCCACTCACATGTCCAAAACCTTCAATTAGGGAACTCTATATTCTGGCCACAGATAGAGAGAGTTGTGTGGATGCTGCCATTTGACAATACAGAGGTACTTCCTCCCTTTCACACCAAACCGATAGGGTCTCATGGGGCCCAGCCTCTCCTACGGCCACTCTCTCTCACCCACAGCATGCTCCAGTTCCAATCCCTAAGTGCCTCAGCTTTCCCCCAGGCTGCAAGACACTGCCAGAGGAAACAGGCCCTCCCCACAAAGTCACGTGCGGTGACCCCAACAGGGCCCTCAGGTAGATGTTCCTGCTCATTGCTCTCAGCCCCATTATATCATTGCTGCAGCCATTCCAAGTCCCGGAAGACCTCGCCCAACATGTTCTTGTCCTGGGCTCCACCTTCACCACGCCTCTGTCTGCAGAGACCCCAGGGAGTTCCTGCAAGGAACGCAGTTCCAGAAAAGGGCTAAGCTCACATCTCTTCTAAGGCTTCACCCATTTTTTTCTCTGCTCTCCTATCTTTAGTCTCTCCCTGTCTTGGCTCGCTAGCTGAGACTGTTCTTTCCTTCCTCTTTCCACACCTCCTTCCATTCAAAAGAGGAAACGCCTCCAAAGAGGAGCCCTACACCCAATGTCCCAATTTCCTCATAGCTTCCGAAACCCGCGCCTTTACAGCCAGGCTTCCTCCACACTCTAACGGACCTGATCAGTTGCCTCTTCCCATGATGACCTTCCCTGCCTCCCACACGCCCTTCTCCTGCAAGTCCACAGCTCCCTGAAACTCCTGCTTTCACATCTCCAGAGTCTTGTGGATGCTGTTCTTCTACCTGGAATTGCCATCAAAGTCCAACAAAACACCAGCCCCTTCTAAAACCCAGCCCATACTCTTTCATCTTCACTTTCTCCTCATCCCTACCCACTCCTGCTGAAATTAGAAGTATTTTCTGCAAACCCTAAATTAAGATTCCAATTCTGCGGTACTAAACACTTTCTCCACAGCTCTACAACATTTGTACTGATTCCCTTCCTCCCTTGGATTGGACAATTCTGTCTCAACCACCAGACTAGCTAACAGCAGCTTGCTGAAGTGTGAGCTCAACAGGTATCTGTCCAATGAATGAATTACATCCATAGAAGAAATGATATATAAAAATATATAAAATTAGAAATACAGTTTCATTCATTCTACAAACATGTATCAGGACCTACCATTTACAAGGTAATTCCTAGGGAGTCTATAACATAAATGATAGTACAGTGTATGGTCTCAGATCTCAGAAAGGTTCTAGAGGGGCAATAAGATAGACACAACTGTTTAGCTAAAAGCAAGGCTGGGATTAAGTGATGTGAAATAAGCAAAAGGCACCTCGCAAACCATATGGCACTATTCAAACATTGGGGCACTTTTAAAGTTTTCTTATTGACATTATCAAATTATGCAAAACAAAGTTAGGTAAGGGACAAATCCTGCCTGCAGAGTAACTTGAAATTTTGTGAGGAAATGATTTTAGCAAAAATAATATATTATCCAAAGACTTAGTTTTCATTATGGCAAAGATCTCTGCAAATGCAAAGAAGATATCTATGAATTATACCATGTGGTATGTATGTGTCATTTATTTTTAAGTAGAAAGGCCTAAAAATATCTAGTAGCATTTAGAAAATATTTCACACTTCTTTTTATCACTCCATGAATTTAAAACTAAAAAAATAAATATCCTAGCCTTAATGCAGAAAAGCAAGTATGTAAGTTTCCTACTTGAAATAAAAAGACAAAAGACTCTATGAAGAAGATGGCATTTTCTTGTATAATTTGGACCAGGGAGACAAATGGCCTGCAGCAAGTCTATCCAAGCAGGAGCTCCATCTCCATCAGCAGGGGCCGCCTCCTCTGTCCCTGACAGCTCAGAAGCCCATAGTAAATGCTGTTTGTTGTCAGCAGGACACATGCACCAAGCAATTCCCCTCCCCTGGGCCTCCTGCCCATCCTCTCATCCCACTTCCAATCATGGCTCACTCCCCAAAGCTCCAGGAGAAAATTCTCCCCTGGCACACAGCCCAGCCCTGACCTTGTCCCAGCCCCAACATCCCTGCTGGTCTGGCTGTCAGCCCCCGTGAGGTGGAGAGAGAATCCTGCCTGCACACCGTACAGTGTAGCACAGGCCATGCTATTAGATCTGGGCCATATAACTTCTATCTCATTCAAATAAAATGCAGAAACGCTGATTAATGAAGCATTATAATGTTTATGAAGAAAGAGTTATTGTGGTTGCAATTCCATGATGTCCTTGATTTGTAGATTCTATCAGTTACACAGATTGTCATACTTGCAGACTTCTTCCAGAGTTTGGCAAGAACAAATGGGCTTTTTTTGTGCAGATGACTCATTTACATTTTTAATTATTTTTAAACTACATGAACAATAAATGACTACATTGAACGATTCAAAGAAAAATCAGAGTGTGTTCCCAAAATAGCCTAGGGTGGACCCCTGTCCCCACCAAGTCCTAAACATTAGAGCCCAGCACGCCCCAGTAAGTCACCATAGCCAACACAGATGCAGCCTCCCTGCAAACACCAAGCAGTGCGGGCCTGCAGGACTCAGTGCCTCACAAAACCAGCGGATACCTGTGGTCATCGCGGAATCTTGTGGTGACCGTGCACCCTTCCATGCCCAAGGCAGAAGCCTCAGCTCCTTTCTACCTCCCATCTGCCACGTTAAGTCACAGGCTTGCACCTTAAAGGCCAGAGGCCATCCATGGAGAAGACTCTCCCAAATGACTCCCAATTGGGATTGGCCCTAACAAACACCATGAGCTTGGAGTCTCTCTTCTTTCGGGGCCACTCTGCTTTCTCAGTGGTGCTGTCTCTTCATGTTACCCACAGCCAGTGGAATCATGTTCTCTGTTCCCTCTCAACTATCAGAACCAGTCTTTTGGACAGGATCTCCTGAGGTTCCTGCTAGCAAGGTATAAATAACAGATTCCCTGGAAGTGTTGAAAATTGGAAACGAAATAGGAATTTTTAAAATCTTACACTTCAAGACAACTGGTTGGATGAATTGGGGAGATGGTGGCTTTATTTTTCTTTTGAAGAAAGTATACAAAGGTGGACACTGGACAGGTAGGGACAAGGTGACTATGGAAGCATCTCATGGCTGAAGCTTGCTCCCATCTCCCATAACATAAAGGCATTCATGGCAGGGGGTGGGGAGTCTTTCTCCTCCACCTATTCAAAGTGATCTTTAGAAGGTCTGCATCACTCCAGCAAACAGTGGCCAGGCTGGTTCTTGCCATATTCGACCCTATTGAAATTATCCTAAGGCAGACCAATCAGCTGAGTTACTGCTGAAAGAAGACGCCAAAGGGTTATTCTACTTAAGTTAAAAATAAATAAACAACAAACACAAGGCCAGGCGCAATGGCTCATGTCTGTAATTCCAGCACTGTAATCCCTGCACTTTGGGAGGCTGAGGTGGTGGATCACTTGAGGTCAGGAGTTCAAGACCAGCCTGGCCAACATGGTGAAACCCCCGTCTCTACTAAACATACAAAAGTTAGCTGGGCATGGTGGTGCACGCCTATAATCCCACCTACTCGGGAGGCTGAGGTGGGAGAATTGTCTGAGTCAGGGAGGGGGAGGCTGCAGTGAGCCGAGATCACGCCACTACACTCAAGCCCAGGCGACAGAGCAAAACAGGCTTTGCACACAGAATTGTAACACAGAGTCTACCACTTTGAGGCACAAAAGATAAGAGTTTAATATAAAGAATTTTCCTCCTACTGTGCATCCGTGGTTATGAAACGATTCATATCATAAAACTTACATATAAAATAATATTGCTCTATCTCGTTGATTTAGAATATGAAATAAGAGATACGATTTTATGGGGAAGACTACACTTAATTGGAAGGGAAGAGAAGAACAGCAAAATGTCCCGACCATGGGCTTTGCAGTTCCTCAAGGAGACACCAGCAAGACACTTCAGAAGACCCCAGGAACCACAGCCAGCCCCCTAAAAAAAACTGTCAGACGATCCATTGGTTCTTGTTATTCAACCTCACATTCAGTTGGATGGTACAAGACGGAGGATAGGGGTCTAAAAATGTGTATTTTGAGTGCATGTAAATTACACAAGTGGTAAATTACTCCCCATTTTACAAATA
The DNA here is from genome assembly GCF_000001405.40 of Homo sapiens. Taxonomy (NCBI): domain Eukaryota; kingdom Metazoa; phylum Chordata; class Mammalia; order Primates; family Hominidae; genus Homo; species Homo sapiens. The sequence goes on from NC_000007.14 coordinate 51,248,600, forward strand.
GGACACAAATGATTCTTTGGAGATTATTTTCTAATGGCACAAAATGTCTTTGGTTTATATCAGTTTTAACACTCCTCAATCTACCCAGTCTTTGTAAATATCTAAATACAAATCATTTTAATTTAAAAGAACTAGGAAATATATTTTAACAACAAAATTTTAAAAAATAAAAATGAAAGATGCCTCAGACAGAATAATGGGCATAGGCACAACAATGTTGCCTAGTGATTAAATTTTTAAGGAGAAAATTATTCAGTCATCCCCAAAGCTACAAAAGTACCTCAGATACAAATTTATTCAGGGATAACTTTACAATCTTTATCGTCTGAACAAAAATTTACTTTTTCTAAGCCCATTATGTAATTAAGATTTGGAAAAGATACTGAGATAAACCAGGTTAAGACCCATTCTGAACATATCTTTTTCTAAAACAGACATAGTATAATTTATTTATCCAAGTCTGCATATATACCTATTAAATATGTTTAAATGATGGAACTTTTGAACCCATTTGTGAATCTCTTGTCTCTCAGAACTCCTGTGTATCAGATCCAGATGAATGGTGTTCAAGGCAAGGCTATCTGTGACCTGTGGTGAGTGAGGGGGCCCCCATCCAGGGAACTATCCATTAGGTGACATGAGGACGTGCAACCCCAAAACAGAATCCTTGAAAGGGAAGGCAATGAGGTGAACACAACAAACAGACACAGAAAATCTATTGCTTAACCCTAAGCATGAAACATTCCTGGAAATCTCTCATCATCCTTCCCACAGGACATATGCCTGGAAAGGTGAGCGTGAAACCATTCTCACAGGATGAGTCATGTCTGAGATGAGGGCAGAGCATGGAATCCAGAAATGGACATGTCTTCCTAAATCCTTCAAAGATAGATTAGACAAGGAAAGATTCCAATGTCACTCCTTCTAATTACATTTTTATTAACATAATAAATTTTGTAACTTCTCTTCTCCAAGCAGAGAATACCCACATTTCTTCGTAATCACCTTTGTTCTGATTTGACACCTTCCTTTTACTTTTGCTCCTCAATAAAAGCTTTATTTTTCCACTTTCACCACCCTACAATTCTTCTGTTGATCAGAATAACAACTGGATTACCAGACAATGCTGCCAGGAGCCACCAGACCTAAACTGGGCACAGAGGCTCACATTCAAACCCTCTGCAGAGCTGGCTGTGAAAACTGAACCAGGAACTGGCTTGAAGAAGAACATTTTTCAAACACCTGTAATCCCAGCACTTTGAGAGGTTGAGGCGGGCAGATCATTTGAGGCCAGGAGTTCGAGACCAGCCTGGCCAATGTGGGGAAACCCTGTCTCTACTAAAAATACAAAAATTAGCCAGGTGTGGTGGCGCTTGCTTGTAATCCCAGCTACTCAGGAGGCTGAGGCAGGAGAATTACTAGAACCCGGGAGGTGGAGGTTACAGTAAGCCAAGATCGCACCACTGCACTCCAGCCTGGGCAACACAGTGAGACTCCATTTCAAAAAAAAAAAGAAGAAAGAAAATACAGAGTAGACACTCCCTTGACAAACCTCCACCAGCTGGCCAGCCTGGTAATCACAGCTCTGCCCTCTTTCTGATGGGCCTGTGTCCACCCCGCACCAAACAGCCTTGCAGCCAGAAAGTGACTGGTACACACTCAGAGAACTCATCCTACAAGGTGGCCTTTACAATTCCCAAAGCATAGAAGTCTTGCTCACCAATTTATTACTGCCAGTTGCCTATGCTATTATAATTATAAAATGTAATTAAATATTATGTAAACTGATGAAATTAAAGTTTGAAAATAAAAATAGTTGATGGTTCCAAGAAAACTTTGTAAAATGCTGTGGACAAATTTTATAAAGGCTATCTTTATTTTTAAAAAATATTATTTAATTGAGTGTGGGCAAGAAAACTGAAAATGACAGAGTGGGAGGAATTATAAAAATACAGAGGCATTTACTTCTCAAATTTGTGTGCAAGTATCTTTTATTGTCCAGGTACTTTTAAAAAACAAACTGAAATTTCTAGTTCATATATTACTAAAATGGTTTACGAAGTTGTCCTTGAACCTTAAACATTGGACCCATATGGCTAAGCCATCATAAATAAAATAACTAAGGTATTATGTAAGCTGGAAAAAGGTGGCAGTCCTTCACACACAAAGCTATGGATGCACAGCTTGCTGAGTGACAATGGGCTGGATTTCAGTCCCTCTTGCTCCCTTGACTGGGAACCCTTATGCTGGAAGGCCCAAAAGACTGATACAGCAGCTCTGCCCACACGCAAAAGAGGGGCCTCAGCCACATCAAAGAATTGGCCAATAAACATACCTCTAAGTTTTCATTAAAATAACTAAGGTATTACTTGTTATATTTTATGGTTCCCTGCTTTAAATTACTATTGAAAATAATTGACCTATTTGTGATGATTTTTACAGTGCTATTAAATCTACTTAATGATAATCATATTCTAATAATAGATAACAGTATACATTCTAAATTTTAAATAGTAACATCTCGAGCAGCAACTGTTAAAGGTCACCTGAGTGGCAGAGGACCGGGGTCGAACCTGCAAATTAGAACACGTAAAATATACTAAGAAAAGGACACCAAGAGAATGTATATGACATGCCAGGTATTTTGCTTCCTGTAAACTACATAGCTATTAACTCTAGGAGCTCAAAGAACAAAATATATCCAACACGATATTAGCTCATAATATTCCAGGGGTGAAGGCTGAATGTTAACAACTTTGTGTTACAGGGAACTTGTTGGTGAGAGAGGATTCTGTGCTGTCGTTTCAGGACGCTGCCAGCTATACAAAGGTGTGACAACTTAAACCACCCATGTGTGATCATTCTCAAATGACCTCTGCCGAATGACTCATACAAAGCTGCTCCTAGCTTACAAAAGTTTAGATTTGCTTAGAATTTATTTCTAGCACTAGTTATCAAGATTTAGATCCATATCAAGATCCTTGAAGGCAGGGATCATATCTCTAAGTTATATTGCATTCTCTATCCTTCAGAGATTATTGCCTGGCATGGACATCAATGTTTACTGTCCCCACTGCATGCCCAGATCACAGTACCAGACATACGGTGTACACTCAACCAATATCTGTCAGATTGAACACACAGTGATGAGAAGCAACTGAAATTTTCAAGCCTAAAAAAATGTTGAAAGATTGGTACAATGAACTACCCTCAAACTACTCCATGATCCATTTTCCCTTTCTATGCATACTTGCATGTGTATACACACACACACACACAACCATTTTTGCTTTCTGAATTATTTGAAAGTTGCTGAAAAAACAGTTCTGCACTCTAAAGTCCTTTAGCACATGTCTCCTAAGAGTAAGAGCAGTCTCTACATAAGCTCAATACCTTTATCACAGCTAAGAAAATAGGATCCTACATATAATTCAAACACAAACTTCCTCGATGTCCTTATGTGCTCTTTTACAGCTTTTTTTTTCAATCCAGGATACAATCAAGGTTCGTGCACTGCATTTCATTATTAGATCTCTTTAGAACACTCTCCCCTGTGCTTTTGTTTTGTTTTCATGACACTGGCTTTTTAAAAACAGGCTTATTGAGATATAATTCACACACCATATAATTTGCCCATTTACATTGTACAATTCAATATATTGTACATGTTTTTCATATATTCACTGAGTTGCGGGACCATCACCACAATTTTAGACTCTTTTTATCATCCCCAAAGGAAATCCCAAACCCATTAGCATCAGCAGTCACCCCCTTTTTTTCTTCCAATCTCCCCAGCCCTAGACAACCACTGATCCAGTATTAATACTTTGCATCTCTATGGATTTGCCTGTTCTGGACATTTCACATAAGTGAAATCATACAATACGCATGCTCTGTGACTGGCTTCTTTCACTTAGCCTAATGTTTTGAAGGTTCTGAGTTCTCTGAGGAGACTTCACTGCAGCTGTTTTGAAAAAGACTCTCAATTTGTTCAACTGTTTCTTCATAATTCAGATTAAAAGCTTTTTGGGGCAAGAACACTACAGAGGAGTACAGGTGATTTCTCCTAGCATTATACAAGGGTATAATATTGGCACATAGTATCAGGTTGTCCCCAGCAGGAGGGGTTCAATTTAAGCAGTAGGTTAAGAGGCTGGCCTCTAGATTATTCCAATGTAATGGTTTTTTTCTCTTTTATAAGTAGTAATCTGTGAGATAATATTTGAGAACGCATAAATATCTCATTCTCCAACAATCTTTCACCCGGTGATTTTAGCACTCAAACATGATTCTTGCCCAGGTCAAGGTTGCAAAATGATGATTTTTAAAATGCATAATTTTAGCCAGGCACAGTGGTTCACGCCTGTAATCGCAGCACCTTGGGAGGCCGAGGCGGGCAGATCACCTGAGGTCAGGAGTTCGAGACCAGACTGCTCAACATGACAAAACCCCGTCTCTACTAAAAAATACAAAAATTACCCAGTCATGGTGGCGGGCACCTGTGATCCCAGCTACTCAAGAGGCTGAGGCAGGACAACTGCTTGAACCCAGGAGGCGGAGGTTGCAGTAAGCCGAGATGGGGCCACTGCACTCCAGTCTGGGCAACAGACTCCGTCTCAAAAAAATAATAAATAAATAAATAAAATGCATTATTTCTTCTGAATTTATTAAGGTGACATTCTCTCTATTTGAGTAACACTTCAGACTCCTGAATCTTTTAATATATTACAATCTATTAATACGATTACTCTTGCCAGCAGGAGGCCCTGCAAGCCTACTCCTGGGTTTGTTTTGATGTACTCCACAGGCCTTTGAACACCTTCTTGCTTTCTAGCACAAGATACCCCAGGCACAACCTTGTCAAGATCTGTAATCAGCCATTTCTCCAAGGATCCATGTGGGAAACTGTAGTTAATGTAACTATTGGAAAGGTATCATTGCTATTTATTTTGTATTTCTAATTATAGAGAGAGTGAAAAGGAGAGTGAGAGAATTCACACTGCTTGTAGCCCTTCTTCCACAGTTAGAACTTCCATTCCCAATAACATCATTGTATTTTATTTTTTGTACCACCTACAATACCTACAAAATAATTTAAGAATTACAACACAACACCATTACCAACTATAATTGTACCAGATAAATCTCAACAGTTATTTGCCATTTCTTTTGTTCTTAAAATATGTTCCAATAAAGATATATGGTCAGAAAACTGTTCAAAATTATCAGAATTAAGTCTTTATTCTGGGCAGTTGTGTTATCAACTTTAGACAGTTAGATTCCTTTGTTTCTGTTTTTCAACTTTAAAATTTCCTTTTTCAATTTTGATGCTATTCTGTTTTCTGAATATATAAAAACTTGTGTAGTTCAAAATCAAAATTATATAAGCAAGCCATATTCAAAGAAATCTAATTCCTATTTTTATGTTGGATACCTCATTCCCACACATCCTCATTCTTCCTTTTTGAGTTGTTTTTTTTTTGTCAAAAGAAAGCAAATATGTGTTTATTCTTATTTTCTCTTCTTTCTTGCACAAAGATATATACCATAAACAATTTCCATGTCCCCTCTTCATTGACAATGATTACTGCAAATCACTCCATGTCAGCTCATAATGATTTTTCCCTTTCACTTTTATGGCTGATGTAAAGTGACCTTCATAGATGAGGCAAGACTGTGACCAACTGTTTTAGAAGAAAATGGAAGGATGAGAGGCGTATGACCTCCGATGATTATACTGTAGTCCTTCTGGTACAGAAGTATTATTTGTGCTAAACTGAGTCCTACATATAGACTTGTATATAAGGGAAAACACACTATTCACTTGCAACAAATAGACAAAAACTACTTTCAACATCAAATCTAAAACTGAACTAAACCAAACCAAAACAAATTGGCCAACATTCAAACAACATCCTGGTAATGTGCACATATACCCTTGTTATCTGTCTTCCTTCCCTCTCTTTCCATCCCCCATTTTTCCATCCTCTTTGAGGTACAGGTGGACCCCCAATCCTCTCCACCACTCTTCTCAATCAGATTCTAGAATGGTTGACTACCTAGAATTCTCTAGAAAGTGGCCTACTGAGTTCTTATGAGTCCAGCAGCCAAGATGCACTGATGTCTATGAACACCAGCTTTTTCATAAGCTCCACAGCCACCATCTGACCTCATGAAGGGGACTGCATAAGGTGAAAAACATCAACCCTTGGGCAGCTGATTTCAATTTGTGTTACATTTTCTCGTGATCTTCCTCAGACCTTATCAAAGGGCTGAATAAATGTGGTTGATGTACTGGTTTCTCAGTTGCTGATTACTATTTAAAAGCTCTAACAATACTTAAAAAGTTACATCTTATACCATGATTCAATCTCTATGTATCCCTCCCCACTCAATTAAAAAGTACGTTGTGGATAGTTCAAGCTGCTACCCAAACATATATTTCTGAAAGCTAAGTCACACTAAACACTAAATCACAGGATCCATGTGAAGCCTGAATCAATCTGAATATTTTACACTATTTCTGACCCTGCTTTGTAGAATATGCAAGCTTCCCTTGCGTATAAACAAACATTTAAAATACATGATGCAATTAAGAGAAGAATAATCCTAGCGACCTCCTTCAGCTGTTACAAAGATAAAATGAGGAACTGCTGCCCGAGGCACTGCTGGGCAGTGTCATCAGTGTTACTGTCAGAGACAGTAACATCCAACCCATTGTGTGACTCTTAAGATTCATTCTCTGGGAAACTCATCAACAACCACAATGCAGCCCTTCCTATATCTCCTCTTTATAAAATTATTAGGGACCAAACTAGAGAAACAATGTGGAACAGTATCCTCCAGGGCCTCCTTCACTTGCAGTGAGACCAGTTGTCTTTCATTCCCGCATCGTGTTCATCCCATGAGGGAGGGTCTGCATATTTGAGGGTCTGGAGGAACATGCTCAGAAGTTTGGCCAGGCCTGGGTTCACCCATGGAAGAGAACAAAGAAGGGGACTGAGCATACTCTAGCAATGACCAGTGGCACGACTAGGAAAGTTCTCTGCCGAGATCACTTCCTCCTGGCAAAAACAAGGGCTCCACAGGGCTTAGGGTAGAGAGCAGAGACTCACAATGAATCACGGGGCTGCAGTGAGCCAGGCACTCAGTGGTGTCACCTCAGGAGGTTCCGATGACCTCACATCAAGGTGGTGTGCCGATGCAGGAGCAATGCAGGCCCTGAATGTTGCCCCACCTGATGCGGCCACTCAGCTGACCGATGAGACTCCAGCCCAGCCCCTGCTTTGTCCCTTAGATTGTGCAGAGTTTGAGAAGCCCAGCTCCTGAGGGCAAGGCCAGATCTCACAACCAGAGGCCTGGGGACCCGGGCCAGCACCTAGCCTTCTCTCCACCAAAAGCTTGGTCTCTATTTTTACTCCTTGTTCTAACACACCCATGCTTAAAGGATTTCTGAAATGTGTTCTGGAATGCCGTGTGGCTCAGCTGAGACCCTGAATTCCATGTCACACTGTCGTAGCAGCTGCACTATCAAGCACAAGCACAAAGGCAGGAGTGTTTCCAGGCGGCCCACCCAAGACAGCAGTCCTTTAAATTGACTCCTCATCATATTGCCCTGGGTACTTTAGCTGGCAAAGAACAAATTAGCATTCTCAATCTATATATACTGTAGCACACTAAATAAAGGGCTGGAGCCGAGGCACAAAAGGTCAGGCCATGAAATTCCCTGCAGGAGCCCGGGTCCCACCATTCCACTCTCAGGCTCTTTGGAAAGCTGACTCCCAGGGCCACAAGCAAGTCTTTGTGTGTCAGGAGGGCCCACTGCTGGGGCTTTCAGTGCACACAATAACTCACAGGCTGTGTCCAATTTCAGAACACAACGAAGAGGCAATGACCACACCCACGTGGGCCTGGGCTTTCACTCAGGAGTTCGGATCTCATGGAAAAACACCGTGGAAGATGCCCTGGGGCAGCACCACTACCCGGATCCACATCCACTCAATCGCCCTAGTAGGGCCTCCAGAGCACTCCTGCAAGCGTCACGTGGTTTCACAGATCCCAGGCAGAGGCAGGGCAAGTGTTACTACCACCACCAGTGAGGAAATGAAAGCCCAGAGAAGCTGTGAGACTTGATGAAGGTCACCAACTGGCTAAATGATGATAGGTGCTCTAATGAGAAGTTTTATTACCTCACTATATTGTTTTACTCAAAAATATTTCCTGTCTGACAGCTGCTTCCCGGATTTACTGCTTAAAGTGAGTAATTCCACTCTTCTTAGACATGGAATTTTACATATAGCACCAGAGCAGAGCTAAGGATTCCTTTACTAATTTTCCTTACTCATTTATTATATTATATAAAATATACACGAGACTTGAACAGGGAATGAGGAAGCCCAGAAGAGCAGAAACTAAACCAGTCCAGTGGAAGTGTCACATATATTGTTGCATAGCCTGCATTCCAGAGTAGCAAGATGAGGCTCTGAGCTTCCTAGCGGTCATGGCAAAGATGAGATGCAAAGCCAGATTCAAAGCTCCCATGTCTCAAGATAAAAGAAGACAGATCCAGAGAACCAGTGCCCTGCAGCCCTCATGCTGGAGACATGGTGTGCAATAGTGAATTACGTCCCCAACAACGTGCCAAAAAACAAAAATACAAAGATGGTTTTCCAACAGTTGCTTCTCCCCTCAATAAAACCTACATCACACCAAGACTCCACTCAGTAGAAGTCATTAAATACAGAGACCAAACAATGCAGTCGAATATGCCATTCTTCTGGTTTGGCTTGACTGAGGATAAACGATAGCATATCTAAAGAAAGTAGAGGAATAGAACACAGTGGACACATACACTGAACTGTATCAAGCACCACCACGATTTTATAAATCATGGAATTAATTTGGTATATCCAGAATACCGTCAAGCAATATGCAAAGGTTCATTCTGCATAAGAAAGTAGGCTTATACACTTCAATGTTTAGATTGAATATGCTTTCATTTGAGACCAAGTTACTTATTCTGGGATTATGTATATTTATAGATAAACCTATATATAAATATACATAATTTTATAAGATGTATACATAAAATATATTTCAGTTAAAATTCTGTTTTCTAAAAATATTGCTAATATTTGGCATTAATCACACCAAATATGAAAGAATTTGTACACTAGAGCCATTTTAATATTTAGTAAAATAATCTGATCTTTAAAAAAACAGATAGATTAACAAAAGCACTAAAAGTTCACTCAGATTTTGATGAAATCTTCCCTGTCTATTCCTATAAGACCTGCAAGCAGGTATTGATAATCAATGAGGAAATGTTTTGATTAATGAAATTAAACTTTAAAGCTAAGCTTTAAGACACAGTGTATTCGTTGTAACAAGGAAAATGTATTATTTATTTACCTGTAATATAGTGTACTTGTTTGCTAATTTTTAAATTACTTTCCTAGAAATAAGGTAGCTCTTTTCAAAATATACTTTTTTATAACTAGAAGCAACACTTAATTAGTGAAGACAGTTATAACTGACTACCCTAAATAAATTAAAAGAACAAGCTATTATTTAAAAGTGTATAACTCTTCAATGAATGGTTAAAACCATATACTTTTTTTTTTGAAGAGACAAGTGAACATTTATTTTTGTGCCATTCTTCCTATGTATATTTCAAGTCTTTTTCAAAACAAAGCCCCAGGAATCTCCAGATTCAATTATGTCCCTGGGCTTGGTTGATCACTGCAGGAGTCTTAGGGACCCTTGGACAAATGGTAGAGTTACTCATTTACCGACATTAAACCCTAGGACAGATGACACAACAAAGCAGGACTCCTTCCTCCATGGAATGTACTGATTTCAGACGAGGCGGCAGCCAATGTAGAAAACACTGAAATTTTTCCTTGGAATTGGACTGTGATGAGAGGTGCTTGCCATGAACATAACCTACTGTCTTTTCTTTGACCCTTCCTTTCCAGCTTTTGAAGATAAAGCAGGAAATAATCTTCTTTGAACATACTTGATAAAAATTCCCCAAAAAAGCAAAAACACATGCTTCTACTGCATTGAAAAAAATTTACTGCAGTGTGGCACTTAAGAGTAATAACAAATAGCAATAAAAAGTAATTTCAAAAAGAGTTAAGATTTCTTCAGCAAAATAAATGATTCATATCTTTAAGTCCTTTTTGAAATCAGTTATTAATATTATTCCTTCCCCATTTCCATCTAAATGACCACAGCAATACAGTTTTTAGTCACTCAACATCTTTAAGCTTATAACTCTTAGGCTATGCATAGCCTAATGTCCTAATCAGGCATTCATCGCTCCCAGAAGGTCTCCCATCTATTAGTACCAGCCTCCTCTGTCATCCCAATCTCAAAGTTACCCTTAATAGTAACCCAATCTCGGCCGAGCGCGGTGGCTCATGCCTGTAATCCCAGCACTTTGGGAGGCCCAGGCAGGTGGATCACCTGAGGTCAGGAGTTCAAGACCAGCCTGACCAACATGGTGAAACCCTGTCTCTACTAAAAATACAAAATTAGCCAGATGCAGTGGCGATTGCCTGTAATCCCAGCTACTCGGGAGGCTGAGGCAGAAGAATCGCTTGAACCTGGGAGGTGGAGGTTGCAGTGAGCCGAGATCACACAACCGCACTCCAGGCTGGGGAACAGAGTGAGACTCCAGCTCAAAAAAAAAAAAAAAAAAGAGTAACCCAATCTCACGGTTACTAATAGGAATACTAGTAACTGCAAAAAGCACTTTTAAGTGGCAAGGCATGACCCATCAAAAGTCAGCCCAAGGGCAGTTTTCAGCCCTGCCTCACCTGGGTCTAGTTCAGCTGGTGGATGAGCTGATTGATGTGTTCACCCCGACAGCCAGGTGGGGCCCATCTCCTTGAGGAAACCCACTCTATTTGTGGTAGCAAGATGGGCCACTGAGAAGTGGAAAGGGCGCAAAAACCATGAGATCTCCTGGAAATGCTTCTCCAGGAAGGCAATTTCATGAATGAGGTCTTCCAAGCAAATGACACCAAAATTCCCCTGGTGCTCCTCATCACTGTGTTGTCTGTCTGAGGGATGGTCTTATTCTTGACCTTGGCTCATCCACATTTCAAAATGAGTTCCCAGGCAGACTTCAGATGTGGAAATACCCAGATCACATAAGTTTCCACTATGGGCAGCATTTTTAGGTTCTGGGGGGTGACTTTTACAAAGATACCACTAAAAATTTTCTTTAGGCGAAGTCTTGCCATGGTTCTCTGCACCAGTAAACTCATGTCATTAATCCTTTCAATGCGTACAATAAAGGCCAAGGAATGTTATCTGGCAATTCCAAGGCATGAGGTTTCACTTCTAGTCATCTGAGATGCATCTTGTCACGTTTCTGCCACCAGGAATCATATAGGAATGATTCCAGTCGTTTAACTTGAGCCCTTTTCCTTTCCTCTGCTCCTTCTTCTCCAAAAGTGTCTGCTTTGCCTGGGTGGCTTTGAGGACTTGATAAGCCTTCCTCTTTTTCAGGAGATTTTCTGGAACCAAAGGGATTTTTCTTTGCTCTTGCTCCATTATCTTTCTAGAGTTGTAGCTACTGATCATGCGTAACTCTACCACATGGGGAAGATGGCACTCACTCTATCAAGACCATATACTATTTTTAAAGACCTAAAATAAATTATGAAGTGGCTTTTGTCTATCTCATTTATAGAACAGGATAATATGTAAAGTTTGCATTGAAAATAAAAAGGGAGAAAGATCACATGATTTGTATTCATTCTTTCATTCACTCAAAAGACATTTACTATTTATCTTCCATGGGTCAGTATCTGGGATAGATTCTAAACATCCACAAATGAGGATAACAGGATCCCTCCCTGATGCAAGTCCATCACTGGTAGGAAACACAGATAAACAAACACTCAAGACACCAAGGCTTGTGCCATGAGAAAGGCTCATATACAATGCTCGTGGAGCAGATGCTCTTTCTAGGAAAGAGGGTAGTGGCCTGAGGGGACAATTCCAAGGCACTGGTTGAGCTATGTGTTGCAGAATGGGATAAGGACATGTCTAGCATAAGGAAGGGTCGCTACAGGAGAAGATGGGAAAGGTTGTGGGATGTGTGAAGAACTGGGATCGCAGGTAAGCTGCAGCTGGGGACTGACAGTGTGCAGCAGGGCAGCCATGGAAAGGATGCAGGGACCAGGCGGCAGAGCCTGGATCTTATCCCAGAGGTGGCAGAAACCCTCAGAGGACTCCAGGCAGGTCAATAACAGGGCACTTGCATTTAGCCATGACTTCTCTGGAGGGATAGGGAGGGTAGGCTCAGATCACATCCTGCCTTTCCCCAAAACCTTCTGAGGGCATCTCATGAACTTTATAAACCTCCATACCCCTTCTCCATTGCCCATCTCTCCTGCTTCACCTCCAGCCATTCTCCCCAGAGCCCCACTACTCCTGCCACACTGCCTGCCTTCCTGCTGCTCACACACGCCAAGCTCAGCCCCACCGCAGGAGATGTGCACATGCTGCCGTACACAGTAGATGGCTTACTCCTCTCTTCACTGAGAGGCGTACATGTACAGCAAAACCTCCTCAAAGAAGCTCTCCTGACAGCCCATCCAAAACGGCAGCCTTTGGCTGGGCGTGGTGGCACACGCCTATAAAAAAACTGCAGCCCTTGCAACTCTCTTCCAACTCAGTATCACTTCCAGAAATTATACTTTATTTATTTACTCTCTATCTCCCCCACTAGAACATAATGTGTCAGAGTTGCAGGGAGACCTCACCTGTCATATTCATGGCTGTGTTCCCAGGGCATAAAATGCTGGTGAGTAGCAGGCTCACAGTAAATATCTGTGCAATGAATGAATGAAGGTGAGACTAGAGTCAAAAGCTACTGCGAAACACAAAACACCAATGGTGATTTCGTCTGAGCTAAGAACACAGCAGTGTGATGACATGTTTGGTGGAGAGCTGACGCACCAGGGAATGGAGGAATCTGAGGTGATGCCTGACAGGGAGGATGGCTGGCCTGTGCACCAAGCCCAGTTGTACAGGCCCTGGAGGTGTTGAAAGAAGGCAGCCCGAGGGGCCAGGCGCGGTGGCTCACGCCTGTAGTCCCAGCACTTTGAGAGGCCGAAGTAGGCGGATCACCTGAGGTCAGGAGTTTGAAACCAGCCTTGACCAACATCGTGAAACCCCCTCTCTACAAAAATTAGCTGGGAATTGTGGCATCTGCCTTACTAGGGAGGCTGAAGCAGGAGAATCACTTGAACCCAGGAGGCGGAGGTTGCAGTGAGCCAAGATCACGCCATTGCACTCCAACCTGGGCAACAAGAGTGAAACTCCATCTCAAAACAAAAAAGAAGGCAGCCTGAGGAACGCTAAGCTCCAGATTCTGTGAGGCACCCTCTGGGCAGGCAAGTCCAAAGCTGCCAGGAGAGGGGTTGGGATGGAGCTGGAGAGGGGTGGGCCCGTGCTGATGGTGCAGGAAGAATGTGGCCAGTGGCAGCGCTCCTGCCAGGCTCACCGCACTCACCGCACAGCAGCCCTGGCTGGCTCAGGGCACAGAGCCAAAGTGGAGTCTGACAGTGGCCCAGCCCCAGGAGGCCACATCCTCGAGAACACAAGGCAGAAGAAGAAGTGCAGGTGCAAGACAGGGGCACACCTGGGAACCCCAATGTCTCAGGCAGGGACAGAGGAGGGGCAGACTCTTCAAAGGAGCCCCAGGAGGTGACAGGAAAGTGAGGAGGGAGACCCTGGCCAGGAAGGTCAGAAAAGGAAGTTTCCGGACGAAACCGTGTCAGAGTCAGAAGCTGAAGAGAGGAAGTCAGTAGGACCATACAAACAGTTCCACAGCGAGGTGGCCATGGGAAAGGACTCCTGCGACTCAGGACTGGGTCTGAGACCCTCAGGGAAAATGGCCCGGTTAGGACAGCCTAGTAAGAGCGCACAGGAAGGATGCACTGGGAAGTCACGACAGGCAGCGCCAAGTCGCCATGCCTGTGAACCAACAGGGTGCTGGCGGCAACATTCGCCATGCAGTCACCATCACATGGACGTCTGGGGCAAACAATCAAAGTGATTTACATGACAGATGTGTGTGAAGACATGCCAGTATTAAAGCATGAACCAGGGGCCGGTTGGTCCCAGGGCAGTCTCAGTGGCTGTGGAGTGAGTGCTGGGATACAAGGATGAAGAGGGCAATAATGAAGAAGCTGTCCTTCCCTCACTGCCCACGCCCTACCAGCAACCCCTGGTAGGAGGCAGGGCAGGGCCCAGAGGCATTGAGACCCAACTTGCCAGGAGCCTGGGAACTGGAACCGGCAGCAGCCCTGGGCTGCATCTGGAAAAAGAAGTCAGTGTCCAGCAGGTAAGCTGGGCAAGGTGAGGCACGGACGAGCCTCGTCTCCACACCAGGGCAGGTGGAACTGACATCAGTGGGGCCCTGACGCAGTGTTAAGAGACATGGAGGTGTCGCCAGCCACATTCTCATTAATACAAAGTGGTGGTGTGTGGAGTTGGGGAGTTCCCCCCAGCTCACCGGAAGCCACCCGCAAGCCGAGGGTGGCCCTGGGAGCAGGTCCTACCTGTGAACAGCACCTGTCATCTACACTGCACTGGGGAAAGGTGCAAGAGACACCCTCCAGCCCTAGGCTCCTATGAGCAAGAGCACACAGGCCAGGAGGCCTGGGGAGGGCCCACGAGGTCTCACACTCATGCACTCCCACGTGTGAGAAGGAGGGAGCAAATGGATTGTTTTAAGCAGGAAGATAAATGGTCAGTGGGATATGTTTCACAAACTGCTTTTGGCAGCAATATGGGGGGTGGATAAGGAAAGTAGGAGGCTGGAGGAAGGAAATCAGAAGAGCATTTCAGAAGCCCTGCAAAGTGCTGGCAAGGGCCTGAGCTATGAACCAAGACAATAAAACAGAAAAAAAAGTTCTTTTTTTTTTTCACACAGTGGGTGGAGGTCCCCACTTTGGTGGGGAATTATGGAGCCCACACCTGAGTGCTTTTAGTTGAAGCTTTAGTACCTGGGAGGATGAAGAGTTCCCAGGCGTGGCTGTCCAGCTCACTGGTGTCAGCACCAGCAGGTCTGATTGTTAAGTTCAAGGGCTGCCCAGCAAGGCCTGGGAGACAGAACCAGCCAGACTGGTTTTATTGGATTGTGCTGCTGATAATGACACAATTTTTATGTCACTGAACACTTTCTTGGCAACTACTAAATATTTTGATATGATTCCTATACAAAAACAGTTGACATAAGGACTATGATCCCCATTTCAAATGAGGACAGGAGATAACTAAAGTTGATGGAATGCTAACCATGAGTTTGGCACTGTGGTAGGTTCTTAGTGTCCCAACTAGTTTTCATGACAGCTCACAAGGGAGGTGCTGTTATTCCACTTTTATAGAAGATGAAACTGAAACCTAGATTATGTAGCTGTCAAAAGACAACAAAACTAGTGAGGAAGAGAGCCAGGACGCCGGCCCAGGTCTATCTGAGCTTGGTCCCCATGAGATGCCTTCTGAGTTCCAATCGCAGCCCCCAAGCCTCAGAACTGCTGGATCAAAACTGCAGGCAAGGAAGGATGGGTGCAAAAGCCCATGTGTTGGGGATCTGTTCCTCACAATGGCAGGGCAGAAGGGGCTCAAACGTTCTTCCTTTAGGGGCCTGGCTGAATAAGCCAGGATGCAGCCACACAGGGCACAGAGAGTGAGGACACCTCTACGTAACAGTTGGATGTTTTACATAATTGCAAAACAAAATATAATTAAAAAGCAACCCCCGGCCAGGCATGGTGGCTCACGCCTGTAATCCTACCAATTTGGGAGGTCAACACGGGTGGATCACCTGAGGTGAGGAGTTCGAGACCAGCCTGGTCAACATGGCAAAACCCCGTCTCTACTAAAAATACAAAAATTAGCCGGTCTTGGTGGTGCACACCTGTAATCCCAGCTACTCGGGAGGCTGAGGAAGGAGAATCGCTTGAACCCGGGAGGTGGAGGTTGTAGTGAGCCAAGATCACACCACTGCACTCCAGCCTGGGTGACAGAGCAAAACTCCATCTCCCAAAAAAAAAAAAAAAAAAAAAAAGCAACCTCTAACACTTGAAGAAAAATGAACAAAATGCTTTTAAATGCACATTGATAACATCAAAACACACCAGCTGAGGTAGAGGGCAAGTGGGGTATACAATGAAATAAAATATACCATGTTGGAGTGTACACCAAAGGTTCATTACATTGTTCTCTCTCATACACATGTGCATATGAAATCAGATTTCATATCCATAGGAAATATCCCATAACTGTATGCCATTTTAAACTGTGGGATGGAAGAGGACTTAGATGTCAAGTGCAGCTTCCTTCTCATCCCAGAATGCCCAGAGGCCTCTGGCCCTCAGTAGGTCACTCATGCTCACGTTTCCAATGTGAAGGCCTCCTGAAGGGGCATGCAACAGCAGCCCGATGCCCGACAACCAGCGGCAGCACTTCTGATGCCCCACTCAAGAAAGTCTACACAGCAGAACCTCAGGGCATTTCTGACACCTTTCTGTGTGTGTTCCCAGTCCTTTAACAACCGCGTGCTCATCTGTTTCAGCCTCACTGCTGCTTTACAAGGGTAGTGCCACATCTGCATCCACACCTGCTTTTAAAGACCTGGGAAAGCAGGTGGGGGTTGGGAGTTAAATAGCTGTGGAGAGGGGAGAACCAGAAGAACTGGGTTCCAGAGAAACCCAGAGCAGGGGCTGTTCCCCATCCACTGACCCCAGCACGCCCAGCCACACCCACCAGGCAAACCGCCACCAGGCTTAGGGCAGAAGGCTCCCCAGGCTGGATGGGGACAGGCTGCACCTCTGCTCTAGCAAGGTCACAGGTCGAGGTGAGGCAGGGTGTTTGCAGCCCTAGGAATAGAACTTATCTCAGTTCAAAGACCCAAAGCACATGTGCACAGAGGACAGTGAAAAGGAGAGCATGCCCCTCAGCCAGGGCCACCCACAGAACCCCAACCAGGAGAAAGCCCTGGATGATGTGATACCTGAGGTGCCCAGAGGGGAAGAAGGGGCAGGTAGGTGGGCTGGCTTCTCCGGACACCTGTCCCTGCCAGGGCAGCCTGTGCCTGTTCCTCTGCAACCCTCCCTCCCTGCCCCGGCTCTCAGGCTTCTATGACAGGCTCAAAGTCCATGTGGATCAACTGTCCACGTGGACTGGCAGATGTTTTGCCACATAAAATGTACATCCACTCACATTCTCAAGAAACAGTCATATGCGATTTCCATTACACCTCTGAATTTATAATGAAAGTTACAGCCAGATGTGATCCAGTGGATCGATGTGATCCAGTGAATTGGCGTTTCCCTACCATTTTTTTTTCAATTCACAATTCCTTTCACAGTAATATACAACCTTAAAAGCCCCCTGGGATTAACATAATATTTAATAATATTCATTACACAGAAAGGCAAATTCTGATGTTTTAAGTAATTAGTGACACATGCTGCTAAAACATTTTAATTTTGTAAGAAACAATCACATGTGGGCAAATTAATTACAAAACAATAAATTATCTCATCTTCTGTATGGACACTAAATACATGGTAAAATATAGATTGAAAACTAATTGTATTATAGGCAAAAGCTGCTGTCATTAACTTAATTTCTGACTTTTTAGTTTTGCTTTAAAGAGCAACTGATTGCCAGGTGCAGTGGCTCAAGCCTATAATCCCAGCATTCTGGGAGGCCGAGGCAGGTGGATCACCTGAGGTCGGGAGTTTGAGACCATCCTGACCAACATGGAGAAACCCCATCTCTACTAAAAATACAAAATTAGCTGGGCATGGTGGCGCATTCCTGTAATCCCAGCTATTCAAGAGGCTGAGGCAGGAGAATCCCTTGAACCCGGGAGGCAGAGGTTGCGGTGAGCCAAGATCGCACCATTGCACTCCAGCCTGGGCAACAAGAGCGAGACTCCATCTCAAAACAAAACAAAAAAAAGATCAACTGATTCTTATTTTAAATGACAAAGTGAGAAACGGCTTTTCTGGCTGCTGCTTGCAAGTACTTCTACACAAATAACATGGCATATGCAAGGGCTGTCCCTGTTTCCCACAAATGGACGGAAGGAAAGGACTCTACGACACAAGCACCCACACACAGTTTTTTTCCACATGTTTTTTGAGTGCTATGGACACCTAGACCAAGAAACCTAACATTTTTATTGAGATAACCCAATTCAGGGTTGGGAGGAGTTGCCCTTGGGAGGAGTCCCAAGGCAAATTTGCAAAATGAGTCCCATTTTTATATTCCCTATTAACTTACATTTCGACATCAATGCCCTCTGCTTCTTAATAACATACGATTACAAATAAAAAGCATATAACATTGTATCATGGTCAGGATTTCCACAGGGCTTTGCGATAAACCCAAAAGGTATCAAAGATACCCTCTCAATTTTTAGAAATCTCCGCTCACCACCACTCTCCCACCGCATAAATACAGAGGCCACACAAAGGCCCATGTTGGAAGAAAACCTTGAACAAAAATAAGTATCTCATTTACTTTGATTTTTCAGTAAATAAAAATCTGAAACCCTTGTTATTTCTACATTTTTAACAATGCCAAACCTGGTACCCTTTCCCAAACCCCTGCTGTAAAAAACTTTATGAAAGATTTTCCTCTGTTCAGGCAGGCACTCTGGCCTGAGGAGTGTCAGGCCTTCTGAGGCACACAGATGAGCCAGAACAAAACCAGCGCAGGACCTGACTCACAGCCACCTGCACTGGTGAGCAGGGGCTCAAGAGAACCTCCACAGCACAGCCCCATCCGCAAAGACTTGAGGCCTCTACTTCCATTTTCATACATTCATTTATTTGTATTTTTATATATATATATATTACTAGTATATTGAGAGTATATTATACATGTTACTAGTATATTGAGAACATTACAGAAATTACACACAAAAAAAGAACTTTTGTTGTTGTTGTTTTTGAGACAGGGTTGCTCTCTGTCACCCAGGCTGGAGTACAGTAGCGCAATCTCAGCTCACTGCAGCCTCTGCCTCCCAGTTTCAAGCAATTCTCGTGCCTCAGCCTCCAAGAAGCTGGGATTACAGGCACCTGCCACCATGCCCAGCTAAGTTTTGTATTTTTAGTAGAGGCGGGGTTTCACCATGTTGCCCAGGCTGGTCTCAAATTCCTGACCACAAGTGATCCGCCTGCCTCAGCCTCCCAAAGTGCTGGGATTACAGGTGTGAGCCACCACACCCGGCCAAAAAAAGAACTTTGGAAAGAAACAACAAATATTCTCTTCCCAAATTTATTCACTTCCTCCTTATCCCAAATGGATCACGAAGCACACCCGGGGGCCTGTACCTCCACTTTTGAGACCACGGCTCTATTACTTTATCAAGTGGAAGATCCCTGCCCTGGTATCTGGTATTGGTGGTAGAGATGAGGACTGGACAGCCTTCCTCCCTCCTGCCCTGCAGGCGCTGTGTCCGCTGCGGGTGTCCTCAGTTCCACGTGCCGTCTGGGGCACTGTTCTCGCCCACTCTCAATAAAGAAATCTCTTCCTCAGCACTCCAGGAAGGCAAATATGTAACAAGGAATTTTATTATGAATGAGTGTTACAATAGATCCAGGACTAGAAGAGAGCATGATCACTATTCCCAGTAATTTGTCTAAAAGGAAAATGCAATCAATGCACCCTGCACCATGGTAACCCTCCACTGTGGGAAAAATCACCTCTGCCAAAGCTCTGCCCTCTGGACCCTCAAGCTCCTTCACTAACAGCCTCACCATCCACCCACTAGACACTTCCACCCACTGGACACTTAATTCCTCCTCAAAAAGTCTTTCCTACCACCCTTCCTGCAACGCAGATGAACGCTGAGAAGAAGAGTTACTAAGCATTCACTCTGTGCAAGGCAGCGTTAGGTATGTTTAAGGGATGTGATCTTCACAGCCCTGTGAAGCAGGTGGATCACAGAGTAATTCCCTTTTGCAGATGTGGAAATAAGAACACAGGTGTCTTTATCAGGCTCCCCAGCTGGGCACGGTGGCTCATGCCCATAACCCCAGCATTTTGGGAGGCCAAGGTAGGTGGATCACAAGGTCGGGAGTTCGAGACCAGCCTGGCCAATATGGTGAAACCCCGCTTCTACTAAAAATACAAAAATTAGCCAGGCATGGTGGCAGGTTCCTGTAGTCCCAGCTACTCAGGAGGCTGAGGCAGGAGAATCGCTCGAACTCAGGAGGTGGAGGTTGTGGTGAGCCAAGATCGCGCCATTGCACTCCAGCCTGGGTGACAGAGTGAGACCCCGTCTCAATAAAAAAAAAAAAAAAAAAAAAATTCAGGCTTCCCAGAAGACACAGCTGGAGCTGGAGCAGTTGTGCCAGCCCTTCAGCAGGGAGTGCACCCCAGGGAAGCGAGGTTGATGGAGGGAGGCCAGCCAGAAGGCGCCAGCACCCAGCCACCCGCTGCAGCAGGCTCTGTATAGCTGCTGTGTCCCCAAGCACTCCTGGGATGGGGAGTGCTTCTGTGTCCAAATTGCAGCCCCCCACCAAGCCTCAGAACTGCTGGATCAAAACTGCAGGGAAGGAAGGACGGGTACAAAAGCCCATGTGTTGGGGATCTTTTCCTCACAATGGGAGGGCAGAAGTGGCTCATTTTTCCTTTAGGGGCCTGGCTGAATAAGCCAGGATGCATCCACACAGGGGACAGAAAACAGTACAGCAGTGGGGTCCTAAGTCACATCATGCATCAGTGACCCAGGTAAGAAGGAGATGGGAGGCCAGCACTTGTCATGCCGTGCTGCTGGTAAGTGGCACAGGGTCCAGACGCAACTGCCACGCAATGTCCCTCACCTCCAGAGTCGGGCACTAGGCAGGTCTGGGTGGTGCATCGGCAGGACGTGGGGGGCAGAGGTGTGCTCAGGAGCGTGGGCTCCATGTCACAGCCCTGCCCCTGCTCCGGCCACTGCTCTCCTTGCCCGTGGCTGCTTCCAGGTAAACACACAAGATACACTCAGCTTAAACCAGAGGACAGCAAATGCCACAGCCACTTGGTTTCACCATAACGACCCTGTATTTTATGAAGGCCAGAGTGAGGAAAGGGAAACTGCTTTTCTAGAGGTTCTTTATAGACCCTTTCTATTAGTTTTCTCAGCCTCAATTAGAAAATTGATGTTCACAGTTACACCAATGCTCCCCATCCAAGAAACCCTGGTCAAGAGACAAGAGGTGCTCTGTCTCCAGACTGAGGACGTGGCAGGAGAAAGCACCAAAGAAAATCCTGAGCCTGCTGGCGGCCATACTGACACAGGGAATAACACCCCCACCTGTGCACAGCTTCTCCTTCCCTCTAGCTGAACTTCATCAAGTCAGCAAGTTAAGAAAATACAGAGGCTCTGAAAAGTTCCCAACGGACATGTTTTCAGCTGCGGCCTATTTATATGCCCTGAAATGGACTCAGGTTCTAAAGCACCTGTGTTGTTGCATGAGCACTTTTGCCAGGCATAACCTGTGACAGGAGCTGAATCTGGACACCTGTCTGAGCACACAGGGCTTGGCTGGAGCGAAATAAAATGCACCCTTTTAAGAGGGAAATAGAAGATGTTTACCCTAGAAAGATTTCTTTATACGGCCCAAATATAGCAAAACTCAGAGCCAAGACTGGCTCTGAGGTGCTGAATAGTGGTAGTTCCGTTCAAGAAAGATTTCAAAACAAGATCTCCTCCAAAGATGCAAATTCTTGGTTAGAGTCCTGAATTTCCTCAATATGCTCATTCATTCACATATCTATGATGTGCCCACTACGTGCCAGGCACTGTTCTCAGGAGCCTCGTGGGGAAGAGAGGGTAAGGGAACATAGGGTGAATTTTGGCAGAAGACAAAAACATCCGGCTTCCTTACACTTAAATAATTTTTTAAAGACACAATGTTTTTTCACTGGATAAACAGATAATGCAAATACAAATATTCCTGGGAGAGACAACATAAATTTAATCACCATCATCAGATGCTACCTTGAGACTGGACTTTAAAGGCAGAATATTTCTAGAGAAAACAGAGGTGCTAAAAGGAGAAATAATAAATACGGACACTAAAGTTATGCAAAAAGAATTCTGAAAGACCCAAAGGTCTTTTTTTCAAAATTGACTTGATGGCAATTTGCTCAATAATTACTATGTGCCTAAAATACATTTTATTATTCGACTTAAAAAAAAATCAAAACCAAAAAAAAACAAGAAATCAGATTTTAGAAATTTGCAAGTATGTATGTTTGTTCCTGGTACATAGTACTGACATATTAACTTATTTTTGTTCAATTTAATTATTCCTATACAGACAGTAGGGGGGTCATGAGCTAAGGAGTGTGTACAAGCCAGTCTTCCTCCTCTGCATCAACCTAAATCCTCTACATCCTTTAGGGTCTGCACAGGCCCTGCTACTCCCAGGAATGCTTGGGACAGGCCGCCAGGCCTGGTGTATCTCCACGCTGGGGAGTCTGTGTATTGTTTCACCAGCCTCAGTGCGTGTCACCTGTCCATGGCTGCTTTCTCCATATAATGGCAGGGTTGCGTCGTCACCAGAAACACAGGGCCACAAAGCTGCAAATATCTGCTGATTCCTGACCCACAGGATAAAGCAGGAAAGCTTGCAGGGCACACCATGCTCTCCTGAACCTAAACCTAGACTGGCTCCTGCTCAATGCACCACTTCATTCCACACTTTCCTCATTGCTTTTTGTAAACCCACTGGCTGGTCCTTGGAGCTGCTGGGCTACTCCTTAGTAAGCCCCAACACTTCTGTTCTCACCAGTTTGGGGATATTCTCACCAGGAGGCAACTACTTACGTCAGTCACGGTTAACTGCTTTAATCCCACTAGTTAATTTTACAGAAGGTAATGGGTGCACAGAGAAAGCGTAGCATGAGTCTCATGAAACCTACATTAAATATTTAAGAAAAACAAAGGTGAGCTGCTTTATAAAATGAGTAAATCGATAAAAGTTTACTTAGGTGATGGAGAGGAAACTGAAAAAGACTGAGGAGGGAAAAAACTCATCAGTTTCAGGATTCTGCACTCAGATTTTAATCACAATTATTTGCATGCTCTTAGCTGGCTTTAAAGAAACTGAAACCAGTCGGACACAGTGGCTCACACCTGTAATCCCAACACTTTGGAAGACCGAGGCAGGAGGATCACTTGAGGTCAGGAGTTCTAAGACCAGTTTGGCCAACATGGTGAAACCCCATATCTATGAAAAATACAAAAATTATGGGCATGGTGGCGTGTGCCTGTAATCCCAGCTACTCGGGAGGCTGAGGCAGGAGAATCGCTTGAACCCAGGAGACAGAGGCTACAGTGAGCCAAGATCGTATCACTGCACTCCAGTCTGGGTGACAGAGCAAGACTGTCTCAATATAAATAAATAAATAAACAAACAAACTGAAACAATGAATTCTGGACATGGCCCTCTATCAAAAGATTGCTCAATACATGTAAATGCATATTTTTTAAGCATTTAACATTTTAAACTCACTCATTTAACTAAGTGAGCAATCTTCAGTGCCAATCAGGGCACATAAATGGTTTCTACTATTGCATGCTTCAGTTCCCTCCGCTCCCTGTTGTTTCATACAAGTACACCCCACTCAAGGTATGATTTTTTTCCAGTAGGCTAGATTTTATCCCCATTTTGCAGATTATAACATTGAGCTTGGGTTTTAATAACTTCGCAAGGTCTCACAATTCATAGTGTATGTTTCATCCCAGGCAGTCCGATTCCAAGAGGCAATCCTCATCAACTACTCTATTATACTCACTCCAGGGAAGCCAGAACTACAAAATAGTTAAAATTAGAAGAATCATCAGTATTTATCTCCCTATTTATCACTCCATCATGGGCGACGCAAGAAAAAAATCATTTAAATTTGGAGCTTTAAAAAGGAAAATTCAGAATATTGGGAACATGCACACTCAGGAAAGAGACTAATCCATGGCTCTTCAAGTTCCAATCTAGATCTGAAAATATCAGTGAAATTGCGCTTGGACCTCTAAAACACTCAAAGAGGCAAAGGGTTGCACAAATTGGACACACAGGGCCTGAGGCATTTCTTCAAATGATGTTTTTCTGGCATTTCCACACCAAAGCTTGTACTTTGGGAGTCTCCCCATGTCTAAATTAAAGCCCAAGACAAGCCATTGGGCTAAGACATGTAATTCACAATTCTAGGGTCACAATTCTGCTCTTATCTGCAGGTAAAGACAACTTAATACTACACAAGTCCAGTCATTTCTCCCCCTCTCTATGTCTGCGTTTTCATCTATGGAACACAATACCAACAACAACAACAACAACAACAACAACAACAACAACAAAAACATCCTTCTCTTAAGGAATAAAAGTCAAATAATAGGGCATTGAAAAGTTACCTCAAAGCCAGGCGCAGTGGCTCATGCCTATAATCCCAGCACTTTGGGAGGCCAAGGTAGGAGGATCACTTGAGGTCAGGAGTTCAGGATCAGCCTGGCCAACATGGTGAAACCCCACCTCTACTAAAAATACAAAAATCAGCCGGGCATGGTGGCACATGCCTGTAATCCCAGCTACTTGGGAGGCTGAGGCAGGAGAATCGCTTGAACCTGGAGGCAGAGGTTGCAGTGAGCTGAGATCGTGCCACTGCACTCCAGCCTGGGCAACAGAATAAGACTCCATCTCAAAAAAAAAAAAAAAAAAAGAAAAAGAAAAGAAAGTTATCTCAAAATACAAAGCTGCATACTTTGTGAATTTTTAATGTATATTCTAGCTTGTTACAAAGGTTATGTGTGGTGAACAGTAGCTACCACTATCTAAAATTCCTCATTTACCAAAAAACAAAAACAAACCCATATCTGCAGTGACATTCCTAAGGAAGTCATCATTGACATCAGGGAATGAAGCCTTGAAGCTGACTTACCTTGTGACACCTGCTTCTGCCGTTAGACTGAAAATTAGTCCTCAATCATCAGCTCTTGCCTGTCTGAGTGACTGGACAGCTACATCTGCAGCATATTTATAGCAGCTGGATCTATCTGGCATTTAAAACTCAAGATTCTAAAAATGAATGACAAGTTCTACCAGAGAGACAAACTAATTTTACCTATTTGAAAATAGCTAACTTGCCTAAATTGTTCAATAATTAAATACAATTCCCAAAATACTTAAACACTTCAGTGTTTTGGGAATGCCAACGCCTCATAAAACCTATTTTAGGTGTTTATATTTTGAAGTGTCATCGAACCGCCACAGTTCACGTACCCAGTGCTGTTTTCTCTGGTGACGCCAACTCCCCCTGTAGCAGTTGGGTCCCCCTCACCCATCAAATGCGATCTTCTTCAGTCATCTGTTCTGGGCTCTCCTCCCTTCCCTGTAATGCTCTCCTTAGACCACAGGACATCGTAGCCTCGAATACCACCATGCTCACAGTTCCCCCCAGTCCATGCCTTAAGTGAGGCCCTCGCTCCCCTTCCCCAGCACAGGACCTGCAGCTGCCAGCTGTGCATCGCATGGGCCGCCTCCCGCTTCACTCCCCACACGGTAGACACACAGCACTTCAAACTCACACCCAGCCTTGCTGCAACGCCTTCCCTCCCAAACACACCTTCCCTCCCAAACACACTGCACATGACCCTCACTGCTCGCAGGAGAAGAGCACCCTGTCCTTTGTCCTCCAGTGCTGACTGTATCACCGCCAAAATCTTGAATGTGTCCTCCTGGGCATGGTCCTGAGGCAGCTCTAGGTGAGCTCCCCTTCATCTGTTTGTCTCATCAACACAACAGGCTCCTGACTGCATTCCACTTCTTAGTCTTTGCTTTCAAAGAAACCAGCCAAGCTGACCATTCATTATCCATGAAAGAAGGAAAGAATTGTACCCCACAGAATGGATGTCTGGTGCTGGGCAGAGAAGACCACTTTTTCACAGATGCAGTGACTTTACTATGGAAGGCTGAGCCTCAGGAGCTCAGCTGAAATACTCTAGCCCATCATTAAGCACACTTTTGTGCGTAGGCTCAAAATGTCCTTTCCTATTTGTGCAGTGGAGGATTTTCATTCAATAAATGACTTTCATATGAAAACTCCAAGTTCAGGGATGCCATGCCTTGTACAACAGACGTATTCTAGAAAACAACAGTGTAAGTATTAATTTTTGTAAACCAGTCATGTTTTAAAATATAAGATAGAAGATCAGCATTTGGGAATCTGAGATACTTTCAGGGTTTTCTGAGATACTTTCAGTAAAAAGAATTCTCTGATAGCAATCATTTGATTTGATTTTTAGGTCTGCATATGTACGCACATGGCTTTGTCTGAAGTGGGAAACACCGATATTAACAAATTAAAATACAAATCATCTGGCCGTGCAATTCAACTCTTTGCTGCCTGAACCTCCATCTTCCAGGGAGACAGAGCAGTGAGAAGCAACAAAGACAGGGCTGAAGAGGACGGGAGAGGCTCAGGACAGGTGAGGGACGCACGTGGAGCCGCTCCATGTTTGTTCTGCTCTGCACATGAGAGAGAGGGGTCACCCCTGCGGGCTGGAGGGGAGAGGCCCAAGGGCTGGCTGTGGAGGGGACAGTTGCACAGTGTCCAGGCTGCCCTCCTGCAAAGGACCTGAGGGAGAGGCAAGAACAAGGCTGATTTGTATCCAAATTTTGAGGCACAAGTCCCCTCCATCCTCCTGGTTTTTTCCCTCTGCCAGTAATGCTGTGCGAAATTGAAGAAAGTTCTATGTCAAGGTTCAGTACTCCCTTTTTACAACGAGGATTTGTTTTTGATTGCTGGGGAACCACTGCCTCCAGTTCTGTCTGACAGGGCCTGGCTGTTCTGAGATCCCAGCTCCACGGCCACATGTGGTCACCGCAGCCCATGCAGAGCAGGTCTGGGGGGAATTCTCCCCTGGGTCTCTCTCAAGGCACCCTCAGCAACAGTGCACTCCAGCTCCACCTGCCACCACCACCACCGCCACTGGCATCAGCTGCCACCAGCCACCACCAGCCGCCACCAACCACCACCAGCCGCCACCAGCCACCACCAGCCGTGACTGCTCTTGTGAGCTCCGCACGCAGCCCACCCAGGAGGCCTGTCCCAACAACGGTGAAAACACAGAGCCCAGAAGGCTGGCGATTCCACCTTCCCCTCACAGTGGAAAATCAAGGCCCCTGTCTCCATGCTGATTGATGAGAATGTTTCCACAGCCTGATTAGGGGCTGTAGGCCTCTCTCTCCCCTGCTTGTTTTCTTTTCCTCTGACCTGCTCTGCCGGGGTTTTGTGAGGTTGTCTGTTTTAATAAAGAAGCCCTTATCTTCCTTATATTTACTCTTCAATGGAAATGAGCCTCATCCTTTTTCCTACAAAAGCCCTTTGGCTTTTCTAAATGATAAACATTGGGGGAAGAATTGTTTGAAGAAACAAATATCAAGCTCATAAATGAAAATGTGCACTGAGGCTCTGGGACCATGCAACTTCTTCTGTTTACAATAACACAGGAATTCTAAGGAGCCCATTTTAATTGGCATTCACAGATATGGGCTGGGTGACAGCACTCATGCACAGCACATTTTGAAGCTGTTCTCAGACATTTCTTAATCCATGAGTAACTGTTTCAGGGAGGCTGGGGACTGTCGTGGCAGTAAAAGGCAGCAGCACCAAGAGCTATGTAAGTTGGTCCTGCTGTGGCTTCCTGGGAGCCCTGTCCTGGGGTTCCTTCTGGGAAAGGCGAATGGAACCTGAGCTTCTATGAAAGGAGTCACCCTGTGGAAGCTCCTCCGGCCGGGGACGGGCCATACCCAGGGACTGCACACAGGTGGCCTTGCCTGCCACAAGCCCTATCCACTGTGGGCTTTCTTGCTTTTCAGGCTTTTCCTTCCCCTCTTGATAATGCCAGTCCTTGTCATTTATCGTTCAAACCTTCCACAAGCTTTAAGGAACACCTCCAACCCGCCAGGGACTGCACAAGGTGTGGGGGATGAAAGGAGACACAGACACAACCCACTGCCCGCAGTAAACACTGCCAGGGCTGAGCTGGGGTGGCTGGGAGCTGCAGCTGTGTGGGGCAAAGGGGAGATGTGAACAGGCCTTGCAGAGTGAGCAGGCAGGTAAGAAGGAAGACACCTCCAGGAGATGGGAGGAAAACCCAAGGGCATTCTGGAAAGCTGGACGCTGGTGTTGGCTGGCCCTTAAGGGTGCCTGGGCCCAGAAAGGGAAGAGTTCAGAGGTGGCTTTTACCATACAAGGGAGAGGAGTCAGCTGAGGCTCATAAGATTTGACCAGCTAAGAGGTGAAATGTAGGAGAGGGCACCACAGAAAAGGAGATGCATCTGGGAGCAGCGAACACACAGATGGTGAGGGCCAGAAGACAATGACACAGCCCTCCTGTCCTCACACCAGCTCCACTGAGGCCCCATCATCAACCTCTACCAAAGCAGCACCTGGAGGAAAGGATCACAGGCCAGTCATCCTTCCCAGAGCCAGGCCAGGGATGCTCATTGCCAAGGCACAGAACAAGGCCTTCCCTGTTTCCATGACGGCCACACATGCGCAGGGACCCAAGCCAATGACCGACTAAGTTAAAATGGGCTAGGTCTGCTCTCACGGAAGCCTGAGGGTGAGTTCATGAATATGTGTGCCTTGCTCTAAGAGAGAAGGTATGTGTGTGCATCTGTGTGTGTGCATGTGTGCATGCAGAAGTGTAAATACACACATGTGCTTGTGAGGGAAGGAGAGAGAGAATAGAGCAAACACACCTGTTAACATCTGTGGCATCTAGCTGAAGACGACGTGGGAATTCTTTGTTATTCCAAAATAAAAAGTTAAAAAATATATCTTTAAAAATTGACGACAGGACTGTTGAGCACACAGTGGTAATCTCTCTCTGATACTTCAGCTCACACGCAGCAAGAGTCGGTGCCCTCATCCCGCCCACCCGACTTTGGGCTAATTCATGGTGTGTATATTAGACACTAACAAATAGCAAGTTGGACAGCGGGCTAGAGGAAGGGATGGACGGGCTGCTAGAGAGATACAAGGGTGGAATACTCTGCCCATTGTAGTTTCTACACTGCCAAATGGAGGTGGTAACAATGCCGCCCCTACAGTGTTGCTACAGGGATCCAGCACGGCAGGGCATTGTGAGAGCAGGGGGCACAGAGCCAGGTAAGAACACTCAAGAGGCACAGCAGATGGACAGACAAGTCATGTCACTTGTAGCCCAGACTCTCTAAATACTTTCTGACCACCCAACAATATTCCCAAGCTGCCTCTGAGGAACTAGCAAGTAAGAGAGGACATATCTGTCAACATCATAGGGCAGATTCATTTCGTTATTTACTGATCTCTTCTCTGTGCCTGCGTGAAGTACAGCAGAGAGACACAACAAATCAACAGCGGGCCCCTAGGGACGTCTCAACTACAATCATCTCTCTGAATCATATCTCTGAACTAAAAACATAGTGGCCAGCCTTGAGTGCCAGCTCTGCAAATACTAGAACGCAATACCCGTATCAAATGATAAATAAATTTAGAAGCTCCACATTCACAGAGACTCCCACACACATGCACACCAAACAGGGTGAATCTAATCTGGAGATTAGCTGAATTGAGAAGCCGTCCCAAGGAAGAGCATGCTCAGTGAGAGCCCAGAGCCAGGTGGACAAGGCACCCTCATCTATGATCATGCAGGCCCCTCCTCCCAGCTGCCTGGGGAGACAAGCATGCTATATTTAGACAGGATCTTTTTTTTTTTTTTTTTTTGAGACACAGTCTCACTCTGTCGCCAGGCTGGAGTGCAATGGCGCGATCTCGGCTCACTGCAACCTCTGCCTCCCATGTTCTAAGTAATTCTCCTGCCTCATCCTCCCAAGTAGCTGGGATTACAGGCGTGTGCCACCACGCCCAGCTAATTTTGTATTTTTATTAGAGTCGGGGTTTCACCATGTTGGCCAGGCTGGTCTCGAACTCCTGACCTCAGGTGATCTACCCACCTCAGCCTCCCAAAGTGCTGGGATTACAGGCGTGAGCCACGGCACCTGGCCTAGACAGGTTCTTGACTCAAGCCTCCAAATCCAGGCAGTGATAGACCAGCCCCACCATGTGCCCTTCTACCAAAAGCAAAAATAACAGCACACTTTTTTACAGTATGAAAATGACACCAATCATCTAGAGAACAGGAAAATTAAAATCCCCCAACGTGTAGCATCTGCTTTTCCAGACGATTTCAGTTTGGAGATAACTGTCAATTACAGGAACAACAAAACTACAAAACACACCCAGCACAATGCACATTGTGACTAATCACAGCACCCACGCAGCAGGCGGCAGGTGGCCGGGGAAATGCTTTTCTCCTAAGACACTTGCAGTCCTGTAAGGAGTGATACAGCTGTTGTCATACTCAAATTACCATCAGGGCCTGCCCTGTGTACTAGTCCTGCACTGACAGTGAATAATCCTATGGCTTGGCTTTCTAAAAACCCAGTGATACACAGAGAGGCTGCCTGACAAATGTATGGGAAAGGCGTGGCACACATTTTAAATTCATCATGAAGTTTCAGCATCTTTCAAAGTAGCTACACTAAATCCCTGGTCATAAGGGATATAATCCCAAAAATGTATGGAAGAAGCTAATTAAGAGAGCCATGACTAACTACTAAAGACTAAAGGGAATGGGTGGCATTTACTCCATGTACTTCCAACGTGCATTATACTTTCTTTAATAATTCTGTTTCCTCTTTGTTATTAAATAAATCACCTGAAATTTTTAACTATATTCACCAGGTTCTCCAATTATTTTAATATGAAATCAACTGGCACATTTTTCTAAAATAGACTTTTTTCTTTTAGCAGTTTTAAGTTCAAAGCAAAGTTGAGAGGGAGGTGCAGAGATTGCCCGTATTCCCTCTGACCTTACACATGCAGAGCCTCCCCGACAACCCACGCCCCACCAGACTGGAACATCTGTTGCCACTGATGAACCTCTGTGGACACATTATTATCACCCAGCGTCCACAACCTACATTAAGGTTCACCTGTGGTGTCGCACATTCTGTGGGTTAGGACAAATGTACAATGACACGTATTCATCATCATAGTATCATACAGAGTATTTTCATTTCCCTAAAAATCCTCTGTTCCTGCTCTTTCCCCCTCCTGACCCCTGGCAACAGCAAACACTGATCTTATCTTGCCTTTTCCAGAATGTCACAGAGTTGGAATCATACAGCATGTGGCCTTTTCAGATTGGCTTCTTTCACTTGGTAACATGTATTTAAGGTTTTTCCATGTCTTTCTATGGCTTGATGGCTCATTTCTTTTTAGCATTAAATAATATTCCATTGCCTGAATATAACAGGAACATGCACTTTATAAGAAAAATCATTTAGATGGAATAACACATTGTGCCCTCTCTCCTCCACATAGAGCAGCAAAAAAAATCTGGCCAGAATGCAAGGAACAGCTATTTGATGACTCTGAGAAGTTGGGATTAGAGACCAGAATTCGAAGTACCACGAAAACAGCACTCAGTTTAACATTTTTTTTTTCCCAATCCTGGATTCAATGCAGCCTGAAACCTGGGCAGTGGGCAATGGCTTAGACAGAGAGAGCTACAAGAGAAACCTTCTAGTGCTGGGCTAAAGAGAAGGGAATGGGTCCCCTAATGTTTAATGAGGAGGGAGAATTCTCTATTATGCTCATCTCCCTGCTCCTATGAGCCCCAGTCCACAAGCAGTCCTGAGGTGGCAGAGTGGGTGACAGCAACAGTGGCAGCACAGGGACTCGCAAAGCTTCAAACACAAAAAGAGGAAAACTCTTCTCTCGGATCAGAGGAGCTGTGGTCCCAAGAGGATGGAGTAAACCCCACTGCTTTTTTCTCCTTTCTCTTTTCTGCTGCTGCTTTGCCCCGTCTGTAGGTGCAGTCACAGGATATGTGCAGCAAAGCAGGGTAAATAAAGCCTAGTTTTCTGGCTGGAGCACAAAAAGGAAAGGTCTAGGGAAGTAGAAAGCACTGAGACACTTTGGAGAGGGAGGAACAACATAAAGTCATTTGTGAACTCCTGGGTGCGTCCCCAAACTGCACACGTATGGATCTGGTCCTGGGTGGCTTTAAGAACTGAACAGACCACCACCCAAGTTCCCAGACTGGCCACCGGTAGCAGAAACATGAGAAGATCTGAAGAGCACTGTACAGACTTTCAAACTTAACTACCATTGAAATGACAAGCACAAAGGGCCCAGCAGAAATTTAAACACGAACCCAACTAGGTCAATTGCCAGATTTAAAAATTATATATGTCAACATTCTCCATAAGCTTTAAATAAGAGCCAGAGTACCATAATGAAATAGTCAAAATGTCTAGGAAATAATAGAGGTTTACAAAATGACTAGGAAATAATACAGGTTATAAAAATGCTCTAAGTTAAGGGCAAGAACGCTTGAAATGAATGAAAACTTAGTAAGTCTTGGCAAAGAAATAGAAGATATAACGAAGAAACAAAAGAAAATTTTAGATTTGAAAATACAATAACTAAAATGAAAAACTCAAGGAATGGGCTCAACAGCAGACTCACTGACTTTGCATACAGGTCAACAGAAATCATCTAATCTGAACAACATAAAGAGGAAGGACTGTAAAAATGAACAGGCATAGGGACCTATGGGGCAATACCAACAGGTCTAATTTTCATGTCAATGGGATCCTAGAAAGAAAGGAAAAATAATGTGGTACACAAAACATATTTCACAAATTAACAGAAAACTTTTCAAATTTCACAAAACTTCCTGAAAGAAAACAGATTCAAGTAGTTCAGCAAACCCTATACAGGATGAGTACAAAAAAAGCCCACACTCTGGGACATCATTATCAAAGTGCTTAAAACTAAAAACACGGAAAAAACCTTGAGAATCACCAAAACAAAGTGACATTTCTTAAATGGAAATAATCTGAATGACTACAGAAACTACAATGGCTAGAATGAAGTCGAAACAACTTTTAAAGTACTGAGATAAAAAAAAAAAAAACTGTAAACCATGTTACTATATCCAGTAAATATATCCTTCAAGTATGACAGTGAAACAAAGATATTCTCAAATGAAGGCAAAGAGAATTCACTGCCAGCAGGCCTGTTCTAGAATAATTGTTAAAGTAAGTTCTTCAGATAGAATAGAAATAGTATGGAAAGAAAACTTGGAACATGAGGAGGAACAGACATGTTAAACATCTAGGCCAATACATGATTCTTCTTTTTTGAGTTCTTTAAAATGTAGATGTAACACATAACCATGAAGGATACCTATGTAATAGTAAGTTATACTCCACATAAATGGTAAAATACTGATTCTAAGGAGACTGTGAGAAGTTTGATTATTTTAATCCCTAGAAAACCCACGAAAATAAACAAAGGGATATACTAAAAATCCCAGTAGATACATTAAAATAAGATACTAAAAAATCTCAAACAACTCAAAGATTGGAAAGAAGAAACAAGAATGCAAGTCAGGCAACAAAGAAAAAAATAGTTAAATGGTTGATCTAAATCCAAAAATATCAGTAGAGATGATAGGCCATTATCCTTCATTTATGCAAATGATTTGATGTAACGTAATAGTTTAATATAATTATTTAATGTAAATGGTCTAAACAATCCAACTAAAAGACAGATATTATTTAACTACATGCTATCTTCAAAAAACTCACTTTAAATATGATTATGTAGGTGGTTAGAGGTAAACTGATGAAAAACCACACCTACAAATATTACTCAAAAGAAAGCTGGGATGGTTATATTAATATCAAAGTACAGACATCAGACAAATCAAAGAAAATTACCAGGGATAAAGAGAGACATTACATAAAAGAGTCAATTCAACAAGAAGATATAACAATCCTAAACTTCAATACACCTGACAATGAAGCTTTGAAATAGATACAACAACAATGAAATAGATAAAACCACAATTAACTTTTGAGACAATACTCTCTTACAAATCAATACAACTCATACACAGAAAATCAACAGGAATATAGAAGAACTCACAAATACAATCAACCAACTTGATTTAATTGACATTACTAGAATTCTACCCAACTGTACCAGAAAATACATTGTTTTCAACAGCAAATAGAACACTAACCAAGATAGACAATCTCCTGGGACATAAAACAAACCTTACCAAATATAAAAAAAAAAAATTACAAGGCATACAAAAGTATGTTCTCTAACCATACTGAAATTAGACCGGAAATCAGTAACAAAGATAACCATAAAATCTATAAACACTTGGAAATGTAATCATATATGACTACAGAATGCATGGAGAAAGAGAACTCTGAGGGACTTGAGCATACAGCTTTTAAAAATCATGACTGGTGGGATGATGATAAAGAAGTGCTTAGAAGGAAATGTAGAGCATTAACTGCGTATATAAGAGAGGAAAATTCTCAAACTAATCATTTAAACCTCCATTTAAATCAAATTTGAAAAAGTAGAGCAAAACAAACCCAAATCATATACAAGGAAATTGCTGAAACAGAAAAAAGGCAATAGAAAACAATGACCACAAAAGATTTTTTATAATAAATCTGAGAAACCTATAAAAAGAATGACAAAGAAGAGAGAAGACACTAATTACTAACATGAGGAATAAAAAAGAAGATATCACTACAGAGACCACAGACAATACAAGAATAATAAGGGAATGCTATGAACATATCTACACACATAAATTCAGCAACTTTAAATGACACAGATCAATTTCTCAAAAATCACTACCAACATACACTCATTAAAGATTAAATAGATAATTCAAATGTACCCATTTAAAAATTTGAATCTGTAGTTTTTGTTTGTTTGTTTTTTTGTGAGATGGAGTTTCGCTCTTGTTGCCCAGGCTGGAGTGCAGGGGCGCGATCCTGGCTCACTGCTGCCTGTGCCTCCTGGGTTCAAGCAATTCTCCTGCCTCAGCCTCCTGAGTAGCTGGGATTACATGTGCGCACCACCACGCCCAGCTAATTTTTGTATTTTTAGTAGAGACGGGGTTTCACCATGTTGGTCAGGCTTATCTCAAACACCTGACCTCAGATGATCCGCCTGCCTCGGCCTCCCAGAGTGCTGGGATTATAGTTGTGAGCCACCGCATCTGGCCAAATCTGTAGCTTAAGAACATTATGAAAAAAGAAATTTTTAGACCCAGGTGGTTTCACTGGCCAATTTTACTAAGCATTTAAAATGAAAAACAAAAAATGAAAAAACACCAATAACATCAGACAGACACATCACAAGAAAACTATACACAAATATCTCTCATGAATACAGATGCAAAATTCCTCAAAAAAATAGAATCTAGCAATATATAAAAAGAATAGGCTGGGCACGGTGGCTCATGCCTGTAATCCCAGCACTTTGGGAGGCCAAGGTGGGCGGATCACAAAGTCAGGAGATCGAGACCATCCTGGCTAACAGAGTGAAACCTCGTCTCTACCAAAAATACAAAAAAAAAAAAAAAAAAAAAAAGCACTAGGCATGGTGGCGGGTGCCTGTAGTCCCAGCTACTCGGGAGGCTGAGGCAGGAGAATGGTGTGAACCTGGGAGGCAGAGCTTGCAGTGAGCAGAGATTGCGCCACTGCACTCCAGCCTGGGCAACAGAGCAAGACTCCGTCTCAAAAAAAAAAGAAAAAAGAATAATACACTACAATCAAGGAGGTTTAATCTCAGGAATGCAAGGCTGGTTCAATATTTGAAAATCAGTTCATGTAATTCACCATACTGACAGTTTAAAGAAGAAAAATCACATGCGTGTATCAATCAAAGCAAAGACAAGCATTTGATATAATTCAGTATCAACAAGTCTCAGTAAATTAGAAATAAAAAAAAAAAACTTCCTAAGCCTATTAAACTATAGCTATAAGGCCAGGCATGGTGGCTCATGCCTGTAATCCCAGCACTTTGGGAGGCCGAGGCAGGTGGATCATGAGGTCAGGAGTTCGAGACCAGCCTGGCCAACATAGTGAAACCCCATCACTACTAAAAATACAAAAATTAGCTGGGCATGGTGGCATGCATCTGTACTCCCAGCTACTCAGGAGGCTGAGGCAGGAGAATCACTTGAACCCAGGAGGCAGAGGTTGTGGTGAGCCAAGATCGTACCACTGCACTCCAGCCTGGGCAACAAAGCAAGACTCCGTCTCAAAAAAAAAAAAAGGTATAAAAAAACCTACCTCCAATATCAAGCTTCACAAAGAAAGACTGAATGTTTTCCCCTAAGATCAGGAACAAGGTAAGAGTGTGTATTCTCACTACTTCCATCCAACTTTTTTTTTTTTTTTTGAGACAGAGTCTTGGTCTGTCACCCAGGCTAGAGTGCAGTGGCACAATCTTGGCTCACTGCAACCTCTACCTCCTGGTTTTAAGCAAATCTCTGCCTCAGACTCCTAAGTAGCTGGGAAAACAGGAGCGTGCCAGCACACCTGGCTAATTTTTGTATTTTTAGTACAGACAGGGTTTCAACATCTTGGCCAGGCTGGTCTTGAACTCCTGACCTCGTGATCCACCCGCCTCAGCCTCCTAAAGTGCTGGGATTACAGGCATAAGCCACCGTGCCCAGCTATTCAACTTCTTACTGGAAATCTACACTGTACAATAAGAAGAGAAAAACAAATAAAAGGCATCAAATTTGGACAGAGAGAAATAAACCACACCTTTTTTCTAGACATACATAGCAAATCCCAAGGAATCTGCAAAGAAAAAAAAAAAAAGCAAAAATCCTCACAGAATTGATAGAGTTTAAAGCAAGCTCATGGAATACAAAGTCAACACACAAAAATCAAGTATATTTCTATACTAACAATCCATAATTAGGAATTAAAATTTTAAAATGCCATTTACAAACATCTACCAAAAAAGTAAAGTATTTAGGTATAAGTCTAGTTGACATGGGTAAGATTGTATGCTGAGAACTACAAAACACTGGTTAATGAAATCAAAGAAAACCTAGAAAAATGGAGAGACATATATTCATTGGTCAGACGACTCAAATTGATTTACAGATTTAACAAAATTTCAAATTCTCAGCATGGCTGTTTTTGTAGACATAGACAAACTGATCTGAAAATTTATATGGAAAGGCAAAGAAATGAGAAGAGCCAAACTAATTTTGAAAAATAAGAATGTTGGAGGAATCACATTACATAGCCTTAAGACTTACTATAAAGCTACAGTATTCAAGATAGTGTGATATTGGTGAAGCAACAGTTATAAATCAATTAAACAAGACTGACAATCAAGAAATAGATCCACATAAATATATTCAAGTGATTTTTTATGAAGGTGTAAAGGCAATTAAATAGACGAAAGACAGTCTTTTCAACAAATGGTATTATAACAATTGGATACCCTATGCCAAAGAAAAATGAGAAGTAGCAGAAGAACTTCGACCTAAGTCACATGCCTTATACAACAATTAACTCAAAATGGACCACTGATCTAAATGGAAAAGTAAAGGTATAAAACCTTCAGAAGAAACATCCAAGAAAATATTCATGGCCTGGGTTAGGCAAGAGTTCCTAGATATGGTGCCTAAATCATGTCTAGAGCATAAAGTTTAAAAAAAAAAAAAAGCTGTACTTCTTCATAATTAAAATTTTCTACTCTTCCAAAGACACTGCTAAAGAATAAAAACACAAGATACTGACTGAAAAAAAAAAATCTGCAAATCACATATGACCTAGGAGCTGTATCCACATTATATAAAGAAACTTCAAGTAACTAAAAAAAAAAAAGCAAAAAAAAATCTAATTTTAAAATGGCAAAGGACATGAACAGATACTTCTTAAAATAAAATATCCAAACAGCCAAGAAACATATGAAAAAACTGTTCATCATCATTAATCATCAGAGAAATGCAAATCAAAACCACAATGAGATGCCATCTCACACTAGTCAGGACGGTGATTATCAAAAAGTCAAAAAATAACAGATGTTGGTGAGACTGTAGAGAAAGGGGAATACATACACTGTTGATGGGAATGCAAATTAGTTCAGCCACTGTGGAAAGTAGTTTAGAGATTTCTCAAAGAACTTAAGCATAACTACCATTCAATGAAGCAATCCCATTACTGGATATATATCCAAAGGAAAAGAAACCATTGTGCCAAAAAGACACATGCCACTCATATGTTCACTGCAACACTATTCACAATAGGAAAGACATGGAATCAACCTAAGTGCCCATCAATGGTGGACTGGATTAAAAAAATATGGTACATATACACCATCGAATACTACACAGCCATAAAAAAGAATTAAATCATGTCCTTTGCAGCAACATGGATGCAGCTGGATGCCACTATCCTAAGTGAATTAATGCAGGAACAGAAAACCAAATACTGCATGTTGTTACTTACAAGCGGGAGCTAAACATTGAGTACACATGGACACAAAGATGGGAACAACAGACACTGGCGATGTTGGAGGTGGGGAGGAAAGGAGAGGAGCATGGGTACCACACTCACTACCTGGATAATAGGATCAGCCATTCCCCAAACCTCAGCATCCCGCAATATACCCATGTAACAAAACTGCATATGAACCCTCTTATTCCAAAATAAAAGTTGAAAAATCAAAAAATAAAAACAATCCCACAGAATAAGAAAACAAACAACCCTTTGAAAAACAGGCAAAAGACTTAAAAGACAGGCAAAAGATTTCCCCCAAAAAGACATATGGATGGTAAATAAACACATAAAGCTTCGCCATCGTTAGCCTTTAGGTAAATGCAAGTTAAAACCATGATGTAATACTAATATATAAGAATAGCTAAAATGAAACAATCTTAAAAATATCAAGTGCTGGTGAGGATACAAAGCAATTGGAGCTCTCATGCACTGCTGGTGGGAATGCAAAATGGTACAGACACTCTGGGAAACCATTTGGCAATTTCCTAAAATGTTAAACACTTTATGCATATAGTTATGACCCAGCACTCCCACTCCTGGGTATTTACCCTAAAGAAATGAAACTGTAGGTTCACACAAACACCTGTACATGAATGTTTATAGCAGCTCTATTCACACTCACAAAACACTGGAGAAAACCCAGATGTCCTGCAATGGGTGGATGGGTAAACAAACAGTGGTGGACCCATATGATAGAAGATGACTCTGCATAATAACTGGGCTACAAAGTGAGACTCTGTCTCAAAAAAAAAGAAAAAAAAATGAATGAACTACTGACAGTTGACTGAAAGGAGCTGAATCTCAAAGGCAGTATGCTGTGCGAAAGAGGTTAGGTTATACCCTACAATTCCATTTATAGGGCATTCTCAAAAAAGATTATAGTGATGGAGAACAAATCAGTGGTTGCCAGGAAGAGAACAAAAGAAAATGCTGGGGTGATGAAAGTGTTCTGTGTGCTAATTGTGGTATCTATGCACATGTTAAAATTCATGGAATTATGAAAGAAGTCAACTGGACTCCATTTTGGTTTAAAAAGTAAAATTTAAAAAATACAAATGGGGGCCAGGCATGATGGCTCACGTCTGTAATCCCAGCACTTTGGGAGGCCGAGGCGGGTGGATCACCTGAGTTCAGGAGTTCGAGATCAGCCTGACCAACAAGGTGAAACCTTGTCTCTACTAAAAATACAAAAATTAGCCAGGCATGGTGGCAGGCGCCTGTAGTCCCAGCTATTTGGGAGGCTGAAACAAGAGAATTGCTTGAACCCGGGAGGCAGAGGTTGCAGTGAGCTGAGATCCCGCCACTGCACTCCAGCCTGGGCAACAGTCTCCAAAAAAAAAAAAAAAGAAAGAAAGAAAAAACAACAATAATGAAAATGGGGCTGGGCGTGATGACTCACACCTGTAATCCCAGCACTTTGTGAGGCCGAGGCAGGTGGCTCACCTGAGGTCAGGAGTTCGAGACCAGCCTGGCCAACATGGTGAAACCCTGTCTCTACTAAAAATACAGTAATTAGCCAGGCATGGTTGGGGGGTGCCTGTAATCCCAGCTACTCGGGAGGCTGAGGCAGGAGAATCGCTTAAACCCAGGAGGTGGAGGTTGCAGTGAGCTGAGATCACGTTATTGTACTTCAGCCTGGGCAACAAGAGCAAAACTCAGTCTCAAAAAATAAAATAAATAAATAATAATTTTAGAAAATACAAATGGGAAATAAGAACTGAATTCAAATACTAGTCTTCAAGATGGATATCTATGGAAATACTCTTCTACCTACTCAACTAATTGTATGCAACTAATTTACTCAACCTGTCCTTGTTAAAATATGAACAAGAACAATATAAGAAGTCATCAG
This sequence comes from Homo sapiens, assembly GCF_000001405.40. Classification (NCBI taxonomy): domain Eukaryota; kingdom Metazoa; phylum Chordata; class Mammalia; order Primates; family Hominidae; genus Homo; species Homo sapiens. The sequence goes on from NC_000007.14 coordinate 51,288,944, forward strand.
GGTTAAAACTGTAAAGAACAATATAAAATAGTCCTCAGGAGTGCAGGGCCAAAACGTCTTGTTTCCACTTGTGCATAATGATAGCACAGAGAGAAAGGAGAACAGAGCCCTGCATAGTCTAAAGTCAGCAGCATCTCCTCCCAGCATGCCCACCGCACTGGTGCTCAGGGTCCAGTGAGGAATGGACAGCAACTGATTGTTTCATAACAGTTTCCTTTTTAAATTGTTATTCTTTCCCAAATAGTCTTTTCAACAAATGATGTTATAACAATTGGGAACAAGTCTATCATTTGATTATTTTGCAAGTCGTTCTACATACTTGTGTCCTTCCCTCTCTGTGTTCTCATTGTCTGCTCTCCTAAGTCACCTCCCAAGTGACTCTAGGCTCCCAGAGCCACAGACCTCACTGCCCTCCTGCTGACACTTCCTCTCAGCCCTCCCTGGATCCTGTGTCACTGCACTCGGGTGTGGCCCTCCACAAAGCAGCCAGAGCTTGTTTTCTAAAACAGGAGCTTATGATCTTCCATGGCTCCTCCACTGCCTACAACGGAGCTCTGCCGGGCAGCAGGGCTCAGAGGACCTTCATGTGCTGATCCTGCCCATCTGCTCTCCTGCTTACCTCCCGTCCTAGAGTGCCACCTCTCCTTATTCCAGAAATAAGACTCAGTCTCAAACACTTCTGTGCCTTGCACACAGTAGCTGTGCTAACAATGTCTGCAAATTATATGTGAACACTCCCAGCAAGCCACAGAATGGAAGTGAACAGCAGTGATCAGAACAAACAACTACAAGTAATTACCTTTCAGTGCCAAAAACAATGACGCCTCCTTTGAGGAAACGCAACTTGTCCTACTTTCAATAATGAGAACTATGGAAATTATTGTTTCCCTGTTGCCCAGCTTGTCAGAAACATAAAGACCGAACTGATGTTCAATTGCAGGACACAGATTTGCTTTCATGGCTGATATCTCTCCCCTCTCTGCCTTTCTTTGGCCTGGTTTCCTGTGTCTATTTTTGTTCATCCTCCTGCATGCCAGCCCTATACGAGGGCCTTGGGAAAACAAATGAGATACAGAGAAAAATGGCAGCTCAGGAAAACAGAAATACCCCTAAGATGCTGCAAAGCAAAATGTTCCACATGAGCAGCAGTAACCTTAGGGTGGTCATATTTGCAACCTGAATGAAAGGTGGTGACTGCTCAAGATCAACACTTGGACTTGAGCAAACACAATCAAATGCATACACCAATCACAGAGACTCAATAGAATGGGCAAGTCACAATGCCAGTGGCATAAATTATGTGCTACTGGTTACCAGAGGACAATGTGTGCCATCAGCACATCTAATTTGCATTATTTTGAAATCTGACTGCTAATCATTGGGGAACATGGATTCTGAAGGAACAGGCAAACTAGAATGCCTGGCCGGGTGATCACCAGGGTCCTTTCCAGCAGAGATAATGTGAAACCTGCAATGTCACAACTCAGATTGCTGGCTTGGAAAAAGCTTGTCTACATTGTAAAATGATTTGTGCTCAGCCTTCCTTTAAATCTTGTCTTAATCAGAAGTTAGTTTACCCCTAAATAAACACAGATATCAGAACAAAGGGTGCGTGAAAGATGTGTGCTATCTTTCTAAATTCAAATTTAGGCTCGCCCCACCCTGCTTAAGCCTTCCTGGGCTCCCTACTGCCCTGACTTTCTCTCCAGCTTCCCACACAACCTCAGCCTCGGCCCCTCCTTGTGAGTTTCAGGAAGATTAAACTGCTCAAATAATAACCCTGAATACTAATATGCTAAATCCCACTTCCCCCAGACACCTGGGCCAGCACCCTTTCTGGCACCATGCATACTCCCCTCTCCATGTGAACACCTTGACCTCAGGTAGGAACTCCAGTGCCACTCCCTGAAGCAGGGTGCCTCCCCAGGTGTGTGCCCTTCCCTCCGGCTGGTGTCTGCCATAGCAACACCACACTGTACTGCATGGAATCTGCCTCTGCCCCTCACCATCCTCCCCAAGAGCAAAGGCCACGTCTTCTTTAGGTCTCCAGCACCTTGCACAGTGCCCATTCCTGCCAGGGGCTCACAACCCTTGGGGTATGACTGAATAAACAGATGAACGGCTAGCTGCATGGAGCGCCAGAGCAAGGAAAGCAGAAATCCCTGTTAGAGCCAGCAAGCCATCGCGAGGCAGCGAAGAAAGACTGAGGGGCACAGCGGGGAACAGGCATCTCGGGGACCACAAGCAAGGCTGAGGCACACAGACACACAAGGGGTGTCTGAGTGACCAGAAGATACAGACATGAACTGTGAGGGCACATTCACAGAGTCACCAGAAAGGAGATTGCTGAGGCCAACCTCTGTGTCTTCCAAAGTCCTAGCCAGGAGTCCTAGCACAAGGATCATATACAACTGTAAAAAGTTACCTTGAACACAATCTGGGAAATTTAAGTATGGACAGGAAATTAGCTGTCATTAAGGAATTACTGTCAGGCAGGGTAATGAGGTGACAGTCATAAAAAAGCAAGCTTTATCAAGCCAGGCATGGTGGCTCATGCCTGTAATCCTAACACTTTGGGAGGCTGAGGCAGGCGGATCACCTGAGATCAGGAGTTCAAGACCAGCTTGGCCAACATGGTGAAACCCTCTCTCTGCTAAAAATACAAAAATTAGCTGGGTGTGGTGGTGGATGCCTGTAATCCCAGCTACTCGGGTGGCTGAGGAAGGGGAATCACTTGAACCCAGGAAGTGGAGGTTGCAGTGAGCCGAGACCACGCCATTGCACTCCAGCCAGGGCAACAAATCGAGACTCCGTCTCAAAAAAAAAAGTAAGATTTATCAGTGCACAATCAGCACAGAAGTATTTACAAATGAAAAGATAGAATGGGGAGCTTTTGCCTTAAAACGTTCAAGCCAAAAATAAAAATAAGAAGTGGGGCCAGGCACAGTGGCTCACACCTGTAATCCCAGCATTGCTGGGAGGCTGAAACAGGTATATTACCTGAGGTCAGGAGCTGTGGACCAGCCTGACCAACATGGTGAAACCCTGTCTCTACTGAAAACACAAAATTGGCTGGGTGTGGTGGAGGGCGCTATTTGGGAGGCTGAGCAGGAGAATCTCTTGAACCCAGGAGGCGGAGGCTGTAGTGAGCCGAGATTGTGCCACTGCACTCCAGCCTGGGCAACAGAATGAGACTTTGACTCAAAAAAAAAAAAAAAAAGTGGGAGAATTGCCAAATGTTAAAAACTGCCAAAGCTCATTAATGGACCCATACGATTTCTTTACTATGTTCTCTGCTTTTATTTACATTTGAAAGGTTCCATGTCCATTTTGTCATTTTAAGGTACCCACTGAATGGAATGAAATGAATCTTCAAATCAATGACTGTTGATTATTATATTTGAGGAAATCCCATAAAAAGTCATCCATTCCAAGAGTATTATGTTTTAAAGAATCTGATTAGAATGAGTACTATTTAAATATGACTGATAAAGACATTAAAAAACGTCCATCAGAAGCTGGAAAAACATAATTCAGCCAACCTAATCACATTCTTTAAATGGCCCCTTTATTTCCTGAAGCCAGGTATTAGAAAGGGACACATTCTATTTGCTGACGCAAAAGGCATTCTTGTGCATTTCTAGGTAGCTGTTCTCCTTTAGCCTCTTCAGCACACATCTGTGAGACCTGCTGCCAGCTCTGAGGGAGACCAGGCTGAGCACTCCCCTGTGTGGAGGGTCCCTCCTGTCTGGGATCTTGTTCTGTCCCCTCCTCCCTCCACACTCCAGAGCCTAGAAAGCAAAGCTCCTTCCAAGGCCCGTGGCTTGCCCAAGCCCAACTCTTTGCAGCCCCTGCAGGCCCCGAGCAGCCCTGAGTAAAGAGGAGCAGGGCCCTCTAGGGATGCCCACGTATCCCAGGCCTGGGCACACAGGTTTCATGCACCCCACAGCCAAGGCTGCTGCTACCCTGGGGCCAGGATTCCACTTTCCCTTGAGTGACACAATGACAGAATTGAAGGAATAAGTTACTAAACACATGTGATGCGCCAAATCAAAAAGTTTAGATTTAAAATTCAATAAACTTCACACACACTAGAATGGTGAAAATTAAAGACTGACCCAACAACTGTTAATTCTCATCCACTGCTAGAAGAGGAAGAAACAATTACTTTGGAAAACAGCCTGGCATTTTTGTAGTTGTTTGTTTGCTTTGTTTTGTTTTCACCAAATTACTTTTCAGCTAAGAAACCCTGGCAGTTTTGTAAAACATGAAACATAACATCTACAATGTGACTCAGCCATTCCACTCCTTGGTATTTACCTCAAAGAAAGGGAATACATGTCCATACAAAAACTATAAATGAATGTTCATAATAGCTTTATTTGTAATAGCTAAAACCCCAAAACAACCTAAATGTCAATCAATGGGAGAACAAATTGTTGTAAATTAATGATGGTATACTGTTCATCAATAAAGAGGGATGAACAATAGAGACACCATGAAATCATCATGCCAAGTGAAAAAATTTGACAAAAAGATGCCACCTACATAAATAAAACAGATCAATGGTGGTTGAGGGGCGCAGGAGAGGGAGGAATGGATTGCAAAGAAGCACAAGAAACCTTTGAGCAGCAACAGAAAAACTTCTGTATCTCAACTGTGGTAACAGTTTCAAGGGTGTCACACACATCAAAATTCATAAAGCTGTATGCCTTAATATGTATAGTTTATTGTACATAAATATCCCTCAGTAAAGTAGCTCCAAAATACAGTACACCTTCTCAATCACAAAGAGGAAAAAGAAGAAATTCATCCATAAGTGAGAACCAACAGACACTGGCTACAAGGCAGGCTGTCCCATGCTCAGTAAGGGGTGCTGGATCATGCATAGTGTTCCCAGGTCATTCTATGCTTGGTAAGGGGTCCTGGGTCACGCACAGTGCTCCCAGGTCGTCCCATGCTCGGTAAGGGTGCTGGATCATGCACAGTGCTCCCAGTATATAAGTGACAGGCACTCAGTCTGTAGCTATTTGCCTAAGTTTTTCAACAGTCAAGAACTACCTTAGGCTGGGCGAGGTGGCTCATGCCTATAATCTCAGCACTTTGGGAGGCAAAGGCTGGCAGATCACTTGAGGTCAGGAATTCGAGACCAGCCTGGCCAACATGGTGAAACCCCATCTCTACTAAAAATACAAAAATTAGCCAGGCATGGTGGCACATGCCTGTAGTCCCAGCTACTCAGGAGGCTGAGGCAGGAGAATCACTTGAACCTGGGAGACAGAGGCTGCACTGAGCAGAGATCATGCCACTGCACTCCAGCCTGGGCAACAGAGTGAGACTCCATCTCAAAACATAAATAAATAAATAAATAAATAAATAAATAAATAAAAATAAATAAATAAATAAAAGGCAGGGCGCAGAGCTCATGCCTGTAATCCCAGTACTTTAGGAGGCCAAGGCAGGTGGATCACCTGAGCTCAGAAGGTAGAGACCAGCCTGGCCCACATGGTGAAACCCTATTTCTACTAAAAATACAAAAAAAAAATAAAAGTAGCTGGGTGTGGAGGCACATGCCTATAATCCCAGCTACTCAGGAGGCTGAGGTGGGAGAATCACTTGTGCCTGGGAGGCAGAAGTTGCAGTGAGCTGAGATCGCACCATTGCACTCCAGCTTGGGCGACAAGAGTGAAACTCCATCTCAAAAAAAAAAAAAAAAAAACCATTTTGGTCTTAATTCTAAGTAAAGGTTTAATATTTTTCTGTACTTGATATTGCTAGCCTCTAACCAAACCATGTCATCCTTGGGGTCCAGCAATATAAGCATGTTTTTATACCCCCTGTAGATCTAGCATTGTCCTTGTACATGGTCTATGCTCCATTTATATAGAATTTAAAGTTTTACTGGTATCACTTATTTAAAGTTATCAAAATTGTTTATTTTAAAAAATATTGCCCAATTAGGGAAAAGCACACACTGGGGCCTGTTGCGGGGTAGGGGCAAGGGGAGGGAGAGCATTAGGACAAATACCTAATGCATGAGGGGCTTAAAACCTAAATGACGGGCCGGGCACAATGGCTCTCAATCATAATCCCAGCACTTTGGGAGACCGAGGCAGGCAGATCACCTGAGGTCAGGAGTTCAAGACCAGCCTGGCCAACGTGTTGAAACCCCATCTCTACAAAAATACAAAAATTAGCCAGGCATGATGGCAGATGCCTGTAATCCCAGCTACTCAGGAGGCTGAGGAGGGAGAATCGCTTGAACCGGGGAGGCAGAGGTTGTCGTGAGCTGATATCGCACCACTGCACTCCAGCCTGGGTGACAGGGCAAGACTCTGGCTCAAAAAAAAAAAAACAACCTACATGACAGGTTAGTAGGTGTAGCAAACCACCATGGCACATGTATACCTACATAAAAAACCTGCACATTCTGCACATGTATCCCAGAAATTAGGGCAAAAAAATAACGATTAAAAATACATACATTAAAAAACATTTTTCAAAAAAAATACTGCCCAATTAACTGGGACCAATGAAATAATCTTGCAAATGCCTAGATATGTAGTACAGAGTCACTGATACAGGCCTGTCCTTTCAGACTGTCACTGACAACAACTACTTTGCAAGGATTGGGACACACCCAGCAAAGCAAACACGACATCCTGGAGACAAGGATATGTACAACACCCTTCCAGGGCCATCAGTTCACATTCTGTGTTAACTGTTCTGTGCCTCTGGCCTTCTGTAGGTCCCTACAGATGATGTGTCCAACAACTGCCATCAAAGCCCAAGAACTTGTGGCCAACCTAATCTCAACTTTCTTGTTAACCTTTCCGAAAAATTTCAAATCCTGGCAGCCTCACAGAAGTCTGCACTTCTCCATACTTCTTTACCCTCCTAAGTGATCAATGAAAATTTAAAAACCCTCACTGAGTAATCCCTAAGCTACTATTTACATAAGCTAATCTTAGGGATAGTTACAGCTTGTCTGGCCTGGCTGGGGCTTAGGTCTGGAAGGAGTGTTATATTTAAGAACTGCTTCAGCAAAATGATTTTCTGAGAAGGCCTTCCATAAAAATAAACCTGACTTATCTAAGCCCCACCCTACAAGTAGAACTAACTGCTCCGCTCCTTCTTTTCTGGGTGTTCATGAAGCACTTTGCACATATCTCTATGATAACACTTGTTGTAATGGACTTTAGAGATCAGTCCTCCCTTCTTTATTGTGGGATCTGTCAGAGCAGGGACACCCATGATATCAGCACATAGGTGAATTTTAATTAATACTGAGTTTTTTAAACTCATGAGCCAATTAAATAAATCCATTTTAAAATGATCCTACATCAGAAAAATGGATCATTTCATATTTAAACCTTCATAATATGTAGGACAATATGACAACACAGAGACAATCATACACATATTATTTTAATGTAAAGTTTGTCCTAACATGGGAGATGTTTGATTAAATGAAGGCGTGCAATATTTTTTTTTAATTAAGCTTGGCTTTACTTTCTTCTTCTATTCTTTTGTTTTTGGTTTTGCTTTTTTACCAAAGTTAACTTGTGTAAAGTTATTTTACACAAGTTAAATATTTCATTTCTTTTTTGATCAACAACTTAAGATAACTTTTTTGGGGGGCAAATAATACTGCAGCAAATCAATTTGATAAATGACTCTGAAAGTATTTTACGGAATAGTTTTTGTTTCATGGTAGATGTTTGCTTGCAAGGATGTATGGGCATTTTGATGTTGCTGATTACTCACAGGGAGGTGCTAAGTATAGGACGAGAGCTTGCTTTCAATCTGGGCTGGACCGCCTTTTTCCAAAGCAATTTGGTTAAACCATGTGAAGTGCGTTACAAACACATATTTCTTGAAGAGGAAATTCTTGTACTGGAAAACGACCATGCTGTATGCACTCAGGTCTTTTCAACTAAATAGAACTCCCAGGCTGGCCACCTTGGGAGCTGGAACAACATCTCAACTAATACACATTTAAGGAATTGATGGCTGGGTGTAATACTGAATGATGAATGAAAGGATCATCTTTAGCCAAGGCTGGACGTCTGAATCACCAGGGAAGCACCCTCAAACCCTCTTTTGAGTCCCCTCTCTGCTGGCCCAGGCAGCATCCCCCTGCAAAGAGCTGAGGTATGTTTCTACTCCAAAGCTCCTCGGTGACTCGGCTGCACATCCCTGGTTAACACCCACCGGGGAAGAATCCCACCCTCATTTTTACGTAGGTAGACTCAGCATCAAGGCTGAGCAATCATAACATGTATAGTCCAGACAGGGCAATGTGGTAGGTGAAATAGGCATTATTAGGAATCACACCAGGTGTTAACTGGGACTGTCCCAACTGTGGCATGTGATCACCTTTCAGTACCTGAGATCTTTTGTTGTTGTTCTTAACATGGTAAGCTAAGTTTCATCATTTTGAAAATCTTTTTTTTTTTTTTTTTTGAGATGGAGTCTCACTCTGTCATGCAGGCTGGAGTGCAATGGTGCGATCTCAGCTCACTGCAACCTCCGTCTCCCGGGTTCAAGCAATTCTCCTGCCTCAGCCTCCCAAGTAGCTGGGATTAAAGGCACCTGCCACTATGCCCAGCTAATTTTTTGTATGTTTAGTAGAGACGGGGTTTTGCCACGTTGGCCAGACTGGTCTCGAACTCCTGACCTCAGGTGATCTGCCCGCCTCAGCCTCCCAAAGTGCTAGGATTACAGGCTTGAGCCACCATGCCTGGCCTTGAAAATCTTTACATAAACAACAATACATACTTCTATAAAGAAAACTACCACATGCAGCCCTTGATACATGGAAAAGCCAACCATCAGAAAGGTTTGTATCAGTGGGATTTGGTTATAAAAAGTCTCCTCTTCAGAGGCCACTCGATGTATGTTTTTAATGCGTCTTCACTAGGAGCTTAACCAAGTTGCTTTGGGAAAAGACAATCAAGACCATATTGCCCTATGGTAAGTCAAAGTATGACCACAAATGTTTCAGACTAATCTCTTCCAAAGATGGGGCCTAATTTCCCTCCCGAGTGTGGGCTGGACTTAGTGACTTGCTTCTGACAAAGTATGAAGCCAGTGACAGTGTATCACTTCTAAGGCTAGGTCATAAAAGGCCTTGCATTGCTCCTTGCACCCCCTCTTGAATCACATGCTCTACAGGAAGTCAGCTGCCATTTTGTGAAGACACTCAGGCATACGGAGAGGCCACATGGCAAAGAGCTGAGGCATCCTGACAAAAGTTGGCAAAAACTGAGCCACTGTCCAGCCACTGCATATGACTCTAAGCATAGTTACAACCTAAAATTCTCATCAGAACCACCCAGTAAAGCCATTCCCACTGCTAAGCTGCTAAGATTAGGGAGACTTGCTACGTAGCAATAGGTAACTACTACACCTACAGACTTCAACCCAGTCACCTTTGTTGTCAGGGCATGCTTTAAGAGGTGGCCTGCTATTCAGGGCTAATTGTGCAGCTTGCTGCCTGTGCATGCTCCTGCAATGACATTCTCCACCATTTCTGAGCTCTGACCTCCTAACACATGGGCTGGGGCCACAGGGCATCCCCCACCCCAGCAACAAAGCAGATGTGAGCAAGGCAGGCCACTCCATTGCTCTTACTTAGCTCATGGCTCATTCACCATCTGAAAAGTAGGGAAAGAAATGCTTGCCCACCAGGCTCATGAGCATGTCATGTCAAATGAATACACAGATGTTGGGACTCCGAAAGCTGCAAAATGGTGCAAATGTGTAAATTTTCACTGTTGACCCTGTCACTTCACATGCTGCATGAGTCTCATCCTACCTCAGGAGTTAATAACAACAACTGCACCACTAACATGATACTGTACCATCCAAAACTGTAAACAAGCCTACAGTGCCTTTGTCTGAGCACAGATGACATCGAAGCTCTGAGGTCAAATCCACTTGTCCGAGCACATAAGCCCTTTCTCATATCTCAGCTCTCCTCTTCCTCCTCTACCCCAAGATACTCTCCACTCAGACTCTCCCCAGCACAATCAATCTTCATGGAGTCAGGGAGGCAACATCTGAACAGCTTTCCTCACCCATGAATGGCATAGGCCAGGAAAGCCAAGGGGAGGTGTTGCCGGTGGGCACCTCATATCTTTCTGCCCTTAGGCCAGACAGGCTGCACAGCACACCTCCCAAAGATGAGCCACACAACGTTCCAAGTCTATGAGCACACATACATACACACACACACACACACACACTCCTCCAGGGCTGGACATCCTTAAGACACTAACGAATGCGTGAGCCAGCAACAGTCACACACAGCGGTGTCCACTGCCTGTCTGCCCAGGAGGTGCAGCACTGGCTGTTTAGAAAGTATTATATTCCAAAGAACTTGTGCAAATCCTTTGCTTCGATTTGCTAGAACAGAAAAGAAGGTAAATCAATGGAGACTATGGACATCCAAATTTTACCTATCTTCTCCTATCTGTCTCTCTTTCTTCCCAAAAGTCACAAGTTTCAAAGGGACTGAATGGTTAATAATCCCTAGCATATGAGTCCAGGTTTCAGGGGGACTGACCCATAGCATGCTGGCACTCCTCAAACCCAGTTGGCGCTCTCTAAGGAGGAAGGGTGCTGCAGCCCTGGGCCCAGGAAGAGGCTGGCAGTCCTGCTCTGAGAACAATGAAACATGAAGAGCTGAAATGGTGCTGAGGGAGAGGCCGCTGCCAGGCTTCATGGCTATAGGGGTGGGCTGTCATCCTGAGCAAGCTGCTCAACCTCTCTGACACTCAGTGTCCTCCTCTTCAAGAAAGTGACAGTAACAGCACCTATGTACAGGTCTACTAGGGGGATGAGGAACATAATACAGGAAAAGCTCTCCATGTCACAGGTGACCCATGACTCCACAAGACAGGTCATCTGTACCCTACTTGAGGCACCATCAATGACCATGCACTTAAATATCGCAACAACATTAAGCTGCTATGAAAGTCTGCAGATGCTCACTCCTAGTGGTGCACTCATCTTACTGCAGACCAGTCCACGGACCACACCTGGACTAGTGCTGGCCTCAAGGCCCTGCAAACAGGCCATGCATCTCTGATCCCCATGACCCAGTCTATTGCCGCTGTGCCTTCCTTACTTCCCTATTACATGTGCTCATGCTTGCCTTAGATTTCAGAATCAAAACTGAGGTTTGCTTTTCTGTTTTGTTTTGTTTTGTTTTGTTTTGTTTTGTTTTTTGAGACAGAGTCTCACTCTGTCACCCAAGCTGGAGTGCAGTGGCATCATGTCGGCTCACTGCAACCTCTGTCTCCTGGGTTCAAGCAATTCTCCTGCCTCAGCCTCCCAAGTAGCTGAGATTACAGGCACCCACCACCACACCTGGCTTATTTTTATATTTTTAGTAGCGATGGGGTTTCACCATGTTGGCCAGGCTGGTCTCAAACTCCTGACCTCAGGTGATCTGCCTGCCTTAGCCTCCCGAAGTGCTGGGATTATAGGCATGAGCCACCATACCTGGCCGAAACAGAGGTTATTAAAGCGGGGAAGCCTCTCACACCTGGCCTGGGTCTGGACCCTTCTTACCCAGAGTGTCACGTGGTGTGTTAGAAGGAGCCATGTGGTATGTCAGAAGGAGCTGCCTGCTCCTACAGGCCTGGGTCTGCATCCTGTCACCACTGCCCAAGTGACGCAGGAACGCGGTCTGGGGCTCATTGTACTCGTGGGTAAAATGGGAGAATGCCTTCTCCAGGGAGCTCTGGAGAGGAAATGATAACTGCCAGTCCACCTGCTAGGACCTAGGACGGAGCCTGCCACCGCACTCACTTCCTCTTGGGATACTCACACCCTCCCAAGAACCTTACTCGTTCCTGCCATTCACAGTTCCTGGAAAACCCTTCCCACCCTTTCCCCACTTCTGGCTCAGACTCACAACTGTCATCAGGGCCCCTGGGATCTTTTCCAGGGATATCTGAGGTGCATGTGACTGGGTCAGGAGTGTGCACTGGGCTGTGTGACCGCGGGGTCCAGATGTGGGGTTAACCGCTCCATCAGCTGCCCTTGGTCACCATGTTGCTATCTTGTGTCCCACGTGCCTCACTGTTAAAATGGGAAGAGCACCCTCACCCCGCACGCTGAGATGAGGAGTGAGTGCGGTGGGATACACGCACCGCGCAGGCTGCTGCTCTGAAGCGGCCCCCTCCACCGGCTCCCTCCGGCGCTGCCCTGGGCCACCCTCCCCTCCTCTGGGGCTCCCTGGCAGATCTGTCTCCTCTCTGAGACTGGAGCCTCTGGAGGACGCTCACCCTTTATCCTCTTCTGGGCAGGCAGCACCCTCAGCACTAATACGCCAAAGAAAAGTAAGTGAGGGAACTTCAACTACCGCGCCTGGCATCTCCTTCCTATCTGAGCAGGAGCCTCACAGCCCGTGCTCTCCACTCTGTGACGGGGAACTGCCTGGGCCCCCATCACCTGTACCTCAGCGCGGAACTCACAACACAGTGGCACTGCCCCTTCCTTCACAGCCGTACTGTGGGTGGCAAGGCCAAGCCCTTGTCTCTCAGGCCTGGGCCGTGTCCTACCAGCCGTCCCTGCCGGGCCCCACCCTCTCTTCTTTCCTCCGGGACTTCCCTCACACCTGAGTGTCGGTCTAATATTCGAAGAACAATCTTCCTCTGTAAGCAAGCTGCTCCTCTGCTTAAGGCCTCTGACCAATCCCCCAGCTCTTCCAGAGAAAATCCAAACCCCCACATTGCCTGCCCACCGCTACGTGGTTCCAAGCCACAGATTCCAGCGCAGATCCAGGCATCTAAGCCATCTGCTGTCCTCAGTGTCCCCTCCAGTGGACTGCAGGTTCCTCCACTCTGTGGGTCCCACTGTGCTGGGAACCCCTGTGCATTCCTCCATCCTTGGGCTTCCACTCCTGGCAGTCAGTCCATGCCTGCCTCTCTGCCCAGCCACATTTTACATTTTATCTAGTTTTCAACCCCCAGCTCAAAACCTGGTAGCTTTGCCTCTCCCAGCTTCAAAGAGGCATGGCTCCTGAACAGTCAGAGCCAGGGGCCTCTCCCCTGGTTGGCTCTGACAGGTCTTCAGTGTCGTGGCCCTCCCCGAGGGCAGCCGCCGAGCTGCATGTCTCCACAGCCTGGCCCCATCCTAGGAGGTGCTTACAAACTAGGTGAAGACTGCTGGGCTAACAAGGGCAAAGGCCTGGCCTCCCTCCCAGCATAATAAATTTGGAGGGGGTCACATAAATAAAGCAATGATGCCATCATTTCCTAGCAGTTAAGTTTTGTAAGAAATTCTACTGCTAAAGTAAATTGATAAGACCATTAATTTTTTTCCTAAAGATTCACAATTCTGGACTGGGCGCAGTGGCTCACACCTGTAATCCTAGCATTTTGGAAAGCCGAGGTGGGTGGATCACCTGAGGTCGGGAGTTCGAGACCAACCTAGCCAACATGGAGAAACCCTATCTCTACTAAAAATACAAAATTAGCCAGATGTGGTGGTGCATGCCTGTAATCCCAGCTACTCAGGAGGCTGAGGCAGGAGAATCGCTTGAACCCGGGAGGCGGAGGTTGTGGTGAGCCGATATTGCGCCATTGCACTCCAGCCTGGGCAACAAGAGCGAAACTCCGTCTCAAAAAAAAAAAAAAAAAAAGATTCACAATTCTGGGCTGGGTGTGGTCGCTCAGGCCTGTAATCCCAACACTTTGGGGAGCCAAGACAGGGAGGATTGCTTAAGGCCAGGAGTTCAAGACTGGCCTGGTCAATGCAGCAAGACCCTATTTCTAAGAAAAAAATAATAATAATTCACAATTCTGGTAATAATTGTGCTTTGAAAATACTGGAACTTAACTGAGATCAGTTTTACTCGCTGATAATAAATTACCATTTTTAAAGATGACGCTATACAGGGCACCAAGCACTGTTATCAGAGAGTGTTACAGACGCCTCACCCCTCACCCCCAACCAAACGGCTGTGGTGACTCAGTTTTTGGCATGTGCTAAATCACCAGCTCAGTCTTCCCAACGCAATGCTGCAACTATGACAACAATACCCCACTCACAGGGCTGCCGGCTCAGAAACAAGCTACTGTTTTATCACTGCAATAGAAACCTGCACTTCACAAATTAGAATGTTTTAAAATACAATACATTAATGTTTCCCCGAGCCTCATGACAAAGTTAACACAATAGATCATACTTTCAGATTTATGCTTTTACATTCGGATGCAGAGATAGACACAAATGCTTTATACCCTTTTATAAAATCTGGGGACACAAAACCTAATCGAATGTGGACAGGAAAGCCCATCATCCAAAATCAACAATCCCGGGCCGGGCGTGGTGGCTCACACCTGTAATCCCAGCCCTCTGGGAGGCCAAGGCGGCCAGATTGCCTGACTCAGGAGCTCAAGACCAGCAAAACCCATCTCTACAAACAAACAAAAATACAAAACCAGCAATCCGGTCTCTGTGCGCACCTGACTTGACCATGCATGCAGAGACGGCCACTGGAGGTGAGAGGTGACAGGGTGACATCCCCAGCCCTCCCGGATGGAGGGAGCCACAGAAACAGAGGCATCACTTGTCATTACTTTCCTCTAGCAAAAACAGACTCATTCCACAAGGAAGTGTGTCAAAGCAACTGGTGTTCATGAGCACCTATTTATTTATATGAAGTTAATGTGCCTGGGAGAGGGATTTTACCAAGCTCTTAGATGTTACATGTGACAAACACAGACATGTATCAAAATTCAGCTTATCTGCTGACCCAACTCCAAACAGGGAAGGTACAAATGTATACTGATCCGTTCTGTATGGATCCTTTCCTTATACTTTTCCCAGTGGGTCTACAGACTGGCTGAGTATTTTATCCAATATCCAAACATCATTTTTAAAGGTGGTCACCCAATGCTGTTATTTTTCTCTGAGTGGTCTGCAGAGCCGCCGACAGAACATATGGGACAGGCTGCTGACTGCATGCACACCAACACTAAACTCAGACATTTATTTTTATATTATTTTTAATGGGTAAAGGGTATCATGGAATAACGCTGGCGGCACCTTGAAGTTCAGAGGAAGTCCCCAGACACTAATGCTCCCCCAAAACCACTCACTGGTCCAACAGTCAGGAGACCAGAATCCAGTCCCATGTTGTCGCCAGCACCAAGGTCAGCTTGGAAAGTGATGGTGTGAGAGAGGCAGCCACACCTGCATGATGGAGGAATCGTGGTCTCGCCCTCACAACATCCAAGAACTGCTAGGAGAGCAAAACAAAGGGCAAAACACAATGACCTCTATTTAGAAGTGGGGAGGCAGAGGTCACAGGCAGGTCCAGCCTTCTAACAAAGCTCTTCCAGTGGGATGGGAGTCACCATTCATTCTCCCCACAGTCCCCAACCCACCCTGTCCAGCCCATGACTTCCTCATCGGTGTGACCCACCTGGTCCTGGTACAAACCTGTGTTTACAACATCCACTGAAAAACAATTTGTGAATACAAGCTATGATTTGTATTGTATTTCTAGTGCTATTTTTCTGTTCTAAACCAACAGATCCCTTCTGATCATTAGAATCATTAGTTTCCTATCAAGGTGGCATTGGCCGCATTTCTACCATAAGAAAACAAATGGTAGCAGTAATATTTCCTACTGGAAAGGCAGTGCAAGTCTTTGTAAAAACAGGTGTCAGGACAGAGTTTCACATCTATTATATGTTCTTGGACCAGAATGATGGAATACTGGCAGAAAAACAATAATGGGAAAATAACAATATTTTATAATGAAAAATAATTGGAAAAAAAAAATAGGAACTGTCCTGTGACAGGCCCTCCACTGATGCTGTTACTCCTGGTCTCTAATCATCTCATAAAACCCTGCAATCCAGTCATCTCCGCCTTAGTCATGAGGGATGAGGAGGCTAAACAGTCCCTCGAAGTGACAAAGCTTTCAGGGGAGGGCGGATGTGTGGGCCTTGTCCTTCCACTCACGTTCTGTAGGTTGACACCCTCACCAAGAAGTTACCAGAGAGCTGCAAACCAGCCGTGCTCCCCAGAGCATAGCCCCCGCCCCTCCAAATGCCAGCACCACTAGGTAATACAAGGGCCAGTCCCTATGTCACTGTGACACAACAAAGAGGGACATAAGCTGAGCCTTGTGGAAAATCTGTTTCAATTATATGTCACTTTCACTTGTTTAAAATAAACAAGAACACCTTTTCATGACAATAAATATTTAGCATTATAAAAACACCGCCCTAAGTAAAAAATGTTACACAAATGAAGTGCATCCCCTTCCTAGGCACATGGGTAAATCATGAAAGCCAGCCCAGCGTAAACACAAGCCATGCTTTACTTCCCATCAGGCTCTGCAGCCAGTCTTATCCCTGACTGTAAGAATACTATATAATTTTTAACTCAGAAAATGAAAAGTAAACATCAAGAAAACATTTCTAACATATAATTTTCCTCTGAGGTTGCTGTCTAGATACCTCATCTACAAAGCAATATTTTCCACAGATCAACAGTTAAAATAAAGAGACAAAAGGTATAATCTTCCAACTTGGTGCATGTCATTTAGAACAATCAGTTCTAACAGAAGGAGGATTCTGCACAGGTAAGTGAAACATCATAAGGAGGATAAATTACTTTTGTGAAAGTGACTAAAACTAAGTTAAAAACAAAAAATAGATTGAGGGACATTCTGCTTGCATAGGCCCCAGGAGAGCCAAGAACACCAGCTCATTCACAGCACTAAAAAGCCCCTAAACCAGGTACCAGGTATGCGCTTAAAACATTGTACTCGATGATGGCTGGGCGTGGTGGCTCATGCCTGTAATCCCAGCCCTTTGGGAGGCCAAGGCGGTGGATCACTTGAGGTCAGGAGTTCGAGACCAGCCCGGCCAACATGGTGAAGACCCGTCTCTACTAAAATACAAAAAAAATTGGCCAGCCGTGGTGACACGTGCCTGTAATCCCAGCTACTCAGGAGGCTGAGGCAGAAGAATTGCTTGAACCCAGGAGATAGAGGTTGCAGTGAGCTGAGATCGCATCACTGCACTCCAGCCCAGGCGACAGAGCAGCAAGACTCTGTCTTGGGGCGGGGGTGGGGGCAAACATTGTACTTGATGAATGAAGATGGCCCTTGCTTCCCGAGTGTCTTGAGGTGTGAGCTGTAATGCAGATGAGTGGGGCCCCAGGAACACAGTGACACTAGGCACCATGAACCTAGAGGCGGCTTGGAAGTGCCACACACCAGGGCTATTTTCTCTCCGTGCTCAGTTCATCCCTGCTGGAGGGTGCTGGCCTCTAGAAGCCCCGATACTGACTAGCACACCCAGGCCAACAGGGCCCACTCACCTGCAGAGAAGAGGCCCTAAAAGCATCACCCAGCTCATTACTGAGGCTCTTGCAGCTTGGAGCAAGGGCTGTATAAAGTTACCCAAAGAAAACACAATTAGCGAATTTGTGGGTCTGGGTTCTGTGTAGCTTCTACTTTGAAGGAAGCTCGTTTATTGAACAGAGCAGAGCTCTGTGTTTTCATTAAATGTATCAGCCCAAGACACTGAGCTGGGCCAACATCCAGTACAAAAGGGAAGGCTTTTCAATGTTTATTAATTCATCAGCCAGTATCAGGCAGAACATCTTGCTTTGAGGAAGGGGAGTCTGGATTCGACTCCTTACACTAATTCATAACTGCTCTGTGCTCAGCAACAGCTGAGTTTGGTCCTCTCCTATCACACACCACGTATTTCTTTGAAAAAGTAAAATCCCACGTAGGAGTCTCAGGAATCGCACATCCTAGAAAAGCATGAGTTCTGTCACAATCAAACAGGTAATCATGAGGCTCCTATACCAGGAATAAGTCGTAAGAATGTCTGCAGGCACACTGGCTTTTCATGGCAAAATGCTGCTGAGACACTCCAGGGCTTCAGAAATAGAGCAGAGCAACATCCTCCTTCATCCTGCAGGGAGCTAGAGCAGTAGCTTTCATAAAGCAGCTTTGGAAATGAGCTCCGTGCTTCAATGTGGCCTAGCAGAGTGGCCAACGATGAGGACGTGGACACTGACGAGAGACGTCAGAGTCACATGGCAATCTCACCTACAAAACCAAGAGGACAGGCCGGGTGCAGTGGCTCAGGCCCATAATCCGAGTGCTCTGGGAGGCCAAGGCGGGTGGATCACTTGAAGTCAGGAGTTCAAGACCAGCCTGACCAATATGGTGAAACCCCGGCTCTACTAAAAATACAAAAAAAAATTAGCCAGGCGTGGTGGTGCAGGCCTGTGATCCCAGCTACTCAGGAGGCTGAGGCAGGAGAATTGCTTGAACCTAGGAGGTAGAGGTTGCAGTGAGCTGAGATCACGCCTCTGCACTCCAGCCTGGGTGCCAGAGCAAGACTCCATCTCAAAACAAAAACAAAAACAAAAACAAAAACAAAAAAAGGAGAGGACAGTACTGTCCTACCAACATCAGAGGGCCCTGATGGGAGAGCCAGACCTCCCACACACAAGGAGCAGGTTCTGGCCATCTCCTATCTCTGTCAGCTAGACAATGGCAACAGGCAAGTGGCTCTAATGCCAAAATAAGGCAAGTCCTTGCAAAGAACATTTTTTGGGTCCTCCTTTAGAAAAATCTATCATTCTAAAAATGTGAAACATGATGGTAAGCAAAAAGAAATGGACAAATAATAAGGAAATATTCCAAACTGACATATTTTTCAGTTTAGTCTAGCTTCCAAACTAGTTTTCCTTACTTTTCTGTTGACTGTGAAATTCACAAATTAACTGCATTCAGAACACAGTCTTTGATTATGGCTTGTGCCGTTGAAACCAATCAAATATTTCTGAGAAGTGGTAAAGTGTAGCAATTTAGAGCGTTGTCACAGCATGAAAAACATTCAGACTTCATCACCCCAATTCCCACTTTTTAAATCCAATTGGGTGGCTTGGCTCTTGTGAGAGATCTGCAATTCACTCTTCCTACGTGTGATGTTGTCAGAGCGCAGATAACCATTATCACGTAATAAGTGGTTTAGGCAGGAGCAGGAGGAAGGAAGTTTTCAGTTCCACCCAAAACCAATTCTACCTGGTAGCTATAGACAACAAGACAGATGGATAGGTGGGCGGACGGGAAAGCCTGGCAAGGACCTGCCCTGCATGGCAAATGTTTAGACTCTGGCTGCTGTCGATCAGTCTCCCTCCAGCCTAACAGTTTGTGCATTGAACACTAGTGGATTTTGCACTTAATTAAGAGGGTTCTAGCCAACCAAACTGTATTTAGAGACTAAAAAATTAGCCACATGAACAAAAGTATACACTTCGGCTGCATTAACACTCCTACCCAAGACTATTTTTAAATACAACTCCCAAGCCATTAAGTTTGAAAACCGCCAGAACTGATTTGGTAATCTGCTGCTTTGCCAAGTGCTGGAAGTTAGCTTTAACTTCACGCCCACTCTCACACAGACAGACAGACAGACACACACTCACACATACATTCACACAAACAGCTGGTTTTCCCATTATGTTCCTTAGCCTTAGTTTGCTACTTACTTAACTGCTCAAGCCATCCACATGTAATTGCAAAGTTAATCCATTTGGTATTTCTCCTCTTCCAGCTCTATGAGTCCTTAAGCCACGCAGAGCACTTAGCAGAGCACTTATGATAAGACAACGCTTTGCCAATGCTCCTCATTCTAACAAGGAGTCTCTCCAACTTGCCTACCTCCTCCAAACCAGCAGGAAGCTCTGACTTTCCCAGGTGCAACTACCCTAATTGGGGGCTGGGGGATCCTCTTTCCCCAACTCCTCCAGGATGGTGCCCACTATGAATAAGTGGAAGCGGCTGGCTGTAGCATGGACAAGGAGAACAGAGACATCATAAAAAGCAAAGGACGTCAGCACCCCGATGTGTTGCAGATGCAAAGTCCTGTTTACCACTGGCCTTTAAGATTACAGTCTAAACGTCACTTCCTCCCCTTAGATGTCTGGAAAGCATAGGCTTTGTAGGTCAGAGCTCTATATAACGTGGGTGTGTGTCACAGCAAACTAAGGACATGTTTTTCAGAAAGGCCAGAAACTGTCAGGGGCACCCCTTCCCAAGACCCTGGCAAGGGGCAGAGGAGCCACATACCCATCTGCACACTTTAACACCTACGTTCCCCCGGCCCTCACAGGAGTCATAAATGCAATCACAACGGCTAAGATCTCTGATCCCCCCTGCCTCCAAGCTGCCCTTTTAAGGACGATGTGATTATGGTTGGGCCAAGGGGACATGAGCAAAGGGACTTGTATGGCTGGCAGGTGGAGCACGAAAGGACGGGGTGCATCTCCCCCTCCTCAGGCCAGGCTGGAACAGATGGAGACTGCACACCAGCCACAGCTGAGCACCAAATAAAAATCAGCAGGTCTCTGGGAACGCTGCACCCCAACACCAGCCCAGGACTCCCGAGGTGGGCTTTTAGATAGGAGAGAGAATTATCTCCTCTTTAAGCCACTGTCACTTTATGTTCCTCAAAATAAGACCTCTTAACACCTCCCAAATCTGCACCGAACTAGGCTGCATGGCTGGCAAGCTGAGTCCAAGCACATCAGTTCCAAATATGTTAGTGCCAGTTGATCGGTCTGTTCTCATACAGGCTGGCAAAAACAAGATTTAAGCAGCAATTTAAGAAACAGTTTTTTTGAAAGAGGACTCTAGAATATTCTGGGAACACTGAATCATATGATTTTAGAGCTCACATGAGTCTTAAGATCATGTTATCTAACTCCCTCCACCAGCAAGAAGGAAGCAGGGGTTGTTCTGTGCATCACAGGCCACAAACCAATGACACAAAAGCTTACAAAGTAATAGTCCTGGCTCCAAGGAGCTGCTCAGAATTCAGTGGGTCAGAGGGGCAAGTAAAGGGACAATCATAATCCCATAGGAGGTTTTCGGACAGGGGAGGGCGTGGGGTGTGAGAGGGATACTCTCAGAAGGCCTCCTGGGGGAGCCCCAGCTGCAGCTTAAACAACAGGCATTCTGAGAAAGGGGCAAGAAAGCTCTCCAGGCCAAGGTGAGAGAGAAAGCCTGAGACCCCAGGTGAGGCCTGGGAAGCTGCGGTGGCAAACAAAGAGTGGCAAATCCAAAGGCTGGAGCCTCGCTGTCCACTGGAACTAGCCGCACACAGCTATGTAAGTTTAAATGGATTAAAATTTTAAAAGGTGAAAGACTCAGCTCCCAGTTGCAATAATCACCAGTCAAGTGTTCAGAAGCACCTGTGTCTGGCAGCACTGGCAGAGAACACTGGCACCTGGCAGAAGCATCATCAGACAGCCCTGGGCTGAAAAAGTCTGGAGAGGCCCCATCAGGATGGGCCTGCAGGCTGCGTGGAGAAGGAGCAATTTCACCTTGGACAACTGGCACCAGGGTCCAAAGCTTCTTGTTCCTGAGACAATTTTCTTTCCACTAATCCTCCCGCTGTCTGCCTTTGATAGAAGAAAGTCAATAGGATTAACAAATAAGCAGAGGGCATTCTGAATCAGGGAAGGATGCCCTGTCTGGCCCTCGGCAGCCTCTGTCTGGAGAGAGGTGGGAGCATCTCTAAGGCAATGGCTCCCCATGGGGATTCAGGTTCTTGGGCAGTGAATGCTAGAGGAGCACCTGGAAGACAAGAGATGGGATCGACCAGCCAGGACGCGTGACTTACCTGGTTTATCTTTGGAGGGTTGTTTTTGTTTTGTTTGGTTTGGTTTTTTTGAGACAGAGTCTCTTTCTGTCATCAGGTGGAGTGCAGTGGCACAATCTCGGCTCACTGTAACCTCTGCCTCCCGGTTCAAGCGATTCTCCTGCCTCAGCCTCCCAAGTAGCTGGGACTACAGGCATGTGCCACCAGCCCAGCTAATTTTTGTATTTTTAGTAGAGATGGGGTTTCACCATCTTGGCCAGGATGGTCTCGATCTCTTGACCTCGTGATCAACCCACCTCGGCCTCCCAAAGTGCTGGGATTACAGGCGTAAGCCACTGAGCCCGGCCGGTTGTATTTTTTTTTTTTTTAAGGGATAAGGACTTTATTGGTTTCTCTAAATCAATTGATGTCCTTTTTACAGGCATCACTTGGTGTGGTGCAGGTGGGAACTGGATCTACAAAAGTATTTGTACAAAAGTATTTGTGGTCTGGGAATCTGTCTAACCAAATGTATCCAAGAAAAATATACTCTGGCAGTTGCTTAAAAAGCTTTTTCTCTTTTTTAATAGAAATGTTTTTAGCTGGGGGATTACTCTAATTGGACTTGGCCTATAGAAGACAATGCCCTGGCAGGGAGCAGCTCGCCACCTGATGAGGAGAGCAGAGGGAAGCGTGCTAACACCCCAAGAGGCCACAGGGTTTCTCCCTGCTGGGGAAAGCCATCCTTCTCTGGAGGGGCTGGCTCAGAAGCACAGGGATGGCCCTGAGATAGGCAGCAGAAAATACACACACTGTTGGAAACCCATTGTCTATTGTCGCACCAGAGGAGACAGCAAACTCTAGTCTAGAATAAATAGCACTAGGTCTTGAAAGTATTGACCATCCTTAGCTTTGCAAGAAGCAACTAGAATCATATAAAGTATACAAGAGGAAAAAAGTTTTAATTCTATTCCAGCAAGAGACAGATGAAAAATAAGGAATTATGGAACCCTGAAAGAAAAGTGACGTAGGCTTCCCATCAATTCAGAAGCAGAAAGCCAGGGAGTGGCCCTGAAAAATCCAGAAACACTCAAGTGACAAGGTGGAAGCGAGAAAGCAAAGTATAAAATGGGGGAGATGGAAACTAAAATTTACAACTCAAATAAATGAAAATCATAAAAGTGTAAAAAGGCATATTATCAATACATCTCTATGTAGTAATATAAACCAATAACTACAGTATTTTAAATAAAGAAAAAGTACAAAGATGAAGATATGTAAAAGCTTTCAGTGGGTCATGAAATACCAACTTTTTTTCAGCTATAGTATAAGGTAACTGAAAAAAAAAACCACACAATTAAAATTAACCAACGCATAAAACCTTCATAATTAAATGTGGATGGGGAGAGAATGAAGGAATGTACGAAAACACCATATAATAAATACAGGACCTCAGCCGGGGGCAGTGGCTCACACCTGTAATCCCAGCACTTTGGGAGGCCAAGGCGGGCGGATCACAAGGTTAGGAGTTCAAGACCAGCCTGGCCAACATGGTGAAACCTCGTCTCTATTAAAAAAAAAAAAATACAAAAATTAGCTGGGTGTGGTGGTGCACACCTGTAAATCCCAGCTACTCCGGAGGCTGAGGCAGGAGAATCGCTTGAACCGAGGAAGTGGAGGTTGCAGTGAGCTGAGATCGCACCATTGCACTCCAGCCTGGGTGACATGGTGAGATTATGTCCCCCCACCAAAAAAATAAATAAATACAGGAACTCTTAGTGTATTTACAAAGTTCAAGTCTAAATCAGAACCAAGTGTTAGCATATTTCACATTTGTATGTCCTTGATCTAAATATTAATACTACTTTGGTATCAAATATTTATGCTCACTTTTCAAAACTGCAGATCAATTACAAAATTAAATTTAATCATAAATTTATAACAAAGCACAAAAGGCCTAGAAACCTAAACTACTTATTACGGTGTATAGATGCATCCTATAATCATTGTTTTCTTAATAATTACAGGAGCACTTGCGTGGACACAGATTATGACTTCATTCCCTGGATCCCAAATTAAGAAGTCCACAGAATCCAGGCCTGCATATACGTGGGGGCTGTCGCTCTGCCTGGGTCAAGGTTCCACTCAATAATAATCCACTCCACCTGTGCACTGGAGGTCACGAGAAAACACAGGAGGGACTGCAGGCAAAAGTTCCTGGGGGCAGGAGAGATGCAACACTTAACAAATACCTTTGTAACAAATTTTAATCATACTTCAGTTCTATCCCCTTTATAGAACCACTGAGAAATAATAAAAATGCTCTGAGACTATGTGATATTGCAACACAGAAATGTCCAACTCTTCTAATTTATTAGTAAATATTTTAATTACAAAACATTAAAATTCCTAGGCCTACTCTCCACATTACATCAAGCAATTCTTAACTTTTACTTTCTTAAATGAATTGCCAAAATAAAGAGTAGCTCAGAAGTAATATCTTTTAAAAATAATGCTCAAATCTAACGGGAAAAGTTTTATGTAACAGTTCATTATACATGCTCTCATTTGAAAGAATGTAAACACTTTCTCTAACATGTTAGCCAAAAGCCAAAGGCCTAGAAACCTAAGCTTCCTATTATGGTGTAGAGTTAATATTTTCTTAATATCTGCATGCTTATGAGGGTTTCATACAAAATGTCACTGTGGCTGCCCCATGTCACTACCAAGAGTCACAGGCCTTCTACACTTAATACTATGTGCGGCACCGACAGGACTAGAGTAGCTCAAGTTACCCACTTCGATTAATTTTTTAAAATTTCTTTTGGTTCTAATAACTTGATTAAATAAATATAAATTTATGCAAAGAAATGAATAACAGCTATGTGTACATGAAGTCCACATTTTGACGAAACTGATTAGCAAAACTTCCACTGATTTTTACATGAGCAAACTGCTTGAATACAGCCATTGATCAAATGCACCAGCTGTTTTGACATTTCATGTCATTGGAGATTACTGTATTCTACAGAAACATGTCTTTCCTCCATAGGAAAAAAAAAATTAAGCATGGTCCTGCCAAACAGCAAGCCTTCTTCTGTCCTTTATTAACAGAGGGTCCAATGGGAAATTTAGCCCTGTGTTCTGTAACAGCCGACTACTGGGATGGCTCCTATAAATATTCAGACAAACGCAAAGTAAACAGATAAAGTAGAGAGTTAAATATACTTCAAAACCTCACCAAAAGGCAATTTGCCTTTACTTGTGTTCTGAGTATTCTGTCAATTCTTATACTTCAACTGAGCTCTAAAACTCCCTAAAAGTCACATCAAGTCTGACTTGTTAGTTTTTGCACACAGCCTCTTTCCTAAAAGAACACTTTCCCCAGGAGTCAAGGAAGTCATACATCACTGTTTTAATGAAATTCCTAGTAAAAAACATACAATTTCAATCCAAGTAAAAACGTATATTTGTGTTTTTCACAAAGATAACTAATAACTACCTGTTAATAATTTAGCCAGACACAGAGTCAGTGAGTTTACATTCACCAACCTATCTCCCTTCAGTAATCTTCTAGAAGAGCGTTTGTAGGCCACAGGGTGAAATCTCGTTAATTCACTGCACCCAGTCTAGCTTGTTTCTATACAACACAAGGAGGAGTGGTAGTTTCAGCAACAGCAACAGCTTCACCACATCAGTTTGTTATCATGTGGGAAGACAGAGGCTTACTGAAAGTTTGATTTTATAATAAACGGTTGCAGAATCAGATGGAAAACAAATTTCCCTCAAGCACACTGCAAACACTGCCTTAATCTCAGGGAACAGAGGAGTAATCTCAGTGAAGAGCCAACAGAATCTGCCTGCCACCAATAATGTACTAAAGCCACAAATTTCACAGCAATATCTAACCTTTATAATTAGCAAGCATACACCTAAATTATATAAAATATTCGAAGACCTAACACCATTTATCTCCTCAGATTTGAACACAAAATTGCTTATTAAACACGTAATTCTTGTCTGAAAAAATATAAGGATATTAACATTTTCTTGATGCTTCTTCACTGAAAGTATTAACAAATGACAAAGTGAGAACAATAGAAGTTAAAAATAATATGTCTACATTTCTTGGACAAAGATGTTCGGACAAGTAAATTAGACACTGGATATGAGTGAGGGAAAGAACTGAATGCATCAGGAATAATTTCATGTTTTCCATAGCAAAAATCCTTAGTTTTACTTTGCAATTCAAATATGAAAGCCAATCAGAGCTCTGGGAAGCCCTGAGAAGGCCAGCCCTCGACTACCTCTTGCCACACAGTACCAGGCTGAAAAGAGTGCCACGCTCTTAGGGTAAGTCCTTTCACTTCTATCATTAGACTCCCTTCAAGGATCTTACAGATACTCTTTGGATACAGTTTTGCCGGCCTTTTAAATGTTCTCTCTGTCTTCATATTTATTTATAAGGTGATAGTGACAAAATAATTCAGTGTCCTTAAATAGGCTCATTTAATAGGCTATGAAAGCCACAGATTTAAAGATACCTCTGTTTCACATTTCCCTGTTATTTTGGGATGCCTATTACCATGAAAAAGGATTTCCCACATTTACTTTCTTTCTGGGGAATTTGTTTGTTCAAAGAGAATTATATAACCACCAGTAAGTGCACTGCAAAAAAAAAAAAAGAGAGAGAGAAAGAAAACTTCTTTTTAACATTCCTCAGCTTCAGGATTATTTGATTTGCTAACCTGGCTCACCTTTTCCTGGCATTAAAGGAAAACTTTAAAATTTTAAAAAGAGCCCGACTGAAAGTCTTTTACACACTTGGGCAACACGCCCGCCTATGGGCACATGGGCAGGGTGAGTCAGTGGGACACAACTGTAACAGAAAAAAAGATTTGTTGTCCCCAAAGCTGCCTCCTTCAAGTCCAGTTGCCATAGCAGAAAGTGGGCCCATTCAGTAAGCAGGTGCAGGGCTCACCCCAACCCTCATTCCATTTGCAAGACTCATACACATTTGCTCCAGGCGAGCGAGCGAGTTCGAAGGTCCCCGGCGCGCCGCGCTGAAAACTACAAAGTCCACCGGGACTGCGCGCTACCCCGCGGCCCAGCCTGCACCGCTGGCCGGGATGAGCACGGCGCACCTGGCTCGGGGTCTGAATAATGAGCAGGGCTGCTCGTCCTGTTTGAGGGAAATTACTCTTTCTGAGAGTCAAATCCTGAATGTGACGTGTAATCCCTGCACGCAAGGTGTGGGGATAGCAAACAGAAACCGGGAGAGGTTTGGGCAAAAGCGGAATCGCGAAGACAGGGATGGGCCGCCAGACTCGCGGGTCCGCTACGGATGTCTGCGCCTCAGGCCTGGCCCCACTAGGACGCCCCTTCCACTGCCAGGGGAGACCCTGGAATAAAGGCAGGGAGGGAGAGCTGCTGCCATGAAACCCTCCGGGCAATCCGAACACCTTCCGAGAACGCGGGGCCCGGGCGGCTGCGAAGCCGGGGAGCCCTCCCCTCCACGCTGCCGGGAGAGCCGATCCTGGGGCTGCCGCCGAGGCCGGGAGAGGGAAGACTTGATGGGAACCGGCCAGGGGCAAGCCCGCAGGGAAGAGGCCGGAGTCAAAGGCCGGGCGTCCCCTCGCTCCCCGCTCCACCCCTACGGCAAACACTTGGGGGGCCTGAGGAAAGCTCGGAGCTGAGTGGGGGCTGTGCTGGCGGGGACCCCCATAAGGACGCCTGCATACAAACCACCCCGCGCGAAAAGTGCGCTCCGGCCCCGGCCCGACACGGTTACCTGGGCAACGACCCGGGTGCCCAAAGTACACAGCACGCACCACCACCCAACACCAGCACCCAACACCAGCACCGCACCACCTGCTCCACCACTACCACCAGCACCCGCTGGGGCGGCAGAGAGGGCGCCCTGCCCGGGAGCGCGCGGTGCGGACGCGGGCGTCCGAGCCCAGGGAAGCCCCCTCTCCACCCCGCCCGACCGCGGGGCCGCTTACCCGGTCGGGGGCTTGGCCGCCGAGGCGCGCGGCGCGTCCATGGTGCCGGGGGCCGGGACGCGGGCGGTGCTCCGGGCCCGCCGAGTCAGGCGCTGGCTACCGCCGCCACCGCTGCCGCCCTCATTCACTTTTTCCGCGCTGACCCATCGTCCTCCCACGCGGGCCGGCGGAGGACAGCGGCGGAGCGCGGCGGACGGAAGGGGCTGGAATCGTCTCTAGCGGGCGGGGGCGCCGGGAGCGCAGGGAGGGGCTGGCGGCGGCGCGGGGCGGGGGCGCCGGGAGCAAGGTGCGCCGCGCCCCCGCCCCGGCTGCTCTGCCGCGCCCACCGGAGCGCCGCCCCCGCCCCGCCCCGCCCCGCCTGCTCAGAGTCCCGACCCGGCCCGCGGCGAGCGTCCGGGGAAGGAATCCTCCGGCACCTGGGCCCTGCACCGACACCCGCGGGTGCGGCAGAGGGCTTCTCCCCGTGCTCCTCCACCCCTGGGGGGAGCGCGACCCTCTCTGGGCGGAGTGGGGGATCCCGGGGCCGGCGCCTCCTGGCGGAGTTGGGGGAGGGGAACCACCTGGAGCCTGGAGGCCGTGCGAGGGCGAGGTGGGCGGACCAGCCCGGGAGGACTGACGTTGGAGGGTGAGAAGTGAGTGTCCGGCACCGCTCTCTGACCTTTATCCGTGCAGCAAATGTCTAGTGCGTAGGGTCGCAAAGTGGGAGTCCCGACCGGGAGCGTCAGGAACACCTGGGAACTTGTTAGAAATGCAGATTTCTGGGGCCCACCAGGTCCCACGGAATCAGAAACAGTGCGGGCTGGAGCGCGGCCTCGCTTTGCTAACAACTCACTCGCTCTAGGTGAATGCTCGCTTAAGTTTGCCAACCTGATTCACTGGGCGCTACTGTGGCACAACCCTGCCACTCCAGTGCGGGCTGGCGGGCAGATATGCAGGTCCTGCCGGCCACGCCGGGGCCCAGAGCAAGTCAGCCAGAGGTCCCTTATCTGCCCAACTTCACCTCCACTCTCTAAGATCTTGGTTGGTATGATGGGCTGACCTATAAAAGTGGCAGTTTCATATGGTTTCAATGACTCGAATAAAAGACCAACAAGAGGCCAGATCGGGCGAGCCTGATAGCGTTGGGGGTGACGCTCCCCTTGCGATCTTGTCATTGGATGAGGTATCCAGAGGCCTGCGCAGCCTTCCTCCCTCTGATCCCCTGCTTTCTCATTAACTGAAGGGGGGGCAGACCAGTCTATATGCAAAATGTGAGTCCTTACTCGTGGCTGGCAGATCTTGGGTGCTCCCTGCTCCCACCTAGAAGGTTTCCTAAGTCCCCAGGTGGCCCTGGGGCTCACTTCCCTGCAGCCCAGCCTCCCATGAGTGGAGCGCTTTCCCGGCTCAGGGCCTCTGGCTGGGATGCTGCTCCACAGTGCTCTTCCTCCTCCTTTTCATCCCGTGGTCTCCCCAAGGAGCCTTTCCTGGCCTCTCTGTCTAAAAGCACCCTGCGGAGCACAGTGGCTTACACCTGTAACCTCAGCACTCAGGGAAGCCAAGGCCGGAGGAGCAGTTGAGCTCAGGAGTCGGAGACCAGCCTGTGCAACCTGGGAGAACTTTCTACAAAATAAAAAAATTAGCGGAGCATGGTGGCACACACCTGTAATCCCAGCTACGGGGCGGGGCGGCGAGTGGGGAGCAGGCTGGACAATGGAGTGAGATCCTGTCTTAAAACACAAAATAAAAGCAGCTCTCACTCAAGCTCCTGACTGCTGCCTTGTCCTAATTTTCTTCTGAGCATTTGTCACTGTATGTGTGTGTGTATGTGTGTATGTGTATATATATATGTGTGTGTGTATATGTGTATGTGTGTATATATGTGTGTGTTTATATTTAAATGTAAGTTTATAAAGAAATGTTTACATGTAATGTGTTATATTTATAGACATGTTTATATGAATGCATAAAATTTGTATTTATGTAAACTTATAAATATGTATATACATTATATATAAATGGAATAAAAAACATAAATAACATATCCTATTCCGCATATATTTTGCTCATGTGTTTGCCATTGGTCTCCTCCCTAGCATGTGATCTTAGCAAGCGCTGGGCCTTTGTCTGATTTATCACCCCCAGCATCTAGGGCAGTGCCTAGCAGGGTGGAGTCAGTGCTCAGTAAACAAAGGGTGCACTGAATGAATGAATCTCTTCTTGCACCTTGGGTGTGGGTATTAGAGAGTCTCTCCCAAAATCTGGGGAGCCCCTCCTTGCTCTGGACACCACCATGGGAAGGGCTGCCCAGGAGGGGCCAGAGCTGAAAACTAGACTAGGCACTGTGAGCCAGACCCCATTGAAATCCCTAAGGAGAAGTCCACCTCACAGGTGACACATACTCCAAGCACCTGGCAGAGGCAGCAAGAGGAAGTATGGTGGGGACATGGAGCAAAAGAAGCCCGGAGTGACCCAGTGTCTCAGATGCTGAGCACAGATGGCAACAGGAAGCCCGAAGCAGGTGGATGGTGAAGAGTAAGAGAGCTCCTCAACATCCAGAAAAACAATGAGAAGGAGGTGACGTGCCACCTCCAGGCCAAGATGCAACTTGCTGTTCTAGGAAAAAGGCCCAGGTGACCCTAGGCCTGGACAACCTCAGATCCTTGGAAGGCCCCCAGACATCTACTCAGAAACCCAACAGGGACCAGTTTCCAGAAATGAAGTGGAGGGTTAAGCCTGGTTAGAGCTGTCAGGATGAGACACAGAGTAAAGGTCAGACTTCTGCCAGAGGGAGGAGCTTCACGCTGTGACCCAGGGCCTGCAATCTAAATGGGCCAGGACTGCCGATCACTTGTGTCAACTGTGGGGAGGGGCACAGAGCCTGGGGGGGCAGGCGGGGCCTAGGACCTGATCAGATTCTGTGCATATTGCCACCCACACTTCCCTGACTGATAAGGGCCCCAAGAGATGCAACTGTGGGGAGTTGTTTTCCAAAATTGTATAGTTCAACAGATATTTCTGAGCATCTACTGTATGCCAGCCTTTGTCTGCGGTGTGGATGTGGCCACCTCATAGGGAGGGCTAGGCAAGGAAATCAGTAACAGACAGGGCTGAGCTCTTCCAGACAGACAGTGAGAAAGAGGAATAGGTGATGGGCTGAAAGCAAAGGGCTGAGTGGGGCCTTGTAGAGGATGTCACCAAGATCAGCCTACCACTTGTCACTGAGCAGAACGCACTCCTTCCTGTGCTTACTGACTTCAGCAGAGCAAATGGCACAATCACACGCTAGGGAAACTCAAAGGGAAAGGTGTTCTTTATGGACTCTTTCCTGCACATGCTTTTAAATGTCCTTATTAAAACTGTCACTTTTTTTTTTTTTTTTTTGAGAGGGAGTCGTTCTGTTGCCCAGGCTGGAGTGCGATGGCGCAATCTCGGCTCACTGCAACCTCCACCTCTCATGTTCTAGCGATTCTCCTGCCTCAGCCTCTCAAGTAGCCAGGATTACAGGCGCCTGCCACCACGCCCGGCTAATTTTTTGTATTTTTATTAGAGATGGGGTTTCACCCTGTTGGCCAGGCTGATCTCAAACTCCTGACCTCAAGTGATCTGCCCACCTCAGCCTCCCAAAGTGCTGAGATTACAGGCATGAGCAACCACACTCAGCCACTTTTTCAGATGTCGACCATCACTAAATCATCTATATTTTATAGTGTGGCAAACATCCAGGGATGTGCTGATAAATGCTTACAAATGATATTTTTAAATTTTTTTAAAAAGAGCCCCTATTTGTAGCATTTGCCAGTTTTTGTAGTGTAAACGCACCTTGGCAGATTTCAAGCTAGGGTGTTGTAAAGTCACTGAACAGGGAGTTACAGAAGATGCAGCAAGACCGCAACTCTCCATGATTTGCCTTCCCACATGCGTGAAAGCAGAACCTTTGCCCCTTCATCCACAGAGCATGGCTGAGTGCTGCTCTTTGTCCCAGGACACCATGCTTGTGTCCTGATATGGGCTGTAATGGGTGCCCTTGGCTATAGCTCTGGACTACAGTGGCATCAGCTCTTGCCCCAAGCAGTAGGAGCTACCCTGAGACCAGGGTGTAAGGCTACTTGAAGGACATTCTCTCCTTGGTCTAACCCCATCCCCCTTCTTTGCTCCTAACTCTCCTCCCAGGCACACCTGGGGTCTCAACAGCCCCCATCGGCGTACACTCAGCTCTCCATGACTCGAGGTGGGTGCCTGCAGTCACACCAGCTGCTCTTTCTGGAGGGAAAATGAAAGGAAGAAAGCACATCAAAGACACAGATGGAAGCAGTCCAGTTTAAAGCAGGGCTTCGTAAACGTGGATACTTCTTGGGATGTTATTAAGATTTAGTTCGTGATGCAGTGAGTCTGGCTGGGACCTGAGAGTCTATGTTTCTAACAAGCTCCCAGGGAAGTGGAGACTGCTGGCCCAGGGAGCACGCTTTGAGTAGCGAGGGTTTAGGGTCAAACACAGTGAGCATCTTCGGGCCTGATCTTCCACTCACTGGTGGTATTGCCGAGAGCAAATTACTTCTCTCTAGGCTTTAGTGTCCTCCTCTCTAAAATGAGAATATTCAGGGGTGGATCCAGATTTCAAAGGGCCTGAATCTTACAAAATTGTAAGGACCTTTTAAATAAATAAAGCATACCATATGATTAATGCAAATTTAGATACCAAAAGGATCTTTATTTTGAATGTGTTATGGACCGAATTGTTTCCCCTCAAAATTCATAAGTTGAATATAACTGTAATTAGAGTAGAAACTGTCACTGTAACCAGTGTAAGGGTAATTACAGATAGAAACTTAGAAAAGTGAGTAAGTTTAAGTGAGGTCATAAGGGTGGGGGGGCCCTGATCCTATAGGGCTGGTGTCTTTATTGGGAGAGGAAAAGACAACAGAGCTCTCTCTCTTTCTTCACCAACCGCAGTGGCACCTTGATCATGGACTTCCAGCCTCTAGAACTGTGAGAAAATGAATTTTTGTTGTTTAAGCCGCGCAGTCTGTGATATTTTGTTATGGCAGCCCATGCAGTCTAACACAGATTTAGAAACTAAACCATTATGGATGCAACTTTTTTTTGTTTTGTTTTGTTTTGTTTTTGAGATGGTGTCTCACTCTTTCGCCCAGGCTGGAGTGAAGTGGCATGATCTCGGCTCACTGCAACCTCCACCCACCAGGTTCAAACAATTCTCCTGTCTCAGCCTCCCGAGTAGCTGGGACTACAGGCATTCACCACCATGACAGGCTAATTTTTTTTTGTATTTTTAGTAGAGACAGGGTTTTGCCATGTTGGCCAGGCTGGTCTTGAACTCCTGACCTCAGGTGATCCACCCGCCTCAGCCTCCCAAAGTGCTAGGATTACAGCGTGAGCCACCGTGCCTGGCCAGTTGCAACTTTTCAAAGCTGACTTTACTACAACAAGTGAGCAAGTGATGGCATAACAGTAGTTCTGCCTTCCGGGGGTAAGAATAGTGCCTACTCACCAGGCCCAGGGGGAGGATTACACGGGATAAAGTGTGCAAATTTCTTGCGGTGGTACCTGACACTGGTAAGCAATCAATCCACATAACTCTTACTATTCAGACTTGTTCACTTGCTTTTGGTGCATAGTTCCCTGCACAACCATGCAGCTAGAGTCCTGGCCCCTTGAAAAGAACTTAAAGCAGAAACAAGAGCCAAACACCCGTCATTGCGCTCTGGCAGGTGTACATGTCACCTGAGCTGGGCCAAGGTGGTGCGGGGGGGCGGCTGGGGGTGCTGTTTTTGGGAATGGGAGAGTCATGCATCCAAAGTCCTCTTCTCCAGCCAGTGTGCTGCAGTACTCGAGTCAACCTCAGCTCTAGAAACCCTTCCCTCTGTTTCCTAAAACCCCCGGGAAAAATGTAAATTCTCCAGCAGAAGACACTGCTCGGCATTTTATGGAGCTGTGGCTGTGGACAAGCGAAAGAGCTTGGGTCTGTAGTGAGGAGCTGTTGAATTTAGGCCAAGGAGACCCTTGAGAAAAGGTTTGGGGCCCCACAAGTCCAGCCTTCCACTCTCCCCATTACATTCTCAAGTTTGCATTAAGGCGAGAATTGAATAACTTTCTTTTCAGGATGGTACATTATTAAACAGGACATATTTTACATGGGGTCATTAACTAACAATAGTAACTCAAAGAAATATTTATGTAGAGTGCTTTCTTTTTTTCTTTTCTTTTTTTTATTTTTTGAGACCAATTCTCACTCTTTCGCCAGGCCAGAGTGCAGTGGCGCAATCTCATCTCACTGCAACCTCTGCCTCCTGGGTTCAAGCGACTCTCCTGCCTCAGCCTCCCGAGTAGGGAGTAGCTGGGACTACAGGCGCCCGCCACTATGCCCTGCTAATTTTTTGTATTTTTAGTAGAGACGTGTTTTCACCATGTTGGCCAGGCTGGTCTCCAACTCCTGACCTCATAATTCGCTCTCCTCGGCCTCCCAAAATGCTGGGATTACAGATGTGAGCCACCGCACCCTGCCTGATTGCTTTCTTTTTATCAATATATAATTCACATACCATCAAATTCACCTCTCTCAATTCAGTGGTTTTTAGTACATAGAGTTGTGCAACCATTACCATTGTCTAATTTCAGTACATTCGCATCCCCCCAAAATAAACCCTGTGTCCATTAGCATCCACTCCCCATCCTTCCACTCCCTGAAACCACGATTTACTTTATGTCTCTATGGATTCACCTACTATGGTCATTTCATATAAATGGAATCACACAATATGTGGCCTTTTATGACTGGCTGCTTTTTCTTTTTTCTTTTCTTTTCTTTTTTTTTTTTTTTAATTGAGACAGAGTCTCGCTCTGTTGCCCAGACTGGAGTGCAGTGGCACAATCTCAGCTCACTGCAACCTCCGCCACCTGGGCTCAAGTGATTCTCCTGCCTCAGCTTCCTGAGTAGTTGGCGCTGTAGGCATCCACCACCACGCCTGGCTAATTTTTGTATTTTTGGTAGAGATGGGGTTTTGCCATGTTGGCCAGGCTGGTCATGAAGTCCTGACCTCAGGTGATCCACCCACCTCGGCCTCCCAAAATGCTGGGATTACAGGCATGAGCCACCGTGCCAGGCCTATTAATAGTTAATTTTTAAGGACCACTTCCTAGATGTGATGCACTATACTAAACTCATTAATAACTCTAATCATTGTGTGTATATATATAAATATACATACAAAAAAATTTTTTTTGAGACGGGGTCTCACTCTGTCACCAGGCTGGAGTGCAGTGGCGCAATCTCAGCTCACTGCAGCCTCAGCCTCCCAGGTTCAAGCAATTCTCCCACTTCACCCTCCTGAGTAGCTGGGATTACAGGCGCACCACCGCGCCCAGCTTATTTTTGTATTTTTAGTAGAGATGGGGTTTCACCATGTTTGGCCAAGCTAGTCCTGAACTCCTGACCTCAGGTCATCCACCCGCCTTGGCCTCCCAAAGTGCTGGGATTATAGGCATGAGCCACCATGCCCGGCCAATCATTTTATATTTTAAATGATCTGAAAGGTAGGTACTATTGTTGTCCCTTTTTAAAAATTATATTAAAATTATACAACTTTATAATAAAAATATAATGAAATATAATTATATTTTTATTTTATGTATATTTATTATATATTATAATTATATAATAAAAATCAGCCTTGTCCCCATTTTATAAGTGAAAAAAATCAAGAATTAGGGAACTTAAGTCACCCAATGTTACACAGGGCAAAGATTCATACCAGGCAACCTTACCTAAGACCCTGTATTCTTGGCCATTGTACAAATGCATCACTTTAATCTATGCCTGTCACCCAGCCCTCCCATGAAGCATTCAATGCAGAAGCAGCCCCAGCACCTAGCGTTTGTCAGCACATGCATGTTGCGCTCTCTGCCAAGTGGCAAACGAAGGAGAATGTGTAGGTTTGGCTATCCTGCCACTTTGTCATGAAGCTCTTATTTAAGCCACCAGCTGTCATAATTTTCCTGCTAGTGCGAGCACACTGAGAGCTATGCTTCCCGTCCTGCACTGTGTAGGGAGGCATTTCTTCACCTCTTTGCAGAGATGTTCAGCCCATGATCTTACGTAACATTGCACCCACGCCCTCCACCCACATAAGGATTATGCAATTGCGTGTAGGATTCCTTGCGGTGTTTTCTGGAAATATGAGCCTCTTCAGAAAATGCATCCACGTAGTTTTGACGAAAGAGGATTTTCTGACCTGTGCTGATGAATGTTCTGTCTTTATATATAATTTTGCCTTGGAGAACTTGTCTGGTTTGAAGTCAACTGAAGGTTAAGGGCATATTCATCTACAAATAAGATTATATCCTTCATACTTATTCAGTTTTATTCAATTCCGAAGTCATTCCAAAAATCAAAGATGGCTTTAGCAGTATTTTATATCCTCTTTTATACTGCACTATATATTACAATTCTCTATTATTTAACATGGTTCAAGAGTGGAGGGGTTGGCTGATGGAATATAACTACAATTCTAAATTTTTGATTTATGTTTTTGGATATGGTGGCTTTTGATGCCAATCCATGGCCTCCTTCCCAGAATTATAATTTGATCTTTTTAGTGAGTTTATAGGCTACATTTATCAAGGAGAAGAAATAAAAGGAATGGTTCTCTATTCCTGGCTTCCCAAATATTTAGCATTTAGGAAGGCTCCCAGCTGACACCTCTCCTGTGTTACTTTCTGCATCAGGCTTGTCCAGGCATGTTGGATGGACAGAGAATGTAGGCTGCCAGGATATTCACATCTCATGAGGAGTGTGGCGCCTCCTAGAAGGAGCTCATCCTGGGCGTTGAGGGTGGCTGCGTAGGAGAAGCTCAAGGATCAGCGGGTCTCTCATTATCTTGGGTGGGGGATTTGTGGCCTCACACTGTGTCGAGCAGATTGTGACCTCCTCCAGGCCTTCAGAGACTCCTGTGGTTCCGGCAGGTCCAAGAAGGAGCAGCACTGAGCCATATCACCCTGGGTTTTTCTTAGTTAAGGCCTCAGGGAGGAGTTCATTTACAATGGATTTTGAAGTTGTAAAGGAAGGCCTTAGTCATAGGGGCAACTGTCAGCACCACCAGCCAGACATAGTATTGTAGTATCGCTGGCAGCGACGAGGGACAGATAGCTGAAGAAAAGGGACCTAGGGATGCCACCAGGTATGAAGGAAGCACTAATTTGTGTAGTCCAGGAAGAACTTCCTTGCGGGGGTCCCAGAACCATCAGTTTCTTGGAGTTCCTTAAGGTAATGGGATAGAGGCAGGAGCATTCTCACTCACCACTATAGTTGGACATTATTTTTACTTACAGGCTACTGTAGCCTAGGAAACCTCAGTTATGTAACAAACATATTCTCCAGAAATATTTTCTGAGACCTTCAAGAATCTGCAGATTCATGATGATGGAAATTTGGGTACAGGCTTCTCAATTTCTCCAGAATAAATATTTCAGGAGAGAGGCTTCTGCAACCTTGTATGACAACATTCACAACAAAAGTTCAATGTCCCTTGAATTGGCAAATCATCACCCACAAACAACAGACACTAACACAGCTGTTTTTACTCCAAAGAGCATCTGCATCATGCTTACTGAGTCAGAAACACCATAGCTGAGTGGAGATGGGGCTGCTGGAGGTGATGGTGTGTCCTCTCCAGCCAAAAGCTTCCCCTGGTGTGCTCAGTAGAATTACACCTTCCTTCTTGTTGCAGCCTTCTGGGCTATTTTTTAAATTAAAAAGTAGAATGAAATATCAGATCTGTGAATGCCATAGGGCTACTGTATTCCATTTTCTAATATGATTATATGATTTCTTTTTTTTTTTTTTTTTTTAAACAGAGTCTCACTCTGTTAGGCCCAGGCTGGAGTGCAACGGCGCGATCTCAGCTCACTGCAACCTCCACCTCCTGGGTTCAAGCCATTCTCCCACCTCAGTCTCCCAAGTAGCTTGTATTACAGGCCCCCACCACCATGCCTGGCTAATTTTTTATATTTTTAATAGAGACGGGGTTTTGCCATGTTGCTCAAGCTGGTCTCAAACTCCTGACCTGAGGTGATCCGCCTGCCTCGGCCTCCCAACGTGCTGGGATTAGAGGCGTGAGCCACCGCGCCTGGCCTCTTTTGTTATTGATTGAAACAACAGCAAAGATGGGAATGAGAGTGTTAGGGAGGACATAGCAAAGTAAGGAGGAATGCTGATACTATGGAGGAATAGCTCCTTCCCACACTCTAGATTAAACATTCACCCCAGGGAACAGATCTGTCAAATGCAGGCACCCCTGGAATGTTTACTCCTCTGTAGATGTTACTTTTGTTTTTCAAATTAATCACTTGAGCATCACATGCCTTTTGGCAGAAGTCAACTCTCTTCATTTTGAGGACCCCATCGCTGTTCAATGATCCAAGAATCCCACGGGCTAAATGGGGTGGGAGGTCAGTCCTCACTCGGCACCAATCTCAGAGGGAGCTGTGCCCATCAGTGCTGTGACTGATTGCTGCCGACTGTGGACAAGTCGGGGTGCTCCAGAGCCCATGTGTGCCGGGCCCCCAGAGGCAGGCCGATTCCAGCTGGCCGCAGGGCTTCTTTGGGGGATGCCTGGGGAAGGTGCTTGCCTTTACATGTCCCAGGTAATAACTCTTTCTAGTAACCTTCAGAGCCCCTTCCCAGGGCACATACCAGACCCCAGGGCATCAGGGGACACGGTTGGGGTACTGGGTAGATTCTTGGATTCTAAAGCAGAGGAGTCCAAGTCCACCTCTCATTCTACCCGCAGCTCTGCTCCCACCAAGGCAAGGCAATGGATTGAAGCTGTGCAAAGCACAGCCGGCCTTGCATGGTCACCCCTCTGGGGCCAAAGCCACCTGCTTGTCCGACATTTGCATAACTAACAAAAGTACTTAAGTGATTCTGGGAAGAATGAGGTGAATCCAATTCTTAGTGGCTCTATGCCTCTGCCTGAACCCAGGTGCAGCTGGCCCCCTCTCTAAAGAAAAGAAAATAGCAAACCTGCTTGCAGACAGAGGCTCATCCACACCAGAGGGGCAGTGACCTCCCTTCATTGCTTAAGTATAAGGGTGGCAGCAGGACTTAACCTGGTATGAGGGGAGCAACGCGGTGCCAGGGCCTCAGGGAAGATGATCAGGGCCTGCGTAGCTGCAGGGTAAGTGATGAGAGGGAAGCCAGGCTGCCAGCTCCAGAAACTAAAAAGAAGAGGAGGTGATGGTGAGAACTTACTTACTCTATCTGTACTCAACTGTGTGTGTGTGGTTTTATTTTTTGCTTTTTTTTTTTTTTTTTTGAGATGGAATCTTGCTCCATTGCCCAGGCAAGAGTGCAGTGGCACAATCTCGGCTCACGGTAACCTCTGCCTCCTGGGTTCAAGCGGTTCTCCTGCCTCAGCCTCTTGAATATCTGGGACTACAGGTGCATGCCACCACACTCAGCTAATTTTGGTATTTTTAGTAGAGATGAGGGTTTCACCATGTTGGCCAGGCTGGCCTCGAACACCTGACCTCAAGTGATCCACCTGCCTCGGCCTTCCAAAGTGCTGGGATTAACAGGCGTGAGCCACCGCACCTGGCTTGTACTCAACTGTTTTTATTTCACTTATTGACACAAACACATTCTACCAACAGGCGAAGAAGGAAGGACTGGATGGAAAAGGAATAAAGTTGCCTTATTCTCCCCTTTCCTTCTATGTCATTATTTTCACTGTTAGGTGGCTAGCTAATACATAACTATCTTAGCAAATGTAAATCAGCAGATGTTTCAAAAAAGGTGAAACTCATGGCTTCTACACTTCTCAGTGGGGGGATGGGTCTTCTGGGTCATCCTAGTTACTTTACTGCCAAGGGACTGTGGGTGTATGGGTGGGTATGTGGTATGTGCGTGTGTATGTGTGTGTGTGTGTGTGTGTGTGTGTGTGTGTTGCTCCCATCACAGCAAGTAGTTGGAGTAGGAGGAGTGGTTTGAGTGGATATTGGTCAAGGTCACTGATAAAAAGAGCAAAGTGATACAAAGGTTCAGCATGGGCCTGTTAGTGTGGGAGGTGACTAAATGTTTATTTTTACATGTAAATGATCAACCTATCTACTTTAGTCACACCTGGTAAATGTGTGTGTGTGTATGTGTTGCATAAGAGCTTGAGGAGTTGATTTGAGAGGGCAGTGAGACATGGATTATCCTTCTACAAAATATAATCTCTGTATAGAGTTTGAAGAGATTACAGGGAAAGCTCACTAGGCCATGTTGTGAGTTCTAGAACCAGGAGGAATGGAAGCTCACCTCCCAGGTGGAGATGTGGCCTCTCTGCACTATAGGCAGTATGTGTTACTATACACCTAGCTAGGGATGAAACAAAGTGTGTCCAGCACCTGCCCCCACCACCCCTTGCCCTGGCCTATGCTGACTGTAAGATGGCTTGGCTCAGAATAGCAACTAATACACACAAAAATGAGTCTGTTCCAATATTTATCATCCCAAACTGCATGCAAATATGCTAAAGAAGTATACTGGGATATTTCACTGTGGTTAGTTACTACATATAGAAAAGAGAATAAATAATCTAAAAATTCTGAATTCCCAACCAGTGAGGGATCTATTCTGGACACCTTTCACCTGGCAGCTCTAGTTGGTGAGAATAAACAGAAGGATGATGTTTTGAGACCCAAGGAAAAAACCCCGAGGCCATTCAAAGCCACTTAGTTTAACCTGCCTGACCTGCCTAATACCAAAGAGGCAACTGGAGCAATGAGCTTATGGCCATAGAACGAAACAGTCTCTCGCATCCCCTAAGCCAGGCCAAAAAGTTACCCAGCAGTTTCACGATGTTTAGACCAATACTTCAGGCACTCATCATTTCTCATCTGGAGGATGGTGGCAGCCTCGCTGCCTCTTGTACCACCATTTAATCTGCCTCAGGATGGGTCTGTTACTGGAAAGGGGTCCTGAACCAGACCCCAGGGAAGGTTTCTTGGATCTTGTGCAAGCAAGAATTCAGGGTGAGTCCGTAAAGTGAAAGCAAATTTATCAAGAAAGTAATGAATAAAAGAATGGCTACTCCATAGGCGGAGCAGCCCCGAAGGCCCATTTTTAGGGTTATTTCTTGATGGTACGCTAAACAAGGGGTGGGTTATTCATGCAGCCCCTTTTTAGACCATATAGGGTAACTTCCTAACATTGCCATGGCATTTGTAAACTGTCATGGTGCTGGTGGGAGTGTAGCAGTGAGGATGACCACAGGTCACCATCTTGGTTTTCGTGGGTTTTAGCCCACTTCTTTACTGCAGCCTGTTTCATCAGCAAGGTCTTTATGACCTGTATCTCGTGGCGACCTCCTATCTCATCCTGTGACTAAAAATGCCTTAACCTCCTGGAAAT
Source organism: Homo sapiens (assembly GCF_000001405.40). Taxonomy (NCBI): domain Eukaryota; kingdom Metazoa; phylum Chordata; class Mammalia; order Primates; family Hominidae; genus Homo; species Homo sapiens. The sequence goes on from NC_000007.14 coordinate 51,329,980, forward strand.
CCAGCCCAGCAGGTCTTAGCCTTATTTTCCCAGCCCCTATTCAAGATGGAGTCTCTCTGGTTCACATGCCTATGACAGGCCTACTAAACACAAGTCTGACCTTTTGTTACCAGCCAGCATCACTATCCTCACATGCCTTAGGATTCTTCAGTGGCTCCCACTGCCTGAAAAAGTCAAGTTTAAACATACATGTATAACATTTTTGACCCTGTATAAATTTGGCTTTTCTTTTATCCTCCTGTTTTTCAGAGAAAATGGATAGCCCAGACAAAGGTTTCAGCTAGCCTGGTCATTAAGTGCTAGGATTTATGTGGGTCTTAGGAGACAGGATTTTAGCAGGGAAGCCACTCCAATTTTTACCTGTTGAAATTATTTAAATATTTTAATGCTCTGTGTGAACAAAACCAAATTTATCTGCAGGGCCAATAAGCTCAGAGGCTGCCAGTTTTTACCCTTTAGAAGAGGATCATGCTGACAACTAACATTTCTTGATTAAGAGTTTATTGTTCTTCTAAACACAAGTCAAAGAGCACTCTATCCCAAGAATAGAAGAATATGTGTTCTTTTCAAGTGGACATAAAATATTTGTCAAGATAAAAAATATTATGGGCCATAAGAGAAGTCTCAAAAAACATAAACAAATTAAAGTCATACAAAGTATTACTCCGGCCACAATGGAATTAAATTACAAATCAATACAAAATCAATATCTGGAAAATCCCAAATATTTGGAAACAAAATATCACACATCTAAAAAACCCAAGTGTTACAGGAAAGGAGTTCTGATCCAGACCCCAACAGACGGTTGTTGGATTTCACATGAGAAAGAATTTAGGGTGAGTCCACAGTGCAAAGTAAAAGCAAGGTTTAAGAAAGTAAAGTGGTGAAAGTACAGCTTATTCCATAGACAGAGAAGGAGTAAGAGAAGGAACGTGTCCACCATAGGTACAATGCTCGTATATATAGGATAAAAAAAGAAGCTGGGCACGGTGGCTCACCCCTGTAATCCTAGCACTTTGGGAGGATGAGACAGGCGGATCACTTGAGGGTGGGAGTTCGAGACCAGCCTGGCCAACATGGTGAAACCCCGTCTCTACTAAAAATACAAAATTAGCCGGGCGTGGTGGCATGTGCCTGTAAACCCAGCTACTTGGGAGGCTGAGGCAGGAGAATCCCTTGAACCCCAGAGGTAGAGGTTGTAGTGAGCCGAGATAGCACCACTGCACTCCAGCTTGGGTGAAAGAGGGAGACTTGCCTCAAACAAACAAACAAACAAACAAAATCATATATATATACAATAGGCAGATGTGCTCTGCTTCAAGGGTTTGTGATAAAGGATTAATTTTCTTAATTACTGTATTTTGCAAGAATTGATATTACTCTCTCTTTTTTTTTTTTTTTTTTTTGAGATGGAGTCTCACTCTGTTGCCCAGGCTGGAGTGCAGTGGCGCGATCTCAGCTCACTGCAACCTCTGCTTCCTGGGTTCAAGCAATTCTCCCGCCTCAGCCTCCCGAGTAGCTGGGACTACAAGCACGTGCCACCAGGCCCAGCTAATTTTTTTGTATTTTTAGTAGAGACAGGGTTTCCCTGTGTTAGCCAGGATGGTCTGGATCTCCTGACCTCGCGATCTGCCCACCTCGGCCTCCCAGAGTGCTAGGATTACAGGCATGAGCCACCATGCCCAGCCTGATATTATTATCTTTAAAGCAAAATTAGGAATGTCTTTGTTCTCAAGATATTAGGATATTAGGATACTCCCAAGTCTGGGTCTGTTTGGTAAACATTATCATTTTGTTCCCTTAACCATAAACATCTAGAGGCTGGGAATACCTAACTTTCTGGGAATGTAGCCCTGCGAGTCCCAGCCTCATTTTCCTAGCCCTCGCTCAAGATGGAGTCACTCAGGTTCCAATGCCTCTGACACAAGGAACAAATAGGAAGTCAAAAGGGAAATGAGAAACTATTTTGGATTGAATGAGAATGAAAACACACTGTATACATTCTGTGGGATGCTGTTAAGGCAATATTTGAGGGAATCACACAGCACTAAAGACTTCTGTTAGAAAAGAAGTAAAGTCTTAAACCAGTGACCTCAGTTTCCACCATAAGAAACTAGAAAAAAAAGAAAGGCAAATTAAACCCAACCTAAGCATAAGGTAATAAAGATCAGAGCAGAAATAAATAAAATAGAAAACAGAGAAAACTTCAGAAAAAAACTCAATGACCTCAAACATTGTTTCTTGGAGAATATCAACAAAATTGGCAAACCTCTAGGCAGACTACTCAGGTGAAAAAAAAAGAAAAGATACAGATTACTAATATTAGGAATGAAAGTGATCAATCACTACAGATTCCACAGATATTAAGAGATAAAAGTAAACATCAATAACTTCATGCCAATAAAATTGATAATTTAGATAAAGTAGATTAATTTCATGAAAGACACAAATTGCCACGGCACACTTAGGAAGAAAAAACACCCTATTATCTATTGAAAACATTCAGTTTGAAGCTAAAAACCTTCCAACAGGCCAGGCAAGGTGGCTCACGCCTGTAATCCCAACACTTTGAGAGGCCAAGGCGGGCAGATCCCAAGGTCAGGAGTTCAAGACCAGCCTGACCAACATGGTGAAAACCCACCTCTACTAAAAATACAAAAAGTAGCCAGACATGGTGGTACATGCCTATAATCCCAGCTACTCAGGAGGCTGAGGCAGGAGAATCGCTTGAACCCAGAAGGTGGAGGCTGCAGTGAGCCAAGATTGCACCACTGCACTCCAGCCTGGGAGACAGAGTGAGATTCCCTCTCAAACAAAACAAAACACCTTCCAACAAAAAACATTCCAGGACCGGATGATTTCACTGATAAATTCCGCAAAACCTTTAAAGAAAATATAATATCGATTCTACGGAAACTCCTCTGAAAAGCTGAAGATAAGGAAACAGTTTCTAACTAATTATTAATGAGGTTGGCATTATCCTTACACCAAAAGCAGAAAAAGATATTACAAGGGGAATTTAAAGAAAACCACAAAACTCTGCAATCAATGACCTTTGCGAACATTAGTGTAAAAGGTCTCTATTAGTTAAGGTTCCCCAGTGAAACAGAATCAATAAGATGTGTATAGATACACGGAAAGAGATTTGTAAGGAGGGATTGGTTCACAGTATTGTGGAGGCTGAGAAGTCCCACAGCCTGCTGGTCTGTAAGCTGGAAGCCCAGGAAAGCTGTGGTGTAGTTCTAGTTCAAGCCCAAAGGCCTGAGAACCAGGAACATCAATGTCCAAGGGCAGGAGAAGATGGATTTCCCAGTTTAAACAGACAGGAATTCACCCTTCCACTTTTTTTTTTTTTTTTTTTTTTTAGGCGGAGTCTTGCTCTTGTCACTCAGGCTGGAATGCAGTGGCCAGATCTCGGCTCACTGCGACCTCCGCCTCCCGGGTTCAAGAGATTCTCCTGCCTCAGCCTCCTGAGTAGCTGGGATTACAGGCGCCCTCCACCATGCCCAGCTAATTTTTGTACTTTTAGTACAGATGGGGTTTCTCCATGTTGATCAGGCTGGTCTCCAACCCCTGACCTCGGGTGACCCGCCCACCTCGGCCTCCCAAAGTGCTGGGATTATAGGCGTGAGCCACTGCGCCAGGACTTGTTTTTGTTCTATCCAGTCCCTCAGTGGATTGGATGGAGCCTACTCACCTGAGTAAAAGTAGTGTTGATTATCTTGGGAGTGGTGCCATATTGGGGTCTCAGTGTTAGTCTCTGCAGCTGGGAGACTGGGCACTCAGCAGCGGCCAGGGCCGGGTCATCTTGGTGAGTGGGAGTCCGTGTTGTGGAGCCTATGCATAACTCCCACGGCCACTTGGTTTATTACAGGAGAGGCTGGGAAAGCAGCTGACTGGTATCCACAGAACGGGTCATCCTATGCACTTGATTATTAAAATCATCTTTGGCTGAGGTTACCCTTTGGTGAGCATTCACATTGGGTACAAATATCTTCTCTTTTTTCTCATTCAAAGAAGCCTACCACATATTTCTTTCCCAGAGTTATTTGTCATCAATTTTCCAATCATTTTTCTTCCAAGTCTTTAACTATCCAGCAAAACTATTGGCCACAGCCCATGAATTGGCCTATAATTGCACATCTGCCCATTTCTTCTTCCAAGCAAAGTGAACAACGAGGTGCATTGCCTGAAGCTCTTCCCACTGGGAAGATTTCCCCGCACCACTGTCCTTTAGGAATGGCCACGGTAGGATTAAATTAGAAAAAATAACAAAATCAACATCTGGACAATCCCAAATATTTGGGATGTGCAAGAGAGGGCTGCACTGCTGCAGCTACCCACTCCAACTGCCACTGACACCTCAAGCACCATCTGATCTGCTGGGTCATGTGGCCCACATGGCACAGGAGCAAGGACTTGTTGCAGCACCTTCTCTTGTTCTGGGCACCCCCCACCAAAAAAAAAAAAACTAGCAGCTTTTCAGGTCACTCTGTAAATGGATCAGAGTAATACATACAAATGAAGAATGTCTTGCCTCCAAAATCCAAGAAGCCCTTTTCGACATTGTGCCTAAAGAGGGCTCACTCCAACCTTCATCTCCCAGGCTCAAGCAATTTTTCCACTTCAGCCTCCAGAGTAGATGGGACTACAGTTGCACACCACCTAGTCTGGCTAGTTTTTTAAAAAAATTTTTATTGTAGAGATGGAGACTCATTATGTTGCCCAAGCTGGGTGTTACTGCTTTTGATTTATGATATTCCTAGGTAGAAGCAGTTTTAATGGTTCACTTGGCCTCTCCCACCTAAAGAAAGTCTTGGTTGTAGGAGGGGCCAAATACAACAACATATCCTTCACTTTAGAAGAAATATCTTGGCATGTTCCACACCACTGGATCCATAGAAGGCCCCTAAAGTTTCTTTCTCTCTCTCTCTTTTTTAACCATAAGGCTTCCTTGCAAAATAAATATTCATCAGATTTGTTTCCTACCCTCTGACACATAATCAAGGTAATGAACCAGGTCATATTTTGGAGAATGGAAAGGCTATCAAGATCCCTGCAAACTAAATTACGGCATAGGGCTGGGAGCTGAGCTAGAGCAGGGAAGGTGTGTTTCTGCCTTGCCAGCTGTAAGCAAACTGCTTCTGGTGGTCTTTAATAACAGGTAATGAGAAAAATCTGTCAGATCAGTAGCTCCATATCAGTACCAGGAGATGTGTTCATTTGCTCAAGCAGTGAAGCCACATCTGGTAGAGCAGCTGCAGTTGGAGTAACCACCTGCTTAAGCTTATGATTCATCCACTGTCATTCTCCAAGGCCCATCTGTCTTCTGTATAAGCCAAATAGGAGAGGTGAATGGGGATGAGGTGGGAATCACCACCTCTGCGTCTTTCAGGGTCTTGATGGTGGCACTAATTACTGCAGTCCTTGCAGGAATGTGTTATTGCTCTTAGACAGAGAGAGATAGTGTGTCGCTCTGTCACCTAGGCTGGAGTGCAGTGGTGCAGTCCATCTGAGCTGGGCTCAAGCAGCCTCCCGAGTAGCTGGGTCTACAGTTGTGCACCACCCAGCCTGGCTAATTTATTTATTTATATTTATTTATTTATGTATTTATTATTATTTTAGGTGGAGTCTTGCTCTGTCACCAGGCTGGAGAGCAGCGGCTGGATCTTGGCTCACTGCGAGCTCCGCCTCCCGGGTTCGCGCCATTCTCCTGCCTCACCCTCCCGAGTAGCTGGGACTACAGGCACCCGCCACCATGCCCAGCTAATTTTTTTATATTTTTAGTAGAGATGGGGTTTCACCGTGTTAGCCAGGATGGTCTCGACCTCCTGACCTCGTGATCTGCCCACCTCGGCCCTGCAAAGTGCTGGGATTACAGGCATGAGCCACCGCACCCAGCCGGCTAATTTATTTTTATTTTTACTGTAGAGATGGGGTCTCACTATGTTTCCCAGCCTGGGTGTTATTGCTTTTGATTTATTATTTTCCTAGGTAGAGGTGGTTTTAATGGCTTCACTTGGCTTCTCCCACCGTAATAGCGCTCACTCCAGAGGTCAGGAGACATATGCAGGGGTTTTGCCACCTGCTAAGTACATCTATTCCAATTCTCCATCTGGAACTGGGAAAGTAACCATAGGTTAGGTCCAGGGACCAAACTGGGTTCACTGTGAGATGGACCTGAGCTAAAACTCTACTAATCAGCTGACATCCGTAAGCCTCTACACTGACAGGTCGGCCACAGGGGTACATTTTGGCTCTCTCAGCATTAATGTTAGTTCAGAGCCAGTGTCCAGTAGTCCCCGAATTCTCCGATTATTTCCTTTTCCCCATTGTATAGTTATGCTAGTCTCTTTGGGTACTGAGAGAAAAATTAACAGTATAAATTTTCAGTAGTGAACTACGATCCTTCCTCAAGTGCATGTGGCTTCCCCTACATTCAAGGAGTTCTAGGTCTGTAAACTGGATCAAGTCTAGGAATTGACTGAAGGGCTCCAGATTTATCCTATGAATTAAATTAAATGAAAATCAAAGGTTGATTTAATATTCAAAATGCAGTCACTGCATTTCATCATATTAATAAAATGTTAAAAACCATATGATCATCTCAATGCAGAAAAAATGTGCTAACATTCAAGCATCCATTGCTGATCAAACAAACACTCAGCAAATCAGAAATAGAAGTCTACTTACTCAAGTTCATAAAGGACATTGATGAAAAACCTACAGTTCACATCATACTCAATGGTGAATGAATACTTTCTCCCTAGAATTATGAACTAGGCAATGATATTTGTTACTAGGCAATGATATTTGCCTAGTAACAACTTCTACTTAACAGTATGGTGGAGATTATAGCCACTCCAATAAGACAGTAAAAAGACATAAAAGGTATCCATATTGAAAAGTAACATATAAGACTGCCTTTATTCATACACAGGGTATACACAACTGTTTATGTAAAAAAATCTGACAAACTCTACAAGAAAAGCTACCAGTTTTAGCAAAATTGCAGAAAACAAGATTAATATCAAAATTTAATTTTATTTCTATAATATAGCAACAAACAAGAGAAAACTGAAATTCATAAGACAGTACTATTTAAAATAGCATAAGATATGATATATTAAGAGGTAGTAAATCTTACAGAAGATGTACACGACTTGAACACTGAAGGCTACAAAACATGTCTCAAGAGGAAATGAAGCAAGAGCCAAGTAAATGGAGACACACACCATGTTCAGGTCAGAAGACTAATATTACTAAAATGTCAATTTCCCCTCAATTTATGTATAGTTTCTCTGGAATTTCAATAGGTTTTCTTGTAGAAATTATATCTGGCCAGGTGTGGTGGCTCACACCTGTAATCCCAGCTACTCGGGAGGTTGAGGCAGGAGCATTGCTTGAACCTGGGAGACAGAGGTTGCAGTGAGCTGAGATCACACCATTGCACTTCAGCCTGGGTGACAAGAGTGAGACTTCCTCTCAAAAAAAAAAGAAAGAAAGAAAAGAAAAAGAAGGCTGGGCATGGTGGCTCACACCTGTAATCCCAGCACTTTGGGAGGCCGAGGCGGGTGGATCACCTGAGGTCAGGAGTTCGAGACCAGCCAGATCAACATGGCAAAACCCCATCTCTACCAAAAATACAAAAGTAGCCAGGCATGGTGGCACATGACTGTGATCCTAGCTACTTGGGAGGCTGAGGCAGAAGAATCACTTGATCCCGGGAGGCAGAGGTTGCAGTGAGCCGAGATAGCACCATTGCACTCTAGTCTGGGCAACAAGAGTGAAACTCTGTCTCAAAAAAAAAAAAAAGAAAGAAAGAAAAAGAAGAATAATGTTGGAGCTGACATTATCTGATCTCTAGACTTACCCTAAAGCTATAACCATCAAGAAATTTTGGTTAGCACACTGCACGAAGCATGCAATATTAGCATAAAGGTAGACAAATATATCAATGTCACAAAATAAAGAATCCAGAAGTAATCCTACACTTATAAAAAAACTGATTTTCAACAAATGGACAATTCAGTAGGGAAAGGATAGATTTTCAACAAATGGTGTGGGAACAAGTGAATATTCCAAATGAAAAAAAATTGACTTTGATTCTAATTTGTACAACATATAAAATTTAATTCAAAACAGATTATAGGCCTAAAATTATAAAGCTTCTAGAAGAAAACATAGAAGAAAAGTTTTATCACCTTGGATTAGACAAATATTTCTTAGATATGACACCAAAAATCCAATCCATAAAAAAGTTATAAATTTGACTTTATCAACATTTAAAAAATTCTGCTCATTGAAAGACCCTGCAGGATGAAATCACAAGCCACAGACTGGGATAAAATATTGGCAGTTCACATATCTGATAAAGGACTTGTATTCAGAATATATATATATATATATATATATATATATATAATATACACAAATACATATTATATATGTAATCATATTATATATGTAATCTCAAAACTGTTTAATAAGCAGAAATACAACCCAGTAAAAACACAGGTAAAAGATTTGAAGAGACATTTAACAAAAGGATATACTGATTGATAATAAGCAATGAAACGATGTTCAAAATCTTGTTAGTTGTTAGGGTAAAGTAAATTAAAGACAACAAAATGCTACCACACACCTATTAGAATAGCGAAAAATAGTGAGGCTGACCATATTAAGTGTTGGAGAGGTTGTGGAGGGACTACAACTATCATTCACTACTTGTGAGAATGTAAAATGATGCTACTTGGAGGACAGGTTGGAAGTTACTTCAATGTATTCAATATGCACTTACCATATGATCCAACATTCCACTGTTAGGTCTCTACCCATGAGAAAAGAAAGTATGTGTCTATACCCAGACTTATAGACCAATGTTCCAAGTAGACTTATTTGTAATGGCCCCAAACTGGAAACAACACAAGCGTACAGCGGGCAAATGGCAAAACTAATTATGGTATGTATATATGATGGATTACTACTTATCAATACACAAGAATTAGGCCAGGCACAGTGGCTCACACCTATAATCTCAGCACTTCGGGAGGCTGAGGTGAAAGGATCACTTGAGCCCAGGAGTTCAAGACCAGCCTGGGCAATATAGTGAGACCCTGTCTCCACAAAACAATAAAAAAATTAGCCAGGCATGCTAGTGTACCCCTGTAGGTCCTTGAGGCTTGGTGGGAGCCCCAACTTGGGGCTGAGGTTGGAGGATCACTTGAGCTCAGGAGTTAGAGGCTGCAGTGAGCTGTGATCTTGCCACTGCAATCCAGTATGGGTGACAGAGTGAGATGCTGTCTCAGTAAAAATAAATAAACAAGAATTAATTCTTTATATATGCAGCAACATAGAAGACCCTCCAAATAGTTCTACTGAGTGAAGGTAACCAGATATGGAGAGTACATGCTGGATAATCCCATTTTATAAAACTCTAGAAAATGCAAATTAATCTCTAGTGGCAGAAAGCAGATGAGTGTTTGCCTGGGGACTGCAGGTTCAGGAGGGATTGTAGCAAAGGGTGGGGAGGGAGCAATTCAAAGGGTAATGGATTGGGCATGATCTTGATTGCAGTGATGGTTTCATGGGTGTGAATGTATATCAAAACTTACCAACATAGGCTGGGCGCAGTGCTTCACATCTGTAATCCCAGCACTTTGGGAGGCCGAGGCGGGTGGATCACCTGAGGTCAGGAGTTCAAGACCGGCCTGACCAATATGGTAAAACCCCATCTCTGCTAAAAATATAAAAATTAGCTAGGTGTGGTGGCATGTGCCTGTAGTCCCAGCTACTCGGGAGGCTGAGACAGGATAATTGCTTGAACTCGGGAGGCAGAGGTTGCAGTGAGCCGAGATTGTGCCACTGCACTCCAGCCTGGGTGACAGAGTGAGATACTGTCTCAAAAATAAATAAATTTAAAAAAACAAAACAAAAAATAAAACAAAAAAGCTTACCAATGTGCACACTTGAAATATATGCAGTTCATTATATGTCAATTATACTTAAGTAAAACTGTTTTAAAAACACTCTATGAACTAAACCATATGTATCTGCAGGCCAAATATATCCCAAGCCACCTGTTTTCAATATCTGGGAGAGCAGGGTGCTGGAGATAAAGATGTCCAGTTTAGAAGTTATTGTTCCTCTAACTATAAGTCAAATCGTGTAACCCCCAAATGAAAGAACATGCAGGAAGGCTGGCTCTAACCGAAGCATGCTCTTCCACTCCATCTGACCTCCCATCATATTCCTGGACTCACCTGAACAATGATCCCTGGTACAGGGCTGATACCCTAGCTAAATACAAGCGTTAGGTTTAAACTACTTTTTAAAATATCTACTGTTTACTAAGGAAATCCACTGTTTACTCTTTATTAAGGTTCTTATCAAAGTCCGGACAGCCCTCTGTGGTCTACACACCTCCTGTGAGCTCAGAGAGTTCCATTCCTTATCTCTTAGTTGGTACCAAGCTCACACTTCCTTTTGATTTTTCAGGTATGCTGTGCTTAGTATTTATCACGCTATTCTTTTCATGCTATTTACTAAGAACGAACAGATCTGGGATTAGATCCAGGTGAGCTTCTTAGTGTCCCTGAGCTCCAGCGTCCTCAGTGTAAGATGAGGACAACACTCAAGGTGCACACAAAAATGGGAGGTGCAAAGGGGAGAGTTTCAGGCAGCGAGTGTGCATTCTTTAGTGATTAGTTGGACAAGTGGAATGCCTGGTGGTTTTCAAATCTTGTTATGTTTAAAAGTTTCATATGAGGCCAGGTGTGGTGGCTCACACCTGCAATCCCAGCACTTTGGGAGCCTAAGGCAGGCGGATTCACCTGAGGCCAGGAGTTGGAAACCAGCCTGGCCAACATGATGAAACCGCGTCTCTACTAAAAGTACAAAAATTAGCCGGGTGTGGTGGCAGACGCCTGTAGTCCCAGCTACTTGGGAGGCTCAGACAGGAGAATTGCTTGAACCTGGGAGGTGGAGATTGCAGTGAGCTGAGATCACGCCACTGCACTCCAGCCTGGGTGACAGAGCAAGGCTCTGCCTAACAACAACAACAACAATTGATATGAACTTAAGGCAAAATAAAAACCAACTTCATGCACCTTAGATGATATGGAGGAAAACAACTCAGTGGTTTGGAATTAGCGAAGCCCGAAGGTGAGGCACACTCTAACTCCTGACCTATGTTTCTTACCTGTCTTGTTGGGCTCTACCTCATAGGGGGTCTGTCTGGAGAGTACAGTCTACCAGTGTCCTATACCTCAGAATGCCTGTAAATGCGGGTAGGCACGATCCACTCCACTGACAGGCCGAATGAACAAAAAGGCAGAGGGAGGGCAAATTATCTCTCTCTCTGCTTAAGCTGGGACACCCATATTCTCTTTGCCTTGGACATCAGAGATCCTGGTTCTGGGGGCTTTGGACTCAAACTGACACTTAAACCATTGCCCCCCTTCTACCTTTTCTAAGGTTTTGGACTTGGACTGAAGCACACACCAGCTTTCCTGAGTCTGGCTTACAGACAGCACTTCTCAGCCTCCATAACCACAGGAGCCAGTATCTATAATAAATCAATCTCTCCTACACATGTGCGCGCGCGCACACACACACACACACACACATCTTCTATCAGCTCTGTTTCTCTGGAGAACTCTAAAACAGCTGGTGACTTTGGCCATCACTGCATGAAGACACATAAGCAACGAGAAAACCCTTTTCTCATCTCTCCTTTAGTGGGTTCTTGCTCCTAAGGCCCATCTCTCCTCCCACCCAGGGCTTTGCTCCTCCAATTCTGCCCCAATATCCCCCCGCCCATCAACATATTTTCTCTTTGTGCTGGATCACTCTCATCAGCAAACCAAGATGTTGGAATGGATTCCATCTTAATTATCCACTGGGGGCCCCCAGCCCCTCTGCATCTGCCAGAACCACCCTCCATGAAAGAGCTGCCCATGCCTGCTGCTTCCAGCGCCCACCTCCCCTTCTCTCTGGGGCCTTCTGCAGGCAGGCTCCCTGCCACAATCACCCGTGTCCTGCAAGTGGGCAAAGCAAATGCTGGTCAGTGCTTAGTCCTCTCCTTCTCTGCAGCCTTCTCTAAATGGCATGTGCTTAAAATGACACACATGTAACTCAGGCATTAAGGATAATATGAAGTAATACATTACACTTTTAATAACACAAAGTTTTAAAAGAACTAAATATAACTTTAAGATAGTTTTTACATTTAAAAATAACATTTTGAAATGTTTTTGAATAATTTCAGGCTTACAGACAAATTGCAAAAAAAAAAAAAAAAAAGCATAGAGAGTTCTTTTGCAGTCCTCCCCCAACATCCTCTCATGTTAATATCTTAAATAAACAATGACACCATTATCAAACCAGGAAATTGACATTGGTGCAACGCTAGTAATTAAATGACAGGTTTTTTTTTTCAGATGGAGTCTCGCTCTTGTTGCCTAGGCTGGAGTGCAGTGGCACGATCTTGGCTCACTGCAACATCCGCCCCCCAGGTTCAAGCGATTCTCCTGCCTCAGACTCCCAAGTAGCTGGAATTACAGGCGCCCGACACCATGCCCAGCTATTTTTTGTATTTTTAGTAGAGACAGGGTTTCACCATGTTGGCCAGGCTGGTCTCGAACCCCTGACCTCAGGTGATCCACCCACCTTGGCCTCCCAAAGTGCTGGGATTACAGGCGTGAGCCACCATGCCCAGCAAATGATAGAATTTACTGAAAAGCCACCAGTTTTCCTGCTGGTGTTCTGTGTTCCAGGATCCAAACTAGGGTCCCTCATTGACTTAGTTGTCCTGTCATCAGTATTTCCTCCAATCGGTGACAGCTCCTGTGGGTTTTTAGTTGTTTTTTTGCTTTTTTTTTTTTTTTTGAGATGCAGTCTCTCTCTGTTACCCAGGCTGGAGTGCAGTGGCACGATCTCAGCTCACTGCAGCCTCCGCCTCCCGGGTTCAAGTGATTCTTGTATCTCAGCCTCCCGAGTAGCTGGGATCACCAGCAGGAGCCACCACATCTGGCTAATTTTTTTGTATTTTTAGTAGAGACAGGGTCTCGCCATTTTTGCCAGGCAGGTCTCGAACTCCTGGCTTCAGGTGATCCACCCACCTTGGCCTCCCAAAATGCTGGTATTATAGGCATGAGCCACCGTGCCCAGCCTTTTGCTGTTGTTTTTTATAGACTGTTCTCAGTTCAGGTTTGTCTGATGTTTTCACCCAATTAGATGAAAGCATTTTTGGCAAAAATATCATAGACTTGTAAAATTTTTAAAGCTGTTTACACTGTAACAAACAACATTCTAAGTGTTTTGAAAAACACCTTGACTAACTTAAAATTCTCAATTATTTTCAAAGTAATTATTTCCTCCTCTATTTTACACATGAAGAAACTGGGAAGTTCAATAATTGTCAATGTTAAAGTGCACACAATTATTCCCAGGGTTGGAACTTCAGCCCCAGCACTCCACCTCAGCAGCCCACATATTTTTTTCCAAGCAGTGACTGTGTGTCAGGCTGGGACAGACTGCTGGGACCTCAAGGATGCAGTTCTGGGTAAAGGAAGATCTCTGACAAAGCTCTTTAAAAAGAGGTCAAAGAGGCCGGGTGCGATGGCTCATGCCTGTAATCCCAGCACTTTGGGAGGCCAAAGTGGCTGGATCACCTGAAGTCAGGGGTTCGAGACCAGCCTGGCCAACATGGTGAAATCCTGTCTCTACTAAAAATACAAAAATTAACTGGATGTGGTTGCAGGTGCCTGTAATCCAGGCTACTTGGGAGGCTGACGTAGGAGAACCGCTTGAACCTGGAAAGTGGAGGTTGCAGTGAGCCGAGATTGTGCCACTGCATTCCAGCCTGAGTGACAAGAGTGAAACTCCATCTCAAAATGAATAAATAAATAAAATAAAATAAAAATAACTCTAGATGATATCATTTAGGCTACACTTGTTCTCTTCATATAACCTTCAGTTCCATTTCTGTCTAGATTTATTTTAAGGTAGGAGTTATCACCTAAAAAAAGCCATTGAATACAAAAAGTTTGAATTATAAGAAACTAAATGGAAAGCAATATTAAATAAGCAAAGCAGACATAGAGAAAAAAGAAAAAAGAGTCTGTTAGTGAACGCTATCCATTCCATACCATCCTTGGAAGTTGATCACAATGAGAATGTTACAAATACCTTGTTAAGAAGTCTTGAAGCCTGTTAACAAGTGGAAAGTGAAGGTTGTGCTATCCAGCACTGTTCACTGGTGCAACAATTCCTTGCCTTATTGTCTCTTACTGCAATACACACTAATGAATCCTCATAGTACTTTTTTTAAACATATGAAATGATTTAACATTTCATTAAATATTAGTCCACAATTATAATTTTGCTTATGATTTCCATTATGAAACAGCTTTGAACAAGCAATTGTTTCCAGATAGACACAGTAAGTTTCAAGGAGGAAAGTGAATTGTGAGTATTAAGTGCAACTGGCCAGAGGTCTATACCAAGAGTAGCTATCAACAGATCTGAGATACCTAGCATAAGAGAACAGGTGTTCGTCAGTGTTTGGACCTGGGCCCAGTATTGCTTAACAGCTTTATCAATGACCTGGGTGAGATGGAATGGAAAGCATGCTTCATACATTTGCAGCTGACACAGAGCCAGATGGAGACAAATACGGCTGCAGGAGAGATGTAATTCAAATCGACTTCAGCAAATATGGCTCCCACAATTCCGAAACATACATTGACTAGATTCATGGGTAGAGAACAGTTTAAGGGAAAGAGAGAATGATAACAAAAGAAAAAGTTTTCTGTTCTTCAGCAGTTTGCCAACTGACTGGGAACAATGGGCAAGAACACAGGCAAAAATGGTAGCCCAAGAAAGCAAGTGACGTCTGTGTGTACAGAGCTGACACTGATTGTTACCAGTGGCTTTACAGTGCTCAGAGATTCATGAAGTGACTGGGCTAATGGAGGGGGGTGGGGCAAGGTGTGGCCAGCTCAACAATGGAAATGAGCATCTTAAGGTTAATCTGGGAGGAGTGAATGGCACAGAGGGATATTCAGCAAAAATGGCATAATTTTCTCAATACCATGGAAAATAGATGACAAAAGCAAGCAAAAATCAATCATTCAATTATTTAAGGTCACGGAAAGTCAACGCCAATACAGATAAAAAGTAAAATTATAAATATAGAAAATGTTGAGCTAAGTGTAAGTAAAGGAGGAAAAGCCATAGATAGGAGTTATAATGTGTAGGAGAACCCAAAATTTTGCATTACGAAATGGAAGAGAGGTGAAAATTTTGTCATTGGTGTGAGACAATCTTTATATGATATGCATTGTATTTCCTTTGAAAGCTAAACAGGCAGGAAATGTAGATAAATACCTCATACTTATATGAATAAACTATGTGTGTAGGGGTGAGATCACCTTCTGTACATTTAAAATAGAGATACAATTCACATATCATAAAAGTCACCCTTTTAAAGTCTTTCTTAGCCTATGTACGAGGTGGCAGAAAACCACTAAAATAATTAACAAACTGGATTTGTTTAACTTGGAGAGTAGAGAAGTATTGATCCAGAATGATGGAGAGTGTATTTTCAGAGTAGAACAAAGTTTTCCTGACTGTAAAGGTTGTTAAAGGAGGTAATGAAGGTTCCCTTTGAAAAGACTTTTGAAATTAAGATAAATTCTGATCTTTCTGGCAAGGTGTAAATGTGGTCTCACACGACGGTAAGACTGTGCCTTTAGATCTTAAGGCTTCGTGTATGTGTTATTTGGTTCTGATGTTTTTCTGTTCTCTGATTGTGTTATGTTAAAAGCTGTAAACTCAGAGAGAGAGAAACAACCCACAAGTAGGAAAACAAATAATCATTAGTCATTTGGACCAATGTAAAATATTTTCTCAGATTTTGACAAAATAGCCCAATAAGCAGCTGAATGTATCTTTTATTTTTTATCATTGAATGGCAGTGCTCCACAATGGATTTTTAAATAAGCTGTCATCATTAAAGCAGACGGCATGAAATGGTGTAACACTAAATATCAACTCTCCTGCCAGCAGGGTGAGAAGTGAGCTGTTGTCAATCTCAAGTGAACCAGATGGATAAGAGAAATTTTCTGGTGATCTCCCACACCTCTGTCATGGGCTTGTGATCCTGGTGATCCTCATGCCAGGCTTGACCATGGAGATGCTGCCTCCTTGCCTTGCAAAGAAAGCCCTGCTACTCAGTCATATGATAGCCAGCGGAGCTCTCCTTTTCTCCCACTTTCCATGGAGGGAGAAAAATAGAATGTGGACAGCAGCTGTGAGGAGTATTTCACAGATGGTGCCAACCGACCCACAAAAGCCCTTTGTTCTCAGGTACTCTGCCGTCTGACAGGTGTTAAAGGTCTGGTAGACCCATTGAGCTGTGTGCTGGTTGTCATCCTCTGTGAGGTTACAAGGAGATTGGTCTGTCTCAAGGGAGAAGACTGCTCATCTGATGGGGGTGAGGCTCCAACCAGTGGGATGAACAACTCTTCAGGGTGACATCAACCGAAGGTGATCAGAGTGCATAGTTTACCTTTGTTTCACATGTAAAAGTGATTCCTAAGTTCTATCTATTCAGATAGATCATACAAAAAAGTGTCAACATGCAGTAGGCTGACACATGAGCCTTGAGAATTTGCATTTCTCTCATTACATTTTCAGTCATCAATCCTTAAGCCTCCTTCTTCCTATACTGCTCTGTGCACCTACTGAGTTGAAAGAATGCCAGCATCCACCAAGCAAGAAACATACCAAATTCCCTGTCCAGACAGATTTCACAGAAATCAACCAAAATTAATAAAAATGAAAGCAATGATGCCTCTACCCCCATAGGAAGGAGAGAACAGTTGGAAAAGGGGTCAGGAGGCATTGCCTAAGATTTCAGCTGCACCTGCTTCTAAAACAAAGCTGTCTACAAAATATCTGCACTGAACTTTGGAGCCTGGTGTAGATCTTTCATCTGCAGCTAAGGAGTTGGTATTTTTAATTTGTTAATACTAGTCAATTATGCTTATTTGGAAATTCCAAAGAATATCAGGTTATTTCTTTCAACTTAACATCTGCACTTTGATACAGTCTTAATATCTAATATAACATCAAAACAACTTCTAACAAACAACTGCATATTGGAAATAGTTGTGTTATGTTATAGTTTTCACAGTAAATTCACATTAGAGAATTTGCATGTATGATTAGGATTCAGGCTGAGATGATATGTTAGAATCAAAATATGATCACTGCCAAAGTATCTTGGCCATTTTTTTTTTTTTTTTTGAGACAGTCTTACTCTGTCTCACCCAGGCTGGAGTGCAGAGGTGCGATCTCGGCTCACTGCAGCCTCTGCCTCCTGGGTTCAAGTGATTCTCCTGCCTCAGCCTCCTGAGTAGCTGGGACTACAGGTGTGCACCGCCATACCCAGCTAATTTTTGTATTTTTAGTAGAGATAGGGTTTCACCATGTTGGCCAGGCTGGTCTTGAACTCCTGACTTCAGGTGATCCACACCCCCCCCTTGGCTTCCCTAAGTTCTGGGATTACAGGTGTGAGCCACTGCACATGGCCCAAAGTATCTTGGCCATTTAATAAGGCTTTTTGCATCTGGAATTCTTTCACTGAATTCTTGAAATGATATTACATGCATTATGCCTCTTTTATAGCTTGGAAAGCATTATCCTATTTGTGTATACACACATATGTGGAGAGACTTAAAATAGTTCAACAACATGTTGAAAATGCTTATTTCTGATAGTGGGATTTGTGGTGATTTTAAACTTTTAAAATTTTTGTGTTGTTTGATATATATATAATGCATATGTATCTCTTTTACAAAATTAAAATGTTATTTAAAAATTACTTGAAAATGTCAACTAAGATTCAGTTTTCTTCACTTCTCAGTGGTGAAACTAAGCTGGTGAATATATTACAGGGACATTTTTCAAGTGATCAAATTGAGGAAACAGGCATGGTTCATTCATTCATCCATCCTTCAGTTGTTTGGAAGTTTATTCATTCAGTCATCCATGTAGTATGCCTACTAAATGTCGGAAAATGTGATTATGGTTCAGCCAATAATACAGACTCCCCAAATTAATGATTTTCTTTCAAAATATTAATCTTAAAATGATTTTTTTTTTGAGGTGGAGTCTCACTCTGTCGCCAAGGCTGGAGTACACTGGCACGATGTCAGCTCACTGCAACTTCCACCTCCTGGCTTCAAGCAATTCTTCTGCCTCAGCCTCCCAAGTAGCTGGGATTATAGGCGCCTGCCACCATGCCCGGCTAATTTTTGTATTTTTAGTAGATACGGGTTTCACCATGTTGGTCAGGCTGGTCTCGAACTCTTGACCTCAAATGATCCACCCACCTCGGCCTCCCAAAGTGCTGGGATTACAGGCATGAACCACTGTGCCCAGCCTTAAAATAATTTTATAATTGGGTGTAACTTCCAGGGTGAAGCTATTACTCAGAGAACTAGCCCCTTAGTGCAGGCCGGGGGTGTGTGCTAAAGGCCCCCATTGGAGCCGCAATTCCCATCTATAAAATAGGAGAACAAAAATGTTGGCCTCATGGACCCATCCTAAGGATTGCATGAATTGTTCATATTGAAGGTTATGTTGGTATATGAAATAATCAGCAATTAAGGCTGGGCGTGGTGGCTGATGCCTATAATCACAGCACTTTGGGAGGCGGAGGCAGGTGGATCACTTGAGGCCAAGCGTTCAAGACCAGCGTGGCCAACATGGTGAAACCCTGTCTCTACTAAAAATACAAAAATTAGCCGGGCGTAGTGGTGGACACCTGTAATCCCAGCTACTTGGGAGGCCGAGGCATGAGAATCGCTTGAACCTAGGAGGCAGAGGTTGCAGTGAGCTGTCATGCCACTGCACTCCAGCCTGGGTGGCAGCACAAGACTCTGTCAGAAAAAAAAAGCCACAAAAAATTTTTAAAACCTTTGTTTTATGCTAAATATATCTGAGACAGATAGTTTGGCTTATTTCTTACAGCCTATGTTAAAGACTCTGAATGTCCAAGATAATTTGAAAATAAGATTATAATAAAAACTTGGTTATAATATTTGTTTTCTTTATACACCTTTAGATGAATTATCTTTCACGTGAATAAATATTCTCTGAGATATTAATAATTGAAAAATTAGATTTTTTACTTTGAAAGCAAAAGATTTAAAAAAATCATGCAAGTGATGGTTGCTGGCCTCCACCTCCTTTCCACAGCTCTGTCCTCAGCTCCTCATAGTATAGGGGAAAGTTTTTTTGTTGTTTGTTTTGTTTTGTTTTTGAGATGGAGTCTCGCTCTGTTGCCTAGGCTAGAGTGCGGAGGTGCGATCTCGGCTCACTGCAAGCTCCACCTCCTGGGTTCACGCCATTCTGCATCAGCCTCCCAAGTAGCTGGGACTACAGGCACCTGCCACCATGCCCAGCTATTTTTTTTTTTTTTTTGTATTTTTAGTAGAGACGGGGTTTCACCGTGTTAGCCAGGATGGTCTCGATTTCCTGACCTTGTGATCCGCCTGCCTCGGCCTCCCAAAGTGCTGGGATTACAGGCGTGAGCCACTGTGCTGGGCCCAGGGGAAGGTTTTATGATCTCAGACCTCGCTCATTCCCAGACCAATCCTGGTTTGGACAACTATTGCCTGTTATGTAACAAGAAATTATATGCTAGGATTGTTACCAGTGGGGTACTTTCCCAATTCTTATCAAATGTAGAGAGTTAAGCAAATCTGGTATTCACATCACTGGTGGTCATATCACTATAAAAGATACTCCATTATGCATTTTCAAATTCCATTTTATTTTTCACTTGTATTTGTAAATGGGCACGTGTTATAAATTCTTTCTCTTTTCCTTTCGGTGGAAGAAAATTTGAGAAGATAACAGGGCATAGGATGTCTGACTTCTCTCATACAAGATGTAGTAATTAAACTCCATTCCTCTTCCTCAGATGCAATTTAGGCACATTTCCAAAGAAAAGAGAAATAGATTTGATTGGATGGAGTAGTTATTAATGAACCAATCAGTTTACATTCATGAAATGTGAAGAAGAGGAAATATTTCCTATTATGCTTCTTGATTCAGCTGTAACTGCTGGGCAACACTTCCTGCTTGGCTTTTCTTTGACCCTAAGTATGTGCATTGAAACACCCAGTGGTCTCCAAGTTGGAGATTCTTAAGTTTAGCCTTACAGCATAATGAGCACATAAGCACTCCCAGTGTCTCTGGATCTGATGTTCCCATGACACACAATACTGTTTGTCCAGTAGCAGGGCTGCTCATATTTCAAGTATGAGCTGTGATAGCACCTTCCAAATAAGGAAAAGGATAGGCAGGCTGTGCGTTGTGAAGGCAGGTGTTGAGTTTCAATCCATAAGGAAGAACTTTTGGGATCCCTGGTGTCAAGTATGCCTTGGCATCCTTCCCTTCCGGAAACTCCAGATACACAGGGCCCATGCAGCCGTTGCATGTTCCATTAGCGAATGTTTTCCTAGCATGGAGAGCCCCGCTTCTGAGCGACATGTGTGGAATGTATACTGAACTCTTGTTTACATTTTTTGTGTTTAAATCTTGCTTGCTGTACGTATGGACCATATTGAATTAAAAGAGTATTACATGAACAAATTGAGCTGCAATGGCCTGTAAATTGTGAAAAGGCAAATAGAACTGAAGGGTGTGGACCTTGTTTACTGGCAGAAGCAATGGAGTTTGAGGTCAGAATGGTTTGACACACAGCTTGTAATTTTCAGGAATGGAAACTAAGGCACTTGCTTAAAACTTCTGATGTGATTTTTCTTAACTATAAAGTAGGGATAAACAATAATGAATACCTTATATAATTGTTATGAAGCAGCAAAGTTTTATAGACTATAAGTTGCCAAACTGATCTTAGAAACCATTGTGTGGGGCAAGGCACAGTGGCTCATGTCTGGAATCCCAGCACTTTGGGAGGCCGAGGCAGGCAGATCACAAGGTTAGGAGTTCGAGACCAGCCTGACCAACATGATGAAGCCCCATCTCTACTAAAAATACAAAAATTAGTCTGGCATGGTGGCGCATGCCTGTACTCTCAGCTACTCGGGAGGCTGAGGCAGGAGAATTTCTTGAACCCGCGAGGCGGAGGTTGCAGTGAGCCTAGATCGCACCAATGAACTTCAGCCTGGGTGACACAGCGAGACTCTGTCTCCAAAAAAAAAAAAACAAAGAATCCATTGTATGACAAGACGTGTATTTCCTCACATGTGACTTAACTGACTCCTAAGACAGTTTGAACAGAAAACGCATAAGTAATTGTTCCAAGAAGAGGAGTAGCCGCAACTCTAGTGGTCTCTGTGTAAATCCTAGCTGTACTCTGTGTGAATGCTCGAGTTCTAGGCCTTTTCTCCTTGAAATCATTGATCTCAGGTTGGGAGTAACCTCAAGAATCCATCTTGTCTATGTCCTGCCCTATATGCTGAAATGTTATGGGTTCCATAGCTTTGGTCCAAAAAGGTGAATTGACTTACTCAAAGTCACAAAGCTAATTAGTGTCAGATTAAACCAGAAATTGTGGGCAGTATAAGATGTTGCATTGTGAAGTGCTCCTAAGAACTTGCAAGTGATATCCTGATAGTGTGGCAAGTAAAATCAGCACATAATGTATGAACCTGTGTGTCTACAGAAATCGCCCTGATGGATGGACACGTCTGAATGTACAAAAATCTTGGGCCTATTAACTTCTGTGCAGAGAGGGTTAATAGAAGCAACTAGAGTGCTTTCATAGAGTCTACAAAGCGATGCCACGGGATCAGACTTGGTAAGATCTCTCCAGCTCTGTGCAGAGGAGACAGCATTCCAATCAGCAAGCTCAGCCTCCCCAGGGGAAATGGTGGTTTCAGGCCGCTTCAACTCCATGGGTTTTGCCTTCAGTCTGATCAGCTGCCTCTGATCCCATTTTCTTTTTCTGGTTATAATTTGTTTTCCATATAAATTTTCCAACAGAAGGAAAGACACATCTTCTTGGATATGATTTATATCTCTCTGAATATTGATATATCTCAACATAATTTAAGAAGTTGATATCTGGTTTTTACACTGGCCTCTTGTGAATTTGATTAATGGGAATTAGTTTCCTTAAACAAATAACTGTTGGGCTCACACACACACATGACAACTTCCACTTGAAGGCTGGTGAAAAGATCCTGAATTGAGAGGACTCTAAAATGATAAAGGGGCCACCCACAACTAACCATCCACCTCCTCGCTGGCATCATTCTGTAACATCATCAGTGCTACGTCATCTGATTCCAGTGCAGTCCTCTTTGCACTACCAGGGAGTACCAGCAGTGGTGCTCTTAGACCCACTCCTCTCTCCCATGTCTCTTGCAGGCAGCACTAACTCATCATGCAATGCTTCCTATGGAACTTGGATGTGGCCCGCTTCCAGAGCCACTACCAGTGGGATGCTCACGCTTCTCATTGTAAGGGTCCCATGAGATAAGACCTATTTGCCAACACTACGTCCCTGCTGCAGATGACAGTGTCCTTGATGTTCCTGAGCTGACGGCAGAGGTGTGGATGCTGGGTGTTTACAGTTTGAATGGTGGAGCCTGAGAAGATAGACAAGTAAAGATAACATGTAGAAGTGGCTTTTGCCTATGATGTGACAGTACGCTAGTACAGTTCACGAAGCAACATTTCACAGCCTATTGGATGGTGCTGTGTCATTGGATGAGATGTTTTTCCAAGCAGCAGCATGTGGGAAAACTTACTTTGGATTTTATTCCACCTATACTGTGTGTTCAATAAACATTTTCTGTAACAAACAGAAACTGGCAGCTTGCGAGGATTTGCTATCCAAGTTTCCACACTTTTTCTGCTAGGCAAGTTTCACTAAGTTGGAGAAGCGTGACAATGGCAGCCTTTATCCATTACTTAGAGTAGTTTCAATTTCCTGTTGTTCCTTTTGGCAAAAATCCAGGATTTCCTAATTGAATTAAAACTTAGTATATAAAGTTTTGTAAATGTATCAGATTTATAAAATTTGAAATAAGTTGTATTTGAGGCACACATATAAGCCTCAACTTTACCACAAAGGATATAGTCACTAAACAATAAATAAATATACAGAGAGAGAGCCACAAAAGTACTGTTTTGCTGTTGTTTCTACTGTTGTTTAAATTCAAGTCTTTTTTTTTTTTTAGAGAGAGTCTCAATCTGTTGCCCAGGCTGGTACGATATCAGCTCACTGCAACCTCTGCTTCCCGGGTTCAAGCGATTCTCCTGCCTCAGCCTCCCTAACAGCTGAGATTACAGGCACACACCACTATGCCCAGCTAATTTTTGTATTTTTAGTAGAGATGGGGCTTCACCATGTTAGCCAGGCTGGTCTCAAACTCCTGACCTCAGGTAATCTGCCGCCTCGGCCTCCCAAAGTTCTGGGATTACAGGTGTGAGCCACCGCACCTGGCCTAAACTTAAGTCTTAATATCAAAGTTTTGCTCCTCTGAGATATTTCTTTAGGACAGCTCTGGTGTATTAATCCTGTTTATTGATTACCAACACATTTAATGAGTGCCTAGTATGTTCCAGGAGCTCTTCTAGGTACCAGGAACAGAACCTCATGGAGATAAATCATGGAATTTTCCCACTACATCAGAAACCCTTGCTGGCAGAAGCTGTTTCTGATCTAGCACAGTTATAGAATAAAAAAAAGTAAAACCAACTTTTTTCATCTAATAAAATTTTTGTTTTACTCTACAACTTCCATTTACCATGTAGTTAAACTCTTTTTTCTTTTAATTTTTATTATTATGTTATACATATTGTCAAGTTTACAGTTCTTGTAAATACACAGCTGCTTGAGTTTTTAGAAATGTGTATACCTGCATTACCACACTGTAGGGCAAGATACTGAACACAGAACATTTTCAGCACTCTGGAAGGTCCCTTGGTGCCCCATCACCATATACAGCAGAGGAAACGCTTTATTCTTTTGTGCGTGGCTTTTTTTTTTTTTTTTAAGATAGAGTTCTGCTCTTGTTGCCCAAGCCAGAGTGCAATGGCGTGATCTCCGCTCACTGCAACCTCCGCCTCCCGGGTTCAAGCGATTCTCCTGCCTTAGCCTCCCGAGTAGCTGGGATTACAGGCACATGCCACCACGCTCAGCCAATTTTTCGCATTTTTAGTAGAAACGGGGTTTCACCACGTTAGCCAGGCTGGTCTTGAACTCCTGACCTCAGATGATCCGCCCGCCTTGGTCTCCTAAAGTGCTGGGATTACAGGCATAAGCCACCGTGCCCAGCCTATTTTTGCTGTGAGTTCCTCCATGTACTTGTATTGCAGGTAGTGGCTGTTTGTTTGGAATACTGCTCTGCAGTATTCCACTGCATGAATGCTTTACAATTTATCTAGTATTCACGATTCACATTTGGGTTGATTCTAGTTTTGGCCATTATGAATAAAGCTGCTATGCCCATTCTATTATGTATGTTTGGTGAATGTGAACATTTGTTGTTGTTAGTGTTACATCTTGGAATACAATGGCTGAATCATAGAGCAGGTATATGCTTAGCGTTAGAAGCTGGTGACAGTTTTCCAAAGAGGATGTGCCAATTTACATTCCTACCAGCGGAGTATAAGAGATCAATTTGATCAACATTCTTGTCAACACTTGGTATTGTCAGTCCTTTACATTTTAGCCATTCTGATGTGTTTATATGGGAATTGCACTTCCCTGATGACTCATGTTCATCACAACCAATATTTTGGTTTCTACATCTGGATTGTGTGAATTTAGTTAATGTGAATCATTGTCTGTCACAGAAAGAGCTGAATTTCTACTTGAAAAGCTAAGACCCTGAGATGATATGATGGCAGAGTAAACTTGAGAAGCCACACACAAATGTCCATGCACCTCCACTCCAGGCATAATTCTTCATTTTTACCAGAGCTGTGTTCAGTCAACTGGGTATCTGTCTTCTTAGTTCCTTCCTTTTGTTATTCAACTGTTTCAACTTGTGGTCTAGATGAAACGGCAAAGTTTCCCTTATCCCCCTCGCAGAACTTGCATTGGGGGGTGTGGCTCGCTTCTTCTGCGCCCCATTGCTCAAACCTCTAGGGGGAGCATGCAGACAGGCAGGTAGTGGGGAGCATCAACCCCATGGCAGCTTGTAGGGTTGAAGGTTTACAGCTCCTGAGGCCCCAGTGGGTGTGTGTTACAGGGCGCTATTTCAGTTTAGCCATCCATAGGGGACTTGTGTTAATCAGCTCAATTAGAGCCTCTGCCTTATTGAAAGGACAGAGGGCTTTCTGTATCCCAGGTTCTTGCCTTAGTGTACTGGAAAAATCGGATCACATGTGGGCTTGGAGAATGAGTGCAAGATTTTTTATTGAGTGGTGGTAGCTCTCAGTGAGGTGGATGCAGAGGCCAGAAAGGGGATGGAATGGGAAGGTGGTAGTTTTCCCCTAGAGTCAGGCTGCCCAGTGGCTGGGCTCTGCTCCGACCACGCCAGCCAAACTCCGTGTCATCCCGGCAGTCGATAACCTGCCGGCATCTGCTGGTGCCTCTCGGTGTGCTGTTTCGCCAGTGTGTTCCTCTCGATGTCCAGCTGCTTGTGTCTCTTCCCACTAGGGTCTCAGGGTTTTTATAGGCATAGGATTGGGGGCGTGGTGAGCCAAGATGGTCTTGGAAAATGCAACATTTGGGCATGAAAACAGAAATACCTGTCCTCACCTATGTCCATGGGCACAGGCCCGGGGGTGGAGCCCTAGCCAGGGACCTGCCTTTCTCTACCCAGCACTTTCCTGCCCCACTCTCATATCATAGATACTGATTTATTCTTCTGTGGATCTTTCCCTCCTCAGAGCCCTATCATGTAGGCCCCTATATTCTACCAAAACTTCATATGTGAAACAAAAACTTGAATGAGATAAGGCCCAGTGGCCTTCTGTTTAAATTCTCAAGCTCCTTCATCTCTCTTTGGCATTGGCCATTGTCAATGGTCCACTCATTGAAACAGGCTCCTCCACCTCCTTCTATGAAGCTAGGTTTTCCTGTTCTTCCCACTCTCTGACCACTCCTTTATTTTCTTTATTTAATTCACATAGTAGTTCTTTAGCATGAAGCTCCCAGATCTCAGTCCTTGGATCATGCCTGTTCCCACTAGTGGCTGGATTCTATTTAGCTGCTTTGTTTCTATTCTTAGGACCAGCCTGACCCCACACATTTAGAGGTGTAGCTCCAACCTAAACCTCTCCCCTCTGTGGGCTCCTCACCCCACCCTGATGTATCCACTTTGACTCTCTCAGCCTCTGCCTTGACCCCTTCTTCTGTTTCCCTCCCACCCCTTGGATGCGGCTCATTGTGTGCTCTTCCCATCAGTGACCTTAGCCCCCTAGAGAATGATTCAGAGATTTATGTCCCCTCCCCATCTCTAGATGGCTGAGGCAACCCTTCTGGTCCAGCCCAGCTTTGCATCCCCTGCTCTGGCTTTGTCTCCATAGATGGCTGTCCATCAGTGCAGCAATGGCAAAGTAAACAGGATGGGCACTTACAGGACTGTGGTGTGGGCTGGGCAATGCTCCATGAAACAAAAGTTCCTCTCACACCTTTTCTCATTACGTAAGCATAGGTGCTGCATCCGGGCACATAGAGCCATGTGCTGGATGAAATGCATCATGCCTCGGTCCTCTTCCTTGTTCATGAAGGTAACTTTCCTCCGGGTTACTGAGAGAGGGCATGAGAGAGGGCATGGGTGTCCTGTGAGGCTCAGAGACTGCATTTGCCCTTTCCCTCCATTTCAAAAGTGTCCAAAGGTATTGGCGGTTTTGTGACCCCTGTAAGGTATTGGTGGTTTTGTAACCCCCCATGGGACGTGTAGTTCTTAACAAAGACTGGTGAGCAGGGCTGAGCAGGCTGCTATTCGCAGCTGGAGGGCAGTGTCTCAGGGCTGAGTGGCCAGGCTGGACATTCTCTCTACTCAGGATGCTGCTCCCACCTGGGGCTTGCATAAATCAACCTCATCTCTTCCCGCCCCCAGGCATACTAAATCACACTGTGATGGCGAGTCTTCTCCCTTTTGCCGCCTGTGCTAACTCAGGTGGAACCTGCCCCTTAATGTGCCACACTGGGTTACTCATTCCCTGGGCATGGTGACCTCTGGGTTGGAAACTTTCTTTGGAAATGTGCTGCCCTTCGTACGCTCTGCTTGTTTTCTTTAGCAAATTGTAACTAGGTGAAGAGAGCACCAAAGGGAGCCAGGGTCCCTTAGGAACGCCATGACCTTACCACGCCTTTTCCCAAGGACAAAAGAGCTACGCTTAGCCAAGTTCCCTTAGTGTTGACTGATATGCATGTTATGTCATGCGGAAGTGAGAGGGAACAGTTTGCCTGCCATTTGGGCAAATATAGTAAGTAAAGAGTGGGTCCAACTTGAGTAAAGAATGACCTGCTCACTCATTTTGAATGTGCCAGCTTTCGGCCTCCCTAATTGCAGTGGCCTGACATAAACCTTGCTGTTGTGGAGATGCCAACATCATCAAAGTCAGCCTCTAAACAGCTAATGCCATTCTGGGCTGGAACACTCGACTCTTTACCCTGGTTTTCTTCATCATTTTATCAGACTTGCTTTAATTCCCTCTTTTTAAATTAATTAATTAATTAATTATTTTTCTGAGACTGAGTCTTGCTCTGTTGCCCAGGCTGGAGTGCAGTGGCACAATCTTGACTCACTGCAACCTCCGCCCCCCCCGGGTTCAAATAATTCTCCTGCCTCAGCCTCCCAAGTAGCTGGGATTACAGGCTTGTGCCCCCATGCGTGGCTAATTTTTGTATTTTTTTTTTAATAGAGACGGTGTTTTACCATGTTGGCCAGGCTGGTCCCGAACTCCTGACCTCGTGATCCCTCCTTGCTTTGGCCCCCCAAAGTGCTGGGATGACAGTTGTGAGCCACTATTCCCAGCAATTCCCTCTTTTTGAGACTGTTAGATAGCAGAAAATTAATGTATATTGCCCTCTAGTGATTAATGATTACAAACACTTAACTACCAAAACATTTACTGATACTCAATTATGTTAAAAATCCCATTGTTTTATTCTGCATATAAAAGTAATGCACACTTGTGTTGGGAATGTAAAGCATATCTGGACCTCTCTTCTGATATTCAGGTGCCTTTATCCAGACGACTACTCTGCAGGTCCACGTGGGTCCCTGTTAGGCACCTCCAGCTTTAGCTCGTCCTGAACCTACTCCGCCAGTACTGCCCTCATCTTCCCCTTTTACCAGGGCCTCAGACCCAAAGCCTTGAAGTCATCTTTGAGTCCTCCCTGCCTGTCACAGCCTCTGGTCCTTTCAAAACAAACATATGAGAATTTGGGCTTTTGTCAAGGCACTGATTCTATCCTGCCTATCCCAGACATGGTCATCTCTTGCCTAAATCCTGGCCACAGCCTCCTTACTGGCTTCCCTGATTCCAGCCTTATGAAACATAAGTCTATTCACATGGCTGCAGAATGATTCATTTAAAATGTAAGTCCAAGGCCGGGCACAGTGGCTCACGCCTGTAACCCTAGCACTTTGGAAGGCCCAGGGGGGCGGATCACCTGAGGTCAGGAGTTTGAGACCAGCCTGACCAACATGGTGAAACCCCGTCTCTACTAAAAATTCAAAAATTAGCCAGGCATGGTGGTGCACTCCTGTAATCCCAGCTACTCAGGAGGCTGAGGCAGAAGAATCACTTGAACCCGGGAGGCTGAGGTTGCAGTCAGATGAGATCACTCCACTGTGCTCCAGCCTGGGCAACAGAGCGAAATTTCGTCTCAAAATAAATAAATAAATATGAAAATACAAAATTAGCCAGGCATGGTGGTGGGTGCCTGTAATCCTACCTACCCAGGAGGCTGAAGCAGGAGAGTCGCTTGAACCCCAGTAGCAGAGGTTGCAGTGAGCCGAGATGGTGTCATGGCACTCCAGCCTGGGCAACAAGAGTGAAACTCCGTCTCAAAGAAAAATAATAAAAATAAAAACAAAATAAAATGAAAACAAAAATTAAGATAAAATATAAGACCAGTAGTGTCTCTTTTCTCCTCCAAGCCTTTCAAGGACTCTTCCTATTCAGAATAAAGCCAACATCTTTGAAATGGATGTTGAGAGAGAGAGCAAGCCGAATTCTTGCTGAATGAATGTGTTTCTTCTCTGAACAAGTCTAGCTTTTGAACAGAACAGACATGAAGACAGTGAAGGAATGCTTATGAAACTGTAGGAAGGGCTGGAGGAGCAGGCTCCAGGCTCTGGGAGCACCCTCTGAGCACTCCTATAGAGCATGGGGCTGGCATTTGCCACAGAACTACAGACTCCAGCCAGCCAGGAAGATTTTTAGTCCAAAGGCCACTGCTGACATTGTGGAGGTCAAAATCTCACCAATCTGTTTGACCTCCTCCAAAGGCAAAGGGCTTATCAATTTTCTGTTAATAAGCTACCCAGTAGATGTTTTTTTTTTGTTTGTTTTTGTTTTTTTTTGATGGAGTCTTGCTCTGTAGCCCAGGCTGGAGTGCAGTGGCGTGATCTCGGCTCACTGCAACCTCCACCTTCCGGGTTCAAGTGATTCTCCTGCCTCAGCCTCCTGAGCAGCTGGGATTACAGGTGCACACCACCACACCCGGCTAAATTTGTATTTTTAGTAGAGACAGAGTTTCACCATGTTGGTCAGGTTGGTCTCGAACTCCTGACCTTGTGATCCACCCACCTTGGCCTCCCAAAGTGCTGGGATTACAGGCGTGAGCCACTGCTCCCGGCCCAGTATTTTGTTATAGCTGCACAAAGAGACAAATACAGGCATACTGGGGGATGTTAGGGATGGACGCTGAGGATAAGTTCCTTATATCCACCATAGCCTCTGGGATAAGGTCAAGGTCTGAGGAAAAGGGTCCAACAAACTCTTAGCTAGATGTACTCTTCACCTAATGCAGAGATGTGCTTATGATTAAAGTCTAACTTTTTTTACAGGGATTATTACAACCTTAAGTTTGTGTTCATTGTCTGAGACTGGCCTGGTTCAGTTCCCTCATTCCTGCACCATCTCCTTAGTATGCACGCATTTATAAAATTTATCTTTCAAAGAGCCTCCAACCTCGCTTGTATCTGCAACAGTGATGAGCACAGGAGATCCTTCTGGACATGACTGTCTTAATATCAGTCTATCCTGGCACTGTGGCCATACTGTGCCAGGGCCATCTTCAGCACTTGATTAACCAGCAACTGTACAGTCTCCTGAACCAAGGCCTCAGGGTCTGCTTGGATGTCATCCCAACCTGACATATCATGTGCCCTTTTCTGAGAAAATTCCAGAAAATCTTAGACATTCTATGGCTTAGATTTAGTCTTCTCCTTTCTACAGTAACTGTCTCAAATATCAACCTCCTTAAAAAGGAGAGAATAATATCTGGGTCCCAAGACAACCTGCAATGTTTCGGCAGCTGATTGATGACTATGCTGTCTGTGCTTTTGCAGTGAGGAATGACCCCTGCAGCTTATTGGTGGATGCTGCTGTCTGAGTAGGGCCCCCCACATTTGTGCCTATTTCGTGGGGACTCCACCACAGTAGAAGTCAATTTTAAACTACCTCATTGAGAATGGGATTGCTCATCACCAGAGGCTGACATATGTTGACAGGCTGCTCTGACCCCAGCCCCGGGAAGCTACATTCAACCCTGAAACTCAGCTCACAACAGGACAGGTAGAAGCTCCTTTTGAAACATTCATTTGTGTCAGCAGCCTCATTATCAGGTTGAAGACTTTTGCTGGAAGTCTTCCTACCCAGTGCCCAGGGTTGGGGGAGCTCTAACACTTGGAAAATGCTGCAGTTGAGCACAGCGGTTGTTGTGGACACCAAACATACTCTGCTGTTGGGGCAAATTTGAGGGTGACCTTGGGATGAAGGATCCCAGAGGGGACCTGCTGTGAGAGAGGGCACCTGTGAGCCTGCTCAGGGGCTCAAGGCAAGGAACTGGACCTGTCATCTCATCACAGCACGAAACTTTCCCTACAGGGGTTTCCACTGGCTCCATTTTGGGATAATGATCCTGAGTCATTCCTCCATTTCTGACATTTATATTCTGGATAAGGATGGGGTGAGATACCATGAGATCGCTGTACCTGCTCCAGGGTTCTCTATGCTTCTAGGGTTCATCCCTACTCCACCTTTTTGTCATGGACCCTATATCAAGAGAATACCTTTCAACAATTGTTTACCCTACTGTCTCCTCAACATGACCTGCGTCATTATTCTATCCTTGTACAACAATGTTGCCTCTCATGTGCAGGAACTACATAGCCCCTAGAACACTGGCAGCCTCCCTGGGATATTGTAGCATTAGATGTGATTCAACACCAATTTTATGTCTTTTTAGGGGCTGGGCTGGGGTTGGCCAGGTGGGGTGATAGAATTTTTTCCAGGCTTATAGTCTGAGTTATGGATTCTCCACTTTGGACTCTGTGGGTTACTTTCATCTTGATGGATTTCTAAAAATACAAACAACCACCCCAGTGGTTGTTTTTCTGCTTTTCTAGAAGAAATGAGGCTTTATAGGTCAAATGAGAGGGTACAATATGAATATGATGTTGAGAGTGTCTGTGTTTTAGACATGTCTTCATTCCCAACTGGGAACGTGGACTGCCTGGTGAGGCTGCCAGAGTGAATGTATCTACACTGGTGTGGGCGCTCACAGAAGCACAAACTTTCTTGAGAAAGTCATAGAGACTGTTGAACGATACAGTTTCCAGCAAAGCAAACTCTTCTTACCCCATCCATGTGGCCCTCAGTGAGTCTCCTGGTCTTCAGGATTGGTGATCAAGGCTTTTTGAAATCCCATTTGCTTTTCCACTCCACACCAAGTGTGGGTAAAATATCAAATGGAGCATGTTGACCAGATGCCTGAAAAGCATCTATGTCACTCTATTGCTCTTCATGGTAATATGATCAGAGCACCTCACCCAGCAGCTCAAGTTCTTAACTAGTTGTAAGACTAGTTGTAACACCTTACTCCATAGCAATTATAGCCTCAACATCTTTGTCTCTTTTCCAAATCTCCTGATCCTGACTGGGATC
Organism: Homo sapiens; assembly: GCF_000001405.40. Classification (NCBI taxonomy): domain Eukaryota; kingdom Metazoa; phylum Chordata; class Mammalia; order Primates; family Hominidae; genus Homo; species Homo sapiens. Next base: position 51,362,110 of record NC_000007.14, read on the forward strand.
CTGCCCTGGTTAATGGGTCCACAGGACCCCTGTAGGACACTCACTGGGGGATAGGGACAAGTTCAATAATTAGTTATTATAAGGTTTAAGTGACAGACATGTATATCAACTGTTCCTGATATATGGTAACTGCTCAATCAATGTCATCAACACCTCCACCACCATCACCATCAACACTACCATCATCACCATCACCACCACCACCATTACCACAACCACTACCACCACCACCACCATCACCACCAACACTGTCATCACTATCATCACCATCACCACCACGACCACCATTAGTATCACCATCAACACTACCATCACCACAACCATCATCGCCACAACCACTACTGCCACCATCATCATCACCACCATCACTACCATCACCACCACCACCATCACCACCATTACCATCACCATCACCATCAGCAATACCATCACTACCACCACCATCACCACAACCACTGCCACCACCACCACCATCATCACCACCACCATCACTACCATCACCACTATTACCACCACCACCACTATCATCATCACCATCATCACCTCTATCACCATCACCACCACCACCATCACCACCACCATCACTACCACCATCACCCCCACCATCACCACCACCACCACCACCTCCACAACCACCATCACCACCATCATCACCACTATCATCACCACCATTATCATCATCACAACCATCACTATTACCACCATCACTGTCATCATTACCACTACCATCATCACCATCACCACTACTACCACTATCATTACCACTATCAATATCACCACCATGACTATCTTTACTATCACCACTACCACCATCACCATCACTACCACCATCATCATTCCAATCGACTTAAACCATAGGACAATGCTTTTCTTTGGGATGTGGCATGTGGCTCCTTGTACCTACCTAGCACTTGCAGGTAGCAGAAGCCGAGAGACCATTCCACCAGGTCTTTCAAAGCTGTAGGCCATTAACGCTAATCTTTTATTTACAGTTGTTACCCTAATAAAAATCAATCTGCCTTTTGCTCTTCTATGCTTTTTCTGACATATAGAGCCTCTACATTCCAACCAGCTTTAGTGGCCTGTGGGTGGTGGTGGGAAATTGGAATATGACAAGCGGGAGGTGCTGTATCAACTTTCAAGACAGTCTATTGGGAAGGCAGAGCCTGCAGTGGCTGGGGGAGTGGTGGGAAGATAGAAAAAATCCATATCCCACTTGTGGACTGCCATGGAGTGAGCTAAAGCAACCCTCCCTGCCCCTACCATGGAAGGACAGGGGAGATGGGGCTGTGCAAACCATGCAGGTACCCCTATCAGACTTACCACAGAGCCTCTGCTCAGGGCTCTCGAAGAACTCCCTTCACCCAGCATCACAGACCTCTTTCCTTACCTTCTGTCTGTCCACACTGGCTGAGCAGTACTTGGAGATCCAAGCCTTCCTCAGCTCTGTAGGCTCACTGTTTTGCCTCCTTCTCCTTTCTCCAGGTCTCTTCCTAGCTGCCTCTGCTTCTTCTCATTTGCTCCTTATCTATAGGTGTGTGCTGCTATGTTTGCCTCTGCCCCAATCCCTGCTCCCTAGATCCCAGTATGGCCACAGCTGTTGATGCCCTTCTAACTGGGAGGAAGTGCTAGTGCCTAAAGCCTGTGAGGGTCAACAGGCGGTTTTCTGGGCTGACGTTTCTTTCTGCTTACAGGATAAAATGGTGATCCAGGGTTGTGAGTTGGCTATGGGGCTTCTGGGGGTGCTTTTGTGTTTTATTTGCCTCAAATCCTTTTTGAACCTGGAGTACATACATAAATACATTGATGCAATTCTATTCTTAATTTTTAATATTTAAGAATTAAGGGCCAGGTGTGTTGGCTCACACCTGTAATCCCGACACTTTGGGAGGCCGAGGTGGGTGGATTACCTGAGGTCAGGATTTCGAGACCAGCCTGGCCAACATGGTGAAACCCCATCTCTATTAAAAATACAAAATTAGCTGGGCATGGTGGTGGGTGCCTTTAGTCCCAGCTACTCTGGAGGCTAAGGCAGGAGAATCACTTGGACCCAGGAGGCGGAGGTTGCAGTGAGCCGAGATTGTGCCACTGCACTCCAGCCTGGGCAACAAGAGTGAAACTCCATCTCAAAAAAAAAAAAAAAAAAAAAAGAAAAAAAGATTTAAGAAGCAATTGTGCTCCATCTTATAGTTAATAATCTTTAATTGCTATTAATATAACAGAAAGAGAAATGATGGATCACTGAGTGGAAATAGAACTATCTATGTGTTTTTACCAAAAAACTCTAAATTAAATGAAGCCTCAGATCCAATAACCGAGTCATGGGAAATACAAGGTCAGAGGGTACTAATGGACACCATGGCAGATGCATGCCATCGGCATGCATACTGGAGAAATGACCCCATTCTTTCCACATGTCTATTTCCAGGAAAAAAGAGAGATGTGAGGGAAACCTATAGATTACAAGGCACCTTTAGGAGTCATACCAACCAGCTGCAAAGGGCAGACATTCTTTGGAGCTTATTTGAAAAAGAACTGAGGAAAAAAGAGACATTCAGAGACATTTGAACACTGCCTGGGTATGGGCTGGTATTAAGAAATACTGGTTAATTTTTTGGGAGTGATTCTAAGTTTTTTTTTTTTTTTGAACTAATCTTTTAGAAGTATATTCTAAGGCTGGGCATGGTGGCTCACGCCTGTAATTCCAGTACTTTGGGAGGCCGAGGAGGGTAGATCATCTGAGGTGAGGAGTTCGAGACCAGTCTGACTAACATGATGTAACTCCGTCTCTACTAAAAATACAAAAATTAGCCAGACATGTGGCACATGCATGTAATCCCAGCTAGTCGGGAGGCTGAGGCAGGAGAATTGTTTGAATCAGTGAGGTGGAGGTTGCAGTGAGCTGAGATCGTGTTATGGCATTCCAGCCTGGGCACCAAGAGTGAAACTCCGTCTCAAAAAAGAGTATATGTTGCTAAAATATTTCCAGATCAAACGATCTGACATTGGGGAATTACTTCAGCACAATCTGGAGCAACGATGGGAGTGGGTGGGAAAGATTCCTATCGCTGTGAGTTGTTGAAGTTGGGTAATGGGCACATGGAAGTTCATTTTACAACTTTCTTCGTTTTTCTGTTTAAAAGATGCCTATATTCAAAGTAAAACAGGCAAAAAAGAAAGAAAGAAAGGCTGATGAAGATCACAGTCACAGCCTGACTGGGATGGGACGTACAATTCAGGGACTAAAGACAAATCACAATAAACAACACAAGTGTTCACATTAAAATCTAAATGACTTATGGGATATGGATGTTGTTTACCAATAGTAGGACTTACACAACTTTGTGTTGGCAACAATAGGCTTTATATGAGATTATATAAGATTATTATATAGGCTTATAAATGTAGAAGCAGGATTTGACTCCCTGCCCCGTTCCTTTCAAAGACTCCTTGTGTCTCCTGCTCCAACCTTCCAGGAGCTTCCGGCAGACGCCTGTCTGCAGTCCTGCTCTGACACTTGTCCCTTCTCCCATGTATCCTGGACTTGTGTCTAAGCCTAGAGTGTGAATTTACTAATGAGGTCAATTAAAATGGGCTAACATCCCAATAGGAGGCACTGAGAACAGACATTTACTAAATGTTCCTGGCAGAGAAACACCTGCTTGTGTTATATGACGAAGATCTCATTAGTAGCACATTTAATAGAAGCAGCATTTTCTTGTTCTTTTTTTTGAGATGGGGTTTCACGCTTGTTGTCCAGGCTGGAGTGCAATGGGCACGATCTCAGCTCACTGCAAGCTCTGCCTCCCAGGTTCAAACAATTCTCCTTCCTCAGCCTCGCAAGTAGCTGGGATTATAGGCGCCTGGCATCACACCTGGCTAATTTTTTGTATTTAGTAGAGACAGGCTTTCACCATGTTAGTCAGGCTGGGCTCGAACCCCTGACCTCAGGTGATCCACCCCCCTCGGCCTCCCAAAGTGCTGAGATTACAGGCATGCACCACTGCACCTGCCCAAGAAGCAGCATTTTCTAAGAGGTAATTAAATTGATTTCAGATAATGGACACTTGGAGCAAGGAGGATTCTTCTGGGGTTGAGAAGTGCCCTTAGTCTAGGGATGACCAGTCAGTGTGATATCATGCCATATCAAATACATCCAAGCAGCCTCTCGGGCGTGATGATGAGGATGATGAGGCCTCCCCCAGGCGGGGTGAAGAGCAACCGCTGTGAGCAGCTACTCATGTCTGCTGTGGGCACAGCACGTGCCACTCCTGCCTGATTTGACAGCTGATTAGAAACTTTTCTACAGAGGAACTAGAGCAGCATTTTTAGGTGTGGACAGAGTAGGAGAGGTGTAGTTGGTATATGAGAATGTGAGAATTGGGGCTAGAGGCCCTGATTTGAAATCTCAGCCCTGCCCTTTATCAGTTGTGTGTGGTGGGCTATCTTTCCCTCCAGGAGCACAGCTATGCAGTGAGTGGAGCAGGAAGTCAGGCATGAGGCCAGAGAGCTTTGTTAACCTGAGAGGTTGTGATGATGGAAAGTCTGGCGAGATGATGAGCGGGTGGGAAGGTAACTTAGTGGCTAGGAGGGGAGTTGGGAGTTGGAGGTTGGAGGAGCAGATAAAATCAGGCTCCACAAATTGCAGCGAGCCTGAAGCTGGCAGCAGACGGCAGGGGTCCAACTCCACAGGCAGAGGCTTTTCATGGCTCTTGTGGGAAAAAGAGTCCTTGCTGACAAGTCCTGCCTGCATTGGCTTAGGCGGCCCATGTCCCTGGGGGTCCTGCACTGCAGACAGGCCCAGGGCCTGAGCACCACTGAATAGTTCCTGGTCTGCAAACTGCAGATGACACCACACCAATGTCAGAGGTGTTCTGTGAGGGCAGAATATAGTTGTGCGTAGGCAGCACTAGGTAAGCAGCAAGGCCTGGACAAGGCTGATTGCTGTTCTCTGCATGGACCTGTGTGTTGGGTTGCAGGGGGCAGCTACCTCCGGCTGGAAAGCAGCAGACCAGCTGTTCTGCAGAATGCAGACACCAGGACAAGCACCTTCCACCGAGATAAGCAGTGCTACATGCAGCTCCCCAGACATGCTGGCTTCCAATACTGGGGGAAAAAAATCGCAGAAACCACTTCCATCTAGTGGTAACGGAGGGAAAATGCAGGCCTGAACTGCAGCACTCTCCTAAGGAGGCCCAGGACTGAACCTTGCAGACCCTTCCAGGCAAGCCAGCAAATCTTATCCATCCCAACTTCCCAAGGTTAAATTGTCTTCCAGATCAACAGCCTTAGTCTGCTGAAGAAATTTACCTGCCATCTACACCACAAAAAAACTGTAGGGCAATGCAGATTCTGGGGGTCCCTGACTCAAAATAGAATTGAGCATTTTCTAGACAAGAAACAAAGCTAAGTGTCTAATGTTTCTCTAGGATCATGAAGCCACATTAAAAATTGACTGATCGATAAGCAATAGACAAATGAATAAATAAACCCTGAGTAGTTTTACAAAATAATATGATAAAAATTGAAACCATGTGTCCAGTTAGGGTCCCCTTGGCCCCCCCAAATCTCACGTCCTTCTCACATTGCAAAATACAAGCATCCCTTCCCAATAGCCCGCCAAAATCCTAACTTGTTCCAGGATCAACTCTAAAGCCCAAAGTCCAAAGTCTCATCTGAGACTTGCAGGTAATTTCCATACAGCTGTGAGCCTGTAAAATGAAAAACAAGTTATTTCTTCCAAAATAAAATGGTGCTGTACCATTAGGTAAACATTCCCATTCCAAAAGAGATAAATCAGCCAAAAGAAAGGGGCAACGGGCCTCATGCAGTATGAAACCCAGCAAGGCAGATAATGAACCTTAAAGCTCCAAATTAATCTTTGACACCATGTCTCACATCCTGGGCATACTGGCGCAAGGCAGGGTTCCTGAGGCTTGGGCAGCCCCTTCCCCATGGCTGTGCTTGGTGCAACCCTGTGGCTGCTCTCACACATTGGAGTTGAGTGCCTGCGGCTTTTCCAGGCTGAGGGTGAACACTGCTGGTGGATCTACCATTCTGGGGTCTAGAGGGCAGTGGCCCTCTTCCCACAGCTCCAAAGACAATGCCCTGGTGGGGATTCTGTGTGGGGGCTCCAACCCCACATTTCTCCTCCACACTGCCCTCATAGAAGCTCTCTGTGGGGGCTCTGCCCCTGCAACAGGCTCTGCTTGGGCACCCAGGCTTTCTCACACATCTTCAAATCCAGGTGGAAGCTGTCAAACCTCAGCCACCCTTTATTCTCTGCTCCCACAGGCTTAACATCATGTGGAAGCAACCAAGGCTTAAAATGTGCACCCTCTGGAACTGAGCCTGCTGTATCTGGGGCCATCTGAGCCTCAGGCGAAGTCAGAGCTGCTGGGATGCAGGGAGGGGCTGCATTTTGAGGCAGGGCAAGGCAGAGGAGCCCAGGCCTGGCCCCCAAAGCCATTCTGTCCTGCTAAGCCTCTGGGCCTATGATGGGAGGGGCTGCCTAAAAGATTTCCACAATGCCTTCAGGACCTTCCCCCCCATCATTCTGATAGCATCTGTCTCTCTTTTAGTCATGCTAATCACTCTAGCAGGTTACTCTACAGCCTGCTTTGATTTCTCTCCTAAAAACACTTTTTACTTTTTCAAAATTTCTTAATTCTTACAGTTTGCTTCCTATTTTTTTTTTTTTTTGAGACAGGGTCTCACTTTGTTGCCCATGCTGGAGTGAAGTGGTAAGAACACGGCTCACTGCAATTCTCCTATCTCAGCCTCCCAAATAGCTGGGACTACAGCGAGGTGGAGAGGCAGGTGCTGGAGAGGGTCTAGGGCCAGGTGATGCAAAGGTCGTGAAAGCACATGGGACCTTGTCCTGAGGACTGGTGCTCATCTCCTATCTTCATGCTCCTCCAGGGCAAACTACACCCTCCTTGGCAGGAGCAGGGAGCAAGCTGAGCGGTCAAGGCAGCTAAACCTGCCAGCCACACAGACCAGCTCACAGGACTGGAGAGTAATGGTACCCAAGAGCAGTAAGATTGCTCCACCCCAAATCACTAGACAAAGCTCAGCACCAGCCTCTGGCCCAATGGTCCTGCTTCTGTTTTCATTTTACCAACAGGTGCAGTCTCCTGTTCCTCCAGGAAACACCCAAACAACAGGATAGGCAACTTCACCCAATCCCCGCCACTTGTAGCCAGGCAGGCCATACTTGCTAGAGCTTCCAGCCCCGTGGTACCACTTCTGTCTGAATTCTGCTGACAAGCACAGTCTCTTGTTCCCCTAGGAAACACCTTAATGGCATGGTGAGTGACTCCACCCACTGCCACTGCTCACAGCCAGCAGCCCACACCTGCTAGAGCTTCCAGCCCAGCAGTCCTGCTTTTATATGAACTCTGCAGGTGGGGGCAACTCCATGTTCCCCTGCGAAGCAGCTGGACAGCAGATTAGGTGACCCCACTCATCCCTGCAACTCCTAGCCAAGCAGTTCTTGCTGGCTTGGGTGGTGCCCAAGCAGTGGGGGAATCCTCACTCTTGCATCACTAAAAGAAGTGAGATGCCCAAGTTCACAGGTCAGTGGAGGAGTGGGTTGTGCCTCCCTCTGTACAGCCATTCCAGAAAGGATATGACCTGTTTGCCAACTGTGGCCCCTACATGAGGAAGCCCCATGGACAAGAACACCTAATAAAAGAAACACAGGCGTGGAGTCAGTGATCAGAGGGGGCTCTTCCAAGGCTCAGGAGTGGACAAGGTGAGGGGGTCATCTCTACCCCACCCCCTAAAGAGCACTATGCTAACTTGAGGAAAACACAAAAGAGCTGTGCAGCTGAGAAAAAAGCCTATCTGCCTGTCCGCTGGCTAACACTTTTAAGTGCCACCTACTGGATCACGGTGGAAAATACAACACAAAAATATTTTGCCAGTACACAGCACCTGTGAAAACTAAGGCAAAGATTAAGCAACAAATAAACATTCTGTACATACTCCTGACCCTCTGAAAACACCCTAAAATGAAGCCAACTGACTGTACTCAACTTACTTCACAGTTAAAGGAACACTAACCCTTACACATGAAAAAGAATCGATGCAAAAACTCTGGCAACTCAAAAAGCCAGTGTGCCCCCTTACCTACCAACAAACACACTAGTCCCCCAGAAATGGTTCTTAGCCAGATTGAGATGACTGAAATGATGGAAATAAAATTCAAGATCTGGATGGCAAGGAAGCTCAATGGGATCAAAGAGAAAGTTGAATCCAAGGAACCCAGTAAAACAATCCAGGAGCTGAAAGATTAAACAGCCATTTTAAGAAAGAACCAGCCGGGTGTGATGGCTCACGCCTGTAATCCTAGCACTTTGGGAGGCCAAGGCAAGTGGATTACTTGAGGTCAGGAGTTTGAGACCAGCCTGGCCAACATGATGAAACCCTGTCTCTACTAAAATACAAAAATTAGCCGGGCGTGGTGGCACATGTCTGTACTCTCAGCTACTTGGGAGGCTGAGGCAGGAGAATCACTTGAACCCGGGAGGTGGAGGTTGCAGTAAGCGAAGATTGTATCACTGCACTCCAGCCTGGGCAACAGAGCAAGACTCTGTCTCAAAAAAAAAAAAAAAAAAGAAAGAACCAAACTGAACTTCTGAAACTGAAAGATTTACTTCAAGAATTCTACAATAAAATTAGAAGCATCAGTAGCAGAATAGATCAAACTGAAGAAAGAATTTCAGAGCTTGAGGTCTAGCTCTTCAAATCAACTCAGTCAGACAAAATTTTTTTTTTTTCAGACAGAGTCTTGCTCTGTTGCACAGGCTGGAGTGCAGTGGCACGACCTCGGCTCACTGCAAGCTCTGCCTCCCAGGTTCCCACCATTCTCCTGCCTCGGCCTCCCGAGTAGCTGGGACTACAGGCGCCCGCCACCACACCCAGCTAATTTTTTGTATTTTTAGTAGAGACGGAGTTTCACCATGTTAGCTAGGATGGTCTCCATCTGCTGACCTCGTGATCTGCCTGCCTTGGCCTCCCAAAGTGCTGGGATTACAGGCGTGATGGCTCAGGCCCAGCATTTTTTTTTTTTTTTTTGAGACAAAGTATCTCTCTGTTGCCCAGGCTGGAGTGCAATGGCACAATCTCGGCTCACTGCACCCTCCGCCTCCCAAGTTCAAGCAATTATCCTGCCTCAGCCTCCTGAGTGTCTGGGATTACAGGCACCTGCCACCATGCTCAGCTAATTGTTGTAATTTTAGTAGAGATGAGGTTTCACCATCTTGGTTCGGCTGGTCTCAAACTCCTGACCTCAGGTGATCCACCCACCTCAGCCTCCCAAAGTACTGGGATTACAGGAGTGAGTCACCATGCCCAGCCCCACAAAAATTTTTTAAAAAGAATTAAAAAGTGAATAAAATCTTTTGAGAAATATAGGATTATGTAAAAAGACCAAACCTACATTTCATTGGCATTCCCAAAAGAGAAGTAACTTGGAGAATATATTTGAAGACATAGTCCATGAAAAATTTCCCAGACTTGCTAGAGAGGGCAACATACAAATTCAAAAAATACAGACAACCCTACAGATACTACACAAGATGACCATCCCCAAGGCACATAGTCATCAGATTCACCAAAGTCAAAGTAAAAGAAAAAAATCCTAAAGGCAGCTAGAGAGAAAGGTCAGGTCAACTATAAAGGGAACCCCATCAGGCTAGCAGTAGACGTTGCAACAGAAACTTTACAAGACAGAGGAGAATCAAGGTTTATTCTCAGCAATCTTAAAGAAAATAATTTCCAAGCAAGAATATTGTGTCCCATCAAACTAAGCTTCATAAGTGAAGGAGAAATAAAATACTTCTCAGATAAGCAAGTACTTAACGGAGTGCTAAACATGAAAACAGAGAACTGAAACATGCTCCTTCAAAAACACACTCAAGGACATGGCCTACAGAGAATGTAAAGCCACCACACAACTAAGTCTACGAAATAAACAGCCAACAACATAATGACAGTCTCAAAATCTCATGTATCAATACTAACCCAGAATGTAAATGGTCTAAATGCCCGACTTAAAAGGGATAGCATGTCAAGTTGGACAAAAAGACAAGCCCCGATAGTCTGCTGTCTTCAAGACACCCATCTCTCATGTAAAGATACTCACAGGTTCAAAGTAAAAGGATAGAGTAGATCTACCAAGCAAACAGAAAACTAAAAAGAGCAGGAGTTATTATTTTTATAGCAGATAAAACAGATTTTAAACCAACAACAATCAGGAAGGATAAAGAAGAGCAGTACATGATGATAAAAGGTTTAATTCAACAAGAAGACCTGACCATTCTAAACATATACGTACCCAATATAGGAGCACCTAGATTCATAAAACAAATTTTTCTTGACTTACAAAAGGCTTAGTCACACAATAATAGTGGGGGACCTTAACACCCCACTGACAGTGTTAAGACAGATCATCAAGGCTGAAAACTGACAAAGAAAATCTGGGCTTAAACTCGTCATGTGACCAATTAATTGAACCTAATAGATGTCTACAGAGTACTCCATCTAACAACCATAGAATATACCTATGTTTCATTCTTACTATTCTAAGATTGACTACATGCCATCCTGGCTAACATGGTGAAACCCCGTCTCTACTAAAAATACAAAAAATTAGCCAGGTGCGGTGGCACGTGCCTGTAGTCCCAGCTACTCAGGAGGCTATGGCAGGAGAATCGCTTGAACCTGGGAGGCAGAGGCTGCAGTGAGCCGAGATCACTCTACTGCACTCCAGCCTGGGTGACAGAGTGAGACTTCATCTCTAAAAAAAAAAAAAATTAAATATGTACTCAGAAGCTAGGGACCCAGCAATGTCCTTGCCTTCAAAGGATTTTCATTGCAGTGGAGGGGACAGAGGGTAGACAACAAGCAAGTAGTAATGAAAGACAAGAGAGAAATGACAGGTCACAGGTTAATAGGGCCCGGGTGCAGTGGCTCACACCTATAATCCCAGCACTTTGGGAGGCCAAGGCAGGCAGATCACCTGAGGTCAGGAGTTCAAGGCCAGCCTGGCCAACATAGTGAAACCCCGTCTCAACTAAAAGTACAAAAATTAGGTGTGGTAGTGTGTGCCTGTAATCCCAGCTACTAGGGAGGCTGAGGCAGGAGAATCGCTTGAACCAGGGAGGCGGTGAGGTTGCAGTGAGCTGAGATTGAGACACTGCACTCTAGCCTGGGCGACAGAATGATTCCATCTCAAAAACAAAAACAAACAGAAAAACAGTTAATGGGAAGACAGCCTGTGTGGTCTGGTGTCATTTTTTAGTAATTCCGTGAAGTACAATGGAGTTTCCAGGTTTTCTCTGTGACAAAGGGATGCTGCTTTGTCACTTTTTTTTTTTTCCTTTTGAGACGGGGTGTTACTCTGTAGCTCAGACTGGCGTGCAGTGATGCGATCACAGCTCACAGCAGCCTCGAACTCTTAGGCTCAGGAGATCTTCCCACCTTCTGAGTAGCTGAGAGTACAGGTACATGCCACCGAACCTGGCCAATTTTTGTATTTTTTGTACAGACAGAGTCTCACTAATGTTCCCCAGGCTGGTCTGGAACTCCTGGGCTCAAATAATCCTCCTGCCTTGGTCACCCAAAATGTTGGGATTACAGGCATGAGCCACTGTGCCCAGCTGAGACTTGATATTTAAATAGTGGTCTGGGGACCAGCAGCACTGACATCTCCTGGGAGCTTGTTAGAATTGCAGAATTTCAGGTCCCACTTCAGACCTGTTGATTGAGCATTTTCATATTAACAAGATTCACAGGTGATTTGTATGCACATTTTAGTTTGAGAAGGACTTATTTAGAATGGAAGATAAAAAACGGCAAAGAAAGAGTTAAATACCTCCAGTTCAATTAGGGATTGATGAGAGATGGTGTGATCTAAAACATTCTTCTGGGTTGAATTTGGCCTTGTTGCCTGGACTATCAATATTGTGGTGTTTATCCTCTTAGGGAGAGAACTCCAAACTCCAGATCATTTCCTTAATCTGCTTCTCTAACCAGGTGTGGGAATCCAGATTGCCTCAAAATCTCGAGCTGCTAAGGCTGGGAAGAGCCTGAGATGTCATCAGTTCAGCTCAATCCTTAGTTGCTGCCCTGCCCACTTCTGCCCACCCCCATTTCACAGGCGAGCCTCTGGGAAGGGCAGTGGTTTGCTCAAACTACATATCAGCCCAGGGCTGGCCACAGTTCTGAGTCCCAGCCAGTACTTATCTTTTCTCTAAGTTTTGGTCCATTATTTTTTTTCTTTTATGGATTCAGCCTATCTTTTTAGAAAAATGAATTTTAAAAACATATATTCATTCATATCATAAAAGTATCATAGGCTTATTGTAAAAAAATCAAACAGTGTTGGGTACAGTGGCTCACACCTGTAATCCCAGCACTTTGGGAGGCCAAGGCAGGTGGTTCACGAGGTCAGGAGTTCGAGACCAGCCTGGCCAATACGGTGAAACCCCCGTCTCTACTAAAAATACAAAAATTAGCCTGGTGTGGTGGTGCGCATCTGTAGTTCCAGCTGCTCAGGAGGCTGAGGCAGAAGAATCACTTGAACCCCGGAGGCAGAGGTTACAGTGAGCAGAGATCATGCCACTGCACTCCAGCCTGGAGGATAGAGCAAGACTCCATCTCAAAAAAAAAAAAAAAAAAAAAAGATTTACTGAAACATTGCAAAGATCATATAGAAAGTTTTCTTACATGCTTCACCAGTTTGCCTTCCATCAACATCTCACGCAACTATGGCACATTTGTCAAAACTAGGAAACTGATATTGGTACAACATGATTCACCAAACTCCAGACTTTGTTGGGATTTCACCAGCTTTTCCACTAATGTCCCTTCTTCCTTTCCAGAATCCAGCTCAAGAAACCACATGGCATTTGGTCATCTGCCATTGCATTCCTTTACGTGTGATGATCAAAGTAATAATTCTCTCTCTTTTACAGGTGAGGAAAGAAGTGATTCAATGGCCAAAGGATTGCCCTGTCACATCTAGGAGGCGAAGGCAGTGCAATAAAGGGTTTATTACTTGGCTAAATTTAGAACCGGAATTTATGTGGTGTGACCTTGAGCCTTTGTCTTCCTGTCTGAATGATAGGATCATAGATTAATCCTTCTTTCCAGGCAGTGGTGGGGACTAAATGAGATAATATATATGGGCATATGCGTGCCAAAGAAATGGTACCTGCTGCTCTTGTTATTACTGTCAGTATCGCCATCAGGAGCCTTGATCCCAGGTAGACTGCCTAACTGCTGAAACCTAGCTTCTTGTCCAGCGTGGTCAATCATCCCACCTCTCCAGCCTCACCCCAGACAAGACAAACAAGAGCTCAGGAAATAAATGTTAGTTTTGACACCCTTCCTTACCCTCAAAACTTAAAGAGGTTGACACACTTTCTTACCCTTAAAACTTAAAGACCTTGTTAAAACTCAAGGTCAAATAGCTGGCTAGGAGCTTAACCAGAGAGATAACCTAGTTTTTTTTGTTTGTTTGTTTTTTGAGATGGAGTTTTTGCTCTTGTCGCCCAGGCTGGAGTGTAATGGCGCGATCTTGGCTCACTGCAACCCCTGCCTCCCAGGTTCAAATGATTCTCCTGTCTCAGGCTCCTGAGTAGTTGGGATTACAAGCGTCCACCACCATGCCTGGCTAATTTTTGTACTTTTAGTAGAGACGGGGTTTCATCAAGTTGGCCAGGCTGGTCTCGAACTCCTGACCTCAGATGATCCACCCGCCTCAGCATCCCAAAGTGCTGGGATTACAGACATGAGCCACCATGCTGGGCTGTTTTTTGTTTGTTTGTTTGTTTGTTTGTTTGTTTTTGTAGAGATGGGGTCTCTCTCTGTTGCCCAGGCTGAAATAGAACTCCTGGGCTGAAGTGATGCCCCTGCTTTGTTTCCCAAAGTGCTGGGATTATAGACATGAGCCACTTCACCCAGCCTAAGCAGCTAGGTCTTGCTAAGACCTTGTCCCATCCACTGGGCAGAACCCCTCCCTCTTCTCTTCCTCCTCCCCTTGCCTCCCTTCCCATTCAGAGACTGCCCTGGGGAACAGAAGCTACCTGCCGGCTGCTCTTAACTCCACTTGATGGGATGCCCTGCAAGGGACCCCAGCATCTCTTCTGGCCTAAAGGAGCTGTCATAAACACCTGATGAAGGAAGTGTTGCAAGATCATTTTCAAAAAAAGGTGAAATTATGACTTTCACATAGATAGAAAATGAATAGGTATTAACCATTTTATTTAACTCATAAGGGGGCCAGGTGACGTTATAACCAGCTCAACAGGGCAGCTGAGAACAGTCACATTCACAGGTCAGGAATAGTGAAATGAATGTGCAAATGGAAACTGGTTTTTCAACAAGAGAGTGAGGGAGAACCTCTACTAGACAGGGCAATATATCATTTGCCTACAATTTACAGAGCTGTAAAGTAGCTCAAAGACAACAAAAGGCTAGAATCTGATAACCAGGAAGTGTGTGCTGTGTGTAGATAGTGCATTATTTTCTGCTGAATCACATTTTTTTCTGCAGAAGGAAGGTTATGAGCAGGGTACACTCCAGAGTCTCTAATGTGATGATCACTCTCTGAGAATTAGTATGAGTCATATAAGATACAAGGACCTTTCTGGATGGATTGGGAAAATTATATCTCACTTGCAAGCAAGAGGCCTGCAGTCTAAAGTCCCCCTCTTAAGATGCAGGTCTTGGCTTGGCGCGATAGCTCATGCGTGTAATCCTAGCACTTTGGGAGCCCAAAGCAGGAGGATCACTTGAGCTCAGGAGTTCAAGACCAGCCTGGGCAACACAGACTTCATTTCTAAAAAAAAAAAAAAAAAAAAAAAAAAAGATGCAGGTCTTAGCTGGGCACAGTGACTCACTCCCGTAATCCCAGCACTTTGGGAGGTTGAGGTAGGAAAACTGCTTGAAGCCAAGAGTTCCAGACCAGCCTGAGCAACATGGCAAAACCCCATCTTTACAAAAAATTTTAAAAATTAGCCAGGTGTGGAGGTGCATGCTTGGAGTCCCAGCTACTCGGGAGGCTGAGGTAGGAAGGCTGCTTGAGCCCAGGAGATTATCAAAGCTGTAGTGAGCCGTGTTTGCATCACTGTACTCGAGCCGAGGCAACAGAGTGAGATCCTGTTTCAAAAAAAAGGCAGAGCTCAAGACATTAAAGTTTATTTTTCAGTTGTACTTTGGCACCTGTGTTACATGATCGGTTCTGGAACATTCTAGAACGTGGATTTCTGAAGTGGGTCTGTAGTGGAGGCCTATAGAGTTTTCACTGGACCTGCTTTGATCCTGTCTCTGCTGTGCAGCCTCGTGCAGTTATACTAGCTCTCTGATGTGCAGCTTCCTCCTCTTTGAGGATGTCAATATTGATACTTCATATATTATTTTGTTACCTAAACTACATTAAAGTTAGGAGAAAATTTCTTGGAAAATGTCCTTAGTCCCTACAATTCTTACTTATCAGCCCAGCCTCCTCCCCTCTTCCCATCCCGGTCCCGTCCCCTCGGCTCTCCATTCAATTCCCCATTTCCACCATTTGTCTCTCTAGTAGGGTAGAGAGGGGCTTGGGTTGCCCTGGAGGGGCTGGCCTGTGCTGAGTGAAGTTCACACCTGGGTGTGCCCTCAGGAAAGGGGCCCCTGGGGACAGGGTAACCATCAGAAAGGCTCAGGGCTCCCCAGTGCGCCATGCTGTCCTTTGTCCCATCTCTGATTCTGTGCTTACTGTGCCCAAGTATGGAATTGCAGGGTAGCAGCATGGGGACTTCCAGGTGGGCCCCTCCTAGCAGTGGGGGTTTCAGCCAATGAAGAATTCAGTCTCCTGACATAGGTCTCCCTTCAAAAGGGCGTGTCTCCAGGACAGCTGCAGCAATTCCATATCCATATCACTCACTTTCTAGTTTTTTTGTTTTGTTTTGTTTTTGAGACAGGGTCTTGCTCTGTGGCCCAGGCTGGAGTGCAGTGGCGTGGTGCGATCTCAGCTCACTGCAACCTCTGCATCCCGGGCTCAGGTGATCTTTCCACCTCAGTTTCTCAAGTAGCTGGGACCACAGGTGCCCACCACACCCAGCTAATTTTTCTATTTTTAGTAGAGATGGAGTTTCTCCATGTTGCCCAGGCTGGACACTTTCTTTCTTTCTTTTTTTTTTTTGACAGAGTCTTTCTCTGAGATGAAGTCTGGCTCTGTCCCCCAGGCTGGAGTGAAGTGGCATGATCTTTGCACACTGCAACCTCTGTCTCCTGGGTTCAAGCGATTCTCCTGTGTCAGCCTCCTGAGTAGCTGGGATTACAGGCGTGCACTACCACAGCTGGTTAATGGCTAATTTTTGTATTTTTAGTAGAGGTGGGATTTCACCATGTTGGCAAGGCTGGACTCAAACTGCTGACCTCAAGTGATCTGCCTGCCTTGGCTTCCCAAAGTGCTGGGATTACAGATGTGAACCACCGTGCCCAGCCTGCCATCCTTTTTAAGGCTGAAGAATCTTCCATTGTCTAGATAGACCACATCTTGTCATCTGTTCTTCTGTTGATGGACACTTGGTTCCTTCCCCCTTTTGACTATTGTGAGTAATGCT
This sequence comes from Homo sapiens, assembly GCF_000001405.40. Classification (NCBI taxonomy): domain Eukaryota; kingdom Metazoa; phylum Chordata; class Mammalia; order Primates; family Hominidae; genus Homo; species Homo sapiens. The sequence goes on from NC_000007.14 coordinate 51,378,726, forward strand.
GCTATGAACATGGGTGCACAAATATCTTTTTGAATCTAGTGAGTATATTTTATCTCTGCCAGTGAGTCTATCCAAAGAAAAGGGAAATCATCTTTGCTTGGGGTGTTCTGATTGTGCCTACACTTGGCAGGCACCCTCCAAGTGAGAGCAGAGAAAAGGAAGAAAAGAGGAATGAAAATTGGTTGGGAGGGTTGGGGTGGAGGAGGTGAATAAACACTATTGAGTGCTCCCCTTATGGAAAGATTTATACACGGGCAGCCCAAAAAGCAGAGGCATCTCCCAGAGTTTCATCCAGGTAACACCCCTCCAAACACACCCAAACAGAAGCATGCTAGGACATGAGGAATTACAACGAGGCCATATATATATATATATATATATATATATATATATATATATATATATAACCTTTTGTTTTTTTTTTTTTTGAGACGGAGTTTTGCTCTTGTTTTCCAGGCTGGGGTGCAATGGCATGATCTTGGCAACCTCCATCTCCCAGGTTGAAGCATTTCTCATGCCTCAGCCTCCAGAATAGCTGGGACTACAGGTGCACACCACCACACCCGGCTAATTTTGTATTTTTAGTAGAGACAAGGTTTCACCACATTAGCCAGGCTGGTCTCAAACTTCTGACCTCAGGAGATCCACCTGCTTCTGCCTCCCAAAGTGCTGGGATTACAGGCGTGAGCCACCATGCCCCACCAATAAAAAATTTTTAAAAATTGCTCCAGATGAGAACATCAAGGCTGAGGGTTACTAACTTGTTCACGCTATTGAGTACAGAGATAGGTCTGAGATCTGGGTGGCCTGTCCCCAAGCCAGTGCTCTTTCAGGCCACAAACTTTCTCTTGGCCTGTGCCCACGAAGGGAGCCCAGGGGTCAGTGTGCAAGCTTGCAGAGGGAGAGCAGCCTGGTTACATGCAGGGAGCATGCCCTGGGAGTGAGTGTTCTTTTTTTTTTTTGAGACAGGGTGTCACTGTGTCACCCCGGCTGGAGTGCAGTGATGTGATCTCAGCTCACTGCAACCTCTGCCTCCCAGATTCAAGGGATTCTCCTGCCTCAACCTCCCAAGTAGCTGGGACTAGAGGCATGCGCCACCATGCCCAGCTAATTTTTGTATTTTTAGCAGAGGCGGGGTTTCGCCATGTTGGCCAGGATGGTCTGAAACTTCTGGCCTCAAGTGATCCACCCACCTCAGCCTCCCAAAGTGCTGGGATTACAGGCATTGGCCACCACACCTGGCCTGAGTGTTAATTCTTTTTTTTTCGAGACGGAGTTTCCCTCTGTCGCCCAGGCTGGAGTGTAATGCTATGATCGAGGCTCACTGCAACCTCCACCTCCTGGGTTCAAGTAATTCTCCTGCCCCAGCCTCCTGAGTAGCTGGGATTATAGGCATGTGCCACCATGCTCAGCTAATTTTGTATTTTTAGTAGAGAAGGGGTTTCTCCATGTTGGTGAGGCTGGTCTTGAACTCCCAACCTCAGGTGATCCGCCTGCCTTGGCCTCCCAAAGTGCTGGAATTACAGGCATTGGCCACCACGCCCAGCCTGAGTGTTAATTCTTGAAGCATTTGGCGGCACTAGTGAGGCCCCTGCAGCCAACCCCGTCAGTGGTGGCCCTTGTCCAGAAGAGGCACACCTGTGAGTTGGCCAGCATCAGTCTCTGGTGTTGGGCATGAGGCAGGAAACGAGCCCCTCCGTCTGCTGAGCTGAGCCCCAGCACTCTTTGGACACCCCCGCCATAGTGAGCAGATGCCCAGCAAACATCTTTCCAGGGCTACTACCAAAGGCCAGAGTTTACCTGTGTGAGAGCTTATATGAAACATGGAAGAGCTTCTACCAGTTATGCATTTATTTTCATGTGTAAGAAGGAAAACATAACTAGCCTGTGAACATGACTGCATGGATACATGGGCTCGGCACAAGGAGAAAGCCAGGAGTGAGTGAAAACAAAATAACATGTTGATTTAAGTGAAATAACAGAACAGGATTCCTTTGGTTATAACAATTCTGGAGATGGTCTGTGAATGCAGAAGTTCGGGACTCCCTCCCTGCTCTAGGCTTAGGGCTAGACGCTGTGTTCTGGGCTGAAGCCCCTGGGTTCTACAGAGAAGCTCGACCAGTGCATGGCCCCTGTGGCATTCTCCCAGGAGCCTGTGTGACAGCGAGACCTCAGGGGGGAAAGCACATTCTGTTTAACCTGTCCATGTCCTACAAAATGTCTTAGAAGCGATGAAGCAACAACGATGATTCTCCCTCAAAGGGAAGAAGAATCTGCCAGGTGTCACTTTGAGGAGGCAGTGCTTACAAGACAGGCTGGGCTGCAGAGCCCAAGTGGGAGGTTGCAGTGAGCCAAGAGCATGCCATTGCACCCTGGCCTGGGCAACAGAGCAAGACTCCATCTTGAAAAAAAAGAGAGAGAAAAGAAAGCCATCGAGACACCATTAGGCAATCCACTGTCATGTGAGTTTGGGAAGGAAAGTAGACAAAGGAGAAGGAAGTTTATTTAAAGAAAGAATGGTTGAAACTGCCTAAATCATGGGAAAGATTTAGACATCCAAGTGCATGAAGCTTAAAGATTCCTAAGGAGGTTAAAACCAAATATATATAATCACAATATAATCAAATAGTCAAAAGCCAAAGATTTTTTAAAATGTTGAAGAGGCAAGAGAAAAGTGGCATGACACCAACAAGAGAATCTTCATTAAACTATCAGCAGATTTCTCAGAAGAAACTTTGCAGGTCAGGAGAGAATTGAAGAATATATTCAAAGTGCTGAAAGAAAAAAACTGCCAGCAACTAATACTATATTTGACAAAGCTATCCTTCAGAAAGAATGAATAAATAACATGTTCCCTAGACAAAAAAAGCTGAGGGAATTCAGGAGCACTAGGTCTACTTTAAAAGAAATGCTTAACGGAGTTTTTCAAGTAAAAATGAAAGAAAGCAGCTGGGTGTGGTGGCTCATGCCTGTAATCCCAGCATTTTGGGAGGCCGAGGAGGGTGGATAACTTGAGGTCAGGAGGTCAAGACCAGCCAGGCCAACATGGCAAAAACCCACGCCTTCTAAAAATACAAAAAATTAGCCAGGAGTGGTGGCGGGTGCCTGTAATCCCAACTACTCAGGGGGCTGAGGCAGGAGAATCAATTAAACCATGAGGCGGAGGTTGCAGTGAGCCAAGATCACACCACTGCCCTCCAGCCTGGGCGACAGAGCAACACTGTCTCAAAAAGAAAAAAAAAAGAATGCTAATTAATCACATGAAAGCATAAGAAAATATATAATATTCAGCAGTAAAGTTGCATATACTTGGGAGGCTGAGGCCGGAGAATTGCTTGAACCCAGGAAGTGGAGGTTTCAGTGAGCTGAGATCGCACCACTGCACTCCAGCCTGCCAAACTGCATCTCAAAACAAAAAACAAAAAACAAAAAACAAACAAAACTTGAGGCCTGGTCTCGTGCTCCCCTCCCATCCCCCCTTCCGTGGGTCCAAGCTGCCTTGGCTGAGGAGGGGGCTGAGGAGGTGTGAGCCCCTGCCAGGAACCCCCTGCCCAGACCATGTACTTGGCCCACAGGCCCCTGATGTCTGCGTCCAGCAAGGCCTCTGGTGGTGTCAGCATGTTTGTGTGGAGGAATGTGGAACCTTGCTCTGTGGCTGTGTTCTCCTGGTACTCTGTCCCCTTCCTGACCCCTCCCTGCAGCCGCGTGAGGCCCAGCAACCTGCCAGTCACTCAGTGGCCTCCAACCAGAGCAAAGAACCTGCCAAGTCGGCAGCTGTTGCTCACGAGTGTCCACCAGGTGGGACAGGGAGTGCTGACCCTGGGCGGCCCCCTGCAGCCACCTGCCCTGAAAGCCCAGGGCCCGGAACCCCACACACTTTGGGGGTGGTGGAACCTGGTAAAAGCCCACCTCTCACCATGGAGGAGGAGCCCTGGGCCCTCAGGGGAGTCCCTGCTGGACAGTGAGACAGAGAATGACCACGATGATGCTTTCCTCTCCGTCATGTCTCCTGACACCCAGTTGCCTCTACGATTCAGATGATGTCAGGCCCAGTCCCTCAGTGCCCTGTGCAAGGAACAGGACTCATCTTCTGAGAAGGATGGACGCAGCCCCAACAAATGGGACAAGGACCACATCTGGTGGCCCATGAGTGGCGGTCACGATCTTCAGCAAGCGGCACCAGGCCCTGGCAGGGCGCACCAGGGTCACCCCTACCAGGATAACTGGACCATCAGCCAGATCCTGAGCGAGCGGTGGTACACCCTGGGGCCCAATGAGATGCAGAAGTACCACGACCTGGCCTTCCAGGTGAAGGTGGCCCACTTGCAACAAGGACCGAAAGAAGTCCAGCTCAGAGGCCAAGCCCACAAGCCAGGGGCTAGCAGGAGTGTACAACGGATCGTGGGAGTGGAGCATATCAGAGACGGGCACTGCCACTACCCCTGGGGTGTCCTCTGAACTCCTGTCAGTTGCAGCCCAGACACTCCTGAGCTCGGATACCAAGGAGCAGCTTCTGTGGGGGCAGAACAGCTGCACACAGTCAGGGAACCTGGCTCAGCCTGGCCCAAGCCTTCTCCCACAAGGGGGTACACACAGCCTGGATGGCAGGGAAATAGACCGTCAGGCACTACAGGAACTGACACAGGTGGTGTCTGGCACTGCATCATACTCTGGCCCAAAGCCTTCTACTCAGTATGGAGCTCCAGGCCACTTTGCAGCCCCTGGTGAGGGAGGTGACCAGTGGGCAGCCCTGCTGCTGCCCACCTGAGCTGCTCATTCCCAGCACATGGCCGGTGAGGACATAGCGAGTGACGAGGAGCACATGGTCATCCATGAGGAGGAGGGGGTGATGGTGTCATTGCTGATGACGGCTTTAGCACCACTGACACTGATCTCAAGTTCAAGGAGTGGGTGACCGACTGAGAGTGGGGACAACTCTGGGGAGGAGCCAGAAAGCAACAAGGGCTTTGGTGGGAAGGTATCTGCACCTGTCATTCCTTCCTCCTTTACTCCTACTGCCCCTTGCTGGATCCTGAGTCCCCCGAGTCCCCCGATCCACCTGCAGTTTTTGGCAAAGTCTATGGTCCCACCCCGTCCTCCTCCTACACATACTCGGATGCTTCCTCCTCAACCTTGGCACCCACCTCCTTCTTACTGGGCCCAGGAGCCTTCAAAGCCCAGGAGTCTGGTCAGGGCAGCAGAGCAGGCCCCCTACGGCCCCTACCCCTGGGGGTGGGGGCCCAGGGATGCCTTCCAAGGCGATCTGTTTCCTCCCAATGGATCCTGCCACCTTCTGGTGCAAGAGATCTGAAAGTGTGGGCGACCTGGAGCTACCAGGCCCCTCAGTCATCGTGGTCCCTCCCAACACTAAGGCTTTCCTAGGCAGGAGCTGGGCTGAGCCACCCGGGGGGCAGAGCCTGAAGAGGAGAAACTGACTGGGCTTTGGGGGTCGGGGCAGAGGGAACCCCACGGACATGGATCCCGCACTGGAGGACCCCACCACGCTCAAATGCAAGATGAGAAGATGCTCCAGCTGCAGCCCAAAGCCCAACACCCCCAAGTGTGCCATGTGTGATGGGAACAGCTTCCCCTTTGCCTGTACAGGTGAAGCCGAGGACGGTCTCAGGGAACTGGAGACCGAGAAGGCGCTGTCCTCTTCACTGCATGCGCCCTGGACTAGTGCCGGCCCTGATCATGCAGCTCTTCCAGGCCCACTGCTTCTTCCTGTCCACTAGGCCACAGCCGCCCTCCAGGCCCACTATACACACATCTTCCCCTCCAAGGTTTGTTCTGCCCCTGCCCTGATTCCCAGCCCTGCAGGGGTCCTGACCCCACCTCACCTGGCTCAGACTCTGAAGCTGCCCTACCACTGCCTCTGCCCGAGAGTCACATGAGGCTGAGAGTAGGGGCAGGGGCAGCAGTGGTGCCAGTTGGGGGGCAGTCCAGTGGGAGGAGCCTCAGCCTCGCGGGCTGCTCTGTGGGACTGATGACTGCATGATCTTCTGGGCACCTCACGGATCTTCCACTGCAGGTGAAACGGATGCTGGTGGTGGGTGCAGGGCTGCTGGGAGCCGCTGCATGGGTCCCAGAGGCTGGACTGGGGCAGGTGCCAACTGAAGCTGCTGGGGCAGCATGGGCAGGATGTTCTGCACACAAACCTTGAAGAAGAAGATGTGTGCATAGCGGGTCCACTGCTGCTGCCCCTGCCCTGACTCCCAGCCCTGCCTGACCCCACCTCACCCTGCTCAGGCTCTGGCGCAACCCTGGCTGCCCTGCCACTGCCTCTGCCCCAGAGTTGGGGCCTCGACAGCCTGGCTGGAAGGGGCACCCCAGCCCTGCCTCAACACCTGGGTCCCTCCATAACTACCACAGGCAGGTGGGCGACCCCAAAGAAGATCCCAGGACTCACAGTACCCCGTGAGAACATGGACATTATGTGGGGGTAGCAATGGAGGGCAGGACGGTTATCTTCTCCCGGGTAAAGCCATTTAATCCTTTCAGTTTGGGACAGAATAAGGCCTGCTTCTCTCTTTTTTTTTTTTTTTTTTTTTGAGACGGAGTCTTGCTCTGTCGCCCAGGCTGGAGTGCAGTGGTGCGATCTTGACTCACTGCAACCTCTTCCTGCCGTGTTCACGCCATTCTCCTGCCTCAGCCTTCTGGGTAGCTGGGATTACAGGTGCACGCTAACACGTCCAGCTAATTTTTGTATTTTTAGTACAGACGGGGCTTCATCATCTTGGCCAGGCTGATTTCGATCTCCTGACATCGTGATCCGCCTGCTTCCACCTCCCAAAGTGCTGGGATTACAGGCATGAGCCACCACGCCTGGCCAAGGCCTGCTCCTCTTATATATACCCCCTACCCCTGCTGCTGTGCTGGGGGAAAGCTGGGCAGTTTCCCTCCTCCGAGCCCCTGTACATACCATGAAGTGTGGGACCTTCAGAGCTTTTCACTTTTCGGAAAATAGCTCCTGCTGGGGCTACAAGATGGAGTGTGAAGAGGGCCTTGGGCCACAGGGAGGCGCCTGTGGAATAGGGGGAGTTCATGCACCCCTTCTTTCCCCAGAGGGGCTGGACTCAGGTGAGTATGGGTGTGGGGGCTCCTGTACTTCGACACAGGCAGTGGGAGGGTTTTCTCCCCATTCCCTCTGCACTCCCAACTTGAGTTGTACTTTTTAAGAAAGTGATTCACCCTGCCCTTGCCACCTTCCCCAGAACAGAACACGTTGATCATGGGCGATATTTTTCATTGTGCCAAAAAGTTGCCATGACCGTCATTAAACCTGTTTTAACACCAAATAATAAGGAAAATAAAATAAAAAATTCGGGCTTGGTGCAGAAACTCACTCCAAATAAATTACCTACCAAAATATTTATATAATGGTGGAAATATTCCAAAATTCCATATTTTGGGATTTATACACGAAAGATAAAAAAATTAGAGGCCAAGAGGCTGCCAGAAGGGAAAAACGGGGCCTGGAAAGGCCGTTGTGAGGAATGAGCTGGGCCTAAAGAGGCCACTGGCCAGCAGGAGCTGGGCCTGCCGAAGTGGCCGAAAGGCAGGAGCTTTGGACTGGGGAGGCTGCAGTGAGGCGAGAGCTAGCTGGGCGTGGAGAGTCCACTGTGAAGCCGAGGCTGGGCCCGTGTAGGCCTTCGAGAGGCAGGAGGCCGGGCCTGCCAAGGCCGACTGGAGGTCAAGTTCTGGGCCTGAAGAGGCCACCAAAAGTCAAAAGCGGGGCCTGGGAAGACTGCCGAGAGCCATGAGCTGGGCTGGGCCGAAAGAGGCCACTGGGAGGCAGGAGGAGCTGGGCCTGGAGAGGCTGACTCGAGGAAGTTTTGCACCTGGAGAGGCCGCCGAGAGGACGGAGCTGGGCCCGGGGAGGCCGACTTGCAGCTCTTCCAGGCCCACTTCCAGGCCGACTTGAGGACGACTTAGGCCTGCAGAGGCCGCCGGGAGGCCAGAGCTGGGCCTGGAGAGGCCGACTTCAGGACGATTTGGGCCTGCAGAGGCTGCCGGGAGGCCCAAGCTGGGCCTAGAGGAGCCCACCGACCGGAGGCCGTTTGGGGCCTGGAGATGCCGTCGGAGGGCAGGAGCTGAGCCTGGAGAGGCCACCGTGAGGCCGGAGCTGGGCCTGGGGAGCTTGGCTTCAGGAAGTTGTGGGCCTACCAGGGCCGCTGGAAGCTGGGCGGGAGCTGAGTCCAAAGACCTTATTGGAAGGCCAGAGTCTGGCCTGGAGACGCAGCCGGGAGGAAGAGCTGGGCCCGGAGAGGACGCCGGGAGGCTGCAGGTGGGTCTGGAGAGGCCGACTTGAGGAGGCCCAGCCTCTGCCTCCCGCATGGCGGCCTCTGCAGGCCCAGCTGTTCCTCCTGGCTGCATCTCCCGGCCCAGCTCCTGCCTCCCAGCAAGCAAGCTCTTTTGGCTCAGCTCTCGCCGGCGTTTGTAGACCCCGAAGTTTCTGCAGCCAAGCTCTTCAGGCCCACATCCTGCCTCCCAGTGGCCTGTACAGTCCCAGCTCTGGCTGGAGAAGAGCGTCTGCAGGCCCTGCTGTTGCCTCCCAGGGGCGTCTCCAGGCCAAGCTCTCGCCCCACTGCGGCCTCCCGGGGCCAAGTCCCTGCCTGCCTTCCGGCAGCCTGCGTGCGGCCCTGCTCCTCCCTCACGGTGGCCTGTTGAGGCAGGGGCTCACGCTGACCTCTGTCAGCGTGGGAGGGGCCGGTGTGAGGCAAGGGGCTCACGCTGACCTCTGTCAGCTTGGGAGGGGCCGGTGTGAGGCAAGGGGCTCATGCTGACCTCTCTCAGTGTGGGAGGAGCCGGTATGAGGCAGGGGCTCACGCCTCTGGGCAGGGTGCCAGAGGCATGAGTTGGGCATCAACAGGCCACCGTGAGGGAGGAGCTGGGCGCACGCGGGCTGCCGGGAGGCAGGCAGGGACTTGGCCCCGGGAGGCCGCTGTGGGGGCGAGAGCTGGGCCTGGAGAGGCCCTGGGAGGCAAGAGCGTGGCCTGCAGAGGCTGTTCTCCAGCCAGAGCTGGGCCTGTACAGGCCACCGGGAGGCAGGAGGTGGGCCCGAAGAGCTTGGCTGGAGAAAGTTCGGGGCCTACAAAGGCGGTTGGGAGCTGGGCAGGAGCTGAGCCAAAAAAGCTTGCTTACTTGCTGGGAGGCAGGGCCGGGAGAGGCCGACTTCAGGACGACTTGGGCCTGCAGAGGTCGCCGGGAGGCCCAAGCTGGGCGTGGAGGAGCCCACCGACCGGAGACCATTTGGGGCCTGGAGACGCCATCGGAGGGCAGGAGCTGATCCTGGAGAGGCCACCGTGAGGCCTGACCTGGGCCTGGGGAGCTTGGCTTGAGGAAGCTGTGGGCCGACCAAGGCCGCCAGGAGATGGGCAGGCACTGAGTCCAAAGAGGTTGTTGGGAGGCAGGAGTCGGGCCTGGAGACGCAGCCGGGAGGAAGAGCTGGGCCTGGAGAGGACGCCCGGAGGGTGCAAGTGGGCCTGGAGAGGCCAACTTGAGGAGGTTCTGGGCCTGGAGAGGCCGCTGGAAGGGAAAAATGGGGCCTGGAAAGGCCGTTGTGAGGAATGAGCTGGGCCTAAAGAGGCCACTGGCCGGCAGGAGCTGGGCCTGCCGAAGTGGCCGAAAGGCAGGAGCTTTGGACTGGGGAGGCCGCAGTGAGGCAAGAGCTAGCTGGGCATGGAGAGTCCTCTGTGAGGCCGAGGCCGGGCCCATGCAGACCTTCGAGAGGCAGGAGGCCGGGCCTGCCAAGGCCGACTGGAGGTCAAGTTCTGGGCCTGAAGAGGCCACCAAAAGTCAAAAGCGGGGCCTGGGAAGACCGCCGAGAGCCATGAGCTGGGCTGGGCCGAAAGAGGCCACTGGGAGGCAGGAGGAGCTGGGCCTGGAGAGGCTGACTCGAGGAAGTTTTGCACCTGGAGAGGCCGCCGAGAGGACGGAGCTGGGCCCGGGGAGGCCGACTTGCAGCTCTTCCAGGCCCACTTCCAGGCTGACCTGAGGATGACTTGGGCCTGCAGAGGCCACCGGGAGGCTGGAGCTGGGCCTGGAGAGGCCGACTTCAGGACGATTTGGGCCTGCAGAGGCTGCCGGGAGGCCCAAGCTGGGCCTAGAGGAGCCCACCGACCGGAGGCCGTTTGGGGCCTGGAGACGCCGTCGGAGGGCAGGAGCTGAGCCTGGAGAGGCCACCGTGAGGCCGGAGCTGGGCCTGGGGAGCTTGGCTTCAGGAAGTTGTGGGCCTACCAGGGCCGCTGGAAGCTGGGCGGGAGCTGAGTCCAAAGACCTTGTTGGGAGGCCGGAGTCGGGCCTGGAGACGCAGCCGGGAGGAAGAGCTGGGCCCGGAGAGGACGCCGGGACGCTGCAGGTGGGTCCGGAGAGGCCGACTTGAGGAGGTTCTGGGCCTGGCGAGGCCGCCGGAAGGGAAAAACTGGGCCTGGAAAGGCCATTGTGAGGAATGAGCCCCATGGGCCTGAAGAGGCCACTGGCAGGCAGGAGCTGGGCCTGCCAAAGCGGCCGAGAGGCAGGAGCTTTGGACTCGGGAGGCTGCAGTGAGGCGAGAGCTAGCTGGGCGTGGAGAGTCCGCTGTGAGGCAGAGGCTGGGCCTGTGCAGGCCTTCAGGAGGCAGGAGGCCGGGCCTGGAGAGGCTGACTGGAGGTCAAGTTCTGGGCCTGCAGAGGCCGCCGAAAGTCAAAAGTGGGGCCTGGGAAGGCCGCCGGGAGGCATGAGCTGGGCTGGGCTGAAAGAGGCCACTGGGAGGCAGGAGGAGGTGGGCCTGGAGAGGCTGACTCGAGGAACATTTGCACCCAGAGAGGCTGCCGAGAGGCCGGAGCTGGGCCTGGGGAGGCCGACTTGAGGACGACTTGGGCCTGCAGAGGCCGCCGGGAGGCAAGAGCTGGCCCTGGACAGCCCAACTTGATGAGAGTCTGGGCCTGCAGAGGCCGCTGGGAGGAAGAGCTGGGCCTGGAGAGGCCGACTGGAAGAAGTCCAGGGCCTGGAGAGGATGCAAAGCAGCAAATGCTAGGCCTGGAAAGGCTGCCCTGAGGCACGTGCTTGGCCTATAGAGGCCACTGGGAGGCAGGAGCTGGGCCCGCAGAGGCTCCTGAGAAGGAGGAGCATTGCCCCAGGATGCCACGGTGAGGAAGAGGTGGGCCTGGAGAGCCCACTGTGAGGTAGAGGCCGGGCCTGTAGAGGCCGCCGACAGGCAGGGCCTGGGCCCGTTGAGGCCACGAGAGGCATGAGCTGGGCCTCAACAGGCCAGTGTGAGGCAGGAACTGACACTTGGGCAGGTTGCAAGAGGCATGAGTTGGGCCGAAAGAGGCCACCGTGAGGGAGGAGCTGGGCCTGTACAAGCTGCCGAAAGGCAGGAGCAGCTTTGGACTGGAGAGGCCACAGACAGGGAAGAGCTGGGTGTGGAGAGTCTGCTGTGAGGCAGAGGCTGGGCCTGTACACGCCCTCGGGAAGCAGGAGGCTGGGCCTGGAGAGGCCGACTTGAGGAAGTTTTGCTCCTGGAGAGGCCACTTAGAGGCAAGAGCTGGGTGTGAAGAGGCTGACTTGAGGTCGATTTTGGCCTGCAGAAGCCACCGGTAGCTAGGAGTTGGCCCTGGAGAGGCTGACTTGAGGACAATTTTGGCCTGTAGAGGCCACTGGGAGGGAGAGCTTGGTCTGGAGAGGCCAACTGGAGTAAGTTCAGGGCTTGGAGAGGATGCATAAAAGGAAACGCTCAGCCTGGAAAGTCTGCTGTGAGGCATTAGCTTGGCCTACACAGCACTTGTAGGTAGGAGCTGGGCCTGAAGAGGGTGACTTCAGGACAATTTTGGCCTGCAGAAGCCTTTGGGAGGAAGAGCTTGGCCTGGACCGGCTGACTGGAGGAAGTTTTGGGACTGGAGTATGCGTCAAAAAGCAAAAGTTAGGCTAGGAAAGGCCACTTCGCGGCATGATCTTGGCCTACAAAGGCAATTGCGAGGCAGGAGCTGGGCCTGTAGAGGCTGCTGAAAGGCAGGAGCTTGGCCTTAGGAGGCTATGCTCAGGCAAGTGGTGGGCCTGGAGGGTCTACTGTGTGGTAAGAGTCTGGGCCTGTGTAGGCCAACATGAGGCAGGAGCTGAGTTAGGAGAGGCCAACTTTTGGAGAATTTGGGCCTGCAGAGGCTGACAGGAGGCAAGAGCTGTGCCTGGAGAGTCCATCTTTTAGCATGAGCTGGGCCTAAAGAGACCATTGTGAGGCAGCAGCTGCCTGGGAGGCAGGCAGATTCGTGGCCTGGGGAGGCCACTGTGAGGCAAATGCTCAGTTTTCGGAGGATGCCGTGAGGCAGGGAGAAACTTGGCTTTCAGTGGCCGCAGTGAGGGAATAGTTTGATTGCTGAGGCTGCCGGGAGGCCGAAGGTGGGCCTGGAAAGCTTTACTTTAAGAAGTCTGTGGCCTACAGAGGCTGCCAGCAGCTCAGCAGGAGTTGGGCCAAAGAAGGTTGTTGTGAGGCAGGAGACGGGCCTGTAGACGCACTGGGAGGATGAGCTCGTCCTGGAGATGCCGAGTTAAGGACATTCTGGGCCTGGACAGGCTGCAAAAGGCAAAAGCTGTGCCTGGAAAAGTCACCATGGGGCATGAGCTTGGCCTAAAGAGGCCATTGCAAGGCAGGAGCTGGGCCTGTAGAGGCTGCCAAAAGGCAGGAGCTTCACCTGAGGATGCCACAGTGAGACACCATCTGGGTCTGGAGGGTCCACTGTGAGGCAGAGGCTGGCCTGTAGAGTCCAACAGTAGGCAGAGGTTGGGCAAAAGGCTGATTCGAGGAAGTTTTGGGCTTCAAGAGTCAGCCAGGAGGCAGGCGCTAGGCCTGGAAATGGCCCGACAGTCATGAGTTGGGCCTAAATGGGCCACTGTGAGGGAGGAGCTGTGCCTGTTGAGGCTGCTGGCAGGCAGGCAGAAACTTGGCCTGGGGCAGCTGCCATGAGGCAAGAGCTGGGCCTGGAGAAGCCCCTGGGAGGCAAGAGCAGGGCCTGCAGAGGCTATTCTCAAGTCAAAGCTGGGCCTGTTCATGCCACCGGGAAGCAGAAGGTGGGCCTGGAGAGTTTGACTTGAGGAAGTTTTGGGCCTACATTGGCCGCCGTGAGCTGGACAGGAACTGGGCCAAAAAAGGCTGTTGTGAGGCAGCAGTTGTGCCTGTAGACTCAGCTAAGAGGAAGAGCTGGGCCTGGAGAAGCCCCCATGAGGCAGAGGTTGGGCCTGTAGATGCTGACAGGAGGCAGGAACTGGGCCTGGAGAGGTCAACTTGAGGAGATTTTGGGCCTTCATAGGCCACCAGAAGGCAGCAGTTGGGACTAGAGAGGCTGATTTGAGGAAGTTTTGGGCCTGGAGATGACGTCCTGGGACAGGAACTGGGCCTGGAGAGGCCACCGTGAGGCATGAGCTGGATGTAGAGAGGCCAGTGTGAGGCAAGACCTGGGCCTATCTAGGCTGCTGGGAGACAGGCAGGAATCTGGCCAGGCAAGGTTGCCATGAGACAAAAGTTGGGCCTGGAAAGGCCCTTGTGAGGCATGAGCTTGGCCTAAAGAGGCCACTGGGTGGCAGGAGCTGGGTGTGTAGAAGCTGCTGAAAGGTTGGGAGCTTGGCTTGGGGGGTCCACAGTGAGGCAGATGCTGGGCCTGAAGAATCTGCTGTGAGGCAGATGTTGGGACTGTAGAGGCCGACGGGAGGCAGAGGCTGGGCCTGGAGAGGCCGCCAAGATGCAGGAGCTGGGCCTGGAGAGGCTGCCAAGAAGCATGAGCTGGGCCTGGTGAGGTCGACTTGAGAAAGTTCAGGGCCTGGAGAGAAGGCTGGGAGGCAGGAGCTGGGTCTAAAGAGGCCATTGTAACGGTGGAGCTGTGCCTGTGGAGGCTGTTGTGAGGCAGTAGCCTCATCTGCGGAGACTGCTGTGAGGTAGGGTATGGGCCTAAATAGGCCATTGTGAGTCATGAGCTTGGTCTGTGGAGGCTGACTGGAGAAAGTTCTGGGCCTGGCGAGGCTGCTGGGAGGTAGGAGCTGGGCCAAAAGATTTAAGCACATTACATTTATTGGCACTTTATTTCCATTAGTACACTGTAATATGTAATAAAATAATTATAGAACTCACCATAATGTAGAATCAGTGGGCGTGTTAAGCTTGTTTTCCTGCAACTGGATGGTCCCACCTGAGCGTGATGGGAGAAAGTGACAGATCAATAAGTATTAGATTCTCATAAGGACAGTGCAACCTAGATCCCTCACATGCACGGTTCACAACAGGGTGTGTTCTCCTATGAGAATCTAATGCTGCTGCTGATCTGAGAAGGTGGAGCTCAGGCGGGAATGTGAGCAAAGGGGAGTGGCTGTAAATACAGACGAAGCTTCCCTCTCTCCCTCACTCGACACCACTCACCTCCTGCTGTGTGGCTCCTTACGGCTCCATGGCTCAGGGTTGGGGACCCCTGCTGAAGTGCATCCAAAATGACCCTTCCTACACCAGTCTTCATAGTGGTCAAGTGCAGCAACCACTTAGCTCCGAAGGTATGTGCCTCAGCTGGCATTTCGTCACAATCAACAGTAAGTGGTAGCTTGAGTCATTGTGAGGTCACTTCCTGGAAATCACCAGCATCCCATTTCCCACTGGCAAAGAGCTCAGCACTGCCCCCTGGGAAACCAAACCTATGCCCAAATCCCATCTGTGTGGGTTTATCTCCTGGGACCCTTCCTAACATATTAGTCAGAGTCCAATCAGGAAGCATAAACCACTCAAAAGTTTAAAGTGGTAAAATTTAATACAGAGAATTATTCACTATAACAGGTGAACAGCATAATGAGAGATTGGCTAGCACAAAGTAAAGAGAACTCTAGAGAATATAGGACTAGCCCAGGCCAGGCATGGTGGCTCATGCCTGAAATTCCAGCAATTTGAGAAGCTAATGCAGGAGGATTGCTTAAGGTCAGGAGCTAGAGACCGGTCTGGACAACACAGTGAGACCCTGTCTCTATCCAAAAAAAGAAAAAAATTAGCTGGGAGTAGTGGTGCACACTTGTAGTCCCAGCTACTCGGAATGCTGAAGTTTGAGCCTGGGAGGTCAAGGCTGCAGTGAGGCATGATTATGCCACTACAGTCCAGCCTGGTGACAGAGCAAGAACCTGTCTCAAAGAACAAAACAACAACAACCATTTACAGACAGAAAAGAAATAGAGCTAATAAGCTAAGGGAAGATGTTGAAATGTGACAAGTAAGGTAATATGAGGTCTTTTATCTATTTAAAATAATCACACAAAAAAATGACTTACTAAATTATAATACCCTGTGCTGGCAAAGGTGCAGTGAAATGGGCACTTTGTTATACTATGAGGGGTGTTTAAGTTGTGTATAAGCCTTCCAGGGTAAAGCTTGTCAATTTCTTAAAATAATAGAGACAGGGTCTCACCATACTGCCATACTGCCTCCTCCAACTCTTGGCCTCAAGCAATCCTCCTGTCTTAGCCTCCCAAAGTGCTAAGATTATAGCTGGGAGGCATCCAAAACCTTGTCAATTTACATCAAGGGTAATGAGAATGTCCATTCACCATGACTCACAGTAATCTTACTTCTGGGGAGACAATTCAATCTAAACAAAAGGTCATCTGTACAAACAGTAAAAATCTGGGAGTAACTGAAGACAGAGTTGGTAAGTGAAATAAGAAACAGTTATAAGAAATTAAACTATGGTATCAATAGGCACCTGGTAAAAGGTCAGTTGATGTTAGCTGCTACTTTTTTGTTGTTCTGAGACAAGGTCTCACTGTGTCACCCAGGCTGGAGTGCAGAGGTCTGATCATGACTCACTGCAGTCTCAGCCTCCCTGGGCTCAAGTGATCCTCCCAGCTTAGCCTCCCAAGTAGCTGGGACTACAGGAACATGCCACCACACTAGGCTAATTCATGTATTTTTCTGTAGGGATGGTGACTCCCTTTGTTTCCAAGGCCTATCGCAAACTCTTGGCCTCAAGCCATCCTCCTGCCTCAGCCTCCCAAAGTGTTGTGATTACCAGTGTGAGCCACCACACCTGGCCAGCTGCTACTTTTATCAATATTATTTCCAGTCAATTAAAATTTATTATTTTCAAGGCTATGCAACAGTATGTATCCTACAGTGTAAAAACTTATACAGTCGTCCCTCAGTATACAGAATTAGTTCCAGCCCCCCATTGCTGCATATACCCAAATCCATGCTTACTCACGTTTTGCTGTCACCCCTCTGGAATCCACGTATAGGAAAATTCCAAATATTAGTTGGGCATAGTGGCAAGCACCTGTAGTCTCAGCCACGTGGGAGGTTGAGATGGGAGGATCGCTTCAGCCTGGAAGGTTGAGGCTGCAGTCAGCTGTGATAGCACTACTACACTCCAGCCTTGGACAACAGAGGGAGACCCTGTCTCAGAAAAAAAACAAAACAAGTTAGAAATTGTAATGAGGTCTGTTGGGCAAAATTCCATATAAGCAAAGTATAAATTAATAAAGCAAATGGTGATAAATTAGTACGATTGACTTTTTGGAGTTTCTGACAATAAAAGTAAGGAAAATGCAAAACACAAAGACAGAGAGTAAAAAGAGAAATTAGGAAAGCATTCTACATGTTTAATAGGAAGACACTGGCCATGTTCGTGCAGTAGCAGTATGTCATGATATGACATACCTTGGAGAGAAGTTAACAGATGAGGAAGTTGATAAAAATGATCAGAGAAGCAAAATACTGGTAGCGACACTCAAGTAAACCATGAAATTTCCATAACTTATGTCAGCAAAGTGGGAATATTGTACAGTGTGTGTTGAAGTTCCTATACAACATTGTTTATCTGCCTTTTGTTTGTTTGTAAGGAAAGTATATACTAAAAGTTCTTACTGTCAAAAGAATATGTGTGAATAAGTCATTTTAACTTATTCTTCTGTTTTTCTTTTATCTTCCTGCCATCATCCCACAGCCTTACTTTAGAAATTTTTTTTTTAGAAAATTGAACAAGTGTTCCTTGTGGTGGCACATACCTCTAGGATGGGAGGCAGGGGTGGAAGGGTCACTTGAGGCCATGAGTTTGACACCAGCCTGGCTAACAAAGTGAGACCCCATGTCTACAAAACAATTTAAAAATTAGCCAAGTATCGTCATGTATACCTACAGTCCCAGCTACTCAGGAGGCTCAGGTAGGAGGATCCTTAGCCCAGGAGTTCAAGGCTGCAGTGAGCTGTGATAGCACTACTGTACTCAAGCCTGGGTGACAGGGTGAGACCCCATCTCCTAAAATAAAAAAAACAAAGAAAAAAAATAGTTCAAGTAGCAAGTTGTATGTGGCTTACTCTGAATATTTCTAAACTAGAAATTCTCAATCTTTTGGGGTCTAACATCCCTTTACATTTTTTAACTTTATTGAAGATCTCTAATACTATTTCTTTCTGTAAATAATTGTATTAAAACTAGAAAATAAGACAAAATTTTAAAAATATTATTCATCACATATTAATAAAGCCATTACATGTTAATATAATACAAGATTTTAAAAATATTTAATATTCATTACATATTAATAATGAAACCATTACATGTTGATATAATACTTTTTTTTTCTTTGATACAAAGTCTTGTTCTTTCTCCCAGGCTGGAGTGAAGTGGCACAATCTCAGCTCATTGCAACCTCCGCCCTGCAGAGTTTCAAGTGATTCTCCTACCTCAGCCTCCCAAGTAGCTGGGATTACAGGCACCCACTACCATGTCCGGCTAATTATTGTATTTTCTTAGTAGAGAAGGAGTTTTCTTAGTAGAGAAGGCTGGTCTTGAACTCTTGACCTCAGGTGATCCACCCGCCTGGGTCTCCCTAAGTGCTGGGATTACAGGTGTGAGCCACCGCGCCCACCCCGATTAATATATGTTTTAAAACACTGATTAGTCAGGCAACAACACCGGGCAGGGGTCTCCTCATTCCCAGTGATGCAAACCCCACTGCACGGCTGAGGGGTTGCAAGGGCTGCAGAACCAAAAGGCTCTGACTTGAGATTTCATTATTTTACTTGTATTTTTATTTGTATTGTGAGACAGGTCCTGCTCTGTCACCCAGACTGGAGTGCAGCTGTGCACTTACAGCTCACTGCAGCCTCGACCTCGGGCTCAAGCCATCTTCCTGCCTCAGCTCCCCAGCAGCTGGTAGTACAGTTGAGTGCCACCATGCCTGGTTATTTTTTTAATTTTTTTGTAGAGTGAGGGGTCTTGCTATGTTGCTCAAGCTGGCCTCAAACTCCTGACCTCAAGAGATCTGCCCACTTCAGCCTCCTGAGTAGCTGAAACTACAAGTACACATCACCATGCCTAGCTACATTTACTTAATTTTGAAAAATATTTTTGTAAAGAGCAGATCCAGCTGTGTTGTCCAGGCTGGTCTTGAACACCTGCCCTTAAAAGATACTCCCACCTCTGGTTACCAAACAGCTGGGACTACAGGCATGAGCCACTGCAATGAGCCTGAAGAGATTTCTTTAATCTAGCATCCCATACTTGGTAGGATTGGGAAAGGCAGTAGTGTTTTTTAAAATTACTTAATAATTTCAGTAACAGTCAAATTCAACCTTGACCCCTGCCTTCTCTCACACCCCATATCCAGTCTGTCAGGAAATCCTGTTGACTGTCTTCGACATGTACTAAAGATCCCCACCCAGTAACTCCCTGGCCTCCTCCCCTACTTCTCCCCTCTGGCCATCTCTCAACACCACCATGGCCCTGGTCAGGACCACCATCATCTCCCGCCTGGATGTTGCCAAAGCTTGGCCCCCAAGCTTCTACCCACATCTTCCCACAGTCTTTCTCAACTCAGCAGCCAGAGAATTCTTTTAAATCGGGAGACAGATCATGTCGCTTCTCTGCTCAGAACCTTCCCGCAGTTCCCATCTGAGTCAGAGTAAAAGCCAAAGCCCCAGCAATAACCTCCCAGGGCTTATGTGATCTGTACTGATCCCCACCCAGCAACTCCCTGGCCCCCTCCCCTAATTCTCTCCTCCCCGTCTGCTCCATGGGCCTCCTTCCAGAGTCTCAGACACACCTCAGACACTTTATTCTATTGTTTCTGCCTGCGATCCTCTTCCCTCAGCACCTTGGCCAGCTCCTTCCCCTCCTTCAAGTCTTTACTCAATTTTCACTTAGGAGGCCACCCCTGACCATTCTATTTAACACTGCCATCTGTCCCCATGCCCACCATGCTCATTTCTTCTTTCTTTACTTTCTTCTTTCTTTTTTCAAGATCTCACTGTCACCAAGGCTGGAGTGCAGTGGCGCAATCACAGCTCACTGCAACCTCAAATTTCCAGGCTCAAGCGATCCTCCCACCTCAGCCTCCCAAGTAGCTGGGACTCCAGGTTCATGCCATCATGCCTGGCTAAATTTTTTAGTATTTTATTTTATTTTGAGACAGAGTTTCACTCTTCTTGCCCAGGCTGTAGTGTAATGGTGCGATCCCGGCTCACTGCAACCTCCACCTCCCAGATTCAAGTGATTCTCCTGCCTCAGCCTTCCAAGTAGCTGGGATTACAGGTGCATGCCACCACGCCCAGCTAATTTTTGTATTTTTAGTAGAGCCGGGGTTTCGCAATGTTGGCCATGCTGGTCTCGAACTCCTGACCTCAGGTAATCTGCCCACTTCGGCCCCCCAGAGTGCTGGAATTACAGGTGTGAGCCACCACGCCTGGCCAATTTTTTCATTTTTTGTAGAGACAAGGTCTTACTATGTTGCCCAGACTGGTCTTGAACTCCTGGCCTCAAGTGATCCTCCTGTCTAAATTCCTAAAGTGCTGGGACTACCGGCATGAGCCATCATGACTGGCTTTATGTTCATTTCTTCTTGCTGCTGCAACATAGTTTGCAGTTTCCTACATTTAGTGGCTTAAAACACCACAAATCTACCATCTTACAGTTCTAGGGGCCAGAAACCCAAACTAGGTCTAGTAAGGCTAAAGTCAAGGTGTCAGCAGGGCTGCATTCCTTCTAGAGACTCTAAAGTGTTCCCTTGGCTTTTCCAGCTTCTAGAAGCCACCCCCATTCCTTGGATCATGGCCCCTGACTCCATCTTCAAAGCCAGAAGTGAAGCATCTTCAAATCTCCCTCTCTTACCTCTGCTTTCATCACCACATCTCCTGCTCCAATTCTGAATCTCCTACTCTCTTTCTTTTATAAAGACCCTTGTGACTGCTGGGCATGGGGGCTCCCACCCAGAATCCCAACACTTTGGGAGGTCAAGGCAGGAGGAACACTTGAGGCCCGAAGTTTGAAACTAGAATGAACAACACAGTGAGACCCCCACCTCTAGAAAAAAATAAAAATAAATATTAGCCCGACATGGGGGTATGTGCCTGTAGTCCCAGCTACTTGAGAGGATGAGGTGAGACAATCGATTTAGCCCAGGAGTTTGAGATCAGCCTGGACCACATAACTAAATCTCATCTCTACAAGGACGAGGTGGGAGGATCACTTGAGCCCAGGAATTTGTGGCCAGCCTGGGCAACAAAAGAAGACCCCATCTGGCCAACATGGTGAAACTCCGACTCTACAAAAATGAGCCGGCACAGGTGACATGCATGTGTAGTCCTAGCTACTTGGGAGGTTGAGATGGGAGGATCACTTGATCTCAGAAGGCCAAAGCTATAGTGAGCTATGATACCATCACTGCACTCCAGCCTGGATGACACAGGGAGATTCTGTCTCAAAAAAAAAAATAAAAGAAATATATATTTAATCTCTGTCCCTGGTTCCTGGCACAGAGCTTCTAAAGCTCTTACAAAGACCTCAGTGATAGATGTGACAGGAACATCTTTTGTTTTAATATTTGGTCTTGGTCCCAGGTTTCTAACACAAGAGCCTCTAAGAACTTTGGGATCTCCAGCATGGTAAGAATGCATTTGGGGATGTTGTTGAGATGACTGGGTGACTGCAAGCTCCTAGATTTCTTCAGGAGGAGGGCTGATTGCCAATGGAAGCATCCACATGATTAGACGCTTGGAACTTTCAGCCTCATGCACTGAACTCCAGGAGGAAGAGGGGCTGGAGACTGCCTTAATCACCAATGGCCAAAGATTTTATCAATCATGCTTGCATAATAAAGCCTCCATAAACACCCTGAACAGGGTTTGTGGAGCTTCCGGGGTTGCTGAACACAGGAGATGCTGGGAGGGTGGCATGTTCAACAGAGGGCATGGGAGCTCTGTGCTCCTCCTAACTTACCTTGCCTTGGGCATCTTTCTTTTTTTTTGAGATAGGGTCTGGCTCTTTTGTCCAAGCTAGAGTGGAGTGGCACAATCTCAGCTCACTGTAACCTAAGCCTCCCCAGTCCCCAGCTCAAGGTGTCCTCTCACCTCAGCATCCCTAGTAGTTGGAACTCTAGGTGCACACCACCACACCCGGTTATTATTTTTTTTTATTTTCTGTAGAGACAGGTTTTCACCATGTTGCCGAGGCTGGTCTCAAACTCCTCAGTTTAAGCGATGCTCCCACTTGGCCTCCCAAAGTTCTGAGATTACAGGCATGAGCCACTGCATCCAGCATGTACGTCTCTTTCATTGGCTGTTTCTGAAATGTATCCTTTGCAATGAACCAGTAATAGGAAATGAACTGGCCAGACGCGGTGGCTCACATCTGTAATCCTAGCACTTTAAGAGGCAGAGGTGGGAGGATCACTTGAGACCAGGAATTTGTGGCCAGCCTGGGCAACACAACAAGACCCCATCTATACAAAAAATAAATAAGCCAGATGTGGTGGTGCAGGCATGTAGTCTCAGCTACTAGGGAGGATGAGGTGGGAGAACCACTGGAGCCCAGGCAGTCAAGGCTGCAGTGAGCTATGACTGCACCATTGCACACCAGCCTGGGCAAAAATATAAGACCCTCTCTCTCAGAAAAAAAGAAAATAAACTGTTTTTCTGAGTTCTGTAAACTGTTCTAGCAAATAATTAAACCCAAGAATAGAGTTATGGGAACCCCTGATTTGTAACAGGTTGGTCAAAAGTACAGGTGACAACCTAGGACTTGCCATTGGCATCTGAAGTGAGGATGGTCTCGTGGGACTGAGCCCCTAACTTGTGGGGTCTGTGCTAACTCCAGGCAGTGTCAGAATAAAATCATGGGATACCCAGTTAATATTCAGAGCACTGGAGAATTTGGTGTAAAACTCCATACATACATTCAGTCAGAAGTGTGTGAGCAGAGACAAACACGGGCTTTTCTTTCACCTGTCTACCTGCTTAACTGCATAGGAGAGGCAATACGTGGTGCTCATGAACAAAGCAAGCATTAAAGTCAGACCAGACCCAACATTCGACTCAGTCTTAATATCCAGGTGAGCTTGGGCAAATCACTCATTATTGCTAAGTCTTCATCACTTCATTCATAAAATGGGGATAACTGTGGCACCTACCTGTGATTCTGTGAGAATTAATGAAATATTATGCTTGGTGTTATTGTGATAATTATACCTATTCCAAACTATTTGACAAGGACAGTGATGGATGACAACATCAAAAAATTAGAAACTGTAGTGAGATCTCTCAGGCAAAATTCCATACAAGCAAATTACTGTCTCCACAAAGCATTCCTGCCACACTTAATTCACCATTCCCTGAACAAAATGTGCCATCTTCATTGTCCAGGTCTGTGCAGTGCTGGTTTCCCTGCCTGGGCAGCTCACTCCATCCCATTCCAGCCCATTCCCCATCCCTCCACCTCCCCCTTCCCTCCCCACTCTCATACAACTCTTCCTCATCTTTCAGGACTTGGCTTCAGTGTCACCTTAACTGGAAACTTCTCTCAGCCTCTGGAAGAGCTTCCCATTGCACTTGATGCATGCACTATTATTTGATCATTTTTGAGTTACAGTCCAAGTCTTTTTGTACCTGAATAACATGTTACCCAGTCAGTCTCTTTTCCTGGATTCAGAAGTCTTTCATGGTAGATTCAGCTGGAAGTGACAAATACATTCTTCCGAAATAAAGGGATGACACAAAGAGACATAAGTTCTTAAACGTCTTAAATGGTATGTGAAAATTAAACAAAATTCAAAGACTTGTGGGAACACTTAGAAGGAAAGTTACTGGGAATGTCATAAAGGGTTAATCTGTACTTTATTTTTTGAGACATTATTTTTATTTGATTTTTAATTTTCTGTCACCTAGGCTGGAGTGCAGTGGTGCAATCAGGGCTCACTGCAGCCTCAACCACCTGGGCTCAAGTAATCTCACTTAATTTTTATTTGGTTTAAGAAACGGTCTTGGTTGAGGGTGGTGGCTTATGCCTGTAATCTCAGCACTTTGGGAGGCTGAGAGAGGTATATTACTTGAGGCCAGGAGTTTGAGATCAGTCTGGGCAATATATTAAGACCTTGTCTCTACTAAAAAACAGAGTGAATGTGCGGAAGACAATTTTTCCACAGACTGGGAGTGGAGGGAATAATTTCAGGATGATTCAAGTGCATTACAAATATTGTGCACTTTATTTCCATTACTATTACATTGTAATATATAATGAAGTAATTCTACAACTCACTATAATGTAGAATCAGTGGGATCTCTGAGCTTGTTTTCCTGCAACTAGACTGTCCATCTGGGGTGATGGGAGACAGTGACAGAACATCAGGCATTAGATTCTCGTAAGGAGCGCACAACCTAGATCCCTCGCATGCTCACTTCACAACAGGTTTCGTGCTCCTATGAGAATCTAATGCTGCTGCTGATCTGACAGGACATGGAGCTCAGGTGGTCATGCAAGCGATGGGAGGGGCTAGAAATACAGATGAAGTTTCCCTTCACTCGCCTGCTGCTCACCTCTGGCTCTGTGGCCCTGTGTTTGGAGACTGCTGCTCAAGTGCATTCGAAAGGATCCATCCCATGCCATTCTTCAGTCATCTTTACTGCTGCAGTGGTCAACTGTAGCACCCCTAAGCTTGCAGGGCATATGCTTCACCTGGTATTTCTTTTTTTTTTTTTTTTTGAGATGGAGTCTCACTCTGTCGCCCAGGCTGGAGTGCAGTGGCACGATCTCGGCTCACTGCAAGCTCTGCCTCCCAGCTTCCCGCCATTCTCCTGCCTCAGCCTCCCAAGTAGCTGGGACTATAGGTGCCTGCCACCATGCCCAGCTAATTTTTTGTATTTTTAGTAGAGACGGGGTTTCACCGTGTTAGCCAGGATGGTCTCGATCTTCTGACCTCGTGATCCACTCGCCTTGGCCTCCCAAAGTGCTGGGATTACAGGGGTGAGCCGCCGCACCCGGCCTTCACCTGGTATTTCATCACAATCAACAGTAAGTGGTAGCTTGAGTCATTGTGAGGTCACTTCCTGGAAATCACCAGCATCCCATATCCCATTAGCAAGGAGCTCAGCACTGCTCCTTGGATAACGAAACCTATTCCCAAATCCCATCTATGTGGGTCTATCTCCTGGTACGCTTCCTACCATCAATTCTGTATTTGTAGGAGTCCAATCAGGAGAAACAAACCACTCAAAAGTTTAAACTAGAATGAGCAAGGTGGCTCACACCTGTAATCCCAGCACTTTGGGAGGCCAAGGTGGGTGAATTGCTTTGAGCTCAGGAGTTTGAGACTAGTCTGGGAAACATGGTGAAACCCCATCTCTACAAAAAACACAAAAATTAGCTCGGTGTGGCGGCACTTACCTGTAATCCCAGCTACTCGGGAGGCTAAGTCAGGAGACTTGCTTGAGCCTGGCAGGTGGAGGCTGCAGTGAGCAGAAGTTGTGCCACTGTACTCCAGCCTGAGTGACAGCGTGAGACCTGGTATCAAAAAGAAAAATATATATATATATGTAAATTTAATATAGAAAGTATTAATTTTGGCCAGGCACCATGGCTCATGCCTGTAATCCCAGCACTTTGGGAGGCCAAGGCAGGCGGATCACCTGAGGTCAGGAGTTCAAGACCAGCCTGACCAACATGGAGAAACCCCATCTCTACTAAAAATACAAAATTAGCTGGGCATGGTGGCACATGCCTGTAATCCCAGCTACTCGGGAGGCTGAGGCAGGAGAATCATTTGAACCCAGCAGGCGGAGGTTGCGGTGAGCCAAGATAGCGCCACTGCACTCCAGCCTGGGCAATCCAGCCTGGGCAACAAGAGTGAAACTCCATCTCAAAAAAAAAAGTATTAATTTTAGCAGAGGATCAGCATAATGAGGGACACTCTAGCACAAAGTAAAGACAACTCTAGAGAATACAGAACTAGCAGAGGCCAGGCACTATGGCTCATGCCTGTAATCCCAGCAATTTGGGAAGCCTAGGCAGGAGGATCACTTGAGGCCAGGAGTTGGAGACCTGTCAGCGCAACACAGTGAGACTATATGTCTACCAAAAAAAGAGAAAAATATTAGCTAGGTGTGGTGGTGGTGCACACCTGTAATTCCAGCTACTTGGGAGTCTGGGGTGGGAGGATCCCTTGAGGCTGGGAAGTCTACACTACAGTGATCCAAGATCATGCCACTGCACTCCAGCCTGGGTGACAGAGTGAGACCCTGTCTTAGAAAGAAAAAGAAAAGAAAGTGTTAATCCCCCTAAGGGAATCTCCTCTTCTCCTGCCCTCTCTGGAACCTCACTTGTCAGTTCTTCCTCCCACTTTCCTGTATCTTTAACCTATCCCCCACTTTTAGCACCTTCCCACCATCATTTAAATTACTCAAACTTCTTGTTTTAAAAACCTCTCCCTCAACTCAGTGAGAGGTCTCCTGCACACCCATTGAGCCATCTGCTCTCCCTGGTTCCTTCTCTACAGAAGCCTGAGCCATGTCTCTAATCCATGAATCTCATCATGTTACTTCCCCATTTACATCACTTCTCCTTGCCTCGGGGATTAAGTCCAAACTCCTTAACAGCCCCTGCTCTGCCCTGCCTTGCAAGGCAGCCTCACTGCTTGCCCCTCTCCATTTCACCTGCTATGGAGTCCAACTGAGCCTCATCTGCCCCCTGAATGCACACTCTTTCTCCTCTGGGAGTCTCTGAAGTGGGTGATATCCTCTGCTTATAATACGCTTCCCCTTAAACCTCTACTCTCTTCCTGGCTAGCTTCAGCTCCTCTGTCACTTGTCTGCTTTGGCATCACCTCCTCATGGAAGACTTCCTTGACTCCCCAGATTCTCAGGAGCATGGCAGGTGAGATGCTCCTCCCATGAATGGATGGAGATTAGGGAGTGTGTGTTATTCATGCTTAATTCACCAGTGCTTAGCTCAGTACCTGGCACAAGTTACTGTGGTGGCCAAAGTAATAACCCCCCACCCTGCCAACTAATTGCTCATGTCCTATGTTACACAGCACAATTACATAGGAAGGGAGAATTAAGAGTGCAGATAAAATTAATGTTGCTCATCAGCTGACCTTAAAACAAGATTATCCTGGAGTATCTAGGAGAGCCCATGTAATTACAAGCATTCTTTAAAAGTGGAAGAGGGAGGCAGAAGGTTAAGAACCAGAGACAGTGGGCACAATGACTCATGCCTGTAATACCAATACTTTGGGAGGCCGAGTCAGGAAAATCCCTTGAGTGCAGGAGTTCAAGGTCAGCCATGGCAACATAGTGCGGCCCCATCTCTACAAAAAAATAAAAACAAAATTCACCGAGTGTCATAGTGCTTACCAGCTACTGGGAAGGCTGACGTGGTAGGATTGCTTGAGCCTGGGAGTTTGAGGCTACAATGAGCCATGATTGGACCACTGAACTCCATCCTGAGTGACAGGGCAAGGTCCTGTTTCTAAAGAAAAAAAGGACATTGGAATCAGGGTCCCCTCCATCCTAAGGTGGCTACAAGGCATCTCTCTCTGCAAATGAGTAAACATCATCCTCCAACTCCTCACAGAGTGAAGCAGCAGGAAAACTCCCTCACCTCATTTCTGTGCTGCTTGGGAGGCCTGGACACCCATAACCAGCACCTTGCTGATGAAGCAATTAGAAAATGGCTCCAGTTGAGCTAAGGAGAATTTGGCTCCTTCTTTTGGTTCTCAATAGGCAGGGTAGGGGCCAGGCATGGTGGCTTATACCTGTAATCCTTGCACTGTAGGGGGCCAAGGTGAGAGGACTGCTTGAGGCCAGGAGCTCAAGACCAGCCTGGGCAACATAGCAAGACCTGGGTGGCATACACCTGTGGTCCCTACTTCTTGGTAGGATGAGGTGGGAGGATTGATCACTTGATCCCAGGAGTTTCAGGCTGCAGTGAGCCATGATCACACCACTACACTTCAGCCTGGGTGACAGAGCCAGACCATGTCTCAAAAAGTAAAAAAAAAAAAAAAAAAAAAAATAGAGAGAGGGAGAGAGACTATAGGCAGGTACCCCCACATTTGGCTAATTTTTAAATATTCTGTAGAGACAAGGTCTTGCTAGGTTGCCCAGGCTGGTCTAAAACTCCTGGCATCAGGCTGGGCATGGTGGCTCATGCTTGCTATCCCAGCACTTTGGGAGGCTGAGGCAGGCAAATCACCTGAAGTCAGGAGTTCGAGACCAGCCTGGCCGACATGGTGAAACTCTGACTCTATTAAAAATATAAAAATAAGCCGGGCAGTAGTGGCATGTACCTGTAGTCTCAGCTACTCAGGAGGCTGAGGCAGAGGTTGCAGTGGGCCAAGATCGCACCACTGCACTCCACCCTGGGCAACAGAGTGAGACTCTGTCTTAAAAAAAAAAAAAAACAAAACAAAACAAAACAAAAAAAAACTCCTGGCATCAAGACATCTTCCTGTCTTAGCTTCCCAGTGCCCTGGGATTATATTGTTTCCTATAATTGAAGACACTCGTTCTTATACTGCTTTAAGGTATAAAGAAAAAAAAAACCATAATGACAAATGTTGGTGAAGGCTGGGCATGGTGGCTCAGCCTGTAATTCCAGAACTTTGGGAGGCTGAGGTGGGCAGATCACTTGAGGCCAGGAGTATGAGACCAGCCTGGGCAACATGGTAAAATCCCATCTATAAAAATTAGCCAAGCATGGTGGCATACACCTGTAATTTTCAGCTACTCAGGAGGCTGAGAAGAGAGAATCACTTGTGCCTGGGAGGTCAAGGCTGCAATGAACTGTGATAGCGTCACTGTGCTGCAGCCTGAGAGACAGAGCAAGCCCCTATCTAGAAAAAAAAAATGTCAGTGAAGATGTGGAGGAGTTGGAACCCACATACATTACTGGTGGGAACATTAAATCGTGTAAACACTTTGGGTAGTTCTGTTCTTTTTATTTTAATTGGATTTTTTTTTTTTTAAATCAAGACAGGGTTTCACTATCTTGCCCAGGCTGGTCTTGAATTCACGGGCTCAATTCTTCCCAACTGAGCCTCCTGAGTAGCTGGGATTATAGGTGTGAGCCATTGCACCCAACTAGTGTAGCCACTTTAGAAAACAGTGTGGCAGTTTCTCAAAAGCCTAAATGTACAGTCATCATATAATGTGACAATTTCACTCCTAGGCATATATCCCAGAGAAATAAAAATATATGTCCACACAAAAACTTGTACAACAGTCTTCATAGCAGCATTATTCATAATGGCCAATACATGGTAACAACCCAAATGTCCACCAACTGATGAACAGATAAACAAAATGCAGTGTGTCTCTACCATGGAATATTGCCATAGAAGGAATGAAATATTGATACACACTATGACATAAAGGCACTTTGAAAACACTGTGCTAAGAGGGAAAAAAAGCCACAAAAGATCACATATTGTACAATTCTATTTGTCCAGATTAGGCAAATCTATAGTGACAAAAAATAAATCATGGCTGCCTAAGGCTGGGGGCCAAGGCAGGTTGGGGGAGTAGGAGGTAGTGGCTAAGGGGTATGGATATGGATTTCTCTAAAGGGTAATGAAAGGTTCTAAAAGTGACTGTGGTGATCGATGCACAGCTCTGTGAATATTCTAAAACCTACTGAATTGCAGATTTCAATAAATAAAGTGAATGGTATGTGAATCATATTTTAATAAAGCTATTATTTAAAATAATAATAATAGGGGGCTGGGCACAGGTGGTCATGCCGGCCTGTAATCCCAGCACTTTGGGAGGCTGAGGCAGGAGGATCACTTGAAGTCAGGAGTTTTGAGCCCAGTCTGAGCAACCTGGCAAGATCCTGTCTCTATGATAAAAAATGAAAAAATTAGCTGGACATGGTGGCACACGTCTGTAGTCCCAGCTACTTGGGAGACTGAAGTGGGAGAACCGCTTGAGCTCAGGAGTTTGAGGCTCAGTGAACCATGATCATGTCACTGTACTGCAGCCTGAGCAACAGAGCAAGACCCTGTCTCTGAAAAGGAAAGAAAACAAATGCAAGTTTTTATCACTTTGTGAGTGTAGCCAAGTTGGAGGAGAAATAGACAATAATAAAAGAGCACTGAATAACGAGGGTGAGTGGCTGATTAGGCTCAGTTGCTAGCTAAGTGGCTTCTAAAAAATTCATTAGTAAAGTTATAGCTCTGTGGACAGTCACGTAGTCAAAGAATGAATGCTAAATTCATTACAAAGGCCCGTGGTCTTTCTTTACATGCCTTCTAGTGAAAAATTCCTAAGTGCCTAAATAGCAAATCTGCAATCATAGCAGCTGTTTATTAAAGACTACAAAAAAGAAATGGAGGCCCAGAGTGGTGGCTCATGTCTGTAATCCCTGCACTTTGGGAGGCTGAGGCAGGCAGATCACTTGAGTTCAGGAGTTCGAGGTGAGCCTGGCCAACATGGTGAAACCCCATCTCTACTAAAAATACAAAAATCATCTGGGTGGCGGGCACCTGTAATCCCAGCTACTCGGGAGGCTAAGGCAGGAGAATTGCTTGAACCCAGAAGGCAAGGGTTGCAGTGAGCCAAAATCGCACCACTGCACTCCAGCCTGGGCGACAAGAGCAAGACTCTATCTTAAAAAAAAAAAAAAAAAAAAAAAGGCATCTTCTTAAAGAATGACATAGTGTTTCATGATAAAGAAGCTCTAATTTTGCATTTGTTCAAGTATTGATTAGATTTAGCCAATATGACACCAATCTTGGATAAAGTGCAAACAACACAATTTCATTTTCTCATTAAAAACTGATTAGGTAGTCTAATATCAATTCTGACCTTATTAAAAACTGATCAGATTAAAAAAATTATGGAATGATGGAGCCAATAAGATGTTACAACCTGTTCCAAGGGGAATTCCAAAACCCACACATATTTGAGACCATCAAATATGATGAAATATATTTGATTACTATATTGAAAAATAAACTGATTATATAGCTAATAACAATTGGCAGGGGTCTCCTCATCCACAGCCACACAAACCCGATCACGCAGCTATGTGGTTGCAAGGCCTACATAGCCTAGAAGGGACTGGTCTGACTTGAGAATTCATTTCATTTGTATTTGTATTTATATTTTGAGACAGGGTCCCACTCTGTCACCCAGGATGGAGTGCAGTGGTATAATCATAGCTCACTGCAGCCTTGACCAACTGGGCTCAAGAGATGCTCCTGCCTCAGCCACCCCAATACCTGGGAAACAGGCAAGTACCACCATGTCAGGCTTTTTTTTTTTTTTTTTTTTTTTCAATTTTTGTAGAGAGAGAAGTCTTGATATGTTGCCCAAGCTGGCCTCAAACTCCTAGAATCAAGAGATCTTCCCATCTCAGCCTCCTGAGTAACTGGGGCCACAGGTACACACCATCATGCCTGGCTATATTTATTTTATTAAATATATTTCTTTTATTTTTGTAGAGCGGTCTTGCTGTGTTGCCCAGGCTGCTCTCAAACTCATGGCCTTAAAACATACTCCCATCTCTGCCTCTCAAACTGTTGGAACTATAGGTGTGAGCGACTGCACCTGGCCTGACTTGAGATTTCTTTTATCTAGCATCCTTTACTTGGTAGGATTGGGAAAGGCAGTAGTGTTTTTTGAAATTACTTAATAATTCAGTTAGAATCAAACTCAACCTTGACCCCTGCCTTCTCTCACAGCTCACATCCAGTCTGTCAGGAAATCCTACTGACTGACTTCAACATGTATCCAGGCTCTGACCATCTCTCACCACCACCGTGCACCCAGTAAGGATCACTATCCTCTCCCACCGGGATGTTGCCACAGCTTGGCCCCCGTGCTTCTACCCAAATCTTCCCATAGTCTTCTCAACTTGGCAGCCAGGGCGTGCTTTTAAATCAGGAGACAGATCATGTCGCCTCTCGGCTCAGAAGCCCTCGGTGGTTCCCATTTTAGTCAGAGTAAAAGCCAAAGCCCCAGCAACAGTGTCCCAGGGCTTACATGATCTGTACCGATCCCAGCCCAGCAACTCCCTGGCCTCCTCACCGACTTCGCTCCCTCTATCTCTTTGCTCCACTGGCCTCCTTCCAGAGCCTCAGACACACCAGGGAATTTCCTCCTAATACCTTTATCCTGTTGACTCAGCCTACAATGCTTTTCCCTCAGCACTTTGGCCAGCTCCATCATCTGCTTCAAACTTTTGCTCAATATTCACTTATGAGGCCAACCCTGACCACTCTACTTAACATTGCCATCTGTCCCCATTCCCACCATGCTCATTTCTTTCTTTCTTTTTGAAACAAGGTCTTGCTCTATTGCCCAGGCTGGAGTACAGTGGTGCAATCATAGCTCACAGCAACTTCAACCTCCCAGGCTTAAACAATTCTCCCACCTCAGCTTCCCTAGGAACTGAAACTACAGCTGCATGCCACAACACCTGGCTAATTTTTTTTTTTGGAGACGGAGTCTCGGTCGCCCAGGCTGAAGTGCAACAGCACGATCTCAGCTCACTGCAATGTCTGCCTTTCAGGTTCAAATGATTCTCTGCCTCAGCCTCCCGAGTAGCTGGGATTACATCCACCACCACACCTGGCTAATTTTTGTATTTTTAGTGGAGATGGGGTTTCACCATCTTGGCCAGGCTGGTCTTGAACATCTGACCTCGGGATCCACCCGCCTCCACCTCCCAAAGTGCTGGGATTACAAATGTGAGCCACCGCGCCCGGACTTTTTAAAAAAATTCTTTTAGACATGAGTTCTCATTATGTTGCCCAGGCTGGAGTGCAATGGCATGATCTCGATTCACTGCAACTTCCACCTCCTGGGTTCAAGTGATTCTCCTGCATCAGCCTCCCAATTACCTGGGATTACAGGCATGTGCCACTACGCCCGGCTAATTATTTTTGTATTTTCAGTGGAGATGGGGTTTCACTATGTTGGTCAGGCTGGTCTTCAACTCCTGACCTCAAGTGATCCACCTGCCTCGGCCTCCAAAAGTGCTCACAGGCGTCAGCCACTGCACCCGGCCACGCACATCCGAATTCTACCGGATGTACAAAGAAGAACTGATACCAGTTCTATTGAAACTTTTCCAGAAAATCAAGGAGGAGGGGCTTCTCCTTAACTCATTCTAAGAAGCCAGCATCATCCTGATACAAAAATCTAGCAGAGACACAATGAAAACGAAAAACTTCAGGCCAATATCCTTGATAAACATAGATGAAAAAATCCTCAACAAAATACTAGCAAACAAAATCCAGCAGCACATCAAAAAGTTAAACCACAATGATCAAGCATACTTTATTTCTAGGATACAAGTTTGGTTCAAAATATGCAAATCAACCAATGTGATTCATCACTAAGCAGAACTAAAGACAAAAACCATAAGGTCATCTCAATAGATGCAGAAAAAAGCCTTTGGTAAAATCCAACATCCCTTCATGATAAAAACTCTCAACATATTATGCTGAGAGTTCAACATATAATATTGAAGGAATATACCTCAAAATTATAAGAGCCATCTATGACAAACCCACAACCAACATCATACCGAATGGGCAAAAGCTGGAAACATTCCCTTTGAGAACTGGAAGAAGACAAGGATTCCCACTCTCACCACTCCTATTCAACATAGTATTGGAAGTCCTGGCCAGATAAATCAGGCAAGAGAAAGAAAGAAAATGCATATGAATAGGAAAAGAAGGAGTCCAAACTCTCTCTTTGCCAATATTATTCTACACCAAGAAAACCCTAAAGACTCTGCCAAAAGGCTCCTGGAAATGATAAACAAATTCAGTAAAGTTCAGGGTACAAAATCAATGTACAAAAATCAATAGCATTTTTATACATCAATAACATTCTACCTGAGAACCAAATCAAGAACACAATCCCATTTACAATAGCCACAAAGGAAATGAAATGCCTATGAATTCATCTAACCAAGGAAGTGAAAGATCTCTACAAGGAGAACTACAAAGCACTGCTGAAAGAAATCAGAGACTATACAAATAAATAAATGGAAAAATGTTCCATGCTCATGGATTAGAATGATCAATATAGTTAAAATGGCCATACTGCCCAAAGCAATTTACAAGTTCAATGCAATTCTTATTAAAATACCAACATCATTTTTCACAGAATAAGAAAAACCTATTCTAAAATTCATTTGGAACCAAAAACAGAGCCCGAATAGCCAAAGCAATTATAAGAAAAAAGAAAAAAAGCCATAGGCATCATATTGCTTGACTTCAAACTCTACTACAGTATACAGCTACCGTAATCAAAACAGCATGATACTAGTATAAAAACAGACAGTGGAACAGAATGGAGAACCCAGAAATCAACCTGCACACCTACAACCATCTGACAAAACCAACACAAATAAGCAGCAGGGAAAGGAGACTCTATTCAAAGAATGGTGGTGGAATATCTGCCTAGCCATATGCAGAAAAATAAAACTGGACCACTACCTCTCACCATACTCAAAAATGAACTCAAGATGGATTAAAGATTTAAATCGACGATTACAAACTATAAAAATCCTAGAAGAAAACCTAGGAAATACCCTTCTAGACATGGGCTTTGGCAAATCATTTATGCTAAGTCCCCCAGAGCAATTACGACAAAACCAAAAATTGATAATTGGGGCCTAATTAAACTAAAGAGCTTTTGCACAGCAAAAGAAATTACCAACAGAGTAAACAGACAGCCTACAAAATGGGAGAAAATACTTGCAAACTATGCATCTAAGGTGTAATATCCAGAATTTACAAGGAACTTAAATCAATGAGAAAAAAAAACCAATTAAGGAATGAGCAAAGGACATGAACACTTTTCGAAAGGAGACATACACATGGCCAAAACAAACATAAAAACATGCTCAACATTACTAATCATCAGAGACATACAAATCAAAACCAAGATGAGGTACTATCTCACACCAGTTAGAATGGCAATTATTTAAAAAGTCAAAAAATAACAGCTGTCGGTGAGGCTGCAGAGAAAAGAGAATGCTTATCTACTTTTGGTGGAAATGCAAGCTAGTTCAGCCACTGTGCAAAGCTGTTTGGAGATTTCCCAAATACCTTAAAACAGAACCACCATTCAGTGCTGCAATCCCACTACTGGGTATATACCCAAAGGAAAATAATTCATTCTATCATCAAGACAAATGCACCTGTATGTTCATTGCAGCACTACTCACAATAGCAAGGACATAGAAACAACCTAAGTGTCCATCAACAGTGGACTGGATAAAGGATATGTGGTACACATACACCATGGAATACTACACAGCCATAAAAAGGAATGGAATCATGCATGCCCTTTGCAGCAACATGGATGGAGCTGGCGGCCATTATCCTAAGTGACCTAACACAAGAACAGAAAACCAAATAACACATGTTCTCACAGGTGGGAGCTAAACACTGAAGACACATGATCATAAAGGTGGTAACAATAGACACTAGGGATCACTAGATGAGGGAAGGAGGGAGGGAAGCATGTGCTGAAGAACCACCTGTTGGGTACTGAGCTTATGGCCTGGGAGATGGGATCACTGGGACCCCAAACCTCAGTGTCACATAATCTACCCATGCAACAAACCTGCACATGTACCCTTTAATCTACAATAAAAGTTGAAATTTAAAAAGGACTTAATACCTGAAATAAAAAGGCAAAAAACTAAAAAAAAAGTAATAAAACCAGCTTTTGTAAACAGAATTTGAAAATAGACATGTCTCCTGAAAGTTTCATCTGACTCTATGAATTGAGTTCACATTCAAATGTCTGAGACACCAACTAAGTGAAGTAGCAAGGTGAAGTGCATAGAGAGGGTGGCCTCTTTTCTGGAGGCCAGCGTTTCTCATCTCCAGCTGATTGTCAATATATAGAAATGCAAATTCAGTATTGTCTGATCATGAAATTTTTCATAAAATGTTGGAAATTTTAATTTTTATCTGAAAGCTTCCAATGACTAAGTGATGACAATTACTTGAAAATGTTTCAAAACCCTCTCTAAAACTTGCTGTACTTCAACCAGATGTCTATTATCTTGCTGCATCCAATCTCAGCTCTAAAGGTTTGCCTTATACTTTATGAATTCCACCTTCGCCTTTCATTTCTACTCACATTGTGTTCTCAAAAGCATATTACTGGAATAAAATTACATGCTTGTGTCAGAATGTTATATTGACATTCATCTCCAAACACAAGTAACCTAGAAAAACAGTTTGCCAATGAGATGTTTTTTGAGATTGACATTTTTTTTTTTTCTGAGATGTAGTCTTGCTCTGTTGCCCAGGCTGGAGTGCAGTGGTGCAATCTTGGCTCACTGCGACCTCTGCCTCAGCCTCCTGAGTAGCTGGGACTACAGGCACGTGCCACCACGCCTGGCTAATTTTTGTATTTTTAGTAGAGATGGGGTTTCACCATATTGGCCAGGCTGGTCTTGAACGCCTGACCTTATGATCCACCCGCCTCGGCCTCCCAAAGTGCTGGGATTACAGGCATGAGCCACCGTGCCCGGCTGAGATTGACTTGTATGCTCAGAAGTGCATTTGCTTTTAAAAACTTGACATTCAGTATACTTAAATATCTAGGTTTTTTTGTACTTTTTGTGTGTGTGTGAGACAGGGCCTTGCTTGGTCACCCAGGCTGAGTGCAGTGGCTCAAACATGTTTCACTGCAGCCTTGACCTCCCTGGCTCAAGTGATCCTCCCACCTCAGACTCCCAAATAGCTGGGACTACAGGTATGCACTACCATGTCAAGCTAAATTTTAAAATTCTTTCCCTTTCAATTCAAGGGGGGATGGGGTATGTTTTAGAGACATGGTCTTGTTATGTTGCACAGGCTGGTTATGAACTCCTGGGCTCAAGTAATTCTCCCACCTCGGCCTCCCAAAGTACTGGAATTATAGGCATGAGTCACCCTGCCTGGCCTTCTTTGTACTTCTAAATTTAGTTTTAAAAATTCATATTCTATTTTTGTATTTCAATACAAGGTTTTAAGGGGACTTTACTATATGATCTCAGTTTAAAACTTAATTAAACTCTAATATTTTATATTGGATTTATAATATATTTGACTTCCTTTTAAAATACTGTTTTGCAATTGTCTAATATAACAAATATTCCAAAGTAGATAAGCATTTTTATAAATTGAGTAAATTAAGCTTATAGATATGAGAAATTTAAGTTCTTATATATTATAATATTAAATATAAATGTCATAATATTTCAGCTTAAAATTCTAAATCTTCATCAGCTACTAAAATTTTAGTTTTTAATTTGGATTATAGTACTAATACATTAATATATATGAAATACTGACATATAGTTACAATGTTAGGTCAAAATATAGATTTTTTTAACAAAAATTATTAATTCCATGATTCAGATTTTCTTAAACACTTATGTGCCTAATACTAAATCTTGAGGTTAAAAAGATACTTCACGATGAAAGATATTATTATGTTAGCTAAACAATTGTTTGTAACCTGGGCTGGCTGAGATTTTTATATACAACCAGAACTATAGACCATGGTACCTACTGCAGTGCTGTCTGAGATGTCAAAAGAATACCAAGCCCTATTAATTATTCAGAATATAGAGGCGATATCCTACTTCTTAGGGCATGTATAGTTCACATCCCCTGGTTCAAATCACTACTATTGCTGTGCTGGAGCTGGTCTATTTAGGTTCATAAGAAGTGATTGTTAAAATTTCAGGAATTGTGCAAGCCAATTGTTAAATCTGGCCATTATATAATTATATAAACCTACAATTAAATAAATTGTATTAAAAACAAAAAAATAAGTTGGAGATACAGACATGAACAAAACATATGCACATAAACAAAGCAATTCCTGTCTTTTCATTTCAGGGGGGATGGGATATGTTGGTCTCTTAAATCTGAGCCAAGATTTCTGAACCATTACCATCTCTGCTATAGAGTGACTGGTCCATGGTGGCCCTGGACTGGTTACTATGGGGTATGTATGGTTCTTCCTGTGTCCTTAAAAGGACAAGTGAGAGCTTCTGGAACCCCAGTACACCACACACAAGACACAGGAATGGGAAACTCTCTTTAGGCTCATGAGGTTGAACACTTTCTACTGCTGCTGGTCCATCATTATTCCACACTATTGCAGAAATGGCTGCATCTAGAATTTTCTTAGCTTTTTGTGCCCTTCATATTCAAGAAAAATTATTCAGACACTGTTAAAAATGGTAAGGGAGATTTATTCAAAACTATTGTAAGAGGGGTCATGACTTAGCAATAAAGAAGAGAAATTGAGCTCAACTCCAAATACAATAAAGACAGGAGTTGGAAGTTACAGCCAACAAGCACAATGAAGCCATCAGTGGATGCAAAATTACTAAGAGGAGAGGGCAGAGGGATTCTTGCTAAAGGCAGGCTAAGGATTTAGACATCAAGGGTGAGAAGTGAAGAACTTGATCAGATATCAAGGGTGAAGGATTCTCACTAAACTGAATTAGCAGGATTCTTATTAAAGACAGACCAAAGTAGAGGCTTAGTCAAGAAGGCTCAGAGGAGCTTAACTAAAATTTGGTAAAGGAGGAAATCTTTGTCACTCGTGCACCCAAGAAAGACAGCCATTAGCCCTGGAGTTCTTGAACTCTCCCATTCTCATCAGGATGTTTCTAGAAGCTTTAACAACCACAATAGAAGAGGATAAATGAGAACCCTGGTGCCTAACCTCTTATCTCTCATCCTGATCTCTTTATAACCCCTTATTCTAGAAAATATGGGATTCATTTTCTTCTTTCAAGTCATAACTTCTTTTACCATGGGGCAGCAAGCCTCCTTGGAGAGCCGTCACAATGGATGAGGGATTTTTTGTTTCATTATAGAAGAAACTCTCTTTCTGATATCACTTAATATCTGTGAGTTGTGGGAACGATTTGTAACTAATAATTTCTGAAGTAAAAAATACATTACTTTGAAATCACCCAAAATTATTCTGAATACATATGCATTATGTCTTTAATGCCCACAATAATGATAATATTATTTCGACTAACTAAGGAAACCACAGCTGGAAGAAGTTAAATATCTATCTGGCTTCTGCTTCGAACATAGTTTTTTCTCTTTAGTATAATATTTTAGAGAATCATTGAAACAGTTTCTATTGACTTCAGTATATTGACTAAAAGGCCTTAGCATGTTCATTTTGTAGAAATGTATTTGTAGAAATTTGAAGCTGAAAGTGGTAGAAGTTTCATTTATGGAAAGGCTAGATGGAATGGGAAGGACTTTTGCTAATACTTCAGTGGCAGGATAACTTTCTGAGATATTAATTTGGGTTTTTTTCCCTCGATGTCATGAGGATTGAAACCAACGTAATTCTGTGTCTTTATGTTAAACAATTCTGAGACTAGGCATACTTTCCTGGCTTAAAGAATACTGAAAACAAGTAAAAATAACTTAGCTATTTGCTCTAGGAATCACTGCTTTCAGAAATAATATTGTAAACCGACTAAAACAGCTTACCTACCACCCCAAACAGCTTATTTATAAGACTAATGTCATGACCCTGGCTTTGCTTTACCAATACATTTCAGTCTTGAAATACCCATCACAAAATCACACAACTCAGACCCTAAAACACTATGAATAAATGTCTTCTCCTGGCTTTCCACTCCTCATAATAGGTTAAGATGGAGTTCTCTCTTACAGCATTAAGTTGAATAAACTTAGTTCTGGTGACTTTTGGGGGCAGTCAACAATCCAAAGCTGTTAACATACTAGAAAGGGAACAAAG
Organism: Homo sapiens; assembly: GCF_000001405.40. NCBI lineage: Eukaryota > Metazoa > Chordata > Mammalia > Primates > Hominidae > Homo > Homo sapiens. The sequence continues at coordinate 51,417,759 of NC_000007.14, forward strand.
TGTTTATTTTCTGAGTCTGACTCCCTTTACTCTGGGGGTTATAGTTGACCTTTATGTTTATGTAGAATAAAACATGTTTCCAAGAACTGGTAGATACCGTTCCCCCAGGCTTGCATACATTTTTCTTTAGGAATCTAAGCTCTCAGTGGTGAGGGAGACAGGAAATGAATTTGGGGAGAGCAACTGGAGGAATTTGGAAGAAAAGTGGAGTGGGCTAGACTTAAGCTCATTCTCCTGCAGCATCTAATACTGACACTGACATGAGATGTTGAGCAATAGGCCCTAGGGCCTTCAGTCTGAGAAAATATCTTTGTACCCTTGGCTGGGAGGGAGCAGAGGCACCCCATTCCTGGATAATTTTTGAATAGCTATCATAAGGAAAATGTCCTGCCCTAATTTTGGAAATTCACTTCAGGGTGTGGGGAGGGCTGTCCCAGGGCAAAACAGATTTTATTTCCCATGAACATGCAAAGAGGAGATTCACAGCTAGATTGAATTTTCTCTCTACTCCTAATGGAAAGTCTTTTCTCTACGCCAGGACAGGAGAGTCTGTTTCACTTTGCTAGTAAATATTTCCTTGCCTCTGTCTTTCTGTAAGAAACTTGATTCTCCTTAGATGAATCCACTTGGCAAGCATTAGAACTTCTCTCGTCCTCAGTTTCCTCCAAGACTCTGTGGATGAAGAATTAGGAAATAGCTTATGTGGGTGGTTCTGGCTTGGCATCTCTCATGAAGTTTCTTCTTCTGATAAACAGATATATAAAAGATGTTTTAAGAGAATGCAAGTAGTTCAGGTGATTCAGAACAGTGTTATTTTAGTGAACAGAAATTTTCAGCACTCTATGCAATGTATTCTTTTTTTTTTTTTCTTTTTTTTGAGACGGAGTCTCACTCTGTCGCCCAGGCTGGAGTGCAGTGGTGTGATCTCGGCTCACTACAAGCTCCACCTCCTAGGTTCACGCCATTCTCCTGCCTCAGCCTCCCGAGTAGCTGGGACCACAGGCGCCCGCCACCACGCCCAGCTAATTTTTTGTATTTTTAGTAGAGACGTGGTTTCGCCATGTTAGCCAGGATGGTCTCAATCTCTTGACCTCGTGATCCACCCGCCTCAGCCTCCCAAAGTGCTGGGATTACAGGCATGAGCCAAGGCACCCGGCCCATGCAATGTATTCTCTTGACATATGTATAAAAGAGGTTTCTGATGCAGGTGCACCCCAAAATTAGGGCTTAGCCTGGGAAGGTCCTTGGCTTTGCTCAGGAAAGAATTCAAGAGCACACTAACAATGAAAGAAAGCAAATGTATTACAGCAATAGTGTACAGCAAATTGACCTCTCATAGGCACAGCAGCCCAGAGCAGCAGCCACAGCCACAGCCCCCATGGGCTGCCAGCTAGCTATATTTATACCCACTCTTAATTAGATGCTAATTAAGGGGTGGGTTATTCAGAATTTTTTAGAAAAGGGACAGGGGAGTACCCAGAGCCATATAGAGTAAGTTCTGGGTTGTTGCCCATGCTAATGAGGGGTGAGGACAATGAGTGGTCACTTTTGTCACCAGGTACCAGTTTTCTCTCTCTTTCTCTCTTTTCTTCCTTTTTTTTTTTTTTTTTTTTTTACCGCATCCTGTTTTAATCAGTAGGGTCATTACCAGTGCTCAGAAAACAAGTCCTGTTGATCTACCTCATTTGTAAGAATATAAGTTGTCCAGTGATTCAGAACAATGATGTTCACTGTTCTTAACTCAATCTTGTAAACAGTTACGACACATGTATAAAAGATATGTCTAACAGTGTTAGTTGCATATGTGAGTCAATGGTTATTTTGGTGAATGGAAGTGTGCACCACTCTCCATCTAATACATTCTATTGTATAGCACTTATATTTTATTTTTGAAACATATTTTCATTGTATATATTTAAAGTGGACAATATGTTTTGATATACATATACACAGTGAAATGATTACTGCAGTCAAATCTATTAACATATCCATGATTTCACGTAGTTACCATTTTTTGTGGTTAAGAGCACACATAATCTACTCTCTTCACAAATTTCCAGTAAACAATATTAACTGTAGTCCTCATGCTATATTTTACATCTGTAGATTTATTCATCCCACTTAACTGTTACTTTATACTTTTAACTTAATCTCCCCATTTCCCTTTCCCCTTTCCTGCCTCTGATAATCACAGTACTACACTCCGCTTCTGTGTATTCAACTTTTATTATTTTTTTTTTAGATTCCACATACAAGAGAGGTTATGTAGTGTTTTTCTTTCTGTGCCTAGCTTATTTCACTCAGTACAATGTCCTTTAGGTTTATCCGTGTTGTCAAAAATGGCTGGATCTCCTTTTCTAAGGCTGAATAATATTCAATTTTGTATATAGATATACACACAACCTCCGCAATTTTTCATCTATTTATTTCTTGGCAATTAGATTATTTACATATCTGGGCTATTATGAATAATTCTGAAATGAACCTTGGAGTGCAGATCTCTCTACAAGGTGTTGATTTCATTTCCTCTGGGTATATACCCAGAAGAGGGATTGCTGGGTCATATGGTAGTTTAATTTTTTTCAGCAATCTTTGTATTGTTTTCCATAATGGCTACACCAATTTACATTCTCATTAACAGTGCAAAAGGGTTTTTGTTTCTCTATACCTTGCCAACTTGTTATCTATTGACTTTTTGATAATAGGCTTTGCATTTGCCTGATGATTAATGATATTGAACACATTTTCATATACCTGTTGGCCACTTTTTATGTCTTCTTTTGGGAAATGTTTGTTTATTCTGGTACTTGGCCTATTTTTTAATTGGGTTTTTGTTTTTTTCTTTTTGCTATTGATTTTCTTAAATTTTTGGATAGTAACCTGTTATCAGATATGTGGTTCACAAATATTTTCTCCTAATCTGTAGATTGCCTTTCCATTTTATTGATTATTTCCTTTGCTCTGTAGAAGCTTTTCAGTGTGATGTAGTCCTACTTGTTTGTTCTTGCTTTCATTGCCTGTCCTATCAGAAAAATCATTGCCAAGGCCAATATGTATCAGCTTCTTTCCTATGTTTTCTCCTAGGTGTTTTACAGATTCAAGTCTTATGTTTAGGTCTTTAATCTGTTTTGAGTTGACTTTTGCTCTTGGTGTAAGATAAGGGTCCATTTTCATCCTTTTGCATGTGGATATCCAGTTTTCCCAACACTAGATATGAAAGAGACTAAACTTTACCCATTGTGTCTTCTTGGTGCCTTTGTCTAAGACACTTCTATGACAGTTGTTTCTCAGATGGGTACTTGTTTACGTGATTCACAACAGTGAATGGAAATGTTTACCACTCATCACTCCATCTAACACACCTTGTTAAGACACATGTAAAAACTGTTCTAATAGTACCAGTTGCAACTATAACTGAAAATAGTATTATTTTAGTAAATGGAAGGGTGCACTACTCTTAACTTCATCTAAAACACTCTTAAAACAATGTATTGAAGCTATTTCTAAGAATGTAAGTTGGACAGGTGATTGAGAATAGTGTTATTTCAGTCACTGGGTGTGTTCAACACTCTTAACACTATATAATAAAAGATGTTTCTAAAAAGTGCTGGTTGAGTGTATCTTTCAGAACAGTGTTATTTCAGTAAATGGAGTGTTTACCCACAATTCTAATACACTCTGTTAAGATCCATGTATGAAATATGTTTGTAAGAGTGTTTTTTGCAAGCTCAATTCACAACAGTATTTCAGCAAATGGAAGTGTTCAATATTTTTAATTCAATATTTATTACATTTAATTAATCAACATGTATAAAAAAGTTTCTTTATATTATTTATTTATTTTTCATAGAGACCGGATCTCACTATATTGTCCAGCTGGTCTCGAACTCCTGGGCTCAAGCGATCCTCCCACATCAGCCTCCCAAAGTGTTGGAATTACAGGAGTGAGCCACCATCCCTGGCCGAAAAAAGTTTCTAGGAGTGGTAGCTGTGCATGTGATTCAAAACAATCTTATTTCAGTGAACGAAAGTTTTCAGCCCTCTTAACTTCACTTAATGCACTCTGAGAAGATACCTACAAAAGATGTTTTTTAGGATGGAAGTTGAACATGTGATTCAGAACATCATTATTTCAGTGAACAGAGTTTAGCCCTTCAATGGCCAACACTCTGTTAATGCACATATATAAAAGGTGTTTCTAGGAGTGCTGGTTCTTTCCATGATTCAGACAGGTTTTTGTTTTCTTACTATTTCATCATTTTTAACTCCATTTGTATACTTTGTTCAAACATAAGTATAAATGATATTCTCAGAATGCAAGTTGCACAGTTGATTCAGAATAGTGTAATTTCAGTGAATGGAGCAGTTCACCACTCATAACATCATTTATAAAATCTCTTAGGTCACATGTATAAAAGACGTTTCCAAGAGTTCATGTATGTGACTCAAAAAAGTATTATTTCAGTTAATGAAAGTTCTTTATTCTTAACTTCACCTAATATGTGCATACTCCTTTAAGACAAGTGTGTAAAAATGTTTCTACAATTGATAGTTGTGCTTGCTACTCCAATCAGTATTTCAGTTAATGGAGGCGCTCACCACTTTTATGCCCATGTAATACACTTTCATAGAGCACATATAAAGAAGATCTTTATAAGAGTGCTAGCTTCACATGTGCTCCAGTATTATTTCAATGAAAGTGTTCACTGCTCAACTCCATTCTCCATTTAATACACTGTAGTGAGACACATGTATAAAATATGTTTGTAAAGGAGCTATTTGTGTGGTGTTTGAGAATTGTTATTACCACTCTTAACTTCATTTTTATACCTTGCCAAAACACATGTATAAAAGATGTTTCTATAATTGTTAATTGGATGCATGAATCAGAACAATTTTGAGTGAATGAAAGTGTTCACCACTCTTAACTCCATCTGAAATTCCCCATTAAGACCCATGTATGAAAGATGTTTCTAAGATTGCTAATTTATGCATGATAGATGAAAGTGTCATTTCAGTGAATGGTTTAGTTTGCTGCTCATCTCTTTCTAATACATCCTGGCAGACACATGTATAAAGGCATTTCTGGGAGTACTCATTGTGTGCATGGTTCAGAACAGTATCAATCCAATGAATGAACATATTCAACTCTGTTGACTCCATCTAACACACTCTATTAAGATTCACGTGTAAAAGCTATTTGTAAGAGTACTACTTGTGTAAATGATTAAGAACAATGTTAATTCAATGGATAGATGTTTTCATCACTCAACTGTATTTAATACACTCTGTGAAGACATGAGATGTTTCTAAGAATTCTATTTTATATATTATTCAGGACAATGTTATTTTGTGTGAATGGAAGGTCTCTCCACTTTTATGTCATCTAATATACTCTGCTAGGCACATGTGCAAAATACATTTCTAAGACTGCTAGTTGCATGACTGATTCAGGACACTGTTATTTCAGGGAATGAAATGCTCATCAATTCTGTATAAATGTGCTCTGTTAAGGCATATCCACAAACCATATTTCTAAGAATGCGAGTTGCACAAGTGATTCAGCACACTTTGATTTCAATGTATTCACCACTCTTAAATCTTAAAATTTATTATATATGTTAAATCACATATATGAAAAGTACTCTCGTGAGTTCTAGTTGCACATGTGATTCTGAAAGTGTTATTTCAATGAATGTGTTAATCACTCTTAACTCCACATAAAACACTTAGTAACACTCATATGTAAAGGACTTTACTAGGAGTGTTGCATGTATGATTGAGAACAGCGTTGCTTCAGTGAATGGGAATATTTACCATTTTTATATCGTAATATGCTCTTATGACAAATGTATAAAATATATCTCTAAGAGTGTTAGTTGTATTCAATTGAGAATATTTTTATTTTATGGAAGTGTTCACTTTTATGTCTATCTAATACTCTTTTAAGATAAGTATACAAAAGATGTTTCTAAGTTTCTAGCTGTGTAGTGATTCAGAACAACAGGGTCACTGAAAAGAAGCGCTCAACACTCAAAACTCAATCTATTACATTCCATTATGACACATGTAAACTTTCTTCTAGGAGTGCTGGTTGTGCACATGATTAAGAACTGTGTAATTTCAGCTTAAAGATGTGTTTGAGGCACTTAATACTACTGTGGTATGACACATGTACAAAATAAGTTTCTAACACAAGTCCTTGCCTGCATGACTCAAAATAATTTTTTTCATTGATTAGAAGCGTTCACCATTCTTAAGTTCATTTAATACATTCTTTTAAGACACACTTACCAGGACTGTTTCTAAGGGTATGAGTTATATGCTTGATTTACAACAGTTTTATTTCAGTAAATAGAAGTGTTCATCACTCAAACTCCATCTAGTAGACTTAAAACACATATCTTAAACACGTGTCTAACTTGGTAAGTTGTGCAAGTAATTCAGAATGTGTGAATTCAGGGAAGGGATATTAACTACTCTTAGCTATTGTAATACATTCTGTTAGGACACATGTATCAAAGATGTTTCTAAGAGTGCTGGTGTGCAGCTTATCTAGAAAAGTTTTATTTATTTATTGACTTATTTTTTTCTTTTTAGCATCAGGTTGGTGAAAATATTTTTTTATTTTAATTGACAGATAAATGCTTATTTTAATTGACATATATTTATTTATTTTTAATTGACAGGTAAAAATATTTATTTATGTTTTAATTTTTCAGTTTTTTTGAGATGGACTCTTGCTCTGTCGCCCAGGCTGGAGTGCAGTAGCGCGATCTCAGCTCACTGCAAGCTCCGCCTCCCGGGTTCACGCCATTCTCCTGCCTCAGCCTCCTGAGTGGCTGGGACTACAGGCGCCCGCCACCACAACCAGCTAATTTTTTTTGTATTTTTAGTAGAGACAGGGTTTCACTGTGTTCGCCAGGATGGTCTCGATCTCCTGACCTTGTGATCCGCCCGCCTCGGCCTCCCAAAGTGCTGGGATTACAGGTGTGAGCCACCATGCCCAGCCAAAAATATTTATTTTTAAATGACAATTTTTAATTGACAGATGACATTGTACATTTTTATTATGTACAATATTGTTTTGGAGTACACATATATTGTGAAATGGGTATATCTAGCTTATGATTATGATTATTATGAATTTTGAGAAAGAGTGTAGCTCTGTTGCCCAGGCTGGAGTGCAATGGCCTGATCTTGGCTCACTGCAACCTCCGCCTCCTGGATTCAAGCAATTCTTGTGCCTCAGCCTCCTGAGTAGCTGGGATTACAGACATGCACCACTATGCCCAGCTAATTTTGGTATTTTTAGTGGAGACGGGTTTCATCACGTTGGCCAGGCTGGTCTCAAACTCCTGACCTCAGGTGATTCGCCTGCCTCAGCCTCCCAAAGTGCTGGGATTACAGGCATGAGCCACTGTGCCCACCCAAATCCAGCTAATTAAATGCATCATCTAACACAGTTATTATTTTTGTGGTAAGAACACATAACACTAGCTCTCTTTACATTTTTTCAAGAATATAATATATTGGCTGGGCAGGGCAACTCATGCCTGTAATCCTTGCACTTTGGGAGGCCAAGGCAGCCAGTGAGGAATGACACATAGAGACATGCCAAGCCTCAGTCCTGTCCCAAGTTCTTGGTGCAGTCACTTGATGTCTACTCCTTTACCCTTTGGGGTAGCTGGAGTGTTGTTTTTTTTTTTCTTTCTTTCTTTTTTTTTTTTTGAATTTATCTTGCAACGGGCTTACAAAACCTCTCTGAATTTACCTGATGTCTCTTTCTGATTTTTTTTCTTTTTTTTTTTTGAGAAAAGGTCTCACTCTGTCACCCAGGCTGGAGTGCAATGGCACAATCTCCACCTCCTGGGTTCAAGCGATTCTCTTGCCTCAGCCTCCCGAGTAGCTGGTATTACAGGCACACACGACCATACCCAGCTAATTTTTTGGCATTTTTTTTTTTGGTAGAGATGGAGTTTCACCGTGTTGGCCAGGCTGGTCTCAAACTCCTGACTTCAGGTGATCTGCCTGCCTTGGCCTCCCACAGTGCTAAGATTACAGGCGGGAGCCACCACACCCTGCCCTCTTCCTGATTTAACAAGAGTTTTGCTCCTGTAATAGCAGGATCATCATATGGAGATGGTTTGGGACTTTGTTGTGTACATGCTGTTTCCTATTCTGTTACGGTTCCAGCATTCTGGGCTCAGCCTGATCCCTGGGCTCTTTTCTGCATCCACGCTCAACGTTGACCCCTTGCCTTCTTTTCAGCAGCATCTGACAGAAATAAAGGGCAAAGTGCCTGATGGCTGCCAGCCTGTCTCCTAAACAACCTCCACCCCGGTGCAGCCGGTTGCTCTCCTTCCCGTTACTTAGGCTCTCCATGCCTGCCTGCTTCCCAGGGCGTGCTGCGAGTTTTGCATGTTACAGTGTGCAAAGTGACAGTATCATCAAAACTACCCACAGGCTTCCTCAGGACAGGTCTAAGTTCTACCAAAGCACTCTCAAGGTGGCCTGACGGAAGGGCAACTGAAGTCACTGGCCACACTGCCCCAGCTGCACGTCCTCACGTGGTCGCTCCGCCAATTCTCACACAGTGAGTTCGCAGTCCGCTCGCTCTGTGCCATTTGGATGGAAGATGCCATTCGTCTCCCCCTGCTTCAGGGCAAGACATGGTATCACCCAGTCAGAGGGAACATTGTCCCCATCATACAAACAGACCTCCACACCCTTTGCTCTGTTCTCTCCAAAGAGCTTCCTCGCCTGAGCTACAGAAGAAACAGCCCATAGGCACCCTGCAAAAGCTGCCACTTTGCTCTTGCAGGAAAGATGGAAGCGTTTCAGAACGCTTTCAGCGCCTTTCAACTGTGTTGTACTCACTGACTACGGACTGAATTTGCATCTTTACTCTTTTACTTTTATGTTCTTATTTATATATCTCACCTTTCACCTTAGTTCAGAAAAGAATTGAGGTGAGGTGTATAAATTAACACATATAGTCATTAGGCGGCACAGTTTCCAAGAACTTATTTTCTAAGATAAAATAAAAATAGGAGTAAAAGTGGGATTAAAAAAAGGAGAGCAAGACAATAGAATTGAATGCTTAGGCCGGGCACAGTAGCTCATGCCTGTAATCCCAGCACTTTGGGAGACCGAGGCAGGTGGATCACCTTAGGTCAGGAGTTCAAGACCAGCCTGGTCAACATGGTGAAACCCCGTCTCTACTAAAAATACAAAAATTAGCCGGGTGTGGTAGTGGGTGCCTGTAGTCCCAGCTACTCGGGAGGCTGAGGCAGGAGAATGGCGTGAAAACAGGAGGTGGAGCTTGCAGTGAGCGGAGATTGCGCCACTGCACTCCAGCCTGGGCAACAAAGCGAGACTCCGTCTCAAAAAAAAAAAAAAAATTGAATGCTTAACAGGGGCTGTTTCTGTGAGTGGGCCACAAATGCTTGGTTCTCGTCTTCCAGAAAATATCTGTTTTTTTTTTTTTGTTTGGTGCAAAAAGGGAAGCAATCAGCTATAGGATTCCAGGAATTACAAAATGAAAACTGTGGCTGATTCTGACCCTGAGACCTGGGAGGATGCCTTCTCTGGGCCCTCGTGAGAGGATGCTGTGCAAACTCATGGATGCCTTCTGCCTCTGTGCATGTATTCATTACAGATTTATTGATTTACAGTCTTTTTTTCCTTATCTGAAAATAATAGAATGAGAATAATAAGGCAAGAGGGTTTTCTTTCCTCTGGGTTCTGCATAATCCTCTGTATCTTCTTTTAAACGCTTTGTTCTTCAGGTTGAGTATTCTTTTTACACTTCTGCTAATATTGTCCACATTCAAGTCTAGACAGCAAATGCATTGACTTTTGATCAGATTTTCAGAATTTATGCTGTATAAGCAAGACGTTCTTTTATTTTTAATAAATGTGGGTATTTTCTCATATATTATTTCAGGAAAATATGGTGTAAAGTGAACACAATGGAACCAAAGAGATAAAATATGCATCTAAGAATGTGAATATTCAATTTGGATCTGTGCGCATTCTAATCTTTAGTTAAGTGGATTCTTTAAGAATGTTGCCATTTCTGAAACATCAGTTCCATCCTCTCTCCCATTTCCTTTGGGTTAACTCACCCCAGGCATCATGAACTATATGGACAATTACCACCTGGAATGGGGCTATGCTGTTCACAGCAGGTTACAGAAAACAGATAATGAATAATTTAAGTAATTCATTATTTAAAGATTATTAGTACATATCATTTGGAATAATTTTCTTTTACTTTTCATTACTTAAGCTCATTATTTTTTAGCTTTCAGAGTTAAGCAGGTCCAGTACAATGTTTACTAAGGGTGAAAAATCACTTCAGTTCTCAATATGTTTACCTACTCAAATAAAAAGCATACTAATCTTTTTTAAAGTCATGTCTGATTAACAGCATCCTTATGAAGATCCACAGCCTGGGGGCAGCCATCAGCCACTGATGCACACAAGTCCACCAGAACTTCTTCACCCCCTCAGACTTTCCATCCTGGTGTTTTGGAAAAGATATTTTTGTTGAACAAGTGATTATTTCTGAGCAAAACACTTTTGAAAACATAACCATGATATTTTCCATGTTGAAGCTGCTTTTCCAGGATTTCTGTGGGTCAGCAGTGACACCCAGTGGCTAGAGACACTTGCAGGCTACAGAAATGTCTCCTGTATCCCATGGTAGTGAAGGAAATTGTAGGAAGAAGCATCTTTGGGGCCCAGGTGTTGGAAACTACTCCATGGGGAGGAAGGTGTAAATGCAGGATGGACAGAAATGGGTGGAGGCAGCATCCGGACGTTCTGACCTGATGCCACCACTCCATTGGCCTACACCAGGGTGATCCAGGAAACAAAAGATCTTTCTGGTACCACATGGTATCAGAGGGGAGAGAGGTACCAGTGCTACGACAGGGCCTATCGCAGTGACAACTACCCCAGCTGGATCCAGAGAGCGTGGGCCCATTGAATGATGCTTGTGAAGTAGAGGACAAATCAGACATGAGACAGATCACCGAGGCACCCTTTCCTTTTGCGGATGCAAGCAAGGCAAAGTCACTTTGCATGATGCACACGCAATTTCAGCCAACAATTTTGTAACTTGAACAGAAACGTGGGTCACTTACCTCTTAGGCCATTATTTTTGATGTCATCATTTTATAACATCAAAACACATGGTGATACATTTTGACAGACTGCATAGCAGTGTCTGGAAAGCAGTAAGAATATGCTTCTGGTCTCTATAGGATTTAAAACTAATATTAAATTTCTTAACATTGAGAATTAGTGCAGTTCCATATATTGAAACAAGTTGGAGATAAAATCAAGTGCCAGGGGCGACTTGTTCCTATACTGAAATGAGGTGGAGGCTGCGGATACGGGGCAAATCTAGGGATGTTCTGGAAGTTCTCAAATGCTAGTGCCTTGTTCAATGATAAGCTGTTCTTTCTGAAGGCAAACTGTACTCCTGACTCAGCATCAGCAACTTAAGGCTGATTTTTTCAATTGGTAGGACAAATTTGCCCCACCACCCTCTCCTTAATTCTCAAAAGATGCTTTGTTTTTTAATTTGTAAAAAGCAAGGCATTTACAGAGAGACCATTAAACTTGGACCTAGATAATATGGGTGTGAATGTGAATTCTACTGCCTATTAACTGTATAAGCTCAATCTACTTCCTTAAATATTCTGAAACTCTGCCAGGCGCGGTGGCTCACACCTGTAATCCCAGCACTTTGGGAGACTGAGGCAGGTGGATCACCTGAGGTCAGGAGTTCGAGACCAGCCTGCCCAACATGGAGAAACCCCATCTCTACTAAAAATACAAAAAAATTAGCCAGTCGTGGTGGCGGGCGCCTGTAATCCCAGCTAGTCAGGAGGCTGAGGCAGGAGAATCGCTTGAACCCAGGAGGCAGAGATTGCAGTGAGCCAAGATCACGCCACTGCACTCCGGCTTGGGCAACAAGAGTGAAACTCCATCTCAAAAACAGAAAAAAATTCTGAAACTCATTTCCTAATATATTTTAAAACAATATTGCTATTTATCTCAGAGAGTGATTATAAAACTAATGATATAAGCTAGTTCTAAGTGCCCATCATTTGATAAGAAATTATTTGTTTCCTCATATTTTATTATGAAACTGTTCAAACATGTAGAAAAGTATAAAGCATTTCCCAGTGAACTTTCATATATTCCCCATCTCAATTGTACAATTAAGGTTTCACTATACTTTATTAATTACCCCCCCATCTATCATTCCTCCACCGCTTCATCAACCCATCCGATTATTTTTGATGCATTTCAAAGATACAAACACCAATTTATTTCCACATGTCATTAACTTGACTTCAGTGTTTGTTTATGGTTTTTTTTTTTTTTTTAATTTGGGGGATAATGTTCACATACAATGAAGTGCACAAATCTTAAGTAAGCCATTAAATAAGTGGATTTCAATAAATGCTCACACCCTGCTACCCAAGCCTGGTTATGATAAAGACATTACTGTCACCCCAAGAAAACTCTCTCAGGATCCCTTCAGATAAATTCCTGACCCTCACCCAAGATGCAACTACTGCTCTGATTCTTTTTATTGTACATTTGTTTTGTTCCTATCTAAAGCTGATCCAAAGGGAGCCAGAAACTACATGACTGGAGACCTCACCTCAAGGAAATTCTCATATATTAACCAACAAGTCAATCCCCAAATAGGCGCCGTCTTCATTGTTGGTGGCATCTTGGTTTCTAGGAAGAATTGTATCTGTAAGCTGACAAATGTATTTGCATGCGCAATCCAAGCTCCCCTCAAGACGCAGAATGTTACCACTAACTCCAGAATTATTTTTGCATCGACAAAGAAATGTTCTACCAGCAGGTGGCAGTAGTAACCCATCGCATCGCTGGGAGCCCTTTACTGGGATCCACCAGCTTTACGATTACATAATAGATGGTCCCCAGTTTAGGACGGTTGGACTTAAGATTTTTTTACTTCAGGATGGTACAAAAACATAAACATTCTGTACGCCTCTTAACTTAGAATGGGGTTCAGGTAAACCCATCGTAAGTTGAAAATATTGTAAGTCCAAAAATATACTTTCAATTTGCAATATTTTCAGTGAAAATGAATTTATCTAGACGTAACCCCAGGGTAAGTCGACAAGCATCTGTATTAATTTTGGATTCCATATTCACAAAAGCACACTTTTTTTTAACAAAGATTCAAACAACCAAGAGTGCTGATTTTTAGGGATATAATTTCTCAACAGGTAAATGAGTTGGATACTAGAGAAATGCACCAAGGAGGCTGATTGATGCATGAGAGCTTCCAGGTGTGTTTGGTCAGCTGCAGCTGGGGGAGCAGAACACACTGTGGGTGACACACATCTGAGGGCTAACAACAGCTGCCAATTACAGAATCAACTCCTGAATACTGGCAATATTTAGCATGGCTGAAAGACAAGACCTTCCCTGAAACTTCACAAAGTAACCGTGAGATGGTGGTTCACTCACTACCTGTCCATCCTGTCTCTCTGATTTGAGTGCACACAGGATGCCAAGAGGGCGCAACACTTGCATGTAGACTGGGGAGGCAACAGTGACAGGATCTACATAGAAACATTGAGGAATCATTCAGAGCAGCCAGGGAGAAGCTGGGGGATGGGGGCGGTTCTAAGGGCCAACTCACTACATATATATATATATATATTTGAGATGGAGTCTCGCTCTGTCACCAGGATGGAGTGCAGTGGTGCAATCTCGACTCACTGCCACCTCCGCCTCCCAGGTTCAAGCAATTCTCCTGCCTCAGCCTCCCAAGTAGCTGGGACTACAGGTGCACGCCACCATGCTCAGCTAATTTTTGTATTTTTAGTAGAGATGGGATTTCACCATGTTGGCCAGGATGGTCTCAATCTCTTGACCTCGTGATCACTCATATTTTTTAATAAAGTGTGTAACGTCCTGGGAGCCGAGAAACGGTCATGTCAGTAACCCCCGGCATAACTGCAGAGGAGAGAACTAGAAGAACAAGAACAAAAACTGCAGGAGGCAAAGAGCTAGAAGCACCGCTTGAAAAGGCTTCCAGGGCTGGGAGACCTTCAGCAGCGTGGTGACGGCTTTTTCCAGCACTGCATTTCCTTTCACTGAAATGTTTAAGGCAAAGGCAAACAACTGCACTTGGGGAATGTTAAGGAGGAAAATGTATGTGTCAGCCGATGTTAGAACAGATCCATGCTTTGAAAACTGGGAGGTGCACCACATGTGGAATATGCCATAACTGAGGAATAAAAAGATGATTTTAGGAGATGCTTAGACATACATCAAATAAAATACCTAACAAGTTAATTCTGAGAAGCCAGTGATGGGCCCTGTGACACATATGGTCATTAGGTGAGATCTTGGTCCCCATACCACAGCTACTGCCCATAGCCAAGATTCTTCTGGCTACAAAGGGACCATTCCTGCAGTTAATGCATTCCCCAACTTGCCCAACCTACCTAAGCATTTCCCACATTGCAAGGCCCACCTAAAGCCACGCACACAAGCCAGTCCTTACAAAAGGCCCCCTGGCGTCCCCCATATGGAGATGCTCCAAGCTTCACCCATGATGTGCACCCTGGGACAGCAAGTTAAATCAACTCTCCTGGTGAGCACAGGCAGGCTGGTGTCTTTCTTGTGATGGGATTCACCAGGCCCCTTGTTCCTCGGCTTGATCTTTGATGATGCCAAAGAGAAAGACTTGGTTTAGTGGGAACGGGTGTCCCCACCTCTCCAGCCATCCCTCTCCAGGGCACAGAGAGCCACCTCGGGCTCCTGACTCCAAGGCAACAACCATAACTGAGGAGAATGGTCAACAACACTTGGTCATTGAAACATGTAGGTTCACACCTCACAGATTGTTTATTTATGACAAGCAATGATGGATTCACATTCATAGTAGTGCTAAAATCTTTCTTATCAAATAAATAATTTAAGTAAAAAGTGTGCATCTATTTAAAGAATATCAACAAAAATTAGCATAAGCAATATTCAGATATGGCAGAAACATGAAGGGAATATATGAATGACAGAAAGTTGAAGAAATACTGAATTAAATGAACTCTTCAATTAGTTTTTTAAATATATGGTCAATATTTTAAAGAAATAAACAGATAACAATAACCTAGGACTCTTCTAATCAACTTTGATTTTAAGTCAGTCCACTTGTTATTTATTTTTCTCCTTTTTTTTGAAAACCACTATATATAGATATATTTTTTTTCCTTGTTTGCAAAATGCATCATATGATGAAGTGTTACTTGTTGGAGTGTTCTTGCTCAGCCTCTCTTTAGAGAGGAAGCCCACTGGAATAGAAGGCCATTAAAATTACCTTACTCATCCAAAGTTATACAGGTGGGTCTTGGGTGATACACTGGATATCTCAGCACGTAAGTCCCTTTTCACTGATATATAAAAAGTTCATGATTTGCAACAAGAATTAAGTTTACTTTAACATATTCCATAATGCTAAAATCACTTTGATTCCTGAGGCTGACAAGAAGCACATACTAAAGAGTTCCCATGATGAAACACCTGTCTAGTCCTTAAATAATAATTTAAATGAACAGAGTGGTTAAAGGACCCATTTGCCTTCACCAAACACTTTCAAGTCAGACAGTTCACTCATGAAGACAATGAACAAAAGAATTCCAGGGTAGATAAATGAATATATCAGGTTGAGATCAGAAATCTTTGTAAATGTGTGTGTATGTGTGTTCACTTTGGCTAAAGTAAAATATTGTAGGCTGGGCATGGGTGGCTCATGCCTGTAATCCCAGCACTTTGGGAGGCTGAGGTGGGTGGATCACCTGAGGTCAGAAGTTTGAGACCAGTTTGACCAACAGGGCAAAACCCCGTCTCTACCAAAAATACAAAATTAGCTGGGCGTGTGGCACATGCCTGTAATACCAGCTACTCGGGAGGCTGAGACAGGAGAATCACTTGAACCCAGAAGGCGGAGGTTGCAGTGAGCCGAGATCGCGCCATTGCACTCCAGCCTGGGCAACAAGAGTGAAACTCCATCTCAAAAAAAAAAAAAGAAAGAAAGAAAAATCTTTGTAAGTGTGTGTGTGTGCGCACGTGCACGCCTTCACTTTGACTAAAGTAAAATGTGGTAGAAAATATCTCTCACCCTTATTTCAATGGCAGCACAGTGTTCATTCCTCAGAAAAGCTGGTTGGGTTTACTGTTCTCTCCTAGGAAAGGGATCTGATGTGAGCTGAGTGCTGATTCTCACTGCAGGTGTCACCTCACCTAACGTTGCCCTGATGCCCCCGCTTAGCAGGGAGGTGAACTGACCCCTGTGAGCAGAAGGAGACGCTAAGGCCAAGGAGGCTCAGTAACCTACCTGAGGCCACTCCACCTGCCATTGGCCCCATGACCTCCCTGGCTCCAGACACAGCACAGTGTGTGACACTGGCCATTGTCCCCCTTCACAGATGGGAAAACTCAGGCTTAGAGGAGAACAGCTTTCCTAAAACCACATAGCAGAAGTGCTGAGACGGGAATGGAGGACACTTGACATCAACTCCCATTCTCATACTGTGTTTCCCGCTAGGTTACCATCCTTAAATGTACTCTTCTCCATTTCCTCCTTTTAATGTAGTATTTCTCATGTATGAAACATTCTACTACTAACACGCTCATGAATTGATCTCATTTGTGGGAGTCATTTGTCATAAATGCCCAAATTCCTTTCTTTCCTGCTTAAAGTTTCTTGACACCTGTAGCTCCTCTCCCTTTTCTTCAGTCTTAGAAGTGGCCCTCCTTATCAGCCCAACTCCTCCTCATCAGCCCAATACCTTTGCTTCCACATTTGACCCTGTCCAGCCCCTCTCCTGGAATCACAGCCTCCTGTTGGCACCACCCTCCACTCTCGCCACTATTGCTGCTCCTCTGCTCCCCTGTGTCCCAGTCTCTCCGCATTTCTGCCTTGGCGAAGCCCACCAAGCCCGCCTCCTCTTCCTGGGCACAGAGGCAGGCTACATTCGGCCTGTCCTTGCACCCAGGGGCCGTCAGGGAGCCCTGTATCCAGTCGTCAATGAGCAGAATGCTGTGTCCCTTCAGGACCTGGCCGGGAGGGATGACCATGCCCCCTCACTCTCCCCTTTCTTTCCTGGGCTGCACTGCAAGCTCCTCCTGAAGGGTGGAGCTCTGGGGAGGGAGCCATTGGGCTGGGGGACGATTCTGCCCATTAACCCACTCTGAGTAGTGGAGGGCACCTCTACTTGTACCTTTCTCCTCTTTTCCCTTCCTATTGCCTCTTTTCTCATGCCATAGAAATTTGTCAGCACTTTTTTCGTTCTCAGGTCCTCATTTTCCTCCCGAGTTTCTAACTCATTTTCTCCATTGCTACAGTGAAGAAAAAAAAGTGTTAGGAAGTAACCCCTACTGCCTACTTATTTCTATATGTCCATTCTTTAATTTTTCGCTATCTGACTTCCATCTAACCCCTTGACGGAAATCCTGACAATTGCACTTTCAAAGGTCTTTGATGAGCCAAGATTGTCTTCCAACTGCTGGTCTTCCTGGACAATATTGACCAACATTCTCCTGAAACGCACAAGGTTTCTCAAACTTTACTGGCTCTTGATCATCTTCCTCTCTTAATTACAGATCTCTCTCTCTCTCTCTCTCTCCTCTCTCTCCTCTCTCCTCTCTCCTCTCTCCCCTCTCTCTCTTCCCACCCCTACTAGTTTCAGCTTTGATTTCAAACATACAGAATTCAAACCCTGGACCCACTAGAATTTGTTTGACCTCAAGCAAGGTACTTAAATTCTCTGAGCTTCTGCATCCTCACCTGTAAACTGGGAAGGATAAGGAAATAATTATAAAGAGTTAAATGAGAAAAGAACCAAAATTAACCAGAGTAAGTGTTTTTAATTTCTTGCCCTTCCTTTCCATTTTCACCTCCATACCCCATATAGATTCCATCATAGTGAGCCCTCAGCAAACATTTGAACTCACATAAAAGGAGGAGTCATGCACACTAACCAGCTTCAGTCATGACCAGCGAAGTGAGCTAACGTGGAGGGTACAAAAGACCACTGGAGAAGCAGTTTCTCACCAGGCGAATTCCTTGCAGACCTCTCATCCCTGGCCCTTTTCCCTTTGGGACATCACTCACCTCTCATTCCAGTCTCTAACACCCTGGGACAGTGTCTTCAAACCCATGTGTCAGCAGGCAGTGGAATCCACAGATATGAGAGGTTAAAATGTGAGTGTCAGGGCTAAGGAGGGAGCATATTTTTGTGCTGCTTGAAAAAAAAACATTTTTAATAAGCATTTCACTCTTCTATATATGGTCTAAAGTTAACAACAGTATGTTCAATTCAGAATTTTTAAGTCATATTCCTTTGATGCAGAGTTTATATCCCTATGTTTAAACCACTTGTATGAATAGCTTTGATATTCTGTTCTGGCTCATAGCATATTCTTGGAATTAAGACAGTATTGTGAATTCTTAGAAATCATAACTACAAAAGCTCATTTTGGAAGGAGAAATTACTCATTCCAAGATCCAAGTTTCATGTTTAGTATATCTCAAAACTTGATGTTTAGGAGTGTTTTTAAAACAAGGAAAGAGCTATAAATTTCCAATAAATGTCAAATTCTTCATTGAAGGTGAACTTCACAATCTTTAAAACCCTTTCTAGTGTTTGAGGAACCTCCATAATAATGTTTTCTCTAATGGCTGTGCTGATTTACATTTCTACCAGCAGTGTAGAAATGTAAAAGTTTTTGCTTTTCTCCACATCCTCTCCAACACTTATCTTTTGTCTCTTGATAACAACCATTTTAACAGGTGTGCAGTGATGTCTCACCGTGGTTTTGATTTGCATTTCCCTAATAATTAGTGATGTTGGGCCGGGTGTAGTGGCTCATGCCTGTAATCTCAGCACTTTGGGAGGCTGAGGCAGGTGGATCACCTGAGGTCAGGAGTTTGAGACCAGTCTCGCCAACATGGTGAAACCCCGTCTCTACTAATAATACAAAAATTAACTGGGTGTGGTGGTGTACACCTGTAATCCCAGCTACTTGGGAGGCTGAGGCAGGAGAATCACTTGAACCTGGGAGGCAGAGGTTGCAGTGAGCCAAGATCATGCCATTGCATTCTAGCCTGGGCAACAAGAGCAAAACTCTATCTCTAATAATAATAATAATTAGTGATGTTGAGCTTTTTTTCATATACCTATTGGCCATTTGTGTGTATCCTTTTGAGAAATGTCTATTCAGAACCTTTGCCCAATTTTTAAACTGGGTTATTTGTTTTCTTACTATTGTGTTGGGTTCCTTATATATTGTGGATATGAGCCCCTTATGGGTCACATGATTTGCAAATATTTTCTCCCATGCTGTAGGTTGTCTCTTCATTTTGTTGATTGCTTTCTTTGCTGTGCAGAAACTTTTTATTTTGATGCACATCCCATTTGTCTGTTTTTGCTTTTGATGGCCATGTTTTGGGGGTCATATCCAAAAAAGTCATTGCCCAAACAAATGTTATAAAGCGTTTCCCCTATGTTTTCTTCCAACAGTTTTAGAGTTTCAGGTCTTATGTTTAAGTCTGTAATCATTTTGAGTTGATTTTTGTATATGGCATGAGATAAAGATTGAATTCCATTCTTCCAGAGATGTATATTCAGTTTTCTCAATACCATTTATGGAAGAGACAGTCCTTTCCCAGTTATGGGTTTTTGGCATCTTTGTCAAAAATCAATTGACCATAAATGTGTAGATTTAGTTCTAGCTTTTCTATTCTGTTCCATTGGTCAGAGCCATGCTGTTTTGATTATTACAGCTTTGTAGTCTATTTTGAAATCCAGAAATATGATGCATCCAGATTTTTTCTATTTACTTAAGTTTGCTTTGGCTATTCAGGGTCTTTCGTAGTTCCATACAAATTTTTGAATTTTTTTTTCTATTTCTGCGGAAAAAAAATCATTGAGATTTTGATATAATTGAAATAAATTGTTGATTATTTTAACCCAGGAACACAGAATATCTTTCTATGTATTTATGTTCTCTTCAATTTCCTTCAACACTGTTTTATAAAAAATGTTTAGTGTTCAGGTCTTGCACCACCTTGATTAAATTTATTTTTAAGTATTATTTTTCCAGCTATTGTAAATTGAATTTTTAAAATTTCTTTTCTGGATAGTTTGTTGCTAATGCATAGAAACACTACTAATTGTAATATGCTGATTTGTATCCTATAACTTTACTAAATTTGCTTATTAGTTTAACAATTTTTGGTGTTTTCCATATATAAGATTATGTCATCTGCAAACAGAGACAATTTAACTTCTTTTATTTTCCAATTTGGATATTTAAATGTCTTTTATTTCCTTTTTCTTTTTCTTTTTTTTTCTTTTTTTTTTTCCTGCCTAATTTCTCTGGCTAGGACTTCCAGTACTGTGTGGAATAGAAGAAAAACACTAAAAGTAGAACTACCTTATGATGCAGCAATCCCACTACTGAGTATATAGTCAAAGGAAATCAAACCAGTACGTAGGAGAGAGGGATCTGCATCTCCATATTCATTGCAGCATCATTCACAATGGCCAGTATATGAGATTAACCTAAGTGGCCATCAGCAGATGAATGAATAAAGAAAATGTGGTATATGTACACAATGGAATACTATTCAGCCTTTAAAAAGAAGAATCCTGTCATTTGCAACACAACATAGATAAACCTGTTAAGTGAAAATTGACAGATTCATCTATTATGTTAAGTGAAATAAGCCAGCCAGAAAGACAGATCTTGCATAATTTTATTTATAGAGTCTTAAAAAGTCACAATCACAGAAGCAGAGAGTAGAATCATGGTGACAAGAGTTGAGGGAATTGAGGGAGAATTGAGGAGATGTTGGTCAAAGGACACAAAATTTCAGTTAGACAGTGAGAATAAGTTCAAGAGATCTATTACACTACATTATGACTGCAGTTAATAACAATGTATTGCATACTTGAAAGTCACTAAGAGAGCACATTTTAAGTGCTCTCACCACAAAAACAAAATTCTAAGTATGTGAGTTAGTGCATATGGTAATTAGCTTGATTTTTCTTTTAATCAAGGCAAATGTGTATCACAAGGTATATCTCTTGGAAAACATCATCTTGTAAAATATAAATATAAACAATTTTTGTCAGTTAAAAATTTAAAAATAATAAAATTTTTTTAAAAAATCCTGCTAAGTTCATCACACAATAGAAGTAAAAGCACCCTGGGGCACTAAAAAAACTAATTATTAACTGCTTTATTGATACTTAAAACATACACCATAGACTGCTGATTTAAAGTGTACAGTTCAGTGGTCTTTAGTATATCCTGAGTTGTACAACCTATCTAATTTTAGAACGTTTCATTCGCTGCACAGTGAGACCCCGTAAACATCAGCTTTCACTCTCTGTTATGGGTTGAATTACATCTTTCTAAAATTTACATGTGGCAATCCTAAATCCCAGTAAATTAGATTGTGACCTTATTTGGAAATATGGTCTGATATAGTTTGGATGTTGCCCTGCCCAAATCTCATGTTAAAATGTAATCTCCAGTGTTGGAGATGCGGCCTGGTGAGAGGTGACTGGGTCATGGGGGTGGATTTCTCATGAACATTTTGCACCATCCCCTCAGTGCTGCCCTCAGAATAGTGAGTGAATTCTCGGAGACCTGGTTTTTTAAAACTTTGCGGCACTCTCTCTCGCTTTCTTGTTCCTGCTTTCATCATGTGACATGCCTGTTCCCCCTTTGCCTTGTGCCATGATTGGAGGCTTTCTGAGGCCTTCCCAGAAGCAGATGTCCCTATGCTCCCTGTATGGCCTGCAGAGCCATGAGCCTATTAAACTTCTTTTCTTATAAATTATCCAGCCTTGGGTATTTCTTTACAGCAATGTAAGAATGGACTAATTCAGGACCACTGCTGTTGTAATTAGCTAAGATGAGGTCATTAGAGTGGCCCTAATCCAATATGACTGGTGACCTTATACAAAGGGGAAATTTCGACACAGACACATACAAGAAGACTGTGTGAAGATGAAAGCGGAGACGGGAGCAATGAATGCCAGAGATTGTCAGCAACCACCAGAAGCTAGGAGAGAGGTGTGGAACAGATTCTCCCTCACAGCTCTCAGAAGGAATCAATTCTGCCCACAGCTCGGTCTCAGACTTCCAGGCTTCAGAACTTGGGGATGATAAATTTCTGTTGTTTAAACCACTCAGTTTGTGAAACTTCATTATGGCAGCCCTAGCAAACTAATATACATTCTGCCTGCACCTCTATTCCCATCCCAGCCTTAGGCAGCTGCTCATCTACTTGCTGTCTCTACAGACTGGCCTCTTTTGGACATTCCATATAAACGGAATCATAAAATATGTGGTCTTTCATGACTGGCTTCATTAGCATAATGTTTTATATTATTTAGCATGATGTTTTCAGTATTCACCCATGTTGCAACATATATCAGTACTTCCTTCTTTTTTATTATTAAATTATATTTCATTGTATGAATAGATCCCATTTTGTTTATGCATGCGTTGGTTGATGGACATTTGAGTTGTTTCTCCATTGTGGCTGTTATGAATAATGCTACTATGACAGTTCATGTGCAAGTTGCTGTGTGACATTTTTTCATTTCTCTTCTCTATGAGTAAAATTGCTCAGTCGTATTGTAACTCTAACATTTTGAGGAACTGCCAAACTATTTTCCAAAGTTGCTGCACCATTTTACATTCCCACCAGCAATGTACCAGGGTTCTGATTTCTCCACATTTTTGTCAGCCTTTGTTATTTTCTGTCTTTTGTATTTTTAGCCATCCTAGTGCATGTGATAATATCTTATTGTACTTTTGACTTGCATTTCCCAAGTGACTAATGATAATGATCACCTTTTCAACCTTTTCATGTGCTTAGTGACCTTTTGAATATTTTCTTTGTAATAATGCCCACTCAAATCCTCTGCTCAATTTTTTAACTAGGTTGTCATTTTATTATTTAGTTGTAAAAATTTGTTATATATTCTTGACTCGTGTACTTTGTCAGATGTATAATTTGCAAATATTTACTCATAGTCTGTGGGCTGTCTTTTCATTTTTTTTTTTTTTTTTTGAGTCTCACTCTGTCAACAGGCTGGAGTGCAGTGGTGTGATCTCAGCTCACTGCAACCTCTGATTCCCTGGTTCAAGCAATTCTTATGCCTCAGCCTCCCGAGTAGCTGGGATTACAGGCATGTGCCACCACGCCCGGCTAATTTTTGTATTTTTAGTAGAAACGGGGTTTCACCATGTTGGCCAGGATGGTCTTGATCTCCTGACCTCATGATCCGCCCGCCTCAGCCTCCCAAAGTGCTGGGATTACAGGTGAGAGTCACCACTCCCAGCCTTTTCACATTCTTAATTGTGTTCTTTGAGCACAAAAAATTTTAACTTTGTTAAGATATTCCATTTCTCTATTTTTCTTTTGTTGCTATGCTTTTCATGTAGTATCTAAGAAACCATTGTCCAGATGAAAATCACAAAGATTTACTTCTATATTTTTTTAGGAGTTTTAATTGTAAAAAAGAAAAGTTCTTACATTTTGGTATATGATCTATTTAGAGTTAATGTTTGCGTGTGGTGTAAAAAAATAGTTAAACTTCATTCTTCTGCATATGGATATCCAGTTGTCTCAACACTATTTGTTAAAACAAGCGTCCTTTCCTCCAGTGAATTGTCTTGGCATCATGATGATCAACTGACTATAAATGTAAGGATTTATTTCTGGATTCTCAGTTCTATTCTATTGATCTATATGCCTATCCTTATGCTAGTAGCACACAGTCTTGATTACTATAGCTTTGTAATAAGTTCTGAAATTGAGAAGTATGAGTTATTTAATTTTATCCTTCAAGACTGTTTTGGCTATTTTTTGGTCCCTCACATTTCCATATGAATTTTTGGGTCAGCTTGTAAATTTCAAATGAAATCCTAGCTGAAATGTTAATTTGGAGAGCACTGAATCTGTAGATTAATTTGAGAAGCATAGCTATCTTGAAAATATTGTCTTCTATTCACAAACTTGGGATATCCTTCCATTAATTTAAATCTTCTTTAAACAGTGTTTTTTAGTTTTCAGTGAATATCTTACACCTCTTTTGTTATGTTTATAAGCATTTTCTTTTCTTTTCTTTTTTTTTTTTTTTTGAGATGGAGTTTCACTCTTGTTGCCCAGCCTGGAGTGCAATGGCATTGATCTCGGCTCACCACAACCTCCACCTCCCAGGTTCAAGTGATTCTCCTGCCTCAACCTCCCAAGTAGCTGAGATTACAGGCATGCACCACCACATCCTGCTAATTTTGTGTTTTTTAGTAGAGACGGGGTTTCTACATGTTGGTCAGGCTTGTCTCAAACTCCCAACCTCAGGTGATCCACCCACCTCGGCCTCCTAAAGTGCTGGGATTACAGGCATGAGCCACTGCACCCAGCCTATTTTATTTTCTTAATTTCATTTTCAGATTGTTTATTGCTAGTATACAGAAATACACTTGATATTTTTACATTGACCTTGTATCCTGCCATTTTGCTGGACCTGTCTAATTGTTTTGGTTTCAATTTCACAGAATTTTATATATACAAATAGAAGTTTGGAGATATCATCTGAAAATACTGTTTTGTTACTGAAATACCAGGGATTCACTCTAGGTCCTGCTGCTCCCTGCACAGAAGGCCAACCACTGAGACCATGAGTATTGCCAAGGAAGAAGGTTTTAATTGGGTGCTGCGGCTGAGGAGATGGGAGTCCAGTCTCAATGACATCTCCCTGACCAACTAAAATCAGGGGTTTATATAGCAGGGAAGAAATGTAACTTCATGCAGGAAAATAAGAATTAGGGAGGGGTAAGGAAGAGGAGTTAAGCAGGTGGTCAGTTAGGCAATCATAAAGGGTGAAGGGTTTGGTATCTCATTGTCTAGGTGTTGTAATCTTGTAAGTTTCAGATCCTTGATACTAATTGGGAGGCCTCATGGCTGGTTTCCTGAGAAAGGAACTCAGATAAGATAAATGTAACTCTGTCAAGTTTTAATACTGGGAGGGGCAATTTCTATGTTTATTCAAAAGGAACCATAAACATCAGTTTTATGGGACAATTGGGCTGGTTTTAGCTTTACTCTTTTCTTCTCACTCTAGATGATTTTCATTTTTTTTTTTTTGACTGATTGGCCTGGCTATAACCTCCAGGACAGTGTTGAATAGAAGTTGTGAGAGTCAACGTACTTGTCTTCTTTCTGATCTTACAGGAAATGCATTCTCTTTCACCATTTTGCATAACATTAGCTGTAGGTTTTTCACAGATGTTCTTTATCAGGTTGAGGAAATTTTGTTCTATTACTAGTTTGTTAAGTATTTTTATTAGGAAAAGGTGCTGGATTTTGTCAGATGCTTTCTCACTGTCTATTGAGGTGATCATGTGTTTTTTGTTTTGCTTTGTTTTGTTTTTTTTGTCATTTATCCTACTCCAATGGCATATAACATTGATTAGTTTTCGTATGCTAAACTTCGCATCCTGGCATAAATCTCTGTCAGAAGAAAACTTTAGAAAGTTAAATTTAATAGAGTTTAATTGAGCAAAGAATGATTCTGGAATTGGCAGCCCCCCAACCAGAATAGGTTCAGAAAGGATCCAGCACTGCCACATGGTCAGAGAGGATTTATAGACAGAAAAAGGAAAGTGATGTACAGAAAACAGAATTGAGGTACAGAAAGAGTCTCATTGGTTACAGCTTGGCATTTGCCTTGTTCAAACATGGTTTGAACAGTTGGCTGCCTTCGATTGGCTGAAACTTGGCGATTGCTACAAGAGTAGGCTACAGTCTGTTTACACCTCCAGTTAGGTTACAGTCCACTATGTACAGAGAAACCTTTAGGCTAAACTTACAAGGAGGCAGCTATAGACTAAACTTAGTTTAATATCTCATTTAGGCATGGTATATTAGTCAGGATTCCCTAGAGGGACAAAACTAATAGGATATGTGTGTGTGTATATATATATATATCCTATACTTAATAAACTCCCTTTTACATATGTATATATTATTACATGTATTAACTTACATCATCACAAGTTCCCACATTAGGCTGCTGCAAGCTTGAGGAGCAAAGAGAGCCAGTCCAAGTATCAAAACTAGAGAACTTGGAGTCCAACGTTTGAGGGCAGGAAGCATCCAGCACAGGAGAAAGATGTAGGCTGGGAGGCTAGGTCAGACTCACCTTTTCACATTTTTCTGCCTGCTTTATATTGGCTGGCAGCTGATTAGATTGTGCCCACCAGATTAAGGGTGGGTCTGCTTTCCCCAGACCACTGACTCAAATGTTTATCTCCTTTGGCAACACCCCCACAGACACACCCAGGATCAATACTTTGCATCCTTCAATCCAATCAAGTTGACACTCAGTATTAACCATCACACATGGCCTATCTCTTTTTTTAATATATTGCTGGATTTAGTTTGCTAGTAATTTGAAGATTTTTGTATACAATAATTTGAAGACTTTCTATATTCATAAGGGAGGTTGCTCTGTACTTTTCTTGTTATATTTTGTCTGGCTTTGACATCAGAGTACTATTGCCCCATATGATGGACAGGGAAGTGTTCCCCTCTTCTGTGTTTTGGAAGAGTTTGCGAAGGATTGGTATAAATTATCCCTTAAATATTTGGTAGAATTCACCAATGAAGCCATTTGTGCCTGAGCTTTTTTGTGTAAAAAGTTTTTAAATTACTAAATCAATCTATTTACTTGCTAGAAGTGTATTCAGAATTTCTTTCTTCTCATATCGGTGTTGGTATAAGAAGGCTTTCTAGGAATCTGTCTATGTTATCTACTGGGTTAGCATACTAGTAAAAATAATCTTAATGATTTATTCTGTGAGTAAGTGTAGGTTGAGTTATATATGCCAGGATCTATGTTAGATGTTATAGATACAAGGTCTTAAAGCGTGCTTGCTTTTAAAAAGCTCCCAATCTAAGCTGGAATATAAAACCATGTGGAATGAAAAGTACTATGGTAGACGTTGAAACAGCTTGTTTGGAATTTAGGTAGAAAAGTAGTTAACTCTGCCTGAATAATTAGGGAAAGATTGGTGAGAAAAAGGTGAGGCTTGCTGGGTCTTAATGAATAGGAGTCACCCTGAAGACAAGAAGCCAGGGCATTGCAGAAGGAGGAGGACATTTATACATCAGCACTTGCCAGATGCTATGGTCCAGTATACTGCAGCAGGAAATTACTTCTCAGCAGTCCTTGCAACACAGCCCAGCAAAAATCTTACGGTACAGTGATCCCTCCAATGGCAGGGTATCCAATTACAGCTGAAAAGGCTTGGAATCAACCTCCCTCTTCTCCTTTTTGTCTCTGTATCTTAGTAGATAGCTCCAACTCAGCAGCTGACATTATTCAACTGCTTAAGCCAGAAAACCTAATAATTGCAGGGCCCAAAGCAAGAGTACAAAGGGAGGCCCCCAACCCATATGTCCAAAATATTGACACTTATAAATTAGGCTAAACAATTGTTAAAGAAAATGATGGAACTAGAGGCCATTATCTTAAGTGAAATAACAGAAAGAGAAAGTCAAATACCACATGTTTTTACTTACAAGTGGGAACTAAGCCACGTTCTCATGTTCTCACTGGCAAGTGGGAGCTGAACCACCTGTACACATGGACATAGAGCGTGGAATACCATAGAAATTCAGAACAATGGGAACGGGAGTGAGGGATGAAAAATTACTTAACGGCTACAATCAAAAGCCCTGACTTTACCACCACACACACTATATCCATTTAACTTCACCACACTTGTAGCACCTAAATAAATAAAATAAAATAAAATAAAATAAAATAAAATAAAATAAAATGCATGTTCTATCCTCTTCTGTAGATGCACCTTAATGATGACATGCAAGGTCTCAAGGCTGGCTCATCAGCTGCCTTGACCCTTGACTGGACCATCTCCCTTCACTTCATCCCTGATGGAGTGTCCCTGGCTCCATCCCAGATGGTGAGGGGACTCGTGAACCTTTGTGTGAACAACACAGTTTGGAAATCCAAGCTCTTGCCCCAGCCCCTGAAATCAACCATTCTTTGGGCAACTCTAAGGCCCAGGTGAAACAGTCAGGTGGGAGGGGTTCCCTGGAGAAACTCCATCTAGCCTGCCCACTGAAGTGGAGCCCGGGGAAGTTCACCACGTTAGCAGCAGGGAGGAGCCTGGCCCCTCCTCTTCCTGTGTGGAACCTGGGATTCGAATGGCTGGGTGGGAAACGCTCTAGCAGGGACTCTGGCCTGGAGAGAGTTCCTGCTTCCCCCTTTTCATTATTTTCACCCAATAAAACCCTGGGTTACCATTCAACTCGTCTGCGAGTCTGAATTTCCGTGGCTGTGGGAAGAACCCTGCCTTTAGCTTGAACTAAGGAAAAGTCCTGCAACGCTTTTGATGCCCAATGTGATACTCAAGAACCAGTGAGTGAAATGGGAACTCAAAACCTCTCACTGTTGCTTCTAAGCTTGTCCATTCTCGGACTTCTGAGGGTGAGGGAAACCATGCCCCCATCATGCCCTGTCGCTCTGGGGCCTTTTCATGGCCTTTTCCTTCCTTTTTCAGGACCGACCGGTGAGCAGCAGCTCCCCGCCGCTCTCCCCTTCCTGCCAGGGCTGGGATGCGTCCGCCACTGCTCTCCCCTCCCTGCCGGAGCTGGGATGCGTCCCTGACTGCTCTCCCCTCCCTGCTGGGGCTGGGATGCATAGCCCAAGGGTCCCACACAACCAGCTGGCTGGCTTTTCCGCCTTGCACTACTGGAGCCTTCCCCTTCCCCAGCCAAGGGGCTTTACTCCATCAGACAGTAATTAAGCTTTTCTCCTGGTGGAAGAACCAGTTGTATAAGAATAAGAGTTCTTCCTCCAGTATTTTAAACCTTTTTTCTTTCCTCTTCTCCATCCCGTCAGCAGTTAGCCTTTAATTTTTTTTTTCCTTTTAGAAGACATTTTTACGCGGCCAGACCCCACAACTCTCACCGTTCATATTTTCTGCAAAGTTTTTATTGTGAAATTAAGCCTCCATCCTGTTTTTTATCCTGAGGGCATGGCTTGTAACTCGGAGGCAAGGCTTTGTTTAGCAATCCTGCCTTAGGGAATGAACCCTCTCAGGTTGGGTATCTGCATGTTTTCCTAGCCCTGTCTCTTAAAGGGCCCCACACAGCAACTGGGTTTTCTTCTGCCTGTTGTGTACTGTGTGTGATGTCTGTAAAACGAGCTCTAATTAATTTGGCCTAAAGAAAGACAAACCCTTGGATCAAGTACTTTTTTTTTAAAGGAAGTTAAAAGCTGTGGTACCTTTCAGTTCACCTGACTCTAATCTTTGAGAAATAAAAACAGCCTTAAAGATTATGGGTAAAATGCAGGGGTCATTAAAATGTAAATAGATGAACTAAACTATGCAGGTCAGATGCAAGGTTTGCTAAGTGTTTTGAGGTTACAAACTGCTTTTTGGGTTTTGAGAACACTATGTGACTGGGACTCCTTTAAAAGGAGCCTTCTTTTTTCCTTTCTTCTCCATGGTTCTCTCTTCACTGATAGGTAATTGTGTCTCCGTACTATGAGACACTCCCCTCAGATGCATCATCCAAACTGGAAAGAGTTAATTTCCCAAACCTTAAACTGGTTGGTTTAGGATTGGACTCAGGGGAAGGGAACCAAGAAGCCCAACAGGCTGGCAAAACGGGTAAAGCTTTTTTAACGGGTCAGGCTTTTAGCCTCCCTCTCCCCATGCAAACTGGTAAAAGGCCTTGGAATTTTTGAGCTCTCCTTACCCCATTCCTTGTTTTGTTTTGATACATGTTTTCTAATAACTTAGTTTGTCTGTTCTTGCCTTCAGGCCATCACACTCCCAATGGTCATGCAACTGGAGCCTCTGACGATGGCCCCTTCTTCTGGGAGCCCTTAGATAGGCCTTTGAGGGAGATCTGACTGCTGTTTCCCCAAAACAGAGCTCTCTGTCAGAGGAAGCAGTTAAGATCGGCCTTTGTCCTTATCCTTATTCTAATGGCAGTTAGATGTACTTCTTTAGAGAGTGTAATGAGACAGCCAGGTGGAAGGGAGACCCCTGGAGAAACTCCAACCAGCCTGCCCACTGAGGTGGAGCCTCAGGAAGTTCACCACCTTTGCAGCAGGGAGAAGCCTGGCCCCTCCTCTTCCTGTGTGGAACCTGGGATTCGAATGGCCAGGCGGGAAGTGCTCTAGCAGGGACTCTGGCCTTGCGAGAGTTCCTGTTTTCCCCTTTTCTTTATTTTCACCCAATAAAACCCTGTCTTATCATTCAAATTGTCTGCGAGCCTGAATTTTCATGGCTGTGGGAAAAAGAACCCTATATTTAACTGAACTAAGGAAAAGTCCTGCAACATAGGGGCACTCACACCAGGGAACACGTCCACCCTCAGGAGGACAGACCAGAACAGAAGCCCCCCACAGGCTCTGGAAATGGACTCAGAGACATTTGGGAAGGGAAATACAAGATCCAAGACACACAGAGTGTGGCACAGAATAAGAATCTGGATTTCAAATGCTCATACCCCCTTGGTTCTGTGCATTCCTCACCCCTTGGTGGGGGAACACAGGCAGTGGAGGCCGGAGTTCTGCAAGGCACAGGACTCAGGAAGGGCACCTCTAGATCAGGTTTAAGGCACATTCTGTCTGGAAGTCCTAGCCAGCATCTCCTTGACCCTCGCCACCACCTCTAATCAGAAACCAAGTCCTGTAGAGTCTACTTTCTAAATACTTTTCCATTCTATCCCAGGGACGTCACTCTATATCATCATAAGCTCCCACCTTCGCCATCTGATCAGCCTTCTCACACCCATCCTGACACCTTCCTCCAATCCATTCTCCACGCTGTAGCCACAGAGAGCTTTGTGGAATGCAAATGTAATCATTTCTTTGCTTAAATGCTTTTAATGATTTCTCATTGTCAATGGGTTGTACTCATCGGCAGAGACATTTATTGCAATAAAGTGGAAATAACCCGTTAAGTTAAATAATACGTATGGTGAATGTACCATTTAAGAGGTTTTTTTTTTTTTTTTTTTTTTTTTTTTTGAGACAGAGTCTTGCTCTTGTCGCCCAGGCTGGAGTGCAGTGGCACAATCTCAGCCCACTGCAACCTCTGCCTCCCGGGTTCAAGCGACTCTCCTGCCTCAGCCCAAGTAGCTGGGATTACAGGCGCCCGCCACCACACCAGGCTAATTTTTGTATTTTTAGTAGAGACGGGGTTTCGCCATGTTGGCCAGGCTATTCTCGAACTCCTGACATCGTGATCTGCCCGCCTCGGCCTCCCAAAGTGTTGGGATTACAGGCATGAGCCACCGCGCCCAGCCCCATTTAAGAGATTCTGAATGTGCTCAAGTGAGGTTGAAGATATTTGATGATTCAAAACCAAACACAACGGCACAGTGTGGTGGTGGGAAGACTAAGGAGGTCAAGAGGAAGATACTGTCTTGTTCCTGAGACTACACAGTGAGGCAAACCTTGAGCACCTTCCCGGGCTCAGCCTGGTGCCAAGAAATGGAGAGGCCCAACGCAGCAGCCTGTGTAGCAGCCTACTCTCCTTGTAAGGCATATTATAAGAGGGAAGACAATACTGTGTGGAAGGAGTTCAGAGGAATTGGGGTGGAATGGCACATTTTCTCACTGTTTCCACTTTGGGGCTTCAGAAAAGTCTGAGTTGGGAACAGGGATGAGTTCCTGGGAAAGGGCTTGGCCTGTGTCCGTCACCTTGATCACGAAATCCGTGCACTGCATCTCACACCAGCAAGGCCGCCATCCTCCAGACTAAACTAAGAATCATAAATCTGGCTGGGCACGGTGACTCACGCCTGTAATCCCAGCACTTTGGGAGGCCGAGGCGGGTGGATCGCCTGAGGTCAGTAGTTCAAACCAGCCTGAACAACATGTTGAAATCCCGTCTCTACTAAAAATAACAAAAATCAGCCAGGTGTGCTCGCTGGCACCTGTAATCCCAGCTATTCGGGAGGCTGAGGCAGGAGAATTGCTTGAACCCAGGAGGCAGAGGTTGCAGTGAGCCAAGATCACATCACTGTACTCCAGCCTGGGTGACAGAGTGAGTGAGACTTCATCTCAAAAATAAAAATAAAAAAGAATTATAAGTCCCTCTGCCCCCTGCTCTCCCAACAGAGGTGCATAGAGGACCTTATGAACCCTGGCCAACACTTATACTTAGATTATGTGGGATTATTTAAAATGGTAACTACAACTGATTGATTTCAACATTGGTTTTACACATTCCATTCTCAAATAATCTCTCTCTTTTTCTTTCTTTTCTGAGATAACCAGTTAAGGATCTGATTCAGGAAGTTTTTATAGTAAACATAAGTGAAATAAATTTGGCCCCATTGACTGATTAATAACAATAAGTCCAAAGAGGAGATGTTACACAGTGGGAGTTTGAACTGAACCATCACATGCATGAAAAGCACTCTATGTTCATTGAGTAAATGAGTGAACGAATGAAGTGGGTAGAACTCATGGTCAGTAATGTTACATGGCAGCATCCTAAAAAATGATCTGTGATCCAGTAGGCTGGCATGTGGGTCGCCATGCCAGAGAGCAGCCATGCAATCTGCCCTATGCCAACTGGGAAAGTGGAGCGTACAAAGAATGTAGCCAAGGACCTGGCTTCAGAGGTTGCCACTTTTGTTAGGGACAAGCCATAGCCTCAAAAGAGCAATGATCCATTTAAGGGCGATGGGGGAAAGCTCAGTTTGGAAGTGTAGGAGGCAGGAGGTCAGAGGAGGGCTAGAAGACCCTCTAATTCCTAGAGCTGCAGAATGTGACCCAGGACCGAGTGTGTCTGATAAAGAGTGTGCATGTACTCACAACAGCGTGCCAGAGCGGATGCATGTTTAGTTCAAAGGAAACAGAGGGTGGGGAGAGAATTAGGTGGCTCACCTTATCAGAGCACTGGCAATGCTGGGCATCACAGGAGGCCAGGCCTTGTGTGTGGGAAGACGGGAGCCTCGTGCAACAGCCAGTGGTGGCTAAGAATTTAAGAATTAGTCTTTTTTTTTTTTTTTTGAGACAGAGTCTTGCTGTTTCACCCAGGCTGGAGTGCAGTGGCACAATTTTGGCTCACTGCAACCTCCGCCTCCTGGGTTCAAGCAATTCTCCTGCCTGAGCCTCCCAAGTAGCTAGGATTATAGGCACGTGCCACCACACATGGCTAATTTTTGTAATTTTAGTTGAGACGGGGTTTCACCATGTTGGCCAGGCTGGTCTCGGACTCCTGACCTCAAGTGATCTGCCCACCTCGGCCTCCAAAAGTGCTGGGATTACAGGCATGAGCCACCGCACCCAGCCAAGAATTAGTCTTGATGACTTGAAGGTACTGGTCTAACTTGGGATCATCTGTGGGTTTAATATGGGGTGTGATCCAATCCCATTTAACACACAGGCTTCCTTGTGCCAGGTCTTGGTGCAGCACTGGGAATACTGGGAGAAAGGAGACATGTTCCCGCCCTGAAGGGGCACAGGTGGTGAACGACAGACTGGGTCTCACTCTGCCACATACTGCGAGCTGGCCCTGCCCAGGCACTCGGACTTCTTTGAACTTCTGGTTTCTAGTGTGTGAGATGAATCTCCAGAGGACAGTGCTCACTGGGGCTGTGGAGCGCGAGGACTGTGTGAGCTACCTCCTGGAACGCTCTCCCAGGTGCTGGCTCTTGGTGGTTCTCCCCACGTGTTGGTGGGAAACACTGAAGCAGGCTGTAAGCCATTTGGGAAAAGGGCCACAAATTCAGTATAAAAAGGTCTATGAAGCTCTGAAGGGGGAGCTCTGAAGGGTTGATTTCTCTGAGTGTAGTGAGGATGGGGAGGTCCAGAAGGCCTCAGACAAACAGATAATAATGGGACAGATCCTGGAGGGAGACCAGGGCATGGGCAGGTGAGAAGGGAAAGATTCCTGAGCCCGCCAACCTCAAGCTTGAGCCTCAAATGCTCACACCCGAGAGGACCTGTTCAAAGATTTCTGGGCCTCCAGCCTGGGCTTCTGATTCAGGAGGGCTGGATGGGGCCCATGATTCTGTATTTCCAACAGCTTTCCAGGCATTGTGACACTAAAACCAGGGTTTTAGACAAAGGGGCTCTGCCCATGTTCTTGGTGAGTAGCCCTGCTTAAATGGAGCATAAGGGGAAACTCCCGGCTTACATGAGTCTGGGGCTGATCTCAGGCTTTCATTCCTCACGGTTTTCCCATTGCCCCATTTGCATGTACCTCCCACCTGGAGGAACCCTTGCTCCCACTAATGCAGTGCGGCTGCACAGAACAGCTCCAGCCAGACACTGCCCATGGGAGGCTGCTGCTGTTCTCTGTGGCCCAGGGACTGAGAGCCTCGTATTTAGGACAAGAGTGCTTCGCAGCCCTGTGGGCAGGCAGGTGGGATGACCAGCAGGGGGCTGGCTAATTGCTGAGTGGCTCAGTGCAGGGTCCCCGCTGGCTGGCACAATGGACTCAAGCTAGGCTATGAGAGGAGAAGGGAGATGTATGCTCTGCTCTCGCAGCTGTGGAATGCTGCAGAGGTGTGCATAGAATCCCTAACCTTGATAAAAGGGCCGTCTGCATTGGTTATACATCAAATTGGGACCAAAGATCAGACTAGCAGAGGTAATTCCATCACATCTTATCTCTGGGCTGCAGGGTCGTGCTGCTAGAATTGCTGGAAATTGGAAAGCTCGGGAGTGTGGACAATACAGGCAGTGAGGATTGTCTAACTAGGAAAGCGGCTCCAGAGAGGGCAGAGGTGCTATCTTTTGTCAAGGTCCTGGTGGTCCTGACCATGGCTATTCCTTTGCACATATTATCTCATTAAATTTTCACAGCAGTTCTTGCAAATGTGTTAATATCCCCACTTTACTGATGGGGAAGCAGCCTAAGACAGCTTATCTAACTTTCCCACTACCACAGGCAGCAGATTTGAGTCTTCTTGAAACACCTCCAGGAGTCAGAATACTCCTGAGGATAACTTGGCTTTGCAAGTGGTAACAACTTCCTGTGCCAGCTCTCTCTACCTCCCAGCTGAGTCTGTTGAAATTTACTAGGGCTTAAGGCCATACTTTATTTTCTGTGTGGAAAATGCACAGATCAGTGCCTGGCACATTTTTGATATTCAATGAACATTTGATTCTATAACAGTGCATATGTGTGCATACACGAGAAATTGAACAAACACATTTAGGGGTCCTGAGACTCCTGAGGGTCTCTCATGAGGCCTGCTTGTAGGTCCATGTACTGCAGGACGAGCACTCCTGGTCTCAGTGGCTGTGCCTGTAGTGACAGGGGTTACTTCCAGGATTTTGCTTTTTTTTTTTTTCTTTTTCTTTTTTGCAATAGTTGAACTGGATTTATTTATTTATTTATTTTAACCAATGGTGAGTCAGTCTTGGCTATGGATAATGAAAATAGAGACAACCAAATAGCTGCCCCCCCAGGCCTCCTCCGCCCACGAATGCTGTCCACTTATATTTGTTTCCACAGACAGAACTTATGAGAGATACAAAGGAAATAAAAATAATTCAGGCCACTCTGAACACAGAGTACAGGGCAGGGGCGTTCTGGAGGAAATCAAGTTTAATCACTCCAAATTCCTTGAAATAGCCCTCTCAAAACCACATGAAAGTGTCATTAGCAGGTTCCTGAGGGGTTTGTATGGAAAAAAAGGTTTATTTTGACTCATTCTGAGAGGTGTCAACATTGGTTGACTTGGAACTTGGGCTCAAAAAGGAGGCAGCTTCAGACATCTGCTGAGTGTCACCCAACTACAAAGCCTCCTCCTCCCCCCAGTGGCTCCCCATCCAGCCCTCTCTCCTGCATCCTTTTTCTCTGTGTGGTATAATTTTGCTGGTCAGTGCAGAGACAGAAGACCCCAAGTGAGAGGGGGAGAGGCAAGGGTAGAGGTGTCACCATTACCAGAGCTTGCACAGGGACCTTCTGAGGTGGGATGGAAGAAAACTCTAAGGGAGCCTGGGCTTAAAATGGCCTGGAGCAGGGTCTTGACATTGCAGTTAGGATGATGTAAATTAAAGTTGTCAGTGGACAAGGCCAAAAGTTTCAGTCTGTGTTCACGGGGGAGAGCTGTCTTCCTCCTGACAGTCTCCTCCCATGTAGGCCGCAGTCACAAGGCAATTCCTGCAGGCAGGCCTAGTCACCTAACTGCGGGGACCTATGCAAAGAGGCAAATGTGGTGGGGCCTCCTGTTCAGAGGGAAGGGAGCAAGTGCTGTGAAGGTATGAACACACACACTTGGTTTCTGCTCCTGGTTTGCTTCGAAAACCCTGGGAATTCCCTGAATGCTGGGTGTGAGAGGAACTTCTGTCATTACTCCTACAAAGCTCCTTTCAGCCCTATGTGAGTGTGTACTAACAAGGGGGCTCCTGCACTTGGGGGCTGGTGGCCAGAACCAACCCTGGGCTTAGAGGCTTGGAACTGTTAGCCCTGTACCCAGCGTCCCAGCAGGGGCAGCAGCTGAGATAGAGCTCCGTCCCCAATGGCCAGTGCTTTCATCAGTCATGCCTATATTATGGAAAAGCTATAAACCCCCCCCCAAACAATGGGGTTCAGAGAGTTTCCGTATTGGTGAACACACCCTGGTGCTGGGAGGGTGGTGTGCCCAGAGAGTGCATGAAAGCAGCACGCTGCCCCCACTCCCCCAGCCCTTGCCCTGCACATCTCTTCCATCTGACTATCCCTGAGTCTCATCCTTTATAATAAACTAGTAATAGGAAGTAAACTGTTTTCCTGAGTCCTGTGAGCTAGAATAGCTGACAAGTTAGTAAACTTGAGGAGGCAGTCATGGAACCCCTGATTTGCAGCCCATCAGTCAGAAGTCAGAAGGGAGTCCTGGATTTGGGATGGGCATTGATGTGGGGGCAGTCGTGTGGGGCTGAGCCCTGAAGTTGTGGGGTCTGCGCTAACTCCAGGTAGTGCTAGAATTAAATTAGGTCATAGGACACCCCATTAGTGTCTGCTGATATTGAAGAATTGCAGTGTGTGGGAAACCCACATATTTGGTGTCAGAAGAGCTGTGAGTGTAGAGAAAACAGAATTTATTTTTCTTTTAAAGATATTAAAATATAAAAGTTTCCCTCTCTTTTACATATCTCTTCTGCTCTTGGGCACATCTTATTTTCCCATCATATTTCACTTAGACAAAACATAAGTTCTAAGGTAAAATTATTAGGAATTTGAAGATAATGAGGGCAGAGCTTTAAACAGAGTGTGGGACCCAGGAAGCTGGCCCTGGTTGCATGATGGAAAACTCAAGAAAATCAGGGAACCCACAGAGGTGCGTGGAGTCGTGCCCAGCTGGCCGTTGGCAGAAATGAACCTAAGAGGGATGGTCTACTCTGAATCTACATTGAAAAGATGAATGTCTGACTACTGCCATCTGCCTGACAACATGAGGCAGAACATGGTTGCAGGTTAGGGTTGCCATGGTGCCATCTTCTGCCTTTGGCCACTCTTGTTTCCTGCATAAGTTCCCTGCCTTTTGCATTTCTGTAGTTGAAGTGACATGGATTTGGGACAGAGTTGAAGTGTGTAGTAAACCACTGAAAAGGAGATAGTTTGGCCCTGGCTACAGGGGGCCTAACTAAATCCACAAAGAAAGGAAGTATATTTATTATGAAAGGAGCTGCTTGTTAGAATGGTTCTTTCCTCCCTAGGAGTAAGGGGCAGAGCCAGCCGAGGGAACCATGATGCTAACTGGAATCCAGGCAGCAGTGTGGCCAGTAACATGAGCAGCTTGGCCTCACTGGTAGGGACAATGACTGGGACTCCGTGGTTTTATCTGTGTTCAAGTGTTGTCCCAGAACTAAGCAGGTCACACAAGGGTGAGGCAACAGCTCATTTCCCTGGCATAGGATTCTTAGAACAAAACCTCCACCACCACCAAGAATCAAAGACTGTCAGAGTTGGGAATTGATCAGAGTTTGCAAACTGGGGCTGATGAGATTGGACCTATATACGTGCTTGGTTTGGTCCACATAAAGGGCTGAAAAAGAATGGATGTAACTGACAACACTAAAACATTTGGAGATTACATTTCATAATCCTAACTTGCTATTTCCCTCGAAAAATCAGAGGATTTGACCACACCTGATCCGAAGGCAAGTTTCATTTGAGGGTGAGGGGCCTGGGACATGGAGATGAAGCTCGTTTGACCTCCCACTGGCTGTTGCAGCCTGGGTTGGGGACTCAGCGTGCTGCTGCCTCCTGGCATAGAGCTCTCCGTGTCTGCCTGTCATTACTGTGACTATTTACACAGCCCAGGGCTCCATCTCCTGGCTTCCTGCCAAATAAGATGTCAATGAGAATAATTGCTTTTTAAATTGGGAACCTAATTCTTTCCAACATATCATAACCAATTTTTCTCCATGACGTTGGAATATCACTTCAAGGAAGTTCTTAAATGTGTATAAGAACTATGATTGATAAGAAAATAAAATTACCTTATAAATATAAATAATTACCTAGGTAGAAACACAAAGGAAATGTCTATTGTAGAGGGCTAGTGAAAGGTTGGTTACAAACTAAAGAATCATTTTATTTTGTTTTTGTTTTTCATTCAAAATTCCACTGTAGCAGAAATTTATGTCTAGTTGAAGCTGTGCTGAGGAATTATATGACCTTGAACAATACCAATGCTTTTACATTATGCCTTCACCATCTGCAAAACAGACTTTAAAATATCCACTCCTGCCTTATTATACTGATAAATTAGACCACGTGTGGAAGCACTTTAAGCTCCTGGGAAGAGAGGAAGGGTACACATTGGTGATCTTGATATTATGAATTGGAGCATGAACTAAAATGTTATTTATTCTGTAAATCTGAGGTTATTATTCCCTTGGCAATTGAAGTTCCCTCTTAACCAAGCCCATCTTTTTTTTTTTTTTTTAATGAGGCTAGGACAGAATGAAATGACTTTTATTCATTTGGTGCAAATGCAAATTTTTCAATGTTGGTAATGTCTTGTAATCTTAGTGCCCTAATCTCTTTGAATGGCTCTGGTCATAATGTAACAGAATGCCTGACTTTTTGTCTTCTTTTGCAAAAGGTCTGAAAAAGAAAGAGGAATGCAGCATAAGTAGGTGGCTATTACGATGGAAAGAGGATTAGGTTGTCTTTTGAGATGTCAAATATTTGCTGTTCTTGTTTTCTTTCTATTTTCTCTGCTGGCACCTATTTGAAATGTGTCCAAAGAGGGTTTATATTCACTGCCGCATATTCAAATGTTTTGGCCTTAAGATCTTTCCCTGTTGCTTGTCTTTAGGGTAAAAATGCTTATGAGATCATGAAGAGGCACGTGCCTAGTTCTCTCTCTTCCAAACTGGTCAGTAAGTCCAGCTCTGCTGGGCAGGTGACCCTCCTCCATTGACCTCTGATCTGCTCTATTGCTTCACACCTGTTTTCTTGTCCACTTCGTCATGCTCACCCCTCCTCACTCAGTAGCCTCACTCCTTATTTCACTGAGAGAATGAAGTTGATTGGAAGAGGGCCTGTTCATTTCTGCACCATCGAGTCTGTCCACCCTAAGACTGAGCCCTCTTTTTGCTCCCTGTGGTTACGGGGAACATACATGTGCCTCCTTGTCTATGGCAACAACTGCCCTGATGCGCTGGGTCCCAAATCCTCCGGCCTAATGGCAAATTTGACTGTGCTAATATCCCCTCTCTTTTCCCTTTTCACTGAGGCACAAAACAAGCTAGAAAGTCTCTCTCTCTCTTTATTTTTTTTTGTTTTTTTTTGCTTCCCTTCAGTTTCTGCAATTCCCAGAAAAAACTTTTCTGCATTTCCTTTCTGAGCTCTATCCTATCTCAAATCCTCTCCACTCTTGCTCTGTTTCCATCGCACTATTGCCCAGGATGCCAGCAAAGCTCAGGACCCTCATCCAGCAATTCCTTCACGGTCCTCCTCAGCCTTGGGTTCATTTTCTTTGCTTGGCTCCCCATGAGATTTCTTCTGACTTCTCTGACCACTCTGTTTCCAACTCCTTGATTGGTTCCTTATGTTCCAGATCTCCCTTAAATACTGAGAAGGTCGAGGGCCTCAGGGCCTGTTTCTCAGTTCTCTTCTTAATCTTCAGTCACTCTTATGCAATCTCCATCCCATCTCCCACTGGGGGCCTCCAAATTTTGTCTCTTGCCCCGACTCCCACCCTAAACTCCGTATTTACATATTTCTTATTTCCACCTGGATGTCTAATAGGTCCAGTTGAGCATTCTAAGCTGAAGGAATTTGAAAACAATGGCAGAAGCAGGAATGTCACTCTGACCTTTCCCCACCCTTCTCCCCTGAAGAGGTCATAACACCTAGGACAGATGCTCTGGCCTTCCCCTGAAGCAGGCCACCAGAGCCTCACATGAGACATGGCTTCCCTATCCCTGGAGGAAAGGATGTTCTTATGTTTGAGGACACAAGCACACAGAGGGGACTCTGAGCACACAGGCCTTGCTAAGTCTCCTCCACCAGCCAGTTCATTGCCATTGGCTCATACTAATGGTATGAGTATTTATCCAGTCATACTTGTCCAAAGCTATCCACTTCTTCCTCAAACCTAGCATAAAGAATGCATAAAAAACACACAGATTCTCCTGTTTCTTTGAGTCTTCATTTCTGAAAGCTCCATGTCATGTAAAACTGACATCAAATCCACATGCATGCTTTTCTCTTGTTCCTCTGTCTTTTGTTAGAGGAGCCTCTGCCCTGAATCTCAGGCAGGTGAGGAAAGAAACCTCCTCTTCTACAGGCCCCCACTTGTAGCATGCCCATATCTGAACTCCCCACCCTGGGCACACTCCTTCAGAGTCCAGGCATGGTGGCCTCAGACATCTGTCTATCCTTTTTGATTGGAAGTCCTGCCTTTTGTACCTGAGTCATTTTCCTGGGTCTGACAACTCATTTTCTCTACCAGTGTCTCCCTCATTCGAGCCACTCTCTTCTCTTGCCTGGACTTTGGACAGGTCTCCTCTCTCAGGCTGCCCATCCATTCCAAAGTGGCCTTTGAACAACACCGCATCTGCCATTTGCTTGTGTTTCTTTTTCTTTTTTTCTCTTTCTTTTTTTTTTTTTTTTGGTGACAGAGTTTTGCTCTTGTCATCCAACTGGAGTGCAATGGTGTGATCTCCGCTCACTGCTATCTCCACCTCCCAGGTTCAAATGATTCTCCTGCCTCAGCCTCCCGAGTAGCTGGGATTACAGGTGACTGCCACCACACCGAGCTAATTTTTGTATTTTTAGTAGAGATGGGGTTTCACCATGTTGGCCAGGCTGGTCTTGAACTCCTGGCCTCAAGTGATCTGCCCACCTTGGCCTCCCGAAGTGCTGGGATTACACTTGTGTTTCTAAAGCATGGCTCCCCTGCCCTCTCAGGAGGCCCCAGGCTCCAGCTGTGTTTCTGACGTCCTGTCTGCACTCTCTGGTTCCAGGGCATGGCTTCACCACAGCGGCTTACTTGCTGTTCCTGCTACCTCAGCATCTTTGCAGCTAGTGTTTTGTCTGACTGGAACTCTCTTCCCCCAGTCTGCGTCTGTTCATTCAGATCCTGTCCCAGCGTCCCATCGTCCCACCTTGCCTGACTATCCGATGGCCCTCCATCCTGGCTACTCTCTCGGTCCTCACCCTGCTTGGGCTTCCTGTCTGGCATGTGTATCTACCTGACCTTGCGTTATGTATTAATTCACAGGGGCAGGAGCTTTGTGCTGTCCTAAGCTGGACTCTAGCACCCAGCTCTGAGACATAGGAGGCACTCAGCAGTTGTTAAATGAATGACTATTTCTGGGTGCCATGTGCTTCATTCACTGAAAAGATGAATGGATTTTTTTTTTTTTTTTGAGCAGGCACTGGGTTTGTTTTTCATAGGGGAGTCGGGAAATAGATAATTCCGGAGGAAGCAGAAGGAATGTTTAGCTGAAGAGTGTGGTAATGAACAGCACGGGGCTATCAGCCTCCTTGAGCTAATGGTGGTTGCTTCTGCAAACAGGCAGAGGATGGCTGAAAATACCTTGGGGTGAGCAACAATGGACTTGCCGTGCCATGCCATTAACATAGGAAGTCCTTGAGGGCTTGAACAATATCCCAGCTCTAGAACAGGATTCCCAGAAAGAGCAAGGCAGTACCTCTCTGCAGCACCAGGGGCGTTTGGATGCGGAATTAGTGCAGGGGTCTTTACCAGGCACTAAGCAAGAGCCCTGAGTTAGGAATATGACAGAAGACCAGTTGTCACAACTGGGAAACAAGTCCATGGCCTGGCCAACAGCCCTGCTAACTTAATGTTGAGCCCCAGAATATGAAGCCAGTGATTCTTCAATCCACTTCTCTGTTTCAGGATGAGTCCTAAAGAATGAACCAAGATGGATCCCACTATCCTGGGTGACTGAGAGCCTGTCAAAGGTCTCCAGTTGTGTGAGTGGAAGGCTTAAGGCTTTTGTGAGTGGACCAGGCATGGCCTAGTAGTGTGCTGTTTTGTGGAAATTCCTCACGTATGAAAATTTTGCAAAAGTGAGGCATGATAATGAAAATACTGTGGTACAGAGGAGAGAGAATTTTGGATTCATAAACCCTGAGTT
The DNA here is from genome assembly GCF_000001405.40 of Homo sapiens. Taxonomy (NCBI): domain Eukaryota; kingdom Metazoa; phylum Chordata; class Mammalia; order Primates; family Hominidae; genus Homo; species Homo sapiens. The sequence goes on from NC_000007.14 coordinate 51,460,475, forward strand.
CAGCCTTGGTGCCAAGTTGCATTTATTGTGTGACACTGAGTTTGGTCATGTGGCTTCTTCGAGCCTCAATTTTCTCATTTGTAACATGGGCATAACCGCACCTTAATTTCTTCCATCTCAGGGTAGCGTTTCTGATGCTGTATGAAACAATGGCCTGCTGGCTAATATGTGTTATGAAAAATGGGTTTGATAATCAAAGAAGCCTGGGAAAGTCTGGGTAAGATGAAGCTAAAGAGGCTTATCTATCCTTCCCTTTGGCTTCTCAGAAACTGTTGTTGGCAAGTATGCTTTTTGAATTTCCATGAAGAGTTTTCATATGCAGCATTTGTCAAACTTTTGGACTGCAGCCTCCCCCCTCCGTTTCCTTCCTGCCACATTTATTAATCTCTCCCTAAAGAGCATTTCAAGGAACACCGTTTAGGAAATGCAGCCGTGGAATAATAAAGGAACAGACTCACTGAGAGTGCATTGTGTGCCTGCAAACTGCAGCTTGTTTATAGTACTAACGCTGCGAAGGAATACTGGGATGCTTGTTTCTAAAGGAGATTTGAAGCAAGCTGGCAGGCAGCACTAGGTGGAATAAAAAGATAAGTTCATAATAAAAAGATGTATGCAGAAAGGTGTTATTATCTGGGCTCGAGACCCAGCACGCTGCCGCAAGAGCTGACCTCTAAAAGATGACTGCTCCTCCCAGAGCCACAAAGCAATGTGAACAGGTAAGGGAAGAAGACGTGAGCCTTGTGGTTGCTCTTATGGATGAAGCCTGGATTTCCTGACATACATCATAGGACTTGAATCTGAAACTAAAAGTATTTGCTAGTTTGAAAAGCTGGGAAAAAGAATCTGAGATCCAAACTAAATTGCTATAACTTAACAAATATTAAAATAAATAGGCTGGGCATGATGGCTCACACCTGTAATCCCAGCACTTCGGGAGGCTGAGGTGGGTAGATCACGAGGTGAGGAGTTCAAGACCAGCCTGGCCAAGATGGTGAAATCTGTCTCTACTAAAAATGCAAAAATTAGCCAGCTGTGGTGGTGGGCGCCTGTAATCCCAGCTGCTTGGGAGGATGAGGCAGATAATTGCTTGGACCCAGGAGGTGGAGGTTGCAGAGAGCTGAGATCACGCCACCGCACTCCAGCCTGGGCAACAGAGCGAGACTCCATCTGAGAAAAAATAAAATAAAATAAAATAAAATAAAATAAAATAAAATAGTTGTATGGAGCTACTTTATCCTAGATAACAATGGCATTGATCTGATCTAGGAGAGGCTTACAGCTGACACTGCCCCTTTCTCTACTGTGGAGAAGGATGTGGGAGACCACGTTTTGTAGTGGGGCAGCTATCTCTCAACTGTGTATCAACTCCAGAATTTACCAGCTTTGAAACCCTGGATGAATTAAGTAATGATTTTTGAATCTTAGTTCCTTTATCTGTGAAATGGGGATAATTTCCTTAAGGTAGAGCTGTTTTTGCCTCAGTTTATAATCTGAAACTCAGAAGGGAATCTAGGCTTAAGTGCAGGGTCAGCACTGTCAACATTTTGGGGCCAAATACTTTTTTGTTATGGAAGACTGTTACATGCATTGTAGAATATTTAGAACGTAAGTTTCTAGATGCCAGTAGCACCTACTCCCTAGTTGTGACAACCAAAAATGTCTCCAGAAATTGTCAATGTCCTTTGTTGGGAGTGAAATAGCCCCTGGTTCAGAACCACTACTCTATAAAAAGATTAAAGTTATGACATTTCTCAGAACTCCTATTTCAAAAACAAAAGGCTCCAGGGGAAAAGATGATTCAGGGCTAAATCTTTTGAGAATGTAAGGACAGATGTTTCTACTATAATCTTCCTCTGGTTTTATCCTGAACTTGGCTTGATATTTTGTACCTATAGACTAATGAATAAAGCTAACAGTAGCAACGTGATTTATATAAAAGACAGTGACATGGGAGAGGGCAAAATCAAACGCACTGACAGATGTAAGTGTGTGGCCAAGCAGGAGATAGGATGAGGTAGGCACAATTGTCCTTGCTTCTGCACCTCTTGTAGATTTCTTTAATAAGTGCATTTTCAATTGTTGTAGGCATATCAATAGAAACAGAATGTCCCTGAATTAGTGGCATTTGATTCCATCTCGCTTTTGAGCAAGAGAAAGGCTTCTCGTTTCCTGACACCACCAGCATCATCGTTAGCAGAGGCTTTTCACCCACTCTTATCAGGGTAAAAGAAGAACAAGTCCACTCAAAGCAGCTGTGTGGCTGGTATGGAAGCTTTCTGTCCTTATAGATAGTGTTGTCTGTCAGTGTTACCTCTCATTATTTGATGCTGTAACTGGCACCTGTCATATAATACTAAGTGTATTCTCCATTTAATCAATCATTTATAGCTATTTCAAGTGATGAACGTTGTGTGCTATAAAACATTCTGTGGCTCCAGTATGTCTACTTTTCTGCATCTTTCTTGTGGAAATTCCAGCCACCAGCATCTTCCACCTAGATTACCAGCATGGGTTTCCACTGTGCTCCCTGTCGTGGTCTTCAGGCTGTCTGTTCCTACAGTTCCACAAGCGTGATCTTCCTGAAGTGCAATCCTTTGCTGTTCCTCTGCTAACAAACCTTCCATGAACATCCATTGCCCTCTCTATGAAATCCATATTTTTGGAGAATGGCATGGAAAAACCCTTCATGGTTTATATCTGAACTCGTGTTTTATCATTTCCTGCCTCAAAGTAGATGCTCCACCTTGTCTCTACTAGTTGTAATATCCTGAGTATGCCTTTCTTTCTTATTTTTTTAAAAAAATTTTACTATTGTGGTTAAGAAAGCCCTTCTTTCTGTCTGAAATGTCTTCTATGCTCTTCCCCTCATTCCTTTCCAGATTAATTCTCACTCCTCATTTGGCTGTTAGCTTACTTGTCACTCCTTTCAGAAAGCTCTCTCTCATTTCCCAGCAATATAGTGCAGGGCCCAATAAATATTTCCTAAATGAAAAACTTAACAAAGTACAAAGAGAACTGGAAGAGCCCAGGTCACAGCGTCACCTGTGTTCCTAGACATAAGTGAATGGAGTTGAGAGGTTTCAGGTGGGAATAATCAACAGTGTTAAATATGACAAAAAAATCTGTGCCAAGGAACAGATCCAGAAAAGTCTCTACTGCACTTCTTAATTAGAGGCATCAGTGAAAGTCATTTCAGTAGAATGATCTGGAGGGAACTCTGATTATTGAGGACTGGGGTAGGATTGGAAATTAAGGAATTGTCATTATGAAGTGCAGATAGATTGTCTTAATCTGTTTGGGCTTCCATAAAAACTTACCTGAGACTGGGTAATTTACAAATAATAGAAATTTATGGCTCACAATTCTGGAGGTTGGGAAGTCCAAGATCAAGATGCAGGCAGATTTGATGTCTGGTAAGGCTGCTTTCTGCTTCCAAGATGGTGCCTTCTATGTGTCTTCACATGGTGGAAGGAGCAAGGCTGCTCTTGTCCAACTCTTTCATAAGGGGCCACTAATCACTTCCTAAAGACCTCAGCTCATAACACTATTGCAATGCAGGTTAGATTTCAACTTTTGAATTTTGGGTTGGGGGATTCACTAAATTCAAACCATAGGGCTGATTTTCATGAATTTTGGATCAAAAGGTAAGGAGACATTTTAGATACCCCAAAATGCCAATCCAAGGAAGTGTTGTAAAAAAGACAAAGAAGGAGAGTTGAGCATACACAAGGGGATGGAGATGGAGAGAAGTGGGTTATGTCATGGAAACTCAGCAAGGATTGTCCTCTATGGTGGTATCCTGAAATTGGCTTGATATTTTGTACCTATAGACTAATGAGTAAAGATAACAGTGGCAAAATGATTTATATACATGATAGAGACATGGGAGAGGGCAAAACCAACCCCACTTACAGCTGTGAATAAGTGTGTGGCCAAGCAAGAGGTAAGATGAGGTGGGCACAGACATCCTTGCTTCTGCACCTGCCATAAGCCATGGTCAGCATGATAACCTCTTTCTGGCACAGCCCATGTTTCCATTGCCCTCAGCAGTGTCTTGACTGGTTAGAGCTCCTTATGGTGGGGTGATCCCTTTGCTTTCTGAAGGGTTTGGTGCCTTGATAGTCATGGAACTACAATATTGCTATAGTTTTCTTTGAGTGTTAACATTGGGTGTCCACCTTTGTAGTACTAGGAAAATATACAGGACCTCTCAGATCCAGATGCACTTTCCCTTCTCCACTTTATATATCCTCATATCCCCATTAACGATCAAGCCCAATTACTCCAGTCGACAGTGTAGGCTCTCTTTTGTATCTTTTTCTTCCTACTGTCACAAGGGACCTAAACCGCCTACAATGGTCTCAGCCTTCGATTCAGTAGAAGCATTTTTCCATCACCTGGTTGAAACATTTTTGCTCTGAGTGCCAAAATGCCTAAACCAGCAGAGCTCAGAGCTGCAGAAATGGGGGTTGAGTGGGGGATAAAAAGAAGAGTGTGCACAGTGTACTCCCATCATCACCTCCTAAAAGCTAGACTCATGTTTCTTGGTTATGAGAGGAACAGCAATTCCTACCCCTTTCATGATGAAAAAGGTCAACATAAGATACACAGAAAGCCCTGTTCTATTGGATGAACCACAGGGATATGGGTCCCTAGTGGTTGCATCAGTTCAGAGCCAGTTTCCAACAATCTCTCATTAGTCTAGTTATTTCCCTTCTCACAGCACTTAGATACTTTGGAAAATAAATGAGATTCCTTTGGGAAAGGCTTGGGAGAATATTTGCAATATATGTTGCACAGGAAGAACTCCACATGCTTCCTCAGCCTTGCCAGCCCTCCCTTCCAAGGGGCTCTGGGCCTCTCTAACAGAGTTGGGGAGCTGTTGACCAATATTTTTTCACCCCTTACATTCATTACAGTGCTAACGAGGAAGTGGTTGGCCAGCAAGGGAATATATCTTCAGGCCATGCAACTTATTTCGACTAATGCTGTGTAGTAATCCCAAACCAAGGCTTCCGAGAAGCATGACACCTACGCTATGCACTTATTCTCCTCCTGGCAGCTGGATGAAAATGACAAGGCCCTGGAGAATGGTAGAGGCAAAAGATAGAAGAATGCTGAATTATGGCATGAAGGAGAGCTGCCCACCAACCAGGACACTCTCATTTGATGTTATTTGAGCGAAGGAATCCAAATGTTAGAGAGAAAGAGATGCTAGAGTGGATTTATAATATTTGAACATTCATCCCTCCCTTATTTTGTTAAAGCACTGAAATTTGGGGGTTTATGTTATTACTGCAGCCTCATCTGCCATAATTAAGATAGTCTATGAACAGAACAAGATGCAGGATGATGGAAGGCCATGGGTGCTTCAGTCTCTGTTTAACAAGCTTGCCATGTACATCAAGGGAGATTTCAGGTTTAGTCTTAAGTTCCTCACCTGTTTCAGCTCTAGGAACTCTATTCGATTAAACCTCACTCCCTTCCCCAGCACTCCCTAGGATCAGTCCCTTTTGAGTTGCACCCCAGCTCTGCTGCCTATTCCAGTAACAATGATTTCTTGTCTCTAGTTTCTAAGCTTGTTACCCAAAGAATATGTAATCACCACTAATACCAGACAGTCCACTAATGGGATGTCTGCCACTTTTATCCCTGACTGCTGGGGGATCATCATCACTGTTCCTCAGAAACACTGGTACTGAGAGGCCTCTCTGATGCTTTTCTTTATGTTGCAGAGTTGGAGAAAAATAAATGCTCAGATATGATGAAAAATACTCCAACATTTCTGTCTCCCAAATGCTTGGATTTCATCTTTTATATTACATTAAAGAATCTCTAGTATCTCATCTTATTTCGTATGACTGTCCTTCAGTTCAAATTTTAGTTGACCAACCTAGCAAGCAATTAGCATCTTGTCTGCACCAGCTGCTGGAGCTCAGACTTGAAGTTTGAAATATCAAACAAATCCATAACTATAAATGCATTTATCTTAATCTAAAATTGCATAACTCCTTCCCTGGTCTAATGCCTTCAGATTCCAGTTTCACATCTAGGTCATGGGTTTTTACAGACATCCAATGGCAAAATCATATTGTCTTAGGGTATAAGTCATTTCTGGGGTTTGCCTTTGGTCTCTGGAGCAGGTGGGATTTGAGTAGAGGCCTAGAGGTTTCCCTTTCAAGCTAATTTCCACAGCAAGGCATATGCAGGGTTGTCTATCAAGTCAGGAGGAGCTGCAGAGGAGGAGGGGCTGCTCCTACTGGCGTGGTAACATAGTGGGTTTGGGTTAAGAAGCTCTCAGTTAGCTTTTAGGGGTCTATCCCTGCATGGCTCATGTATATACTTACTGGAGGGCCTCTTGGCAGCCAGGACCTTGGTTCCATCCTATAAAGCTTGTATCAATGAAGCAATGTAATATGAATCTCTGTTATTAGGATGCTGGTGTTGGGGGAATGGGGTGGGCATCCCTGAGCATGCATGAGCCCAGCTCCCTGTGCACCAGGCTATCCTAAAGAGGAGCATGACCACATGGAATGCTGGATCCCATGGCAGAATAAAAGCAACCTTAGAGCCCCTTTGTAGGGAGCACTTCAAAACTGAAGCACTCCGCAGCCTCTGCAGACAGGGCATCAGATGCTGGAAGTCTGCCTTTCGTGAAAAAGGGAAAAGGAAGTAGAAGACCCTCACGTGTTTCTCCCAGTAGGGTACTTTGGGGATTCATATGCTGGAGCGCCTGACACAGGCTTAGTTCTGAGAATGCTCCTTATGTGAGTCCCTAGTGCCTTTCTTGTCATTTGAAGGCAGGCCCCATGGGACATGTTTTAATATCCTCTCCATACTTCAGATTTTCCTTGGCCGCATTTCTCTGCTTCTTCAATCTTCCGCTTCGTGTGAACTCCACCTCTTCTTGTACACCTTCCTTAGAAACTTCCATCAGAATGAGTCTGAACTTAGTTTGTTTGGGCTGCTATGACAAAACACCTTAGACTGGGTAATTTACAAACCATAGAGATTTATTGCTCACAGTTCTGGAGGCTGAGAAGTCCAAGTTCAAAATGACAGCAGACTTGGTGTCTGCTGAGGGCCTGTGCCTCAAAGACAGTGCCTTCTGGCTGCATCCTCTCATGTTGGAAGGGGTGAATGAGCTCCCTCGGGCCTCCTGGATAAGGACATTAGTCCCATCATGATGTCTTTATCATCTAATCACCTCCCAGAGGCCCCACCTCCTAAGACCACCACATTGGAGATCAGGTTTCAACAAATGAATCTGGGGGGACACAGGCATAAAACCCTAACACACACCAAGTTTCCTAGCATCTGTGCTGTGGTTACCACCACCTTCATGCTACCACAGAACATGTCTGACGTCACCCCAGGTTTGTCTTCCTGCCCAAGTTCTGTCTGTGGTCTCTTTTTGCCTGTTTTTTTCAGCCCCAGATGTCTTCCTGCCTAGTCTGCTGCTAAGGCCACTGGTTTTGTTATATGCTTTAAGTGCTCCAAAAGGAATTTCCAAGATGGCAACACAACCTGTCCATCTTCCCACTTTGGGCAGTCTCTAACATCAGAGATGGTGAGGAAGGCATCATTTCTGTTCCCCAGACCTTCAGCCCCTGAGCTGAAGGCCTCAGCCCCAACTCCAGCATGTCTGCCAGAGGGAATGTCAGTGAGAGGCCTGTTTCCCTCAAGCTGCCTCATCAGTTCTTTTGGTTTAATTTTTATTTCAGAAAATTTCAATCATATCCAACTGCAATCAGTACCAACCATTTGTCGTTTTTCTTTCAGATGTCCCCTATTATTTTTGCTAGAACATCCCAGATATATATCATTTAACCAGTAAATACTTTAGTAGGACTCTGTAATAGACAAGCTTTATTCTCAATACTGTGATCACTTCTAGTGATATTGATAACAATTTCTTAATATGATTTCATGCCCACCCTGTGTTCAGTTTTCTTTCCCTGTCACATAAAAGTTTTTTCATGTTTTATTTATTTAAATCAGGATCCAAACTAGGTCCACCCTTCACAGTTCATGTGCTCATTGGAACCCTTTATTTCTTGTAAATCTGTAGTCGGACCTAGAGGCTTGCTCAGATGCTGATTGTTTTTTCTTGTTTTGGCAAGAAAGTTTCACTAGGCTGTGTCCCTATCCCATCAGCACAGGAACATGGGATATGCCGTGTCCCTGTCCCACTGAAAGACACATGGCTTGCTTGTCCATTTTACCAATGATGACACAAGTCAGTGGGTTCAGGTGGTGTCAGTGTGATTATGCAAACTAAAGTTCCCCATCTCCCTTTTACATGATAGTTTAAGCAGTCATGGATGGCTACCACCTAGACCCATCATGTCACGAGTGATTTCAGAATGGTGAGCCTTCAAATTCTAAATTTCAGCCTGAATTTATGATGTGGATTCTTCTCTAAAATTATTTCCTTCAACAATTTTTTGTCATGAAAAACAGTTTGTTGGCTTGGTGCGGTGGCTCACACCTGTAATCCCTGCACCTTGGGAGGCTGAGGTGGGCAGATCACCTGAGGTTGGGAGCTCAGGACCAGCCTGACCAACATGGAGAAACCTCATCTCTACTAAAAATACAAAATTAGCTGAGCATGGTGGCGCATACCTGTAATCCCAGCTACTCGGGAGGCTGAGGCAGGAGAATTGCTTGAATCCGGGAGGTGGAGGCTGTGGTGAGTTGAGATTGCACCATTGCACTCCAGCCTGGGCAACAAGAGTGAAATTCCATCCCGCCCCCACCAAACAAAAAGAAAAGCAGTTTGTCCAAGGCAGATGAGATAGTTGCTTGATTCTGTTTACATAATAATCAATGCTCCAGCGATCTCCAATGAGAAACAAGCATTTTTGTTTGTTTTTATATTTGTATTTTGGTGCATTTTTGGTTTTTTGAGTATGACTTTTATGTAACTGATGTATTTAGATACATTATAATTATTATTCATTTGGAAGACTCAAGCTGTTTCTTTTGAGCCCCTTCAAGATGACATCTCACCCCTTTGGATATGATCCCAGTAGTATTTGACAATTTCTTTGCTTTCTGGTACAACAAAATCTCGCAGGTTCTTTTTCTACATTTCCTGCCCCACCCATTTCTCCCTGGCCCTTGATCTCTGTGGATGGGAAATGTGTTTATGGACAATTTGGATATCAGGGGCTGCTCATGAATGCTGGATTGTCATTGTTTTCAGTCCTTTCCAAAAGCTAACAAATATATAGGGGAGAAACATAAAACAGGGGTTGATCCTAATATTTCCAATTCAAACCTGGCATTGCCAGGATGATGCTTGAATTATTTGATTTTATCCTTGAATCTGCTTCTATTTGAATATTGTTTTTAATGAAAATTGATATAATTATTTGCTTTGTCCTGCTACATATATGCATTTATTTGTATAAATATAAACACACCACCAATACTACAACAATAAAGCTGGTGACTGTAGTTTAAGGGTTGTCTGTGGAGTTCTTCTTACTCTTATGCTACATTCCACTGAGGTTGCAGAGTCAAAATAATGCATTTTCAAGCCCCTCGAGATAATTCTGCTCTGTATGGTCGTACCACTAACATGAATTATGGTTAGCTTCTATTTGTTTTGGATAGTTTTACAACTTTTAGGGATTTTTAGAAAATATGTTTAGTTTATTTTGGTTTGTGTTTGTAAAATATTTACACGGTTCTAAAGTCAAAACTAAAACAAGGCACACTCAGAAGTCTGGCTTCCTTCTCAGCCCCCTCTCTCAGTTCTTTTACTACCCTGAAAGACAATGTCCATTTGATTCGTTTTTGGTTTATCTTTATACTGTTTTTAAGTTTATAAAGTGTACACATGTATATTATAGTACATGTGATATATAATGCATAGTGTATACAAACACATTCATGTGGATTTTTACATCGTTAACACAGAGGGCAGCCTGCTATACGCACCAGTCTGCACTCTCCTTTTCCTTTACAGCACAGACTGGAAAACCACACTCCAGATGTACGTGGCGAGGGCGCTCTTCCTGCTTATAACTGCATGGGGCTGCATGGGGGTGGGCATGGCCCCATGTAATCCCCTGGCAATGGATGTGAGGGTTGGCTCCAGCCATTTGCCTCACTATGCTATGATGTCCAGCTTTGTGCACAGGCTGGTGCTTACTTGGCCTATTTGAGATAACTCCCGAGAAGGAGGATGGGGTTGGTCAAAGGGCAAATGCCTGTGCCAGTGGGCTAGACGGGAGGCCTATGTACTGTATGAAGATAAACCAAAAACGAATCAAATGGACATTGTCTTTCAGGGTAGTAAAAGAACTGAGAGAGGGGGCTGAGGAGGAGGCCAGACTTCTGAGTGTGCAGGGCACCCACAGGGCTCTGCTTTTTTCTATTCTGTGGCTCTTTCCCAGGGACTTCTCAGGCTGTATGTTTCTCCCCCCATTGTTTTTAGGCAAATGCATTGTATATTTCATATATGTACACGTATGTATATACACACAGAGATACATATGCATGTGTGTACATCTCCCTCCTCTGTGTGTGTGTATGCAATGTGAGTATATATAAAATCTCTTGTAAATAGCCTCGTGGTTATGCCCAGACACAGCTGAATCCTAATGAGACAACTTAGGCTTAATTTGAAAACCAATGACACTTGTTTCTTAAATGGTAAAGCTCAATAACATGACAATCAAATCTTGTAAAAACGTTTCTTCCTTTTCTTCTTTTTAGAGAATCCCTGGATTTGTAAGCCGGGAACGCAACCCCAGGCGACATGGAGACCAGCAAGCAGTAACCTGGCAACCGAGCGTGGATGCTGGCAGAGGAGGCTCTCTCCTTCGACTCCTGCCCCTCCTTCCCCTCCCTCACAGGCGCAGATTGGGGGCGGAGGCGCAGGGCTGCCTGCGGTTCTGAGCGGGAGCTGTGCACATCTAGGCTGAGGGCCTTTCTGGTACAGCCTTCCGCGGCCGTCAGTGCTGCTTCTGCCCCAGCTCCCATGGCAGGTAACGGGCTCCCCTTGGCGCCATGTTTGAGGAGAACCGCCCAGGGCTCCCTTCCTGTGGTGGGGAGAGGGTTGCACTGTTTTCCACAGTGTCAGTGAGTCGCCCTGGGCTGACAGGCTTTGCTCTTCCCTGGGCGGTGGGGTCTGTCTCTCGGGGAACACAGAGCCTGGGTTTGCGTGAGTCAGGAGGATCACCTGTTTCACTACCAAAGGTGACATGCGGAGGAGCTGCTATCTCTACCTCACCCAACGTAGAGTGCTCCAGAAATCTTTCTTTCCTAGCTAGAAACTAACGACTTGAGAATTCTGTAGAACAGCAGCAACAAAAATCTCTTTGCAGCAGCGTTGACCACGTGAATTGTCTTGGACGCAGCAGCAGCGTTGGGCGTTGAATTCACTTTGCCGGGCACCTCGCGGGTCTGATGTCCCACGTGTGGTAAGGGAGACACAGCTCCTGGGAAGTTCAGTGCCTCTCCCTGGAGACAGTTGTGGGCATCTGCATCTGCACGGGGGAAAGGTCCAAAAAACGATGTGGAGGAGACACGGGCAGGAAGGCAAGCGGAGCAGGCATCTTTAGACAGGAGGAAAAGACTGATCTCGAGTAAAGTTACCAGTGCTAGCAACAAGGAATGCAGGCGCGGCAGGAGGCAGGACTCGGGATGAGGGCTTGGAAGGGCGGGAGGGAAAGGACACGCTCAGACACCTCTGAATCCTAATGGGGCTGACAGGTCAATCTGAGAGCCAGTGGCACGGTGTTCTCAAGTGGAAAACTCAAGAACAGGACAGTCAAGTCTTTTCTGGAAACACTGCTTAGGCTAGAAAAGGAGGGCCCCTGTGCTGGGAGGAGGATCTATGCCTTAGTTGGTAGTGATATATAATACATCTCAAAAAAAAAAAAAAGTTACCTTTTCAAGATCTATAGACCAAAAAGGTGGGTTAAAGTATAGAGATGAGATGTATTCTTTGTTTTTCTCCCATTCTGAGAAAATAAACATCATGAATTAAAATATTGGTAAATGTGGGGTAGTTTTTGATTCTGAGCATAAGCCCTTGTGGTTCATTTCAGTTTCTTACCAGCACCCAGGGCAGCAAGGCCGGGTCTCACTGGCAGGATTATTTCTGAAGCTGTATTCTCCCTTAGCATTTGTGAAATCGACCTCCCACCCCCTCCAAACTTGATTGCAAGCCTAGGGAAGGGCTACAGACAACAGGAGTGACATGGGGGCATTCTTCATCGCAGCTGAGGGTCTCCTCCTCCTGGAATGATATATGCCAAGGTTTGTCCAAAGTGGGGACATGAGGGTGGCTCACTAGGGGCCCAGTTAAAGTAGCAGTGACAGAGTCTCCCTGAACAGAAGGCAGGAAAGATGAGGTTGAGACAGACACACAGTTCTAAAGAAGAGTGCATGGGATAGGGTGATGGAATGTAGGCCGCCCCTTCTATCCAGGAACAATGTGCGTGCCCAGCCTCCACCAGGAGCATGTCCACTAAGGTGGGTGAGCCCTGAAAGGTGTGTTAGTGACATCTCCCAGAGGGAGAACAAGGCGAGGCTGCATGAGGGTCTGTATGAGAGCCAGAGCAAGCTGGTGAGGACTTCCTCTTTCTCAGGGGCTAGCACTGGAGCCTGGGGTGTCACGTGAGCCTGAGCACTGCCGAGGGGCGACTGGGGAATGGAACCAGCAGCCTCAGCCTTCCCATAGCAGGTGGCCTAAAGTCCCCTTGGAGTTGCAGGGATGAGAGAAGGGAGATGGTCTGAGAAAGCCAGGGGGCAGGACCCCTAGAAGGAACTGGAGGAAGTGGAAAGGACATGGAGTGCCTCACCGAGCTAGTGAAGTGTGCTTTTACCCATCGAATATAGAAGTATTTGATATCAGAAAAAAGAGCATCTTGTTGGCACACTTCATATGCACACTTGTGAAGGGTGCCCTCACCAGCTCAGGGGCCCCATGGAGCGCCAAGTGTCAGCACTCCTGGAGCTTCTGTGATGATGCATCCACTTCTGGAAGGAGGAAGGAATTCCTGAGGCCAAATGGGCTCTGAGAGCTGAAGGGAAAGGAGGCCAGTCAGGGCTGGTGGAAGCTGTCCCTGGCCAGTCTGGTGGTCCCTCTTCCATGCCAGGGTCCTGGGGTGCAGAGCCAACTGCCAGCACTCCAGAGAGGTGGTTTTGCTCTCAGCTTCTTCCTCATCCTTCCTATCAGATTAAGATGAGGAGTCATAGATGCCTTGCAAAGGAGTGAGGCCCACCTCTTCACCTTGCACCTCCCCTCGGGAAGATGTGAGCTCTCGTGGCCTGTGTCTCCTGCGTTTGGCCAGGGGTGGGAGAAAGAGCACCACTGAGCACCTGGTCAGGCTTGTTGGTGTCCTGGGGCCAGCATGGCAAACACCACACCTAGGCAGCTCAAGCAACAGATATTCATTGTCTTATAGTTCCGGGGGCTGGAATTCCAAGATCAAGGTGTGGGCAGGGCTGGTTCCTCCTGAGGCCTCTGTCCTGGGCCTGTAGATGCTGTCTTCTCCCTGTGTCCTTACATGGTCTTCCCTTGTGTGTGTATCTGTGTCCTAATCTCTTATAAGGACACCGTTCAGGTTAGGACTCACTATAAAGACCTCAATTTAACGTAATCACCTCTTTAAAGCCCCATCTCCAAATACAGTCCCATTCTGAGGCGCTGGGGTTAGGACTTCAACATACAAATTTTTGAGAACACAACTTAGCCTGCAGCAGTGCAGTACTCAGTACAGCTGTGGGAGCCCACTAGACGACTTCTCCCCCATCTTGGGGAGGGCACGGAAAATAGTCTCGTGTGAGAAGCTGTGTGGTCTTCTCCTTGCTGTAGAACAGAATGAGGGCAATGGAAGCAGGCATCAGATGTTGGCCTGGACATCCCATTGTGATACAGATGTCACATCCCAGTAGGTGTTAAAGACACATGTGGGCTTTGTGCTGGTACTAGGGTGGATAAGAGATGAGTAAGGTGTACTGATGCCCGTTGTGGAGCAACTGCAGTTCCATAGTGAAATAAGAGAATTCTATTCATCACAATGAAACAAAGCAATCCGGATGTCATAGGAGCTAAGAAATCTGGCAGTGGGCTCAAAAAGGGGAGAGATCACTTCCCTTTGGAGTATTAGAAGATCTTTATGGTGACAAAGAGGCACTCTTTGACCAGAACTTTATCAGGCTCCTCCGCGTCCTTTTAGACTAGGTCTGACCTTGTGTTTCCCTCTCTTTCCTTGTGGAATCCAGCTTGAGCAAGAATCTTGCTGAGTCCTTAATCAATAGAGTCCCACCCTTGGGATCTGACCACCCTCTGTGTCTCGTCACCCTGGCTTGACCTCAGCACAAGTCTCATTGAGTGGGTCTAACAACATTCCCCTTGTCCCTGTGATTTCCTCTTAGTAATTTTCCATCACCGCCCACTGCCTACTTCTAGGCTGCAAATCCCCTCACCCATGCTGTGCTCAGAGTTGAGCCCAGCCTCTCTCCCCACAGCAAGCCCTCGTTGCAGTGGTCCCTACACTGATCACCATGCACCCCCTGAATAAAGTCTGCCATACCATTTTTTACCAAGTGTTTGGATAAATTTTTCTTTAACAATAAGTGAGAAAATAGCATTAACAACAGGTGTTAAATGATGCATAGTACAATTAAGATAGAAGAGTAGATGGGTATTTCTTTTAGGTGGAAGGAAATAATGATTATTTATTGGGCCTCTACTATATGCAATGTGATTTGCTTGTATTACTTTGGTGACTCTTCATGTTAATCCAGTGAGGACGGCCCTATTATCACCATTGGACAGCTGAGGAGCTGATTATCAGAGAGGGAAAGGAGTTGCCAAAGTCCTTGAGCTAGCATGGTGCTGCTCTCCATTGGACAAGGGCTCACAGAGTTCTCCCCACAGCAACCCCCTCTGAGGAGCAGCACAGGCCACGTTCTAGAGGGGACACAATGGGCTAGCCTGGGGATGGGCCAGTGGTATTGAGGGACACAGTGCCTCTATGATGGTGCCTGATGTTGTCTGGGGATGAGAGTGGGGAGCACAGGTCTTCTTGTAACAGTGGGTCTCCTAGGGAAGTACCCCTGAATGTCCTGGAAAGCCCCCAAACTGATTTCTGCACTCAACTCCCAGAGATCTGGATCAAGGAGGTCTGGGATGAGGCAGATAATTTGCATGGCTAACAGGCCATGGTCCAGAAACTGCACTTTGCAAACCACCACACTAGAGAAGAGAAGGAAGAGACTCACAAGGACACAAGTGACTCAATGTCTAGAGTGGCCAAGAAAGAATACAGAGAAAATCGGAGAATTGTGTGAACATTCAACTTAGCGATTTATTAAAACTCAGGGATGTTTGCGTGAAGAGGGCTGTAACTGGGAATCTTTTCATTTTTTTTCTCATTTACACTCTCAGGTACGCTTTAAAACTCCGGTGAAATGTGTATCTCTCACTAGGCCAGAGGCACCATGTTGGGTTGAACCCTGGGTCTGAGGGTGGGTTAGGATGTCCACAGCAGGGTTGCTGGAGGCTTGACGCCAGGTCTGCAGGCCTCTCTCGGGATTGGATGCTGGGTCTGGATCAGTCCTGGGGGTGCTCTGCCCCATAGGGGCCTGGAGTCTGAGCGCGGAGTCCTTTCTGAGACCCCAGAGAAACCCGGGCTCTGATTTTACCATGTGCTTATTTTAAGCCCTAACCGCCAAGGGGCCCTTTCTAAAGTGCTTCCCCAGGAGGCCAGATCGACGTTCACACCGCGGTCGGCTCCATTAGCACTCAGGCCCCTGCTCCCCCAGGAGATGGAATCAGGTCATGGAGTTCAGAGCAGCTGGCACAGGGGCTGAGTGAAAAGTATCCTTAGTTAACGAGGCCCTCCTTTAAAGGTCAGCTCATAAAACTAATCAGTCCAGTGCTTCCGCTGCAAAGTTCGCCCTCCTCTCTGCAAATTCTCATTTCCTTCTGGGTTGACAAGTTGCTAGCCATCGGCCCTGGGATGGCTCCCACAGGGAGCGAAGGGGCCGCCTCTCGGTTGATGCCTCCATCATCACCTGCTGCTTTATTTAAAGATCTCCTGGAAGAACTCTTAGCTTATCCAGAGCGTACTTTAAAAAGAGAACTGGCTTCTTAAAAGATCATGAGTATGCCATACATACTTGAACAAAAGACTCGAGGCCAGTTATAATAAAGAAGTCATTACCTTGGGAAGAAAGGAGGTAAGGGGGAGAGGCCCTGGGAGCTGCGGTGGAGGAGAGGCTGTGGGTCCCCGCAGGCCAGGAAGGCTGGAGGCAGAGGAGGGCGCGACTCCCGCGTGTTATCAAAGGAAGTCATAAAGGATTGTTGGGGGACGCACCGTTTTCTCAGCCCAAGCTAGGTTGCTTTTTCCTTCTTAAGACTTTAGATATGTCGCAGTGAACCCCAGAGTCATCAGTATATTGACGGAATGTTAAAAAAAAAAGAGACAACTTTTGACAATATATGATATAGCTATTTGCCTTGAAAAAAGAGCTGAGGGCCCTGTGACGCCCACGTCATAGCACTACCAAGATAATCACTTGTGTGAGAGAATGTGAAACTGAGTTTGTGTTGTGTTATAGTGTGTGCGTTTGTGTGACAGTGTGTCAGTGTGTGTGAATGTGTGTGACAGTATTCGTGTGCAAGTGTGTGTATTTTGAGTAAATTTGTGTAAAGTGTGTGTATCGTGTATGTGTGAATGTGTATAGTGTGTGAGAAAGTAAATGTGTATGGTGTGTGATTGCGTGAGAATGAGTGTGTATTTGTGTGTGTCGGTGTGTATGATGTATGGATGTGTGTGTGAGTTCATGAATGGTGTGTATGGTACGTGTGTGGGTGTGTGAATGGTGTGTAGGTATGTGAATATGGGAGCGAGTGTGTGAATGGTGTGTGTGTGTGTGAATGGTGTGTGGTATGTGTGTGGATGTGTGAATGGTGTGTGGACGTGTGAATGTGTAAGCATGTGAATGGTGTGGGTGGTCGTGTGAGGGTGTGTGTGAGAGTATGGGTGTGTGTGAGTGTGGGTGTGTGAGACTGTGTGGGTGTGTGTGGGGGTGTGTGAGTTTGTGTGGGTGTGTGAATGGTGTGGGTGTGTGAATGTGTGAGTAAGCATGTGAATGGTGCGAAGCATGTGTGCGTATAGGTAGGTGCATGTGTGTGTATGTGTGTGTGGGTGAGTGTGTGGGTGTGTGTAGGTGCACGTGGGTGTGTGTGAGGGCGCATCTGGGTGTGTGTTTGCGGGTGTGTGTGTGTGTGTGGGCGTGTGTGGGTGTGTGTTTGTGGGTGTGTGAGTGTGTGTGTGGTGTTGTGCGTGTGCTAGTGTGTGTGTGTGCGTGTGTGAGCCTGCAGGCTCTCTGAGGAGGCGGAGATGGTGCATGTGGAATGCCGCTCTCCTGTCTTCAGCGGCTTGGCCCCCGCCACGCGGGCCTTCAGAATGGAAAGTCAGATAGCTTAGCCTCTGCTTCTCCTCTCAGCGTCAGCTGTCCCTAGCAGGCTTTTTTTCCCCCTTCAATATTTGAGGTTTGCTGGCTAAAACGGAACCGGAAAGGAATACAAAGATAGGTGCGTGCATGCTTGCTGGTCACAGGCCCTGCAGGCGCCATGTGCCGCGCTAGACAGCCGAGGCTGGCAGCCGCTGCTGAGAGACATGAGCAGTTGGCTGTCAGGTGTGATGCGGGAGTGAGGGTCCTGTGGAAGACATGTGACCATGCTGACCCTTCCACGGCTGCTAGTATTCGCAGATAGGCTGGTGTGGTGCAGGGACCGTCAGGGCATGGGGTGGGGGGTGAAAGTTCTTAGTTTTCAAATACTTTCCCTAGGAGTAGGGTGGCCAGGTGAAATACCAGTGTGTGATGTCCGCATACCACTGTGTGCTTGCACCTGGCTCCGTGACTACTTCAGCCATACTTACAGTAAATATGATTTGTTCTTTACTGAAATTCAAGTTGACCGGAGTCTCCTGGGTTTTTTTTTTTTTTGAGACGGAGTCTCGCTCTGTAGCCCAGGTTGGAGTACAGTGGCGCGATCTCGGCTCACTGCAAGCTCCGCCTCCCGGGTTCACGCCATTCTCTTGCCTCAGCCTCCAGAGTAGCTGGGACTACAGGCGCCCGCCACCACACCCGGCTAATCGTTTTGTATTTTTAGTAGAGACGGGGTTTCACCGTGTTAGCCAGGATGGTCTCGATGTCCTGTCCTCATGATCCGCCGGCCTCAGCCTCCCAAAACGTTGGGATTACAGGCGTGAGCCACCGCGCCCGGCCCCTGGGTTTTTATTTGCTGAGGCTGGTCATTCCACCTTGCAGCCATCCTAGCTGTGATTCTATGGGGAACCCAGGGGCTGTTTCCATGACTATCCAAGCTTAGATTTCAAGCAGTTCTTTGTCTCCACAGCTAAGGTAGCCACAGCTATTCATGGCAGCCACTTAATGACCCCATTATGTCACAGTTAGGCAGTGGCTCAGCGGGATGGATCACCTAAGTCAGGTAAGAGTGCACTTTTCATTGAGTTAGTATTAATATTTGCAATACACATTTTTTGTTATTTGATGGGGCCACGTATAAACACAGTGATCACTGTAGCCATTCTGACAGTACCTGAACAAGAGAAAATTTTAGTAAAACCCTCTCTGTTCAGAGTGGGAGCTGGTTCCCTGGCGGCTGTGCCACATGTAGGAAATGACCTGTCGAGGAGCCAGGGCTGGGCGGGTGTATTCTGGAGGGAGAAGGTGAGTGGATAAGCTGTTCTATATTTCAGTCCTGTTCTTCACCTTGGGATCACATCGAAAACATTTTCACCTACGAGCACCCCAATACTCCCTTGGGTTGCCAAACCCTCAGTTCCTGACCGCTCTGCCTCTTTCCCCGTTTCTTGCAACCTCTCCAGGGCCTGTGTGACACAGGCTTCACATCTGCACATCATGTTCATCTTGGCGAGAGATTTGTAACTGCAATTCCCGTGCTCCATCTCAGCCAGACTGAGGTCACACTGACTGCCTGTTGGCAGAAATTTCTAGTCTATTTCTTTACATTTTCTACTAGTATTATAAACAAAGCCCTCTGTCCAGATATTGTTTTAGACCTCGTTGATCTCCTAAATGACAGTGTTTTACTCATATGAATCAGATATTTAGTATCCTTGAGTAACGTCCTTACATTTATTTCTCCTCATTCTATCAGTTACAAAAAATGTATTGCATTGCCCACTGTTATTGTATATGAATCCAGTTTTCTTTGTATTCTGGCAATTTTTGAAGCTATAAGGCACATGCAAATTTAAGACAGTTATGATTGTTTTATAATCCCCAAGTAAACACTGTCAAACTGCAAAACAGGTGTCCCCTTTGTGCAACAGGCTCATCTTCTCTCTCACAGCTGCTCTCCAAGACGCATTCTCATCTTACTTGTGATGATTCTCATCTTACTTACTCTAAGTGTGAGAAGTGTCTGAGAGTCTCAGAAGTTGCAGGATGAAGGATCTTTTTTTAATAAAAGCTCACAATTGCCCTTGATTTGAGATTTTAAAATCATCCCTACCTTGATATAAAGAAAGCGAGAATTGCTAATTGTCTTCTCTCTCAGTTGTAGGAAGAATTAGGTATCTTCATATGTAAGGTTCTGAAATGACTTTTCTATTTTGCTGGATAAAAGTTCGTAAAAATTTCATGCTGTGAAGTGCACAAAATGGCAAAGGAAGGCTGTAGCTCATACATAGATGCTAATCTATTATTGATACTGTTTGTTCCAACTGTGAGTTAATGCAGTCAAGAATAGGCAAATGCAGTGATCCTGGCACTCATTTATTTTATGTGATGATGTGAAATTGTCTCCTAAACAGATGACCAGCTGTTTCAGATTATTCTGTGAATTACAGTAATTTTGGTAATTAAGAAAAAAAACTCTGATTTTTTTTTTCTTGGCAAAACCTCTAAACTGCAGATACCCTCTGACCTCCTTGGAAAGCTCCATTCTCCTATCTGTAGATAACCCAGAGGGTGATTAATTAAGCCCAATTAATACAGTCATTTCTAAAATGGCTGCTCGGATAGCTCATTATTGAGATTGTTGAAAGGACATTGCTATTTTCCTTTCTGTTTCCCGGTCGCAAATGAAAGTTGAGTGTGGAGGAGGATGTGTTGCTCCTGGGGTTTCAGTGTGGTGGAAAGTGTGGGTTTGCTGTCGGATCCACTTGGTTCTAGACCTGAGATCTCTCTGGGGAGGTTTCCTACATGCAGCCACTTCCATCTGTGGAGTGAGGCTGTTGAATTTAACTTCAGTTGCAAAGAGCTCTGTCACCACCTTGGATTTTTTAATCCCATCTCACTATTTAGCCTTGGCCATCTCTTATTTCAAGTTTCAGGATTCACCTTGCTATAGGCATGCATTTCTTTGTTTCCTGTTTCTAGTGACCTTGGAGAAGACATTGAACTTTCTGGGGACCAGTTCGCCCTTGTGAGCACTAGCCACAAAAGGTCCATCTACACCACATGCCGAGACACGCAAGTGCTTTGCGAACTTTATGACTTGGAATGCATTGTGGCTGTCAGGTGATCTGACTTGCGGTCCAGTGCCAGTGTTAGAAGCAACTGCCCTTCAGTTGTAGCTCTGTGTCTTCTCCTTGGTGATAGGCAGAAAATATATACAGCTATAGCTGTGCAAAAAGATGTAAATTTGAATTATTTGTATGCCAGAGAAGGCTGCAGCTATGGGTTTCTAAATTCAGATTTCTCAAGATGAATTGAAGCTAATGGATGTGAACCTTATAGCTTGATTTAAATTAAGTCATCAAATGCCTAATTTCTAAAAGTTTATTTGCACATTTCCAATAGAATGCTATTTGGAAAGCCAAGAGGCAGAACTGAATATATTTCCTTTGAGATAAAACCTCCTTCCTGCTCTGGGATTTCAGGTGGACCTATTCATTATCACAATGGTTGACCATTTCCCATGTGCTGAGGGCATAGCAATTTCAATAATTTTACCCTAGAGTCTATGATTTATAGTTTCATTTTCTTTTCTGACTTGTGGAACTTATACCCTTGTGTGTTCACACTGACATTTGGTAGCAACTCTGCAGAGTATATGCAGCATGGAGCACTCCGGAAGCCACCCTGGCCATGCACATTTGTCCACTGGACTTTGAGTTGTATCACATACTGGCCAGAGAAAAAAATGAGTCATCTCGGTGGGGAAATGACCACAGAGTGTTCTGCAAAGAAACCTTTTACATATGCTGAAATTCATTGCATTGTTTTTGAGAGTGCCGGATAGTTATAAAGAGATTTTAAAAAATCATTTCAAAAAACAGTAGCCATGAATTGATTTCTCCAGATTGTTCAGCTAACCTCTTTGGCCCAGAACTAATACAATAAATATAATAAATATAATTCTTACTATTTTTGAGATACTTTACATGCAATACAACCAATTTTTATAAGACTGCTGTAAAGTAGATATTATTATTCCCATTTTGTAGGTGAGTAGACTGAGGCTGGCATGTGTTCAGTAAAATTCCCAGAGTTAAAATTAATTCTTTTATCAGGAAGGATTAAAATCCAGGCCTGTCTGACTTCAAAGCCACCACACCCACCCCAGAACCTCTCACCAACCCCCCTTAGTAGTATGATCTCCCTTGTGTCTCAGGTAATGAACTAATCATGGGCTAGAGGAGAAGTCATAGACCTCATAATTCCCAGAAGTAGCAAAGGGTGAAGTTATGAACAAATCAAGGCTGGTCTCTAGGAGTAAAAACTGTATAAAAGATTATACAGTTTAATCACCTTTCCTCCACCTTACCCCAATATCGTAGTTCTCAGTTCTGCTACAGCAGCTCCATTACTCTAACTGCACTCAGCTGGTCACTTTTTATCACAAATGGAAGGTCTGAGGCTATAAACATGATCCCACCTTCACTGGGAATATATATGTCCCCAGGCATCTTGGCTGGGTATGTCTTCTCCTTGTGGATCCTTCACATTTTGTGATGCATAGCAACTTCCCATTGGCAGTGGAAGTATCTGATGTACCTGGACATCCTATAAGGCTTCCTATCACTGCCATTGATTAGAACAGATTCCTAATTAGTAGAAGACATCAGGCTCATACTAGATTTCTTAAGATGCACATCTACAAATGTGTCTTTGTGAATATCCAGCACAGTTTCAAGATGATGGCAATCTTTTTTTTTTTTCCTTTTTTTTTTTTTGGAGATGCAGTCTCGTTCTGTCACCAGGCTGGAGTGCAGTGGCGCTCTCGCTGTCTTGGCTCACTGCAACCTCCACCTCCCGGGTTCAAGTGATTCTCCTGCCTCAGCCTCCCGAGTAGCTGGGACTACAGGCACACGCCACGGTGCCCAGCTAATTCTTTTGTATTTTTAGTAGAGACAGGGCTTCATCATGTTGGCCAGGATGGTCTTGATCTCCTGACCTCATGATCCACCCTCCTCGGCCTCCTAAAGTGCTGGGATTACAGGCATGAGCCACTGA
Organism: Homo sapiens; assembly: GCF_000001405.40. NCBI lineage: Eukaryota > Metazoa > Chordata > Mammalia > Primates > Hominidae > Homo > Homo sapiens. The sequence continues at coordinate 51,482,963 of NC_000007.14, forward strand.
GCCTGGCCGATGATGGCAGTCTTAAATGTCTTCTTGTGAACTTATTAGAGCCCAGTCACAAGTGGAAAGTGGGAAAAGCATGTCACATATTCAGAAGCACAATTAAAGGAGCCAGCAGACACAAAGGCAAGATTACATGTCAACTTTCTCCCTGAGGTGTGCTGCTCAGACCAGCTGCCTTAATTGTGTTTAAGTACCTCTGTTCTCTAAAATTTCTCAATACTTCCCGCCACCCTGCTGAGTCTGGAGTCTGAGTAGAACTCACGCTGATTGGAAGATGCACTGAATGCATTCCCAGAGTTAAACCTCAACAATTACTAATGGCTCCCAGCTTTGAATGCAAAGGACCATTGTCTATTACCAAGATACAAATCTCCTTTTGAAATATCTTTATCCAAGGCCAGGTTGACCTAAATGCTAATTTGGTGAGTGATTCTGTAGGGAACTATAAACAGTTCACTTGTTCACTGAGAATAAAAACAAATTACTTAAGAAAAAGTTTGTTTTGATTCTTAATTTTTCCACTTATCATGCTGAGGGGAATTTTTAAAAGGTCAATCTTTCCCTTCCTCTGAGTTGGGACTTGGTCTTTTAATATAGAGTAATTCCCCTCTATCCTCAGGATACATTCCAAGACTCCCCTAGTGCAGGGGTTCCCAACCCCCAGGCGACGGACTGGTACTGGTCTGTGGCCTGTTAGGAATCAAGCCACACAGCAGGTGAGTGGCCGGCCAGCGAGCATGACAGCCTGAGCTCGACCTCCTGCCAGATCAGTGGTGGCATTAGATTCTTACAGAGGCGCAAACCTGTGAGCTGCGCATGCGAGGGATCTAGGTTGTGTGATCCTTATGAGAATCTAATGCTTGATGATCTGTCACCTTCTCCTATCACCCCAAGATGGAACCGTCTAGTTGTAGGAAAACAAGTTCAGGGTTCCCACTGATTCTACGTTACGGTGAGTACGTAATAATAATAGAAATAAAGTACACAATGAATGCGTAATGCTTTTTAATCATCCTGGAACCATTCGCACTGCAGGTCTGTGGAAAAATTATCTTCCATGAAACCGGTCACTGGTGCCAAAAAGGTTAAGGACCACTGCCCTAGTGGATGCCTGAAACAGCGGATAACTCTATATATGTTTTTTTTTCTATACATACATACGATAAAGTTTAATTTAAAAAATTAGGCACAGTAAGAGATTAACAGCAAAACAAATAATAAAATAGAACAATGATAACAAATACTCTAATGAGTTATGTGAATGTGGTTTCTCTCTCTCTCTCTCTCAAAATATCTTATTGTCCTATATACACACCCCTTTTCCACTTGTGATGATGTGAAATGATACAATGCCTATGTGATGAGATAAAGTATGCAGGCATTGTGATGTGGCATTAGGCTCCCATTGACCTTCTGTGTCCCTGAATCTGCGGTAAATGGTGTGTTGTCACTTGTTTCAAGAGATCCCTTACTGAAATTTTCCTGTAGGCTCAGTGTTTTCTGGTGAAATGCATTGCCATCAGTAGGAACGTGTTTCTGTTCATATCTTCTACCCACAAATTTAATGCCTTTTGCATCTTAACAAAGCACTTATTACACACCATCGCTGTAACTTTTGCAGTTAGAGGTGTGACAGCAAAACTAGCATGAATTTCTTTTGCCTTCTTCACAATTTTGTGGATGGAAGAGTCATTATTACAGTAGATCTTCGCAACCTCAGCATATAATTCTTTTCTTCCCTTGTTAAGTTGAGGACTTTTATCTTTTCCCCTTTTTTTCTGAGATGGAGTTTTGTGCTCGTCACCCAGGCTGGAGTGCAGTTTCGTGGTCGGCTCAATGCAACCTCCGCCCTCCTGGGTTCAAGCAATTCTCCCGCCTCAGCCTCCTGAGTAGCTGGGATTACAGGTGCCCGCCACCACGCCGGGCTAATTTTTTTTTTTTTTGTATTTTTAGTAGAGAGGGGCTTTCACCATATTGGCCAGGGTGGTCTCGAACTCCTGACCTCAGGTGATCTACCCGCCTCGGCCTCCCAAAGTGCTGGGATTACAGGTGTGAGCCACCGTGCCCAGCTAACGTTTTCTATTAAAGGAAGCACTTTATGGCTTCTTTTTGAGAAGCCATCTGAACTGGCTGCATCTGAATTATCTGAATTGCCAGCATCACCACTCTCATGCTTTGGGGCCATTGATAAGTAAAATAGGGGCTACTTAAACACAAGCACTGCAGTACTGATTTTCAGGCAGTGGATCTGATATCTGAGCCGCTCCTAAGTGACTAAGGGGCCTGTAGGATCTACAGCGTGGATACGCTGCACAAAGGGAGGACTCACTTCCTGTGCTGGGTGGAGGGGACCGTGCCAGATTCCATCACACTACCCAGAATGGCGTACCATTTAAAACTTGTGAATTGCTTATTTCTGGCATTTTCCATTTAACATTATGGAACTGAGGTTGACTGCAGGAAACTGAAACCGTGGAAAATGAAACCTCAGATAAGGGGGGACTACGGTGGTCTTCCCGTGGTGCCAGCAAAATGAGTCAAAGCAGTGAGGCTGGGGGTTTGGGGTGGTCATGCTGCCTCTCTTATCCATTACAGGCCCCTTCTCCTGCCACGCTTGCAGGCTCCCGGGTCAGTGGGCAGCTCTCTGTCCCCTGCTTCAACCTGTCCTCCACCAAGGTGCCAGAAATATCTGAATAAGACCAAGATCAAATCTTCATAGATGAATCTTCACTATTTCACATCTCCTTAAGGAGTCAGTTCCTTAGAATGGCATAAAAGTCCCTCAAGGATACAGCCCCTCCCTGCCCTTCCCACCGTGTCTTGCTCTGCTCCTGGCCACGGAGCCTGTACTCTCCCATGTCCTCATAAGACCCCATTTCTCAAGATCACTTGCATATGCTTCTGGTGAAATGCCCTTCCTTCCCGTCTTCACCTGCAGAATCCATCATCCTTTATGACCCAGTGTGAATGTCATCTTTGTGAGGCTTTTTCTTTTCTTTCTTTCTTTTTTTTTTTTCTGAGACGGAGTCTTGCTCTGTTGCCCAGGCTGGACTGCAGTGGCGCGATCTCAGCTCACTGCAAGCTCTGCCTCTGGGGTTTATGCCATTCTCCTGTCTCAGCCTCCCCAGTAGCTGGGACTACAGGTGCCCGCCACCACACCCGGCTAATTTTTTGTATTTTTAGTAGAGACGGGGTTTCACCGTGTTAGTCAGATGGTCTCAATCTCCTGACCTCGTGATCCGCTGGCCTCAGCCTCCCAAAGTGGTGGGATTACAGGCGTGAGCCACCGCGCCCTGCCTGTGAGACTTTTTCTAACCACTTTACTCCATTAAATGGAGCTTTTTCTATATTGTGCTGTATCCTTCACTAGATCACACACCTTCTAAGACACATCTTTTTTTTTTTTTTTTAATTATACTTTATGTTCTTGGATACATGTGCAGAATGGGCAGGTTTGTTACATAGGTATACATATGCCATGGTGGTTTGCCACACCCATCAACCCATCATCTACATTAGGTATTTCTTCTAATGCTTTCCCTCCTCTTGCCCCCCACCCCCCAGTAGGCCCCGGTGTGTGATGTTCCCCTCCCTGTGTCCATATGTTCTCATTGTTCCACTCCCACTTACGAGTGAGAACATGTGGTGTTTGGTTTTCTGTTAGTTTGCTGAGAATGATGGTTTCCAGCTTCATCCATGTCCCTGCAAATGACATGAACTCATCCTTTTTATGGCTGCATAGTATTCCATGGTGTATATGTGCCACGTTTTCTTTATCTAGTATATCATTGATGAGCATTTGGGTTGGTTCCAAGTCTTTGCTATTGCGAATAGTGCTGCAATAAACATACTTTGTGTATGTAAGACACATCTTAATGCTTAGCTTGTTCCTTGGCATTGAGTGGACACTTAGTCAATTTTTTTTAATTAATGGAGGTTGGATTTAAGAGGTTAGATGAAGTATGGCCAGGACGTGTCTGATCCATATCTGAAGAATTGCTGAAGGGCAGCTCAGCTCAGAGCAGGCGGATTCCCATGCTTTCTATGGTTCTATTCTTTGATTCAGCAGAAGTTCCTGTAGGTAGCTGAAACTTCACCAGGTTCTTATGACACCCTGTTTTTGTGACCATTCCTCGGTTATCTGGGCCAGACCCCTCAGTCAAAGGTAGCCCCCTTTCCTCAGGTGGCCACATGGCCAGCCTGGATCCCTGCTGCCGGGTCCTTCATGAAGTGATGGAATGCCCGCATTCACAAACCTGAAATCTCAGGACTGGGAACCAAGACCACCCTGTATGACATCATGACATAACTATTTGTAGCAGGAAATTATTTTCCAAGAACATCAGTCTATACACCAACCAATAATTCAATGTTTGCCTTAGGAACTTCCTGTAAACCAATTTCTACGGGAAAAGAATTTGCTCATCTGGACAATAGCTATTCTCTCAAGTCTAGTCAGCAAACTACTCCTTTGCTTATCAAGGAGTAGTTTACTTATAAAGAAGGGCTTAAAATGCTCACCTTGCTGTGTTCCCCAATCCTAAATCATGAACAGCACTCATTTACAATCTGTCCTCCACCTTGAAAGACCCCTTGAGGCCAGTCTCCCAGACCCTGTCAAAATCCCTCTTCTCCTTCCAACACCTTTAAGACTCAGGCAAGCTGGTATTCTTCCCCACTGCTGTAGGTCTAATAAACTTCCCCTGACTTCATGCACAACTCATGCTGATGGTCTTTCTGCGGAGTGAGCAGTGGATGTGGCTTTGACAAAGCCAGCATTATAGAGAAGGAAAGATTTTATTCAGGACACTGGAGTCTGAAGCTCCTGTTTCTGCTGGGATTCCCTCTTGATCTCGGGGAAGTCACTTTCTCTCTTTGAACCTCAGTCTCATTCTATGAATAATGAGGGAAGTTGGAATAAACGGCCTTTCCCCTCCAGCTGTCTGTATGTTCTTCTGTCTGTATTGACCCTCTCTTGTTCCCTGGCTTTTTCTGGGGGGTACAAGCAATAGCCAGTGCAGAGGGAAAGAAAAGTTACCTAATAGCTGTTACTAATTGCATCTATATTGGCTATTGTAAAGAGTTTCTCATATTTCTTAACATTTTGGAGGAATGAGACAGTTCATTTAAGAGATACAGAAGTAAATGAATAAAGCTTGCTGCTATGGTTTGAACACCTCTCCCAAAGTTCATATGTTGGAAACTCAATCCCCATTGCAACAGTGTTGAGAGGTGGGACCTTTAAGAGGTGATTAGGTCATGAGGGCTTTGCCTTCATGAATGGATTAATGCCATTATTGTGGGAGTGGGCTCCTTATAAAAGGATGGGTTCCCTCTCTCACCATATGATGCCTTCTGTCATGTTTGTGATGCAGCAGAAAGGCCCTCGCTAGATGGGGCCCCTTGATCTTGGACTTCCCAGCCTCAGAACCATAAGCCAAGTAAACATATGTACATTATTAATTAACCAATCTATACTATTCTGTTATAGCAGCACAAAAACAAGCTGACACTTACTCTACTTCCAACATCTTTAAAAACATTATTCATTTATACTAACAACTCTCCCAAATTCTTTTACAAAAATATTCCTAACAATACAATTCTCTGCCTTCCGAAGCAGAGGATGTTGACTCTCTTTTTAAAGTATGTGGCAGAGAATGATGGATACATTAAAGGAGATAAAGGAGTATTTTTAGCATGATCTGTAATGGTGAAATATCTGAAACATACTAAATTATCACATAGAGGGATCCAGTAAGTACATCTTGCACATATATAAAAGTTAGAATCCATAATAGTCTACCATGAAGCTCTGTGGCAGAAGAGTGAGAACAGAAAAAAAATGTTTATTACATGGTATATTCACACTACATGATCTCATTTCTACAAAAATATACAGAAAATTACTGGAAAATTAGATAATATTTACTGTAGCTCTCCCTGGAGGTGATTCAAACGTTTTCTTTTTTGTGCTTCTCTGTATTTTGCAGATTTTCAGCAATGACATTGTATTATTTTTATAATAAGAAATAAGGAAAAACATTAGAATTGAAAGCCATTGGCTTAAAATATGACAAAGTCAGCTAAGAGATGATTGAGTAAGGCAGGGTTCAGCACTTGGGTGCAATGGAATCTAAGGGGAACTGGAAACAAAGGCATTACCAAGATTCTAGCCCTGGGCTGCAGGAGGAAGAGCTGGTCTCAGAGCTGAACTGCTGCAAAACTCAGGAAGGCAAGGGTCTAGAGGCAGGAATAGGTACAAAAAGTTTTAATATTGTAGTGGAGGAAATACTTAAATTGGCAGGGTGCAATGGCTCATGCCTGTAATCCCAGCACTTTGGGAGGCCAAAGTGGGTGGATCACTTGAGGTCAGGAGTTCAGCACCAGTCTGGTTTCAACATGGTGAAACCCTGTCTCTACTAAAAATTCAAAAATTAGCTGGGCATGGTGGCAGGTGCCTGTAATCCCAGCTACTTGGGAGGCTGAGGCAGGAAAATCCCTTGAACCCGGGAGGCGGAGGTTGCAGTGAGCCGAGATAGCACCACTGCACTCCAGCCTGGGCAACAGAGTAAGACTCCATCTCAAAAAACAAAAACAAAAGCAAAAACAAAAACAAAAAACAAAACACAAACAACAGCAACAACAAAAACTTAAGAAAAGTTTGGTTAACTGAGTGATGATGACTTTATGTGAGAAGGATGTTGCTATTGCGTTCTATGGGGCGGGATACTTCTGAGCAGCTCAGACAACACTGTGCTCCTGGGAATGAACTTTGACAATCACTTTTGTAATTGGATGTTTTCTGCACTCTTGTTATTGTGCCATGTCTTCTCCATCTCTTCTTCCTGCATCTCTTTGCCTCATTTTTCAGTTATGCTCATGGATTATCTTGGTGTCTCTGAGTCCAAGGATCTTTGGGAATCTTATTTATTCATGCAATTACCTACCTGCTTGTCCAACTTTCTAAACTTACTCTTATGATAAAGAAAAACTTAGAAAGAGTTCCCAAGTCCCACCACTCCTGCCAACATTTTCACTCAATGCAACGTTTACAATGGGACCATTCACATTTATCACTGTGAAGTTATTTTATGAACACCATTGACTATTGTTTAGCACATTTGCAGAGAAAAATATTTGGTCTCCTGAAAATGCTGTATTTCCTCCAAAACCACCTCAGTTATATTTCTACAGCTCTGCTTGTGACATGATATGAACTTTCTAGGGAAGATAAGCAAGAAAAAATGAGTTTTCAGCTCTATGTTCATGAGCTTGTTTTCAGTGAAAACTATATAAGCTTTTAGAAATACATTTATGATCACTAAAATAAAATGACACTGTAACCTAATTTTTATTGAGAGCTTGCTAAGTTCTAAGTACTTTGCAGATTATCTCATGCAACCCTCACAAGTACTCACTGAAGTAGGAGCTGTTGTGTTCTCTGTTTCACACATGAAGAAGTGGAGGCATGAACTAGTAAATAACTTACATAAATTCACTTTGCTAGTAAATAATGCAATTAAGATTTGAACCCACGTTGTGTGCCATCAAAATCATGCTCTTTTTAAAATTTTTATTTTTATTTTAAATTGTTGTGGGTACATAGTAGTTGTATGTATTTATTGGGTACATGAGATGTTTTGATACTGCCAGGCAATTTGAAATAAGCACATCATGGAAAACGGGGTATACATTCCCTCAAGCATTTATTCTTTGGTTTGCAAACAGTCCAATTATGCTCTTCAAGTTATTTAAAAATGTACAATTAAGTTATTATTGTCTATAGTCATCCTGTTGTGCTATCAAATAGTAGGTCTTATTCATTCTTCAACTATTTTTTTGTACCCATTAACCATCTCCACCTTGCCCACCAGAGCCCCCCACCCCCGCCACTACTCTGCTCAGCCTCTGGTCACCATTCTTCTACTCTCTATGTTCATGAGCTTGTTTTTATTTTTAGATCCCACAAATAAGTGAGAACATGTGATGTATGTCTTTTTGTGCTTGGCTAATTTGACTTAACATAATGTTCTCCAGTTCCATCCATATTGTTGCAAATGACAGTATCTCATTCATTTTTATGGCTGAATAATACTCCATTGCGTATATGTACCATATTTTCTTTATCCATTCATCTGTTGATGAACACTTAGGTTGCTTCCAAATCTTGGCTATTGTAAACAGTGCTGCAACGAACATAGGAGTGCAAGTATCTCTTTGATATACTGATTTCCTTTCTTTTGGGCGTATACCAAGCAATGGGATTGCTGGATCATATGGTAGCTCTATTTGTAGTTTTTTTGAGGAGACTCCAACCTGTTCTCCATAGCGGGTTTACTAATTTACATTCCCACCAACACTGTACAAGAATTTCCTTTTCTCCACATCCTCGCCAGCATTTGTTATTTCCTGTCTTTTGGATAAAAGCCATTTTAACTAGGGTGAGATGATATCTCACGGTAGTTTTGATTTGCATTTCTCTGATGATCAGTGATATTGAGCACTTTTTCATATGCCTGTTTGTCATTTGTATGTCTTCTTTTAAGGAATGTCTATTCACATCTTTTGCCCATTTTTGGATCAGATTATTAGATTTTTTCATTTAGAGTTGTTTGAGATCATTATATATTCTGGTTATGAATCCTTTGTCAGATGGGTAGTTTGCAAATATTTTCTCCATTCTGTGGGTTTTCTCCTCACTTTGTGGATTGTTTCCTTTGCTGTGCAGAAGCTTTTTAACTTGATGTGATATCATGTGTCCATTTTTGCTTTGGTTGCTTGTGCTTGTGGAGTATTGCTCAAGAAATTTTTGCCCAGACAAATGTCCTGGAGATTTCCCCAATGTTTTCTTGTACTAGTTTTATAGCTTGAGGCCTTAAATTTAAGTATTTAATCTATTTTGGTTTGATTTTTGTATTTGGTGAGACATAGGGGTCTACATTCCTCTGCATATTGATATCCAGTTTTCCAAGCACCATTTATCGAAGAGACAGTCTTTTCCCCAGTGTATGTTCTTGGCACCTTTGTTGAAAATAAGTTCACTGTAGGTATGTGGGCTTGTTTCTGGGTTCTCTAATCTGTTCCCTTGGTTGATGTGTCTGTTTTTATACCAGTGCCGTATTGTTTTGGTTACTGTAGCTCTGTAGTATAATTTGAAGTCAGGTAATGTGATTCCTCCAATTTTGTTCTTTTTGCTTAGGATAGCTTTGACTATTCTGGGCCTTTTCTGATTCCAAATAAACTTTAGGATTGTTTTTTCTATTTCTGTGAAGAATGACATTGGTATTTTGAAAGAGATTGCATTGAATCTGTAGCTTGTTTGGGGTAATATGAACATTTTAACAGTATTGATTCTTCCAATCCATGACCATGGGATATTTTTCCATTTTTCAGTGTCCTCTTCAGTTTATTTCATCAGTGTTTTATATTTTCATTATAGAGATTTTTCATTTCTTTGGTTAATTCCTAGGTCTTTAATTTTATGTGTGGCTATTGTAAATGGGATTACTTTTTTATTTCTTTTTCATGTTGTGCACTGTTGGCATATAAATGCTACTGAATGTTGTATATTGATTTTGTATCTTGCAACTTTACTGAATTTACTTATCAGTTCTAATAGTTTTCTTGTGGAGTCTTTAGATTGTTCCAAATATAAGATTATATCATCTGCAAACAAGGATAATTTGCCTTCTTCTTTCCAATTTGAATGCCCTTTATATCTTTCTTTTTTATGATTGCTCTAGCCAGGATTTCTAGCACTATATTGAATAACAGTGGTGACAGTGGGCATCCTGTCATGTTCCAGATCTTAGAGGAAAGGCTTTTGGTTTTACCCCATTCAGTATGATACTAGCTGTGGGTCTATTTTATATGGCTTTTATTGAGGTATGTTCCTTCTATCCCCAGTTTTTTGAGGGTTTTTTATCATGGAGGGATATCAAAGTCTATCAAATGCTTTTTCCACTTCAATTGAAATGATTATATGGTTTTCATCCTTCATTCTGTTGATATGATGTATCACATTGATTGATTTGCATATGTTGAACCATCCTTGCATCCCAGGGAAAAATCCCACTTGGTTATGATGAATGATCTTTCTAATGTATTGTTGAATTCAGTTTGCTAGTATTTTGCTGAGGATTTTTGCATCCATATTCATCGAAGATATTGGCCTAGAGTTTTCTTTTTTTGATGTGTCTTTTTCTGGTTTGGGTAACAAGCCTCATAGAATGAGTTTGGAAGTATTCTCTCCTCCTCTATTTTTTGGAATAGTTTGGGTAGGATTGGTATTAGTTCTTGTTTAAATGTTTGGTAGAATTTAACAGTGAAGCCATAGGGTCCCAGGCTTTTCTTTAGAGGGAGATATTTTATTACAGCTTCAAGCTCTGTACTAATTATTGGTCTGTTCATGTTTTGGATTTTTTCTTGGTTAGGTCTTGGTAGGTTTTATGTGTCTAGGAATTTGTGAATTTCTTCCAGATTTTTCCAATTTTTTGGCATGTAGTTGCTCATGGTAGCCACTAATCATCGTTTGGATTTCTGCAGTATCAGTTTTAATGTATCTTTTTTCATTTCTGATTTTATTTATTTGTATTTTTCTCTTTTTTTCTTAGTTAGTCTGGCTAAAGGTTTGTTAATTTTGTTTAACTTTTCAAAAAAGCAACATTTCGTTTTCTCCCTGTTTTATCATTTCATTTTCATTTATTTCTGCTCCAATCTTTATTATTTCTTTTTTTCTACTAATTTTGGGTTTGGTTTGCTCTTGCTTTTCTAGTTCTTTAAGATGCATCATTAGATTGTTTATTTGAGTTTTTTCTCTTTTTCGATGTAGGCACTTACAGTTATAAGCTTCTCTCTTGTATTGCTTTTGCCTTATTCCATAGTTTTTGGCTTGTTGTGTTTCCATTATTATATATTTCAAGAAATTTTTTCAATTTCCGCTTAATTTTTTCATTGACCCGCTTGTCATTCAGGAGGCTTTTTTTTTTTTTTTTTTAAACAGAGTCTTACTCTGTCACCCAGGTTGGAGTGCAGTGGCACCATCTAAGCTCACTGCAACCTCTACCTCCCGGGTTGAAGTGATTTTCACGTCTCAGCCTCCTGAGTAGCTGGAATTACAGGCATGCGCCACCACAACAGGCTAATTTTTGTATTTTAGTAGAGATGGGGTTTCACCATGTTGGCCAGGCTGGTCTCAAACTCCTGACCACAGGTGATCCGCCCATCTCGGCCTCTCAAGGTGCTGGGATCACAGGTATGAGCCACTGCGCCTGGCCCAGGAGCATATCATTTAATTTCCATGTGTTTGTATTGTTTCCAAAATTCCTCTTTTATTAATTTCTAGTTTGTTCCATTGTGGTCAGAGAAGATGCTTGATATTATTTCAATTTTTTATGTTTTAAGACTTGCTTTTGAGCCTAACATATGGCCTATTCTTGAGAACGATCCATGTGCTTAGGAAAAGAATGTGTAGTTTGCAGCTGTTGGATGAAATGTTCTGTAACTATATATTAGATCCATTTGTTCTGTAGTGCAGATTAAGTCTGATGCTTCTTTGTTGATTTTCTGTCTGGAAGATCTGTCTAATGCTGAAAGTGGGGTGTTGAAGTCTTCAACTATTATTGTATTGGGGCCTATCTCTCTCTTTAGTTTTAATAATATTTGCTTTATATATCTGGTGCTCTGGTTTTGGGTGCATATATACTTAAAATTGTTATATTCTTTTGCTCAGTTGACCCTTTATCATTATATGATGACCTTCTTTTTCTCTTTTAGTTTTTGTCTTGTAATATATTTTGTTGGATCTAAGTATAGTTACTCTTGCTCTTTTGGTTTCCTTTAGGCATGACATAGCTTTTTCTATCCTTTTATTTTCAGTCTATGTGTGTCTTTATAGGGTAAGCATATTTCTTGTAGGCAACAGGTACATGGGTCTTATTTTTTCATCCATTTAGCCAGTCTATGCCTTTTGAATGGAGAGTTTAATCAATATATATTCAATGTTACTATTGATAAGTAAGGACTTACTCCTACCATTTTATTATTTGTTTTATGTTGTCTTGTGGTGACTTTTTCTTTATTCTTTCCTCCCTGTCTTCCTTTAGCAAAGGTGATTTTCTCTGGTGCCATGATTTAGTTTCTTGCTTTTTATTTTTTGTGTATACATTGTATGTTTTTTGGTTTGCGGTTGCCATGTGGTTTGCAAATACTGTTTTATAACCCATTATTTTAACCTGATAACAATGTCACACTGTTTGCACAAACAAACAAGCAAAAAGAAAACTAATAAAAACTCTACATCTTCACTTTGTCCTCCTGCTTTTTAACTTTTTGTTTTTTTTTCATTTATATCTTATTGTACTATGTCTTGAAAATTGTAGTTATTATTTTTTTTCTTTTTTTTATTATTATACTTTAAGTTTTAGGGTACATGTGCACAATGTGCAGGTTAGTTACATATGTATATTTTTGACTCATTCATCATCTAGCCTTTCTGCTTAGGATAAGAGTAGTTTACACACCACAGTTACAGCACTACCATATTCTGTGTTTTTCTGTGTACTTACTATTATCTGTGGTTTTTGTATCTTCAGATGATTTTCTTATTGCTCATTAACATCCTTTTCTTTCTGATTGAAGTACTCCCCTTAGCATTTCTTGTAGGACAGGCCCGGTGTTGATGAAATTCCTTAGTTTTTGCTTCTCCGGGAAAGTCTTTATTTCTCTTTCATGTTTGAAGGATATATTTTTGCCAGATGTACTATAATATTCTAGGGTAAAAGCTTTTTCCTTCAGCACTTTAAATATGTCATGCCTCAGTCTCCTGGCCTGTAAGGTTTCCACTGAAAAGCCCACTGCTAGACATATTGGAGCTCCATTGTATGTTGTTTGTTTCTTTTCTCTTGCTGCTTTTAGGAGCCTTTCTTTATCCTTGACCTTTGGGATTTTGATTATTAAATATCTTGAGGTAGTCTTCTTTGGCTTAAATCTGTTTGATGTTTTATAACCTTCTTGTACTTGGATATTGATGTCTTTCTGTAGGTTTGGGAATTTCTCTGTTATCCCTTTCAATAAACTTTCTACCCCTATCTCTTTCTGTGTCTCCTCTTTGAGGCCAATAACTCTTAAATTTGCCATTTTGTGGCTATTTTATAGATCCCGTAGACATGCTTCATTGTTTTTAATTCTTTTTTCTTTTGTCTCCTTACTGTGTATATTCAAATAGCCTGTCTTCAAGGTCATTAATTCTTTCTTCTGTTTGATCAATTCTGCTAGTAAAGGAATCTGATGCATTCGTTAGTATGCCAATTGCCTTCTTCAGCTCCAGAATTTTTGCTTTATTCCTTTTATTTCAATCTCTTTGTTAAATATATCTCATAGAATTCTGAATTCCTTCTCTACGTTATCTTGAATTTCTTTTGAGTTTTCTTAACACGGTGATTTTGAATTCTCTGAAAGGTCCCATGTCTCTGTTTCTTCAGGATTGGTCTCTGGTGCCTTATATAATTTATTTATGGAGGTCATGTTTTCCTGGATGTTGTTAATGCTAGTAGATGTTCTTTGGTGTCTGGGCATTGAAGAGTTAGGTATTTCTTATAGTCTTCACAGTTTGGGCCTTTTTGTACCTATCCTTCTTGGGAGGTTTTCCAGATATTTGAAAGAACTTGAGTGTTGTGACCTAACATCTATCTGCTTTAGGGGAGCACCTCACACCCAGTAACACTGTGGTTGCAGACTTGTAGAGGTACTACCTTAATGGTCTTGGAGATCCTGGGGAACTCTCCAGGTTACCAGGCAGAGACTCTTGTTCTCTTCCCTTACTTTCTCCCAAACAAACAGAGTTCCTCTCTCTTTTCTCTGAGCCACCTAAACCTGGGGCTTTAGTGACACAAGCACACCTGTAGCCACCACTGCTATGACTGTGCTGGGTCAGACCTGAAGCCAGCACTGGGTCTTGTCCAAGGTTTGCTGTAACCACTCCCTGGCTACTGCCTATGCTTACTCAAGGCCCTGGGGCTGTACAATCAGCTGGTGGCAAAGCCATCCAGGTCTATGTCCTTCCTTTCAGGACAGTGAGGTCCCCCAGGCTCTGGGTCCTGAGGTGCCATCTAGGAGTCAGGGACTAGAGTCAAAAACCTTAGATGTCTACTTGGTGTTCTATTGTGCTGCAGCTAATGTGGTGCTCAAACCATAAGATGCAGTTCTTCCCACTCTTCTCTCCCCTTTCCAAAGGCAGAGGAGCCTCACCGCATAGCCACCACCACCCTAGGCCATGAGAAGTACTGCCAGATTACCACTGATGTTCCCTTATGGCCCAAAGGCTCTTAAGTCAGCTTGTGGTGAATGCTGCTTGGCCTGGGACTCACCCTTCAGGGCAGTGGGCTTCCCTCTGGCCCAGGGAAAGTCCAGAAATGCCATCCAAGAGTCAAGTCATGGAATCAAGGACCCTAAAAGCCCACTTGGTGCTCTACCCACCCCTGGCCCTGCTGGTACCTAAGTTGTAAGATAAAGTCCCCTTTATTTTTCCCTCTGCTTTTCTTGAGTAGAAGGAGTTTTGCCCCATAGCCACCACAGCTGGTAATCTGCTGAGTCTCACCTGAAGCCAGCAAGTCTCAGAGGCTCACGTAAGTCCCTTGATGTAGTATCTGGGTACTGCTGCTGGTTATGTAATTTCCTGTTCAAGCTCTTCATAGGTATTATCTACTGAATCCTCAAAATAAACTTACACAGTTGAATACTATTATTATCCCCATTTTAGAAATAAGGAAACTGAGTTACAGTAAAGCAATAACTTGACTAAGGGCATATATCTAGGAAGTGGTTTCAGAACAGAGAGTGAACCCATGTGTTTAACAGTTTCCTCCTAAAGTATCACCGCAGTGATGGTAAATTACTTTTTAAATGCTATATACTTATGGTCCAAGAGTATGGGTGAGAAGGCAATAGTAGTAATCTATCTATCTATCTATCTATCTATCTATCTATCTATATCTATAGATAGATAGATATAGATATAGATATCGATATAGATATAGATATATATATTTTTTTGAGATGAAGTTTCGCTCTTATTGCGCAAGCTGGAGTGCAATGGTGCGATCTCAGCTAACTGCAACCTCTGCCTCCCAGGTTCAAGAGATTCTCCTGCCTCAGCCTCCTGAGTGGCTGGGATTACAGGCGTGTGTCACCAAGCCCGGCTAATTTTTGTAGTTTTAGTAGAGACGGGGTTTCTCCATATTGGTCAGGCTGGTCTCGAACTCTTGACCTCAGATGATCCACCTTCCTTGGCCTCCCAAAGTGCTGGGATTACAGGTGTGAGCCACTGCACCCGGCCTTAGCAGTAACATTTTTAAGGTAGTAGTAAAGGGTGAGAGGAAACAAACCTAGCAGTTTGCAGACATTGGAAAGTGAGTCAGTGATGGGGGATGCCCAGCAGCAAGCTAGCCCATTTTCACAACCCAGAGTTCAGGACTGTGGAGGAAACAAGGACTTGAAAGACTAGAGCTAGAGACGGGGCTGAAATGATTTTCTGAATCATGTATAATAGATGTTTAAACTCCTGGAACCCTACTCATACCCTGAGGATCCCAGCAACTGCCTCTCGCTAACCTTGGCAGAACACTGGACTTTTGCTGTAAAGGCTAAATCAGAGGAATTCGGGAATAGAGTCCCCAGGCACAGCTGATGGGAGAGGTACTGCTCTGGAACAACAGAGAACCAAGTGGAAATCTACAGGGACCAATGTGATGGTCCCAGACTATGAAAAATATTAGAATCCAGATTTATAAGGAAGAGGACTGGAGAAGATTGGAGAAGTCCTCTTCTGAAAAATTGGTCAACCAATGAGAAAATCCTGTAGATGCTGGCTAGGAAGGTGATTCCTAAAGCGGTCACATCAGGCCTTTCTTTGGTGAATAAAGAGGGCTATACCCTCACAGAGGGGGGCTTTGAATGAAGTTTTTACCCTCTCCCATAAATATAAGCAGGCAGCCAGAGATGTCAAGATATTTTTAGTAAACCTCTAATTTGAAAGACAGACAAATTTAAAAAACAGATAAATAGCAAATATAACAAAACAAATGAACCTAATTTGGAGTATACAGAAAACATGCAGGAAATGGAAAACTTAAACAAGTATTTAAAATCCTCAGACAGATAAGAGAGCACATGCCATCTATGACACATGAACAGGAGGTTATTAAAAAAACAGAGAACCCAAACAAAACTTCCAGAAATTAAAATGTATCACAATGAAAAATTAAATATAAGAATTAGACAATAGAATTGAAGATAGACTTTTGTCCCCAAAAGTAGAACTAAAGGACAGAGATATCACACAGGAAAGAAAAAATAAAAACAATAAGAGTGTCAGTCCTGGAGATCCAACATCCAAATAATAAGGTTCCAAAAAGGAAGGGCAGAGAAAATAGAAAGCTACTCATTTTAAAGATGACTCAATAAATTTCCCAAGCTGAAATACATGAGTATCTAGGTTGAATACTCTGCTTGAATGTCCAGCAAAGTGGATAAAAATAGATCTTTACTAAGTAGCAAATGGTGAAATTTCAGAATAATGGGGACAAAATGATTGTAAAAACCTCCAGACACACACACATTAATGTTCTCACTAACAGACATGCAGGTTACTTTCACAGAGTCAAAGTAGAAATGAGACCATACTCCTCCAGAATGGCCTGGGAAGCTAGCAGAAATATGCACTAGGAACAATGAGAAATGTCATCAATGTTCTCAGGGAAAGTGACTTAAAAATTAGAGTTTCATACCCCATCTGATGTTCAACCAAGTGTGGGAGTAGATTAAGGATATTTCCAGGTCTATAAATCTCAACATTTTAGCTTTCCTCTCTTCTCAAGAAGCTCCTAGCCAACGTGTTCCACCCCATTATTAGGGGTGTGAGCAGTAGTGAGGAAGGCATAGGCTGTGGAGAAATAGATGAGGGTGTATTCATCTGCCAGGGCTGCTGTAACAAAGTACCTTAGACTGGGTGGCTGACACAACAACAATTTACCTTTTCACCATTCTCCAGGTTGGAAATTTCAGATTGAAATCAAGGAGGGTGAGCTCATGGTGAGGGCTCTCCCTCTGGCTTGTGGTCACTGGTGTCCTCTTCTATGGACATTGCACCTATAGGGTCAAATTTCACCCTTATGACCTCATCAAACATTAACTGTTTCCTTACTTCAAATACAGCCACACTGATGGGTCAGGGTTCAATATACATATTTTAGGGAGGACGCAAACATTCACTTCATAGCAGGCACCCCACGGAAAGGAAATCCTCAGCACGGTGGTGAAGGAAGCCCTAGGACGGTAGCTTTGTCACATCCAGGAGGATTTGATGTGCTTGGGTGTATTGAGAGGGGACTTATCCTCATGTGTGAGATTTTGGGGATGCCTTAAAGGTAGACAAAAATTAAAAAACTTCTTTCTTCCCTGAGAGAGAAGGCGAGAAAGAAGGGGGAAGTTTGGGAGAGGGGATTACTTACTCTAGGGAAAATGCAATGTTGACCCCGGAAAATAAATGTAATAATACTTCGTGGCTCAGCTGTGACTAATGATGTACTCATAGGGAAGTGAACAACAAATACAGAGCTAACTACAGCTTCTGATATAACTGTACTAGGGGACTAGGGGAAGGTACGCTATGTTAGGGTTTCTGGGGTGGAATGTTAGAGATTTAAATCCTCATCTGCTTAGTGGAATCCAGTAACAATATTTGAGACAGAAACCAAAAAATAGCAGTATATGCACTGAAAGAAACCCCAGAAATTTGGTTGCAAACAATACCAGAAAATATAAATATTAGCATAATCTGTTAAAGGAATTGAAGTGTTTACCTTTGGTCTTCAGTGATAATGGACAGGAACCTGTTTGACATATGCACGTGCACACACATATTCATGTATGTACATGCACATATATGGATGTACTCATATACACATACACATTTATATGTACACCTTTGCTAAAAATAAATGAATGAACAAACAGAATAAGTAGCCTGAGATTATCTGGCTGCTAAAGGATAAGGCAGCACTCCCCCTAAATTTGGCTTTTCTCCTGTCCCTATTGTCTTTGCTCTTAACCACTTTTCTACATTGTCTTCCAAGTTACCACCTCCTCCTTGGTAATGGTGGTGGTGGCGGCTAGCATTGAGGTTCACACTAACCCACCCTTCAACCTCTAATCATCTCTCTCAAAGCAGTACCCATCATTTCACATTGACTGGGACAGAAATTCTTGCAGACAGAGGAATCCCTTTAGGGAAACCTGTGGTTGAGGTTTGTAGTTGACTCTCCCTATAGTCCAGATTCCCACATACAACATGAGCAATATCTAGAAGACATCACATTTCCCACCAGGCTCATAGCATGCTTCATATTAAGTGCATCCTTACTTTTTGTTTCTTTAGTTTGGGCCCCAGAGACTGCGCAGCCACTCATTCATGGTTAGCATTGGTACCAGCAGATTATAAATGTACAGCTCTGACTAGTTTTTCTGAAACAAATCTGGGGTTAATGTGTGACTGTGCTTTGCCTTCCTTTTTCATTTAATTCCCTCCGGCATAGAATGAGTCATCTCAAAAAAGGAGTTTGATAAAGTACCTGTAATTAAAAATTACCTTGCGGGTTCCTGCCCTTTCTCTGTGTTTGGTTAATAGAAGGTTTCTGTCAAGCTCACATGAAGGTTCAGTCATCAGTATTTCAAACCTGCTCGTATATCTGTGTACTCGGCGGAATTGTGAATTCCTTAGAGACCTTCACTATTTTCAATTTGTCATTCTCATTATTATTTCATGAGCAAGGTGAAAAGGAGAGGATGCACAACAGAGGAGGTTAAAAGGAGGGTGAGGGAAGGCAGTGTACTAGGCAGAGGAGAGAGGAGAAGGGAGAGGGGAGGTGGATGATGGGCGCATAAGAAATGTTAGGGAGAAAGTGGAGGAGAAGAGAATTCCTAGGAAGAGCTAAGGGAAGGATCAGAAGTGTGCAAGGAAAAACAATAAACCAAGAGAGAAGAGAAATTACGTAAACCTAGGGAGGTGCAGATAAATGAAGAACATTGTAGCTTTTAGGTCCCTGAGATACCACTGTCTCCACTATAGGATCTATAATTACTGAGGTCTGTGGCCAAAAAAGAAAGTTGGTTTCATGTGATTCTTATGATTTGAGCACTATATTTAACTCCGTGTTGCAATCCTTTCTCTGCCTCCTGATTTCCATGGTAGAATGGTTAAATCATCATTCTTGCTCTCACTCTCCTATTCACTTGTTATTTGCTTAGCAGCTTCCTATGTGGCAGGTTCTTTTCTCAGCTCCAGATGGTGACCTTTACTGGGCTAAGTCACCAAAAGGTCAGAAACATGGAGAGGTAATTACTGGAACAAAATTGTATTCAGTTTGAAAATTTAGCCACACCGCAGGTGTACATAATGCTTAAAACACACTTAGGGACAATGGACAAGAATATTTTTATTGGGCTAATAATAAAGTCACTCTGGGAAGGGAATCCCTGGGAAGTCCTATAGACAATCTCCACAATATTGTAAAAGCAGTTTTGTTCTTGCTGCTTTCATTTATGTAGTTAGAGTGTAAACACTCTAGAATTTCGATCTCTATTTCTATCATTGTTTTATTTTAAAAATTCTATTATGAAGAAATTCAAACATATGGGAAAGTTAGAAGTACACATTTTTATGTCCAGCACCTGTTTTCCTCAATTAACATTTCACTCCACTACCTTTAATATCCCTCCACCCTCTATCCATTTGTCAGTCTCTCTCTTTCTCTTTTTTTTTTCCACTTCACATAGAATTCTGGCTGGCATGCATTTTTTTTTTCTTCCTTAGTTTACTAAGAACTCATTTACTTTCATTAGTGATTACAGTACATTTCTCTCCTTCTGTAGTGTAGATTCTCCTTTTAATCAATATTCCCAATCTGTCATTTTTTACTTGTTCTTATATCTTCCTAATCTCTACCCTTTTTAAAAACAAAGTAGACATTTGTGCTTGATTTTGTCCTTCCTTTTTGTTTTGTTTTGAGTGTTTGTTAGTTTTTCCTTGACCATGTAATACTAGCAGAAGAAGTGAGAGACCCTCACTGTTGTGTTCTTTAGAAAAAGAGTATTTTTCTAAATACTTACAGGATCAGATTTGCTTTGGGTTTTATTCCAAATTCAGTCTAAGGCCTCATGATATCCCCCTTTGGTTGCTAATATCAGCTCTTTAAAAGAGTTGTTGCACTGTCTTTTGACTTTCATGATTTCTCTGAGGAGAAGTCAGCAGTTGTATTAGTCCGTTCTCACATTGCTATAAAGAAATACCTGAGGCTGGGCAATTTGTAAACAAAAGAGGTTTAATGGGCTCATGATTCACAGGCTGTGCAGGAAGCATGATGCTGGCATCTGCTTGGCTTCTGGGGAGGCCTCAGGAAACTTTCAATCATGGCAGAAGGCAAAGCAGGAACAGGCATCTTCACATGGCTGGAACAGGAGGGAGAGAGAGAGTGGGGAGGCGCTACACAATTTTCAACAACCGGATATCATACCCAGTCACTATCAAGAGAATTGCACCGAGGGGATGGTGCTAACCCATTCATGAGAATTCCACCACCATGATCCCATCACCTCCCACCAGGCCCTACATTTAACACTGGGGATTACAATTCAACATGAGATTTGTTGGGAACACAGATCCAAACCATATCAGCATTCGTTCAAATAGTTGTTAGATATAAAGTTTTCCCTCTCTGGATTTTTCTTTTCCAAGATTTCCACTCTCATTTTTTCTATTAGCTATAGTTGCCTGAAACCATACCCTGTGGTTCTTTTAGCTAGCAAGACTGTAGCTTTTCCTTCCTTTGGAGAGTTAGCCACATTTCATGGCACAGTCTTGAGCCTACCTGAGGCTAAAAACTCTAAAAACAAAAGCAATGACCCTTTTCCATTTTTTTTCAAGTGTCTACTCTAGATTCCGCCTGCTTTTATTTAATATCTAGTCCCTCTAGTTAGTTGTTTTTAAATATTTTTTCAAAGATTATATGGCTGTTATCATCAGAACATTTTTCTCCAGTAGGAGCTAATTGGCCATAGCAGAGCCAAACTTTCTGATGCGCATATATATTGCATTGCTTCATATATATGTATCCATGAACAATACGCATTATAGTTTTACATATTTTCTAGGATGAATAATACGCATATTGTACATATGCTTCTGCAACTTGTTCTTTTTTGCTCATTATGTTTTTGTGATTTATGCATGTTGGTAACCATAGCCCTATTTTATTCAATGTAATTTCTGTATAGTATTTTATTGTATGAATGGACAAAAATGAATTTATCCAGTCCATTATTGAGAGATATTTGGATTATTTCTATTTTTTAAAGGCTACATATCATTCTTTATATTGCCTTATGCATATCAGTGAAAGGTATTTTAGCATCAGAAGCATCAGAAGTGGTATGATAAAGTAGAAGTCCTATGCATATTCAACTTTGTTAGATCACTCAAAATTGGCTCAAAATAATCACAGCCTCTCCAGTAGCTGGCATTACAGGCCCGCGCCACCACTCCTGGCTAATTTTTGTATTTTTAGTAGAGACAGGGTTTCATCATGTTGGCCAGGCTGGTCTCAAACTCCTGACCTCAGGGGATCTGCCCGCCTCAGCCTCCCAAAATACTGGGTTTACAGGCATGAGTCACTGTGCCTGGCTGAAATAGTACCTTATTCTTTCAATTTACATTGCCTGAATTTGAGTGTCTTTTCATATTTATTTACTATTTGGCACTCTTCTTTTGTTATTATATATTAATATCATTTGTTCGATTTTTTATTCAGTTTTTCTTCTTGATATAATTTTATATAGTGATTTATCTATCCATCATACTAGTTATTCCACTTATATATATATCTAAACATTTTTTAAACCTGTTTGTGGCTTTTAAAAACTGCTCATATTTGTCTTTTGCTAAACAGAAGTTTTAAAATTTAAAATAGTCACATTTACCATTTTAAAAAAATGGTTTGTGTTTTCTGTGTCTTGTTTAAGAAATCTTTATGTACTTGAAGTCTTAAAGATATTTTTCATTTTTTTCTCCTTACAGTTTGAATATTTGAATGTTTTCAAAATTCATGATGAAACTTAATCCCCAATGCAACAGTATTAAACGGTGGGGCTTTTAGGAAGTGATTAGGGCTCCCCAATCTTGAATGGGATTAGTGCCTTATAAAAAGGCTGGAGAGAACCAGACAGGCGTTTGGTCCTTCTGCTTTCTGCCATGGGCGGATGCAGCAACAAGGCATCATCTTTGAAGCAGGAAGCACTCATTAGACACCAAATCTGTTGGCTCCTTGATCTTGGACTTCACAGCCTCCAGAACTGTCAGAATGTAAAATTTTGTTTATAAATTATCTAGTCTAAGGTATTTTATTACAGCAACACAAACAGGCTAAGACAATATCGTCTAAGAAAAATACTACTTTCTTATTGTGCTTATTCGTCTAAATTGTCTCAGTAATCCTGGCTCTTTACTCCTTATAAATTTCAGCTGGTCAAATTCCAAAAATTACTTCATTGGATTACGACCACAATTGCAATTAATTTATAGATAAATTGGGGAAATATTTTATTTCTTCATTATATTCAGTGTTTTCACTAATAATATCTATATGAATATCTGTCTATATCTGTACCCACCTCTATTCTATGTGTGTCTATGTCTGTATCTATGTCTATCTCTATAATTATATTGATGGCTATAAAGATATATCTACATTTGTACAGGTTTTTATTTTTTATTCAAAAATGATTTGCAATTTTAAAAATGAAATATCTGAACATCTTTAAAAACATTTATTCCAAATGATTTATGCTTCCTGTTGCTATTGTGAAATTATTGGTATTTTACAATTTTGTTATGTTTAATTATTGTTTTCTGTACAGGGATACTGCTGCTATTTTTATGTAAATCTTACATCCAAGGATATTTTATTTATTAAATAAATGTTGTTTTTAACTGACACATAGTAATTGTACAAATTTGTGGAGTACACAATGATGTTTTGATATATGTATACATTGTGTAATGATGAAATTATTATATTTAGCATATTCATCACCTCAAACATTTATTATTTATTTGTGGCAAGAACATTCAGAATCCTCTCTTCTAGATATTTTGAAATATACACTGTAATATTGTTTACTATCGTTACCCTACAGTAATACAGAACATCAGAAGTTATTCATCGCATGTTAACTGTAATTTTGTACTCATTGATCAATCTTTCTCCATCCTCTGCTTCCCCCTACACTCCCAGGTCTCTGGTAACCAGTATTCTACTCTGTACTTCTATGAGATTAGCTTTTATAGATTCCACAAGTTGGGGAGATCATGTGGTTTTTGTTTTTCTGTGCCTGGCTTATTTCACTTAGCATAATGTTCTCCAGGTTCATTCATGTTGCCACAAATAACAGAATTTTATTCTCTTTTATGGCTGAGTAGTATTCCCTTGTGTATACATAATGCATTTTCTTTATCCATTTGTCCAGTGATGAACAATTAGGTTGACTCCACATCTTGGCTATTGTTAATCGTGCTGTGGTAAATATGAGAGTGCAGACATCTTTTTTTACATACCGATTTCATTTTCTTTAGATAAATGATCAGCAGTGAAATTGCTGAATCATGTAGTAAATCTATTTTTAATATTTTGAGAAATGTTCAGACTGTTTTTTATGATGGCAGTACTAATTTACATTGCTCCAACAGTGTGTAAGGTTATCAATTTTTCCACATCCGTACCAATGTTTATGTTTTGTCTTTTTATTTTTATTTTATTTTATCTTTATTATTATTATTATTATTTTTTGAGATGGAGTCTTGCTCTGTTGCCCAAGCTGGAGAGCAGTGGCTCAGTCTCTGCTCACTGCAACCTCTGCCTTTCATGTTCAAGCAATTCTCCTGACTCAGCCTCCTGAGTAACTGGGATTACAGGCATGTGCCACCACACCCAGCTAACTTTTGTATAAATGTGGAGATGGGATTTCACTATATTGGCCAGGTTGGTCTTGAACTCCTGACTTCAAGTGATCTGCCCACATTAGCCTCCCAAAGTTTTTTTTTATCTTTTTAGTAATAACCATTCTAATTGTGGTTTTGATTTTCATTTCTCTAATGATTAGTGATGAATATTTTTTCATGTACCTGTTGGCTGTTTGTATATCTTCTTTTCTTAAATATTTAAAGTTAATTTAACTGATTTTATTTATAATTTAAAAAATGTTTAATTTCTGTGGGTACATAGTAGGTATATATATTTATAGGGTATATGGATATGACATATTTTGATACAGGCATAGAATGCATAATTATAAAATGTATAATAATTACATTGATATAAAAATATCCCATATACCCTATAAATATATGTAATACATATAATAATAAATATAATACATAATACATAATAAACATATATAATAATCAGGGTAAATGAGATATCCCATTTAGCTTAGCCTGGCTAAAGATTTGTCAATTTTATTTATCTTTTTAAAATCAAACTTTTTATTTCATTGGTCTTTTATATTGATTTCTTTTTTCAATTTCATTTATTTCTGCTCTGATCTTTATTATTTATTGTTTTCTACTAATTTTGAATTTGGTTTTCTCTTGCTTGTTAAATTCTTTTAGATGCATCATTTTGTTGTTTATTTGAAGTTTTTCTTATTTTTTGATGTAGGCACTTATAGCTATAAACTTCCCTGTTAGTACTGCTTTTGCTGAATCCTATAGATTTTGGTATGTTATTACTGTTTGTTTCAAGAAAGTTTTCTATTTCCTTCTTAATCTCTTCATTGATCCACTAGTCATTCATGAACATATTATTTGATTTCTATCTGCTTGTGTAGTTTCCAAAATTCCTCTTGATACTGATTTCTAGTTTCATTTCATTGTGGTCATAGAAGTTACTTGATATTATTTTGATCTTTTTATGTTTTAAGACTTGCTTTTGAGCCTAACATATGGTCTATCTTTGAGAATGATCTGTATGCTAAGGAGAAGAATGTATAGTTTGCAGCTGTTGGATGAAATGTTCTGTAACTCTCTATTAGATCCATTTGGTCTACAGTAAAGCTTAAATCCAAAGTTTCTTTATTGATTTTCTGTCTGGAAGATCTGTCTAATGTAGAAAGTGGGTTATTGAAGTTGTCAGCTATTATTGTATTAGGGTATATCTCTCTTTTCTAGTCTAATAATATTTGCTTCATATATCTGAGTGCTCCAATGTTGGGTGCATATAGATTTAAACTGTTATATCCTCTTGCTGAATTGACCCTTGTATCATTATATAATGACTTTCTTTATCTCTTTTCATAGTTTTTGTCTTAAAATCTATTTTTTTATGTAAGTATAGTTACTTCTACTCTTTTTTGGTTTCTGTTTGAATGGAATATCTTTTGCCATTCCTTTATTTTCAGTCTACATGTGTCTTTATAGGTAAAGTGTGTTTTTTTGTATGCAACACATTATTGGGTCTTGGTTTTTAAATTTATTCAGCCAGTCTATGTCTTTTGAATGGAGAGTTTAGTACACTTACATTCAATGTTGTAACTGATAAGGACTTACTCCTGCCATTTTGAAATTTGTTTTCTGGTTGTTTTAAGATCTTTTTTTCTTCTTTCCTTCCTTTCTGTCTTACTGAAGGTGATTTTCTCCAATGGTATAATTTAATTTCTCACTTTTTTGTGTGTATGTACCTATTGTAGGTTTTTTGATTTGAGATTACCATGTGTCTTGCAAATATTATCCCATAACCCATTATTTTAAGCTGACAAGTTAACACTGTTTGCATAAACAAACTAAAAAACAACCAAAAAAAAACCTAATGAAAACTCTACACCTCAACTTTATCCCACTGCTTTTTATCTTTTTATTGTTTCTCTTTATGTCTTATTGTACTATGTCTTTAAAAATTGTTGTCGTTACTACTTTTGAGTGGTTCATCTTTTAGTCTTCCTACATAAGATAATAGCAGTTTATACACCACACTTGCTGTGTTATGATATTCTGTGTTGTTCTGTGTACTCGCTATTACCAGTGACTTTTATACTTTCAGATGATTTCTTACAGCTCATTAAGTTTCTTTTCTTTTTGATCGAAGTACTCCCTTTAACATTTCTTGTGGGTCAGGTTCAGTGTTGATGAAATTCTTCAGCTTTTGTTTGCCTATAAAGTCTTCATTTCTCCTTCATGTTTGAAGGATATTTCACCAGATATACTATTCTAGGGTACAAGGTTTTTCCTTCAGCACTTTAAATATGTTATGCCACTCTTCTTGTCTGTAAGGTTTCCACTGAAAAGTCTGCTTCTAAACATATTGTAGTCCATTGAATGTTATTTGTTTCTTCTCTCTTGCTGCTTTTAGAATCCTTTCTTTATCTTTGGCCTTTGGGAGTTTGATTATTAAATGCCTTGAGGTAGTCTTCTTTGGCTTAAATCTGCTTAGTGTTCTACAACCTTCTTGTACTTGGATTGATATCTTTCTTTAGGTTTGGAAAGTTCTTTGTTATTATCCCTTTGAAAAAACTTTCTACCCCTATCTCTCTCTCTACCTCCTCTTATAGGCCAAAACCTTTTAGATTTGCCCTTTTGAGGCTATTTTCTAGACCTTGTAGGTGTCCTTCATTTTATTTTATTTTTTCTCTTGTCTCCTCTTGACTGTATTTTCTAATAGCCTGTCTTCAAACTCACTAATTCTTTCTTTTGCTTAATCAATTCTGCTTTTAAAAGACTCCGATTTTTAAAGACTCTGCTTTCAAAAGATTTTTCAGTATGCCAATTGCATTCTTTAACTGCAGAACTTCTGCTTGATTCTTTTTAATTGTTCCAATCTCTTTGTTAAATTTATCTGCTAGAATTCAGAGAACTCTTTGTGTTATCTTGAACTTGTTTGAGTTTCCTTAACATAGCCATTTTGAATTCTCTGTCTGACAATCACATATGTATCTCTCTTTCTCCAGTATTGGTTCCTGGTGCCTTACTTAGTTCTTTTGGTAAGGTCATGTTTTCCTGGATGGTACCGATGCTTGTTGATATTTGTCAGTGTCTGGGCATTGACGAATTAGGTATTTATTGTAGTCGTCAGAGTCTGGGCTTATTTGCACCTGTTCTTGTTTGGAAGGCTTTGCAGGTGTTTGAAAGGACTTGGGTGCTGTGATCTAAGCCATATCTGCATTAAGGGGCATGCAAGACCCAGTCATGCTGTGAATCTTGCAGATTCACAGAGGTACTATATTGGTGATCTCAGATAAGATCTAGAAAAATTTTCTGGATTACCAGTCTCTGCCTGTTCTCTTCCTTTACTTTCTCCCAAACAAATGAAGTCTCTCCTTCTGTGCTGAGCCACCTGGAGCTTGGGGTAAGACGACACAAGAACCCCTGTGGCCACCATCACTGGAATTGCACTGGGTCAGGTTTAAGCCAGCACAGCACTGGGTCTTGCTCAAGGTATGTTCAAATTACTACCTGGCTACCACCTATGTTTACTCAAGACCTTGGGGCTCTACAAGATCTTAAGCAGGTGGTAAAGCCAGCCATGTTTGCTTCCTTCCATTTAGGGTGGTGAGTTCCCCCAGGCCCCAGGTGGATTAGGAGATGCCACCTGGGAGCCAGGTACTAGAGTCAAAAACCTTAGAAATATACCTTAGAAACCTTAGAATCTAGATTGGCAGAGGCTGAGTTGGCACTCAAATCATGAGACACAGTCCTTCCCACTCTTCCCTCCCCTTTACACAGGCAGAGGGGCCTATCCCCATGGCCACCACCACAGGCCTAGGAAGAGTACTGTCAGACTGTCGCTGCTGTTCACTTAAGGCTCAAAGTCTCTTCAGTCAGCTTGTGAATGCTGCCAGGCCTGGATTTTTATTATTCAAGAAAGTGGGTTTCCTTATGGCCCAGGGAAGGTCCAGAAATGCTGTCCAAGAGCCAAGGCCTGGAATCAGAGACCCTAAGAGCCTGCTTGGTACTCTTCTACACTGTGGCTGAGCTGGTACCTAAGCTGCAAGACAAAGTCCCCTTTATTTTCCCTCTCCTTTTTTCAAATAGAAGGGGTCTCTCATAGCCATCATAGTTGTGAATATCCTGGGTCACAACCTAAGCCAGCATGTCCCAGAGTCTTACCCAAGGCCCATAGCATGTACTACCTGGATACTGCTGTGGATTACTCAAGGCCCAAGGGCTCTTTAGTCAGCAGGTGATGAATTCGCCAGTGCTAAGTCCTTCCCTTCAAGGCAGCAGGTTCCCTTCCGGCCCAGAGTGTGTCTAGAAATGTCATCTGGGTATTAGAGCCTGGAAATGGGGCTCCATGAATCTGCCTGGTACCCTATCCTACTGTGGCTCAAATAGTATTCACTTTGCAAAACAAAGTATTCTTTTCTTTCTCCTTTCCTCCCCTCAATCGGAAGGAACGAGCTTCTTTAGGAACTGTGAGATGTGTTGCTTGGGGTTGGGGGAAGTCACTCCCTTAGCCACCCTGGCTGGTGTTTCACTAGGTCATGTGCTCCCCATGTCCACTGGTTGCAAGTTCAGCACAGCACCAGAACTTGCTTAGGATTTGCAGTCCTTTTGGCTTAGACTGCCTTTCAAAATTTATTTAGGACCCCAAAGTACATTAGTCCAAAGTGGGAAGGCTTGCTGAAACTCAAGTTCCAACCACTGGGATGGGTGATTCTCCTCTAGCTAAGGCTGGTCTAAATGCTTCCTCCATGGGTGTTGGCTGTGTTTTGCCTGCTGTTTGCAGCACTGCATTCCAATGCAATGCCACACAATTGCTGCACTCTCCGTCCCCCAATTTCACAGATTCTTTCTATGTACCATGTAGCCGCTGTTGGGGGATGAGGGAGGGGTGGTGTCAGCAATGCAAGACTGTTTCCTACCCTCTTCAGTGCCTCTTTTAGTGATACAAGGTTAAAACTAGGTTCTGTGATTGCTTACCTGGTTTTTAGTTCTTATGAAGGTGCTTTTTTGTGTGTAGATAGTTGTCAAATTTGGTGTTCTTGTGGTGAGGATGATTGGTGGAGGCTTCTATTTGGTCCTCTTGCTCTGTCTCCTCCTCTTTGTATGTCTTATGTTGAGAAAAATCTATTTCAATCTTTTGACCATTTTTTAATTGGATTATTGCTTTTTTGTTATTGCATTGTTTGAGTGCCTTATTATTCTGGATATTGACCCCTTGTCAGATGCACTGTTTGCAAATATTTCCTCCTAAGCTGTAGGTTGTCTTTTCACTTTGTTACTTCCTTTGTTGTAAAAAAGCATTTTAGTTTGATGTAATTCATTTGTCTGTATTTGCTTTTGCTGCTCATGCTTTTGAGCTCCTATCCAAATGGTTCATGCACAGATCAATGTTAGGAAGCATTTCCCCTATGTTTTCTTTTTCTTTTCTTTCTTTCTCTTTTTTTTTTTTTTTGAGATGGAGTCTTACTGTGTCACCTAGGCTGGAGTGCAGTGGCACAATCTCATCTCACTGCAGCCTCCACCTCCCGGGTTCAAGCAATTCTCCTGCCTCAGCCTCCCAAGTAGCTGGGATTACAGGCGTGAGCCACCACGCCTGGCTAATTTGCATATTTTTAGTAGAGAGGGGGTTTCACCATGTTGGTCAGGCTGGTCTTGAACTCCTGACCTCAGATGATCCACATGCCTCGGCCTCCCAAAGTGCTGGGATTGCAGGCGTGAACCACTGTGCCCGGCCTCCCCTATGTTTTCTTCTAGTAATTTTATAATTTTGAGGCTTACATTTACATTTTTAATCCATTTTGAATTCATTTTGGCATATGGTGAGAGATAGGTATCTAGTTTTTTTTTTGCACATGGATATATAGGTTTTCCAGCACCCTTTATTGAAGAGACTATTTTTTTCCCTCAATATGTGTTCTTGGTGCCTTTGTAAAAAACAATCGAGTGTAAGTGCATGGATTTATTTCTGGGTTTTTATTAGGTACTGTTGGCCTATGTGTCTACTTTTATGCTAATACCATGTTATTTTGTTTACTACATCTTTGTCATAAATTTTGAGGTCTGGTAGTGTGATGCTTCCAGCTTTGTTCTTTTTGCTGAAGATTGCTTTGGCTTTCAGGAATGTTTCAGGTTCCAAATATATTTTAGGATTGTCTTCTTCTATTTCTGTTAAGAATGTCATTGATATTTTCATACAGATTTCATTCAATCTGTCAATTGCTTTGTGTAATGTGAACATTTAAACAATGTTAATTCTTTCAATCCACAAATGTAAATATCATTCCATTTATTTGTGTGCTCCTCAATTTATTTTATCAATGTTTTATAGCTTTTATTGTGAAGATCTTTTACCTTCTCAGCTAAATTTATTCCTCAGTATTTTATCATTTGTAGTTATTGTAACTGGAATTGCTTTCTTGATGTCTTTTTCAAACAGCTTGCTATTGGCATATAGAAACACTACTGATTTTTGTATGTTTATTTTGTATCCTGCAACTTTACAGTTTATTAGTACTAACAGTTTGTGTGTGTGTGTGTGTGTGTGTGTGTGTGTAGACCTTAGGGTTTTCTATGTATATAATCATGTCATCTGCAGAGAGAGACAATTTGACTTTCTCTTTTTCAATCTGGAGGCCTTTTATTTCTTTCTCTTACCAGATCCATCTGGCTAGAACTTCCAGTACTATGTTGAGTGGAAATGGTAACAGTGAGCATCCTTGTCTTGTTCCAGATCTTAGAACAAAAGCTTTCTGTTTTTCTCTGATCAGTATAATGTTTACTATGTGTTTGTCATATATGTTTTTTTTCTTGCTTCTTCTCTAATAGTCCCATAATGCAAACATTTGTTTACTTTATGGTGCCCCATCAGTCCCATAGACTTTCTTTATTCTTTTTTTTCTTATTTCTTGTCTGATTAAGTTGTTTCAAAAGACCTAGCCAGGTGTGGTGGCTCACGCCTGTAATCCCAGCACTTTGGGAGGCCAAGGTGGGCGGATCACCTGAGGTCAGGAGGACCAGCCTGGCCAATATGGTGAAACCCTGTCTCTACTAAAAATACAAAAATTAACGGGTGTGGTGGTGGGCGCCTGTAATCCCAGCTACTCTGGAGGCTAAGGCAGGAGAATCACTTGAACCCAGGAGGTGGAGGTTACAGTGAGCCAAAATCGTACCATTGCACTACATCCTGGGCGACAAGAGGGAAACTCCCTCTGAAATAAAAAAAAAAAACAACAAAAAAACTTCAAGTTCAAAAATTCTTCATTTTGCTTGATGTAGTCTGTTGTTGAAACACTCAGTTATATTTTTTAATTCCACTCATTGAATTCTTCAGCCCCAAGATTTTTGTTTGGTTTATTTTTTGTAATATTCATCTTTGTCAAATTTCTTATTAAAAGTCACGAGTTGCTTTTCTGATTTTTTGAGCTTTTTATATGTATTATATTTCATTGAGTTTTCTTAAGAGCATTATTTTTCATTTCTTGTCAGGCATTTCACAGATTTTCTTTTTTGAGAGGGTCTGTTACTGGACAATTATTGTTTTCCTTTGAAGGTGTCATGCTTTTTCATGTTTCTTGTGTTCTTATACTGATATCTTTGCATCTCGGTGGGACAGTTGACTCTTCCAATTTTGTGGAGCAGCTTTTGTAAGGAAAGACTTTTTTTCTGTAGATGGGTCCTTGAATGTTGGTTGGGTAGTATACTTTGGCTTTGATTCTAGGTAGGTGCATTATTGTAGTCTTCACATAATTTCTTCAGCTGTAATCAGTATCAGCAGTCTCTCTGAGTGCCTCAGTGGCTTAGGCTGTAAGTATTTGTGGAGCCAGTGGCATGGCTTTGCTGGTTGTGGTGCTGCTGGGTGAGCTGGTCCTCAGGCCTTGGAGGGCAAGCACAAAGCACAGTGGTTCTGCCAGTTGCAGGGTTGGCAGTATTGGGAGTGAGTTCACTGAGGAGGCATCAGTCCCTAAGGAGGTACACAATATGGTGATTCTGCTAGTCACAGGGGCAGCCTCCCTGCTGTGAAGAATTTCCTGTTCTTTGGGTTGCAGAGATCCACTTGGGCTTGGGTGCTAGTGACATGGCTGGTCTGCTGGGTCTAGGCTTTGAGTAGCCAGGTTTGTGGTGTGGCAGCCAGTTGTGTGAGCATGGTGGAGTAACAGCAGGGCCCATCCTGCCTCCAGATGGCCCCTGCAGCAGAATGCAGTCTTGTAGTGACTTCCATCTCAAGATGGTGCTGTTTTGAAGCAGTTCGGTTCATGAAGTGCTATTCTGAAGCAGCTTGGTTCACGTGGGTTCCTTCTTTAGAGCAATGCAGCCATGTGGACTCCAGGCAGACCTGTAAGCTAGACTCAGGGCCCGTGAGAATTGTGAACTCTCCTGCAGCAAGGACTGCAGGAGTCTGTAGTGCTAATGGGGGCTTCTGGGAATCCCTTGCTTACCTTTCTCCCACAGTGAGAAGTCCCTGCTGGCTCTGAGCTGATCCTGGCTGGGAATATGGTTTTGCAGAGGCAGAAAACATCACTCCTCTCTTTATGGGGCCACTCTAGTTTCCATGCTTCACAGGGTTTCTGTCATCCTTTGCTGTATTCCAGTGTCTTCTTTAGGCACTCTAGTTGAAATGTAGTTTATTGTTGTTGTTGTTGTTCTGGTCCTTTTTTTTGTTGTAGGGGTGAACATTACACACCTCTAGCCAGCCATCTTGCTGATGTCTCTCCTCGCAGTTTTATTTTGTAATAAAAAAGTTTTAATAAAATCATTACTGACACTATTGGAAATGCCATACTATTTGCAATATATTGTTTGAACAGAGACTTTTATTTATTTCATTTTTCCTAATTTTTAAAGAAATTTTTCTTGTGGCACTGGCTAGGATCTTCAGTACAATGTTAAAAGGAGGTGGTAATTTGTTTTTGTTTCTTGTTTTGTTTCTGCATTAGTTATCATGTTTGCTCTGGATTGCTGTAAGCTATTGTTTATCAGAGTATGAAAATCCCTTTTATTCCAGCTTGCTAAGTGTATTTTTAATCATAAATATTCAATTTTACTATTTCAAAATGGTCATTTTTTTATTGTTCTATGAAAATTGATTTACTATTTTAATTATTAAAATTATTTTAAATTATTTAAAATTGATTTCTGGCCAGGCGTGGTTGCTCATGCCTGTAATCACAGAACTTTGGGAAGCTGAGGTGGGCAGATCACTTAAGATCAGGAGTTCAAGACCACCCTGGCTCAAATGGTGAAACCCCGTCTCTACTAAAAATGCAAAAATTAGCCAGGTATGTTGGCGCATGCTTGTAATCCCAGCTACTTGGGAGGCGGAGGCAGGAGAATTTCTTGAACCCAGGAGGTGGTGGTTGCAGTGAGCTGAGATCGTGCTACTGCACTCCAGCCTGGGCAACAGAGTGAGGCTGTCTCAAAAAAAAAAAAAAAGAAAGAAAAAGAAAAAAGAAAAGAAAAGAAAAAAATTGATTTTTGAGGTTGCAACATCTTTGTGTTTTTCAGAAAAGTCCTACTTGGTCATTATGCATTCTTAGTACCCTGTGGAAAATAATTTCTAGGTATTTTTATATAATATTGCTTATTTTCCTTAATGAGAGTGATTTCTAATTATATTCTCTTGTACTATCCTTTTTAAATTCTGATAGCAATCTCATAATAGCCAAATAATGAGTTGGGCGTTTTTTAGCCTTTAGAAAATCTCTTATTTTAGTTTGAATAAGAAAGAAATCAACTCTTTCCTGATTCCTTGTATGTGTTTGTGTGAGTGTTTAAGTGTGTATACATAGACTTTTGAAGAAATTAATCCCTATTGTATCTCTGGTTCTTTGTACATTATCTATTTTCCAAGTACTATGTAAATCATTCCTCTATTCTGCTGTTGTCTGAGTCCTCAGTGCAGCTCTGAGGTGAAGATTATTATCCCTGTTTTCAGATGGAGAAGGTAGGCAAAGACAGTTTATTGACTTCATCAATGTCTCTTAGCTGGTAGAACTGAGGTAAGGCTTCAAATTCACATTTGGTCTTCCAGTCAGGTTTTCTCCTGGTCCTCTGAGAGAGCAGCAACGGTTTCTTACTGGTTGCATACTTTGACAGTGACCTCTCCTTCTTTCTTTCTTTTTTTTTTGTCTTTCATGGTTCTTCTTCATTTTGTCATAAGTATCAATTGCTT
The DNA here is from genome assembly GCF_000001405.40 of Homo sapiens. Classification (NCBI taxonomy): domain Eukaryota; kingdom Metazoa; phylum Chordata; class Mammalia; order Primates; family Hominidae; genus Homo; species Homo sapiens. The sequence continues at coordinate 51,517,177 of NC_000007.14, forward strand.
TTGAATGTTAATAATTCTGTACAGGTCGCTGCTCAATGCCTACTTCATCTTATCACGAACACTTTATTGGATGTGTCTGAAGTTGAATAAAGAGATCTGGGTTCATTCACTCACTTAGAGAATCTGAAATGTATTCATTCACTTTGCATAGCACTGATGATCTCACCTCTGACTGAAGGAATCATTGTAAACAAGGGAAATATGCAAGGGGATGCTGCTATCTTATGCATTCAAATGAACACATTCAATGCCGGCTCTCCTAGGAATCTTTAGACCTTGACGAGATTCTATTTGCATTAATGGAGCTATGAAATTCAAATGTTTAGGCCAGTACCAGGGGTGTTGGAAGTGTAATGAGATGGATTAAGGAAAGAAACATTTAGTCTGATCAGGTAAATCTCTTAATGAGCTCTCCTAGACAGTGAAATTAGGAGAGAAAAATTAGTCTGGGCTGGACAAATAGGAGTCCACAGAGATGGGGAACAAGGACCTAGTACTTAATTCAAGGTTATATGATCCATCAAAACTTCCTGTGTTAACCTTCTTTGCTCCTGAAATCATTACAATGTACTATTGTTTATAACTTCTCTCTGCATACAAGTAAACTGTTTAGTTTGTAAAAATACCAAGCATTTTTTGAGTGCCAACTCTGTGCTAGGCACTTCGTCATGTAATTTAATTATCATAATCATGACTTCTCACATGAGAACTAAAGTTAATTGTGATCGTACTTTGTTTTAATTGCTTGTTGAATTGTCTGTATTCTCAACTGGAATTTAAATTCCAGAAGGCAGAAACAGGGCCTTTCTTACTCCTCACTGTATCACTGGTACTTGGCAGAATTTCGGACATATATGAGGCACTCAGGCATGGTACAATGTATTAAAGGAAGAAATGGCCTGGCTATCTCCAGCTCCCAGTCTCATTTCAGGGCCCATCCTCTGGTCTTCTGGAGCCTTTCCCATTGCTCATCCTGTATTGCATTCATCTATGAGCTTCATAAGACCTTCATTTTGTCCCCTCATGTATTCCAATGCCTACAACAAGATTTGACTTAGTATTTATTAAATTTATGTTTGAATTTATGTTTATCTCTGTGATCTATAATTTCTTTAATGATAGATGGCCATTTATTGTTTTATTTCTAGTTCTCAACACATGCCTTTTACACAAAATTTAAATGTCTGTCTTACAGAGGATGAAGGCAGGGCTCAGGGGTGTTGGAGAGAGGTTTCAGCATCCAGTAGATACCAGAACCAGAAGGGACTTAATTCTCACTTGTTCCCAAGTTCTAGTCTAGGTTTTGGAAACCCGGCTAGGATAAGTTATGTTTACAATAAGTCATTTTTTTTTTTTGCTAGTATGTGTTTTCTGATTCGTACTAGAGTTTTACTTGTTACTTCAAATCTTGTGCTTTTTGAAGGGTCTACATCATTTATTCTGAGATTTATGTTAATAATCATATCCTCTTATAAAGAAACAGTTTACATGCTCCTTAAAAGTGCTTGAAACTAATCTCACTGTCCTCTAACTCCAGTCCCACATTGGCAGTCACATCAGTAGGAAGGATGCAGAAAAATGACAGAGTCGTCGTCTTTCTTATGCCATCTCTAGCTCTGCATATTAAATCTCAAGTATTGGTGGACACGGTCATTTACCACTGGCAGTAAAGCACACACTCCCAGCGTATCCTGGCAACCTGCAGAGAAAGCTAATCATGATAGGCATTAAAGAGTTTCATACTTCTCTTAGACATTAGGGAAAGGAAAGACTTGTATCTTTTATAGCCATTCAAAGGTGAATTTTGAATACTAAAACAAAACTACTTCAAATTTAATCTTTCAGGAAAGTGTACATTTCTCTTACATTTGAATAATTGTGACAGCTACAGAAACACATTTGCTCTAAATTTTGTAGGTGGCCATCACAGAATAGCCTCTGGGTACACATTTAGAAGAGCAATAATGATACAAGAAAGGGTATTACAGATTTCATTTTAACCAACAACAGGAAAACGGCTTCATATACATATAGATCACTCCCTAGCACTGACTTCAGTTTTGAATGTCACCTCTATGTGGCTGACAGGGCATTAGTTTAAAAAGCAACTGTGGAGAAATAATAATAGAAAGAATGTCTTCATTTTTACTGTTTTTCCCTCTTGCTGGGCAAAGTCACAAAGAACACCTGTGCAGGCCCTTTTTGGGCATGGTGGCTTTGAGCTGTGGATTTAAAACACTGGATGGAGGTTCTCGGATGGGCCCAGTGGCTCATGCCTGTAATCCCAGCACTTTGGGAGGCCAAGGTGGGTAGATCACCTGAGGTCAGGAGTTCAAGACCAGCCTAGCCAACATGGTGAAACCCCATCTCTACTAAAAATACAAAGATTAGCTGGGCATTGTGGTGAATGCCTGTAATCCCAGCTACTTGGGAGGCAGAAGAATTGTTTGAACCTGGGAGGCGGAGGTTACAGTGAGCTGAGATCATACCACTGTGCTCTAGCCTGGGTGACAAGAGTGAAACTCCATCTAAAAAAAACACTGGATGTGAGTTCTCTTCCTAAAAAATGCTTCCTGCTTACTGGGCCTCCTGTTTCTCACCCAGTAATGAGGCAGGTGCTTTGGAGGATACAGAATGAGGATGTGTTAGGAGATGAATTGTGTTCCGCAAAATTCCTGTGTTGAAGCCCTACCCCCAAGTACCTATGAATGCGACCTTACATAGAGACAGGGTCTTTATAGAGGTAATCAAGTTAAAATGAGGTTATTAAGTTGGGCCTCAATCCAATAGGACTGTTGTCCTTACAAGGGGAAATTTGCACACAGATATGCACATATGGAAGACGATGTGAACACACAGGAAGAACACACCATCTACAAGCCCAGGAGAGGCCTGGAGCATGTCCTTCCCTCTCAGCCTCCTCTCAGAAGGAGGGCTGTGCAGCACCACAATCTCAGACTTCCAGCCTCCAGAACTGGGAGAAAGTACATTTCTGTGGTTTAAGCCTCACAGTCTATGGTACTTTGCTATGGCAGCCCCAGCAGACTAATACGGGGAGGCATCTCTGATGCTGTTCCCTCCAGTCCTGTTCAATGAAATCTTTTAAAGATTCATTACAAGCATCTCCTCCACACTGCCGACTCAGCCACACTCTGCTGGGTTGTTTTCATTGGTAGAGTTGTCACTTCCTTGTCAGCTGTATTGGTTACCTATCGCTGTGCAACAATTACCCTGAAACTCGGCAGGAGACAACAATGCATGTATTATCTCACACACACTCTGAGGGTCAGGAATCCAGAGGTGGCTTGGCTGCATGGCTTTAGCTCTGGGTCTCTCATGAGGCTGCAGGTTAGCTGTCAGGTGGCACTGCAGTCTCTGGACATTGGTTGGGGCTGGAGGACACATTCACGTGGCTGTGGGCAGGAGGCTTCTGTTTTTACCCTGTGGATCTTTCCAAGGGGCTGCTCACAACATGGCCTTTCCCAGAGCAGGTGGTTCCAGAGAGAGCATCAGGCAAGCAAAGGTTTGCTCAAGATGGAAGCTGCAGGGCGTGTCTTTATAATCCGTGGCATGAGATCACTTCTGCCATACTCGATTGTGGGAGGGGCTGCATAAGATTTTGAATGCCAGGAGGTGGGGATGATGGGGAGGCTCTTGGAGGTTGGCTACCACATAGGACAGAGCCATTCTCATAGCTCATAGCCCTTTGTATAAAAGCAGCTTTCTCTTATGTAAAATTCAGCACATTGATTACAGGCCAAACCCAGGCTCATCTGTCTCCATTCCTAGTACAACATCACCAGCTGCCTCCTTGGTCATCCCCCTGCCTTGCTTTTCATTTGTATTCCTTTCAATTTTGGGCTGACCATGAGCTTGTATATTCCCTTGGAGCCTTTGTATCTCTGGAGCTGGGCAGGTGATTAAGGAGTGCCCCTTCCTTTGGATAAAAATCCCATTGCTGGATGAGTGGACGTGCTCTGCCTGAGCCACTGCTGTGAGTGACCCTGCTAACCTCCTCACTCGCATGCTTGGGGCACCTTCTGTGTGAGGCACGTGCCCAAAGCGTGCCACACTGCTCTCCACCCTCAGGTCCTTCCTGCTAAGGTCCTGACCTTCAGCTAGGTCACTGCAGTTCACAGGGCAGCTGTGGTTTTCCAGGGCTAAGAGAGCCCTGAGGAAAGGGCATGAACGTGATGGGCAAACGTTGCTGCACAGCAGCTGCTTAGTTGACTTCCACTGACACTGGCCTATTGAACCAAGCTGCCTTTTCTCCATCTATTGGGAAATACTAAGTTCTGTTTAACTAAAACTTCTAAACATTTACTCCCTGATGCTTTGAGTTGGTGATAGAGGTGGTGTTAGTGTCAGGAAAATGACTATCAAATTTACCACTGGATCTGGAATTTGGGAGCTGAGTTTGAGAATCAGAGTCGCCTAACTGCTTCAGAAAGTTTTTTCCACTTGTCTTGAGAAGACTGTAGGAACATTTAGAAACAGGCTGTAAGTGGGGCTGGCAGGTGGACTTTTACTTTTTATTTTTAGAGAGCATCTGTAGAGCCCATCATTGGCTGCGTCTGTAACTGCCTGACTCTAGTTCTGTGTAATAAAGCAGCCCTGTGTTATGATTACCATTTTGACAACAAGATGGATATTTCAAAGATGCGCTTCTGCATTCAATCACATTTGAGGAACACATTGAAATCAGTCACTTGTGTGGGGCTGCTCTCTTCTGCTAGTGGCTAATTAGTCACGAGGAGCACACACATGGGGCTGCCTCCCTCCTGGCTGCTACTTTACCATGGAAAGGGCAATCATTGTCAGTAAAAAAAAAATAAATCTTTGATGCCACAGGGGATTTAAATGAACAGGAGGATAGAAGTAATCAGGTTTTCCATGTAAGGTGTCATGGGAGGGAGAGGAGACAAGGCGTCTCAGCAGAGCCTGCCAACCTCCCTGGGGTGGGAGGGACTGTTGTGCCTGTGTGCAGCCCCACAGCATCCCGCTGTGTTTAAACCGCAACCCAAGGTGTGTCTCAATTTAATGTAAAGGCAACCTTGGGGACAAATTATGTTGGAATGATACTGAGTTTGACTTGTTAAAAGTACTTTCAAGAGAACCAGGGAGTATGGAAGAGTGGAGAAAGCAATAGACATAGACTCAGAAAACTGGCTTTGTTTTGCTAGCTGGGTGGCCTGGAGCATGATCTTCTAACCTGAGCTGTCTCATGAAAGGAAATCCTTTCTCCCTGTTGGGAGTACCATGTACGCCCATGTCTAATCAAGCTCTTGCACACCTGCAACACGCTGTGCAGATTGTGTTGTTCAGGAAGACAGATGTGTGTCTACCATGTTCTTTATCCACCTGAATGTTTTTGAAGTTTTTTTAAGCTCTAAAAATAGGTAAAAACTGAACGTTAACAAAGAGAAAAACATTCAAATCAATATTTTCCATGGACTAATTTTCTATTCTCCATCTGTTTTACACCTAGCTCTTGCTGTCCACTGCTGAGAGCCCCACGTCTCATGAGAACTGATAATGCCTCCCTAATGACTGAGAAATCTTCAGGGGCCCCGTGCTGGACTCTGGCATTCTAGTCTGTTTCATGATCACGTGGTCCAGGACCATCCTCTTTTTGTTTTCTCTGCTCTCAGAGGGTTTCTCAGAACCATGCATTTGGGGGATCCTTAGTATGACTGATCCCTAGTGTGTATCTCTCAGGAGTGCTGAGCTGGAGGACTTAATGATAGGATTCAATTTCTCAATGCCTCAGTGGGAACAAAGTCAAAGGAATTAAGCAACCCTGTGTGGTGGACCAGCTGGGGCTAAATTCGAATTTCCTAATTCCATTGTAGTCTTGTTTTTACTACATTGGGTCCTTGCCTCCAGGAAAACTTAGAGATGCTGCTGGGGGTAAATAAAGCAACCTGGATCAGATAGATCCATAATTCTTCCTAACCTCTGCTTTTCCCTTGGAGCAGAAATATATGCATAAAAAAGCATCATGGGAGGGGTAAGGGACACAGTGGGAGGAGATGGGACTGTGTGAGCTCAGAGGCAAATACAATGTTGCCTTTAGTGGCTTCATCTGGAGGCCAGAAAAGAAAACTGTCCTAGGATCCAGGAGATCTCCATTTAAGTGAACAGCGATTTGAGCAAATATGTTACTCTTTGACCTTACTTTCCTCATCTAGAAAATGGGAATAATAATATGTAACTTACAGGATGGGCATCCACTGTGTCTCACACATATAAGGCAAATGGTTGTTACTCTCAGAGCACTGGATTCAAAAATCTCTAAGGTAATTTTCTTTCCCATTTACTCCTTCCGCCTGTATTGGCTCATGTTAATGCTAGTGTTTGTTGAACTTGATCTCCTTCAAATTTGAAAAAATTACATCTCATTTTCCATTTAATTTTCTCAATCCTTCCAGGTGAAAAATGTTATCCAGACATTGGTACCCAAATCTAGTGAGGACACTGGTGTTTAGGTTGCTGCTGCTGCTTTCATTCAGGTATTATTAAGTGTCAAGCCCAGCACATGTATCTGTTTTTTTAAAAATTTTAATTTGGAGGCTGCTCACATACTGAACACTTTGTAGAGTCAACATTAGGCACAAAAACATATTTGCACATAGAATAAAATTGAAGAAAGTTAGAAAACATCTTAACCAAGGGAAAGCAAATAGGTATATAACTCACTTCAATTAGCACAGTTTCAGTGCACAATACTATTTATTTTTAGAAACAAAGGGTAAGGAGCATGTACTCCACCAGTTTTCCTGTATTTATTTTTTGGGGATAATTACTCGACATTTTAGAGTGAACTTGCATTCATTGAATGCCCATTATTATGTGTGAGGTTCTGTAATTGATGTTTTCACATTTTATTTAATGTTCCTTAGCAGCCTATGAGAGGGGTATTATTATTTTCCCATTGTGCTTATGAAGAAACTGAGACTTAGAATGGAAAGAAAAAAACACTGAATTTTATTTTTCAATTCTGTAGTGTGTTGACATACAATATTTTTTCCCTTTTTAATTTTGAAATAATTTTGATTGTAGACAAGTTGCAAGAATGAATAAAGAACTCTTATATATTTTTCATACAGATTCACCATTGTTAATATTTTGCCATATTTCTTTTCTTTCTCCCGTCATATATCAAATTTTTTCTATCCCATTTTAGTGTCGATTGCATATATTCTATCATTTACTTTGTGATTCTTCAGCGTGTATTTTCTAAGAACAGGGACATTTTCTATCATAACCACAACATAGTTATCAAACTCAGGAATTTTAACCTTGACACAATTGATGATCAAAATCACAATCCCTATTTCAATTTCCTAGTTTCCAGAAATGTCTTTCATAGCCATTTAGCTTCTGGTCCAGGGTCCCGTCCTGCTGCACACATTGCGTTTTATAATCATGTTTCTTTAGCCTTATGTTATCTGGAAAAGACTCTTGGCCCTTTGTCTTTTATATCATTAACATTACAGGTCAGTTATGTTCTAGGGCATCCTCTCAGTTTGGGTTTGTCTGATGTCTCAGATAATGCAAGTTTGGGCAGGATTATTTCGTAAGCCATGTTGTGTTCTTCTCAATATCGAGAAGCACATGAAGTTGGTTAGTTCCAATACTTGTGATGTTAATTTTGCTCCCATCTCCCCACTCTAAAGTCACTATTGTTTTTTTATTAATAATTAAGTGGTAAAACTGATAATAAGTAATGAGATCAAAGCCATAACACAGTCTCTCATCAAAGAAGAGCCCTGGACCGGATGACTTCACTACTAAATTCTACCAAACATTTAAAGAATTACTAATACCATTTCTCCTCAAATTCTTCAAAAAATTGAAGAGGAAAAAATACATTCAAACTCATTCCATGAGGCCAGCATTACACTGATATGAAAACAAGATAAGAACACAACAAAAAAGGAAAAGTATAGGCTAACATTACTGATAAACATAGATGCAAAAATCCTGAACAGAATACTAGCAAACCAAATTCAACAACACATTAAAAATATGATTACCTATAATCAAGTGGGATTTATCCGAGGGATGCAAGAATGGTTCAACATATGCAAATTCATCAACGTGATACATTAACAGAAACAAGAACAAAAATCATATGATTATTTCAATAGATGCCTAAAAATCATTTGATAAAATTCAACATAGCTTTATGATAAAACTCTCATCAAAATGGGCATAAAAGGAGCATACCTCAAAATAAAAAAGGCCATATATGACAAACCCACAGCTAACATCATACTGAATGGGGAAAAACTGAAGGCTTGCAAGAGGACAAGGATGCCTGCTTTCACCACTTTTATTCAACATGACGCTGGAATTTCTGGCCAAAGCAATTAGTCAAGAGAAAAAAATAAAGTGCATCCTAATTGGAAAGGAAGAAGTCAAATTATCGTTATTCACAGACTGCATGATTTTATGCCTAGAAAAACCTAAAGACTCCACCAAAAAGCTGTTAGAACTGACAAACAAATTCTGTAAAGTTGTAGAATGTAAAATCACCATATGAAATCAGTAGTGTTTATTATACCAACGATCTGAAAAAGAAATCAGCAAAGCAATCTCATTTATAGTAAATTCAAAAATGCAAAATACCTAGAAATTAAAGCAAAAAGTGAAAGGTCAATACAAAGAAAACTGTAAAACGCTGATAAAAGAAATCGAAGAAGACACAAGAAATGAAAAGATAGTCCATGCTTACAAATGGGAAGAAATAATATTGTTAAAATGACAATACTACTCAAAGCAATTTATAGATTTAATGCAATCCCTATGAAAATATCAATATTTTTTGCAGAAACAGCAAAAACATTCTAAAATTTATGTGGAGCCAAAAAATACCCCTGATATTCAAAGCAATTCAAAGCAAAGAAACTGGAGGCATCATGCTACCTGACTTCAAAATATACTGAAAAGTCAAACAGCATGGTACTGCCATACAAACAGATACATAGACCAATGGAACAGCATAAAGAGCCAAGATTTAAATCCACACATTTACAGCCAACTCATCTTCAACAAAGACACAAAGAAAATACAATGGGGAAAGGACAGTAAATGGTGCTGGGAAAACTGGATAACTACATCCAGAAGACTGAAACTAGACCCACATCTCTCACCATATACAAATATCAGATAAAAATGGTTTAAAGACATAAATCTAAGATCTGAATATATGAAAGTATTGAAAGAAAATATCAGGGAAATGCTCCAGGACATTAATCTGGGCAGATTTTTTGTGTAAGACCTTAAAAGCACTGGTAACTAAAGCAAAAATAGACAAATGGGATGACATCAATCTGAAAAGCTGCTGCACAGTAATCAACAAAGTGAAGAGACAACATACAGAATGGGAGAAAATATTTGCAAACTATCTAGCTGAAAAGGAATGAATAACCAGAATATATAAAGAGCTCAAACAACTCAAAAATAACAACAACAATAATAATCCTATTTTAAAATGGGCAAAAGATCTGAACATTGCTCAACAGAAGACACACGAGAGGCCAACAGGTATATTAAAAAATGCTTAACATCACTACCCATCTTAGAAATGCAAATCAAAACCACAATGAGATAATGAGATATCATCCCAGTTAAAATGGTTTTTATCAAAAAGACAGGCAATAGCAGATGCTGGAGAGGATATGGAGAAAGGGGAAGGCTCGTATACTGTTGGTGGGAATGTAAATTAGTGCAGCCACTATGGAGAACAGTTTGGAGGTTCCTCCAAAAACTAAAAATAGAGCTACCATATGATCCTGGAATCCCATTGCTGGATATATTCCCAACAGAAAGGAAATTAACCTATGGAAAAGACAACTGCTCTCATGTTCATTGGAGCACTGTTCACAATAGCCAAAGTACAAAATCAACCTAAGTGCCTACCAACAGACGAATAGATAAGGAAAATGTGGCATATACACAGTGGAGTACTATTCAGTCATAAAAAGAATGGAATCTTGTCATTTGCAGCAACATTAATGAAACTGGAGGTCATTATGTTAAGTGAAATAAGCCAAGAACAAAAAGACAAATATCGCATGTTCTCACTCATATGTAGGAGCTTAAAAAGTGGATCTCATGAAGATAGAGAGTAGATTGGTAGTTATCCAAGGCTGGGGAGGGTGGAGAGGTGGGGGTGGATGAAGGGGAAAAAAAAGAATGTAAATGTATTTATTACCACTGAACTGTGCACTTAAAATGGTAAAACTGGTAAATTTCATATGTATTATTTCACCTTAATAAAAAATAAAGCTAAAAATATAATTAATTGGTAAAAGTATTTTGAGATTATATAAACATACTTCTCCTCATTGAACTTTTACCCATTCATTTTGATTTAATTTCAGTTAATGCTTTTTGCTTAAGTCAATTATTACCATAATGGTTTAGATATGGTAATTTTCTTTAATTTTTTATTACTTGAAAATATATTGTAAAGACTTATTTCTGTTTATAGCAGTTTTTTTGAATGAGGGATAACTGTGTCTGATTTTTGTAAAAAACCTGATTGTCACTCTATGTTGCGGAAGTCAGCCTTTGAACCTAGGGCTGTTAACTAAAACAAGCTGTACCTTTTTCTCAGTAGAGGTTATTTGTAATTAATTATAACCATGATGCTTCATTTGCATATTTGATTTTAGCCTTCTTTATCAAAAAATTTGTCACCAGATGGACTACTGCAGTCAGCCTTGGCTCATGGCACTGTGCCTCCCTATTTGACTGTTCACTCCCTGTGGACAGGGTTCACTCCTTTATTCACTGCTGTATGCCCAGGGCCTGACACCAGAAGGCATGCTATAAGTATCTGCTGGACAAATTAATGAGTGGGTCAATATTGGTTTGAAGTGAACCATCTCTTTTTGTACAGGGCACAGTAGAGAACATTTGGGAAATCTAGGTGTTGCCAATGCACGATGGGCTCAGTTCTAGCTTTCTGGAAAGGCCTTCTCTCAAGAGGGGTTGGGCTGGGGGGTTCTGGCCCAATCCCAGTCCCAGTGTGGGCTCCTACAACTGGCATGTGTTGTGGGGTCTGCTCATGTGGGGATCCTGTGAGTTTAGTTCATGGGGAACTAGTATCCTGCTTGTTGGAGGAAGATGGAGTTTTTATAGCAGAGTCATCTAGGAGAGGAAGTGGTGTGTTTTTATCGCTGGGAGGCAGAGCCAAGGTTAAGATCCACGGGCGCATAGGATAAGAATGGAAGGAGAGTAGGCCATGATAAGACGGTTGTTTTAAAGCAAAGAGCATTCATTGAATACATGAGGAGTCAGGACTGAGGCCATAGCCTTTGTGTTTGATGCTGAGAGGAAGAGGTCTTCAAGCGAATGTCTTGAGACAGAACCTCATGGTGAGGACAACAATAGGAGGACAGTCCCAGGTTTACATCAGAAATGTGTCATATCCAGATGCTGAAAATCTCACTGGCTTTATAATTCACAAAGATGAACTAATTACTTCTTTTTGCCGAAGGAGGAAACTAGGGGGAAAAGGAGAGAATGAGCAGAAGGAGTAGGAAATATTATGTCTCTACTTTGACCTTGAGTTTCTAACACCAAGTAGAAGAAAGAGATTTTTGTATCCTACCTCACTTTTGTAAAGGCCCTAATAAGTGAGTTTGCAGGTGTTTCCCAACGTACTTTCTTTGAAACACCAATTCCACGAGATATTAACTGGTATGTGATCCACCCTTCACCTTCCACAGTGCAGCGTTCCTTCAGCACTAGGTTCCATAGCACCTCCTCACTCATCTCCCGGGCACTGTTGCTCTTTCCTGCAGCTCCTCCACTGCTTTCAGCCCCTGCTGGTCCGGAGTTCACTTGGCTGCTGCCCCCAGGCCAGAGGTCTTGGGCTAGAACCCTCTCCAGCATAGGCTGTTTGCCTTCCTTGACCATCAGAATGGGGGTAAATTGCAAGGGGCCCCTGACACGTTTTACCCGCCTGCCCTTTATCCTTCACAACCCCATTCTACAGAGCTTGATGTGTGGTAGATGAGTTCACTGGAGAGCTAGCTTGATTAGCAGAAATTACAGCATAAAAGAAGAAAAATTTTTGAATTGTTTCTTTTTATGACTATCCCCCAAGAGAAGGCAATAAAAAGCTAAACACTTAAAGTGGTGTAAAAAAAAAAATTACTCATGACACTAGCTAAAGATGGTAAGGCAGACTTTATTTAGGGGGTCCATAGCGATCAGTGTAGAGACCACTGCACCGGGGACTTGTAGTGGGGAGAGAGGCTGAGCTCCACTCTGAGCACAGCATAGGTAGCATAGGCAAGGTCCATGTTCTTCCTAGAAACCATTTCCTGTTCAAAGCCCTGGGCTGAATATCCTGCCCCTTTTTCAGAGGAATCCTGTGGTTTACTTATTAGGAACCTCATAAACTAAGCATCCAGTCCCTCTCCTCCAGGCTGTCTGTGGGACCCAGTAATCACAGGTAGTATTTATACAAATTTATTTTGTCTAGAATTGCACTGTTCAATACAGTAGCCACTAGCTACATATGGTGATTTAAAATAATTAAAATGAAATAAAATGGAAAACGCAGCTCCTTAGTTGATCAATAGTCAATGTGACTAGTGACTAGCCCATTGGACAGGGCAGATACAAAATATTTTTATCATTACAAAAGTTTATCTTGAACGGTTCTGATCTAAAGCAGGCATAGGGAAATTATAGCCAGCAGGCCAAATCTGGTCTAACACCTGTTTTTGTAAATAAAGTTTTATTGGAACACAGCCATGCTCATTCATTTATGTATTGTTTTCTTTAGTGCTACACCATGAGAGTTGAGTAGTTGCAACAGGAAACCATATGGCCTTCAAAGCCTGAAGCATATGCCATTTGGCTTTTTATATAAAAAGTTCGCTGAACTCTGGTTGAAAAAAATACTTCAGGTGAATGTTGCTACTTCAAGACTGGGCATTTTTGAGGTTCCCCGCCTTTATGGGGCACATATGTGGCCCCCCATCCTTACAAGTCATCTGATGCCTAATTTTTTAATCGAATAGACACAACATAAACACATACACATGTACACACATGTCCACACCTTGTCCAAGGACAACTGTGTATACATTTTGAATGGAACCATTATGCTATTTCCCTAACCACATCACTTGCAGAGAGATATCTTACATTTGCTTGATGTCACAATGTCTTGGGTCCAGTGGTACAAAATAAATAAACTAATTAGAGAAGCTTGTCAGGACCCATACATACCTACAAAGATTCTGCCAAGGTTTTGGTCTTTCTAGTATTTTATTTTCAGTCTAGTCTCTGCAAAATTATGATGGTTTTCTCCTACATGTAAGGACAGGTGATGACCACCTTAGATATTTCCTTCAAATGCAAATGACTTCTTTTTTTTTTTAAGTTCTGGGATACATGTGCAAACGTGCAGGTTTGTTACACAGGCATACATGTGCCATGTGGTTTGCTGTACCCATCAATCTGTCATCTACATTAGGTATTTCTCCTAATGCTATCCCTCTCCTTGCTCCCCACCCCTCGACAGGCCCTGGTGTGTGATGTTCCCCTCCCTGGGCCCATATATTCTCATTGTTCAACTCCCACTTATGAGTGAGCATGTATGGTGTTTGGTTTTCTGTTCCTGTGTTAGTTTGCTGAGAATGATGGTTTCCAGCTTCATCCACGTCCCTGCAAAGGACATGAACTCATTCTTTTTTATGGCTGCATAATATTCCATGGTGTATATGTCCACATTTTCTTTATCCAGTCTATCATTGATGGGCATTTGGGTTGGTTCCAAGTCTTTGCTATTGTGACTAGCGCTGCAGTAAACATACGTGTGCATGTGTCTTTATAGTAGAGTGATTTATAATCCTTTGGGTATATACCCAGTAATAGGATTGCTGGATCAAATGGTATTTCTGGTTCTAGGTCTTTGAGGAATCACCACACTGGCTTTCATAATGGTTGAACTAATTTACACTCCCACCAACAGGTAAAAAGTGTTCCTATTTCTCTACATCCTCTCCAGCACCTGTTGTTTCCTGACTTTTTAATGATCGCCATTCTAACTGGCGTGAGATGGTATCTCATTGTCATTTTGATTTGCATTTCTCTAATGACCAGCGATGATGAGCTTTTTAAAATTGTTTGGCTGCATAAATGTCTTCTTTTGAGAATTATCTTTTCATATCCTTTGCCCACTTTTTGATGGGTTTGTTTTTTTTCTTGTGAATTTTGTCTAAGTTCTTTGTAGATTCTGGATATTGGCCCTTTGTCAGATGGATAGATTGCAAAATTTTTCTCCCATTCTGTAGGTTGCCTGTTCATTCTGATGATAGTTTCCTTTGCTGTGCAGAAGCTCTTTAGTTTAATTAGATTCCATTTGTCAGTTTTGGCTTTTGTTGCCATTGCTTTTGGAGTTTTAGTCAGGAAGGCTTTGCCCATGCCTATGTCCTGAAGAGCATTGCCTGGGTTTTCTTCTAGGGTTTTTTATGGTTTTAGGTCTTATGTTTAAGTCTTTAATCCATCTTGAGTTAATTTTTTTTATAAGGAAGGGGTTCAGTTTCAGTTTTCTGCATATGGCTAGCTAGTTTTCCCAGCACCATTTATTAAATAGGGAATCCTTTCCCCATTGTTGTTTTTGTCAGGTTTGTCAAAGATCAGATGGTTGTAGATGGGTGGTGTTATTTCTGAGGCCTCTGTTCTGTTCCATTGGTCTATATATCTGTGTTGGTACTGGTTTCATGCTGTTTTGGTTACTGTAGCCTTGTAGCATAGTTTGAAATCAGGTAGCATGATGCCTCCAGCTTTGTTCTTTTTGCTTAGGATTGTCTTGGCTATACAGGCTCTTTTTTGGTTCCATATGAAATTTAAAGTAGTTTTTTCTAATTCTGTGAAGAAAGTCAATGGTGGCTTGATGGGGATAGCATTGAATCTATAAATTACTTTGTGTAGTATGACCATTTTCACTATATTTATTCTTCCTATCCATGAGTGTGGAATGTTTTACCATTTGTTTGTGTCCTCTCTTATTTCCTTGAGCAGTGGTTTGTAGTTCTCCTTGAAGAGGTCCTTCACATCCCTTGTAAGTTGTATTACTAGGTATTTTATTCTTTTAGTAGCAATTGTGAATGGGAGTTCACTCATGATTTGGCTCTCTATCATTGGTGTATAGGAATGCTTGTGATTTTTGCGCATTGATTGTGTATCCTGAGAGTTGGCTGAAGTTGCTTATCAGCTTAAGGAGATTTTGGGCTGAGACAATGGGGTTTTCTAAATATACAATCATGTCATCTGCAAACAGAGACAATTTGACTTCCTCTTTTCCTATTTGAATACCCTCTATTTGTTTCTCTTGCCTGATTGCCCTGGCCACAACTTCCAATACTATGTTGAATAGGTGTGGTGAGAGAAGGCATCTTTGTCTTGTGCTGGTTTTCAAAGGGAGTGCTTCCAGTTTTTGCCCATTCAGTATATATTGGCTGTGGGTTTGTCATCAATAGCTCTTATTACTTTGAGATACATTCCATCAATACCTAGTTTATTAAGTGTTTTTAGCATGAAGAGGTGTTTAATTTTATTGAAGGCCTTTTCTGCATCTATTGAGATAATCATATGGTTTTTGTCATTGGTTCTGTTCATGTGATGGATTATATTTATTGATTTGCAAATGTTGAACCAGCCTTACATCCCAGGGATGAATCAGACTTGATGGTGGTGGATAAGCTTTCTTTTTCTTTTTCTTTTCTTTTTTTTTTTGAGACAGGGTCTCACTCTGTCACCCAAGCTGGAGTGCAGTGGCACGATCTCAGCTCACTGCAACCTCCACCTCCCAGGTTCAAGCGATTCTCCTGTCTCAGCCTCCTGAGTAGCTGGGACTACAGGCATGCACCACCATGCCTGGCTAATGTTTGTTTCTTTAGTAGAGACAGAGTTTCAACATATTGTTCAGGCTGGTCTCAAACTCCTGACCTCAGGTGATGGTGGATAAGTTTTTTAATGTGTTGCTGGATTCGGTTTGCCAGTATTTTATTGAGGATTTTCACAGCAATGTTCATCAGGGATATTGGCCTGAAATTTTCTTTTTTTTTTTTATTGTGCCTCTGCCAGGTTTTGTATCAGGATAATGCTGGCCTCATAAAAAAGAGTTAGGGAGGAGTCCCCCTTTTTCTGTTGTTTGGAATCGTTTCAGAAAGAATGGTACCAGCTCCTCTTTGTACCTCTGGTAGAATTCGGCTGTGAATCCGTCTGGTCCTGCAGTGTTTCTTGTTGGTAGGCTATTAATTACTGCCTTAGTTTCAGAACTTGTTATTGACCTATTCAGGGGTTCGACTTCTTCCTGGTTTAGTCTTGGGAGGGTGTGTGTGTCCAGGAATTTATCCATTTCTTCTAGATTTTCTAGTTTATTTGCATAGAAGTGTTTATAGTATTCTCTCATGGTAGTTTGTATTCTGTGGGATCAGTGGTGATATCCCATTTATCATTTTTTATTGCATCTATTTGACTCTTCTCTCTTTTCTTCTTTATTAGTCTGGCTAGTGGTCTATCTATTTTGTTGACCTTTTCAAAAAACCAGCTCCTGGATGCATTGATTTTTTTGAAGGATTTTTCGTATCTCTATCTGCTTCAGTTCTGCTCTGATCTTAGTTATTTCTTGTCTTCCACTAGCTTTTGAATTTGTTTGCCCTTGCTTCTCCAGTTTTTTTTTTTTTAATTCTGATGTTAGAGTGTTGATTTTAGATCCTCCCTGCTCTCTCCTGTGGGCATTTAGTGCTATAAATTTCCCTTTTAACACCGCTTTAGCTGTGTCCCAGAGATTCTGGTACGTTGTGTCTTTGTTCTCATTGGTTTCAAATAACTTATTTATTTCTGCCTTAATTTTGTTATTTACCCAGTAGTAATTCAGGAGCAGGTTGTTCAGTTTCCATGTAGCTGTGCAGTTTGAGTGAGTTTCTTAATCCTGAGTTCTAATTTGATTGCACTGTGGTCTGAGAGGCTGCTTGTTATGGTTTCCATTCTTGTGCATTTGTTGAGGAGTGTTTTACTTCCAATTATGTAGTCCGTTTTAGAATAAGTGCTATGTGGTGCTGAGAAGAATGTATATTCTGATGATTTGGAGTGGAGAGTTCTGTTGATGTCTGTTAGGTCTGCTCGGTCCAGAGCTGAGTTCAAGTCCTGAATATCCTTGTTAATTTTCTGTCTCGTTGATCTGTCTAATCTTTGTAGGTCTCTAAGAACTTGCTTTGTGAATCTGGGTGTTTATGTATTGGGTGCATATATATTTAGGATAGTTAGCTCTTCTTGTTGCATTGATCCCTTTGCCATTATGTAATGCCCTTCTTTGTCTTTTTTGATCTTTGTTGGTTTAAAGTCTGTTTTATCAAAGACTAGGATGGCAACCTTTGCTTATTTTTGCTTTCCATTTGCTTGGTAATTATTTTTCCATCCCTTTATTTTGAGCCTATGTGTGTCTTTGCATGTGAGTTAGGTCTCCTGAATACAGTGCACAGATGGGTCTTGACTCTATCCAATTTGCCAGTCTGTGTCTTTTAATTGGGGCACTTAGCCCTTTTACATTTAAGGTTAATATTGCTATGTGTGAATTTGATCCTGTCATTATGATGGTAGCTGGTTATTTTGCCCATTAGTTGATGCAGTTTCTTCATAGTGTTGATGGTCTTTACATTTTGGTATGGTTTTGCAGTGGCTGGTACTTGTTATTCCTTTCCATGTTTAGTGCTTCCTTCAGGAGCTCTTGTAAGGCAGGCATGGTCCCTCAGCATTTGCTGGTCTATAAAGGATTTTATTTCTCCTTCACTTATGAAGCTTAGTTTGGCTGGATATGAAATTCTGGGTTGGAAATTGTTTTTTTAAAGAATGTTGAATATTGGCCCCCACTCTGTTCTGGCTTGTAGGATTTCTGCAGAGAGATCCACTGTTAGTCTGATGGGCTTCCCTTTGTGGGTAACCTGACCTTTCTGTCTGGCTGTGCTTAACATTTTTTCCTTCATTTCAACCTTGGTGAATCTGACAATTATGTGTCTTGGGATTGCTCTTCTTGAGGAGTATATTTATGGTGTTCTCTGTATTTCCTGAATTTGAATGTTGGCCTGTCTTGCTAGGTTGGGGAAGTTCTGGATAATATCCTGCAGAGTGTTTTCCAACTTGGTTCCATTCTCCCTATCACTTTCAGGTACACCAATCAAACGTAGGTTTGGTCTTTTCATGTAGTCCCATATTTCTTGGAGGCTTTGTTTGTTCCTTTTCATTATTTTTTCTTTAATCTTATCTTCATGCTTTATGTCATTAAGTTGATCTTCAATCTCTGATATCCTTTCTTCCACTTGATCGATTCGGCTATTGATACTTGCGTATGCTTCACGAAGTTCTCATGCTATGTTTTTCAGCTCCATCAGGTCATTTATGTTCTTCTCTAAACTGGTTATTCTAGTTAGCAATTCCTCCAACCTTTTTTCAAGGTTTTCAGCTTCCATGCATTGGGTTAAAACATGCTCCTTTAGCTCAGAGGAGTTTGTTATTACCCACCTTCTGAAGCCTACTTCTGTCAATTCGTCAAACTCATTCTCCATCTCCATTCAGTTTTGTTCCCTTGCTGGCAAGGAGTTGTGATCCCTTGGAGGAGAAGAGGTGTTCTGGTTTTTGGAATTTTCAGCCTTTTTGCCTGGCTTTTCCTCATCTTCATGGATTTATCTACCTGTGGTCTTTGCCGTTGGTGACCTTCAGATGGAGTTTTTATATGGTTGTCCTTTTTGTTGACATTGATGCTATTACTTTCTGTTTGTTAATTTTCCTGCTAACAGTCAGGGCCCTCTTCTGCAGGTCAGCTGGAGTTTGCTGGGGATCCACTCCAGACCCTGTTTGCCTGCATATTACCATCAGAGGCTGCAGAACAGCAATGATTTGTGCCTGCTTCTTCCTCTGGAAGCTTCATCCCAGAGGGCACCTGCTAGATGCCAGCCGGATTTCTCCTGTATGAGGTGTCTGTCAACCCCTCCTGGGAGGTGTCTCCCTGTCAAGAGGCATGGGGGTCAGGGACCCGCTTGAGGAGGCAGTCTGTCCCTTAGCAGAGCTCACGTGCTGTGCTGGGAGATCTGCTGCTGTCTTCAGAGCTGGCAGGCAGGAACATTTAAGTCAGCTGAAGCTGCACCCACAGCTGCCCCTTCCCGGATGTGCTCTGTCCCAGGGAGATGGGAGTTTTATCTATAATCTCCTGACTGGGGCTGCTGCCTTTCTTTCAGAAATGCCCTGCCCAGAGAGAGGGAATCCAGAGAGACAGACTGGCTATAGTGGCTTTGCAGCCCTGCAGTGGGTTCCACTCCTAGTTCAAACTTCCCAGCAGCTTTGTTTACACTGTGAGGGGAAAACTGCCTACTCAAGCCTCAGTAATGGTGGATGCCCCTCCCCCAACCAAGCTCCAGCCTCCCAGGTGACTTCAGACTGCTGTGCTGGCAGTGAGAATTTCAAGCTAGCGGATCTTAGCTTGTTGGGCTCCATGGGTGTGGGATCTGCTGAGCAAGACCACTTGGCTCCCTGGCTTCAGCCCCCTTTCCAGGGGAGTGAACAGTTCTGTCTTGCTGGTGTTCCAGGTGCCACTAGGTTATGAAAAAAGACCTCCTGTGGCTAGCTCGGTGTCTGCCCAAACGGCTGCCCAGTTTTGTGCTTGAAACTCAGGGGCCTAGCTGTATAGGCACCTGAGGGGATATCCTGGCCCGTGGGTTGCAAAGACCATGGGAAAAGTGTAGTATCTGGGCCAGATAGCACCATCCCTCATGGCACAGTTCCTCTTGGCACAGTCCCTCACAGCTTCCCTTGGCTAGGGAAGGGAGTTCCTGACCCCTTGCGCTTCCCAGATGAGGTGACGCCCCACCCTGCTTCTGCTTGCCCTCCATGGGCTGCACCCACTGTCTAACCAGTTCCAATGAGATGAACCGGGTACCTCAGTTGGAAATGCAGAAATCACCCACCTTCTGTGTTGGTCTCACAGGGAGCTGCAGAATGGAGCTGTTCCTATTCAGCCATCTTGCCAGCCCTCCTGACTTCCTGGTTTTAGTTGGTGTGTGGTTGCTCCTCTATTTGGAAGTGGTATGAAAACAAAAAAGGGTAGTTTGGTGTAATATAATCAGGTACATATGAGTTAAGCAGATTTATTTAGCACAGGATTTCTCAGTACCTTTACAATGCAAACGTTACAATTGAATTTTTGAGAAATAGAATATAATTCCTTCCTATTCTAACTCTCCTTCTTTTCATCTCTCTGTCCCTCCCTGTACCTTTCTCTGAAGTATCTGTTGAAACTAGTATTCTCAGCAACACAAATTAAGAACAGTTGATGCATACATTGACAGTAAAATTATAGTCATTTGCCACATAATGACATTTCAGTTAATGATGAACCAACTGCATATATAATGGTGGTCCCATAAGATGATATTACTGTATTTTATTCTACCTTTTCTATGGTTAGATATGTTTAGATACAAAAAATTTACCATTGTTTTACAGCTGCCTATAGTATTCAGTCAGTGATATGCTGTACATGTTTGTAGCCTAGGAGCAGTAGGCTATACCATATAGTCTAGTTGTGTAGTTGGCTACACCACCTAGGTTTGTGTAAGTCCACTCTATGGTGTCACACAATGACTAAATTGCATAATGATGCATTTCTCAGAGCACATCTTAGTTGTTAAGTGATGTATGACTGTATTTGTTTTTTAAAATTATTTTTATTTTTATTACTTTTATTTATTTCAATAGGTTTTTGGGGAACAGGTGGTGTTTGGTTACATGAATAAGTTCTTTAGTGGTGATTTCTGAGATTTTGGTGCACTAGTCACCTGAGCGGTGTACATTCCTCCCAATGTACAGTCTTTTATCCCTCACCTCCCTCCCACCCTTCCCCCTGTGTCCCCAAAGTCCATTGTAAAATTCTTATTCCTCTGTATCCTCACAGCTTAGCTCCCACTTATGAGTAAGAACATACAATGTTTGGTTTTCCATTCCTGAGTTACTTCACTTGGAATAATGGTCTCCAGTTTCACCTAGGTTGCTGCAAATGCCATTTTTCATTCATTTTTATGGCTGAGTAGTATTCCATGGTATGTATGTGTGTGTGTGTACACACACACATATATATGTATATATATATATATATATATATATATATATATATATATATATACATACACACCACATTTTCTTTATCCACTTTTTGTTTGATGGGCATTTGGGTACAATTGCAAATTGTACCACTATAAACATGCATGTGCACATGTCTTTTTTGTATAACGACTTCTTTTTCCCTGGGTAGATACCCAGGAGTGGGATTGCTTTTAGTTCTTTAAGGAATCTCAACATCATTTTCCATAGTGGTTATACTAGTTTACATTCCCACCAACATCCACACCAACCTCTATTTTTTTTTTATTTTTTTACTATGGCCATTATTGCAGGAGTAAGGTGGTATCGCATTGTGGTTTTCATGTGCATTTCCCTGATCATTAGTGAAGTTGAGCATTTTTTCTTATGTTTTTTGGCCATTTACATATCTTCTTTTGAGAATTGTCTATTCATGTCCTTAGCCCACTTTTTGATGGGATTGTTTGTTTTTCTTTTGCTGATTTGTTTGAGTTCATTGTGGATTCCGGATATGAGTCCTTTGTAAAAAGTATAGATTGTGAAGATTTTCTCCCACTCCGTGAATTGTCTGTTTACTCTGCTGATTATTTCTTTTGCTGGCATAAGCTTTTTGGTTTAATTAATTCCCATCTATTTGTCTTTGTTTTTGTTGCCTTTGCTTTTGGGTTCTTGGTCATGAAGTCTTTGCCTAAGCCAAGGTCTAGAGGGTTTTTCCAATGTTATCTCCTAGATTTTTTATGGTTTCAGGTTTTTAGATTTAAGTCTTTGATCCATCTTGAGTTTATTTTTGTATCAGGTGAGAGATGAGGATCTAGCTTCATATGTGGCTTGCCAATTATCCCAGCACCATTTGTCGAATAGGGTGTCCTCTCCACACTTCATGTTTTTGTTTGCTTGGTTGAAGATCAGCTGGCTGTAAGTATTTGAGTTTATTTCTGGGTTCTCTATTCTGTTCCATTGGTCTATGTGCCTACTTTTATACCAGTACCATGCTGTTTTGGTGACTATGGCCTTATAGTACATTTTGAAGTTGCGTAATGTAATGCCCCCAGATTTATTCTTTTTGCTTAGTCTTGCTTTGGCTATGTGGGCTTTTTTTGTGGTTCCATTCATGTGGATTTTAGAATTTTTTTTTCTAGTTCTGTGAAGAATGATGATGACATTTTGATGGGAATTGCATTGAATTTCTAGATTGCTTTTGGCAGTATGATCATGTTCACAATATTAATTGTACCCATTCATGAGCATGGGATGTATTTCCATTTGTCTGTATCATCTGTGATTTGTTTCAGCAGTGTTTTGTAGTTTTCCTTGCAGAGGTCTTTCACCATTTTGGTTGAGCAGATTCTTAAATTTTTTTTTTTTTTTTTTTTTTTTTTTTAGCTATTGTAAAAGGGGTTGAGTTCTTGATTTGATTATATGCTTGGTTGCTGTTAGTATAGAAGAGCTACTGATTTGTGTACATTAATTTTGTTTTCTGAAACTGCTGAATTTATTTACCAGTTCTAGGAGTTTTCTGGATGAGTCTTTAGAGTTTTCTAGGTATACGATCATATCATCAGCAAACACTGACAGTTTGACTTTCTCTTTTCTGATTTGGATGGCCTTGATTTTTTTCTCTTGTCTGATTGCCCTGGCTAAGACTTCCAGTACTATGTCGAATAGAGGTAATGAAAGTGGGCGTCCTTGTCTTGTTTCTATTCTCAGGATGAATGCTTTTAACTTTTGCCCATTCAGCATAATGTTGGCTGTGGGTTTGTCACAGATGGCTTTTATTACCTTAAAATATGTCCCTTGTATGCTGATTTTGCTGAAGGTTTTAATCATAAAGGGATGTTGGATTTTGTCAAATGCTTTTACTACATCTATTGAGATGATCATGTTACTTTTGTTTTTTAATTCTGTTTATGTGGTGTATCACATTTATTGACTTGTAGATGTTAAACTGTCCCTGCATACGTGGTATAAAACCAACTTGATCATGGTGGATTATCATTTTGATATGCTGTTGGATTTGGTTAGCTAGTATTTTTTTGAGGATTTTTGCATCTATGTTTATCAGGGAGATTGACATTTAGTTTTCTTTTTTTGTGATGTCCTTTCCTGGTTTTGGTATTAGGGTGATATTGGCTTCATGGAATGATTTAAGGAGAGTTCCTCTGTCTCTATCTTGTGGAGTAGTGTCAGTGGTATTTGTACCAGTTCTTCTTTCAAT
This sequence comes from Homo sapiens, assembly GCF_000001405.40. Taxonomy (NCBI): domain Eukaryota; kingdom Metazoa; phylum Chordata; class Mammalia; order Primates; family Hominidae; genus Homo; species Homo sapiens. The sequence continues at coordinate 51,540,560 of NC_000007.14, forward strand.
GTCTGATAGAATTCAGGTGTGAATCCATCTGGTCCTGGACTTTTTTTTGGTAATTTTTTAAAATTACCATTTCTATCTCACTGCTAGTTATTGGTCTGTTCAAGGTATCTAATTCTTCCTGATTTAAGGTAGGAGGATTGTATCTTTCCAGGGGTTTATCCATCTCCTCTAGATTTTCTAGTGTATGCACGTAAAGGTCTTTACAGTAGCCTTGAATGATCTTTTGTATTTCTGTGGTGTCAGTTGTAATATTTCCCATTTTGTTTTTATTTGAGCTTATTTGGATTTTCTCTTTTTTTTTTCTTGGTTAATCTTGCTACCGGTCTATCAATTTTATTTATCTTTTCAAAGAACCAGCTTTTTGTTTCATTTATCTTTTGTATTTTTTTTTGTTTCAATTTCATTTAGTTCTGCTCTGATCTTGGTTTTTCCTTTCTTCAGCTGAGTTTGGGTTTGGTTTGTTCTTGTTTCTCTAGTTCTTTGAGGTGTGACCTTAGATTATCTTTTGTGCTCTTTCCGTCTTTTTGATGTAGGCATTTAGGGCTATAAACTTTATAGTTCTTTGAGGTGTGACCTTAGATTGTCTATTTGTGTTCTTTCAGACTTTTTGATGTAGGCATTTAGCACTATAAACTTTCTTCTTAGCACTGCCGTTGCTGTATCCTAGAGGTTTTGATAGGTTGTGTCACTATTGTCATTCAGTTCCAAAATTTTTTAAATTTCCATCTTGATTTCATTGCTGACCCAATGATCATTCAGGAGCAGGTTATTTAATTTCCATGTATTTGCATGGTTTTGAAGGTTCCTTTTGGAGTTGATTTTCAGTTTTATTCCACTGTGGTCTGAGAGAGTGCTTGATATAATTTCAGTTTTCTTAAATTTATTGAGACTTATTTTGTGGCCTAGGATATGGTCTATTTTGGAGAAAGTTTCATACACTGATGAATAGAATGTATATTCTGCAGTTGTTGGGTAGAATGTTCTGTAAATACCTGTTAAGTCCATCCATCTCTTCCAGGGTATAGTTTAAATCAATTGTTTCTTTGTTGGCTTTCTTTTTTTGTTTTTGTTTTTTAGATAGAGTCTTGCTCTGTCGCCCAGGCTGGAGTGCAGTGGTGCAGTCTTGGCTCACTGCAAGCTCTGCCTCCTGGGTTCACGCCATTCTCCTGCCTCAGCCTCCTGAGTAGCTGGGACTACAAGGGCCTGCCACCACGCCCGGATAATTTTTTGTCTTTTTAGTAGGGACGGGGTTTCACCGTGTTAGCCAGGATGGCCTTGATCTCCTGACCTCGTGATCTGCCTGCCTCAGCCTCCCAAAGTGCTGGGATTACAGGCATAAGCCACTGTGCCTGGCCTTTTCTTTGTTGACTTTCTATCTTGATGACCTGTCTAGTGCTGTCAGTGGAGTATTGAAGTCGCCCACTATTATTGTGTTGCTGTCTATCTCATTTCTTAAGTCTACTAGTAATTATTTTATCAATTTGGGATCTCCAGTGTTAGGTGCATATATATTTAGGATTGTGATTTTTTTTTTGTTGGACTGTGATTTTCTGATTGTAAAATGCCCCTCTTTGCCTTTTCTAACTGCGGGTGCCTTAAAGTTTGTTTAGTCTGATATAAGAATAGCTATTCCTGCTCACTTATTGTTTCCATTTGCCTGGATTATCTTTTCCCATGCTTTTACCTTCAGTTTATGTAAGTCCTTATGTATCAGGTGAGTCTCTTGAAGACAGCAGATTCTTGATTGGTGAATTCTTATCCTTTCTGCCATTTTGTGTCTTTTAAGTGGAGCATTTAGGCCATTTACATTCAGCGTTAGTATTGATATGTGAGGCACTATTCTATTCATCATGCTATTTGTTGCCTGAATACTTTGGGTTTTTTCATTGTGTTATTGTTTTATAGGTCCTGTGAGTTTTATGCTTTAAGGAGATTCTATTTTGGTGTGTTTTGAGGATTTGTTTCAAGATTTAGAGCTCTTTCTAGCAGTTGTTGTACTGCTGGCTTGGTACTGGAAAATTCTCTCAACATTTGTTTGAAAAAGACTGTATCTTTCCTTCATTTATGAAGCTTAGTTTCCCTGGATACAACATTCTTGGCTGATAGTTGTTTTGTTTAAGGAGGCTAAAGATAGGACCCCAATTCCTTCTAGCCTGTAGGGTTTCTGTTGAGAAATCTGCTGTTAATGTGATAGGTTTTCCTTTTTAGGTTACCTGATGCTTTTGCCTCACAGCTCTTTAAATCCTTTCCTTTGTCTTGATTTTAGATAATCTAATGATTATGTGTCTAGGTGATGGTCTTTTTTGTGATGAATTTCCCAGGTATTCTTTGAGCTTCTTGTATATGGCTATGTAGATCTCTAGCAAGGCTGGGGAAGTTGTCCTTAGTTATTCCCTCAAATTTGTTTTCCAAACTTTTAGATTTCTCTTCTTCCTCAGGAACACCAACTATTCTTAAGTTTGGTTGTTTAACATAATCCCAAACTTCTTGGAGGCTTTGTTCATTTTTCAAAATTCTTTTTCTTTGTTAGCTTGGATTAATTTAAAAGCCTTGTCTTCGAGCTCTGAAATTCTTTCTTCTGCTTGTTCAATTCTATTGCTGAGACTTTCCAATGCACTTTGCAATTCTCTAAGTGTCCTTCATTTCTGGAAGTTGTGATTGTTTTTTATTCATGCTATCTATTTCATTGAAGAATTTTCCATTTATATCCTGTATTATATATTTCATTTCTTTATATTGGACTTCACTTTTCTCTGGTACCTCCTTGATTGGCTTAATAGCCAACCTTCTGAATTCTTTTTTTGGCAATTCAGATATTTCGTCTTGGTTTAGATCCATTGTTGGTGAGCTAGTGTGATCTTTTGGGAGTATTAAATAATCTTGTTTTGTTATATTACCAGAATTGTTTTTCTGGTTCCTTCTCATCTAAGTAGACTATGTCAGAGGGAAAATCTGGGACTCAAGGTTGCTGTTCAGATTCTTTTGTCCCACAGTGTGCTCCCTTGATGTGGTGCTCTCCCCTTTCCCCTAGGGATCGGGCTTCCTGAGAGCTGAACTGCATTGATTTTTTTTTTTTTTCTGGATCTAGCCACTCAGTGGAGCTAGCTGACTCCAAGATGGTACTGCGGAGTGTGTGCAAAGAGTCCTGTGATGTGATCTGTCTTCAGGTCCTTCAGCTGTGGATACCAGCACCTGCGCTGGTGTAGGTAGCAGGGGAGTAAAGTGGACTCTGTGAGTGTCTTTTGTTGTATTTTTGTTTGATGTGCTGGTTTTGTGTTCATTGGCCTTCAGCCAGGAGGTGGCACTTTCAAGAGTGTATCAGCTGCGATACTATAGGGAGGATGCAAACTTGCCCTAGGGTTGGCTGGTTAGGTATTCAGATTTCTCAGGCAGTGGGCAGGGCCATAGAGCTCCCAAAGGATTACGTCCTTTGTCTTCAGCTACCAGGTCTAGAGAGAGACCACGAGGTGGGGGCAGTGTTAGGCATGTCTAAGCTCAGACTCCTCTTGGGCAGGGCTTGCTATGGCTGCTGTGGGGATGGGGATGTGGTTTCCAGGCCAATGGAGTTATGTCACCAGGAAGGTTATGACTGCCTCTGCTGTGTCACACAGGTCATGAGGGAAGTGAGGGAAAATCAGCAGACAGGGGCCTCACCCAACTCCCACATAGCCCACAGCCTGAAAAGCTGGTCTTTCTCCCACTGTGGCCCCTCAACAGCACTGAGTTTATTTCCAGGCAGCCAGTGAGCAAGGCTGAGAACTTGCCCCAGGCTACCGGACTCCCAGCTGAGAAAGCAAGCCGACTCAACAGTTCCTCAGCTGTCCCACAGAGCCTGAAGCAGCAATCCACCTACTTCAAAGGGTCTATGGATTCTCTCAGCTTTCCTGGCATGTTCCTGTGGTAGGTGTTGGAGCGAAAATTCGTGATGTGGGTCTCCACATGCTGCTCTGTCCATCTGAGTGGGACCTGCTAGTTTGTCCTGCCTCTTATCTGCCATTTTCCTTCAATAAATTGCTTGACTGTATTTGAATGTGGGGAAATGATGTGCCAACCTCATACCACAAGTACTGGAATTTCAATCCTGCTACCCCCAACTAAAATCTGTTAAGAGAACATGAGATTTTCCAAACAAATGCCTTAGAATGCAAACATTGAGCTGAATGATTGGAGGTGGTGGTGAGGGACAGATGGTGGCTGGGGTGACAGACTGGATCTGTATCAATTTCTAACAGAGATGACCTCTGAATCAAGGCAGGAAGAAGCCTTGTACTGCCTTGTTTTTCTCCTGACGGAATTTTCTCCATGGAAATGTTTTTGAACTAAAGGGTGTTTTGGAGCTTGGTGTGGAGCTAATGTTGTGATACAAATATATATATATATGTATATATATAAAATTTATATATATAATTTATATGGAGAGATATACATATCTCATATAAACATATATACATACATATGGAGATATACATTTAAATATATATATATATATATCTCCATATATATATATTTGTATCACAACAGAGAGAGAATTAAATTGAGTCTTGAGCCAAAATCATTTCTCATTATTTGTTTGTGCCAGAGGGTGGTGCAGCTGTGGTTGTTCAGTGCATCCCTGGATATGGCCCTGTTGTGGTCCTGGCCCCCACTGCAGAGCAGAGGGAGGCCTGGAGGACTGGGCTGACAAGGGTGTTGGAGTGTGTTTTGAATGGGGCCTGACAGCTGCATTGTGTGCTCACTCCTCAGCTGGGCTGGGTTGAGGTTTGAGAGGCTTCCTCTCTTCTCCTCTTGGCCAATTACTCACCTTTGTTGACTCATCAGATACAACCTTTTCGTTGAATCCAAGATATGGTGTGGGAATGACAGCAGCCTCTTTTCTTTCAACTGCTCTTTAAGAGCATGAGCACTTGATTTGGAAGTGCCAGGCAGGGCTCCTTTCTCTCTCACGTATTTCTTGAAGGTTTGTGTCTATAAATGTCCTCTGGGGGACTGGCATATGGCTTTCTTTTGAAGCCAGGTTTTCCTGAGTAGTGGAACTTTTGCAAAAAGAAGTTGTCTTGCTGAGGACTAGGCCTGCCTCTGCTGAGATGACAAGACAGCGAGAAGAGATTGGTGATTCAAGCATGCTTGACTCAGGGCAAGGCTAGAAGAAAAAAGAGAAGGCACACCTCCAGGGAGGCACAGGCTGTCTTTCATTTCTAAGCAATACTTAGCAAGGCTGTGGGTTATGATTTGAATAAGAGGTTAACATTGAATTTTGTGAGAGAATACCTGAAAACTCTATGAAGACATTCTGTAATTTTCCCCTAGTGACTATGTCAATATTTTTTAAAAAAACAAATTTCCAACAGTGAATATCAGAGCTGGTGAGGCTATAGCGGCATCAGCAGCATTAAGTGAGTACTTGCCCTTTGTTAGATATCATACACACAATCACTTCTAATCCCAATCTCTAATCAGCAGGGCTGACATTGGAGAAAGTGGGAACTTGCCACCTTGAAGTATGCCACTTTAGCATGGGGGTTGTTTTGAGCTCAAGGCAATTAAGAAGCAGCACATTCTGCCTGTATCTTCCTAAACGCAGTACATAAATTTTCCTTTGTGAAGGTCTTCCCCTCTTCCTACTCCATACCAGGAGGGGGAAAAACAACCATTATCTGTCATTGGAGAGAGAAGGTTAGCATGGAGATGGGTTTGTGTAAACAAACCTAACTGCAGTCACCCTTGTTTTCTGTTAGTTTTTCTTATATATTTACCTTTTCACAATTTACCACGCCTAGAAATCCGAGCCCTTTTTCCTTTGTCTTATTACTTTTCCATAATCTATCACTCTTTGTTGAAATTGTATATGAATCCACCAAATATCATTACTTCTTTAGGGTCTTCTTTCCTCTGAAGGCCTTTGTGCACATAAAAATTAAAATATTAACATCAACTAAAATTTGTTCTCCTGGCTTTTGTCAGTTTAATTTCCAGGTCCTAGTCAAAGAATGTAAGAGGGTAGAGAAAAAGTGTTTTCTTTCTTAAAATGTAATTGCTTTATAGATGAGGGAACTGGAGCTCATACCCTACCCAAGGGATGAGGCCAAGATTCTAACTCAAGGCTGTGGATCTACAAATCTTGTACTCATTCACATTACCTTGTTTCTGGTAATGCCACCTGTGAGACTTGTCTACACAGGACTGCATGCCAGGACAAAATTTTGGGACACAGCACAGCTGTGGCACAGGGTCCACATTGTTTAGACAAGCCTTTGAACACCACAATAAAGAAGTTATTCTATTTGCTCTCAATATGACATAACAGGATCAGGAGGCAGCTCTGTCTCCACCCCTGTGTGTGTCACAATTATGGGCTTTGGGGTTAGGCTGACCTAGGCTGGAATCAAAGCTTTCAATCCCCTTAGGTTTTTGAGTTTAGATAAATAGCTGAACTCTTTAAACCTGCTTCCTCATTTAAGATAAGGGACATGATAGTTTTCCCTATTAGAGTTGATGAAAAATTTTAAACAGATATAGAGTACCTCATTCATTGTAAGAGCTAATACTGTCTCTCTCTCTCACACACACACTGTCTCTCTATCTTTCTGTTTCTGCTTTGGCCACTAGGAACCTCAGAGACAATCTAGTGGCTCATCTGTACCAGTGGCATAGGCTCAAATGGGCTTTATTTCAGCAAAATTTTATTTCACTCTTCTCTGGACTTCCTGTTGCATTTCCACTTGCACTGAGCTTTTACTTAATATTTTACTATTTACTTGCATGGATTTCTGCTAAAAGCTTATAAAAGAACAATAAAATAAGTCATAGGAAATTTCATGAATTATTGCTTTCTATTCTCTAGGAGTTTGAGATTATTTTCTCTGTGCAATTTGGGAAAGCTATGTGAGTATTTGAGTTGTGCTTCTTGATATGCAGGGTCAAGGGGACACTGGAGCTGACTGGACAAGAGGAAATCCTCAACCGGTAGGGGATGTGTTAATTTCACAAAGGACTTGGTGTAGCTGACAGTCTAACCCACACAGTGAAAGAGCCAACCTATAGCTTAGTGGTTTCTCATTTTCAAAGGGGTTGGTTAGATGATTTATTATTATTAATATTATTTTTTCCCATGGTTCTGATACTACTTTTACTAATCTCACTTAATGGGTTACACTGTAATCTTCATCACCTTACCCTTTCTCTTTACCAAGAAAGAACTCTATGTTTGTTTTTAATAGTCATTAATCAAAACAATATTTGGGAGTGTCTGTGTCAGTTTCTGGCTTGGATAGTTTGGTCCATTTGTAGGGATCAAAGCTACCAAGGCCCAGCAGATTTGTTGTGGAGCAGCTGCAAAGCTGAGGAGAAGTGTATCTGAGCAGTTCTTTGCTGACTTTGTGGATGGAGCACTGGCTGGAAAGCGGTAAACCTGGATTTTAGCCACATATCAGTGTCAACTTTCTGGGTACCCTGCAACAAGCCACTTCTCTGGTTTGCAAAGCAGGGAATTAGACAAGATGGTCTCTACAGTTTCTTCCAGAGCTGCTAACATTCCATTGCTCCACACTTTTTGGCAGATGCAGCAGGAACAGCCTTTGGGAGCGGTACCATTTCCCTTGGTGGAGGCTCAGTGGCCCTGTGGGCTCTTCTCCCATCTTTTCCAGCAGTGTCCATGCCCTCACTACCCCAATACCATGCCCAGCTCCAGCCCTTCTGAGAGACACCCCATGCTGAAGATTTTCCTGACCTTCTGTCAACCACATTTCATTTGCTGCTCATCTGCTGGAAAATACCATTTCCTCTCAGGGACTTGTTAGAACATACTCTGATAGGGAGAATATGAATCTTGCCAACTTCCCAGGTTCATTCCAGGTTCTTTGCAAGAGATAGATTGCTGGGAAGTACAAATTTAACTCCCTCCCTTCAGTGAGTCTCAAATGAAAATTTTTCAAATTTGAGATATGGAAATGAGGATCTATTTCTAAGATTGCTCAGGGCACACTACAATCTTTCCCTCATTTCTGCAGATGGGACCGCTCCACACAGCAACCTGGAAGCCCTTTCCTGGCAGCAGTGATGTGCTCACCTTTGCATCCTCCACAGCCCCTGCCCTGCTTGTACAGGGTAGTTGCTTAATGAGAGCATCTTAAGTTAAAGCAGTGCATTTAGTCTGTGAATTCCCTGACTTTCAGCTATTTCAGGGGTTAAGGATAAACTAAAAAATATGTAGATAAGGCCGGGCATGGTGGCTCACACCTGTAATCCCAGCACTTTAGGAGGCTGAAGCAGGCAGATCATGAGGTCAGGAGTTCGAGACCAGCCTGGCCAATATGGTGAAACCCTGTCTCTACTATAAATACAATAATTAGCCAGACGTGGTGGCGCACACTTGTAGTCCCAGCTCCTAGGGAGGCTGAGGCAGAAGAATTGCTTGAACCTGGGAGGTGGAGGTTGCAGTGAGTTGAGATCGCACTACTGTACTCCAGCCTAAGTGACAGAGCAAGACTACATCAAAAAAAAAAAAAAAAAAAAAGTAGGGAAAGGGCAGGGGGTGGTGGGTGAAAGAACATGATGGAATGAATTAATTGATGTCAGGCTCATTAGTTGAGAGTTCTTTTCATAGTGACTTCAATTTATTTCTTTTTTTGTGCAAGCATTTGTGAAATATTTTGAGTGAGTATAGACTGCTGAAAAGTTATTTTTCCTTATTACTATTATGTTACCTCTTGCCAGTTACAATTGTTAACTTCTTTCAGAGTAGGCAAATTTATCTGTAGCTAATCTCAGCAGTTTCTGGATTCCTTTGAATTGTTTTGATTCTAAAGCGATAGGACTTGCAAAATATAGATCATTTTAGGTGAGCTCTCGCTCAAGTTGTTGCATTTTTTAATCTATGCTGTTGTCAAAAGCTGCACCCAGGTTATATCTTCACTTCCCATCTAACTTGATCCTTGATGAGTGCCCTCCAGCATTCCAACTCTGGCACAAACATCATGTAGTGTAATTTAACCTAATCCAGCCCAGCAAGACTGAACTTTCAACAGTGTTATTTTGGAAAGTGCCTATTAAGTGCCAGAAACTATGCTTGCACTGAGAGTATGAAAATGATTGGATATTACTCTTGTACTCAAGCCCATCTGATGGGCATGCCACCTACAGTCTCCTTCCAGGGCAAGCAGGAGAATGGAAGGATACCGGGCCTGGAGAAGTGGAGAGGGGTGCAGCTTCCCAAGTGCTGAGCAAGGAAGAAGCTGAGCATATGAGGAACAGAAGGAAGTCATTGGGGGAAACATGTTCTGAAAACAATGTGAGGGAAGAAAGCTAGCAAGACCCGAGGCTGGAAGAGATGGGATGCCACAACAGCGAGTGAGAGAGAGAGAAGAGAAAATGGTGAAACAGCCAACTCCAGAGAAGAGGTCAGGGGGTTTCCCAGTCTCTTTTCATAATTACGAAGAAGCCATGGGAGCAGCAATGCTTGGGTATACAGAGCACTGCTGGGGTGACCCGGCCATGCAGTGCTACTCTTAGCAGAGTTGCAGCCATACCTTGGGTTTAGCCTGGGTAGGGCTGAAAAACAAACCCAGGGGTATTCTTGAAAATAAGGGCCTACAACAAAATTTTTGATGAATTTCAAGAACAAGTCTCATAGGAATGATAGATGCAAATGATGGGAGAGTGAAGCCAGAGGGCAGGATTTTCAAGTTTGTGTCTGTGAAGCAGAGCCATTCTGAGTCACAGCCAAGTTCAAGGATGAAGTTACATTGCTGCTTACAGGTGACTAGGAGTAGAGGAGTTTTGAAGACAAGTGTTACATACATCACCCAGGTGGGTGCTGAAGTTATTCAGGGTCAGGGGAGAAGAAAAGGCAGGCAGGGAAATGGGACAGGAGCCATGGCCCTTGGAGAATGTGAGAGTCCAATAATGCAGGAAATTATGCAGCAAGGGCTGGAGAAGAGTCCACAAGAGAGAGAAGGGGATATGAAAGGAAGGTGCTTCTCTGGGTTTATCCATTTTTCTTCTTTTTTTTCTTTTTTTAAATTTCCACGTACTTGTTAGGGCTGTCAATCTCAGCAATCCTCCAATCCCCACCTCAGGAATGAGCATATGACCGAGGCCCGGCCAATCCTAGCATTCTTACCAAGTAGCTGGTCCAGTGTTTCATTCCAAGAAAGTTTAGTTTGGTTTTGTTTTTTGCCTTGTTCTTTATTCTATTGATATAGCCCAAGCACCCAGAACAGAGGAATTTGGTAAATGTTTTTTAAATAAATGGATATAGATATTGGAAAACAATTAGGGAGAGTTGCTAATCTGGAATAATGGGTGCTGGGGCTGCTGCCAGCGACCTTGCCCATCTCATGCGTAAGCTTTTCTACAGAATAAAGTTAACCAGAGAAAATCAGAAAAGAGAGATGAGGACAGAGTGAGAGGAAGGGGAGAGGAGGAAAGAAAGGCCTGGCTGCAGTGAATCCCTGTTCCAGTTGTGGAAACCACAGCCCTGTCAGACCTTCCTTTGAAGCCACCTCAGCATCCTTTCCAGTGTGTAAGCAACACAATCCCTGTTAGTTGCTCTGGTTCACTTTCTATATCTGCAGTTGAAAGAGAGCTAGCACAAGAGGTGAGCCAATGTTCCCCAGTGTCTTCTGGCCATGTTGAGCTAGAACAGTGCCGCCCTGCTGCCGGGGATAGGAAGCCCAGAGGAAATGTGCCACCTCCACCTGTGCCTTCAGTAGGACTGCCACAGGCACCCAGCTGGTGGGATGCGGGGCACAGACTTGCCTGTTTCCCCAGCCTCTTGGACTTTATGGACAGCTTTTAAAACACAAATACTCATGAGCACTAGCAGGAAGGCCTTACACTGTATCAGGATTATTTTAAATAAGAGCCAGATGGACCACCAGGATTGAGCCTAATGATCTCATCGTATGTCTCAAAAAGCCAAAGCCTAGAGAATGAAAAGCCTGTCCTAATCACTAGATTAGCACGTGGTCTGGCAAAGGCTGGATACTGCCAAGACATTTATGGAATGATGAATGTGCTCTTCTGAAATGAAGAGTGATGACTACAAGATAGAGACAGGACATCTGCTCACAATTGACTGGACCCAGCATATTTGCTTGGTTGACAGGAATCAAGGTGCTGAGAGAATGGGGGCCCAGGCTGGGGTTGGTGGAGCATATCAAAGGCAGTGGGCGCCGTCTTCCCAGCTTTGCCTTCTGCAGCTTGTGCCAGGTGCCACACAGCAGAAGTAAAGGCATAAAGGGATCTCTTTTATTGACTATGAATGTTTTGTTCATTATTCACCATTAATTTATATTTGCTGAGACTCAGCTATATGCCAGGTACAGTGTTATCTCCAGTAGGGGCCATGGTGATGAATCACCAAAGTAAAACCATTTTTGATATGGTTTGACTGTGTCCCGATCCAAATTTCATCTTGAACTGTAGTTCCCGTAATCCCCATGTGTGGAGGGAGGGACCCAGAGGGAGGCAATTGAATCACAGGAGTGATTTCCCCCATGCTATTCTCATGATAGTGAGTAAGTTCTCATGAGATCTGATGGTTTTTTTTTTTTTAGAAGTTCCTCTCAGTATTTATTTATTTATTTATTTTTATTACACTTTAACTTCTAGGGTACATGTGCACAACACGCAGGTTTGATATATAGGGATACATGTGCCATGTTGGTTTGCTGCATCCATCAACTCATCATTTATATTAGGTATTTCTTCTAATGCTATCCCTCCTCCAGCTCCCCACCCCCCAATAGGCCCAGGTGTGTGATGTTCTCCACCCTGTGCCCAAGTGATCTCATTGTTCGATTCCCACCTATGAGTGAGAACATGCGGTATTTGGTTTTCTGTCCTTGTGATAGTTTGCTGAGAATGATAGTTTCTGGCTTCATTCATGTCCCTGCAAAGGACATGAACTCATCATTTTTTATGGCTGCATAATATTCCATGGTGTATGTGTGCCACATTTTCTTAATCTAGTCTATCATTTATGGACATTTGGTTTGGTTCCAAGTCTTTGCTATTGTGAATAGTGCCACAATAAACATATGTGTGCATGTGTCTTTACAGTAGCATGATTTATAATCCTTTGGGTATATACCCAGTAATGGGATTGCTGGGTCAAATGGTAATTCTAGTTCTAGATCCTTGAGGAATCACCACAGTCTTCCACAATGGTTGAACTAATTTACACTCCCATCAACAGTGTAAAAGCATTCCTATTCCTCCACATCCTCTCCAGCATCTGTTGTTTCCTGACTTTCTAATGATTGCCATTCTAACTGGCGTGAGATGGTACCTCATTGTGGTTTTGATTTGCATTTCTCTGATGACCAGTGATGACGAGCATTTTTTCATGTGTCTTTTGGCTGCATAGATATCTTCTTTTGAGAATTGTCTGTTTATACGTTTTGCCCACTTTTTGATGGGGTTGTTTGTTTCTTGTAGATTTGTTTGAGTTCTTTGTAGATTCTAGATATTAGCCCTTTGTCAGATGGGTAGATTGCAAAAATTTTCTCCCATTCTGTAGGCTGTCTGTTCACTCTGATGGTAATTTATTTTGCCATGCAGAAGCTCTTTAGTTTAATTAGATCACATTTGTGAACTTTGGCTTTTGTTGCCATTGCTTTTGGTGTTTTAGTCAGGAAGTCCTTGCCCATGCCTATGTCCTGAATGGTATTGCCTAGGTTTTCTTCTAGGGTTTTTATGGTTTTAGGTCTAACATTTAAGTCTTTAATCCATCCTGAATTAATTTTTGTATAAGGTGTAAGGAAGGGATCCAGTTTCAGCTTTCTACATATGGCTAGCCAGTTTTCCCAGTACCATTTATTAAATAGGGAATCCTTTCCCCTTTTCTTGTTTTTGTCAGGTTTGTCAAAGATCAGATGGTTGTAGATGTGTGGTGTTATTTCTGAGGCCTCTGTTCTATTCCATTGGTCTGTATATCTGTTTTGGTACCAGGACCATGCTGTTTTGGTTACTGTAGCCTTGTAGTATAGTTTGAAGTCAGGTAGTGTGATGCCTCCAGCTTTGTTCTTTTTGCTTAGGATTGTCTTGGCAACGCGGGCTCTTTTTTGGTTCCATATGAACTTTAAAGCAGTTTTTTTTCCAATTCTTTGAAGAAAGTCATTGGTAGCTTGATGGGAATCGCATTGAATCTATAAATTACTTTGGGCAGTGTGGCCATTTTCACTATATTGATTCTTCCTATCCATGAGCATGGAATATTCTTCCATTTGTTTGTGTCCTCTTTTATTTCCTTGAGGAGTAGTTTGTAGTTCTCCTTGAAGAGGTCCTTCACATCCCTTGTTAGTTGGATTCCTAGGTATTTTATTCTCTTTGAAGCAATTGTGAATGGGAGTTTGCTCATGATTTGGCTCTCTGTTTGTCTGTTAATGGTGTATAGGAATGCTTGTGATTTTTGCACATTGATTTTGTATCCTGAGACTTGGCTGAAGTTGCTTATCAGTTTAAGGAGACTTTGGACTGAGACGATGGGGTTTTCTAAATATATAATCATGTCATCTGCAAACAGGGACAATTTGACTTCCTCTTTTCCTAATTGAATACCCTTTATTTCTTTCACTTGCCTCATTGCCCTGGCCAGAACTTCCAACACTATATTGAATAGGAGTGGTGAGAGAGGGCATCCCTGTCTTGTGCCAGTTTTCAAAGGGAATGCTTCCAGTTTTTGCCCATTCAGTGTGATATTGGCTGTGGGTTTGTCATAAATAGCTCTTATTATTTTGGGATACATTCCTTCAATACCTAATTTATTGAGAGTTTTTAGCATGAAGCACTGTTGAATTTTGTCAAAGGCCTTTTCTGCATCTATTGGGATAATCATGTGGTTTTTGTCATTGGTTCTGTTTATGTGATGGATTACATTTATTGATTTGCATATGTTGAACCAGCCTTGCATCCCAGGGATGAAGCCGACTTGATCGTGATGGATAAGCTTTTTGATGTCTTGATGGATTAGGTTTGCCTGTATTTTATTGAAGATTTTCACATCGATGTTCATCAGGGTATTGGTCTAAAATTCTCTTTTTTTGTTGAGTCTCTGCTAGGCTTTGGTATCAGGATGATGGCCTCATAAAATGAGTTAGGGAGGATTCCCTCTTTTTCAATTTATTGGAATAGTTTCAGAAGGATTGGTACCAGCTTCTCTTTGTACCTCTGGTAGAATTTGACTGTGAATCCATCTGGTCCTGGACTTTTTTTGGTTGATAGGGAATTAATTATTGCCTCAATTTCAGAGCCTGTTATTGGTCTATTCAGAGATTCAACTTCTTCCTGGTTTAGTCTTGGGAGAGTGTATGTGTCGAGGAATTTATCCATTTCTTCTAGATTTTCTAGTTTATTTGTTTAGAGGTGTTTATAGTATTCTCTGATGGTAGTTTGTATTTCTGTGGGATCGGTGGTGATATCTCCTTTATCATTTTTTATTGCGTCTATTTTATTCTTCTCTCTTTTCTTCTTTATTAGTCTTGTTAGCAGTCTATCAATTCTGTTGATCTTTTCAAAAAACCGGCTCCTAGATTCATTGATTTTTTTGAAGGGTTTTTTGTGTCTCTGTCTTTCAGTTCTGCTCTGATCTTAGTTAGTTCTTGCCTTCTGCTAGCTTTTGAATTTGTTTGCTCTCGCTTTTCTAGTTCTTTTAATTGTGATGTTAGGGTGTTGATTTTAGACTCTTTCCTGCTTTCTCTATGGGCATTTAGTGCTATAAATTTCCCTCTACACTCTGTTTTAAATGTGTTCCAGAGATTCTGGTGCGTTGTGTCTTTGTTCTCATTGGTTTCAAGGAACATCTTTATTTCTGCATTCATTTCATTATTTACCCAGTAGTCTGTCAGGAGCAAGTTGTTCAGTTTCCATGTAGTTGTGAAGTTTTGAGTGAGTTTCTTAATTCTGAGTTCTAATTTGATTGCACTGTGGTCTGAGAGACAGTTTGTTGTGATTTCTGTTCTTTTACATTTGCTAAGGAGTGCTTTACTTCCAATTATGTGGCCAATTTTAGAATAAGTGCAATGTGGTGCTGAGAAGAATGTATATTCTGTTGATTTGGGGTTGAGAATTCTGTAGGTGTCTATTAGGTCTGCTTGTTGCAGAACTGAGTTCAAGTCCTGGATATCTTTGTTAACCTTCTGTCTTGTTGCTCTGTCTAATATTGACAGTGGGGCATTAAAGTCTCCCATTATTATTGTCTGGGAGTCTAAGTCTCTTTGTAGGTCTCTAAGGGCTTGCCCTATGAATCTGGGTGCTCCTGTATTAGGTGCATATACATTTAGGATAGTTAGCTCTTCTTGTTGAATTGATCCCTTTATCATTATGTAATGGCCTTCTTTGTCTCTTTTGATCTTTGTTGGTTTAAAATCTGTTTTATCAGAGACTAGGATTGCAACCCCTGCTTTTTTTTTGCTTTCCATTTGCTTGTTAGATCTTCCTCCATCCCTTTATTTTGAGCCTATGTGCATCTTTGCACGTGGGATGGGTCTCCTGAATACAGCACATTGATGGGTCTTGACTCTTTATCCAATTTGCCAGTCTGTGTCTTTTAATTGGGGTATTTAGCCCATTTACATTTAAAGTTAATATTGTTATATGTGAATTTGATCCTGTCATTATGATGTTTGCTGGTTATTTTGCCCATTAATTGATGTAGTTTCTTCATAGCATCGATGGTCTTTACACTTTGGCATGTTTTTGCAGTGGCTGGTACCAGTTGTTTCTTTCCATGTTTATTGCATCCTTCAGGAGCTCTTGTAAGGCAGGTCTGGTGGCGAGAAAAATCTCTTAGCATTTGTTTGTCTGTAAAGGATTTTATTTCTGCTTCACTTATGAAGCTTAGTTTGGCTGGATATGAAATTCTGGGTTGAAAATTCTTTTCTTGAAGAATGTTGAATACTGGCCCCCACTCTCTTCTGGCTTGGAGAGTTTCTGCTGAGAGATCTGCTGTTAGTCTCATGGGCTTCTCTTTGTGGGTAGCCTGACCTTTCTCTCTGGCTGCCCCTAACACTTTTTCCTTCATTTCAACCTTGGTGAATCTGACAATTATGTGTCTTGGGGTTGCTCTTCCTGAGGAGTATCTTTGTGGTTTTCTCTGCATTTCCTGAATTTGAATGTTGGCCTGCCTTGCTCGGTTGGGGAAGTTCTCCTGGATAATATCCTGAAGAGTGTATTCCAACTTGGTTCCATTCTGCCTTTCAATTTCAGATACACCAATCAAACATAGATTTGGTCTTTTCACATAGTCCCATATTTCTTGGAGTCTTTGTTCATTTCTTTTTACTCTTTTTTCTCTAACCTTGTTTTCTCACTTTATTTAATTAATTTGATCTTCAATCACTGATACCCTTTCTTCCACTTGATCGAATCGGCTACTGAAGCTTGTGCATGCGACACAAAGTTCTCGTGCCATGGTTTTCAGCTCCATCAGGTCATTTAAGGTCTTCTCTACTCTGTTTATTCTGGTTAGCCATTTCTCTAATCTTTTTTCAAGGTTTTTAGCTTCCTTGTGTTCAGTTCGAACATGATCCTTTAGCTCGGAGAAGTTTGTTATTACCAACCTTCTGAAGCCTACTTCTGTCAACTCATCAAAATCATTCTCCATCCAGTTTTGTTCTGTTGCTGGCAAGGAGCTGCAATCCTCTGGAGGAGAAGAGGTGGTCTGATTTTTAGAATTTTCAGCTTTTCTGCTCTGGTTTCTCCCCATCTTTGTGGTTTTATCTACCTTTGGTCTTTGATGTTGGTGACCTACGTATGGGGTTTTGGTGTAGATGACCTTTTTGTTGATGTTGATGCTATTCCTTTCTGTTTGTTAGTTGTTCTTCTAACAGTCAGAGCCCTCAGCTGCAGGTCTGTTGGAGTTTGCTGGAGTTCCACTCCAGACTCTCTTTGCCTGGGTATCACCAGCAAAGGCTGCAGAACAGCAAATATTGCAGAACAGCAAATATTGCTGCCTGATCCTTCCTCTGGAAGCTTCATCTCAGAGGGGCACCTGCCTGTATGAGGTATAAGTCAGCCCCTACTGGGAGATGTCTCCCAGTTAGTCTACACAGGGGTCGGGGACCCACTTGAGGTGGCAGTCTGTCTGCTCTCAGAGCTCAAACGCCATGCTGGGAGAACCACTGCTCTCTTCAGAGCTGTGAGACAGGGACATTTAAGTCTGCAGAGGTTGTCTGCTGCCTTTTGTTCAGCTATGCCCTGCCCACAGAAGTGGAGTCTAGAAGCAGTAGGCCTTGTTGAGCTGCAGTGGGCTCCACCCAGTTCAAGCTTCCTAGCTGCTTTGTTTACCTACTCAAGCCTCAGCAATGGTGGATGCCCCTCCCCAGCCAGGCTGCTGTCTTGCAGATTGATCTCCAATTGCTGTGCTAGCAGTGAACAAGGCTCCATGGGCATGGGAGCCACAGAGCCAGGCACGGGAGATAATCACCTTGTCTGCTGGTTGCTAAGACCTTGGGAACAGCACAGTATTTGCATGGGGGTGTCCTCTTTTTCCAGGTAGTCTGTCGTGGCTTCCCTTGGCTAGGAAAGGGAAATCCTCTGACCCCTTGTGCTTCCCAGGTGAGGCAACGCCCTGCCCTGCTTTGGTTCACCCTCCATGGGCTGCACTCACTGTCCAACCAGTCCCAATGAGATGAACCAGATACCTGAGTTGGAAATGCAGAAATCACCCATCTTCTGCATCCATCATGCTGGGAGTGGCAGACCAGAGCTGTTCCTATTTGGCCATCTTGGAATGGCCCCTTAAGATCTGATGGTTTTATAAGGGGCTTCCCCCTTAACTGGGTTCTCATTCTTTCTCCTGCCACCCTGTGAAGAAGTGTCTTTTGCCATGATTGTAAGTTTCCTGAGGTTGCCCCAGCCATGAAGAACTGTGAGTCAGTTAAACTTCTTTTCTTTATAAATTACCCAGCCTTGGGTATTTCTTCATACCCAACATGAGAAATATATAGCATGAGAATGGACTAATACAGTAAATTGGTACTGAGGGAGTGGGTTGCTGCTATAAGGATACCCAAAAATGTGGACATGACTTTGGAACAGGGTAACAGGCAGAGGTTGGAACAGTTTGGATGGCTCAGAAGAAGACAGAAAGATGTAGGAAAGTTTGGAACTTCCTAGTGACTTGGAGGGCTGAGAAGAAGACAGGAAAATGTGAAAAAGGTTGAAACTCCCTAGAGACTTGTTGAATGGTTTTGACCAAAATGCTGATAGTGATATGGACAATGAAGTTTAGGCTGAGATGGTCTCAGATGGAGATGAGGAACTTGCTGGGAACTGGAGTAAAGGTGACTCTTGTTATACTTTGCCAAAGAGACTGGCAGCATTTTACCTATGGCCTACAGATCTGTGGAATTTTGAACTTGAAAGAGATTATTTACGGTATCTGGTGGAATAAATTTCTAAGTAGCAAAGCATTCAAGAGGTGACAGGGCATAAAAGTTTGGAAAATTTTCAGCCTGACAATGCAGTAGAAAAAGAAAAACCCATTTTCTGGGGAGACATTCAAGCCTGCTGTAGAAATTTGCATAAGTAACAAGGAGCCAAATGTTAATTGCCAAGATAATTGGGAAAATGTCTCCAGGGCATGTCAGAGACCTTCACAGTGGCTCCTTCCATCACAGGCCCAGAAGCCTTGGAGGGAAAATTGGTTTTGTGGGCTGGGCCCAGGGCCCCCCTGCTCTGTGCATCCTTGGGACATGGTGCCCTGCATCTCACCTGCTTCAGTCCCAGCAGTGGCTAAAAGGGGCCAACATATAGCTTGGGCTATTGTTTCAGAGGGTGCAAGCCCCAAGCCTTGATGGCTAACATGTGTTGTTGGGCCTGCTGGTGCACAGAAGTCAAGAGCTGAGGTTTGAGAACCTCTGCCTAGATTTCAGAGGATGTATGGAAACACTTGGATGTCCAAGCAGAAGTTTGCTACAGTGGAGGAGCCCTCATGGAGAACCTCTGTTAGGGCACTGCAGAAAAAGAAATGTGGGGCTGGAGCCCCCACACAGAGTCCCCACTGGGGCACTGCCTAGTGGAGCCGTGAGAAGAGGGCCACTTGCCTCCAGATCCCAGAATGGTAGATCCACTGACAGCTTGCACTGTGCACCTGGAAAAGCTGCAGGCACTGAATGCCAGCCATGAAAGCAGCCAGGAGAGGGGCTGTACCCTGCAAAGCCACAAGGGCAGAGCTGCCCAACCCCATGGGAGGCCACCTCATGCATCAGCATGACGTGGATGTGAGACATGAAGTCAAAGGAGATAATTTTGGAATTTTAAGATTTAATGACTGCCCTGTTGGATTTTGGACTTGCATAGGGCCTTTAGCCCCTTTGTTTCAGCCAATTTCTCCCATTTGGAACTGGTTTATTTATCCAATGCCTGTACCCCCATTGGATCTAGGAAGTAACTGACTTTTGATTTCACAGGCTCACAGGTGGAAGGGACTTGCCTTATCTCAGATGAAACTTTGGACTTGGACTTTTGGGTTAATGCTGCAATGAGTTGAGACTTTGGGGAACCGTTGGAAAGGCATGATTTGTTTTGAAATGTGAAGACCTGAGATTTGGGAGGGGCCAGGGGCAGAATGATATGGTTTGGCTGTGTCCTCAGCAACATCTTATGTTGAATTAGTTCCCATAATGCCCATGTGTTGTGGGAGGGACCCAGTGGGAGGTAATTGAATCATGGGGCAGTTTCTCCCATGCTATTCTCATGATAGTGAGTGAGTTCTCCTGTGATCTGAAGATTTTATAAGGGGCTTGCTCCTTTGCTGGATTCTCATTCTCTGTCGCTTGCCACTCTTGAAGAGGTGCCTTCTGCCATGACTTTAAGTTTCCTGAGGACTCCCCTGCCATATAGAACTGTGAGTCAATTAAACCTCTTTTCTTTATAAATTACCCAGTCTTGGGTATTTCTTCATAGCAGTGTAAGAACAGACTAATACAATTATTAATACAACCAAAAGGATGAATAGATAATCTCACAATAATGTATAATCTTGCAGGTGCTGATCATCTCTTTTCTTCTGCTTGTGTTCATTCTTTCATTCATGAATGACTGAGAGTTTGCACTTTCAAGATCTGAGGGTGAGCACTGAGCGGGAGATGTGATGGGGAATGAGATTTCAACAAATTTATCAGATGGCCACCTTTCAATAAATAATTGTATAGTTTGAGAATCAGGACAGACTCCTACAAAAATAAGAATTAAGGAGGCAGAAATGCACTTTACAAAATTTCACAGCTGAAAGCAGGTTCCAGCTATGGTAGTCCAGCCAGATGGAATGCCTAGCAGGATGCAAAGTTTTCTCTGTAGCAGTTTTGCTGCCTCAAAGATTTTCTGTGCCACCCACATAAACCACTGGAGAATAAACACAATGTTGGATATAGTCTGGAAATGAGTCTCTTGCATGAGGACTGTCTGAATGTTTTTCTTTGTTTCTCTTTTAAATGAAATGCTGTCCACAAATATATAGCTTTATTATTTGACTCTGAAGGAAACAATGACACTTACACCAGTAATGATTTGGAAAGACATTGTTTGCAAATAAGTAGATCTGCCAAAAATGTTATCACTTTTTCAGTGAGTATGAAAGTCTTCTTGTGGGAGGTGGAGGGGAAAAAGCTTCTGTTTTCTTTTTTTTTTCTTTTTTCTTTTCTTTTTTTTTCTTTTTTTTGAGACAGAGTTTCGCTCTTGTTGCCCAGGCTGGAGTGCAATGGTGTGATCTTGGCTCACTGCCAAGCCTCCTGGGTTCAAGCGATTCTCCTGCCTCAGCCCCCAGAGTAGCTGGGATTACAGGCATGTACCACTACCCCAGCTAATTTTGTATTTTTAGTAGAGATGGGGTTTCTCCATGTTGGTCAGGCTGATCTTGAACTCCTGACCTCAGGTGATCAGCCTGCCTCGGCCTCCCAAAGTGCTGGGATTACAGGTGTGAACCACCACGCCCGGCCAAAAGCTTCTGTTTTCTAAAGGTGTAAAATTTTACTTTTTGTAAAAAGTAATCACTTTTGCACCAACATAATAGTTTCTAGTGAGGCGACATGCATCAGCTATTTATTTTCAGAAGAAGACAAGTTTTCTCACCTGTGAAATGGGAGACTTGTATCTACCTCATGTGGTTAAACGTCTGGACAGTCAGTGTTGGAACATAATCATCAGGCTCTGTAGATGGTGGCTGTCACTGTACTCTTTATATCTAGGCCCTGTATGGTTTGGCAACTCTGAAAGGCAGACTGTGATGGGGAAGAAAAGTAAAGCTCATAAAGTTTGGATTCATGTGCTGGGTATCAGGTGGTTGTGTCTCCATCTCCACGGTAAAGACACAGAAAATTATGAGCATTAACATTTTTTTCAAACATTTGTTTGAAATTTTATCCTAGAGAAGGTTCCCTCATGAACATTAATCAACTACTCACAGTGTGGTGTCATTTGGCCTTTGCTGCCAGAGGGTGAGGCTCTGGGAGGAGGCAGCTATGAGACTGAGGAGTAAAACGTGTCTCTATCAACCAAAAATATCTCTATTATTTAAACTTCGAGTAAACTTAAAATACACACTGAGCACCTCCCCTTCCCATACCAAACCAATGGACAGGATGCCATGGTTATAATCCTCGGTGGTGTATCTCGGCCTCAACCTTTTTGGGGTGGAGCTCAGTGCCTGTTTGTAATATACAAGCCCTTCAGCCCTTGAATCTTTAGGGGATTCCCAAAATGCATTTCCCTTTGGACTTCAAGCCTCCTTTTTCCTTTATTTCCATATTTCCTCCAATGATTCAATCCTTTTTTTTTTTTTTTTTTGAGATGGAGTTTCGCTCTTGTTGCCCAGGCTGGAGTGCAATGGCATGATCTTGGCTCACAGCAACCTCCGCCTTCCAGGTTCAAGCTATTCTCCTGCCTCAGCCTCCCGAGTAGCTGGGATTACAGGCATGTGCAACCACACCTGGCTAATTTTGTATTTTTAGTAAAGATGGGGTTTCTTCATGTTGGTCAGGCTGGTGATTCATTTCCTCTTGAAGCTTCACAGTGTGCGTTACAAACAATCCTCTTCTGTCTTCATCTTGTTCCCAGCAAGCTCTCTCTGCTGCTTGCCTTTGTGGACAACAGATCCCTTCTGAGAACCTACGTCCATGATGGTCCTTTTGAGATGTCTGACCTTTTTTGGACACTCCACATACCCATAGCCTGTTAGAAACAGTGGTGACTTCTTGGCTTCCCCTTGCAATTTCCAGATTCTTCCAGTATTATGCAAAAACCCTTTCTTCCTGTTTCACAGATTCTGGCATCCCTTAAGTGTAGGCCTACACTTATTAAGGATTTTGGAAATTTCCTTCATGCTCCATTAAGTTCTAGGGGAATTTTCTTCTTTTCTTTCTTTTCTTTCTTTTTTTTTTTTTTTTTTTTTTTTTGAGATGGAATTTTGCTCTTGTTGCCCAGGCTGGAGTGCAATGGTGCAATCTCAGCCCACTGCAACCTTCACCCCCGGGGTTCAAGTGAGTCTCCTGCCTCAACCTTCTGAGTAGCTGGGATTACAGGCATGTGCTACCACACCCAGCTAATTTTTGTAGTTTTAGTAGAGATGGGGTTTCTCCATGTTGGTCAGGCTAGTCTTGAACTCCCGACCTCCAGGTGATCCACCCCCCTCGGACTCCCAAAGTACTGGGATTACAGACCTGAGCTACCACGCCCGGCCAAGTTCTAGGGGAATTTTCTATCCAACATTCAAGACTCACATACCTTGCTTATTTAAATAAAATAATTTTCACACTGATTTGACTTCTGCCATCTCAGAACCATAAGTTTGAGCAGGTCATAATCCAGGACCACTCCGTGTCGACAAATTCAGTCTCCAGCAGTCTTTATGAGGCCCTTAGACCTCACAAAGGAGTTCGTCTCCAGCCTCTCTTGTGGCCCTCTTGGGTCTCTGCTTCCTGCTCTTTGCTGCTCTCCAGCTCAGGTGCTGGGGTCGGGGTCACCAGCCTCTTCCCAGGCACCTCCCCTTCCCCAGTCTCCCCAGCTCCTGTCCAGATGGACATCCATTGCATAACCACTGATGTATTATACGTTCTCTTCCAGCATGAAACACTACTTTTATGAGCTCCTCTTTCCTGCACTTTTCTAACTTTCCCTTCTCAACCTCTTCCTTTTATAGCCAGCCCAAGATGTCCTAAGAAAAGTGATAAAAGCACTTAAGAACTCCAGCTCTAGGTCATGGGCATGTTGGACAGCAGAACCTGGTGAGATAAAAGGATAAAGACTGTTGACCCCCCCAGCCCGAGGGGCCACCCCTGCAACTCCACACGCACCATCTCATCCCAGGCAGAGGCTCCACATTTGTAGGCACCCTCAGTTACTAAGGGCCTAGTTCAATTATGTCCATTTAGAAACTTGAATCTCAGATCCAACAGAAACCCAATTTCCTTCCCCAACCCTTGCCCCCAATACTGGCCATGTGCAAATGGACCGTGTAGGGGAGGGCATGGCATGGATGACGTGGTTGTGAAATGAGTGAGGGAAAGGCCTCAATCATCAAGGCTTATTCAGCCAGCTTCAGTGTGTGCTGGGAAAATCATGAGCCACAGACACATGTGTGGCTGTTTTCCCAAAGAGGTTTTCAGGAGGTTTCATATTTATACCATTTCCTTAAATAGGGGAGGACATGTAGAGAGAGGGGCCAGCAGGTGGTAAGGCGAGTGGTTACATTCCTGTGAGACTTTGGTCAGTGCCTGGTAAATATACATTTTAACTAAGATAAGGTGGATGCATGAATAGAGAAGGAATGAGGTAGAGGAAGGGCTGATCTCATCTAGACCTGGTTCTGCACCTGGGAAGAGGAGCTTGTTATTGACATTAGTGTGGAATGTGACTTTAGTTATAGGAGCTAGACTTAGATTGCAGGCCTAACATTACAACTGGCATGTCCTTGCTTATGGGAGGGCAGACAAAGAATTGATTTATGAAAGGTCTGTGAGGGACAGCCCTGTGCAGATGCCTGAGGTGCTTCACCTTTCCATGAGGACCTGGCTGATGCATAGCACTGGTCACAGCTATTCATTTGGAAGGGGGCGTTGCATGACTCAGCCTCCAGGCATAAGTTTGGGGGTCCTGAGATTTTTAGATTTTCCTTTACAATTATAAGGCCTGGGCAGTGAGGTCATCTCCAGGAAAGCGTAATCTATTTTCCTTCCCCAACCCACCCAGCTTCTATCTCTGAGCCAAACCGCAAGGACCCTCCTCCTCACCCTATAAAACTGCAGCCTTGCCTCTGCCTCAGCCGAGCGAGGCCTTTAGTGTCCATTTGAGTCACTTACACTCTTCCTCAGCATGGCTGCCTTGAAGCCTGTGCAGGGATCTGCCCTCCACATCACGCGTCCCTGTCCCCTCCGGATCTGCCCTCCACATCAGGTGTCCCTGTACTCTCCGTTTCTTCAGGCGGCCTTGCCAGATGCCCACCATGGTCATCTGCTTAAGGTGGCCCCTCCTCCTGTGGGGCTGCTGTTGTTTTATTGCAGTGCTGTTTTTCTTTTAAACTCTCCTTTTGCTTTTAGGCCTAGACATTTGTTTTTCTTCTAGGTTTCATGTTATGGATCCCCCAGGATGAGAAATGTGAAATAAACGATTTCTGGGTCTACCAAAACCATTTGCTGTCCAAATCAATCCTGCAACCTCTGCCTTCTCATTTTGAGAGGAGCCGCAGCCAGGCCACTACTGCGGCCTCTGGGTGGATTTCTGTGGGCAGCAGTGATGCTGAGGATGTCATGGTAACTGGATTTTGTTCCTCGGTGATCCTGAAATAGCAGGGGCAGGTGGGGTGAAGTGCCCCTGTGTACCCCTTTTCTATGTGTCTGGAGGCTGCCTCAAAATTCACATCCTTCTAAGGGAGCCCCTCTTTTTTTTTCCAGTATAATCAGGGCTTTTCCTTTCGTCTGCAACTGCCTCTCTTCTGATACTAATGACAAAATCTAGATTCACACCTAATCCAGCCTCTCACTGATCTCCTGAGGAAGCAGGATTCCTAGAGAAAATGTGAGGCCTATGCCCTCTTACAGAGCCTTTAGCTGGGTAAACAGCCACACCCTAGAAAAAGAAGCAGATTCCCCTATAATTGTATAATTGGCCCCTTGTCATTACCTGCTCCTTGATAACATTGATCATTCCTTTATGGCTGAGCTCACTGTCTGAGTCCTTGAAATCCAAGGACAGGCTTCAGGCTTACAATTTGTTTATTTTTAACAAACACTGCAACAGTGGAGTCCTCATGGGGCCGTGTGACTTAAAAAAAAAAAATTTCTCAGGACAAACCCCAAACACCAGGGGGTGACTGTCCTGCATCCTTCAAAGCCCAGCTGCAACACAGTTTGAAACGAGATGAAGACTAGTAAGATGTTTGAGGGAATGGAGTGGATGGCCAGGAACTTCAGTGGCAGGGTCTCCGCAGCCCTCCTGTAAAGGAACCACCGTGCTTGTTTAAGGCCCCTGCCTGCAGTCCTGGCTGAAAACACATTTTAAACGGAGCAAAAATAGTTCCCATGGCATTGGCTCAAAAGCCTGTGGTCTGTTTTGAGACAAGCCTTTCATCTCATTTCAGTCTCACCTCACAGGCTAAGGTCAAAGCCAGCGGTTGGCATTGCTTGTCCAGAGCTGACTAAAGTTTGTACCTTTTAAAAACAGCCAGGGGCCTATTAAACGCACAACTGGGTACCTATGGCTGCTGGACACAACAGGCTGCTGGGACCCCAAATGGTAAGTAAGAGTCCCCAGCCCCCACAGCCACTCTCGTTCCTTGGCCACCACCGAGACCTTCCACTTCCCACGTGTGAAGTTGGTCTTGCCTGCCGCTAGCTGCATGGACATGTCTCCTTTTCAATTTCCAGTTAAAACCCCTTTTGGTGAAGCTTAAAAAGACCCATAAACCACACCCCCTTTTTCCTCTAAATTCAGAAATGAATGAGAAATTGGCCAACATGAGAAAGGGTGAAAAATGAGCGTATTGGGGTAGCACTGGGCTGAGCAGAGCGTAAACCAGCTTCTGGGGCCAGGTGGGCTTCCTTCTCCTCCCACCCAGGTCAAGGTAGGTGGCAGGAATGGGCCCCTGCAGAGAAGGGCGTCCCTGTGCGTTCTGGCCTTGAAGAGAGCAGATGCCACTCAACCAGGAGTCTCGCCAGCAGGGAGAGAGAAGGTGGATTTGAACGCAAGGCCTCCAGTCAGTGGGGGAAGGGTAGATGTTGGATGCCACCCCCATAGGGCAGCTCATTCTCCCCTCTTTGGGAGGGTGAGTGGGTAGCTAGAGAAAGGTGGAGATGTGATCCTCCTAGGCTCTTCCTAACTCTGGAAGTGTGAGGTCACTGGGAAGCTTGTTGGAAATGCAGGTTGTCTGGTCCCACCCAGATGAATGGAATGAGAAATTCAGAGAGTGGGCTTGGTAACCCATGCTTGAACAAGCCTGCAAGATGATGCAGGTGCAGAGCAGAACTTCCCAACCTCGGTACAGTTGACATTTTGTGGACATAATTCTTTACTCAGTGTGTGTGTGTGTGTGTGTGTGTGTGTGTCCTGGATATTGTAGAATGTTTAGCAGCATCTCTGGTCCCTACCCACTAGATGCCAGTAGTACCCTTGACAACCAAAAGTGTTTCCAGCCATTGCTAAGTATCCCCAAGGGGGAAAAGTCACCTACAGAAATTTTTCTTTGAAACAGTAGCCCAGCAGAAGAGCGTATCCCTTACAATACACAGAGAAGAGGAAAACAAACAAATAAGCAAACTGAAAACACTGGGGAGAAATTTCACTGGCACTTAACAGCAGTTATTTCCAGGTCATGGGTTTTAAGTGATCTTTTTATTTTTTAAATTTTTTTTCTGTATTTTCCAAATGTGCTAAAATATTTTACATCTATACTCTAAAGAAATTCAAATGTGGCCAGGTGCAGTGGCTCACGCCTGTAATCTCAGCACTTTGGGAGGCCAAGGTGGCTGGATCACCTATGGTCAGGAGTTCAAGACCAGCCTGGCCAACCTGGTGAAACTCTGTCTCTACTAAAAATACGTAAAAAATTAGCTGGGCTTGATGGCGGGTGCCTGTAATCCCAGCTACGTGGGAGGCTGAGGCAGGAGAATCACTTGAACCCGGGAGGCGGAGGTTCAAGCGAGCGGAGATAGCGCCATTGCACTCCACCCTGGACAATAAGAATGAAACTCCATCTAAAAAAAATTAGAATTTAAAAGACGGTTTTGACAGCTTCCCTAACCCCCCTCTGTGGGCATGTTGGTTGGGGCCCTAAACCCAGGTTTCCTCTCCTTACTTGTCACGGCGTGCCTGGACGTGCGCACTCTGGGGTTTATTGAGGTGCTGATGCTATCCTACCGTACCCCATCCCCCATGAGTGCCCCTTGGCACAGGGTCATCCTCAACCTAAAGCTTCAGGAAGACAGAATGTGGATTCTAATGACAATGCCAGATCTGTTCAGAACACAAAAGACAAATATAGGAGTTAAATAGGAAGTTCGTGTTATCCTTGTGACTGTCATTCTGTAACTATCAATTGTAGACAAACTGGATTTTGTGAAAATGAAAACATTTCTGCATCAAAAGATAATATCAACAGAGTAAAAGGACAATCCACAGAATGGGTAAAAATAATTGAAAGTAGATTAATAACTAGAATATATAGAGAATTCCTAAAACTTAACAACAATAAATAAACAACCCTATTCAAAAATGGATTGAAGGACTTGAATGGACCTTTCTCTAAAGAAGACATACAAATGGTCCATAAGCACATGAAAAGATGCCCAACATCGCTAGTCATTAGGGAAGTGCAAACCAAATTGAGAGGCCACCTCACACCCATGAGGATGACTAGTATCAAAAATCAGGAATTTACAAGTGTGGGTGAGGAAGTGAAGAAATTGGAACTCTTGTATACTCTCTGTGGGAACGTAACATGTTACAGCCACTAAGACAACATGATAGTATCTCAAAAACTTAAAAAATAGAATTACCTTGTGATCCAATAATTCCACTTCTGGGTACATACTCAAAATAATTGAAAGCAGCATATCCAAGAGACATTTGTATGCCATGTTCATAGCTGCCTTATGTACACTAGCTAAAATGTGGAAGCAACCCAGGGGTCCATTGACATATGAATGTATAAACAAAACATGGTGTAAACAAACGATTTGGCCTTAAAGGAAGGGAATTCTGAGACATAATCCACATGGATTAACCTTGAGGACATTATGCTAAGTGAAATAAGCCAGTCACAAAAAGGCAAATACTGTGCAATTCCACTTATATGAGGTCCCTAGACTAGTCAAATTCATAAAGACAGAAAGTAGAATGGTGGTTTTCAAAAGCTGGGAGGAGGACAGAATGGGGAGTTTGTGTTTATCAGGTACAGAGTTTCCCTTTTACAGGATGAAAGGTTATGCAGATGGGTGGTGGTGATGGGTGCACAATATTATGAATATACTTAATATCACTAAACTGTGCACTTCATATGGTTAAGATGGTAAATTTTATGTTATTCTAATGCAATAAAAATGGAAAACAGTTTTAAAAAGCAAAAATATAAATTATTGTGTTTCTACCACATGTCACACCATGATGAAAAGGAAACGGTCTTCTGAGGCCATTGCAGTGATGGGAGAAGCAGCTCAGGGACATGTGGGAAGCACAAGGAGGGATGTCAGGGGAGCAGCTTCTGGGGAGTCACAGAGCCTTCACAGCAAAGCTGGCACTTGACCTGGGCCCTGAGAGAAGTTTACCAGGCACAGAACATGTCAGAGAGAGAAACACGTATGAGTGAAGGCATGCAGGCCCCAGAGAGCACAGGTGATCCAGCAATAAAGCAGCCAAGGGGTTTGGGTGTGGCGTGCACACTGGAGGATCTGGACTGCCGCCTTTCCATCCAGGTGACGTTGACAATTTATTTTATGTCTTCGCCTGTTAAGTGGGGGCAGTTTTGTTGGAAAGATTAAATATGTGAAATGAAATCAGGCCTCTAGCAGGGTACCTGGTAGTGCTAAATTCGTGAATGACTTGCAACAAAGCTGCAAGAGATTTCATCCAGACTACATCATGAGGTGACAGCAAGAAGGATGACAAGAGAAAGAGCTCCATGTGTCGTGTAACTTGAATCTTGTGGATTATGGACACGATTCCTTTTAGACAGATTATCTTGAGAGGCTGTGTAGAAGATCAGCTTGAGGGGCTTCAAATGTAATCAGAAAAACAATTAAGAAGCAATTTTCACAGTCTAGGCAAGGGCTGGTGCAGGACTGAGCTGAGGCAATAGCAGTGGTTCAGGGAGACAGAGCAGGATCAGAGATACTTCTGCGCTGGGCTCTTGTTCCACATATTTCTATTTTTAGATCTTAGTGTAATGCCAGGTTCTTTGCAAAAGGCACTGTTATATTTACTAATTTCCAGCTTCTGGTTTATTCTGTATTATATGAATTGCTGGGTAAATGTATGCCCTTTCAAGTAATATAATGTTCTCACTCTCAGGCCAGAAAGACCTGCCAAGTCTAATCTGTTGCCATATAATAGACCTGTTCTTTCTGAAGTAGTTTTCTCATTTACAAATGGCCACAAAACTAATGTGGCTGTGTTATTATTCCTATCTGCACTCCTACAAGTGAAAAATAGATCTACGTATTGTTTGAATGTTGAACACTAAGTAAAGGTGACATGGCCTTGCTTAAAACTTCCAATCCAAGCACTCATATGAGATGGCCAAAGCCAAGGCTCTGACCCCAATCATGTGTTTAAACCCCATTTGCTCCTGTGCAGGTGGAAAATGCAATCTGGAGTGTTCCTGGGGAGCTCTGCTGTGTAAACCTTGGCTTTACAGTGAGAAGACGGGCTGATCACAGATGTGAACCGTCAGGTAACCAGGGCTGCAGTGAGAGCCACAGATTTCATGGGAAGTGGAAGAGGAGATGGAAAGAGGTGAGTATGGTGATGGGAGTAATGACATTTAGTGTATAGAGTAAGCAGACAAGGAAGGTGGTTAGATAAAAAACTCACATGGTGGACTTTTAAATGGCAATAAAGTATAACGTTGTAGATGATGTACCTCCTGGCAAGTGATCCACTCTGTCCCCAGGTCTCAAACAGCCCTGTGTTAATTCATGGATCAGATTCACTGGTCTAATTCTATATTTAATAATGACTTTATAGAGATGTATACCATAAAATTCACCCTTTTAAAGTATACAAACCAGTGTTTTTAGTCTATTCACCGGGCTGTGCAACCATCACTACTATCTAACTTTAGAAAATTATTAGCACAAAAAGAAATCCAGTACCCATTAGCACTCACTACCGATTTGCCTCTCCCCTAATCCCCTGGAAACCACTAATCTACTTTAGGTCTTCATGAACTTTTCTATTCTGGGCTTTTCATATAATGCAATCAACAGTTTGTGCTCTTTCATGACTGGCTTCTTTCACCCAGCAAAACAGTTTCGGGGTTAATCCATGTAGCGTGAGTCAGTACTTCATTTCTTTTTATGGCTGAAAAAGATTCCATTGTATGTATATAATACATGATGTTCACCCATTAATAAGCTGATAGACATTTGAGTTTACACTTTTTGGTGGTTGATGCTGCTTAGAACATTGATACACAAGTTTTTGTGTGGACACATGTTTTTAATTATCTGAGTATACACCAAGAATAAAATTTCTCAGTTATATGAAGTTTATATTTAAGATTTTGAGGAGTTGTCAAACTATTTTCCAGAGTGGTTGTACCATTTTACACCAAACTAGCAATGTATGAGACTTCCATTTTCTTCAGGTCTTCACAAACACTTCATCTTTTTTATTTTAGCTATCCTAAAATTAAAAAAAGATAGCTAAAAGGATAGTGTGAACTGGTATCTCATCATGATTTTGATTTACATTTCGTAATGACTGGTGCTGAGGAGCATTTTTTCATATGCTTATTTGCCATTTCTTTTTTAAAATTAAATTAAATTAAAATTTTAAAAAATTTCCATAGGTTATTGGGGTACAGGTGGTGTTTGGTTACATAAGTAAGTTCTTTAGTGGTGATTTGTGAGATTTTGGTGCAGCCATTACCTGAGCAGCGTACACTGCATCACATTTGTAGTCTTTAATCTCTTGGTCCCTCCCACCCTTCCCCTCAAGTCCCCAAAATCCATTGTATCATTCTTATGCCTTTGTTTCCTCATAGCTTAGCTCCCATATATCAGTGAGAACATATGGTGTTTTGTTTTCCATTCCTGAGTTACTTCACTTAGAATAATGGTCTCCAGTCTCATCCAGGTCGCTGCGAATGCCATTAATTCATTCCTTTTTATGGCTGAGTAGTATTCCATCTCATATATATATATATATATATATATATATATGCTGTGAATGGCATTAATTCATTCCTTTTTATGGCTGAGTAGTATTCCATCATATATATGAGATGGAATATATATATATATGGAATATACATATATGGAATATATATATGGAATATACATATATGGAATATATATATGGAATATACATATATGGAATATATATGTGTGAGTATATATATATATATGAGATGGAATATATATGTGTGTATATATATACGTGAGATGGAATATATATGAGTATATATATGGAATATATATATACCACAGTTTCTTTATCCACTTGTTTATTGATGGGCATTTGGACTGGTTCCATGATTTTGCAATTGTGAATTGTGCTGCTATAAACATGCATGTGCAAGTATAATGACTTCTTTTCCTCTGGGTAGATACCCAGTAGTGGGATTGTTGGATCAAATGGTAGTTCTACTTTTAGTCCTTTAAGGAATCTTTAAACTGTTTTCCATAGTGGCTGTAATAATTTACATTCCCACCAGCAGTGTAGAAGTGCTCCCTGATTACTGAATCCATACCAACATCTACTGTTGTTTGATTTTTTGATTATGGCCATTCTTGCAGGAGTAAGGTGGTATTGCATTGTGGTTTTGATTTGTATTTCTCTGATCATTAGTGATGTTGAGAATTTTTTCATATGTTTGTTGGCCATTTGTATATCTTCTTTTGAGAATTGTCTATTTATGTTGTTAGCCTACTTTTTGATGGGATTGTTTGTTTTTTTCTTGCTGATTTGTTGGAGTTCGTTGTAGATCCTGGATATTAGTCCTTTGTCAGATGTATAGATTGTGAAGATTTTCCCCCACTCTGTGGGTTGTCTGTTTACTCTGCTGACTGTTCCTTTTGCCATGCAAAAGCTCTTTAGTTTAATTAAGTCCCAACTATTTATCTTTGTTTTTGTTGTATTTGCTTTTGGGTTCTTGGTCATGAAATCCTTGCCCAAACCAATGTCTAGAAGGGTTTTTCTAAGGTTATCTTCTAGAATTTTTATAGTTTCAGGTCTTAGATTTAAGTCCTTAATCCATCTTGAGTTGATTTTTGTATAAGGTGAGAGATGAGGATCCAGTTTCATTCTCCTACATGTAGCTAGCCAATTATCCCAGCACCATTTGTTGAAAAGGGCATCATTTCCCCACTTTATGCTTTTGTTTGCTTTGTCAAACATCAGTTGGCTGTAAGTATTTGGGTGTAGTTCTGGGTTCTCTATTCTGTTCCATTGGTCTATGTGCCTATTTTTATACTGGTATCAAGCTGTTTTGGTGACTATGGCCTTATAGTATAGTTTGAAATCAGGTAGCGTGATGCCTCCAGTTTTGTCCTTTTTACTTAGTCTTGCTTTGGCTATGCAGGCTCTTTTTTGGTTCCATATGAATTTTAGAACTGTTTTTCCTAATTCTGTGAAGAATGATGGTGGTATTGTGATGGGGATTGCAATGAATTTGTAGATTGCTTTGACAGTATGGTCAATTTTCACAATATTGATTCTACCCATCCATGAGCATGGGATGTGTTTCCATTTGTTTGTGTTGTCTATGATTTCTTTCAGTAGTGTTTTGTAGTTTTCCTTGTAGATGTCTTTCTCTTCCTTGGTTAGGTATATTCTTAAGTTTTTTTTTTTCAGTAAAAGGGGTTGAATTCTCGATTTGATTCTCTGCTTGGTTGCTGTTCTTGTATAGAAGAGCTACTGATTCGTGTACATTAATCTTGTATCTAGAAACTTTGCTGAATTCTTTTATCGGTTCTAGGAGCTTTCTGTAGGAGTCTTTAGGGTTTTCGAGGTAAATGATCATATCATCAGCAAACAGTGACAGTTTGATTTCCTCTTTACTGATTTGGATGCTCTTGATTTCTTTCTCTTGTCTGATTGCTCTGGCTAGAACTTCCAGTACTACGATGAGGAGGAATGGTGAGAGTGGGCATCCTTGTCTTGTTCCAGTTCTCAGAGGGAATGCTTTCAACTTTTCCCCATTCAGTATTATGTTGGCTGTGGGTTTGTCATAGACGGCTTGTATTACATTCAAGTATGTCCCTTGTAGGCCAATTTTGCTGAGAGTTTTAATCATAAAGCAATGCTGGATTTTTGTCGAATGTTTTTTCTGCATCTATTGAAATGATCATGTGATTTTTGTTTTTAATTCTCTTTATGTGGTGTATCACATTTATTGACTTGCTTATGTTAAATCATCCCTACATCCCTGATATGAAACCTACTTGACCATGGTGGATTATCTGTTTGATATGTTGTTGGATTTAGTTAGCTAGTATTTTGTTAAGGAATTTAGCATCTATGTTCCTCAGGGATATTGGTCTGTTGTTTTCTTTTTTGGTTATGTCCTTTCCTGGTTTTGGTATTAGGGTGATGCTGGGTTCATAGAATGAATTAGGGAGGGTTCCCTCTTTCTCTAAGTGTTGAAAAGATTGGTACCAATTCTTGTTTGAATGTCTGGTAGAATTATGCTGTGAATCCATCTGGTCCTGGGCTTTTATTTTGGTTGGTAATTTTAAAATTACCACTTCAATCTTGCTGCTTGTTATTGGTCTGTTCAGGGTATCTATTTCTTCTTGATTTAAACTAGGAGGGTTGTATTTTTCCAGGAGTTTATCCATCTCTTCTAGGTTTTCTAGTTTATGTGCATAAACTTATGTGTTTTGTGTTCATAGTAGCCTTGAATGATCTTTTGTATTTCTGTGGTGTCAGTTGTAATAGCTCTCATTTCAGTTCTTATTGAGGTTTTTTGGATTTTCTCTTTTCTTTTCTTGATTAATCTTGCTAATGGTCTATCAATTTTATCTTTTCAAATAACCAACTTTTTGTTTCATTTATTTTTTGTATTTTTTTGTTTCAATTTCATTGAGTTCTGCTCTGATCTTGGTTATTTCCTTTCTTCTGCTGGGTTTGGGTTTTGTTTTTTCTTCTTTCTCTAGTTCCTTGAGGTGTGACCTTAGAATGTCAGTTTGTGCTCTTTCAGTATTTTTGATGGAGGCATTTAGGGCTATGAATGGTCCTCTTAGCACTGCCTTTGCTGTATCCTAGAGGTTGTGATAGGTTGTATCATTATTGTCATTCAGTTTGAAGAATTTTTAAATTTCCATCTTGATTTCATTGTTGACCCAATGATCATTCAGGAGCAGGTTATTTAATTTCCATGTATTTGCATGGTTTTGAAGGTTCCTTTTCAAATTGATTTCCAGTTTTATGTCACTGTGGTCTGAGAGAGTGCTTGATATAATTTCAATTTTCTTAGATTTATTGAGGCTTATTTTGTGGCCTATGATATGGTCTATCTTGGAGAAAGTTCCACATGCTGTTGAATAGAATGTGTATTCTGTGGTCATTGGATGAAATGTTCTGTATATATCTGTTAAGTCCATTTCCTCCAGGGTATAGTTTAAATCCATTGTTTCTTTGTTGACTTTCTACCTTGATGACCAGTCTAGTGATGTCAGTGTAGTATTGAAGTCCCCCACTATTATTGTGTTGCTGTTTATCTAATTTCTTAGGTCTACTAGTAATTGTTTTATAAATTTGGGAACTCCAGTGTTAGGTACATATATGTTTAGGATTGTGATATTTTCCTGTTGGAGATGGCCTTTTACCATTATACAATGTCCCTCTTTGTCTCGTTTAACTGCTGTTGCTTTAAAGTTTGTTTTGTCTGATATAAGAATAGCTACTCTCATTCACTTTTGATGTCCATTTGCATGAAATGCCTTTTTCAACCCTTTTACTTTATGTTTATGTGAGTCCTTATGTGTGAGGTGAGTCTCCTGAAGGCAGCAGATAGTTGGTTGGTGAGTTCTTATCCATTCTGCAGTCCTGTATCTTTTAAGAGGGGCATTTAGGAAATTTACATTCAATGCTAGTATTGAGAAGTGAGGTATCATTGTATTCATCATACTATTTATTGCCTGTGTACCTTGTTTTTTTTTTTTTTTTGTTTTTGCTTCTTAAATTGTATTTTTGTTTTATAGGTCCTATGTGATTTATGCTTTAAAGAGGCTCTGTTCTGATGTGATTCCAGGATTTGTGTCAGGATTTAGAGCTCCTTTTAGCAGATCTTGTAGTGGTGGCTTGGTAGTGGCAAATTCTCTCAGCATTTGTTTGTCTGAAAAAGACTGTGTCTTTCCTTCATATATGATGCTTAGTTTTGCTGGATACAAAATTCTTGGCTGATGATTGTTTTGTTTGAGGAGGCTGAAGATAGGGCCCCAATCCCTTCTAACTTGTAGGGTTTCTTCTGAGAAATCTGCTGTTAATCTGATAGGTTTTGTTTTATAGTTTACTTGGTGCTTTTGTCTCACAGCTCTTGAGATTCTTTCCTTCGTCTTAACTTTAAATAACCTGAGGACAATGTCCCTAGGTGATGAATTTTGTGATGAATTTCCCAGATGTTTTTTGTGCTTCTTGTATTTGGATGTCTAGGTCTCTAGCAAGGGTGTGGAAGTTTTCCTCAATTATTCCCCCAAATATGTTTTCTAAACTTTTAGATTTCTCTTCTTCCTCAGGAACACTGATTATTCTTAGGTTTGGTTGTTTAACATAATCCCAGACTTCTTGGAGGCTTTGTTCATATTTTCTTATTCTTTTTTCTTCATCTTTATTGGATTGGGTTAATTCAAAGACCTTGTCTTCAATCTCTGAATTTCTTTCTTCTACTTATTCAATGCTATTGTTGAGATTTTCCAGAGCATTTTGCATTTCTATGTGTGTCCAATGTTTCCCAAAGTTTTGATTGTTTTTTCTTTAAGCTCTCTATTTCCTTGAATATTTTTCCCTTCACTTCTAGTATCATTTTTTGGATTTCCTTGCATTGGGCTTCACCTTTCTCTGGTGCCTCCCTGATTAGCTTAATAACTAACCTCCTGAACTTTTTTTCAGGTAAATCAGGGATTTCTTCTTGATTTGGATTCATTGTTGGTAAGCTAGTGTGATTTCTTGGGGGTATTAAAGAGCCTTGTTTTGTCATATTACCAGGGTTTGTTTTCTGGTGCCTTTTCATTTGATTAGGCTCTGTCAGATGGAAGGTCTAGGGCTGAAGGTTATTGTTCAGATTCTTTTGACCAACAGGTTGTTCCCTTGATGTAGTACTCTCCTCCTTTTCCTATGGATGTGGCTCCCTGTGAGCTGAGTTGCAGTGATCATCATCTCTCTGTTGGGTCTACCCACCCAGCAAGTCTTCCTGGCTCTGGGCTGGTACTGGGGGTTGTCTGCACAGAGTCCTGTGATGTGAACGCTCTATGGATTTCTCAGCTGTGGATACAGCACCTGTTCTGGTGGAGGTGGTAGGGGGTGAAATGGACTCTGTGAGAATTCTTAGCTTTGGTGGTTTAATACTCTATTTTTTTGCTGGTTGGCCTCCTGCCAGGAGGTGGCACTTTCCAGAGAGCATCAGCTGTAGTAGTATTGAGAGGAACCGGCAGTGGGTGGGGCCCTAGAACTCCCAAGAGTATATACCCTTTGTCTTCAGCTACCAGGGTGGATAGGGAAGGCCCATCAGGTGGGGTCAGTACCAGGCATGTCTGAGCTCAGACTGTCATTGGGTAGGTCTTGCTGAGGCTGCTGTAGAGGAACTGGACGAGGTTCCCAAGTCAATGGAGTTGTGTACCTAGGAGCATTATGACTTCCCTTGCTGAGTCATGCAGGTTATCAGGGCAGTGGGGGAAAGTCGGCAGTCACAGTCCTCACCCAGCTCCCACATGATCTGAAGGGCTGGACTCAGTCTTACCGTGCCCCACGTAACAGCCTGAGTCTGTTTCCAGGCAGTGGGTGAACAGGGCTTGAGAACTTGCTCCAGGCTACCCACCTCCCCTCTGAGAAAGAACAGGGTTTTATTTCTTCCCCTGCCTGTGAAGTCTGAACACTGGATTCATGCCCTTCCCTGAGTTCTGGGCAGAAGGCTTTTCACCCAGTTCAAATGGTCACAAAATTGGTCAAATTGGAGACTACCTTCTCCTTGCAGCATTTTCCCCCCACAACTCTGGCTGCCCTCCCAAAGGGTCCCTGTGGTGCCAGGCAGAAATGGCCTGCTTGGGGACCCAGCAAGCTCGTTATCTTCTTTAGAGAAACGTGTGTTTGAGTCATTTGCTCATTTAAAAATTTGATTATTTGTCTTTTTATTGTTGAATTGCAGGAGGTCTTTATACTATTTTGGATACTAGGCCCTTATCAGATGCATGACTTTCAGATTCTTTGATTCTGTAGATCATCTTTTCACTTTTTTGATTGTGCCCTTTGAGGAACAGAAGTTTTAAATTTATCAAGTAGAATATGTCCACTTTTTTCTTTCATTGCTTGTGCTTCAGTGTCATGTCTAATGAAACATTGCTTAACCCAAGATCATGAGAATTTATTTCTATGTATTTTTTCCTAAGAGTTTTATAGTTTTAGTTTTTTTATTTAGGTGTTTGATTCATTTTTAGTTTTTGTATATGGTGTGAGGGGAGGATCTACCTTCATTATTTTGCATGTGGATATCCAGTTTTTCCAGCATCATTTGTTTTTATTTATTTTATTTTTTTATTTTATTATTATTATACTTTAAGTTTTAGGGTACATGTGCACAATGTGCAGGTTAGTTACATATGTATACATGTGCCATCCAGCATCATTTGTTAAAAAGATAATGTTTCCTTCTTGATTTGTCTTGACTTTCTTGTAAAACTACTAAATGATCATAAATGTAAGAGGTCATTTCTAGACTCTCAATTCTATTTCTTTCGTGTGTCTGTGTGTGTGTGTGTGTGTTTTCCTTAGAATTTTCTTTGTACGAATCATGTCACCTGTGAACAGAGAAAATTTTACTTCTTTCCTTCCAATCTGGATACTTTTTACTTTTTTTCCCCCTAATTTACCTGAATGGTAAAATTTTGAATAGAAATAATAAATGAATTTCCTTTTTTATTTTTTGGAAGACTTTGTGGCACATTGATGATTATTCATTAAGTATTTGAAATAATTTACCAGTGACACTATCTTGTTCTGGAGTTTTCTTTGTGGTTAGCTTTTCTGATTACTAATTTAACAGCTTTACTTCTTATAGATCTGTTCAAAATTTATTTTTATGTTTTTGTCCACTTTAGTGGTTTGTATCTTTTTAGGAATTTATCTATTTATTGACATATAATTTGTCATAGTATTCCCTTAAAATCCTTCTTGTTTATGTATGGTCAATAGTGATGTCCCCTTTTTGTTTACTTACATTGGTAATATAAATCTTCTCCCATTTGTTTCTGGCCAGCTAAAAGTTTGTCAATTTTGTTTATTTTTTTCAAATTTTATATATATCTATATAGTATATAAAAATTATACATATATAATTATATATATTATATATTTGTATATATAAATTTATATTTGTATATATTTATATATTTTATATATATATATATTTGTGTGTTTTTTTGTGACAGAGTCTTGCTGTGTCACCCAGGCTGGAATGCAGTGTCACGATCTCAGCTCCCTGCAACCTCTGCTTCCTGGGTTCAAGCGATTCTCCTGCCTCAGTCTCCTGAGTAGCTGGGATCACAGGTGTGTGCCACCATGCTTGGCTAGTTTTTGTATTTTTTTAGTAGACAGGGTTTTGCCATGTTGGCCGGGCTGGTCTCAAACTCCTAACTTCAGGTGATCCACCCACCTCAGCCTTCCAAAGTGTTGGGATTACGGCGTGAACCACTGCACTCAGCCAAATAATACATTTTTGATTTCAATATTTTTTCTACTGGCTTTCTTTTTTTAAAATTTATTTTCACTGTAATCTTTTTTTTCTTCTGCTTGATTTGAGTTTTGTTAGCTTAAGGTGGATGGTTATTTATTTGAGATTTTCTTTTTTTAAACATAGGTGTTTACAGCCATACCTTTTCTTCTAAGCACTGCTTTAGCTACTTCCCATAAATTTTAGTATGTTGTGTTTTTGTTTTCATTTAACTCAAAATGTTTTCCAATTTCCCTTGTGATTTCTTCTTTGATGTATTAACTATTTAAAAATGTGTCATTTAATTCTCATTTATTTTTGAATTACCCACACTTCCTTCTGTTACTGATTTCCAATTTTATTCCTTTGCAGTCAGATAACATATTTTTTATAATTACAGAATTTTGAATGGATTGAGGCTTATTTTATGTGCTGACACATGGTCTATTCTGGAGAGTGTGCTATGTGCACTTGAGAAAACTGTTTTCTGCTACTGTTCAGTGGAGTGTTCTATGAATACCTGTTAGGACTAGTTGATTTATAGTGTTATTCAAGTCTATTTCTTTGATGATCTTCTACCTATTTTATTCTCCATATTATTGAAAATGAAGTACTGAAGTCTCCAACATTATTGGTGAATTGTCTATTTCTCCCTTCTTTTCTCTATCTTTGCTTCACATTTGTTGAGGATCTGCTGTTAGATGCTTGTGTTTATAGTTATTATATCTAATGGATGGATTGACTGTGCTATTATAAAATATATGTTTTGTCTCTAGTAATTATTTTTGTTTTAAACTATATTTTATCTGATAGTAATCTAGCCTCTCTGCCTCTCTGTTTATTACTGTTTGCATGGTATCTCTTTCTGGTATTCTTTTACTTTCGACCTATTTGTGTGTTTGATGCTAAAGTCTATCTCTTTTATATAACATATAGTGAGACCATGTTTTTGTTTGTTTGTTTTCTTAACCTATCTGCCAATATCTGCTTTTCATTGGAGGTACTTACTTTATTTATATTAATGTAATTATTGTTTAGGTAGAATTTACATTTGCATTTCACTATTTTGTTCTTTTATATCAAATTTGTTGTTTCTCTATTCCTTCATTACTGCCTCCTTTTGTGTTAAATAGATTTTTCTAGTCTACCATTTAATTTGCTTGTTGTTTCTTTATATATATATATGTATGTATATATATGTATATATATATAATGTGGATTTAGTTATTTTATTAATGATTGTTGCTCTGGGGATTACAATTAACATCTTAACTTAAAACATCTAGATTAGAATAATATAACTTAATTTCAGTAAGTTTAATACCATTTTGCCCCAATGGTATTTATTCTCCCTTTCTTTAGGCTAGTATCATCACACAATTCATATCTTTATTTATTATAACCTATCAATGCTGCTTAATAATTATTGCTTTATGTAGTTTTCTTATCTATAAGATAGGAGATGAAAAGAGCTATTATGTAAATAGAATTAAATTTATACAGTCTTTTATATTTTCTTTTATCGATGCTCTTTATTTCTTCCTGTGGATTTCCTCTTCATGCGAACCTCCTTTCATTTCTGCCTAAAGGACTCCCTTGAGTATTTCTTGTGAGGCAGATCTGTTAGCAACAAATTCTGTTAGTTTTTTTTTTTTTAATCTGGGAATATCTTAATTTCTTCTTTGTTTTTAATTAATGGTTTTGTTGGAAACAGAGTTCCTGGTTGACAGTCTTTTTCTTCAGCACTTTAAGTATGTCATCCCACTCCCTCTGGCTTGCATGGTTTCTGATAAGAATTCAGCTGTTATTGTATTAAGGATCACTATATATTCAATCATGTCTCTTTTGATGCTTTCAAGATTCTCTGTTTAACTGTCTTTTGACAATGTGAATATTTTTAAATTTATCTTACTTGGATTCTATTGAACACCTTAGACGTGCACATTATTATTTTCATTACCTTTGGAGAGTTTTCACCATTATTTATTCAAATATTCTTTCTGTGCCTTTCTCTCACGCCTCTTCTTTTCTCTGGGACTCGCATTCAGGTGTATGTTGATATGCTTAATGGTGTCCCACAGATCTTTGAGGCTGTATTCATTTTTCTTATTTTTTTAATGTTCTTCAGAATAAAAGAACCTCAGTTTAACTCTCTTCAAGTTTGCTCTTACTTTCTTCTGTCAGTTAAAATCTGTTGTTGAGTCCTAATAGATTTTGCATTTCAGTTCTTATAGTTTTCAAGTTCAGAATTTCTCTTTTGTTCTTTTTATAATCTCTATCTCTTAGTAGTAGTCTCTGTTTGAGCATTATTCTCATACTTAAAAAAATTCTTTAAACATGATTTTCTTTAGTTTTTTGAGCATATTTGTTGTTTAATTTTTTATTATTTTTTAACATTTTTGTGGGTACATAGTAGGTGTATATATTTATGGGGCACATGAGATGTTTTGATACAGGCATGCAGTGTGAAATAAGCACATCATGGAGAATGGGGTATCCATCCCATCAAGCATTTATCCTTTGAGTTACAAACAATCCAATTACATTTTTTTGAGTTCTTTTAAAATATACAATTATTATTGACTATAGTCACCCTGTTGTGCTATCAAATAGTAGGTCCTAATGATTCTTTCTATTTTTTTGTACCCATTGAGTATATTTATAATAGCTGATTTAAAATGCTTGTCTTAAAAGTTCAACATTTGGGTTTCCACAGTGTCAGTTTCTAGTGACCACATTGTTTCCCTGTGTACAGCTCCCAGTTCCTTTTCCTGTATGTATCTTGTAACTTTTTGTTGTGGAAAAGCTACACATTAAAAATAATAGAATGTGGGGGAACTGGAGAGTCTATTCTCCTCCTCTGTCTCCAGCCTTTGTTGTGGAGGCTGCTGGTTTTCAGGCTACTGAGGAGGTAGGGACAGGGGATGATAATACAACAAGTTAAAATATCCAAAGCTTACTTTTCTTACAAAAATTCAGATTTTTTCTTGAGTAAACACCTTAAGATTGTTGCAAGCCTGTCTTAATTTCCAGTGTCCTGAACAAATCAAAGTTGGAAATCTCCCAGGTGTTCTTGCTTCTTTCACCAAGGAATATATTTTCAGAAATGCTTCCACCACCATTCTGGAAGTGCGTCTGCTGCTTAACTCAATTGTAGTGGTGTATTTGGGAGTGTCAGGGTGATGGTCATTCCAGGAGATCCTTGAAGAGTAGGATTCGGTCATACTTGTCTATAGTTCCCAAGCTTCTAGCTCAATGCTTGGCCTGCAGCAAGAGGGTAGTAGCCATACAATAGATCCCATTCATCCAGGGGAACACATTTCAAGAGCCCTTGTGGTTTCCTAAAATTGCTGATAGTACTGAACCCTATATATACCATGTTTCTTCCTATACATATATGTGTATGTATGATAAAGATTAATTTCTCAACTAGATGCCAAATAACTGAAACCATGGAAAGTGAAACCGTGGATAACAAGGGACTATTGTATGCTGAGGTGAATGAAAGATGGCATCTAAGGAACAATATGAGAGAGTTCCATGAAATAACAACAGAAAGAATGATATTTATTTTTCCCCCATGTTTAGAAGAACAATAATGGAATTCTACAATTTGCCAATATCTAGCTTATACAACTCTGTGTGCATAACGCCACTTCTGACATTTCTGGATAGTCCTTTGAGAGCACACTGTGTTTCTTTCGTCTGTGTTTCCTCCGCAGTGCATGCCAGGTAGTCAGAGGCAAGAGTAACTTAGGAGGCAATGGGGGAAACTTGCTTCCCAACCTTCTCTGCTCCCTCTAACTCATTGCTTTAGATTGCTCATCAGTGGACATCACCATATCTTGTAGGGAAAGCCAAGGTAGATGTGAAGAGAGAGGAACTTAGTCTTGAAGTATGAACAGAGACTAGCCAGAGTTTAACTCTCTAGTCAGGGAGCTTCAAAGCAGGAGAGTAGGGCAAAGCAAGTTGTGCTTGGGCCAGTAGCAGAAGGTGGAAGAGGAAGAGGGGTGCAGTGAAGCCAAGGCTACAGAGAATATCAAGACTAGCTCTTGAAGGGCCTAGGATGTCAGGCTGAGGATGTCAAATTTTATTCTGAAGGCTCTGGAGTTTCAGAGGAGGATTTTA
Organism: Homo sapiens; assembly: GCF_000001405.40. Classification (NCBI taxonomy): domain Eukaryota; kingdom Metazoa; phylum Chordata; class Mammalia; order Primates; family Hominidae; genus Homo; species Homo sapiens. The sequence continues at coordinate 51,583,761 of NC_000007.14, forward strand.
AACAGGAGTGTGAGCAGATGTGCAAATTAGTAAATGCGACATTCTGGTAATTTGGAGAGTTCCAAAAGAGCAGAAGAGCTCAAAGGGTGCTGTGGGAGTAACCAGGGGAGAATTGTTGAAAGATCAAACCAGGAAAGATTAAACAGACCAAAGAAGGAAAGAGCTTCAAGAGATACATAGAGGTGTAATTAACAAGACTTTGGTAATTTACGTGATGTGGAAGACAGAGAAGAGGAGGGAAGCACTGATGTCCAGGTTCCCACCTTTGGAAAATGGGTGCAATTCACTGAGGTAGACCCCAAGAGGGAAGATCAGGCCTTGTAAGGGAACACAATGAGACTGCAGAGGCTGTGGTGTACGTACCCCAAGTGACATTGGCACCCAGCTATTGCATTTCCAGGCTGGAAACTCAGGAGACAAGTCTGGAGTGGTTATATTTATTTAGGATGTATTATATGAATTTTAGCTAGATGAAGCCATGGGAGAAATTAGATCAGCTAGTGGGAGCATCAAATTGAGGAGAGATAGTGTCTGCAAGACAGCTATGAGGGAAAAAACAGTATTTGAAACAGGTGGAAGAAAAAAACCTAAGAAAGACGTCAAGAAGCACACCCATCGAGATCTCTCTAGCTCCTTCTGGCTGTGTGGTGCAGAGCACACACACACAACATTGGGCTGGTGGTCAAGGCTCAGGGCTGGCCCACAGGAGCTTCCTAAAGCCCTGGGCTGGGGCCGCAGTGGGTGGAGTCTCTCTTTTAACAATATTCTTAATTCTGGCTTATAAACCTTCAGAGTATGCATCATGGCTGTTATGTAAGCATTGGTAAGATGATAGTATGGTTTTGGAATTGATATAGTGTTCCTCAGCTTTGCTAAAATTGGGACCAGTGACTACACCAGCCTAGCCACGGGGAACATATGAGATCAGAACCCTTTCCTCCTTTAGGACTCCTCCCAGAGCCTTTGAAGTTGCCATCCCTGCTTCCCTTCCCTGCCCTGTGAATGTAGCCTATAGCCCATCTTCTTTCCAGGTAATCTTCATCTAATTCCTACTGTGTTTTTAATGGAGTAATGCAAGTTAAAGCTATAAACTAATATTGGAAAAATATGCAGAACTCTGCCTGCAGGCAGTTAATAAATACTAACTATTATATCATGATAGCAACTCGAAAAGCAAAGTGATCAGGTAGGATGGTGCCATGGGGTGTCTGCTCACTCTGCCTGGTCTACCAAATGCCCACAGCTCATGTTTCCCTACAGGGCACCCACTGGGCCAACATACCCACCAGAGAGAACAGGTGCAGGGTCTGAGGGGTTGTGGGGTGCCGGGCCACATTGCGCAGTTGCAGGAGTAAGGCTTCCCAGGAAATGGCAAGGGTGGTGACTAGATCCAGTCTTACTCAAAGGGGCCTGTGTGGATGAGCCAGCAGCATGGAGCTTTTTGCTTAGGGTAAGCCAGACTCATGAAATGGGTCTGTCTTCTCCATGTCATGGCACCACATCCGAGAGAGAGTGTGTGCCCTGCCTGCAGCAGAGCAGTGCGCCCCTTCCATAAGGGTCCTGTTTCCCATTCAGTTATTGGAGACTTTCTGACGCCTCCAGTGTCCTCTGGTGATGTGTTGGGGTCAGTTGGGCATGGTTGCCGGCATTCCATGGACACAACTCACCAGGGAGCAGTCGTGTGTTTTAGGAAATAATTCACTAATCATGGGTGAGGAGTGCTTTCCCCAAATTTTCACTCCAAGTAATGTGAAAAAGAAAATAAAGCTGGCTTGATTGATTTAATATACCCAAATCATCTATTTATTTGGGTAGAAGAACAATAGTAATGTGAGTAAATTTGGCCAGGGGTAGAGTTGAAGCAGCTTTCTAGAAATCATCAAGCTGTAAATTCTGTGTTGTTTTTCTACTTTGCAGCCTCTGGGGAGCTATAGTTTACCCACAGCCAGAACATTTCCCGGTTTGACTGTTCTCTTGGGTTCAAGGCTGGGTGAGAGGGGAGTCCTCATCAAGTCCACAACATGAGTTCCTGCTACAAAACCAGAACCCCCAGGGCGCAGCCTTGGGTATGGACTCTGCATCCTCGGAGATCCGGTCTGCTGTTGCTACCAACCCATAAGCGACAGCCAATTGATTGATCAGTGAAGCCTTCCAGGAAGTTCTCCAGCCAATGCTGCCCAGTCCTCTTTCAGAGATAAAACCTAACGAGGATTGAAAGATGGTTAGCATGTAGTGTGAGGAAATTCCCAGAATGTTAATGGCTCCTAATAGCAATAAGTTTCCAGAGAAAGCCCATAGACTGGACAAGCATTTATGTGTTCCTAAACTTGGGGATTTCTAGAAGTCTTGGGACTCGATCTGTTTGAATGTCAAAGAATGATCATAGCCCGGGTAGGTTAATGTATACGAAACTGCCTAAATTTCTTATTCAATTTTGTGGGTTTAGCAATTTTCAGCAAATCCTTTTCTCTTTGTCATAAATCTTGAGTTAAACAACTCTTTTGAGGCTGGAGTGAAGGGATTCGAGGATGGGGTGGCTGCATTTGCTGTTGTTGACCAGTCCCTGGTGTGGAGAGAGGGCACAGTGGCCTGCTGTCTGCATGGGGTCTTTCTGTCTCTGTACCACCTGCTGCCCCAGTGCAGGTGAGAGGCAGTGCTGTGAGGCCCAGTGGACTGGGAAGACAGACTTTGTACAGCCTACCATCTGCTCTTGTCCTAACCATTCATTTTCACAGGTAACCCAACCAGTTGCTCACCTGACTCTCAGGGCCTTGCCCTGACTTTCCCAAAGCAATTCCTGACTCCCTCTAAGTTTGCTGTTTAACATTTGTGATATTTTTAAGCTCATTTGCTGCCTTCTCTGGGTTCTTTTGTTTTGGAATCATTGTTCTGACGGAATATTCTCCAGGCTGGGCACTTCCACTAGAAGCTTTCTCAGAAAATGAGCTGTAGTCGTTCTTTCCAGTCCTCACCAATTTGAAATGCCTTTCTCCCAGTCACGGAGAAGGAGCTTTGGACAGAAGAAGGTTTCTTTGCAAGAAAGCCAAATGGATTACAACATGTTCCAGCTTTTAGTGGCACGTCAGGATTCCATGGAGTCACATGCTTTTTACTTGGTAAGCCATCTAGTCACTCGGGATACCGATGAGGGCCCCTCACGGTCAGTCAGTGCTTTATTTTCATTAATCCTTCTGGGGGAAATAAGCTGTTTCCATTAAAAATTTTAGTCTTTCTTCACCTCAGGGAAAATTTCTTCTATTTCCTTTACTATCCTTCATGCCTCTTCTGAACTACTGTTATTCACAAATTAATTCTCCTTGCTAAATGTGGAGCATTCCTAGGAGTTTATTAGAAAGGCAGACTCCCAAACCCCTTTCCCGAGTTGGAATCTGTGCTGTATCGAGATCCCAGGGACCTGTGTGCATGTTAAAGATTGAGAAGTGTCACCCTCCATGGCCTGTTCTTCCCATCCCAACTTTTTGCTCATATTATTTGAATGTTTGAATTAAGTGGATGTTCTTTACCTAACGCCCACCTCAGTTTACCATATTTAAAAAGTAGATAACAACAGTATCAATTTCATAGGTTCAGTATGAGTGTAATTGAGTTAATATTGGTAAGGTACTTTAACAATGCCTTGCACGTAAGTGCTAGATAAACATTTATTAAATAAATAAAAATGATTTCTGGTGCTCAATATACTTTGTTGTGAGGAAGCATCCCCTTGGTCCTTCCAGGTTATGAATTCATGACTTTCCAGTTCTGTTATTACATTTAAAAAGTCAGAAATAATGTTTTGCAATATCTTCTAATAGAGGTGCTTCTCAACTTTGGCTAAACTCAGGGAGCTTTTAAAAATCCCGGTGCTCAGGCTGCTGCCCACACCAATTAAGTCAGAGTCTCTGGAGGTGTGAGCTGCATCATTATTTTGTATTCCCCTGCCTGCCAGGTGATAGCATGCAGCCATGTTGCCCTGTACAGGCATTCTCCGCCCTCCTGCACTAGCACACCAGCTGTGTCCTGCCCTGTTCTCTGCAGTGTTTTGCTTCCCCTGCAGGTGAACGAGCTCCAGGACATTTTGGGCTCTCTCCTGGCTTCTGCATTTTTGTTCAGGCTGTTGGGGTCTCCAGGGAATGGGGAAATTCAAAGTAAGAGAAAGTTTTTGTTTATGTGGGTTGTTTTCATTTTTCTTAGGCTGGAGATAAAGGGACAGGCAACTGTTGGCTGATAGGCTGCATTTTTTGGTTTCTTTTCATCTTTTGATTGAGAAGTGTGGGGCATAGGCAAGGGGTTTCTTGGGCTTCTCTAGGTACAGGGACAGGGAAGAGCAGTCCTTTTCCAGCTGTAGGGGAGAGGTCTGTTGGAGAACTGTGCAGTCCCTCTGGAGGGCAGGGGCTGTCACTGGGGTCAACAAGTTTCTCACTGGTCTTGAAATTGGTCCAATTGTTTCACAGAAGTAATATTTACAGGTTTTTGAATAAACATAGAAATTGACTCTCCATCTTAAAACTTGAAACTTAAATTTATCTCATCTGAGTTTCTTCCTCAGGAAACTGACCCTGGCAGGGGACTGAAACTCACTGACTCATGGCATCCAGACAATAGATGCCAGATCCCTCATTCCTCATGATTGCTTCCTTACCCCTCCCTGAGTCCTTCTTGCACATAGCTACATTCATTCCCTGCTATATAAACCCCCAATGTTAGTTAGTTGGGAAGACGAATTTGAGACTTTTCTCCCTATTTCTCTGTTGACATCGCCAGAATAAAAAGCCTTCTTCCCTTGAAATACTCATTGTCTCAGTGATTGACTTTCTGTGCAGCGAGCAATGGGACCTAGCCGAGACCAAATCCTGGCATTCTGGTAACAGTCTGTGTGTAGGGTAAGATAGGACGGGTGTTTGTGCTGACCAGGAGAGTGCAGGGGTCTGCTGGCTGGGACGTTTAGGATGATGTGCTGTCCCTGGAAAGCAGACTCATCCTGGTGATCAGCTCGTGGTTTTTTCCAGACCGTTGAATAACAGTGAAGGTAGCCCTTTCCCTGGCTTACAAGTCTTCTCAAGAACTTTAGCCTGCAAAAGTGCCAGGGATCCTTGAGGAGAAGAGGCAGGTCCAGCCAACTCTTAAGTTCATTTTTTAAATTAGAATTCTCTTGAGAGGGATTTGGGAGAGAGAATAAGGGTCTGTTCCTTGGTTCAGTTTTCCAGAATTCACACAACATACTATTTTAATGGGAACACCTTTCGTGTGTTTCAGAGAGCAAGAATTGGGAAATGAAAAATGTTGGCAGTGAATGGCAGGCATTTTTCATCTAGAAACCTTCTTGGGGATGTCTTAAATGGACAGACTGGCCTTACTTCCGTTATCAGCACATTCTGCAGGGTTTCATCCCTATGGGAAACCTGGGACCTCCTTTGCCACCTAATATGAGGCCCCCAGTGCACCCATCCCATCAGACACCCATGCAGGTGTTGAGGGTAAGCCATTAACTTTGTGCATTAACCATATCTTTTATTGTCTGTATTTGGATGCTTTGACATCTGGGGCTTTGAGGACTCTGGAAGCTAGCCAATTCCTAGAGACACTAAGGGCTAGCCAATCCCTAGAGACACTAAGCAGCTCACACATGAACACGCTTTTCAAATGCAAGCTAACTGCTGTGAACTCAGTGTGTCACCCCAAAATTCATATGTTGAAACTCTAATCTGCAATGGGATATATTAGTAAGTGGGGCCTTTGGGGGGTGATTAGGTCATGAGGGTAGAGCCCTTCTAACAGGATTAGTGGCCTTATAAGAAGAGACATGAGGGACTTTGCTTATTTCCTCTCTGCTCTCTGCTCTATGAGGATACAATGAGGAGGTGGCTATCTGCACACCAGAGTGTGGACCCTGACCAGACACCCGATCTCCTGCCATCTTGATTTTGGACTTTGCAGCCTCCAGAACTGTGAACAATATATATTTGTGGCTTAAGCTGCTCAGCCTATTTATGGTATTTTTGTTATGCCAGCCTAAACTAAGACAACAATCAAACTGGAGCCTACACCCCCAGCCCCGCCTTTATGGGGCTCTGACACTCAGGGTCACCATCCTCCTGCCCTATTCACCCCAGGGCCAGGCAGCAGACAAGTAGGCATAGCCCTATCTGATCCTAAGCCTGTGTACACTGCCATATGCATTTATTCCAGTGGATACCACAGTGAAGCTTCCTACCCACGTTTCCTCACTCCCTCTGCCTCTGGATGGCCCTGGTGCTTCCTTGTGTGGCTCTCAATGGAGTGCCATATTCCTCTTCTTGGGATCTGTGAGAATAGTAGTCTGTCTTTCTGGTGGCAGTAATCTTCCAATCTACTGGCCTTCCCATACCTACATAATAATAAACCTATATTAAAACAGCATATATGCTTGGGAGCATCCAAAGGCAATGTTTCAGCAAGAGACTGGGCTCTCAGGCATCTCAGATTTAGAGATGTTCAAGGATACCTTTTCTATTAACACTTGCACGGTTGATCCAGGGATGCAGCGTCTGTAGCTCTACTCCTTGCTGCTTGACAATGATGTACAGCCACGGTGCTAGGCCCTTAAGTACAATCCTCTAAATCTGTACTTCTTACTGAGCCAGATTATTTGTCTTTCTGACAATATTAGGCCCTGGAAATGTAATTTTTTAAATTAAAGAACTTTATAACATGGTATCCCAGAAGAGCTTCATCCAGTCCAGATGAGGACATTTATCTCCAGTTCTGTCCCCTTGGTGATATTTTAATATTGTATAATTACTTAACAATGTGCCTATTAATTTTAGCAGAATCTCACGACTGCCTTCTTGTGCTACTGCAAATTGGATAGTTTGAGAAAAGTTTTCTTCTGTTAAAATACATGCCACTTTATAAAAATAATTTGCATGAAATTATTACCAAGTTAAGACGTTTTTTCTAGAGGTTTTCACAATTTAAACCATGCATGATAAAGAATTTTGTAACCCATAGGAAGCAGGCTCCACTGAAAGTCTAAAGGTATTTCAGACCTCACGATTGAAAAAGGTTCTGGAGTGAAGAGAGACCAGCTGTCAGGCTGGCTGAACTCAGAGGCTCAGAAGATGTCCCCAGCCTGCAGTTTCTCCATTTGCATCTCACATCTGTCTCTCTTCTGTGTTGCTTCCATTTCCTATTGGGCTGATTCCTCACGGACACAGCAGGTAGTAGCAGCTCTGTCCCCCTCCGGCTCAGGCAAGTGAGATCTTCTGAATGTCTTCCTAGAGGGGAGGAGGCAGGAATCCCAGGAGAAAACGGAAGAATCAGTACTGAAAAAAGAAATAGAAGCTGATTACAAAAATCACGTATATTACTATTTTTTTTTCTGAGAGCAACACCAGCCTAATCATAGTGTTGAAATAATTTCTGATATAGACCAATATTTTGTGATTCCGTATTTTATAAAAGAAGGTGTTTGTAGGAATTTTAAGTAATTTCTACATCTGACCCAGGCAACTAAAGTGTGTCTTGTGCTCCAAATAGAATACCTCACACAAGGAAGTGGGGAGAAATCCTTCAAAGGAAGAGAACAATGAAGATCAAGTTTTAGTGGTCAAGGGAAATAGTCATCGACTCATTCTTTTCTTTATGAATTAACCTTTTCAAGGAAGAGAGATCAAAAGGAAAAATAAATAAATCTCCACAATGGGAAGGCTGTGAATGCAAACAAAAGTCAACCTTTGAACTAGATCGAATACAGAAAGGGGACTGTAACAGCCTAAAGTAGAAAAACAAAAAGAGTAGTAGGAGGGTAGAGGATAGAAGTGTAGATTAGCTTAGCAGTGTTCTTCCTCTGAGATTATATTTCAGCACAATCTACAAATCTACTTGTATATATATAAAGGATACAAATGTAAATATATAAAGTATGTGATTAAGCTTGATATTTTAGGTTAGGAAATAATGAAGAGTATAAATTGTTGACTAGAATTTTTAAAACATATCTAACTGTGACCTGAGATTTTTCTTTTTCTTTTCTTTTTCTTTTTTTTTGAGTCAGAGTGTCATACTTTTGCCCAGGCTGAAGTAAAGTGGCACCATCATGATCTCAGCTCACTGCAATCTCTAATTCCAGTCTCAAGTGATCTTCCCACTTCAGCCTCCCAAGTAGCTGGGGCTACGGGTGCATGCCACCACTCCCAGCTGAGATTTTTCAATTTTAGTTGACTTTTTTTGGGTGAGAGCACTTGGTGGTTCCCCCAAAGACAAATTAAAGAAATTGCTAAATTATGCCATGTTAGATCACATCTTCCTAGGTCCCAAATGACCTACAGTAGCTCTCTTATGATTTTTTTTTTTTTTTGAGACACAGTCTTGTTCTGTCACACAGGCTGGAGTGCAATGGCATGATTTCAGCTCACTGCAACCTCTGCCTCCCAGGTTCAAGCAATTCTTGTGCTTCAACCACCTGAGTAGCTGGGACTACAGGTGTGCACCACTACATTCGGCTAATTTTTGTATTTTTAGTAGAGACGGGGTTTCACCAAATGGTCAGACTGGTCTTGAACTCCTGACCTAGGGTGATCCACCTGCTTTAGCCTCCAAAAGTGCTGGGATTACAGTGTGAGCCACCCCACCCTGCCTCTTAAGGTATTAACACACAAAGAATGTTTCAATGCTGGTTGTGTACTCTAAGTCAAAACCAAAAAGTAATTTCATGGAGTCAGGGATGGTCAGTCTAGATCAGCACTGTCCAGTGGAATTTTTGATGGTGATGGAAATGATTTAGATCCATACTGTCCCAATTTGAGATGCCCAGTGCACCCACCATGCATCTATCCATTCCCTTATCTATGAAATGCAGCTAGTGAGTACCATGGCTTTGGGGCACTTGAAATGTGGCTGGTGCAAATGAGGAGCTGTATTTTAAATTTCATCTAATATTAATGTCAATTTAAATTTAAACAGGCACATGTGACTACCCATTTTGGGGTAGTGCAGGTCAGGAGTAATGACAATATGAAGCACAGAGACATTGGCTGTTTGGAAGTGTTAATAGCTTCCATATCAAGTTAGAAAAAAATATGATGCCAAGAGGTAAAAAAATCCTGCAGCTGGGGTGCATTTTAACCATTGCGTAAAAATACTTTGTATTGTGTCTTTATGCAACACTATCAAGCAGCAAGTGGGAGCCAGACACTGAAAGTAGAGAACATCGTATCTGCCCCACAGCCTCTCTCAGGCTCAGCAAGCTCACACTGCCCTGGGAGTCCCCAGGGATCAGCAGTCCTTACTGATCCTGCGAAGGATTGGCTACTGCGGAACCTCCATAGGCTCCTAACTCTCCGTGGATTCAGCTCAGGCATTATGCTTCCAGCTCAGCCAGTGTATTTGGACGCATGGTGTGTTGAACATTGTTGCTGGAAAGAGATGACACTGCCGAAGCAATTATGCTCTATTTTTTTTTCCAAAAACCCTTCATGCTTAGCAATTTTGAAAATTATTTTATCTGAAAAAATTACATCTCCTAAGTGTGTTGTAGAAGGCTGCAGAGTTGACCTTACAGAAGTGTTGCTAAATAGGAGGATTTTATAACTGGAAGAAAATGTAGAGTCCATCTGCCTGGCCCCGTGTTTGCATGTCACAGGTAAGGGAATGGCGCTTAGAGAAACCGACTTGCCTCTAGCCATATGGTTAATTAGTGGCAGAGATGAACTAGAATTCAATTCTTCTGGTTCTCAGTTTCTTTTTACTACAGAATGTTGTGGCTTATCTGTGTTATATCTTGAATACACATCACATTTTTGACAACATTTCAATGTTAGAGACATGCTACTTTATTAACAGTCCTCACCTAAATCTTCGTTCTCTTCAAATGCCTCCTGAGTAGATACAGCACATTGCTGATGAAAGAATTTAACTTAAAGAACTCACTTTACTGCATTCAAATCAGCCCGTTAAACATTCTGCACTTTAAGCTTTTATTCTAGATTCCATTGTGAGGTGATAATGAGGTGCTGAAAACTAATTAGATCATCAGACAAAACTGTCTGGCCCGCCATCTGCTGAGTCTGGAGAGTGATAGTCCCTGGTTGAAATGAGAAATGAGACTAAAAATAACCACCCCACCCCTTTTTTCTTCCTGTTCCTTGCCCTGTTCTTGTCTTGGTGCATGGTGGAGAAAGGATTATGTAAGATTCAAGGCTGGCTTGCCCAGCCAGCCAGCTGTGTGGCCATGTGTTTCTTTTTTTTTTTTTTCTTTTTTTTTCTTTTTATTATTATTATTATTATACTTCAAGTTTTAGGGTACATGTGCACAATGTGCAGGTTTGTTACATATATATACATGTGCCATGTTGGTGTGCTGCACCCATTAGCTCGTCATTTAGCATTAGGTATATCTCCTAATGCTATCCCTCCCCCCTCCCCCCACCCCGCAACAGTCCCTTGTGTGTGATGTTCCCCTTCCTGTGTCCATGTGTTCTCATTGTTCAATTCCCACCTATGAGTAAGAACATGCGGTGCTTGGTTTTTTGTCCTTGTGATAGTTTGCTGAGAATGATAGTTTCCAGCTTCATCCATGTTCCTACAAAGGACATGAACTCATCATTTTTTATGGCTGCATAGTATTCCATGGTGTATATGTGCCACATGTTCTTAATCCAGTCTATCATTGTTGGACATTTGGGTTGGTTCCAAGTCTTTGCTATTGTGAATAGTGCCGCAATAAACATACGTGTGCATGTATCTTTATAGCAGCATGATTTATAGTCCTTTGGGTATATACCCAGTAATGGGATGGCTGGGTCAAATGGTATTTCTAGTTCTAGATCCCTGAGGAATCGCCACACCGACTTCCACAATGGTTGAACTAGTTTACAGTCCCACCAACAGTGTAAAAGTGTTCCTGTTTCTCCACATCCTCTCCAGCACCTGTTGTTTCCTGACTTTTTAATGATCGCCATTCTAACTGGTGTGAGATGGTATCTCATTGTGGTTTTGATTTGCATTTCTCTGATGGCCAGTGATGATGAGCATTTTTTCATGTGTTTTTTGGCTGCATAAATGTCTTCTTTTGAGAAGTGTCTGTTCATATCCTTTGCCCACTTTTTGATGGGGTTGTTTGTTTTTTCTTGTAAATTTGTTTGAGTTCATTGTAGATTCTGGATATTAGCCCTTTGTCAGATGAGTAGGTTGCAAAAATTTTCTCCCATTTTGTTCACTCTGATGGTGGTTTCTTTTGCTGTGCAGAAGCTCTTGAGTTTAATTAGATCCCATTTGTCAATTTTGGCTTTTGTTGCCATTGATTTTGGTGTTTTAGGCATCAAGTCCTTGCCCGTGCCTATGTCCTGAATGGTATTGCCTAGGTTTTCTTCTAGGGTTTTTATGGTTTCAGGTCTAATATTTAAGTCTTTAATCTATCTTGAATTAATTTTTGTATAAGGTGTAAGGAAGGGATCCAGTTTCAGTTTTCTACATATGGCTAGCCAGTTTTCACAGCACCATTTATTAAATAGGGAATCCTTTCTCCATTTCTTGTTTTTGTCAGGTTTGTCAAAGATCAGATAGTTGTAGACATGTGGCATTATTTCTGAAGGCTTTGTTCTGTTCCATTGCTCTATATCTCTGTTTTGGTACCAGTACCATGCTGTTTTGGTTACTGTAGCCTTGTAATATAGTTTGAAGTCAGGTAGCGTGATGCCTCCAGCTTTGTTCTTTTGGCTCAGGATTGACTTGGAAATGTGGGTTCTTTTTTGGTTCCGTATGAACTTTAAAGTAGTTTTTTCCAATTCTGTGAAGAAAGTCATTGGTAGCTTGATGGGGATGACATTGAATCTATAAATTAACTTGGGCAGTATGGCCATTTTCACGATATTGATTCTTCCTACCCATGAGCATGGAATGTTCTTCCATTTGTTTGTATCCTCTTTTATTTCATTGAGCAGTGGTTTGTAGTTCTCCTTGAAGAGGTCCTTCATATCCTTTGTAAGTTGGATTCCTAGGTATTTTATTCTCTTTGAAGCAATTGTGAATGGGAGTTCACTCATGAGTTGGCTCTTTGTTTGTCTGTTATTGGTGTATAAGAATGCTTGTGATTTTTGCACAGTGATTTTGTATGCTGAGACTTTGCTGAAGTTGCTTATCAGCTTAAGGAGATTTTGGGCTGAGTTGATGGGGTTTTCTAGATATACAATCATGTCATCTGCAAACAGGGACAATTTGACTTCCTCTTTTCCTAATTGAAAGCCCTTTATTTCCTTCTCCTGCCTGATTGCCCTGGCCAGAACTTCCAACACTATGTTGAATAGGAGTGGTGAGAGAGGGCATCCCTGTCTTGTGCCAGTTTTCAAAGGGAATGCTTCCAGTTTTTGTCCATTCAGTATGATACTGGCTGTGGGTTTGTCATAGATAGCTCTTATTATTTTGAGATATGTCCCATCAGTACCTAATTTATTGAGAGTTTTTAGCATGAAGCATTGTTGAATTTTGTCAAAGGCCTTTTGTACATCTATTGATAATCATGTGGTTTTTGTCTTTGGTTCTGTTTATATGCTGGATTGCATTTATTGATTTTCGTATGTTGAACCAGCCTTGCATCCCAGGGATGAAGCCCACTTGATCATGGTGGATAAGCTTTTTGATGTGTTGCTGGATTCAGTTTGCCTGTATTTTATTGAGGATTTTTGCATCAATGTTCATCAAGGATATTGGTCTAAAATTCTCTTTTTTTGTTGTGTCTCTGCCAGGCTTTTGTATCAGGATGATGCTGGCCTCATAAAATGAGTTAGGGAGGATTCCCTCTTTTTCTCTTGATTGGAATAGTTTCAGAAGGAATGGTACCAGCTTCTCCTTGTACCTCTGGTAGAATTTGGCTGTGAATCCATCTGGTCCTGGACTTTTTTTGGTTGGCCAGCTATTAATTATTGCCTCAATTTCAGAGCCTGTTATTGGTCTATTCAGAGATTCAACTTCTTCCTGGTTTGGTCTTGGGAGAGTGTATGTGTCGAGGAATTTATCCATTTCTTCTAGATTTTCTAGTTTATTTGCGTAGAGGTGTTTACAGTATTCTCTGATGGTAGTTTATATTTCTGTGGGATCAGTGTTGATATCCCCTTTGTCATTTTTTATTGTGTCTATTTGATTCTTCTCTCTTTCATTCTTTATTAGTCTTGATAGTGGTCTATCAATTTTGTTGATCTTTTCAAAAAACCAGCTCCTAGATTCATTGATTTTTTTTTGAAGGGTTTTGTGTCTCTATTTCCTTCAGTTCTGCTCTCATCTTAGTTATTTTTTGCCTTCTGCTAGCTTTTGAATGTGTTTGCCCTTGCTTCTTTAGTTTTTTTAGTTGTGATGTTAGGGTGTCAATTTTAGATCTTTCCTGCTTTCTCTTGTGGGCATTTAGTGCTACAAATTTCCCTCTACACACTGCTTTGAATGTATCCCAGAGACTCTGGTATGTTGTGTCTTTGTTCTCACTGGTTTCAAAGAACATCTTTATTTCTGCCTTCATTTCGTTATGTACCCAGTAGTCATTTAGGAGCAGGTTGTTCAGTTTCCATGTAGTTGAGCGGTTTTGAGTGAGTTTCTTAATCCTGAGTTCTAGTTTGATTGCACTGTGGTCTGAGAGACAGTTTGTTATAATTTCCGTTCTTTTACATTTGCTGAAGAGTGCTTTACTTCCAACTATGTGGTCAATTTTGGAATAAGTGTGGTGTGGTGCTGAAAAGAATGTATATTCTGTTGATTTGGGATGAAGAGTTCTGTAGATGTCTTTTAGGTCTGCTTGGTGCAGTGCTGAGTTCAATTCCTGGATATCCTTGTTAACTTTCTGTTTCCTTGATCTGTCTAATGTTGACAGTGGGGTGTTAAAGTCTCCCATTATTACTGTGTGGGAGTCTAAGTCTCTTTGTAGGTCACTAAGGACTTGCTTTATGAATCTGGGTGCTCCTGTATTGGGTGCATATATATTTAGGATAGTTAGTTCTCCTTGTTGAATTGATCCCTTTACCATTATGTAATGGCCTTCTTTGTCTCTTCTGATCTTTGTTGGTTTAAAGTCTGTTTTATCAGAGACTAGGATTGCAACCCCTGCCTTTTTTTCGTTTTCCATTTGCTTGGTAGATCTTCCTCCATCCTTTTATTTTGAGCCTATGTGTGTCTCTGCACGTGAGATGGGTTTCCTGAATACAGCACACTGATGGGTCTTGACTCTTTATCCAATTTGCCAGTCTGTGCCTTTTAATTGGAGCATTTAGCCCATTTACATTTAAGTTTAGTATTGTTATGTGTGAATTTGATCCTGTCATTATGATGTTCGCTGGTTATTTTGCTCATTAGTTGATGCAGTTTCTTCCTAGCCTCGATGGTCTTTACAATTCGGCATGTTTTTGCAGTGGCTGGTACTGGTTTTTCCTTTCCATGTTTAGTGCTTCCTTCAGGAGCTCTTTTAGGGCAGGCCTGGTGGTGACAAAATCTCTCAGCATTTGCTTGTCTGTAAAGTATTTTATTTCTCCTTCCCTTATGAAGCTTAGTTTGGCTGCGTATGAAATTCTGGGTTGAAAATTCTTTTCTTGAAGAATGTTGAATATTGGTCCCCACTCTCTTCTGGCTTGTAGAGTTTCTGCTGAGAGATGAGCTGTTAGTCTGATGGGCTTCCCTTTGTGGGTAACCTGACCTTACTCTCTGGCTGCCCTTAACATTTTTTCCTTCATTTCAACTTTGGTGAATCTGACAATTATGTGTCTTGGAGTTGCTCTTCTCAAGGAGTATCTTTGTGGCATTCTCTGTATTTCCTGAGTTTGAATGTTGGCCTGCCTTGCTAGATTGGGGAAGTTCTCCTGGATAATATCCTGCAGAGTGTTTTCCAACTTGGTTCCATTCTCCCTGTCACTTTCAGGTACACCAATCAGATGCAGATTTGGTCTTTTCACATAGTCCCATATTTCTTTGAGGCTTTGTTCGTTTCTTTTTATTCTTTTTTCTCTAAACTTCTCTTCATGCTTCATTTCATTCATTTCATCTTCCATCGCTGATACCCTTTCTTCCAGTTGATTGCATCGGTTACTGAGGCTTGTGCATTTGTCACGTAGTTCTTGTGCCATGGTTTTCAGCTCCATCAGGTCCTTTAAGGACTTCTCTGCATTGGTTATTCTAGTTATTCATTCGTCTAATTTTTTTTTCAAAGTTTTTAACTTCTTTGCCTTTGGTTCGAACTTCTTCCTTTAGCTCAGAGTAGTTTGATCTTCTGAAGCCTTCTTCTCTCAACTCGTCAAAGTCATTCTCCGTCCAGCCTTGTTCTGTTGCTGGTGGGGAGCTGCGTTCCTTTGGAGGAGGAGAGGTGCTCTGATTTTTAGAGTTTCTGGTTTTTCGGCTCTGTTTTTTCCCCATCTTTGTGGTTTTATCTACTTTTGGTCTTTGATGATGGTGATGTACAGATGGGTTTTTGGTATGGATGTCCTTTCTGTTTGTTAGTTTTCCTTCTAATAGTCAGGACCCTCAGCTGCAGGTCTGTTGGAGTTTACTGGAGGTCCACCCCAGACCCTGTTTGCCTGAGTATCAGCAGCGGTGGCTGCAGAACAGCGGATATTGGTGAACCGCAAATGCTGCTGCCTGATCGTTCCTCTGGAAGTTTTGTCTCAGAAGAGTACCCGGCCGTGTGAGGTGTCATTCTGCCCCTACTGAGGGCTGCCTCCCAGTTAGGCTACTTGGGGATTAGGGACCCACTTGAGGAGGCAGTCTGCCAGTTCTCAGATCTCAAGCTGTGTGCTGGGAGAAACACTACTCTCTTCAAAGCTGCCAGACAGGGACATTTAAGTCTGCAGAGGTTATTGCTATCTTTTGTTTGTCTGTGCCCTGCCCCTAGAGGTAGAGCCTACAGAGGCAGGCAGGCCTCCTTGAGCTGTGGTGGGCTCCACCCAATTCAAGTTTCCTGGCCGCTTTGTTTACCTGCTCAAGCCTGGGCAATGGCAGGCGCCCCTCCCCCAGCCTCGCTGCTGCCTTGCAGTTTGATCTCAGACTGCTGTGCTAGCAATGAGTAAGGCTCTGTGGGCATAGGACCCTCCGAGCCAGGTGCAGGATACAATCTCCTGGTGTGCCGTTTGTTAAGCCCGTTGGAAGAGCGCAGTATTAGGGTGAGAGCGACCCGATTTTCCAGGTGCCGTCTGTCACCCCTTTCTTTGACTAGGAAAGGGAATTCCCTGACCCCTTGCACTTCCCGGGTGAGAAGCCTCGCCCTGCTTCGGCTCACACACGGTGCGCTGCACCCACTGTCCTATACCCACTGTCTGGCACTTCCTAGTGAGATGAACCCGGTACCTCAGTTGGAAATGCAGAAATCACCCATCTTCTGCATCGCTCACACTGGGAGCTGTAGACTGGAGCTGTTCCTATTCAGCCATCTTGGCTCCGCCCCAAAAACAAGATAATTCTAATTTGTCACTGCTTACCATGAGTCATGAGTAACTGTCCTCATATGGCCCAGTTTTTAATGTTAGTAACACTTAAAAGCAAAGAAAAATTGATAAAAATAAAAATTTATAATTTAGAAGAAAGTTTTACCGAAAACAGTCAACTCTCCTGGGTCACTGTCCCTTTCTCCCACCATATTGGTACCAATACAAGTATACATCCCTGCATCACTTTTCCTGGTATTGGAGATCATCCGTTTTCCACCACGGATACTTATTGTTTCTTCCTTGTCATGAATTCGAACTTTGTCTTTTTTCCAGTAGATGGTGGGTTCTGGGTGTCCCTGGGGAGGCTGGCACTCCACGATTGCAGGCTCTCCAGCTGCCACTACAACATCTGTGGGGTTTTTTCAGAAATCATCTCGTAACACTCTGCAGTGAACTTGAAACACCAAAAGAAACAATCCAATCCCATTCTTTTATGTCTCTTAGACTATGTCCTGTGAGAGTCCTCTCTTCAGACCTTGAGAATTAATTCCTGCCACATGAAGTTGTACCACTGTCTCCTCCCTAGGCTGCTCTGCACCAGGCTGAGCCAGGTCCCAGTTCTTCCTCAGCCTCCCCATGTGTCTCTTATGTAGATGTTAGATCTTATATATCCATAGAGTATTGCAACTGCAGTATTGCAGTGTTCTTCATCTTCTAGTAGGTTTCACCTCCACCTCCATTCACATGCCCTACTCCATCATATGTTTAGGGGCATAGAAGATGGTTTAAGTGGCATAGTATTCACATTAACCAAGTTGTCGAGACCCCAAAGCGTACATGGGCAGAATGTCTCCCACTTGGATTTTGGAATGAATTCCTGGATCCTTTCTTCAGGTGAACTTGATTTCTAGCTCTTCTTTTACCATGGATTCAAATGGCTCATCCTTCTGGAACTAGCTAGGCAGCCTTTCTTTGTTCACAAGCACCTGATTCTATTATTTTCCTGGAACAAAGAACTAAACTTGATGGCCAAATTTTCTCCTCAGATTATTAAAATCCTAGTAACTGTTTACTTTGTATGCCTAGTACTCACCCAGAAAGCAAGACTGGCCCAGAACAGCTGGGACTTCATTTTTTAACATCTATGTACCCTTGGCTTCCACTTCCAGAGCTCTCTGGGGGAAATGGCTGAAGTTTTGGAAGTCTATACTAGATGACAGGGTGTGAAGTTTGTGTGAGGGACTATTTTGTCAAATTATTGTGGCTGTCACTTTCATGTTATGATTCAGAACTCAAAAGTCAAGTTCCTTTTGAAAATCGGTCAAACCACATGCTCTAGTATAAAGCAAACAGTAAAGGAGACAAATTCAAAATTGAAATTCAAAATTCCAACACTCAGTAAGACGTAAGCCAGAAATTAGTCATATTTGTGTTAATGCTAAATAAGCAATAGCACTTTTGGTATTGAATTAATATTGTACTTCATAGGGTATTTTTTTCTCTTACAAACAGGGGGCACTCTTAACTGTCCAATTTATGTTCTAAAAAAAACCCCAATGACTAATACTTAGGTTGTATTTACACAGCACTTTTGATTCAACTCTTTCACTCAGAATAGATTTGTGTTAGCCCCTTCCACAACATTAGCTACGAGGTCTCTCTGTTGCCCGAATGTAACTGACATCTCCAAACTCCACCATGACCAAAAATAAATCAAGACAAACCTACAACCACCACTATGGAAACAGACAACCAACAAGCTGAAGAGATGAACAAAATTCAACTGCTCCAAAATAATAATGGATATGTGTTAACTTGGTCCCGAATCTCTTGTTTCTTACTGAGGCCAGAATCACTGAGTTTCTTGTAATAGCTCCATTTCCAGTTTTTTGGACTAATTATTTTAAATGAAGCCCTGAATGATGACCTGTCCCATCATTGCATGCTTTAAACTGGCTCCTCCACCCACCTTTTAGTGGACACAGAGGAATAACAGTGAATTTGTGGTGTCATGGCCAGCCGGTTGGTGTGAATGGGAGCCCTCTGACCTCCACTTCATCTTTGTCTTTGCCTACTTGTGTGTCCCTCCATGACCTGCAGGCTGCTGGCTTGTTCCCAGCTCCACACTCACACTATTGAACTTAAAATGTTGACCTTTGCTACTCAAAATGTGGTTCTTGAAATATCAGCCCAGGCCTCTTGTATGAGTTTGTTAGAATCACAGAATTTCAGGCCCACCTCAGGCCTGGGGAATCATAAGCGGCCCTTTAGTCAGATTGCTGTGCACATTACAGTTCTAGATGTCCTACTGGGCACTGTGAGTGTTTTCTCTCTTTGGCTCCAATTCCTGATTCTCCCTGGCTCCATCTCAGTGCCTGCTCCTGCCCCAACAGCCACTTGCATGGGGATTGCCTGACAGCTGCCTCCCAGCATGATGCGGAGCAGAGGAGAAAGCCTCAGCTGTTCCTTGTCTTGGATAGAGCTGTACTGCTGCACAAGTTTTAATTATCATATGTGTGTTTTCCTCCCTCTAATAGTTTATAAATTCCCTTAAGGGCAGAATCCATTTATGATTCATCTCTTTATCACACCAAGTGCCCTGGATGTGCCTCATTTGGCAATAGATTTAATTTATTAAATTAAGGAGTGCACTTACATGATGGGAAATGGCTGAGACTCAGGGTTTGCATTTGAAACATCGCTGGAGGGGATTTGAAATATTTGATGACCAAACAGCAAACCTTGAGAGAAGAGGCACTAATTGGAAATATAACAGATCCCACATTAAGACAGATATCATTGAACCCCTTGTTGGGCTACTCATAATTGTCTGACCCCACCGTATCTGAATTTCATTTTTCTTCTGCCTTTCTAAAATGGGAGGTTAGTACCACAATCACGGGATTATTAAAATAAACAATTTAAATCATATAAATAAAGCAAATTACAAACTGCTTGACATATGATAAGGATTTAATAAATCTATGTTACCCCTTCTCCATTTCTAACCCAGCTTAAGTAAGAAATGCAAAGCATATTTTTTCATGTGTTTTTTGGTTGCACAAATGTCTTCTTTTGAGAAGTGTCTGTTCATGTCCTTCACCCACTTTTTGATGGGGTTGTTTGTTTTTTTCTTGTAAATTTGTTTGAGTTCATTGTAGATTCTGGATATTAGCCCTTTGTCAGATGAGTAGGTTGCAAAAATTTTCTCCCATTTTGTAGGTTGCCTGTTCACTCTGATGGTAGTTTCTTTTGCTGTGCAGAAGCTCTTGAGTTTAATTAGATCCTATTTGTCAATTTTGGCTTTTGTTGCCATTGCTTTTGGTGTTTTAGACATGAAGTCCTTGCCCATGCCTATGTCCTGAATGGTAATGCCTAGGTTTTCTTCTAGGGTTTTTATGGTTTTAGGTCTAACATTTAAGTCTTTAATCCATCTTGAATTAATTTTTGTATAAGGTGTAAGGAAGGGATCCAGTTTCAGCTTTCTACATATGGCTAGCCAGTTTTCACAGCACCATTTATTAAATAGGGAATCCTTTCCCCATTGCTTGTTTTTGTCAGGTTTGTCAAAGATCAGATAGTTGTAGATATGTGGTGTTATTTCTGAGGGCTCTGTTCTCTTCCATTGATCTATATCTCTGTTTTGGTACCAGGACCATGCTGTTTTGGTTACTGTAGCCTTGTAGTATAGTTTGAAGTCAGGTAGCGTGATCCCTCCAGCTTTGTTCTTTTGGCTTAGGATTGACTTGGCGATGCGGGCTCTTTTTTGGTTCCATATGAACTTTAAAGTGGTTTTTTCCAATTCTGTGAAGAAAGTCATTGGTAGCTTGATGGGGATGACATTGAATCTATAAATTACCTTGGGCAGTATGGCCATTTTCATGATATTGATTCTTCCTCCCCATGAGCATGGAATGTTCTTCCATTTGTTTGTATCCTCTTTTATTTCATTGAGCAGTGGTTTGTAGTTCTCCTTGAAGAGGTCCTTCATATCCCTTGTAAGTTGGATTCCTAGGTATTTTATTCTCTTTGAAGCAATCGTGAATGGGAGTTCACTCATGATTTGGCTCTCTGTTTGTCTGTTATTGATGTATAAGGTTGCTTGTGATTTTTGTACATTGATTTTGTATGCTGAGACTTTGTTGAAGTTGCTTATCAGCTTAAGGAGATTTTGGGCTGAGACAATAGGGTTTTCTAGATATACAATCATGTCATCTGCAAACAGGGACAATTTGGCTTCCTCTTTTCCTAATTGAATACCCTTTATTTCCTTCTGGTCAGGAAACAACAGGTGCTGGAGAGGATGTGGAGAAATAGGAACACTTTTACACTGTTGGTGGGACTGTAAACTAGTTCAACCCTTGTGGAAGTCAGTGTGGCGATTCCTCAGGGATCTAGAACTAGAAATACCATTTGACTCAGCCATCCCGTTACTGGGTATATACCCAAAGGACTATAAATCATGCTGCTATAAAGATACATGCACACGTATGTTTATTGCGGCATTATTCACAATAGCAAAGACTTGGAACCAACCCAAATGTCCAACAATGATAGACTGGATTAAGAAAATGTGTCGCATATACACCATGGAATACTATGCAGCCATAAAAAATGATGAGTTCATGTCCTTTGTTTTGTAGGGACATGGATGAAATTGGAAATCATCATTCTCAGTAAACTATTGCAAGAACAAAAAACCAAACACCGCATTTTCTCACTCATAGGTGGGAATTGAACAATGAGAACGCATGCACACAGGAAGGGGAACATCACACTCTGGGGATTGTTGTGGGGTGGGGGAACGGGGGAGCTATAGCTTTAGGAGATATACCTAATGCTAAATGACAAGTTAATGGGTGCAGCACACCAGCGTGGCACATGTATATATATGTAACTAACTTGCACATTGTGCACATGTACCCTAAAACTTAAAGTATAATAATAATAAAATAAAAAAAAGAAATACAAAGCATAGATGCTTTTTTTGTGAAGGAATTATAGAGCAAGGACATTTGGATTCATTATTTGAAATAATTAGTATTTGTTTTCTCTCCATCATGTCAAAACAGAGAATTTGAAGTAATTTCAAAACTAAGAGCAGTGGTCCAAAAGAAAAAAAAAAAACTTCTCATAGTTTATCCATAGTTTAAACACAACAATCACTAATGAGCAGAACTGTGTCTATAAGATTTCTGGAGTTCAAGGTGAGTAGGGAAACAAGTTTGGTAAGTCACAGTGCTGGAAAGGAGGAAATGGTACTTCTGTGGAGCAAAGAAGCAGCTCTGAAAGAAGTTTCTTATAAGAATCCTTTAGTGGATCATTCCACGAACATATTTCTATATTTCATACAATGACATGTACATGTCATACAATGGAATGTGTTTATTTCATAAACAGACCCCACATGGATGTGTCTCATAACAATGATCTTGGATAAACTTTGAAGGCATAATCATGAAAATCCATTAATGGAAGTTCATTTTCCCTAATCCTCTCCCTTATTTGAAAATCTCTCTTTCTGTAAAGGTACTTTGTGTTCTCCTTTAGCAGGTGTAGTCCCCCGTGTACACGATTCCGTCTCAGGACTCACACCCATGCTGTGATAATTTATTAACGAAGAACTTATGCATAGTTCACTGCAGGTTGTGAGAGTGAGCATCGTCTGGTTTATGTTTTTGTCTTCGTTGCCCACAGCCGTACCTGGTACCTAGTAGTCAGTAATAAATGGATGAACAGGGAGTGAGTAACAGGCACACTGGTTCTCAGCTCTGGCCGCACTTTAGAGTCCTCTGGGGAGCTTTTATATAATATTGATGCCTGAAAACTTCCCCTAGAAATTCAGACTTAATTGGCTTGGGGTAAAGAACTGTCACAGGTACTTTATAAGCTGGTCAAAGTGATTTAAATGTACGGTCAGAGCTGAGAACCAATAGGACAAATTATCTAAATATACTATTCAACTTAGTGAGATTACAGCATAATTTTAACCAGTTACTATACGATGTAGGGTAGTGTGATGGATATCAGAATGAGGAAGACACAGTCCTTGCCCTCGAAAAGCTGATAATTTGGTAGCAAGAGATGGTATGGACATTCCAATCAGTATCTGGCATGATGATGATGATAACCACGACAATAAGAGCATGTTCTATCAGAGGCACATATGGTGCCAGCCACAGGGAGCTTTACAACCTACATTATCTTATTTAATCTCTACAGCCACCCCGTGAGAGAACCATTGTCATTTACTTAATCCCATTTTACAAGATGAGAAGACTGAGGTTTAGTGAATTGAAGGGTTTTGGACATGACTTCAAACCATCTTAACGTGTGCTTTTCCTTTTTGGCGGGATGGTTTTCTGAGTTTCCCTTTTTAGTTTCCACTGTATCATGAAAATGGAAGGGAAATAGGCTGACACCTGCTTGGGGCTATTTGTGCGGCCCCTGGTGCCCGTGCTGGCTGTGCCCGCCCGTGGCTGGGTTGGTGTGGCTGTGTGCCCCCCGGTGCCCCTGTTGGCTGTGCCTGCCTGTGGGTGGGGGTGACGTGGCAGTAGCTGATTGCCCTCGCGGTGCCCCTGGGTGGGGCCGGATGTGAGGAAGCCGGTGGTGACTGAGGGCTGAGCGGGAACCCTCACTTTACAAATGTGGGAAATGAGGGGGTCATGGTTTAAGAACTTTAGTTCAGGACACACAGCTGGCCAAAGTACGCTATGTGCAGGTGCCATTTTAAACCCTTTATGAGTATTGACTCATTCCTCATAAAACCCTTTATGAGTATTGACTCATTCCTATTAAAACCTGTGAGGAATGGACCATTATCTCCTTTTTACTGTTGACAAAATGGAAGCAACGCAGTTAATCCACTCGCCCATGTCATAAATCAGTAAGAACCTGAAGGCCCATCTAGGAGGTCTCTTCTCACCCACAGCTCAGGCGGCCCTTAGCAGTAGGTGATTGAGTGTGGATTCCACAGAGGCCTCTCAGAGGCTGGAGGGAACGCGGCGTTACATTTTATTACGTAGTGAATTGCCGCTGTTAGCATTAAGATTATTCCTCCTAAACCCAAGCCTGTCCTTGGTGGCCAGGGAGGTATAATTGAGGGGGTGGGAAGCAAGGTCTCTGGCCCTCAGCTCACTAAACATTTCCCGACACTCAGCAGCCTCCTTCCTCAGAAATTGTTTTTAGAGTCACAAAAGGTTTTAAAGACAAAATTTTATAAACTGTTAAAATAGCAGAGTTCCCTGTTTTACTTTATTTTCCTCCTCCTCATGCTGCACTCCCAGGGCTTCACTCTTCTTCACAGCCAGATCCACAGCGAGTTAAATTCGCTGCCTCCCAAGGGAGACCTCCAGCCTGTTCTATTTGAGCAGATTTTCTTTTCTTTCTTTTTGCATTTCACACACACGTACACATACATTCACACACCCACACGTACACACATGTGCACACTTGCATACACACGCACACATGTGTACACACCTATGTGCACACACACGTACATACACACGTGCACATACACGAAGAGGCACATGTACACACACAGTAGTTCGTGATCCTTCATTCACGTTTAGTTGTGACTCCTCGTCCTTTTCAAGCCTTCCCAGGCATTTGTAGAAAAGCAGATCTGGAAAGCTTTCTGACCCAAGTTCTGGGATGGGAAGGCACTTAGAGAGAGATTGCTTGTTGATTCCCAGTATTTGGAAAATAGTTGCAAAGGGGTTTCATGCCTTGCCCACCTCCCGCAGCTCCTCGAGGGTGACACTTGGACCAGTGCTGGGTCCCTCCTCCTCCACTGTAAGGATCCTTCATTAGGAAGCAGGCTCTGCTCTATAAGCTTGAGTCAAGAAGAAAAAACCCAGCCTTTGAAGGGTTTATAACCTAGCAAGGGGAAGTTTCTAAAAAGCCAGAGACCTACATATACACTTTTATGACAGTTTTCTGCTTTCATTTGCTGGGGACAAGCCTTGGGGAAGATATTAAGACAACTCTGGAGAAAACCGAGTGTAAGGCTGATGTCTCTCCATCTGTTCCTGAAGAACCCCCAAATGGGGAGAGTAGAAAGGGATGTCAATTTAGCTCCATCCCAACTCGGTTCAGCTCACGCAGACAGAGGCAAGGCTACTGCACCACCACCCTGCCATAGCCCTTGGCCACATGTGAATCCCAAGAGGAGATATGGCCTAAGCTCAAGCTGGGACCCGCCCTGGCTGCCTAACCTTGAAAGTGAAGAGGGCGTGCCCCTCTTCACTAGTGAGAAACCTGGGAGGTTGATGGTGAATACAGAAGTTCTTACACCTCTACATCCTAGGGTGCTGAGACTTCCAGCCCCATCCCTATCCCTGTCCTGCAGTGTTAGATTAGACATTTCTGTGTCTCTCCACAATTCTCTTGGGATTCTCCTGGGGGCGGTGCATGTGCCAGGTACCTTCAGTGCTTCTCCGCTGTCTAAAGCTGGCTGTCCTCAGCTCTTTTCTTTCCACTTTGGGGAAAGCTATGTGTTCAGTGACTCACTTTCTCAGACTCATCCATGCTGAACCTTTCCAGGTGCAATAAGTTAACTTGGGTAATGGTGGCCAGAGTAGTCTGCAGGGTTCTCCATCTCTGTCTTCTCTTAGGGATGTCATGATTTACATTTTGTCAATGATTTATTTATTTGTCCTTTCTCCCCACTTTCTTCCAGAATGGACTTAATACATAAAAATTGTGGGTTGAGAATTGACTTGATTCAGATGAAGAGAGTAGCTCACAGGCTGGTAGAGGTTGGAAAACAATTCAATTTGCCCCTGAGTCCCTTACTGAGGAAAGACTAGTGAGAGTTACCCTGATAAAATTTTCAGCACAGTTTAGAGAACATCATTACTGGCACCATATCAGTGGCCTAACCCACAACCCCTCTGCTTTAAATAGTTTTTTCATAGTGTTTTTCTAATGATTTTCTTTTATTAAATATAACACATACTCCTTAAAAGTGCACAGAACACTAAGGGCAAGTTTATACAGCAAATATCCTGTAATGAAAATCAAGAATGGCTATGTTATTTATGGAACTCAGTGCAAAATGAGAGTGCAAGGCCCCTTATTAAAAAATTATGAAAAATTTTGACCAGGCGCGGTGGCTCATGCCTGTAATCCCAGCATTTTGGGAGGCCGAGGCAGGCGAATCATCTGAGGTCGGGAGTTGGAGACCAGCCTGACCAACATGGAGAAACCCCGTCTCTACTAAAAAAATACAAAAATTTAGCCAGGCGTGGTGGTGCATGCCTGTAATCCCAGTTGCTTGGGAGGCTGAGGCAGGAGAATTGCTTGAACCCAGGAGGTGGAGGTTGCGGTGAGTGGAGATCGTGCCATTGCACTCCAGCCTGGGCAAAAAGAGCGAAACTCTATCTCAAAAAAAAAAAAAAAAAAAAAAAGAATTTCAAGATGACAGAGGCAGAGCATTAAACCAAACACAGGGTCTTCTAAGAGTGGGCTTTGTGCAATGGTGCTGGTTGCAGCCATAAAGTCGGCCTTGATGAGAATACAGCACACACACCCTTTTGTGCTATTTCTTCATCGCAACATCCTTCCTCTCACTAAAGGTAATCACTGTCCTGAACATCTACATCAGTCAATCTCATGGTTTCTTTATGTTGCGTTACCTCCCTGTGTGTATCCCTAATGATACAGTCTTCCCTCAGTATTCATGGGGGATTGGTTCCAGGACACCCTGTGGGTACTGAAATCCAAGGATGCTCAAGTCCTTGATACAAAATGGTGCATTATTTTCATATGACCTATGCACATTCTCCCATATGCTTTCAGTCATTTCTAAGTTAATTATTGATACCTGATACAATGTCATTGCTATGTAAAAAGTTGATATACTATATTTTTTATTTGCACTATTTTTTATTGTTGTATTTTTATTTTTTATTGATATTTTTCCCAAAAGTTTTTCATCAACCATTGATTGAATCTGTGAATGTGAAACTCATGGCTACAGAGGGCTGGCTGTAATGTTTTTATTGATTTTATACAATAGAAGTGGGATCACATGGTAGATTATTTTCTTCTCGATATGTCTTTTGTTAAATTCATTCATATTGTGTGTTGCTCATTGATTACAATTGCTCTATGTTATTTCATTGTATGAACATAACACAACACATCCACTTTAATGCAGATAGATGTATGGGCTGCTTTCAATTTTTGGATATTTTGAATACTAGCTTACATATATTTGGTTGCATTTCCTATAAGTTTCTCTGGGGTACATAACTTTATATATTTTCAAGCATGGACTTGCTTGGCCATAGGGTATATGCATCTTTAAATTTAGCAGAAAATATCAAAAAGTTTTCTGAAGTATTTATATCAAACTCCAAGGAGCATTAAATCGGAGTTCATATTGTTCTGTGATGTTATAAATACTTAGTGTTAAAAGACATTTCTATTTTTCTAAATCTAGTAGGAGTATAATTGTATCTCATTGTAGCTTTAATTTGCATTTCATTTATTACTAAAAAGGTTATCAACTTTTTCACATATGTACTGACCCTTTAGGTTTCCCCTCTTGTAAAAAACCTGTTCAAACATTTAGTCTATTTTTTATTGCTTTGTGTGTCTTTTTCTTGTAGATGTGTCGATCTTCATATACCCTAGATATTAGTCCTTTGTTTTAACTAGAGGAAATATCTTCCCCTACTTCGTGATGTGAATTATTGCTCTCTCTGTTTTTTTTTTTTTTTTTTTGAGACAGATTCTCTCTCTGTCACCCAGGCTGGAGTGCAGTGGTGTGATCTTGGCTCACTGCAATCTCTGCCACCTGGGTTCAAGTGATTCTCCTGCCTCAGCCTCCTGAGTTGCTGGGATTACAGGCATGTGCCACCATGCCTGGCTAATTTTTTTGTATTTTTATTAGATACGAGGTTTCACCATGTTGGCCAGGTTGGTCTCAATCTCCTGATCTCAGGTGATCCGCTCGCCTTGGCCTCCCAAAGTGCTAAGATTACAAGCATGAGCCACTGCACCTGGCCTCTTTTTGATATCTTTTATGAATGGATGTGGGTCAATTTTTGTGTCTGGTGTGAGGTAGAAATCCCATTTCACGTTTTAAAAAACACACGTGCAATTTTTCCTACTCCATTTCTTGCAAAGACCCCCTTCCCTGTGGCATATGGGGCCACCTCTGTCCTGTGTCCAGTCTCCACATGTGTGGGGTCTGTTTCTGAGCACTCTCTTAGGCCCCTTTGAGGCCCTGCATGAAAGGCAGGACTGCATTATGTAAAAAATCAAGGATTGACTCTCATTCCTTTGCTCTTTAAAAAGTTTGTCTATAATAAAATGAGTTTTTAGTGGGGCAATAGGCTGTTTTAGTGGGCTGTGGTGTTCATGAATCTTTTTTCTATACAAGTTTATGGATGGCCAAGTGAGGAAGTGACAGGGTAGAAGTCACAAGGCCCAAGTTCAAAGCCAGCTGGGTTATGCTTACAAGGAATTCTGCGTAAGTAACTTCTGTATGTCAGATCTTTTAAATCAAAGATAACAGCTCTCCAGCTGACTTAACAGCTGTTAACAGGATTAAATAATATAATATAGATTTTAAAATATTTGTTAACAATAGCAGCACAGGTAGTGCAAATGCAGGAGGAAGACACGAAAGTAATAAATACCCATGTAACAACACAGCAGTGTTGAGGGTGGAGTTGATTTGGTCTCATGTAGCCGGTAGACACTGGGCATTACTGTGTGTAGTATCAGTAGAGAGCTACTGTGATGCGTGACTACTTACCACTTGTCACCACTGCCTACTTTCTGCTTCTACTATTGTTACCAAATTCAGAGAGCAGACACTGGTCTTGTCATGTTTTAATGTGGAATCAGTAGGAAAAATCTCCCAAATTTCTTTTCCAGTGATGCTTGAGTGTTTTCCATTCTTGCTTAGTTCTTTGGACTTAATCTTCACTCTTTCCCTGGGGATTGCTCTTTGTCAGTAGTGGTAATGCTGAATTCCTGCACATGAATGTCACCATGTTAGGGAAACTTCCTGGAAAGCAGCAGAGAGGGAGGGAGGGAGGGAGAAAGAGAGAGAGAGAGAGAAGCTAACATTAATGAATGCTCTTTGTGTGGGGTTTGGATTGCTGAGAAGAGGAGAAGGAGAAAATAAGATGGTGCGTGAAGGCAAAAGTCATACTTCACTTTCTTCATTCCTAACAATGTCACACATTAATTAACCAGTTGACCTCTCTGTCAGATCCGTAGTTTGTTCCTCTAACATAGGAAGAGAAGCAGTGCTCTGAGCCTCTGTCCCTTCCCTCTTCTTCAGCCTCTTATCCCAGTGGGTCACAGGTGGTCCCAGACCAGCAGCATCAACATCCCCTGAGAATGTTTTAGAAGTGCACATTCCCCAAGCCCTGTCCTGCCCTACCTAATCGGGGGTCTGAGGTGGGGGTAGGTGGGAGGAATCTGTGCCTTAACAAATCCTCTTGTGCTTCTGTGTGTGTGCACGTTGTCCTAACCAAACTCCGGGACCAGGACTGTCTGTCTCAATGGGCTGTGCAGTGCCCTCCCACACTGATTCTGCAGAGGCTTTGACAGAAGCACCCGTGCCACCCCCCTAGAGTCACCTGCGTAATGCTGATTTGTCACTTGAGGCTGTACTCAGGGAGCAGCTGTCTCTTATTTCCAGGGGCCACTTTGTACTGGGGGCTGTGAGCACCTGTGGACAGGGATGAAACCACCGTACTCGTCTCTGGATTCCAGCACCTACCTTAGTGGCTGGTCCAGCATAGCCACCTGATAACCACTTGCTGAAATACTACAGTACAGAGGCAACATGATATAGTGGGAACTAGTGTTAAACCAGGAGCCACAAAGCTCTCAGTTGAAAACCAGGCTCCACCACTGTGTAGTCAAGTAGCCTTAGGCAAGTCATATCTGAAGGAAAGATCCATTTGTCTTTTTCTTCACATTTTTCACAAAGCTACTTTCTGGTGAGGATTGGGTGAATTTGATCTCTGAAGTTCCCAGGATGGCCATAGACCTTTATCCGTAAATCCTAGTAAAGAGAAAAACGAAAAAGGAGACAAATGTTCATTGGAAGGCACTGTTCTAAGTGCAGTGGGATAGAGCCTTGAGCTGATCAGAATATGCTATTTTTCTTTGGTCCTGGAGTTATTACATTTGCTTCTTCAAGTAAGTTAAAATAGACTCATTTCTTATTGATTTATAAGAACTAGAAACCCACCTCTAATGCGTTTGTGGAGGTGAGAATGTACCCATGAGGAGTGAACTCAGAGTTGAATTTGGAGGTGGACCTCTGGGGTGCACTGGCATTGCTGAGTACAAACCTGGGGTCAAAGTTAGAGGTGGGGTAGGCAAGGTTCTAATGAAAATGTGCTTTGATACCTGGCTAAATTTCTTGACCTTTCCTCTCAAATGGCAGCTGAGTTGGGGCTAGCATCAGCTGTCATCCCTCTCATAGAATCCTGGTTGGCACAGCCATCGGGAGCACTTGGAGGGCAAGTAGGGGGAGATTGGCCTGTTGCTGATGTCTTTGCCCACAGAGAACTGAAAATGTCCACTCCAAGAGTCTTGTCATGCATGTTGAATTCTGTTGGCTTTTGTGGGTGAATTAGGAGGGATTGAGATTAGTTCTTTCCTGCATCTTATTTCTTCTGCCTAGCCCTGAGTCTGTCTATAGAGAGAGGCCAGAGACATGATCGGTGGGTCTCCTCCAGCTCCCCCATTCCTCCAGTCTAAGGGGGCTTCCCTTGTGGTGGGCACTTGGATACCCAAGTACATATGTTGCCAGTGCTGGTTAGTCACGTGGCACGTAGCTGTGGTGGCTGTCAGAGCCCGGCATGGAGCCTTGTTTTCTGGTTCTGCTAACAAACCAAGCTTGAGCCAAGGAAGACAGATTGTTCCTGGTTTGTTTATAAGCTTACAGGGGAGTGGAAACAATCTTTCCAGCCAAGCTTCCTTGGGCCAGTTGAAGTGAAACCAAGGATTGTCCACTTATCTCAGTAATTAAGGCACAAAGAGACCCATGCTGTTTGGGTCTGACTTTTCCAAATCTGAGGGATGATGGTTTTAGCAAATTCAGTGTGGACCAGATCTTTGATTCACTGTGGTCATTCAGTCGTTTCTGAGTCATTGCTGGACAGCAGAAGCAGACAGCTGAATCACAGCTCAGAAAACCGTAATGAGCTGAGCAGCATTACAGCTTGTTTCGCTTAATATTTATTCTTAAAACATGACTTCATTTGTGATGGCTAT
Source organism: Homo sapiens (assembly GCF_000001405.40). Lineage (NCBI taxonomy): Eukaryota > Metazoa > Chordata > Mammalia > Primates > Hominidae > Homo > Homo sapiens. Next base: position 51,614,390 of record NC_000007.14, read on the forward strand.
ACTTGGAGATCCAGATACAAGTCCAGCGTGTTTGCTGTAACAAGTTAATGCGATGAAATATGGAAAAACCTATTTGCCTCTGTCTTCAAAATTTGCACAAAGCTCCTTTCTGGTGAGGATTGCGTTGCACTGATCTCTACACATTTTCCTGGCATGCAGTGCTGTTTGGCCCTTTATGGGATGGGCACAAAGACCCTGTGTCTACCTTCCCAGTGGGCTGCATAAGAGACCGGGCACAGTGGAGACACATACAAAGGGTGAGTATTTATTCTATAGAAAAACCAAGATTCATAAATAGGAAACAGAGACCAGTGTGTTATTCTTGATGTTTTATTCATAATGCTAGAAAAGAACTTTTAGTAACCAAGAATTGTATAAGACAAAAAGGTAGGTAGACTTTTCCCAAAAAGCTATGGCCTTGTTAAATAGCTACAGAAATTGATCATAAATGCCAGGTGGAAATGCTTGTTCCTTGACAAGAGTCTTCATTGTCCCAAACATATAAACAGCAGAGAAGTGATTTATTTACTGGGCTAAGCACTCTGCAAAGTCTTAAAAGGCTGTTTCCTTGTAAGTTAAGTGGAAAATTTGGGGTATAAATGTCAAAAGTTCTCACAAAAGCCTTGAATTAAATGGTAGAAATAAAGCAAAAAAAGAGGCTAAAGCACATGTGATATGACCATAGGGCATCTTTAACCAAAGGAGGAAAATGTGATTCTGTCTACACTTCGGCTAAAAGGAGCAAAAGCCAGTAGAAAGGAAGCAGGGCAGATGGAAATGTATTAACATAATGGAGAGGGAAGCTGAGGCCAAATACTGAATGCTGGACAGCTAGCCAACCCTTTGGAAAGCCAGAGGCAGGAACACGTGTGGAGAAGCCTGGCATTCCTGAGAGCTCATGGGCTTTTAATAGGAAAATTTGTGAATAGCCCAGAGACCTTGTGTAGCCCAGAGAGGCATCTGAGGCTCTTTTGCAGCCACCACTCATGGTCAGTGACTTGCTTATTTTCTGAGGCCCGGCATGCATGCCAGTGTGAAGTGGTTTTCATTAAACCTGAGAATAACAGAAAGATACAGACAGTCCAAAGGCATTGAAGGACATATTTGCCTTGCCCCGAGTCTCTACTTCCTTAATAGCTCTCTCCGTGTCCTCAATCTGGGGACCATGTCCACCATTCCCTGGGAACATGGGAGAGAAGGGAGAACTAAAGGAGATAAAGAGAGGTCAGAGACAACTTGGCCTGGACTCTTGAGGGGCTTCCTTTTTGAAGAAGTGGAATACAATTAAAACATTTCATGGTAAAGGAAATTGGGTCAACATTTCCACATCCGTCTTTCCATCTGCTTTTGCCTGAATTTCTAGATGCTTTCTTTGGTAAAGTTTTATGGCCATGTTAGGAGGGCTCCATGGTGTGAGTGCTTCAAGAGCTTTGAAGTCCCCTGGGGAAAAGGACAACAAATAAGCATGCTTTAGGAAGAGTTCTGTGAAGAAGCCAATATCCTGGAGATAATGGGATGTCACAGGGCAAGTGTGTTCTGGGATCAAGAGAGATAGAGTGTCACCACAAGGGAATCCCAGTGAGGAGGTGTGGGATTGTCTTGGATTCTCCTCTGCATGGTTGGCAGCCTTTTAGGTAGGACCACCTCTTTGCTGGGCACCATCTGCAGGAGCATTTCTTCCCCCCTCTTCCTTTGTGTTGGGAATCACCAAGTCACCTACTTCAATGCAGTCTCTGCAGGTGGATTTGGGAGTGAGAAGCTACAGGTGAAGCGAGAGACATTGCTGCCGGTGTGGTGGGAGTGTGAAAGGAAAGCATTGTTCTAACATCATTTATGTATGCCGGGCTGTGCACCCATCAAATTTTGGGTGGAGATCCTTTAGTGGAATCTCTCGGTTCTACAAATAAGAAACTGGATTGTGGTAGTTAAGTAGCTTTTCTAAGAAACAGCCATAGGCATTCCCTGCCAGAGACTTGGACAGACTTTCAGTTTATGTTGGTGGAAACTGAATGTTTCAGTCCATTTTCTGTTGTTTACAACAGAATACCTGAAACTGGGTAATTTATAAGGCAAAGAAATTTATTTCTTACAGTTATGGAAGCTGAGAAGTCCAGGGTCAAGACGGCTGTGTCTGGTGAGAGCCTTCCTGCTAGTGGGGACTCTGCTGAGTCCTGAGGCCGTGCAGGGCATCCCATGGCAAGGGGGCTGAGTGTGCTCATGTGCTAGGTCAGGTCTCTCTTTCTCTTATTATAAAGCCACTAGCCCCACTCTCATGATAACCCATTAATCTATCCATTTATGGGGGCAGAGCCTTCATAATCCAATCACTTCTTAAAGGACCTATCTCTCAACACTGGCATGTTGGGGATCACGTTTCAACATGCATTCTGGAGGGAACATTCAAACCATAGCTCTGACGTTATGGAAACTCAGGTCCCAAGGAGAGTAAAGGAACTGTTTTCAGGAGCAATTGCCATCAGAACCCAGGCACAGAGTGACCAGAGAGAACTGGGGAGAACAACACTCAGGGCCTCGATGTGACCTGAGTGTTGCTGGAATGAGAGGCTGTTTTATAAAGAATGGGCTTGTTTCACAGGGAGGAGAGAGTAGCTTTGAAAGTTGAGGAAAAACAGAATTGTATAGAAATCCATGACCAGAAAGAGTGGGTATAATAGGAAGGGCTTCCATGGTGCCAGTGCGCAGATCACACAAACTAGCCCTAGGACAAGGTCACATCTTGAGCTGTCTGCAGACACGTCCTTGGGCTAACAGCAAGGACTCTGACAAGGTTTTAAATGAGCTTAGTACCTGCTGCTTCTCCCAAAGGGAGAATGAAACAAACAACAGCAACAGCGAGGACAGGTAGGGACACTGTTGTCATGCCCAATCCTGAGGAACAGGAAGCCCAGCATGCATTTCTCTAATGCACCTGCCTTCAGATGTAGGCGGACTCTCAGTTGTCATAGATGACCTGTTCCCCTTCCCCGATCCAAGCTGTTGTCCTTTCCCAGACTCCGGCTGTCTTCAGAGATGTCTCACGTGTATTCCTAAGCAATGCCAAGCTCATCCCTTTGGATGCTCTCACTTGGCCACTGCTGTCTGTCTCTATAGGAGCCTGTTGACATTGCTGCCCGGGGCTGCCCACAGGCCCTGTGGTCAGAGCTGTGGACCTTGCAGCTGCTGCATCCTCACAGAAGCAGAATTGCTGACCACTTCCAATCTGTGACAAGTGCTGTTTACTGGAGCAGGAGCCTCTGCCCTCCTCCCAAAGTCTCTTGCTGTCTCGGCTCTGAGCGAAGGCCTCCTCCTTCTAAATGGACTCAGGCCCTTGGCTATTCTGAAACAGCTGGCCTACACACTAGCCAGGGGCTCAGGCTTGCCTTGGTCCGGTTAGAACCCAGGTTTCCTGCCTCTGAGTCCCTGCCTTGGTCAGCATTATTAGGTGACAGGGAAATGACAGGAGGAGTCCAGAGGGCAGTATGCAAAGCTATGATTAGTGATCATCCCCAGGGAGAGGGCCCCTCAGCTGAGTCACCAGGACTGCAGGAAGACACGTTTCAGAAAGTTCCCAGGACAGGTAGACAAGACTCCAAGCCATGATACCAGGAATGGGAGAGCAAAACGCCCATGAGGTGAGAAGATCCTCAGAAGGGAATTTACTGCACACGTACGTGGGGGTGACAAGGAGAGTCCCCTTTGAGTCCAGGGGCTGCACAGGCACCTGCCACCAGATGCACTCCTTCCTTCCCTGCCTTCTCTTAGAGTTGACTTTGTGGGAGGCTTCAACAGACTCCCTCTGGGTTCGTGCATGTCGTCTGAAATGATAAAATTTTATTCTTCTTTATCGCTGAATACACTCCATTGCACATATAAGCCACATTTTCTTTCCCCACTCATCCACTGATGGACACTTAGGTTGACTCCATATCTTTACTCTTGTAAATAATGATGGAGTGAACATGGGCGTGTAGATATCTCTTCAAGATACTGATGTCAATTTCTTTGGACACACACGCAGAAGAAGGATTGCTAGATATGTTTTCAGATTTCTGAGGAACCTCCATACTGTTTTTCCTAGTGGCTGTACCAATTTACATTCCCACTAACAGTGTGCAAGGGTTCCCTTTCTGTACATTCTCAGCAACACTTACCTTTAGTCTTTTCAATAACAGCCATTCTGGCAGGTGTGAGATGGTATCTCATTGTGGCTTTAATTTGCAGTTCCCTGATGACTAGTGATGTTGACCATTTTTAAAAGTAGCTGTTGGCCATTTGTATGTCTTCTTTTGAGAAATATCTATTCAAGTTTTTTGTCCATTTTTAAATTAGATTATTTGGATTTTTTTTTTGCTATTGAGTTATTTGAGTTCCTTTATATTTTGGATATTAACCTCTTGTTGGATACTGTTTGTAAATATTTTCTCCCATTCTATCGGTTGTCTCTTCCCCTGTTGACTATTTCCTTTGCTGTGAAGCTTTTTAGTTTGATGTAGTCCAATTGGTCTATTTTTGCTTTTGTTGCTGTGTTTTTGGAGTTCTATCCAAAACAATCATTGTCCAAACCAGTGTCATGGAGCTTTTCCCCTATTTTCTTGGAGTAGTTTTACATTTTCAGGTTTTACATTTCAGTCTTCCATTCATTTTGAGTTGATTCTTGTAGATAGGGTGAGATAAGGGCCTAATTTCATTCTTCTGCCTGTAGTGAAATAACCCAGGCACAGAAAGACAAATACTGCCTGGTCTCACTTATATATGAAAGCAAAAATAGTTGAATTTATGAAAGTAGAAAATAGATTGGTGGTTATCGAGGTAGGGTGTAGCAGAGGGTGAGGGGATGGAGAATGGGGAGATGTTGGTCACAGGATACAAAGTTTCAGTTAGGCAGGCAGATTAAGTTTTAATGATCGATTGTACAACAGGGTATTTTAATCAATAACAATGTATTGTGTACTTAATAATTGCTAAAAGGATATGTTTTGAATGTTCTTACCACAAAGAAATGATAAGTATATGAGGGGATGGTTATGTTAATTAGCCTGATTTAATCATTCCACAATATAAACGTAGACCAAAACATCACATTGTATCCCATGAATGTTACAGTAGTCCCTGTTGTCCATAGGGAATACATTCTAAGACCTCCAGTGAATGCCTGAGACTGAATAGCACCAAACCCTACATATACTATGTTTCCTACACATACATACCTATGACAAAGTTTAATTTAGAAATCAGGCACAGTAAGAGAGTAACAATAACTAATAATAAAATAAAACAATTATAAAAATATACTGTAATAAAAGTTAAGTGCATATGGTCTTTCTCTCTCTCTTCCTCTCTCTCACAATATCTTCATATTTTTATACTGCAGTTGACCATGGGTTACCAAAACCTGGGAAAGTGGAGCTGAGAATAAGGGGAGTGCTTCTGTAGATCTATTATTTGTCTCTTAAAATAAAATAAAATAAAATAAAATAAAACAGCCTCCTTGCCCTATAGGAGAACAGCTGGAGGGAGGCAGTTCAGGCAGGGATTTATTCCCCTGGCTCTCTCTGGCATTGTCTAGGTCCCTCCCTCACAAGTCACTGCCCACCTCTAGGCCACCACTCTCTGGGCTCTAGGGTTCTGGTACCTTCCTCCTCCCACCGCCTTTCCCAGCCTGAGGGTGATGGCATCCATGCTGCTGCTGGCCCTGTCATTCCCCGCCCCACTTCCTGCTCCCCCATCTACACCTACACTGTCATAATTGGTGCCTTTGTAAATAACCTTCCTTGAATCATCCTGTTTCCTGTTAGGATTCATCCTGTTACAGGAGCTATCTAATGACCTCCGATTGTAAAAAGGAGCATACAGCATGGAGGGCACATAACTAAGAAGTCCTACAGAGACTGGAGGGACCCTGTGATCAAAAAGAAGAATCTTTGAATGACATGGATTAGTAAATGCTAAACAGCCTGGAACTTTTTAAAAAAAATGTAAAAAAAAAATCATGGAATTAAGGAGAGATCCACTGTTTGAGAAAAGTAGTGAAACTCCAAGAGCAATTTCAAATCAACACCAGGAAGCACGTTTTCATAAATCTATGCTAGATAGAAAGAACTGTCTTGAGAAGGAGCAGCATGGCCAGGCGTGGTATCGTTTAACCTCTTGGCTAGGATGCTGGAGAGGTGATACTAATTAGATACCTCCTTGTTCTTTCAAACTCTCCAAATCTACACATTCTTTTACGAGGCTAAAGGTTCTGTTTCTTTGAAGAAGGCCATCGACCTGCTATAAATATGTCAAAATAGTATTCCATGATGCTAATCCTGAAAAAAAAACAGGACTTAGATTTTCTAGGGCCTCTGTCTGTTGTGATCTTTTGGTGATGGCCAGGATGAGGGGAGAGTGCCTGGGGGCATGTCTGTGGCATTTCAAGACAGGGCCAGGTGTTTGGGAGAGATAGGTGGAGGCCAGTCACCAGCTTCCTTGGAAAGGGCTGGCTTTGTTTGATTCCTCCAGCCTCAAGGGAGAGGCAGGTGCCTGCTCAGAGAGACTTGCTTCCTACTAAGCCCCCTGTCGGCTGTGAGTGCCATTCGGCTCATTGGATTGTTAAATGAATCTGTTTAATGCGACTGAGCTGCCTGTGCCTGCCAAACCCGACTCCAGACAGCAGCGGTATTCCACACACCAACTGCACCCATGTTAAAGGGCACTGGGGAAGCTGTGAGAGCCACAGAAAGAATTGTTCTTTATCTGAGCAACCTTTGGTGAATGTCGTTTTGTTTAAAAATCAGTTTATTTGATGTTCTACTCCCTCCCGGCTTCCCCCTGGGAAGAAACACAATCAATTTCTCCCGGGAATGGGAAGCCCAATATAGAAGATGGTTTCCTTTTCTTGAGAATGTATGGAAAGCATATTTTTCAAAGTTCTCGCTGTTATTATATAATAATGCTTTTGGCTTTGAGAAAAGGTAGAACATGTTTAACTTGTGTATAGAATATTTATCCTGCAGAATATTATTGTTTCTCTTTCATGGGTCCTGCTCAGTGTCTAGGAAGACACAATTTGTGTTAAAAGTCCCAGAGTCTGACCAGAAAATAATTAGATTTTTGTACTGCCAGCTCTGTTGACCCTAAGCAAGATAAAGGCATTACAGCCAATGGCAGTTACCTTCCCCACCACAGTCCCCACTTATTAGGTAGTGGTTTTGGGAGGCCAGGACCAAGGAGCAGCAGGCCCCTGGCTGGGAGTGATGCCACACTGAGCAGTTGAGGCAGGACCCAGGTGGTGGGTGCTGCCCCTGTTCAGGTGTTACAGGAAAGCGATCCCGATTCAGACCCCAAGAGAGGGTTCTTGGATCTCATGCAAGAAAAAATTCAGGGCGAGTCCACAGTGAAAAGCAAAAGCAAGTTTATTAAGAAAGTAAAGTAGTGAAAGTACAGCTACTCCATAGACAGAATAGGGCGTTCCCAAAAGTAAGAGGAGGAATGCGTCCACCCTAGGTACAAGACTCATTTATATAGGATAAAAAAGACCATGGGGAGATGTGCTCTACTACAAGGGTTTGTGATAAAGGATTAATTTTCTTAATTGCTATATTTTGCAAGAATCGATACTATTTTCTTTAAAGCAAAATTAGGAATGTGTTTGTTCTTAAGATATTGAGATATCAGGACACTCCCAAGTCTGGGTCTGTTTAGTTGACATTATCAATCTGTTCCCTTAACTGCAAACATCTAGAGGCTAGGAATACCTAACTTTCTGGGAATGCAGCCCAGCAAGTCCAGCCTCATTTTCTTAGCCCTCACTCAAGATGGAGTTACTCTTGCTTGAATGCCTCTGATGCAGGATATGCCTGGAGATCCATATCGACCCCCTGGTTTTCCACATAGAGTAAGGAACAAACTCTTGGTCAAAAAGATTAATATCATAGGATCTCTAGCCAAATTCACCCTTAATAAATAAGTCCAGAGAGTAATTAAAAAAAAAAAAAACAAGAAAACATGGGGACCAGGTAGGATTAGGATGAAGGGCAGAGGGTTCTAGAACTATTTTTCTTTTGGAGCCTCTTCCATTAGTGAGGATGTCTCCTTCATATTTATTTTTGGTGCTAGGTTTCATAGTGCTCAACACATAGACCTGGGCTGGAGGCTGTGGAGAAAGGGCAGAGACCACATGCAGCTGTTTATCCCAAAAGTCAGTTTCCAAGAGCCGGCCTAACCCTGAAGGTGGATGGTTCAAAATATCTCATTTTTATGAGAAATAAAGGTTCATGATGCATGTCATTATCTCTACATTCACTCCAAGTCCTCTGTGGGTATGGCAAGACCACTTAGAAATTGTTATTACAGGTGAAATGATGATCATCCATTCATTGCTTCCGTAAGTAGGAAGTGCTAGCAAGTTGAAGCTAGGTCAGTATTTTCATGGGATGACTGGAGACTGAGATTCCTCCATCCTCATCTGCCCTTATGCAAGAAGGCCAAAAGGAAATAGGTTAAGATGTGTCAACTTTCTTCAAGAACATTCCTAAACTTTACATAAACCGTTTCAAATGTAGACCCCAGGTCTTATTTAAATGATAAAAGTTTAGATGCATGACAACAGGAAGGCCTTTGAGCCCGCTAACAAACAGCTATGTGGTGGGAAATTCCAGCCTCCTAATTCCATTCACCCTGATCCCATGATGCTCTTACTCTTTCTCTTTTTTCCTCCTGATATGGTTTGGCTGTGTCCCCACCCAAATCTTATGTTGAATTCCCACATGTTGTGGGAGGGACCTGGTGGGAGGTAATTGAATCAGGGGGGCAAGTCTTTCCCATGTTATTCTCGTGACAGTGAATAAGTCTCGTGAGATCTGATGGTTTTATCAGGGGTTTCTACTTTTGCATCTTCCTCATCTTTTCTTTGCCTGCTGCCATCCATGTAAGACATGACTTGCTTCTCCTTGCCTTCCACTATGATTGTGAGGCTTCCCCAGCCATGTGGAACTGTGAGTCCAATTAAACCTCTTTTTTTGTAAATTGCCCAGTCCTGGGTATATCTTCATCAGCAGCATGAAAACAGACTAATACACCTCCTTTCTTCAATTAAAACCTCACATACCTGACTTTATAATGCTTTGTGCTGATGAAACTCTCTCTTTATATAAGATATTTCCCTAGATATGTCCCTAAACCCAAGACAGCAGCACCAGGAAGGAGGTGACTGAAATCTCTATGGGACTGACAAGTGAGCTGAGACCCAAAGCAGTTAAGGGCTTCTAAGATGACACCACCAGTCAGTGGAAGGGCCTGGGTTATGGCTGGACATAGGGACTGAAAAGAGCAGGTGGTAAGGAAGCATGTGCTAGGAGGAACCTTGGGTGTCACAGGGAGAGGAGAACACCTAGGGGTGTGTCCACCCAGGGTCTTTGGCTGCAAATCACATAATTGGACACTGGTTTTCTTTAAAAAAAATTCACTGAAAAGATACTGAAGAGCTCCCCAAACTGAGTAGAGTTGAATGACTCGGCCACACGAAGGAAAGACCCTTGGCAGCCTGGCCAAGCAATCACAAACAACCTCCACTGACCTTCTGTGCCTCTCCTTCCCTGGCTTCCACCAGCATCTACTGGGCACCAACCACATGCCAGGCATAACCGTGGGATCCAGGCTGCCGATAGGGAACTGTAAAATGCCCCGTCTTCAGAGAGGACAAATGCCAGGAGATGGGAAGAGCTAAGATGGAGGATGATCAGGTGAGAGTGGAGAGGTTACAGCCTCAGCATGTGGTCTCCTGGAATGGCCAGGAAGGCTTCTCTGATGAAGTTTAAACTGAGACCTGATAAGAGTGAGGAGCTGGCCGGGCGCGGTGGCTCACGCCTGTAATCCCAGCACTTTGGGAGGCCGAGGCGGGTGGATCATGAGGTCAGGAGATCGAGACCATCCTGGCTAACAAGGTGAAACCCCGTCTCTACTAAAAATACAAAAAATTAGCCGGGCGCGGTGGCGGGCGCCTGTAGTCCCAGCTACTGGGGAGGCTGAGGCAGGAGAATGGCGTTGAACCCGGGAAGCGGAGCTTGCAGTGAGCCGAGATTGCGCCACTGCAGTCCGCAGTCCAGCCTGGGCGACAGAGCGAGACTCCGTCTCAAAAAAAAAAAAAAAAAAAAAAGAGTGAGGAGCTACAGGAGCAGCTGGGAAAGGAGTGTCCAGGCCTCCAGCAGGACTGAGGTTGGCTTGTATGTGTATAAGTATATACATAAGTGTGTGTGTGTATAAGTAAATATAGATATATATTTAAATTCCATATGTGTGTATATGTATGTGTGTAAACATACATATATATTTAATATAATATATAATATAAATATATATATATATTTAGAGAGAGAGAAGAGAGGACTGTACATACCCAGTTTTTCCTTGATATCTCTGGGGAATTGGTTCCAGGGCCCTCAAGGGTACCAAACACTGGTGCTCACATCCCATATTGCTAATAGAGTAGTATTTACATATAACCTACATTGTTTAGGAAATGATGGCAATAAAAAACATGTATGTATTTAGTACAGACAAAATTTTTTTTCACATATTTTTGATCCCTGGTTTGTTGGATCCACAACTGGAAATCCAGGGAGATGGAGGACTGACTGTGTGTGTGTGTGTGGAGAGAGAGAGAGAGAGAGAGATTTAACAGAAAATAGACTTACTGCAGAAAAGCATTTACTCCAACTTTAATGTTAGGAGTGAGAGTGTGTGTGTGACTTCCACAGATTTTAATAGTATATATTTGAGGTGTACAACAAGATGTTTTAATGTGTATATCATAGTGAACTGATTACCGTAGTCAAGCAAATTAACATATCCATCACTTTCCATAGTTACTTTTCTGTGTATATGTGTGGTAAGAGCACCTAACAGCTACTCTCTTAGCAAACTTCTGGTATCTAATGCAATATTAACTGTGGTCTTCATGCTGTACCTTAGATCTCTAGATTATTCATCCTCCCTAAATGCAAGTTGTACCCTTTGACCTGCTTCTTCCCATTCCTCCCCCTCCCCACCTCTGGTAACCACGATTTTACTCTCTGATTCCATTTATTTGACTTATTTTTTAGATAGCACATTTAAGTGAGATCATGCAGTATTTTTCTTTCTGTGTCTGGATAAGGAGAATAGATTTTAAGGGCTGTAGAAGTTTCGGGAAACCAAGAGACAGGGCTCAGTTGTAAGGCTCTTAGTGCCCCTTCGTTCCCTGAGACGGTGCCAAGTACTGCAGGGACAGCTTCTGGTCTTGTGCCTAGGGAGGGCCTTGTCGGCCCAGCCAGGCACAGTCCTGTTCATCTGCTGGAGGGCTGGACGCTGAGAACTGGCTGTCAGCTCATTTCATCTCCATGGACAGAACCGGGAAACTGTGTCAAAGGGTGGGATGAGCTGCTGACAGTCTGCAGTGCACGCTCCACAGGGTGGACTCACTGGTGACCCTCTTGGCACTCGGTCTTCTCATTTGGCCCCGAGAGGCACGTTTCTTCTTCTTGTCTAGTGCTGAAGAAACACAGCAAACACGCTGCTCACTGTCTTCAACATGACTTTGATGAGAAATCCTTCTTGTGCTCCACTTCCTATTTTCTTAGTATAGGACTATTTTATGAAAAAGTGGCCACACAGCTTTTGATGCCGTTTACTTTAAAAAGAATAAAAATAGTTACTGTTTTTAATACTTAAATCTACTTTCAAAAGGAAAGAAAGAACATTCCATAGAGTTAGTCCAGGGTCTCACGAATTTCCCAAGGGTTTCCATGACTCAGAAGTAGGAAGATTATAGACTGGCAAGCTAAGTGTTGATCCCAAGAGAAACCCATGAGAGATTTTTAAGGACACAGGCTGTGAATACACCAAGAGGAAGGAGTGGCAAAAGGAGACAGTCGCCATTCGGAGCAGAAGTCAGATTCGAGTTCTGTTTTTCTGTTGTGTCTTGTACAATTTTCTCAAAGCACAGAAGAAAGCAGTGGTGTTTGCTGTCTTTACTGCTCATTCACTTAGTCCCTCATTTGCTCAGTGGGTTCAGGGCTGCCCATGTCCCAGGCTCCACACCGATTTCTTGGTTTAGAGACCAAGACTTGCGTGGGCTACCCTGATGGTGCATCCACACCATGGTAGTTTGAACATGTTTGTATTGAATTTAAATTATTAAATATGACAAATGTCGTAGCTTTGTAACAAAATCAAACTCCAAGATGGGCAAGTAGCCCTGTAATTGCCCTTGTGTGCCTCGGCTTCTTCAGTGTGGCGGCTTCCAATCGTATCTTGTGGGTGGGAGGCCCAGCTTGTTCTCTGACTTGTCTGCCTCTGTCCAAGCTGAAAGACCCTCCCTCCTGCTGCTGCTTCCCTTCACCCCATGCTTCCAGGTCCACCGTGGCCATGGCTGTGTGAACTCACCCCACTTCATGTCTTGCTCTGAGTAACCTTCCTGCCCAGCTTCCCCGTGGTGAGTCATCTGTCACACACATGGGGCTTCTCTACCTGCCTCCCACCTGAGAGGCATTGGGATTGGTCTGTGGGCTCGGCGAATAGACAGAAAGGGCTGGGGAGGTTGACTGGTCCCCATGAGGATGCAGAAACTGAGGACACTGAAAACTTCCCATAAGTCTCCTACCAAACTCACTGGCAGAACCACCCATGTCAAGCATTGCAAATAAGAGCCACAGGGTGATTGGAACAGGTCCTGATAAAGTGATTGAGTGCATCATTGAGTAGGTGGGGAAGTATTTTTTGGACAGCAGAACCTTTTTGCCCATTCCCAAGTCACCGAAAACTGTTGGAAGCCTAGCCTGCCAAATGAGAAGTATATTGCCTGAAATTTCTTTCAGGACAAATGCTAATCTTTTTTCTTATATTCCTTAGTTCTTATGTGGTTATTCTGCTTTGGAGGAAACTATATGACCAGAATTTATGTAAGGTATGTTGAAAAATGACACATGGCACTAGAAGGCTCCATTATAGTTTGCTGAAGAATTTTGGGAGCTCATGCAGTATTCATTTCATCCTCTATATATCCCGATAATCACTCATTATGAAGAGACTTAACAAAAGGTGTGCTGTCAGCTTTGCCAATTAGTGTGTCCATCTGCCTTTGTTTTTGAATTCACTTTTGCCTGTGGTAGCATGCTGTACAATAAATGTCCCTTTTTGGCCTGTTCTGTTGTATTTGATTGACAGTTTTATTTTTTTAGTTCAGCATATGTGTAATGAGTATGAGCAAATAAGGAGATGTCTGATGATGAGTCCTAATGAAGGAGAAATTGAGAGTTAGCTTGCTGGCTCCCGAACAGTTTAAGTCATGCAATCTAAGGAAAAATCAGTAAATAGTACCAAAACAGGGAGCTGATTGAGCAGCTAATGGAGACAGGGCACTCTATTAGGAGTTTACTCACATTATCTCATGGAAACCTCCTTTTGACCTCTTGGGACATGCATTGCCATCTTCATTTACAGAGAAGAAAATTGAGATCCACAAATATTAAGTACGTAAATTCAGTGTCATAATGGTTTGAGTTGTATACCAGTAACATTTAAAAAAAAAACACTCAAAAGTGTTATCACTTTATCAAAAGCGTTATCTATGTGAACGTGTGTATGCGTGTGCACGTGTGGCCATCTGATACTTAAATTAGCATGGCCTCAAGATGAAGAGGGATAAACAGAGGAAACAGAAAAGGCTAGTGTCAGCCAGGCGTGGTGGCTCATGGCTGTAATCCTAGCACTTTGGGAGGCCGAGGTAGGCAGATCACCTGAGGTCAGGAGTTTGAGACCAGCCTGGCTGACATGGTGAAACCCTGTCTCTACTAAAAATACAAAAGTTAGCTGGGCTTGGTGGCAGGTGCCAGTCATCCCAGCTACTTGGGAGACTGAGGCAGGAGAATTGTTTGAACCTGGGAGACGGAGGTTGCTGTGAGCCGAGCCGAGATCATGCCACCGCACTCCAGCATGGGCGACAGAGCGAGACTCCGTCTCCAAAAAAAAAAAAAAAAAAGAAAAGGCTAGTGTCTCCTGGCAGAGCATTTCCCTGTTTAGGACCCCCTGAAGATGAGCACAAACCTATTGAAAGATGAGAGAAAGAACAAGAAACCAGAAGCAAGCCCTATTGTGTGATTGAATTACAATAAGACAGACATGTGGCTTAATGATCAGTGGGAGATTAGGTTATGCTTAGTGAAGACCATGGCCTGGATGGAGACCTTGGTACTAAAGAGAATGAGCCCAGGTTCACAACTAAATTTCATTTTGAAAATAATTAATTTTTGTTTGCTTAGCAGTACTTTGTCCAAAATATTATAGGGAGAAATCTTGCAATTACAAGACCTAATAGATAAATGTGTCCATAGGATGTCTAGCTGTGTGTAATGTGGGTATTGTTGCCAGGCAAAGGAAATTCTGTGCTGATCCCTGGGTGACTACCACTGTACCTATGGCCACAGTGAGTCTAACACTATACATCTCTCTCTAGGGCGGTGTGATACAACGCTGTGTAAGTTGTAAACACAAGGCAGTGAGGCGCAGCAATGCTGCCTTACTGCCCTTCATGTTCCATGGTGATGCCTGGCCCTGGAGGCTGGTGCTGGACACAGGGCTCCTGCTCTGCAGGGCCTGCTCAAAGCTTACTCAGTGATGTGCCATAGGCTAGACAGTTCAGAGGTGCTGGAGGCTGATGGGCTGAATTCAAATCTTGAGCTTAGAGTTGATGGGTATGTGAATTTGGAGTGGCAAACGAGGGAACATTTTATTAAATGTGTAAGAGCCAAGCACATTATTAAGTCTTGTTTTCACAACACATCTGTGTGGTGTATATTAATGTATGTTATACATATATGTTATCTTACATGTGAGAAACTTGGGGCTTAGAGTATTTCAGTGGAACAAGTAGGTTTCACACCTATTAAGGAGCAGAGACAGGACTCAGATCAGTCTGGGCCTCCAAAGCCCTCACGCTGTAAACTACTCTGACCTTACTCGGTGATGTGTCATAGGCCAGATGGCTCACAGGTGCTGGCCTTAAGCTCCTGCCTTTAGATGCTGATGCTTCCTGTAGGTTGAGTCAAACGGCCTGCTTCTCCATCTGTCAAGGAGAACTGATGACTGCCTCTCTCACAGCGGCACTGTGAGGAGGAAATGAGGAAACAGATGAGTAACTGTGCCTGAGCACCGCACATAGTAGGTGCTCAATGAAAGTAACTTCTCTTGGCCCATCACTGCCATGATCTCCTTTAGTGTGTTCACAATTTTACATACCCTCCCCAGTCCCCAAAGAAGAACATCTTTAGGGCAAAGTTCTTGGGTTCGATTGGTTTCACGGTCATTTTGATCACTCTGTTTCAGAACCACAGAACTTTTAGGCCTGGGGTAGATAGGAGATGGGTATATTAGTCCGTTTTCATGCTGCTGATAAAGACATACCCAAGACTGAGAAGAAAAAGAGGTTTAATTTGACTTACAGTTCCACATGGCTGGGGAGGCCTCAGAATCATGGTGGGAGGTGAAAGGCACTTCTTACATGGTGGCAGCAAGAGAAGATGAGGAAGAAGCAAAAGTGGAACCCCCTGATAAGCCCATCGGACCTTTTAAGACTTATTGATTATCACAAGAATAGCACGGGAAAGACTGGCCCCCATGATTCAGTTACTTCCCATGGGTCCCTCCTACAACATGTGGGAAATCTGGGAGATAAAATTCAAATTGAGATTTGGGTGAGGACACAGTCATATCAATGGGGTTCTGAGGTGCAGGATGTATTGGGTAAACTTGAGTTAAGTTGTGTTACTAGAAGAAACAATGCAATTGATTTGCTGTCATGGTGACAGCACATGAAGTCATCTTTATGACTAGGGCCATGGAGCTGATGCAGGCCATGGTGTGTGCCACCACATCTGGCTAATTTTTGTATGTTTAGTAGAGACAGGGTCTCACCATGTTGGCCGGCCTGGTTTTGAGCTCTTGGCCTCAAGTGATCTGCCCACCTTGGCCTCCCAAAGTGCTGGGATTGTGGGTGTGAGCCACCACGCCCAGCTGAATATGAACCTTTTAAGTATTTGCAATAATGATATTTGTCCCATTTGTACTCAAAAATAGAAAAAAAAATTGTTAAACCCATATTAAGTTAAATCTTTAAATATATTTCAGCACTTAAAATGTCAGGAACAGAAAAGTTAAAAGTTGTACAGGTCAAAACCCAGAAAAGTTAAAAGTTTGTGTGTTTGGGAGGGACACAGAATGTTTTCCTCTAGGCAAGGAAAGGCTGAAAACAGGTCTGTCCCCGGTTTCTGTGGCAGGTCTGTGAAGTGCTACGGTGAGGACCCCCCGGCAGCCTCTGCTCTCAACATATCCTCCGTGAATCAGTTCCGCCCTTCCCTGATTGCGGCTGTCTGAAAATAAATCCCTCTCTGAAAGCGCTCGTTGGTGATAATCATTTTACTGGACATTTTATCAGGAGGCAGAGCCAATTGATGTGGTGTAACACAGAGCCCTGATGAAAACACCATCATGCTGCTTCCCGCTTCTCTCTTTCCTTCCTCGAGGTTCTATTTCTGCCAGCAATCTCATTTTTGCCACCAGTGCTGACGATAACGAAATCTCCTTATTGTCCTGTTGCTTTTGGATTCCAACGCGCCTTTCTGAGGGCCACCCAGCTCCTTCCTGCCACTGCGGTGCATCCCGCGCAGATGCCACTCCCACACACAACTGGGCTGCTGTTCTGGTGTCCTTTACCCACTCTTCCGCTAAGGTGCTCTGTCAGCGCTTTTTCTTCTTTTGAGGATCTGTCTCACCTCCGTGCCTCGGGGCCACCGACCTAGTGAAGGATGGACACGTGCCCCAACAAGCCTCCCTCTCCCGGGAATGGGGCTCTCCTGGGACCCGGTCAGTGACCCCACAGCCGTCTGCTCCTGGGGCCTTGAGGCCTACTCCAATCCTCACCCATGTCCATGGCTCTGCATTGTCTTTAGTGGTATCCTGTATCTGAGTATCAATTTTAGCTGGAATATTTTGTATTGCTGGAAAATGAAGAAAATTAAGTGATGGAAACATTCATCAGGATATTAAAACTTTTTGAATTGATTTATCCTAGTTGTACGTATTTTGGGGGGTACATGTGATATTGTGATACATTTATACAGTGTGTAATCATCAAACTAGGGCAATAGGGTTATTCAGTACCTCAAACATTTTATCAGACTGTTACTGTAATGAACGTTTTCCCATATTTCTGCTTATACCGATTAAGTAAATTTTAATTTCCTTGACCATAAAATAAGTGCTTGCTGTGAGAGTAGACAAGGAACTTTGGGATGAATCCATGCTCCCTGCATGACTCAACGTTTGAGGACCAAGCAGCCACCACACACAGGCACACACAGGCACACAGAGTTGCACAGAGTCACACACAGGCACACACAGGTACACACAGCCACACACAGGCACACACAGTGGTGCTGCGTCCTGGCTCAGGGAGGGGCATGTGAGCCGTGGCCCTCAGAGGTGAGCTCCTGCTGGGACTGCCAGGTCAGGCCCTCCTCCAGGACATCACTGGGACCTCACTTACAGTTGCTGTCACCAACCTACCATCACCTCACATTGTCCCGACAGTGATTCTGCCCTTGAACTTATTTCTGCTTTCTCCCATGGTCCAAGTCTCAGCTTAGCCTGGCCTGCACAGTGGCCTCATGCTGGTTAGTCTGGTTCAGCACAGACAGTCAAGCCTCACTTTACATGCTGCTGTCATGCTCCCCTGGGAAACTCCATAAAATCACACACATTTCATACCAGAGGGACTTAAAAGATCATAGAGCTTTGAAAGTTATATTTTGCTTTGCAACTTTCTTCCCCAAATGTTTTTGCAAAAGCCTAAGTGGCTCTTGGAACAGCGGGGCTCCCAGGAACACAGCTGGAGCAGGGCCCTCTTCAGCCTCCCTTAGAATGCGAGGAGACTGAGGAGTAGACGAAGCTCAATAGCAGCTAAAATGGTGGTGGTGGAGTGCAGAAGAAAACTCAAGGCTTTTTTTTTCTATCATTATTCCAATTTTTATTAACTTAAGAATGATCTTTTGGTCTGTGAAGGATTTTTCATTTATACCCTCTTATGCCCTAGTCTAACATTTTGCAAAAATTTAACCCAGCAAAACTAGGATAAGTTAATTAGATGTGTCAGGAAAATGAAACCAGGCTAGTACTTGATATGGTTTGGCTGTGTCCCCACTCAAATCTCATCTTGAATTGTAGTTCCCATAATCTCCATGTGTTGTGGGAGGGACCCAGTGGGAGGTAATTTAATCATGGGGGCAGTTTTCCCCATGCTATTCTTGTGATAGTGAGTAAGTTCTCATGAGATCTGATGGTTTTATAAGGCGTTTCCCCCTTTGCTTGGTTCTCATTCTTTCTCCTGCCATCCAGTGAAGAAGTGCCTTCTGCCATGATTGTAAGATTCCTGAGGCCTCCCCAGCTGTGTGAAACTGTGAGCCAATTAAACCTCTTTCCTTTATAAATTACCCAGTCTCAGGTATGTCTTTATTAGCGTAAGAATGGACTAACAAGGCAATTTTATTGGTCCTCTTTGAGGTCAAATTTGAGAAGATTCTAAAAAGTGCTGATGTTAAAAAAAAACCACAAGATCTGTAAATTTGGAAAAAAGACCTCATTTCTCATAAAGAGTTACAGCCTGCAAGGAGGCCATCCTGACAGGCTGGGAAGTGTAACCACTGTTAGCAGATGCTTCAAGGGAGGGAAGGGTGGAACAGGGATTTGTGCTGAATGGGTTGGCTCCATGTACACATTCAACAGGTTACAGAAGTAGCTATGAATACTCAGGAAAGGGTCTCAATGAATGCACACAGAATAAATATTCACAACACGCATGTTACATATGACCCATATTCCCCTTGTGGTGGAGTTTTCACATTTAAATACATTCCCATCAGGTCCTATCCTTCAAAAGGTGAAGCAGGAGAGTGCATGTAGGTGCTCAGTGTGCAGCCTCAGTGAACCATTCAGACTCAGCCCATGGTTCATGGTCTTTTCCACGAGAAAGTCACTGAAATCAGCCTGTGTCCAGTCAAAGCTGTAGTTATGGCTGTGAAGTGAGGTCAGTCAGTCAGCGTTGGGCAGTGGATGCACTGCACTTGTTTCAATGTGGCTCATCTCCAGGCCAGTGCTTGTTTAGCTGCTGGAGAAGAAGAAAACCTTGTGGCAGTTAGAACAGAGTTGATTCTTTAAGTGTAGAGATGAGTGACGTAACCCTTGCCTGGCATGGCCTTAGGTCCTGTTTATGATTTGGTATCTTACTGCCACAAAGAGTTCGTTCTGTCAGTCCTATGACCTCTATTTTAATATGAATGCTAGTCAGTTGTTGAGTCTAAAATGAGAAAGGCAGGGGGCATGATGACGTGGGTCTGACCTCCCATCCCGTTGTTACTGGAAAAGTGGTCTTGATCCAGACCCCAGGAGAGGGTTCTTGGATTTCCTGCAGGATGGAATTCAAGATGAGTCACAGAATGTAGTGGGAAGAGAGAGTTTATTGAAAGCTCCTTAGTTACAGAGTACGGCATCTTCAGAAAGCAAGAGAAACAACACCTCGGCTTTGTTTTTGTTTTTCTTATATAGGAGTTTTGTCTATGTAAAGACTAAACTTACCTGTGCCTACATGTGGGTTGGCTGGCAGCATGACAAAACCTATTATTCTATTGACTTAAAGAAAACAATCCTTGACATTTTAGTGTGTGAGTACATCACAGCATAACTATAATTACCTTGAAAGCATATATTGCTATGGGCATTGGGACATCTGGACTTTCTGTTTTATAGGAGTGTGTCCTTGCAGGTATCTTTAGGCTGTTTCCTCCGCTATAAACAGCTTATGACCATGGGTCGTGACTGGCAAGGTATGTGCCTTGTTAGTCTCCAGATGGAGCTGAACATGAAATGGACTGGGCTCTCCTAGCCTCCTGCTTCCTTAACACTGCCATGGCCAGGAACTCAATTTTTATAGTTTCTCTGGAGTCCTCTTGGCTAAGAGGGGTTAGTTCAGTCAGTTGGGGGCCTTATAATTCTATTTTTTGTTCTCAAATATAAAGAAGAGAAGGAAAAATACAGTAAGAAATAGATGTCAGGGCACTTCCAATGTGATGTGTACAGATATGGGGACAAGCAGAAAATTTCCCAGTAGAATTGCAACGAGGCATGGTCCTGGAGGAGATGAGAGTGTGTGGAGGATTACTGGAATGTAGAGAGTTGGGAGAAGCACAAGACAGAGAGCTGGGTGGTGGGAAGGAGAGTCTGCTGGGACTCAGTCCTCTGCAGAGCATGCATGTAATTTCTGAGAGTGGCTTGCAACTTGAGCCTCATGTTCCTGATTTGGTAGGCTTGGGTGGGGCCCAAGAATCTACATTTCTAACAAGGTCTGAGCTCATGTGGATGCTCATTTGAGAACCTACTGCTTTATAATATTTATGGTTATATATTCATTGTGATTTTTTTTTTTTTTTTGAGACGGAGTCTCACTCTACCACCCAGGATGGAATGCAGTGGTGTGATCTTGGCTCACTGCAACCTCCGCCTCCCAGGTTCAAGCAATTCTTGCCTCAGCCTCCTGAGTAGCTGGCATGCGCCACCAGGCCCAGCCAATTTTTGTATTTTTAGTAGAGACGGGGTTTCACCATGTTGGCCAGGCTGCTCTCAAACTCCTGACCTCAGGTGATCTGCCCACGTTGGTCTCCCAAAGTGCTAGGATAACAGGCATGAGCTACTGGGTTTGGCCAAATTGTGATTCTTACAATAGGACCACAGAAAGAGTACTGTTCTGCTTTTTCACATATTCCCCCAAATTCTGGAAGAATTCCACAATATTCCATGAAATTTGTTTACTGCAGAAATTTATCACCAAAACGCACTGGCTATCAACAATAAAGCTAATGTTATTATTTTAATCATGATTACATTTATATGTCCTGTTAAATTTCAGACCTCAAAAGATGCAGGAAACGGACACTGACACATCAGTGTCTACTCACAAATGTAAATTTTCCCAAAAACCTCATAAAAAATAATCAGACTTGAGATAAAAAAGAAGAGGTATAAGAAGATACAAGTTCAAAAAGTTCAAAGTACAAGCTGCCTCTGACTTATCTTTGTCCAATTTATAGACATATACTATAGATAGTGATCTTGTTTCTCTAACCAGGACTCAGAGCAGAGTGAACAGAAGTGGAACAGATATTTCAATCCTTCCCTTTAAGGCAATCCCCTCCTCTTGTTAAATCCCCTTCCTGTGGGCTGCTGGGGCTTGTCAGCTTTCTTCTCTCTCTCCTCCACTTGTATTGTCTGAGGTCTGGGAACTGTCTGAGACTGTAACCACCTGGTGGGTTCTTCCTTCCTGCTGTACAAAGAAAATCAATACTATAGCATTGCAGGAAAAAAAGAGTTTAATTGATATGAGGCCAGCCATGCCACGTGTAAGACGGAGTTATTACTCAAATCAATCTTATCAAAGGCTCATAGGTTAGGGATTTTTCAAAGATAGTTTGGGGGAAATGATGGGGGAGGCTAAGCAGTGGGTGCTTGCTGCTGATTGGTTGGGGTGCAATCATAAAGGTGTGGGAAATTGTCCTGTGAGCTGAGTCACTTCTGGATGGGGTTGCAGGAGCACTGGCAGGTCCACGTGGAGCCATTGGTTGTTAGACATGCAAAACACCTGGAAAGATATTGCAGAAGGCCAATCTCAGGTTCTACAATAGTGATGTTATCGGCGGGCATAATTGGGGAAGTTGCATATCTTGTGGCCTCCAGAATAATGGCTGACGACTATTTATGTCTACATCTTAGCAGGATTCAGGTTCTTCACCCTTCTAGCCTCGTGGTCTCTCGCTAGCTTTACAAACGCAGTTGAGTTTTGGGGAAGGGATATTATCATTTAAACTGTAAACTAAATGTCTCCCAAAGTTAGCTTGGCTTAAGCCCAGGAATATATAAGGGCAGCTTGAAAGCTAAAGCAAGAGTGGGGTTGTTAGATCAGATCTCTCCCACTGCCATAATTTTCTCACTGCTATAATTTTTGCAAAGGCCATTTCAGGACACCCCATGGGTCTTCTGCAGCCTACTCCCTTCCTCCTGGTGCCTGCACCTCTCAGTGGAGGGGAAGCAGCCTGGGTGAGAGCAAGGGGAGGTATCCCTAGCTGAGGGAAGCTACATGGGAAGGGGAAAGGAGAGGACAGGCTCCTCATTCCGCTGGTCTGGCTGTGCAGAGGAGAGGAGGAGCCAGAAACCCGCATCCCCTGGTCAGACTCCCCTGACCCCTCTCAGCTCTTCACACTCTCCAGGGCCCCTTTCCCAGTGCACCAAGAATAACAATGAAACCTGCAAGCCTATGAAGATGGGAGACTCTCCATGCGCATTTTGTGGGCTAACAGCTAGCTGAGTCTCTTGCTACTGATTGGGTTTTTGATAGTCTCAACACTGGTTGCATATTAGAATCTTCTGAGTTGCTTTAAAAAATATCAATGCATAGGCTAGGTCCAGTCCTGGAATTCTGATTTAATTGGTCTTAGGTAGGTTGACATGGTCCCCCACTTTTTAAAAAAACGTGGGCTCACTATGTCACCCAGGCTGAAGTTCAGTGGATAGTCACAGGCATGATCATAGCTCACTGCAGCCTTGAATTCTTAGGCTCAAGTGATGCTCCTGCCTCAGCCTCTTGAGTAGCTGGGACTACCATCATTTTTTTTTTTTTTTTTAACTTCACAGATGATTCCACCATGCGACTGAGCACTATCGCCAGTTGTTGAAGCGTGGTGCATGGAACGGCAGCATCAGCATTACCTGGGAATTTAGTAGAAATGCAAATAATGGGGCTTCCCAGAATCAGAAACCCTGGCAGCATGGTCAGTCATCTGCAGCTATTTGCATTTTTTACACACTCTCCAGGTGACTCTGGTGTGTGCAGTTGAGAAACACTGCTGCAGATCAAGGAAAAGGCCTTATAGAGAGAGAACAGCATGCATCCCAGGAGAGAGCAGAACAATAGACAGGAACTCTTTGAAAGAGGAAAAAAAAGAACAACACTTTTGCCACTAACATTCTCCTCGTTGGCTTCATATAGAATCTCTGTGTGGCACTTTTATTGACCAACAGCAACAGCTGTAAAGGAACAAGGTTGCTGGGGTTGGAGCTTAGGCAGGGAGGAGACCAGGCCTGGGGGAAGTGGGAGCTGGGCACTGGAGTCCCCGTGCCCATCGTAGCCTAGGAGAGAGCACCGTGCAGTGTGGAACTGTCACGTTTTTTACATGAAAGAAGAATAATCTGGGGACCTGGCATGAATGTAGATTGCCACTTTTTACTCCTGGGGATTCAGGTCCAGCACCTGGGCTGATACGAATATCTGGAAAAGGATGGGGGATTAGAGGCAAAGTCTCCAGAGGAGTCAGAGAGGAAAAGAGATAGAAGGGGAAGCCATGGTGAAGAGGATAAAGGCCGCTTCTTAGAACCAGGGGATCCTACCCCTCATGGCTTCATGGATAACTTGGGGTCATCAGGAAAGCTGTAGTATCTCTGAGAGCATGCCATAATACCTCCTGCTTTATAGCATCACCATGATAAATGTCCACATCCTTTGCCATTGAAGTATATTGACATCTTCTAATGCAGCAGGGCTCAAACTTTTGCCTGCATGGGCATCGCCTGGAGGGCTGGTTAAAGCAGCTTGCGGGGCTCCATTCAGGCCTTTGGATTCTGTTGGTCTTGAGCTGGGGCCTGAGAACGAGCATTCTCCACAAGCTCCCAGGTGACTCTGGAGCTGCTGCTGAGGGAAGTGTAAACCAGTGCCCTGGCATCCTTCCTTAATCCCACCAGTGCTACTGTGGCATGATGCCAGTGGGTACCATGGATTTTCATTTTATGAAGCCCCCAGTTGATGCTCCTGCAGATTGGCCATGGACGTATTTTCAGAAACATCATGAAATGTATGAGTTGTAAAGGGAAGCCAGGTATGAAAAATCATCACAAGAGGGCAAAGTGCCTGCAGAGTTGGCATGGCATGGGGCTGGAGGAGCAGACGGGGCAGGAGGAGAAGGTGGAAGGAGGAGGTGAGAGACCAGAAACTCTAGAGGTCCTGTCCACTCATTTCCTTCCAGCCAGTGCCAGGTCCTCACCTACCTGTCCTCTCCTTACCCTGGCAGTTCCAGCTGCCCCATCCTCAGCAGGCCCCAACCCTTCTCCTCAACCCAGATGCCCTGGAGCTTCTCTCCTCCTCTGATTTCTCCCTCCCCTGGAGGAGGAGCTGTGTGACAGCAGCCTGTTCCGCGTTGGTGCGGCCAGGCACGGGAAAGGGGGTTCCCAGAGCAGAGTCTGCACAGCATGGCTGGTTTCTAGTTAGCTCAATTCCGAAGAATCAGAGCCAGGAGAAGAGACATTTAAAAATAGTAAGACTTAATATTTACCCTTAAGAAGTCCATGGGGAAATCTTCACGTAACTATCCAGGAGCCAGGAGAAGAGGCATTTAAAAATAATAAGACTTAATATTTTCGCTTAAGAAGTCCATGGGGAAACCTTCATGTAACTATCCAGGTACAGAACAATATTATAAATATGCTCATAGAAATGAGCATTTCTAGGAACTGGGGGAAAGTAGAGGTGAGGACTGCCCATGTCCTCTGAGGGTCTCCATGAGGCTTGGTGCCGCTTCCTGTTCAATATTTTCCCACTATTAGGAGCTAGGGCCAGCTCTCCTCTCCAGGACATACCCAAGTCTCTTAGAAAGACAAGGAAAGGAAGGTAGGATCCTCAGATGCCAGAGATTGGTGCAGAAGTGAAGACAACTTCCAATTTAAGAATAGGTACCCCCGGAAGGCTGAGCACATGAAAGTGTCAACTTATTCAATCCTTAAACAATTTCAAGAGAAGATACTATTACTGATCTTCTTCAATGTGTGTGATCACATGAGGCTTAGTGATGTTAAACAACTGGTACAAGGTTGCGTAGCTAATCTATCAAATCCAGGTTTTTCTGATGCAGAAGCTGCTGTTCTTAACCGTTCTGCTGTGTTCTTGCTACATCTTGCTACCCAACAAGGGTGCAGCTCTTGGGGAGTGGGATCCTCGTCGTGCTCACCCTTACCCGTGGTGGCTCCTTCCCACCCCTGGCAACTGTGTCTCCTAGGACTGCCTGCCCAATATGGTAGCCACCAGCCGCAGATGGGTCCTGAGCACTTGAAATGTGGCCAGTCTGAATTGAGATTTGCTGTAAGCATAAAGTACACACTGGATTTAGATTTAGTTGAAAAAAGATCACTACTCTTTTTCATCTTTATCATAGGTTGAAATAATAACATTTTGGACAAACTTGCCTAAAAATTTACGATGAAAATTAATTTGACCAGTTCCTTTTAAATTTTTAGAATGTGGCTCCTGGAATGTTACGTGTGACTCACACCGTGTCTCCACTGAATGGCGCTATTCTAAGAGAAGCTGCTCAAAATAGGATTATTAGAGAATTACTCATACAGAAGAGCCGTGCATTTACATGAGGTGCCTCCTTGGGAATTTGAGTTACAAGCTGCAAATCGTTGCTGCTGAGGAAAATATAATTTAAGTGAGAAAAGGAAAGGGCAGAAGTGGAGAAAACGTGTGATATGGACTTTGGAAGAAGGGGCGGCAGCTAGGAGTTGGTCCTCCTTTCTCCCTCTCTCATAATGCTCTGTGACCCCCTGAAGCACAGGGAACCAGGCAGTGAGTCATGAAGCCATGGAGACACTGTTCGCACACCACCTCTCAGTATGACAGATGCCCGTCCCTGCAAGGTGACAGGTGCCAGTGTCCCATTTCTAACAACCCCTTTCCCAGCTTTAGGGACGATGCAGTCTCTGAAGCTCTAATTCTGCATCACAATGATTCTGCGTATCCTCCTAAAAATAGGTAAAACCTAACTTAGAAAGGAAGCTCCCTGGCAGGAATAGGAAATCAAATACAACCCATAAATCCAAACTTAATGAATCTGCCTATCGGGGTCCTCCAATAAGAATCTCAAAATCCCCGTATCTAGCTGGGTTTCTGGGAAATTGGCATTCGCTCATTTTTAGTATAAGCAGCCTTTCGATGGGAGCTCATGGAACCTATACAGGCAACACTGAGTTCTCCATAAAACCCAGAGGAACTTCAGTGCTTTCTATCAAACAAACAAAAAAAAATGTTTCCGCATGGCCAGGCACCTTAGAAAAATGTTTACCGGCCCTTGGAAATGTCAGCAGCCACTCACTGCTTCCTGCAGTCTAAGCAATAATATGTCAGAAGGTGTTTTGTCTCTGAGTTGGAAGCAAGAAGCACTCAGGGCTGAATTTTTGGCTTTTGTGTCTTTCTTGACTTCAATCACACTTCTTTATGCTGAGAACATAGGCTTGTATCAAGTTGCCTGACTAATAGTTTTACTTGGAGGGAGCGAGGCTTTTATGCTATCTGAGGAGAGAGTAGAACACAAAATGTTCAATTTGAAGCATTTTGACAGTTGCTCAGGGTGAAGATGCAGGAAGAGCACTAAGGTATTTATTGACCGTTTCCCGTCGCACCAGCCTTGGAACCAGGCCCTTTACCCCGAACATTCTGAATCTCATGATAGCCTTGGGAGATAAGAGCTATTATCTCTACTTGATAATGCAGGATATCAGCATTTCCTTTTCTTACATAACTTACCAAGGCCACCGCGTGCATGGAGGTCTGCTTGAGCTCCCAGCTCAGTTCATTCCAGGATGCAGGCTGAAGCTTCCACCTTCCCGATGAGCCCTGAGAAACAGAGAGGAGGAGGAGACAATCCCATCCTAACTGCAGACATAGGGGCCAGGCGGCGGCACATTTATAGGAAGCACCTGTTGTAGATTCACTGGGACTGTGGGACTCATGTGAATTGAGAGGGCATGACAGGCTACAGATGCAAATGTATACTTTTAAATTCTATGTTCCAACAAACCAAAGGCTTGTGTGAGCTCAATATGGCTTGCAGAGCTCCGGTTTGCAAAACAGTTTAGAGTTTGGTGACCACAAATGTGATCTTGACGTCTGAATCCATGATCTGCTCCATGGAACCAGGGAGGAAGTGGAGAAATCTCCAGACACTTCATGTTGCTCTGAGCCATCTGCCAAGGAATATGGCCAGGTGGGGACAAGTTTGGCAAGGCCCACTTCAGAATGATGCAAAAGAGGGCTATGTCAGGTGGGCTCCCCTGTCTCTTTTCTCCCCTTTTATCATTATAGGCTTGAGCAGGTAGGGCAGGTTCCTGGCGTCACAGAACACTTACTGACCAGTCATTACACTCCTTGCGGTAAGCCTGACCCTTCCCCATAGACACTGCAGGCTTCAGGACTGTAGTCCAGCCTCACACCAAGAGCTATATCAGGAAGGTGAAGTTGACCTTCCCTCACCCCATCCTTTCTAGCAGAGGAACCTGAGGCACACTCTCATGGAGCCTGTAATTCTGTGTGAGTCTAGACCCTTTCTCTATAGAGGCAAAGGGAAGAGATGGGAAAAAAGGCCCTGGCCGCAGCACTCGTGGCAAGCATCTGTGGAGACTGAATCAGCTCAGATGACAAGACCCTAATGGCCTGAGCAATGGTGTGCCACACCGCCAATGTAGGGTAACACAGAGGTGGACAATGCCTCCTCCACTAAGATGTGTTTGAAAGTCAGTGTCGCTCATGCTGAACAGTGTGAAATCTCTGCTGGGCTGTTAGAATCCTAAGAGTCCAGTGGACCCTGTAAAGTGGTGGCCGTGGTGATTTTCTCCAGCATTTCCTCCTGCCCCTGCACAGTTCAATTGCAAGAACATGCATACATCCTACGACCTGGATGAGGTGGTGAAGCCACCCCAAGGACAACCCTTTCAGGGGGAGCAGAAGTGCTTTCCAGATTCTGCCTCTTGCCCCTTTGTTCAACAAGGTCCACTGATAAATCGGGAGAACACCACCACTCAGACTGATGGCTCCCAGACAAGGAAGAGCTGTCCTGTGTGACTGACAAAAACCCAAGGAATGGGAACTGCCCAAACGCCCACCATAGGGCACTGGCTGTGTCATGGAGGGTTGTCATCCAGTGTAACGCCAGACAGCCATCACAATCAATATCGCAGCCTTCTAGGAGCTGATGGGAAAGAGTCTCTGAGATTTATTGTCAAAATAATGAACATGGAGCAGCAGCTCAGTGGGTAAAACGTGTTCGCATTTATGTCAATAAGATTATATATGTACATATTATTATTAACATTATTTGCCTCTGGGAGGAGGATGTGCTGGGGCTCAAAAAAAAAGCAAGATTTACTTTCTACTATATAGGCTTACATATAATTTTTATTCTGTACCATGAAGCACCTATGGAAAATAAAATAAAAACATTCTGTCCTTGCTGCCCTTAAACTTTTTGCTCACTGGCTGATTTGTCCCTGGAAAGCCAGGGGTGGAGAAAGCAGGTGAAGGAGTGGAATTGATGTGAGCTCATTACTATATGTCTTGGACTACAAGAAGAGAAACTAAAATCTTCTTTAATCTCTTGCTGAACCAGAGGATATAATTTAGGGTAATAATAAGCAGAATCAGTTCACTGAATTTGAATACTTTTAATATGCCGCCATTATAAAATTAAATGTTGTATACCCACGACTTTATAGGAGCCTCCATTCTTAATATAATTTAGAAGGAAATTTATCCAGATTGACCAAATCATCTTGACAGCCAATTGCATTTATTCTATTGAGTATTTGACCGAGGAAGGACTTTTTTAAATATGAGATAATATAGAAAAGGGAGTTGGAAGTAAGATTTAGCATGAATAAAGTACAATGCTGAATACACTTATAGACGATGAGAACTGATTGTTCATGGAAAAAGTGCCCGAAAGAGAACTGTGGCAGTGTCTTTTTGTCTTTGCTAAATAAAGTTAATTTTTTCATTTATCCTGTTATTAAGAGAGCAAATTACTTTTTCTGTAACCTTTGCACTGAATACTTCCAGTATCAATTCACCACTTAAAAATTTCTTTACGTATTAATGCATTAATGTGACTCTCTATAGAAGCCAGAGGGCAGGCTGTGGCAAATGGTGTTTTAAAAAAATAGCCATGGCAGTAGTTCTGGTTCCACATGCTCCTCCAGAAGCTTGCCCCTCCCCATCAGTAAATTGAGTCTATTTTTTCTCGAACCTGGGTGGGCTAGTGACACTTTAACCAATGAGTGTGATGGAGGGATGCTGAGTGACCACTGAGGCCAGGTCATAATAGGGTACAGTTTCTCCTGGCTCGCTCTGTCTCAGTCTCTGCCTCTCTCTTTTTCTCTGTTCTGTCTCTCTCTTTGCCTGTCTTTCTCTTTCTCTTGTTTCTCTCTGTCCTACTCTCTCTCTGTCTCTCTTTATCTTTCTCTCTGTTTCCCTCTGTCTCTCTGTCTCCCTCTGTTTCTCTCTGTCTCTGTCTCCCTCCATTTCTGTCCCTCTGTTTCTGTCCTGTCTCTCTCTCTCTCTGTCCTATTCTCTCTGTCTCTCACTCTCTTCTGGTTTCCTCACCCTGGAATCTGGCTGCCATGTTGTGATTAAGCAGAGGCCACATGAACAGCCCCAGTGGACATTCCCACTGCCAGCCCCGCTGAGTTGGCCATGGCTGTGGCCTGCAGGAGCCTCGTGGGCAAGCGGGGCATCTTCAGGCACTTCCACCTCAGCCCTCCGCCACACCAGTGACAATGAGCGGAGCAGGGATGCCCTGCCTGTGCCTGGCTCAGGGGCTCCAGGATCAAAGTCCTGCCCAAAATGCAGATTCATGAACAAGACCGGTGTTGCTGTTTCATGACTCTGGATTTTAGGTGTTGTGTTCCACAGTGGGGTAACCTTCTCCCAGCCCTCCCACTGCGTCCACACCGGCCTCACCCACCCTCCTCTCATCTGGCTCCTGTCCCTAAGCCCATCTGGGAAGTTGTGTTAGTCTTCTTAGGCTGCCATAACAAAGTGTCACAGATTGAGTGGCCTGAACAACAGGAACATATTGTTGAGCAGTTCTGGGAGCTGGAGGCCTGCCATCAAGGTGTGCCCAGGGCCATGTGCTCTGAAGGTGCCAGGAAGGAGCTGCTTCAGGCCTCTTTCCTGGCTCCTGGTTATTCCTTGGCTTGTGATAGCATCACTACAATCTACACATGCCCTTCTCCCTGAGTATGTGTCTGTCTCTGAGCTTGCTCTCTTTATAGGGACATCAGTCATATCAGAATGCGGCCACCCTAGTTCAGTAAGACCTCATCTCAACTAATTATATTTTCAGTCACCTTATTTCCAAATACGGTCATATTCTGATACAGGGGCTTAGGACTTTAACATATGAGTTTTTAGGGCCCACAGTTCAATCCCTAATGGCAGTGCTACCCCACTTTCTGTTAGAAGCCACAGTCCCCCAATGGTGCAGAGCCCAGCTCCTACACGGCCTCCACTGCACCCATTTCCCCTGCACAGATTGAGAGGTTCCTGGTCATCTTCGCTGCAGGGTGTTAGTTCCTGACCTGGGCTTTGATCTCCCCATTTCATTTTCCAGTAATCTTTCCATTTTCTTTGCAAGGTGAGCGCACCTGCCTGGGACTGCAGCCTGCTCAAGGTTTCTGAATAGCTCTGCTCTGCTGTAGACATTTGCATGCAATGACTGCCTGCTTACTGTACCTTGGTGTATTGAATCTTGCTGGGCCAGATTCACCAGGGAACACATTGCTCCCTATTCTGGGACCCTGCTTTGAAGGTGGATCGCCGCTCTCAGGTTTCTGCATGAGGATTTTTGCTATGGAGCTTGTGCCCTCTAAGTGGGCAAAGCAGGTGCCAGCCCCACCCTGCTCAGGCTCTCTCAGGCTGGGACAAATGCAGTTGCATCTCCTGATGTGCACGCAGCGTTGGGGGGTGTCCAGATGATCTCTGCTGATGTATGTCTGGTGTCTCAAGGTTTAAAGCAGCTAAGTGGCTTCATTTATCACTCTGCAGCCTTGTGCATTTATCCCTTATATAAGGCCCCCTTCTAAGACTTCCAGACACTTCAGATGAACATCAAGCCGTAGATAATTTTAATTGCCTTTGTTTACTGAGTGCTTGCTGTGAGTCAGACTCCGGGCCGAGTGCTATTCATGCATTAACCCAAGGAATGCTTTGTGCGATGGTGCTCTCCACATTCCCACATGAGGAAACTCGGGAATGCAGCAGCCCCTTCTCCCCGGGTCAGCCAGAAGTAGCCAGGAAGCCTGCGCCCCGCTCTCTCTTGTGCACGTTGATTTATGTTGGTACAAAAATCTGCCTAGCCCCTCTTCTCCTATTGAAGCCTGGATAAGAACCTGAATCCTAAATGTCTGGGGGCTTTGCCCTGTGCTCCTCAATCTCCAGGGGTGGCGTTTCTCCCCAGGTGATTCTGTCACACAGGAGGAGGCAGGTGAGAAGCAGCAGGAGTTGACTTGTCCCGCAGGATCCTGTTCCTTGGGTGTCCCTCCCTTAGGTGGCAGTGTGCCACCGTCCTGGCCCCGCGGGCCCCACCAGCCTGCAGTCAAGCGCTGGATCAAATTCTCTTCCCCCATGTCTCCAAGGGGTTTTCCACCTTCATAGTGACAGGGCTAAATCTGGCCACTCAGGATTAGATTTCTGTGAGACTGTAACAGAAACTCCTCTGAAGATGGGCTGGCGGTGGGCGTAGGGGCCCAGGGAGCCTGGAAACCTGGAGCAGGAGGAAGAACGGCGGATCAGTAAGATCAGCAATGGGAAATGAGAGACAGAGGATGGGAGGGGAGACAGGCAGGTGCAGGTGAATGTGTTCTCACTCATCGCCCTGTGGACATGCTGCAGCTGTAATGGGAGCCCAGGGCGGGAACACACGTGTGCGAGTTCACTCCTAACAGCTCTATGTCTGGCCATGGTCTCTCGGGGCGGTGGGCAAATTGAGAGAGGTCAATCAGCAATGCGAGCTCTAGTTTCTATTACTATTTCAATTTTCATGATGAGAAAAGAAAAACATAAATTGTATTAAGGAAACAGGTGGAGAGATCATAAGGCGTCTCCAAGGAATGAAAAACGTCTGTAACATGGTGACGACCCCGTTCCTGCGAAGCTTCCTGCGAAGCTTAACCTGGCCCAATATGCAAGAGACCTGAGAGCTTAGGGACCATCTACGAGCCTCCCCGCAGAACTTTCTCTCTTTCCTGGGATGCATCAGTAGAGAGCCCTCAAGGGATTTGAGTGAAACGTAGAAAGCCACGTCTAAACTGTCTTTGCACGGCCCTTGACTCCTATCAGCCACCTTTAACAGAAAATCATCTTCCCGGGAGGATTTTGAGAACCAAACATAATCAGGATACGAGGCACAAAGTGGAAACTGGACTTTCCTTGACTCCTAAGATGTAGTTGTTCTCTCTTTTTTTTTTTTTTTTGAGACGGAGTCTCGCTCTGTCACCCAGGCCGGACTGCGGACTGCAGTGGCGCAACCTCGGCTCACTGCAAGCTCCGCTTCCCGGGTTCACGCCATTCTCCTGCCTCAGCCTCCCGAGTAGCTGGGACTACAGGCGCCCGCCACCGCGCCCGGCTAATTTTTTGTATTTTTAGTAGAGACGGGGTTTCACCTTGTTAGCCAGGATGGTCTCGATCTCCTGACCTCATGATCCACCCGCCTCGGCCTCCCAAAGTGCTGGGATTACAGGCGTGAGCCACCGCGCCCGGCCGTAGTTGTTCTCTTAAGAATTGGGTAAGATAGGAACAAAGACAAAGAAAACCAAAAATGTTAACAACCAAAAAACCTGAAGAAGCTAATGAAGTATGATTTTCTAGAAGATTCCTATGAAATTAGTATGGGATTCAGGGTGTTCAGATGACTCATGGGAACATATACTTTTAACATTTTCATGCACAGAACCATAGCCCAGCCCTTTCTCGAAACAAAGGCTTGTTTGTGTCTGAAATTGCCATTGAGATGGAAGGTACCCTTACAATCGGCCATCGGGTGACCAAACACCAAAATGCAACTATCGGAAAAGAAAACCAATTTAAACTGGCACTAGTGAGAGTGAACATTCTGGAAACCTAGCTCACAAATGGGGTTTGGTAAGAAGGATTGGGGAGTTAGTTAGCTCGAAAGCTCTGGGTAGCCGAAGGTCCTGGGTGAGGGTAGGTAAGACCAGGGAAGACAGTGTGGCCCTGCAGGCAGTGGGCTTGGCATTTGCCCCAGTGCTGATGAAGGTGGTCTCACAGCCACAGAGGTGGGCAGTGGGGCACATCTGGTTGCATCCACCAGCCCCTGCTCAGACATCTCTGAATCACACCGAGTGTCTGTGGGCGGCTATTACCAAGTGCTAATGCTCTCTCCTGACATCAGCTCCCACTGGGAGGTCTGATAAATGGGCCACATCACCTTCGTTCCCCTCCTTCCTCCTCCTCCTCATCCAAGGCTGCTAAAAACTGTAATGCTTCTCAGGATGTTGCTTGTTATTTCCTTTATCTGTCTTGGTCCCTAGCAGTTTATTTTCTTTTGTTAGAGCCTCTTGATTTTTCAAAGCACACCAGCCAAATGCCTTGAGATACTGTAAGCCACTGATTTTGCATCGGCATGGCTTTGCTCCCAGCCTGTTAGCTACAGTTGCTAGGCTGGCTTCTGCCGCATGTCACAAAGAACTCTGCTAAAGCCTCGGTAAACACTGTTAAGCCCTAAACGGATGATGATAGTGAAATCGGCTCTAAGCTGTGGGCTAATGGAATGATATATTCATTGTGCTGTGTAAGAACAAGGACAAAGAACTGGACACGCGCCAGATTTCATAAGCAAGTTATGCAAAAACCGCGCGAGGTAACAAATGGCTTTGTGTTTCCTAGAAGCTGTCTGCCTTAGCGGAGCAGGGCTTAGTGGGTGCTGCCTTGTCTGCGAACCTCTACAGGCAGACACGAAGTTGTAGTATAGCTGTCTTGGCTTGCTCCTTTTGGCAGCTTCCGACATCTGCCTCTGGCATTTGGAGGTTGTTGAAATCCTTGTGCAGCACAGAGGGAAGTTGTTTGGAAGTGGGTGACCTGGAACTGAAGCTACATGTCAGGGGTTTCTAAGTTATCCCAGTAGGTCTGGCATCCCAAGGAGCACCTCAGTTTAAGGAGGATCACAGGCCCTGCTGTCCCTCTTCAATACAGGAGCATGGGCTGAACTTAAAATTTCTTAAAATACTGGTGATAAAAAACCAAACAACAGTATTTCAATCAGATGCAAATAGGAAAACTTTGTCTTATTCTCCCAAATGAGCATGGTGGGCATTTTAGAATGTGCTGAGGATATGCACTGAAGAATAATCCAAAATGAGCAGAATTTACAGGCAGGAAAGACTTAGATCATTATATTTTGTTCACTGAAAGAGTGGCAAATTACTATTATTCGTAAGTTTAATTGATAAGTGACTAACCTGGCCCCTTCCATGGCTTCCACAGCCCTTTCTTCAAGACACCCCATTCTGTCTTATTCCATAGTAGTTGCAAGCTCGAGATAAATACAAGAAGCATATTGGAATCCACAGTGAATGTTTTTCCCAACAGGACACACATGGTGGTGTCTGGACCCACCCATTTCAAAGTGTCTCCTTCGGGCTAAAAATTCCTAGACCAAGTCATCTGGGGAGTCAGTCTCTTTCCTAACCATAGACATCAGTTGTGGCTGTCTGATATATGATGCGCAGGTGACAGAAGTAGTAGGTAAAATTCCAGAGAACTTGCTATCTTGTGGCAGTGTGGTTTGAGGGGCACAGTAGGACCTTGACAGATTGAAGATCCCTACAACATTGACCTGTGACTCTATGGTCCTACCTTGCTATCTGCTTGGAGGTGTCCTCCACGGAGGCCCCTTTTTATGATGCTGTGTTAGAATTCTGTAACTTCTCAGATGTAAAAGGAAGTCTCAAGGAGATCTAGCTGAGGACTGTGAGGTCATCATGTGTTGTCTGCCACATTCTCACTAAGTGGCCGCACAGTTTCTGCTTGAGTATGTCCCTGAAGAACTCACTGCTTGCTGAGATAACTCAGTCTACATTTCCACTTCTCTGGCTCCTTTTTACACTCAGCATACATATTTTCTCCTATGCCTTATACTCAGTGGTCCTAGTTTTAGCCTCTGAGATAATATAGATCAAGCTAATGGTACCCTTTCTTCTTCTACTTAAGAGGAGTTTTGGCTTTAATTTTGGCTTTAGTCTTTGCTCATTTGGAGACCAAATAAAAATGATTCAGATATACTTCTGATCAAAATCAGCACAAGATATATTTAGATCACTGTGATTTCTGTCAAGGAATAGGTAGGTAATGGTGCAGGCAGCTCAGTTTCCTTTATGCCACAGACTTTCATGCTGTTAACCCCACAGATTTCTGGGCATTGCTCGGGTGTTTCATGGGTCATCAGTTCTTGATTCCAAATATCTCTGATTCTTAGAACCCCTGGATTTTATATGTCAGGGAGACAGCAGCTATAGTTCTCTTAGGCCCACAGCTGAGGAAAGGGCTTCCACTGTCCTCTGGCGAGTCAGTAATGCACTCTTAGAACACAGTCACTATATCCTTATGGAAAATTACTGATCATAAATACTCTCAAATCTGTCTCAAGCTATGGCCCTTGGAGATGAGGATTATAGTCATTTGAATCTTCTCTTAGCTCCTCAGCACAATTTCTGCAGCTATTTCATATGCAGCAAAACTCTTACTGCTGTATTTCACATGCAGCAAAACTCTTACAGCTGTATTTCCTTTCAGCTTGTTCCAGCTTGTCTAGATATTTCCAAAGCATGGCATTTGAAAGCAAACAGACTGATAGTCCAAGTAGGGGGCTGACAAGTTTTCTTTCACGGGCATATTGTTGCCAACAAACATATTAACTTATGATATTACCCTTTTGCAAGGCACCGAGCAGCTGATCCAAAGGAGGTGAGATATAAATCCTGAAAGTTCACACCAGGAAACTCCAATGTGAGAAATGACCATGATATGAACACTGGTGGGAGCCAAATGGGTATTAAAAAGCTCAGCACAGGTGCTACCAATGGGAGGAATGGAAATTCATGTTCGTGAATCACCAATACGTGCCACGCACTGTTCTCGCTCCCTGATATAGTTTGGATGTTTTTCCCCTTCCAAATCTCATGTGGAATTTTGACCCACACTGTTGAAGGTGGGGCCTGATGGAAGGTGTTTGGGTGGTAGGGGATGATCCTTTAAGAATGGCTTTGTGCCATCCTCCTGGCAATGAGTGAGTACTCACTCTATTAGTTTCTGTAAGAGCTGGTTGGTTGTTAAAAAGGCTGACCCCTCTCCCTTTTCTCTCTTGCTTCCTCCCTTGCCATGTCATCTCTGCACATGCCAGCTCTACTTTGCCTCCATCATGAGTGGAAGCAGCCTGAGGCCCTCATCAGAAGCTGACGTTGGTGCCATGCTTCTTGTGCAGCCTACAGAACTATGAGCCAAATAAACCTCTTTTCTTTATAAATTACCCAGGCTTAAGTATTCCTTTATAGCAACGTAAATAGATTAAGACACTCCCCTTATATTGTTAGTTCACATACTCCATCACAGTGTGAATGAAGTATAGCTGTCTCCACCTTACAAAGGACAAAGTGAGGTTCAGAGAAGGTAATTAACTTTCTCAAGTTTACAGCCCAGATTTACAGTCTGTTAGGCATTGTTTTGAAAGTCTGCATGAACACTTACAGTACACTAAGTGTACAGTACACTAAGTTACTTTTGGTTGCTGGATTGTTCAACTGTGTTCTGTGAAATGGGGTGGCTCAACACTGGGCTGCTTGGGAGCAGTTGAGATTTCTCAGCAACTTTTGTGTCCCCGGATTCTACACCATTCCAGAGTCATCCTCTCATTAATGTTTTTAGAAATCTATCTTGAGATGCTTCTCTTGTAGAGTAAGCAGTCCAGATTCTTTTCCCAAACTAAGAAGGATTGTTTGAGGGCCTCCAGCTTTCCAAGTCTGTTTGATTGTTCTACTGCACTTTCCTTCTCCACTCTGCAACTCTGCTCCTGTGACTGTTAAATTCCCTCCACTTGAATGCAACTAAAAAGTTTATCGCAATGCCTTCCCCCACCTTTCTTTCTGGACAAAATATCACCAAGAGAAGGCACTGTGTAGAGAAGATTTTGCTGAAGGTAGGGGAATAATGGAAGTGGTGGAGGAATGTTACATGGCATGATAGCCAACAATACACAATTTAATATTGGCTAGCACCAATATGAGATGCCTGCTACGGAATTTCTACCAGGAAAATCCCGGTGGGATTTCCCTCAAGCCTCATCACCAGTTTTCCACTAGAGGGAAATCCTCTTCCTCTTCATAATCCTTTTGAGCACATGTGCACACACACACATACACACACACACACACACACCTCCTTCAGAAATAAGATTTACAAAGAAAAAAATAAAGTACAACTGTTATATCAGAGTGGTACAATTATGGATTTCTGTCATTATTTTAGATTATCCATGTTGCATAATTCTTCTCTAATGAATATTATTTCTTTCATTGTAAGGAAAAGAAGAAAAAAGGAAGGATTATTTTCAGTTTAAAGGGAAATAATGTAAGAGTTCTTGTTTCAAGGGAACTGGGCCAGAATAATGTTTCTTACCTAGTTGTTCATCGTTGGCTCTTCTGACCTCAAAGGATTCCACGTTTCAATCTTCTTTCTTTTAATGTTTGAGGAGAGCAACTTAGTAGGGGTTCTGATGAAAGAATTTGAAAAATGGACTTTTTATACATGAAGCCTTACCTACTCCTAGAACAGAATCGTGACTGTTCGGCTAGTAATTGCTCTTGACTTCAGGGAAGAAGAGACTTCCTCACTCAGGAAGATGAAGGGCTCACCAATTGTAAAACCAGTTTCAACAACTGATTGGTGTTTAGAACTGTTAGTTCTTACTCCTTCTCTGTAACCTAACTCCTATGAGGGTTCATGGCCCCCTGGTCATATGTTCGAAGATGACAGCAATGGCTGGCTGCTGTTTGGCTTTTAAGATCTTATGCACCAGTTGCGTCCTTCTGGCTGCTCAGCTTGGATTCTGAGCCAGGCCAAAGCATCCTGGACTGGCAGGTGAGGTCCAGAATGTCCCGCAGGAGGCTTCTCAGGCTCCTTTGCAGCAATTGGCCCCAGATTTTCTTAAATGTTTCCTGTGGGTTTTATTTCCTGGGTGCATTTGATGCTTGGTTCTCTCTTCTCTTTTTGAGCCTGTTCCTGCCCTTTTTATATGGCATGTGTGTTTAGTCTCTTTATCTCCAGACTTGGGTGCCAACACCATTCCAGAGTCATCCTCGCATTAATGTTTTTAGAAACATAACTTGAGATGCTTCTCTGTAGAATAAGGAGCCCAGATTGTTTCTCCAAACCACTAATGATGTGTCAAAGGCCTCCCAGTTTTCCTAGTCCGGAAAGATATTAAAGGGGCATAGAGACTGGGATTCAACTTTGACTTAATTACCACATAACTGGTTAGTTGTAACCACTCAGAACCTCAATATCCTCATATTTAAAATGGTTTCATGGCTACTATGAAGAGTGCACGGTATATTGATTATACACATACAATAAAAATAGATACTATTTTTATCATTCAATCAGATTTCCCTCAAGAGCTGTGATGTGAAATTGAGCTGTCAGATTTTTCTACTCTGGAGTAAATTTGATGGTTAACCTTGGCCTGCGGTGTTATTGGAGACATACTCTTGAACCCTGTCTGTTGGCTTCTGCCTCTAACAGCATATGCAGGCCTCATAATGGGGTGCTTGGTATCAAGCTGTTTATTATTCTTTCCAAGCTGACCATAGGGTGCTGAGAACACACAAGGAAATATTGAAGCCTAGCCCACTGGGGTCTCATAATAAAAGGATTTTTTACCTCTTTCCTTTGCAAGATTAAATTTAATAAAAAATACCATTGATTTTTTGTGAAGAAATAAAAAAAAATTTTTAATTATTATAAAACAAAAAATATAGCTCCCACATTTTTCAGCCAGTGAATTACCTTCCCATAGGCAAAGCCACATGGAAAGTCTTATCCTAGTCAGAAAGAATCATGGTGATAATTGATTTCTTAATGCACTGGCCCAGGCATTAGTTAATTTTATCAGAAAGTCATTACAAGAAAATATCTTCTTTATGAAATGAGGCTGGTTTTTATACAGTGCTTTTTATTGCTCGCCTCTTCTTAATCATGCTAAGAAAGCCTTCGAACATTTTCTTATTCAAATATGAATTGTAATACATGGACCATATACAGTATGGTAATATGCAGACTTTATTTCATAATTTTAATCCTTTCACTGGTAGCAGCAGCATTTTAAAACTTTGATCAAAGTAGCTTTGAATCTCTCCTGGGAAAGCATACTGAAAATTAAGAATAAAATTGCCTGCAGGGGTTAAAGGAGATCACAAGACTGCATGTATTTCCAAGGAAACTGTGAAAAATAGTTGAATTCAAGTATCTGTATTTCTACAACTGGGAAGAGTTTTGTAGTTTTCTTGATTATTGTTTTCCTTGACACATTTCAGGCCACCAATCTCTGGTGCACAAAATAAAACAACAGAAAAGTAAAAGTGTATTGGCTCAGACAGTTTTCTTACATTGACTGAGTCTGATTCTATTCATTGAATGATTAACAAATTGTTGAATATTGGACTAGGAAAGAGTCTTAGCTATCCTTTAGGAGCCCCTGCCCCATGTCCTAAGTCAACACACACATCTTGTTTACAGATGAGAGCATGAGAATGCTGGGGCTGAGGAATGAAGAGGCCTTCCAATTCATACAACCGCTGACCCACTGCGTGCTGATCCACGTGTGTCTGTGCTGATGGTGCATGTCATCCCTAGGTCTTGGCCCAACTCTTCCATGTATTTAAAAACATCTTGGGTTAAAATGAGATTACTTGCCTGCAGATACTTGTAACAAAGGATTGTGTGCCGGTTGTAGGGTTCCTCAATAACCTGTTTGATTGACAACAGCGTTATTTTCTGCATGTGATAGGAACATGAAAATAAAGGACTCATAGATATTTCTGGATGCCTGCAGGCAGCAAGAGCATTGCTTTCATCAATGTTCTCCTGAGTGCCCTCAGACGTTACTCAGAACCATTGATCCTGAGCTTGCTGACCCTCTCACCTTCTCTGGCCACATAGATGGCCTCCTTCCATGGTACTGTTGCAGCTGGGGCTCAGCATGGCTCAGAAGAAGTTTTCAGAAAGACATGCCTGATCCGAGGTGCTGTTGGGACCTCAGGGGTATCCCCTCTGAAGATGGAAAAACACCAGAGAAGAACAGGAACCTGAGTGCTTGTTTCAAAGTCATCATCAGAATGTGTGAAACTTGATTCATTTGTTCATTGTTCTCTCCTTCATCCAATATGATTGATGCCCCACATGCCAGCCACTGGATGAAGGCCTCAGAGCTCAGTCAACAAGAGAGACATGATCTGTTTTCCCCCCACATTGGCCATAGGCAGGGCTGGGTGGGTTAAGATAGACAGCAAACCAGTGATTATTGGTCTAACAGGCAGGATCAATGGGAAATTCAATGTCCTCTGGGAATATTAGAAAGGGATGTCAAACCTGAGAGTATGACAATGCCACTCTAAAACCTGGAGGTGAGTGGGGATTAGCAAGAGCAAGAGTAAACACCAGTGGGGCAGACACTGCCTGTGAAACGGCTCTGATGGTGAGGTGGATTCAAGGAGCTCCAAAACCCCTATGTGGCAGGAGTGTCCGGAGCAGAGGGAGGAGGCACGTGGTCCGTCAACAGAGGCAGGCAGTTTGAATTGGATCACCAGCCCAACCTTTCATGCTACAACATAATGTTGTTTATTATTGCCAGTACCGCATGAACACCTTCAGAATCACTTAAAGTCTTATTGGAAAGGCAAAAGACTCATGTATGAAACAGAGAGGCACAATGAAAATGACATAAGGTGGCCAAATGCTTAGCAGGAACAAAGAA
Source organism: Homo sapiens (assembly GCF_000001405.40). Taxonomy (NCBI): domain Eukaryota; kingdom Metazoa; phylum Chordata; class Mammalia; order Primates; family Hominidae; genus Homo; species Homo sapiens. The sequence continues at coordinate 51,655,363 of NC_000007.14, forward strand.
AGTTCTACTGAGAAATCAGGGCAGAGAGGAGAGAAATCCACGGGATGGGTCCACAGTGAAATGAGTTTTAAGATCACATATTAGTTAGGATTGTGTATATTGACATATTTTGTGACTTTCCAGGTGTTTTACAGTCTGGTTCAGGCCCCGCAACAACCTAGTGACTAGGTATTGGTATTTCATATTATCTGCATTTTACCAAATGCAGGAGACTGGGACTCAAAAATTAAGAAATGAGTAAACAGAATGATTGGAAGAGAAGGGATTTGAATCTAAATCTGCCTCACTGGGGGCCTTTGCTCTTAACCAAGAGATCACACACCCACAAGGAACCGAGGCTAAAAAGGCAGTCATTGCTTTCTAGCCCCACCAGTTTTCAGCTCTGAAGAGCAATTGTGACCTTTCCCTGAAGCTGCCATGCCCGCATGGGGGGTTCCCTTGAGGGTGAGGGAGACATTTTATTCAGGATGGGCTGTGCCTCTCTCAAAGGTTACATATAGTGAGTTCTTGATCGTCACACTTACATACGTTTTATGCCATCTGATGGAAAGTTGTGCCTATGTGTGTAGTTTTACAGACTTGGTAAAAAGCAGTGAGTTTATTTGATATGTTAATTCGTTGCAAGCAGACAAGCTAAAGAAAAATAATTGTTAAATATCAGATTTCTCACTGGACTTGTATCTCTTTCACTGATTTTTTTAATTTTTTTTTATTTTGAGGGGAGGGAGAGCTGATTTTAAAAGAGGCAACCATCGAGGTCCAGGTGGAGGAAGGCACAGAAACTGAACCTGTCATTTATTAGTTACTGTCCCCAGGTAAAGCACTTTACGGTTGCTAGAACTTGACAGATGTCTTTATCCTCCAACTTATTACTTTCAAAATGTTAATCATTGGTATCAATCTCTAGATCTGCAAACAATTGCATAGAAATGCAGGTTTACATCTTAATTACCTGACTTGGTTTGGGATTTAGGTCAGAGAACTCAGCATATTTGTAAGGCGTGCCCCTCACGGGAGCTGGAACTTATAAAATTGTAAGCTTTAAGCTGGCCCCTTTTGGATGCTTTGTGAGTACCAACGATTTTCAAAGGTAGTGAGGCATTTCACATAAATATTATTTTAAAGTCAAATTTAGAAACCTGACTAAATGTAACATTTGTCTTCAGTGTTTTATAGATTTCCATTGATTTGCAGCCATTCCCCCTAAGTCATGGAATGATAATATTCATCATCCTGTGGAGTGGTATATCTGGTATAATATTTATAACTACACACACTTGAATATCCCTTAGGTGTATTACTTTATGTAACTTTATATGATACATAAAAGTAATTTACATATTTCATATGCATCATTTCATAGATTCTAAAGGTTAGTCAAGGGAGACTTGGGGTAAGTGCCTGTTCAAGGCCCTCCACCTGGTCTCTCTGGCCTTGGGGCTCAGCCGAAGTCAGGGTCCCCTGTGACTGCTCCCACTGGGTTAGCACAGCCTCCAGACTCTGGGTCCCATGTAAGGCCATGTAGCCTGACTCCAACCTGGCAAGCTTAGCAATAGAGAATGCATCTTTTAGGTCATGTGTTATATTAATTTTATAAAAGCTTGAATTTTAGAATAAAAAATAGGCAGAAAACTTGGAATCAGTACAAGGAACTATCAGAAAGCTTATAGTATACTGAGGATTAAAATGAGAAAAAAAGGAAGAAAATTTGGCCATGACAGTAAAACAGGGGTGGGGGAGGCTTTAAACTTGCTTAATGACCAGAAAGGACAGAAATTAAAAGAAGAGAGTGGAGGCTGGTTTCCAGGGAACAAACCATATAATAAGATGATTGGAACAGTCAGTCTTGCCCTCTACCTTCAGGGAGGGGAGAGGGGCTGGAGATGGACATAGTCACCAGTGGCCATGGATTTCATCAATCGTGCCTATGCCATGCAGCCTTCACAAAATCCCTTAACCACGGGGTTTGGAGAGCTTCTGGCTGGTGAACAAGAATGCATCTTTGAGCCAGGAGGGTGGCGAACAAGAATGCATCTTTGAGCCAGGAGGGTGGCACACCCGAAACTCCACAAGGACAGAAGCTCCTGTGTTCTGCGTTTATCTGAAGAGAATGCTTTTTGAACAAGGCTAAGGTTATGGTGCAGGAGCATCCAAGCAGCTCCTTCCATGGAAGAAGGGAGGTCTAAGTATGGTGCCAGGACCTGGCTTTGCTGATTGCGGAGCTGGGCTGTCTGTTGTAACTGATGTTTCCAGACGAACATGTGATTTTATGGGCCACTGTTGTCTCACATAAGGACTCTTTGAAGATCAAATCGAACTGAGCCAAAGGATGTAAATTTTGGCACCGCTGAAGTTATTGTCTACATGGAAAACCCAATAGTATCTAATATTACAAAATCTCTCTGCTGACAAGCCTAAATACATCCTATGCAGAAGAATGTTTTTTGAGCATGCCATGATAAAAGGCCACAAACATTCAAGGTGATTTTGATTCATGCTACATTTTGCCATTTTACTTAAGTAGTATCTTCCTGCCGCAACAGTTTATCTTCCTGTGCTAGGGAAACAAGTTTCATAAAAAATATAACTACAAAGCATAAATAGGAACATCCTACCCTGACATGGAAACTCTCTTTTAGAGAAGGGAATTTTTGTTTTGTTTTCAAATATTGAGTTATATTGTAAGAAGGCAACACTTGATCTACTTTCAGTGTGGAAGGGTGTTTGGACATCCAAAGATTTAGGAACCTAAGTGAACACACCATTTTCTCCAAACAGTGATTCAAAAGTGCACCTACGTTTTTGGTTGGATTTAAATCTATTCCCAAGAACAATGCCACACATTACACTGGTTTTCTTAGAAACTAAATGCCCATTGCTCCTAAAAATGAGGACTTCAGGGTCAGATTCCACCTGCTGGGCACCATTCCCATGGCTCCTGCCAAGCGGATGTGGGCACTGTCCTCTCACTGGTTCAGCCTGAGGACCAGTAGGAAAAGAGAGAAATGGTTTTCCTGATATCTAACAAATACGACTGAGAATGCTTGCAAGAAATTGAACTTATAATTTATGAAATACTCATGGCAATCAGTCATTTTTTTCTTTGCACTTTTCAGTTATAGAACGTATCTTAAGGCAACTATTAGGCCATTTGAAATCACAGGCAGAAAACAGTAAATACAGCCTGTGGCATTTGCAGGGCCTAATGAAGCAGGTGGCAGAGGCAACTGAACTGAGTAAACTGGGGTGCTTAGGGAGGCTGGTCCCTGAGATCACTCGAAGGATGATCACCAATACACTTGAGCAAGTCAAAGGTTGGATTTCTCACAAAAGTTTTAAAGTACTTTCCAAAGGGAATGGCTGGAGTGGGCTCTCAAGCATCAGAGGCAGGTATGTGCTGCGTGCAGGGCTTGCAGGGAACTGTAGAAGGGCCATTTCTCAGAGCCTGGGATCTCCACAAGGGTCTCTACAGTGGCAAGGGAGTCCTGCTGGGGGCCTTGGACAAGCAGGGACTGCTAACAGTGGGGGCCTTGAGGTCCTCTGACACGGACGGCGCAGGGTTCAACCACTTATGCTGAGGAGCAGCCCTGCCCGAATGCTTATGTGTGTGTCAGGCTCCGTGCAAACACACAAGAGTACCTCCTTGGATCCTCACAAGAACTTTGAGATGCTGATACCATTGTAACCTCATCTTACAAAGGAGAAAACTGAGATGCAGAAGAGTTAAGATATTGGGCAGACGGGCAGATCACGAGGTCAGGAGATCGAGACTATCCTGGCTAACACAGTGAAACCCGTCTCTACTAAAAATACAAAAAATTAGCCGGGCATGGTAGCACGTGCCTGTAGTTCCAGGAACTTGGGAGGCTGAGGCAGGAGAATAGCTTGAACCTGGGAGGCAGCAGTTGTAGTGAGCTGAGATAGCACCACTGCACTCCAGCGTGGGCGACAGAGCGAGACTCTGTCTCAAAAAAAAAAAAAAAAAAAAAAAAAAAAAAAGATATTGGCCAGAGCCAGGAGTGAAATGAGGTCTGTAATGCTGAAGTTTGTGCCCTTAACTCTTGCACCCTCCCAGCTCTCTCCACGGAAGGGACGGACTTCTGCAGTGGGGGGCCCAGCTGCCACGGAGTCTGCAAAATGTCCCCATTCCTGTCCTGTACAGGCTTTCCTTGTCACTTGCTAAAGCAACCCAAACCCAAAGCCTTTGAGGCTGTTACTGCTGCTGGTGGCTCGGATGTTTCACTTTTCTCCAAGGTCATACATAGCTAATGGATTCCCTCTTATTCTTGCATGAAAGTTTAATATTCTTAGGGTTCAAAAGCCATGGAGAGGCAGGATATTTTGCTCTTTAAGCATTATCTATTGATTTCCATGAACCACTATTATATTGGGCGCTTCTGTGGGCAAAGAATGGTGCTAGGACCTGAGCATACAAAAGCAAGACAGACAGTTCTTATTGATACAAGGCATAGAAAGGAAAACTGAAAAAAAATTTCAGTACTTACTCTGGCAGTCTAGACAATTCACTTATCTGTATTGATCTTTAATTCCTCATGTCTTAAATGGGTATAGAAATAGATTTGTGGGATTTGTTTAAAGGATTACTTTTTAAAATATATTTAAAGTCTCCAACACAATGCTGTATGTTGCAATTGTTTCTTAAATGGCAAACAGCTGACATCTTTCAAATCATATAAATAATAAATTAGGATCCTGAGTCACTGTGAGAGCAACGAGAGGAAAAAAATCCACCCCTGGGTGGTGTGATATAAGAGTTTCTTAAACACATAGAGCTTACTATTTTAATATTATATAACCTGGTTCTGCCAGCTTGCCCTGGGCTGTGAAATTATAACTTTATGTTTCATTGTTATTGCGGTATCATTTCACCCCAGACTCCATCCTGCTTAGGCAGCAATGGGCTTTTATGAGAAGTAGACTAACTCAGAGCAAATACAAACAGAGCTTGTGTTCAGCCTCCAAGAAGGCGCAGGATGGGATAGGAGACAGTGATGAAGCATCTCAGAGGAGGCCATCTGACCCAATAGGTGTCAGAAACCATCCTTCCAGAAAGCTCTTGAAAAAATTTTGGGGAGAGGATTCCTGTATTTTCTCTTGGATGCTAATGGCATGCAGCACCACTAAGAAAAATTTTATGTTTTGACTATCTTAGATTTTGGAGTTAATATCAGTTAGGGGATTATAATAGTATGCTATAACAAAGTAGCACAAACTGGGTGGTGCAAGCAACAGATATTTATTGTCTCTCAGTTCTGGAGGCGAGACGTGGAAGACTGAGTGTGAGTGCGAGTTTGCTCCAGGCTCACCTCCAGCCCCTGCGGCCGCTGGCAGTCTTTGGCGTTGGTTGGCTTGGGGAGCCATTGCCCTCACCTCTGCTTCATCTTCACATGTATTCTTCCTGTGTGTGTCTGTGTCCAGATGTCCCCTTTGTATACGTTCTAGCTCAGTATAACCTCATCTTAACTAAAGATATCTGCAGCAACCCTGTTTCCAAATGAGGGGGTTAGGACTTGACCCTATAATTTTTTTAGAGAGGCATATTTCAACCCATAGCAACTAATTCCATTGGGAGTTAAACTGTATTAAGACCACTAAAATCTTCTGGAGACAGACAGCCCCACTCTACCTCAATGTGCTTGCCCCCTGGTCTAGAATTGCACTTCTCAAACTTTAACTTGCACAGGAATCAACCGGAGGATCTGATACAACGTGTCTGGGGTGGGCCCTGAGAGTCTGCGCCTCTAACACGCCCCAACAGGGCAATGCCCATGGTGGGTCCAGGGACCCACTCAGGGAGGCAAGGGCCCATCCTCTCTGAAGAACATCCATAGGGTGAGAAGACAGATTTGCAGAAGATACTCAGAAGGAAGGGTAAGGAGGGAAGGAAGCCTGTTCCGGCAATCTAAATGCCTATGTGATTCCAGCAGCCCTTGATGCTCAGGTGATGGCGAGAGGAGCACAAGCTGGGTCTGCGCTCAGCAGAAGCAGGTACACAGCTGCAGGTGCATATGCTAATGGTCATTAACAAGCCCGTCATGGCCCAATTTCTCTGTCCATCCCACATCACATCATTAGCCAGACAAATCACGTCAGGCTGCTTATTCCAATTGGCACAATCAGCAGGGCCTGATGAGCTGCAGACAGAGTTTCAGAGCCAGAAAGGACTTTGAGTTGATGGGGCCCAGTCATCCCTTCCAGGTGAGGTTCCAGTTCGCAGGACTAACAACTGTCCTGAAGGTGGCAAGGGCAGCACTGGCCTTTGATGCAGTGCCCGACCCCTTCCTTTATACCCCTGCTGCGTTAGGAGACAGAGGCAAGACCCCTAATTGTGCCCTAATAAGAAAATTGTGCCCTAATAAGAAAATTCCTCCTTGGCTCTTCAGCCAATAGATCAAATTTATGGAAAACAAGAGATTGAATGTTCATAAAGGAAGAAAGCCCAGGCGGCCAGCAGGGTTGAGGCACCCAGAGCTGGCACGGGGCCTGCACACACAGCAGCCACGGAGGTGCTGCCAAGGAGGCTCCTTTGCAGCCCCCAACCCCCATTTCTCAGTAGCTTTCTCGACAATGCCCACCTGCAGTGTCCCCAGTGGAAATGCAATAAGTTAGTTAAAGTAAGGACGCCATGTCAAAATCAAATAACAGAAGGCAAATGGGAAAATAAGGTAGCAGCCATTCACCACTTGGTATAAAGTTCATGAGAAAATCCTTCCCTACATAAGGAAATGATCTTCCAAGTCTCTGCTGGCTGAGCATCTCTGGTGCTTAGGAGACAGAGTGCTTGTGTCCTTTAGGAGAGGAAGATTTGGCCATGAGCCCTGTGAGAAAAGAAGATGCATCAAACCTCAAGGTCCCCCTGCATCTTGATGGCACCGTCAGGGTTTCAACTGAAAAATGGTTTATCTATTCTACAGTGCTGTTTCTCCTGAGATACAATTTGGAGGGGAGATTGAGGGCACAGGTTGCAGGCAGGGTGATGGGGTGGCACAGGGTCGGGGATCTGGAGGTCACCAGAGCCAAGAGCTCAGCAATGGGAGAAGCAAACTGAGCTGGGGGAATGATGGTGCCACTGCAGGGCTGCAAAAGACGCTGACTTTCACCACTGTCCTCTCAGCTTAATTTCAAGACGCTTGTCAATGGATATGATCTCAATTTAGCAAACTGCTTATGAACAGAGGTCCTAGGATGAAAATGATGGAACACACAATGTGAAATCGGGTAGGACAGAATCCTAAGCCCCTCTTGTCACTCTCTGGCTGTGCAACCTGGGACAAATCCCTAATAGTCTCAAGCCTTTTTTTCTCCTCATTTACAAACAAGGATCTACATTACTTTCTTGCAAGCTTTTTGAGAGGATCAACTAAAGTTATTTCCATCAAGTGCAGAATGTAGGGCAGCAAGTGGAGTGGCAGTATTGTGACCAGGGGAGTTCCAGTGCAGTTCAGTAAAAAGCCTTAATTATGCATGATTAAAACTACAATCTTCTTACTTTCGTTCACAATGGGTATTCTGGAAGAACTTCTTCATGGACTGATCTTAAGATTTGTTGACTAGTTGGAGTAGGATGGCACCGACGTATCGTCAGTAGCAGAGCTTGTAAGATGCTTAGTACAGTGTGCTGCCTAGGTTTTCAATGACATAGTCTGTCTGGCATTTTTTTCTTCAAGATAGCACTAAAGCAGTGGTTATCAAGTGGGGTGATTTTGCCACCTCGCTGAAACCCCTTTCATTGACCCTATTTGGCCATGTCTGAAGAAATGTATTGTTGTCAGTACTAGGGTGGTGCTACTGGCATCTAGTGGGTACTGGCCAGAGAGGCTGCTAAATATCACACAATAGGGGAGACCCCATAACAAAGAATTACCTGGCCCAAAATGTCAATAGCACCATGGTTGACAAATCCTAAAGTAATTCAACCAGATAATATTAGAATTATCTAAGTCTCCTTCAATTAATAGGATATGTATTCATAAGCCTTAAGGAATTTCTCCTAATAGTATTTATCTATTTATATGCATACATAGGTTGCCACTCTATGACATTTATTTATTTATTGATGAACATTTGTTTATTACTATTTTTAAGTGTATTTTTATTTCTTAGTTGTTTTAATTTTAAATTGATACATATTGTACATATTCATTGGGTATATAATGAAGTTAAAATACATATAATATATAGTGATCACATCAGGGCAATTAGCACATGCCTCATCTCAAACCTTTATAATTTCTTTGTGTTGGGAAAATTAAATATCCTTCTTGTTCCTATCTGAAACTATATAATATGCTATTGTTAACAATAGTCATTCTACAGTGGTACAGAATGCTAGGACTTATTCCTCTTGTCTAGCTGTAGTTTTATATCCTTTAATTTTTCCTTCTTCCCCCTGCCTTTCCCTGACTCTAGCATTATCTGTTCTGCTTTTTACTTCTATGAATTCAGCTTTAAATTTAGCTTCCACATATGAGTGAGAACACAGTGTTTAACTTTCTGTTCCTGGCTTATTTCACTTAATATAATGTCCTCCAGTTCCATCGATGTTGCCAAGAATGACAGGAGTTCATTCTTTTTTTATGACTAAATAGTATTCCAAGATACATGTGAAACTACAACTACATGCCTGTAATGTTTCATGCCCTTCAAAAGTGAGGAAAATAATCAAAATATGTGTATCTCAGAAAAGAGCTACAAACAGTTACACACTAAAGATGTGGACTTTCACATCCAGTTACGCTTGAGACAAACTGAACTAAAACCTTGACATATTTTTAGACTTTTCCCTAAGATGCCATCAGAATTTCAAACTTGCCAATATCATTTAGTTTGTATTTTTGCATTTGTTGTAATGATTAGGTAAGGACCTATACCAGAGGAGCAAAACCTTGTTGAAATGTGAACACCGGCTGTTGACAAGGTTTGCTTCGTTTCCCAGAGGCTGAGATTAAATCTGTGCTTTAACAACGTTTCTTATTGTAAATACCATGAACAACTGGGCTTACTTCCACATAGAGGGAATTTATGACACCAAAAACTACCTGGTCAACATGGCAAAATCCTGTTTCTTCTAAAAATACAAAAATTAGCTGGGTGTGGTGGCGCACGCCAGTAATCCCAGCTATTCGGGAGGCTGAGGCACGAGAATTGTTTGAACCCAGGAGGCAGAGGATGCAGTGAGCCGAAATGGCACCACTGCACTCCAGCCTGGGTGATAGAGTGAGACCCTGTCTCAAAAAAAAAAAAAATTCAATTCTAATCATGAAAAACCGAACTTTAAGATTTACTTCTGTATAAATTTAAGAAATATTTTTTGTTTTCCTACAGCATGCATGCTAGGCTTCTCTGGAAAACACACCCAACCTCACGTGCATTGTCCCTTGTCTCCTTATGCTTCCATTCCAGTGGAGCAGATGGATGTTTAACATGGAATTGCAGGTGAGCAGGTGAGGGTGTAGTTTAGCATTATTTGCATGATGCTAATAATCGCAAAGGCAGTAGAAGGAATATCACCAGCTGTCATAGTGTTCTTCCAAAGAAAAGACACAGAGAGCCCCATGAGTTGAGAGGACCTGTGATTTCTCACGGGCCAAGGAAGTCAAGAGTGTTATCAAGGCAATGATGTGTTTTCAGCGGGCATTGTGTGTGGAGCAGGAGCACAAATGGACAATTAGGGAAAAATCCTAGTGTTGATCTGAAGCCGATGGCATATTTTCTGCAAGAGAAGCTATGTTCCTTGGGGGAAACATCCTGTGAAGCAAAACTGAAGTCAGCTACTGTGAAATTTAATTGGTTGCCCCCCATTCCTTAGTGTTGCATTGAATTGTTAGGTGCCACTATTGCCCATAGTGGCGAGGTCTGGCGAAATCTGCTGTGAGTCATGGCATGGTTTCCTGTACCAGTAAACGAAGGTTCACTGGAGAAATGCTGCATTTGATCGATGTATCATCTTAAATCTAGAATGTGGTGCTGCTACCAGACTCTACATTTTCCTTGGGGATATTAGTTGTTACATGCAGAGTGTTAAGCAATAAGCTATATTTATTTTTGAAATTTTGGGGTATGTCTTGTTTTCCCTAAGATGCCATCAGAATTTCAAAATAGCTTCTTTGTTCAAGGACCAGATGAAAGCAGCAGTTTGCCAGAATTTGAATTTCCCTTCACAGCAGCCAGCAGCAAGCCTGCGCAGTGGCCTTTTGTGAACATAAAGACATCTTCAAAATAGAACTAGAGTGTTTTCCAGGCAGCTTTAGGGAATGAATTGGAGTTAAAAGTGACTTAAACGTCTTGTGGCTAATTTCTTCCTTTTTTTTCAAGTTCAATGATTGGCATTTGCCACTATTTACATTCTCCAGAAATAATGATCCAGCTGAAAAATTAAAAACAAATCTCATCTCAAGCACCATTTCTGGGAGTTTCTAACAATGCCTTTTAAATATTCTTTCCCTCCGGGGCTGAGAGACAAGAAGACTGAGAGAAGATGGAATCTTAGGCTTCCTTCCTTTCCTGCTTGAAGAAAGCGGAGCCAAAAGAGCTGAAATTCATAAGAAATCGATTCCTTCTTCATTCAGATCCTTATCGAGAACTCAATTAATGGCTTGCTAAATCTGAGCCTGCTCAATTACATTTCTCGGACCATCACTAAAAATTTAAGTATCTTTAATTAGTTTTTATTGAAAAACATAAATAATGTAAGTATTGACTCTCTTGGATTTAAGTTTCAGCTATTGGAAATTGTAAGGCATTGAGGCACTTTCATTATTGCCTCCAAGTGTCTGGTGAATCACTGTGGGATGGCTTTTTAAAGATATCCTATAAAAATTTCCTGGTCTGTTATACGAGGTACCGCTAAAAGCATACTCTCCTTGTAATTGTGAGCTTAACAGTTTTAAACTGTTTTCATGTTGGCTGCATGAGGGGAAAAGGAAATCTACATTTTTATTCTCTTTTATTCCTTGACCTTGAACAACACCCTATCTCTTGCTGCAAAAGCCTTGATTCCTATGGCTAGAACTCCACGTATTTTACAGGACTGGTCGAATGCAGCAAGCTGTCAAGGTGTCAGCCAATCTGCTTCAAGTGGCACAGGACACAGAACACTGACACCTGAGATTCCTAAGTGAGCTGCACTGAGCTCATGGCTGCCACTCAAGGTTGTTAATCTGTGCTTTACGAGGGTACTTTCTCTGAACCAAATATTTGGTTAGAAGGCTAGAATTAAACTTTCTAATTATGAATTGGAATGCATTCTTGAATATTTAGCTTTTGGCATGCAAAGCTGATTAATAACCAACCATTCAAAGACAGATTAACTGTTGGAGCTCACCATCCACCCCACCCCCCATAACCTGTCTTGCTGTTTGTTTTTCCTTCTGAAACATTCCAGGAAACTCTGGAGGCTTGCAAATTGTCCAGCAACATGCCCGCTATATGATTCCTTTCCAAATAGCTTGTGCGTTTATATTGAAAATAAATCTACTATTGACTTGTAAGAATAATTTCAGCATTGAAAACCGTGGTTAGGAAATAAAGGCTGTATCCTGGCATCCTGGCAGTCCAGGAAAGTGGTCTGGTCCTGGAGAAGGGAGGCGGTATGCTGAGTCGTGCTGATAAACTGGTCTGTGCCTTCCCAGATCACAGTCTCTCTTTCCAGGCTGCACACACATTATTTCTCTGAAGATGGAGCCAGAGATATTTCACAAAGACAGAAGGGTTTATGAGAAAAGAAGAGCAGATAAACTCATATCTTTTCTCAAAAAGTACTGATAAGCCATGTTTTTCTTACTTGCAATTTTGGAATTGGACATCAGTAGCTCATTCGTTATCCACAACTGTCATTCAAATCAATTAATTAAAATAATTATAAGTACATCTTAACGATAAAAATAGATTTACTTCTCCTTCACTTTCTTTTAAACGAACATCTTTTACACAGCCACATCTAACAGCAAAGATGTATTACATTGTTTAAAATCTTTTGTCTTGTTTGTATCATCATATTCTTTATTTCCTTGGAGTTACTGTTTAGTATTTTAGTGAGACTTTAAAAAATGCAATTTCTGTTTGCTGAAAGCCTATCTCTCTCTCTCTTTTCTTCCTTCCTTCTTACTATCTCTCTGCCCTTTCTTATAATTTTTTAAAGAATACTTCCTTCAACTCTCTCATTGTCTATCCTCTGATACAGGCAATATTACTGTTGTTGGTCATAAAGAGAGACTATTGCAGGAAACAACCAAAATACTTATATTTTGATTTAAAAATTGAATTCCTAAAAAGAAAATGGACACTCTTTCTTGGCCGGCTTATCTCTCAGAGGGAAAGAAACTTATAACCTGACTGATTTGACTACAGTTTTTTTATATTGCTTAGCTTTTTGTTTTAAATTGATCAAAGTTCTGACACTTCACAATATATTTCTTCAATGCTTTCACTATCACCTTAATCTTAGAATTGTTCAATTCATTGCATACACTAAAATCAATAAAACCTTTGTCTGGAAAAGAATTAAATGATGGTGTGGTCAAATCAGATTTTCCTGTTTTCAGCTTCTTTTAAAATAGCATCTATTAGGGTTCCTGCTAGTGTCAAAAAGAACTGCCTAATCTTGAAAATGAGAATAAACACGAAGTTGCAAGAATGTTCATTACAGATCCTGTCTTGTAAGAATATACTCTCTCTATATATGTATACATATGTACCATAAACATATACGGGTATACATGTATATTCCTTGCCTACCAATACCATAAATACAATCTAATGTACCATATGAGGTATCTACTATACACATATACTGCTTATCTCTGTGAATAAAAAAATGAATTAATGCTTTCATACCTAGACCTTTCAAATATGAACACACCTTACCCTCTGATTGGCTCTCTGGGCTCTGAGTTAGCTGTGGAGCCTGAAAGTGAATCTTCAGAGAGCCAATCAGTGGGTAAGATGTGTTCCAGGAAACTTAGCTGCTTTAGCTATGGCACAGCCGATCTTCCATGTACCATGCCTCATACATAGGCTAGGTCAGAAAGCAGAGGCCTTGAAACTAACTTGAAGATGGGTGGTTGGAACTTCTATGTGCTCTAGGGAGATAAGGACACATTTTGAGGAGGGAAGAGATGTGATTTACATCTGCGCACTAACACCAATGTGGAGAATAGCATGGACTTCCTATGAATGTGCCACTAACAGTTCCCACATGTTTGCCCTTTAATGTGCTTAAGACATTGTAGCATTTTTATGTCTTGGTTCCAGTAGCCTACTGGTTGAGTCGCAATGGCTCAGGGTCACCTTCTCTGATTTGTCAATTATGCCAGTGTGCATTGTCTTAAGATGGCATGAAGGATAATCTCAAAATCATTTGTCCATGAAATTCTTTAATGTTGAGTATCTCAGAAGATACATAAGAGACTTAAGTATAACATAAGTTTATTCATTCAGTCAGTCAGTCACTTATCCATTTATTTGTTGATTCATTCCAGAGCTATTTACTGAGCACCAACTATGTGCCAAGCACTAAATAAGGCACTGAGGACACAAAGAAACACACTTTGGTAATCAGGGTGAAAACACATCAAAGCCTGAAAAGAAGCCCACTGGCTGTTAGCTACCTTCTAGAAAACCACTCAGATCATGTTTTCCTCAAATGCACAAATTCAGAAATAAAAGAGGACATATTACAACAGATGCCTCAGAAATAAAAATGGTCATAAAGAAGGCCTATTATATGACTATTATATATCAACAAATGGGATAATGTAGGAGTAATGGATAAATTCCTGGAAACACATAACCTATCAAGATTGAATTGGGAGGCAATAGAAAACCAGAACAGATCAATAACAAATAAGAAGATTGACAGGGTAATTTAAAAACCTTCCAATAAGGAAAAGCCCAGGACTATATGGCTTCTACCAAACATTCAAAGGAGAAGTAATACCAATCCTTCTTAAACTCTTCCAGAAAATTAAAGTACAGGGAATGCTTCCAAGCTCATTTTATGAGGCCAGAATCACCCTGATATCAAAGTCGGACAAAAGCACCACAAAAAAAAAAAAAAAACAAAACTGCAGGACAATATCTCTGATAAACATAGATGCAACAATCATCAAGAAAATACTAGCAATCAAGAAAATACTAGCAAACTGAATTCAACAGCACATCAAAAAGATTATACCCCATGACCAAGTGGAATTTATCTCTGAGATGCAAGATTAGTTTTATATATGCAAATAAATCAATAAGATGTACCACATTAATAGAATAAAAGATGAAAGCCACATGATCATCTCAACACATGTGGAAAAAGAATTTGATAAAGTTTAACAACCATGCATGATAAAAAAAACTCTCAACAAAATAGGTATAGAATGAAAATTTATTTACTATTATGTAATGGCCTTCTTTGTCTCTTTTGATCTTTGTTGGTTTAAAGTCTGTTTTATCACAGACTAGGATTGCAACCCCTGCTTTTTTTTTGCTTTCCATTTGCTTGGTAGATCTTCCTCCACCCCTTTATTTTGAGCCTATGTGTGTCTCTGCACGTGAGATGGGTTTCCTGAATATAGCACACTGATGGTCTTGACTCTTTATCCAATTTGCCAGTCTGTGTCTTTTAATTGGAGCATTTAGCCCATTTACATTTAAGGTTAATATTGTTATGTGTGAATTTTATCCTGTCATTATGATGTTCGCTGGTTATTTTGCTCGTTTGTTGATGCAGTTTCTTCCTAGCCTCAATGGTCTTTACAATTTGGCATGTTTTTGCAGTGGCTGGTACTGGTTGTTCCTTTCCATGTTTAGTGCTTCCTTCAGGAGCTCTTTTAGGGCAGGCCTGGTGGTGACAAAATCTCTCAGCATTTGCTTGTCTGTAAAGTATTTTATTTCTCTTTCACTTATGAAGCTTAGTTTGGCTGGATATGAAATTCTGGGTTGAAAATTATTTTCTTGAAGAACGTTGAATATTGGCCCCCACTCTCTTCTGGCTTGTAGAGTTTCTGCCAAGAGATCAGCTGTTAGTCTGATGGGCTTCCCTTTGTGGGTAACCCGACCTTTCTCTCTGGCTGCCCTTAACATTTTTTCCTTCATTTCAACTTTGGTGAAACTGACAATTATGTGTCCTGGAGTTGCTCTTCTCGAGGAGTATCTTTGTGGTTTTCTCTGTATTTCCTGAATCTGAATGTTGGCCTGCCTTGCTAGATTGGGGGAGTTCTCCTGGATAATATCCTGCAGAATGTTTTCCAACTTGGTTCCATTCTCCCCGTCACTTTCAGGTACACCAATCAGACGTAGATTTGGTCTTTTCACATAGTCCCATATTTCTTGGAGGCTTTGTTCATTTCTTTTTATTCTTTTTTCTCTAAACTTCTCTTCTCACTTCCTTTCATTCATTTGATCTTCCATCACTGATACCCTTTCCTCCAGTTGATTGAATCGGCTACTGAGGCTTGTGCATTCGTCACGTAGTTCTCGTGCCGTGGTTTTCAGCTCCATCAGGTCCTTTAAGGACTTCTCTGCATTGGTTATTCTAGTTAGCCATTCGTCTAATCTTTTTTCAAGGTTTTTAACTTCTTTGCCATGGGTTCGAACTTCCTTTAGCTCGGAGTAGTTTCATCGTCTGAAGCCTTCTTCTCTCAACTCGTCAAAGTAATTCTCCATCCAGCTTTGTTCCGTTGCTGGTGAGGAGTTGCATTCCTTTGGAGGAGGAGAGGCTCTCTGATTTTTAGAATTTTCAGTTTTTCTGCTCTGTTTTTTTCCCCAATTCAACAAGAAGAGCTAACTATCTTAAATATATAGGCACCCAATACAGGAGCACCCAGATTCATAAAGCAAGTCTGAGAGACCTACAAAGAGACTTAGACTCTACACAATAATAATGGGAGACTTTAACACCCCACTGTCAACATTAGACAGATCAACGAGACAGAAAGTTAACAAGGATATCCAGGAATTGAACTCAGCTCTGCACCAAGCAGACCTAATAGACATCTACAGAACTCTCCACCCCAAATCAACAGAATTTACATTCTTTTTTTATAGAAAAATTATTTACTTTAAAAATTGATACATACATATCAATTATACATATTGTAATTATACATATTTTAAGGATACAATTCTTTTCAGCACCACACAACACGTATTCCAAAATTGACCACATAGTTGGAAGTAAAGCACTCCTCAGCAAATGTAAAAGAACGGAAATCATAACAAATTGTCTCTCAGACCACAGTGCAATCAAACTAGAACTCAGGATTAAGAAACTCACTCAAAACAGCTCAACTACATGGAAACTGAACAACCTGCTCCTGAATGACTACTGGGTACATAACGAAATGAAGGCAGAAATAAAGATGTTCTTTGAAACCAATGAGAACAAAGACACAACATACCAGAATCTCTGGGACACATTCAAAGCAGTGTGTAGAGGGAAATTTGTAGCACTAAATGCCCTCAAGAGAAAGCAGGAAAGATCTAAAATTGACACCCTAACATCACAATGAAAAGAACTAGAGAAGCAAGAGCAAACACATTCAAAAGCTAGCAGAAGGTAAGAAATAACTAAGATGAGAACAGAACTGAAGGAAATAGAGACACAAAAAACCCTTCAAAAAATCAGTGAATCCAGGAGCTGGTTTTTTGAAAAGATCAACAAAATTGATAGACTGCTAGCAAGACTAATAAAGAAGAAAAGAGAGAAGAATCAAATAGACGCAATAAAAAATGATAAACGGGATATCACCACCGATCCCACAGAAATACAAACTACCATCAGAGAATACTATAAACACCTCTATGCAAATAAACTAGAAAATCTAGAAGAAATGGATAAATTCCTCGACACATACACCCTCCCAAGACTAAACCAGGAAGAAGTTGAATCTCTGAATAGACATTGGTCTATTCAGGCTCTGAATTTGAGGCTCTGAATTGTCAATAACAGGCTCTGAAATTGAGGCAATAATTAATACCTTACCAACCAAAAAAAGTACAGGACCAGATGGATTCACAGCTAAATTATGCCAGAGGTACAAGGAGGAGCTGGTACCATTCCTTCTGAAATTATTCCAATCAATAGAAAAAGAGGGAATCCTCCCTAACTCATTTTATGAGGCCAGCATCCTGATACCAAAGCCCGGCAGAGACACAACAAAAAAAGAGAATTTTAGGCCAATATCCCTGATGAACATCAATGCAACAATCCTCAATAAAATACTGGCAAACCGAATCCAGCAACACATCAAAAAGCTTATCCACCATGATTAAGTGGGCTTCATCCCTGGGATGCAAGGCTGGTTCAACATACGAAAATCAATAAACGTAATTCAGCATATAAACAGAACCAACGACAAAAACCACATGATTATCTCAACAGATGCAGAAAAGGCCTTTGACAAAATTCAACAATGCCTTCATGCTAAAAACTCTCAATAAATTAGGTATTGATGGGACTTATCTCAAAATAATACGAGCTATCTATGACAAATCCACAGCCAATATCATACTGAATGGGCAAAAACTGGAAGCATTCCCTTTGAAAACCAGCACAAGACAGGGATGCCCTCTCTCACCACTCCTATTCAACATAGTGTTGGAAGTTCTGGCCAGGGCAATCAGGCAGGAGAAGGAAATAAAGGGTATTCAATTAGGAAAAAGAGGAAGTCAAATTGTCCCTGTTTGCAGATGACATGACTGTATATCTAGAAAACCCCATAGTCTCAGCCCAAAATCTCCTTAAGCTGATAAGCAACTTCAACAAAGTCTCAGGATACAAAATCAATGTGCAAACAAATCACAAGCATTCCTATACACCAATAACAGACAAACAGAGAGCCAAATCATGAGTGAACTCCCATTCACAATTGCTTCAAGGAGAATAAAATACCTAGGAATCCAATTTACAAGGGATGTGAAGGACCGCTTCAAGGAGAACGACAAACCACTGCTCAACAAAATAAAAGAGGATACAAACAAATGGAAGAACATTCCATGCTCATGGGTAGGAAGAATTAATATCACGAAAATGGTCATACTGTCGAAGGTAATTTATAGGTTCAATGCCATCCCCATCAAGCTACCAATGACTTTCTTCACAGAATTGGAAAAAACTAAAGTTCATACAGAACCAAAAAAGAGCCTGCATTGCCAAGTCAATCCTAAGCCAAAAGAACAAAGCTGGAGGCATCATGCTACCTGACTTCAAACTATACTACAAGGCGACAGTAACCAAAACAGCATGGTCCTGGTACCAAAACAGAGATATAGATCAATGGAACAGAACAGAGCCCTCAGAAATAATGCCACATATCTACAATTAGCTGATCTTTGATAACCCTGACAAAAACAGGAAACGGGGAAAGGATTTCCTATTTAATAAATGGTGCTGGGAAAACTGGCTAGCCATATGTAGAAAGCTGAAACTGGATCCCTTCCTTACACCTTGTACAAAAATTAATTCAAGATAGATTAAAGACTTAAATGTTAGACCTGAAACCATAAAAACCCTAGAAGAAAACCTAGGCAATACCATTCAGGACATAGGCATGGGCAAGGACTTCATGTCTAAAACACCAAAAGCAATGGCAACAAAAGCCAAAATTGACAAATGTGATCTAATTAAACTCAAGAGCTTCTGCACAGCAAAACAAACTACCATCAGAGTGAACAGGCAACCCACAGAATGGGAGAAAATTTTTGCAACCTACTCATCTGACAAAGGGCTACTATCCAGAATCTACAATGAACTCAAACAAATTTACAAGAAAAAAACAAAGAACCCCATCAAAAAGTGGGCAAAAGGTATGAACAGACACTTCTCAAAAGAAGACATTTATGCAGCCAAAAGACACATGAATAAATGCTCATCATCACTGGCCATCAGAGAAATGCAAATCAAAACCACTATGAGATATCATCTCACACCAGTTAGAATGGCAATCATTAAAAAGTCAGGAAACAACAGGTGCTGGAGAGGATGTGGAGAAATAGGAACACTTTTACACTGTTAGTGGGACTGTAAACTAGTTCAACCATTGTGGAAGTCAGCGTGGCGATTCCTCAGGGATCTAGAACTAGAAATACCATTTGACCCAGCCATCTCATTACTGAGTATATACCCAAAGGATTATAAATCATGCTGCTATAAAGACACATGCACACATATGTTTATTGCGGCACTATTCACAATAGCAAAGACTTGGAACCAACCCAAATGTCCAACAATAATAGACTGGATTAAGAAAATGTGGCACATATACACCATGGAATACTATGCAGCCATAAAAAATGATGAGTTCATGTCCTTTGTAGGGACATGGATGAAGCTGGAAACCATCATTCTCAGCAAACTATCACAAGGACAAAAAGCCAAACACTGCATGTTCTCACTCATAGGTGGGAATTGAACAATGAGAACACATGGACACAGGAAGGGGAACATCACACACTGGGGCCTGTTGTAGGGTGCAGGGGGTGAGAAGGATAGCATTAGGAGATATACCTAATGTTAAATGACAAGTTAATGGGTGCAGCACACCAACATGGCACGTGTATACATATGTAACAAACCTGCAGGTTGTGCACATGTACCCTAAAACTTAAAGCATATTAAAAAAAAAGAAAATTTCTTAACACAATTAAGGCCATTTATGAAAAGCTCACAGTAACATCATAATCCATGGGGAAGAACTGAAAGCTTTTCCTCTATGACTGGGTACAGGGTAAGAATGCCCACTCTCACTATTTCTATTCAGCAAAGTACTAGAAGTACTAGCAAGGGCAATTAAACAAAAATGAAGAAAAAGTCATTCACATTAGAAAATAAGAAGCAAAATTATTTGTTTTCAGGTGACAAGATTCTATGTGTATGTGGAGAAAACCTAAAGATTCTACAAAAAATTATTATAACTAATATATGACTTCAGTAGACTTGCAGGATACAAAATCAACATATAAAAATTGGTTGCCTTTCTTTTTTTTAAGTTTTATTTTAAGTTCAGGGATACATGTGCAGGTTTGTTACATAGGTAAACTTGTGTCATGGGAGTTTGTGTACAGATTGTTTCATCACCCAGGTATTACGCCTAGTACCCATTAGTTATTTTTCCTTATCCTCCCCCACCTCTCACCCTCCACCCTTTGAAAAACCCCAGTGTGTTTTCTTTTCGCTCTATGTGTTCATGTGTTCTCATCATTTAGTCCCCACTTATGAGTGAAAACATGTGGTGTTTGGTTTTTCCGTTCCTGCATTCGTTTGCTGTGGATAATGGCCTCTAGCTCCATCTATGTCCCTGCAAAGGACATGATCTCATTATTTTTTATGGCTGCATAGTGTTCCATGGTGTATATGTACCACATTTTCTTTATTCAGTCTGCCACTGATGGGCATTTAGGTTGATTCCATATCTTTGCTATAGTGAATAGTGCTGCAATGAACACACGTGCATCTGTCTTTATAACAGAATGATTTATACTCCTTTGGGTATATACCCAGTAATGGGATTGCTTGGTCAAGCAGCATTTCTGTCTTTGGGTTTTTGAGGAATCGCCACACTGTCTTCCACAATGGTTGAACTAATTTACAGTCCCACCAACAGAATATAAGTGTTTCGTTTCTTCACAACCTCGCCAGCATCTGTTATTTTTTGACTTTTTAATAACTATTCTGTGTGAGATGATATCTTATTGTGGTTTTGATTTGCATTTCTCTAATGATTAGTGATGTTGAGGGTTTTTTCATATGATTGTTGACCACATACATGTCTTCTTTTGAGAAGTGTCTATTCGTGTCCTTTGCTTGCTTTTTAATGGGGTTGTTTCTTTCTTGTAAATTTGTTTAAATTCCTTATAGATGCTGAATATTAGACCTTTGTCAGATGCATAGTTTGCAAAAATTTCTCCCATTCTGTAGATTGTCTAGGTACTCTGCTAATAGTTTCTTTGCTGTGCAGAAGCTCTTTAGTTTAATTAAATCCCATGTGTCATTTTTTGTTTTTGTTGCAGTTGCTTTTGATGCCTTTGTCATGAAATCTTTGACCGTGCCTATGTCCTGGTTGTCTTTCTTTAAACCAACAACAATTTAACTGAAAAAGAAATCAAGAAAACAATTCCATTTGCAATAGCATCAATAAAATACTTAGAAATAAATTTAACCAAAGAAGTGAAAGATTTTACACAGAAGGTGGTAAAACATTGATTAAAGAATTTGAAGAAGACACAAATCTTATGTTCATGGATTGGAATAATTTATATTGTTAAAATGTCCACACTAACCCAAAGCAACCTACAGATTTCATGTAAACTCTATCAAAATCCCAATGACATTTTCCATAGAAAGAGAAAAAACAGTTCTTAAATATGTATGGGACTACGAAAAAACCCCCAATAGGTAAAGCAATATTGAGCAAAAAGAACAAAGCTGGAGGCATCAAACTTCCTGATTTCAAATTATGTTACAAAGCAATAGTAATCAAAAAAATATGGTACTGGCATATAGATAGACATATAAACCAATGGGACAGAATAGCCCAGAAATAAGCCAAACCATAAGTGGTCCACTACTTTTTAACAATGACAATGAACATACACAATGGGGGAAGGATAATCTGTTCAATATATGGTGTTGGTAAAACTGGATATTCACATACAAAATAATAAAATTTGGCCCTTTCAACACACACAAAGTAAACTCAAAATAAACACTTAAACATAATACCTGAGATCATAAATTTCTGGAAAAAAACATAGGGGAAAAGCTTCATGACATTGGTCTCGGAAATAAGTTTTTTTTCAATGTGACACAAAACTCTCTTTTTGCAACAAAAGCAAAAATAAATAAGTGGGATGATTACAAACTAAAAAGCTTTTGCACAGTAAAGGAAACAATCAACAAAATGACCAGGCAGCCTATAGAGAGAAATATTTTTAAACTGTATATCTAATAAGGTGTTAATACCCAAGATATATAAGAAATTCACACAACTAAATAGGAAACAAACAAACAAAAACCCCAAATAACTCAATTGAAAAATGGGCAAAGCACTTGGATAGTCACTTTTCTAAACAGGACATATAAATGGCCAGCAGGGACAGGCAAAGGTGCTCAATATTACTGATAATCAGGGAAATGCAAATCAAAACCACAATAAGATACCACCTCATTCCTGTTAGGATGGCAATTATCAAAAAGATGAGAGGTAAGTGTGGGTGAGAATGTGGAGAAAAGATTGTACACTGTTGGTGGGAATGTAAATTAGTACAATGATTACGGAAAACATTATAGATGCTACTATATGATCCAGCAATCATTCTTCTGAGTACATAACCCCAAAAATGAAATCAGTACCTTGAAAAGATGTCTGCACTCCCATGTTCATTGCAACATTATTCACAGTAGCCAAGGCGTGGAAACAACTTATGTGCCCATCAACAGATGAATAGGTAAATAAATTATGGTATATTATTCAGCCTTAGAAACAAATGAGACTCTGCCATTTGTGACAATATGAATGAACCTGGAGGATATTGTGGTAAGAGAAGCCAGACGCAGAAAGAATAACACTGCATGATCTCACTTATGTGCAGAATCTAAAACAGTCAAATTCTTAGAAGCAGAGAGTAGAATGATGGTTCCTCAGAGGGGTGGGGAGGTGAAGGAAATGAGGAGATATGGTGCAGTTATGTAGGATGAACTTGTGTAGAGGTATAATGTACAATATAATGGCTAAGAGTTGATAATTCTATATTGTGTGCTGGAGATTTTAGGTTTCAAGTGCTCTTACTACAAAAAAACAAAAATGGTACAATGAGATCACTTGGACACAGGGCAGGGAACATCACACACTGGGGCCTGTCCAGGGGTGGGGGCTGGGGGAGGGATAGCATTAGGAGAAATACTTAATGTAAATGATTAGTTGATGGGTGCAGCAAACCAACATGGCACATGTATACCTATGTATCAAACCTGCACGTTGTGCACATGTACCCTAGAACTTAAAGTATAGTAATAAAAAAAAGAAAATACAAAAAAAGGTAACCGTGTGAGAAGGCTATGTTAATTTGCTTGACTGTGGTGATCATTTCATATATGTATACGTATACCAAAACATGTCATACACCTTAAATATATACAGATTTTATTTAAAAGTAGCAAAACACTTAAAGGTCTTTGGGAAGGAAAGAAATGACTAAAAAGCATTAGAGAAATTTAGATTGAAGTTGTGAGAGATAGAAAAGCTGATGTGAGCAAAACTATAGGCTATATGAAAATAAAAATTCAGAGGAAATGCTGGCCTTTGGAAGACATAGATGCATTATCCTGGGTAGTCACTGAGTTGATGAAAATACAGTGGTATTTTGAACTGGATAGCAGGGTATGTAAAGATGATCATGCTTTTTTCTCAGGAAGAATAAGGACAGGACATTGAACATGAGGTGCTTCTGTTGAGAATTATGTGTGTCCCCTGTTAACCTAGGAGTTTCTGCCCTTACTGAGAACACAGGGCTGCAGAGAGTGGATAATGAGATAGTCATTAGGCTAAACTCAGCCAATCAAAGACTAGGCAAGAATACTCTTTAAAATTTAAACTACTAATATATACATATGTAACTCTTTTTAAAAAATATTGTGCTTTAGGGAAAATTTTAACAATGTTTTTGTTTTTCTATCAAAATTCATCTGTCATGAATTCATAGTTGAAATAGCTACATTTAAGATTAGAAATGATCATGCTATTTATTTAGATGATCTGCCAATGAAGCCTCATTTAGAGTGTTCTCTAAATGAATGTTTAGAAACCAAAGCAGGTTAGTAAATATTTTCCACTAAAATGTGGGGAATATATTTTTTAAAAAACAGAAATCTTATGATATAGCTATAATTGGTCTAGTTTCAGCTAAAGGAAATTGAGATAGAAACATAACAAGTATCTTCCTGTGGACATAAGAACTTCCCGTGAATAGCAAGTTACCAAAAATGCCAACTAATATGTATTACAGCACACTTCTTATCGTGGAGGTAAAAAAAAATATGAAATTGATCTTCAAGAGTGAAAGAGTCCCCCGTGAGACTGGAGACTGAAAAATGACCATTTTGTTTGGTATAAAAAGATGACCAGAGACCTCCAAAAATGTTCAAGTAGAGTGTTGGAAAAATAAGCCACGTGACACTGGCATTAAAGGGTACTAAGAAAAATCAAGACACGTGAGGAAGTCAAGATGAAAGAACAAACTTGTCAAGGAGCTCTGAGAGTGCGTCTGAGTTTGGCTGGTATAAACTTATAGAGGTTAAGGTCTCCCTGTCTCTCTCTGTGTGTGCGTGTATGTGCATATGCGTGTCAGGAGCAGAGGGGTTGGAGGAAGCGGTGGTGGTTGGCGCATAGTTTGTGCCTGAAGGGAATAAAGTCCCACGGCTTTTGCATCTTTGAAGTAGCTGACCAAGGGACTAGAGTCTTCTTTTGGAAGTACGGAGACGTATGGAGAGATAGAAAAAACATGCCTTTGGTGTCAGATAGATCTAGTTTTAATTCTAACTCTTCAGTTTACAAGCTTTCTAAATTTAAGCAGGCTACACAGCTTCACTGACTTTCAATTTTCTCCTGGTGAAGTGGAATGAATAATACCTATGAGATAATGTAACAGAAGTCCCTCCCACATAGCGAGGGTTCATTATCTTCTAGGTCTTCCCTGACAGCTACTAGACACATGTCACTGTTGGGCACTAGGAATGTAATTAGAATCACATATTAACAGGATGATATTTTGAATATATTGAGTTCAATCATTGTTGTTTAAATGAATTTATCTTTTCTCATTTGTTTTCAGTGTGATTACTAGAAAGTTAAAATTACCTATGTTGCACTCATTGTATTTTTATTGAATAGTTCTGTTCTAGATATTCTCCTTATTTGGAAGGGGCTGATGATCTTGGTAAACTGTTAAGATGAAGACAGTGATCAGAGCTCCCAACAACCTTGGGAATAGGCTTAGAGAATGTTGTGGAGTAAACAGATGTGTGAAGGAGATGGCAGAGAAGGAAGGGATTGGAGTGAGGAGAGGGGATAAATGTTTGAAACAATGATTACAAAAATGCTAACAAATAACGTCATTGACTTCAGCTGGTGAGAGACGCTGCTCTGCACTAGGGGAGGGGCCGTTGGGTCTCCCTCTCTGAACTGGAAGGAGCTAAAGGTGAGGCTTCTTGGACACTGAAGCTGCTGCATTTGGAGAACACAGAGTGTGTTTGTGGAGTCCTGAGTTGGCTGCATGTGTTTTACCTTTAGGGTGGGCAAGCTGGCAGCAGGCAGGATACACTGAAGAGATAATGGAAAGGCTACACACGGTACAGCATCACCGACAGGGACACTCCCTGGGATCCCACGTCCCGCAATTTCAGTGGCGCGTTCATGTGAGCCCAGGGTCTTACTGGCATAGTTTGTACATTGCCTTGTAGAGCTGTGTGTCAGTCAGTGGGAAGAGGTTGCATGCGGTTTGCTTTTAACTGCAGTACATGGGGAAACATTTTTTTAAGAGCTTTAAAGAACTGTGGAAAAATTAGATTATAGAAAATGTAGTGAAAATATCTAATTATGGTTAAAGTTTAAAAGCCTAACTTCAAGGCCAGAGGGAGAGTGAAATTGAGACAAGAGAAAAAGGTGTACTTTAGACCTAATGCAGTTTGGTTTATAAGCTCAGTTTGAATGTTTACTTCCACGGTATTCAGCATTTTATTGCTTTTTTTTCTCTCTCTCGGCTTGGAGTCAGTATCATCCTCTCAAGTGCAGATGGCTGGCTTTGGCTTATTTTGCTTTCACCGTGTGGCTGTGTGGAAATCCACTCAGACATTTCCTCTGAAACCCTCCACCAGCCGCCCCGCCTCTGCTGTCAGCTGGATTTGCCCTGTGAATTAGATCTTTAATTGAACATCCCTTTTTACCTCGGTGGGTGGGATCTTTGATGCAGAAACTTTTACAGTTGCATTTTTTTTGCTTGAATTTTGGATTTTAGCTTCTGTCTGTGTGGACACTCTACAATATAAAAGCAGTTTCACAAATAGAATTGAGAGATAAAGTGAAATATTAATACAACCCAGAAGTCTCAGAAGTAATCAAAGTGTACTGTGATAGAGCAAGCATTGGGCACCAAGAGCAAGGGCAAGAAGATGGAGGAACAGAGCAGCAAACATGATTGGTCCATTAAACGTAGCTGACTCCTATTTGCTTGCTCTTACCAGTTCCACTGATTCTTTCAGGACCATCTGGGTTAAGTACAAAAGTGTGGCTCTGTGATGGTTTCACCAGCTTCTCTCTCTGAAGCAGAGATTAAAACAGAGAGTTAGGTTTGGAGCTGCAGCCTTCTGTAGAAGATACCCCAAATGTCCCACCAACAGTGTATCACACTGATTTTCTATGACTGCTGACAGATGCACACACAGCCAGCCTTGGGGAGGAGGAGTCTGAACCTGGGAAGCCGAGAACACTGGGTAGAACTTACGCTGTGGCCACTGACTGGCTGTGTCATCCTGGGCAGCCTCTTTTTCTCTCCAAATGCAATGTTTTCACCTAGAAGTGGGGATAATCGTACAGTGCAGGGGTATCCTGAACATAGGATGAAATGTCTTTGTAAAGAATAATGGCCAGGGGGGCATTAGGCAGGAGAAGGAAATAAAGGGTATTCAATTAGGAAAAGAGGAAGTCAAATTGTCCCTGTTTGCAGACGACATGGTTGTATATCTAGAAAACCCCATTGTCTCAGCCCAAAATCTCCTTAAGCTGATAAGCAACTTCAGCAAAGTCTCAGGATACAAAATCAATGTACAAAAATCACAAGCATTCTTATACACCAATAACAGACAAACAGAGAGCCAAATCATGAGTGAACTCCCATTCACGATTGCTTCAAAGAGAATAAAATACCTAGGAATCCACCTTACAAGGGACGTGAAGGACCTCTTCAAGGAGAACTACAAACCACTGCTCAATGAAATAAAAGAGGATACAAACAAATGGAAGAACATTCCATGCTCATGGGTAGGAAGAATCAATATCGTGAAAATGGCCATACTGCCCTAGGTAATTTATAGATTCAATGCCATCCCCATCAAGCTACCAATGACTTTCTTCACAGAATTGGAAAAAACTACTTTAAAGTTCATACGGAACCAAAAAAGAGCCCGCATCACCAAGTCAATCCTAAGCCAAAAGAGCAAAGCTGGAGGCATCACACTACCTGACTTCAAACTATACTGCAAGGCTACAGTAACCAAAACAGCATGGTCCTGGTACCAAAACAGAGATATAGATCAATGGAACAGAACAGAGCCCTCAGAAATAACGCCGCATATCTACAACTATCTGATCTTTGACAAACCTGAGAAAAACAAGCAATGGGGAAAGGATTCCCTGTTTAATAAATGGTGCTGGGAAAACTGGCTAGCCATATGTAAAAAGCTGAAACTGGATCCCTTCCTTACACCTTATACAAAAATCAATTCAAGATGGATTAAAGACTTAAACGTTAGACTGAAAACCATAAAAACCCTAGAAGAAAACCTAGGCATTACCATTCAGGATATAGGCATGGGCAAGGACTTCATGTCTAAAACACCAAAAGCAATGGCAACAAAAGCCAAAATTGACAAATGGGATCTAATTAAACTCAAGAGCTTCTGCACAGCAAAACAAACTACCATCAGAGTGAACAGGCAACCCACAGAATGGGAGAAAATTTTTGCAACCTACTTATCTGACAAAGGGCTACTATCCAGAATCTGCAATGAACTCAAACAAATTTACAAGAAAAAAACAAACAACCCCATCAAAAAGTGGGCGAAGGACATGAACAGACACTTCTCAAAAGAAGACATTTATGCAGCCAAAAAACACATGAAAAAATGCTCACCATCACTGGCCATCAGAGAAATGCAAATCAAAACCACAATGAGATATCATCTCACACCAGTTAGAATGGCAATCATTAAAAAGTCAGGAAACAACAGGTGCTGGAGAGGATGTGGAGAAATAGGAACACTTTTACACTGTTGGTGGAACTGTAAACTAGTTCAACCATTGTGGAAGTCAGTGTGGCGATTCCTCAGGGATCTAGAACTAGAAATACCATTTGACCCAGCCATCCCATTACTGGGTATATACCCAAAGGACTATAAATCATGCTGCTATAAAGACACATGCACACGTATGTTTATTGCAGCACTATTCACAATAGCAAAGGCTTGGAACCAAGCCAAATGTCCAACAATGATAAACTGGATTAAGAAAATGTGGCGCATATACACCATGGAATACTATGCGGCCATAAAAAATGATGAGTTCATGTCCTTTGTAGGGACATGGATGAAATTGGAAATCATCATTCTCAGTAAACTATCGCAAGAACAAAAAACCAAACACTGCATATTGTCACTCATAGGTGGGAATTGAACAATGAGAACATATGGACACAGGAAGGGAAACATCACACTCTGGGGACTGTTGTAGGGTTGGGGGAGGGGGGAGGGATAGCACTGGGAGATATACCTAATGCTAGATGACGAGTTAGTGGGTGCAGGGCACCAGCATGTCACATGTATACATATGAAACTAACCTGCACATTGTGCACATGTACCCTAAAACTTAAAGTATAATAATAAAAAAAAAAAAAGAATAATGGCCAGGGTTTGATGGACAAGGTGCCTGGGGAATCTGGGTTTTTCTGCCTTAACTCTTCACCTTATTCCTGGTCACATTCTAGGCATAGCTAGATGGGGTTAGATTTTGGTGTGCACCGTTTGCTAGCCCTTTGCATGTATGAGAATCAAATTTCTTTAGGAAAGAATGAATCTATTATCCAGAACCCATGAATACAGTATTCTAACCAAGTGAGAAAGAATGATGTACGTATCATGTGTATATAGTGTTTAATATACACAGGTAATCATGGGTGTATCAGATGTGGTGTAACCTCCAGAGGTTCGGGTAAATATAGGTGTAGACTCCTAGGCCCTGTTTAGGGGTTAGATCCCTACTGCAGGTTCCAGTGTCCCCCTGGTACTTTGAGCCTAGAATGCAGTGATAGGATGGAAAAAATAGTTACAGCCAATCAATTCTTTGGTTCATAGCACTGAAAGGAACTAAGTTGTTGTGGATAACAATGATGGCTCGTGAGCGGGACTTCCTGCCTCTTACCACTTGTCGCTTTAATTTTTGGCAAGATGATTCTTATTATGTCTCTATTTTCTTTTTGCAGAATGGAATAATAATAACTACCCCCTAGACTAATTGTGAGAATTAAATTACTTAATTCATGTACAGTGTTTACTATAATATTGTTACATAGTATTCTCTCAACAGATAAAATCTATCATTATTATTGTTATTGTTGCAATTATTATTATTACTATCATTATTAAATTCTTACTCTCAAGATCCCTGAAGCTACCCAGATTTCTGTTCTTTTGTGACCCTGTTTTTCTAGGCTTCTTGATGATTCTGCTGTACTTGATATCCTTCTAAAGATTTTTTTTTCTATTTACACTAGTCAGAATCATTTTTCTTGTTTATTGTAAAAAGATACAGGGGTTTGATCAGGGAGCAAACCCTAATATTAAAATTCTTTCCCACTAAACCTCAAATATTGTTTATTATACTTGACTAATGGTTTTCTGTCCTCAGTACAGGAAAATCTTTAGTTTTCCTTTATTTAAAAATCGAATGTAATTCTTCCTGAAGTCACTCATTGTAAATTTTACACTTGTCATTCCATTAGTCTTCTATTCCTAGACACTTAAATAGAAAGAAAAGAAACACTGGTAGTAGAAAGCTGAGTCCTAAAATATTCTAGGGGCATTCACTGTGGTGGTCACTTTCCAATCTGGAAAAATTAATTCTGGTAAGACTAACTCTAGGATGCACACTTGCTATCCACTTTTTCCTGTTCCTTGTTCATATTTCTATTTCATAGAACAAATCTCTGCTAAGCCAGAGCTTACTGTAAACTATGGACTTAATAAGAACGATTTCATTGTTTTTTCACACATAGATTTTAAGTCATACACGGACTTGTATTTTTGCTAGACTTTATCTCATACTTTTTGGTGTTGCTATTTTCAGTTAGAAAAAAAAGAAGTGCTGTCAATAACAGGAGATAAACAGTAAACAGCCGATTTGATTCTGATGGAAGAGACTACTAAGGTAGGAAGGAAATCAAGTGAACACAAGTTTTAAGGTAAAATTAGGATAATTTTAGTGGTTGTGAATGTTTCTGAGAACACCAGGTATGAAATTTGATTCCATTATCCATTTCTTTCTCTTTCATCATCTTCTCTCAATCTTGGCACTATTCTGTTTTGAATTATTTATGCAAATAAATCAGAAATTTTATCCTTTAGTTAACTAAAAATATGTCAGCATTCGAAGTCCATTTAATTTTATATTGGAAATGTAGATCGTGTAAGTTTTGCTCAAGCTTTTCACTGGGGCTGGAGACAACAGAGCAAATTACCAACCTGGAGACGGAGCATCCCCAGGTTCCAGCTGCTGCCCTGCCATGGATTCCCTAGCAGGGGTTCCGTGTGTAACATGTGCATGTACAAGCTGGTATTTGCTTTGAGATTTCATGCTGTCAGCATATTCTTTACTTTGTAGAATTGAAGAACCATAATCGGGCCTTTATATTGACTTGTGAGCAAATTATTTTCATGTTGTTTTCATTGGCTTTATTATACAGCTTTTCCTGTGAGGTATAACCTAGGCTCAATTGTTATGCCACATCATCACTAAAAACATCTCTTAAGCATGGCATTTAAAAAATCTAATAATGAATTTTAATTTTCAAATCATGTGGGATTTTATTGTCTCAGTTGTAGAAATACAACCTGGTAAACTATCATAGGAGAGAGAAGCAAAAAAAAAAAAAAAAAAAAAACCATCTGTATTTGCATTATTTTAACAGAAAACTTCCTGACATTTGAACACCATTCAATTTCTTTCTTAATCTTTTGTTTGTATGTTTTTTATATACTGCTAATCATCATCCCAATTCTCTTTATGTTACCAGGGCTTTTACATTTTCTATTAAATCAGTTTTTCCCAGATAGCAGAGTATTTACAATAATCATTTTTAATTCTTTTGAGTGAATATCCCATATTTATTTAACCATTCCTTGATTTTTGGTCACTTATGTTTACCCTTTGATATATAATAGTAAAATAAGGATATTTTACATGTAATTATTCTTCAAAATATGAGTTACTTCTGAGAGGTGGAATTAATTATTCAAAGACACGTGTAGTTTATAGCAAAGACTTGGAACCAACCCAAATGCCTATCAATGATAGACTGGATAAAGAAAATGTGACACATATATACCATGGAATACTATGCAGCCATAAAAAGGGTAAGTTCATGTCGTTTGTAGGGACATGAATGAAGCTGGAAACCGTCATTCTCAATAAATTAACAGGAACAGAAAACCAAACACCACATGTTCTCACTCATAAGTGGGAGTTGAACAATGACAACACTTGGATAGAGGGAGGGGGAATATCACACATGGAGGCCTGTCGGGGGGTGGGGAGCTGGGGGAGGGATAGCATTAGGAGAAATACCTAATGTAGATGATGGGTTGATGGGTGCAGCAAACCACCATGGCACATGTATGCCTATGTAACAAACCTGAACGTTCTGCACATGTATCCCAGAATTTGAAGCATAATAAAAATAAAAAGTGACATCTAAATGAAACAAAACAAAGATATGTATAATTTTTTTCTAGATACATACTGCCAATAAATCACAATAATTTATGAAACAATTTTAAACAGTACTTACTTTCCATCTCATTATATATAACTTATTATCTATCTATCTATCTATCTATCTATCTATCTATCTATCTATCTATCTATCTATCATCTATCTATCTATCTAGTAAGCAATCTCCATGGGGTCTATATGTGGAATAAAAGAGGGAGGACAGCCCATCATGTACTTTACTTGTCTCAGGGTGTTCATAATCTTTTGAATTAGATGATATCAACCTCTTTCAATTTTTTCTCATAATTTTATCTCGACCCTTGTGTTTGCTTGGTTTTCCTCCTACCTTAGAAGCCTCTTCCATCAGGATCAAATCAGCTGGCTTCTGTTTATCGCCTGGAGCAGCCTAGGGCTCGGTCTTTGGATTCCTTCTCTTCTTGATTATATTTACTTCTTCAGTGATCTCGTGTAGCCTCCTGGCTTTAAATATCATCTACATGCACTATTGATATTGATAACATTTCAAATTCATATTAGAATTCTCTACCCAATAGCCAACTCGAATCTCCACTTGGACGAGTAATAGGCATTTCCAAATGTTCACAACTGAACTTCAGACCATTTTCCCTAAACTGGTCCTCTCACAGCCCTCCCTTAGTTAATGGGTGCAGCACACCAACATGGCACATGTATACGTATGTAACAAACCTGCACGTTGTGCACATGTACCCTAGAACTTAAAGTATAATAATAATTAAAAAAAAGAAACTCCATTTGCTCATGCCAAGAACCTTGGAGTAATTGACTCTATTTTGTCACTTCTACCAGGCAAGCGATCCATCAGTCAATCTAATCAGCCCCTCTATGAAAATACATCCAGAGGCTAACAACCATTCATTACCTGCTCTGCCATCCCTCTTCTCCAAACCACTGTCATCTCCTGCCTGAAATACTGGACTCTCTCCTATCATCTTTGGCCCCTATAGTTGATCCAAAACACAGCTGCCAGCATAACCTTGTTAAAAACCAAGCCAGACGATGTTCATTCTCTGCTCAAAGCTCTCTAGTAGATAATTGTTTTATTTCAAATACAAATGAAAGACCAATGGCTACCAAGGGCAAACCTTGCAAGACCTCATGTCCTAACACTCTCTTGCCATTCCTATTGGTGACATGCCTGATTCTGTCCTGCTCTCCTCCAGGGGCTCTTACACATGTGGCTTTTGCCTGGATGCTCATTCCACAGATGTGCACATGACTCTTCCATCAACTCCACGAAGATGAGGGCTTTTGTCTATTTTGTTCCCTACTGTATCTCTGCTACTTAGAATTACATAGTATGTGCCAAATAAATATTTGTTGAATGTATGATAGGGAAACTGTACAGGTTAGGTAACTTATTGCAGAGTTCCAACTTAGTACTTGGCAGATTTGGAAATTCAACCTAGGTCTGGCTGAAACCATATTCATATGACATGAAATAAATGGGAATATTCTCACTTTTCTAGTCTCTGAATTTATCTTTTTCTTGAAGCTTTGGTAAAATCACTTGTAAAATCATTTAGGTTAGTGTTTTATTTGTTGGAATATTTAAAGAGTCAAAGTTTTGTTGCACATTCTGATTATATATTATACCAGGTACACAAGCTTACAATGGTTTTATCTAATTGTCTATGGAGTCTTTCTCATATGTATTGACACTCATATTTACAAATGTACTTTGTCTTACATTCTCTTTTGTTTGCTATGATTATTGCCACAGTAGTATCATTTTGGTTGCATTTGCCTGAATATTTCTTCATCATTTTACATTGAAACATTTTGTGTTTTTCAAGAAATAACTGGATAACCATACTTGGCAATGGTTACAGGTACAGCCCTTTTCTAGCTTTACAAACATTTCTCTTATCCATTTGTATGAGAATATCTTCAGGAGCTAAACCCATGAGTACACATTTTGCAGATTATATTATGAATATTTTAAGTTGAACTCAACACTGCCAAACTGCTCTCTCGAATGTCTGCACTGGTCTACATTCTCCCCAGCAGAGCAAGCGGGTTTGCATCTATATACATCCATTCCCGCTAATACTTGACATTTTCCAGCTCTCTAAATTTTCTAAATTTAATTTGTGTACAACGATGTATCATTTTTGCTGTAATTTGTATTTCTCTGATTTCTGTAGAATTTGAGCACCTTTTCTTTTTTCTTTTTTTTTAACTTTGAGATTTTATTTTCTGAAAATTATCTTCTTTATCCATTTTTAATGTAGAGTAATTGTTCTCTTATTTTTGCAAGAGTTTGCTGCCTTTTCGAGATATTAATCCTTTTCACTTCGGGCATTAGAACTATCTTCTCTCAATTTGAAACTTTTCTATAAACCTTGTTGAATGGGCATAAAGTTTTAATTATGCAAGCTTAATGAGTTCTAGAGATCTGCTGTACAACATAGTGTCTATATTTGACAATATGATATTGTGCACTTTGAAATGTGTTAAATGGGTGGAGCTCATATGACGTGTTCTTACCACAAAAACAAACAAAGGGACACAAAGCAATTTTGGGAGATGTTGGATATGTCTGTTACCTTGTGGTGATGGCATTATAAGTGCTTGCGTAAGTGCAGACTCATCAAATTAAATATGTGCAGTTCTTCGTATATCAATTATACCTCAATAAAAGTGTTAAAAATAAAGATAACATTAATTTTTATATTATCAGATTCACTATTGTCTTGGTTATGTGTACTTTTGAAGTTTTCTTTAATCAGTGTTCTTCCCCTTTATGTTCACAAGTTTTCTTCTACAATATTTTCTATTAACTTTGAAAATTTACTTTTATACTTGAGTCTTTTTTTAGTTTTTTAAATATAGACTTTATCTTTTAATCTTTTTAAAAAATTTATAGATTTAGAGGTACAAGTGCAGTTGTGTGACGTGGATGTCTTGTACAGTGTGGTGAAGTCTGCACTTTGAACGGATCCATCACCCAAACAGTGCACATTGCACTCAGTAGGCAGTATTGCCTCCCCAATCCCCTTCCCCCACTCCTACCTTTCGGAGTCTCCAATGTCTATTACTCCACTCTGTTTGTCTGTGTGTACCCATTGTTTAGCTCCCACTGTAAGTGAAAGCATGTTTTTTGACTTTCTGTATATGGTTCATTTCACTTAGCCCAATGGTTTCCAGCTCCATCATGTTGAGGCAAAAGACATAATTTTATTCTTTTTAACGGGTAAGTAGTATTCCATAATGTGTGTGTGTATGCCCCATTTTTTAAATCGGATTATCTGTTTGATAGACACAGGTGGATACCCATGTCTTTGCTATTGTAAATAGTGCTCTAATAAACATGTGAGTGCAGGTTCCTTTTTGATATAATATATTTTTTTCCTTTTGGGTGTATACCCAGTAACAGATTGCTGTATTGAAGAGTAGTTCTATTTTTAGTTATTTCAGAAACCTCCATATTGTTTTTCATAGAGGTTGTACTAATATATATTCCCACCAACAGTGTGTAAGTATTCCCTTTTCTTCACGTCCTTGCCAGCATCCGTTGTTTTTTGACTTTTTAATAATAGCCATTATGACTGGTGTGTGATGGTATCTTATTGTGGCTTTAATTTGAATTTCTTTAATGATTAGTGACATTGAGCATTTTTTCATGTTCGTGTTGCTTGGATGTCTTCTTTTGAAAAGTGTTTGTTCATTCTTTGCCCACTTTTTAATCAGGTTATTCAATTAATTTATTTGTTTTTGGTCTTATTGGGTTGTATAAGTTCTTTGTAGATTCTGGATATTAGCTCTTTGTCAGATGTATACTTTGCAAATATTGTTCCTCATTCTGTAGCTTGTCTGTTTACTTGGTTGATTATTTCTTTCACTGTGCAGAAGCTTTTTAGTTAAATTAAGTCCCATTCGTCTATTTTTATTTTTGTTGTGTTTCCTTTTGGGGACTTAGTCATAAATTCTTTGCCAAGGCTAATGTACAGAAGAGTTTTTCCAAGATTTTCTTTTAGGATATGCATAGTTTCAGATCTTATGTTTAAGCTTTTAATCCATCATGAGTAAACTTTTATATATGTTGAGAGATGGGGGTCCAGTTTTATTTTTCTGCATATGGCTAGCCAATTTTCCCAGCACCATTTATTGAATGGGGCGTCCTTTCCCTTAGTGCATATTTTTGTCAACTTTGTGAAAGGTCAGTTGGTTGTAGGTATGTGGCTTTATTTCTGGATTCTCTATTCTGTTCCCTTGATCTATTGTCTATTTTTGTACCAGCACCATGCTGCTTTGGTTATTATAGATTTAGCCATGGTTTACCTTATATATGACATTAGGTCAGAAACCATCTTTATTTTTCTCTATTAAGTGAACGAATTTTCTCAACATTATTTTAAACTACCCATCTTTTCTCCATTTAATTCTGGTGGCATCTTTACCAAATGTAAAATTTGTATATACATGTAAGTCAATCTCTGTCATATCTATCCTGTTTTATTGGCTTATTAGCCTGTTCGTGATGGTCAATAAATTAATGTATTTTACCAAGACTTTGTAATATGTCTTCACAACCGGCAGGGAAAGCCTTTCCACTTCACTTGTATTTTGCAACATTGACTTAGAGAGTCACCAATAACAATGCTAAATTTAATTTCAGCCCTTTTCTTTGCACATGTTTTACACATATAAAAATTAGCATTATATTTTCACATATTTTAACTGAATTTAGGTCATACTACCCATAATTTTGAGCTTACGTTTCTCATGATTCTTTTTTCCTATTTCATTTGGTATTCTCGCACATGTCTGCTAATCACTCTCTTGAATTTCATCATAGTTTATATGTTCCATGTTTTGAAAACCAATTTCTTATTGGCAGCCATTTAGATTGTTTCCAATTTTTCACTATTATAAATTATGCTGCAAAGAACAGTACTGCACATGCATCTTTTTAAACATCTGTGATTGATTCCTTAGGACAAATTGCTAGAAATAAAACTCCTTCATCAAAGTGTATGCTATTTTTTGAGGCTTTCTCCTTGTGCTGCCTAATTGCCCTCCAGGCAGTTTGTACTAAGTTATACTTTCATCACAAGAGTATATGAGTGCCTATTTCCTTGTACTGCACAATATTGAGAATAATTATTATTGCAATTGTTTTCTACTTAAGTAGGAAAAATAGTATAATTATTACTAGATGTTGAATATTTTAAGAATATTTTTGCTGCTATAATCACATATGCAGATTTCATTTCGATTTTGTGTAGTTTTTTTGTGCAAGGGTTACTTTTTGCATTTGCATTGTTTCATTTACATATCAACAATAATGCTTAGTTATACAACTCTATGCTTGACAGATATTACTGCTCTGAGCCAATCAATTCTGCCTACTCCTCCCAATCCTGAATGATTTGATTTGACTTATCCTTCATTTTACTGGGGTACATGTGAATAATTCCTCTTCTTGAAAGCTGAAACACTCTACTTCTCTCTACATGGTCGTGCATGACAACAGGTAACTGGAAATAAAATACATTGCTCTCAGTTGTTCTCCATAAAGCTCTGTAGACATCAATAGCTTCCTTGGGCAGTGAGTGGCTAAAGGAGTCTGACCCTCATTTTATTTATTTGTTTGTTTATTTTATTTACTGGTAACTTTTCCCCTTTCCTTCATGATTGTCCTTTAAAAAAACACAACTTGGAATTAAAAAGCACAAAAATATCTGTAGAAATATATTTGCTTTTCTCCATTTTATATTAATGATCAGTTATCTTTCTCAACCTTCATAGTCTCTGTTCAGCTCAGGAAAGTTATCTTCAGTTCATCTTGCCAACCATTCTTCCATTCCTTCATCCATCTATCCACAATATTTACTGTGCACCTATTACACTCTAGAGATACCATCAGGCAGAGTTTCTCCACCTCAGCACTATGGACATTTTGGACTGAATATTCTTTGTGGTGGGAGTCCTCCCTGTGCACTGTAGGATGTTTAGCAGCATTTCTGGCCCTTGTCATCTAGATGCCAATAGCATCCCCTCTCTCCCCAAGTTGTGTCTGGAAGCAAAAAATGTTTCCAGACATCCAAAGCCCCTTTATGCCATATCCAGAACCACTGCACTAGGGAACAAAACAGACAATGTGCCTGCCCTCATGGGGTAATTGAGAAGAGATGTAAAATAAGTGAATGCACTAACACAGTGTGTTCTCTGAAGAAGAGTGCTGTGAAGACAAGTAGAGCAGGCAGGTGGAAGAGGGGGTCCCTGCGGAGCACATGCAAGGGCTGAGTGTTGGGGAAACCAGGAGGAAGTGGGTGAGCGGGTTAGGGAATGAGCAGGGCAGGGTCCCTCAGCAGGGCATGTGCTTGGTGGGACCCATGAATGAAGGCACCCTTGCAGCTGGGCCCAATGAGCGAGCAATGGGTGGCAGGTCCGAGAGGAAGCAGTGGCCACACTGTGGACGTCCTTGTGGGCTGGGCAGGGGTTTTGATTTTACTCTGTGAGAGGAGGGAAAAAGCTTTGGATCAGGAG
Organism: Homo sapiens; assembly: GCF_000001405.40. NCBI lineage: Eukaryota > Metazoa > Chordata > Mammalia > Primates > Hominidae > Homo > Homo sapiens. Next base: position 51,693,662 of record NC_000007.14, read on the forward strand.
AGCTGCACTGTTATTTCTTTGGTTACTTTTCCCCCCATTTTCCTTACTTCTTGGATCCATATTGCAAGTGGAGTGGGTTTTCTGGTTCTCTCTTCTTGTTTACTTTATATGCTTGTGTATGTTTACTTTTATATGCTAAGCTTTTTAGCATCTTCTCATGTGCTTTAGGATACTTCCTTTCACTTTTGCTCTACTTTCTTAATTCACCTTCTGAATATCCATTCAAATATTCCTTGCCCCTATTGAAATGTTAAATTTGGCAACTACAGCTTGTGCTTTCATTTGTTGGTTTTTTTTTTTTTTTTTTTTTTGACCTTACATGGCTTTATCTTCATGACTATCTGGCTAGTTCATAGCTAGTCCTTTTTAAATATATATATTTTTAGCACTCAAATGGATTCAGTCCAGATTAGTTATTGGTGGAATAACATTTAAATTTACTGAAATGTCATTTTCAGTTCAGTCTCTTTATTTCAGTGACTCCCTCTTGTGTCTTTGGTATGGTACATCAAAGCTAGGTAGGGACACGTTGTCTAATCATTCCCACAAGCAGGCGTCACCATGACGTGTGAGCAGGGAGCATGGCTCTACTGCCCCAGGACCACATCCAAGCAGTCCGGGCTGAATGCTTTCAGATTTGCTGTAGCAGGTCTGGATAAGCTGTGTGTACTCCTTCTTCCAGTTCTTCCCTCCTCTAAATGGGCGTATCAATAGGCTTCTGCTGCATCTCCTTCATTTCCTTTCCAGAGGAGCTCTTTTCTCCTCCCTTCAGTTGATGCCCTCTGCACCATGTGCAGCAGAAATGCTTCTGTTTTGATATTCAGACTGTCTTACTTCTCTTGTTTTCAGCATCTATATGGGGGAGAGTTTTCTTTTTTATATTCTGTTATTTTAATAGGTCTCTGAGAAGGTAGAAATTAGATGTGCCCGATCTGCGATCTTACCTGGAAGATTCTTTATCGTGATCCATCTGCTTACTTGAGTGGGTATGAATTTCTATATGGAAACAGTAGAACACTACACAGGTGTTTGAATGAGCGTCATTAGACACAGATGAAATGTGAAGGAACAAATCATTGAGGAGAGTGGTTGCTAAGCTGCACACTTTGAATAGAAGATTTGATGCCTCAACAGCTCCAGGAGAGAGTTGTCTTTCTCCATACAGAGTCTGAAACGACTGATTGTAATAACTCCTGTTTGACCAGGACTGAAAGGACCTTTGCCCACTGCATGCTGTTAGACTGGCAGTATCCGAACTTGGGTAACACTTCATATCTTCTGTTGTCCCACTATTTTCCACTATTTTGCTATTTTGAACAGTGTATAGTTCCTATATATAGGGTTTTCTTCTCTAAACAAAAACACACTTATTGTTTTACTTATGATTATAAAGAAGACATTTGAAGTAATATCCATGTGGAGACTGACATTTTAATGATGTTCTTTTCAGGCATTTTCTTGTTTTTTCTCACCATATATAGCACTATATTCTTATATATGATAATTTTATCCTCTTCTTTCCTGTCAGATAGGTCTTCTAGATATTTCCTCATGTGGATAAATAAGCCTGTGTCATCTCTGGTGAATGAAGTTTATGCTTTTGGTTGGATATGCTATAACTTCCATTGATTAGGGGTGGTTTCCAGTTATTCATGCTTATAACATGGTTTCAATAGACTTCTTTTTATATCTCTGTATGCATATTTTTTCAGTTACCACTACATTAAAAAATTCCTGAAAGTGGCTTCACCAGATCAAAAGATAAACAAACACACACACTTACACCCATGTACATGTGCATCATATATATGTGTGTGTATACACGTTATGTATATTTTGCTATTAATTGCCTCCTGGAAAAATATACCTATTTATGCTTCTTAGAATACTTTAAAGATAGTATAACCCACAACTTTTTGTGTCATTGACCTTTATAAAATGAAAAAAATCATTCTCCCCAAATTGCCTTAGTATTCCTCTGTAGAACAACTTGACTCCAAATCATGAAGGTCAAGACGTCAGACTCCATGAATTAATAGCCATCTCCCATATTTGAGATACTATCATCGGCATAATAGAGTACTGAGAAAGAAATCAAATCTGGATGGGTTATTTTTTGACAAGTTGCTAGGTTCCTAATCAGATTTTAGCTTCTTTTAAATGTTGTTGGTACAGGAACTTGTTTGCACATTAATTTCCTCTAGAACATCTATTCAAAGGCCAGTCACTTAGGAAGTTTTCTTCAGCAGGTCTAGTCATGCTAGAGGGATACATTTGACAAACACAAAAAATCCATTTCATTCATGTGAAATTTCTTGCTGGGGGCAAAACTACTGTTAATGAATGTGAGAATCAGAACAAGAACAATAGAATTTGGTATGTGTGCCTTCAATCATGTATGAGGGGGAAACCAGGATTGTGATTAGTGTGTTTTTATAACATTATTCACTTAAAAATATGATATTATAAGTAAAAGATATATGGTGCATAACAACAGATGATATGCATAGCATATCTCTTTTATTTTTCTAGGAAACAGCATTGTCTAACAACCAAAGGCAGTTGTGGCAGAAGCTTTGTCACAAGCTCGGTGGTTACTATTTCCCTTTCAGAAACAGATCCTGGCTTCATCTAGCAATTTCTCAGGATCAAGCATAGAGGAAAATGATCTCAACCCATAAATGCCTATTAAACTCAGGGAGTCAGAGCAACAGACAAAAAGTTCATGCACACTGGATTTTCTTGCTAAGTTTATGTACTTTCTCCCTAATTAATTCAGACTTTTTTTTTTTTGCTACCTACCAAATATACAAAACACTCCTGACCACCAAACAGAGAGGGAGTCGTGTAGATGGTTAAATGTAAGCCTGCTCAGGTAAAATCAATTAGCACTAATTATCAGAATCTTTCATTTTTTAAACCCACCTTATCATTGAGGTGTTTAAAGGTCTGAGAACTGCAGATGAGTGACTGCTTGTCATGGTTCTGGGAGGTAAGTGGTCAATTAGTAAGCCGGCGTTCGGCCTCCATGGGCAAGGATGCGGTGACCTTTCCTTCAGGGTGATTTTCCATCTCTCTCTGACTCTGCAAAAATACATTCTCTCCCGGTGCCTTGAATTGCATGCTTAAAGTCTGTTATTTCTGATTCTGTTTGCAGTCTTACCCTTTTCTGAGTGAAGGAAGGTCAAGAGATTTTGGCCTTTTTTGCCCTAGAGGGTAAAGGTGAAGGAAGAGGGAGTGTGAAAAGTTGTCAGGGAGCTAGAAAGCAGGGAGGAATCAGCCTCTGTGAAATGGTACTTAAAATGCCACAGCATTAGGATTCGTATGTATGACTCCCTGAGTCCACTTTGATGAAGATGAAAATACTATTGATTTTGATTTTTTTCTCTCTATTTTTTTCTGGGATGCAGCAGTTTAATGATAATGATAACTCATTAATTGATGATAATTTAATACATTAAATAGCTATTTTATATCAAAATAAAAATGGAAAGATCAGTCATCTTTTTGTCATATAAACAGAAACTGATGATAATATCTCAAACAGACTGAAACCTTAAAAAAACTTTCTCAGTCAACGATTGGGTCTGTTCTTTCTCCTCCCCAGAAGTCAGGTTGTGAGGATGCAGCGATGGAACAGGTCAGTGCTCTGTCCCTCTGTCTCTCTTGCTCTGAGCAGACATTTGATATCTGTTTATTGAAATAATTGGTGAACTTTTGCAAATGGGAACAAGTCCTGGGGTCACTTTCCAGCTACTTATATGGTTGTACTCTTCTACAGTATATAATTATCTCAGCAGCTAATGAAAGCTGTGGCTCTTCTTGCATAAAAACATATATACAAAATATCTGGGGTCTCAAGGGCCCCTTGAAGTTCATCCATGAACTGCAGCATAAGAACCCTGGTTGCAGAGTAAGTCCCTGAGAGTGAACAGCAGACACTGTGTAGACCTACTTCACTCTGACTGAAAGGCATATGTGAGCTATGGCATTGATATGTTTCATTCTTCCCCAAGTCTCCACACTGATAACAATATCAGCACCTTTTCTGCTTTACTGAATATCTGACCAGAGACTTCTGGGATATACAATGGGTGTAAATAATGGCAGTATATTACTTCAAGTTACCCTGTCCTAATTTTTCCCTGCCAAGCGAAGTTGCTGTGCAGGAGCCAGCATCCCCTGGTAATTTCTTGAATTCTAAGCCTCTGCCATCAGGCTAATCTTTATATGATTCTGATTGGATATGAACATTTCTCCACTTGTTTTGTTCACAAATACTTATAAGCACCCAATGCATCCCATTCTGTATACTAAGTACAGGGGATAAAAAAAGTGACCATAAGAGACACCTTACACAATTTTCCCTAACCTTAAGGGAAAATTGACATCTGTAATGACCACTGGTTTGGGATTTGTAGAGCCGGAAAATAATTATCTTACAATTTACTGATTAATGGTCCACCCTAACTTTGTGAATACAGCTCATTAGGAGGAATTCTTACTTTATCATGACAAGCACCCCCACTGTGTTGCCTGGTCTTGAAGGCTGCAGGCATCATTCTAATTTTACTGTATTAGACATTCCACCAGATTCTGTGAGTACATGCCTTATACATAGTAGCACTCTGAAGTATATGTGCTGATTGATCAAAGATAAATAATTTTTCCACTGGCATTTTCATTTGATCTGGCATCTCAGCCCAATGGTTAGTTTCTAAATTTAGATTCTATATTCTTAGATGAATTGAGTGCATGAGTAGAGGAAATGGAACTGGCTTAGGAATAAGATCTGGTTTTGACGTTAGTGTAGCAGTCTTACCTCCGACCAGAGTCAATTGACTGTAAAGATGCTCAGAAACGCTAACTCAGGAAAATATTTTTGGGTGTTATTAAACATAGTTTTAGACATTTTATTGAAATCAAGGAGCTTCCAGTTTCTGCTGCTACATGGAAGGTGCTTGGAAGTCATCAGTTCCAAGGAAAAAAACTGAATAAAGAGAAAGTCAGCAACTTGACCTAGATCTATCAGATAATTAAGGTCACAGGGCAAACTCCTACTCTGCAAACTGGAGAGACAGGCAGATAGATACAGAAAATCACAGCATGGAGACAAGAGAAGGAGCAGAAGCAGTCGCTGAAGCTTGAATCTGTAGAATCATTTTAAGACTGATGAGTTGGTAGGGAATGCCTGTAGACGAGGTTGGGAGTTCATTTGGAAGGGACCCAGTCTTAGTGGCCACCCACTTTCGTGAGTTTATCTACAGGATCCTTACCAGGTCCTCACAGTGAATATCTGAAAAAAATGCCCTGGAGCTCCAGGTAGAGAGAGGGGAAAATAAACTATTTTAAAATACACCTAGATTTTCTGTTGTCTTCAATAAGGCCTCCCCTCACTGGAAATTATTTAAAATGAGACTAACCTACTATGTTTTACCAAAGCCTAATTGCCTGGAGAAAGATAAACACGCAACTCCTGCCATGTCCAGCTTTTGACACAGGGGATGGTAATTCAAACTCACTAAAAAGACTGAGACCTAATAGAGGACCCTAGAATGCGAGTCCCCTCCCACCACACATTGCCACCACATCACCGCTCTCATGAACAGTAACACTTGATTACAAGTAAATGAGCTGCAGCCTCAGGTCCCACTTAAAATGTCTCTAGGGACGCTCAAAGATGATATGGTAACAAAAACAAAGGCCCTAAGGAGATTTTAGCCTATAAAAACACAGCTACAGCAATCAGTAAATGCAGCCTAACTCCTAGCCAGATTACCATCAAAACACACACTAAAGCCTTGTCTACCTCATTTCCTACTTCCCAGAATGTCATATACAGCTTTCAACAAAAAATTACATGGAATTCTCAAAGCAGGTAGAAAGCATAGAACAGAGACAAACCAAGCATCAGTTTTGCCAAACTCAAATATGGCAGAGTCTTTGGAATGATCAGTCCAGGAATATAAAATAACTATGATTCATATTCTAAGGATTCTAAAGGGAAAAAAGGACAACATGCAAAAAGAACCAGGAAAGGAATCAGTGAGCTTAAAGGTATGTCAATAGAAACTTGAACATCTCTTCAGAAACAATGCAAACAAGAAGAGAGGGGACTACAATATTTGTAGTGTTAAGAAAAAAAAAGTGCCAAACCCATCAACCTAGAATTCTGTATCCAGAATAATTATCTTTTAAAAGTGAAGGAGAAATAAAGACATTCTCACACAAGGAAAAATTAAGGGAGTTTCTCACCAACAGATTGTCCCTGCAAAAAAAAAAAATGTTAAAAGAAGTTCTTCAGAGGAAAAGAAAATGGTGTAGGTCACAAACTCAGATATACATAAAGAAAAAAAGGGTTAGAGAAGAAATAAATGGAGGTAAAAGAAAATCTTGTAGTTTCCTTATTCTTAATTGATCTGACAGATAACAGTTTATCCAAAATAATAATAGCAACAATATTGGCAACCATAATGTGGATAAGTAAAATGAATTACAGCAATGTTACAAAGGATAGGAGAGAGGAGTTGAGAATACTTTGTTCTAATATACTTGCGCTACTTGTAAAGTGGAATAGTATTATTTGAAAGTAGATTTGGATTGGTCATAAATATATATTGCAAACTCTAGGTCTACCAGTAAGAAAATTTTAAAAAGAAGTATAATTTATATGCTAAGGAGAGAAAATGGAATCCTTTAAAGTGATGGCTCAATTAAAACCAGAAAAGACAGAAAAAGAATGGAAGACCCCCCAACTACCCCCTTAAAAAGAAAAAAGAACAAGCCAGTGTATAAAACCCAGTTACATGTATAGAAGATATTAATCTATTTCAACACTTTATATTAGAATCTTTTAAAAAATATATTAATCTATATCAACTGTAAAAGGTCAATAATCTAAATGTGCCGATTAAAAGACAGAGACTGCCACAAAGGATTAAAAAATAAGATTCATCTGTATGTTGTCTGAAGAAATATACTCTAAATGTAATGACATAAATAGACTAAATATAAAGAGAAGGAGAAAGGTATGATGCTAACACTAATCAAAAGAAAGATGCAATAGGTATATTAATTTCAGTTAAAGCAGATGGCAGAGCAGATAAGATTATCAGGGATAAATAAGGGCATTACGTAATAATAAAGGGTGTCATTTTTCCAGTAAGACATAACAAATCTGTCGAATAACAGAGTATCAGTTTACATAGAGGATAACTGACAGGATTGCGTGGAGAAATAGACAAATTCACTATTACAGTTGGAAACCACAACACCCCCATCTGCAATTGACAAATCTAATGGAAAATCAGTAAGGACATAGCTGAACTGATCACTATCATAAACCAACTGGACCTAACTGACATTTATAGACTAATTCATCAAGCAACAACAGAAGACACATACTTCTCAAGCTTATGTAAAACATTCAGATAGACCACATTCTGGGCCATAAAACAAACCCAAACAAAATTTAAAAGAACAGAAATCATACAAAGAGAACACTCAGACTTTAATAGTACTAAAGCAGAAATCAGTAACAAAAAGATAGATTGAAAAATCTGAAAATCCTGGAAGATAAGAAAACACACTTCTAAATAACATATGGATCAAATAAATCTCGAGAAATTTTGAAATGTTTTGAACTAAATGAAAATACAACCTATTAGAATTCATGGAATGCAGTGAAAACAGTACTTAGAGAGAAATTTATTGAAATGAATACCTAAATTAGAGAAGAAGAAAGATCTAAAATCAATAATCTAAATTTCCACCTTAGGAAGCTAGAAAAAAAGAGAGTAAATTATATCCAAAGTAAGAAGAACATAAATAATAAAAATCAGAGCAGAAATAAATGGAATTAAAAACAGAAACACAATAGAGAAAATCAACAAAGCTAAAAGCTGGTTTTCTGAAAATATCAACACAATTGATAAAATCCTAGCCAGGGTGACCAAGAAAAAAGAGAGAAAATATAGATTACTAGTATCTAAATAGGCTATATATATTAAATAGATTAAATTAAAAAATTATAAGCCTTTCAAAACAAAGCACCAGGTCCAGATGTTTTTATTGTGGAAGTCTACCAAACATTTACGAAAGAATTGATACTAATTCTCTACGAAAAATAAATAAATAAAGCAGACAGAAAACTTTCTAACTCATTCTATGAGGCTGGAATTACCCTAATACCAACACTAGACAAAGACATTACAAGAAAGAAAAACTACAGACTAATATCTCTCATAAACCCACATGCAAAAATTTTTTAACATTTTGTTTCAAGAATGTATACAGAGAGCTATACACCATGAATAAGTGAGATTTGTTCCAGGTATGCAAGGTTGGTTCAGTGTTCAAAAATCAATTATTGTAATTTATCACATCAATAGACCATAGAAGAAAAACTATATGATGGTGAGAAACTAGGTAATTCCTTCCTAAGAGTGGGAACAAGGCAAGGACATCGTCTCTCACCACTCATATTCAACATCATATTGAAAATTGTAGCTAATGCAATAAGACAAGAAAATGATAAGACAAGAAAGATAAGTAGATAAATTAAATAAAAATCAAAGTTTGCAAAACTTTCCTATGGCACAATAAAATTATCAAGTACACATAAAATATTTTTTAAAATACACACATACAGAAACTGTAAAGATTTTTCAACGTCCTCATTTTTTATCATATTTATGTTTAGATAAATTATTTTTTTCTCAAAAATTTACCAAAGGGACATCTTTGAATATTTTCTCAAAAATAATTAGAAAGCTACTGAGGTGTGTATGTGGGTATGTGTTTAATAGGTTTAATAATTAATATTTAATTAAATACTTTAATAGGTTTAATTTCCTTTAAATAAAAGAGGTCTTTCTATAACTCCAAATATTTACAAAACACTTAAAATTTATTAGTCAGACGATTTTGGCATTATTCAAGTTGCTTTTGACTGAACACAACAGAAACCATTTGAGCTTGCTTAAGCAAGGGAAGGAAGCTTACTGCAGATCAGAACGCACATTCAGTGAAACAGCTGAAACTCGGGAATGGAACCTAGCACACAAGAGAAGTTCAGCATCCCTGCATTGCTAGTGTCTCATCTGATTCCTACTTTATTTTATTGTATTTTTTGCTCTGCAGACCCCCTTTTGATTTTTTTTACTTCATGTGTGAAATAGGGATTCCCCCACTTTCAGTTCCTGAATTTACACAATATACACATTACTAGTCTAGTCACATGCAGAAACCAATTAACTATGTTATGAATCTCAATTCAATGGACTACCAGAAGAAATACAAATGGCCACTATAAACATGAATAGTGCTCAATATCATTCTTCATGAAGGAAATGCAATTAGATACCACTTTATAGCCACTAAAGTGACTAAAATGATGAAGACCGATAACACTTAATGTTGGTGAATATGTCCAGCACTTGCAACTTGAATATAATGCTCATGAGAATATAGAATTACTTTGGAAAGTTGATGAGCTGCTTTGGTCAATGAAGTGTTTTTAAAAAACATAACAATCCAACTCTAGATATTTTCTGAAGAAAAGTGATGACATTTGTCTACATAAAGATGCATTTAAGCATGTTCATAGCACTCTCTGTTTTCTTTTTGCATAGTAGCCTCAAACTGTATACAATCTAGATACCTGCTGATGGGAGCATAAAGAAGCTATGGTTTGCTCATTCCACAGAACGTTGCTCAGCAGCATGCAGGAATGACTACCAACATGTACAGCAATGTCAACAAATCTCAGAAATATTATGCTGAATTAAAAAGCCAGACAAGAAAGAATCAGCATTATTTTATTTATGTGAAGGCCTAGAACAAGCAAACCTAATCTGTGCTGATAAAAATCATAGAGGTGGTTGTGGATGGCAGGAGGTTGACTGGAAAAAGGCACAAGGAAGTTTTATGAAAAGATGGAAATGTTTTATATGTTGACTTGCATCTTAACTACACAGGTAATGCATTTGTGAAACTTATCAATGTTTAATAGCTGTGCATTTTGCTGTATATAAATGATATTTTGATAAATAAAAGTAAGCAACATACTGTTGAACCATATTAAATTGCTTGTTTTTAGCTACTTTTAGCTACAAAAATGGCAATTTTATATGGTCCAACCTACTAATAACTTTTGTCTCTGAGAAAAATGTGAAAATTGTTTTTGAGGCTTTTTGTACAACTGCTTTAGAGCAGATGGGAGAATAAGAGGTAACCTGGGAAAAGAATAAACTATGTACAAGGAGCATGTCCTAGGAAGGTCTATTGTCCCTTCCTTACTGGTGTGTGCACATGTGTATGCATGCATGCATGTGTAATAGCACATGCATTTATGTGTGTACATTGCATGTGTGGTGTGGTGGAGGGCACCAAATAGGCCTTTCCACAAGAGACAGGTGTTGAGCTTGTGACAGATTGGACAATGTATCTGCATTAACTGGCTTTATTTACATGGCATTTTGCTCAGTCAATTTATGGCATTCTTCTGAGCACCTGGATCTGGTTGTTCTGTGTAAAAATGGTTTTCATTCTGAAAATCACAAAACCCACTTTTGCTTGGAATATGGTTTTCTACTGGCTGAGATTTATTTTAATGCTGAAAAGCCGGACCCAATTTATTGTGAGTTTTCAGCAAATCCTTCTCAGATTGCCAGGAATCCCACTGTTTGAATGCACATGTGGAAAAATATTGAGACTGAGCTGTTGAAATGTGTTGGATTATTGAGAAACTGAAAATAGTAAATAGTTAATTGAGTAGAAAATAGGTTTGGCAAGGCTTTATGAGCTAGAGAGAAAAGTTGATAGACTGGACCCTGGAACCACACATATGAGAGAATTTATATTGTTGAAACTCAACTCAATGGCCTGTAACTGCTGTGGGTCAGTTGTGAGTGTGGCCAGAGCCTTGGGAAGACATTCTGAGCACATGGGCTCAAATGACCACTGAAGATCCTGCATGAACAATCCTTTCTCTACCTGTGACCGCCACCCATTTTTGCTGATTGAAAATTAACCCATAATAGCATAACCTCATAGTGCTATGTCAGTTGGTCATGTTGTCCTGTCTGTGTTCAACTGTGAGGAAGTCTTCTTCCGGGCAACACAACAGAGATTCCTATTCTGAAATATAGTTGAATGCTTTATAGCTTTAGATAATTTTGGATTATAAAACCTGTTAGAAGTCCTTTATGGAAAAAAGAAAGCTGTACACAATGAAACAATGAAAAATTAAGAAGGAAATAGTAAACCACTTTCCAATGAAACATATGAGTAATAACAATAGCTAACAATTTTATAACAATGATAATTGGCTAGGGAAAGTTCTAAGCACTTTAGATACATAAAATCATGTAATCAGAAATTCTAGTAATATTGGTACTAATATTATCTTCTTTTTACAGCATATAGACTGAGTCACCAAGAATTTTAAGGACTTGTCCAAGATAGCACAATTACTCAGTGGCAAACACAGGAAGTTTGGCTTTATATGAGCCTCTTTTGATTATTCTATAGCAATTTCAGCATAGCTCTGTAAATTGCTGAACTGGAGTTTGATTTATATTCACATGATAATACACTGACTGAAATACATATGTATGGACATGTGCACATACAAGTAGTTCCACATATGCATGCACAGGCATCCACATGGTCACACACATACACAACTTCTTAAGGGTCAAAGTTTCACAAGAGAAAGGGCAGCAATGCTGGAGTCAGATCTGAGACTGAATCCTGGTCCTACCTTTTCCAGCTGTGCGCATCACTTAAACTCTACCCCTCAGTGTTTCTCATATGGAATATGAGTTTAATGATGATTTCCTTGAAGGATTAAGGAGCCGAAGCTGGAGCTAGTCATTAAAAACCCTGGTATTTTTTATTATTTTGTTCTTAATATCTTATTAAGAACAATTTTCTTTTGTTGGTGACTAAGAAAGAATTGTTCTCTAGACATGGCTTATTAGAGTTGGGGCCTCCATTCTGATTTTTCTCCCCAAATTATCCTGTTTCTGTCTTTGCCCTTTTCTCTGCTAGGCTACTAGATGTATGTGTGGCTGTGTCTCAGACCTCAGAATTTGAAATCTCTCTTCAATTTCCTGCTGTTACCTGCTTGAGTTTCATTTATAAAGAGTGGGGTCAGCAAGAAAATGGACTTATTAACCACATTCTCTGGTGCTGTACCAATTCTCCTTAAGGCTTCCCAGCATGGCCTGGCTTGTCCTCAGAGTCCGGTGGTTCAACGGGGAGGGGGAGGGAGCTGGGGAGGCTGTGGCAAAAACTAGGTCAACCTCAAAACAAAAACTCTCACAGAAACCTTTGCTTGAGCATCTAAAATCTCTAGTTTTAATACTGAATTCCACAGTTTCTTGGGTCCTGTTATGGAAATTAGGCACATCTTTTCGGGTATTTTACATTTTGGTACTATCATTGGAAAACAAAGCAAAGCAAAGCTAGACACAAAAGCCCCCTTTTCCCTCATTGCTTCTGATAATTGCATTGTTATTTTGAAACTAGAGAGTGACATTTGATTTCCTGTTAACTGTTTTTCTGCAATGTTTTGGAATTTTACCTTTTGAACAAGGTTGTGGCCTGGAACAAAATTTGGCCTGTGAGTAGCCCTAAAATAACAGGTGGCTCTAAGTATTTCAAAACCAAGGTTCCTAATCACAATCGTCTTCTTTATGTTTATACTATTTCTACAGCATAGATCTTGTTACATTGAATGTAGAGAGGCACAAAAAATCTCATAAGCCTTCCATGATTTCTCCTTGCTGAGTTAATAATTTCTTTCTCTATTTCTAGAGCTTATTTGTATTAAATCCTTTATTATGGTCTGCCTGTGTCAGAGCTATCTATCCATTTATTCGTTTTTCTACCTGTCCATATATCTGTACTATCTATCTATCTATCTATCTATCTATCTATCTATCTATCTACCTACCTACCTACCTGTCTATCTATCCATACATCTATCAATACACCTGTTTATCCACCTGTCTATCTAGCTGTCTGTCATCATCTATCTGTCACATTCCTATTTGTTCTACTAATGTGTGGTTTTCTGGGAGAGCAGGGGGCAGAGCACATGCCTTCTTCTTCTTTTCTTTTTTTTTTTAATTAGGTCTCACGGATACCAGCTCAATGTTTTACAAACAGTAGTGCTTTAAAATACTTGTTCTTTTGGGTGCTTTGATTCAAAATAAACACATGTAAAAAACAATAATTTAGACTTTCACTGAATACTTTTGTCTTTTGTACCTGTCCTTTCCATCTCTTATCTCTGACAACAGAAGACCTTCTTACATACCACTTTCAGTACTATAGTGCAAAGAGATCATCCAAAAAAATCAGTGGGAGGCGATGAGTTGGCAAAGTGCCAGCTTGATAGTGTGAGGTGAAACATAGCTCTAAAATTTCAATATATCTTGGTTAGAACAATGAAAATTGTTATGCCCAAGACATTTCAGGAAGGAAGGAATATGGCTGTAAAAACAAGACCAAAAATTGTTACATTTATGAATTTCAGTGCCAATTGTGTTTGTTGATATAATAAACACATTTAAAAAAATATTTTACTTTACTTTAAGTTCTGGGATACATGTGCAGGTTTGTTACATAGATATACGTGTGCCATGGTGGTTTGTTGCACCTATCAACCCATCATCTAGGTTTTAAGCCCCGCATGCACTAGGTATTTGTCCTAATGCTCTCCCTCCCCTTTCCCTCCAGCCCCTGACAGGCCCTGGTGCGTGATGCTCCCCTCCCAGTGTCCCTGTGTTCTCATTCTTCAACTCCCACTTATGAGTGAGAACATGCAGTGTTTGATTTTCTGTTCCTGTGTTAATTTGCTGAGGATGATGGCTTCCAGCTTCATCCGTGTCCCTGAATAAGCACATTTTTATTTTCTGTGTTCTTAAAGGAAGCATTATATCTGAACAAATCAGCATTGGTACAAGATGGAAGGCTTTTCTTTGGAAGAGCAACATTCAATTGCAGTGGCTTTGAATGCCTCTTTTTTTTTTTTTTTTTTTTTTTTTTGACAGTCTCTGTCGCCCAGGCTGGAGTTCAGTGGCACGATCTCAGCTCACTGTAACCTCTGCCTCCCGGGTCAAGCAATTCTCCTTCCTCAGACTCCTGAGTAGCTGGGATTACAGGCGTGCACCACCACGCCTGGCTAATTTTTTTGTATTTTTAGTAGAGACGGGGTTTCACCATGTTGGTCAGGCTGGAGCCACGGCGCCCGGCCTGAATGCCATTTTTGCCTGATTGCCTTGATTTCAGATCATCGCTTGCTGCCACACTTGAGGCATCTGCATATGAATCTCACATGTAGTTGAGAAATCATGGATGTGGCAACTGTGAGTGTTTGAAGAAGTGAAGCATTGCTGTACTCACAAAATGCCATGGTGAGGCATTTGACTTTCTGATTTATAGTTACAGTAATGAGGATTCCAAGTGTGATTTTCTGAGCCAGGTTTGAGGCCATCTTCTCATTCATTTTTGTTGACAGTCACCAATCGTTAGCCTGGTGCTTGTCTGCCACCTACTAGATAAATATTTGTTGAATATAACAGAATTAAAGCAATGGGCATTGATGTGCCAGACCTAATACTAGATGCCAGAAAGTAGAGAGATAAGTTTGTTGTTAAATGCAAATGACAGTGCTACCTAATAGGTACACAGAATCAAGCAGAGACATTCTCCGTGAATTTTGAATGTTAAAGAGGAATAATCTCTGGGGAATGGGAAAGGACTTTTCACCGTATTAGCAAGCATGGGCAGAGACATCACTGTGTGGAGGAGCAGGGCATTTCAGGGAGGAGGGAGAATTTTAGCCATTGGTTATAGCATGGTGTAGGGATTGTGGCCACATGGAAAAGAGGTATAATCTAGTGGCCAAATTGTGTTTCTGTTCCAGGTTTGGGTTTTTCTCCTGAAAGTGACAAGGATCAATTGAAGCATGGCCATGCAGAAACATGGGCTGGGATGCTTTCTCTCTAGATCAAGCTTGTCCAACCCATGGACTGTAGGCCTCATGTGGCCCAGGACAGCTCTGAATGTGGCCCAACACAAATTCATAAACTTTCTTAAAACATTATGAGGTGTTTTTTTGCAATTTTTTTTTTTTTAGCTCATCAGCTGTCATTAGTATTAGTGTATTTTATTTGTGGCCCAAGACAATTCTTCTTCCAAGGTGGCCCAGGGAAGCCGAAAGATTGGACACTCCTGCTCTAGATGGTGAAAAGATTACCCAGGGCTGGAACAAAGAGAAGGTTGTCTCTATGGGACTTCCAGTTCTCTGCTGTCAGAACAGATGCATCTGTGGTGCCACAGTGTGTCTCTCACTTTTTCAACCCATAGGCAGTAGCCAGCAGCTTCTACCACAAGTTACAGTGAGACAGAATCAATGGGAGGAAATTTTTTTTCCAAGTGTTTATTATAAAATGTTTCAAAACTGCAGAAAAGTTGAAGAAATAATAAAACAAACACCCATTTACTTACCATCTAGCTTCAACAATTATTAAAATTTTGCTGTATATGCTTTATTTTCTTTGTGTATGTAAATTACCTGGACTGTAATTTATTTTTTTCTTGTATCTCCTTTATTTTCCAGAAACTTGAAATTAAACCTAAAGACCTTATTAGACTCAAATCACATATTTTTGGCAAGAAAATTGTATTGTTCATGCTATCAATTGCCTTTTGTGTTATATGAGAAGGTAGGTGATAATAAATTATCCTTTGGACTTACTTGTTTCTTGGAGCATTTCTTTGATTTCTGGTCCAAAATATCCAAAGTTTATCTTGTAATTCTCTTGCTTGATTCCTGTTAGTAAGGAATATTATTTAGAAGCCAAGATCTGAATTGATTGATATTGGGATGACATTGCTTCCACGTTCATTGTATGGAGCTAGGAAATATGTGTATGTATATATATATATATGATATATATACAAATACATATATATAATTTATGTGAGAAAAATAATATATACATATTCATATTTCCAATTAAAATTTAACCAAGTAGTATATTTTGTGGAATTTCTTTGATATTGTCTCCTTCTTACACTGAAAAATCTGGGTATTTCACAAATTGCCATTTTTACATAATCATCACAATATGCATATTTTAAAAATTATAATATTAATGCTACTATTAAAATCACCAAAAGAGGCTTTGCTTTCTTTGCACGTTTCCTTGTATCCTGAATAGATCCCTCTAAGAATGTATACATATGCAGTCAGAGCATTCTGTTACACAACAGCTTGAAATAATTATTTTCTATGTGATTATATTACCAAGTTCATAGATGTAGACTCATTTGTTTCAGTTCTTTTTTTAATTTTTTAGTTTTCTTTTTTCCGTTTTGATCTAAAGTGATTTTTTGATCACATAAAATATTGCATTCAAAACAAGGTACACTCAGACACTCAGAGAAGTTTCATTCCCATCCCTTTACCCTCCACCCCACTTTGACTCCCATGCTATTTCCTTCTTCATTTACCCAGAATTTCTTTTTGCAAAAATACATC
Organism: Homo sapiens; assembly: GCF_000001405.40. NCBI lineage: Eukaryota > Metazoa > Chordata > Mammalia > Primates > Hominidae > Homo > Homo sapiens. The sequence continues at coordinate 51,710,220 of NC_000007.14, forward strand.
ACTAGGTGTATTTGTACTTTTATTTCTACTACAACACTGAAAGGATTCAATAATCACTGCTGTGCACTTTAAAATACAGTCTGGGACTATCTCTATTTCAATACATAGAAATTTTGCTCATTTTTTCTTACAGCTGAGTGATATGTCATTGTGTGAATATACCACATATACAAGCAGTTCCTTAACTAAAGGTATTTGAGTTGTTTCCTGTCTTCTGCTTTGTAAACTGTGACACAGAACATGACCTTGTTCATATAATGCTTCATATTTACAGAATATACCATCTGGGTAGATTCCTAGAAGGTGGATTTCTGGTTCAAAGTGTTTCTGTGGTGTGTTTGTGTGTGTGTGTGTGTGTGTGTGTGAGAGAGAGAGAGAGAGAGGGAGAGAGAGGGAGAGAGAGGGAGAGATTTTTATAGATACTGCCAAAATATACTCTATAAGACTTATTATATTATACAATATATGACTATGCCTGTTTCATCATAGCTTCATCATGAGTTTTGTCAAACATCAGGAAGTTTTACTGATTTGATGAATGAGAATTGGATCTAAATCTAATTTTCACATGTATTTTTCTTATATTTATTAGGAGTAAATTTGATACCTTCTGAACTTGTTTCTTGTATATAGATTTGCTGATTATTAATCTACAGTGGGTAAACATTTAAGAAACTGAGCAGATGGCTGCAAAACATCTAACTGGAGCTTTTGAAAATCTCATGGTTCTAAAAGGCAAAATTATGTTTCAGGACCAACTCAGGGAAGAAGTTCATTGGTACAAACCCCACACCATGGGACCCCTGGAGGACTATACCTTAGAAGCAGGGATGAAAGAGAGGTAGGTTGAGCCTTTAAAAGTCTGAAAACTGACCTCAGGCCAAGGCACCCCTGATGGGATTAAGGTGATCTGTTCTAACCCCAGTAACTTGCCTAAAACAAAAAGTAGAGGTAATGCCCAGTCATCACCAGTGTGCAATACATTCATGTAACACAACTGTACCTGTACCCCTTAAGTCTATAAAAATAAAAATAAGTAAAAAAAGAATAGCTAACATTTTGTCCTTTATGTTTATGAGGCTTATCATCTGGCAAAGGAGTCATTAAAGTAATAAAAAAAACCCCAGCAACACAATGTTTTAGAGTTTATAATTGAAGACAGCATTGATCCTAGGATAGCACAGGGACACTGATTAAGGTCCATCCTGGAGGAAGGGGTTTTCTTCATTGACTCTTATGGGAGATGATATTTGAGATAAATGATAAGACATGGAAGAAAGTCACTGGGTAAATGAGGGATTTCTGTGTGCTTGTGCTGCAGGAAGACAGAGAAGAGATTGACAAAGGCAGCTAGGTGTGAAATTGTGGATTAGGACAATGGCAAGAATTTCAGTGTCTTGAAGCTTGCTCAGCACATGGGCAAGTATGAGGACATGAAGTGGGACAGGAATTAAGTATTTTTCTTTACCTTGAATGATTTTAAGGAAGATAGGCATAAGTTAGTGTACTTTAGAAATGTGACTCTGGCCACTGTATAAGGGTTATGAGTCAGCTAATAAAGAGGTAGTTTCAGTTGTGAATATAAACTACAGTGGGAGACAGAATTGTGGACACCCAAGAATTAAAGAAGCCTTAGTTTTTATCTCACTTATCTTCATAACGACAGTAGGGGTATTAACTATTAGAGATTCAAATACTAGGTTATAAGGTTAGATATGTTTAGGTATATAATAAAAGCAGCTTTATTTGTTCCGTATTTAGTTTCAAAATACTTTGAATCCCTTTCCACTAGTACGGGTGATGTAATTTCAGTTAATTGGGTAAAGTCTGGTAACGGCTCATTCCTGGCATCTGCCGCAGCCTTTCAGCTGAGGGCATTAGGTTCTAGGCAGTTGTTCCTTCTTGGGGCATAGGGACGTTGTCTCTCTTTTCTAAGCTGAAATCCTTTGCAGCATTCTCACTCCTTGTCAGTCCCTGGCAGGTTTGCAGGGGTCACATCCAGACCTTTGTGTCTCATGCCTGGACCTCAAGTTTTAAAACTTCAAAGCCAGTATTTGTCTGTTTTATTCAGTTCTTTACCATCCATTTTGGAAAAGCATTTCCTGGAAGCAATGGATGCCTCACGGTCTAGTTCCCAAGTTGGCATTACTACAGGGTAACAGGAAATACTGCAGGAAAACATGTCAGTTGATATTCCAGAATTTTAAATTGACACATTTATGTCTCCATATTTACATGTGAAGAGTCAACACTTAACGAGATGACTGTCAGCAGTCAAAGATGTGAGGAAGGACTGAGAGGACAGATTTGATGTTTAGATTTCACATCAGAATATATGTGGTTGGGGGAAGAGGTATTTGACTTGAATAAGAAGCTAATGTGAACAGAAAGCCAGGTTGCAAAAAATACATAAACAAGTAATTCAACCAAATTGCCTTTCAGAATCAAAATGGAGGGGTGAGGAACTGTGTAAGTTGATAATTATGTTGCTATGGTTCCTTTTCCTGATTGGAACAATGCTATTGAAGAGTTGGTTATTTTAAGCTGACATCTGGTAACATTTAATTTATTGGGAAAAGAACTTGGTTTGCATTCAGATGTATATTTTAAAATCATAACTTCTATTGCATTTTGGTGTAGGTATGCAAATCAAAATTAGAAATTAGTTGTTTACTGTGTTAGACTTCTTGAAAGTAAATACATGTACTTTTCAAGAAAACAATGCTGGGTATTTGGCATATTTGAGAAGATTATCCCAGAGGTAGTAATGGAAACATCATCAGGTTGGGAGTGGGACAGAACTATGGCCATGTAATGTTTCCACTGCCTACTAAGCATGCAGCCAAGACTAAGCTAATTAAACTCCTTGAACCTTACTTTTCTAATTTATGGAGCAGTATAACATTCTTTTACATGCAATAGGATGTGCAATATTCTGACGAGACTCTGTTTCCATTATCCTAGACTGCCATTCCCGTGGTTACAGCTATTGAAATGACACCCATAGAAAACAGAAGAAAATAATTAGCTTCCACTCATTTCCAAACCCAGTACTGTGAGTTAAAAATTAACCACAAAGCATAAATGTATTTTTGTATGATACATCCTAAAGAATATTTAAAGGCATTCTGAGTTTGCTATTAAATTTATCTTGTGGTGGAAAAATCTTTCTTTCCCACACACAGTGGCTTGCATTACTTTGTTAAATGTACACTTATTGAACCCTTTCTTGGAACATTGAAAGCTACACTTATTGAACCCTTACAGGGCACATTGCAAATCTTGGGGGAATGGCACTTCAAGTGACATTGTGCCAAGTAGGAGATATTATAAGACATAAGAGCAGTGCCATGCCAAGCCAAATAGGAGTCTGAGACAAAAAGAAAATCAATAATACTGAGCCAGGCTTTATTTAAAATTTTTTTATATTTTGTTTATTATGATGACTGGTTTTATGGGCCATCTTAACTTAACTTAACTGGGCCACAAAGTGCCCAGGTATTTGTCTAAATACTATTCTGGGTGCTTCTCTGGGGGTGTTTTGGGATGAGATTAACGTTTAAATTAGTAGACTAAGTACAGAAGATTGCTCTCTCTAATGTGGGTGCGCTTCATCCAATTGCTTGAAAGCCTGAGTAGTACAAAAAGACTGACCTTCCCCAAGTGAGAGGACATTCCTCTTGCCTAATAGCCTCAGATTGGAACATCAGCACTTTTCCTGCCTTCAGATCTGAACTAAAACATTGGTTATCCGTGGGTAGTTAGCCTGCCAGCCTTTAGACTAGAACTTACACCATCAGATGTCTTGGTCTTCGGGCCTTTGGACACAGGCTGGAGCTACACCATAGCTCTCCGAGGTCTCCAGCTTGCAGGCAGACCCACCCCACAGAACCTGGGACTTTTCAGCCTCCATAATCATCTGCCAGTTTTTCATAATAACTCTTTTCTTTCTTTCTCTCTGAAACTCTAATACATTCATATTGGATTTTTACATTGATATTTTTTTTTGAATATTACATTAAAATATTATATCTCTTGATAACTAAGATTTTTAGTGCTTCTTTAGATTGTGCATCAATGTGAGTGTCTAACTCATAGATCTGTGCATCAAATGTGAGTATCTAACTCACCTTACCCAGACCTGGACTTGCATAGGAGATAGTAAAGCACAACTCCCCATCAAATTGCCTCTTGAGAAACGCAGAAGCTTTCCTCACCTTCTTTCTGCCTCCATTCTTTACAATTCTACACATCATGTTTGCCAAATCCATTCTGTCTCTTTCACTATTGCCAATGGCTCTAAACCTCACTCTTATTATTGCAATAGTTTCCTGTTTTGCTTATTTTTTCTCCAGCCATTAATCCCTCAATCCGTTCTTTACACACTTTTAAGGGGTTATCTTTTAAAAACACAATTCTGATTTCATCAATACTCTCTTTAAAATGCCTTTTTTTTAACTCACCATTTCCAGTCTTCTTAGCACTGTACTTAGCTATGTTTCCAACTTTGTTTTATGCCTTTTGCTCTTGATAATACCCAGTTAGCTCAAATGACACCACAGTGCTTACCAAGATTAAACAGGCAATGCCCTTTAACTGTGTTAGCTATGTTCATGTGCAGCTTCTCCTGCCAGGCTCTGATGAACTCTACTTATTTTTCACCATGATGCATAATTGCTATCATCTCAACTTTGATTTTTACTCCCCCTACAATGAAAAGTTTTATCTCTTCTCCTCTGTATTTCATAGTACTTATCATTATCTTGAAAATAATAGTAATCTTTACCCTGGAATTTTAATTATATGCTTAGAAATTCATCTCCCCCAACAAGCTGTTGGGGAGGGAAAGACGTTGCTGTCCTTATCCATGAATCTTTTACACATATCTCAGTGCCTAGCCTAGATGAGTCTGGTTGTTGAGCAAAGAAGTACCATACAGTAGAAAGTCATAAGTGTTATGAAAGAGGATGGCTTTACAGGTATCAGATGATGAGAGAAATAAGTGGAATAATGGGGAAAAATCCCTAGAAATTATAATTCTCCAGGAGCTTGGTATCTAAAATTTGGTATGTCTGGCACCAAATGACAGTGATATATTGGAGACTCTATAGCCAAGAATCTTATACATGTTAAAACAAGAAATAAGAGATCCACACCATTTATTTTGAATGCAATTAATATATATATAAATCCAAATTTCTATTTAAATTGGAAGATATAAAAAGCAATGTTTAAAAGTATGAGAAACTAAAAAACTTAGCTATTTGGCAAAGAATTCTAACTTCTTAATTTTGTATATATTGTACTTTGCCCCAAGAAACTAAAATCTCTGGAGCTCTATTCATCTAAACACTGGTCTTGCTTTATTAGTGAATAGTCTCACCATCACTCCATTCTATCCCTCCACAATTTTTCTACCAGAATCTGTGTTGGTTACCCTAAAATATTTTGCATATACTGACTGCCTCCAGCCAGTAACTTATTTCTGCCTGTGTGAGTTGTTTTCAATAATGGATCCTTAGTTCTTATAATCTGGGTATGGATTATTTTCCACAACTCTCCCCATGGCTTTATTTTAGACAGGGAGCCTCCAGGAATACATCTTTTCCTATGATTCTAAACTTCAATCAAGATAAATGCAACATCACTGGTTTGTGTCACCTGACATTGGTCCCAGGTTTAGTCTTATTTGTCAACCACTGAGTAATTTGCTCACAGATTCTGGCTAAGAAATCTGCATCTAGCTAGAGTCTATTCACCTAAAGTTTCCATTATTTTTAAAGAAATCAAATATTTTGCATACCATATCTGTCATTTCTTGAAAAAGAAAAGTGAAAACTGATCCAGATTCTTCTTCAATAGGGATCTTAATTACTGTAAGTATTTGAAAACATCACTTTTCTGGCCTTCTTGAGCTCTGAAGTTCAGTGATCATATAATCTCCATAGTCAACACTGTGCATATTCATTTAAAGTATGTGCTTTTATGCAAGTACCTCAGATATATGTTTTCAGTACTGTGAATACTGAAGAGGCAAAAAGCAGTTTATTTTATGCCTATCCTTTCACTCTCTAGGATAACACTTTTTATTTATATAGTTTTTAGTTTTTAAATACTAGGTAAGGATGAATAATTATCTCCAAATTACAGATGAGGTTAAGAAACCTATACTCTAGGTCACACAGAAGAGAAGAGACAGAACCATAATTCCAGCTTAGAGTCTATGATTGCAAGTACAACATTCCTTGTAAAATACTATTGTATAATCTTTCCCCTCAATGAGACAGAAAATTTGAGGTTTAAAAAATTAATTAAAATTATTGACTTTGAATATTTGTTGATTGCAATCACCAAAGATTTTTCTACTACAAACGTTCACTTTTTAAAAAGTAAATTATAAGTTAAGATTCTCTTTTTAAAAAAAATCCCAGAACACCCCCGGGGCAGTGGTGGGTGCACATAGTCCAGTGGGAGGATTGCTTGAGCCCAGGAGTTCTGGGCTGTCATGCACTGTGACCATGAGGTGTCCACACTAAGTTCCACATCAATACAGTGACCTCCTGGGAGTGAGGGACCAACAGGTTGTCTAAGGAGGAGTGAAGCAGCCCAGGTCAGAAATGGAGCATGTCAAAACTTTCATGCTGATCAGTAGAGGAATTGTACCTGTGAATAGCCACACTGCAGCCTGGGCAACATAGCAAGAGAGTCTCTTTAAAAAAATCCAGAACAGAGAACATATTATCTTGCCAATTTAATTTTTTTTTTCTTAGAGACAGGGTCTCACTCTGTTGTCCAGACTGGAGTTCTGTGGCATTAATGTGGCTCACTGCAACCTCGAACTCCTGGCTTCAAGCAATCCTCCTGTCTCAGCTTCCCAAGTAGCTAAGAGTACAGGTGTGTGCCCCATGCCCAGATAATTAAAAAAAAAAAAAACATTTTGTAGAGATAGGGTTTTGCTATGTTGCCCAGGTGGGTCTTGAACTCTTGGCCTTAAGCAGTCATCCCACCTTGATCTTCCAAGTCATTGGGATTGCAGGCATGAGCCACTGTGCCCAGCCTAATCTTTGTGCAAAGATGTTAGGGGGCAGAGGGCTGGCAATCTCCTGGGGATGACATGCAGAAAGTCAAACACCACTGTGATGGTTAATACTGAGTGTCAACTTGATTGGATTGAAGGATACAAAGTATTGATCCTGAGTGTGTCTGTGAGGGTGTTGCCAAAAGAAATTAACATTTGAGTCAGTGGGCGGGGGAAGGCAGATCCACCCTTAATCTGGTGGGCACAATCTAATCAGCTGCCAGCGAATATAAAGCAGGTAGAAAAACGTGAAAAGGAAAGAGGGGCCTAGCCTCCTAACTTACATCTTTCTCCCATGCTGGATGCTTCCTGCCCTCAAACATCGGACTCCACATTCTTCAGTTCTGGGACTCAGACTGGCTCTTCTTGCTCCTCTGCTTGCAGACAGCCTGTTGTGGAACCTTGTGATCAGGTGAGTTAATACTTAATAAACTCCCCTTTATCTATATCTATATCTGCATCTATATTTATATCTATATCTATATCTATATCTATCTGTATCTCTATCTGTATCCTATTAGTTCTGTCCCTCTAGAGAACCCTGATTAGTATTAGTCACCACCCTTGGGCACAGAGGCCATCTGGCCAGTTTGAGTGGTCCTGACAAAGGGCACCTCTTCCCCTGCAGGACTCAGCATTGGAGCCCTGCCTGAGGGGGAGGGAAAAGGTACCTCTCCATTTCCTTCCATATTATGACTCTCAAGTTCCAGCAGCCTTTCTTGTGGACACTCCTGCCACACTGGTCTTTTCTCTGGGAAGCTGTGCCTGACATTCTCAATGAGGTCCTGATTCCTGCATAAAAACCCAGCGAACAACTGCGGGAGGTGACTCTCCACCAATAGTATTTGCTAACATCACCTGCCAATTCTGCATCTCAATGCTCAGAGACGATTCCTAAAACTGTGGAAGCCATGGTGATGGGCGTGTCTTGCTTATTTTCCTCCGTCACTCACCTTCTACTGGTTGGCTCTAATAATATTTAGCAGCTACTCAACAGTCCAAATTCCAATTCAAAAAAGAAACTCACTACCTTACCATGGCAATCAACAATAAACATTTCCAATATTAGCATCATCCATGATCATCTATGAGTATTTGCTGACTGCTTACTACGTGATAGTTTCTGCTAAGAAAAACACACTAAAGCTTGATGCTAAGATCCAGAATCAAAGGTTTTGTTAGAATGGAAATATATTCCACAATAACTGTGCTTCCAGGTGGCCTATACTCCTCATCATAGATACAGTTAAGATTCTTGCAGTTCCCACCCTTTTCATAGAAGTAGGTGTTTCTAATAAGCGACTGTTACAGCTATTATATGCTGAAGTCATGCAGGAAAATTACCCAGGTCTATATTTCCTCCTGAGCACATGTCATAAGATTGTTGAGCTAGCCCCAAACATGCAGTATCTGCGGAGGTTAATAGAATATTTTCTCTATAAAATTGAGGTCATAGCTCTTGCCTCTCACAAGCTTTGTTTTCTTGTGCAAAACTGTCATGACTTGCAGATGTGTACTACTAAAAATAATAATTATAGACAAGTAATGGTCATTATTTTACATAAAATTAATGATTTAATGCAAGTGAATATAGAAGAAACATTTTAGTAGGAGATTTGTGTTCCAGAGATGATGTAAACCTTCTGGCTTCTGTGGGCCATCTTGGGTAAGTCACCGGGCTTCTCTCAGCCACTTTTTTCATATTCAGATCTTTACTGTCTATTCGCTCATAATTCTCAAATATGTATCTCAAACCAAGACATTTCTGAGAATGAGACTAAGTGTTTTTTTCAGGTTGGGCTGGAAAATCCATTTCTCACGGTTCCAAAGGCTGGGAAGCCAGGGTCAAGGTCCTGCAGATCCAGTGTCTGGCGAAGCCCTTCTTCCGGGTTTGGAAATGGCTGCCTTCTCCTTCTATCCTCACACGGCAGAGAGAGAAAGAGACTGTGAGAAACAGAGGAAGTACTCCAGGGAGTTCTGCAATGTCTTCTAAAAGGATGCTAATCACATCATGGGGGCTCCATCTTTGTGACCTAATCACTTCCCAAAGGCCCCACATCCTAATACCGTCACATGGGAAGTGAGGGTTTCAACATGTGAATTTGTGAGGGGACACAAACATTCAGTCCATGGCACTAACATACCCAACACCAGAATCTGAGTGGAGAGTTTCATCTGGGTGATATCCCTTCAGTTTGTGTAAAGCCCTGAACTCCACCTCGTCTTTCTCAGCTGCTTTTCCTGTTTTCTCTGCCATGGTGATGCTGCTGCCTTCCACTCAAGTTATGAGAAGACAGGGTCCCACAGTTTACCATCTGCTTCTGTCACCCGTCTTGAGTTGGTCACAAATTCCTACTGATGATACCACACAAAGGACTCCTGGGCATGTCGTCTCCTCTCTTGAAAACATAGGGTCTTAGTCCAGGTCTTCATTTATGCATTCGTCCAACATTTCCTGTTTTACTTTCTTTCATGGTGTTCTCCATGGTGGTGATTAAATAAGCTTCCTAAAATACAGAAAAAATAATGTCATTATTTGCTTAAAAACTCCCCATTTCTTCTCCATTGCTCATTTTTTAAATAACACATTTTTGTTATTGTGGCAGGATACGCATAACAAAATGACCATTCTGAGTGCACAGTTCTGGGGTACTGAGTCCATTCACATGGTTGTGCAACCATCACCACCACTCATCTCTAGAATGCTTTCCATCCTTCAAAACCGAAACTTCGTACTCATTAAACAATTCCCCACTTCTCTCTCCCCTCAGAACCTGGCAACCACCATTTAACTTTTTGTCTCTGTGAGTTTGACTATTCTGGATATCTCATATAAGTGGAGTCACACGTTGTCTTTTTGTGACTGGTTTATTTCACTTGGTTTAATGTCTTAAGGTTCATCCCTGTTGTGGCACATTGCTGTGATTTGAATGGGTCACCTTGAAAATCCAGGTGTTATCAATGTGGTACTATTAAGAGGTGGGGGTTTTAGGTGGTGATTAGATCAAGAGAGCTCTTCCATCATGAGTGAGATTAGGTGCCCTTATAAAAGGACTTCATGAAGGAGTTTGTCCCCCTTTTGCCCTTCTTCCTTTTGCCATGTAAGAACACAGTGCTCCTCCCTTCTGGAGGCTGCAGCAATAAGGCCTCCTCTTGGAAGTAGAGAGCCACCCTGAACCAGATGCTGAATCTGCTGGCATCTTGATCTTGGACTTATAGCTCCCAGAACTATAAGAAATAAATTTCTGTTCATTAATAATTACCAGTTTTTGGTATTTTGTCATAGCAGCGCAAGCAGACCAAGACACATATATAAGGATTTCTTCCTTTTGATGGGTGAATAATATTCCATTGTATGTGTAGAGTACATTTCAATTATTCTATCATCCATAGGTGGACCTGAGAGGTTGCTTCCATATTTTGACTATTGCAAATAATGCTGCTATGAACATGAGTATACAGATATTTGGGTCCGTGCTTTCATTCCTCTTGGGTATATACCTAGAAGTAGAATTTCTGGATTGTATGGTAATTCTATATTTAATATTTTCAAGAACTGCCACGCTGTTTTCCGCAGCTGCTGCACCAGTTTACCTTCCCACCAACAGTGCTCAAGGGTTTCAATTTCTCTACATTCTTGCTAACACTTGTTATTTTCTGTTACTTATTTAGTTTTTTATTTTTGATAATAGTCTAATGAGTGTGAGGTTGTATCTCATCGTGGTTTGATTTCCATTTTCCATTATAACTAGTGATGTTGAAGATCTTTTCGGGTAGTTACTGGTCATTTGTATATCTGTCTTGGAGAAATATCTATTCAAGTCCTTTGCCCATTTTTCGGATAAGTTTTTTTTGTAATTGAGCTTTAGGAATTCTCTATATATTCTAGATATTAAGCTTTTATCAGATATGAGATTGTCAAATATTTTCTCCAATTCTGTGAATTGCCTTTTTACTTTGTTAATAGGGTCTTTTGATGCATAAAATTTTAAAATTTTTATGAAATCCAATTTCTAATTTTTCTTTATTGCCTGTGTCTTTAGTGTCATACCCAAGAAATCATTACCAAATCTAATGTCATGAAGATTTTATCCTATGTTTTCTTTTAAGAGTTTTATAGTTTTAGCCCTTATATGTAGATCTTTGATCCATTTTGAGTTGATTTTTATATATGGCACCACTTTTATATCTGGTGCCCACATTAATTTTGCATTTGGGTATCCAGTTTTCCCAGGACCATTTTGTTAAAAAGAGGTGAATCTTCTTTCCACATTGAATGGTCTTGGCACTCTTGCTGAAAATCATTTGACTATATACACAAGGGTTTATTTCTGGGCTCTCTGTTTTGTTCCATTCGTCTACATGTCTTAAGGGACACTTAATGTCTTAATTTGGATACTGTCTTAATACCAGTACAACACAGTTTTGATTCCTGTAGCTTTGTAGTAAGTTTTGAAATCAGCATACATGAGTCCTCCAGCTTTTTTTTTTTTGAATCAAGATTTACTTGGCTGCTTGAGACCCCTTGGGATTCTATATACATTTTAGGATGGGTTTTTCTATTTCTACCAAAACTTGTGATTTTGTTAGTGACTGCATTAAATTTCTCAATCACTTTGGGTTATATTGACATCTTAACAATATTGAGTGGTCCAATCTATGAACATGAATCTTTCCATTTATTCATGTCTTTAATTTATTTCAGCAATGTTGTATATATATATATATTTTTTTTTTTGAGACAGAGTCTTGCTCTGTTACACAGGCTGGAGTGCAGTGGCATGATCTTGGTTCACTGCAACCTCTGCCTCCTGGGTTCAAGCAATTCTTCTGCCTCAGCCTCCTGAGTAGCTGGGATTATAGACATGTGCCACCATGCCTGGCTAATTTTTTTGTATTTTTAGTAGAGACAGAGTTTCACCATATTGGCCAGGCTGGTCTTGAACTCCTGATCTTGTGATCTGCCCACCTCAGCCTCCCAAGATGCTAGGGTTGCAGGTGTGAGCCACTGCGCCTGGCCTAGAATTTTTATCATACACATCATTAACTTCTTTAGTTAAGTTAATATGAGTATTTTATTTTTGATGCTCTTGGAAATTGAATTGTTTTCTTAATTTTATTTTCAGATTGTTCATTGTTATGTATAGAAATCCAACTGATTTTTGCATATCCATTTGTAATCCTATTTCACTGCTAAATTTGTTTATTAGTTCTAGCAGGTATTTTGTAAAAGCTTTAGGGTTTTCTATATATATGATCATGTCATCTGTGAGCAGAGGTAATTTGACTTTTTCCTTTCCAAATTTGGATGTATTTTATTTCTTTTTTCTTGTCTGATTGCTTTGGCTAAAACTTCTAGTACTATGATGAACATATGTCATGAAAGTGGGCATTTTTTCCTTTTTCTCTAGCTTAGATGAAAAGATTTCAGTCATTCACTATTGAGTATGTTTGCTGTGGGCTTTTTATGTGTTATGTCTATTATGTTAAAGTAGTTTTTCTTTTTTTTCTAGTTGTTGAGTGTTTTTATCATGAAAGGATGTGGATTTTTGTCAAATGCTTTTTCTGCATCAGTTGTGATAATCAGTTCCTCCTTCAATTTTGTTAATGGGGTATATTACATTGATTGATTTTCATATGTTGAAACATTCTTACAAATATCACTTGTCATGGGTTATAATCTCTTTAATGTGCTGTTGAATTTGGTTTGTAGTATTTTGTTGAGAATTATTGCATCAATATTCATAAGAGATATTAGTCTGTAGTCTTTGTCTGCCTGTGTTTTCAGAGTCATGCTGGCCTCATGGAGTTAGGAAATGATCTTTCCTCTCAATTTTTTGGAAAAGTTTGCAAGGGTTTGGTATTAGTTCTTTGTGAAATGTTTGGTAGAACTCACCAGTGGAGCCATCAGGTCTGGGGCTTTATTTTGTTAGATGTTGATTCTTTATTTAATCTCTATATTAGTTATGGACTTCTATTTCTTCATAATTAAATCTTGGCCAGTTTTGTGTCACTAGTGATTTATCCATTTCATTTAGGTTACCCAACTGATTAGTGTACATATGTTCACAGTACTCTTATAACCTTTTTTTTTTGTTTGTTTTTGTTTTTGCTGTACCATTGGTAGGGATGTTCCCACTTTCATTTCTGATTTCAGTAATGTTAGCCTTCTCCTTTTCTTAGTCCATTTAGCTAAAGATTTGTCCATTGTTGTGAATTTTTTTCAAAACAACTATTGGTTTTGTTGATTTTCTCTATTGTTCTTCATTTTCTATTTCATTTATCTCTGTTCCAATTTTTATTTTTTCCCTCCTACTGGCTTTGGCTTTAGTTTGTTCTTTATCAGTTAAATTGTTGATTTGAGATCTTTCTTCTTTTTTAATGTAATGGTTTATAACTGTAAATCTCCCCCTTCCCTTTCCTTTCATTGCATCTCACAGTTTTAGTAGGTTGTGTTTTTCACTATTATTGTCTTGTCTCAAGATATTTTATTTCCATTTTGATTTTTCTTTGATCCACTGGCTTTTTGAAAGTGTACTTTTAATTTCCACAAATTTATAAATTTTCTGGTTTTCTTCTGTTATTGATTTCTAACTTTATCCTGTTGTCATTGGAGAAGATACTTTGCATGATATCTATTTTTAAAAATACATTGATACTTAACCTGTGGCCTAACATATGGTCTATCCTGGAGAATGATCCACATGCAATTGAATGTACTTTCTGTTGTTGTTGAGTGGAATGTTCTACATATGTCTGTTAGATTTCATTGATTTATCCCTTTATTGCTTTTTTCCATACTTTCTAAACTGTATATTATAGTATTCAAGTCCTTTTGTAGTCAGCTTCATAACAAGGTTTTCTGAGACTCATATCTCACTAAACCCAAGCTCATTTTATGTGATAGTCACATGGAATCAGTTGCCGGCCTGCACGCAACATGCCTTTTCATCCGTTATTGTCTCTACCCACAGTATCCTTACTTCATTCTCTACTCAGAACTTCCAATGCTTCTTTCAAGACTCAGAACAAAAGAGGGAGAATGTGTAGACCTCTACAGGCTTCTTTGGATTCCCTTCCTCAGCTCCTTTCGCACTCTGTGTCACCTACCTTATGTGTGTATCACACTGGATTGTAAATGTTTGAAATGTCCATACCTTTTAGACCTAAAAAAATTCTCAGTGCCAATACTAAATTGGCTACATAATTAGAAAAGATTCATTTTCTGAACTGAATTACAGAATTTGGCAGCCATTTCATGGTTAGCTCCCTAAATGGCCACCCTCAATTGGTGAAAACTTCCAAGGTAGAGACAGTACTCAATCAATAGAATTCTCATTGTTTCTTCTCTGTCCACAGCTCCCCACAGCCCTTATAACACAAGGCAGACACTAAATCACTGCATAAAAGTGGAAAGAATCAAAGGCTGAATCTCCATCCTGTTATCTTCTCTACTCAAAGCTTCTGTGGACATGCACGTGTGTCTTCTGGTTTTCCTGCCCCCTTGATGAAGGACAAATGGTGTTTCCATTGCTCATTGTGTTCAAGGAAGGAGGGCTTAGTTCTGCGAGTTTCTGGGGTTTAATTTGATGAATTCATCTGCTCATTGCTTACTGATTAGAAATTTCTGTCACATTGTAGGATAGCAGAGAGTTCAAGATTATTGGGACTATGAGCATATCATTTTTGTTCCATTTAAATTGCTATGAAATGGAACATTAAGCTTGGCATAGATCACGTTTCAATATCATTCTTAGCTGTCTGAAACTTGCATAATTAACCATCGTAAAATTTGGTCAGCTATATAATCAGTCAGCTGCAAAAGGACACCACGAGCAAGGGAGCATCATTGGAGCCATGGCATATATTGTATGCTGTGGACAAATACTACTTAACATAAGAAAGCACACATATGTGCAGGACAATCTTACTTCATTGTCTCACAGGACAAACCCAACTGCTCTTCAAAACGGGTCAAGGAAAGCAAGATGGAGGAGTGCCACAAGATTATACTTATGGGAAGAGACTGGGCATGTTCAGGGTGGTATGGGTATGGACAAGACTATATTTTTCATGAGTTAGTGTTGATGATGCATGTGCTGCCAATCTTTCTCTCCCTCCTTGGGGCTCAGATTCCAAAAGGTATACATGACCGATTTTGATATTCATGCTAGCTACTTTCTGGTAAAATATGGTGAGAAGCAGGGAGCCAGCTGGAAGTTTTCATTGATTTGGAATTATCTGTAGTATCAAAAAGACAGAATCCAGATGTGCCTGTCATTGTTTAATTGGTCTTTCCTCTTTTGTTCTCCTTATACCATCCCCTGCCATGAGTCTTATCTCTATTTCTGTTACATGAGGGAGCATCCTAGCTTCCATGATGTCCTTTCCTTTCCCTCCTTTCAGTAGGTTTGCAGCTTAGTTAGGGTCAATCCCTGCTTCTGATTTTCATGTGACATGGAAACTCTGAATAAGAAGCCCTAGTAAAACTTGGCTCTTGTGATAACTCACAACATTACATGTGTGTTATGTCCTGCGGCCTGGATACTTCTTGCTATCTACTCTACATAAATGTGAAGCTTAGCAAGTAAAGCAACAGCAGCTTGTTATTTCTCAGGATTTTGTGGGTTTGCTGAGCTGAGCTGAGCAGATCTTCTGCTCCACTTGGTGTCAGCTGGGATTGCTCTTGCGTCCACCTTCAGCTGAAGGCCTGGTTGGGTCTGGCACTTTCAGAACAGCCTCTCTCACATGCCTAGCCATTGGTGTTGTGTAAGAGCTCACTCTTAACAGTTTCTACTTGCTTCCTTAGACAGTAGTGACAGGGGCCCAAGAGAGTAAAAGCAAATGCTTTCAGTCCTGTTAAGGGCTAGACCTAAAACCTGCACCTGTCCAACAACTCACAAGTTCAACCCCTATGTAAACGAATGGAAAATAAACATAATTCCTTGACAAAGGAGGAGCATTCACACACAGAGGAGGGAGCAGTTGTTGGAGCCCATCTTCAAAGACCACTGACCACACTCCGGTTCAGTTCAGACTTCTCACAAACACCCTTACAGGGTCCTGTGGACCACTAATCCCAGGATGCGAATTAGAAAGGGAAGAGTGTTAGGGCTGGCTGTGTACGAAGCCTTCACATGCTTCACACCCAAAAACTCAGGATGAGGTTGAGCCCCTCTTCCTTGAGCTGCCACCCTGCCAGATGTTGCTTCCATTGCAACATGAACAACACTAATTGCAAAGAGTTTACTGGGATATTTTTTGAAAGAGGACCTAGTTTTCACTTTGATTAAACTTCTTATCCCAAACCACAGGTTTTCCCTTTATCAAGAAGACCTGAAGCAAAGAGAGGGTGGTGATCTGTCCAGGTAAGGAAGCTGCTCTTACCTTACAACTTTCGTGGTATTGCTTGGCCCTTCTAGTCATCAGAAACGCTCTTTGCTTAGGTAAGTTGTCCAGTTTCTCTTGGCCTCTTTTCTCATGTATAAAATCAAGAAATTTGACTTATATCCTGCAAAACTATGAAAAACTCATTTTATTTTCCAGGTTTCACCTTAACACCGTAGTCAATCAACTGGATGTTTTTGTTCAAAGTCTTCATCCAGCTAACTTTGACCTCAATAGAGAAACATGGGAGATGACTGGCTGAATAGTTTATTTTTCCCACAAATGCTTTAGCATTATATAGACATGGATGTAGTGTGTCCTCAGGCATCATAAGGAACTGACAATTTTTGGTTTTGAAAAATGAACTAAACTTGTCCCGATAATTTTGCCTGGCACTGCAACTCAATGAATAATTCAGCTAATTTACACCACAGTCATTTGTACATTATGAGTGTACACGCTTTGAAAGTATTTCTGTACCTTTGTCATATTGCCTATTAAATGTGTTCTGAAAATAGATACCATGTGTGAATGTAAGTCCTTGTTTAAAGAGTATGTGAATTGACACCGTGGGACCTCGTGAACAATCTTTGCCACTTCTACAGATTATTTTTATATGGCGATGGCTAGGAAACAGACTCTCCTTTTTAAAGGTTTTGAGAACAAACTTCTCTCAAGTTGAATATATATGTCTGGACAAGAATAAGTTTCTTGGTTCTACAGTACTGTTAAACTTTGTACTTATGTCTTTATAATCTATCAACTGTTTAAAATTTTTAGGGTTAGTTTAATAAACATCCTTGAAGTGTTCACACTAGTTAAGGAATTCTGTCAGCTGCTCCCTCCTGGGGGTGAGAGTGAGTGGGAGAAGGTGGTGGCAGAGAAAGGAGAGGCATTGCTGACTCCAGCCCGGAGCTCAGGGTCCTGTTGATTACTTTCTATTTCTCTGTCCCAGGGCGTCTGACACAGAGAAAGTGCATAAGATGCAGGAATGAATCACTGAGTGCCTGGGCTTTCTTATCAGAACCTGTACAATTGGCACAAGTACAGAACTAGTTTCTCCTTGGACATGTTGCCTACTATGTACACACATGTCAAATATTTTGTTCAAAATGTTTTTTCTTTTCCATGCTGTCATTTAGTATTGAAAATTAACATCTGTGTCATATTGTAGGTGACATGTAACATTTTTGTTTTGCATCTATATTTTCTACATTATATGTGATTATTTTGCAATAAAAATGTGATTGACATATTCACCAAAATTATCCTGACATCAACTAGCAAACATGCCTGCTGATATGTGGCCCCAATCTGTGTCATGTTCTCCGTAGCCAGTATCTACAGCAAGGTTTTCATAGAGATTTTCTAAGTTGCTTTTTTATAGGCTGCTATTTTTTCTGACTTTGATCTTTATTTATTGGTACAAATTGTCCCTGACTTACCATGGCTGGACTTACAATTTTTCAACTTTACTAAGAGTTTATTGGAAGGTAACGCCATCGTAAGTCAGGGAGCATATGTACCACAATTGGTTCAGCTTACTATTATTTGACTCTACAATGGCTTCATTGAAGTATTGAATGCATCTTTAACACACTTCATTTTCTTCTTATGGTGGGTTTATGGGATGTAACCCATTCAGAAGTTGAGGAGCATCCATATATCTAAGGTGTTCTTACTCATGGGAATATGCTCGTCACTGTGCAGCCCCTTCATAGAGTTCCAACAAACTATCCACAATGCAATTTTAATACTGTTTTCAGAATTATTTTGTATATCTGGACATAAGTCAATTTTCACAGAAAGAACATTTAGATTATCATAAATTGGGCCTTTTCGTATTTAATTTCATACAGAAAACATAATGCATTGCAATAAACTTGCATCTTAAAATCACAAAAGGCCATATTCTCAACCCCCTTTTCTCTTTTATTTAGGTCAGATTCCTATCAGTGTGGCTTATGTAATAAAATCTGTTGTTGCCACAGTCCTATGTCACTCTTTCCAATAACCTACAGCCCATCAGTCTCTCTGAGAAGGCTGCCCTGTAGCAAATCATTAAATCCTTTCAAGAACCAAGAAAACATGGAAAATAAATGCAAAAGGAGAAGATAGCTTAACTCAGGCTGGTGTTTGCATGATCATGGAAACTCATGTTATGTTGTTTGGAATTTTGAACAGGGAAGTTGGAGGATGGAAACGTGCAATCCTCTTAGATGGTGAAACTAACTTGTATCAGGAATTTATACCAGGTGCGGCATTGAACTGAGCTGGATTTCCATACAACAACCTGGGAAGTGAGCCTGCCAAGAGGATGAACACCTAGATAATGGACCTACAGTTCACTCAGACTCAAAATAAGGATTTAGGCGAGTGTTGTGTTGCTACTATTTGTTTTCAGTTACTCCCACAAATGGACAGGTAACCACTCAGCTAGAGATCCTAGGGTGGCTGAGAAGGACGAGGAAGGCACAAAAATCCCTGTGGGGATGGCCAAAAGAGTTTTCCCATGGGCTCTTACACTGAGAACTTTACTCCTTTATAGTCTGAACAGCAGACAGCTCAGAGGTCAAAGGAAACTGCCCCTTCTGTGGAAAGGACTCCATGCATGTGTCTTTGTGCCTCTTCCTGGTCCTTCATCTCTGTCTGTGGGTACCTTTCTTTCCATCACAATCATCCTCTGGATCACATACTACACAGGACTCATAAGGGTGCAGAGGGTCAGGGATGCTGGAAATGTCACCCAACAGCAAGGTGATAGAGTTCCGGACAGAATTTGAATGGTACTTTCTATGGCTCATGTCTCTCGGTTTTCTGCAGTCCTTGCTGAGTTTCTTAATCCAGTGTCTGGAGACCTCCAAGGTCAAATGCATGCACATTTAAATTTAAATTCTAGGTGTAAATAAAGGTAATTTCTAGATTTGCTTCCATCTTGATTTTCCATGTCATAGTTCTATTCAATTAGCATAAGTAACTCAGAGGTGACAGTCATGTAGAGAATGTACTGATGGGTGATTTTGATTTTTGTTATTTTCCTACAGTGTTAAAGACCTGGAAGCTTTTTAATAATAGTAAAAAGTGCGCAACCAAAAATTATTGTGTTTTTTTTTTTTGAGAAATGATGCCATTATTTCACATGAATGCTCTACTTAAAAATAGAGGTAGAGAATCCAGGGAAAAAAAGACCCAGGAAGGTAACCTTTAATTTGAAATTGGATGCATTGTGATACTTGTGCTGTAAAAATCTGATGGTATATTAATGTCCTCACATATATTATCTGAAATTGTACCTTTCCGTTATAATGGCTGTTCCAATAACATAATAGCCACTCACCTGTAATTATAAGTTTTCAAAGCCTGAAATGATTCCAGTTGTTTTCTCTGTACTTTTCATGTACAATGGCTTTGTGCAGCTACAAGTTCCAAAAGGCTTATTTCAACTTTCTCTGTTTCCATCTGTTGTATCATGTTGCAGTTTAAATTAGAGTTGGGTGCATACAGAACCCTGGGGAGAGTACCAAGGGCGTTTTCCAGATGAAACTTCAACCTTGAAGACGTCAGTGACGTGTGTCAGCCACCCCAGCACTCACCTACACACATCGAAGTCCCATTTTCCTTTTTAATGGATTTAGCTCAAATCCTGTGCTTCTGTGTCTCATAATGAAATATCCCCAGGCCAGCCCTCATTTGAGCCCATGAACAGCCCCTTAGAAGGGGGCAGCTTCTGTGGGTAGGGAAGTGAGCTCAATAACAACGTCTTCGCCAGGCTGGAAGGTTTCCCTCTTCCCAGAGCACATGTCAGAAAAAAGATGGGAAGGAGTCTTTATCAGTTTCATAACCCTTTTCCTCCTTCACCTGATTTCTGCATATGCCCCCAATTCTGCAACAGGAAAAAGTGGACATTCCAGAAGAATCCTGGAGAGAAAAATGGGAAGGGAGCTCTGTCCAGGTACCAGAAACTCTCCCCAGGAGGTCTCTTGGGGCTCAAGCAGCTTCCTGAGTATCCCCAGTAAAGTCGTATGAAGTGATGTGGGGCAGGTTGAGGGCTGGAAGGAGGGCAGACAGGACTTTTTTGGTGTGATTAGGTGCGATGAAAAGGTTTAGCTTGTGGCACTAGCATGAGACAACAAGTATTGTTTCCCTGTCCTACTGAGAGTGGGTAATATGCATATGGGTGTGCAGGCACACACACTGCACATACATGCACTCACACACAATCACACATGCATGCACACAGGTGCTGAATATTCCATGTAGCTAAGTTCAGCTGGAGCTACAACCAAGGACTCATTCCCTTTTGACTGTCTCTCTTGACTACAGTGTCAGATATGGGGTTTGATTCTGCACTTAGCTGGAGGGATGGCTCTGGGTACTTCTTTACTGAGCCCCAGTTTCCTTCATGTAAAATAAGATGATGATCCCTACTTTGTAGTGTAGGGACACGGTCTAACAGTGCACACTCAATATCAGCTCCTGCCTTTAGAAGAACCTGTAAATGTGCGGGTCTTCCCCTTTTGTCCTGCTAGCCAGCATTTATGCAGAGGAGCTACTATTTTTCATGTTAATGCCTCTCTTGCAGAGTAGTGGCAAAGAACAAAAGAGGGAATGAGTTAGAGCTCCCAGCACCCTGTCAGGCTCAACAAAAGTAGGTTTATTTATTTAAAATTATGATCATGACTCAATGAGCACACTGGGAGGGCCTGCAAAGCATCCTAACTCAGATCATGCTGGCTGGTTACATTGGAGGCCAGGGGCGAGAGGGACTTCGTGCTATTATTCTATCACTCAAAAAAGTTGAAACTGCTATTCCTTTACCTCAGCCTCCCCAAACCAGTCATGCTTTCTACTGCAGGCAGAATCCCAGATTCACTTTGGCTTTTTGTGAGAAACTTTGAAGATCTTCTTGCAAAAACATTTAAAACACAGAAATATTTTCCAAAACTGAAGTTGAATCATGCTGTCCCTTTGTTTTATTGCTTGATTTTTTTTTTTCACAACACAGCATAGACTGACTTGTTCCCGTGTCAGTGCTACATTCTAGCTCATTCTTTCAAATGGCTGCATGGTTTTCTATTATATTTCTAATATAATGTATTAACTATTCCTACATTGATGGATGATGTGTTTCTAGCATTGCCAGGAACCTTGGAAGCTGTTGATGAGGTGCAATAATACTAATCAGGTGTCACAGATTAGGCAGCCAAACCTGGCCCCACCTAAGTTGCCTTGTTGACCACTCTTTGAGGGTCTCAAAGTCTGTTTCTCCTTCTGTGGAGAAAAGACTTAGCTCAATAAAAAGAATTAGTCCCAGGTTTGTAGGAGGATTAAAATACAATAATGTTTTATCAAGAGCTTTGAAAATTAAAGAGCAAAGTGTTGTTATATCATGACTGATCACAGCTAGTTTATTTAATAATGACTCCATTCTTTTTTCCAAACTTGTCACCTGAAAACGGGAGAGAGAGTGTTCAGAATAAACTGAGCCTTTCTAAGGCAGGCATGAAGTTGAAGCAAGCCTGGCTGGTGGGCATGTTGCTAAGTGCCCTTGGCAGCTCGAATTGCTCAGAGCACTCCTGCCTCTCCCATGGAATTCTGCAGCCCTGGGTATGTGTCTGCCCAGGGCTGGCTTCAGTCAGTCCAATAGGCTTTCATTCCCCAAGTGAATCAATACCGAGAGAGTGATTTTCAAAGGGCTCAAGTCATTTGTAGTCTATCTGTATCCAGAATGTTATTTCAGCTTCTTTCCCACAGAGCAAATATCACCAGAGGGAAGACCGTATCTTTTTCGTATCTACACAGAAAAAAAGGGACAGTTTAGCACCCTCAGTAAAAGATACAAAGATTTGAGGGTTTGGGGAGTTTTTATGTTTTCTTCCCCTGAAAATTTAAGAAAAGTAAAGCCAAAGGGCAGAGATGACTGGAATGGCAATTGCAGTTCTTTTCTGAATTTAGTACATGCTTGACATGGTAGACTTTCAGCAAGACTGAATACCTAGTAGGGGCTAGTCTTAGCTAGTTCCTTGCTGTCTCAACAGACTTTGCAAGAACAATCATTTTTAATTTCTCACTATCCTTATGATGAGTTTTAGGCAAAGAACATAAAATCAGCATGCACACACCTGGATGAAAAGTAAAATCAATTAAACACAAGATAATTTTGTCTATATGATGCCATGCAGGCCTGTGAATTTTTATATCCCACATCTATTGACCAACTTTTGCATTTTTATTAAAAGAGTAGAAACAAATATTGACAGACACATAATACAGAACTAGGCAATATTTGTATAATGCTTCTTTTATTTTGTACTGTAATTCTATAAGCATTTTACAAACCAACATTGTGAGCCTCAGTGTGATTAAGCAACTTGCCCCTCAGTGAAGAGATAGGAAGTGAACAGTGTGTTTTAAAGCAATTCTGTCTGGGATTGGAGCAAGTTCTCCTTCCACCTAAGGCCACAGGAGGGCCATGTTGATATAGACACAAATACAGTTCAGCTTGTGTCCTTGCCATTTCCATTTTTATTCAGACTGGTAAGATCTGAGAAGTGCTCTTTTGTATTATTTTAATTACTTGTTGGAAGATGCACATCTAAATCTCTTTTGAATAAACATAGCTGCATACACAACCAAGTCACCTTCCCAAGTCTTAAGAAAATATGTACAGTTCTGTGTTTAACACTATTGCTTGTGAGTGTACTATTCTTAGCAAGAGTCCTGTTGATAGGAAGTATGCTTGATTTTTAAATAGCAATGAATCCAGCTGCCTAATAGTTTAGAATTTTAATAAGAATTGAAAAACCTGGGCATTTCTTGAGCACCAGGCATTTTCACATATACTCACTGAGTTCCTATGCCCTGGTGTATTAATCCATTTTCATACTGCTATGAAGAAATACCCGAGACTGGGTAATTTATAAAGAAAAAAAGAGGTTTAGTGGACTCACAGTTTCACATGGCTGGGGAGGCCTCACAACCATGGTGGAAGGTAGAAGAGGAGCAAAGTCACATCTTACATGATGGCAGGGAAGAGAGCATGTGGAGGGGAACTGCCCTTTATAAAACCATCATATCTCATGAGACTTACTCTCTATTGCAAGAACAGCACAGGAAAAACCTGCCCCCATGATTCAATTACCTCCCACTGAGCCCCACCCACGTGTGTGAATTATGGGAGCTACAATTCAAGGTGAGATTTGGGTGGGGTCACAGCCAAACCATATCATTCCAGCCCAGCTCCTCCCACATCTCATGTCTTCACATTTTAAACCAATTATGTCTTTCCAACAGTCCCCCAAAGTCTTAACTGATTTCAGCACTAACTCAAAAGTCCACAGTCCAAGGTCTCATCTGAGACAAGGCAAGTTCTTCTGCCTATGAGCCTGTAGAAAACAAAAGCAAGTTAGTTAGTTCCTAGATACAATGGGGGTACAGGCATTGGGTAAATACAGCCATTCCAAATGAGAGAAATTGGGCAAAACAAAGGGACTACAGGCTCCATGCAAGTCTGAAATCCAGGAGGGCAGTCAAATCTTAAAGCTCCAAAATGATCTCGTCTGACTCCATGTCTCACATCTAGGTCATGCTGATGCAAGAGGTGGGTTCCCATGGTCTTGAGCAGCTCTGCCCCTGTGGCTTTGCAGGGTGCAGCCCCTCGGCCTGGCTGATTTCACAGGCTGGTGTTGAGTGTCTGAGGCTTTTCCAGGCACACAGTGTAAGCTGTTGGTGGATCTACCATTCTGGGGTCTGGAGGACAGAGGCCCTTTTCTCACAGCTCCACTAGGCAGTACCCCAGTGGGGACTCTGTGTGGGGAATCCCACCCCACATATCCCTTCCACACTTCCCTAGAGGTTTCTCCATGAGGGCTCTGCCTGCTCTGCCTAGACACATAGACACTTCTACACATTCTCTGAAATCTAGTGGGAGGTTCCCAAATCTCAATTCTTGACTTCTGTGCATACACAGGCCCAATACCACGTGTAAGCTGCCAAGGCATGGGACTGACACACTCTGAAGCAATGGCCCAAGCTGTACATTGGCCCCTTTTAGCCACCACTGGGATGCAGGGCACCAAGTCCTGAGACTGCACAAAGCAGCAAGGTCCTGGGCCAAACCACAAAACCATTTTTTCCTCCTAGGCCTCATGGCTTGTGATGGGAAGGCCTGCTGTGAAGATCTCTGAAATTTCATGGAGACATTTTCCCCTTATCTTGGAGATTAACATTTGACTCCTTGTTACTTATGCAAATTTCTGCAGCTGTCTTAACTTTCTCTGCAGAAAATGGGTTTTTTTTTCTATCGCATCGTCAGGCTGCAAATTTTCCAAACTTTTATGCTTTGCTTTCCTTTTAAACATAAGTTCCAATTCCAAACCATATATTTGTGAATGAATAAAACCGAATGCTTTTAAAAGCACCCAGTCACCTCTTGAATGCTTTGCTGCTTAGAAATTTCTTCCACCAGATATCCTAAATCATCTCTCATGTTCAAAGTTCCACAGATCTCTAGTGCAGGGGAAAATGCTGCCAGGCTCTTTGCTAAGACATAGCAAGAATGACCTTTGCTCCCATTCCCAATAAGTTCCTCATCTCCATCTCAGACCACTTTGGCCTGGACTTCACTGTCCATATCATTATCGGCATTTTGGTCAAAACCATTCAACTCATCTCTAGGAAGCTCCAAGCTCTCCCATATCTTCCTGTCTTCTTCTGAGCTCTCCAAACTGTTCCAATCTCTGCCTGTTATTCAGTTGCAAAGTGACTTCCACAGTTTCGGGTATTTTAATAGCAGTACCCCACTCTACCAATACCAATTTGTTGTATTAGTCCATTTTCATACTGCTATGAAGAAATACCTGAGACTGGGTAATTTATAAAGAAAAAAAGAGGTTTAATGGACTCAGTTTCACATGGCTTGGGAGGCCTCACAATCATGGCAGAAGGTAAAGAAGGAGCAAAGGCACATCTTACATGGTGGCAGGCAAGAGAGCATGTGTAGGGGCACTGCCCTTTATAAAATGATCAGATCTCATGAGACTTACTTACTACCACAAGAACAGCATGGGAAAAACCTGCCCCCATGATTCAATTACCTCCTTTTGGTCCCTCCCATGACGTGGGGATTATGGGAGCTACAATTCAAGATGAGGTTTGGGTGGGGACACAGCCAAGTCATATCACCTGGTGTTATTTACACCAGCCTATTTTAATGATGCAGAAACTGAGGCTTATTGGGATGAGATAATTTGCCCAGTGACAGTTAGAATGAGGTCCATCAGAGCTAAGAATTTAGTCTTTTAAATTTAAAGCTCATACTGTAGTATGCTCCTTGTCTTTCTCTTGCGGATAGAGTGAGTTTTGAGGTTTATCTCTTTAAACACTTTAATTATATTTAACAGCTTTGGTGACATATAATTCACATACCATACAATTCATCCACTATGTACAATTCAGTGGTTTTCTGTATATCCACAGATATGTACAACAATCACACTGTCAATTTTAGAAGATTTTCATCACTTTATGATATGGGTTGGGTGTGTCCCCACCCAAATCTCATCTTGAACCATAGTTCCAATAATCCCCATGTGTCGTGGGAGGGACCTGGTGGGCAGTAATTGAATCATGGATGCAGTTACCTCCATGATGTTCTTGTGATAGTGAGTTCTTACAAGATCTGATGGTATTATAAGGGGCTTTCCCCCCTACCTTTGCTCTGCACTTCTCCTTGCTGCAGCAATGAAGAAGGACATTTTTGTTTCCCCTTCTGCCATGATTATAAATTTCCTGAGGCCCTCTAGCCCTGCAGAACTGTGAATCAATTAAACCTCTTTCCTTTATAAATTACTCAGTCTTGGGGGTGCCTTTATTAGCAGTGTGAGAATGGACTAATACATTTTTTAAAAACTTCAGTTTTTACAAGTGAGAAAATTCAGTGCAAAGGATTTGCTCAATGTTATACATGGGAAAATCTTTGTTTTCTATTATGTTCTAATTTTATAATGAATGACTAAATAAAAAAGAGCTAAAAAATCACAGCATGGATTGCTTGCTGGGCTACAGCCATTGATATTCATGTTCTGCTCTGGAAGGAAGCTTAGGATATGGTGGCATCAGACTTGGGCTAAGCTGGAGGCTGGTGCTCTGTTTTCGTGTAGGTCTCACCAGTTAGCTCTGGGGCATCTTCTCTCTGCACCTTGGTTGCTTCATTTGTAAAAGGATTTTGTAATACTCTGACCCCACCAGTGCCTCTGCCATCCCAGCACCTGTTCAGTTATGATGTGCTCATGATTACCTATTCAGTGTTGCTAAGTTCCAGCTTCTTTACATTCATAGTTTCCAGACCCCTGGCATCTGTGAGATGGTCACTGCTATTACTGAATTATAAATCAAAAGTCCCCATTCAGTGACATAACACTGACTTTCCCAAGTCTTCACAAACAGAAAGTGATGGAGACCGAGTTTGAACAATCCCAGGATTGTGTCTACATTACATTAAAATAAATAGATTCTAGGTATCCAGATAAGAAAGAAAGAATCATTCAAATTTGGTGAGGCAACAGGGTAGGTATTCGTAAACTATTTACTTGGTTTTTTGAGTCCCACTAGTAGGAACATAATACATTTTTTTAAACATTGGGAAAACAAGAGTACCTATGCTGTTTCACAGGCTTGCACCTGAGTTAATTGTGAATACACAGAATGACTGTAATGTCCAAAAGGCTTTTTGTGTGTGATTGAAACATGTTGAACACTTAAGCTAGATGAAAGGGTTATTTGGCATTTACCTTTTATCTCTTTTAGCTCTCTTGTATGAAGCTTCTTATTTGATTGATGTTTGGCTGTCTGCCATGTGGCTGTGGATCTTGATAACATCACAACCATTTGGGTAGACTCTGTGTTCTTGGTTCTAATTAACTGAAACACACCAGCCTTGACTTCAAGTTCCATTACCCCTTGCACTTTGGTGTGCAGGTTTGCCCCTGCCTAGTGGGAACTAATCAACCAGCCAGCATATGTGCTGGGCAGACGGGCTGAGACAGGCACGGGTTGTCTTCTCTTATGGATTGCCCCAGTTAGACCTCATTCTGGCTGCCTTTGCCCCTCGGAACTGGGGCAGGGGTGATAATTAGAACTGTGCATCACAATACGTGTCACATCCTAGTGTCATGGCTCTGCTTGGCATAGGTGGGAGCAGCGAGGCCTTTCTTTCAAAACTCTACCACCTCTCAGATCACATATATTTCAGCCTTTGCACTCCTCCCTACCTCTCCCCAGCAAAGGCTTCACTCCTCTGACCAACACAATTTAAATTCTGATCTGTCACTTATGAGCTAAGCTAATTTTGGTGAGCTACTTAACTTTCCTGTACCTTATTTTCCTCATCTTGGAAAAGGAGGATTGCCATGTAGGATGAAAGAAATATAAAATCCATAATGACATTTCAAAAACACTGCCTATAACTTAGTGGGTAGTTCACAAATATGTTTTCTAATTCACGTCCTTCCTTTCTTTTCCTTGTTCTAATATGTCCTAAAATCCTACTGTCATGAACTGCTCTCTAATTTTGCTGTCAGATTTTGCCACTACTTAAAAATCTGGCTAATGACCATGATTGCAGTTAGTTTTCCTCTTTATCTCACAAAGTCTTGGGTATCAAGAGTTGCTGAATATGTCCTGTGCCGAACATTTATGTCCTCCTGTGCAGACAGAAGTGTCCAGGCTATGATGGTCATCAGCTATCTATATTCAGGTGTTACCAGAAGGGAAGGATGACCATCACTGAGAACAAGCTTTTACCTCAATCTAAGGGGAAATTGGGGAACATTTTCTGCTCCAGGAGTGCCTGTGGGAGAATAGGAGCTTCAAGAGCTACACCTGCTGAGGGGGTACACTATAACCTATGGGTGTGTCCAGCAATGCACATTCTGGTAACTGTAGAGTCTGTTCCCACCCTTGCCAAGAGCTCATGCAGGAGGGGTCCACAGACAGGAGCTGTGAGAAGATCCTTGGAAGTGCTGCTGAACCCAGCTGCTGGGTCTGCGAGGTAGTGTGGGGCTGGACACTGTCCTGTGACAGTAGCCACTGAGATATGCCACCAGGAGTTGCTGTGTGACCTTTAAGGATAGGCACCAGCAGTTTGGCATCCTGAGGGGAAAACGGACTGTGCTACATTTTTGATAATGTTCTCGCTGAACAGAGAGAGAACAACATTTTTTAAGCGAGATATATTATGGAATTGGTAGCCCAGAAGCTTCTGGCAGGTGCTTGAATCAGTTATCAAGAAATAGACACCTGGTCCTTCAAACTGCTGGTACATTAAACACTATTTCCATGCCTTCTATGAGTAAATAAATTATAAATAAATGTACATATATATGTATATATTATGTATGTAAAATAAAATATACTATCCAGATAAAAAAGAAAATCTTATTCCAACCAATATTTTTTGGAAAGATCTGTCTGTTAGGGAAGATAATACACATTTTATTTATTTATTTATTTATTTTAGTGTGAGATCGTGGTCTATAAAGAATGCAAGCTGGGGAGGGGGAGAATAAATGGAGCAAAGGAGGAGAAAAGAAAAAGATATATTTAAGAAAGAGTCTGAACTTTTCTAAGAAAATGAGCCCTTGTTTGTAGCAAAAAAACCAGAGAGTGGCTGTGGGCTCCAAACAGATTTTAGGAAAACAAGGCATGGGACCCCTGATTTTTTTTTTTTCTTACATCTATTTGTTGTGATTTAGAAAAATGAATACTGAGAAAATTCTATGCTTAGAAAAGGTAATACCCAATGCTGGCAATTATACAATGAAATGGACATTCATACAGTGCCAGTGGCAGTATAAACTGGCACTGGGATAGACGTTTTGGAAAGCAATTTGGCAGCATAGGTCAAAAGCCACTAAGTGCACACTGTAACTCAGGAACTATATTTGGATTTTTTTTTGTCCTAAAGAAATTATCCAAAAACATGACAAAGCTGGCATTTCTGTGTGCACAGAAATGATATTGAAAGATATTTTTCATAATTTTTAAAAGAAATAAATTGAATATTCATCTATACTGGAGTAATTAAGTAAATGCCATGTCTACTCATTGGGATTTTAAGCAGCAACTTAAAAGAATATATAGAAGTGTTGAAAATTTTTATGATTTTATGTTAAATGAATAACTAAATTACATACTAGAAAATAAACAAATTTATGCCTATTATAAAAATCGAATTTTAAATTAATCCCCAAATTTTAAATTCATTCCATGTGATACATTTCCCAAAGTCTTTAAGGCAGTGCTTCTGAAAACTGTATTAGCTGCAGAGTAGCTTGTGTTCATGTTTTTAGTTGATGGAAACCTAATTCTTGGTAAGCTAATATACCTCCCAATCTTGGACTGGTTATGGGAGATAGAAAACGTAAGAGTACTTGTGTTTTGAAATTTACCAAATGACCCAGCAAGTCTAGTCTTAAGTATCTTCCAAAGCAGGAGAAAACAACACCACATGTCCACACAAAAATTTGCATGTGAATGTTTATAGCAAGATTATTCATAGTAACCCAAAAGTGGAAATAACTCAAATGTTCATCAACTGGTGAATGGATAAACAAAATATGGCATATCCATCCATACAATGGAATGTTATTCAGCAGTTAAAAGGAATGGAGTATGATGCATGCTGCAATGCAGGTGAACCTCAAAAATATGCCAAGTGCAGACAACCAGAGGCAAAAGTCCAGTCCTGTATGATGCACTTTACATGAAATGCACCTGTAGGACAAAAATATAGGGATGTAGAGTAGATTAATGTTTGCCTTAGTTGGATATGAAGAAAAAATTAAACTCCAAAGAGGCAAAGGGATTTTATTAGAATTTTGAGAATGTTCTAAAACCGGATAGTGATGGAGGTTGCGCTATATGGTAAATTGACAAAAATCATGAAATTGCACACTTAAAATAAGTATTTTATGGTATTCAAATTACACCTCAATAAAATTGTTGCATAAATCTGCTTTACTTATCTGATACGGTCAACATTAAAATTAGAATACATTTTGAGATTTTCCTGGAGCATTGAGGAACCTGGTTTAGAATATTGTGTGCTGGAATAAGTGCTTTTT
Source organism: Homo sapiens (assembly GCF_000001405.40). Classification (NCBI taxonomy): domain Eukaryota; kingdom Metazoa; phylum Chordata; class Mammalia; order Primates; family Hominidae; genus Homo; species Homo sapiens. The sequence continues at coordinate 51,740,808 of NC_000007.14, forward strand.
GCAGAAATGTGAAGGTTCTTTGGTTTTCTGTCTCCCACTGCTCATTTGACTGATTTTTCACAAGTATCCTTGTAAAACTCTGCTTCCTAGGCCATGGTAAAGCTCAGGCAGCTGAAACATGGAGGGATGAGGTGGCTGGTCATTCTGAGGATACCCTGCAGAGCTATGATGCAATTTCAGCTGCACCAAATATGCTCTATTTTAAGTTACAAAGCACTTCAAATTACAGAAAAGCATCCAAAATGATACAATAGATTTGTTAAAACTCACTACTCAGATCTAGGAAATGTTAACATTTTTTCAATCTTTGTGTTATATTTTTGAGAAATAAAAATATGCAATTTTGCAAAGGCACCCTCCCACCACATTTTTCTACCTCCTCCCACTGCACAGGTGATCACATGCTGGAAGTTGGTGTTCACTTTTTCTGAGTATGTTTTTATAATGTATCTCATGTGTACTTCTTTATAACTTGGCATTCACTGTTATAACTTGGCATTTTCACTGCTGGAGTGACAGATTCCCCAACTGCAGGAAGCTCCATCCATAAGCATGTGTCAGGCCTCCACCAGTCACAGTCTCCGGGCTTTCTAGTCAGGGCTGCAGGCTGGCTGCAGCTCAAGTATCATTTCTTCCCACAGCAAATGGAAAATCTAAAAAGTAAGTGAACTTGCTTCTCACAAGCATCTCACTTTTCATCATGAGGAAAAACATTAGAAGTCTCCAAAAGATTTAACAAACCTAATCCTTTGCCAGGTTTGGGTTACCTTTTCACACTCAGCCTAGGTTGGACATAAAGATGGCCCTGAGATTCTTACTACTGGTGGACATACCCTGTACAATTGCTTGCCTTGAGTGTGGATGCAACCTGGGCAGATGATGTATCACTCCTCTGCATAGACTATAAATCAGTCACTGTTGAGTTACTCGAAAGGGAGACCATACTGGGTGGGCCTTCCCTAATCAGAGGAGCTTTTAAATTAAGATGAAGCATCAGAGAGATGAGCTTTTAAAGCCAACAGTCATGTCCTGAACTGCCTATTGGAGCCTTGAGGCAGAGAACAGTGGTGGCCCCTGGGAGCTGAGAGAAGTCTCTATCTAACAACTAATGAGAAAATGAGGACCACAGTCCTATAAGCACAAGGAAATGAATTCTTCCAACAACCAGGGAGCTTGGAAGAGAACCCTGGGTATCAGGTGAAACCCTGGCCCTGGTCAACACTTGAATACCAGCCTGGCGAGATCCTGAGCAGAGGACCTAGCTAAGCTATGCACAGACTCCTAATCTGCAGAAGCTGTAAGATAATAAAGGTCTGTTGTTTTAAGCTGATAAGTCCACGGCAATTTGTCATGCAGCAGTAGAATACAAATACATCCCTAAATGAATCATTGGGAATGGTAATTACATCAATCTTCATTTATCACCTGAGGATTTCAGAGGGGTCTGTCTTCCTTGGATTTATTTCTATCATGTAATTTTACACATTCTGCTTTTTTATGCTTCTCCTCTGCTTTTCATTCCTGCTTTTAATTATACTGATTAAATTTTCTCTATTCACCCAAACACACTTTTTTCTTCTACTGGTATTTATTCTCATTCTTGTAAATGAAACACAATAAATAATTTTAATATAATAAAATTTAAATTGAAGCAGTATGACTATAATTTTTATTTTCTTCTCATCTTTCATGACACTATTGTGTAGCATTTTAATTCTAATTTGTTTTCAATCAATACTATCTAAATAGTAACTATAATAATTATTGTCCTTATAATAAAAAAATTAGATTTATTTACATGTTTACCAGTAATTTATTTGCTCACCATGGCTGCTTGTATCACCCTCCTTGTTCTTGGTATAGGTTCTTTCTTTTGTTTTTGTTTGTTTGTTTGTTTTGGTAGAGACAGGGGCTTGCTCTGTTGTCCAGGGTAGAGTACAGTGGTGCAATCCTAGCTCACTGCAACCTTGAACTCCTGGGCTCAAGCCATACTCCCACCTCAATCTCCTGAGTAGCTGGAACTACAGGTGTGTGCCACCACAACCAACTAATTTGTAAATTTTTTGTATAGATGGGTTCTTGCTATGTTGCCCAAGCTGGTCTTGAACTCCTGGGCTCAGGTAATCCTCCTGTCTTGGCCTCCTAAAATGTTGGGATTACAGGCCTGAGCCACCATGCCAGGCTGCCTTACCTATTAAATGACAGTTTCAGTAGATCTAATGAGAATTTAGTCATGTGGGTGTGGATGACTCTGGTGTTGTGTTGGAATGGGAATGGAATCAGCAAAAAGAACTATAAAGCCATGCTTTTCTGAAGTCATTCTGTGCCTGATTCCCATGCCATGGATTACACTATTTTTGAGTAATATCTCTTTCAATTCTACCAATCTGGATATCCCAGGACTCAAAGAGAATACCAATACACGCTATAAATGCATCTCAGTGCATTGTACCAATGCAATTTTATTAATAGTACCTGTGTTTAATTTTTATGTATGTTTAAAGACTGACTGCAATTTTTAATAAAGAGAAAGTTATATGCAAGGGGAATGTATTCCTGGTGTGGCTTCATCTTAGTTTTACGTTAAAACAAGATGAGCAAAAAAAAAGTAGTATACCAAAATGCTTAGGGTATTTGTAGTAATATAATATAATCTGATTTCTTTTCTTATAATCAACCATTCTCCAAAAAAATTTAAATTCCAGCTACGGTATGTTCATAATGCAAAAATTGGTACTAACAAACTAAGATGCAAAGCATTATGTATAGTGAAGAGACCAGGGTCAGAGATTATGGCCCTTACTGCTGGCTGCAGTGCAGATATTTCCAGCAGCTTTCTCCTTGCGTTCGGAATGCTGTGGGGATTTTATTTGCTTGAGCTCCACAAATATGATTCCAGTATGATTATAAAGTAATCAAAATTCAGTAAACAACTCATAGTAGGCATTGTGTACAATCATAAAATGTCAGGGCTCAGGAAAACAGTGCCAGGTGCTGACTTTTAAAAGGATCACTGTCACTTTTTAATAAAAACATTTGTTTAGCATCGCAAACATGCAAGACATTGAATATACTTGCTTTGGATTGCTGGAATTAAAATGAGGATTGTCTTAGCTCTCATCTTGAGACCTGCAATTCTCACCTGCTCACAAAGTGAGAGAATTGTCAGTGTTGCTGCTGAGTCCATCCCTACACAAAATAATGACAAAACTCGCCAGTCTCCCTTGCAGCTAAGTGTGACCATTTGACTACGTTCAGTTCTACATAATTGGACTTGAAGAAATGTGTGCAGCTTCTGGGGCATGTGCTTAAATGATGGAGCTGCTCCCTTTCTTCCTCCCTTCCTCCATCCTAGAACTTGACCATGGATGTGATGGCGAGTCATCTCACGCAGAGGAACAAGGGGCCAGCAAGCTTTTCCTGCAAAGTACCAGAATGTTAGTACTCTGGGCTTTGTGGGCTGAACAGTCTCTGTTACAACCGCTCAACATTTTTTGCTGTAGTAGAAAAGTGTCCATGAACAAGACTTCAACAAATGAGCATGGCTGGGTTATAATAAAACTCTGTCTGCAAAGACAGGCTTTGGGCTTCATTATGTCCACAGCCTTAGTTTGCATATCTCCACTCTAAGGAGGATGCAACAAATATATTGGTGATAATTTGGTCTTTGGAGGACAGCAGGGTCTTCCCATTGAAGTCCACAAAATATAAAAGGACATAAAATTCAATGCAGGAGGCTGGTATATAGTGATCATTGCATCTGAGAGGCCAAGTTGGGGGAATCTAGAGAGCAGCAGAAGCAGGAAACCACCTGGCCTGGATTGAAGGATATAGTGGCAGGCACGACCACCAGGGACCAAGGCCGGGTTTCCCCACTGAAAGCCACAGCCACAGCTCTAGAGCTTCCCCTTTGGAATTCTGACCTGAGATGAGAAATAGCCCGTCAACTTGCTTAAGCTGCTGCTTGCATCTTTATGACATGAAATTCACTAACATCATAATGCCAGGGACTTGTGCCTTTAGTGCACGAGTGGGGAACTGTGTATACAAAGGCAGTCTGGTTTGGAAGCTCACGTATCTGATCCCCTGGCCCAGGATTTCAGTCAAGGTTGGAACTCCCATTGCCTTTTAGAAATAGGAAGAGTAATTCCAAGTTTAGGTGCAAGTTGCGGAAATAAAGTTCTCCTCAATGTCCCAGTTCCTTTTTCCTTTGTTTAAACTTGAAGCTGGGATATTGCAGAAGGCATATTATGGTGGAGCATGTGGCACCTCTGCTTTTCTCTCTTTTGAATTGGGCCACTCATGTAGACGACGTGGGAGACTGGGTGGGCCGTGGGCTGGTGCTAAGACTTGAGGTAGCCCTTGGCAGTTCAGTGAACACCACAATGTCACCTCTACATGGTGATTTCTGATAAAATGACATGGGTTGTCTGATCCCTGCCTTCAGTGTGCTTGAAACGGAAACAAGTTGAATGGTGCCGTTGAGGAAGTAACTGCCTTATCTTTCCATGACCTGCAATTGCCATGCTCCTGAGATGGCGCTCCCTGTACTTTTACAGCTCTTTCCCTCCACACTGCACTTGCCATTCTTTGATGCTCTTTTATCCTTCATTGCAACCATGCATTGAATTACCTCAAAATTTTTTTGAAATGGTAGAAGTACAGATGCATACAGAGACAGAGAGAGATGGAGAGAGGTGGGAGAGAGAGAGGGGAATTGTGCCTGTATAAGTCTTACACAACAGTCATTTTATATTTAGACTATACCATAGTCATTTTAGAATATATATGCGAAGAAATGATTACAATGCAAAGATAGATAAAACAGAAAAAGAGAGAGAGGGCGAGAAACAATAAAAGCTTAATGTTTTTCTTGGTTATGCAGTACTAGAGGAACTGAAATGTATTCCCGGTGTGGCTTCATCTTAGTTTTACGTTAAAACAAGATAAGCAGAGCCAGGAATGGTATTGCTTTCTCAGTGCCTATGAGGCTTTATCAGTGAGACTAGCACTGTTTTTGTCGTTAGTTTCACCTTGCAGTATAAATGCATTGGAAAGTCTTCTCCAGTAAATTTCAAAAGTGTCTAAACAGCTGGTCCTTTAGAAATATATTTTTGCTGACATATATTTATCTTAATGCAAAATTTATAAAAGAGAAAGGTAAATGCTCAAATGTGTTCCAAATGAAGGCATTCTCATTATAGACATTTTGCCTATTTTTTTGAAAACATTATCAGGCAGAAAACTGAAGTTTGAAACATGGCATGATAAACTTTGCTCAGTGTCTGGAAATCTGCTTGAAGTGAAGCCTACTCCAGGTGACAGTGAGTTCTTGATAGATTCCATGGTACTACCTGATGGTATTACCTGAGGAGAGTAGCGGTAACAGTATAGGCTTTACTCACCTTTCCTTCCTCTGTTCTCATCTCTTATTAAAATCTCCCATCATACAGCTTTTCCCAAAGTGAGAATTTCACAAAATGCAAGCTTTGTAAGCTCTTCTAGGAGAACAACTAAAAATGGGCTGTGTGTTCAGCAGTTGTGAGTCCAACTGGGAGCTCCCTTTGGGGAGGCATAACACATTCCTGTCTAGTATAGCCCATATTGTGTGCTTCTTGCCACCATTTGCCTGCCTGGAGGTGACAGATTCATTTCCATCAATTACAAATATATTTTCTTAAATGGTGATCATTTTGGGTACTGCCAAAATCCTTATGAACACTGGCAAGTCAGCCTTTTTTATTGGTATTCTCTTCTGAATATTTAAACACAGACATTCATCGTTTTTTTTATTTTTAATGGACACCTTCCCCTGTCTTCAAGAGTTTAAACTTTATAGCCTCATTTGTTGTGCCACGCGCAGCAGAAGAGCTTTTAGTTGATTGTTGTCAAGGGCTCAGTAATTTGATTGAGGAGATTCGAAGATTTTGAACAACAGTCTGGTTTAGTTGAATGCATCTTCTCTAAGTCATGGCAATTCTCTCCTTGCAAGTTTAACACTCTGTGAATAAAGTCATTTCATCAATATCACCCTCTCCACTTGGAGGAGAATCTGATTGAATTGATTTAGAGACAAGAGAAGTATCCTTGAATTTCCTAATATTTCCATGCTGTGCTCTTTGCTGTCATTAATTTGCTGATTTAACCCTATACTTCTGACTACTTGACTTCATGCCTGGCAGACAATCCTGCCCCCCAGACCCCAAGGTGCAGGCTTTGGCTTAAGTGTTTGGTATGAGGGACTGTGTTATTGTCCTCCAGGGTGTGATTTCTACGATGAGGTTTCCTGTTCTACATTTTGCTTTCTCCTTTCTGAGTTAGGTGTGAGGATTGAAAAGAGGACCAGAATAAAATCTTGTCTGTTCACAGTTGAAAAGGTGCCTAATGCCAGCTGGTCCAAAATCAATCCAAATTTCTAATGCTGTATAACCCAGAACAAAGCATCTAAATTTAAATATCTATTTTTCTATCACTATCAGTATACATTATTATATATAATACAAACAAAAAATTTTGTATAAATCTTTTAATTTTAATTTACAATGCAATTCACATATTTTTTCTGAATTACTATTTTATTAAACTATTACAATTAGAATTTTTTTATTTTCAGGGAGTAGAAAAGATAAGTTTCACAAAAATGGGATTTGTTTCCTGAATAAAAAATTGTTGCAAGCTCACTAAAGTAAATTCTAATATCATGGAAAGGTAAAATAAGAAAAATAACCTCCCCAGAAATCCTATGATTAAGAGACAAGAAAAATTTAGTTTTATGGTACACACACATTTCATAAAATTAGAAGCATACTGTTTTTAAATATATTCTACAGGTGCTTAAATATGAGCAAGATTTTTCCCATGGGATTACGGTCATCCCTTTGTATCCATGGGGAACTGGTTCCAGGAGGCCCTCACATACCAAAATCTGAGGATGTTCAAGTCCCTGATATAAAATGGTGTAGTATTTTCACATAACCTATGCACGGCCTCCTGTGTACTTTAAATAATCTCTAGATTACTTATAATATCTAATACAATCTAAATGCTATATAAATGGTTGCTGTGCTATATTTGTTTTTATTTGTATTGTTTTTATTGTTGCACTATTTATTTATTAAATATTTTTGATCTGCCATTGGTTTAATCTGTAGATGCAAAACTTGCAGCTATGGAGAGCTGGCTGTGTCTAATTTTTAATAATAGAACCCTATTATATGGGATATTTTTAAGGAATATACCTATCATAAGAGAAAATAATGCATATATTACTATTTCTATCATCCTTTGGTGTTTTTACATCTTTTAATTCCTTTTATTTCTTTCCTATCTGCTTACGTATATTTTCTTTAATTATTTTAAAATTTTTATTGACATTTAGAAATCATACACTTACATTTAAATTGTTTTACGTATTAGTCTGTTCTTATGCTGCTAAGAAAGACAAACCTGAGACTGGGTAATTTACAAAGAATAAAAGGGGTTTAATGGACTCACATGACTGGGGAGGCCTCACAGTCATGGCCCAAGACAAAGAAAAAGCCAAGAGATGTCTTACACGATGGCAGGCAAGGGAGCATTTGCAAGGAGACCCCCTTTATAAAACCATCAGATCTTCTAAGACTTATTCACTATTATGAGAACAGTATGAGAAAGACCTGCCCCCATGATTCAATTACCTCCCAACGGGCCCCTCCCACAACATGTGGGGATTATTACAATTCAAGGTGAGATTTGGATGAGGACACAGAGCCAAACCATATCAGCTAATTTAGGGATTATTTTTGTAACAAACTTACTAGTATTAGCTAACATCCACAGAGAGATGTGATTTAGCTGATAGCTTAAAAATTATCAACATTGAAAATAAAATGTGTCTATGAACCAGAATATAAGATAAATGCACCTCCTCACATCTCTCATGGGTACTTTTGGTACAAGCTGGGATTATCTTATTTATTAATGTTTAACTGTGTATCTTCTCTCTCAAAAAAAATCAAATCACTTTTGACTCTTTTGTTTGGAAGCACACTCAAATCAATTATTTAGTCCTTATTTGTTTAGCTTGTTGCCATGGTCACAGTTACCCATTTTATATTGTAACACTACGATTCTTGAGTTTAAAAAAATTGATTCAAATTTTCCTAAGCTCAAGTATTCCTAGGGATATTTTCATGAAGGGCATATTGAGGGCTTAATTAACAGATCTTTAGATGTCTTGGAACATGTTTTATTGCCTGCACACATGAGTTAAGACTTGCCAGTTCCCTTCAAACTCTTAGATATTGTATCATAAGATTCAGTTATATCCATGTTTTAAGTAATAATCATGTCAATGAAAATAATAATAAGGCTAACTGTGTGGAACTGAAAACCGTCTACCGGATAGCCATATCCATTTGTGCCCACAGGCTTCCTTCCAGCTTCGGGCACCTACCCTTCAAAATCGTCAGGGATCATCTTTGAGAGTCACCTTCCCCAGTAATACATCTATTGTCACACCACCAGAACCTTCCAGTGCTTTACTGGCCCGGTCCTCTCCCCATGCCACGGACATCATTCCAGCAATGAAGCCTTAGCCTTCAGGTGTCAGCATCAGGTTTTTTTCTCTCTCTCTTTCATTTGTATAAATTTATAAGCATAAATGCAATTTTGTCACATATATAGATTTCATAGTCATCAACTCAAGACTTTAGGGTATCCATTGCCTGAATAATGTACATTGTACACATTAAGTAATCTCTCATCTTCCACTCATCCTCCCACCCCATCATCTTTTTCAGTCTCCGTTGTTTATCATTTCACACTCTACATGCATGTATAGATACTATTTAGCTCCCACTTATACGTGAGAACATGTGATATTTATCTTTCTGTGTTTGAGTTGCTTTGGACCCCAAGTTCCATTCATGTTGCTGAAAAACACATGATTTCCTTTTTTATGGCTGAATAGTATTCCATTGTGTATACATAGCACATTTTCTTTATCCAATCATCTGTTGATGGACACTTGGGTTGATTCCATATCTTTGCTATTGTGAATAGTGCTGCAATACACATATAAGTGCAGGTATTTTTTTTAATATATTAATATTTTCTCTTTCTAATGAATGGCCACTCTTACCTCCCCACTTCTTGCCTTATTTCCCTGTTCTCCTTTAGCGTCAGTTCTTCAAAATTGCTCATTGTCTCAGAATTCTTTCCACCACTTCTCTTTCAAACTTCATACAGCAGGCATTCACTTCCACCATTGCCAACGTCACCAAAAACTTCCATGCTGTTAAACACAATGGTCACGTCTAAGTCCTCATCTTAGTTGCACCCAAGTCATCATTGAATGCAGCTAATGGCTCCTGCCACCTTGAAATCTTTCATCAAATAGTTTCTAGGATACCACACTGATTTTTCCCTAGCTCACTCATCTCTTCTTGTCCATATATATTTTCTTTATACTTTGTTGTACCCTCATCTAAACTCTTGATGCTAGAATGTCTCAACTCCCCATCCATGAAGATCCATATCACACCAGACTCATAGATCAGCTGTTGACATTTTCCCTCAAATGTCTAATTGGGCATCTTGTCTATACAATGGCCAGAAGGAATATCTTGATTCTTCTGCCTCAAATCTGTGGTCCCATCTCCACATTCTTCCTCTTCTTAGCTGGTAGCAACTCTGACTTTGTTTGATAGATAAATAGGTCATGGAGCCATTTTGCTTTTCTTTCTTGCATACCCCATATCCCACCTATCAGCAAATTCTCCACTTTCAAAGCATGTCCAGAATCTCTCTCAACCTCCACCTCTATCACTCTGCTGCAATCCAGTGTAATGTCTTCATTGGGATGCTGTCATAATCTCTTAACTGGCCTTCCTGCTTCCGGCCTTGCACTCTATCCCTACCCCGATCCATTTCCCGCATGGCAGCCATTTAATATCCTGTTAAAATGTACTTCAGGAAACATCATTCCTGTATCTTCTAAATGACACTGCAGCACCTGGTCTCCTCTGGTATCCTCATCACTGGGCCTCTTATGGTCTCCCTCGCTCCTTCTCCGGCAGCCACTCTTGCCTCTGTGCTATTTCTGGAACAGGGCAGGCATCTGATCATTCCAGAGCTCCTCCCCTCTGATTCCTCTCCCTGGGATGGTCTTCCCCTAGATATCAGCAGAGCTTTGTCCTCCCCAAACCCTTTCAGTTCTTTATTCAATATCACCTTCCAAGCAAGGCCTTCATTAAATTTGTTTCAAAATTCACAACTTCTGCCTCCTGCAATTCCCTATTCTTTTTCTCTGCTTTATTTTGCTTCCCAGCACTTATCGCTTTCTAGTTTTACTCCAAGTTTTGCTAATTTTCTCTGCCCCCTCCCTCCTCTCACCCATCATAATGTAAATTCTATAAGGGCAGAACATATGTTTCTTGGATTAATTCTTATATTGCCAGAAACTAAGATCAGTACCTGGCACACTCTAGGCACTTTGTAAAATTGTCAAATGAATTTAAGGTATCATATCACAGTGTGCTGTACACATGTTGTTCTCACAGCGTGACAAATACAAAGCGACAAAAAGAACATCTTTCAAAATTGTCAGTGCACTGCTGAATGTACGGACAAACCCACGTGGGGATTCCAGCAGAAATCGAAATTCCACTGACTAAGTGAAGGTGAAGCCACGTGAAGCCTCCGACTCTTCCCTTACTCACCTCCCCAACCCCTCACCTTCTAGTGGGCCTGAGTCACCTTCTCTCCTTGGCTTCTGTCTGGGGGCTGCCTGCACCGATTCGGTACGTTCAAATTGGTCTGTGGACATCCATCTCTTACATATAATCATGTTTCAGAATGTCTACTTCCTTACTTTCTTGAAATCCTAAAGAGAACACCATTTTATGTGTTAGTGTATGCTTTGAAGAATTCCTTTCCTATTTATAATGAGTATTATTTTTCTTTTTTCTGTAGACCCAGGGTATGTCGGTCACCATTCATCCACCTTCTAATCTTTCCAGAAAGAGGAGTGGTCCATTCAGCTCTGGGCACGTGTCTAAATGGAGAGCCAGATTCTCATTATTCTCCTGGTCATTGGTAGACTCTTTCCTTTTTTTTTTTTTTTTTGACGGAGTCTCACTTTGTTGTCCAGGCTGGAGTGCAGTGGCACGATCTCGGCTCACTGCAAGCTCCGCCTCATTTTCCTGCCTCAGCCTCCCGAGTAGCTGGGACTACAGGTGCCCGCCACCACGCCCAGCTAATTTTTTGTATTTTAGTAGAGGCGGGGTTTCACCATGTTAGCCAGGATGGTCTCGATCTCCTGACCCTGTGATCCGCCTGCCTCGGCCTCCCACAGTGCTGGGATTACAGGCGTGAGCCACCACACCAGGCCCAGAATCTTTCCTTTACATTTAAAGTCAAAATTTGAGGCTTCTGGTCCAGTTCCTGATTTCACTCATTCATTTATTTTGTGTTGATCTGACAGAGGAGATAGTTCCTCTTGTGCTCTGCAAGAAAGTGAGAAATTCATTGTTTAAGTGTCTGAAAGTATTCATTTTTTTCCATATAGAAAAAAGTGAATGAACAACTACAGTCTTCAGATTGCAAAAACATATCAAACCTATTTATCTTTTTGATTGTCTTCAAAATCTTGAATATAAAGTACCACGACATAGTTACTTTTATCCTTGGAGTTGTTCTCTGAATTGGATTTTTGTATGAAGGACTGATGCATAAAAACACGGATTTATAGAGAATAAAGGGTATAGACTCTGAAGAAGAAAAAAGCAACTTTCTTTTTTTTTTTTTTGGAACTTAAGATGTTTTATTTTCTTGTTATTTTCCTCTTATAGTCTCCTCAGCTGTGAGCTAAAACGCTGCTGCTCCATATGGGTTATGCATACGCTGTCATTTGGCCCCTCTTTCTGAATTTTAGGACTCTATAAGTCATTACATCCTTTTGTTCCCATTCTGTGATGGCATTCACACCCCTGCAGCAACTTGCAAGGGATCAAATGTTCTTTATTAAAGCCAGGTGGAAAACCTCCAAGGTATCTTAGAGAAAAGCAGCAGCAGAAGGAGAAGACTTGGTCAGGTCAGGAGGAACGGCCCAAGAGAGGAAGAGGCTGCTGTCATCACCCTAGCCTTCTGAGGCATCTCCACCCTAGCTTCCTAGTCTCCTCTTTAAAATTCTGGCGCAAAGCAGACAAAATCTCTTTCTTTTTCCATGTTCTCTCTAGCACATATTTGATGCAAAGAGAACAAGAAAGACACCGAAAAGTATATGAAATAATTTACATTAAAAATAAAAATTTTCATTTTACCCTAAACTCACATACAAGGTTCCTGGGCTCTGTGCCATTGGGTGTATTCTCTTTAGATAATTATGCTTAAATCTCCAAAGCTTCATATGGCACCTTGCTTCTTAACTCCTACTCTGCTTTTTAAATAGTTATGGGTAGATAATAGTTGTATACATTTATAGGGTACATGTGACATTTTGATGCAAGCATACAATGTGTGATGATCAAATCTGGGTAACTGGGATATCCATCACCTCAACTGTTTATCATTACTTTGTGTTTGGTGCATTCCAAATTCACTCTTCTAGTTATTAATATTTTGAAATATACAATAAATTATCATTAACTATAGATGTCCTATTGTGCAGACTCTTCTATTTCATTGGAGAAAATAAAATTGGAATCAGTGTGTTCAATCAAGGGAATCAAGGGAAAATAAAATTGGAATCAGTGTGTTCAACCAATAATTCATCCCTGTATCAGAAATTGTACTATATTTAAATACATTTATGATTTTCCTCCCAAAATCAATTGTTTTTACCATACCACATATATATTAGGTTTTCTTTCAGATAAAACTTTTCAATAAGGAAATAGTAGTTAAACTATCTTTTTCTATCATTAGCAAACCACATGCAACATTTCTTCAGCAGGTGAAAAACAATGTTAGGGTTTTTATCTTTTATGGAACACTTTTAGAAACTCATCCCAATTTGAAACAAAACACCAGGGAAGTGTGCTGAGCACTCTGAGGTATACCCCAAAGCACAGTTGCCATGATCATTATCATGTCTGTTCATATTAACCCTCCCCGGAATATTTCTGTGAAGCCACAGCAAAAAAACACACTTGAGACAGAAGCACATTTTAAAAGCAAAATTCAAAAGTTGGGGCAGTCCCTGGGGCTTGATTCTACGGCAGATAACATTAAAATGGTACTTTGTGTGCATTGGGCAAGGGAGTGGTGGCCTCGCTAATCACATAGCCCCGCAGGGCTCAGCATTGGCATGGCTGCTGTTATTCCACCAATATGCAAAAGTAAGACCCCAGACCTGCAGATGTGGTTTCAGATATCTCACCAATAATTCTAAGCACGGACTATTAGAAAGTGATTAACAACTCTATGTGCTTTCATCTCAAGACTGTTATTTTCTCTTCCTCGCGGGGACAAAGCCCAGGCAGCTGTACCCTGTTATTCATGAAGCTGTGGTAAAGTAGCTGGAGATTTTGCCATCTTAATCGGCTCCATTTCAGTGAAATAATAAATGCATGGGGGAAATTTTAGAAAAGAGAGGAAGAAAAATAATACTACAATCCAAAGCCTATGGCATTAAGCAAATCTTCACTTCCCAAATGTTTAATTCATAAAGAGCAACAGGTGGCAAAAAATAAAAGTTTATTCACACACACACATATCTGTGCACAAAGACCCACATTCATAATTGAAGGCAGTTATTTTGTCTTGGGGTACATACACATATACATACCTGACTCTGTCTCTTTCTATATATATATATATATATATATATATATATATATATATATATATATATATATATATATGTATATACAGTTATTCATCACTTAGTGAAGTGATGAATATATATACAGTTATTCATCACTTAGTGAAGAGGATACTTCTGAAAATGTGTCCTTAGGTGATTTCATCATTGTGTGAACATCATAGAGTGCATTTACACGAACTTAGGTAGTACAGCCTACCACACACCTAGGCTCTATGGCATGGTCTATTGCTCCTAGGCTACAAAGCTTCACAGCAGGTAACTGCGTTGAACACTGTAGGCAATTGTAATACAGTGGCAAGTATTTGTGTATCTAAACGTATCTAAACATAGAAAAAATACAGTAAAAATATGGTGTGATAATCTTATGGGACCACTGTCTGTGTGCAGTTCCTCCTTTGCCGAAGCATTGTTATCTGGCACGTGCCTATATAATGTATGTGTGCTTTGTTTCATTTTATATATTTTCAATTTGCATAGGCTAATATAGAAAAGGTGGATTTAGAGAGTTGGTACCGTGAATACACAGGCAGTGTTACGCCCTTCTTTTTAATACATGTTTCATTTAAGGAGCCAAAAAAGAAAGAAAAAACAACGTGCCCAGAGAGGGTGGTATCAGAGATGAGGGAGATGCTTTAGGCATAGCGGCATCTGATTTAGTTGAAAGTGTAATTCTCTGCATGAAAACCTAAAATATTTGAAATATTTTCATCTGGGAAAGGAGAATTTCTGCGTTGAAAATAAGATTTTTGTTTGTTAAAACTTTAAAGTTAATTTGATATTATTTGGCAAAAGTTTTTTTTTTTATTTGTTTTTGTTTTTGTTTTTGAGACGGAGTCTCACTCCATAGCCCAAGCTGAAGTGCAGTGGCACAATCTTGGCTCACTGCAAACTTCACCTCTGGGGCTCAAGTGATTCTCCTGCCTCAGCCTCCCAAGTAGCTGGGACTAGAGGGGTGCGACACCACACCTGGTTAATTATTTTGTATTTTTAGTAGAAATGGGATTTCACCATGTTGCCCTGTGTGGTCTTGAACCCCTGAGCTCAGGCGATCCACCCGCCCCGGCCTCCCAAAGTGCTGGGATTACAGGCATGCGCCACCGCACCCGACCTGGCAAAACTTTTTGAGGAGGCTGACATCCACATCTTCTAGTCTCTCTCTTTCTCTCCAGGTGCATGGATACATGTGTGCATGTCTGGGTGTATGCATGTGTTCGTATTTATTACCACCAGTGTTCAGAAATCCTTTAGCCCTGTTCTCCTTGTTTTTCCATTCATATTTTCATGTCTAGGAAGGAAAACATGGGGAACAGAGGCCTGGGAGTGGGGAGGAGTCATGAGACCATGAGGATCCCTTTAGGAAAATGCTCTCATGACCCTTGCAGCATTTTGACTATGCACCAGGCCCCTGGAATTTCTGACTCTAGTTGAAGAGACATAGTTTTAGGGTCAGAGCTTTGATTTGATTACCATAGAATAAGGGATAAAGAAATTGGGAGTTCAACAAAGGTTTGCTTGCCTCTCTATTCTTTTATTAATCTAGGTTTTGTTAATCGTAGAATGATGGAAGAGATAGAGATTTTTTTCCTTTCTTCTCTATAACCTTCTCTGTTTTCACTATTTTTATCAACATTTAATTTTGAAGAAATTCAAGCATATAAATATACCACAAGAATAGTAAATGGTCATCTGTGTCCACCTTAGTTCAACAATTGAGGGCATTCTGTAATAATTGCTCTGTATGCATGTCTCTGTCAACCTATCTCTATCTGTCTATCTGCATGGAGCTAATACCCTCTAAACCAAGGAAACAATTAAGCTGCACACATCACATCCCATTTTATTATTAGATTTATTACTAATTTATTCTAGACTAGCCACCCTACTGTTTAATTTCAAGAGTTTGAATTTGGGGCATGTAGCATTTGTAGACACTGAGCTCATCTGAGTGCTTCCTTGGTGGGGCCACTGACTGCTTCTCTATCCCCTGATTTTCTGTAACTGCTAAGTGTGGCTCAAAGGCTTGACGAGAATCAGACTTAAAATTTAAGTGATACTTCACAGGGAATGCCATGCACTTCATTATGTCCATATTTTAAGAACTGAGTTAAACCCCTGATTTTTAGGACTAGAAAACATGTGGTGACTCACTGTAATCATACTCTTAGTTGTGACTTTTAGTAAATATCAGAGCAGCAAGATCAACTTAAGTGCTTCCTCCTTAAAGTGAACCCCTACATAAAGCAGTCTGTGGACCCTCGATTCCCTTACTCCACGGGAGCTGCAGAAGCTTTTGCTTCTTCCCTTGCCGATACTGTCTTCACTTCCCTAGCTTGACCATCCAGAGCAAGGGGGTCACAGGGCCTTTTCAGCACAGTTGCATCTTCCCAAGTTTACAGATATTAGGGGTAAGACAGCCTGCAAAACAGTGATTTCTAAAAACATTGTTTCCTCTTTAATTCCTTTTTGTTTTTTAAAATAACGTTTATTGTGCATATTTGAGGTTTACCATGTGATGTTATTTGTATACATATAGATAGGAAAATGTTATTATAGTGAAGCAGATGGACATATCTATCATCTCACATGGTTACTTTTTTGGTAACAAGAAAGGCTAAAATCCACTTATTTAACAAAATTCCCAATACAGCATAATTTTATTAACTTGAGTCCTTAAATGGTACATTAGATCTCTAAACTTGATCTGGTTTGAACTTCTAGATTCATACTAACTCCTCTGGCTAAACCAAAGGCTCTTTAACTCCAGCAAGCATCAGAATCCCCTGGAGGGCTCCTTAAAACACAGATGGTGAGCCCCACCCCAGAGGTCTCAATTCAGTAGGTATGGGGAGGGATCTGAGAATGTCTATATCTAACAAATTTCTAGGTGAGGATGTTGTTGGCCCAGGGACCACACGTTAAAATCACTGAGCTAAAGGATACACATTCTCACAGTGGAATTCCCTGCGAGTCATCCTTTAGGCCAAATTTATGTGTTAACAATTTGAATAAATCAGAAGTGGAGGAAGCTCAGGATTTGGTTCTAAGACCTGTACTTACATTTATGAGTTTCCACTCCACATTTAACTTCCTACTTTAATCTGTTTTCTTATTTGTTAAATGAAAATGCTAATACCAGATTATCTCATAGGCTGGAATATATAATAGATCAACTGAGATAATGTATGGGAAACCATTTTTCAAACTGTAATCAGCTAAATTCCTTAAAACACCACTGAGGTACCAGCTTCTAGATGCCACAGCTCTGTGAAACATCCTGGGAGCAAACCCAGAAACAATTAAGTGTGAGAAGACAGAAAAATCAGATTTTATTTACTTCTCAGTCATAGTGATAGAAAATATTAATGACTATTAAGAGACGGTAAGGCACAAGAGGAGAAAACATTTAGGCTGCCTACGACATTTGATCTACATTTTTCTCAATATCGAAATGATTGCCTGGATGTAAATTCGTGACCTTTGAACAGTCCAAGAATTCTCATAGCTTATACCTTTATGTGACTATTCGTTCTAAAATGCTGACAAGCAGAATGTTGGCCCATGGAGGCTGGGCTTCAGAGTTGGGCAGACCCACCTTCAACTTCCATTCCCACCATTCATGCAGTGCACAAGCCAGGTACTGTGTTAATCCATTTTGTGTTGCTACAAATTTATACCTGAAACTGGATAATTTGTAAAGCAAACAGGTTAATTTGACTCATGGTTCTTCAGGGTACGAAAGAGGAGTGATGCCAGCATCTGCTCAGCTTCTGGGGAGGCCTCGGGAAGCTTTTACTGGGATGGAGGAAGGTGAACGGGGAGCAGGCATGTCATGTGGCAATAGTGAGAAGAAGAGGGTGGGAAGGGAGAGAGGGAGAGAGTGAGAGCAGGAAAGTGAGCTACAGAGACAGAGGATAAGGTGCGAGGCTCTTTAAACAACCAGATCTCGCAGGAACTAACAGATAGAGAACTCATTCATTACTGCCAGGGGGCTGTTCATGAAGGATCCACCCCTATGACCCAAAACTTCACACTCAGCCCCACCTCCAGCATTGGGGATGACATTTCAACATGAGATTTGGAGGGGACAAACATCCAAACTTTGGTACCAACCTTTGCAAGCCTTCCTTTTCATCATTCAAAATTTCATAATCCTCTCTAGAGGCTAGGTGACTTTTTGTGTGTGTGAAAGTACATATCAGATGACCTAGTGTAGGATGAGTATTCGAGAGCACTCAATGGAAATGTTTTTATTCTATGATGTTAAAATAATAGATGATAGTACTTTTTGTGGCATAGATAAAATTCATTACATGAAATATATCAAGCGAGCCAAGAAAAATCTAGGTACTGATTATATTTATAGATCTTGAAGCAACTGTGGTGTTCCATAAACATTTAGAATTATTTATATAGCCCCCCTCTAAGTTCAATTTTTATGCTATTATGATTTATGCTGCTCATGTTTTCTCATTAAGGGGTTTTCTGACTTCACTCTGAACAACTCTTCCCAGACTGACTAGGCCATAAAATACGGGACTCATTTTCTTTAATTTATCGTTTATGGTCTGGATAATCCTCTGTGTATCTCATTGTGATCGACTGCCGTTCCAGCAGAGCAGCCACTCTGAGGGTCTTGGCAGAGCCTGAGAATCTAGGAAATTTGGAGCCCTGGGCTGCCTTGAACACTGACCGCCCTTACATTTACCCAGATCTAGGCACACGTTTAAGTCGCATCAACCAAAATTTGTTAATTGCCTTCATTTGCCCAACCTTGCCACTGAGTAGAAGCCAAAATTTGAGGTCCTTCAGGCTTGGGTTATTCTCTTAACTTGCTCCTTTTGTTCAAGGATTGGTAAAATTTCACATTTAAGGGCATGCATTTCTTCCCACGTGTTGTCAGGACCAGGCTACTTCTCCCCTTTGTTTTCTATGGTCTGTCAAGCACACTGCATCCTGAAATAAAGCCACAGCTGATGGCAGAGGTAAAAACTATGAAAAGTGAATGGCATGAAAAAGACTTAAGGAAAAAGGAAGGACTCCAGGAGTGCAGAAACAGCTAATGAAAAATCAGAGACCTCTGTCAAGACCATTAGATATAAAAGTCCAAAATATCAATAACTTAAAGCTAGTTTTAAATAAAAAATAATCCAATTCAGTAGCTTTTCTCTTCTAATAGCCTTGATTATGATTCAATGTAACATTTCAAAATTATAGTTTGGAGTTTCAAAGCCTTAAAAAAAGTCAGCATTCACTGAGGGCAATAAATGAATTAATTGTTTAGTTTAGTCTTGGCTTTGACATATTATGAAATAACTCATTGAACAAGTCCCTCCTGAAAAAGTTACTTAGAGAAGAATCAGTGGACTCGAAAGTAGAGTTTCATTTTGTGCACAGATCATGGCACCTGTAATACATCTCACTTTCTATCATTTGAGAAAATGGGAAACAGAAAGAAGCAGTAAGCTCATTTAAAGCAAAGGAAGAAAGAATGGGTGATTCAGGCATTTTACCCTGAAATTTATCAATCCGTGGGCAGCCTAATGGGGAGTCCTGAGGGAGGAACCATTTACACAGAGAGATTTATTGAGCCAGCCACCGTGGCATGTGTAGGAGCTAATGAAGATGCTAAGAGGAAAGAATTAGCTTCAGGACCAGAGAGTGGAGCTCATTTCAGGTAAGAAACCAAGTTCCATTAAATGCAGAAAATAAAAAATAACAGAGACTATGGATGATATTTTAACTTCAAAAATTGGAGCTGTTGGTATTTGGGATGTAAATCAATTGACAGTACAAGATGGGGTTTGACTGTAACTAGTCAAAAATTTAAAAGTGGAATGTGTAGAATGTTTCAGCTGGTTACTGACAGTGAATTCCATGCATATCTGAGATGGGAGGTACAGAAATGTCGATTGCAGGAGGCAGAGAAGTATTGCCCACACCTCTGGCATCCCAGCATCCTATGGGTCCTACTTCTGTTTTCCAAGCCAAAGGCTCTGCAGAACATTCAAAAAAAGAATTGCAAAACCCTAGTTTAGTTGTTACCTTCCAGTTCTGCAGAACTGTGACCAGTCTGTATGTGTGAGCTTGCATTTCTACATTTGTTTTTTAAATTTTTAAAAAATTATGGATATGCAATAATTGTACATAGGTACATATGATATTTTGATAAAAGCATTCAATGGATAATAATTAAATAAGGGTAATTGGGGTATCCATCACTTTGAGCATTCATCATTTCTTTGTGTTAGGAACATTCCAATTCCACTATTTTAGTTATTTTGAAAGACACAAGAAATTATTGTTAACCATAGTCTCCCTACTCTGTTACTGAATACTAGATCTTATTCTTTCTGTTTTACTGCATTTTTGGACAGAAAAATTGTTCTCAGTGACTACTTTGCTGAACGATAATAATCTTGACCTTTCAAACCATGCTTTTTTCAGCTAATTTTTCTTTATTTTTCACTCGGTAGTTTGGGCAATTGTGTTACAGTAACCTTTTTTGGTGCTACTGTTTTATAATTAAGATAATTTCTCTGTGGTGAGGTTTCTAATGAAATCATTCAAGAAGCAGTTATCGAGTGCTCGCTGTGTTCCGAGTGCTGCTTCCTCCCAATTAGCTGCGCTGAAGACGAGGATTGTAGGAAATGAGGGAGCATCTGGCACCGGAGATGCTGACTCCCAGGCCCACCTCCAGGCCATGCTGGCAGGTGAGCAGCTCCATTTGAGATGGCCAAGGGGAAAAGGTTTTCATGGCAGAGACAGGTTTCAATCAATGTCAGCATTGGCAACATAATATAAGCTCTAGGGGGACTTCTGCTGTTGAATTATTTCTTAGGGATAAATACCCAAGAGTTGGATTAATAGTTCAAAAATTAATAACTTTCTCTTAGCTCTTGAAATGTATTACCATTATGTTTTCCAAAATTGTACCAATTTGCAACATTATTGAGAAGGAATTAGTGCGGTTCTGTTGTCTCATTTTGGATTAAGTCCTAACACGTATTTAGATTTATGTTAATTTAATAGGTATGAAATTGAATTTCTTTGTTGCTTAAATTTCTGTGCCTTCATTACAAATGTTCTTGGACATTTTCCATGTGTTTCTTTATTGTTTCTATTTCCTAATTTGTTATGGTTCCACTCATAATAATTACTCATTTATCTATTGGAGTTTTGATAATTTTCTTGCAATTTTAGAAGCATTATTATTATGAAAATGATACTTGCTAATTGTAAAACAGCAAATACTTACAGAGAAGCATAAATAAAAGGTGAGATGCTTCCATTCTACAGAGGCCTGATGCTGTTTATGAGGGAACAAGAATACAGACACGCTCGTTTCCCGAGGATAGCAGGGAATAAGGGAGAAAGACTTAAAAGTCCCACTTCCTAGTTAACCGCCATGAAGTGGTAACAATTTGTGTTACCAATTTTGCAAATAATTGTCCATTTTGTTTTTGTGTCCTTTTTATGGAGTTTGTTTTTTCTATGCAACAGTCACTTTTTTGGTTATAAAATCTATCAAAGACACTTAAAAGTGACTTGGACTGGAACATAAAATTGTTTAAGTTCTGTGGGATCATTGCAAACTCACGCTCCATTGATGTCTGACAGAGTCTTATTTGACTAAAGAAATGTGACTAGCAGTGGTGTTGCAATATTCAAGTAGAAGCTTTGAGACATTGTGCGGTTCTACCATGTTCTCTTTTCTTTATCCATGGCGTTGGAAATGTCTTCACAGGGCCTACTCCTTCACCAGGACTGTCAGATAAATACTAGCAGAACAGCAACCAGCCACTGTGCAATGTACATGTAGCAGGAGGAAGAAATGCATGTTTTGCTTCTAGAAGTCATTGAGATTTTAGGGATCGTTTACTAGCACCATGTAACTTAGTCTAAGCTTCCTGATAAAGTCACATTCCTTCTAAATGGCATTTCATAATTCCCAAGTTTCTTATTCTTTGCTATGCATTTGTGTTGCTGTTGTAAACAACATGCCTTGTTTTATTCTGTTTTCTTCTGGACCATTGTTTATACAATGCAGTGATTTGTACTTATTTTTTTATGTTGCAAAACCAAACATCTGCACTATGAACAATATCTTTCAGTTCCTCATTTCTTCCATAATGTCCACTACTAGGTAGCCACAATTCCTTACATGCCTAATAGGTCCCAAAGTTAAGTCTAACAGACCCCTTGTTTGAGCACCAACAGTATACTGTGCATCTCAGCCTGGATTTTTATAAGTTCATCAGTGAACCATAAAAAAATGAATTCTTGATATTACTCCCCGATACTATTATCTGCCCAGGTTTTCTATCCTAGGTAACAGCAGTGGCAGCACGGAGTCACCTAAGCCTTGAATGCAGGAACTCTCCTTTGTCCTCTCGTCTGCTTGCCATTGAGCCTCACCTCCTCCACTTTCTACCTCACTAAAACAGGCCACCATCTCTACATCTACATGGTAGCTGCCTTGTTTCAGTCTCTTACCTTTAATCACTTACATAGCTACTTTCTTCTCAGCTATCTCTAACCCTTTTTTCTTGTTAACGTCATTACCAAAGTGATTTATCTACAGCTCATTTTTAATTACTTTGATTTATTTTCTATGGTTTGCCATTGTTTCCAGGATAAAGTCATTGAATTGTATTTTGTGCTAATTGACAAGAGCATTTCAGTTTTGTGATTGCATTCCCTATTATTTGAGGTTCAATAGACTTAACAGTGAAAAACAGGCAAGGCATGGCATATTTGCCTAGCAGGGTACCATCTCCTTGGGAGTCAGCACAAGCAACTGGGGTATGTAATACCATTAGAAATAAATCGTGATTTCTCTTGGCTGCCCGTGACAATGCAACACTCGGCTAAAACAGTTGATATTGACCTAGTGCCATATGCCTTTCATGGGTTATGATACACAGTTCTTAGTCACAAGAAATTATGAACCCTGAAACACTCACTCTTGCCTAAAATTCCCACTGAAGTGCTCTTGTATCTCTTGGGAGTCACTAACAACAGCTTGCCATGATCAACATGCACACAGGATTGGAAGGCTGCTTTCCTCCTCCTGGAAGAGCAAAAATATAATTGTAGACTTCAGGGATTGGCCACATTATGATTTGTAAGACCTCCCATGATATAGTTAATATTTACTTATCCTGCCTTATTCTCAGTCATTCTGCCTTTTCATTCAGCAATATTAAATTGTCTAGAATTAACTGGTTTTTGCTCATATCTCCTCGCCTTGTGCCATTACATGAACTTTCCTTTTTACTTAGGATGTCATTCCTTCTCTTTTCTGTCTGGTAAATGCCTCATCATACATCAGTTTAGTGCAAAGACCAGGTATCACACACCACACCACCCCACTCCCATTCCCCTGAAGCATGATAATCTCTACACGCCTTCTGTATTTATTATACATTCACGGTGTATTTTGCATAGTTATCCACATATTTATCTCCTTAATGAGGTTATGGACTCTTTTCAGAAAAGCTATTTGGTTTGATTCATCTTGTCCAAATAGGCACTCAATAAAATGCTTGCTGTTTAAAAGAAGAATGAGGGCAAAAATAGGGAACCTTTTGGCCTCTATATTGAAAAACTCAAAGAAAAACCATTTCTATATTGTTAAAATGCTCTAAAAATATCTACCAGGTCCATATAGTAGTTCTAATAATCAAAGGGAAGTTACCTAATGAAAACAGCTGACTAGTTATAAAGGAAGTATCATTTATTATTTGCCAGTCTTTTGACTTTTATTATGAAAATGTTAAGCACATAGAAAAATAGAGAGTATAATAATGTACACACTCATATGCAGATTTAAGAATTGATATTTTTTTACATAAGTGCTGTATTTTTGCTGAAATATTTTAAAATAAGTTCTATTACATCTGTTTAGTTGTTGAATTGGTTAGGTCCCATCGATTGATGGTATTCTTGAATTCTTCAATGTTCATGCTTATTTTCTGTCTAGTTGTTCTATCAGTTGTTGACACAGGATTTGCTGTTTTCCTTTACAGTTAATGAATTTGTCCATTTCAGTTTTCAGTTTTGTTTTATGCATTTTGCATGTCTTTTGTTCATTGCATACACATCTAATATTGCTATTACTTCTTGGTGTATCAGCCCTTTTTTCACTATATGTATCCCTCATTGTGTTGGCTAAACTTTTTTTTCTGAAATCTACTTTATTTGATATTATATAATGAATCCTACTTTCCTTTGATTAATGTTTATCTGATAGATCATTTTCCATGCTTTTGCTTAAAACCTGTCCAGATTGTTAACATTTGAAGTCAGTTTTTTAAGGACAACACAAATGTTAAAACTTTTGTAAGGCCAGGCACGGTGGCTCACACCTGGAATCCCAGCACTTTGGGAGGCTGAGTTGGGAGGATCGCTTGAGCCTAGGAGTTGGAGGCCAGCCTGAGCAACATAGGGAGACTCCATCTCTACAAGAAGAAAAAAATAGTTGGGCATGATTGTATATGCCTGTGGTTCCAGTTACTCATGAGGCTTGAGGTGAGAGGATCTACTTGAGTCCAGAGGTCGAGGCTGCAGGAGCTGTGATTGCACCACTGCACTCCAGCCTGGGTGACAGAGTAATACCTTATCTCAAACAGACAAACACTTTTATAACATCTTATATAAGAAATAGTTTTCCTAACACTGTATAATATAGAGAGCTTCCTGAGGCTGTCTTCATTTTCTTTTGATTTTTTTAAAAGTATAGCTTCTATCTGTTGTTCAGACTGTAATTTCTATTGTTCTATTTTTATTTTGCTAATTCTTTCTTCTGTCCCCTCCATTCTGCTGTTGAGCTCATTAACTGAGTATTTTCTTTTCTTTATTGTATTATTTAGTTATAAAATCTCCATTTCACTCTACTTTACCTCTTCTTCTATTTCTTTGTTGAAATTTTGAACTTTAAAAGTTTATTTAAGCATGTTTGTAATTGTTTGTCAAAGCATATTTATGATAGCTGCTGTAAAACCTTTGTCAGATGCTTCTAACATCTCATCATCTTGGTGTTGGCAATGACTAATTCTTTTTTTCATTTAGCTTTCTTATGTTTCTTGATATCATGAGTAATTTCTAACTGAAATTAGACATTTTCATATTGCGTTATGAGCATCTGAATCTCATTTAAATGTTCTGTTTTAGATGGTTTTGTTTGGCACTGCCTCACTACTGCCATGTGGATAGAGGTGTTCAGGTTCCTCCTTCAGTTCCCCCTGACACCTGAGGGAGAATTCCCTTTATTCTGAATGCGAATTCTTGCTCCCCATGTGATCTTCACTCACAATGTCTTGAGGGTGGTCTTTTTACTATTGGATGATGGGGAAAGTTTAGACTCCTCACGAGTCCTCCTCTGGCACCACCCTCGTGGAGAAGGGCATAGAAATTCAGGTTCCCCATGTGATACCCACTAACATTCTCAGGATAGAGGCAGCTCCCTAGTTGATCTTCTCTGACTTGACCTTGCAATGGATGTTGGAGTAGTTCATTATAGTCTTGCTAGGGTGGCAGTCTAAACTCCACACTCAGCCTTGCAGTATGGATGAAGATAGTGCCATCGTTTTTTTCCATGGTTTCCTTGCTTATTATGCAAAAGTTTTCCATCTTGCTCTCTTTCCCCTTTCCTACACCTTTGGCTAGAAAGAGCAGAGCTTTTATTGGCGCTGTCTTTCTTCATGTCCCTTGGCATTTCTGGTTTACTGACTTCTTCAGCTCCAAGTCAGGGATATATGAGACGAAAAGAAAACCTAGAGAACTTACTGCCCTGTAGTTGCTTGGATCCCAACATCTCTGGACAACCTGCCTTCTTCTCTACACCTCTAAACACAGAATTTTTCTGTGTTTATTTTATATATAATGTCCAGGAATTTTACCTGTACTTCAAGTTAGTTGAGACTACGTTTAGTTGTGTAGGAGGAATATAAAAAACTATGACTGTTCCATTTTTCTGGAAACAGAAGCCTCTTCTCTCCTTTCTTTTCTTTTCAATTTACCGAAGAATCTTGCTATGCTGAAAATCAAGGAAACTCTCAAAAACAAACAGGATACGGACAAAGGGAAACAGGAGCTAGACTGCAGGAGACTCTATGGGGCAAAGCAGGGACAATTAGGATATCAAGGAAAAGAAGGCGACTGTGATTGACGGAGACACAATAAAAAGATTCTATCTGTGAGTGAGTGTGTGCATTCCTTCATTCTATAATTATATTCACAAAATAGAAAGCCACACACACACACAAAATCAAGATTGTATCTGACATGATTGGAGGTGACTACACTGACTCCTTTCTCTGAAAATATATAAAGGAAAGAAATTAGTACTAAACTGCTTTTCCAATACAACTGTATTTCAAGGTAACCAAAAAGGTTAATTTCTTGGCCAAAAGCTCTTGATATAAATATAAAAGGAATTATTGAATATAGTAATTCCCACTTTACAAATCCTAATGTAATAATTGATTCAAGCAGTCATCATCAGGGGGCGATAGGATCATTCTGTGAAAGTTTGTCAGAAAATGGAATGTTCACATTGTGCAAAATTATCATTTCACATATCATTTTCTCATCCTGAGTAATGCAACACAACTTCAAAGGAGAGATCTGCCTGTTAGTGGCTTAACCAGAGATTAATCTCAGCATCAGTACTAGTTACCTTATGTCACTGTGTGTGCACTCTGATGTGATGTAAATGAAGTATTTAGCAGCACCTGTGAAAGACTCTTTCTAAAATCTATAACCTGATCTAGTCAAGTCTTTAGATGTAATTTTCAGTTGACAATACATGTAAAAGACAGGAGAACAAGTCAATATATGTAAAAGACAGGAGAACAAGTTAAATGACATCAGGATGAAATCAGAAAAATCCCGAGGGGGTGTCACTGTGTAGCACAGATAGGTGGTCTTTTCAGCAAGTCCATATATTGGGTAGGAGGATAGTGTTATTTATGAGAGCTTCAGTATAGCTTGGTCAAAGCGCTTTCAGTGGCTGTTAAATACTCAATTTGACCATAGTAATATATTCTCAAGGATAAAAGAACCAGTGATACAAGACATTCAATATTTCCTGATAATCATCTTTATGTAGAATTGATCTCCATAAAGAAGAAAGGTGAGATCATGAAATGGTTATGGCCTCCCTTTAGAGTCTAAAAAACATACTTTGGAAAATCACACAACTAATTTTCAAAGGGATGCTTTAGGACTTGTTTCTTTTCTTATCCTGGGTGAGATGGTCTTGATACGCAAATGATCAGAAGACGCAAATTCTGAAGAGTTCCAGCGCTGCCATTCGCTATTTCAGAGGTAACTGTCAGCATGCTAGAGAGCACAGGTGCTGGGTGCAAACTCCCCAGATCTAACCCCAGCTCCCAGGTGTTAACTGTGCCCTTTGGCAATTTACTAAATCTCTTTATGCTCCAGTTCTTCATGCATAAAATGGAGATAATAATAGTACAAATATCATAGGGTATATTGAGAATTAATAATATATGTAAAGCAGTTAGAAAAAGACTGCCACATATGATGACAATTTTCATTAATATTGCTGTCAGCACCAATCCTACAATTGAGTCAGGCCAGACAAAATTTATCCAAAATGTGCCCTCTACTCTTACGTTCAAGCCTTTCTTCTTCCCAAAGAGGCCTGAGACTCTATGCTATTGACTTTCAGCACATTCTTAGGGCTCTGCTCAAATGTTGGTCTCTTTCTGAAGTCGTCTGTACTACCTTCATCTGGAAAGTGATCGTACTTTAGCTCATGCATAAGGATTTGTTACTACCTCTTCTATGATATTCATGCAGTTTTATTTGGTATTGTAGTTATCATCTCACTTAGCATGCCTTATGTGGTGGGAGCAATTTGATTGATTTAATTTTTAATTCATTGAATTCTTTCAACAACACTCCTGCTTCTTTTTCTTACTCATCCCTTTTATATTTGGGGGAAGCTGTGGCACAAAGAGGTTCTCTAATATGCCCAAAGTCATTGCTCGGAAGGGGTGGAGCTGGGATTTGAACACAGTCTATTGTGGATGTTGAGCAGAGAACTGTACTGTACAGGAATCCTGAAGGCAAGGACAGTCCTAGAGAGGATAATCAGGTAACAGCAGAGCTATTTCCATCCGAGACCTCCACTCCTTTCAGCCACACAAATAAGCATGCTGTAAGGTAGAACAATGAGGAAGCTGCTGACATGTTTCAAAGCCTGTGTCCCCTTCTCTATGTTGGGGAAACTATTTGACCCAATCGCTTCCCATAGGTGCCACACAAAAAAGAGGTGGTCAGAGCCATCAGCTTTATGACAGTTCCTGGCCCTCACCCAACATATTTACCTTTCTCTCCTCAGTTTAATGTGTGCTGTGTTGGAGAACATCTTACCTAGGAAGTCCTATTTGAACATAATTGTGCAGCAGCAAATGTGAACTTGAAGTAAAATCTTGTATTACGTGAGCCCTGAAATGCAAATCTAGACTTATTTATTCCAAATTCTCAAGCCAAAGTGATTAGAGAAGCACACACCTTGCAGGTTAGATCCCAGGGGACCCTACTGAAAAAAGCAGCTGAGCTTTATTGATGCATAAATCTTGGCTATTACTTTCTTCTGTTTCTAAGTGATGGATTCAGCATTTGGCATTATGTTTGCTTTGTTTGCTGAGAAGCTTCATCAATTGCTTTTCATTTGTTAAAAAGTTCAACAATCAAAACAGATGACAGGTAGGTAAAATGAATTCCTCTCATAGATTTTTGAAAGTCTAATTAGATGGATATTTTCAGATGTTGTTAGAATTCAAGGACATTGACCTTTTTAATTGAGAAATGAAATCAATTGTATTGGAAATGTCTTCCAGGTCTTTGATAAATTATGGGCTATCCTCGCTTGACAACTACTTACCATAGAAAATGGGGAAAAATTTAATTCACTAGCAAACTGTAATTCACATGATTCCCTCTGAGTAATTTTATACAAAGCCACATTGAAAATCATATTGGGCTTGGCTCCTTCTTTTGGTTAATGAAATCCCACTCACGTGGATTGTGTCATAGGTGAAGAGCGTTCACCTGGGACCACATGATTTCAGTCAATCTGTTTGGTGATTGACTGGCCTATACCCAACAACCCTGGTACTGAGTATGTCTGATAACTCAGACTTCTCTCCACCGGCTTCCCTCCCGGTGCATGAATTTTTGATGAAGTGAATTATTTGTTTACAAACTTGTATTGAAGGTACTGATACTATAACGCATTATCAGCAATACTGTGGGTACCTATGTGAACTTTGCTGCTTTGTCATGGTTCAACACAGCACTCCACGTCATGGCCACATGTTCTGTGCCGGCAGATCAGGACCCTTGTAAGCATCACTTCCTTCTTGCTCACTGATCTCCCGCCCCACTGGCCTGCTTGGCCACACTTGCTGTTTTCTCTCCCTTGAGCCCTCTGGTGCTTCTTTCTTCTGTAACCGTTTTATACAACTAGCTCCCATAGATCCCACATACAAGCAGAGGTGTTCAGCATCACAGCTGTGGGCAGCACTGCAGCTGTTCCTGCCTCTCCCTGATTCCTAACCTTCCATCCTACATGCGATTCTCTCTGGAGTTCGACCTGTGTTCCATCACCAGATCGTCTCCCCGAGAAAGTCCTGTTTGAACGTGTCTCTGCAACATAACTGCTTCACCCCTTGACCTTGCCTTCTTTTTCTTATGCCCCTTCTACCATCTGACAGTTATGGTTAGTTGTTCATTAGTCTTGTATGTGACACGTTGCCATTCTTAAAGGCAACCACCTTTCTGCTCCTGTTCACTGTTGAATCCCCAGTCCCTATGATGGTGCCTGGAACATGATGTGGGCCTCTTACTACCTATGCAGCCTTGGGCATGCCATTTAACCTGCTGGACTCATCTGTTTAATGGGGAGACTATTAGTACCAACTCATTGCAATGTTGTGAATGTTAAATTTATTATTATAGGAAAAGAGTTTGGAAAATTACCAAGCTCTTAGGAAATTGAGCTCACAATAAATATTAGCTATTATAATTATTTCCATAATGTCTTTTAATTTTCAAAGTAATTCCCATTTATTATATTGTTAAATTATTGTAACAATTTTCAGAGGCAGAAAAGCATTTAAAAGATGAACACACTGAGGAAAGGGGGATGCTATGTATTGAGCTAGGACAGCACAGGCTGGCCCCACAGCTCTCCTAGTCCCTACTCTCCCAGTCCCTAACCTGGCCTTTCACAGTTCTCTTCATTCTTCATCTTTCAAGTTAATAACAACAACCCCTTCTTTTCCAAAATGATACCTCTGACTCAGATCACCTATTCCTCTTGGGTCATTATATATATATATATATATATACACACACACACACACACACACACACACACACACACACACACACATATACATATAATATATATACATATATTAATAATACATAATACATATTATATATATATAAATATATATACACATATAATGACCCAAGAAGAATGGGTGATCTGAGTCAGAGGTATCATTATATTATGAGGAAGCTGCTGACGTGCTTCAAAGCCTGTGTGCCCTTCTCTAGGTTGGGGAAACTATTTGACCCAATCACTTCCCATAGGTGCCACACAAAAAGAGGTGGTCAGAGCCATCAGCTTTATGACAGTTCCCAGCCTGCATCCAACATATTTACCTTTCTCTCCTCAGTTCAACCTGTGCTGTGTTGGAGAACTTCTTACCTAGGAAGTCCTATTTGAACATAATTGTGCAGCAGCAAATGCGAACTTGAAGTAAAATCTTGTATCATGTGGGCCCTGAAATCCAAAGCTAGACTTAATTATTCCAAGTTCTCAAGACAAAGTCATACGAGAAGCACTTGTCTCTGCCATAGAACTGCTTCATATCTTCACCTTGTCTTATTTTTCTTGTCTGGTATGAAAATATATCATTTTGATACCACTGACTCAGATCACCTATTCCTCTCGGGTTGTTATATATATATATGTTTTGGCTACCTTCAGGCTTCAGGCTTCTGAGTTACTAAAGCTTTCTGGATTTTGATATCCACATTTAAAATATGTTTGATATGTAGTGTCTCTACTAACTTTGATAAGGTTGAGGATGATAACGATGATGATGATAAGTATGATGACAGTACTCTTTAGGTAGCATTTTATTATGTACCCATTACTATTCTCAGTGCCTAGTAACTTTGCTATTCCCCAAAACAAGCCTTATAAGAAAGGTGCACTTTTCTGTGTATGTGTGTGACAGAGTCTTGCTCTGTCTCCAGGCTGTAGTGCAGTGGCATGATCTCAGCTCACTGCAACTTCCACTTCCCGGGTTCAAGCGATTCTCCTGCCTCAGCCTCCCCAGTAGCTGGGACTGCAGGTGCACGCCACCATGCCCAGCTAATTTTTGTATTTTTAGTAGAGAGGTGGTTTCACCTTGTTGGCCAGGATGGTCTTGATCTCTTGAACTCATGATCCTCCCGCCTTGGCCTCCCAAAGTGCTGGGATTACAGGCATGAGCCACCATGCCCGGCTGAAAGGTACACTTTTAATTCTCATTTTACAGCTGAGAAAACTGAGACACAGAGCGTTAGGATTCTCAGCAAGTCCAACTCCAGAAGACATACCCCTGGCCCTTATTGTTTCTGCCTCTTGGAGAGAGCTACTGTGGTTCTTGCTGAGTCAGCCAACACCCAGACTATTCCCTGATCCTCTCTCCCTTGAAAAGAAACTGCTTCTGGGCTCATTATGGAGAGGCTACTGTTTCAGTTCTTGCTATTCTGATAACCTCATCTGTGCTGAGAAGTCAGCAGATGAAATATGCTCATGTATGATTATCCCAGAAAGTGATTTTCCATTGATCTGAAAGGCTGCTGGGGAGAGTTTCTGGCTCTATCAAAGAAGAGCATTTATTCTGCCTGTGTCTTCAAGCCTCGTTTCACTTAAAAGAACAAGCCAAGATGAATCAAACACAGCATATGACTTCAGATTTGACTTATTACATGAAAGACTTGATTCCAGCATCCCAAAGAGACTAATATGTTTCACGATTATGAGCTCTGGATCACAGTGAAACAGTCCAATATTCCTACCAATTCCGGGACAAAGTAGAATAAAACAGTCTTCTGAATATATGACACAAAACACGTAATCCCAAATAATGATTACTCCACAGACATGCTGCCTTCTGTGAAAATGTGAAGTTTGACCTTTTTTTTTGGTTTCAAATTTCAAATGCATGAACTCTTTGAACTCACAGAAAGGACATTTGAAATGTGCAAGAAGTTTCAGCTGAATGAATAACCTTGAATTACAAGTTTAAATGTATTGATTTATACCACACTTTAGTTTTCAAATGTATTTGGGCTTTTGGTTTCCTTTGAGGCACTCTGGGGACTCCTCAATCTGTTCTCTTCTAATGACCGTGGTCCTGCTTTTCCTCTGGTGAATATTTTAGTCCATCTGCATGCCAGCCTAAAGAAATGGACCCCTGCAGTGCTTTCCACCAACGTGTCTGCGGTTTGATTGCATCTTCCCTGGAGGGCTGCAGAGTTTTAGGGCACTCACGGAGGATGAATCTCATATCAAGAGAGGAAGGTTGCTGGAGCAGGTAGAGGGAAATAATGATGGGTTTCTGAGGCATGCACGTGTAATGTGCAAGGAGCAGTCAAAGCACTTCCTGCACCACATTAGGCTAGAAGCATATGATTTAAAAAATAAAATCAGCCCGTTCATTCGATGAGGGGGATTTGGAGGGAATACAAGATGAAGCTTTCCTGTTTCTTGCTCCCTTAGGGTGCTCTTCTTGGTACAGATATCACCTGATTCTAACATGAAAATGGAACAGCAAGAGGAACTGGTGAAGGGCCTGGAGTTGCTTAAAATTAAGGCAGCCGATGGGCGTTTCTATTAAATCATCTCTGAGTCCACCTGGATTCTCTGTTTCACTCTGTTGCCCATCTTCGGGTCAGTAGGTGGAGCACACAATTCATTGCAGTCTCCCTGCTCTCAAGTCCGCCTTCACAGGGAGAGATTTTCAGGTCATGCATTTTCATGCTCATGTATTTCTTGGCATATGAAACCAAGTTGCTTTCCTTCCTACAGAAGTGTGACTTTTAAAATAAAATATATCTCCCTTGCTCCTCCCCAATCCCATTGCTGTTTCCATTATAAACCTCTTCTCATTGTGCCTTGGTGCTTCCTAGGAGATAGTGTTACCTTCACTGCATAGCAGTATATAAACACGTAGGTCTTCGGTAACAACAATCTTTCTTATCTTTGTCTAGAATACTGGACATCTCTCACATGTTATTTATATTTCTTAGAAGATGAAGTCTATTTCATTCAGCTTTGCTGCTTTGTTGCAGCTTTTTTCTTTTTTCCTACGATCTCCAGGTTCATTTTTCAAGCCACTTGGTCAAATTAGGTGGTCTCTAGGTGATCAAACTTTGCTATATTTTTGTGAGATGCCTGCCCATTAGAAGTCATTTATTCCTTTATCTTAAGCATCAGCTGGAAAAAACAAACCTTTCAGCAACACCATCTTTATAACCTTGCTTACTTCTCATTTTCTCTTTTCTCATCCAGGCTGTGGATCCCTCCTGTAAACCAAGAAAAATGGAAATGTGGCCTTTGTTTGACAAAGGCCTTTCTTCTGCTTCCCAGGTATCATCAGATCCCCTTGTGACTCAGGCGAGTCAGGCTACAGAGGGCAGCTGCGCTCTGCTGGGGGCTCGGCTGTGGAGCAGGAAGAGGCCCATGAACTCTGCTCTCCTCTTGCTTGGCGCACTGGCCTGACCTGCACTCAGCGGCCACAACCTTCCATTACAGCTTCCTCGGGGCCCAGATATTGTTCTCATAGCTTCAGGTATGAGACAGAGTTTATCCACTTCACACTGCATGCCACAAAAGTGTTCAACAACGCATCTGTAGTAGCCTCACAGATCAATGCTGTCCGTAAGCTTAGTAAAGGTATTTCTGGCTCAGGGGCAAGATATAATTTTGTGTAAGTTTTGCATATTCACTTGTATAACTATGAACATCAACTTTCAGAAGAAAGTATAAGAATATGATAATTGAATGAATGTCTCTTATTGCTATTGAACTCAACATAGAATAGGTTATACCTGAACTATACAAGTTATAGTTAACAAAAGAATTAGTGAATATTTGCTCACCTGTAAAATGGGCACTGTAATAGTATTTGCCTCATGTACTTCTCGTGAGGAGTAAATGAAGTGGTTCGTGTAAGGCTTTTAGACTTGTGCCAGAACTGTAAATATTATTATTATTATTTAAAATTTTAATTATTGTATGTATTTTTAAAATTTGTTTCTTGACAGGTAATAATTGTATATATTTTGGGGTACAATGTGATGTTTTGAACTCTATATAGTCTACAATGGTAGAAAGAGTAAATCAAGCTAATTAACATAACAATCACCTTACCAACTTATGATTTGTTTTTGTGGAAAGAATGTTAAACAACTATGCTTTTAGCAATTTAAAAATATACACTACACTTTTTTTCAAGGAGTCTTGCTCTGTCGCCCAGGCTGGAGTGCAATGGCACGATTTTGGCTCACTGCAACCTCTGCCTTCCGGGTTCAAGCAATTCTCCTGCCTCAGCGTCCTGAGTAGCTGGGATTACAGGCACCCCCCATCATGCCCGGCTAAGTTTTGTGTTTTTAGTAGAGACGGGGTTTCACCATGTTGGCCAGGCTGGTCTTGAACTCCTGGCCTCAGGTAATCCACCCACCTCGGCCTCCCAAAGTGCTGAGATTGCAGGAGTGAGCCACCGCACGCAGCCTATACACTACATTTTTTTTTTCAACTTTTAAGTTCCAGGGCACATGTGCAGGATGTGCAGGTTTGTTACATAGGTAAACGTATGTCATGGTGGTTTGCTGCACAGATTAACCCATCATCTAGGTATTAAGCTCACCATCCATCAACTATTCTTCCTGATGTTCTCTCTTCCCCCATGCCCTCCAACAGG
This sequence comes from Homo sapiens, assembly GCF_000001405.40. Taxonomy (NCBI): domain Eukaryota; kingdom Metazoa; phylum Chordata; class Mammalia; order Primates; family Hominidae; genus Homo; species Homo sapiens. Next base: position 51,775,638 of record NC_000007.14, read on the forward strand.
CCCCAGTGTGTGAATTATTTTTTAATAAAAGAGAAGTAAGGAGTTTAGAAAATTATCTATTTTCTAATTCAGGCAGCACGCCTTGCTTTTGAGGATGGAGACATTTAGGTAAATACTGGGTAGTTTATTAAAATCAGTAATATAGTAGATATTGATATTCTATATTCAGTAGATTGATCAATTATGAATAAATATTATTAATAAATCTGTTGGTAAAATCCGTATTTTCCTGGAAGTCATCAGCTTAGGGATAAATTCAGTAACCCTATTTTAAATAGAGTAGTCCTGTCAATATAAATATCACAACCCCATCTACTCAAAAAATATTTTTTCCTGAAGATAGCCCATGTAAGATTTTGGGATGCAATCCCCAGAGCTCGTGGTGGGCTAATTGATCCCAGCTGTTGGTAATAGTCAGGTAGGATCAGTAGGGTATTTGGGAGATAAGTCATTGTGAGTTAGCCAGATCACCAACCAGGAGATGGTGCAAAATGGCAGGAACCCCAAGCAGGAAGCTGAGATAAGGGGTGAGGCTCCAGTTCTGAGGACAGCCATCAAGCACCTGACAAGGCATCAGTGTGCTGTGACCACCAGCTAAGCTTGAGACCCGGAGGGAGTTGAAATCCTCGAACATGTGGGGTTGGAGCTCAGCACACTCCTACGGAATCCACCTCCACTAGTCTGCCCGGCTCAGAGGCTGCCTGGAGCTGCAGCCTGGGGAAGATGCGTGCTTGGACCTCATCTCCTGGGACAGTGTAGGCTGGGTCTTATACATGGCATAGAAACTCCTGGAATCAGCTGGATCTCCAGTCTGGCAGAATGACTTGATTCTACCAGCACAGCAATGGAAGCTTGCTCACAGAGACTTGGCTGAGAACCTGTGCCACAACTAATGTGTGTTGTGTGTGGCATTTGTGTTATGTATGTGTGTGTGGTGTGTGGCACATGTGTGTTTTGTATTGTGTGTGTGTATTGTGTTGTATGTCTGCACGTAGTTTGTGTGTTTGTTGTATAAGTGTTGTGTGTGTGTTGTATATTTTAGGAATGTGTGATGTATGTGTTCTGTACTGGCTGTGTGTGTTGTGTGTAGTATATTATATGTGCTGTGCATGTGTTGTGTGGTGTTTGGTGTGTATTAGATGTGTGTGTTGTGTGTGTGTTATGTGTGTTGTGTGGTATGCCTGTATGTGTTGTGTGTGTTGGGTATGTGTTATGTAGTTGTGTGTGTTCTCTGTGTTATGTATGTGTTGTGTGTTGTATGTGCTGTATGCGTGGTGTGTAGTATGTGTGTGTTGTATCTATAGTGTGTGTTGTATGTTATATGCGTGCATCGTGTGTGTGGTTGTAGTGTGTCTATAGTGTGTGTGTTGCAGGTGTGTGTTGCAGGTGTGTGTTGCATGTGTGTGTTGTATATCTGTACTGTGTGTTGTATAAGTGTGTCACGCATCTATGAATCCAGAAGCAGGAGAGTGGGGTGAAGCTGGGAGGAACACAGTCCTCAATAACAATGGGCAGCACTGATTGAGGACTGAGACGCCAGGCACTAGGGTAGAACTATTACATAGATTACCTTTCAGGAATGGTGATGATAGATGGTAGCTTTGCTTGTCCCCATGTACCAGCTGAGGATAGAAACTCAGAGCAGTGAAGATACAAGTCAGGACCATGAATAAGTAGCAGAGCCAGCACTTCTAGCTAGGTTTGTTTGACTCTGAGGACAGCATCCTTTCAGTTCAAACATCCTTCCACACTGAGTGCCTCTCTCTGCTGTTTAGTATCTAGGGTGACCAAACATCCTAGGGAAAGAAGGGTGTTGACCCCAGCGCCAGCCCCTGCCCCTCCTAGGCTGGTGCTGAGGTCATTCTAATTTAGGCCCAGCCCAGCCACATACCCTGATGGCCTCCTGCTTAGGTCCATGGAGGGGGAACATGAGTGCAACCAAGAAAGAGCCACATCTATTGCCAACAAATATCCTATTCTTAAAATAGAGATGATAACGTTCTCATATAATACAAAGTTATTGATTTCTATATTTCACAAATACTTATTGAGCACTTGTTATCTGTCTCACTATTGGAAGTTTAACAAATAATCATTATTACATTTAATCCTCAAACTAAATTTGTAAAAAAGCTTACTATTACTTGATTGTTTTTCAAAATGCATTCAGGGAGGTTATGTAACTATCCTCCAATATTCTATGGGAGAATGAGGCTTAAAACCCACGGCTTTAAATGTTTTTTTTTTCCCCACTACCCTACTTTGCTTCAGGGATAGGAATAATGGCACTAAATAAAAGTAAAAAAAATATTATCTGGAAAAATAATAAGATTTGGTCAGAGCTCTATTTCTGTTACATCCATAAGTAACAACTTTAGATGAAAAAATGGCTATAATAGGTAAGTTTTGACCATACTTCTATAAACCAGGCACATCTTCATGATATTAACACATGAATAAATGCTGGGAATTGGAGGGGCCTCTTTGCTTAGGATGGATAGCATCTTTAAGTCCTAGATGAATATAAATATGCTTTGTGTTCAGTATTTAGAAGACAGAGACACAATAGCATTTCTCATATTAAAAAGAAACAGATAATTAGAAGCACTTACTTGGACTGTAGTGATTTCTTTATTCTTTTGTCCTGGCCCTGCACAGCTGTGCCTATTATTGCCAAGTCTTCCATCTGTTATAATCTATCACAGGAGTTACTGGGGGTAGAATAATACATGCAGCCTTCTCTTGCATTCTGAAATACGTGTAGGCATGTTACAGGGTCCGGGCAGTGAATGCTTAAAGGAACTCTGTGATGTTTCTACCACAAGGTGTCTATATTCTGAGTTTTTATTTTTAATAGGTCACAATTGTGTTCAGTTATGGATTGTAGAATTCCCCATCTAACTAGTCTAGTTGGTAGATGAATTCCCAGAAACAATGCCAGTAGAATACCCTCCCTTCCTCCTAAACTGAACATAAAGCTAGTGCTGGGTTTACTGAGGCAGTTTAATAATTTTTGGCTGGTCATCAGAGATGCCAACAGTGTAAGGAACTGGCAAATACAAAAGAAAGGTGTCTCCTTTCTTGTTCACCCTGAGGGTATCAATGTAGGAAGTGAAAATAAACATTTGATTATGAAGTTTAAGTTCCTCATGCTAGATAATGTTTTGATTCAAGGGTGTTTCTCTTTACTTTTGGTGCCTATTTCCTTGGGGCTTAGGGGTTGGGAGAAATAATTCAGTTTACAGAGCAGTAAGAAGGTCTTGGGCTGTCTTGCTTGATTAATGTATAACATTTCAGCCCTCTACCCCAACTGGTTCTTAGATTCATTCAACATACATCAGATGAAGAAAGAAAAATGGGTGATCGAAATTATTTGAATTTTTAAAAAGCTTGAGATTGGATATGATCTCTGTGATGTTTGCAGTTATTATTGAATGGTATTCAATCAAGGGCAGAAATCTTAATGACAAATTTTGCTATTACCTTTGTCCCAATGTGCCATTGTTTTACTTTCCAAAGGCATCAGGAGATTAGGAACTGCCAGTACATAACTTTATTTTGGCATGTTTCTCTCAGGGAAATTCCTTTCTTCTTTGGTGAACTCAGATGCCAAAGAAAATAGAATTTGATGTGGGTGATCATCTTATTTCTTCAGTTCTGCATTGCAAGCTTCTGTTGCATAAAATCCTTGCCTGATGATCCTCTGTGTTCCCTTAGTTCCTTGCACACTGCAGGTCCTTAGCAAATAGGCACTGGATGGTGGATGTATCCCACCCCATTGCATCAGGGATCTGTGATGTCCAAATAAGTGGCACAATGTGAGGATTACAAAGTAGTCCCATTTTGGAATCACTTTTTGAAAGTAGAAGCAAGAACTGGCAATATCAATTACTGCAATCCTGTGTGACAATTCCTTGAAATACTCCTTTGAGTAACACAAGACAGATGACCTCACTGTCTCAGTTTCCAGCTCACTAAGCATCTATAGCACAGACCCAGCCCTACAGAGGGACCCATCCAATGTTCTCTTTTCCTACTCAAAACTCATAGTGGGAGAACTAAGATTGACACATATATTTATGCCCCATCTAACCAAGTATGGCACAAGGGAGGGTTAGCATAGGAACAGAAAAGAAGATATGTCTGCATGTAGATTAGAAGAGGGGGAAGTTCTAGAAAATGAGAACTTGTCAACTGGGCAGCCATCCAGAGGATTTTGACCATAACGTTTTTGTTGGACGGGATGGTTCCCTTATAAGAGTCATTTCCAGTGGGGCTGATCTGGCAGCAGTGAGATTTTACTTAGGGGGATTGAAGGAGGGACCGTGAAGAAGGCCTTTGCTATAGCCCATTCTGAGGTGATAGGGTCTGAGGGAGACACCCTTCTTTTAAGGAGCCATTGGAATCAGGTGAGATTTGTTTAAGGGAACAACATGAGCTCAGGTGGTAGCAGAAAGCCCATCTGTTCTTAGCTGATATGCAGAGAATTCAGTGGCGCAGCTCAGTGTCCATCTAGGTTCCCAAGTAGCATGTCCAATCGGGACAATGGGACTTGGCACTGAAAATTGAGGGGAAGCTGCCTTCATCAAGTTATATTAATGAGGCTGTCAGGGACAGACCATGAACACCAGGGATTCCTTCAGCAGGAACAGAAGCCCTGGCTGAGGGTGGGTGTCCAAAGCTAAGTGCAGTCATCCTTCAGTAACCCCAGGGGACTGGTTCCAGGGCCTCACTGGATACCAAAATCCACAGATGCTCAAGTCCCTTACAGTCAGCCTTCCACTGCATCTGCAGGTTCTGCATCTGAGCACGGATTCAACCAACCGCAGATCCATAAAAATTCTATCCTTGATTAGTGAAATCCTCGAATTTGGAACCCACAGATAGGGAAGGCCAACAGTAATGCCCATGGTGGAAGGAAGGGAATTCTTTACTTAATCAAGGCAGGGATCCATGTACCAGAAATGGAAAACAAGTTGGTTGAATTGATCCTATTAATACAAGTAATACTGTGGCATCAGGACAGCAGAGGTGGAAGTGGGCTCCACTGTATAAAGTGGGCAGAGGAAGCCTAAGGTGGGATGATGGTGAGAGGGGCATGCTGGGAACCAGTGATGGATGCTGAGGCCAACACCCGTGTGACATCCATGCTGGGGGACAGAGACAGAAAAGTAGAGGCTGAGGGTGGGAAGAGCCATGATCTGATGGACAGATGGGATCTGGGTGACAGCTGTCCCTGAAGACAAAAGGAAAGGTGCACTTAAGGAGAAGGGGGATGATTGTCAATAGCAAATACTTCAGCCAAGTCAAGGCAGATGAAAAGCTGAGAAAAGTCCTATGACTAAGAATTACTGGTTATCTGCTTAAAAATCTGAACTCCATTACACTTTTTTTCTAACATCTCCCCCGTTTCCCCCGCTACAAGTGCAGGCTGTCTTTCCACACCCATGTTGCGTTTCTGAAGCTCAGTGCGGGTCACTCAAAGGCAGTGCCCTGCCAAGCCTCTCAGTGAATCAGGAAATACCACAACTCTGGCTCCTGGTTTCCCACACTCGCTGCCACTAAGCATTGCAGGATACGATGGCAACGTTGTTGGTGAAATTTTAAGGCAAGTTGATTGACAATTTTTTGCATAATAATTTATCCACCTCAACTCATTTTCAACTCCCCTAACCTAGTTGGTGTTAAAGAAAATTCCTAGCTCAGTAATTCATTCTGTTACAATGTTACCTTGCAGGTCTTATCCTAGATTATTTTGGAAATGAACCATGCTAGAAGGCTTGAAGATATGGAAGAACAAAAGGATAAACACCAAAGGGAGATTCCAGAGAAGGGTGAAGGTGATGAGGTAGAAAACTCATGTGTGGGGATAAGTCTAGACAAGATGAGAGCTGCGACCTTTGCTGAGATGACAAGAAGTGTTTGCGGGTGGGTATAATAATAATAATAATAAAGTGTGTGTGTGTGTGTGTGTGTGTGTTGGGGAGAAGTGAGAATAATTAATGTCTGATGCAGAACTTTGTAAATTACAAAAAAAAAAAAAGGCACCTCTTCTGGGTGGACTGACTGTCAAAGGATTCTCTCTCCCATCAAGCAAATTATACCAACCGAGGAGCCCTCTACCTCAGCACAGACTGGATTTCAATTCCCACACTGTTCATGGGTCAGTAGCCTTTATGCAGTGCACATGATGCACATCTGTATTTAGCAACCTTTCATGAGAGTTCTATTTTATTTTTAATATTAAAAATGTGGATCTGATACTGAGAGTAAGGAAATTGATAAAAGGAGATTAAAGGAAATTCATGTATGTTTAAAATATTCATTGAGTCAAATAAGAATGGAACCTTACTAGAGAGAAGCAAATGGAATTAGGGCCACTTCTGAATTTGGGGAAAAAAGGGTATCTTTTGGCAATATTTGTGTCTGTCTCCATATGGGTAGGCATCTGAGAGGTGGGGCAAAACAATGGATGACTTAATGATTGAGGGTGACATCATATTGCAAGAAAGACCAATGGAAAGGGGTTAAAAGTATTGCAAGTAGATAGAGAGCAGAATGATGGTGACCAGAGGCTGGGAGGGGTAGTGGGGTGAAGAGTGGGGATAGTTAATGGATACAAAAATATAGTTAGATAGAATGAATAAGAGCTTGTATTTGACAGCATAAGAGGGTGATTACAGTCAATAATAATGTACATTGTTAAATAACTAAAAGGGTATAATTGGAATGTTTGTAACACAAAGAAATGATAAATGCTTGAAGTGATGGGCACCCCATTTACTCTGATGTGATTATTATGCATCATATGCCTGTATCAAAATATCTCACGTATTCCCTAAATATATATATCTACTGTGTGCCTGTAAAAATTAAAAGCAAAAACAAAAACAAAACAATGTAAATGTGAGAGTATGATGAAAATCAGCACATGAAAAGTATCACAAGTGATTTGTTCACCTGATGGACTATGAACTTGAAGATGGATATTGAAAAGTGAGGCCAATGAATGGTGGCTAGACTGCAAACATGGTGGGGTCAAGGGGTTGAAAGAATTGTCAAACTCAAGGAGTGGGTGCCGTGGAAGCAAGGAGGTGAGCACGCTGGAAGTGCAGTTTGTGATCTGAGCACATCGCTGGGCACTGGGCTTTCAGGTGTAGATCAGTTGTGGGTGATGGCAAATTGTGGACCACAGCCACTGGGTGGCTCATGGGTCTGAGCCTGAGAGTCATTGGAATTGAGAATTTCAAAGATCATGGTTAAATTGGTTGGATGGCTGCTTTGCATAGACCTTGAAGTCTTCCAGGATAATGGGAGGAGGTGAATTAAAGAGGTGTGAACTTGGATCTGCAAACCTGGATTAATGAGAGTTGTGTGTGGCATGGGGTGGTCAGGGATCTGCATCCATACATCTTTATATCAGGAATTTCAGCAAGGAGAAAAGGGATTTTGAGCGAGTAGAGGTGAACTAGGAAAATCACACCTCTCCAGTTGTCTTATTAGCCATCTGTGGGAGAATGAGCTGCCTCTGCTTACAGTAACCACTCTCCTCAGGGGAAAGATTGCTTTCAGTTAAGTGGAAAGGGAGAAACTACCTTTGAAGAGCCTGTGGATTTTGTGCCGGCCCCTATGACCTAAAACCCTTGGGACATATTTAGCTTCTGAAGGAATCCCCACCCCTGCCTCCCCAACAGTATAGCTTTTTTTTTTTTAATGTTGCTGGCTTTCTTTCCTTTGACACTGAACATGCTTCCAAATTTCCAGGAAACTGTGCTTCCCTGGAGATTTCAGATTCTCTCTAGGTATAAAGTTGTTTCAAAGACAGCTGTGACTACAGTAATAAGTGTCAGCCATGAGTCTGACAGGGTTGCACAGCCGAGTGTGACATTTACACAGGGTTCAAATGAAACATAGCCACAGCTGCCTCAGTGCCTCTGTCTTCCCAGGCTGGGCTGCTGGGCCAGGAAAGATGGGCTGGAGTTCTTCCCTTCAGCTGTAGTATTAAAAGAGTTGAGAAAAATAATGTCTACATTACATACTTTTTGGGTAGTTTTAAATTAATAAAAATAATCAGGATCCCTTAAAAAATTCTAAAATCGACAAACAAGGTTGGAGATTTGCATTCATAGAGCAACACAGCTATGAAATTTCCTGTTTCAAAAAGGAGGAAATGTGGCTCACAGCTATAATATCAGCATTTTGGGAGGCTGAAGTGGGCAGATCACTTGAGCCCAGGAGTTCAAGACCAGCCTGGGCAATATAGTGAGACCCTGTCTCTACAAAACAAAAAACAAAAAACTTAGCAGGGTGTGGTAGCACAGTCCTGTAGTTCCAGCTACATGGGAGGCTGAGGTGGGAGGATCACTTGAGCAGAGGAGGTGGAAGCTGCAGTGAGCCCTGGTTGTGCCACTGCACTCCAGCTTAGGCAACAGAGCAAAACCCTGTCTCAAAAAAAAAAAAAAAAAAAAAAGAGGAAAGGAAATGAAATGCCGAAATACAATTCACAGAAATAACAAATGAGACCCAATAGGTAGAATTCTATAGTGTTCCTGATGGAAAATACGTGTGTGTGTAAATGTAAGGAAAGGTCTGGAAAATATTATTGCTCTAAAAAAAGGGAAGGAATTATGGTTAAACTGCTATCACTTTTCTGATAAAATATTTAGAATGGCAAAAGTCCTGAAAGATACACTCATTTTGTTGTATTTTTTAAATTTAGCTTCAGAATATGTCTACTTTAATTCAGATGAAACCAAATATTTCCATGAAGTTTGAAAGACAGTAAAGAACAAACAAAATATTGGAATGACAAGAATAAAATCAGTCCACAATTTCTTGTAGACAGCACAAAACAATAGATTTCCTTCAACTCGTCACAGCTTGTACAAGCTGAGTTCATTAACTAATATCTGCAACAAGAACTATTTTTTAAAACCCTGAAATACTATATATCTAGCAGTATTTTCTAATCATAAAATGGTATCCAGAAGAATATTCAGGAGGATTTTAAAAGACTGACAATGGCAGCATTTATAACAGGAGGAGTATAAAACAGTACTGCTGGCATTTAGAGGTGGCATGAAACAAAATTCTAGCTTGTGGCTAATGTTTTGGGAATGGTAAGAAAGGGAGTTTTCCTGAGAACATAGCCTCTGAGTTGGTCCCTAACCTAGCCCTCTTATGAGCATTATTATTCCTAGAATTTAGGGATCATATCTAAATCTTTGCATCTCCTACAGAAGTATTTTTCAATTTTTCAAACAAGTGATAGTGTATGACATAGTACTCATGTACGTCCATGCATACCTCCATTGTACACACACATAGGGTTTGTGTGTACTATGTGTGCATATATCCATAAGATGCACAGTGATACTTTCTTTTTTTTCCTAATCTCTTCTCTTCTTCATTCACTTTTAAAATGCTGAACTTGACTCTACTACACTGATTTCATAATCTACTAATATGTTACCCTCATAGATGAAATAACGGCCTGCTTATGATCATCTTGTAATGAACATGTGAAGATTTGGTTTCTGATGTCCCTCTTCTTGCTTCACTTTTTCAAATAATAATTATTCTTTTTTAAATAAGTGGTCTTGCCCTGTCACTCAGGCTAGAGTGCAGTGGCACAATCATAGCTCACTGCAGACTCATACTCCTGGGCTTAAGCAATTCTCTCACTTAGGCTGGACTTGCATGTCTTCACTTGTTTGAGCTGTGCTTTCTCGTGATGATTCAGAATGTTTCTCAACCTTTACATGCAGAACGAGGCCCCATTACCACTGTCTACTAGTAAGGAAGGGTTCATTGCCTGTGCGTGGACCAAGTGCTCTCACTGTCTCCCAAGTCCTTGGTTCTGGAGTGTGCATTGGAAAATGAGGCTCTGAATACTTTTTATTTCATCAGAACATACTTAGGCCTAGACCTCGGTATTCACAGCTCGAGGAGGTAAAAATATTTGCACACCCTTCTCCTCTATGTCACAGCTGATGGCTTTGCCTCATTTTGCAGAGAAACTAAATGGATGGGAACATTCTTATGTTCCTGCCCCAAATCTACCAACTCCACTGCACTGGCCTCCACACCTGGCACCTTCCATCCCTCTAGGATGGCCAAAGTGGCCCTTCTTCAAAGGCTGACTCCTGCACCATGCTTGAGTTACTTCCCCTGTTGTTGAATATTTTGCACCTGCTATCATTCTCTCTTCCTCTGCAAAAACACATCTCACTCTTGTGCGCAGGCTCTTCATCAGCTGTCTCCTTGTTGCTTTGCTTTTCTAACAGCAAAACTTCTCGAAAAAGTGCCACATATTTCCTCCACCCGCTTTCTGAATCTCTGTCTCACCACAGTGCACTGCTCTGGGGCGTCAGTTCCTGCGGCTCCAGGACATCTGCTCTCGACATGGTTATGAATGATGTCACATTGCACAGCCTGATGCCACTTGTTTGGTCCTTCTGTTCAAACTCAGAGGCATTTGCATAACTGACCACATCACCTTTCTTAAAAAACTCTAGGCTCCATATCCTGAGTGCCCTCCCATCTGGCGGCGGCTGCTTCTTAGTTCCCTGTGCTTGCCTCGCCCTTTCCAGCTTTCTCATTCCCTGTTGTCCTTTTAGGTTCCATTGGTTTTCAAATCAGCATATTGTCAGTCTCCACCCTCTGAGTTGCATGCTCCATCATAATAAGGACATATATGTATATTTTTGCCCCTAATAAACTCCAGTATCTAGAACAGTTTAGGATCCAAAAGAGTTGTTCAATTCTTTGTTGAACAAAGGTAGTACTCTTTTACACATTTATGTTTCAAGGTTTCATAGGTAAATACTGTCAGTGCTATTGTGCAATAGATATTCTTTTATGTTTTCTTTTATAAAAGCATAACCCCAAGCCTTTAAATCCATCAACATTGCTATGCATGAATTTAATTTGTTGCTTTAAATTGTAGCATGATGTTTTGTATCATGTAAACATTACAATTTTCTTTTTGTCTATTTTCTTACGGATGAACACTTTGGTTGCCTCCAACTTGAGATACTGCAAATATTGAAGCCAAAAGTTGTCCTATGAATGTTACATTGGAGGCCAGTGAATTTCTCTGCATTTATCAGTTTGATCAGTGCAGATTGATATCTTGTTTTTCTTTGAAATTATCTAACAACTAATAAATTTGAGCATATCTTTCTGAACTGGTTAGCTTTATGGGTTTTCCTTTTATTATTTGTCTTTTTCCTGTCTTTGCTGAATTAAACTTTTTAGGTTTCCTATATTTGCTTATGTTTTTAGGAATTTCTTATATTTCTAAATAGTAATCTTTGCTAAAGTTTTACATTTCAATTATCTTCTCACAGGCTATCCTCTACCATAGCTTCATATTTGTTTATTCTGGTTGAATAGATATTTCAAATTTTGATAAAATACGTTCCAGTAATTTCCTTGATCCTAATGGTTTGTGAGTGTTTAATTTTGTTTAAAAGAGAATTCCCTACCTCTAGATCCTAAAGATGGTGTTCTATATTTTCATCTCTTAGCTTATGTTATCTTTCACTTTTAAGTCTATAACACTGAACCCCCTTATAGTTAGTTTAAGATATAGATCCAGCTTTATTTTCATGTAAGCTCAGCAGTCTGCCCCAAACAAGCTATTAAATATTTTTCCTTTTATTGTTAGTGTATTGGTGCCACTTCTATTGCATATCAGGTTATATATGTTTCATGAGGTTTTATTTCTGACTTTGCCATTTTATTTGAAAACAGTCTATATTTTAGTTGGAACAATCATATCATACAGTTTTTTTATTATTAATATTAACATTATTATTATTCCATTATATTATAAATTCTTACAAGACAAATTTCTCTTTTATTTTCTCAAGGCTAATTTAGCTATTCATGAACCTTTATTATCTCATGTAAATTTTTAAGTAATTTTATTGAGCACTTGGAAATAAATCCAGCTGAGTTTTAATTGTGATTAGATTATACATTTATAGATTAATTGGAATTAAATACAATATTTTTATTTTTTTACCCTAATCAGGTTTTAAGAATTTTCTTTAAAAAGTCGTGTATTTTCCCACAGAATTGGAAAAAACTACTTTAAAGTTCATATGGAACCAAAAAAGAGCCCGCATCGCCAAGTCAATCCTAAGCCAAAAGAACAAAGCTGGAGGCATCACGCTACCTGACTTCAAACTATACTACAAGGCTACAGTAACCAAAACAGCATGGTACTGGTACCAAAACAGAGATATAGATCAATGGAACAGAACAGAGCCCTCAGAAATAACGCCGCATATCTACAACTATCTGATCTTTGACAAACCTGAGAAAAACAAGCAATGGGGAAAGGATTCCCTATTTAATAAATGGTGCTGGGAAAACTGGCTAGCCATATGTAGAAAGCTGAAACTGGATCCCTTCCTTACACCTTACAGAAAAATTAATTCAAGATGGATTAAAGACTTAAATGTTAGACCTAAAACCATAAAAACCCTAGAAGAAAACCTAGGTATTACCATTCAGGACATAGGTGTGGGCAAGGACTTCATGTCTAAAACACCAAAAGCAATGTCAACAAAAGCCAAAATTGACAAATGGGATCTAATTAAACTAAAGAGCTTCTGCATAGCAAAAGAAACTACCATCAGAGTGAACAGGCAACCTACAAAATGGGAGAAAATTTTTGCAATCTACTCATCTGACAAAGGGTTAATATCCAGAATCTACAATGAACTCAAACAAATTTACAAGAAAAAAACAAACAATGCCATCAAAAAGTGGGCAAAGGATATGAACAGACAATTCTCAAAAGAAGACATTTATGCAGCCAAAAGACACATGAATAAATGCTCATCATCACTGGCCATCAGAGAAATGCAAATCAAAACCGCAATGAGATACCATCTCACACCAGTTAGAATGGCAATCATTAAAAAGTCAGGAAACAACAGGTGCTGGAGAGGATGTGGAGAAATAGGAACACTTTTACACTGTTGGTGGGACCGTAAACTAGTTTAACCATTGTGGAAGTCAGTGTGGCGATTCCTCAGGGATCTAGAACCAGAAATACCATTTGACCCAGCCATCCCATTACTGGGTATATACCCAAAGGACTATAAATCATGCTGCTATAAAGACACATGCACACGTATGTTTATTGCGGCACTATTGACAATAGCAAAGACTTGGAACCAACCCAAATGTCCAACAACGATAGACTGGATTAAGAAAATGTGTCACATATACACCATGGAATACTATGCAGCCATAAAAAAGGATGAGTTCATGTCCTTTGTAGGGACATGGATGAAATTGGAAATCATCATTCTCAGTAAACTATTGCAAGGACAAAAAACCAAACACTGCATGTTCTCACTCATAGGTGGGAATTGAACAATGAGAACACATGGACACAGGAAGGGGAACATCACACTCTGGGGACTGTTGTGGGTTGGGGGGAGGGGGGAGGGATAGCATTGGGAGATATACCTAATGCTAAATTACGAGTTAATGGGTGCAGCACACCAGCATGGCACATGTATACATATGTAACTAACCTGCACATTGTGCACATGTACCCTAAAACTTAAAGTATAATAATAATAATAAAGTTGTGTATTTTCCTATGTGAGCTTCATTCCTCAATATATAGTTTTTAATTGTTATTGCTGATATAGAGAAGTGATCTTTATTCTTTTAAATTCTGTACTAGGAAACTTGTATTCTTACTTCTAATAGTATATTAAATTCCTGTTGTGTTTTCTATAGTTGATCATAAAATCTATAAACAATGAACATTTTATTTTTTTCAATTCTGTACATGCATTGTTTCTTTTGCTGGGCTTTATGTATTACCCAGAAGGTCTGGTCCCTAGCAGGCATTCTTGTCCTCTCTGTATTTAAAGGGAGTAGTCAAGACTTCTGGTTACTGCTCCAGATATAAGAAACTCAGAGATCATTGCTTCTGTCCATGCAACAAGAAAAAAGCTGAGCAAACTAAAAATCAACAACTCTTCTTAGAGCCATTAGAGGGCAGTCATAGAGCAAACTGTCACTCCCAAAATTAAGAAGATAGGCAGCACCAGGCAACTTACCAGAGCCAAAGCCCAGGAGCAGAGATGCCCACAGGGACAAGTACTGAAGAAAGAAATGTAACTCATAATGAAGGAAGTGTGGGAGGCTCAGGGAGAACAAATTTGAAAGTTAAAAATGAGGAAGACTCTGTCTTAGGAGGGTCCCCACACTTTCATCAGTTTTGCTCTTCTAGCCCTGCCAGGTTCTCACAGTGAGGGCGGGAGAAAAATCCCCTGATGCTTTTGGCAGGGTGAGATGAGAGGAGCTATTTTGAAGTATGCCCAGAGCATTCTGATTTTCTTAACAAGGCCTGCATCCAACTATATCAAAATTGCTCTAAATGTCAGTAGTCTAAATATACAGGTTAAAAGACAGAGATTGTTAGAATGATTTTTTTAAAGTTCCAACTATATGTTTTCTGTGAAATTCTCACTTTAAATATAAAAACTTGGATAGATTAAAAATGAAGAATTGGAGAAAGGTATACCATGTTAATACTAGTTAAAAGAGACCTGGAGAAGCTATACTAACTTTAGACAGAGCAGACTTCAGAGTAAGTAAAACTGCCAGGCATATAAAGGTATATGAAGGTATATAAAGGTATATAAAGGTAACGACTGAGGAGTTGATTCTATCATAACATATACGGATTTAACAGAACATTGAAAGACGTGAGCAAGAGCATTGGTAGAAGTGCAAGGAGAAATTGATGAATCCACTTTCATAGTTGGAGATTTCAACATCCTTTCATTACTAATAGATCCAGTGGTTCAGTGATGATATAGTGAATTGAACAACACCTTCGGTCAACTGGACTTAATTAACATCTATAAAATACTTCATATAATAAGAACAGAATACACGTTGTTCTCAAGCTCACATGGAATATTCACCAAATTAGAACACATTATGGGGCAGAAAACATACCTTAACAAATTGGAAAGATAGAAATCATGCAAGGTTTGCTCTTAGATTACAATAACAGAAAGATAGCTGGAAAATCCCAAAATACTTGGAGATTAAAGAAAACACTTCTGAATAACATGTGGATTAAAGAAGAAATTTCAAGAAAAATTTAAAAAATATTTTTAACTAAATAAAAATTAAAATACAATTCATTACAATTTGTGAAATGCAGTGAAAGCAGTGCTTAAATGGAAATTTATAGTATTCAATGTATATATTATAAAAGAGAAAGATTTTATTTTTTATTTTATTTTCTACCAAATAGAAATGGGGTCCTGTTATGTTGCTCAGGGTGGTCTCAAACTCCTGGGCTCAAGGGATCTTCCTGCTTCTTAGTGCTGGGATTATAGGCATGAGCCAGCATACCTGGCCTTAAAAACAATAATGTAGGCTCAACTGAAGTAAACTAGAAAAAGAAGAAAAGATTAAATTAAAACTAAGTAAAAACAAAGAAACAATAAAGCTTAAGGCAGTAATCATTGAACTTGGAGACAGGAAATCAATACAGAATGTCAATGAAGCAAAACAAATTTTTTGAAATAATTGATAAAATTGACAAACCTGTAAGAAGGAAAAAAAGAAAAAAGGAAGAAACACCATTATAGCAAGCTTGCAGGAAATAAGGTTAATGTACAAAAGTCAATTACTTTCTTACATGCCAATAATGAACAATTGGAATTTGATATTGAAAACACAAAGCCATTTACATTTGAATGAAAAAATGAAACGCATATACAAATCTTTGAAAATATATACTAAATCTATTTGAGTGGAGACTGTAAAACTGTGAGGAAAAAAAACAAACATAAATAAATAGAGATACTCCATATACATGGATAAAAAGACTCAATATTTTAAAATAGCAGTTTTTCCCAATTTGATCTATAGATTCAATACAATCCCAATGAAAATCCTAGCAAGTTATTTTGTGGACATCAACAAACAGATTCTAAAGTGTATTTTGAGGCCAGTTCGGGTGGCTCATGCCTGTAATCCCAGCGCTCTGGGAGGCCAAGGTGGGCGGATCACTTGAGGTCAGGAGTTTGAGACCATCCTGGCCAACCTGATGAAACTCTGTCTCCACTAAAAATGCAAAAATTAGCCAGGTTTGGTGGCGCATGCCTGTAATCTCCGCTACTAGGGAGGCTGAGGCAGGAGATGCTTGAACCCAGAAGTGGAGGTTGCAGTGAGCAAAGCTCGCGCCACTGCACTCCAACCTGGGCAACAGAGTGAGACTCCATCTCGAAAAAAAAAAGTGTATTTTGAAAGTAAGAAAACTTAGAATGGAAACAGTATTGACAAAGAAGCACAAGGTCAGAAGATTGATGCTAACTGACTTCAAGGCTTACTATGAAGCTATAAGAATCAAGACAATGGGGTATTGGCTAAGGAATAGACATATAGACTGTTGGAACCAAATAGAGAGTCCAGGCATAGATCCACAAAAATATAGTCAATGAAACTTGGACAAAAGTGCAGAGGGAATTCAACAGAGAATGGATAGTTTCTTTGACAAATGGTGCTGGAACAAGTGGGCATCCGTGTGCAAACAATAAAATAAATTCAGACAAGGACTGTATACTTTTTATAAAAGCAAACTCAAAATGGATCATAGACTTAGTTATAAAACTCTAGCATAAATCTTCTGGAAGATAAATGATATAGAAGAAAATCTAGGAGACTTTGGGTTTGGTGATTATTTTTTAGATACAGTGACCAAAAGCATGATCCAAGAAAGAAAAATAAAATGATAAATTAGACTTCATTAAAATTAAAAAATTTCTGCTCTGAGATAGACACTGTTATGAGAAAGAAAAGATAATCCACAGACTGGGAGAAAATATTTGCAAAACACATGTAAGATAAAGGACTGTTATCCAAAATACACAAAGACACAAAGCTCAACAATAGGAAATTATTAAATATTGTAAAGGCATTGAATATTGTACTGACATTAAATTGTATTATTGTAAAGGCATTAATTCCTTTATAAATGTATTATTGTAGAGGCATTAATGCCTTTATAAATGCCTTTACTATTGTAAAGGCATTAAATATTGTAAAGGTCAATTAAACAATCCAATTAAAATGAGCAAATATCAGAACAGATATCTCATCAAAAATATACAGATGGCAAATAGGTATATGAGAAGATATTCAACATTATTATAATACAATTATAAATGAAAACAACAATGAGATACCACTATACACTTACTAGAATGGCTGAAATCTAAAACATTGAAAACTCATAAGCCAATTAAACATTTAGTAACAGGAACTCTCATTCGTTGCCAGCAGGAATGCACAGTGATATAACTAGTTTGGAAGAGAGTTTGGCAGTTTCTTACAAGACTAAACATAGTCTTACCATATGATCCAGTAATCATGCTCCCTGGTATTTACTCAAATGAATAAAAAATGTACATGCCCATAAAACTCTGCAAACAAATGTTTATAGCAGCTTTATTCAGAATTTCCACAATTTAGATGCAACTAATTCTTTCCATAGGTGAATGAATACACAAAGTGTGGTTCATCTATACAATGAAATATTACTCAACAATAAAAAGATGGCTGGGCATGGTGGCTCATGTCTATAATCCCAACACTTTAGGAGGCCAAGGCAGGAGGATCACTTGAGCCTAGGGATTTCAAACCAGCCTGGGGAACACGGCGCAACTCCATCTCAACAAAAAAATACAAAAATTAGCTGGGCATGGGTGGCATGTGACTATGGTCCTGGCTACTTGGGAGGCTGAGGTGGGAAAACCGTCCGAGTCCAGGAGGTTGAGGCAGCAATGAGCCATGATCACACCAGTGTACTCCAGGCTGAGCAACAATCTCAAAGAAACATACAAAAAAAAAAAAAAAGAAATATTTTCTTAGTCAGCTTCAGCTTCCATAACAAAATTCCATAGACTGGGTGATTTAGACAACAGAATGTATTTCTCACAGTCCTGGAGACTGAAGTCAAATATCAAGGTGCCAGCAGGGCCAGTATCTGGTGAGGACTCTCTGCTTGAGTTGCAGAAGGCTGCCTTCTGGCTGGTTCCTTATATTAGCCTCTTTTTGGTGTGTGTGCATGAGGTGATCAGGAGTTGTCTTTCTTTTTCTTTTTTTCTTCTTATAAGGGCAGTAACTCCATCATGAGGGTCCCACCCTCATGACCTCATCTAAATCTAATTAACTCCCAAAGGTCTCATCTCCAAATGTCATCACACTCGGACTTAAGGCTTCAAGATATGACTTATGGAGGAGACACAAACATTCAGTTTATAACAGGTTCCTAGCCACATAAAGACATGAAGAAAACTTAATTATATATTGATAAGTGAAAGAAGCTAATGTGCAAAGACTATATACTCTATGATTCAACTATATCACATCCTGGAAAAGCTAAAACTATGGAGGCATAAGAGGATCAGTACTAGCCAGGGATTTGTGGGGCAAGGATGAAATAGTGGAACACAAGGGATTTTTTGAGCTGTGAAATTATTTTGTTGGATACTTTAATGGTGAATGTATATAATTATACATCAGCCAAAACCCACAGAGTGACCAAATTATGAACTATGTACTTTAGTCAATAATAATGTGTCAATATTAGCTCATTAATTGTAATTAATGTACAACACTCGTAAGATCTCAATAATCAGAAAGGCCAAGAGGGTATATAGGAACTCTCTATATTCTCTGCTCAAATTTTTGTAAACCTAAACTGCCCTAAAAAATGAATATTAATTTTTAAAAAGACAAGAAAAAAGTGAGTGACCTCAATTTTTAAATTAAGTGGCTTGAGAAACATAGTAATCAAATGAAATGTATATCTCCCAGTCTAGATTCTGATTTGAACAAATCAATGTAAAAATTAAGAGGAAATAATATTTTAAAGTGAAAGAAAAGGAGTACAGTTTAGTTTTTATGTATATATAATTTTGAAATTACACATGTAACTGTGTAATGCAGATACATTGATGATTAATACCCAAAAATCTATAAATGTTATCATATTTCGATTGCATTATAAATGTATTTTTCATTTAAGATATTTTGAATATTAATCATCAATGCATTCATGAGAAACATGATTACTGTATTTTACAATAATGTGTTAGGTACAATTAGGAACATCTTAACTAAAATTTTTGCACCTATGTTTATACAAAATAATGTGGATCTGTTGTCAAAATAATATTTATGTATTTATTTAAATTTTTCTCTTTATGCTTTAGACTTTGTTATCCTTTTGTTCTTGTCTGACAAAATGATTGGGTGACTTTGCCTTTTTTTCTTTTTTTTTTTTTTTTTTTAAGAAGTCTTATAGTATAAGTCAGCAGCCCGCAACCTTTGTGGCACCAAAGACTGGTTTCGTGGAAGATAATTTTTCCATGGGTCAGGGTGGCGGGTGGCGGGGGATGATTTTGGGATGATTCAAACGCATTACATTTATTGTTCACTTTATTATTATTACATTGTAATATATAATGAAATAATTATATAACTCGCCATAATTTAGAATCAGTGGGAGCCCTGAGGTTGTTTCCCTACAAGTAATCGGTCACATCTTGGGGTGATGGGAGACAGTGACAGATCATAAGGCATTAGATTCCCATAAGGAGCCCACAAGCTAGATCCTTTGCATGTGCAGTTCACAATATAATTAGATCCTCTCCTATGAGAATCTAATGCCATGGCTGATCTGACAGGAGGAAGAGATCAAGTGGTAATGTGAGTGATGAGGAGCAGCTGTAAATACAGATGAAGCTTCACTTCCTTGCCTGCCGCTTACCTCCAGCCGTGCAGCCGGGTTCCTAACAGGCCACAGACAGGTACTAGTCCATGGCCCAGAGGTTGGACCTGGTGTAGATTCTCAGTTCCTTGAAATGCTGACACTATTTACTTGTAACAATGTCTTCACCTGGGACTTTTTTGAAGAGGTAACTTGAATCACCTTTTTAAATGTATTTAAATATATCTATTCAAGTTGTCTATTTATTCTTGTTCCAAGTTATTGATTTATTTTTCATCCAGGTTTTAAAATTATTATTATACAGTTGTTTATATATACTTTTATAATTTTAACTACTATTATATATGTCTTCACCTCTCATTTTCTTTATTCTAAATTTTGTTTATTTGTGTCTTCTTTTTTATCTTCATGAAATCAATGTATCTTTTTTTACATGCCAAATGTATTTCATAAAGCAAGAAAATGAAATTTTATTTAATTAATTAATCTATTTATTTTTAGGTTCAGGTGTGCATGTGTAGGTTTATTATATATGTAAATTTGTGTCATGGGGGTTTGTTGTACAAATTATTTCATCACTCAGGTATTAAGCCTAGTACCTTTTAGTTATTTTTCCTGATCCTCTCCCTCTTCCCACTCTCCACCCTCCAACAGGCCCCAGTGTGTGTTGTTCCCTTCTATGTGTCCATGTGTTCTCATCATTTAGCTCCCACTTATAAGTGAGAATATGCAGTAGTTGGTTTCTGTTCCTGCATTAGTTTGCTAAGGATAATGGCCTCCAGCTTCCTATATGTTCCTGCAAAGGACATGATCTTGTTCCTTTTTATGAATGCATAGTATTCCATGGTTGGTATGTACCACATTTTCTTTACCCAGTCTACCATTGATGGGCATTTAGGTTGATTTCATATTTTTGCTATTGTGAATAGTGCTGCAATGAACATATGCATCTATGTATCTTTATAATAAAATGAAAATCAATATATCTTATTAATACAGGAGGTAGAAAGAAATTATTTAGACAGGTAGTGAGGACAACAAAGTCCTCGGCAGAGCTATCCTTTTAGTAAAAAGCAGCACCCCAAATCATGTCTTTTCTAACAAAGAGCAGCCTGAAAAATTGATCTGCAAAGATAGATAGGCAAGCTGGATGCTTGCAAGAGGGAATGCTGGCAGCTGCACCAAGAGAAAAGGGCTACCTGGGTGCCAGGCATGTCCAACAGGAAGGCTCCATCTTCCCTTTTTGGTTACATGTGTACAGAAACAAAGAAATGGGCAACATGGCACAGCTCAGGCAGAGAACTTGCCTGCATAATAAAGATTAAGGTGAGGGTCACCAGAAATTTGCAACCTATGTAAATGGCACACCTGGTCTAACCAGTTTTTTGCGCCTTCTGTGTGAATCAGACACTGCCTCCTCACCAGCTCATCTATAAAACCCCTTGCATTTCACTGCGGTCTGGCAACCCATTTTTCCAGGACCCCTCTCTGCAGCAGAGAGCTCTTCTCTTTCTTTTGCTTATTAAACTTCCACTCTCAACCTCACTCTTTGTGTGTCTGCATCCTTGTTCTCCATGAGTGTGGGACAACGAACCTCAGGTGTTACTTCAGACAACAATGCTGTTTCATTATTGATTTCTTGAAGAATCAGATTTTGGATTCGTTAAATTTCTCTATGGCGTTTTTTTCATTATTTTATATATATCTCTAAAATTTATTATTTTTCTTCTTCATGCTTAAGTTTATTTAAGTTTGAGATGCAGTTACAATTTGGACACAAAACCTTATATTGCTGCTCAGTTTCTATTGCTGCCCAGTTTCAAGTATCTCTTAATTTCTCTTTCTTTGTATTTACTCTTCCAATCACTCCTTGGTATCAGGGATGATACCGAGAAATAGATCTTCAAAAACAGGATTCTGACATTGGGTTGATCACTGTTTGCTCTTTAATAATTACCTCCTTTCCAGTGGCAAATAAAACATTGTAATAATCTGGCATCCAAATTATTTTTATTAATTACCTGCTGCTCTTTGGTGTAGAAAACTTATAAGTGACAGAATTTTGATATGATATGGCAAATAATACATTTGAGCAGAGTAATAATAGCTACAAGACCAAGGGTTGGGATGATGACTCAGCAATCTCACTCACAACAATAACAAGCTCAGAGCTAAAGTA
Organism: Homo sapiens; assembly: GCF_000001405.40. Lineage (NCBI taxonomy): Eukaryota > Metazoa > Chordata > Mammalia > Primates > Hominidae > Homo > Homo sapiens. Next base: position 51,797,612 of record NC_000007.14, read on the forward strand.
ACAGAGAACCTGAGAATTTACATGAATATTCTAAAAATATCTTCTGTTTTGTAGCTATGGAGAAAATTTGGCTAAAAATAAGATACAATATACAATTGCGCAAAAACATTGAATTGAATACAAAGCATCCATTAACTCTTCTCTGGGAAAGTAAAGGCATTGAGTGCAAGGCAGTGAGAAATGAGACTTTAGATAGGGATTTTGGGGTAAGACATGATAAATGTGAGAACTTTGAACCTTCAGAAATCCTCAGTCTTCCCTCACCAACAGAACTAGCTCCTGCTTCTAAGGAAATTACACATCTCTTGCTCAAAGACTTTGTAAATACTAGCATTTTTACCTGCTTTTTTTGCAAGAAGATGACTTTTCTCAAGAACAGTTTACCACTCACTATTGCCTTCTGATGCATAACTAGAGTAAGATGACTGCATACCCAAGAGGAATTAGTGCAAAACTGACTCATAAGAATCTAAGTTGTACGGGTACATACACACACACACACACACACACACACACACAGCATAAATTCTTATGAGTCAGATTTTGCACTCATATACATTCTATATACATTTATGGATGCATATATGCACATAAGAAACCTAAGAACATGGGTAGAAATGGTGCTTGCCAATGGATAATGCAATAACCTACCTGAGACTGTGTGGTCTTTTTAAATCTTGCTAATGTGGTAGAAAGAAGTAAGAAAGAGAGAATTTCTGCTGCTTGCTCCCTGACCGAGAATAGCAAACTGAAAACAGTGACACTTTTTTTGTATAATCACAGAGTCTGTGCCAACATAAATCACTAAAAATTACATTGCAGGTTTTATTTCTTCTACTCTCTTTTATCTCTCATATTTTACTTGAGCATTAAGTCAATATGTCTTTAAAAATGTCTGTGTGTTATCTTAAACTTTATCAGCTGGAGGCTTCAACTGCAGCTCTTTTTCCAGATGCAGTTTCTTTACTGGAATAATTCTATGTGCCCCTGGCACATGGTATGTAGTGATAGGTTTAGAAAATGCTTTTTCTTTATATTATTTTTAAAGTACTATCAATTACAGTTTACCTGGAAGGAACAGCAGTACACTTCCACTGGGCTATGTTGTTTCTGGTTTTCTATCATGATCTAGTTTGCAGAGACTATCCTCAGTCTTCATCAGTCTACTCTATTGACAACACTGTTCTGTTGTATCTGGTAAAGGCAGGAGAACTTCCCTTGTATGCATAAATAAGACACATATTTGTCAGAAGGTGATAAGCTAGAAATTTTTTTTAAAAAATATTTGCCTACAGTAAAATTGGCATTTTGTTTTGGCGTACAGGTCTATGTGTTTTAACAGAATAATAATTTGTGGAACTGCACCAGAATCAAAGTACAGAAAAGTTCCATAATCCAAAATATTCCGTCAGGAATTTTAATAGTCACATGCTTCTTCAACCCTTAATGCCTAGAAACCACTGTTCTGTTCATTTATAGTTTTGCCTTTTCCAGAATAGCCAATAAGTAGAATCCAAAAATACATAACCTTGTAAGACCTCTTTAATTCAACAGAATCCCTTTGAGATTCATTCGTTTTGTTTGTTTGTTTGTTTTTTTATTGAGATAGAGTGTGGCTCTGTCGCCCAGGCTGGAATGTAGTGGCACAATCTCTGCTCCTGCCAAATTCTGTCTCCCGGGTTCAAGAGATTATTATGCTCAGCCTTCCGAGTAACTGGGACTACAGGCACGCACCACTACGCCCAGCTAATTTTTGTATTTTTAGTAGAGACAGGGTTTCACCATGTTGGCCAGGCTGTTCTTGAATTCCTGACCTCAGGTGATCGCCTGCCCCGGCCTTCCAAAGTGCTGGGATTACAGGCATGAGCCACCACGCCCGGCCTCATTCAAGTTTTTGTTGGCTGAATTTTATTGATGACAACTATTCTATTATACAGATATAGCCCAGGGTTTTTTTTACCCATTCACATGTGAAGGATATCAGAGTTCTGAGTTCTGAGTTGTTTCCAGTTTTTAGCTTTTATAAATTTACTATAAACATTCATGTGGAAGTTTTTCTGTAAATGTAAACTTTTGATTCTCTAAGGTAAATATCCAGGAATGTGATTGCTGGGTCATATTTTAAATATATATTTAATTTTACAAGAAGTTGAAGAACTGTTTTTCCAGAATGGTTGTATCATTTTTAACCCATCAGCAATGTTGTTCTGCATCCTCATCGGCACTTGAAATTGTTGATATTTTTTATATTTTAATAGGTGTAGTGGTATCTCTTTGATTTTAGTTGGCATTTAAAGGATGTTTCGCATCCTTGACTATCCTCTTTGGTGAAGTGTCTTTTGTCTATTTTTAAATTTGATTGTTTTCCTTTCTGTTGAGTACTGAAAGTCTTTTGTATATTTGCAATGCAAGTCTTTTTCAGATATGTTATTTGCAGATATTTTCTCACAGTTCGTAGTTTGATGTGTCACTCTCCTAACCAGTCCTTCACAGAACAAAAGTTTAAAATTTTGATGAAATGTAGTTTATCACTGTTTTCTGGATAGTGCTTTTGGTGTCATATATAACACTTTGCATAACTTTGTGCCATGAAAGTTTTCCCTTGGGTTTTCTTCTACAAATTCTGTATCTTTGAATTTTACCTTTAGGTCCATACTTAATTTTGAGTGAAATTTTTTATAAGATGCTAAAGTGTACATTGAGGTATATATTTAAGTACATACCCCTATTCAATTGTTTAGCACAATTTCTTAAAAAAAGACTATATTTTCTCCAATTGAGCGTGCACCTTTGTCAAAAATCATTGTTCATATTCGTGTGGTCTACTTCTGAGCTGTTCTGTTACAGTAATCTAATTTTTGATCTTTCTGCCAATACTGCATTGTAGTGTGATCATTGTAGCTTTATGGTAAGTCTTAAAATCAGGTAGTTTGATTCCTCCATCTTCATTCTTATTTTTTTCTTTTCTATCAATTATTAATTTATTTACTTAAACTTATTTTGGTTATTGTGTTTTTTTGTTCTAATCTTTCCATTTGGTTCTTCTTTCTATCTTCTATTTATTTGCTTAAACTTTCTATACAGTTGGCCCTCCATGTCCGTGGGTTGCTTATCCACAGATTCAACCAACTATGGCTCAAAAACATTTTTAAACATTACATCTCTACTGAACAGGCACATATTTTTTTCTTGCCATTATTTCCTAAACAATACAGTATAACAGTGACTTACATAGCATTTACATTATATTAAGTATTTTAAGTAATTTAAAGATGATTTAATGTATAGGGGAAGATACCCATAGTTATATGCAAATACTATACCAGATTATGTAAGGGATTTGAGCATCTGCAGATTTTGTTATTTGAGGGAGGTCCTGGCACCAATTTCTTAGGGATTTCAACGGATGACTGTGTTTCCATTTGTTTCAAGAATTTTCATGATTGCATGCTAGGTAATTCCAATATCTGTGCTCTCTTAATATTGGTATCTGCTCTCTTATCACATGTGAGTTAATATTTTCCTAATCCTTTGTATGCCAAATAATTTCGGGTTTATAATGTGGACATTTTTAGGTTTCTAGAAACTGCACAATACATATTTCAATCCTATCAATTTGGTTTGATTTTCTCCTTTTATATTGCAAAAATATTAGAAAATCTATTGCAGTTAAATTTTTAAAATTAGTCGTTCTTGAATAAAAGGTTCTGTGTATAGTCATAAAGAGAGGACAATTGTCCTGAGTCTTTCATTGACAACTTAGTTTCTTTTTAATGTGTTTTATTATATGGTTAACACATGAACAACATGGATTTTAACTATGTGGATTTACTGATATGCAGATTTTCTTCTGCCTCTGCCATGCTGGAGACAGCAAGATCAACCCTTACTTCTCCTCCCCTTCCTCAGCCTACTCAATGTGAAGACAAAGAGGATGAAGACCTTTATGATGATCCACTTCCACTTAATGAATAGTAAATATATTTTCTCTTCCTTATGATTTTCTTAACAGCATTGTCTTTCTCTAGCTTAATTTATTGTAAAAATACAGTATGTAATACATATAACATAACATATGTGTTAATTGACTGTGTTATCAGTAATGCTTCAGGTCAACAGTAGTAGTTAAATTTTGGGAGACTCAAAATTTATACGAAAATTTCCAGTTGCTTGAGGGGCCAGTGGTCTTAACTTCTGTCTTGTTTAAGGGTCAACTGTATATTAGCTGAAAATATAATCGAGTTGCATTTATATCATCTGTTTCCATCTTCTACTTTGATGAAATTAGAAATGCAGCTAAAAGAATAGGTTTTCCAAGCAGAGAACTTATATCTGCGGGATCCATTCTTTGCATGTGCTACAGGTATGGTAGAAACTCAATTTCTGTTTCCAGGTCTATATTTAGATAGACTTTTATGTGTTCCTTCCAGTGTGGCTGAACAAAGTCATCTTTGCATGTGAGCTGCCTGATGTGTTAGTGAGAAGCCCTATTGTGTGGCGTCTTTCTCTGGCAGCTATTGCAGGAGATGTAGAGCTTCCCATTGTAGCTGGTTTCTGATGATGTTCATTCCGGACAGCATAAAGGGTTTGGAATTTTTTGTACTCCAGGAATGCTAAGTCTTGATTTTGCCATGAGTACTTGGTGATGTGAGTGAGATTTTACTATTAGCAAGAAGACTAGGCAAGGAGGAATTACTTGGCTGTGCCAAGATGCAATTTCATTCAAAGGACCACATGTGTATACACACACACACACACACACACACACACACACATTCTATGCTTTTATCGGTAACTACATCTATGACATTATATATTGGTTAGAAAGCAAGTATTCGAACACAGATGACCTTTACCACAGCATGTTTGATTCCCTGTGTCCTGGGAACACCAAATCTTCATAATTGAATCCACATAGCAATACCTTCAGCTTGAGAAGCATTCTAGGATGAAACCTGTTTGGATACAGTGTGAAAATCTAAGCCAGTCATTGAGATAGCTTCGCATCCAAGTGACTGCCAGTCCGCTTCTGACTGTGCTTTTTTCTTAATGATCTGACTTCTCTCTCATTCCCATGTTTGTGCATCATTTTGGAGCTCAGTCTGTTTATGTGGGCATTTTCTTTCCCACTGATGCCTAATATGTAGATGGATAACCTGGCTAGGAGGATGGGGCATTGCCTGTCCTTACCAGTGCACCAAACCTATATCAGCCTATCCTCATCAACCCTACAGCCAGCCCTGTGGGAAATCCTGGGCTGTTACATTTTCTGGGCCTCGCTGCAGGAAACCAGCCCCTCCCCTGGCTGCTTTCCAGAACATCTCCTGCTGCTGGTGCCCTTTCTTCCCTCAATGACTGGCAGACTTCTGTCGTTGTGTTCCCTCCGTTTCCCTCCAGGGACAAGCCCACTGCAGCAGGCTTATCCATTTCCAGGTTTTAAACCACAGGCTTCTCTTATGAACCACCTCTGTTAACCCCTTTGTGGCTGGCTGCATCGGTCACGGGTTCAAACTCAGCCTTTGTTCAGTAGAATTGCACTTTTCTAATTCTTGATTAATTATGTCGTTTTGCCGGCTTGCCCATGCAGACTTAGTAACCTATGGCTGTGTTGTGCTTAAGAAGCAGGCTGCCTATTACTACTTCCATTACTTGCCTTGAAAATGAGAGCTCTGAGCACATCATTTTATAACGAGGGTAGATTTTCTTCTCAGATGCATTATCTTTCCTTCTTCACAGTGAAGATTGTCTGTCAGATTTCTGCTCACTCACTGAGCCCTGTGAGTTTTCTTTTCCCTGAAATTTATCTTTGTCAGCCTGGCATTTCACTACCTCTGCAATCTGTAAAATAGAGTATTTCATGGAATATTCCATTCCTATACCATTTATAAAATGGTTAAACTAGGCCTACCAGCAGTGTGTGAAGGACCAAACTGTTTACTTTTATTTGTCTTATTCTTTCAAGAAACATTTATTAACAATGTAAAAAATGGATATGCTATTCTAGCATAGTGTGTAGTGAGGAGACAATGGTGGGGGTTGTAGTTGCAAAGATGAAAAATAAACAGTTCCCGTTTTCTAAAAAGCCAGAAATGCAACAGAACATATTTTCTGTAATTCTGGGACCATGGGTGACTAACAGTGTATTTCAGAGGATGCCAAAATTATGTATCATTTGTTTGATTGTGTATGAGTGAATACAGCATCACTGAGGCTCTCCAGTACCTGCAATGCTACATCTCCTGGAACATGATGCAGAGGAAATCACTGCACAGAAGGCGTCAAGGATGGTGATGCTGTTCTACCACGAGGAATAGACACAAGGTATACAATCAGTGAAGGTGTGGAATGGAAGAAGAATCAAACCATTGGTTCAGCTGGAGCTGTATGGTTCAGCACGGTAGCCACTATCCCCGGGTGGCTCTGGAATACTTGAAATGTGCTTAGTCCCAGTTGAGATGTGCTGTAGGTATAAAATGCATACCGGATATCAAAGACAGTACCAAAAAAACCTCAAACATACGTCATTAGTCTTGTTTTGTTTAAATTCTTTAAATTTTCTATAACTTCAGGGTTATAAGTGGTTTTGGTTACATGGATGAATTGTATAGCTATGAAGTCTGGGCTTTTAGTGCACATTGTACCCAATAGGTGATGTTTTTATCCCTCACACCCTTTCCAAGCTCCCCTCTTCTGAGTCTCCAATGTCCATTATACCATTCTGTATGCACTTGCGTACACAATGCTTAGCTCCCACTTATAAGTAAGAATACGTTGATCACATGTTGTAGGGATACTACTTTGGTTATATTAATTTAAATAAAATATTATTAAAATTTATTTTACCTATTTCTTTTTACTTTTTAATTTAGCTACTAGAAAATTAAAATTTATATATGTGGCTCACATTATATTTCTATTGAACAGTGTTGGACCGGAGCATGAGGTAATTTCAAGAGAAGAGAAGTAAGTTAGAATGAGAGCATCAAGGGCATTAAATACCTGACTAAGTAATTCATATAATATTTGCCAGCTGGTGGGAATTCATTGATTTTTGAGTAGAGAAATAAAATAGAATACCAAGGGAAGATTAATCTAGTGGCAGGGGCATATTTCAATTTCCAGTTCCTCATTCATGATAAAACCTTGCTCCAGACCTCAATGATAATTCATTTTATAGCTTTTCAGTTGAAATTTTACCAAAGGAAAAAAATGATTTGTGTCACCATGCTTATTTACTCATTTTCAGATAGATCCTAGGTAGATTAATGCACCCCATTTCTCCTTATAGAAACCTTGGTACCTTTCTCCAAATCATTATGTTGGTATAATTGCATAGTGAGCTCTCTTTGATAAATCTTACACAATTGCAGAGAAGCAAAGGGATTCTCATTTTTCTCCTACTCATAGCTGTCCCAGCAGCTTTTCTCACCCTGTATAGTGGGCATGTGAGGAATGTTTGCAGGAAAGCATGTTGAGGTCTCATTCTGTACAAACACAGCAGTACATGGTATTTTTAGTATTTCCAAAACGATTGCTTCTGTTTCTGCTAACTTTGAATTCAAACATATGGGTGCATTTGGGGATGTGGTGCTATATTTGTAAAAACTGTTTTATTCAAATTTTAATATCTAAAAATTAGAAAATGTGAATATTTGCTGGGCTTCATCTGATTGTACCAAGTTTTCAGTTTAAATAAATGACAGGTGATTTAGTCACTCTTCGCTCTCTGTTTCTTTGCTGTCATATTTGCTTTTGTTGTTTTGTGCTTAGTATGAGACCACAGAATTCTGTGCCTACCTGATCCATTACACATTAGTAAAACCTAATTCTCATTCCAACACCCTTTCTTCTTTCAGATAACTAGAACAACCTTGACAAGTTCCAAACAATATGAATGTGATTTTATCAAAATTATGTTAAAGCATTTTAAAGGAAGGTTTAAAATCATTACCATACAGAAAAATCCCATTTAGGAACCTGATATGCCTAATCTACTTTTATTACCGTCAACAATCTTCTGTAATTTTGCTTGCATAAGATATTGGGAGGTGACAGCGTGCTGGCAGTCCTCACAGCCCTTGCTCGCTCTCGGCACCTCCTCTGCCTGGGCTCCCACTTTGGCGGCACTTGATGAGCCCTTCAGCCCACCGCTGCACTGTGGGAGCCCCTTTCTGGGATGGTCAAGGCCAGAGCCGGCCCCCTCAGCTTGCAGGGAGGTGTGGAGGGAGAGGCGCCAGCGGGAACCGGGGCTGCGCGGGGCGCTTGCGGGCCAGCTGGAGTTCCTGGTGGGCGTGGGCTTGGCAGGCCCCGCACTCGGAGCAGCAGGCCGGCCCTGCCGGCCCCGGGCAATGAGGGGTGTAGCACCTGGGCCAGCGGCTGCGGAGGGTGTACTGGGCCCCCCAGCAGTGCCGGCCCTGCGCTTGATTTCTCGCGGGGCCTTAGCTGCCTTCCCGCGGGGCAGGGCTCGGGACCTGCAGCCCGCCATGCCTGAGCCTCCCCCGCCACCCGGCCTCCGTGGGCTCCTGTGCAGCCCGAGCCTCCCCGACGACCGCCGCCCCCTGCTCCACGGCGCCCAGTCCCATCGACCACCCAAGGACTGAGGAGTGTGGGCACACGGCGCAGGACTGGCAGGCAGCTCCACCTGCAGCCCCAGTGCCGAGATCCACTGGGTGAAGCCAGCTGGGCTCCTGAGTCTGGTGGGAACGTGGAGAACCTTTGTGTCTAGCTCAGGGATTGTAAACGCACCAATCAGCTCCCTGTCAAAACAGACCACTCGGCTCTACCAATCAGCAGGATGTGGGTGGGGCCAGATAAGAGAATAAAAGCAGGCTGCCCAGCCAGCACTGGCAACCCGCTGGGGTCCCCTTCCACACTGTGGAAGATTTGTTATTTCGCTCTTTGCAATAAATCCTGCTGCTGCTCACTCTTTGGGTCCACACTGCCTTTATGAGCTGTAACGCTCACCGCAAAGGTCTGCAGCTTCACTCCTGAAGCCAGCGAGACCAAGAACCCACCGGGAGGAACGAACAACTCTAGACGCGCCACCTTAAGAGCCCTAACACTCACCGCGAAGGTCTGCAGCTTCACTCCTGAGCCGGGAGACCACGAACCCACCAGAAGGAAGAAACTCCGAACACATCCGAAAATCAGAAGGAATAAACTCCAGAGGCGCCACCTTAAGTGCTGTAACACTCACCGCAAGGGTCCGCGGCTTCATTCTTGAAGTCAGTGAGACCAAGAACCCACCAATTCCGGACACAATATGCTATATCTAATTGAATTATATTTACAAGTATTTTATATTTTTTGAAGGCTTTTGAAAAGGATTTTTCACCCTATTTGCAAAAAACCTATTGCTGTAATGAAGAATAGTAACTTTAGTATTTATTTTGTGCACTGCCTCATTACTGAACTCTTATTTTTTCATTTTTTTTTCTCTTAAGATGGAGTCTCACTCTGTAGCCAGGCTCCAGCGCAGTGGTGCGATCTCGGCTCAGTGCAACCCCTGCCTCCCAGGTTCAAGCAATCTACTGCCTCAGCCTCCCAAGTAGCTGGGACTACAGGTGCACGCCACCATGCCCAGCTAGTTTTTGTATTTTTAGTAGAGATGGGGTTTCACCATGTTGGCCAGGTTGGTCTCGATCTCTTGACTTCATGATCCACCCACCTGGCCTCCCAAAGTGCTGGGATTACAGGCGTGAGCCACTGTGCCTGGGCTGAACTTCAGTTATTTCTAAGAGCTGTTTTGTTTGTTCTTGTGGCATGCAGTCATAAATTTCTAAGTAACAATGATTGTCTATCCTTTTCAATAATTATGACTCTTATTTATATTGACTTAGAGATAAACAGGTATCCAAAACAACAATAAATGACAATACTCATAAAAATAATTTTGGTAATTTCTAAAACTTGTGGATAGTGTCTTTATTAATTGTGATTTCTGTTGTTTGTAAATGATTTTTCTATGTCATGTTAGGTTTTATGAATATATTACCAATTTGGCAACAATATTTGCTAGTAATAAACAATTTCACTAGCTGCTTTTCAGAATTATTAAAGGTAGTCATATACTTTTTCTTCATTTAATTATTAACATAAGGACTTATGCCGTAAGTTTTCTGATAATATTAAATCATTCTTGAATTATTATATCTTAGTTGCAATATATTAATGTTTTAATATAACACGAAATCTGTGCAGATTATAATCAAAATGCTTGCATGTACATTCAAAGATATTGTGTTATTTGAATTGCTTTGACTAGATTTGATGTCAACTTTACATTGAATTTACAAAAGAGAATGGAAGACATTCAATTTTTTAAAAATTCCCTTTCATGTTTTAGAATAGAAATTACCTACTACTTGTAAATTTGAAAAGACTTGTCCTTAACTCCATTGTAGACTTACTGCCTTTTGTCATGTATTTGTGTCAAACATTTTCCTGTTAGTAATTTTTGAATTGTCTAGTTAAAGGAGTGGAATTTGATATAATTGTTAATTAGAATTTTTCGACTTTAAAAAGTCATTAATTTCTTATTTTCCTCCCCACTAGTTTACTTGTTTTTGTGTTCTCATTATATTTTTCTTGATGCTTAGTGAATGATTTTGATTACCATGTATACATCTTTTCTCAGTTTAAAACAGTTTCTTCTGTTAAATCTTACAATAGTGTTTCTCTCTGTTTGTGATTTTCAGGAGCATTGTGGGATTGTTAGAGGTCTAATGCCAGGACTCCCTTTTACTATTTCTCCTAATTTGTATTTATAGCTGCCTTTTGTCTCTGTGTTCCGAAAGACTCCAGACTTGACCTCTGCAGACTCAGTTATCTGCATTGTCAATTATAATTTGTACCACTTTTATAGGCATATTAAATTACGGTGTGGTAATACCTATATATTGTTTTCCTTAAGTCAGTCTCTTTTATAAATCTCTTGTCTCTTGATTTAACATCTTAACCATTCATCTATTTTTACTCTCAAGGGATCCATATATTCTTTATAACCCTTCAGAAAACAAGTAGATGCTTTTAATAAATTATTTCTTGTAATAAATTCTTTTTCAAATCTTGTTTTCAATTTCTTTATGCCATGATATGTTTATTATAAAACTGGCTCCAATTTCCCACTCCTTCCTGTATCTACGCCATTTGCAATATTACCTTGCAGGCGGAACCTTATTTCTCTACCCTTTGAATCTGGGCTGGGCTTGTCACTTTCTTTGGGCAACAGAAGTGAAAGCAGAAGTGAGGTGTGTTTTTCTGAGCCTAGGTACAGTATTCTGGTGATGGGTACACAAAAAGAGGATTTGGACTCTTCCTTTTTCTTCCTGGGAACCCTGCCTCTTTTTCTTCCTTTTTTTTTTTTTTTTTTTTTTTTTTCAGGTGGAGTTTCTCTCGTGTTGCCCAGGCTGGAGTGCAATGGCGCAATCTCGACTCCCTGCAACCCCCGTCTCCCAGGCACAAGGGATTCTCCTATCTCAGCTTCCCAAGTAGCTTGGATGACAGGTATGCACCACCACGCCCGGCTAATTTTTTTTTTTTTTTTTTGTATTTAGTAGAAACGGGGTTTCACCATGTTAGTCAAGTTGGTTGCGAACTCCTGACCTCAGGTGATCCACCCGCCTAGGCCTCCCAAAGTGCTGGGATTACAAGCCTGTGCCACCGCGCCTGGCTAGAACCCTGCCTCTTAAAGAGACAATGCCCACTGTAGCTGGCTAGATTAGAGACACACATGGCAAATTGCTACCATCATTCCAAATTGCTACCATCATTCCAAATGACAGCTAGTCAACTTCTGGAAAAATGAATGTGGATAAATAAATGCTGACTGTTCTAGGCCACTAAGTTTTGAGCAGTTCCTTTGTGTTTCTTATTGTGGCATTAGTTAAATGATAAAAGCAGTATATTGATCTCCCTTTTTTAATTCACATTTTTTCATCAATACCAAAATAAAATATTTTCCAAGGTAACCATTCTGAAACAAGGACATTTCCTTCTTTGATAGTGGAGCATTTATTTGTCCACTGTCATATGGATGGATTCTTCTTGTACCTGCCTTTATTTGCTTGGGGATCTCTGGATTGACCCTCTCACATTTAATTCAATGAAGGAGGCGGTATGGAAGTAAAGTCATGCATGGGCCAGTAGAAAAACCTTCATTTGCTGTGGTTTTCTGAATGAACATCTAGTGTTCCATGAGGTGAGGTCTTGGAGTGTGAGAGGTGTCTGTTTCTGCTTCCCTGCCTCTGCCCTCAGCTACTGGGTCAAGTGGGTTGTCTTTGCCATGGAGGACACTCCTTTTTTTTTCTTTTTTCTTTTTTTTTTTGAGATGGAGTCTCGCTCTGTTGCCCAGGCTGGAGTGCAGTGGCGTGAACTCTGCTCACTGAAACCTCCGCCTCCTGGGTTCAAGCAATTCTCCTGCCTCAGCCTCCCAAGTAGCTGGGACTACAGGTGTGTGCCACCATGCCCGGGTAATTTTTGTAATTTTAGTAGAGACGGGGTTTCACCATGTTGGCCGGGATGCTGTCCATCTCTTGATGTCGTGATCCGCTCTCCTCGGCCTCCCAAAGTGCTGCGATTACAGGTGTGAGCCACGGCTCCTGGCCCGAGGACACTCCTTTTAACTGTTAGAATGCTTCCTCTTGCTGGTGAAGCTGCACTGCAGGATCTTGTCCATCTTCACATGCCTTTGTTGGCATAGCTACACCTGGACTCCGCATGGCCGTCTCCAAGTGGTGATGATCTCTGGAGAACGAAGTGGGTTCATGTGAAATAGTGAGTTCTAAATCCATGTTCTCCTTCCACATTGGTCATTCCCATGGGAGGTTTCACCAAGATTTCCTCTCAAAATTCACTAGAAAAATACAGCAACGTGGCCTCATCTGTACTACCGTGGGAAGAAATGTGTTGATGGTTGGCATTCCTACCCTAGTTTCAGCAATTATGCAAGCTTTTTCCTATTTCTGATTTTCTTTCTTCATTTCTGAGCCTGAGTGGGATTAAAAAAGAGTTTAAGTACATGCACCAAATGTAATCTCTACTTACTGAACATCAGCTTTCCCTGTGATCCCACCTCCATGACGCTCCCCTCAGCCCAACAGTCAGGATCCTCGATCACCCTGCCCTGGAACTTTCTGGCAACTGGAGGATCTTTGCAAATATTAATGTAGTGAAACACCATAACTCTCTGTGAAATATCACTCAGAGGCTTAAAACATTGTGATCATTCACAAAATAATTACATCCATAAAAAGTCAATACCTCCCTGAAGACTATTGCAGTGCACCAAGATTTATATATTTTCCACATTACACGAGTGAGGTTAACTCACCTATTGTACATAATAAGTCCAGAAGGGCTAAGGGAAGGAATGAGGTTTGAAGCACACTCTACATTTCTATTAGCCCTTCAGAGAACCATCTTTAAAAGATTTATATACAATAAAGTGAACCATCTACACTATTAGAATAGTGTTTTACAACTTGCAGGTTGAAGTATACCTTAGGTATGCTAACACTTCTGATTCCTGGACTAAGTGAGCCCAAATTCCTCTCTAAAAAGTATAGGCTAAAGTCTTCATTTCCTGAATTTCTTTATTTTATCCCAGTATCTCATCATCTGCTTACTTTAAGGATGTGATATGTATAATTTTGTCATTTAATTATTAAGCCCTTTTTTTCTTTCTTCGTCTATCATTCCAAAATCCTTTGGAGTTGTGAAGTTCCAGCCACTTACTTATCTATATAATTGTTAAGTTAAAGCCCCTTTAAGCCACCATATCCTAATGTGGAAATTGGAAATGATGATATTTATCCTATAAGACTGTTAAGATAATTCATTGAGCTTATTACATAAGAATGGTTGTGGAATTTTGAAAGTCCATTTTCTCTCTTTTCACCTGTGGGTCACTAGGATCCAACTGAACACATATTGTGTTCCCTGAAGTGGCACATGCTGGCCTCAGGACCTCTGGCTTTAGAGTTAAAGGGCAATGGGCAAACTCTTTATGAGTAAAAGCAGAGGTCAGACTAGTGAGCATCATTTTATTTTAATTGACCTTGGTGAAAGACTGGTTCAATTGTTTGGAATTTTGACCTCTGGCTTGATGACTTGGGAGAACCCAAAAGTGCCTTTAGTTTGCCTTAAGTGAAAGCTTCGTTTAATGGCCAGCTATGGAGAGGAACAGATTTGTGTTCTGGGCTCCATAAAGTCTTATTTGGCTGCCTGGTCACTGTGACATCAGAACTGCTCTCTAGGAACTACTTACTCCTTGTCGTCTTCTCCATGGTATGAACTGAGTTGGTTACAATAGCATTGATGGCATTTTTCTGAAGACTCCTGTTGGGGTGGATATAGACTTGGAACATGTATCACTAATCTGGAGATGTGTAGATACCACCTGAAGATTCTCAACCCCATCCTGTGAAAGTCCACCCTCAGTGCTCACTAGGTGCTGCCCAACTGTCAAGTGAGGAAGACACAAGCAAAGCAAACTCTCTTTGGTGGCATGGTGGGTGGGAGGTGGGGCTCTCCGTGGCCTGGCTTGGTCAGAGCCACTGCTGTCATTCTGCTCTGAGGAGGAGCACTCTCCATGGATCTGCCTTGTTTACTAACTTACAATCCGGGGCTTAGCAAAAGGTCCCAGGGATCAGGCACTGAAAATGCCAATTTGAACATTGCATTATTACAATGATTATTGATCTCTTCACTTAATGTTTATGTAACATTGGCCAAACCTTCATCACTTTACACAGCATAAAGGCTGACAATGCCATTCATTATGTTCTCTAAGTAAAGAACTATTTTCTAAATAGAAATGCAACTTGATTTTAACCTAAAGGTCAAGCTCATCGTTGACATAGAATTGCAAATGAGGCCATCTTAAAAGAGAAAATAATCAACTATTAATTATTTAAAATGCTTACTGATGCATGAAATTTGTTACATTTCCAAGTGTATTTCTAATTAAATATGCACGGATGATAAAAGCCCTGGAATCTAAATCAGCTATTAATTTCAAATCAAAATACATTTGAAATTCAGCACTCTGAGCTTCTATTTTTCAAAACATAAAGATTTTGAGGAATCTATGCCTTGCCTTCACATTTTATTTATGTCTACAAGTTTCAGTAATATGTACCTGCTTATATTTGAAAAGAAATAGTGTAGTTATCCTTGCAAAGGCTTTAGAATTTTAGAATAACTTTAAGTCAATGTTGTTTAAAAGCAATTGAGCTAGCTTTTTGGAATATTATGTTCAAATATTTTCACTAACAAAATTAGAATAAATCCTAGCAAAAGATGTAAAAGAATGAGGTCACTGTGTTTAAATATTGTACCTTATGTGAGTTCAAAAAAAAACGTAGATGTTTGAAAAACACAGCTAACCTTTGAAAAGAAAAAAATGCCACATTCACTTTAGGGAATGGGCAAACTTAACTAATAAAAATTTATAGCCCTGGAATGTTTGCAAAAAAAAAAAAAATCTCTCCCACTTGAAATGTCAGAATGATCTCAGATCTCCTGTTAAGCAATTTGTTAAACTTTAAATGGTAATAAATATTAGATTTAATAAGTGGAAAATTCTCAAGTAAGAATAAGGCCACTGAAGTACATTTGAAAGACGTATCTTTTAAAATTTCAAACATCTGTTTGTTTGTTGATTAAATTATTTATTCATCCTTTTAATCACTCCTTCAGCAAATTGGATGGCTCCTAGGTGCCACGCATTGCAAGCATTGAACTAGACTTTACTAACACTAAAACGAAAGAAATAATGTCCCTTTTCTCAAGGCCCTCACAATCTTGAATGTCAGACCCATGTGAGTAAATATGTAAATGACATGGCAAATGCATTAATAGATTATGTGGCCTTGATTGCTAATTATTCCATTAATACAACCCCACTTTTTGTTGTGATATGAAATAAAAGACATGTTTTCCCAGCTTCATTTGCTTCTAGATGTGGCTATGAGAAAAGGTTTTGGTGGTTAGATCTAAAAGGAAATGTGTAGGGACTTCTTAGAAATCACAGATAGGGTCATGTTCTTCCTCCTAAGTGGAATATGGTCGTGATGGCTGAAGCACCTGCGACAATTTTGGGCTATGAAGTAACTTCGAGGATACACAATATGCCAGGAGCCAGAGGTGAAAGTCAGAAGGCGTCTCAATCCCTGATGACTATGGAACTTGCAAAGCAGCCCTGAGGGCATCATCTCTGAACTTTGTGTTGTGAAATAGAGAAAATATATTTCTACTTATTTTAGGGTCTTTTGTTATAGAAAATAGAATCCAATTCTGATAATGTAGTATGTTTGATTATTACAAGCTAGTACCTTATAACCTTCCACATATACTCAACATGATTGTAATACACAGGTGACTCAATGGTAGAGAAAATAGTCTCCATTCCCACGGTTTGTCATAGAGAAAGACAACAAAGAAATAAACATAATAACATAAAAAACTTAATCCTGAATAAGATATTTTTTCTGAAGAAATGATAGTGGTGGCCCCAAACACAGAGCAATAATCCAGAGGAAGACATGAGTAAGGAAAGTTTTCACTGTGGAGTCCTAATGAGCAGAACTTTGATTAATGACTCTTTCAAAGCTTCTACTGGAGCATGGATCATCCAGGCTGAGGGTGGCACATGTGAGGGCAGAGGGACACAGGACAGCCTGGCACTTTCCAGGGCATGCAAATAACTTACTCTGCGCTGCGGCAGAGGGTACCTGTGGTTGTATTCTGAGGTTTGGGAGAGAGGCTGGAATGAGATCATCCAGTTACAAAGAACCTTGAGAAGGTTGTGAAGATGCTTAGAAAAGTTGGCATAGATGTGGGATTTAAAAGATTATTATTTATATTTTTAGATTTTAATATGCCTTTGGAAGACATTGAAGAATTCCATTGTTTAACATGGAAATTTGAAAGCTTTCTATATTTACAGACGAATCAATTATAACCCAAAATTTGTACAGCACTTAATCTGTGTGAGGCATTGCTCCCAGCTTTATATTTAGCAATTTATTTAATCCTAAAACCAATTATATAGGCCTTTGGCCAGGTGCTGTTATTACCCCTCATTTGCAGATGAGAAGACTGAGGCTCAGAGAGGAGAATAACCAGGCCTAAGTCACTTGGCTAGGAAGGGGTAGAGCCAGGAGTTGAGTCTGTGCCCTTACGCACCATGAAAAACTGTCAGTCTCCATGAAACTAATCGTCCATTTAGATTCATGTAATAACAAGAAGTGCTTAAATTTCCATAGCACTTAGGACTTTGGAAGGTCAAGGATCATAAATAATTTTTACTATTATCCTGTGACTTTGTTCTATCCCCTCAACATAGAAGCTAAGATTCAGTGGGGTAGAGTGACTGATCTAGCACCACTCCGAGAGATTGTGTCAGACATGAGATCTGAGCCCCAGCTTTCCTCAGAGGCAAGTTGCTGATAGTCTCTAAGTCTCAGTTTCCTCATCTGTGAAATGGGGTTAGTAATAGCACCTAGCCTAAGGCCTATAAGATTGTTTTCAGGATTTAATAAATTTTACTGCTAGTAAAGCACTATCACTCCTCTACCAAAGATAATTCTTTACTCAAAATGACCGAAGCTAAGCATTTTTATTTATTTATTTATTTTTCTTTTTTTTAATTATACTTTAAGTTCTAGGGTACATGTGCACAACGTTCAGATTTGTTACATATGTATACATGTGCCATGTTGGTGTGCTGTACCCATTAACTCGTCATTTACATTAGGTATACCTCCTAATGCTATCCCTCCCTCCTCCCCCTACCCCACAACAGGCCCCAGTGTGTGATGTTCCCCTTCCTGTGTCCAAGTGTTCTTATTGTTCAATTCCCACCTATGAGTGAGAATATGCGGTGTTTGGTTTTTTGTCCCTGCAATAGCTTGCTGAGAATGATGGTTTCCAGCTTCATCCATGTACCTACAAAGGACATGAGCTCATCATTTGTTATGGCTGCATAGTATTCCATGGTGTATATGTGCCACATTTTCTTAATCCAGTCTATCATTGATAGACATTTGGCTTGGTTCCAAGTCTTTGCTATTGTGAATAGTGCCGCTATAAACACATGTGCATGTGTCTTTATAGCAGCATAATTTACAATCCTTTGGGTATATACGCAGTAATGGGATGGCTGGGTCAAATGATATTTCTAGTTCTAGATCCTTGAGGAATCGCCACACAGTCTTCCACAATGGTTGAACTAGTTTACAGTCCCACCAACAGTGTAAAAGTGTTCCTATTTCTCCACATCCTCTCCAGCACCTGTTATTTCCTGACTTTTTAATGATCGCCATTCTAACTGGTGTGAGATGGTATTTCATTGTGGTTTTGATTTGCATTTCTCTGATGGCCAGTGATGATGAGCATTTTTTCATGTGTCTGTTGGCTGCATGAATATCCTCTTTAGAGAAGTGTCTGTTCATATCCTTTGCCCACTTTTTGATGGGGTTGTTTTTTTTTTTTTTCTAAGTTTGTTTGAGTTCATTGTAGATTCTGGATATTAGCCCTTAGTCAGATGGGTACATTGCAAAAATTTTCTCCCATTCTGTAGGTTGCCCGTTCACTCTGATGGTAGTTTCTTTTGCTGTGCAGAAGCTCTTTAGTTTAATTAGATCCCATTTGTCCATTTTGGCTTTTGTTACCATTGCTTTTGGTGTTTTAGACGTGAAGTCCTTGCCCATGCCTATGTCCTGAATGGTATTGCCTAGGTTTTCTTCTAGGGTTTTTATGGTTTTAGGTCTAACATTTAAGTCTTTAATCTATCTTGAATTAATTTTTGTATAAGGTGTAAGGAAGGGATCCAGTTTCAGCTTTCTACATATGGCTAGCCAGTTTTCCCAGCGCTATTTATTAAATAGCGAATCCTTTCCCCATTGCTTGTTTTTCTCAGGTTTGTCAAAGATCAGATAGTTGTAGATGTGTGGTGTTATTTCTGAGGCCTCTATTCTGTTCCATTGATCTATATCTCTGTTTTGGTACCAGGACCATGCTGTTTTGGTTACTGTAGCCTTGTAGTATAGTTTGAAGTCAGGTAGCGTGATGCCTCCAGCTTTGTTCTTTTGGCTTAGGATTATCTTGGCAATGTGGGTTCTTTTTTTGGTTCCATATGAACTTTAAAGTAGTTTTTTCCAATTCTGTGAAGAAAGTCATTGGTAGTTTGATGGGGATAGCATTGAATCTATAAATTACTTAGGGCAGTATGGCCATTTTCAGAATATTGATTCTTCCTATCCATGAGCATGGAACATTCTTCCATTTGTTTGAGTCCTCTTTTATTTCGTTGAGCAGTGATTTGCAGTTCTCCTTGAAGAGGTCCTTCACATCCCTTGTAAGTTGGATTCCTAGGTATTTTATTCTCTTTGAAGCAATTGTGAATGGGAGTTCACTCATGATTTGGCTCTCTTTTTGTCTATTATTGGTGTATAGGAATGCTTGTGATTTTTGCACATTGATTTTCTATCCTGAGACTTTGCTGAAATTGCTTATCAGCTTAAGGAGATTTTGGGCTGAGACGAAAGAGAATTTTAGACCAATATCCCTGATGAACATCAATGCAAAAATCCTCAATAAAATACTGGCAAACTGAATCCAGCAGCACATCAAAAAGCTTATCCACCATGGTCAAGTGGGCTTCATCCCTGGGATGCAAGGCTCGTTCAACATATGCAAATCAATAAGCGTAATCCAGCATATAAACAGAACCCACGACAAAAACTACATGATTATCTCAAAAGATGCAGAAAAGGCCTTTGACAAAATTCAACAGCCCTTCATGTTAAAAACTCTTAATAAATTAGATATTGATTGGATGTATCTCAAAATAATAAGAGCTATTTATGACAAACCCACAGCCAATGTCATACTGAATGGGCAAAAACTGGAAGCATTCCCTTAGAAAACTGGTACAAGACAGGGATGCCCTCTCTCACCACTTCTATTCAACATAGTGTTGGAAGTTCTGGCCAGGGCAGTCGGGCAGGAGAAAGAAATAAAGGTTATTCAATTAGGAAAAGAGGAAGTCAAATCGTCCCTGTTTGCAGACTGAAGCTAAGCATTTAAAGCAGCATAACTCCAGGCTGGGTCTCAAAACAGGAGCCTGAAAGCAGACCTGTCAAACAGAGGCAACAGTGGCCCAAGAGAGATTACCAGAGGCCCGTCTCAGACAGTTTCCCAGGAAAGAGGCTGCCAGTTCATCAAAACAGGAGGCCTCTGGGATTCAGTGTTCATCCTGCCTTTGATGGAACTTACACAGTGTTTTACGCAAGGCCCTTTGGAGGCCTCTTTCCAGGAGTCAGCACTAAATTTTACTGGTAATCCTTTGGAAATTCTTTGTGAGTTAGAAGGACTTCAGGGATTTGACCATCTGGTTATGTTAGGAGGCATCTGCGCTTGCAAAATAACCATCGCCTCGTCAGCTATTTGAAAATAACTTATTTTAGAGGTGCAAGTAGAGGTTTTCAGCTGCATTATTAAAGCCACTCTGAAAAGGGAAATGTATTAATTGTTTATAGTTAGAAGCAAATCACTTAATATTTAATTTTATTTAAATGAAAGTGTTTAAACATAGTTTCCCACAACTCTTCTTGATTTTTAATCTAGTGCTGAGGCAATTCCAAAGTTTGTGACAAATTTTCCCTTTAAGCCTGAGTGTGTGAGCTTCTGAGGACCAATAGCTTCTCATCAGAATGGCAAGCTCTAGGGGGCATTTGGGCTCTCCTGGAATTGAGAACTCACCAGGGGCAGAGGCAGTTCATCCTGTAGAAAGAGGAGTCAGGGTCGTGAAGCAGATGGAGTGGGTTGGGCTAATGGGAACAGTAAGATCTCAGAGCAGAACCGAGTCTTCCATCTATGACACATTCTTAGCTTCTCAGAATAGTGACAAAATAAGACTTCAGATCTCCTCTTTGACCCTCATCTCTGATAGTTGTTGGAGGATTAATTGTTCATTGAACATATATTATTGGGTGCCAACGATATGTCAGGAATTGTTCTTGGCCTTGAGAATGCCAGGGTGCAAATGACCAATTAATCCCGGTCTCTCTAATCAATAAAGTAAATGCATAATTTCAGGCTGGATAAGTACCAGGAAGAAACACATGCAATAGAGTGGCCCATGGATGCGTCGGACAGTGTTCCATCCCACGTGCCTCAGAAAATGCAGGCGGAGGCAAAGGAGTAAGTGGTACTTCCTTACTAAGGAGGGGAATCCTATGGAAGTAAGAGTGGAGCAAAGGGGAAAGAAGCAGGAAGCATGGAAACTTATATCCAGGGGTCACGCATGGAAGAACTTATCTACCCACTCCCACCTCCCTTTAATTAAACCCAAGAGGGTCTCATGCCATGTGCTTCCAGGTCTTGCACACACATGGGTGCAGAGCCACTTGCTGAGGGATCTTGGTTGGGATAAGAAGAGGAATGTGGTGAGGAGCTGCCAGGCTGCGCTGGCATGGATCTGACCAGTGCACACAGGGATGGTCTCAGAGACAGCAGCTAAAACAAGCCCCAGTGGGCTGAGGTGCTGCAGTGAATGTGCACCCAGCTCAGCCTGCACCTCTCTGGTCTGCTTATGCCATACGTTACATTTGACTTTCATAATACGATATAGGCTCTTAATTGTTTTTTAAACAATAAGATGTCCTCTCTTCTTTCCTGGAAAAAAAAAAAAAACAGATAGCAGGCAATCAGTTGCTTTGTTTTTACTTGGCCATGATTGCTGCAATTACCCAGTTCCTATTACTGCACAAAGAAGCACCAAGAGATGCTCAGGGAATCCTCTAGGGCCCAGACAAACTTTTTCCTGCCCCCATTGTACAGGAACAGCTCTCACACCTTATAGTAGTCAGAGGTGATTCCCCTTGAACTAAGTAACAAGTTTATTTGCCTGCTGTTCCACAGACACAAGGAGCCCAAAATGACCAGGTCACAGCCACGGATTCAAGCTGGCAGAAACATTCATTTCTTGGGAATTAGAGCATCTAAATCAATGGAACCTAAGTTAGTAGATGAAAATTTCAAATTTCTCAAGTAGATCACTGTTTTAGATTGGACAAGTTACACTGCTTGCTTTCTGGAGGGGCCACTCCAACCTGTAGATGTTGTCCCCCAAGGTGACTTTTTAACTGAGTTTTTACATGTTACCACACAGTTCTATTAGACCAGCTGTATCTGGGTGATGCAGCTGGGTAAGACCAACACATTTCAGGTTAATGTGCCAATTTTTAGCCTTTATTTGCCACAAAATATACCCCTTGGTCTGCAGCAGCATTGAATAGGGATGCCATATTCGTAGAACTTAGATTTCATAAGTCCTTAGATGGTAGGGTTGGTTGAGGCACTGTAGGCAGAGAAACAAACAATATGCAAATATGTACATGTTCATTCCAATAAGGACAAATCACTAATCACTTCAGGATGGAAAAGGCCATGACGCGGGCTAGTCTGATCAAAGAATGGTGCCAAGGCCTGGCTTATGCTCTTTGCAGGTTGGAAAGTCAACAGCAGTGTCACCATGCTAGTGTCACCATTTGGTTAGAGAGGCAGCCCATGTGTGACTCTATCCCAGTCACCATGACTGCTCTGTGAATGGTGAGCCCACAGTGCAGCACTAGGCAGGCCAAGGAGAAAGGCTTTACTGCATGCACAGGACTAGCCATCTGCCCATCTGGTTGTTGAAAGGCTCCTCTGGTGTAGATGGCCACTGTTGGCCATTAATGGAATACATTAAAAATGTACTTGTTTCTTCCCTAATTTCACTTTTCTGTTCATATACTAACTTCCCCTGCCCTACCTGTACTTGACTTTTGACTTTTGTTCCTTCCTTATCTCTAATCAACTAGCCATGACTTTACCCATTGTCCAGGTCTCTGTTTCCATAGGTCAGCCCAATTCTTTCCAAATAGAATAGTGACCTCCTCTTTATACTGTCCCCAGGGAATTTTCCCTTTAATTTCTTTAAAGCTACCAACAAGTGGACCTATAATGTGTCAGAGATCCATCTTCCCCTGACACCATTGTATTATGTTAAAATATCTGTGAACTAGGTCAGAATTCATTCCTTCTCTGATTGCTGGGCATTGGAAATCTCCCAAAATTAGTGTCATTCAAAGCACAGGCTTCAGTGCAAAACAAGTATATGACATGGGCATCTGGACTATCTAATAATAAAACTTATTCATTCTTCCCCACTTGGACCTCATTCCAAATATAACATTTTCATTAAACAATGGATTTCTCCACCACTGGTATGGCTCAGCAGACTTGAAAAGACTTAATGGTGGGTAGCTGTGATCACTCAGTCCATTGGATGTCAATTCCTGCTAGGTTCTTGTCATTAATACTATGGCAAACTAGATCCAGTATCTCCTCCTTTTTTTTTGCAGGTCAAAATTTTGTCCAAGTTCAATGAGCCATCTTATTAGTATAATAAGATCAGTGCCAGGGTTCCTGGCTAGAACTCTGAATTCCAAGTCATGAGTAAGAGTTCGCAGGTTGTCACATTCTCCCTATCCAGCCATATATTCTGATCTTCTTCCACAAGTAACTGAGCCTCAAGATTCATGTTCACATATGTTTCTCTGGTAGCTGCAATTCCTGTGCCATTTAAGGTGTTTTTATCCAGGCATGGGTCCTGCTGAGACCTGATCTTGGTGATGCTTTGGAAGGTAATATGGGATAATGTATTAGCTATTTATTGCTGCATGAAAGATTACCTCCAAAACATAGTGGTTTAAAGAAACAACATTTAGTATTTCACAGATTTCATGAGTCAGAAATTCAGCCAGCTTAGCTGGATGATTCTGACTTAAGGTCTCTCACAGGGTGCAATTTAGGTGTTGGTTGGGGCTGTAGTCTCATCTGAAGGCTCAACATAGGGAGAATCCTATTTCAAGTTCACTTATGCGGTTGTTGGCAGGATTCAGTTATCCCTGGTTTTTGGACTGAGGGTCTTATTTCTTTGCTGGGTGTTTGATGGGGCCTCCCACAGTTGCTTGCCATGCACAGCTCTCCTTAAGGCACCTCCAACATGGTATCTGGCCTTCCTCAAAGTGAGCAAGTGAGTGAGGGAAGATAGCCTAAGACCAAAGTCATAGCCTCTTTTTAACCTAATCTCACAAGTGACAGTCATTGCTTTTGCCATATTCTGTTTCTTAGAAACTTTATTATTAGTTCCAGCCCACACCCAACAAGAGGGTATTACATAAGGCTGAGAATACAAGAAGGTGAAGATTTGAGACCATCTTACAGACAATAGAAAGATACAATTCTCTCTTCATCCTAAACATGGAAACCTTAAGGCATTGCTCTAACAGTTCAGCCCAAAAAACAACTGTGAGTAAAGAAATAAATAAATTACTTTGAGATTCAACTTTCATTAGCTTACTTCCCTGTTGATAAACTTTTAATGAGTCTAATTGTCTACACTACAGAAAAAAGCCTAATATACTGAGTTTAATTCAAGTACTTTTCTAAATGCCAAAATGCAGTGGCTTGTTTAAGTTGCACCATCAAGATCCAGAGGATGAGGGACACATTATGGATTTTATGAGCTTTGGGCAGGCATTTTTGACTTGATAGACCACTAATATTCTATGTGCATGCACACACACACACACACACAATTTATACATATGTATACACATATATGTGCATTTATACATGTGGTTTTAAGACTGCATTGGTATAAAGACAAATATAATCCATGTTGGATCACATTCTTTTTGTTTCTTCTGATTTTAAAAAAACACTAAAATGTTTTCCTAGGCTCCGAAAAGTGACATGGGTACTTCTTGGAGCAGCAGATTAGATTTATTATCCCCTGAGAAGAATAAGTGCAAGAGTTAAGAGCATACAGTCTGGGGCAGACTGCCTAGTTTGAATCCAGCTCTGCCACTTACTCTCTGTGTGCACATTGGCAAATTCCTTGTCTGTGCCGTTTTCTCATCTATAATTTAGAGATAATGACATTACCTATCCCACTGCATTGTTGTAAAGGAGTTTTTACTTGTAAGGTAGACAATAAAACTGCTCGTCAATAACTGATTTCTATCTCTTTTCAGGCACATGGGAAGGCTATAATGCCTTGACCACTTTAAGTTAGGCATGGCCATATGACTTCATTTGGCTAAGGAAATGTTAGTGGAAGATGGGTGGTACTTTTAGCTGAAAGCATTTAGTTCTTGGTCTTGCCTCTCTGCCTTGCTTTTTCTCTGCCCCAAGGTTGAAGTAAGGAGTCAATATGATGCCCAACCAACTTAAGATGGAAATGTAACATGCAGGAAAAACAAATAATTGTGGAATTAAGCCACTGAGACATCAGGGCTATTTGTTACAGCAGAACAACCTACCCTGTACTGCAGCAATAGGAAAAACACCAAGAGCAGAATCTGTCAATTAACACTCAGTAAATATTAACACTCAGTAAACACCTTCGATGAAGATGGGGCCTATAGCATTTGATTAACTTGCTTTGGAATCTAGTGATTTGAATTCTGCTGTTTTGTAGTTGTGTAACCTTAAATACATCATATCATATCTCTATGCCTCTGTTTTCTCATCTGTAGTATAGGATTAGTAATAGCCCAGCACTCCATAGCTTAATGTGATTTTTAATATGAACAAGAATATAAAGTATGAGCAATGAGTATTTTGTGTTTTTGTTTGTTTAATTCACCATATGAAAAACTCTGTGCTAGGTACTTGCACGCAGGTGCCAATGACTACAGTCTTAGGTACTTAGGATCTATTTATCTTGTAGTGAGAGAGACACCAACGAAAATAACCAAGTAGTATACCAAAGGCCATCAGAAAGATGCAAACAAAAATAATTTATCTTTACAAAGATATAACTAAAATGCTCCAAATTTGAGTGGGGTTAAATTGATATAATATCTAACACAGAACTTGAAAGACTAGTATGTTTGGAGTTTGGTTAGTAGTGTGAAAAAGAAAGCAGAAGCATTTAAGATGGAGAGAGGAGTGGTTAAGAACTAGAGATGGTTCTAGTACCTGCGGTTTTGTGAGAATGCAGATCAGAGAGGAGACTTGACTGCCAAAGAATCTGATGTCTGAGCACAGGGGTCCTAATGGGGAAAGGGCTCCGCAATAACTTCCTCTTGCCCTCTGTGTACGTTTCCTTGGGCAAGCAAGCTGCTCTATCCACATGGGAGCTCTGTGGAGGCTGCACTGCTCTAAAGCCAAGACAGCCTTTTGCAGATAGTGCTTCCTTTCCTTACAGGGAGCAGGACGGGTTGGTGTCAGAGCCCATTTCCTACTATACTCAGGAGTTGTTTAATCACCATCCCTTCTTTGTATTCTCTATGTCATCCTCCAGCTCAGATCCTCTGGGCCTCTCAGTTTTACTATTTCAAGAGACTCTGTGTGAATGTCCCTGTCCCTAGACTCTCTGTTTTCTCTCGATATACTGTGAGGTCCTTGAGGACAGGTACCATGTCCGCCGGTTCCTAACTGTAAACCCAGTCCTCAGCAAAGACAGTGCTCAATATATATTTGCTGAAGGAATCCCTAAGTAAATACATTCTTTCTGCACTACACTCTACTCCCTGGCTTATTTCGTAAAGAACACCAGTGATGGCGCCACTTCCTTTCTCCCTGTTATCTATGGAATGTTGCCCTAATTCCTTGCCCTGACCTGCCATATTCTCTTTGCTCCCACTGCGTTCCCTTTTACAAATCCTCCCACAGCAATGTGACATGGAACTCGTCTTCTCATGAGCCCATCTTGGAAGTAATGGTCTCTCAAGAATTTGGGAGGTATGTTGTAGTCACAATAGCTACACTTCTTTGAGCACTTATAATGAACTGTCTATGGTGTTGACAATATGAAAAACTTGCCTAATAAGTCTAAGCAGGTAATAGGAAGAGACAGGTTGTAAATCCAAGCAGTGTGAAGTCAGATTTCAGCCTAAACCCTACATCAAAATGGACTTGTTATGTAAATTGACAATGTTAAGAAGCTCAAAATTCACTACCTGACAATATATGTTAATAGTACATATTCAAGCCACTAAAATATAGACTTTCTCTCATTCCATTGCTGGAGATATTATTCTCAGCTGTCTATAGGCTCAGATTTAAATTCTCATTTGCATATTCAAAATCATTCATGATATGGCTGTAATCTACCTGTCCAGTCTTACTTCCTCTATTCCCTCAAATCACTCATATTAGTACTGAGCAAACCAAGTGCTGACCACCACTTCAGCTGTCCACCTTAGCTCATATTGTTCTCTTTGCATGAAAATCCCTTCCTTCATTTTTATACCTGGTACGACTTTATCGGTCCTTCAGGGCTCACCTTAAATGCTGGCTCTCCTGAACACTTCCTTGTTTCACTCTAGAATTAATCCCATTTATTTGTATCTACACCTCCTTTTTTCCTTTTGTCACATTGTCTGTTATTTATGCAAACACACACATAAATATCCCATATTATTCTGTAAACTCTTTGAATCCAAGGACAATGTAAATGGAAATCCTAAGTACTACAAACTACATTACAAAAGGCATATTCCACATAGGAGATTTTGACCCTCCCAGACTCCAGCATGCTCCTGATGTCACTGTCCCTCTTTATGCATAGGAAAGCATCTCAGGGGAGTTGTCTATCCCTCCTCAATTCACACTGCTACTTCTACCGATTAGAATGTCTCCCACTCATCTCAGAACATCTTGTTAAAGTTGCCGTGGCTTTTACCTTCCTAGGCCAAAGACCAATTCTCTTTCCAAAGTTTATTCAGCCTCTTACCAGCATTCCATGCAACTGTCTGCTCCCTCCATCCCGAAGTGCAGTCTGGTTTTGGTTTCTGTCATGACACATTCTCTTTTAGGTTTTCTTCTTAGTGAACCAGATGCTCCTCTGTAAGTATCTGCTGCTTGTTTCTCTCCCTTGGGTCCAATAGAAATGTTGGAAGTTTCCAGGTATCATTTATCAGTTCAAGACCCTCTTCTCTGCTATAGCCATACTCTTTTCTAAGTTGATTTTGTTTGATCCAGTGACACTAAGCAATGAAGACTAAGAACACTATGATTCCAAGCATTCCACCAGTGTAGCCCAGGAAACCTTTCACGGCCTGTGCCACAATGTCTGCTCCACCCTGGGATGCTAACCTTTTTCATTCAGAAAGCCAGGCTCTCTATAATTCAAAGGTTCAAGGTCTTATTTGATGGCAGACCTGTAGAGATCTAGTTGGAGAAATAAAAGGTATGTAGTACTTGCTTCTGTTAGAGATACCACAGCAGAGCATCAAATATTTGTCCTTGTTGGCTTCTCCAATGACCTTCTCCCCCACAGAATGGCTTGAGAATGTACATTTGACAACAGCTCATCTCCTTGAAGGAGCTCCACACTTGGTAAATCTTAGCAAAGTCAAATACAGGCACATGCTGTACTTTTTAAATCATGCAAATTAAATAAAATGTTCATTGCAGTTATGATGTTTTCACAACTTCTAAAAGATATGTGGTTGCCTGCGCAGAGCTGATTGTACTTATTATCCTTTTTGTGACGATAACTGTCAGTTTACCTAGCATTTGGGTTATTAAGCAGATTATTACTACAATTTTAGAACTAACTATTAGCATGTATTTAGGAAACACTATTATGTTTCACAATTTGAAGCAAAAGAAATGGATTCATAATTGCAAATTAAGTTATGCTTTAAGGAATAAGGGATTTTTTGAGGAATTACTAAAACATAGAATATTTTACAGATTTTAATTGCCAGTCTAATCACTTATTTTAAATACAGTCCACTTTAGAAATCTCCAATGACTTCGTGCTTATCACATTCCAGTGGATTAGTGAGAAACCATTTAGAGAAAAGTCATTGAATGGTATTCCAAGATCCAAAAGTAAATTAAAGAAATAAACTCAGATGCCCTTAATTTCATCAGGAAATATTCACCTGGCATCTGTGGCTGCACAGAGTTTGAATCTTGGTGCCACATGTCACCTGTGATTGGATCTGCTGGGGCAGGGGGACGAGGGCAATCTGCATCTTTCACTCAGTTAAGATCCCATGGGAGTTCCAACAGGAAATGAGCCCTTGCTTGTCCCAGTATGACACGGAGCTTGCTGGTGATGTGCACGTTGCTGTTTATATAGACAGACTTTAGTTGTAACTGAGAAGCATTTTGGTAAAGGTGTAAAATTTGGAATAAATAAGTGGTTTGGATCTTAGCTCCATGTTAACATTGTAATTTTTTTCTGAAATTTTAAATTTCTCTGAGCCTAAATTTTCTCCAGTGTGACAAAGAGATGATGAAGTGCCACCCGTGTACCCCTGGCATCTCTTGTGGTGCAGGACTAGAGCCTGAGAGGAAAGGAGCACATTCTCCAGAAAGGGATACATTCTTTATCCTTTTAAAGAATTTTCTTTAATTTAGTTAAAGAAATAAAATAATTTATTTTATTTATTTCAGCTAAAGAAAACATGCTGAATCACACATGAGCAGGGTAGGGTACAGAGAGGACTGGATATGGAGTCATAAAAGTGCTGAAGGAAGGTTGCCAGGGAATTTGCTATTCTTTGGGCATGTTTTATCTCTGAGAAAGATGGGAAGAAAGAAAGAAAAAGAAAGAAAGAAAAAAAGAAAGAAAGAAAGTAAGAAAGAAAGAAAGAAAGAAAGAAGGAAGGAAAGAAAGAAAGAAAGAGGGAGGGAGGAAGGAAGGAAGGAAAAGAAGGAAGGAAGGAAAAAGAATAGATCATTGTTATTCAAATACCCAAGGCCATTGAAGAATGAATGTCTGACTTAAGATGTACTACTGTTTACCAATGCATACTTAGATTTTTAAAAAGTGTCTTGATGAATCCAACTACTAAAGTTAATTTGCATTTAAAGTCTTCATATATACTACTTTTAATATGAAATGATTCCTCAAATTAGTTGCAAACTAAAAGATTTGACTTTATCTTCCTGCAGAGGCTTTGGGGAAAAACTCATGTTTCACAGAGATTTTTCTAGCAGCTCTTCAGTCCACCCCTCTAGAATACAGCCATGTGCCCACAGGGTTTATATTCCTAAATTTGAGAAGCACTATGTGAGACGATTTCTAAGTCCTCTCCCAGCTCTAAATTCTGTTCAGTTTATGTGTGGACAAACCATTAAAATGAAACCCAATGGAAGATTAATGCCTTAGTGGAAAGGTATAATTTAAAGGATCACTTGAGCTGGAAAGGAGGGTGGGTAGGAAGTAATTAACATCAACAAATTACATCCTCTCAGATCGTATAACCAAGGGATATTTCTAAAGTAAGCCTGATTGCAATGGATAATACCTGATGTAGTGAAACATGACCACAGGCTTTGTTTTGTTTTATTTTGTTTGGCCAATAAACCCTGGGCAATCAGATAATCTTGAAGGAAATGTACATACCACTTTGCAGAACATTTCAATATAAAGAGAAATAAAAATGACACAGAAGCATATATATCTTGAAACTCTGTGTCTTTTTTATGAATCAAGCCAAGCTAGCTACTGGATCACTGATATGTTTGTCCAGCAGGGGTTCAACTCTGTATTCTATACAAATACTTTAATAAGTTAGGTAATGGAGCAGGCCCTGTGTTATCATCTAATGAAAGAGAAATGAAAGTGATGCAGTTTTTAAATATTTTTCTCATTTGGAAGATAGACCAGGGAAACTATGGGTATAGTGTCAGAGTTATAATAGAAACATGTATGACATGTGACAAAAGCCCCTAAGTTTAAACTAGGTTATTGTACTTGGAGGAGATGTAAGATTTGTTCAAAAAGGAAAGATTATAGGTTGAAATTTGTAGAAATTTGTGGAATCTAATCATGTATTCAACTACTGTTATGGGTAAAAAAGCTTTCTAATAAAAGGGAACAGTATGTAAAGCATGTAAGAAATATTTCTCAAAATTGGTAAAGTCTAACTTTTGAAATGTTACTGTTATAAAGTGCATATAAAAATGAATATAAGGCTAGAGAGACAGGCCGAAAAGGCCTGGATCACACAGGCTCTTTTAGGAATTGAGTAATTTTAAAAATTGAAGCAATATGCTGATATTTATCTTTAGAAAGTTCACTTTGGAAACAGAGAAGATACTCTTTGAAAAGGGATCTATAGAAGACATTGTTCAGTGTTTAGGCAAGACACAATAATTAAATAGCTATGAGGATGTAAAAATATGGGCCAACTCTATAGTTCTTTCCAGCTGAATCAACAAAACCTGGTGACTAGCGCAATGCGAAGGATGACATCAAGGAAAGCCAAGCCCCATGTGACAACAATGTGTCCAACTTGCTCTGATATAGACTCATAATTAAAAATAATTTTTAACTCACAATAGGCCCTTAGTAATATCTGTTAATTAGGTTAAATAATAAATGAGGAAATACTTTGTATACATCTTGATATTTACTGAGGAAATATGAGGGAGAAAAGATGACAGAGGGAGTGTGAGGTGAAGAGTTACAGGTAATCTGGAGGAAGTTGTTCAAGAAACGGGCAAAAATAATGATCCAGAAGTTTCCAGTTTTGGTAACAGTGAAGTGAGTATGTAACACACTCTATAGCATGTGACGACAAAATCTCTGAACAAAATATCTTTGAAAACTCAACTACTTGTAAGTACTTGAATGTGAACTAAAGCAAGCAGGAAATGGAAGTTATTTGACCGTTGAAAGAAGGAAATGGAATTGGGAAAGATCCATGTTTATAAGTTTTTTACCTGAAGAGACTTTTCACTAAGGGCAATGTTGAAAATAGGACTCAAGAAGAAAGCCACAGTCACTAGAATACTAGAGGCCAGGGGAAGGAGATTTAAACCAACAGAGAAGCTGAAAACTGAGGGGTGGAGATCCAAAATAGGAGAGAATTAAAAAGAGGGAGTTTCCAAATCTCCATATAAACTCCTCTCGCAGCACTGGCTAACTATTGAACTGTGCATGTGGAAGGGACTCTGAGGAGATTAGTGAGAAACTTCAGTTGGATGTTTAAAACACTGGAGCAAATATGTCAACTGCTACCTATCACAAGAGAGATAAAGGTCTGAGTTTGAATCCTACCAAATTAGAAGAGCTTGGTAAACCCCAGGCTTATCAATGAATCATTTGGACCAAAAGTGATTTCAAGTCTTTACAATTCCAAAGTGCTATGCCAATAATTTACATATCTGCAAAAAGAAAAACTGTACTCTCAGTGGAAGACAACAGTCTCTATAACATTTCCAATGATGAACATAGGAGAAACAATTACTAGACATCAAATACACAGGAATATACAGCCTATGCTTAAGAAAAAGAAGTCAACAAGAAATTATCCTAAGAGGATCCCAATGTCACAACTAGCAGAAAAAGATTTTAAAGCAGCTGTTATAAATATAATGAAGGATTATATAAATATAATCTTTATCTTACATAAGATAAAGATAAGATAAAAGATGGTTATAATAAATGAAAAAGTGAATCTTAAAAATAAATCAAAACTAAAATATCTGAAAAATCTAGAAGTAAAAAATATAATGTCTAAAATGAAAACTATCCTGAATAGAATCAATAGCAGAATGGATATAGCTAAAGAAATGGTCAGCGAGTTTAAAACAAGTCAATAAAAAATACCTAATCTCAAGAACAGAGAAAAAATGGAAATATACTAACAACAGTAATGACATAAAACAGTATCAAGCACATTTTTGGAGTCCCAGAAAAAGAGAAGATGATTCAGAAAATGAATTCAGAAAATAAAAAGTTTCATAAAAAATAAAATTGAAGAAATCAGGAGAAAAAACCAGCCACATTTGTTAAAACAGTCTTTCCCAAATTCAAGAAGCTCATCAAACCTCATGCAGAAAGAAAAGAAAAGAAAAGAAAAGAAAAGAAAAGAAAAGAAAAGAAAACAAGCAATAAAACCCACCTTGATCTATCACAGCTAAGCTGATAAAAAACAGTGATAAAGAGAAAATCTGGAAAGAAGCCAGAGGGAGAAATATTCATGTTATGGAGGGGATAAGCAATATAGATAATAGCTTACTTCCCAACAGAATCATTGAAGGCGAAAATAGAATGGAAAAAACATCTTTATGGAACTGAAAGGATAAGAGCTGTTGAACATAAATTATATATTCTGTAAAAATATCATTTAAAAATAAAAGCAAAATAAATTCTTAGGTAAATAAAAAGTGATGTAATTCATTGCCAGCAGTGTTGCATATGAAGAAATATTTAAAGATCTGTTTAGGTTGAAGGTATATGACACCAAATGGAAGCTAGAAACTCAGTTTCACAGACAGGAATGAAAAGTATTAGAAATATTGGTAAGAATAAAAGACATTCTTCTGTTCTTCTCTTAATTTTTTAAAAACACAGTTTACTGTTGAAAATAAAGTATAACATTGTGTTGTAGAATTTATAATGTATGTAACTGTAAAATATATAATAACAATATTAGAAAGAACAGGAGTGTTTTTAAAACTATGTTGTTTCAAGGTTCTTATATATTACATACAGTAGTATAATATTAACTACAAATAGATTATAAATAAACTAAGGATACATAATTTACACCTGGATATCTACTATAATACAAAAAATCTATAGCCGAATGTCTTTAGAGGACTATAAAATGAAATATTAAAAATGTCTTATTTCTTCAAAATAGATAAGACAGGGAAAGCAGAGAAACAAAATTGATGGGAAAAATAAAAAACAGACAGAAAAATGATGAATCTAGAGACAATCATATCAATAGTTACATTAAATATAAATGAAAAAAGTCCCATATTAAAAGACAGAGATTTGCAGATTGTATAAAAAACAAAAACAAGATCCAGTTCTTCAAAAGAAACAATTTAAATACAATGCCAAGAAGAGTTTCAAATTGAAAAAGGGGAAGAGGTGGGGGAGATATAGCATGTTAGCAATTAGTCTAAGAATCTGGTGTGTCTATGTTAACCTCAGACAAAGTAATTGTATTGGTTTTACATTGCTTCTATAGCAAACTGCCACAAATTTAGTGGCTTAAAACAATATAAATTTATTTTCTCAAGGTTCCATTAATTAGAAGTTTGACATAGGCTAAAATTAAGTGTAGGTAGGGCTGCTCCTTTTGTCTGATTCTCTAGATGAGAATCTTTTTTCTTGACTTTTGCAGCTTCTAGAGATCATCCACATTCCTCGGCTAATTTTCCTCCATCTTCAAAGCCAGCAAATTTGCATTCCTCTGCTCAGTGTTTCAGAGTCACATCTCCCTCTGAATCTGAAGCCACTGGGAAAAGGTTCTTCAATGTCAGTGACTCATGTGACAAGACTGGGCTCACCCTGATAATCCAGGACAATTTCTCTATCACAAGGTTCTTAATTTTGTTGCTTCTGCAAAGGACCTTTTGCCATGTAACATGTTCATAAATTCTTCGAATTAGGGCATGGATATTTTGATGGGTCATTAGTCTGCATAGTAATGCAGACTAATACTCTTTCCTGAATGCATTAATACTATTAATGGTTAAAGAGGGAAATTTCATAAGAGCAAAGAGGCTAATTCATTAGGAATACAAAATAGTCATACATGCCTATGTATCTAGTAATAGAGATGGATGAAGCAAAAATTGATCATGTGAATTAAAGGGGCATATAGACAAATTTACAAATATAGTTAGAAATTTTAACAGTCCTTTCTCAGCGATTGATAGAACAACTAGGTAAAAAAGTCTTAATATTATAAAAGATATGAGCAACATTACAATCTTAACCTAATTAATATTTATAAAACAGTACACATAACAACTGAAGAATACACATCCTTTTTAAGGGCACATTCAATGTTTTTTGAAATAGATCATATATTGGATTATGAAATAAGTCTCAATGAATCTCAAGATGGAAATCTTACAGAATACACTTTCTGATTTTAAAGGCAATCATTAGAAATCCATAAGAATATGATGTTTATTTAAAAATCCAGATACTCAAGAATTAACAAGCTTCTAAAAAACTCATTTTTCAAAAAAGTACCCACAAGAGAAATTTAAAAATAATTTCAACCAACTGATAATTAAAATACAGCATTTCAAGAATTATAAAATTCAGCTAAAGCAGTGCTTAAGGAAATGTATATCTTTAAATGATTATTAGAACAAAGTGAAAGATTTTAAGAATCTAAATTTTTACCATAATAACCTAGGTTAAAGAAGAAAAAAATTATATAGGTATAAAATATAGGGAATACAAATAAGAGCAGAAATGAATGAAATACAAAACAGGCAAATAATGTAGAATATTAACAAAGTCCAAAGTTTATTCTGTGAGAGTGTGAATAAAATTAATATCCCCTAACCATCTGGATCAATAAAAGTGTTATCAAAACACAAATTATCAAAAGGACGAGTAAAAGAGTAGATATCCATTCACATCCTATAGGCAATAAAAAGATCATAAAAGAATACAAAGAACAACTTAATATCAATAAATTAGACAAATATAAACACAATGGACAAATTATTTGAAAAGTATAAAAATTGATAAAATATACAATAGAATATATGAATATCTCTGTATTTTTTAAGTAATTGATTTTATAATCAAAGGTCCTATCATTCAAAAAGGCTCCAGACTTAGGTGATTTTACCAGTTTTGCCAAGGTAAATCTTGGCAAACATTTAAGAAAGAAATAATTTTATACAAAGTTCTTTTCAGAAAATAGCTAAAGATGAAAGCTTCACTACTAATTTCATATGACCAGAATGTCCCTAAGCAACAAAACCTGAAAAAGACCTATGAAAGGAAAACTACTGGCAATTATCTCTATGTAATAAACCTCTATGTAATAAACCTCTTCTTTTTTAAATTTATTATTATTATACTTTAAGTTTTAGGGTACATGTACACAATGTGCAGGTTAGTTACATATGTATACATGTGCCATGCTGGTGTGCTGCACCCACTAACTCGTCATCTAGCATTAGGTATATCACCCAGTGCTATCCCTCCCCTCTCCCCCCAACCCACAACAGTCCCCAGAGTGTGATGTTCCCCTTCCTGTGTCCATGTGATCTCATTGTTCAATTCCCACCTATGAGTGAGAATATGCGGTGTTTGGTTTTTTGTTCTTGTGATAGTTTACTGAGGATGATGATTTCCAGTTTCATCCATGTCCCTTCAAAGGACATGAACTCATCATTTTTTATGGCTGCATAGCATTATATGGTGTATATGTGCCACATTTTCTTAATCCAGTCTATCCTTGTTGGACATTTGGGTTGGTTACAAGTCTTTGCTACTGTGAATAATGCCGCAATAAACATACGTGTGCATGTGTCTTTATAGCAGCATGATTTATAGTCCTTTGGGTATATACCCAGTAATGGGATGGCTG
Source organism: Homo sapiens (assembly GCF_000001405.40). Taxonomy (NCBI): domain Eukaryota; kingdom Metazoa; phylum Chordata; class Mammalia; order Primates; family Hominidae; genus Homo; species Homo sapiens. Next base: position 51,834,001 of record NC_000007.14, read on the forward strand.
GGTCAAATGGTATTTCTAGTTCTAGATCCCTGAGGAATCGCCACACTGACTTCCACAATGGTTGAACTAGTTTACGGTCCCACCAACAGTGTAAAAGTGTTCCTATTTCTCCACATCCTCTCCAGCACCTGTTGTTTCCTGACTTTTTAATGATTACCATTCTAACTGGTGTGAGATGATATCTCATTGTGGTTTTGATTTGCATTTCTCTGATGGCCAGTGATGGTGAGCATTTTTTCATGTGTTTTTTGGGTGCATAAATGTCTTCTTTTGAGACGTGTCTGTTCATGTCCTTTGCCCACTTTTTGATGGGGTTGTTTTTTTCTTGTAAATTTGTTTGAGTTCATTGTAGATTCTGGATATTAGCCCTTTGTCAGATGAGTAGGTTGCGAAAATTTTCTCCCATTTTGTAGGTTGCCTGTTCACTCTGATGGTAGTTTCTTTTGCTGTGCAGAAGCTCTTTAGTTTAATTAGATCCCATTTGTCAATTTTGGCTTTTGTTGCCATTGCTTTTGGTGTCTTAGACATGAAGTCCTTGCCCATGCCTATGTCCTGAATGGTAATGCCTATGTTTTCTTCTAGGGTTTTTATGGTTTTAGGTCTAATGTTTAAGTCTTTAATCCATCTTGAATTGATTTTTGTATAAGGTGTAAGGAAGGGATCCAGTTTCAGCTTTCTACATATGGCTAGCCAGTTTTCCCAGCACCATTTATTAAAGAGGGAATCCTTTCCCCATTGCTTGTTTTTCTCAGGTTTGTCAAAGATCAGATAGTTGTAGATATGCGGTGTTATTTCTGAGGGCTCTGTTCTGTTCCATTGATCTATATCTGTTTTGGTACCAGGACCATGCTGTTTTGGTTACTGTAGCCTTGTAGTATAGTTTGAAGTCAGGTAGTGTGATGCCTCCAGCTTTGTTCTTTTGGCTCAGGATTGACTTGGTGATGTGGGCTCTTTTTTGGTTCCATATGAACTTTAAAGGAGTTTTTTCCAATCCTGTGAAGAAAGTCATTGCTAGCTTGATGGGGATGGCATTGAATCTGTAAATTACCTTAGGCAGTATGGCCATTTTCACGATATTGATTCTTCCTACCCATGAGCATGGAATGTTCTTCCATTTGTTTGTATCCTCTTTTATTTCCTTGAGCAGTGGTTTGTAGTTCTCCTTGAAGAGGTCCTTCACATCCCTTGTAAGTTGGATTCCTAGGTATTTTATTCTCTTTGAAGCAATTGTGAATGGGAGTTCACTCATGATTTGACTCTCTGTTTGTCTGTTGTTGGTGTATAAGAATGCTTGTGATTTTTGTACATTGATTTTGTATCCTGAGACTTTGCTGAAGTTGCTAATCAGCTTAAGGAGATTTTGGGCTGAGACAATGGGGTTTTCTAGATATACAACCATGTCATCTGCAAACAGGGAGAATTTGACATCCTCTTTTCCTACTTGAATACCCTTTATTTCCTTCTCCTGCCTGATTGCCCTGGCCAGAACTTCCAACACTATGTCGAATAGGAGTGGTGAGAGAGGGCATCCCTGTCTTGTGCCAGTTTCAAAGGGAATGCTTCCAGTTTTTGCCCATTCAGTATGATATTGGCTGTGGGTTTGTCATAGATAGCTCTTATTATTTTGAGATATGTCCCATCAATACCTAATTTATTGAGAGTTTTTAGCATGAAGCATTGTTGAATTTTGTCAAAGGCCTTTTCTGCATCTATTGAGATAATCATGTGGTTTTTGTCTTTGGTTCTGTTTATATGCTGGATTACATTTATTGATTTGCATATATTGAACCAGCCTTCCATCCCAGGGATGAAGCCCACTTGATCATGGTGGATAAGCTTTTTGATGTGCTGCTGGATTCGGTTTGCCAGTATTTTATTGAGGATTTTTGCATCAATGTTCATCAAGGATATTGGTCTAAATTCTCTTTTTTGATTGTGTCTCTGCCTGGCTTTGGTATCAGGATGATGCTGGCCTCATAAAATGAGTTAGGGAGGATTCCCTCTTTTTCTGTTGATTGGAATAATTTCAGAAGGAATGGTACCAGTTCCTCCTTGTACTTCTGGTAGAATTCAGCTGTGAATCCATCTGGTCCTGGACTCTTTTTTGTTGGTAAGCTATTGATTATTGCCACAATTTCAGATCCTGTTATTGGTCTATTCAGAGATTCAACTTCTTCCTGGTTTAGTCTTGGGAGAGTGTATGTGTCGAGGAATTTATCCATTTCTTCTAGATTTTCTAGTTTATTTGCATAGAGGTGTTTGTAGTATTCTCTGATGGTACTTTGTATTTCTGTGGGATCAGTGGTGATGTCCCCTTTATCATTTTTTATTGTGTCTATTTGATTCTTCTCTCTTTTTTTCTTTATTAGTCTTGCTAGCGTTCTATCAGTTTTGTTGATCCTTTCAAAAAACCAGCTCCTGGATTCATTAATTTTTTGAAGGGTTTTGTGTGTCTCTATTTCTTTCAGTTCTGCTCTGATTTTAGTTATTTCTTGCCTTCTGCTAGCTTTTGAATGTGTTTGCTCTTGCTTTTCTAGTTCTTTTAATTGTGATGTTAGGGTGTCAATTTTGGATCTTTCCTGCTTTCTCTTGTGGGCATTTAATACTATAATTTTCCCTCTACATACTGCTTTGAATGTGTCCCAGAGATTCTGGCATGTTGTGTCTTTGTTCTGGTTGGCTTCAAAGAACATCTTTATTTCTGCCTTCACTTTGTTATGTACCCAGTAGTCATTCAGGAGCAGGTTGTTCAGTTTCCATGTAGTTGAGCAGTTTTGAGTGAGATTCTTAATCCTGAGCTCTAGTTTGATTGCACTGTAGTCGGAGAGATAGTTTGTTATAATTTCTGTTCTTTTACATTTGCTGAGGAGAGCTTTACTTCCAAGTATGTGGTCAATTTTGGAATAGGTGTGGTGTGGTGCTGAAAAAAATGTATATTCTGTTGATTTGGGGTGGAGAGTTCTGTAGATGTCTATTAGGTCTGCTTGGTGCAGAGCTGAGTTCAATTCCTGGGTACCCTTGTTGACTTTCTGTCTCCTTGATCTGTCTAATGTTGACAGTGGGTTGTTAAAGTCTCCCATTATTACTGTGTGGGAGTCTAAGTCTCTTTGTAGGTCACTGAGGACTTGCTTTATGAATCTGGGTGCTCCTGTATTGGGTGCATATATATTTAGGATAGTTAGCTCTTCTTGTTGAATTGATCCCTTTACCATTATGTAATGGCCTTCTTTGTCTCTTTTGATCTTTGTTGGTTTAAAGTCTGTTTTATCAGAGACTAGGATTGCAACCCCTGCTTTTTTTCGTTTTCCATTTGCTTGGTAGATCTTCCTCCATCCTTTTTTGAGCCTATGTGTGTCTCCGCCCATGAGATGGGTTTCCTGAATACAGCACACTGATGGGTCTTGACTCTTTATCCAATTTGCCAGTCTGTGTCTTTTAATTGGAGCATTTAGTCCATTTACATTTAAAGTTAATATTGTTATGTGTGAATTTGATCCTGTCATTATGATTTTAGCTGGTTATTTTGCTCGTTAGTTGATGTAGTTTCTTCCTATTCTCGATGGTCTTTACATTTTGGCATGATTTTGCAGTGGCTGGTGCCGGTTGTTCCTTTCCATGTTTAGCGCTTCCTTCAGGAGCTCTTTTAGGGCAGGCCTGGTGGTGACAAAATCTCTCAGCCTTTGCTTGTCTGTAAAGTATTTTATTTCTCCTTCACTTATGAAGCTTAGTTTGGCTGGATATGAAATTCTGGGTTGAAAATTCTTTTCTTGAAGAATGTTGAATATTGGCCCCCACTCTCTTCTGTCCTGTAGAGTTTCTGCCGAGAAATCCGCTGTTAGTCTGATGGGCTTCCCTTTGTGGGTAACCTGACCTTTCTCTCTGGCTGCCCTTAACATTTTTTCCTTCATTTCAACTTTGGTGAATCTGACAATTATGTGTCTTGGAGTTGCTCTTCTTGAGGAGTATCTCTGTGGCGTTCTCTGTATTTCCTGAATCTGAACATTGGCCTGCCTTGCTAGATTGGGGAAGTTCTCCTGGATAATATCCTGCAGAGTGTTTTCCAACTTGGTTCCATTCTCCCCATCACTTTCAGGTACACCAATCAGACGTAGATTTGGTCTTTCACATAGTCCCATATTTCTTGGAGGCTTTGCTCATTCCTTTTTATTCTTTTTTCTCTAAACTTCCCTTCTTGCTTCATTTCATTCATTTCGTCTTCCATCGCTGATACCCTTTCTTCCAGTTGATCGCATCGGCTCCTGAGGCTTCTGCATTCTTCACATAGTTCGTGAGCCTTGGTTTTCAGCTCCATCAGCTCCTTTAAGCACTTCTCTGTATTGGTTATTCTAGTTATACATTCTTCTAAATTTTTTTCAAAGTTTTCAACTTCTTTGCCTTGGGTTTGAATGTCCTCCCATAGCACGGAATAATTTGATTGTCTGAAGACTTCTTCTCTCAGCTCGTCAAAGTCATTCTCCATCCAGCTTTGTTCCGTTGCTGGTGAGGAACTGTGTTCCTTTGGAGGAGGAGAGGTGCTCTGCTTTTTAGAGTTTCCAGTTTTTCTGCTCTGCTTTTTCCCCATCTTTGTGGTTTTATCTACTTTTGGTCTTTGATGATGGTGATGTACAGATGGGTTTTTGGTGTGGATGTCCTTTCTCTTTGTTAGTTTTCCTTCTAACAGACAGGACCCTCAGCTGCAGGTCTGTTGGAGTACCTGGCCGTGTGAGGTGTCAGTCTGCCCCTGCTGGGGGGTGCCTCCCAGTTAGGCTGCTGGGGGGTCAGGGGTCAGGGACCCACTTGAGGAGGCAGTCTGCCCGTTCTCAGATCTCCAGCTGCATGCTGGGAGAAGCACTGCTCTCTTCAAAGCTGTCAGACAGGGACATTTAAGTCTTCAGAGGTTACTGCTGTCTTTTTGTTTGTCTGTGCCCTGCTCCCAGAGGTGGAGCCTACAGAGACAGGCAGGCCTCCTTGAGCTGTGGTGGGCTCCACCCACTTCGAGCTTCCAGGCTGCTTTGTTTACCTAAGCAAACCTGGGCAATGGCGGGCACCCCTCCCCCAGCCTCACTGCCGCCTTGCAGTTTGATCTCAGACTGCTGTGCTAGCAATCAGTGAGACTCCGTGGGTGCAGGACCCTCCGAGCCAGGTGCGGGATATTATCTCCTGGTGCACCATTTTTTAAGCCTGTCAGAAAAGCGCAGTATTCGGGTGGGAGTGACCCGATTTTCCAGATGCCGTCTGTCACCACTTTCTTTGACTAGGAAAGGGAACTCCCTGACCCCTTGTGCTTCCCGAGTTAGGCAATGCCCCGCCCTGCTGCGGCTCCAGCACGGTGCGTGCACCCACTGACCTGCACCCACTGTCTGGCACTCCCTAGTGCGATGAACCCGGTACCTCAGATGGAAATGCAGAAATCACCCGTCTTCTGCGTCGCTCATGCTGGGAGCTGTAGACCGGAGCTGTTCCTATTCGGCCATCTTGGCTCCTCCCTCCTAAACCTGTTAATAAACCATGTAATAAACACTTAAGGAAAAATTTGCAAGTCAAAAACAACTAAGTAGAACAATGTTAATATATCATGATCAAGTAGAAAAGAAAATATCTGTTCCCAAATTTCTTGCATATGAATGTTTATAGCACTTTAGTTCATAATGTTCCAACACTAAAATAAACCAAATATCCATCAATATAAAAATTGTGGTATGTTGGCTGGGCACTGTGGCTCACACCTGTAATCCCAGCACTTTGGGAGGCCAAGGCGGGTGGATCACGAGGTCAGGAGATTGAGACCATCCTGGCTAACATTGTGAAATCCCGTTTCTACTAAAAATACAAAAATTAGCCAGGTATGGTTGGGGGTGCCTGTATTCCCAGCTACTCAGGAGGCTGAGGCAGGAGAATCGCTTGAACTGGGGAGGCAGAGGTTGCAGTGAGCCGAGATAGCCCACCGCACTCCAGCCTGGAGACACAACGAGACTCTGACTCAAAAACAAAATTGTGGTATGTTAATAAAATTGAGCTCTATTCAGCAATAGAAATTATGAACTATAAAAACAGAACAATATGAATGATTCTGAAGAGCATTATGTTGAAGGAAACAAGAGTGGCCCCAAAGAGTATCTATCATAAGTTTCAAACTTTGTATGAAGTTCTATAACAAGCAAATATAAGCTGTGGTCATAAAAAGAGAATGTTTGCCTATGGTAGGGGGATGGGTATCTAAGAAATTTCTGGGTCTTTATTACTCTGGTGGTTACACATATTCTTTTTCAAAACTTATCAAATTTTGCACATAGCACCTGTGCATTTCACTGTATGTAAATTTTACCTTAATTATGACAAATATATGGGCTTAGAACTTTGAAATGTAATCTTGGCTAAAAATTGCAAAATGTGCACATTTTCATTATAGTTGAAAACACAAGTTCACACAATGGAAGTGTGCAAAATATGTGAGATGTGGCTGAGAATTCCTGGAGAATACAAATATTGAAGGATGGTGAAAGAAGTGGTATCTTAAAAAAGATTAAGAACAAAAGTGCTAATTATGGAAGGAATAAAGTGATAAGTCAAATCATATTAAAATTAAGAACTTCTCTTTTTTAAAAAATTTGTACTTTAAGTTCTGGGATGCATGTGTCGAACATGCAGGTTTGTTACATAGGTATACATATGCCATGGTGGTTTGCTGCACCCGTCAACCCATCATCTAGGTTTTAAGCCCCACACGCATTAGGTATTTGTCCTAATGCTCTCCCTCCCCTTGCCCCCTAACTCCTGACATACCCCAGTGTGTGATGTTCCCCTCCCTGTGTCCAGGTGTTCTCATTGTTCAACTTCCACTTATGAGTGAGAACATGCAGTGTTTGGTTTTCTGTTCCTGTGTTAGTTTGCTGAGGATGATGGTTTCCAAAAGACATCATTGGGAGAGAGAAAAAGGAACCCATAGAGAGGGACAAGATGAGGCAGGTAGATAAATAGATAATAAATGAATAGATGAAAGATAGACGGTGTCTTAGTCTGCTTGTGTTGCTATTAAGGAACACCTGAGGCTGGGTAATTTATAATGAAAAGAGGTTTATTTGGCTCACAGTTCTGTGGACTGTACAAGAAGCATGGCACTGGCATCTGCTTCTGGTAAGGGCCTCAGGCTGCTTCTACTAGTGGTGGAAGGTGAAGTGGAGCTGGTTGTGCGGAGATCACATGGAGGGAGAAAGCAAGCAAGAGGGGGCTGTCTGGCTCTTTGAACAATAAGCTCTCCCAGGAAATAATAGAGTAAGAACTCACTTACCCCTCTCATGGAGGGAAGTAATCTATTTGTGAGGCATCTGCCCCATGACCCAAACACCTCCCGTTAGGCCTTGCCTTGGGATCACATTTAAACATGAAGTTTGGAGCAGTCAAATATCCAAACAATGGATAAATAGATTAGATGGGTGGATAGATAAGTAAATGCAATGCTATGAAAAGTTTGCATTCAGAACATACAAAGAATTTCTAAAATCAATAAAAAGGAAAGATAACTCAATAGAAAAAAATGAACAAAAGACTTGAACACGCATGTCATATAATAGGCAATTCAAATCACCAACATATTGAAAGACACTAACCTTTTTTTGTCATCCAGGAAATATAAATTAAAACCACAGTGCAAAATCACTTCCATGGACCAGAATGAACTTAATAAAAAAAAGATGAAAGTGCCGAGTGTTGGTGAGGATGTACAACAACTAGAACCAGAGCTTTTGTACATTTCTGGCAGGATTGTAAATTGATACAAACTTGTTGGAGAACCATATATCAGTATTTACTAAAGTTAAACATACACCCACTCAATTTTACCCATGGAGAGATACTAAATGGAAATATGTACATGTGTTGATGAAAAGACTTGCACTAAAATGTCTGTATTGCACTACGTAACCTGGAAACTAGACTAGGGCCCATCACCAGTAAAGTGGGTAATTACATTGCGGTATATTCCCATTTAAATATTGTATAGCAATGAGAATCAAAATATGGATGACTCTCACAAACAAATGGTTAAGCAAATGAACCTCAACAGAAAAGATGAAGTACTGTTTAGTTCCAGTTATATAAAGCATAATAACAGAGGGTGGTGGTCTGTGTTGTTAGAAGTCAGGAGAGGGGACTCTCAGGGCAGATGGCAGTGACTGGCTGGTAAAGGCATTTGGGGGCTTCTGATTTGTTGGTGATGTACCACGTCTTCATCTGAGTGCTGGTTCCATACACACGTTCAGTTTCTGAACATTCATTTAACTTCTTGCTCATGAAATGTACACTTTGCTGTAAGCGTGCTGGACTTCAAAAGTTTTAAGAAGAGATGGGGAAAACGCAGACTGAGAATCATCCAGGGAACTGACAGAAACCATTTATTTTAGACAGACAGCCAAATGTGTGTGTGTGTTAGCTATGAATCTTTGAATGTAATGATATTGCTGAATCTACATGTATATGCTTAGTGATAAAGAAATTGAAATTATGTAAATTTCTGAAATGCAGAAGGTGAAGCCTTGCTGAGGAAAGGGAGGAAGTGAGAATATTTTCTGTACTATGTGCTCTGCCTCATTGCTGATTTACTGATCAGATGATTGAATTATTCTTCCCATTATACAGATGATGCAATGAGGCTTTAGAAATGAAGTGTTTTGGCAAGGCTTGTGTAGGCTGGTAAACTATGAGACTAATAAGTGATTCTGTACATGACATTAAATCCCATTCTTGATTCATTCTCCAAAGCAATCTTCTTCAAGCTACAAACAAGTATTTTACTGATTATTTTGTTTAGTGGAAATATCCAAACATTTAGATGTATAAATTAAACAAATGTGTCTCTAATAAGACACTAAAATTATGGAATATCAAAGTAAACTAGTTTTATTTCTTAAAGATGGGTAATTTAAAAGCCACAGTTTAAAATTAATATTATTTTAATTGACTAATCATAGTTGTATACTTTTATGGGATACAAAGTGATGTTTTGATATCTGTATTCAATGTGCTATGATTAAATCAAGCTAATTAACATATCCATCATTTCACTTACTTACCATTTTCTGTGAATCTTTTGAAGTTTACCCTTAGCTATCCTGAAATATACAATAGAATATTAATAACTGTACTCAATTTGCTGTGCAATAGATCTCACAAACTTATTTCTAACTGAAACTTTGTACCCTTTGACCAACATCCCTCCATAGTACTCCCCAACCTCCACTCCCAGCCTCCTAACAACCATTTTACTTTCTACTTCTATGATTTTGACTTTTTTGGATTACATGTATCAGTGAGATCATGAAGTATTTGTCTTTCCATGTATGGCTTATTTCATGAATTATGTCTTCCAGATTCACTCATCTTGTTGCAAATGATACAATTTCTTTCCTTTTTAAGGCTGAATAGTATTCTGTTGTGTATATACCATATTTTCTTTACCCATTTGTCCACTGATGGACACTTAGGTTGATTGCATATCTTGAATATTGTGAGTAATGTTGCAAAATACACTGGTTGCAAAAACACTGGAGTTCAGATATCTCTTTGATATATTGATTTCAATTTCTTTGGATATATACCCAGACGTGGGATTGCTGGATCGTACAGTAGTTCCATTTTTGGTTTTCAAACTAAAAAGCTTCTACACAATAAAGGAAATAATTAACAGAGGGAAGAGACAATCCATAGAGTGGGAGAAAATATTTACAAACCATACATCTTCTAAGAGGTTAATATTGAAAATAAATAGGGAACAAAATTCAATAACAAGAAAACTAATAACCTGATTGAAAAATGAGCAAAGGATCTGAACAAATATTTCTCAAAAGAAGATGTACAAATGACCAATAGATTCATGAAAAAAATCTCAGCATCACTAATCATTAGGGAAATGCAAATTATAACCACAATGAGATATCACCTCATACTCATTTAGCATTTTATCAAAAATACAAAAGATAAGTTTTGTTGAGGATGCAGAGAAAAGAGGAGTCTTGTACACAGCTGGTAAAAATGTAAATTAGTACAACCATTACAGGAAGCAATATGGAGATTTCTTAATAATCTAAAAATGAAACTACATTTTTAAAAATTTGAAGAAGTTGAGAAAAAATACATATTCTGAGAAAAAAATCAGAAAGCAGTTTGCATATAGTTGCTCATGTTTCATATATTTTCATACAAAAACAGAGTTTTCTAATGAAATTAAAAGAATGACACACTTTTATGGTATTTAAATTTTTATTTTTAATTTTTGTGGTTATATATTAGGTGTATATATTTATGGGGTACATGAGATATTTTTGATACAGGGATGCAATGCATAATAATCACATCAGGATAAATGGGGTATTCTTCACCTCAAGCATTTATCCTTTCTATTACAAACCGCAATTATGCTCTTTTTGTTATTATAAAATGTACAATTAAATTATTATATATAAATAACAATTTATATCCTAACATAAATGACCTCCTAACCACCAAACCCTGTATATGTCTCATATTTATGGTATATATGGATATTTATGATTTACATCTATATTTATCAGTATGTATATATACATACTGATGTATGTATATAATTTATGTCATATATGTAGGAAAATGCAAGGAGCTATACATACATCAGTATGTATATATATACATTGGTAGTTCTCTATTTCAACTGTATAGCCAAATAAACTGACGACTGGATGAGATTTTTAAAAATACTGTTCCTGGGCCAGGCGCAATGTCTCACACCTCTAATCCCAGCACTTTGAGAGGCTGAGGAGGGTGGATCACCTGAGGTCAAGAGTTCGAGATTAGCCTGGCCAACATGATGAAACCAGATCTCTACTAAAAATACAAAAAATTAGCCAGGTGTGGTGGCAGGCACCTGCAATTCCAGCTACTCGGAAGGCTGAGGCAGGAGAATTGCTTGAACCCAGGAGGCAGAGGTTGCAGTGAGCAGAGATCGCACCATTGCACTCCAGCCTGGGCAACAAGAGCGAGACATTGTCTCAAAAAATAAAAATAAAAAAATACTGTTGCTTTGGTCAAAGGTAAGCTGTTGTGATTTAATTTCAGGTAGGGGAGCTGCCACTCTGGTTTGAGAACACTAGTTTATATGCTGAGAAGTGTTATGGGAAGTCAGAGACCCTGAACAGAGGGACCAGCTGGAGCAGTGGTAGAGGTTCATAAATTGTGAAGATTTCATCTTAATATGGACATTTATCAGTTCTCAAATAATACTTTTATAATTTTTTATGCCTGTCTATACTTCCTGTGAGGTTGGGCAAAAAGAGCCATATTTTTCTTCTTGCAAAGAGCCTATAAACAGACGTGCAAGTAGGAAAGATATCACTAAATTCTTTTCCTAGCAAGGAATATTAATATTAATACCCTGGGAAAGGAATGCATTCCTGGGGGGGAGGTCTATAAACAGCAGCTCTGGGAATGTCTGTCTTGTGCAGTTGAGATAAGGAGTGTGATAAGCCCTGGTCTCTTGCAGAACCCTCAGGCTTACTAGGGTTGGGAAAACCCCACCCTGGTAAATTTGTGGTCAGACTCGTTCTCTGCTCTTGAACACTGTTTTCTGTTGTTTAAGATGTTTATCAAGACAATATGTGCACCGCTGAACATAAAACCTTATCAGTGGTTCTGCTTTTGCCCTTTGCCCTGTGATCTTTGTTGGACCTTTATCAGTGGTTCTGCTTTTGCCTTTTGCCCTTTGCCCTGTGATCTTTGTTGAACCCCTATCAGTGGTTCTGCTTTTGCCCTTTGCCCTGTGATCTTTGTTGGACCCTTATCCATGGTTCTGCTTTTGCCGTTTGTCCTGTTCCCTCAGAAGCATGTGATCTTTGTTAGACCCTTATTAGTGGTTCTGCTTTTTGCCCTTTGAAGCATGTGATCTTTGTACCTACTCCCTATTCTTACATCCCCTCCCCTTTTGAAGCCTTTAATGAAAACTTGCTGGTCTGAGACTCAGGCAGCCATCACAGTCCTACCAATATGTGATGTCACCCCTGGTGGCCCAACTGTAAAATTCCTCTCTTTATACTGTCTCTCTTTATTTCTCAGCCGGCCGAAACTTATGGAAAATAGAAAGAACCTATGTTGAAATATTGGGGGTGGGTTCCCCCAGTAGAGAGGGAGAAGACGTAAGAATCTCTTAGTTGTGAGATGATTCACACTGCTTTCTATGATTTATTCTAAGACTGAGGTAGACATTTCCTCATTTCCTACACACATCCTCTTCTAGGTCACCCCAAAGCCCATAGTCTTTCCACTCCACATTTTTTCCTTCCTTAGTTTTAGTTCCCTTCCTGTGAAGTTTCTCTCTCACACCATAACACAGATGGCATCCTTGTGTCTCCACACTGCTGTTGGAACGTTTTTATGCACTATCATTCATTTATGTCATATATGCAGGAAAATGCAAGGAGCTGTCTTGTCCATCTTGTGTCTGTCACTCTCTTTCTCTCTCATGATCTTCAAGCATCCTCCCTGCATAGGGCCTGTCTCTTCTGCCTACAGACATTGCATAGTAAATGCTGTGTCCTGAAGGAGCCCAATCTTTGCTTACAGTGACATCAGACAAATGTAATTACAAAGGAATTCTAAGCCTTATTAGCATCTCATCCTTACCAGAGAAGTCACAGCTATTGCAGCATTTCCCAAAATTCTCTACCTTCTACCTCAATTCTTGTATTCTCAGCACTTGTTCTTCTATGAAGAACTCAAAATATTCTTCCTGAAGCATTTCCTCCCTCTCCTCTGCCCCAGCACTGCCTCCAGCTTGCAGGGATTCCCAGGGTTCTGTCACTTGAATGTAGCATGAGGTGGCTCCTTTTTAACTTGTGGGTAGAGTCACTTTGAGATGGCTGATAATTTTGTCTTTTTCTCACTTTTTTTTGTCTGATTTCCATGGAGAATAGAGATTTGAAGAATTAAATTCTCCACCTTCCACCATAAAAAATTATCCCCTCAAACTTTCTATCACTCTACAATTGGGAAATACCCTTACTGGCCTCCAGCTAGTAGTTCCTCCCTCTTCCTACCTTCACCCCTTCCCAGTATACACTTCATGTTCCCCCTCACTGCCCTCTCCAGCTCACTCACATGGCATCCTTTCTAGCCCCTCATCTGGTTGAAGGATTTGTCCACAGCCTCCTCTTGCTACTGCAATATATAACTTGCCCTTTGGCTTCTGGGACACTGGGTTGTCCTGGTAGTTTTTCTTCTCTGACACATTCAATCAGGAATTATTTTTCCTTTTCCAGCTCACCTTCCTTTCTCTTCCTACTTCCTAAATATAAGAACCACAACTGTTCTTCTCTCTCACACACATTGCTCCAATGTCTGCATAAGTAAATATCATCCTTTTTGAGAGTAACTTATTTTTGTCTCTGCCTAATTTCTGTTCTCAAATATCAGCCTGGAAATCCCACCAACTAATAAACATCTGGCTATCACGTCCCTCTAGCCCTGCAAACTCAATGTGACTAAAACTGAGCTCATCATGTTCACCCTCTTTGTTCTTTCCTCTCTGTGCCTATTTTCTACTGACAGCACCATTTCAGTCATCCAGCTTTGAATGGTTTCTGATTCTTTCATATTTTCTCCAAATATTTGACCAGTCACAAATCTGCAATGGTTGCATTTTAGCATATTCCTCCTGTTGAGTCAGTTTTTCCATGCTACCCTGTGTAGCCTCCTTCCCTCCTGCAAGGTTTAGAAAATCCTAAAATCGGCCCCCACACTCCCCATCCTCAGGTGTTCTGCTCGTTGTTGCCACTTTAACGTTTCTTTATAACAGTTCTAATTATGTTACTCCTCAGCTCCAAGCCTTTGCAGTAGGTCGAGCATCCTGCAAAGCAGGCTCTGAGATTAGTGTGCAGGATGCTTATTAGGGATCAGCACCATGGACAGGTTGGGGAGGGCAGGAGAGAGTATGGGGAGGAGCCAAGATGCAACACAGGCTGACACCAGCCTTGGACGGCCTGCAGGGAGCTCTGAATCTAAAATGGCCCTTCAGAGTTGTCTCCTATTGGGCTGAGAAAGCCAGACATTTTTATCTCCACCCTGGTCAGTCACTGATATTCGGTGAGGAGCCCTGCAGCTCAGGCAATCCTTCAAGGGGCTGACAGCTGGAGGCTCTGCCTGCTCCCTCCTAGCACAGTTTTCATTGCAGGGTTATCTGGGCTGTTCATCCGAGTGGACACTAGAGTTCTCAAAGGCTCCCTATTACCTACAGGCTACAATTCCAGCTCCTTAGCCTGAAATTCATGAGTGCCCACCACCTGTTGCAAATAGCCTTCCAGTTTCACTTTCCAAGTCTCTACTTTTAAAGTCTTTGCTGCCATCATGTTGAGCTCATTTCATATTCCTTCCATATGATATATACTTTTTTATCTCTGTAATTTACTCAGGATTGCCCACTATGCTAAAACTCTCTAGTTAATCATTTCATTATCTCAAAAATCACCCTATCTTTCAAAGTTCATCTCATGTGATCTTCTGTCCAAATTCCTCCCTAAAATTCCCAGCTTGAAATTGTCTGTTCTTACTCATATCTCCAGTTAAAACTTTTGTGCATCTTGGGAAAATACTAATAACAAGATAAATGTCTCTTGTGTTCACTACCATTATCAGCCTTGTCATTTTGCCATTGCATTGAACAGGGGGCTCTGTTTCCCATGCTACAATGAGTGCTGATCAATCTCTAGTTCCATGAGTCCTTGATGCCCTGTTCCTCTAACAAGTCCAAAAGCTCATTGTATTTAGCCTGACATAACTTTGCATGTTCAGTAGTATGCAGTCCAATGCTTGGCATAGAGGAACCAATGAACAGTAGTTTTCTGAATGACTAAATGTTTAAATAAATATTATCCAACAATGTGTCACAATATGGCTTTCTCTCGTTATGCTATTGGCTTGGTAGAAAATAACCCTTGATGAATTACTGAGAAGCTCTAAGAAGGTGTGATGGAATGTCACATTTTAAGTTTGTAATCTTCCATAGCGTTATACACTTTTATTACAGGCTTCACGAAAACAACTGTACTTTCAGAAATAAAATTTGAGCATATCTAAATGAGTTCCACCTTTGTCAGGAGGGAGCAGATATGGTCCATTATAAAGGTAAGTTTTTCTTGCAGCTATCCTGTGTGCCCTGAGACAGTGAGGATGGAAAGTTGGGGAGAATATACATGTGGAGACAATTGTGTTTTAATTGCAGTGTAGAATCTTCCTAGTGTAATGAGTGGAAATATCCTTTCAATTTTTAATATTTAAATCCTACTGCTCTTGCTCAGAGAATCTTTGGAGTTTTCTTGAAGGAACAAACAACAGCTTAATTCCTTGAGCACAAAGAACACATTTAATTTGAGAAAGTCTGTTTTACTCTTTGTTCTTCAGCCTGCAAACTCCCCTGTTTTTCCTCCGAGAAAGAGAGCTTAGAACCTGCTAGGTAAGGTGCTAAGATGATTAATTAATAGGAAGCATGTGGAGTGGGGAAGGTGGATTAAAAATCAGCTGGAAGAGGGATAGGCTCTAAGTTAGCATTAGTAAGTTTGTTTTGTACAGTGAAGTGAAAAATAGCATGCATCAATTATGCATGCTATTGCTGCATTCTTATGCAGCAATGAGCTTAATCAAGTTTATACCACTGTAAACTGTAAAAAATGGCTTATTTTTCTGTGGGAAAAATTCATCATTTCTCAAGGTACAAACATATCTCTAAAATCTCCTTTGATCCTCTGGAATTTTTCTTCATGTTCACAAGGAAAAGATGATTTTTGCTTCAACTAATCCTTGCTTCCATTTCTTCCTTCAAAAAGGCTTTTTTTGCTATTCTGATTAATCAGTTATGATGCTGAGCATTTTCTTAATAGAATAGGAAATCCTGCAAATAATAGATCATTAGAACAACACAAGTCCACTTTATCATTTAATGAATCCTCAGGACAAAGAAAAAAACAATATAAATTTAATTTAATCAATTTTCCAGATTATAATTTGGTATTGCCCTTAACTATAACAAACTATTTTTATAAATTCTTTAAAAATCACTTTATCTTGTGTTTTCAAACAGCCAAAAATATGAGCAATTTACAACTTCTTCTCTTCTTTAGTGGTGGAGATTATAAAATAGCTACAATTAATGCGATCATTAGAAAAGAAAAAGAAAAGAAGACTTACACAGGGCCAAATTATATCCCAAGCAGGTTTTAAGCAGCAAGTAATTAGCACAGGGAGATTGGTACTCTTATGTCTTTAATTACAGCTTCAGCAACCTGGGGAAGCAAAAGCCTCTCACCGTGTTCCAGGGAGCCACAGTGGAGATTGCCATCCTGTGAATTAGGAAGTGCTTAAGTGTAATGCCAGCCTAATCCCCTGCATTGTAAAGTGGGCTGGCAGTGCAGTTTTGCTCCATCATTCAAAACTACATGTGAGGTAACTTTAAATGTGATTCACTGAAAAATCTATATTGGTAAAAGACTTTATGTAATGCCAGTATTTATTTGTAAAGCTGGGAGCACTAACTTTTACTAGTCCATGTACTAAGTCAAAAATATTAAAACATAAATAGATGACTTTAAATAGACCAAATACTAAAAATCTTACAGAATTGTCTTGAAATGGGGTAACATGAGGATGTATCAATAAGGCATATACACATATGCATATGTATAAACCTATATATATACACATACATATATACATGTATCTATATAAATGCATAATAGCTATAAAAGATACATTAATATGAAATCCACTTTGCTCTAACCTCTTTGTGCTGGCTTGTTAAGACACAATCTTTTGTCTGAGTTTCACTATCCATGAGGACAGCCTTCCTTTCCCTTTTCCTCCCTCTTCATCTGTCCATCTCTCTCAGCAAAACAAATATTTTTACTTTGACATTGGGGATGCTGTTTACATTATGTTTTATAGTGGTATTTATGTCTTCCAAGTTTTGTTTATAGATTGGTTCTCAATGTGAAAAACTGATTCACAGTTTTTGCACTATTATTTCTCCAGTTGATGAAATGAAAAATATGAGACTTAGAGCTGAAAATAGAAAAACCAAAATAATAATCATTGAAAATTGTGAATGAGCAGGGCAGTGTTCTACATAAGCTAAATTCCAATCTTTTATAATATAATTAGCAGGTATTGTATAACATTGATAAACAAGATATGGGTTCAAACATAAAAGGAAGATAGAAAGCAATCATGGGTCTCTGGTACTTGGTTTTGGAAAGTGCAGTAAGGGAGAAGGAATGGGTGAAATGTCCACCTTCCACTACTTTTTCTGTAAACCCTTTGATATGATTTTGAATTCTACCAGTTGCATCTATTTTTTCCTGCATAAAATAATCAGTGGTAGGTTAGATGAGAGGATGAAGAGGCAACTTCTTGGAGGTTTGTGTTTGCATCCCTTCCCATTTTCTCCTTCATTGCTCATGTACCTTTGGCGCTAAGTGACAAAGGACGGACACATACTGGCCCCATACTTTAGTGACACATCCCTGAGAGATCAGAGAGGGCAATGGACAGCTTCTTTTAGTCATTGCTACATTAAGGTGCTACCAAAAACTCAAGCGAACATGGAAGATACTGAAAGATATTTAAATATATCACTCCAAGCCCAAATTCAACTTTCCCTAATCCACTTTCCCTTAACCAAAGTCCAAAAATTCCCACAGTAACTATAATGCCTACAATGTGAAGGGAAGTGTGAAGAAGGAACATCAGAGTAGAAAAGCAGAACCTCAACTCAGAATAATCAATATATTATATTTTGACAAATTTTAGGAAACATACGGGCATGTCAGCAAGTTGCTAGGATCCACCCCAGGGGGTCTTGGAAGGAGCCATACAAGTGAGACCTTCTGAAGTGCCAGCCTCATTGGCTTCAGTAACTCTGCCAATGGAGATCAAGGGCAAGAATTTATGGTCATAGTGGGAAAGGAAGTGCAGAGAACACACTGATTCAGACAGTTTTATGTGTCTGGGAAAAGAGCAAAAAAAGTTTTTGAAGAATTTTTGGTCTTCTCCAACAAGTTGTCACAAAACAATAATCCAGTGCCTTCTCTGTTATACATCCAGATAACAGAATATCTGCTACTATGTACAGTTTGCTCTTTGCTACTAGCTTTCATATACAAATTGCAATTTCTTCAAACATTATTGCTTACTGCTCTGACTTAAGTTAACCAAATTTTGATTTTCATGTATCAGGTACAAAAAAATCATTTCAGTTTATTACGGAACTTGCCAGGCAATGTGTTAGTTTCAGCAATTGTTCGGTCTTTGTTAAGCAGATTGTGCAACTACACAAAATTTCACTGCAGTGGCTTTCCAATCTTATCTAGAAGAGGAAAGATAAGACTTAGAGCATCACCTTGTGCTGGTGGTGGTGATATGGGGTTCCTGGGACAAGGGAGGTCTGAGCCAGTAGGGATCCAGTCAATTGCCACCAGAGCCATTCAATGATTACTTGCTCTCTGGGCTACCGTTTCAGGCACAAAAAATCAGAGGTAGATTCAGTCTTCTATACACCTACACTGTATTGTTATTAACCCATCCCTGGTTAAGGCATTTAATATGGGCATGTCTTCATTGCAGATTATACTACAGTCAACTGCAGTGCCTATATTGATTAAATCCTGGGCTAGGATATTTCCTTTGAATGGTTGTGTGACTTTGGGCCTGCCACTTTACCTATTTGGCCTTCAATTCCTAAGATCTGAAATAAGAAACTATGAAGAATTGATTTTAAGGCCTCACGTCCATCTCTGACATTCTGTCTCTAACCTTTGGTCAATGTCTTATGCCCAAGTAATGTTCTCTAACATAAAGTACAGTATCTTCCTTGCATCAAGAGTCAAAGAACAAAATAAAGACTAGGGGTTTTATTTCAAATCCTGAGTACTCATTGCTTCTTGGAGCATATTTCCTAATTAGTAGAATGCTGTTAATGATATGTAATCCATATGCATATTGAGGGTGCCAAATGAAGTGACAGTGTAATGTGCCCAGCACAACCTCTTGTTCCTTTGTTTAATTATTAGTTATCATCAACGTCGTCATCATCACCATTGCTTTATTGTACCAATCAACTTAATAATTGTTCTCCAGTACAAATACAGCTGAAGAGAACAGCAGATCCTGTACACGTCAGCAATAGAAGACAAAGGGTTTGCCCAAGCAGCTGGGCAGCCATAATGCAGACGTCTTTATGCCCGTGTCTCTAGTCATCCTTGGGAATGCAAATAAAGATAAACGAAAACCACTTCCTTCCTGGGCCTGAGGAGCTAACTCATCTGTGGAAATGAACTTCCATTCTCTCTGACAATTAGTTTCACTCTAAAATATGATAATTCTTTGAAGTCGCACCAAGAAAGGAAATACGGCATGCTCCATGTTAAGCGAAGGAAATATACAGTGCTGCCTGAGACATTAATCTCATTTGCTCTGCACCTGATTTTTCACTGTTAGAATATTGCAGCAAAGCTCTGTGCTAAATCTCAAGCAATTTAGCTCGGCAAAGTAGATTAGTTAGAGCCAATGCAAAGCTCTACCTCATAACTTTCAGTAAAAGTGATACTCAGATATATAGTTTGAGGCTTGAACTGGAAACTGAGACGTTCTGCTTTTTCAGCTCTAAGAATATTAGATGCTAATAAAGGCAAGTGAAACAGGTACCTGTGGCCTGGACTCTTACTCTGAAAACATTTAAATCTTAAATAACTTTTATATAGTCAGTGCCATTTCTCCCAAAGGGAAATCTACTGTGGAAAGGGCTCATGAAAAATAAGTTGGATGAATGGTGAGAAGATTGTTATATACATCTATTTGTTGCTGCAAACATGCTTTTTCCAGGAACTCTCTTCCAAGACTTAACTGAGCTAGTATTGAATAGTGAGGCTCCATATGAGACTCCTCTGGAACTTGGGTGAATTCGCAGCCAAGAGTTTTATCAGAATCTTTCACTGGTTAACACCTGGCTTATTGTCCTCTGCACCACCTCAAATCCTCCTCTTCCACCAACCACTGCTGCAATAACTAAGGCCATGCAGGTTTTGGCCATTTTTGTACAGAAGCATCTAATGCCTTGACCCTCAGGCCTGCACCATATGGCCCTCACTTTATGCCTCAGGCTTCTCTGACTTCCAGGATGGGTTACTCTGGGAACATACCCTAGTGCCTGTGGGGCCCACTTTGCTACAGGTGATGGAGTCGATGGATAAAGGACAGTTCTTAGCTACTGTGTCACTTTTCATTGGATGGCCTGGCTGTGCCACAGGACGGGATATAACATGAGAATGGTGTAAGGAAGTTCAGACTTTCCCTCTGAAGGATTAAGTCTAAGTCTGTTGAAATGACCTGACATGGACAGACTAGCAGGAAAAAAGGCATACAAACTTATTTAACATGCATACACATGGGAGCCTTACACAAAGTAGGAGACTCAATGAGGGGCCAGATAATTGAAACTTTAATACCCTCTTCATAAGGAATAGGGAAAGGGTGACTATAGAAATTTAGAGGAGTAGTAAATAATTTTAGGAGAGATGAATGGACCTGAAGACAGAAATTTGCTCATAAATGATTCTTTTGTAAAGAGAAAGGGATCAGAGAACACACAATGATTTGAGACAAAGTTCTGTGCTCCAGGTGTTTAATTTTCAGTCTCTTTCTCTGTAACATGAGTTTCATTTTCTCCAGCTAATGAAGTTTTAGGGAAAACAAAGGCAATTTTATTCCTGTTTGGTAGGTCCAGTTTCCAGATAGATAAGGGAATTTCAGAGAATAGCTCTACTCTGTGTTTGGGGGAGACAGAGGATTGAGAGATGGGGTCTGGGGAAGGTCAGAGAGAACTTGAGACTGTTTCTTTAGTTCAACATGTCAAAGTGCCATATTTTGAGTATAATTTTTTTAAGTCCTAACAGTGGCCAAGGGTGAAAGACAGATAAATTCCAGCCAGGGAAGAAACCAAAAGATGATTCAAGGTGGCTAAGAACAGACACATACACACAGACTCAAGTAGTGTGGCATTTGCTTACAGCAAGAGGAGAGAGCATAAGCACAAGATCTAGTCCCTTGCAATGCACAGGTCCCCCATGGCCAGTGGAGTTTGCATCAACACAGCAGTGTGGCTGTACACACTCCACTGCATGCTGCAGTGGAAGAGCTCTACCCCTTTCCATGGGGTTTGAAATACAGACAGTTGGGGTTGTGCCTGAGGATCACTGATGCATGCACTTATACATAACAAGGGAGTGCACATCACACTGAGAACAGGAAAAGGCATTCCCTCAAAATGTAATTCCCCAATGGGTTCATCCTGCGTACTGCCCAGAAAAGCAGATTTACTGAGACAGTGGTATTGCAATAGAGAAAGAGCAATAAATGCAGAGCAAGCTAAATGGAAGACAAGAGTTTTATTGTTACTCAAATCAGCCTCCCTGAAAATTCTGAGGCTAAGGATTGTAAGGATAGTTTGGTGGGCAGGGGACTAGGGAATGGGGAATGCTGATTGGTTGGGTTGGGGATAAAATCATAGGGAGCTGAAGCGGTTGTTTTGTGCATAAGTTCCTAGGTGGAGGCCACAAGACTAGATGAGTCACTTTACTGGTCTGGATGGTGCCAGTTGGTCTATCAGAATGCAGGGTCTGAAAAATACCTGGAACACCAATCCTAGGTTTTACAATAGTAATGTTACCTATAGGAGCAATAAAGGAGGTTAGGGTTCTTGTGGCCTCTGGCTACATAAGTCCTGAGACATAATTTTAATCTTGTGGCTAATTTGTTAGTTTTATAGAGGAGATCTGATTCCCAAGCAAGGAGAGAGTTTTATTTTGGGAAGGGGGTGTTATCATCTTTGTTTCAAAGTTAAACTATAAACTAAATTTTTTCCATAGCTAGCTTGGTCTATACCCAGGAAAGAGCAAGGACAGGTCACAGGTTAGAAGCAAGATGGAGTCAGTTACATCAGATCTCTTTCACCACCATCATTTTTGTAAGGGCAATTTTAACAAGGCAATGAGTCCAGCATGGGCTCTTCATCTTCTGGTACAGGAGTTCTCCCAGCCCAAGGCCTCTTCCTATACAGCTCCCCAGGAGTAGGCAGACTCCACATGACTGTCCTTTCCAAGTGGGACAATTAATAAAGCTCTTCAGAAGGTCTTGTGGGATTGAGCACTAATTCTTCCAAACAGTGGAAAATTGAATAACACACAATATTCTTGGCATTTCTTCCTTCCTGACTTTCCTTCATTCCTCACAGTAATCCTCAAATTTAAAAGCCCACACAAAAGACACTGTCTCCGATTTTACTTAGAAAACCCAAGTTAACAATTAGCAAAACTAGAATTAGCCTGTCATTAGGCCTTTTTGTCACAGTAAGTAGAAATTTATAGCTGGATCTTTCTCTAGTCAGATGGCTAAAAGGACCACCCCATTGCTGGAGAAAAAGCATGGGTCAGCATCACAGTTGCTGAACCCCTAGTTTGTGGGGGCTGGGGAAAGATTCAAGTAGAAGATGCACAGTTAGGTTTTACATGAGCTGTGGCAAGTGAACAGTATGGGAGAGGGAAGGACATAATTTTAAGGATTTTAAGAATTAGCTGGCTTTTGTTAACTGCTTTGGAAATCTTGGGAGGTAAATATGATCTCAGGTCAGCCAGCTAACAATTCAAGTGTGTTTTGAAAGCCAGAAGTCCTCCATGGTTGTGTGTAAAGAGACTTTCATCTGTGGCTGCAGAGAAGACCATGCTGAAAACCAGGACGAAGATTTAATTGAAAAGATAGAAGAGCTTCAAAGAGGTGGACTTCTAGCTCAGCATATTTCTTATGGCAAAAGCAGGGCCCTGATAATAAAATAGCAGAACTGTAAAATCTGGAATTAGGATAATTATGAAGGCAAGACTGAGAATCTTGAACCCAGGTTCCCTTGAACCTTTCATGAATCAGAATTAGCCCTTCCCAGAGGATAGAAGCATGCCTTTATTTGGAAGCTCTGCAGAGAGTGAGGAAAGTGTCCACAATATTAAAATCAACTTCTTTAAGATCTACCCTGTGAATCCTTATTGACTACAGACATAAAACCAAGGTCAGGCCTCAGTACAACCTAAGTGGGGAAATGCTGTTCCTGCTCTGGGAGGGAGGAGCTCACACATGAAAATCATTGCAGGAATCACCTACTCCAATCCAGTAGGAACTGGGAAAACACATGGAGGAGAACATATTGAGGGTGTTGGGCAGAGGCAGGGAGGGGAACCAACTATTAAGGCCAGATAGAGGAGGAATTTTTCAGATGGAGGCACTCACTGATGACATAAATAAATATCTTGGCTGGAACCCTGACCTGATCCTGACAGGCTAATGGAATGTAAAAGGCCTACAGTAAAGAAGCTGGATATTTCTTAACTTTCTGGGCATAGTTTTGAGGAAGGAGTCAGAAGGCTAAAGGAGGTACCAACGTTAGAATGACTCATTATATGAGACCAGATGCCTCACCAGTGGCACTCCCTTTGCTAAAGTAATGAGGAATGCATGCATTCAAGGTACCCAGAAGCTCCGTGGTAACTGTCATCTACAGGCAGAGTGACAGTAGGGTATTACAGCCTGGGGTTTAGAATGGAATGGCTGAAGCCAAATGGTTGCACTTGTCAGAAGCAGAGTGGAAATAATGACCCTAGCAAACAGCAAAAGGGGCTCTGTGGTGAAGACTAACAGATCACTGTGAAGGAAGGGCCAGCCAGGGTTTGTTTCACTTAGGGTACAGACAAAAATGGAGTGTTGGTGAGAAGATCAAGAGATGAGAGAGAAAGAGAGAGAGGAAAGAAAGAAAGGAGGAACGAGGGGAGAGAGGAGAGAGAAATAAAGAGAGAGAGAGAGCACTACCAAATCAGACCTAATTTTGGTTTTCAAGTCAAAGCCAAGTCATAGGAACAAAGCCCACTGGCTAAAGGGAAGGAAGGATCCCCTTTATACTGTAGAGGGCTCTGCACATCTCTACAAGTATAAATGATAACCATGCACTGATATTTACCAAGAGATTTACAGCCATTAACTAGGGTAACTATGCAGTAGTAAACAAGGGCTGCTCTGATAGTATAAAGAACTAACACTGATATCAAATACCCAAAATTCCATAGTGGTCCTCAAATTAGATTGGGATATAACGAGAACCAGGTATTAAATGGACTTTTGGCCCAAGTTCAAAACCTGCTTATATTCTGTGCAATTTCTTCTATAGTATAATTGGGATAAATAGACATAATAGCTGGCCTAACTCTCATGCTGACTCCTTGACCTGTGGAGTAACAGTCATTAGGATAGGAAGGGCCAAGGAGAAGCTGCTGAAACTTCCCCACCTCCTCAAACCAAGATAGCAAGTCAGAAGAAATATCCTGTCTCTGGAGGAATTTCTAAGGAACAAAAATGTGGATGAGCCTATGAAGGCTGGTACAAAATTACAGATCTTTCTTGTGTCCTGCTATTGCCCATTAGATAGCATTCACTATGAAGAGACACTCAACACTTCTGTAAACAGAATGACTTCTCTTATGGGCCCATGAACAGAGAAACCACTGAGGCAGGGTTGGGAGTTTGTGTGGGATCAAGATAATGAGCTCTGTCCCATTAAGTCTAGCCTAGCAACTGCTGAATATTCCACCTGTTATCAGCAGAGGACAACACTGGCTGTCTGATATGGCATCATCTCTTAAGATGACTAACTCACCATTTGCAAAAGCTGATTACATTGAACCCATTGCACCCTGGAGACACCAGTGTTATTTTTCCCAACTGTAATTGTATAAGATTGCCTTCCATGACCAAAGGGTAACTTCTGGGATATTTGTGAAGGCAAAACTGAGAACCTTAAACCCAGATTTCCTTGAACCTTTCATGAATCAGAATCAGCCCTTCCCAGAGGATAGAAGCCTGCCCTTATTTGGAAGCTCTGCAGATATATCAGTGAGAAAAGTGTCTGCAATATTAAATTCTACCAGAACAACCATGAAAAACAACTAACTTCTGCCAGAACAACTGTGAAAAAAATGCTACATTTAAGGGCATAAGATCCTAATTGCTTCAGACCAGGGGATTCATTTCATGGACAGGTAACCATGGAATGCACTTATTGGACAATATATCTTATCACTCAGAGGCTTCTGGCCCAAGATAATGATGGACTAGTCTGCCAAATTCTTACTCAAGGCACCAGAGAGATGGCAATTTAAGGTGGGTAGGAATTCTACACTCCAGTGGCCATTATGGCATGTGCTGCTGTGTACTCAACAAGTGGAATGTGCGTCTGGGAATCACAGGGTGGAAGTAGGATTGGTCTCTCTTAGCAAGATTCTTAGTAGCTCATTTGTAAAATTTGAATACCCATTTCCCAAAATTCAGACTGTAAAGGGGGAATTCATCCAAAAAAAAGTATCCAGGGAGAATTGCACTGACTTTGATGCTATTATTTGCTTAATTTGGGTTCCTGAGGCCAGTGAGCCAGCAAAGTTGGAAGTTACCATGTTAATGGGCATCATAGACTCCATTTACAGTAAGGATTTAGGACTGGTGCTAATGGTGTTACCCAATTGTGGCAGAGGGAATATATGTGGAATCCAGGGGTTCCTGAGTGCTTCCATGCCATGTTAACAATGTGTATAGAAAACTGCATCAACCACGGCCTGACAATTTTTACAAATTAATTACAGCCTCCAAACCCTGGAAGTAGATCTAGAAAGCAACCTACATCCACTGAAGTGCTGCCCAAGACTGAGGAATGGTGGTGGTAGAGGAAGATGATAGAGATCAATTGTGGCTCCTGAGACCCTCTGCAGATGCAACAGGACCTGTAACTTGTTCTCCTCATACTCTTGAGTTCAGCCCTTGCAGAGCTGGTGCCCGGCTGCCACCTTAGTCTAGAAGCAAACGCCCACTTTAGAGCCAGCTCCTTAATACTGACTGCTTTGGAATTAACATGAGAGGAAGCATGTTTGGGAGTGCCCTGTAGATTATTACCCATGGATTGAACCGAGCAGAGGAAGGACTGAACTGTAATGCAGCCCCAGCTAAGTCCTCAGCAGATCCCACAGGTGATTCTGGAGCTGGGATGGCCGTTCAGAGTTCTCTCAAATTTGGAAAAGAGGGTGGGTCACTGGGTGGACATGGACAGCCACTAGATTTGGGCTGCCCCTCAGGAGGGGGTGTGACATTGGATGAGGCATTTGCCTTCAGTGAGGGCAATGGCCAGAGAGGGTAAGAGCTGACAGTTGTCAGCCATCAACTCTCTTGGCTGCTGGAAAACTGTGTGCCTGAGTCCAAAAAATGGGATGGGTCAGTGCACCACAGCATTCACTAAGCATGAAACAGGGATCCCTGCAGAGCAATTGCTGGCTCCCAAAGAAGAAAAGCAAGAGTCAGTCCCAGTTCTTAATGCAACCAGCCTAGAAACAGAGCAACAACAGAGCCCAGAGGTGAAGAGCAGGGCCCTGGAGCGGAGCGCTTGAAGAGGCATTCCCAACCAGGCTGCTTACAACATGTGTGACCTTGTGCAACCTCCTTCAGACATCTGGGCCTCAGCTTTATTTTTTGATTGTTTGTTTAATCAGTAAAATGAGGGTTATGGCCATGC
Source organism: Homo sapiens (assembly GCF_000001405.40). NCBI lineage: Eukaryota > Metazoa > Chordata > Mammalia > Primates > Hominidae > Homo > Homo sapiens. The sequence continues at coordinate 51,860,654 of NC_000007.14, forward strand.
CAACCTCCAAGGATTATTATGAGGATAAAAAGTTAATATTTGTAAAGCATGTAAGATGATGTCATAGAGTAAACTCTACAGAAGGATTTGTTAATTAATAAAATGGGCCTATATATTAGCATTTATAGCCACCATTAGAAAACAAGCATAAACAGAAAAATTCACAAAAGAAGATATCTGCATACCAGAGGTTAGGAAATATTCGATAATGGAGGAAGGGGATTTTTTTTTCACATTAGGAAGAATTTATTGAATGCTAGAGAACATAGAAAAGCTATAATTACTGTTCTTGGTGAAGCCTTCCCAGAGTCTCTCTTAGGACACAGTGGGATTCATTTGAGAACAATGGAGTTAGTGAATCAATCCTGTGTTGGTCAAAGTGAAGAGCTTCTTTGAGTCATGGTCTGTTCCTGAAATGGTATTTCATTTTGTACTTTGAAAAAATCAGCTTTTTGAGCTGAACTTTCATATATATACATACTTTAAGTTCTGGGGTACATGTGCACAACATGCAGGTTTGTTACATATGTATACATGTGCCATGTTGGTGTGCTGCATCCATTAACTCATCATTTACATTAGGTATATCTCCTAATGCTATCCCTCCCCCTGTTCTCACTCATAGGTGGCAATTGAACAATGAGAACACTTGGACACAGGAAGAGGAACATCACACACCAGGATTTTTTTTTTTAAAGGAGAGATGTAGCTGAGCAAATAGTGGACAAATTAAACTGCTTCAGATCTACATGAGAAGTAGTGACTTATAATGTACATACAATTAAAACATCTTTTATCTTAAATATACATGTAAATATCCACAATTATAGCTCATATATATTAATTATAAGTGCAATGCATAATTATAATATATCCATAATATAATAAGTATGATAATATAAACAAAGAAAGTTTAGGGAAATATCCTTTTTCCCAAGAAGAAAGAACATTCATGTTCTAGTATATGCCAATAGCAATATAGACTGCAAGACAAGCTAGTTATACCTTATGCAACAGGATTCATGCCAAAAGAGAACACAAGAATATAAATTTCTAAAATAAAAAAATTAAATTTAAATATTTAAAACGCAAAGTTATTTGAAAATAATTTTAAAATGAAAACGGCTGCAAAGATTTTTAAAGACGCATTTAGAAAGCCTGCTGTGTCTTCAAACATTTTTCCTATTTGGTAGTGGAATAAAGATTTCAAGCACAAATTTACCCATGACTGTTTTGCTGAGCAAACTTAATGCCACATCCTTGTTCATTACTTTTTCAGGCTCCTACCCATTGCTTCTCTCCCTTTAATTTCCCACCATGCACACTGGCCCATTTGGTGAGAAGATCTATTCTGTGCTCACATGTACAAAGGTGATGTATTGGCAGCTTCAGCCTCCAAAGGTTTTTCTCATTACTGAATTCCCAGTAGCTATTTCTCTACATTGTAATTGGATAGTACTTTTTAGGAGCAAGTGTCCAGGGCATAGAGTGCCACAAACACTAGGTGCATTCTAGAGAAATGAGGAGATGATATCCATGAATAGCAGAGGATCATAGACAAATGCATTCCCCAAGGTGAGGGGAAACAATCAATAGCTGAAATGAGAAAAGCTGGCTTCAGTGGTGTGCTGATTGAGAAGAGAGCCTTCCCATTAAGCCAGAGTGACCTGTGACGCTCAATTAGTGAATGCAATCCATGCACCTTTTTCATTGCATAATTAAAGACCTATACCTGACCTCTCCATGTCTTCAAATCTGCAATCTTTACACACACACACACACACACACACACACACACACACAGAGATACTTGTTTCCCAATTATTAATACTCTTAATTATTCAACAATGATGCCTATTTAAACACCTAATGGATTATTTGATTTTAATAGTTAATAATACCATGTCAAATGATAAAGATCAATTATTTTTCAGAACAATATATTTTTAATTAGGCATTTTGAAAAGTATTATGTTTAGGAAACTGTACCCATGATAATGACTGAATTCTGTTAAAAATGACGTGCTGAATCAGTGGCTGATTCTCAGTAGAAGGATTGAAATGATCATGGTTTATGTTCATTGATTCACTGAACACATACTTAAAGGTGCTTGCGAGGTATCAGGCATGATTATGGTGAAAAGCGGGCAAAGGTAAATAGGTCTCTGCTCTCCAAAAGAAAGAGCAACGCTAAGCTGAGCATTACAGTGCTTGGGGAATGTCGCACACAGCAGGGAAAGCCCACCGGAGTCTACTCATGCTATCATACGTGCATGCCCAAATACACACATTGTGGTCTTCAAGATTATCATATTTACCCATAGGATATTCATTGCAGTTATGCCTAAAATAGAAAACAGACAGATGAGAACTGATGTTAAGCATTAAAAAATTCAGCCAAGAGTAATTTTCAGTAGAAAACCAAAGAGAATGTTGTGTTGTAAAAGAGCATACTATGATATAATTTCTGAGAATAGATTCCTGTTCTAGTTATCATAATTAGCATATATCTTATGCTATGTGCCTAAATGACACATTATTATCATTAATATAATAAATGATTATCTTTGTTAATTTGCCATAAGCAAAGTTTGGTTATAGGAATTAACAAAAATCTCCCATATTCCAAAAGTGTGCCCCATAATACTTACCTATAAAGAATATAGAAGTTTTTAGGTTCTATCAGATTATATAGAAATAAAATATTTGTAAGAAAATCACATAAAATTTTTAATTGTATCAAAAATCACATATACAATTTATCACTTTAATCATTTTTAACTCTACAGCGTAGGAGTTTTTGTTTTGTTTTGTTTTTGAGAAGGAGTCTTGCTCTCTTGCCTAGGCTGGAGTGCAGTGGCACGATCCCGACTCACCGCAACCTCTGCCTCCCAGGTTCAAGTGATTCTCCTGCCTCAGCCTCCTGAGTAGCTGGGACTACAGGCATGCACCATCAAACCTGGCTAATTTTTGTATTTTTAGTAGAGATGGGGTTTCACCATGTTGGCCAGGCTGGCCTTGAACTCCTGACCTCAGGTTATCCACCTGCCTTGGCCTCCCAAATTGCTGGGTTTACACACGTGAGCCACAGTGCCCAGCAGCATAGGAGTTTTAGGTATGTATACATCGTTGTGAAACAGATCTCCAGAACTTTTTCAACTCACAGAACTGAAACTCCATAATATATCCATTAAACAACAATTCTCCTTTGCCTACACTCCCTATCCACTGGTAACTACCACTCTACTTTTCATATCTATGAGTTTGGCTACTTTAGATACCTCTTATAATTGGGATCATATAGTATTTGTGCTTTTGTGCCTAGCATATTTCACTGAACATAATATCCTCGAGGTTCCTTCGTGTCATAGCAGGTGTCAGAATTTCCTTCCTTTGTAAGGCTGCATCGTGTTCTATTGTATATACATACCATATTTTGTTTATCCATTAGTCACATCACAAATAGTTTTAATTAATTTTAATATACTTTCATTTTTCCCCTAGTTTTTCAGAGTAATACTTGTTCATTTTAGGACATTTTAAAAAATAGAAAAATGAATAAATAATTATTTTCAAATTTTATAATTCTAGTATCCAATGCTAATCACTAAAATTTTATATATTTCCTTCATAATAGTATACATATATTTTCTTTGCTGTTGTTTTCTGCTTACTTATAATAATAATTTTCACATGTGAATGCATGATCTTACTAAAATTTATTTAACCATTCTTCTAGGACACCAAATAGAAAGCACTTGGTGTGACAGGAGAGAGAGAATGGAAGCTTACATTGAATGATCCAGTGGGGATATAAAGAAGTGAATAATATTTGAGAAATATAGTCTTTTTGTGAGCCTGAGTTTCGTCACTTTCTTCCAATAGTTTGCATACATTTTTAATGGTTTCCAGTTTTGAAATATTTTATTAAATTTTTAATAAGGCTTATTTTAAAGTAGAATTAAACCAGTTATTACTAGTGGGAAGAAAGTTTGCAGACTAGTTATATTTATCTTTTCTAGGGTTTTACTGATGGATATTAAAATTATAAAACAAATATGTATCTTTGATTGTCTAGAACTACAATCACCTTAATAATTAAGTCATCATCTGTATGTTACTGACTTTGCTACATATTTCAAAGCAATATTAAATAATGTTGACAATAAGTGTCCTTGTTTGTGGTTTGATTTCTCTTGACATTGCTCTGGTATTTTGTAAGAAATTGTCACCCTTGATGCTGCATGTTAAAGTCGTAATAATATTTAGAGGTAACTTTTCTTCTTTTGCAAATTAACATACTTATGAAGACATACAGAAAACACAAAGCTAGGAACTAATAGTAAGGTTTGATCAAATATCAGAATTTAGCTCCTTGAAAAACTGTCCACTTTTCCAAAAACAATTTACTTCATAAGACTCCTTTTCAGATCTTACCGGGCTGTGCCCACCAACCCTATACACTGTTTTGTTGTGAACTTTACCCAATCTCAGTATCCCATCTTGAAAGATCAGCATTTAAAACCACTTGAGCAAAGAGGCTAAAATGGTCTAATTATCCTTTCCTAGTCACATCACAGAAGATGACTTGAGTAGCCAAATCTGTGGTGAAGTAATTTTCTGCTTTCTTTATGAAGTAATTAAACATATATAACAATGGGAAGAGAACAGTAACATCTTTGAAGAAGGCTTCAAGAATATATTAGAGATCCTCCTAGGAAGATGTCTTAGGAAAACGGTTTTCTTTGGAAAATAATTTTGATCAGTCACTTTTAAAAAGATGATGAAACCCTGAGGTTTCACTAAACAAAAAAATCAAAAATACATAATGTTTACATATTATCTTTAACACAAATAGAAATAATATGTAAACATATGCAAGAGAACAGGGGAACAAATATTTTATTATTTGAAAGGCAATAAGGGGGAATAAGCAAGAGGAAATGAAAAAGAGAAGATGGTGGAAAACTAGAAAAATAAAGACAGAACAAGACCTGGTTAGATGGAGAGGATGTAAATTTCATGGAAAATAATGTCTGAGAAACATTTTACAAACAGCTAGTGTCTACACTTCCATTTAAATGTTTGCATGGATGAATGTAACCTAGCTTCCACCTTTCTTCTGAAACATTCCCTCAAAATTTACTCAAATCTATTTAGTTAAATAATTGGTGATTATTACCATTTTGGTACATTTGTATCTATTTTTCCCATGCTGTATTTACACAATTATACTTAGGGTATATCTGCATAGATCACTTTACATTCTTTCTCTCTCTCTCTCTGTGTTTGTATGTAGGTAAATAAATATATATATATATCTATATCATATATGAAGTCTCTGACAAGGCACTTTTTTTGCTGCATAGCCTTTATCTGATGAATTGCTTGGTGTAGACTGGTTGCTTTAGACTCTGGTTTGGTGTATTTTTTGTGAGGGCACTCGCTCTATGTCAGGGTTCCACAAAATGTTTCTTGTAAAGTGCCAGATAGTGAACATTTTGGGTTTTGTGGGTCACACAGTCTCTGTTTCAACTACTCAACGCTGCCTTTGTATTATGAAAGGAGCCACAGAAAATATGTAAACACATCAGTATGGCTGTATTCCAATAAAACTTTATTTACAAAACAGGCAGCAGGACGTGGCCCCTGAGCCGTAGTTTGCTGACCCCTAATTTAGCTCCACTTGCTTCTGCAATCTGGCCAATGAGGACACTCTAAAGCTTTGGGCTGCCCAACCTAACCACTTACCTTGCCCTAGGGCAAAAATCCATTTTATTTCCAGTTTTCCTACAGGCAAGTGCCCCAGGCTCCAGTTTTGCAGTTTTGAATGCTCTTCCATTGGGCAAGATGATGGGGCAAAAGGAAAGGGAGTGAGCAGGTTTGGGTCAGGCACGTGTGTTGCAGTAACACAAAGACAGTTGAAGGAGATGTCTGCTCCAAAGTTCAGGGGATGCCTGGAGCAGAGGACCAGTGAGAGTTGAGAGATGAAGCAGGAAGTTTGGACATCAATAGCTTTTGAGCTGAGCACCAAGCTGATGAGCTGGGGACAGGTATCACAGCATCCTTAAAGGGCAAGAAATGCAGAATAGTGAGAAACTAGGACAACTGATGTTGCCCCTGGCTGGCTTTTAGAGCTGCTGATGAGCAGAGCATGGGGTCAGAGTGCGTGCATTGTGCTGGATGCATTTAATGGGGCAAGACATTTAAAGCTTCTATGAAAAAGAAAAGGGGCCTAGTGGAAAGACTGGGGTAAAGAGGGGCAGATCAGGATTGATACTAGAAAGGGAGCTCTTCAAGGACTCACTTTGTGAGAGAAACTGAGGTTCATCCTCAGGTCATTGAGGCTCCAGGAAGATCCACCCTGCTATTCCCCAGGTGGGGCAGGATGCTCCAAGTCACTAAGATCTCCTGCCACGTTCACTGTAAGTACCCACATTTCCACATCTCTATCAGAGGCATGGTGCAAATTCTTTATGCAGTAAACTCCTTATGTAAATCAGTGGATAGGGGGAGGGGGAGCGTGTGGCCTTCCACTGCCCACCACAGCTACCTGAGCCCCCATCTGGTATATCTAAGGTGCTCCCTCACCTGGAGACTCATGGGACTTCCTGTAGCTGCAGTGGCTTAGAGGTGGCCTCCTTCAGCCACCACCCCCATGGAATGTGGGGCTGTGGCGGACCTGTGAACTCCCCTAGACTAGTTCCTTAGGGGCAGGGCCTGGAATTAGCATGGCTTCACATTCTTCTGTGCTTTCTGCTCTAAGGATGCTTGGCTCCAGAGGAAGTAACCTGGACTAGATCTGTGCTCTCCTTTCAAACCATTGTGAAGCTGTATTGCTTCCATTCCAAATCTTGATGGTTCATCTTTAAAGGTGGAAACTTCTGCCATTTTCTAAGGTTCATCCTTGTGAACAGTTTCACTTTGAGTAAATTCTCATAATATCTGGATGACTTCAAAAAGCTTTGAAAGAGTTGCCAAGGCACGACCACACTGATGTTTTCTAAGTGCTTTAATTCACTTTCTCGGTTTATTCTAGAAATGCTATACACAGCATTGTACGTAGTAAGGTGCAGATTGGTGCAAAGTTCACCTAATTTGATCCAAAGCAATATCAGAGGAAAGTCCTAGTTAACTTCACTTTCTAGATTATGTCACCTTGATCTCAGATCCTAATGTTGCACATCCAGCAATCCTTCTTAGGGCCAGGCTTGAAATATTTTGGCCCCTCCATGGAAATATTCATGTCACCAAGGCCCTGATTTCTGCAGAATAGATATCTGATACTCATCCAAACACTATCCTAACACTATCAGAAAGAAAAAAAAAACTCAAAAATACACACACACACACACATACACACACATGCACACACCCATGCACTCTTATCTTCTGTACATCTTTTGTAGTATTGGGTGGGAAAGTGAAGTAATAGTTCTACAGCTTGCAGTAGAAATCTTTTAGAATTATGCCTGTGACTCTAAGTTGAAAATCTGATTGGAAAAGATCCTCATGGGGGTGCATTCAAGCCTGTCAGTCTGCAGACCAATCATTGCTCATCTAGCCTCCTGGACATGTTGTCTTCTCCTGTGGAACTCCTCTTCAGGGTAGTAACAGGTGTCAGGCCTCCGAGCCCAAGCTAAGCCATCATATCCCTTGTGACCTGCACATATACATCCAGATGGCCTGAAGCAAGTGAAGAATCACAAAAGAAGTGAAAATGGCCGGTTCCTGACTTAATTGATGACATTACCTTGTGAAATTCCTTCTCCTGGCTCAGAAGTTCCCCCACTGAGCACCTTGTTACCCCCACCCTTGCCCACCAGAGAACAACCTCCTTTCACTGTAATTTTCCACTACCTACCCAAATCCTATAAAAGGGCCCCAGCCCTATCTCCCTTTGCTGACTGTGTTTTTGGACTCAGCCCACCTGCACCCAGGTGAAATAAACAGCCTTGTTGCTCACACAAAGCCTGTTTGGTGGTCTCTTCACACAGATGCGTGTGACAACAGGGACTTCCATGGTACATGGACCTGGCATCTGAAATGTGAGTTGATTTATTATCCTGGATAAATAAACTAAAAATAAGAAAATATTTTGAAGCTGATAAAAGTTGAAGGAGAACGCCATCACTTTACAGCTAAAAAAGGTAAAGATACTTTCATTCTTTTTGTTTTCAGAGACCTGGGGCTGAGGAACAGAAAACAAACACATTTTTATAATCTAACACTGAAAGAAAGAACATAGAGGGAGATATTTGCTTTTGGAGCCCATTTTTCAAAAATTTTTGTTTTTCCCCATCCTAGAAAAGAAAGTCTCTGATAAAGAAAAGCTAAAAGTTCCTTGGCTACAATGACATATTGGTTATTAAACTGAATATCATCAATATTTAATTATCTCTGTAAACACAAGAAGAGAAAATGCAAAACTATCAGTTCATTTATTTGGGTAGTTTTACTTTTTGCCAAAACAATTCACAAAAGTTATATTTAGGGTTTATTAAGAATGGACAACATTTGCTAAGATTCTGAGGCTTAGAAAAGCATCTTATTCATCATCTATATTTTATAAGTGAGAAAATTGCCTCTCAGGGAGGGAAAGAGAGTGGCTCAAGGTCACTCGGGATTTTAATGACGATCAGAACTGGAACCATTTTCTCTCTATTTTGCATCTTGGGGCCCTCTCTTAGGCTGGAAGTCCATAGAGGCTTATTTCATATTTTCAGTCGAGTACCTAACAGCTCTTAATTCCTGCTAGATAATCTAAATTATGACTACAAGCATAGATTTTTTTTTTTTTTTTGAAGAACATATGGGAATCAGGGCAAAGCACTGTTAGTTCATCTATTCCTTAGGTTAGTATTTACTGAGTGCCTTCTCTGGGCCAGGCAGAGAGCAGGGAATGTGGAGCACAAGGTAGGAAGGATATTTATGCTGTCTTAAGAAAGCTTACAGTCTAAGAATATGCAGGAAATGGGCAGTGCAAGTGAACAAGACGCAAACAGTGATTAGTATTGTACTCAGAAGGGCATTGTCAGAGGCCACTAAAGGGAGGAAGAAAGAGGCTGTTGCCAACAGGACTAGGGCGAGTTTCAGGGGAGAAACCACACGTGTCCGTGAAGGAATCTTCCTTTGGCAACTTCTGGAGTTGGCACTGAGTTTTTCTTCCGTGGGCCTCTGCAGCAACGCTTATCTCTGTCAGGCCTCTGAGCCCAAGCCAAGCCATCGCATCCCCTGTGACCTGCACCTTTACGCCCAGATGGCCTGAAGTAACTAAAGAATCACAAAAGAAGTGAATATGCCCTGCCCCACCTTAACTGATGACATTCCACCACAGAAGAAGTGTAAATGGCCGGTCCTTGCCTTAACTGATGACATTACCTTGTGAAAGTCCTTTTCCTGGCTCATCCTGGCTCAAAAAGCACCCCCCACTGAGCACCTTGCAACCCCCACTCCTGCCCACTGAGCACCTTGTGACCCCCACTCCTACCCGCCAGAGAACAAATCCCCTTTGACTGTAATTTTCCTTTACCTACCCAAATCCTATAAAACGGCCCCACACTTATCGCCCTTCGCTGACTCTTTTCAGACTCAGCCCGCCTGCACTCAGGTGAAATAAACAGCCATGTTGCCCACACAAAGCCTGTTTGGTGGTCTCTTCACAGGGACACGCATGAAATTTGGTGCCGTGACTCGGATCAGGGGACCTCCCTTGGGAGATCAATCCCCTGTCCTCCTGCTCTTTGCTCCTTGAGAAAGATCCACCTACGACCTCAGGTCCTCAGACCGACCAGCCCAAGAAACATCTCACCAATTTCAAATCCGGTAAGCGGCCTCTTTTTACTCTATTCTCCAACCTCCCTCACTGTCCCTCAACCTCTTTCTCCTTTCAATCTTGGCGCCACACTTCAATCTCTCCCTTCTCTTAATTTCAATTCCTTTCATTTTCTGGTAGAGACAAAAGAGACATGTTTTATCCGTGAACCCAAAACTCCGGCGCCGGTCACGGACTGGGAAAGCAGCCTTCCCTTGGTGTTTAATCATTGCAGGGATGCCTCTCTGATTATACACTCACGTTTCAAGGGTGTCAGACCACGCAGGGACGCCTGCCTTGGTCCTTCACCCTTAGCGGCAAGTCCCGCTTTCCTGGGGCAGGGGCAAGTACCCCTCAACCCCTTCTCCTTCACCCTTAGCGGCAAGTCCCGCTTTCCTGGGGCAGGGGCAAGTACCCCTCAACCCCTTCTCCTTCACCCTTAGCGGCAAGTCCCGCTTTCCTGGGGCAGGGGCAAGTACCCCTCAACCCCTTCTCCTTCACCCTTAGTGGCAAGTCCTGCTTTCCTGGGGCAGGGGCAAGTACCCCTCAACCCCTTCTCCTTCACCCTTAGTGGCAAGTCCCACTTTCCTAGGGGACAAGAACCCCCCAATCGCTTATTTCCGCACCCTAACCTCTTATCTCTGTGCCCCAATTGCTTATTTCCGCACCCTGACCTCTTATCTCTGTGCCCCAATCCCTTATTTCCGTGCCCCAACCCCTTCTCTGCTTTTCTGGAGGGCAAGAACCCTCCACCCCTTCTCCCTGTCTCTACTCTTTTCTCTGGGCTTGCCTCCTTCACTATGGGTAAGCTTCCACCTTCCATTCCTCCTTCTTCTCCCTTAGCCTGTGTTCTCAAAAACTTAAAACCTCTTCAACTCACACCTGACCTAAAACCTAAATGCCTTATTTTCTTCTGCAATGCCGCTTGACCCCAATACAAACTCGACAGTAGTTCCAAATAGCCAGAAAATGGCACTTTGAATTTTTCCATCCTGCAAAATCTAAATAATTCTTGTCATAAAATAGGCAAACGGTCTGAGGTGCCTGACGTCCAGGCATTCTTTTACACATCAGTCCCTTCCTAGTCTCTGTGACCAGTGCAACTCGTCCCAAATCTTCCTTCTTTCCCTTCCGCCTGTCCCCTCAGTACCAATCCCAAGTGTCGCTGAGTCTTTCTAATCTTCCTTTTCTACAGACCCATCTGACCTCTCCCTTCCTCCCCAGGTTGTTCCTCGCCAGGCCGAGCTAGGTCCCAATTCTTCCTCAGCCTCTGCTCCTCCACCCTATAATCTTTTTATCACCTCCCCTCCTCACACCTGGTCCGGCTTACAGTTTCGTTCCGTGACTAGCCCTCCCCATCCTGCCCAGCAATTTACTCTTAAAAAGGTGGCTGGAGCTAAAGGCATAGTCAAGGTTAATGCTCCTTTTTCTTTATCCCAAATCAGATAGCGTTTAGGCTCTTTTTCATCGAATATAAAAATCCAGCCCAGTTCATGACTTGTTTGGCAGCAACCCTGAGACGCTTTACAGCCCTAGACCCTAAAAGGTCAAAAGGCCGTCTTATTCTCAAAATACATTTTATTACCCAATCTGCTCCCGACATTAAATAAAACTCCAAAAATTAATGGTTTTTCCTTTCCATATTTAGTGTTAGGTCTGGTGGTAACAAATTTCCTCAGCATTTGCTTGTCTGAAAAAGATCTTATTTCTCCTTTGCCTATGAAGCTTAATTTAGGTGAATATTAAATCCTCAGTTGGAATTTCTTTCCTTTAAGAATTTTGAATATTGGCCCCCCAATCTCTTCTGGCTTGTAGGGTTTCCTCTGAGAGGTTCACCGTTAGTCTGATGGGTTTCCCTTTTTGGTTACCTGGCCTTTCTGTCTGGCTTCCCTTAACATTTATTTTATTTCGACCTTGGAGAATGTAATGATTATGTGTCTTGGGGATAATCTTCTCTTGGAATAACTTATGGGGTTCTCTGCATTTCCTGAATTTGAATGTTGGCCTGTCTAGCTATGTTGGGGAAGTTCTCCTGTATGATATCCTAAAATATGGTTTCCAAATGGATTCCATTCTCCCTATCTCTTTCACAATCTGTTATAGATTTGGTCTCTTCACATAATCCTATATTTCTCAGAGGTTTCGTTCATTCCTTTTTTTTTCTTTTTTCACTATTCTTCTCTGCCTGTCTTATTTCAGAAAGCAAGTCGTTAAGCTCTGAGATTCTTTCCTCCACTTGGTCTATTCTGTTATTAATACTTGTGATAGCATTGTGAAGTTCTTGTAGTGTGTTTTTTAGCCCTATCAGGTCAGTTATGTTCCACTCTATACTGGCTATTTCGGCTGTCAGCTCCTGCGTTGTTTTATCATAATTCTTATCTTCCTTGCACTGGGTTACAATGTGCTCCTTTAGCTCGGCGAAGTTCATTTCAATCCACATTCTGAAGCCTACTTCTGTCATTTCAGCCCTCTCAGCCTCAGCTCAGGTCTGTTCACTTGCTGGAAAGGTGTTGCTGTCATTTGGAGGAAAGTGGGCACTCTGACTTTTTGAGTTTTCAACATTTTTGCACTGATACTTTCTCATCTTTATTGGTTTATCTACCTGTGATGTTTGAGGTTGCTGAATTTTGGATGGAATTTTAGTGGGTTTTGTTCTTGTTGTTGCTGTTTTTGTTGGTTTGTTTTTCTTTTAACAGTCTGGTCACGACTCTGCAGGGCTGCTGGGGTACCTAGTCACCTCAGTTTTTCCAGTACCTGGAGGTATCACCAGTGAAGGCTCTCAAACAGCAAAGATGGCAGCCACCAAGAGTACTGATTTTTGGTTGGTTTACAAAGAAAAAAAATTAGTTATCATAAATTTAATATAATTAAAAGAAAACATAATAATGTTAACTCTAATGATTAATCTCAATATGTAATAGGGGGAGAGGGAAGGTATTATTTATAATCCCTCCTCAAGGCTCAAATGCCTGGCTAGACAGTGGATATTTTGAGACCTAGGGCTCAGTTCTTTTACATTCTTTTCTTTATTTCTATAAAATTATTTTTTTGATTCACTACTAAAAGTTGGTAGAAATGCAGCAAAGGTCTGATGTTTCTGTCACAGTCTGGGGTACTTATTTCAACCATAGAGTCAGAAGCTATATAGAGACTTCTTAGTGAAAATTTGTTTCAGCACCTTTTCAGAACAGTTGAGACATCCGATTTAAAAGTGGGGTACTTAGATGTTTCAATTGGGAGTAGTTGTCGGTGGATTTCTTACCCATTTTCTGATATACTTCACTCAGAGAAGCATTTCTTTACTTCCATTCCAGCTCTTGGGTGAAGGTCTGTATTTTGTTTTATTTTAATGCCTAATAATCTGCTGTTGACTTTTTTGCTCCAACAAAAGAAGAAAATCATTAAGCACCAGGAAATTGCCATACAGTTGGCAATAAAACTATTTGCAATAATCTTCTTAAGAACCTCATGATCGGCCGGGCGCGGTGGCTCACGCCTGTAATCCCAGCACTTTGGGAGGCCGAGGTCAGGAGATCGAGACCATCCCGGCTAAAACGGTGAAACCCCGTCTCTACTAAAAATACAAAAAATTAGCCGGGCGTAGTGGCGGGCGCCTGTAGTCCCAGCTACTTGGGAGGCTGAGGCAGGAGAATGGCGTGAACCCGGGAGGCGGAGCTTGCAGTGAGCCGAGATCCCGCCACTGCACTCCAGCCTGGGTGACAGAGCGAGACTCCGTCTCAAAAAAAAAAAAAAAAAAAAAAAAAAAAAAAAAAAAAAAGAACCTCATGATCTTTCAATATTAAAAAATGTGATATTTTGACGCAGGCTCTTTGGGCTCTCCATTAGAATGGATTTATTGTTGAGAAGTATTGCTTACATCAGTCACTTCAAATTATGGGACTAGCCTTACTAGCTTTTTCAGAGCCATTATTTCAAAAACTAGTCTGAGCCCCAGCCTCCACAGCCATCACTTGATAGTGTGCAAAAGTGGAGCCCGTACTGTTGCCCATCTCTCTCCAGTAGGCAAGGGGAATGCCCAGGCAGGACTGGTATGGGCAGAGACTCCAGCATCTCAGTCATAAGCCCAGCATACACCGTAGGGTAGCTCGATTATGTGGGTTTCTGTCCTGGCTCTACCTTTTATTCACTGTGTTATTTTAAATCAATTATTTTATTCTTCTTTGCCTCAGCTTCCTCATCTATAAAATGGGGATAAAAATAGTATCTACCTTACACGTAAAGTACTTAGAACATTACCTGGCCATTACTGCATACTTAAAAAAAGTTAACTTTTACTATTATGATCATTTTTCTTTTTTTGAGGTGGAATCTTGCTCTGTCTCCCTGGCTGGAGTGCAGTGGCATGATCTTGGCTCACTGCAACCTCTGCCTCCTGAGTTCAAGCAATTCGCCTGCCTCAGCCTCCTGAGTAGCTGGGATTACAGGCGCATGCCTTTACACCCGGCTAATTTTTGTATTTTTAGTAGAGACGGGGTTTCACCATGTTGGCCAGGCTCATCTCCTGGCCTCGTGATCCGCCTGCCTCAGCCTTCCAAAGTGCTGGGATTACAGGCATCAGTGACTGCGTGCGGTCTGATCATGGTTTTTGATGATTAAAGTAGCTGCCATTACAGCTGGCCTTTGATCAGGACCTGTCACAATGTCCTTATAATCAAATCTGTTTCTGTGATCACAAACTTATCTTTAATTAAATGAAAATATGCCTTTCCCTGTAGCATAAGTCTTACTGTATCATAGATCCTCCCAAAATATGAGTTCCACTACAGCCTAATTTCCCTTCTAACATGGATTCCCGGGGCAGCCATTCTTGTGAACCACTGGTTTTTCCTTAGCATGAGGTTTCTTTTGAATGAGATTTCAAAGACTTACAGGTGATACTGTGGTTTCGAAGTTTTCCTCACATATTCCAAAATTCTGATTTGTTATGAACACCTGTTGTTTTATCTGGCTGCATTACTTCTGGCATGCCTATGTGACAGGAGTTTATTTCTTCAGATTGCGTATCATTTTGTTAACCAATATGCACGACGTTCCTTTGTTAAAATAATATTTTCCATGTTGCTTGTGGAGAACTGGTGACTATATTACAGTGGATGCCTGTCTAGCCAATTTGATAAATTTAGCAGTAGTTGTTTATTTAATTGAAAAAAAGCTTATTAAAATACGGAATGAAAAAGTTATTAGCATAACTTAGACACTTTATCTTAACTTGAAAATATGAGTGGGCATTTACATGAATATTTGGTGAAGGGATAAGACTTTGTAAAAGTTACTATTACAAGTCCTATTCTTGCTGTCAGCATACTCATTGTCCCCAATTTTTTTTTTTTTTTTTGAGATGGAGTCTCACTCTGTCACCCAGGCTGGAATGCAGTGGTGTGATCTCGGCTCACTGAAACCTCTGCCTCCCGGGTTCAAGTGATTCTCCTACCTCAGCCTCCCCAGTAGCTGGGACTACAGGCGCACACCACCATGCCCAGCTAATTTTTGCGTTATTAGTATAGACAGGGTTTCATTATATTGGCCAGGCTGGTCTCAAACTCCTGACTTCGTGATCCACCCACCTTGGCCTCCCAAAGTGCTGGAATTACAGGCATAAGCCACCATGCCTGGCCTGTCACCACTCTTTAACATGGATTCTGAATGTAAATATTCTTGGAAACAACTGGCATGAACAGTACCACTAAATTTATATGATTCTCTACCCCCTAGGTATTTCAGACCTATCTTAATTTGCTACAAATATTTTCAGCAATTAACATTTATTTGTTTTTATTGAAAGCATTCAATTTGATTTTCGTTGGAACCACTCTTTGTGTCTTTATTCATACATTAACATGATATTTAGTAAAATTAAACTGTTATAATAATGAGCCAAACTTCCATAAATAAATTTGGGAACAAAGGTGATTGACAAAACTCCACTAAGGGAGGCAGAAGAGTGTGGGCATTCTGGAAAGCCTGAGAAGCCAGCGGGATACTAATACCAGCCACCGTGCTTCCTGCAGGGAACAGTGATCCTGAGTACCATTGAGATCACTGATCATTAGCAGGATTTGAACTGCGTTTGTTACAGACCTGGAGAATGATTTCCATTCAGTTGCTCTGTAGTGCAAGTGGAACTTTGAATGATTGCTCTCTAGTTTTGTTCTCTTCCTCACACAAGTACCATAATTTACTAATTCATAGTAGAAAGACTTATTTCCTACCTATCCAAAACAAAAAGTATTATTGATTTAACACTTTTAAAACTACTATTATTATTATTTAATGGCAAAGTTGTTTCTTAAAAGGTTATACACTGGAGTTTATAGGCAAATGGTTTGCTAGCCCCACCCAATTTTGTGTTATTTACATTCATACTTCCTAATTACACGATTCTTTTTCATTCTGCATGCGTGGTGTGTTTCTCCGTGAATGTTTCACTTGTCGTGGCTTCACAGTCTCCACCGACATTGGAATCCTGCTTACAATTTGTTTTTACAAAATTACTTAGAATTAAAAATTTTAATTACAGTTTTCATTGTTAATTTTATACTTTGATGAACTACTTTTTCGCTACGAATCAGTTTTTGTGAATTAAATATCTAACACAACACAATAGAAATACTAACACAAATTTGACAATAATAAACTTGAAGTAACATGAAATTATATTAGCCAAAATGTTAAGTAATTTAAGTACATGTGATCAGACATAGATCAACTAACAGATTTAGCATCCAAAACCTATGCACAGTTTTTTAGTCCCTCATGGTTGTGAATATGAATGTAGAGTTTTTACTGAAAATCATTGTTTCACTTTATGTATGAGGGATGTGCGTGTGCATCTGCATGTGTGTACTGGGTAGATGCTGCATTCGTTATTCTTTCAAGTGAAAGCACCCCTGTGAATCCCTGGCAGACTGTGACACCAGGTCTGTGGGTCACACTTCTGAGGGACAATGCTGGACCCTGGTGCTGGTCCTGGTTACCCCCAGTCTACCTTCCTCCATGGTGAGCCTTCCCATGGGACCCTTTCTTTCAGTGCCCTTGGCACATCCAGTCCAACCCACTGGAAAGGATGTGCTTTGCAAGGGAAGGACCCATTCCTCCCTGGAGCTTCCAGGTCTCTCTGCACACTTACCCATCTGCTCCTTGGTGTTCAGCTTTGCCAGGGAACACTGAGAAAGGCCACCCAGGGACAGTCACTACTTCTCCTTGTGTTTACAAAGCCAGGGGGGCATAGTCAAGTAAGTCTTGCTTTAATGAAGAAAACCCGCATCTCTTATTTTGCTTGCTTCTCCTTTAGACTTAAGTGTGGTCTCAATTGTCACTCCCTTATAGTTATGCAAATATGCTGTTTTCATACACGCGTATACAAAGCCTTGGTAATTTAGGACTCATGATGAGTGTGCAGGCTGCAGGCTCTACTTGAGTTTTAGAGATGTACTATTCATCTGCTTTTACAGAGTCAAAGGAGGAGCAGATCACAGACGTGAAGCCCATCTCATCACTGAGTAAAGATGAAGACCATGCCAGGTTGGTCATGGCCATGAATGTTTGCCAGCAATACCACCATGAACAAGGGCTGGAGAATACACCTGCAATTCAAACCATTCTTGATTTAGCTCATATGAAACATATGTGAAAATGGTTAAAAATGCCATTTCTTTTTTTTTTTTTTTTTTTTTTTGAGACAGGATCTCACTCTGGGCTAGGCTGGAGTGCAGTGGTGCCGTGATAGTTCACTGTAAACTCGAACTTCTGGGCTTAAGTAATCCTCCTGCTTCAGCCTCCTGAGTAACTAGAACTATATGAATGTGCCAACATGCCCAGCTAATTTAAATTTTTTTGTGGAGACAGGGTCCAGCTATATTGCCACACTAGTCTAGAACTCCTGGCCTCAAGTGATTCTCTGGCCTCAGCCTTCCAAAAGTGCTGAAATTATAGGCATGAACCACTGCCCCTGGCCAAAAATGTAATTTCCAAAGGGCATTTGTAAAACATTGATAATATTACCATGATGTAACCAAAATGTAATTATCCAAATTAAATGAGAAACAGTAAGATATTACTTCTTTTTCAGCTTTTGCATATCCAAATATACTTTATGGTGGCTCATATATACATGTATTTATATCTAGACATTAAGAACTAGAGTTTAATTATTATAATACTTCTTCTTTGACACCAACAATGTGAAGTGGTCAGGGGGTCATTGCATTTTCTTTGTAAAATGAAAATGCTTAGAAAAGATATTATGGAAATGTTCACAGGATACTTCCTTCGGAAAGCAATAAAAACGACATCAAATCTCCCAGGTTTGCCTAGGCATTTTATTAACTAGAAATAGCACATTACTTGTGCCCTATGAATCTCAACTTTAATCTTTCGATCCTTTGAGCCAGGCCCAACCCCTGATGCTTTTTAAAATATCCCACTTCCCCACTGCCTTGCCTGGACAAGGAGAAACATTTCTCCTCATTCTTACGGCAAGCCCCAGGCAGACTGAGCTCTTTTCTCTAGTCTCTTTTCTCCCAGTCCCTGTGGATCTGCTGCAGCTGGTTTGAGCTAGACTCCTCCTCCATCATAGCAGGGTGCCTGGTCTGGAGTAGAGTCTAGCTGGGATCCAGCATTTGCACTGGGAGACAGAGGAGCCCAGGAAGCAAGGGCATCTTGAGAAGCAAAGAGCAGGATGGGAGTGACAGGATCTGCAGCTGAGGGTAGAAGCAGCCACTAGCAGGGACTGTTCTGACATCAGACTATCTGGACCCCTTAGCTGCTCTCTAGAGAGAGGCACATGCCGGGAGGCACTTTTATTTTATACATTTATACTTCTGTATTTCTTCTTCCTCCTCCTCCATGTCCTTCACTTTCTCTTTCTCCTCGCCTCTGGACAGATTGCTGCTCATTATTTTACAATGAGATATTTTGTTGCAGTGGCCTCATGTGCCTTCACACCCAGTTGACTTCATGGTTTACTGTTGGCAAGGCAGTTGGATAGAAAGTATTTTTAACTTTTCCCTAGAATACACAGTTTGTATGTGTTTTTATTTTTAAGATTGATGAACTAGATGCAAATTTAATGTATGCTAAGTATATTTGTAGCCTCTAGTTTTCCTACATTGCCTAACAAGTCTTTAGTAATATGCTAAAATGTGAAATTGATTCACATAGGAGAGTAAAGATTTCAGAATTAGAGGACGAGGCCTTTAACCAGTCAAAAAATAAAAATTTATAGTTTCAGCTACCACTGTTGTCTGATCTGTGAACATTCAATCAAATATAATTTCATTATAATCATTTTTAGGCTTTAATAAATACTTAATATCTAAAGTCTAGGCTTAATAAACTGCTGGAGTTTAAAAAATATTACATATAATAAATATATGTATAATGTTTCATATAATACACATAATTATATATTATACAAGTAGTATGTATTATACCTACAGAATATATGTTATATATTAAGAAGATTATATATAGACGCACACACACACACATATGTGATTTACCTGTTTGTTTTCTTCCAGCAGTACTTTTGATTTCTCCTGCAATGCTCCCTGATCACTTGTAGGTAAATACATTCTTTAAATTCATTAAAGCAATTATGGGTTGAGTTTAGGAATGCAGCAGCAACCCTGACCTCAAATGATGACAATTGTAGAAACTAGAGGGTGAAATCTCCTAAGTCATCTACTGGTAGAGACACGTTATTGACTACTGGGTATCCTTATCGTCTCAACAGGAAAGTAAAACAATGTGATCTCCATGAATACTGGTCTGTTGTCAAAAAATAGTACCTTGGGATGGAGAATCCTAAGAACAGTTCTCACTTAATGAGAGGCTGTCAAATAAACTCATTCTTGCTCAAAACTATGTATTTTTGTACTTTGTCCTTCTAGTTTCCGTGGATGCTGATGAATTCTATTGAAAGATTCAGGCCTTCTAATGATTCCATTGGATAATTATTTAAGTGAATACTTTTTTTTTTATTTTACTTTAAGTTCTGGGTTACATGTGCAGAACATGGAGGTTTGTTACATAGGTATACACATGCCATGGTGGTTTGCAGCACCCATCAACCCGTCACCTACATTAGGTATTTCTCCTAATGTTATCCCTCCCCTAGCCCCCCACCCACTGCAGGCCCTGGTGCATGATGTTCCCCTCCCTGTGTCCATGTGTTCTCATTGTTCAACTCCCTTAAGTGAATATGTTTTGAAAAAAAAATTCATGTGGGGTATATATGTACACACAATGGAAAAAAAGAGTCATGGAGAGTAGAAAAACTTTGGAAACATATTTGCTCAAAATGATTGATCTCTGGATGTGGCCTCCTTCAACTCACTGTAAGTTATAGAGAGCAAATAAAATGTACAGAACTCTACAAAGTCCTACTCAGAAGGCTGCCCACAGTGTCTGCAGACAGCTCCCATCAATCAACTTTAGCCTTGAATCAATCTAGTGGCAAGAGCAGTGAACAAAGGCCAAACTGGTCAGGCTGCCTTAAAAGGAGAGAGAAACACATTTTTGAATGTATTTATATCTGAAATTAACTTTACCACATTGTCTACAAGACACTAACCACTGAATCGGCTACGCTGAGTCCTCCAAAGCATTTTGGAATTATTGCCTTGTATATAGCTGAAATTCACCGACTTTTAGCTTGCTTTTAAAAAATGACCTGTTTTCTCGTGTTGTTTTCTAGTGACTCACTTGGTGGACACATACACAAGTATTTTGTAGTTTATATCAATTTGTCTTTAATGCCCAATCTCTCTGATACACAATAGCATCTGTGTACCTTTGGAGTTAGAAGGCTCACCTGAAGTTTGTTTACATCCTTAATGCAAGCCTAATGCCTTCACAAGTACTCCAAATATTGCATTTCCAATATCAGAGGGAAGGTGATTCAAAGGACTGTAGCAAAATTCTAAGTAACTACAAATTATTCTACTTTTGTGAATTAACTTCATGGTGCAGTCCTGGGTCTGACGCAATATATCTTGCATAGTAACATTCTTACAGTCAGTGATTCAAATGGCTTTTGAATAAGTAGTATTGCATCTCCCTCAGTGCCTGGGCTTCCAACAGAGACTTTTCAGCAAAGTGTTGGGAATAAATAAAGCGTATTGTTAGGAAGAGACTCTTTTAGGCTATGGCTATGCTAATTTATTTAAATATATACATTAGTACCATGTGAATCTGAAGATTTAAAGGGACTATGAGAGTTCTATATGTAGACTACCCCTTTTATTTAAGATCCAGCTATTGCTGATGCAATTTTTCTCTGTTGAATTGTTCTGTTTGTCAGAACTTATTTCTCACTTCATAATGATCATCTTCTCCATTGCATCATTCATTTTTTAACCACATTAAGTGTGTGCAAACAAGGCAAGTTGACTATCAGGCTTAGAGTTCAAGTTTGGATGGTACAGGCAGTTTTAGGAAAAAACTCATGAGACTGCCACATTCAAGGAGTTTGGGTTTTTGTCAGTTCTGTTTTGTTTTTCATTTGCAACCTAGAAGTTGAATCAAGAATACAAAGGAAGCATGATTAGTGACTTCTTTAGTACCTGCTTTGCTGAGATATGCACATGGTCACTACTCTTTGTAAAAGCAATCTGGGATATAGTGGGGACTGTCAGAGAGGAGCTGAGGAAAGGTGCCGGTGCCAGCAAGGGAGGGATATGGGGTATATAAGTCTTGCAGGTACCTGCAGAATTGAGTAACCAGTGTGCAGAGCCATCCTGCATCCTTGGCTCTACTGAGGCAAATGCCAAAGCAAGTTTCTAAGGCTATTAAATATCTACCTAAAGTTCATTGGTAACTCTAGGAAGCCAGGTGAGGACCACAGAAAGGTAGGAGAGACATCAAGTTGATACAGTCTGAAGCCACTCGCTGTACACCTCTCTGCAGCCTCTCTAGCTCCCAAGTCTGTCCTTCACAGACAGCAAGGACTCCAAAAACCCCCTTTCCCTCAGCTCTGCAAGCCCCTCCTGGGATTCCTCACCAGGGCCATCACAATGGCTGTGAAACTGATCTCCCAGCTGCCCCTCTGGGTCCTTAAATTGTCATCCACAGAATGTCAGAATTTTTTTTAATATTCTATTTTAATTATTATTTAATTTTAATAATTAAGTAATTTAACTTAATTTTTAATAACTAAATAATACTTAAATTTTAAAATAACTACATAATTTGATAATTCAGAGGACAAACCACAAACCATAGCAGCTTGCACCTATTTATTCACCACAGAAACACACACACACAGACACACAAACACATACATATACGAAAAAGCATACAAAGACATATAAACTCACAGATACACAAAAAAGCACACACAGATACACAAACACACATACACAGAAACATACATGGAAACACACACCCAAACACACACACAAATGACATACACATGCACAAGCACACAGGTGCACACACAAACACACACAGAAATGCATATATACACATCCAAACACACTCACATTTTGGCACTGGATAAGGAAGGATTTGCTGAATTAGTACATATATGCATGAGACGTTTGAGGCTTTGTATTCATTCATTCTTTAGTTTTGCTTATTTAACAGCCTTAATATATATACTACGTGGTTAACAATTTCAAGAATGCCTTCTTTTTAACATTTATGGGCAGTGATAAGAGTGGAACATGAGGCCTGCATCCCATATCAGGAACATAACTGCCAGACCTTGTGTAAAATCATTCCCATCCTCTTACACCGGCACACGTGGGATGGCTTTGGAGCCGAGTCTGAGTGTCCTCTGCTCGAGGGAAGGTAGCAGTGAACTCCTGCTCTTTCTCTCTCTGCTTTGCCTCACTTGGTGAGGCGCCTCACCCACAACTGTCTGCCTGGATGCCCTCATCCAAGCTTTGTCCTGCCCCATCCTAGATAGTTCTCCTGCCTCCTACCCCTGCTCCTGCCCCAGCTTAGGGGAGCAACACCTCGTGGGTCTTCAGCTGTCAGGAGTTTGAATGTGGAAAACACCTTTGAAGGTCCTGAATTGGGCTCAGAGTGTGGGCCTGGTTTGGCAGTGCATTCTGGTGGTGCCAGTTTGCATGTGTGGTTTAGAAGACGAGCATGAGGTCTGAATGGGCACATCCCCTGGTCTGGGGGAATCCTCTATCTGTGGGGAGGGGAGTGGTTTAAATGAAGGCCAGAATCGTGCTCTGAAAATCAAGGGATCCCAGGGAATAGGGCTCTGTGTCTTGTTGCCTGGGTCTAATGTGGTGGCTGACTTAAAGGAAATCAACTAAGGTGTGAAAAGTGGGTATAAACGTCAGAGTTATTTGATGTCCAGTAGTCCAGTATTTGATGGACTAAACAGATGGTCCAGTAGGGCACAGTGGCTCACACTTGTAATCCTAGCATTTTGGGAGGCTGAGGTGGGCAGGTGGATCACCTGAGGTCAGGAGTTCGAGACCAGCCTGGCCAACATGGCAAAACCATGTCTCTACTAAAAATACAAAAATTAGCCAGCATGGTGGCACGTCCCTGTAATCCCAGCTACTTGGGAGGCTGAGGGAGGAGAATTGCTTGAACCCAGGAGGCAGAGGTTGCAGTGAGCCGAGATTGTGCCACTGCACTCCAGCCTGGGCAACAGAGAGAAACCCCATCTCAAAACAAACAAAACAAAAACCCAGATGGTCTATTGGAGGAGATGGACTAGTACACAGTCTTTTACAACATGCTGTATGAAGTGCTATCATGCACAGGATGGGCTTCTGAAAGATTGCGCTGGCTTGGCTGACTTCTGAATGATGGGAAAGTTTTCGCCAGGTGAGAAAAGGAGGAATCCATATTGCTAGCATATGCAAAGGTAAGCAGTCATGAGAAGTTCTTTGGTTAGAGTTTATTTGGATGTAAGTTACACAAATACAAATAATAGTCTAGTTTATTTTTGTGATTTAAATTCAAAGCAGGCTGTTTCTGAACATTGGATGAGAGAATCAGTGATACTGGAGCTGATGCTTTAGGCTTTCTTTTGGCCTTTCCTTTTCAGCAGCTGCAATCCTGTCATTAAAACTGCATTCATGAAAGAAATGAGAAGGGTGGACAGGGAGGGAATGAAAATATTGCTCCGTGGGAGGCATTGTTATTTTATTCCAGAAGAGATGGATCAAGCCCTCTAACCTGGTTGGAGAGCTAAGAATACCTGCCATAGCTCTTGTTAGCAGACAGGGGCCAGTGCCCTCCATGGGATACAGGGAGTGGGATGCCATGACTGTTCTCGTTCCCGGGACCTGGGCAGGGCTTTCCTCCCTGGGATGAAAAGATCTCTGCCTTCCATGTTAACAAAGATATTTCTTAATTAGGAAGAAAGAAGTGGGCAAAATACTCTCAAAAAGACAAAGGACCACTTCAAAAAGGAATCCGCTTACTGGAGACATCTGGTGATGTGGTGTGTTCAAAATGAAAGATATGGGATGAGATGGGCTAAGAGGTGAGGCTGCACCTGTAAGGAGAGGCCATGCTAATGAGTCTGGAAATTTCCCATTACTCAAAGTGTTCCCATCTATTTTTAAAAACAAAAAATGATTTACAGATAGTAATTGGACTTTTAATTCACAATTAAAATATATAATGATTAACTAGTTTGAATTAATAAAAGTTAAAGTTCATGTGTAAATATGTATCAGATAGTAATCACAAAAGCATCTGCAGATATTTGGAAAATGGTTGTGTACATATGGGAGTAACTCAGACTTATTATGTATTCAGTTTACATGCTGCATAAACTTTTTCAGTGCACAATGAGGTGTTTTAATTAAGAAAATGACAAGATCAGTTTGCCTTTTACTAAGCTTTGTGGCTGGAGGGAGTAGGACTTGCAGTGATTATACAAGTTAGAAAACTATTGTCTGAATCCAAGTAAGAGATGATAGGAGCCATAATTAAAGTCATATGAAGACTTGTTAAGAAGGAAGAGTCAAGTGAGATTTGGAGCCAATTTCTCCTGGAAGGTCTTGCTTAGGTAAGAGCAGTCATAGTGCCTGATATGTGACACAGAGTAGGCTCTCAATGAAGGAAGCTATCTGATGACTCAGTAATTAAAAGAGCACCAGGAATGGAATGTCACAGTGGACTTGGTGGGGTAGGGGAAGCTTGGAGTCAGTTTTAGACAGGTTGATTTTGAGGTCCAAGTAGAATAACCAAATGAAAGTGCATGAAGCAATGGATGCATTGATCAAGAATTTAGGAGAAAGATCTGTATTGAGTAGATTTAGGATATGTCAGCATGACTTTGGAAGTCAATGGTAAAAGACTGAGAAGGAGAACCATGGCAAAAGAAATGCTAGAAAACCCTGTTATCATGAAATCTCAGGAAGCAAGGAGGAAAAGGGTTCCATCAATGCTGCCAACCCAACAGAGCCAATAAGCAAGGGACAGATTGGAATATTTCCTTTGGACTTTGTAACTTAGAGGTTATTGATGACGGTGGCAAAACCAATTCCAGAGGAGTACATTAGCAGGAAGCCAGACTGGGAAATTCACATTCCTTCCACCATCCACATTAAAGGAACATTTACATATTAAACAGCAGCACCAGAACTTGGATATAGGTAGGGCTTATATGTGTATGGCTTAGGTAGGAATACAGGGAAACAAACTTCACTGCCAAAGACAAAATGCATCAAGGATATACAAGGGGCAGTGGGGAGGGTGGAAGTAGAGGTGGAAGGAAGGAAAGAACACTGCACTTAAAGGAAGATCATGTAGATAGACAATCCGTGCTCCTCAAATAGACAGAAGACCCCAGTTCCAGGAAGGAACTTCTTTGATTCTTAACAATATTTGAAAGGACATGTTGGTTGCTGTTGACTTTAGTAGAATTAAGGATACACTCAAGTATTTATAAATTATATGTGGCTATTTTCTTTTTAACGAACCACGTGACATCAGTTCAAACAGCACAAATTAACAAACACATTATACATAATATGTTGCTTCAGTTATTTTTCTTTTACCCTCTTAGGAAAGCTCAACAGAGCAAGAACACAGGCAATATTTTACTGGACAATAGATTGCCCTTTTTCTCAGTTCATTTCTATGGTCTTTGTAAACTTTGTAGTTACTGAAAATTCATTTCATTCTTTAAATATATTATTGTGTCTGTTTTTAATTAAAATTGGCTCATCAGGTACACAGCATGGATGTAAAAGTAATAGGGTCATTTTTCATCCTGGACTTTCTAAACATGTGGTTGGTTTTTGTCCTTAATTGTCCACCAGGGCTCACTGCATTCAGCTTATTATTTGTTTGTATTTCACTTTTTCATACAAAATTGTTATCAGACACACTAGGCAAATAGGAGAATTTTCTTCCTATGTAATTTAAGTCATAGCGTTTTTATGTAAATACCATCAAACGTTTGATAATGGTTTTTGTATTCTGTAAGAAACATTAAAGTATTTTAGAAGTATTGTGATTTAATGTTTTCTTATTTATTTTATTTAACAAAGAGAAATTTAACACCAGTGAGAAAAACTGTCAGTGAATAATTGCATTAACCCATCAAGATCCTTCACGCACATCATCCTTTGGCTCAGGGTCCAATTTCAATATGCAGCAAGACCCCCAGAAACGGGGGGCAAAAGAAAAGGCTGTCATAGTAATTGTCACCGTTCCCTCAATATTTATTGGCTGTTTCACTCAATTAGTGTCAAGTATATACTGCCAGGTACCTGTCTTTGTTTCACATTGTCCTTTTTGTTCATCTCCTGTTAGTGAAACTGTCCCCAGGACAGAGCTTCCTCAATCTCCAGAGCTGCCACAGTGCTCTGCCCACTGGGGCCACTGGGCTCAGGGTTTGCAATTCTGGGGTGCAATCTTGGTATTTTTCTGTCGCCAGCTTGCTTTCTGCAGAGCATCCATTCCATGCCTTCTCTTCTTTTTGTAGATCGTAGCCTCTAACTTGACAGAGAACACAGAGGTCTTCTAATTCCCACTATCTGCTGCCACCTGACTCCCCACTTCCCTGGGCTGTTTCTTTCTGCCCCTTCACAGTCAGAAGAGAGCATCCTTCCTGCTGCAGGTGCACGGCACTGCTTGCTTTCTCTCCTTTCTGCTGTGATAATTGTCTCCCTCTTGGTCCTTCTCTCCGTGGTGTCCTCATCTGCTGACTGTGCACCAACTGCTTTTAGGCAGCCGCTGCACGGGTGTAACCTCTAAACAGCAAAAAACCAGGTAGACCCCCTCCATCACAGCTGGCATCCTTAGATTGTGATGCGTGCTCTTAGGATATTCCACCTTCTCTTTCTCTAACTGCCAATCCTGAGCATGGAACGCTGTGGACCTGAGACTCTACTGAGCACAAGACATACTTGAGGGGCTTGTTCACATTTCTGAGTCCATGCTTCACTACTTGGATTCATTTGGTCTGCAGTAGAACCCAGATATCTAAATTTGTAACAAGATGACTCTGAGGCGGGGTGTATGGCAGTTTCTAAGAAATGCCATATGAGTGTATTCATTTCCTGGCTCAGCTTCAGCTTTCCCAAGGATATTTCAGTCTTTCTCATGCTCCTGCTGGTGGTGATTGACCAAATCTCTGCAATGCAGGGGGTGGTGTAAGTATGAGTCTTCATCACTGAGGATACGCTATCAACATTTTGTTTCCACGAATGCCATCTATTCACACTTCCTCTTCTCTTAGCTGCTGATATGGGGGCAATTATATCAACTTCTCCTTTGGAATAGTGACATCTTCAAAATTTCGAGGTGCCTAAAAATCATCCCTGTTCCATATGGGACATCTTGTCTTCTTGTATATAGAAGACTATATACATAGTCTATACACAAGAGTACTTCTTATATACAGATGCTTCCCTTTCTGTAGTAGATTAAGTTACATTTGCTTCCCTACAGACAAAGGACAACCTCCTCAGGGAACTATGGCTTAACTCTCCCATGTGGACTATATGACAATTACATGGATTTTATAGAAAAAATTACAATGCTCTCAGTCTTTGGAAGTTAATTTTGCTACCTATAAAGTCTGGCAAATCCTATTTGCTTATTCAATGTATTTAACACAAATTAAGTTCTGATGGCTAAAGTATAGTGGAAAAAAGACAATCCTTTGAGGAACTCAGTAGTTCAAGGAGGGAGAAGCAAAACTCAAAAGATCTCAGGGATTTCATAGATTTACCCATGATAATGTGTTATCCCTTGGTAATATTAAAATGAAACCCAGCATTTTAAAATAAAATTCTTTAAGTTAGGTCTATTTTTATGCTTTGAGGCCAACCACTCTGAAAGCAACCAATTGTTTTTTCAATTGAGTTCATTCAAACTAACACACCATAGGCTTACTCAGCTAAAATAAAGAGAAAAGTATCCCTGAACTTCACATTTCTGCTATGTGTTAAATTAAAGTGTCTTTTGGTAATAGAGAAATCAGATTACCTAGAGTGAGGGTGAGAACAGAAAGAAAGGAAGCAAAATTATGACATTGCCAGTGACTGAATCTCTTATTCACAGGAAACCTAGATTGCAAATCAAATGTATGAACTAACTGGGCATGCAGTTGTTCTGTTTACCTCCAAAAAACATGACGTAGTTCATGTTCCCATAGGGGGAGACCTGGTTTCCAAGTCAGATGGAAACCTAACTTCTATGATTGAGAAGCTGCAGGATTCTGAAAAGCATCACCCCTATACGCATTTATTTTCAAATAAGAAAAACAGGGTTAAAAAGATATACCTTGCAACATTATTGAGGCTGAATCAAAAATATTTACTCATAACTTCATTGGAAAGTTAAGCTAAAAGTTAAACAAATAAACTTATTATTTCCCCCAAGATTTGATTGTTCTGGCAGTTTGGAGAGAGAAACTTTTGTATGCCACTGTTTCTGTAGATGAAGAGTTTGTCACATCTAGTCTCAGGGACACCGAAGGCTTTGGGCTCATTGTATCTCTTGGGAATGCTTACGTTTAGATAATTATTTTGGAACATATCTAATACATGTTTAAACCACCCTTCAGTGGAAGACCAAGTTGTGAACCCTTAAAACTATTAAAATAATGTAATCAGAAACACTTTGGGATTTCAGGAACCAAGGCCTTGAGACTCATGAAGGAAAAAGGTTTATGAGGCAGATTCTGCGTCATTCCCTGGGTGATGTTCAGGAGACACAAACATATATAAAAACCAACTCCTTCCAAAAGAGAGAGGACTCGAAGTCACAAATAAATTCCAACTCTTTCCTGAGGGGAAGCACTATGAGTTTGTCCCAAGAAGGGAGTGGTTTCTAGTGAGGACAGCTGAGCAATGGAGAAAACAAGGCTGTGAAAGACTGTCACCTATAAATTCAAATGTCTCAATTAGGGCAGTCAGTAACTATTTACAGATTTGTTTCTCAAAAATAATTCCACGAAAAATAGGTTTAAAAATAGGTTACCAGGGAGGAGCCAAGATGGCCGAATAGCAACAGCTCTGGTCTACAGCTACCAGCGTGAGCGACGCAGAAGATGGGTGATTTCTGCATTTCCATCTGAGGTACCGGGTTCATCTCACTAGGGAGTGCCAGACAGTGGGCGCAGGTCAGTGGGTGCGTGCACCATGCGCGAGCTGAAGCAGGGCGAGGCATTGCCTCACCTGGGAAGCGCAAGGGGTCAGGGAGTTCCCTTTCTGAGTCAAAGAAAGGGGTGACGGACGCACCTGGAAAATCGGGTCACTCCCACCTGAATACTGTGCTTTTCCGACCGGCTTAAAAAACGGCGCACTGCGAGATTATATCCCGCACCTGGCTCGGAGGGTCCTATGCCCACGGAGTCTCGCTGATTACTAGCACAGCAGTGTGAGATCAAACTGCAAGGCGGCAGCGAGGCTGGGGGAGGGGCGCCCGCCATTGCCCAGGCTTGCTTAGGTAAACAAAGCAGCCTGGAAGCTCGAACTGGGTGGAGCCCACCACAGCTCAAGGAGGCCTGCCTGCCTCTGTAGGCTCCACCTCTGGGGGCAGGGCACAGACAAACAAAAAGACAGCAGTAACCTCTGCAGACTTAAATGTCCCTGTCTGACATCTTTGAAGAGAGCAGTGGTTCTCCCAGCACGCAGCTGGAGATCTGAGAATGGGCAGACTGCCTCCTCAAGTGGGTCCCTGACACCTGACACCCGAGCAGCCTAATTGGGAGGCACCCCCCAGCAGGGGCACACTGACATCTCACACGGCAGGGTATTCCAACAGACCTGCAGCTGAGGGTCCTGTCTGTTAGAAGGAAAACTAACAAAGAGAAAGGACATCCACACCAAAAACCCATCTGTACATCACCATCATCAAAGACTAAAAGTAGATAAAACCACAAAGATGGGGAAAAAAACAGAACAGAAAAACTGGAAACTCTAAAAAGCAGAGCGCCTCTCCTCCTCCAAAGGAACACAGTTCCTCACCAGCAACGGAACAAAGCTGGATGGAGAATGACTTTGACGAGCTGAGAGAAGAAGGCTTCAGACGATCAAATTACTCTGAGCTACGGGAGGACATTCAAACCAAAGGCAAAGAAGTTGAAAACTTTGAAAAAAAATTTAGAAGAATGTATAACTAGAATAACCAATACAGAGAAGTGCTTAAAGGAGCTGATGGAGCTGAAAACCAAGGCTCGAAAACTACATGAAGAATGCAGAAGCCTCAGGAGCCGATGCGATCAACTGGAAGAAAGGGTATCAGCAATGGAAGATGAATGAAATGAAGCGAGATAGGAAGTTTAGAGAAAAAAGAATAAAAAGAAATGAGCAAAGCCTCCAAGAAATATGGGACTATGTGAAAAGACCAAATCTACGTCTGATTGGTGTACCTGAAAGTGATGGGGAGAATGGAACCAAGTTGGAAAACACTCTGCAGGATATTATCCAGGAGAACTTCCCCAATCTAGCAAGGCAGGCCAACGTTCAGATTCAGGAAATACAGAGAATGCCACAAAGATACTCCTCGAGAAGAGCAACTCCAAGACACATAATTGTCAGATTCACCAAAGTTGAAATGAAGGAAAAAATGTTAAGGGCAGCCAGAGAGAAAGGTCGGGTTACCCTCAAAGGGAAGCCCATCAGACTAACAGCGGATCTCTCAGCAGAAACTCTACAAGCCAGAAGAGAGTGGGGGCCAATATTCAACATTCTTCAAGAAAAGAATTTTCAACCCAGAATTTCATATCCAGCCAAACTAAGCTTCATAAGTGAAGGAGAAATAAAATACTTTACAGACAAGCAAATGCTGAGAGATTTTGTCACCACCAGGCCTGTCCTAAAAGAGCTCCTGAAGGAAGCACTAAACATGGAAAGGAACAACCGGTACCAGCCGATGCAGAATCATGCCAAAATGTAAAGACTATGGAGACTAGGAAGAAACTGCATCAACTAACGAGCAAAATCACCAGCTAACATCATAATGACAGGATCAAATTCACACATAACAATATTAACTTTAAATGTAAATGGACTAAATGCTCCAATTAAAAGACACAGACTGGCAAATTGGATAAAGAGTCAAGACCCATCAGTGTGCTCTATTCAGGAAACCCATCTCACGGGCAGAGACACACATAGGCTCAAAATAAAAGGATGGAGGAAGATCTACCAAGCAAATGGAAAACAAAAAAAAGCAGGGGTTGCAATCCTAGTCTCTGATAAAACAGACTTTAACCAACAAAGATCAAAAGAGACAAAGAAGGCCATTACATAATGGTAAAGGGATCAATTCAACAAGAAGAGCTAACTATCCTAAATATATATGCACCCAATACAGGAGCACCCAGATTCATAAAGCAAGTCCTGAGTGACCTACAAAGAGACTTAGACTCCCACACATTAATAATGGGAGACTTTAACACCCCACTGTCAACATTAGACAGATCAACGAGACAGAAAGTCAACAAGGATATCCAGGAATTGAACTCAACTCTGCATCAAGCAGACCTAAAAGACATCTACAGAACTCTCCACCCCAAATCAACAGAATATACATTTTTTTTCAGCACCACACCACACCTATTCAAAAATTGACCACATACTTGGAAGTAAAGCTCTCCTCAGCAAATGTAAAAGAACAGAGATTATAACAAACTATCTCTCAGACCACAGTACAATCAAACTAGAACTCAGGATTAAGAATCTCACTCCAAACCACTCAACTTCATGGAAACTGAACAACCTGCTCCTGAATGACTACTGGGTACATAACGAAATGAAGGCAGAAATCAAGATGTTCTTTGAAACCAACGAGAACAAAGACACAACATGTCAGAATCTCTGGGACGCATTCAAAGCAGTGTGTAGAGGGAAATTTATAGCACTAAATGCACACAAGAGAAAGCAGGAAAGATCCAAAATTGACACCCTAACATCACAATTAAAAGAACTAGAAAAGCAAGAGCAAACACATTCAAAAGCTAGCAGAAGGCAAGAAATAACTAAAATCAGAGCAGAACTGAAGGAAATAGAGACACAAAAAACCCTTCAAAAAATTAATGAATCCAGGAGCTGGTTTTTTGAAAGGATCAACAAAATTGATAGAACGCCAGCAAGACTAATAAAGAAAAAAAGGGAGAAGAATCAAATAGACGCAGTCAAAAATGATAAAGGGGATATCACCACCAATCCCACAGAAATACAAAGTACCATCAGAGAATACTACAAACACCTCTATGCAAATAAACTAGAAAATCTAGAAGAAATGGATAAATTCCTCGACACATACACTCTCCCAAGACTAAACCAGGAAGAAATTGAATCTCTGAATAGACCAATTACAGGATCTGAAATTGTGGCAATAATCAATAGCTTACCAACCAAAAAGAGTCCAGGACCAGATGGATTCACAGCCGAATTCTATCAGAGGTACAAGGAGGAACTGGTACCATTCCTTCTGAAACTATTCCAATCAGTAGAAAAAGAGGGAATCCTCCCTAACTCATTTTATGAGGCCAGCATCATTCTGATACCAAAGCCGGGCAGAGACACAACCAAAAAAGAGAATTTTAGACCAATATCCTTGATGAACATTGATGCAGAAATCCTCAATAAAATACTGGCAAAACAAATCCAGCAGCACATCAAAAAGCTTACCCACCATAATCAGGTGGGCTTCATCCCTGGGATACAAGGCTGGTTCAATATACACAAATCAATAAATGTAATCCAGCATATAAACAGAGCCAAAGACAAAAACCACATGATTATCTCAATAGATGCAGAAAAAGCCTTTGACAAAATTCAACAACGCTTCATACTAAAAACTCTCAATAAATTAGGTATTGATGGGACATATTTCAAAATAATAAGAGTTATCTATGACAAACCCACAGCCAATATCATACTGAATGGGCAAAAACTGGAGGCATTCCCTTTGAAAACTGGCACAAGACAGGGATGCCCTCTCTCACCACTCCTATTCAACATAGTGTTGGAAGTTCTGGCCAGGGCAATTAGGCAGGAGAAGGAAATAAAGGGTATTCAATTAGGAAAAGAGTTAAATTCAAAAAGTCAAATTGTCCCTGTTTGCAGATGACATGACTGTATATCTAGAAAACCCCATTGTCTCAGCCCAAAATCTCCTTAAGCTGATAAGCAACTTCAGCAAAGTCTCAGGATACAAAATCAATGTATAAAAATCACAAGCATTCTTATACACCAACAACAGACAAACAGAGAGCCAAATCATGAGTGAACTCCCATTCACAATTGCTTCAAAGAGAATAAAATACCTAGGAATCCAACTTACAAGGGATGTGAAGGACCTCTTCGAGGAGAACTACAAACCACTGCTCAAGGAAATAAAAGAGGATACAAACAAATGGAAGAACATTCCATGCTCATGGGTAGGAAGAATCAATATCGTGAAAATGGCCCTACTGCCCAAGGTAATTTACAGATTCAATGCCATCCCCATCAAGCTAGCAATGGCTTTCTTCACAGAATTGGAAAAAACTACTTTAAAGTTCATATGGAACCAAAAAAGAGCCCACATTGCCAAGTCAATCCTAAGCCAAAAGAACAAAGCTGGAGGCATCACGCTACCTGACTTCAAACTACACTACAAGGCTACAGTAACCAAAACAGCATGGTACTGGTACCAAAACAGAGATATAGATCAATGGAACAGAACAGAGCCCTCAGAAATAACACCGCATATCTACAACTATCTGATCTTTGACAAACCTGAGAAAAACAAGCAATGGGGAAAGGATTCCCTCTTTAATAAATGGTGCTGGGAAAACTGGCTAGCCATATGTAGAAAGCTGAAACTGGATCCCTTCCTTACACCTTATACAAAAATTAATTCAAGATGGATTAAAGACTTAAACGTTAGACCTAAAACCATAAAAACCCTAGAAGAAAACCTAGGCATTACCATTCAGGACATAGGCATGGGCAAGGACTTCATGTCTAAAACACCAAAAGCAATGGCAACAAAAGCCAAAATTGACAAATGGGATCTAATTAAACTCAAGAGCTTCTGCACAGCAAAAGAAACTACCATCAGAGTGAACAGGCAACCTACAAAATGGGAGAAAATTTTCACAACCTACTCATCTGACAAAGGGCTAATATCCAGAATCTACAATGAACTCAAACAAATTTACAAGAAAAAAACAACCCCATCAAAAAGTGGGCGGAGGACATGAACAGACACTTCTCAAAAGAAGACATTTATGCAGCCAAAAAACACATGAAAAAATGCTCACCATCACTGGCCATCAGAGAAATGCAAATCAAAACCACAATGAGATACCAACTCACACCAGTTAGAATGGCCATCATTAAAAAGTCAGGAAACAACAGGTGCTGGAGAGGATGTGGAGAAATAGGAACACTTTTACACTGTTGGTGGGACTGTAAACTAGTTCACCCATTGTGGAAGTCAGTGTGGTGATTCCTCAGGGATCTAGAACCAGAAATACCATTTGACCCAGCCATCCCATTACTGGGTATATACCCAAAGGACTATAAATCATGCTGCTATAAAGACACATGCACACGTATGTTTATTGCGGCATTATTCACAATAGCAAAGACTTGGAACCAACCCAAATGTCCAACAATGATAGACTGGATTAAGAACATGTGGCACATATACACCATGGAATACTATGCAGCCGTAAAAAATGATGAGTTCATGTCCTTTGTAGGGACATGGATGAAATTGGAAATCATCATTCTCAGTAAACTATTGCAAGAACAAAAAATCAAACACCGCATATTCTCACTCATAGGTGGGAATTGAACAATGAGATCACATGGACACAGGAAGGGGAATATCACACTCTGGGGACTGTTGTGGGGTGCGGGGAGAGGGGAGGGATAGCATTGGGAGATATACCTAATGCTAGATGACGAGTTAGTGGGTGCAGCGCACCAGCATGGCACATGTATACATATGTAACTAACCTGCACAATGTGCACATGTACCCTAAAACTTAAAGTATAATAAAAAAATAAAATAAAAAAAATTAAAAAAATTAAAAAAACCCAGTTCAATTAAAAAAAAAAATAGGTTACCTACCAGTCCTGAACTAAAGCCAACTGGAAAACAATGGGCAGGCACTTGTTGAGTACCTAGACAAGGGCATTGCAACCCTGGGACTCAATGCTTCTGGAGAGAAAGCCAGGAAGGGAGATTCAGGTCCAGATCATTTCCCACAAAATCAGAGCAATGCTGGATTAAGGTGGAGCTGCTGCTTTGAGGTTCAGCAAGTAAGAGCAACAGCGTCTTTGAGAGCTTGGAAATATTGATGAAGAACAGAAGGGGAAAGAAAGGAGTTATTTCCTCTGCACTGGCAGAACTCAACCAGAGAAAGTTTTCAAGAGCAGGAGTTGTCTCTGCTCTGGGCTGGGGGCTAGAAGAGTAGATGTTCATGGAGCGAGGGTTTGGGGAAGGAGGTGTATACAGGAATTCCAGACAGCAAATACAGCTGCTGAGACAGACACATGAAAGAGACTAGCAGGTCCAGGAAGTGTGGTTACAGTTGTGGAATAGAAACTGTGAGGGAGAAGAAGGGAGGAAGAAAGAAGATGGTATCAGAGATGCTCAGAAACAAAGTACGCTTAGCAGGAGTCTTGGGATGTGTTCTGTAGGCACAGAGTATGCATCTAGAAGGCACTTGAGAAATGCTCATTACATGAGAAACGTGAACAACTGTACCAATGTCAGAGCAAAACATGGTGACTCCACTGTCCCCAAGTCTGTCCCTGGATCTCTCAGGGAACATCCTGGAAGCCCCATTTCATACTCTGGGATCCAACTGCATTGATTTCTCTCAGTCCCTACATTAAAAACACAGAAACATTTTGGGATTTCAGGAAACAAGGCCTTGAGACTCATGAAGGAAAAAGGTTTATGAGGCAGATTCTACTCGTAGATGCATGGGTGCCGCAGCTAGCAGTGTGTCCTCCGACCTTAGCTGAAGTCTTTGCTGGAATTTGCAAATACAAGGGGGACATCTCCAGGGGTATCAAATGTTTCTGAGCAAGGGAAAGATTAGCCAAGCTTTAGTGGAAAAAGTCAGATCTATATTACAGAGTGGAGAGTCACAAAATGGCCCTTATTATGTCCTTGGTTATCCAGTGTCAAGGGATTCCCTCCATTTTGTGCAGCTCACCTTTGAAAAATGGAAGCAAAAATCAGTGAAAATCAACTTACTGGAATCCAATGAGCATAATTAAATTAGCCTTCTGTTCTTCAGAATCCAGCTTAGGGTGGTTGTGTGAAAGGGAAACAAGGGATTTTTAAGAAAAAAGAGTTTGAAAGCCCAGAGATTTATGAATCATTTCCAACCTGTAGGATTATATTTCTAAGGCACAAAATAGTTCACTCTCAGGAATTATTAACAGTGTCAAGAGAGAACAAATCATTTATAAGAAAGACCATAATTTTTCCACAACTTTTTTTGTACTTCCCCGAAAAAAGCTATTTGTGAAAATTAAAAATTAAGGTATCTAAACATTGCTAAATAAATAATGAAAGCTTCTGTCAGCTTTTCCCTCTGGGTTTTTGTTCTTTTTTTAAAAAGATGAAGCAGAAGAGAAATGTCTTTTATCTAAGAGAAACTTTTGTATTCTCCGGGCGCAACTCCCATGTTTTTTGGCTTTTGGTCATCACCGACAATTACTTTGCTCTCTCTTTTGATATTTTGAGTGATCCTGTTTTTTTGAGAAAAAGTCTTGACTTTTGGAATGTTCTCTCATTTGTTTTTTCTGTGTTTCTGCACTAAGATTTCTTTTATCTTACTTAGACCTATCCAGATCTTGTGAATTCAGGTGAAGTTAAAATACTTACTGAAGAATTAGAAATAACTTGCCATGTCAAGGGTTTCTCTTAAAGTACAGTCTGTACAATTCTTGGAGGATAATTGCTTCAGATTCAAAAAGAAACTTAATGAAAATAAGATAAAATTGTTAAAGTCTTGTAGAAAAGTCTGTGCCATTCCAGTAGGTCTGTCACTAATAAGGATGTGCTGTACCCCCTGTGCACTGCCACGGAAGTCTGAGGTTGTCAGAGAGCTGGAAAGCATTGCCTGATTGGCACTCATTGCTGGGCATGGGTGCTAATTCTGGAAGCATTGCTGTCAGGGTGGGCCTGAGCCCAAAGCAGCTCCTCAGCTTTTCAGAACATCCCAGTATTTCTTGGGCTCATTATGCTCTGATCTGCTCTGCTCTAAAGTTGTGCTACACCTTCCCAATACTTTATTCTCTCAAATATTTCTCCACACTTTCCCAACAGTGGCTCTAACATGAGAAACAGTGCCTAGAAATGGCACTTATGTGTGATTGCCACTGAGCGACTATGACAGTGGGTTCCCTTTTGTGTGGTCTACGTTGAGGACTCAGCTGCTTGGGAATAGGGCAGAAAACATGTGGGCATCATATTTTAAGCTCCTGGTACCTTGTCTCCTTGCAGACTCCTCCTTTCTCCTACTTTCTGTGCTTTGAGAACTCCCCACTGCACTCTCCTGAGCAGGGTTCTCCTCCCTCCAGGATGGGCCATGCAGGAATCCACAAACACCAACAGTGTTTGATGTCAGTTAGTTTGTTTTCAGCTGCACATTCTGCCAATTCAAATGGCTTAAGAATTAAAGACACTTACTAACTCACACCAAATAGGCAGTAGGTTGACTATTTTAGTGGCCAGGTAAGGTTATGAGGAATTTCGGCCTCTTCCATGATTCTGCTCCTCTATTTTCTCCTCCCTCTGGTCTCCGTCTTCAGACTCATCCTCTCATGATGCCACGTGGTGGAGGACACTCCATGTATCACCCCTTCTCACAACAACAATGGAATACTCTCCTGGCACATTTTGGAGAATGAATAAACCTCTCCAAGAAGCCACCCAGAAGGCTGAAGCTAGGGAGGACTACCTGGCCACTGAGCCCCACATGGAACAAAGGAAGAAACAGGAGGCTGTCTGTGGGGTGGGTCACCAGCAGGGACAAAACCACCTCATCCTGTCTCTGAAGAGGGAGCACTATTTGTTTCCAGGGTTTCCTTGTTAATGACCATGCAGAAAATAGTCATGTACGCAAGTGGGAAAACCACAAAAAGTCCTGAATTAAGAGTTCTTGAGAGTTGTCATCCCTCTTCTATGGTCCCTGACTGTTTTTAAAGATGGCCCCTGGGTGTCCTGATGGGTTTCTTTGTGTTACTGACTCACTGTCTTAGTCCTTTTGGGCTACTGTAACAAAATTATTCCAGACTGGAGAGTTACAAACAATAGAAATTTATTTCTTTCAGTTACGAGGTTGGAAATCCAACCTCAAGGTGCAGGCAGATTCGGTGTATGGTAAGGGCCCATCCTTGATTCCTCGCACAGGCTTCCTGGTTCCCTGTCTTCTCCTGCGTCCTCACATGGCTGAAGGGTGAGAGAGCTCCCTGGGTCTCTTTTATAAGGGCACTGATCCCATTCATGAGGGTTTCACCCTGGGAGTGAGGATTTCAACATCTGAGTTTGAGTGGACACAAACATTCAGTCTACGTCATTCACTAAACCTTGTGCAAGTAAGGGGCTGACGGGTCCAGCCTGCAGAAGGAGCTGGAGCCAGTATACTCAGGGTTTCACCCTGCTCTCCCTCTGCCAGAGCAGACCCTCTCCCTTTCCTATCACCTCCTATCATTAGCTTCTGGGGTCTTCCTTATTTCCTGTGGACCCATGGGTGTCTTGTAACATCCCCAAGGAGCAAGATGGGTTGTCTGCCTGGGGTCCCAGGGGATCTCACACAATTTCAGAGCCGGGGCAGGCAGCAGCCCTGCCGTGGTCACTGGAGGAAGCAGCGGCTGAGGTGGGAGGCAAGTCCCTCCCAGACCCAGGCAGGGCGGGGGGCCAGTGCAGCTGGGCTGAGGCAGCAGGGGTCGAAGACCACCCCATCCTGATGCTCACCTTTCCCAGCGCCCTTGCTGCCATGTCCCTCCTTCCTGTGTGCGGAGCCCAGGCCTCTCTCCTGGGCCCTCTGTCCTCTTTGTTCTCATCCACCTCGGCCTCCATCTCACTTCCCCTCCGAGCCCAGGAGCTCTTCAGCCAGGGGGTGAGGTGAGAAGCCCAACTCTCCCTGTCATTTGTCTATGCCTAGAGTCGTCTCTTATTCCTGAAATCTTTTGAAAAGTCCAGCCAAGAAGACTATCTTCCGTTTCTTTTTCCTTTTCTTAGTGAGGTCACACATTATCCCCCATGGCTGTGAACACAGAAGAGCGAAGCTGTTTGATGGGGTGGGCGTGGTTGAGAACAAGACCACGAGATGACATTGTGTGGGTTTGCTCAGGCTGCTACTGTGTCCGGAATTGGTGGGTTCTTGGTCTCACTGACTTCAAGAATGAAGCCACGGACCCTCCCGGTGAGCGTTACAGCTCATAACGGCAGTGTGGACCCAAAGAGTGAGCAGCAGCAAGATTTATTGCAAAGAGCGAAAGAACAAAGCTTCCACCATGTGGAAGGGGACCGGAGAGGGTTGCCACTGCTGGCTCGGCAGCCTGCTTTTATTCTCTTATCTGGCCCCACCCACATCCTACTGATTGATAGAGTGGTCTGTTTTGACAGGGTGCTGATTGGTGTGTTTACAATCCCTGAGTTAGACACAAAGGTTCTCCACGTCCCCACCAGATTAGCTAGATACAGAGTGTCCACACAAAGGTTCTCCAAGGCCCCACCAGAGTAGCTAGATACAGAGTGTCCATTGGTGCATTCACAAACCCTGAGCTAGGCACAGGGTGCTGATTGGTGTGTTTACAAACCTTGAGCTAGATACAGAGTGCTGATTGGTGTATTTACAATCCCTTAGTTAGACATAAAGGTTCTCCAAGTTCCCATCAGACTCAGGAGCCCAGCTGGCTTCACCCAGTGGATCTGGCACTGGGGCTGCAGGTGGAGCTGCCTGCCAGTCCCGCGCCATGCGCCCACACTCCTCAGCCCTTGGGTGGTCGATGGGACTGGGCGCCATGGAGCAGGGGGTGGCGCTCGTTGGGTAGGCTTGGGCTGCACAGGAGCCCACGGCCGGGGGTGGGTGGGGGCGGAGGCTCAGGCATGGCGAGCTGCAGGTCGTGAGCCCTGCCCAGCGGGAAGGCAGCTAAGGCCCCACGAGAAATTGAGTGCAGCGCCGGTGAGCCGGCACTGCTGGGGGACCCAGTACACCGTCCGCAGCCGCTGGCTTGGGTGCTAAGCCCCTCACTGCCCGGGGCCGGCAGGGCGGGCCGGCTGCTCCAAGTGCAGGGCCCGCCAAGCCCACGCCCACCCGGAACTCCAGCTAGCCCGCAAGCGCCGCACGCAGTCCCGGTTCCCGCTCGCGCCTCTCCCTCCACAACTCCCTGCAAGCTGAGAGAGCCGGCTCCGGCCTTGGCCAGCCCAGAAAGGGGCTCCAACAGTGCAGCGGCGGGCTGAAGGGCTTCTCAAGTGCAGTCAAAGTGGGAGCCCAGGCAGAGGAGGCGTGGAGAGCGAGGAAGGGCTGTGAGGACTGTCAGCACGCTGTCACCTCTCACTACCACAAAGCAACACAAACTGGGAAGCTCCAAACCACAGACTCGTTATCTCACTTCTCTGGAGGCTACAAGTCTGAAGTCAAGGCGTCGGCTGGGCTGCGCTCTCCAAAACCTGTAGGTGAGTATCCTTCTCTGCTTCTTCTGGCTTCTGGTGGCAGTGTCCCACATCAGTGCCGGGGCATTGCAGCCGCAGCGCTCCGATCCCAGCCTCCGTGGCATTGTGTCTGTGTGTCTGTGTCTTCACGTGGCTGTTTTCTTCTAAGGACACCGGCCATATTGGGTTAGCACCCTACCTAAACCCTGCAGTGTGACCTCGTCTTCACTAATGAAATCTGCAATGACCTTATTTCCAAACACGGTCACATTCAGGCTTCATCATATCACTTTTGTGGGACACAATTCAACCCATAATATAGATGAGAGCAAAACAAAAACTATGCAATAACTTTTCTCTCTCTGCCACACTCCCCTTCCTTCAGACTGCCTTGGGTCAGTCCCTCCCTTAACCCAGAAGTTGAAGGACAAAATATAGGAGCCAGGCATCTCCTGACAGTCACCTGCTCCCGTGAGAGGCCGCATTCTGGACTCACAGCTGGGGAGGGGCCTTCCACCTGGGCCCTGGGCCTCCACCCGGGTGGGCTTTCCAGAGCAAAATCTATTCATGGATGGGATTAAACAAAAGATGTAAAATCTCCCATTTCCATAGCCCTTCCTAGGGTGTTTTCATCTGAAGCTGGGCAGGGCCTTCTTCCAAGTTCATTCAGGTTGCTAAGGCAATTCAGCTCCTTGCAGTTGCAGGACTGGATTGAAATATAAGCATAGATAAACAACAGGAAGCAAAA
Source organism: Homo sapiens (assembly GCF_000001405.40). Lineage (NCBI taxonomy): Eukaryota > Metazoa > Chordata > Mammalia > Primates > Hominidae > Homo > Homo sapiens. The sequence goes on from NC_000007.14 coordinate 51,902,302, forward strand.
CAGTTTCCTCACGACAGTAACTCTGAGAATCAGTGCCTTGATGTTCTCCAAGATTTCTGAGTTCTGAATTTATATGAATCTGAGGCTCTGCTTGCCTATCTGATAATTCTTAATGAATAATTGTATTTGACTTTCCTTCCTCTACACCCTAAGAAGGGCTATGGAAATAAGGTCATTGCAGATTTCTTTAGTGAAGACGAGGTCACACTGCAGGGTTTAGGTAGGGTGCTAACCTAATATGGCCGGTGTCCTTAGAAGAGCTTAGAAGTTTGTGGACTTTTTACAACTTGAAAATGCAAGGTTTCAGATGAAAACACTTAGGTCCAAATTACATCCTTGAAGTTCAAGATAAAGGTGATTACAATCAATTCATGGAAAAATCTAATGGTGCACCGCCTTTGACAAAAATCACTCCATGCTTCAGGCCTTGTTAGTGCTAATGAATACTCCTGGCCGAAAAAAAAGGCCTGCATTGATGGTGCTCATATTTAAGACTGATTTCTCAAAAACAGTTTTGCCCCTCTAAAGGGATTTTCAGAAATGTGCCACACACTGTTCTTTGAAATGGGTAATTGGTCATTAGCCGATGATCTCACTCACTGTTATTTCATAGGCCATGAAGGTTTTCAGCATTAGAAAAGTTCGAATTGTCAGGAGCATGCACAAACAGTGGAGGCTGGGTCTGGCACAAAGATACTCATTTGGAAATCTTCTCTGACCCTACACTATATTATCCTGAGCTGACCCTACACTATACTGAGCTGTTGTTGCAGGAAAAAATCCTTCCCTACAATTGGATTCCTTTAGTTGTCTATATGTCTTGCATACTTTATTGTTACAGTCATAACCCTGATAACCACACATTGCTCGGGGAATAAAATGAGGTCATTCAGAAGCTAACCTAACAGCTAACACAGATGTTAAATGACCATAACATGTTACATATATTTTCAAAGTGTCTCTAAAATTAGGAATATAACCTGTATATTTTTCTATTAGCTAACCAAGTTTTCTGATAAGTGAATAAACAAGAAGAAAAGTGGGAAAATAAGAAGCTCTTTTATACTTGTATCTATTTATAAACATTCTGATTAGCAAACATGGAAATAATGAGTTACCATTATATTTCCGTTCACTGTTTTGAAATGATTTCTTCTTAATATTCTATTCAATAATTTTATGATATTTTCATATATTTCCCTCAAGTCTTTATTAAGAGCAGTTAAAAGACCAGTGCAAACAGGAGCAGAGCCTGCCTGTGAATGGCTCTGAGATCACACAGCCTTTGTTGCAGGACTAGAGGATGGCAGTAGAGAGACGCTTGCCAAGGTCAGGGGAAGAATTCATCAAAAACCCTCAGGAAAGCCTGTAGAAAGCAGGTAGTTAACATCAGGGGAGCAGAAGAGGAGAAATGCAATTTTAAAAAGTTTTTCTCTGTTTCTTAGTACTTAATACTGGAAAGGGAAATGCCAAGAGGTATGAGAGAGTGCACCACAGTCATCTGCTCCCGGCAGAAGAAGTGTTTTAAGGAAATAGAAACCCACCAAGAAGCCATCTCTGGACTTCATTCTCTCCAGGGGAAAGCATACCATCTAATGTGGGTACGGCTCTGAAAAGCTTATTCCTCATCATTTGGATTGCTTTATGAGCCTTTTTTTTTTTTTTTTTTTTTTTTTTTTGATGGAGTTTCACTCTGGTTGCCCAGGCTGGAGTGCAGGGCATGATCTCAGCTCACTGCAACCTCTGCCTCCCAAGTTCAAACGATTCTCCCACCTCAGCCTCCCGAGTAGCTAGGATTACAGGCATGCACCACCACGCCTGGCTAATTTTGTATTTTTAGTAGAGACGGGGTTTCTCCATGTTGGTCAGGGTGGTCTCGGACTCCCGACCTCAGGTGATCTGCCCACCTCGGCCTCTCAAAGTGCTGGGATTACAGGCGTGAGCCGCCGTGCCTGGCCCATGTTGTCTTTTAAGTTACTCAGGGAATAAAATTCTATAGGAACTGGAGGTACTATGGCTGCTCTTTAACCAGTTATTTTGGGGAGATAAATCTAAAAAGATTTAAAATCAAAACAAAACGAAACCACAGTTGACTATCAGCCAGAAGCTGTTCATTAAAGGTATTAATTAGGGCTATTAATTAGATCTTGTGTCAAAGAGCAGATATTAAAATGCAGGTCTGAGTGGGAGATGGAGCATTTCTCTTTGTTTCAAAGGCATTACAGAAAAGTCCCTAGAGCCCGTGTATAATTGCTACATTAATTCAGCTTATCAAAGGCCACTGGAAACATGGCACTTGCTTTACTAACAATTCAAAGGATTCTGGCACTTTACTTGGTATTAATTGGCTTGAACTGACCCAGTGCATCTGGCTATCACAATCTATTGTGCTATTCTTCCAATGGATCAATCTCACCAAATGGACTATTGTGTAAACTACGTGCTGTATTTGGGGAGTCTGTGTTTCTAAATTGATCCAATATTGAGTACAGTTGCTTATCAAAATACCAACAAATCTCACTGTTCTAAAGCTGAGCACCCTCTTTGGTAAGAAGCAAAGTCACTAAAGGGAAAAAAAAAAACAAAACGCAAAACTTCAGACCATCATCATTTCATGTGATAAGAAAGAATGGCATTAAATTTAAGCCTAGATTGAGAGCCAAAATTTTAAGGCATATGTTTATTTACAAAATCGAGCACTCTGTTGGCATAAACAATAATATGAGTGCAACAATGGTCCCCTTATGGCCTTAAAAATTATATTCTGTGTTATTAACGAAAACAAAAGAGATTGAGAAAGGGAAAGATTGAAAACAGGATAGGAAAATGGGAGTACACTAAACGTGCCGAGGGGATTTTACACAAACAAGGAATATCAGGAGGGCCTTTCTAGATGATGAACTTTACAATAGAAAATGTTTGCTTTATGAGCATGAATGTTATGCTGAGAGCAGATGTTACTGTTTATCTATGTTCTACTATCACAAGGTTTCCTCTGTTGCAAAACAGTGTTCTCTCTAAGTAGGTTTTAATTGTTACCAGTAATGAGTGTTGTAACCTCACCTCTTCACAAAATGTGTAATCAAACAGTCTGCCAGACAAAGACATTCAGCATGCATTCAGGATGCAAGGATGGGATGCGTTTCTCATTTCAAGTCAAGTGGAGGAAGGAGCATCAGGTGAGGATATAAGACAGGAGAGGACAAGGTGTATATGGTGGGAGTAAGTCTGCCATTTCTTGGAAGCCTAATCCAGGGCCGTGATGCAATCTCATTTCATTTTCACCCCAGCCTGTTGAGGTAAGCACTAATGGTTCCAATGTATAGAAAGGGAAGCAGAAGTGGAAAGAAGGTAAGAACGTGCTCAGTGTCACACAGCTGAGGCCAGTTCCATCTGCTGCCAGAAACAAAAAGCAGACAGATGCAGCCACTTTTCACAAACTCGGAGTGTTCTTTCTAGGCAATGAGTCCTATTATCTAATTACTGACGGAGTGAATTGCTTTGAGTTGTCTATTCTGAAACAAAGTTGTCCTTTTTGGTAGGTATTCTTCAAATTAAAACAGACATGTCATCAAGAGCAGGCCAGCAACTGTCGCTAGCTGACTGGTGATGCTTGATGTCATCAGCGAGGCACCTGCTTACCATTTGGTGTTCTACATGTGTTTCACTGAGAGTTTGGGGGCCTAAGATGGGATTGGGCATACTTGCTTTAAAAGAAGAATCTAAGCCTAAACTTTAAGGTCTTTGTCTTGGGCAAATACATTGACACTGCCACCCTCTAAGGTTTTCATTTGTTACAACAGACCCAGAATGCACCACTATGTGCCCATCTGTGGGAATGTGTATGGATGAGACACATTTTTTTTTTTTTTTGGAGACACAGTCTTGCTCTGTCACCCAGGCTTGAGTGCAGTGGCACGATCTTGGCTCACTGCAACCTCTGCCTCCCAGGTTCAAGCAATTATCCTGCCTCAGCCTCCTGAGTAGCTGGGATTCAGGTGCCCACCACCATGCCCAGCTAATTTTTGTATTTTTTTTAGCAGAGACATGGTTTCACCATGTTGGTCAGGCTGGTCTCGAACTCCTGACCTCGTGATCTGCCCACCTCGGCCTCCCAAAGTGCTGGGATTACAGGCATGAACCACCACGCCCGGCCTGAGGCACATTTTTTATTATGTCATGTGTGTGCCTACATGGCAGGTTGGAGTGTCACAGAAAGCGTGCTGGTGGGGGTGGCACCTAAAGTTGGCAGGCAAATGAGTGAAGAAGTTGAATAGAAAAGGAGTAAGTTGAAAACAGGCCTCACAATCACAGGAAATAGACAAGTCAGTGGGAAAATTTTTGTTAGCCTATATAAATTATGTAGCTATTTGCATATCTGAATTTTCTCCTGAGAAGTCCAGAGCTTATGTTAGACTCCCAAAGTGCTCCAAGATACTGCAAGAGAAAAAAGAAAGAAGAAAAGACAAATTGGCTACTGCACTGGGTAGAGGAAATATTAGAGCAGGCAGGGAGGAAATGCAAGGAGGGAGAGCAAGGAGCAAAGGGCCCCAGAAGGAAAGGCTCTAAGAGAAGGGACATTGGTAGCCTTGAGGAGTGGGACCCAGGACTGGGGGGCTGTGGGTTGACCAACTTGAGAGGCATGTCCGAGTCCTCAGGGATGATTTTAGTACAGGAGATGAGGGACTGTGGCTGCTATTATTCTAATGACTATACATGTGTTAACACATTTAAGGTTCCAAAGACCTTCTGACATGGGTTTGCTTAGCATCCCATCTTGGAGAGACTGAGCAAAGAAAGGCTGGGTCCCTTACAGGCTCTGACAGCAGCAGGCAGGAGAGCAGGGGTGTGAGCCAGCCTCCAGCCTCAGCCACAAGCCTGATGCTGCCTTACAGGTACTGGATTGACGTCACAGTTGCCGGTGACTTTTTTGGCCCTTCCTCCTCACAGAGATCTCTGGTTCTGTGAATTCCTGGCTATGCAAACAGGGAGTCTGTCATCTGAATCCTTTCTCAAACCCACTTTCTTCTGATTCCTGCTCCCCTGGCAGCCTACATTTCAGCTGCACTTGGTCTAATTGATTATTGCTTTTTCTGTCTTCTCTTTCTTGCTGGCAGCCCCTCGTGGCCCTGAGGGGGTAGTATTTACAGCCACCGTTTGCCAGGGGGATGCTCTTTTCCTTCTCTTTGCCAACTAATGATTCCATTCCATTCTCATGGGCAACCTCAGCAGGCTGCACCTAGATGCTTCTTAAGCAGTTTCTGGGTTGCAAAGGCTATATCATTGGGCTGAGGGGCTGGGCCTCTCCTTCTTGGTGACAGAGACGTGAGCTTGTACAACACAAATGACCCTGACACCTGTGCCCACAAAATTCCATTCCTCTTGCTCTCAGCTCTAGGTATTTATACAGCCAATCTAAAGTCATTGGAATTAGAAGAGACACTAGCGATCTGTTATTTGCAGTTGAGGGAAATGCTTTCTGGAGAGCACGTGTTTTGGCCCAGTGCATAGGTAATCTGTAGCACAGTTTTGATCAGAATTCAGACTTCCCAAACTCCCAGTTCAGAACATTTGAAACTGCATCAATCTCATCCTCATGGTCAAACTGCTGTGTCTAAAGAACTTCACTTTGGTGCTGCATGTGAGGATGAGCCCCTCAATATCACGAGGTATCTGTAAAGACTGAATCCAGGCTGGGGACAGCCCCAGGTAGTGCTGATGAGAGCTGACACCCAAAATGCAATCTGGGGAGTCAACAAGAGAAGAAAAGTCTCCATGAAACCAACGAGCAGCACTGAGAGCCAAGGTCATAATCTGGGAAGACATTTTCTGCTATGAAAATATGGAGAGGCCAGGCAAAGAAGAAATGGAGAACAGTGAGAGTAGGAAGGTAGAGATAGAAATAAGGAAGACAGTCCAGTGGAATTAAAATATACAAATTCTAGGGTCTTCTGGAACATCACTTGAGGTGGACCCTGGCAGGAGTGCCTGGGCAGTGGAGCCAGTTGATGGGGACAAGTTGCATGGGTCACTTACATCCAAGACTCTGCACAGTCTTGGCTCAAATGGATTAAGAGTTTCGGTGCAATAATCAAGTGACTCGGGGACAGAGGAACTGCCTTTCTTCAGAGATGCAAGGGTTGCCAAAGTCATGGTGGGGCTGGCATGAATCACGCAGCAGTGAGATACAGAGGGCATCTGACTGGTCACCTACACAAGGAGCTGGGCCAGGAGCATTGATGGAGAATCAGACACAATGGCTTTAGAGCATAATGGGAAAAATATCTAATTGCTCTGTGATAATTTGCAGCCTGCTGTAACCATGCAGATGCCTTAAGAAAAATGAAATCAAGCACATCAAGTACCAGTGTCATCTTCTGTGTGGCTTGTTCTCTCTGGGACATGATACACCACTTCAAGCAACACATCAACCTCATTTCCTCTATCCCTGCACTTATTTTAGATTTTAGTTCAGGAACATAGGAACATGATTTGGTGGGCGTGACTCTCTCCACTTCCAGGATGTCCTAACAAAATGCAATTTGAAATCGCCACCTCTCACCACCTCTCCTCCCCCTAGTTGTGATTTCAGGGTCCTTTTCTTTTTCCATTTAATGGTGCAGTCACTAATACCTTGCAATCACAAATACTTGCCATGACCTCTCACGGATTATTTTTTCCTTTTTAATTGACTATGATGGAAAATCACAGATGCTAAAATCAAGTGTTGGCAAGGGCAAAGTGAAAAAGCTTTTATTTCAGCTCTTGAAGTATACTTTAATTGTGCTGTGTAATACTGTATAATCATCTCCTCGGTGACAGTTAGCTAACAAAGTTTTTTCGTGATCTTTAAATCTGTTTTTCAAGACCCATGAACCACAGCTGCATAATCAGCATGGTAATTGTTGCAGGAAAAAAATACAGAATTACCAGACATCAGGGTTACCTGAACGTGGGTTTGCCCAAGGCCAGCAAATGAGCAGAGTCTCCAGATAGATTATTTTGCACAATTTTTTGGTAAAATCTTACCCTCACAATGCAACTCTTTTTAGTATCATAAACCCTTATGGCTTGCTCATAGTTTTGAAAACTGTGTATGTAACAAAAAATTTTACATATGTTATTTGATTCTCACTGCAAGAGATTGAGGTGGATATAAACCTATTATCACTGACATTTTAGAGATGAGACAAGAGGTTCAGGAAGATTAAATGTCTGGCTGTTTTGAGGGACAAAACTAGAGGGTGCTAGGGATTGGAATAATATCTATCTTAGTCCATTTGGGCTGCTGTAACAAAAGTACCATAGACTGGGTGGTTTAAAAAACACGTTTATTTCTCACTGTTATGGAGGCTTAGGAAGTCCAAGATCAAGGTGTTGGCAGATGTGGTGTCTGCTGAAGACCCACTTCCTGGTTCATGGATTCCATCTTCTTACTGCATCCTTGAAACTGTCCCTATAAATTTCATAAAATTTATCAGAGAAAAAGAGTGGATGAGAAACAAAAATAAACCAAGCTTGCAGCACACTCAGTATTCATCATTAGGTCAGCTTGCTCTCCAATGGGCTTCCTCATAGATTTTCCCTGCTGTTGTCCGAGAATCACGTGGACCTTATCACAAGATTACAGTTATCCTTAACTTCTCTGTATATAACAACCTGAACGTTGTAAAGTTAAGATTTCCATGTGAAGCATTCTTTTGGTCCTGTATACCAGTGAAACTACTGATGTCAAGTTGTCTAAAGGACCCCATGAGACACTGACTCACCAAAGAATGCAGTTTCCAAATCCCAAATATTTCATCTCCCTCACCCTGACCAATAAATAACCCTAATGTTTCAGCCCTTTGCTCGCCACAATCTCATTAGAAACTTCAGTCCAGAACTCCTCAGGGAGATGGACTGGAGAGTCCCTCCCATTGCCTCACTTGGGATCATTAAACTCTTTCTCTGCTGCAAACCCTTCTGTCTTGGTGTATTGGTCTGTTACTGGGCAGTGGGCATACTAACTTGGTGGTTCCGTAATATTCTCACGTGGCACAAGAGGTGAGGGTCTCTCTGGGGTCTCCTTTATTAGGGTATTAATCCCATTCAGGAGGGCTCTACTCTTATGACCTAATCACTTCCAAAAAGTCCTGCCTCCTAATGCCATCACATTGGAAGATAGGATTGCAACATGAATTTGGGGAAAAAACAAACACTCAGTTCATCACAATACCCAGTTCACCAGATTTCTAATCTATAGAATTTTCCACCAAATTGGGAGAAAAAGAAAAAAAAGAACATTTCTTCACTCTTCATCTTCATTGAGAATTTTTTACTTTCCTCTTCCCTCCTTGTAATTTCAGGTGTTTTGGTAAGTGGAAAGACTATGAAAAAAGTCTCAGGTAGGTTCAAGCTGTGAAGTAGCTGGCACATGCTTCGTCTGCACAGTCAGGGAGCTCCATCCATTGTGGACACTTCCATAAGAAGTGGGCTGCAGAAAGTCAACATTCAGGGAGCAAGCCCCAAGGAAATCCTTTTCACTCACCTTGTGTTCTTGATGTAAGATCTACGTCCTTGTTCTCAAAGAGATGATTGGGGCTATTTTCATTTTAAGAATCCTGCAATGAAAGAATTAGTCTAGATAAGATTAAGAAAAATTGGCTAAGACTACATATGGCTTTTTTATTGACTAACCAACTTTATTGTGACTTTTGGTACCTAGTAAATATTCTTAAAAATAACATGAGTGTTCAAAATTTCTCTCTCCTTATGTTTTTTGAAGACCTCACTGTACTCAGTTTCAGCCAAAACTTACATTCCTAGCCCAAATTAATTTACACAAGTACAGAAACAACTTTTTGGCAAAACCCTCTGTTCTGTTTTCAGCTTTTATTGAATATCAATAAACATCATTTGAGGAATTGGAAACTTGTAGCTGAAAATATTGTCTGTAGGTTTCAAATCCTTTATATAGAGCTCAAGAGATATAATTTTCCTGAGTCTATTCATGGGAAAAATGGTCTCTTAATGTAAACAATTTTTTGGCTTCCGTCTAGCAGAGTAATAATACTTAGAAAGCAAGAGAAAGTAAGGGACAAAGTCATCATGTGCTGCTGATTAAGCGCTGTGCTGGTGTCGAGCATGAGCTGAGCACTCGAGAATTTAGAGCTTCCCACCTGGACTTACTATTGATATTTCCAACTCAATAGACCCAGAAAGCACATATTCTGCATCATGTTATTAATCACCCGCAGCATTCATCAGGGTCACTAGACACCCTAGAACTGAAAAACATCAGAGGACTTCATCTACATGATTGTCTGCACCACAGATAGAGAAGTGCAGAACCCAAACAGTGCAAAAGGAGGCATTCCAGGAAGGTTGTGAGGTGCCTAGGCTTGGAGGAGGATGGGAAGACCCAGTGTCTCTGCAGCCCAGGTGCCAGAGAAGTGGAGGACTCAGTGCTGTGACACAGCTACTCAACATTAGCTGAGACCACAAAGGGAGAGGCGCGTATACAGCAGAAGCTGGAACCATGGAGGGGACTCCTCCAGGCACAAAGAAGAAGGGAAAGAAACACCCTCAATTTCTTTCTTCTGTCCTCTAATCTCCTACCAGAGGCTGCCATTGGCTGAACCTCCCCCGAAAGCATGAGGGAAAGGAAACTGACACAGAGCCCCAGAAGGAGAAGATGTGAGAGGGACTTGAAAGAAATGGGTGCTACACACACAAGATCCCATTTAACCCTGGCTGCAGACCTGCAGTCTGAGTGAGTCACCACCATTTTACAGAAGAGGAAACACAGGATAAAGGAGATACAGGGCCAACAAGCAGAAGAGGGAGGACCTCACCCAAATCAGTGGGATTTTCTTACCCCTACACCGTATTGTCTCTCTGTTCTGTTAATGACCTCAGGAAGCTACGTGTGCCCCTGCTTTTTCTATTAAAGTGCCCGGGACTCCCCCCGAGACTTGCTCTGCTTGGTGGAACTATGCCTTGCATCCTGCCTCATCCTTGTTCAAGTCCCGTTTCTTAACAAAGAAACCAGCATCATTTCTCCTCTCATTTCAAACGTCTTCCTCAACTTCTTTTCTCTCAGACTCTTATCTTGTCTCTTTTCTCCATTTCATCCAAATTCTATCTCCTTCCCCTGATTTGCTTTCTTAATTATCCAGATACATGTAAATAAGTTTGCTAACGTTGTGTGTTTGGATTCTCATTCAAACTGTATTTTCTTGATGATTTTAACTATTTTTACAGCTACCATCAAAAACACATAGTCAATGAATATTAAACTATATTACTGAAAATAACCTGTCTACTGATTTCTAGATTTGATTTTTGAGTGGTTTTATGTGAATACAGAGCAGGTATCTCAAATTCAGCATGGCTGATACCATGGTTTCTCAACTTGAGTGCTATTGACTTTGTGGGTCATATAATTATTTGTTGTTTATTGTAGAATGTAGATTCATAGTAGGTGCCAGTAAATTCTAGTGGCACTCCCCCATCATCCCCAGATGTGAAAATCAAAAATATCTCCAGACATTTCTTTATGTTCCCTGAAAGGCAAAACCACTTCTTGTGTAGAACCATTGCCTAATATTGAATTTGTCTTTGCTCTTCATAGCCATAATATTTCCTCCAATTTTTTGATAAATTAGTAAATTTGCTGCTTACAACATTGTTAATGGCAATACCAACTTCAGCATCCCTAAGATTTGAAAATATGCCATGATTTTATCACTTCCGTCTCCTCTATATTTCCAACAATCTGACAAATTATTTAAATAATATCCTAATAGTTCTCTTGAATTTATTTTTGCACTTTTGAGCATAGATCCCATCCTCATTTGGACTGTTGCAATTGCATGCTCATCTGGACTTTCTACTTGTGATTTCTAACCATGTCCACTTATTTTTTACATTGCCATCAGAGCTTTCTCTCCAGAGCACACATCTGATGACCCGGCTGCAGTGTCATACTTCTGCAATGGTTTCCTGGGTATCAATATCCATAGTAACTCCTCAGCTAGTATTCAGTGTCTTCATCCATCCATTTATTTAAAATATATTTTGTAATCGTCAGGCACTGTTCTAAATTTTTTTTTGATTTACTGATGAACAAAACTGAATGAAAATTCTTCCCCCATGGTCCTTACACTGAAGTAGGACAGAGAAATAATACAAATACACAAATAATTTATAGAAAATATTAAAGGGTAATATGTGCTATGACAAAATTAAGGCTAGGGAGTAGAATGGGGAATGCTGACATGAGCATGTGTTGTGAATTTTAAATGTAAGAATCACAAAATTCATCATTGAGGAAAGGACATTTGAGCAAATGCCAAAAGGAGGTGAAAAAAGCAGATACTCGGGAAGGGAGGAGAGAAAACAGCACGTGCCAAGGGCCGAGGGTGGGACTACACCTGCAGGATTAGAGAAAGACCAAAGAGGCCAGCAGAGAATGACCAGGTCTAGTGATGGCAAGACAGAGGGTTGACGGTGAGATGGATGGCTCTTGGGGCATTTTACACAACCTTGAGGGAAAACAGTGAAAGGGAAGGGAAAACAGTGCAATTATCTGGAAGTGATGTGAGATGGCTTGGAAGAGACACTTGGTAGCTAGACATGGAGTCACATCTTGTATATCTTTTGAATAATTATTTGTTGATGGGTTAGATGGGATATGAGTGAAGTCAATGTGATCCCAAAATTCTTGGCTTGATCTTAGGGTGGAAATGTTGTTCACCAAAATAAGAAAAACTGAGGAGTAGAGTAGATTTTGGAGGAAGATTTTCAGAGTTTACTGGCATATTATCAGATTTGAGGCATGTGTTAGATATCTCATAGGAGATATTGCATACCATGAATCTGAAGTTGAAGGGAATTGTTTGGGCTGGAATATATCACCATACATATATGTCATTGGTACACAGATGGTATATGAAGCCATGAGACTAAAGATAAGCAGTGTGATGAGTGTTGATAGAGAAATCTAGCAGAGAAGGATCAATGCTAGAGTTCTAGGATAGTTCAATGTTAAGAAGTTGAAGGGAAGAAAACCACAAGCTATTGAATGTTAGGTAAAATACTTAACTATTCTGATATTGATGACTTTGTATAGGATATGTCTGTCTGCTTCATAGTATTGGCATGTAGTTAGGATTAATGTGGTTATGCCTATAGTGTGTTCAGCATGGAGCCTGGAACAGAATAAGAACACAATATGGAGAGACAATGAGGATGATGACCATGATGGTGATGATGATAATGATAGAAATAAAGGAGGAGGATCGATAAAGCAATAATAATAATAATAATAATAAGTATAAAATCAACAGGAAAAGTGAGAAAGGGGTTTTATCTGTCCGATAGGCTTTTGTAAGTGCCAGTTACTTTTGCTAGATGTTTTGTGGACTCAACCTCATCTAAATTTTACAATAACCTTGTAAAATGCAAACTTTTTTTTTTTTTTTTTTGAGACGGAGTCTCGCTCTGTCGCCCAGGCTGGAGTGCAGTGGCGGGATCTCGGCTCACTGCAAGCTCCGCCTCCCGGGTTCACGCCATTCTCCTGCCTCAGCCTCCCAAGTAGCTGGGACTACAGTAAAATGCAAACTTTTAAGTTTATTTCACAAAATCAGAAACTAGTGCTTATAAAAAAAGTATATTGTTGCTCTAAAACTTTCCCATGTATGAAAAACAAAAAACAAAAACAAGAAAACTTGCATAATCAAATCTAGATCTTTCAGATCTAAAGACCATGCCCTTTCCAGTACATGTGTAAGCTCGTCTAAATCATAGCATTGTGGTTTAAGGTAGCTGCAGAATTACCTTAAAGAACTCAACAAGCAAAAAACAAATAACCCAATTAAAAACGGGCAAAAGACATGAACAGACACTTCTCAAAAGAAGACATGCAAGTGGCCATCAAACAGATGAAAAAAGTGCTCTACATCACTAATCATAAGAGAAATGCCAATCAAAACCACAATGAGATACCATCTCACACCGGTCAGAATTGCTATTATTAAAAGGTCAAAAAATGACAGATGGTACTGAGGCTGCAGAGAAAATGGAATGCTTATACACAGTTGGTGAGTACATAAATTAGTTCAGCCCTGTGGAAAGCAGGTGAAGTTTTCTCAAGAATGTAAAACAGAACTACCATTTGACCCAACAATTCCATTGCTAGGTGTATATCCAAAAGAAAACAAATCATTCTACCAAAAAGGCATACACATTTGCATGTTCCTCACAACCCTATTCACGATAGCAAAGACATGGAATGAACCTATGTGCTCATCAATGGTGGATTGGATAAAGAAAATGTGCTACATATACACCATGGAATACTACACCATCATAAAAAAGAATGAAATGATGTCCTTTGCAGCAACATGGATACAGCTGGAAACTATTATCCTAAACAAATTAATGCGGGAACAGAAAACGAAATATTGCATGTTCTCACTCGTAAGTGGGAGCTAAACATTGGGTACTCATGGACATAAAGATGGCAAAAATAGACACTGAAGACTACTAGAGAGCAGAGGGAGAAAGGGGAGCAAGGGTTGAAAAACTAACTGTTGGGTACCATGCTCAGTACCTGGGTGACAGTCTCATTCACACCCCAGACATCAGTATCATGCAATATACTCAGGTCACAAACCTGCACATGTACCACTAAATCTAAACTAAAAGTTGAAAACAAACCAAACCAAACAAAAAAGAACAGTGGTTCTGTTTTATTTGGAACATTATTCAAAGTAATAAAGAAGGTTGCCTCTGTAGGGCCCAGAGACCTTAAGTCATAGTGGCATCTGCCTAATTTCGAGTCCGTATTTTACTTAGGTAATTGTCTATGATACCATGTAATGCTGGCAGAATTTTTTTTCTGGTGTAGCTTGCATGTGAAAAACATTTCCAATGAAAACAAAAGTAGCTTGAGGGGAAAAAGGCATAACTCTCTTTCCTTACTAACTTTTCTGACATCAACTTTGTTAAAAAACCCTGATTTTAAAATTCTAATGTCACTGTATCATTAGTAGTAATACTAGAGAAGTTGACAGATTATTTGGGGAATTTGGAGTTACTAATAACTAAGACATTATTTCAAGTGTGTTAATTATTTGGAAGACAACAAAATGTTGTAGGTGGTAATAATGTCTTTTGCTGGCAATAAAGTTAAAAAATAAAATTATTTTCTGTGGGACTAAAATTTCGGAAGGTTATGTACAGATTTTAATTTATCGTCTGTCTCTTTCTTTGCACAGCTATTCGTGTGCATTAGTCCTTTTTCACATTGCTATAAAGAAATGCCTGGGACTTGGTAATTTATAAAGGAAAGGGGTTTAATTGACTCACAGTTCCACATGACTGGGGAGGCCTCAGGAAACTTATAGCTATGGTGGAAGGCAAAGGAGAAGCAGGCACCTTCTTCACAAGGCAGCAGGAGAGAGAGAGTGAAGGGGGAAGGGCCCCTTATAAAACTATCATATCTCATGAGAACTCACTCATTATCATGAGAACAACATGGAGGAAACCACCCCCATGATCATTTTTGTTCATTAAAATGTGACAAAAATGAAAATCACTCTTGACATCACTTTCAAACACTTTAATGAAGGAGCTTGAATGAAGAAATAGGAATCGATGGAGTTATCTTTAAAAGTAATTTTATTTTTGATTTTTTTAAATTGTTGAGAATAGCAGCTCTTGATACCCCAAAACTGCCTGGTACCATTAGTAGATTATGGTGTGCATGGCACTGCATTTTCCTATTACACATACAAATTTCACAGAACATCAAAACGAGACAAGGCCATTTATGAACATTATTGTTCAGGACAAAACAAGATGAGTCTGTAATCAAGTCTAACATAAATAAAACATTAACATTGTCCACACAAACAAAAAATGACAAATACCCCCTCTGCTAGCTGACATAAGTGAAGGTGGCTTCTTTAGCAATTATTACTTTAGCTTTGGCCGAGTCTTCTTCCTTCTAGATAAAATGTATTCAGAAACCCAATCATAGGACAACCCCTCCTCCTTGACAGCATCCAATCCAGAGCATAGTCCTGCTTTCTGAAAACCTACTCAAAAATCACCTAACAGCCTAAATGCTGTAATAACTCTTTTCTAGCTCTTTCTTAGTAAAGTGTGCCAAAGTTCTCCATGGTGTGTGTCACTTCTCACTGCAAAGAGTAATAAGCACAGCTTGTTCAAAAACACATGCATTCCTGGTGGTTTTCACTGGTCAGCACTGACATCATAATTTGTAGATTTAAACTCATTTCTGAGTATTGCCTTCTATCCATTACTTTTCGTGGCAAGTCAACCATATTTCCATTTGTCACTTAATGTTTTAAACACTGGACTATGAAGTAATTTAAAATGTAATAACAGATACAAAGTTAATGAATTTTTATATGACACATTTTTCTCCCCAAACTTGGCAGTAAAATGTTACTTCTATGATACTGTGCCATGAGTTTTTAAGAAGGTTATTATTGGGAAAATAATTGTAGACAAGTTGCAAATAAGAGAGATATAAAGGCAGAATGGGAGACTGAAAAGCAAATGAGAGAAAGGATTACTGGACAATCAAGGAAAGAATGACATGAAGGAGACAGAACCTGCTAGTTCAGTCTGCTAGATGGCACATAAGTTTTTGTGTCTACTTCTCACTGAAATCCTTTAAAATCTCAGGAAGGGATTAAAAAGGGCAAGCACACAACTTCAAAGAGAAGACAAAGGGACCATCATCTGGCGAAAGATTTTAACATATTTTTTTAACTTAGAAAGTAGAGCCAGCAGGTTGCTGATGCTTAGAAATAAGTGGTGGGGCTGAATATGCAGGTAAAAGGAGTCTGCAGAAGAAAGCCCCCCTACCACAACCACAACCCCTTCCACCATTCTCTCTCCCACCAAATACCAACTATGACCCCCTCCACCATTCTCTCTCCCGCCAAACACCAACTATGACCTCCTCCACCATTCTCTCTCCCACCAAACACCAACTATGACCCCCTCCACCATTATCTCTCCCACTAAACACCAACTATGGCCTTCTCCACCGTTCTCTCTCCCACCAAACACCAACTATGGGCCCCTCCACCATTCTCTCTCCCACCAAACACTAACCATAACCCTCTCCATTATTTTCCCCCTCACCAAACACCAGCTGTTTATTCAGCTAGAGAAAAGGAAAAGCAGAGAGAGAAGGATAAAACCAAGTAGCCATCTCTGAAATGACCAAGGAAAACCTTGATAAATACCTATGCCATCGGCATCCCAGAGTAAATGCTTCTTCCTCCTGGTGGTGGTGACCTGGCTTAGAAATGCTCAGCTCACGATTGCTTGGATGGGTTGAGAAATAGTTCACAAAACTGTGCATCCTCTACTTAATTTGTTATTTAGAGGCTACTGGAGAATTATTTTTGACTCTCTGCTCTTTGCTTCATTCCCTGATTTTAGAACCTAGCCTTCAGTATGATATGACACAGCTGTATTTTCTCCATAAAACAGTAACTAGATACTAAGGAAAGCAAGCATGCAGAGCTCAGGAAAGAATGCCTTCATATTAAAAATACGATGGCTGAAGTACAAATGCATTAATGCCTCTGGTGATAATTAATTACAAGTCATAATGGAAAAGAAATGTTAATAAAATAAATACACACAAATATTATTTAGAAATACATATAATGAGAGATGTATACTACTTGTAGAAGAAAAAGCAAGCTTCATTTAGTTATTTAGAAGAGAATTTTAATAAAGATACATTTAGTGAAAGTGTTAAATAAAAATATAATGGCAATGAAAACAAGCCTATAGATACACATATATGCATATATATGTGAAATATGCATATGTGTTTGTACAAACCCTAACAGGCTCTATTTTGTAATCAATCGAGTAAATGTGAATCCATTAGGAAAAAAAAAGAATAAGATGAGTATATATGTGTGTATACATATACAAAGTCATAAAGTGCTATCGGCCCACCAAAATTTTAAAGTGCTTTGTAAATTAATAATTTAGTCAGTGTGACATAGCTGAATAAGAATAATAAGGCATATAGATCAATGGAATAGAACACTAATAGCAGAAATATTATATTTTGCTTCTCTAGGTTTATGATGTGACAAAGTAGGTATTATAAAGGAAAGTGAAAAAATGTTTATTTTACTAGGGGAAAATGGGTTGCAATTAGGTTCAAGAGAATAGGTTCTTTAATGTGTGAAAGGATGGGCATTCCTATGTTTTAAAGCAATGGAAAATACAAACAAATATTAAAACATGCCACAAAGGCAAAAATAAATCATCTGTACATTTCCAAATAATAGAACTAAAATTAAAAATGAATCACTGAATATCAAAGCATTTATATCAAAGGAAAAGATTAGAGTGATTTAATTATCCTACTCTAAAGACTAATACAGCTTAATAAGATAGAGTGTACAAAGTAAAGTAGCAAGGGACAAAGAATATAAACAATTCCCACTCCAGGCCTGGCGTAGTGGCTCATGCCTGTAATCCCAGCACTTTGGGAGGCCGAGGCAGGTGGATCACGAAGTCAGGAGTTCAAGACCAGCCTGGCCAACATGGTGAAGCCCTATCTCTACTAAAAATACAAAAATTAGCTGGACATGGTGGCACGTGCCTGTAATCCCAGCTACTCGGGAGGCTGAGGCAGGAGAATTGCTTGAACCAGGACCCAGGAGGCGGAGGTAGTAGTGAGCAAGATCGCACCACTGGACTCCAGCTTGGGCTACAGAGTGAGACTCTATCTCAAAAAAAAAAAAAAAAGAAAGAAAAAAAAAAGAAGAAAGAATTCCCACTCCAGAGAAGACAGCAGCAGCTACATTTTGTACAGCTCTTGGCTACTTATACTTCATTGTATCCCTACGGTACACTTCCCGTTTCTGAATTTTGGTTTTCTCATCTGCAAAACAAATAATAGTGGGACAATACGATAGCAGCAGACTGTGAAATATAAAGGTATGGAAAGGTCTGAGTGGCATAGAATAAATGTTAGCTAGTATTAGTATCATTATCATCATCATCATCATCTCAATGTTGAATCTTCACAATGATTCCATGAGAAATGCATCATTCTCCCTATTTTGTAGAACAGAAAAATTAGACTGAAGAATGTGAAACTACACATCAAGAAATAGCAAGAAACAAGACTCTACACCCAAGTTCCCTTTGATAAAGTAAGACTGCCTCAAACCCTCAAGTAATAAATTGAGGAAAGTTAAAATAATGAGTAATTTTTATATCTGCATCTCTTTTTTCTCCAACCAGCCAGGATGCTACCAGTCCCCATCAGCTGTGGGTACAAAGGAGGTTTTTTATCCCAATCCTGCTGGTGCAGTTGCAGCACCACGGCCCTCAAGCCAGAGTTCCTTCCAGACTCCCTGTCTCTCTTGCCCTCCACACCTACACGTCTCTGGCTTGTGCCCACCTTTTAAAGCAACTCTGGGAGGCCATGCCCAGGTCCATCTCCCTGGGGTCTTCAAAGGATATTTCCTTGACTTGGGACAGGGCTAAGCACCTCCCACCAAGTAGACTAACTCCTTCTCCACAGTAGGAGCCACCAGCAGATTATAATAAAAGTCAGAGCCCAGTGCTCAGGAGCTCCACAGTGGGAGGGCAGGGGTCCCCTTCTCATCTCCAGGCTCTTGCATACTTCTCACTTTTCATCTCCTTTCACAAGAGCCAAGTCATCCCAGAAAGGCTCCTAGAGTGAATGTTTGTATTTTCAGAAGAGATCCTCCCACCTTCAGAAGCTCTGACTTAAGATAACATGTTTCTTCTTTTCAGAGCAGTACCTACAAAAGAAAGCTTGGAAACATTTTGGAGTAGGAGCGAAGACCTGAAGCTGAGCCTTCTTTTTCCGCCTTGCTGCTGCGATCATTCCTCCCTCCCCAGGCAGGTGCTAAGGGCACTGTTTGAGGGGTTCATTCCCCAGGGCCTGGGAGGTTCAGGTCAAAAGCAAGCACGAATGAGAGGTGCAGCCACATTTACTCATGTTGGAAATACTGTATTGAAAAAATACACTCATGATTGCTGTGGGAGAATGGGTACGTTGACACGCTTGTAAAGTAAAACATAATATAAAACCATATCAATTTGTATCTAAAAATTGTTTTCCTTTAAGAATATACCCAAAGGATATAATTCAAAATTGGAAAATGTATAGCACACACACATTAAATATATACTTTAAAATAATATTTATGTAGTAGAAATGAGGAAGTAAAATACATGTCTAAAGATAGGTACATAGCATTATGGTATATAAATATGATATAATATTATGAAATAAATTAAGATATGAAACTCTTAAGCATATAATGACTATACAACATATGAAAATGTTTCTGGTAGAATATTAAATTTAAAAAGCATAATAAAATATATGCTGTAATTTTTGTTTTGTTCAAAGTGCATGTGCACATGGAAAAGAGCAAAAGAGCTGCATTTCTGGTGGCTACATTTCTTTCACGTTGTTTCCTTCATATTGCTAGAATATTATTCATGCAATTAATAAAAGTCAGAAGAAAATCACATTGATTCAGATGTTGGAGTATTTACTTTGTTAAAATACAAACTTACAATCTGCAGGAAAACTTCAGCAGCAAAATCCATTCTCAAAACATCAAAAATATAAAAAACCAGGGTGACATTTAATTTTGCTTCCTTTCCTAGAAGATATTTCTAAGGACATATTCATTTGATTACTGAAATCCAGAAATGTACGGTGCCATTTGTACTTGTATGTTTGATTTGGTTTTTCCAATGATATTTCATTTCAATGACTATTCCAGTGGCCAGGCTTGGTGGCTCCCACCTATAATCCCAGCGATTTGGGAGGCCAAGTGTTTTGGGATTCTCAAGGATCACTTGAGGCCAGGAATTCGAGACCAACGTGGGAACCATAGCAAGGCCCTGACTTTCTACATAAAATATATATATATATGTTTGGGCACCATAGTGCACATCTGTAGTCCTAGCTACTCAGGAGGATGAGGCAGGAAGACTTTTTGAACCCAGAAGTTCAAAGTAACAGTGAGCCATGATTTTACCACTGCACTCCTCCCCGGGCAACAGAGTGAGATCCTATCTAAAACAAAACAAAACAAAACAAAACTAAGCAAGCATTTATAATTTTAGAATTTGGGGTATTCAAAGTTAATTTAATTTAGTTAAAATAAAAAACCTCTGCTTAACACTTGCAATGTGCAATTGCTTTTATTTTTGGCTTTGTAAAATTTGAATTCCAATTCCAAGCTGAACAAAGAGAGATCTCTCTTAGAGGTACATGAGCATTTACAAAAAGGAGGGGACTGGTTAAAACGTGTCTTGAAAAATATAGAAATAAAGGGAGACTTACAAAAATGCCATCAACACTTTCCACATGCAATTATCATTGTTATTATCTTATTAATAACACAAAAGTAGATAGCCTCTAAAGTAAACGCAAGCAAACAAAGTCAAGATCAAGTGAAGATCTGCAGGTAGAATAATCCTTTGTACCAGTCCATCCAGCAACTATGTTTGAAGAAGCACTATGTTCACAGAAAAGAAGGGATGTCTACGGGGTCTGGGCAGAAAGGATGCTAAGGAGAGAGACTGGGCCACTCTTACTCAGAAGTTCAGAGATGTGAGTGCCTTATTTACCTACCTGTGTCTATTTAGCTCCATTTGTTTACCCTTTTGAGCATATGAATAGATGTCTTTTAGTAATACTAACTTTTATTATTGTACAGTTTCTACCACATCCATTTATATCTGGCTCAACAACCACCAAGCTGGTTATAAGTTAGTTCCTGTGCAGAGAAAGCACATGCTGAGTAATGAATTTGTACACTCCAAGATGCTTGGCAGCTGCATTTCTAATAAGCCAATAAACATCATTCTTATTTTGGCAACCTGTGTCTTATAGTTTTATCACTGTTAGCCTGTCTTATTTGGGGAACCCAAGGTCCTGGGCTGGTGGAAATTGAGGCCCAGCTCCTAACTTTGATCATCTCTAATACTGATAACAGATAGTGGTTCCATGAATATATTTCAATTGAATGGGCTGAAATAATGTCAAAGTGTGGGATTTGGCTGCAGTCACTACTGTCTCTAAAGGGCATCTGTATCTTATCATGCTAACTGCAAGACAAGCAAAGTGATGAAAGGTCTCCAAGAGATCATGAGTTTCTGCACTTGGTGTTAGAAACAAAGATGACATCAGGTTTGTTTAGGAATTATTTGACAA
Source organism: Homo sapiens (assembly GCF_000001405.40). Taxonomy (NCBI): domain Eukaryota; kingdom Metazoa; phylum Chordata; class Mammalia; order Primates; family Hominidae; genus Homo; species Homo sapiens. Next base: position 51,923,573 of record NC_000007.14, read on the forward strand.
GAAGATGTCTTAGGAGAAGTAGTTAGGGAGCAGCCAAAATGCTGAAGGTTCCATAGAATAGGTAGACATTGAATAGGTATTAGGCCTGGGAGGAACTGAGAGCAGAATTTTGGGAAGAGATTATACCGTGCCCCTTGGGACAGTGCTCCTGAGCAGTTATTAACTATGCTGCAAGGTTCTCCTGTTGGAGCAGTGAGGGCTACATCTTTCTGATTTTTGATAAAGGTGCCAAAAACAGACAATGGGGAAAAGACAGTCTGTTCAATAAATGGTGCTGGGAAAACTGGATATTCAAATGCAGAACAATGAAATTAGGATACAGAAATCAACTCAAACAGATTGAAAACCTACATGTAAGGCCCGAAACTGTAAAACTACTAAAATAAAGGATAGGGGAACATCCCACAACATTGGCCTGGGCAATGATTTTTGGTCAGGAAACAAAAGCAAATAAATAAAAATGTGTGATCCTTTTCTCAATTCATAGGAGGAATTTTTCATCAAATATGTCCCCAGCTGATGAATATGAAAAGCACACAGGCATCTCAGTATGTTCTGAGACTGAAATGGGTCATTTTAGCGCAAGAAGTTGGGAACTGCCATTTCAGGGTATATAAGAAGAGATAAGCAAAGGTCTCTAGGGTTCCTCTGCCTTTTATTTATTTTTTTATTATACTTTAAGTTCTGGGATACCGGTGCAGAACATGCAGGTTTGTTACATAGGTATACATGTGCAATAGTGGTTTGCACTACCCATCAACCCATCATCTACATTAGGTATTTCTCCTAATACTATCCCTCCTCTTTCCCCCTACCCCCTGACAGGCCCCAGTATGTGATGTTCCCCGCCCTGTGTCCATGTATTCTAATCGTTCAACTCTCACTTATGAGTGAGAACATGCGATGTTTGGTTTTCTGTTCCTGTGTTAGTTTGCTGAGAATGATGGTTTCCAGCTTCATCAGGGTCCTTGCAAAGGACATAAACTCATCCTTTTTTATGGCTGCATAGTATTCCATGTTGTATATGTGTCACATTTTCTTTACCCAGTCTATCACTGATGAGCATTCGGGTTAGTTCTAAGTCTTTGCTATTGTGAGTAATGCTGCAATAAACACACATGTGCGTGTGTCTTTATAGTAGAATAATTTATAATCCTCTGGGTATATACCCAGTAATGGGATTGCTGGGTCAAATGGTATTTCTGGTTCTAGACCCTTGAGGAATCACCACACTGTCTTCCACAATGGATGAACTAGTTTCCACTCCCACCAACAGTGTAAAAGAGTTCCTATTTTCCCACATCCTCTCCAGTGTCTGTTGTTTCCTGACTTTTTAATGATTGCCATTCTAACTGGCATGAGATGGTATCCCATTGTGGTTTTGATTTGCATTTCTCTAATGATCAGTGATAATGATCTTTTTTTCATATGTTTGTTGGCCACATAAATGTCTTCTTTTGAGAAGCATCTGTTCATGTCCTTCACCCACTTTTTGATGGGATTGTTTGCTTTTTTCTTGTAAATTTGTTTAAGTTCTTTGTAGATTCTGGATATTACCCCTTTGTCAGATGGATAGATTGCAAAAATTTTCTCCCATTCTGTAGGTTGCCTGTTCACTCTGATGATAGTTTCTTTTGCTGTGCAGAGCTCTTTAGTTTAATTCAATCCCATTTGTCAATTTTGGCTTTTGTTGCCATTGCCATTTGGTGTGTTAGTCATAAAGTCTTTGCCCATGCCTATCTACTGAATGGTAGTGCCCAGGTTTTCTTCTAGGGTTTTCATGGTTTTATGTCTTACATTTAAATTTTTAATCCATCTTGAGTTAATTTTTGTATAAGGTGTAAGGAAGGGGTCCAGTTTCAGCTTTCTGCATATGGCTAGCCAGTTTTCCCAACACCATGTATTAGATAGGGAATCCTTCCCTCAAAGCTTATTTTTGTCAGGTTTGTCAAAGATCAGATGGTTGTAAATATGTAGTGTTATTTCTGAGGCCTCTGTTCTGTTCCATTGGTCTGTATATCTGTTTTGGTACCACTACCATGCTGTTTTGGTACCACTACCATGCTGTTTTGGTTACTGTAGCCTTGTAGTATAGTTTGAAGTCAGACAGCATGATGCCTCCAGCTTTGTTCTTTTTGTTTAGGATTGTCTTGGCTATATGGGCTCTTTTTTGGTTCCATATGAAATTTAAAGTAGTTTTTTCTAATTCTGTGAAGAAAGTAAATGGTAGCTTGATGGGAATAGCATTTAATCTATAAATTATTTTGGGCAGTATGGCCATTTTTGCAATATTGATTCTTCCTATTCATGAGCATGGGACGTTTTTCCATTTGTTTGTATCCTGTCTTATTTCCTTGAGCGATGGTTTGTAGTTCTCCTTGAAGAGGTCCTTCACATCAGTTGTAAGTTGTATTCGTAGGTATTTTATTCTCTGGGTAGCAATTGTGAATGGGAGTTCACTCATAATTTGGTTCTCTGTTTGTCTATTATTGGTGTATAGGAATGCTTGTGATTTTTGCACATTGATTTTGTATCTGAGACTTTGCTGAAGTTGCTTATCAGCTTAAGGAGATTTTGGATTGAGATGATGGGGTTTTCTAAATATACAATCATGTCATCTGCAAACAGAGACAATTTGACTTCCTCTCTTCCCATTTGAATACCCTTTATTTCTTTCTCTTGCTTGATTGCCCTGGCAAGAACTTCGGATACTATGTTAAATGGGAGTGGTGAGAGAGGGCATCCTTTTCTTGTGCCTGTTTTCAAAGGGAATGCTTCCAGCTTTTGCCCTTTCAGTAGGCTATTGCCTGTGGGTCTATCATAAATAGCTCTTATTATTTTGAGATATGTTCCACCAATAGCCAGTTTATTGACTGTTTTTAGCATGAAGGGGTGTTGAATTTTATCGAAGGACTTTTCTGCACCTATTGAGATAATCATATGGTTTTTGTCTTTGGTTCTATTTATGTGATGGATTATGTTGATTGATTTGCATATGTTAAACCAGTCTTGCATCCCAGGGATGAAGCCAACTTGATCATGGTGGATAAGCTTTTTAATGTGCTGCTGGATTGGGTTTGCCAGTATTTATATTCTGGGACTCTTATAAGGCAGTCCTGATGGTGACAAAATCCCTCAGCATTTGCTTGTCTGGAAAGTATTTTATTTCTCCTTCACTTATGAAGCTTAGTTTGGCTGGATTTGAAATTCTGGGTTTAAAATCCTTTTCTTGTAGAATGTTGAATATTGGCACACACTCTCTTCTGGCTTGTAGGGTTTCTGCAGAGAGATCTACTGTTAGTCTGATGGGCTTCCCTTTGTGGGTAACCTGACCTTTCTCTCTGGCTGCCCTTAACCTTTTTTCCTTCCTTTCAACCTTGGTGAATCTGACGATTACATTTCTTCGTGTTGCTCTTCTTGAGGAGTATCTTTGTGGTTTTCCCTGTATTTCCTGAATTTGAATGTTGGCTTGTCTTGCTAGGTTGGGGAAGTTCTCCTGGATAATATCCTGAAGTGTGTTTTCCAATTTGGTTCCATTCTGCCCGTCACTTTCAGGTACACCAATCAAACGTAGGTTTGGTCTTTTCACATAGTCCCATATTTCTTGGAGGCTTTGTTTGTTCCTTTTCATTCTTTTTACTTTAATCTTGTTGTCATGCTTTATTTCATTAAGTTGATCTTCAATCTCTGATATCCTTTCTTCTGCTTGATCGATTTGGCTATTGATACTTATGTATGCTTCATGAAGTTCTTGTGCTATGTTTTTCAGCTCCACCAGGCATTTATGTTCTTATCTAAACTGGTTATTCTAGTTAGCAATTCCTCTAACCTTTTATCAAGGTTCTTAGCTTCCTTGCATTGGGTTAGAACATGCTCCTTTAGCTTGGAGGAGTTTGTTATTCCCTACCTTCTGAGGCCTACTTCTGTCAATTCATCAAACTCATTCTCCATCCAGTTTTGTTCCCTTGCTGGTGAGGAGTTGTGGTCCTTTGGAGGAGAAGAGGCTCTCTGGTTTTTGGAATTTTCAGCCTTTGTGCTCTGATTTTTCCTCATCTTTGTGGATTTATCTACCTTTGGTCTTTTCCGTTGGTGACCTTCGGATGGAGTTTTTGCGTGGTTGTCCTTTTGGTTGATGTTGATTCTATTGCTTTCTGTTTGTTAGTTTTCCTTCTAACAGTCAGGCCTCTCTTCTGTAGGTGTGCTGGAGTTTGCTGGGGGTCCTCACCAGACCCTGTTTGCCTGGGAATCACCAGCAGAGGCTGCAGAACAGCAAAGATTTCTGCCTGCTCCTTCCTCTGGAGCTTCGTCCCAGAGGATCATTAGCCACATGCCAGCCAGATTTCTCCTGTACGAGGTATCTGTCGACCCCTGGTGGGAGGTGTCTCCGTCAGGAGGAGACCCACTTGAGGAGGCAGTCTGTCCCTTAGCAGAGCTGAAGTGCTATGCTGGGAGGTCTGCTACTCATTCAGAGCCTGCAGGCAAGAACGTTTAATTCTGCTGAAGCTGCGCCCACAGCCACCCCTTCCCCCAGGTGCTCTGTCCCAGGAAGATGAGAGTTTTATCTATAAGCCCCTGATGGGGGCTGCTGCCTTTTTTTCAGAGATGCCCTGCCTAGAGAGGAGGAATCTAGAGAGCTGCCTCTTTTTTTTTTTTTTTTTTTAGAGTTGGCTAGTCTGTCATCTCCTTTACTATAGATAAATATACTATTCTCATTCTTGCTCCACTTTCTCTCATTTTTGTGTGTACATCATTACACACAAAATATGTATGTGTATCGATCAGGATAGAGTAGATTATGCTGCAGTAAAAAACAACCTACAAATTTAAGTGGTTCAAAACAACGAAGATGTTTTTCATATTCATACTTCATGCTCTTCTCTTGTCTGCCATAAGCACTCTACTCTTTGGGTCATTCAGATGCCTTGGCTGAGGCATCTGATACCATCCTGAAGATGGCCAGTCATCATGCTAGAGGGAAACAGCCCTTGAATCAGAAACCTGCTTGAAAAGCATTGGCTAGAACTTGTTACATGGTCCCATAGGATCTCAAGGGGTTTCTGAAGTGCAATCACCACAGCCCCAGATAGATGAGAACATAAATACTTGGTGAACAGAATTAATGGCTAATTCTGCATTTTGAATCAATGCATTTATTAAAGTAAAACCCTAGAAAACTTTTATACAACTGAGATCATTCTAGTAAAATGGTCCTTACCATTGGGATAAAGAATAGAGTCCATGAAGAGTTAGTGAGGTCATGATGGATGGCCAGATGGCTCAGACCATGTCCTCTAGTGGACTTGGTAGCCGGATTCCTTCATTAGGTAAGATAATAATTGAATCAGAGCTTGAGAAAAGACATCAATGATGTCTAATCAATTCCTCCAGGATGTGGAAGAACAGCCATTGATTTTTAGGGAAAAAGTCATCAGTTACTAAATTCATACACACTCTTGATAGGTCTCTGGCTTGGCTTGACTAAATCAGAGGAGATTTTAAGTTCTTTAACTTTTTTCAGGGAGTGATGAGTGGAGACTGTGGATGAAAGGCAATTCACCCACAGGTAACAGCAGCACTGAAGACAAAGCCGTAGAAATGCTGAAGTGTATTTGGAGAAGAGGGAGTGCTCCAGTGTGGCTGCTGTTTTGTTATAATCAAGGTTCTTGCATTTTCTGTTTCTCTGTAGTTCGAAATAAAGTGCACGACTTAAAAAAAAAGTGATCAGAACACCTGCAAATGTAGATTAATTGTTTATCAACATACACTTTAAAAGCGACTGAACTAAACCACTTTTATCACGCTATATGATTGCATAGTTTAGGGAGAGTTTTTGGTGTATAACCCACAGTGAATGATGCAGCTGGAGGCACAATGTTGGAGATCAGGAATACCAAACTGAGGCATATGCTCCTCATTTTCCTGGAAAAAAACTTTGTTTTTGCGGTATCTGTAATAAAATTGAAAAATGGGAGCAAAGTCATGATTACAGCAATAATCCTTGTCAATGCAAGCTTTCTCTGACTCTTCCAACAAGACAGGATCTCTCTTTCTCTGAAGGCCTTGAACACTTGACCCATTTGCCTCTCATGAAAATAGCAGAAGGTCAAGGTCCCTGAGGTTCTAGCCAAGTAATTTAAGGAAAATAACTGAGGAAAGTAATGGTGATGGTCTAAACCAAAGAACTTGTACTGAAATTAAAAATGGGATTCTTGAGATACAAATGAGAGATATTCAGATGAGTAATATGCAAAAATTGAGAGTGGACGCAATGTCAGTGGTATTCTTAAGTGACTTAAGACAACACAAATGTATTATCTTACAGTTTAGAGGTCAGATGTCCAAAATGGTTCTCACTGGGCTACATTCAAGGTATTTGGTGGCAAGGCTGTGTTCCTCTGAGGTTTCTCAGGGAGAATCACTTCTCTTGCCTTTTCTAGTTTCTAGAGACTGCCTGCTGTCTTTGGTTTGTGACCTCTTTCTCCACACTCAAAGCCAGCAATGTAGCACCTTCCAGTCTCTCTCACACTGGTTACACTGGACTTAACTGAGTGAGTGACCCTCCTATCTAAATAGTAAGGTCATCTAGGGTGACCCTCCCATCTAAATAGTAAGCATAACTGCCAAGTCCTGCTTTCGCTATGTAAGGTAACAAAATCGCAGGTCCCTGGGATTAGGATGAGGACACCTTTTTGGGGCCATAGTATTTCCTGCCACAGTGATGGGAAATCAAACACACAACAAAATAAATAAATAAAGGCAGGCTAAGATTTAGACATAGTGCTCATTTCTCATTGTATTCTTTTCTCCTGCCTACTTTAGTCAAAGGCTTTATTTATTTGGAAGTTCATCATTTATTTTTGTTTGTTCAGTGCTAAACACAAAATAGTAATGCAAAATAGACTCAGCCTCCTTCAGTGGCTAGAAGAAAAACATTATGCTAACCTAAGATGAAGTTTGACAAGTGACGCATTATTCAGAAAACCACTGGGCATTGAAATTGCATATTATGCAAATATATTCTATTCCTGACCATTGTTGAAGAAGTTTTTATAGGTAATTATGGAAGCTGCAGCAGTGGCCTTTCTACTAGAGTTTAATGTTTCCAGTGGATGCTCATGAATAGTGATATTACACCTAAGAATAAAATCATTCACTTCCACTTGAAACACTCATTAGCAAACTTTTTAAATGGTTGCATTGTCTGAAGCCTGATTAGTCCTGTTAGACTTTGATTAATGTTGCTCATTACTTAGATTAAGCTTTAACTTTGTAAAGATTACTCCATTGCTTAATAATATGAAACATTTTACATTGAAAAAAAATCATGTAGACAAATAATATTTTAATCAATTGACTTAGGTGTGCCATTGAAACCCTCATGAAAGGTCTAGGCACTCTGGAAAAGGTCATCTCTTTGATAGCTTATAATTAGCACTAGAGAATGAATTGGTTTCACATGAGTTGAGAAGACGTCTTTGCAGTTTACTTCCTGTATGAGATGCACGACTGATAAGAATTGCAGGATGCATATCTTGCTGCTTAAAAACTTCATAGTTAGCATTATTAACAGTGTAGCAGCAAGTTTAAATCTTAGTTTCCCTGGTAATCTTAATACCAGGAATCTAACTAGAAATATTGTGTACTTGTTTGCTAGAGGAAGTAAATCAGGTAGAACCATAGCATGCTGTATACTGTTAATTGGACTATTAATATGATGGATGAAGACTATCATTTAAAATTTTATGGTGTAGAACAACATGGTATACATGCTTCCCACTGTGGGTGTAAGCAAATGAATGAAGACAACTAAAATCTCATAAAGTCTCATACACAAGGCTGTAATTGATGAAAAATCTAATTAAGTCTTTTTGGAGAGGAGGGATCAAAACTACATAAATTATGTACTAATTTATTCATAAAAACATTGAGAAGTCTATGTAGAAACTCAGGACATAGAAATGGGGATAGAAAACATGTATGTCTAAAAAGCAGAAAACATCAGAAATAATAAAAGTTTCAAGTTTTTGAGTTTTTCTTCATTTTTTTTTTGCGTTTGGTTTACTATATAAACAACTTTGATCCAAAAATAAAAATTGTGAATGATAAGATTGCAGACTATTTTGTTATCATATATTGCCTGAGTTAATTTTCAACATTTTTGTAAATTACTTGCAAAAATTTCAAATTTCAATCTGTGCAGAGTCTTTAAACAAGAATAAAATTCTTTAGTTTGAAGGTTAAAAATAAATCTCTGCTTCTCTTTTCTTTTCCTGCCTGAAAATACAAATCATACAACAATCTCTTATAGTCATAGGCATTGATATCTAATGCTCATTTAGAAATCAGAAATTTCTTTTTTTAACATTTATCTTACTGTATTTTTTAAATTAGCAAAATTTATATATTTACTGTGTAAAAAATGATGCTTTAAAACATGTATAAAGTGAAATCTCTAAATTGAGCAAATTAATACATACATTCTCTCAGTTATTATTTTTGTGATTACACTTAAAATCTACTTCCTTAGCATTTTTAATGAATGTAATATATTGTCATCTATAGTTACCATGTTGTACATTAGCACATTTGAAGTTATTCCTCCTATTAAACTAAAATTTTGCAAGCCTTAACCAACGTCTCCCCTTCCCCTCAATGTCCCAACCTCTGGCAACCACCATTCTACTCTCTACTTCTATGAGTTCAATATTTTTAGATTCCATATATAGGTGAGATTATGCAGTATTTGTGTATCTGTGCCTGGCTTATTTCACTTAGCGTAATGTCTTCCAAGTTCATTCATGCTGTCACAAATGACAGTATTTTCTTCTTTATGGCTGAATAGTATTCCATTGTGTATATATACCACATTTTTTTTGGTCCAATTATTCATCAGTGGACACTCAAGTTGATTCCCAATGTTGGCTATTGTAAACAATGCTGCAATAAACACGGGAGTGCAGCTATCTCTTCAACACACTCATTTCACTTCCTTTGGCTATATACTTAGTAGTGTGGTTGTTGGATAATATGGTAATTCTATTTTTAATTTTTTGAGGAAGCTCCATACTGTTTTCTATAATGGCTATACTAACCTACATTCTTACCAACAGGGCACAAGGGTTCCCTTTTCTCTATATCCCCACCAACAATTGTTATCTTTTATTGTGTTGATAATAGCCATTTTAAGAGACATAGGATGATGTCTCATTGTAATTTTAATTTTAATTTTTATAATGATTAGTGATAAACATTGTTTCATATAGTTCTTGGTTGTCTGTATGTCTTGTTTTGAGTAAGGTCTACTCAGTTCCTTTGCCCATTTAAAAATTTTTTTCCTTGCAGTTGAGTTGAGTTCCTTATATATTTTGGATAGTAGCCCCTTATCAGATGCATAGTTTGCAAATATTTTCTCCCATTCCTTAAACTGTCTTCACTATGTTCATTGTTTCCTTGGCTGTGGAGAAGCTTTCAATTTGATGCAATTCTGTTTTTTCAGTTTTGCTTTTGCCCAGACGAATGTTGTGGGGCTTTTCTCTATGTTTTTTTCTAGTAGTTTTACAGTTTTGGGTCTTACATTTAAGTTTTTAATCGGTTTTGAGCTGTTTTAGTGTGTGGTATGAGACAAAGGTCTAATTTCATTATTCTGTATTTGGAGATTCAGTTTTCCTGCACCAGTTATTGAAGAGACTATCTTTTGCTCCTTGTCTGTTCTTGGCACCTTTGTGAAAAATCACTTGAAAAGTGAATTTTACTTTCATTCGATCTATCTATCTATCTATCTATCTATCACGTATCTATGGATTTCTGGGCTCTCAATTTTATTCTATTGTTCTGTATATCTGTTTTTAGACAAGTGCCATGCTGTTTTGATTACTACAATATTGCAGTAAATTTTGAAGTTTGATATTGTGATGCCTCCAGCTTTGTTTTTTTGCTCAGGATTGCTTTGGCAATTTGGGGTCTTAGGCAGTTCATAAAAACTTTAGAAACCTTTTTCTATTTCTGAGATCATGTTATTGAAATTTTGATGAGGAATACATTAAATCTGTAGATCAGTTTGGGTACTATGGACATTTTAACAATATTAATTCTTCCAGTCAATGCACATGGAATTTATTTTCATTTATTTGCATCTTTTTCAATTTATTTCATTAATGTTTGATGGTTTTCAGTGTATAGAATATTTCCTTGGCTAATTTTATTCTCAGTATTTTTGCAGCTATTGTAAATGGGATTGTTTTCTTGATTTCTTATTCAGATAGTGTGGTGTTAGTGTGTAGAAATGCTACTAATTTTTGTATTTTGATTTTGTATCCTGCAACTTTACTAAATTTGTTTATTAGTTCTAATAGTTTTGGGGTGGATTGTTTAGGGTTTTTTAAATATATATAAGATCATGTCATCGGCAAAAAGCGACAATTTCACTTCTTCCTTTCCAATTGGGATGCCTTTCATTTCTTCCTGTTGCCTAATTGCACTGGCTAGGACATCCAGTACTAAGCTGAATAGAACTGGCAAGAGTGGGCATCTCTATTTTGTTCCTGATCTTAGATAAAAAACTTTCAGCTTTTACTCATTGAGTATGATGTTACCTATGAATTTGTCATATATGACCTTTACTGTGTAGAGGTACATTCCTTCTATATATAATCTGTTGAGCCTTTATTGTGAAAGGATGTTGAATCTTGTCAAATGCTTTCTCTACATCCATTCAGATGATTATGTCTTTTGTCTTTCATTCTGTTAATGTGGTGTATCACATTTGTAAGTCTGCATATGTTGAACCATACTTGAATCTCGAGGATAAATCCCACTTGATCATGGTGAATAATTTTTTTTAATGCGTGTTGAATTTTGTTTGCTAGTGTTTTGTTGAGGATTTCTGCATCTATGTTCAGCAGGGATATTGGCCTGTATTTTTATTTTTAATTTTTCTGTTTCTTTTTTGGTAGTGTCCTTGTCTGGCTTTGATTGAAAGCATTTTCCCCTCTTTAATTTTTTGGGGATAGTCTGAGAAAGATTGGTATTTTTAAATGTTTGGTAGAATTTATCAGTGAAGTCATCCAGTCCTGAGATTTTCTTTGATGGGAGACTTTAGATTTGATCTCCTTACTCTTTAATGGTCTGTTCGGATTTTCTATTTCTTCATGATTCATCCTTGGTAAGTTGATATGCCTAGAAATTTATCTATTTCATCCATCTAAGTTATCCAGCTTATTGTCAAATAATTGGTCATAATAGCTTCATATGACCCTTTGGCTGTGTTTCTGTTGTATCAGTTGTAATGTCTTAGTTTCCATTTCTGATTTTGTTTATTTGAGGCTTTTTTCTTTTATTCTTAGTTTAGCTAAAGATTTTTCAATTTTGTTTCTCTTTTCAAAAACCAAGTCTTCATTTTATTGATATTTTCTATTGATTTTCTAGACTTTATTTATTTCTACTCTGATTTTATTATTTACTTCCTTTAACTCTGGGCTTAGTTTTTATTTTTCTAGAAAGTTGAAATATTAAGTTGTTTATGTGAGACTTTTCTTTTTTAATGCAGATGTTTGTTGCTATAAATTTCCCTCTTATAATAACTGCTTTTGCTATCTCATATGTTTTGGTATGTGGTATTTCCATTTTCATTTGTCTAAACATTTTTTGTTTATATATTTTCTCTTTTAATTTCTTCATTGACCCATTGGTTGTTTAGGATTACATTGTTTAATGTCTATGTTTTTGTAAATTTTACAATCTTTCTCTTTCAGTTGATTTCTAGTTTCATACCATTGTGGTCAGAAAAGATACTTGATATGATTTCAAACTTTTTAAACTTGCTAAGGCTTGTATTTTGGCTTAACATATGATCTATCCTGGGGAATGTTCCCTGTGTGCTTGAGAAGAAGAATGTGCATTCTGCCACTTTTGGAAGGAGTGTTCTGTGTATGTCTGTTAGGTCCATTTGGTCTAAAGTGTAATTTATGTCCAATATTTCTTTTTTAATGTTCTGTTTATGGATCTTGCCATTAATGAAAGTAGGTTTGTTGAATTCCTCTATTATTAGTGCATTACAGTTTATCTCTCTCTTAATACCAATTAATATTTGCTTCATATGTTTAGGTGTTCTGATGTTGGGTGCATATTTATTTATAGTCATTATATCCTTTTGCTGAATTGACTCTTTTATCATTATGTAACACCTTTGTATTATTTTACAGTTTTTGACTTAAGAAATCCATTTTATCTGATGTAAGTATAGCTACTTCTGTTCTCTTCTGCATTTTGTTTTCATGGAATATCTTTTTTCATCCCTTAACTTTCAATCTATGTGTGTTCTTACGGGTAAAGGGAGTCTCTTATAAGCAGCATATAGTTGTATATTTTAAAAAATTCATTTAGCCCTTTTATGTCTTTTGATTGGAGAATTTAATCCATTTACATTCAAGGTTAATATTGATAAGTAAGAATTTACTACTGTCGTTTTGCTAGTTGTTTTCTGCTTGTTTTGTAGATCTATTATTCCTTTTTTCCTCTCTATCTTCCTTTGTGATTAGGTAATTTTCATTATTAGTATGCTTTAATTTCTTACTGCTTATTTTTTGTGTATATACTATATTTTTTTTGCTTTGGGATTTCCATGAGACTTATAAAATCATCCAATAGTTATAATAGGTTACTTTAAACTTATAAAAACTTAACTTTGATTACAAAAACAAAAACCAAAAAAAAAACCAAGCAAACAAAAAATTCTACATTTTGACTCCATTCCTACATCCTGAATTTCTAATGTCACAATTTATATCTTTTTTTATTGCATATCTCTTAACAAATTATTATAGCTATTAGTATTTTTAACGGTTTTGTTGCTTAACCTTCATGCTAAAGATACAAGTCATTTACTCACTTCATTACTGTATTAGAGTGTGCTGAATTTTGCTGCATACTTACTTTTTTTTTTTTTTTTTTTTGAGACGGAGTCTCACTCTCGCCCAGGCTGGAGTGCAGTGGCACGATCTCGGGTCACTGCAAGCTCCGCCTCCCAGGTTCACGCCATTCTCCTGCCTCAACCTCCCGAGTAGCAGGCACCTGCTACCATGCCTGGCTAATTTTTTTGTATTTTTAGTAGAGACGGGGTTTCACCATGTTAGCCAGGATGGTCTCGATCTCCTGACCTCGTGATCTGCCCATCTCGGCCTTCCAAAGTGCTGGGATTACAGATGTGTGCCTCCGCACCCGGCCACATACTTACTTTTATACTTTCATGTTTTTGTGTTTTATACTTTTGTGTTTTTATGTTACAATTAGCATATTTTTCTTTCAGCTGGAAGAACTCCCTTTAGTATTTCTTGTAAGAAGGGTCTGGTGGTGATTAGCTCCCTCAGCTTTCTTTTGTTTGTCTGGAAAAATCTTTCCTTCATTTCTCAAGGACAACTTTTTCAGGTACAATATTCTTGGTTGGCATTTTTTTTTTCCTTAGCACTTTGCACCCTCTATCTTGGCCTATAAGGTTTCTGCTGATAAATCTGCTACTAGCTTTAATATAATTCCCTTACATGTTATCTTTTTCTTTTCTCTTGCTGCTTTTAGGATCCTCTCTTTGACTTTGAGTTTTGACAGTTTGGTTATAGTATATCTTAGGGGTAGGTATCTTGCTTGAATTGAATCTTACTGGGGAGTTGTATTTGGATACTTATATCTTTTCCCAGGTTTGGAAAGATTTGTGTTATTATTTCTTTAAGTAAGTACTACTTCTTTGACTGTCTCATCTCTTTCCTAAACTTTGACTTGAATATTTGCTCTTTTTATACTGTGTTTTAAATTCTGTATGCTTTCTTTATTCTTTTTCATTCTTGTTTTCTTTTTTCTCCTGTGATCGTATATTTTCAAATAATCTTGAGTTCATAGATTATTTCTTCTCCTTAATAAATTCTGCTATTAGCCCACTATTGCAGTTTTTATTTCATTCATTATATTTTCAGCTCTAACATTTTTGTTTTATTAATAATTTCAATATCTCTGTAAAATTTTTCCTTCAACCATTTATTTTTTTCCTTATTTCACTGAATTGATTTTTTGTATTTTGTTGAAATTTCCTGACCTTCCCCAGAGCAGCTATTTTGAATTCTTTGTCAGGAAGGTAATTTCTTTAGTTTAATCACTTGTGCTTCATTTTGTCTCTTTGGTGATGTCATGTTTCCCTGATTACTGTTAATCCTTATGTGTTGGTGTCTATGCATTTAAAGAAGTAGGTACATATTTCAATATGCAGACTAGCTTTGTCTGGGAAAGCTCTTTACCAGTTAACCCATCCAGAGATTCAAGGCAGGCCATTTAGTATGGTTCATGAGAGGGCTTGCTAGCCTGGTGTCTGGGTCAGCAGGTGGGTAATCCTGGAGCCTAGATGCATTGTGCTGGATTTGTTGACTGGGTCTGTTGAGCATGGCCCCTGGGTTCACAGGGGCTAGCTTGGCATTGGTACTGGCCTTGAACCTGTGTCCTCTGGGATGAGCCTGGATCCTGGGTCCAGGGACTGGAGACTGGATCTGCAGGGGTGTTCCTACATCTTTAGCCCATAGGGACTAGCCTGGTACTAGTGTCCATTGGGGTGGACATGAACCCTGGGTCTACTGGAGCAGGCCTGGACTCTGAGGCAATGAATCCTGGGGCCACCATGACTAGCCTGGATCTTAGGTCTGTAGGTGCTGGTTTGGAACCTGGGGCCATGGGTGTTAGACTGGTGCTGGGGCTGGCCTGAAGTCTCAGTCTGTGGGAATTAACCTGTGTACTCAGGCCATGGTGACCAGCCTGGAGCCTGTATCCATAGGAATGACCCTGGAACATGAGTCTTTAGGGGACAGCCCAGCATATATATCTACTGGGTTGGGGTTGATCCCTGGGTCTACTGGAAAGGACCTGGACCCTGGGTCTTCCAAAGAATGAGTCCACAGGGGCCAGCCTAAATCCTGGAGTCCTGGAGACTGGCCTGGACTCTGGGCTCATGGAGGCCAGCTTGAAAACAAAATGTGTGGATGCTACCCTAGAAGCTAGGTCTGCAAGGACTGACCTATGGCCTGGGACTTCAGGGGCTTCTCCTGGAAGCTGAAGATGTAGGGATTATTTTGACACCATGTGGATCTGGAGCCTGGGTCTGCAGGTGCTGAGTGTGGACCCACAGGTCAGGTGTGCTGATCTAGTGCTTATGTGGGTGTCTGAAGTCTGGGGCTGTGCAGGCCAACTTTGCTCTGGGCTGCTCTGGAGCCTGGGGTAGATGTGGAGCTTGGGGCTGTAGGGGCCAACATGAAGCCTGGGTCCAGAGTTACTGGCCTAATTACTACGGCTATAGGAGCTGGCTTGGAGTTGAGGTGGACCTGAAGCCTAGGGCTCACTGAGACTAGCCCACCACTAGCATAAGCCCATAGCTTGGTGCTGCTGGGGCAAACCTGGTGTTGAATGTGGTTGGGAGCTTGGAGCTGCTGTTTGAAACACAAGGGGGCAGACAGGAGATGAAGTCCACCATGAAGATCTGGAGCCGAAGGCTGAAGGGCAGCTCAGCCTGGCTCTGGGGCAGACCTAGAGGCTCATTCTGTAGGCACCAGCCTTGAGTTTGAGGCTGTGGGGCCTGCCCGGTTCTGAGTTTTATGGAGGTGGGCCCAGTACTCAAGGCAAAGTTCAGTGATACTTTCCTATCTTTCCCTCAAGAAGATGGTATCTCTGTGCTGTGCTGCCTTTGGTTGGGCAAGATGTGAAGCAGGTAAAGTGAAACTGTCTTTCCCTTTTCAATGCATCTTTCCTTATTTCAGTGCTATACCCACGTGGTGCTTTGATCTCTCTCCTGTTTCCTTCAGCTCTTATGAAGGTATTTTCAGGCATGGGTAGTTATTCAAATTAATGTGTCCATTGAAGGATGATTGCTGGAAAGTCCTATTTCATCTTTTGATGAGTAGTCCTAGTCCATCTTTTGTAATCTCTTTCTTTGTAAAATAGATAGTTTATAGTTTGTCTCATAGTAGCCATTAAACAGACATTAGTTTCACTCATTCCTAAGACTGCAGGGGAAAGCATTAGTGCTTTATGTTTAAAAAAAATCAGTACACAATAAACCTCTATTCAGTCATAACAATTTTGGTTATGAAGAAAGTAAAGATGTATACATAAGCAAAAAGGCCACAAGTAAACCACTGAATTATTAATATTTGAAGTCTATGGAAGTTCAAGCCATCTTAAGTATTTTAGAGCTATGTAAAAAAAAGCCTTTTTCATAATTCACTGAGTTAAAAGTTCTAGAGACAGGTAAGGTAATAGAATGAGCTGAAAGTAATCCACAAAAGCTTCTTATAGAGAGTTGGGTTTTCTCTGGATCTAGGTGGAAAGGAAACTGATTGGGCAGGTGGTAGGGTCTGAAAAAGCAGCATGCTGGTGGGAGCTGGCCTGGTGGTTCAGATGCTGTGGGGATCTTATGCAGTACTATAAGGCAAAAAGTCAAGAGAGTCAAGAAGTACTGTCTTCTTGAGATCAAGCTTCTGAGGAGGGAATGATAGAAAAGGGGGACCTGTGCATCACTGCACTTAGATTCTGGATCTCCATAAGCTGAGAGAGGAGCATATGTTGGATGTAACAGGTGCTAGAGGTTACCTTGTGCAGAAGATAAGCCGGCCAACAGGGCCTAGAAATACATGTGAAGTACTGGAAGTAGAAAAAAAAAATGGAGCCTGAAAGAATAGCTGAAGGGCTCTTCAAAAATCTGATCTTCTAGGAAAAAAAGGAATCAACAGCATGAGAGAGATTTCTAAGCAAAAATTAATGAATTTAAAGGTTTGCTGAATATAGGTAATGTGGGAATGGTGTGATATAAATGTGAGTGCCAGATTTCAGGGTTTTCATGACAGAGTTTCTCAGGAAGTAGTGGCCTGATTGACTGAGGAGGGTATGTTGGGCACAGATGATTAATTTAAGCAAGTGATTAATTTCACAGATTAAGTGGGATTGTGAGTGTGAGTTGATATTAGGATTTTCAGCAAAAGACATGACTATATGTACTAGAGACATAAGTCTAGTATAGCCAAAAAAACAACTATTATTATAGTTTCACAATTTTTAATAATATCTTAAATGCATCTCAGAAACCATATAATCAAACCAGTATAATAAACCTACTGATAAAAATGAAATGTTTAGATAAATAATAACATTGAGCTATCACTTTTTTTCAAGATCTACTGATATTCTTAGGAAAATGTCCTTTGAGATTGCCCAAAATATATGACAAAATTTGAGACTATTTTTGAAGACAAAATTATACAAAAAGCTGGCTATTGATTTTGAAACCTCCGGGATTATACATGCACTGTTCTACTGTCATGTTCCGTTGTATAAGAGTAACTTGGAACATTTTGGATTGACGAGATTTATAGTAAATGATTATTGTTTTTCAGGTTACAGAGTAATAAAACGTGTTTTTTATTTAAATGGCACAGTATTTTAAACAATCCCATACCTTATTTTGCGTACTTTTGATGCTCCATAACTTTTTGAGCTACATAACAAATAAAATATATGCAAGACCAATATTAATTCCATCGTAAACTCATGGAGCTGGAACCACCAAGAAGAAAGCAAAGTTAATGCAATATGGAATTGAGTGATTTCTTTTAATGTTCTAAAGAACAGTAAAAGCGTTCTGTGTACTTGACATCTAAACTATTGATGTTTTAGAAACTGATTTTACACATTCATGAAAAAAGGGTTAATTTGGGGGTTGGCAACAAGATGGCCAAATAGGAACAGCTCCAGTCTGCGGCCCCCAGCGTGAGCAATGCAGAAGATGGATGATTTCTGTATTTCCAACTGAGGTACCGGGTTCATCTCACTGGGGCTTGCCAGACAAATGGGTGCAGCCCACAGAGCAGGGTGGGGCATTGCCTCACCTGGGAAGCACAAGGGGTCAGGGAATTCCTTTTCCTAGCAAAGGGAAACCGTGACAGACGGCACCTGGAAAATCGGGACACTCTCACCCTAATACTGCGCTTTTCCAATGGCCTTAGCAAACAGCACAACAGGAGATTATATCCCATGCATGGCTCGGAGGGTCCCATGCCCATGGAGCCTCGCTCACTGCTAGCACAGCAGTCTGAGATCATACTGCAAGGCACGAGGCTGGGGGAGGGGTGTCCGCCATTGCTGAGGCTTGAGTAGGTAAACAAAGCGGCTGGGAAGCTCAAACTGGGTGGAGCCCACTGCAGCTCAAGGAGGCCTGCCTGCTTCTGTAGACTCCACCTCTAGGGGCAGGGCATAGCTGAACAAAAGGCAGCAGAAACTTCTGCAGACTTAAACGTCCCTGTCTGACAGGAAGAGAGTAGTGGTTCTCCCAGCACGGAGTTTGAGATCTGAGAACGGACAGACTGCCTCCTCAAGTGGGTCCCTGACCCCTGAGTAGCCTAACTGGGAGGCACCTCTCAGTAGGGGGGCGACTGACACCTCATAAGGCCAGCTGCCTCTCTGAGACGAAGCTTCCAAAGGAAGGATTAGGCAGCCACATTTGCTGTTCTGCAGCCTCCGCTGGTGATACCCAGGCAAACAGGGTCTGGAGTGGACCTCCAGCAAACTCCAACAGACTTGCAGTGGAGGGTCCTGACTGTTAGAAGGAAAACTAACAAACAGAAAGGACATCCACACCAAAACCCATCTGTACGTCACCATCATCAAAGACCAGAGGTAGATAAAACCACAAAGTTTGGGAGAAACCAGAGCAGAAAAGCTGAACATTCTAAAAGTCAGAGTGCCTCTTCTCCTCCAAAGGAATGGAGCTCCTCGCCAGCAACAGAACAAAGCTGGACAGAGAATGACTTTGACGAGTCAAGAGAAGAAGCCTTCAGACGATCGGTAATAACAAACTTCTCCGAGCTAAAGGAGGATGTTCGAACCCATCACAAAGAAGCTAAAAACATTGAAAAAAGAGTAGACGAATGGCTAACTAGAATAACCAGTGTAGAGAAGTCCTTAAATGACCCGATGGAGCTGAAAACCATGGCACGAGAACTATGTGACGCATGCATAAGCTTGAGTAGCTGATTTGATCAACTGGAAGAAAGGGTATCAGTGATTGAAGATCAAATGAATGAAATGAAGCAAAAAGAGAAGTTAAGAGAAAAAAAGAGTAAAAAGAAATGAACAAAGCCTCCAAGAAATATGAGACTATGTGAAAAGACCAAATTTACATCTGATTGGTGTACCTGAAATTGATGGGGAGAATGGAACCAAGTTGGAAAACATTCTTCAGGATATCATCCAGGAGAACTTCCCCAACCTAGCGAGGCAGGCCAACATTCACATTCAGGAAATACAGAGAAAACCACAAAGATACTCCTCGAGAAGAGTAACTCCAAGACACATAATTGTCAGATTCACCAAAGTTGAAATGCAGGAAAAAATGTTAAGGGCAGCCAGAGAGAAAGGTCGGGTTACCCACAAAGGGAAGCCCATCAGACTAACAGCGGATCTCTCCGCAGAAACTCTACAAGCCAGAAGAGAGTGGGGAGCAATATTCAACATGCTTAAAGAAAGGAATTTTCAACCCAGAATTTCATATCTAGCCAAATTAAGCTTCATAAGTGATGGAGAAATAAAATACTTTACAGACAAACAAATGCTGAGAGATTTTGTCACCACCAGGCATGCCTTACAAGAGCTCCTGAAGGAAGCACTAAACATGGAAAGGAACAACCGGTACCAGCCACTGCAAAAACATGCCAAATTGTAAAGGCCATTGTTACTAGGAAAAAGCTGCATCAACTAATGAGCAAAATAACCAGCTAACATCATAATGACAGGATCAAATTCAGACAAAACAATATTAACCTTAAATGTAAATGGACTAAATGCCCGAATTAAACGACATAGACTGCCAAATTGGATTAAGAGTCAGGACCCGCAGTGTGCTGTATTCAGCAGACCCATCTTGCGTGCAGAGACACACATAGGCTCAAAATAAAGGGAGGGAGGAAGATCTACCAAGGAAATGGAAAACAAAAAAAAGCAGGGGTTTCAATCCTAGTCTCTGATAAAACAGACTTTAAACCAGCAAAGATCAAAAGAGACAAAGAAGGCCATTACATAATGGTAAAGGGATCAATTCAACAAGAAGAGCTAACTATCCTAAATATATATGCACCCAATACAGGAGCACCCAGATTCATAAAGCAAGTTCTTAGTGACCTACAAAGAGACTTAGACTCCCACACAATAATAATGGGAGACTTTAACACCCCACTGTCAACATTAGACAGATCAACGAGACAGAAAGTTAACAAGGATATCCAGGAATTGAACTCAGCTCTGCATCAAGCAGACCTAAAAGACATCTACAGAACTCTCCACCCCAAATCAACAGAATATACATTCTTCTCAGCACCACATCACACTTATTCAAAAATTGACCACATAGTTGGAAGTAAAGCACTCCTCAGCAAATGTAAAAGAACAGAAATTACAACAAACTGTCTCTCAGACCACAGGGCAATCAAACTAGAACTCACTATTAAGAAACTCACTCAAAACCGCTCAGTTACATGGAAACTGAACAATCTGCTCCTGAATGACTACTGGGTACATAACGAAATGAAGGCAGAAATAAGGATGTTCTTTGAAACCAATGAGAACAAAGACACAATATACCAGAATCTCTGGGACACATTTAAAGCAATGTGTAGAGGGAAATCTATAGCACTAAATGCCCACAAGAGAAAGCAGGAAAAATATAAAATCAACACCCTAACATCACAATGAAAAGAACTAGAGAAGCAAGAGCAAACACATTCAAAAGCTAGCAGAAGGCAAGAAATAACTAAGATCAGAGCAGAACTGAAGCAGATAGAGACACAAAAAAACGCTTAAAAAAAATCAGTGAATCCAGGGGCTGGTTTTTTGAAAACCATGCCTATAATCCAGCACTTTGGGAGGCTAAGGCAGGTGGGTCACCTGAGGTCAAGAGTTCAAATCAGCCTGACCAATATGGTGAAACCCTGTCTCTACTAAAAATACAAAAATTAGCAAGGTGTGGTGGTGTGCACCTGTAGTCCCAGCTACTTGGGAGGCTGAGGCAGGAGAATCACTTGAAGCTGGGAGGCAGAGGTTGCAGTGAGCAGAGATTGCACCACTGCACTACTAGCAACAGAGCAAGACTCTGTCTCAGAAAAAAAAAAAAAAAGGCCCAGCACGGTGGCTCACACCTGTAATCCCAAAACTTTGGGAGGCTGAGGCGGGTGGATCACCTGAGATTGGGAGTTCAAGACCAGCCTGGCCAATATGCTGAAACCCTGTCTCTACTAAAAATACAAAAATTAGCTGGGTGTGGTGGTGGGCACCTATAATCTCAGCTAGTTGGGAGGCTGAGGCAGGAGAATTGCTTGAACCCAGGAGGCGGAGGCTGCAGTGAGCTGAGATCCCGCCACTGCCCTGCAGCCTGGGCAACAAGAGCGAGACTCTGTCTCAAAAAATAAAATAAAATAAAAAACTGCAACCAAAATGAACACAATGTCCAAGTTACTGTCATGATGGAGCTTACATTCTTTTTTTTAAAAAAATAATATATACTTTAAGTTCTGGGATACATGTGCAGAATGTGCAGGTTTGTTACATAGGTATACATGTGCCATGGCGGTTTGCTGCACCAATCAACCTGTCATCTACATTAGGTATTTCTCCTAATGCTATCCCTCCTCTTGCCCTCGACCTCCGACAGGCCCCAGTGTGTGATGTTCCCCTCCCTTTGCCCATATGTTCTCTTTATTCAACTCCCATTTATGAGTGAGAACATGTGGTGTCTGGTTTTCTGTTCCTGTGTTAGTTTGCTGAGAATGATGGTTTCCAGCTTCATCCATGTCCCTACAAAGGACATGAACTCATTCTTTTTCATGGCTGCATAGTATTCCATGGTGTATATGTGCCACATTTCCTTTATCCAGTCTATCATATCATGTACATTCTTGTGAGAGATACAATAAACCCCAAAATAAAATGCTAAATTAACCAAGAAAATGAGTAAAAGAAACATTTAGCACAAGAGGATAGAAAGATGCTATTTTAATGGGGTAGCTAGAGAAGTCCTCTCAGAGAAGGAGACATTTTAGTCAAGAGTAAATGCATGGGCTGACAAATATTTTAGTCAAAGGAAATCAAAGGGAAAGGCTCTGAAATGAGAAAAGGCTTTGTGCTGGTGAAAGTGAATTTCTAGAAAATTTCTGCCTCTGGAAAGGCAGTCAGAGACATTTAAGTGCTTATAATCTATGATAAAAAACTTCAGATTTTTAGAAGGTGGAGAAAATTGGCTTCATATATCTAGATGAAAAAGAACTTAAAGATTAACTGGTCTAAGTATCCCATTTAACAGCTGAAGAAAGTGAGACCTAGGAAACCTAAGTGACTTAACCATACCCTGCAACTAGTTAGCTGTTGGTACAGATATAAACCTTGGTTCACTTATCTGAAAATAAACTATGACTCTACTCAAGGAAGCATTTTTCATTTTGCTATTTTAAACACTATATCCAGACATGACATATAACACATGGAATATGTTATATTCCAGACATATAACACCGTATGTTATTCTTTAAAAGGAAGGTTTTTACAGGCTGGTGCACAGCTATAGAATGGCAGATGCACTTTGAATATGGAGAAGAGCGTGTGACCCCTGAACCCAGAGGTCTACTCCCTGGAGATCACACTGCATTAAACAGCTAGAGGTGTTCTTTCATTCGGACAAAAGAACTGACGTTGCTTCACTGAACCTCTTAGGGATACTGAATTAAATGAGATTATCATATAATATGCCTCATCACTTTCACCTTCTAGTAATTTTACAAAAACACCAAATTGAATATGAATTTACTATATATTCTACAGTGACCGCTCATGTAATTTTTGCATAATTGAACACATTGTGTTTAACGCTGAATCTCAACTAACTTTGCAGAGAAATGAGTTAAAACTATTTCATGCAGCTACAGTCTCCTGACCTTCACAGGAACTTAGATCTTCTTTATTCTCCCCACAAATGTGGCCTTGGGCTTACAATGGCAAGGAAGTAGTTATCACCTGGCTTTTAATTCTGCTTCTCAGCAAGACAGACTTTCAACATATCAAATTGATAAATTTGGAGTCAATGTGTCATGCCCTCTTGGAATCTTTTATCTTCAGAATAAATGGTTCTGAGAGGTTTGTGGAAGGGGAAGGAGTTTTCAGGATTCCTACCTCTCCATGTAGACTCAGGGCAGAGATCCCTGCTGGACACCATATCGCTATGGTAGAAACCATCTTCAGTCTCGAACAGCCTCCCTGCAATTCAGCTACAGAGGATAATGCTGACTGTGTGGCTGTGCAAAATACCAAAGATGGAAGTTAACAGGACAAATGTTGTAAATATCATACTTCCATTTGTGTGTTTGTAAACATACCTTCTTTTGTGTTTGCTTTTTGGTTTTGTTTTGTTTTGTTTTTGAGACAAAGTCTTGCTCTGTCGCCCAGGCTGGCATGCAGTGGCATAATCTCAGCTCACTGCAACCTCTGCCTCCAGGGTTCAAGCGATTCTCCTCCCTCAGCCTCCCGAGTAGCTGGGACTACAGGTGCCGGTCACCACAACCGGCTAATTTTTGTATTTTTAGTGGAGACGGGGTTTCACCATGTTGGCCAGGCTGAGCTTAAACTCCTGACCTCAGGTGATCCACCCACCTCAGCCTCCCAAAGTGCTGTGATTACAGGCGTGAGACACCGTGCCCAGCCCATTATTTCTAAAAACATTGTGTATAAACTATGCACCAGGGTCTGTGTTAGATGAACAAAAGAATGGGCAAGGTCTTTGCATTTATAGACTTTGCAATTTCGGAAGGATATCTATTTTAAAAAGTAACCAAGTAAGAAAATGATTATAGATAGTTATTAGTGCAAGAAAGAAAACAAACGGCACTACAGCAGAGAGCCACAAAGTGTCCTGCTGAGTTAGAGTGGTCAAGGCAAGCCTACGTAAAAGGGGATGCTTCACCTAAGAACTGAAGGATTGTGGAAACAGCTGCCACTTGTACATCCAAGGGAGGCCAGGTGGCCCTGGCAGCAGGTGATGGGGCACTGGATGTGGGAAGAATTTAAGATATATCTTAGAGGCTTCAGTCAATTTGGTGATAAATTTAAAAACTAATAGGGGTAAGGAACTGCCAAGAAAAACTTTTAGGGGTGTGTGTGTGTGTGTGTGTGTGTGTGTGTGTGCACGCGCGAAGGTCGGGAATTTGGTTTTGAATATTCAGTTTGAGGAACCTGTGACAGTATCTGAGATTTTTTAACTACTTGGATTTGCAGTACAAAGGATAAGTCCAGATGCTAACACAATTTTGGTAGTCATTAGCATTAGGTGACTTTTAAAACTATGCAATTGGATGATAGTATTTTAGGGGAAATATAGAGTGAAAAGAACAGAGCATTGTGGAATGAGCTTCAGAGGAATCCAGTTTCCTGAGATGAGGTTGAGCTGGCACCAGAGAGAAGAGCAAGAGGCCCAAGACCTGCTCTGTAGGAATGAGGGTTTCATATGTTGAAAGGGGTTGAGTAAGGAAAGGAATAAAGAGTGCCTATTGAATTGATAAACCTCAAGTTTGTTGATGACCTTAGTGAGAGCCATTTAGGTGTAGAAGAGTCCAGAAGCCTGATTCTAGGAGATGGGGCATAAGGAAACGATGCTGCTCAAGCAGCACGGCTATCTAAGGAAGCACACTGAAAGCTCAAGGGGAAAGTGGGGATGAGGGAAGACACACTGCTTTTTTTTCTTTTCTTTCCTTCTCTCTCTTTCTTTTTTTTAAAGTGGAATACTTCGGAACTTATGACTAGGATTTCACAACAAAGTGAGGTGACCAGGAAAAAACACAAGAAATCAGTGTGGCAAGATCCCTCAGATAGGGCTCTATTTGATGATCCAATATCATGTCAACCATAGGATTTCACATTTTTGTTATATATTTTAGCCTACACGTTGATAAAATTATAATCAGAACATATAACACAGTAATCATGGAGCATAAAATAAACTAAAATATAAATTACGTTGCAAGTAAAGAAAAATGAATTAACATGCACATAACACAGCATAATAGAAGATATAACAGTTTTAAAAATTATCATCAACATGTTAAACTTATCTATTAAACTTATCTATTTCTTGGATTTATTAAGAAAAAAGGATCAATGTATGGTAATCACATTACAAAAGTACAAAAAACCCCACAAAAGTTATTAAAAATAAATTATGTCAGCTAAAATACACACTAAAAGAAGAAAAAGACACCAATTAATACCAGATAGAATGAATTAAGTAAAAGGAACATCATGTGAGATACAGAGAATCATTCAACACTTAAAAAAAGTTTGAAATAAAGTCATTAACAGTTTTTAAAAGCTTTAAATTTTAGCATCGTAATATAAAGAAAAAATGTTTCAAAGATACAAAAAGATTACAAAATTCCAATGACAACCTAATTTTCTATAATCTATTAAGAAACCTAAGAAATTAAATAGGTTCTGTGAAAAAATACATTCTTTTAAAACTGGACTAAACAATCATGTCTTAGTGTTTTACTTTTCCATTGAATGTTCAAAAGCTGGTTTCAAAAATTAAATGAAAGCTTATGGACTATTGAACCACAGCGAATTCCAAAACACGCGGCAGGAGAATGGCGTGAACCCGGAAGGCGGAGCTTGCAGTGAGTCGAGATCGCGCCACTGCACTCCAGCTTGGGCGACAGAACAAGACTCCGTCTCAAAAAAAAAAAAAAAGAAAGAAAATATGATTCCATGGCACAGAAAAGGAATATGTATTCTAATTGTTTAATCCTATTACATTTAAAACATTTTAAATGCCAGGTGTGGTAACTCATGCCTGTAATTCCAGCACTTTGTGAGGTTGAGGCAAAAGGATCACCTGAGGTCAGGGGTTCGAGACCAGGCTGGGCAACACAATGAGATTCTGTCTCTGCAAAAAATAAAAAAATTTGACATTATTTTTATAAGGGAGGTTTTAAAAATATTTTAAAGTTAACTGTTGATATTACATAGAACAATGTAATAATTGTATCCATTTTAATAGCTTCCAAAATCATGAGGAAGAATAATTTTATGGTTATATTTAATGACATTAACTCAAGAAAAATGATAAAGGGCTTTTCTTGTATTTTCGCTATACGCCAAGCACTGTGGTGAGCACTTTCTATAAATGATTAACCCCTTTAGTCTCACAACTATCCTGTGAGGTTGATGTTTTCTGTAACAACTAACTTTACAGTTGAGAAAGTAAGCACAGAGAGGTTGGCTCATTTGCGCACAGCTAAAGAGCATTCCATGGCAGAGGCAGGAGGTGAAATCAAGCACTCTGGGTCTGGAATCTATGACCTTTACAACTAGGCTGGATTGCCTTGGGGAGGAGAGTGTACGGATTAATAAATAAACACTTTCCTGAAGAGCCATCCAAACACAAGGATGGACTTTTTGTATTAGACTCAGATGCATTCATTGTGTTTTGTTTTGAGTGAGTGCTGCAAAGTGCTTCTTGCATCAGTCTAAAATCATTTATATTTTTGTGATTTATTTTTGAACTTCTACACTATCATGGATTCTCAAGTGTTACCATCTAACACTAAAATCATCTAAACAAGGGCCTCGCAGCAGCTTTTGGAGTGGCCAGCAGGGAGTTCCTGTGATTCATGTGCATGGTCGACTCGAAGCCATTGTGCCCATTGTAGTGGAAAGAGAGGAGGGTGGTGTGGCCACAGGGGGCCCTGCACGCCTCTTCTTTCAGTCATCTCTTTCCTGGCAAGCAATTACTGTTTCACTGAAAATCTATTTGCTTCAGCTGATCTCTCCTAAATGAAATCTAACCAACAATCAACTAGCATTTTCAGAGTGCCCGCTGTGCATAGAGCATGCTTGGAAAGCATTTTTTAAAGGAAATATTAACATTTGAAATATTAAGACCATGATATATTTGTAGAAGATGTAGACTCCTTCACCCTCAAAATTAGCAATATAAAGTTCTTTAGGAAATCTGCCAGACTTACTTTTATGTCTTTTATTAATGGCCTTTAGCAAAACTTCTTTGTGGTTTGTTTAGAATTCTCTATCTGCATTTCAGAGCTTGTTTCTGTCAGTAGAACACATTCTCTGTTAACTTTGATTTTTATTTATTTGCATGTTTGTCTTGCTGTCTAATAAAAGGTATGCATTTTGTAATTGTGAATTTTTGCAGTATAGGAGGTAGAGAGTGATTTCGAATGCAGTTGCAATAATCAAATAAATCAATATTTTGCAAAAGGGTAATTTAGTGGAAAATAGGGTTTGCTGTTCTTGATTTGTACTAAAATGCCTTCTGGCCACATCACACCCGAGAATGGCCCAAGATAGCAGAAAATACCAGATGACGAGATTCCTGCTTATTCATGCTTGCATCCTTTCTGCAATGGAGATCCCTGGCTCTGGTTTGGTCTGAGCCACATAAACCTAAGCTCTGAAGTGCTAGAAAGCCATGGAAAGCTATGCTCATGCTTGCCAAGGAATCTGTCTGAAGAATACTTGAAAAATTTGGATTTTTCAAGTCCAGTTTTCAATGTGCCATCATCATTCTCTAAATTTAATTCTTTAGATGTGCTGAAATGTAAAAGCTCAACTAAAATTTTATTGTTTTGCCTGTTTAATAAAGCAATTTGAACAATACCAGAAGAAAATGAAAGCACAATTATATGCTTTTTCTAAATTCAGAGCTAGTCCAATGTGCTATTTTTATATGTATTGTTAGCTCAGAGCTTAGATAAAATTTAGTATTCAAATATAATCTCCTAAACACAAAAAGCAGCCAACTGAACACGAGAAGTCCATATCTATGGCTCACAAAAAGGATTTGGATTAGAATAATAGAAAAAGGTGGAGAGTGGGAATTATTTTTTAAGGCAAATTCCATTAAATTTTATACTAGAAGTAAAAGTTTAATATGTGAAAAATAATAAGAGTTATGAACAAGTACTTAACAGGAAAGTAATTCTTTCATCAGCTTTAAAATAAATAAGCACTTTCTTTTCCTCAATCTCTTTATCCTCATTGTTCAGAAACCCTTTCTTGTCATAATCATCCTTTAAATTACAGAAAATAAAAATCAATCATCGTTTCTTCTTACTTTCTTATAAAAATACCACTATATAGCTGTTTTTTTTTTACAATTACCCATAAAATGATGAAAGGAGAATTTTTAAACTACAAATTGTTACAAAGTTTAGAGACAATAACAAATACCCATTAAAGGTTGTTATACTTTAGATCAAGTTAAATTATCAATCCAAATTAGCCCAAACCATGTCCTCTGAAAATGAAACTTGTATTTTAGATTTGGATATCAAATGAGAATAAGAATAATCTGCTTATAATACTCCACATAAGGAATGTTTTAGTAACATTTTTGATATGAAAAAATATATAATTGCTCAGTGTCTAGATAAAAACATGTATATTGGTACAAAAACTTACAATTGGAAAAGCATGTGTATATGTATTACACATATCCCTGTGAAAGTGGTGGTAAAAATATTATTACTTTGTTTTACATTTCAAGTTCCTGGGACTCAGAGAAAATAAATGACTGCCCAAAGTCTTCTAATAACAAGGTAGGATTCTCTCATGTCTCCAAACTCTAAAAATGCTTTTGTGCGCTTTTTTTTAAATCAACTCTTACACTTGAATAATAAAATCTCAGAATACTATAGTTTTTCAAATAAACATGGGTTTTGCTGAATTATAAAAATTATTTCATTTTTTATTAACTTCAATTGAAAAATAGTTCTCATATTTTCACACGGTCATTTCATCTATCTTCTATGTCAATTATAAAGTTCACTTGTAGGTAATTGCCTAAAAATATTCCTTTGGGGAAAATGCCTACTTATACATAGATTATTAAGTATAGTCATTGTCTATGTAAAAATGGTTAACATATCGTAATAATAAATATGCAAAAAGTATGGTGTGCCAATTATTAGATGACAGCTGATACTTTTTATCTGATTTATCCTGATACAGATGAGATGATGAGTCATGAAATTAATATTCCAAGAAAGCTCCCCAGTAATGGACTTTAAAATACTCCTCATTCTCATCTTCAAATTTAAAAGCAGCCTAATTCAAACAGCTTCTACTTTGCTACCATGAGGCAGACACAGTGTAATTTCTTTTACTTTACAAATGTGATTTTTAATTTTAACAATATTTTTTTCGAATAGGTATTACTATCCTGTTAAACAGAAGAGAAAGCTGAGACTTACACCAAAACATTAGCCTCAAATCTCATGACTAGACATGGTGCAGCTAGAATTCAGATTTAGGGTTTGCTCATCCAGAAATCATGCTCTGTCTAATGAGTTAGAAGATGGAAGTTCATAGAATTGGATTATCAGGAGTTTTATATGATCCAAAGCAAATCATGGAGGTTTTTTTAATACTGTCATTTAAAATATTCAAAATGACAAACAAACCAAAGAAGAATTATATTTTATCTTAATATAAAGATTAAGATAAAATGTGTGAATGTATGTAGGTATATATCGATCTATGTATATTTCTATACACTAATAAAGTTACTGAAGAAGAATGCTGAACTTTTTTAAATTTTTAAACCCTAAGCTATTCAAAGATTTAACAATTCAGGGAGATATATGTCTTCTATGTTTACAGAGACTTACATTTAGAGATAAGAGACCTGCAATGAAATAATTTTTCTTCTATAGAAACCCCTGCCTATAATCCAGTGTGTATAATATGAAAAAATAATAAAGTATGGGTCTGAATTATGATTTCATTGTTTATTACTCATGCGAACTTTGGTAAATTTTTTTTTTTTTTTTTGAGACAGGGTCTCTTGCTCTGTCACCCAGGCTGGAGTGCAGTGGGACAATCACTGCAACCTCTGCCTCCCAGGCTCAAGTGATCCTCTCAGCTCAGCCTCCCTAGTAGCTGATGACCTAGTACAGGCACATGCCACCACACCCAGCTAATTTTTGTATTTTTTGTAGAGACAGGTTCTCACCATGTTTCCAAGGCTGGTCTCAAACTCCTGAGCTCAAGGGATCTGCTGGCCTCGGCCTCCGAAAGTGCTGGGATTACAGGTATGAGCCACCACACTCAGTCAGTAAATCTCTTTAGAAATTACTGTTCATTAGTTTTTTCATCTGTAAGACAAGGGAAATAGTATGCGCTTCATAAGCTACGGTGAGACTTAAGTGAGATTGTATATTTCAGTTTTCTCCCGTAATTGCTTCTCGATATTTAAAAATTTTCTTATCTCTAGAAAAGATGGTTTTTTGGAAAATAATTTTATAATGGTGAATATGATTTAATAATTTCTAAAAAGTTCCATGTTAACTAGTCATGGGTTTTCATAATAGTCAAAATAATTTTTATCATGCTTTGGTATCAAGCCCAAAATCTGTGTTGTTAAACACAATGTTTTTTTTTTTTTAATTTGTGATTGTTGGAGGTTGGCAAGAGACTGGGAAGGGAGACTCCACCACGCAGGCCACAGTGTGCCCACCTTGTAGCTCCACCTCCCGAAACATGAGGTTTTCTAAGATATGGAGCCCAGGAAAGAGACAGAGCACTAGGTCTTACACCGGCAATTAACTCCTCAGCCTAGAAGTGACATGCCATTTCTTCTTACAGAGTATTGGCCAGAATTAGTCACAAGGTCCTACCTATCCACAGAAGGGTGGGGAAATGGAGTTTTCCATTCATCTAAAAGGAGAGAAGAACCACATATGAGTGACCTTCAAAGATACCTTATACAAGTGTGACAAACTCTGGAGGGATTTCTGGTGGCCCTGCCTTTAAATATCATTTGCTTTTGAGAAATGAATTCATTTTTCTCAAAGAAATTCACATATGCAGATCTTGTGGGCTCACCAATATTACTCTTTTTTTATTCTAATACATATCTGGAATACCATAATTCTTAATAAGGATTTGGTAGCCCCAAAATGGAGACATTCTCTGATAAAATAGAATTGGCACTGCTTGGGCCATTTTCTTTGCTTGCAAAATCATCCTTGAATATTTTAAGATATCTTATAAAGAAAGAAACAAAGCAAACAAAAAACAAAAGTAAACAAACAACAAAACTTCTCCCTTTACCTGTTTGTTTTACATGTAGAAATTGTAAATGTAGAAATTGTTCTCCTGTGCATAAAATTACATAAGTATTTATGCTGATTATCTGTTTATAGTTATACCGTTTTATCTTTCAGACATTTCCTATGTTGTGAGCTACAGTTACTTCTGAGACTCCAAGTCTTTGCTTTGTTTATGCTGTTTTCTCAGGTCCCAGTGCCTTCTGCATCTCACACTGGATTGCAAACTCTCATCCTTAAAGACTCAAATTCTAGTTTCAGGACGACTCTTCCCGTCCCTCACACCATTAAGCCCTTCTTCTCTTAGAGGACTTAGAATATGCGTAAATCCACCTACTTAACTCTAAAGATGATTAGAGAGACTGTGAATGTCAGGTTCCCAATCAGAAATTTCACTGGAAATAGTGTCTAACTCAAATTTCATTTGCTTCTCAATAACAAGAAGACAAATAACCCAATTAAAAATTGGACAAACTCCCTGATAGACATTTCTCAGAAGAAATACAAATGACCAAGTATATTTTAAAAAATGCTCAGCATCACTAATCAGTAGGTAAATGCAAAATAAAACCACAATGAGATATCACCTCACACCAATTAGAATAGCTATCATGAAAATGATGAACAATAACAAGTGTTGGTGAGGATGTAGAGATAATAACTCTTGTGTACATTGTTGATGAGAATGCCAATTAGTATAGCCGTTGTGGAAAACAGTACATAGGTTTCCCCAAAAATTAAAAATAGAACTACCATATGATTCAGTAATCTTACTTCTGGTTATAGATCCAAAGGAAATGCAATCAATATGTTGAAGAGATTTCTGCACTCCCATGTTCATTGCAGTGTTATTCACAATAGCCAAGTTATGGAATCAACCTAAGTGTCCAAGGGATGAATGGATAAAGAAAATGCGGTACATATACACAATGGAATACTACTCTCATTTTTAAAAGAAGGAAATCTTGTCATTTGCACAATATGGATGAACCTGGAGGACAATGTGTTAAGTGAAATAATCCAGGCACAGAAAGACACATACTGCCTGGTCTTACTTATATATGGAATCTAAACAAGTTGAACTGATAGAAGCAGATAGTAGAATGATGGTTACCAGAAGTTTGGGGGGAAGGGAGTAAAGGAATGAAGAGTTGTTGATCAGGGAGGGGATACCAGTTTCAGATAAACAAGAGGAATAGGGTTTGAGATCTCTTGCAGAGCGGGGTGACTATATTAAATAATAAAGTATTGTATATTTCAAAATAACTAAAAGTAAATTTCAAATGCCTCATCATAAAAAGTCATGAGTGAGGTGAGGCATATGTTAATTAACTTGATTTAATTATTTTACATGGTATGAGTATGTCAAAATATTACATTTTACCTAATAAATGTATGCAGTTATCTTTTGTCAATAAAAAATTAATAATTATTAACAATTATTTGCTCTAAGTCTTAATAACAACTCTTTACATGCTGTGTGCTCATTTTTACTGAATTGCTATTATCAGATTTTTAAATATTTCCCCATATTGGAAAAAGAAATATCCATCTGGACATTTCTGTACTTTCTACACATCAAACATAATCCAATTTTCTTTTAAAGTAATTCTTTATTTGCATTTTCATGGATGTAAAAAAAAAAGTACACTTTATGGCCATGAGACTGTGTTCCATAACTAAATATTGCCTCACTAGAAGTATATTGTTTAAGACAATCATTTTACTTGGTATTCTATAAATGGGACTATTAACTCATCACTAATCTTGGCTAATGCATATTTTACTTAATATAGTGAGCACTTGTATATTAAGATTTGGGATATTTTCAAGTTCCAATAAAGAAGGTAGATATCAAATTGCTACATTATTACAAGCGAGTGTAGACCACTCTCAGAAAGTTTCTTTTCTGCTTGTAAATGCATTCAATTATGTGGTTTTTCTCAATTCCATTACGTTGGAAAAAATTAATTTAATTATTTCTAATTATACAAAACAGTGAAATTTCAACCTGTCCTTGAAATGTTTCCTTATAAACCCATGGAAGCTCCCTGCAATCATGACCCAACAGAGAAATACTCTGTGAATAATGGCTATTTTATAATAAGTTATTTTCTTTAAACTTTTATTTCTTAAAAATATTTTTCTCTTCTAATCAAGTTTTTAAAATATCATAATAAACTTTGAGTATGTAGGGGCAAAATAACCCATCTTAAATTTCTCCATCTCCCTGTACATTAGGCTGACCAAAGACAGATTAATAAGAGCAAAAACTACTAACCTGTGCATCATTCATGTAACACACAGAAGAACTCAGAGGTGAATGACTCACGAGGTAATTAGATCTTGAGCTTAAATACCACCAAAAGAAAAGGGATTTTGTGTTTCTGGGCAAGTGAAGCAAGTTATGGGATGGTAACCAGAAACAGTATGGTAAACAAGTGTTTGGTATGTGGTAAGGTTTTGTATGTAGATTTAAGTCAGTGCCTTCTCCATTGAAAATAGTTCATTATTTAATCTTTCTTCTTAAGACAAGAGTAGTTTACACACTACTATTACAGTGTTACACTATTCTGTGTTTTCCTGTGTGCTATTACCAGTGAGATTTGAACCTTCAGATGATCTCTTCTTGCTCATTAACATCCTTTACTTCCAGATTGAAGGACTCCCTTTAACATTTCTTGTAGGACAGGTCTAGTGTCAATGAAATCCCTCAGCTTTTGTTCATCTGGGAAGGTCTTTATTTCTTCTTCATGCTTAAAGAGTATTTTCACTGGATATACTATTCTAGGTTAAAAGTTTTTTTTTTTTTTCCTTCAGCACTTTAAATATGTCACACTACTGTCTCCTGGATTGTAAGGTTTCCGCTGAAAAGTCTGCTGTCAGACATATTGGAGATCCATTGTATGTTATTTGTTTCTTCTCTTTTGCTGATTTTAGGATCCTTTCTTTATCTTGACTTTTGGGAATTTGATTATTAAATGCATTGAGGTAGACTTCTTTAGGTTAACTTTGCTTGGTGTGCTATAACCTTCTTGTACTTGAATGTTGGTATCTTTCCCTAGGTTTGGGACGTTATCTGGTATTATCCATTTGAACAAACTTATACTTCTACCTCTTTCTCTACCTCCTCTTTAAAGCCAATAACTCTTTTGAGGGTATTTTCTAGATCTTGTAGGCATGCATCATTGTTTTTATTCTTTTTTCTTTTGTCTCCTCTATCTATTTTTAAACAGCCTGTCTTCAAGCTCACTAATTCTTCCTTCTGCTTTATCAATTCTGATATTAAGAGATTCTGATGCATTCTTCAGCATGTCAATTGCGTTTTTCAACTCTAAAATTTCTTCTCGATTCTTTTTCATTATTTCAATCTCTTTGTTACTTATCTGACATAATTCTGAATTCCTTTTTGGTATTATCTTGGATTTCTTTGAGCTTCTTCAAAATAGCTATTTCTCTGTCTGAAAGATCACATATCTCTGTTTCTTCAGGATTGCTCTCTGGTGCCTTATTTAGTTTATTTGGTGAAGTCATGTTTTCCTGGATGGTGTTGATGCTTGTAGATGTTCTTTGGTGTCTGAGCATTGAAGAGGTAGGTATTTTTTGCATTTTTTACGGTCTGGATGTGTTAGTCCCTGTCCTTTTTGGGAAGGTTTTCCAGATATTGAAGGGACTTGGGCCCCAAGCCTTATAACACTGTGGTTTTATTGGTACCACCTTGATGATCTTGGATAAGATCCAGAAGAATTCTCTGGATTACCAGGCAAAGACTCCTGTTCTTTCCCCTTACTTTTTCCCAAACAGAGTATCTCTCTGTTCTGAGCCACCTGGCACTGGGGGTGTGGTGATGCAAGCACCCCTGTGGTGGCAAGCACCCCAAGAGAGGGTTCTTGGATCTCAGGAAAGAAAGAATTCAGGCAAAGCCCATAGAGTAAAGTGAAAGCAAGTTTATTAAGAAAGTAAAGGAATAAATAATGGCTACTCCATAGGTAAAGCAGCCAAGGGTGGCTGGTTGCCCATATTTATGGTTATTTCTTGATTATATACTAAGCAAGGATTATTCATGAGTTTTCTGGGATAAGGGTGGGCAATTCCCAGAACTGAGGGTTCCTTCCCTTTTTAGACCATATAGGGTAACTTCCTGACATTACCAAGGCATCTGTAAACTGTCGTGGCACTGGTGGGGGTGTCTTTTAGCATGCTAATACATTTTAACTAGTGTATGATGAGAGTGAGGATGATCAGAGGTCACTCTTATCACTATCTTGGTGTTGGTGGGCTTTAACCAGCTTCGTTACTGCAAACTATTTTTATCAACAAGGTCATAAAGACCTTTATCTTGTGCCAACCTCCTGTCTCATCCTGTGACTTAGAATGTCTAACCTCCTGGGAATGCAGCCCAGTAGGTCTCAGACTTATTTTACCCAGTCCCTATTGAAGATGGAGTTGTCCCAGTTCAAATGTCTCCATTACTAGGACTGGGCCCTTTCCTTCAGTGAAGCAGGGTGTGCCTAGAAACATTGTTCAGGAGGTAGGGCCTACAATGGGCCCTCCTGACTGCCTAATGCCTTATCTTACCGTGGATCAGCTGGTTTCAAAGATGCAAAACGAAGTCCTCTTTACTCTTCTATCTCCTCTCCTTAAGCAGAAGGAAGGAGCCCCTTTTGTTGCTGTAAGCTGCACCGCATGGGGTTGGGGAAAGGGTGGCACAGGCATTCCCTTATCTGCTCCATTTGATGTCTCCCTAGGTTACATGCCACCCTAGTCTCCTGACTTTAAGCCCGGTCCAGCATTAGCAGTTGCCTAGGAATTATAGTCCTTGTGTCCTAGATTTCCTTTCAAGTTTGCTAGGGACCCGAGAGCACTTTACCCTGCAGTGGTGAGGTTTGCTGAGAAACTCAAGTTCTAACTGCTGGGATGGGTGATTCCCCTGTGGCTGGGACTGGTCCAAATGCTCTCTTGATGCACGGGCACTGGCTGAGCCCAGCACAGCTTATTTTCTGCTATGACAAGGGAGCACCATGTGCAAGATAAAGTCCCCCAGTCACTGCATTCTTCCTCCCCAAAGTGCACAGATTCTGCCTCTATGCTGCGAGGCTCTTGCCAGAGGTTGGGGCAGAAGTGGTGTCGACGATTCAAGACTGTCTCTCCTGTAGTCCTCAATGGTTGTTTCAGTGATATGAAGTTAAAACCAGATACTATATTTGCTCACCTGATATTTGGTTCTTGTGATGGTGCTTTTCTGTGTGCAGATAGTTGTTAAAATTTGGTGTTTTAGTTGAGGGGATGATTGTTGTAGGCTTCTATTCTGCCATCGTGCTTTGCCCCCAAAAGTCTGTGAGGCATACTAGTTTTTCACTTTATTCTCTCTCTTTCTCTTTTGTCTTTGTCTGGTTTTACTAATGGGGTAGTATCAGCTCCATGAAATGTATTAAGAAGTTTTTATTTCTCTTCTTTTTGGTGGGGGTGTGGGTGTGGGTAGGGAAGAGATTGTGTAATATTGATGATAATTTGTCAGTTATTCTTTAAATATTTGGTAAGATTCTCCAGTGATAACATCTAGTTCTAGTTCTAGATAATTCATTTTTGAGAGCTTTTAAATTATCAATTCAAATATTTTAATGGTTATAGGACTATCCAGATTGTCTGTTTCATCTTGGTTGAATTTTGGTAGTTTTTGGTTTCTGAGGAATGGGTATAATTCTTAAGTTGTCAAATTTATGACAATACAATAGCTTATAGCATCTCCTTATCCTTTTAATGTCTGCAGGATCTATAGTGATATCTTTTGTTTCATTCCTGGTATTTTTGCTCATTTGTGTCTTCACTCTTTTTTTGTTAATCTTGTTCAATTTTAATAAGTTTTTTGAAGAAAAGACTTTTTGTTTTATTGATTTTCTTTATTGTGTTTCTCTTTCCAATTTTACTTGTTTCTGCTATTATGATTATAATTTTCTTCCTTATTCTTGCTTTGCATTGTTGGGGAGGTAAAGTAAGTTGATGCTTTATAGTTCTTAGTTGGAACAGACCCTTGTAATAAAATACAGATTAACCAGAGAAAAACAAAGAGAAGTTTATTAACATGTGTGCCTGATGTATACATGAGTGATGCTAAAAGAAATGAGGTTTTGACTTCAGGCTCAGATACCCTCATGTGCTGAATGACCCTAGGAAAGAAACCTGTGGGGAAGGGCTGGATTTGGGGAGATGGTGCTTTAAACAAGGGTAAGGCCTGTTATGCTGATTCAGTTGGTGCCTTGTCTAGTGATTTAGTCATCCTTCTTTTTCTGCAGAGAAGGAGACAACCTTACAAATAGAGATTTCCTTTATAGATGTAAATTTCACTTACAAAAGGTTATCTTCTACTCTGTTTTCATAGATTCTTCCGAGAGTCTGCATTTTCTCAAAATAAACTACTCAAAATAATTCCTATGCCAATAAGCATATTTAAGAAGGGGCATATTCTGGCCTCCTACATTTATATTCTGGGGTAGCATGTCCTGAACCCCATTGGCAGTTATTTTTGTCTTCTTTTTCTAGTTTCTTGAGCTAAGAACTTAGATTATAAGTATTTTGTGCTGTTCATTGCCTTCCCTGCACTGCTTAGACACATCCCACATTTTTCATATTTTTTATTTTATTCCATTCAGTTTTATGTGCTTTTTATTTCTTTTGGGATTTTCTCTTTGACTGATGGATTATTTAAAAGTACATTTCTTGATTTCCAAGTACTTGAAGACTTTCCTACTGTACTTATGTAATTTTCTAATTTGATTTCAATATAGTTAGATAACATACTCTGTATGATTTTTGCTTATTTAACACTTTAAAATTTAAACAGTTCACCAAAATATTTGTTAATATTCTATAGGCCAAATCTTTTACAATGGTGTGCCAGTAAACCCACCTGACATTTGCTCTGAGGGAGACATTATTTTTATTATATTGGCCAATATACTACTTACCCTCTGGGGAAGACATTACCTCAAACTTTAAAAGCTGTTT
The DNA here is from genome assembly GCF_000001405.40 of Homo sapiens. NCBI lineage: Eukaryota > Metazoa > Chordata > Mammalia > Primates > Hominidae > Homo > Homo sapiens. The sequence goes on from NC_000007.14 coordinate 51,961,753, forward strand.
GCTCTGCAAACATTCTTGATAAGGTAGTCTATAGCAAAACCTGTAACTGTCGGCTCACAAAATGTACAGAAACTGAGAGACCCATAGAAAATTGTCTCCCAACACAACCATTTGCTAAAATCTTATTCCAAATTCTATTTTGAATTTAGATAAAATTCCAACAAAATAAAATTTATTTTACAATAACTTCCATCTTTCTTTATAACCCTGAGTTCCAATCCTATTCATTCAAGTTTTCCTCTATGCTTTAATGAAAATTGCGCAATTTTACTAATACAATATCTTCAAATTTCTTGTTAAATATGTACATATTATCTCTTATTGTTAATACGATTTCTCCTGCTTCCATGTTTTTAATTGGTTATTACTGATACAAATAAATTTAAATAATTTAATTATTTATTATTCCCTTCAACACTAGCCATTACTCTCTTATTTCCACTGGACATTTGTTTTAAAATTGTTCAGTTAATTATCAATTGTTTCTCATTACTATCATAATAAGAAAGTAGGGATAATGCTGTTTCTTCATTGCTAAAATATAGATTATTTATATTGGTTTACTAATTACAATGTTGAGATCAAAAGCAATTAATGCCATAGTGGGAATCTCAGTCTTTTCCTAATGGTAGTGGGAATAAATTTTATGTTCCCACATAAATGTGATGGTGGCTGTATATTTCAGATGAATGATCTCTCTGGGAAGCACTAGAGGGCCATTGGAAAAGAATGAATGAAAGTGTGAGTCCTTTTGTGCCTATCACTCTATCTAGATTTCTGTCCTCAAAGTGGAGTTCCTCATCAGCCTCTTTCCTCTTTAACTAGACTCCTCTCTTACTGGGAGAAATTAGAGCGAAGAAGGGGCTCTCTCTAATCTCTGTGTACTCTGACTTCTACCTGCCATTGTTTCAGCCCCGTTGAGCAACTCCCAGTTCTTCTGAGACGGGGTTTCTTGCTTGTCTAGAAAGCCATGTCAATGATCGAGATAGAGGGACAATGAGATACCAAGACTACAAGGGAAAGTCTGGTCAAGGGAAGATATTCTTCAGAGAAAAAACGTGTCCTAAATCTGGCACTCCCACCAAAGAATTTAATCTGTGATGTCTGTTAACCCAAGGGGTACTCAAAGTTTTAGGTGAGACTAAATGGAGCCAATAACTTGATTTGAAAATTTTGGACTCTTAGTTATACATTGTGGTATCAACTTCAAGCTCTACAGTCCGTGTCTGATTCCAGCATAACTTGTTTCACTGGTGTCCTCCAATTCCTGTATCTCAAAGACTGGGCAGACCCAGGACGGGTTCTTCTCTAGTTTAGGAGGGATGGTGTTCTCCAGCTCAATGATTTGTAGTAATACATTGTAGACATAAACAGGAGACATATGGTATGCTTTGCATCTCACAGGGCCTTGGCAATTATGCTCTCAGTGATTGCCACAGATAGACATTTACTTATGGCATCAGCAATAATGGGTGTGAGCCTGCATACATAGGCTTCATGTTGGTTTACCAGTCATCTCTGTGCCAGGTGCTGTGTCATGCTGCCATGATGCTCAGAGACCTACTGTATAAAAAGAGCTCCTTCAACCCCTTCCAAGTTGTTCATGTCTAGTAAAGACACTGAGACAGTAGTGGACCTGGCCTATGCCATTTTGTTGATAAAAAGTACAAATATCAGGGTGAGATTTCTCCTTTTTGGTGAAGGGTTAGCAGATAAATACTATAGGTAAACTTGTATCATGTCATCACATAAAAATGTTTTATTAAGTTTCTATTTAGCAATCAGCAAGAGGATGTGAATCTCTGAGAAACTTAGGGTTGTATCCTTTAGAGAAAACTAAAGAAAGAGTTTTTGTCTTTTAAGGGTATTTTGAATAATGAAAAATCCTTTGTTGTTGATCATATCTGCAAAACAAAATAAAACAAAAACAAAAATACACCAGCAAGTAAGACAGTGAGAAAAAAATATCAGTAAGGCAGAAAATGGATATGTTCCAGTGAAAAAATATATTTTAAATGGTTAGAAGATAAAGAAACATCTTTCAAATACAATTGGATGGGGGGATAATAGTTGAAGAATAAATCAAGAAGTTATGTGACCTAAACTCCCAGCAAAATCAATGTGAAAATTTACTTGGAACACATTAATGATGTCAGAAATATCAAATAATATAGATATAGGAAAGAATCTGTATTTGTTAGAGAAGAACAGGAAAGCTGCAATAACAGATTAATCACCAAAATTTAGTATTTGAAGTCACATGAAGTTTTATGATTTTCCTACCATCCTCCAGGAGAATGTTCCTGTGGTCAGAGATGCTGTCCTCTACTTGGGCATTAGGAACACAGGATACTTTCGTCCTGTGGTTCCAACACTCCCTAGGTTTCCTTCTCATTTTCACCAGTAAAAAGGTCTGCGTGTTCAGTACAGATGCAGCCATCCACTTTTTAAAACTATTTTTGATCTGTGGTTGGTTGAGTCCATGCATGCAGAACCTGTGCATATATAAGCCAACTGTAGGTACTGGGGAGTTTTAAGAATGGAGGGAGAAATCCTGAAAACACAGGGTCTTATAGAACCGAGATTAATGTTCTTGCTTGGGAAGCCACGGCCACTTTCATTCTCATGATGCCTAAGAACTAAGAACTATGGCTGACCGAAGATGCAAGCTGATAACTTTGGGTAGGTATCATGTCAGACAAAAAAGCAGCAATGTTTCATTACACAACCCAAGAAATCAAGATTTCAAATCCTTCCAGAAAGAGCCCATACATTGGTTTCAACATGTTTCCTTTGGTTTACCTATAGAAATTGTCAGAGTTCTTAACCCCCTTCCCCTATTGGTGATGTGATGACGTTTTTGTCTTAATCTATGGGAAACCTTTCTCATGGACAGGCCTTCACTAGGTTCTAGGGGTCATTGGAGGTCCTAAGTGCAATATCTTTCCCTGATCTGGGTCCTGCTACAGCTACACTGATAAATCCAAAAATGCTTTCTTCAGTAACAGGTAGCCCAGGGCAAACCTCTAACCTTATCCATGACATGTCAGGGTGTTTCACCAACAGGAAGGCATGCCTCTTCTCTGAATCTATTGAAACCCCTTCTCAAGTGTGTGAACTTTATGGATTTTCTTTCCTTCTTTGATATCTGATGGGCCTACTGCTTAAGATAACTTATTTTGGCTTTTGCCTGGAATAAGAAACATTCCTTCTGGCATTGTGCATGTACACATGGACTTAGTTCTGAGAATCATGGCTTATAAAAGTCAGTAATTATACAATCACAAAACTATTGCTTTCTACTGAATTGCCTGCTTGTTTTAATTTAGTTCTAAAGCTCATATAAATGGTAAATAATTAAAATTAAGACCAATAGAAAAAGATAACCTATGTATTCCATATTTCTATCCAAAATTTTATTTTCATTGTCATATTGTTTTAAAGGTCCAGTTGTACTCTTTTGAATGTTTTGGTTTTCCTATATTGATCTTTGAGAACAGTTGAGTTCATTAAAATAATTTTAAGTGAAAATAGTCAACCAGTTCAACATTCTTGAATAAATAATATTGTTATATGTGAAAATGTCTGTTTCTTTTCAGAATTTGGTTGTAAGACTGTCTAAGAATAGAGCAACCATACTACAAAAAAGGAGTTAAATTGCTATGAATGTGTGTCTGTGCATTTTTTTCATTTTTTTCTTTCTTTCTTTTTTTTTTTTTTTTTGGAGTCATACAAGATAATTTCCAGTGCGTTTGATGCAGGTTGTTCTAGTTTTAAATCCATGGTAAAGGGTAAATTATAGCTTTAAGGATTTTCATTGTTAGCTAAGACAGTGCATCCGATAATTGTCAGATAAACACCAAAAGCAAATCGATGTCAGCTGTGAGGGAGATCTGTGGTCACATTCTGCACGGTTTTGTCTTGCAGAAAGATTTTATCACTGGCACAGTTGAAGCTAGGAGCATGAGGATACAGCAAATGAAGTAAATGGCAGAATCACAAAGATAAGAGTTCTTTAGTGAATATTGTTCCAGACCAATCTAACTTCAACAGAGATCTCAGACACTTTAACTTTAAAAACGGCTTTCAATCAGAGATTCTTTGAACCAAAATTTAAGAAGATGAAACTTTTATTTCTGTTTAATTTTAAAGAGATTCTTATCCTCTGTGCAACTAATATTCTTCCAAGTGAATGTGTTTGTTATTAACAGATTGGTCTCATTGTCTAATTCATTGATGTATGGATCATTGTATAATACATTTTAAAATCAATAAGCTCTAAAGTTCAAATTCTTCACTTACTGATGTGTGCAAGTGCTTTAATACAAAAATAACTTCAGTAGTCTTCTTGTCATCGTTATTCCAAAAGGAAACCTAAAAGCCTATCATTTAAAACCATCTGCAGCACTGGGTAAATATCACTCTCACAACACGATCTACAGCCGCAAAGATCCTTTGTGTAAAACCATTCAGTGGCCTTTTATTGTTTCCACAAAAAATGCAAAAAGTAACAATTTCTCTTCCAATTAACTCCACTGCCAAATGTTGTGAATGTTGGAAGAGACAAAGAAAAGTTTACTGGGTAGTAATTAGTTATTTGGGTAGTAATCAATCTACCAGTTGCTACATAAAGGGTAACAAGTTAATAAATCAGGCTGAGTACGTGGAGTTTACCAATTTAAGCATAGTTTTAGAGATAGCTGTAAAAACAGAATCTATTTGGAACTTTTTAATAACATTTACATGCAGAGTTATCCATGGTTGGTGTTTTCCAGAAATGTTAAAGTAAAAGGAAATGCTCACCTATTTCTAGATAGTCAGATTATAGGAATATAGTCAGTTATCCAAACTGTAAATGTGTCAACTCCTTAACTCTCTGGAAACCCAATAAACTTGATGAAGATAGAAATGGGCTTGGTGAGCAGGTTCAAAAGATTTCAGTTTTTATGTTTCTTTGAAAATTGATGCTTAAACTCTCTGGGCCTCATTTTCTAAGTGGGGTTCTAACTTAGAGTTAGAGAGGGTTAATCAGGGTTCTAACTAAACTCTCTGGGCCTCATTTTCTAAGTGGGGTTCTAACTTAGAGTTAGAGAGGGTTAATCAGGGTTCTAACTTACTGTTTGGTGTTTAAATTTTGTAGCTTCAACTAGGGTTAATTCAAAATGAAAGTAAATATGACTTTGATTTTCATTGGGATGAAATAACTAAGCCATTTTGAATGTGATTGGGTTACTTATGTTTACAATGTTAATTTAATTTTAGTATTGGTTGTAGATTATGGTTAAAGTTGAGGCCTGCTGGACACATCATTTAGGAGTTCTGGAAAAGACAGAGAAAAAAGATGACCCAATGGTGGAGAAATACACACAAGGGAAAATCATGGGCTAGCCTAGGAGATAGAAAATATTGGCAGAGACTGGAAGCCATGAGAGAGTTAGCTGCCAACGCATGGTGGGTAGAGCAGCACGCAGTAGGACAGGAAGGACGGGGGTGCAGTCATAGAAGTGGTGTGCGTCCCCACTCTCTGGGATGCCTCATAGCTGGCCTAACTCATCTTCTTCCATGGTCTGCCAACTTTTACCCAGCCCTCACTGCTGCTATTTGTCTAAAATCCATGGTCACATGATTAATCACAGCTTTCCTATTCTCCTTTTTCAAAAACTCATCCACCCATTCCCATTAGTCTGATGGACACAATATCAACTCTCCAGTCTGTGCTTGCCTCTGTTCACCTTGTCCACTCCTCAGTGCTCTGCCATGTGCCTTCTTGCTTCCAGGATGGAAGCTGCTCCCTATCCGTGTTGTGCTGTCTTCTGCCTTTCTGCCATCTCCCAGGCACTTCTCTCTAATGGCAATGCTGTCTTCTGCATCAATCAACATTTACTTGTCCTTCAAGCTCTCATTCAAATGTCACCTCCCCAAGAAATACATAGTTCCTACCCATTTTATTTTGTTCCTTTTTCCTCTGTGTTCCCAGGGTACATTTTAGATTCCACTTCATTAGCAGGTATTGTGGTGGAGCCATTTATGTGCTAGACCATAATAAATATCTGCAGTATCTCTTACATTGTTTTATTATATTTTTAGATATAGCATTTTGAAAAAGAGTAAAAGGTAAATAATTTAAAGTTTGTTGTCCAATTCAAGTGTAGGTATATATGTGTGTGTATATATATTTACATGTATGTCTATGTAGCCATCATATGTGTGAATGCAAATTCCTTGAATGCTGTCACTGTATTGTACAGAAAAGGCCATGTGGTTTTCTGTTGACAATATTAAAAATGCACCAAAAATATTTCTGTACCAAGCAGACATTAGTGCTATTTAGGAAAGATAGTCTAATAAATGTTCCAACTATCTTTTACTCTATCTCCTAAATTTTATCCTTTGATTATGTTAGACTATTGGAAAGTCATAACCGTGGACCACGTAATCTTAGCCCCCATTGAAGCACCTTTACTGAGTTACACTTTAATGATATGCCTTTAAGTTTCATCTAGAATCGTTCAAAAAGTGGTCCAGAAAAATTGGCTTCTATGTGATTTCTAAATAATATCATGAAGGACATTTTATTAGTACCTTCTGTGCAAATTTTCATATCAGACAATTCTAGCAGTATCAGAAAGACTTCTCTGCTTCTGATGAACTAATGTGTTACTTTGTAGCTGAAGTGTGAACAATGTCAATTGTCAGGTTTTTCTTCTGCTGAAACAAAAGTAAAAGTCAAATCTGCAGTAAATTATGACAATCCTGTTAACCCTCAGAAATACAATATTTTCTTTTTTTCCCTCCATCATAAATCTGCATACATGCTCATATTGTTGAAAGAAAAACTTTATACAAATTCAATGTAACAGAGTTCAACTGAACAAAGAACAGTCTGCAGATGGAGCAGCCTCCCCACTCAGTCGGAATAGCTTAGAAATTACTCTGATACTGCCATGTGTTCAGAGACAATGTATGGCCAGGAAAAGGAAAATGACATAAGAAAATGAAAAGGAGGTACAGAAACAGCCAGATTGGTTACAGCTCGATGTTTCCCTTATTTTAACATAGTTTGAACAACTGATTTTTCATGATTAGACAAAATTCTGTGATTGACACAACAGTAGGTTCCAGTTTGTTTACACATCCAGTTAGGTTACAGTCTACTATGTAAGAAGAAACCTATAGGTCAACCTTAAAATCTGTAGGGGGCAGCTTTAGGCCAAACTTACTTTAACGATATTTAAGATATTGTTGTATAACTTCTCAAAATAATATTTAAAACTTGGTTTATAATAATTTTCACGATTTAAATTCTTCAAAAGAAACTACAGTCAACTTCTTCAAACTTTTTTTTATAATTATTATACTTTAAGTTCTAGGGTACATGTGCACAATGTGCAGGTTTGTTACATATGTATACATGTGCCATGTTGGTGTGCTGCACCCATTAACTCGTCATTTACATTAGATATTTCTCCTAATGCTTAAAAGTAGACCTATTACCTATAAGGCATTTAACCAGAAACATAACATGGCAAAAATGGATTATCTTGTGAGGCTTGAAGCAGACACCCTTGGAAATCAAGGAGGAGTCATGAGAGGTCTCAGCTTTGCAATCTGATTCCTTTTCAGGGATCTGAGGAAGAGGAAGGATAATAACATATTAGGTCAAGAAGCTCACCAGGCTCCAGCTTTCTAATTAAAATGAGGGCGGAGGGATGAAGAGATAAGAAGAAGAGGTTGTAACTCTAGATCTCCCTGAGTAATGCCTACCCAGGGAATACCTGCTGGGAGAATACTTAGGAAGGTGTACATTAGTCTTTATTTTTATTTTATTTATTTATTATTGAGATGGTGTCTCACTCTGTTGTCCAGGCTGGAGTGCAGTGGCACAGTCTCAGCTCACTGCAACCTCTGCCTCCCAGGTTCAAGCAATTCTCCTGCCTTAGCCTCCCGAGCAGCTGGGATTACAGGTGCCTGCCACCACACCCAGCTAATTTTTCATATTTTTAGTAGAGACGGGGTTTCACCATGTTGACCTGGCTGGTCTCGAACTCCTAACCTCATGAGCCGCCTGCCTCGGCCTCCCAAAGTGCTGGGATTACATGTGTGAGCCACTGCACCCAGCCAGCCTTTATTTTAAATAGATACAGAATTCAAGCCTTGATATTGTGCTAGAATAGGAAAGAGATATTTGTTTCTTTATCCCCATTTTCAGGTTACAAACCTCTTAAAACCCTTGTAGTTTCCTGAGCAATGAGGGTAGTAGGAGCATTTTTTGTTCTAATATTGTGTCTTTGACCCTGGTTCCTGACACAGAACCTTGTAATTTCCTGGGTGATAGGAATGTCTTTTTAAAATTTTTTTAATAAGACAACTCTTGGTGGGCTCCTTGGGACCTTGGAATCCTTGGAATTTCTTCAGTGACGGGAGTGTCTTTTCTTTTAGTGAGACAACTCTTGTTGGGCTCCTGGGTGGAGGCTGGTCCTCAGAAAGACCAGACCATGATTAGAAGCTTGGAGCTTTCAACTCTAACCCCCATCCTCTAGCAAGAGAAGAGGGCTGGAAATGGAGTTAATAATAATTAATTGTGCCAACATAAGTAAGCCTCCACAAAAACTACTGAACTTTGGGGTTGGAGAGTTTCTTGGTAGGTGAATACATCCATCTGCCAAGAGGGTGTCGCACCCTCACTCAATGGGGACTGCAGAGGACACTTCCAGACCTTGTCCTAAGTACCTCTTTATCTATTCCAGGACACCCAGCTGATGTTGCAGACTTGGTTGTTGTAGAAACACACACATTCTGGCAATCAGAAATGTTCTGTACTGAGTGAGACTAGTAGGAGAGTATAGTTTTGTGTTTTCCTACTATACAGTTTGGTGTCAGTAGTGAAATATTGAGTGGTATGAGTGGTGGGAAGGAAAAACAGAGCTGATTTTTCCTATTACTGTCTGAAGCCTAAAGATTCAAACTCAATACTAATTGAAACTTGGGAAGTGCTGTGTAGGAAAAAAATTGATTTATAGCTTGACAGAAAAGTCTAACTTTATCTCTGGAGACAGCTGGGTGTCTTGTTTGACACTTACCATGCTAAGGGTAGTGGGATCCGTGATATACTATTTAAAGTCCAAAATTCCCCTGGAAGTCCTTAAGGCCAGTTTGCTTTTGGGTGTTGTTTTCATCTGCATAACCAGTGAGCCTGCCTCACTTGACTCTTTGAACAGAGGGGCACTAAACCTCACTGGAAGTTGTGCCTTGACCTCTTCAGGAGACTAAATTCCTTTCACAAATCTTGGTGGCTTGACCCAGGGACACAGGGCTCTTATTTAAAGGCAGGGGCTCCTGGGCAGCATCCAGGGCTCTTACTCAAGAGCCTTTTGTGACATGCTCAGTGGAGTCTGGTAAGTCCTTGCAAGTATCCCAACCCGTGATGCTCACAGGTGCCAGGCTGCCTCAGACAACATTGGTTTGTTGGTGGGAGGCAGCGAGAAGCCCAGCTGTGAGGAGTTGAGGAAAACAGAGGTAGTCAAATGAGATACAGTGGAGTTTATGAGTCACAAAAATGTTCATGCATATTCATATAATCATGGCATTGAAATTCTTTCCCAAATAAATGATAGAAATGAGGGAAACAACTCTATGCATGTAACAGGATGTGAACAATAGAACGTTGTGTCTTTAAGCTGTGCTGGAGTTAAGAAAACAGAACTGACCAAAGTTGGCAAGTGTTCTAATTTCCCACTGACATGCTGTACCAGCTACGCATGATTTAGAAAAAATGTGGAGAACACATGGCCCTGGACTCAACAGTTACCTTGAAGATTATTGGAAAATGGAGAGGATTTCTTAGGAGAAGGATTGCTGGTGTGCAGTTAGTTCCAGCCTCCCTTACAATGGGTAGGTGGGAATGCAGAATATATACTTTCTCTCTTCTGAAGCTCAGTGTTGGGGGCTTCCAGGATACTGGGAATCTTGGAAGGTTTGCTCTGTGTTTGGCAGACACTGGCAGGTATCTGAAAAAAAAAAAAAAATTCCAGGGAGAGATAGATTGAGGCCACCCATGGTGGCCGACATGGGTTGAATATGGGAACTATACTTCTACCAACAGTGTTTTCTTACCTGGAGGGTATTAGTGTTGCCATGCAAAAAGTAGGCAGCTAAATATGAACTTCCCATGCAATATTCGGGTATGTGCTAAAGAAAAAGATATTCTGACCCTTGTTAAAATGATGAAGCAGAATTTACTCAGAACTTTTATGATGGGCATAGGGACTGCTGCAATGGGATTTCCATGGTGAGAGACTGGACTCAACTCAGAGTACAGCAAGGAAAGGCAGAGATGTTATAGCCAAAGAGCAGGCTGAGGGGAAGGAGATGGAAAAAACTGAAAGGAAGCTTTAGGAGTAAGTGGGGGATTCTGGCTAAACTGACCTAACAGGCTTCTTGCTGATGGCAGGCCTGGGTGATCTGATATCACCTGTGGAATGGTGGAGGATGCGGAACCTGATCAATATCAAGGGTGATCAGAACTTTGAGGGTGGGAGATTCTCACTGAATCAACTTGGCAGGATTTTTGCTAAAACTGGGCAATGCAAAGACAGACGCACATGTGGAACCCCACAAGCTGAGACCTCCTTGGTGAGAGGATTCAGAAGAGACTCACTAAAGTTCAGTCAACCCTTTGTCACATCCTTACACTAAAGACAATTCACTCTTAATTGGAAATTCCCATTTATCTGGGCAGCCTATTTTTATTTGCTAAATCTCAGAAGCAGTAGGGCCCAAGAAGGATTTCTACAGGGGCCAGGAGATGGTGTCATCCCAGAGGCTGGAAGGGGAAGGTCAGTGGTGGCCCTGAAAATGGGGCCATGGGCTGAACTGCAGCTGGAGGACACATGAGGGACCTCCAGAGATGCCTGGAAAGGGCTCATGTGCTAAAGGGCCTCCAACATCCTGCAAGGCCGTAAGAAACTCGAGAATTACAACTCACCCTGTGAAGGCACACCTGAGCTGGGTCCTTCTCCTTTCCCTCTTTCATCATGGAGGATCTAGAGTGGTCAATGGGTGGGGAAGGAGGATTAGAGCACAAGTTGGGGGAGAAAGAGAAAGCCAACGATGTTCTTGCCCCTGTCCTTTCGCCTCCCCCAGCTTCCAGGTTAAACCTGACCCAGGGAGGGGAGGTAGGAAGTTGTGGTATCCGGAGAGGTGTCCCAGTGGAAACAAGAGCCTCTGCAGAAAAGACACTCTGTGATCACATTGTACCACAAAATGTACACATGCCATAATGTCCCTACAATAGAGAAAACTCACTAAACAGAGTAGAATAGTTAGATTAATTATGTTGCAAAAAAATTTCACACAATATTATGAAGTCATTAGAAGGTCACGCATTGATTCATTCCCCAGGGATTTATTCAACTTCCCCCCCACCCGCCCCCACCCGCCCCGCCCGCCACAGGCAAGCACCCAGGCACTATGCCAGTGCTGGGGTTAAAGTGATGAGCATAAACAAAGAGGGTTATGAAGCAAACACAAATGACGACTGTGAAGTTTATATAGCAACATGGAAAACGAGGGCCGCGTGGAATTCACTTCATTAACAAGAGGCCCTGGTCAGGGACGCTGCTCTGGTTGTAACTGACAAACAATAACCAGCTATGTATAAGAACAAGAAACTCCTATTAAAAATTAGATTTAGTTTTTATTTCATTTATTTTGTTTTTTTTTTTCAGTTTATTTTTTCCTTGATAGAATTGGTAACTATCTGTGAATGCGTGTGCACATACTAATGCCATCTTGATTCATTCAAAGGGAAACTGATGTGAATTATACTAGGAATCTTCTATAAGAGCTGCGCCTTGAAGCAGCACTTGAAGGACCAGAATAATTTTGATGGATAAGGAAATGGGTCAAAATTGCCATAACTATTTTAATCAAATTATATGGAATACTCCTGTGCCCCCCCCAATAAAATTAATACATTTCCCCATGATACTGGATGGAACAGACTGACTTTTTCAGGGTCTGGCTTTGGGATTCCTGTACCACAGGGCCAGGTTTTTCACTTGCATTAAGACTGTGATGGCCTCTGCCCAGGTTTCCATAATCCAATTGCATTTTTTTACAAAGAAATAAAGCTTGAAAATAAACAAGTATCTGGGGTAGGTCCCTATAACACCACAGGAGTCAGAGGCCAAAGAAATGGAGCAAAAGATAAAATGGGAAATTAGGGGGAACATAGGCTACCACCACCCCGAGGACACTCATTATGATGCAGTTGTCTGCAGGAGCAATGTGTAATGTCTTCAGACTGGAAGAAGCTCGGGAAGGACCCAATTAGTGAGAGCCCTGAAGCCCGGACTTATCAGCAGCCTCCAGCAGACATTGTACTCCCTCCACCCATTCTCTACAAGTTTATCTTTTCTCAACATCCTACAGTAATAGTAAAGGGAGTTTTGTAGTTCCAACTATTTCTTAGGGGGAAATGAGAAAAGTGCAGCCAGGGAAAAGCTTCAAAATACTTTTGTTGCTAGGAAGAGTTAGTGCACATTCTTTTCTTTGTTTTTCTGAAACACAAGGGCTTACATTACTACAATTATGTGCAAATTAGCCCTAAGAGTTGGCGTGGTATTACTTTTTTTTTTTTAATGGCCTACAAAGACACTTTTTAAAAATATAGCAGCAGAAATTAGAATTACTTTTTACCTTAGGGTTTGTACAATTTTTTGTTACGTGCATAAACTTATTACTATTCCTTAACCACCTTATGTAACTGGGAATAAGGAATGTTCCTTAAGAGAATTAGGGCATAAGCATGTCTGTGAAGTCAGGCTTGAATTCAAAACAACCCATGTTTTCTCCAGGTGAAGGAATTTTAACAAAATTATTTAACATATGAACCTTACCTTACTCACCTTCAATCATCAAAGTTTCTGCCATAGTTCTTAGGAAGTATAGCTAGAAATGATGCTATGGGTCAGTAGTATGCATTCACAAATAATAATTTTTGTTTTGTTTTGTTTTTTTGAGACGGAGTCTTGCTCTGTCACCCAGACTGGAGTACAGTGGCGTGATCTTGGTTCACTGCAGCCTCCTGCTCCCGGGTTCAAGCAATTCTCCAGCCTCAGCCTCCTGAGTAGTTGGGACTACAGGCGCCCACCACCACGCCCAGCTAATTTTTGTATTTTTAGTAGACACGGGGTTTCACCATATTGGCCAGACTGGTCTGGACTCCTGACATTGTGATCTGCCCACCTTGGCCTCCCAAAGTGCTGGGATTATAGGTGTGAGCCACTGTGCATGGCCCACAAATAATAATTTTTTATTCCTTGCTGTATTCCTTTCTGCCACATATCAACAACTTGCCTATGGAATTCAGCAATTGTTCAATGGTTAAAGTATGTGTATACAGAAATTGTGAATTGGGCTCAGTCGTGCACTCTTACCTCCCTTGCTCTCTTCCTTCCTCCCTACTTCTCTTTCTGCCTTTCCTTTTCTGCTGAACTCTATGTAAATTAGTGTTTGATTGCTGGAATTTAAAAATACCAAAAGAGAAGTTTTTTTAAAATCATTTCTTGAATCTAGCAGATTAATTCCTATAACTTTATATAAATATGTGGAGAGGCAGATGAGTGCTTACTTAAATATCTACTATTGTTGTAAAAGTTCCAGCACAATGAAAAAAAAAAAAAACCTCAGGTAATATGATGTGGCTTATTTGAAATATTTTAAAAATGAGTAATGGTATGAAATCTACCAGTTATGTTTAAATATTTGCAAATACAATTTCTAGAAATAGACCATCCCCAAATGTTATTGGAAATGCAGACAGAACACAATTCAAAACTCACAAAGTTTGAAGCAAACTAAGTGGATCTTGTAAACTTACCAGCAAATGGACAGAGGTTGAAAACGTGAAAGCCCTGGAAATTTCATTTATTGAATAATAAAGAAGTTAGTGAAATAATTTATAAGACATTTATTTTACCTACTCCTAATGGTCAAAGTAATAAAGGTCAAAGCTTGCAAAATGATTGATTCTGCTCCCCTTGACACAGCTGGTTGTGGAGTTATAGATCTCATCACAAATGAAAAATAACAATTTTTTTATTACAAGTATAAGAAAGTCAATATGTCTCAATAAAAAATTGATAAATGCACTGATACTGTGAACTCCTTTAATCTTTTGTTTTCTGAATCAGTTATCAAAAATTTTAAAAAGCCAATAAAGATATTTAGTAGCAAGCAAATCACATACTTGAAGTAGAAAATTCTGAATTTTGTATTGACTTCACCATAAACATAATATGTTTATGAACTGAATGTAAGACCACAATTCTCTGGGGACAGTTGTGGAGACACATACAAGTCTTTGCTAGTCTACGCATGTCTATTAATAAGAAGAAAGGCAAGACACTTTTTAACTGAGGTTGGTGTCAGCTTTATGAAAAGAAGCACCGTGTCTACAAACAGCTGGCTTATGTAGAGGTTTACTGCTTCCTTCATGGAAACATTCTCAATGGATACAAGTTGCAGATAAACTTGACTATGGGAGATGGTTTTTGCAAATTGGCAATTCCCAGCACATCTTGTTAGAATATTTGAATGACTTAAATTTGTTTTTATAAGACTATGTTACAGGAATAAAATAAATTCCGAGGCTGGCCCCATGACTCATGCTTATAATCCCAACAATTTGGGAGGCCAAGGCGGGTGGATCACTTCAGGCAGGAGTTCAAGACCAGCCTTGCCAACATGGTGAAACCCTGCCTCTACTAAAAACATAAAAATTAACCTGGTATGGTGGTGCACGCCTGTGATCCCTGGCACTTGGAGGATCACCTGAACCTAGAAGGCGGAGTTTGCTGTGAGCCAAGATGGCACCACTGCACTCCAGCCTGGGTGACAGAGTGAGACCCTGTCTCAAAAATAAATAAATAAATAAATAAATAATCATTCTGATAACTGCAAAATTGAAACTAAGAGAATAAACAATTGGTTTTGATGAATTTCATCCTCTTTATTGTTAGAACAAGCTGAATATATTTTGATATAACTTTCTGAATATATTTTGGACTTGAGAGTATTGAAAGATTTAGCATAAATATCATAATAAGCATTTACCTCTGTAACTAAAAGCCAACCTGAATATAAAACCTCATCCCTTCCCCATGATTTCATAGACTTTATCAAATAACTTGACCCTGTAGCATTGATTCCAGAAAATCCTTCAGCTGGCTTATTGAAACCAAACTATAATGAGAATCGCACAATTTTCGTTAGGAGTTTTTCTTTTCTGCCAGATAATATGGCTGTCACTACATATATATATATATTCTATAGGAACAAGTACCCAAAATATGGAATTTGCAGTACTGTTTGATCTCAAAAATATCTCACTGAGGGTGTAATTTTTTTCCTTAAATCTAAGGTTCCTTTATTGTCAACCAATAAAAACCATTTTATTCTTCTAATTGAGGAACTTATGTTCAGGTATGCATCTCTGTTATTCAGTTAAATCACTATAACTTGTTTTATTGGTTTATAATATATTTGGTTTTATTTTTATATTTAAACTTAATATTATTGGTATTCATTGCATTTATTTGCAGTTGCATTTTAAGGTAAGCTATTTTAATTTTCCTTGTCGGTTGTCTCTAAGTTAATTATAAATTTAAGACAATTTCAATACAAAATACTAGTAAATCTTTGCATTGAACTATACAAATAAGCAAGAAAAAAAGTTTAAAAAAAACCTTTGGAAAGGAAGAGTCACAATGGACTACTAATCCTTCTAGGTATTTAAACATAAAACAACAGTCTGCAATTAAAAGTGTATATATACTCTGAATCAGTGGCTCTCACATGGGCAATTTTGTCTATCTTCCTCCATAGGGACATGGTGATGTCTGCAGACATTTTTATAGCTGAGAGATGCTACTGCTGTCTTATCGGTAAAGACTAGAGGCACTGATAAAATTCTATTAATATAATGTGCAGGATAAGCCCTAGAACAAAGAATCATCCTGCCTCAAATGTTAGTAGCGTCAAGGTTAAGAAACCCTGCTCTAAGTGGATCAGATAGCTGGAGATAGAAATAAAGTGATCCACAGGAAGGGGAACATCAAACACCGGGTCCTGTCATGGGGTGGGGGGAGCGTGGAGGGATAGCATTAGGAGATACACCTAATGTAAATGATGAGTTAATGGGTGCAGCACACCAACATGGCACATGTATACATATGTAACAAACCTGCATGTTTAAAAAAAGTATTTTAAAAATATATGTATGTGTTAATTATATATTAAGTATATAATAATAAATGCACATTATATATTCAATGTTTATTATATATTTGATAAATACAATAATAATTTAAATATAATTTAATAAGTAATATTTAAAAATATTTAATAAATGAAATTATTATTTAAATAATAATTTAAATGTAATGTATATTAGATATTGAATATATTTATTAAATATATTTAATTATATTTAAATTATTTGAATTATATTTATTTATTAAATATATTTAATTACTATATATCATATGTATTAAATATAGATATTTGTACACACACATACACACACACATGCTTATCTTCATAAAAAAGAAAAACAGGAATGATATATAGAAATTATTGAAATTTTTTTACCTAGAGGGACTAGGTAATAGAGATGGAGTATATCTCTCTGAATATACCTTTTTGTAGAGTTTTGACATTTGGAGCTAGATTAATATTTTTAGATACACAAAGCAAAACAACAGCACCACAAAAATATTAGCAAAAACAAAGCAAGAATAATGGAAAAAAATAGAACCAAAATGTAATACAAAGAGAAATAAATGAGCATAATTTTATTTCAATTGAGTAACAATCACACCCAAGTTATGAAAGAAGAGTTAACCCAAATAACTTTTGAACAAAGTGTATCCCCTCAGGTTAAAGAAAAAGAGAGCTTTTAACTCAATTTGAACTCCCGTGTCTAGTTTGTTTTTCACAATTTTATTGATGAGTAATTCTTAGGATTGAGCATATAATTAGATTATTGAGAGTTTTCACAGCTGGAAAGGTATGGACAGGAAAAGGGTGAGAATAAATGGTAGTGTGAGTGGAACTGACTGTCCTTGGTGAGATTGAGAATGAAGTCATGGTTTTGATAGGTAAATGTGTGCACGTATAAACATATATATGTATATTTATGTATATGAGAGTGTATATTTTTCCCCTTGCTCTGCCTGCTAAAAAGCCTTAGGAACAGGCCTAGCAAGGCCCAGGGGTTTGGAGCCTGCCTTCATGCAGCAGCCCAGGGTGGGGACGGCAGCACAGGTGTGTAAGCACTGGGCCCTGGGGACCCCAGCATTAAAACCTCAACATAGGTCTCCAGAGCTGAGCTCAGCACAGGAGGGATGAGGCTGCTAGTGCAGCAGCCCGATGTGTTGGGACACTTGGATCTGCACAAGGAGGAAAAACAGCAGTGGCCATCATGACAGGAGCCACAGGGCTCTCCCTTTATGGCCCAGGCTGCATGAGCCCCAGGCTAAAAGCCCATTGAAGAAGAGAAAGTCACCAAAGTTCACTAAATAAACCAAAGTTGTTTTTTCTCAAATTTAGTCAGGGAAGCTTCAATCCAGGTTTAATCTGATGTAGAAAAAAAAAATGAATGGGATCCCCCAATAACAATAGGCACGCTCATATCTTGGTTTCCAGATAACATTTCCTTCTGAGAGAAGTCTTAGCCCCCTAGAGAAAGGACTTATTTCAGTTCTAGGAACTGGGACATTTTTAAAAATCGATACAGGATAGTTCTGCATATTTACAGGGTACATGTGATATTCTGATAGTCAGAAAGTAAGAATGTAATAAAAAATAATAATATGTCAGAAATGAAAAAAGTTGCCCGGCAAGGTGGCTCCCGCCTATAATCCTAGCACTTTGGGAGGCCGAGGCAGGTGGATCAACTGAGGTCAGGAGTTTGAGAGCAGCCTAACCAACATGGGGAAACCCCGTCTCCACTAAAAATACAAAAAAAAGTAGCTGGACATGGTGGTGGGCCCCTGTAATCCCAGCTGCTTGGGAGGCTGAGGCAGGAGAATCGCTAGAACCTCCGAGGAGGTGGAGGTTGCAGTGAGCTGAAATCACACCATGGCACTCTAGCCCAGGGAACACAGTGAGACTCCATCTCAAAAAAAAAAAAAAAGAAAAAGAAAAAGAAAAACGTTTCAGGATGATGGGGTTCACTCTGGGTTAAGAAAACTTGAATATTGAAATAAGTCGTGAGAGCAATGAGTATAATCCATTGAATAAAATAAGAAAAAGAGGAAAAAATTGTTAACATTTGTTAAGTTGAAGTAAATGGCAGTTGAGAATTTTTTATATCATTCTCAAAACTTGTCTTTAGGTGTGATACTTTATTAAAACAAAAACCTTTAAAAAAGTATCTCACAAGATATAAACAGAGGATAAAAAAGCATGCATGCAAGAGCAATGGAAGTCATTTCAGCCATAACTGAGAAATGGACATTTAAGGCTCTAAAGTCCCTACCACAGGGTTTTATTTTCTTGTTATTACAGTCCTATCCCAACAGACAACCAATGACATACGGCTTCTTGTGAGATTCTTCTTGTTGCTCAATAATAGGTATAAAGCTTAGTGTTTACAGTAGAAAATAGGTACTAAAAAACTACTGCCATGTTCCCATTCTGGGTGAGATGGAATGAGTGTGCTTCACACTTGATCTTCCAGTGAATGCTGTCATAAAACCTGGACAGTATGCAGCCTGGAGAAACTCTTTGAAGATTGTAATGTAAATACCAGCAAGCAAATTGCAGAAGAACATCAGACTTTGAAGCCATTAAACGGTAAATGAGTTTACCATTCTCTTTCTCCTTCTTTCTGCCCCTCTCTTTCTATCTCTTTCTGTCTATAATATCTCCCACCTGAACTCAACACAGCCTGAAACTCAGAGGTGAGCACTGTGGCACAGAGTTTCAGAGAAGACCTCCTGTTCTGGCTCAGGATTGACAGAGACAACTCAACACTCAAAGGAGTGCAGAAAATCAGTGAAATTAATATGGCTATTTGAAATAATAAATAAAGTCTTTTTTTCTAACAGAGAGGAGAAGACACATTACTAATATCAGGAATGAAAGGACAATGTCACTACAGACAAAGCAGACATTGAAAGACCCATCACACTCAATGTATGGGCCACCTACTTATTTTCCTCTTTCATACATTTAATGCTTTACTTTTGCTGACTCAGCTTCAAGTAATAAGAACACTGTGAGCCCCTCTGCACATATAAATTTGACAACTTTGATAAAATGAACCAGTTTCTCAAAAAAACACAAACTTGGCCGGGCATGGTGGTTCTCACCTGTAATCCCGGCACTCTGGGGAGCAGAGGTGGGTGGATCACTTGAGCCCAGGAGTTGGATAACAGCCTGGCCAACATGATGAAACCCCATCTCTACTAAAAATACAAAAATTAGCCTGACATGGTGGTGTGCACCTGTAGTCCCAGATACTTAGGAGGCTGAGACAAGGGATTCACTTGAACCCGGGAATTGGAGATTGCAGTGAGCCAAGATCACGCCACTGCACTCTAGCCTGGGCGACAGTGAGTGAGACTTTGTCTAAAAAATAAAAAAACCCCAAAACTACCAAATTTACTCAAGTTATATCAAATTACAAATGTTTTCTCTGTTAAAGACACTATTTAGGGAATAAAAAGACAAGCTATAGAGTTGGAGGAAATATTTGCCAGTCACATATCTGATGAAGTACTTTATTTGTATCCGGAATGTGTAATTAAAATCCATCGTTGTTCCTGTAATTATTTTGTCTTTAATATTGATCATCTGCATATACTAAGCAGAAAAAGGCAGCACTATTATCTAACAGGGATTCTCCCTGCATGCCTTTTCTCCCTGGGGATTATAGGTTGCTATGTGGACTCTCCTTTTCCTCCAATAGCATGTGGTGCTTAGTGAGATACATTCATCCCTAACATGGAATTTTTAGAATGGATTACCATGAATAAAACGAAGCAAAATTGGTAAGGACACAAAAGAAGAAGCACCTACCAGTCAATTTCCAGCAGTCTTAAAAAGAGAAATAAGAGATAGCGGTATGTTTTCCTTTCAACATTTGACCTGTAGCCTGATCATTCTGAATTTCCCTTGTTGTTTATTTTTGTGAATCATTCATGAATCTATAGAAATTTATCTTGAGTATTCTTTTTATGTTAAATATAACTAGTGACTTAAAATGCACCACCAGATGACTTTAACAAATTCCTATTATCTGATGACCATTGTTAGGGGGGAGAAAGGGGAGACGATCTTTGCTTATAATGATGAAAACTGTGCTTTGCAAAGCACAGTTTCTGTGACTTTAGCAGCAGACAAAACTCAAATTGGATGTGAATGCATAGGTGGATGGATGTTCAAATGACAAGGCAGAGTGTAGGAAGATAAATGACCCAAGGCTACAGCCATGGTAATGTTTAAAAACAACTCAAAATCTGCCTCAGGAAAAAACCACCAGTCTCTCTGATGGCAAGCACATTTCAAGACTTATGCCAGCCTACTGTATTTCAATGTTGATATGCCCTTTTTCAGATGCATGAGCTGATGTAAGGTAAATGTTACTGTTTTACAGAAGATAAATGACAGAGGAAAAAAATCACATCAATGGAAAAAACACCTGACCCTTAGTCCTAATTCTTCTTAACATCAGAAACTTTAATTTATTTGGTGGGGTCTTGCTCTGTAATATATGAATTCTGGGAAAATGTTTTATAATTATTTATCCTGATTTGCTAGGAAAAGTTCTTGGTACCTTTATTCTAATTTAATTTTCAATATGTCCTATTCACCCTCAAAAATGCCCTATTTGGGGCAATTAATTACAACATTACCCTATGAACTCATCGTGGTCTAATCTTATGAAGGTTTTGACCAGGATTCTTCAAAAATGCTGCCTCTAGACTTCAAGAGCATAAACAATCTATCTCCACCTCCAAGACAGCATACTTCCTAGTTATCGGGAACTGCAATAGCTGCCACCAGCAGAGTCGATCTCACTGACTCACAGTAATTAAAAAGCATGTCCTTTTAAGGCGAATGCCAGGACTTAGGACCTCACTTTGTCACTCACCTGCTGTATAACCTCGGACAAGTTATTAACATCTATCTATCTCATTCTCCTGATCTGCAAAAGGGAATAATAACAGAACCTGCCTTGTGAGATTGCTGTGAAGATTAAATGAGTTAACATATGTAAAGCACTTTAAAAAGATTGGTGCATATTAAGCAGAATATTTAAGTGATCTTACCTTAAATTAAATCCTCTTACTTAGCCTTATCATATTGAGACAGACTTTCGGCATCTTTCCTTTTTCTTCACATCATCATGAAAACATAATTACTATAAACCATAGTTACTAACTTGCTGCAGATTTTCCACTGCACATTCAATCCATGGGCCACCTACTCATTTTCCTCTCTCTTACATTCAATTACTTTTTCTGACTCGGCTTCATATTTTCTCTTTATTTACTTGTTTTTCTATGTATTTTATGTATATCTAATACACCTCTGTGTTTTTCTAGGCATTGCAATAATAATTGGATATCTTCTGGATGTTACTCTTAAAGGTCAAAATATTTTGTGTCTTAACACAATAAAATGTGACAGAATTGACTGATAGGAAACACCTTCACATTCCTAAGTTTATTAAGCAGTTTTGATACATAATACCATATATGAATTTCACAAAATTGTGTTGTTTTCATAAGGAAACAGAAATAAGACAAATATGTGGAGTATGCCAGTACAGATTTTAGCTAAATAGAAGAAAGATATTTCTAGGAGTCAAAAGTTTTAAAGATGTTCTGATCTTATAAGCAACAAATTTCCTAGCATGGGATGTACTCAAATCCTTGGTGGGAGTGGATGGATAGCAATAATAGGCTAGGTGGTTGGGCCAATCAATAATTTTTAAGTTATTTTTCCTATGAGATTTTTACATTTTCAAATGCAAATAAATAGGATTTTGGAAATATTTTTAACTAGGGAAATTTGTGGTTATGTATTTTGCACAATGAAGACCATTATTTCAATTGAAAGTTACCTACTTTTAAAATCAATTCTTTAAATTCATCTTTTGAATTTCAGCTTCCGCAGATAGAATTTGAACTGTACATCTTCATTTTAAGCACAACAGTAAACTTATATTCTTTGATTTCTGTCTTCTGCTTTCCCAGAAAGTAAGGTTTAATCAGAATGGCATTAAAGGGCACAGTTCTGCTTTGATTTTATATAATCATTCTCTTCTTTATATACATAACTTGAAGGGATGTGCTAATTATTGATGAGCTGAAGAGGAGAATAAATGATTATTTTGAATTGTAGTGGTCCAAAGACCAAGGGTAAGGCAAAGGTATTAGTTAATGTCCTTTCATGAGTCATACTGAGTAGCCTTTTACTCTGAAAGATGTAAGGATCAGGGGCATTTGTATCTGTGTAGAAAACCTCAATAGTGACAGTCTGAATCCAACTGTCTGCTCCTGGAATCACTTCTCAAATTGGGTGCTCTACAGTGTAAAAGTAACTGGGTCCAAGTTACATAAACTTGACTCTCTGTGTTTATAGGTTTCAGCTATTGCAGGATGTGTTAGGCTGTTCTTGCATTTTTATAAAGAAATGCTTGAGACTAGATAATTTATAAAGAAAATAGGTTTAATTGGCTCACACTTCTGCAAGCTTTACAAGAAACATGGTGCTGGCATCTGCTCAGCTTCTGGGGGGAACTCAAGAAGCTTACAATCATGGCAGAAGGCAAAAGGGGAGCAGGCGTGCCACATGGTGAAAGCAGGAGCAAGAGAGTGACTGTGGAGGGGAGGTCCCACACACTTTTAAATGATCAGATCTCTTGAGAACCCACTATCACAAAGAGAGCGGAAGGGATGCCATGAGGGATCCGCCCCCATGATCCAAACACCTCCCACCAGGCCCAGCTCCAGTAATGGGGATTACAATTCAACATGAGATTTGGTCAGGGGCAAATATACAGACCATATCACGGGTACTGTCATGATTCATGAGTGTTTCCTTGTTCTCTTTTACTCTTTACATGCCCTATATGTGTTAAGGGATGGAAAACAGAATCAACTTTGATAAACTCAAAAGACAGTGTCTCTTCAAAACAAAACAAAACCAACAAAACAAAACCCTTTTTCACTATGTGTCACAATTTTTGAAACATACCAAAAGACTTTTCCAGAATCAAAAAAAAGGAAACATGATAAGCTATGGATTTATTCCTGACCAATGGATGCTACCTCAATGGGCCAAGAAAGCAGAAGGAAAGAGGCAGCTGAAAGATAATCAGGCAAACACATTTACATAACTGACCTATCTGAGAAGTGCTCTGGGGAAGATGGGCAAAGCAGTTGACACAGAGCCTTGAAATGAATGGCCCAGTTGTTGCAGGGGCAGAGGGCACAGATGGGGCCCTATGAGATATGCATAATAAATTGTGTTAAATTATATGAAAAACTAAGCATAATCAATCACCATTCTTGAAAAAAAAATTCAGTGATGATGATTACAAATTAGTAATCCACATATGTTCAGCTCAGATCTCTTTACTGAGGTGCAGTCGCATAAATCAATCTTCAATTACAAATCTCCACCTGAATGCTCCATAAGCATGTTCCCATGTCCATGTTGCTCCTCAGTCTCTTTCTCCCCACCTCGCCCACTCCATTCCAAACCTTTCTTCTTTTTCTACCATTGGCGGATCCTCTCAAACCTTTCATCCAAGCAAGAGGTCTGGGCATCATTTTCCAGCCCTTCTTTTTAAAGCTTAAAGCTTATTCTTCTATAACCAATAAGCAAATAAGCCCTGTTAATGCCACTGCAGTTTTTCCACTCGTTGTCTATCAACATTTCTGTTGCCTCAGTTCAGATCCATGACATCGTCTCTCATTGCAATTCAGCTCTACCTCCCACCTTCAAAAAATAGCTTTTTTTTTTTTTTTTTTTTTTTGAGATGGAGTTTCACTCTTGTTGCCCAGGCTGGAGTGCAATGGCGTGATATCAGCTCACCTCCACCTCCACCACCACCTCCTGAGTTCAAGCCATTCTCCTGCCTCAGCCTCCCGAGTAGCTGGGATTATGGTGCCTGCCACCACACTCAGCTAATTTTTTTTTTGTATTTTTAGTAGAGATGGGGTTTCACTATCTTGGCCAGGCTGGTCTTGAACTCCTGATCTCAGGTGATCCGCCTGCCTCGGCCTCCCAAAGTGCTGGGATTACAGGCATGAGCCACCACACCCGGCCTAAAATAGCTTTCTAAATGAGAAGGTGATTGCATTATTTCCATTCTTTGCATTCTTTAGTGACTCTATTTACCCAAAGAGACACAGTCAACATTTTTAAGAATGACATTCAATGCCCTCTACTTTCCTACCTTACCTACTGCCAGGTCCCAATGATACAGTAGTTAAGAAGAAATTACTCAGGCAGATAGTGAGGGCAGGAAGTCCTCAGTAAGGTTTTCCTTTTAATGAAAAGCCGCCCCAAATTATTTTCCTTTCTAACAAAGAGCAGCCTGTAAAATCGAGCTGCAGAACATAGATGCTGACAGTTATGCCAATCATGTTCAAGATGGCGGCTCTATCTTCCCTTCTCTTTCTTTGTCAGCCACGTATATAAAAAGGAGCAGACAAGATGGCCTGGTCAACTGGAAAGCCCATTTGCATAATAAGATTAGGGTAGGGTCCTCAGCCTTCCCTGCGCATCATGTAAACGTCATACCTGATCGAATCAATCTGTGAGCCATATGTCAATCAGACACCGCCTCCCCAAGCCAGACTAAAAAATCCAGCACATTCACAGCCAGCCAGTCTTTTTCCTCTCGGAAGTCCCCACTCTCTCACTAGAGAGAGAACTGTTTTCCTTTCTCTTTTTTTCTCTTTCTTTCGACTATTAAACCTCCACTCCTAAACTCCTAGTGTGTGTCCCTGTCCTAAATTTTCCTGGCGCGAGGCGATGAACCCTCCGGTTTGTACCCCAGACAACGTAGCCACTTCACCATCATGCATGGCCCAGGGCTTCTGTCTTAGAGCAAATAGTCTGTTTCTAAACATTCTATGCTGCTTCCCCCTCTGTGCTTTGATGAAGCGTCATTTCTTTTGTGTTTTGTGTGCTCTTCTCATCCTTCATCCTCTATAAACTCTCCCCTAACTTGGGTAGCTTAAAGCAGGCTGTCTATTCACACCCCCATCGCGCTGCTATGACTGTGAGTACACTTGATAAGATGTTATTTGTTTATGTGTCCATCTTTCTATTTGTCTATAAGCTTTTTGAAAGGTGGGAGGATGTCTCACTCATATATCAAGCCCTAGCTCCTGGTACAGAATTTAATATATCAAGGAGCTTTAATAATGGACTGGACAATTAAGTTGATGAATAGATTATTATACTTTAAGCAGCTTTGAGTAACGATTTTGTTTCTGGCTGCATTTCTGAGTGGAAAAGAATCTGTAACCACACTGAGAGTCACCTCTTTCATAGGCGCCTTGCGTGGGAGAGACGAAGGAGCGGAGATGCCCAGTACAGTCGGCGTCCTCCTCAGTGTGTGGAAACCCGCAGTGCTCTGTGGGAGGCACAGGTGGGTCCAGCTTGACATTTGCAACTCAGGAGAGATGACGAGGAGAAAAACTATTAATAGGCCCAATGTGTATAATGAACTGATTAATAGTAGGATGTCCAAAATGTCTTCATCCACAGAATGGTGGGCATGTTGCTTTTTGACTGGTTCCTTGGGGATTATTTGTTGGGAAATAGATGAGAATTCTTGGTCTACCATACCCAGGAGACTCTCAGATGAAGAGAACCCCTTCCAAGACATTGTCAACATTCAGCAGACACGACAGAGATAGCCCCACTGCAGTTTGGAGATATGACCAGAAAGAAATATCTCCAAAGATAATTGTATGTGCTTTTTTAGAAAAAAAAAAAAAACTTCTATCTTTGTGTGTTTGAAACTGGATGATAAAATTTTAATTAATTTTTGTCAAAACATAAGTACCCTGTATATTTTTATCATAGATCAAAGTATTGATAAAAATGCAGAAATTAGATACCCGATCTCATCTTTTAATAAAGTACTCATGACCAAATATCAGAATTAGGCACCTATCATCCATTTATATATCTATTCACTGGTGAATTGGCATAAAACAAAAAGAACATTGGCATAGTTTTGTTTTTCTGTCTCTGACATTTACTAATCCTTTAATCACACAACATTTGTTCAACTTCTCAGAGTATATTTCCTCACCACGAGAGATTGAGGATTAACCTGATGAGTGGATCTATAAGTAGCACAATCCAGTTCCTGGATTATATCAGAAAGTGAATAAATGGCATTTCTTGGTGTATTATTTTCATTTTTCTTCTTTTCATTTAATGAATGACTTTTTAAGAGCCATAGGCTACACACTTCAGGAGTTTAAAGACAATTCATCCATGTCTACTATCCTGGAAGAGTCCGGAGTCCCAGGGTAACAAGTGGACGTGCCAACAGAAAGGTGTGATGATGGAAGCTATACAGGTAGACTGGACACAGTGCAGTGACATCTCCACTAATTTTCTTTTTAAAGAAGAAAATACTTAACTTGTGAACAAAAAAGGAAAAGTTCCATGCCAGAGGGACAGGTCAGAGGAAGATCATGGTACACTGGAATAAAAGCAGTTCGGTACAGTGAATTTCTAAAACCCAAACCAAGGTGGGGAGGGACAGACAGGTGCAGGCAAGTCATGGAGGCCTGCATAGCCATCCCAGGAGAGCAGGCCCATGAACTCACAATACTTTTTATTGAGGAAATCATTTTGATAGGAATCTTTTCAAACATATTTTCCCCAACATATTTTTTATTTATTCATTAAAAAATTTAAACCATTTTATTTAGTGACTATTTTTACTTAAAATTATGCATTCATACAATAATCTATTATGTGATTTATAGAAATAAAACAAAATGGAATTTGTCTAAAAGGCAAAGTGAACAATATTTCAATATACTCTTAAATATATTATGCTTGCTAATTGTACAAAATCCATTAGTATTATTAGCATTATTATATTCTGTCACAGCATGATTGAACATATCAAACTTTAAAATCTTGCTGTAACACTTTGTAATGTAGCAAATTGAAGGTTTCATTCTAAGTTTGCTTTATTTCATTGATTAAAATTAGTGGCTGTCACATCTAAAGAAGAAACCTCACAATAATATGCAGCTATATGTGGAAGACATACGTGGTTGACTCTGTGTATTACCATATTTATACTTTAAGATGTACATCATTATTTGTTTCTATATTTTAACACCTTTAAAATTGGTACATGCCTTTCACTTTGCTATTTAATTCAATTAAGTGTAATATTCCAAAGACATATCATCTCATTCACCAATTACACAAGCTTTTGATAAAATTTAGCTAGTAAATTATCACTATTCTGACATTACTTCATTGCAACCTAGGCAAAATGGTTTATTTTTAGTAGCTTTGTCAACTTTTATTTTACATTCAAAAGTTACATGTGAAGGTTTATGCAAGGGTATATTGCATGATGCTGAGGTTTGGGATACGATTGAACCTGTTATCCAGGTAGTGAGCACAGTATTCCTCAGCTAGTTTTTCAACCCTTGCTCTCTCTCTCCTTCCCTCCACCCCTTGTATTCCCAGTGTCTATTGTTATTATCTTTTTGTCCATGAGTACCCAGTGTTTAGCTCCCACTTATAAGTGAGAACATGTGGTTACATGGTTTTCTGTTTCTGTGCTAATTTGCTTAGAATAATGACTTCCAGCTGCATCCATGTTGCTGCAAAGAACATGATTTCATTTTTTATGGCTGCATAGTATTCCATGGTATATATGTACACATTTTCTTTATCCTATCCACTGTTGATGGTAATGGGATTGCTGAGTCTTGTGGTAGTTCTACTTTTAGTTCTTTGAGAAATCTCTAAGCTGCTTTCCACAGTAGCTGAACTAGTTTACATTCCCACTAAGAGTGTATAAGTGTTCCCTTTTCTCCACAGCCACACCAACATCTGTTGTTTTTTGGCTTTTTAACAGTAATAATTCTGATTGGTGTGGGATGGTATCTCATTGTGGTTTTGATTTGCATTTCTCTAATGATTAGTGATGGCGAGCATTTTTTCATACACTTGTTGGCTACATGTATGTCTTCTTTTGAGAAATGTCTGTTCGCGTTCCTTACCCACTTTTTGATGGGTTTGTTTATTACTTATTCACTTGTTTATATTCCTTATAGTTCCTGAATATTAGATATTTGTTGGATACATAGTTTGCAAATATTTTCTCTCATTCTGTAGGTTGTCTCTTTACTCTGTTGATAGTTTCCGTTGCTGTGCAGAAGTTCTTTAGTTTAATTAGGTCCCAGTTGTTTTTTGTTCAGTTTTTGTTGCATGTAGTTGTTTTTGAGGACTTAGCCATAAATTCTTTGCTAAGGACAATGTAGAAAAGGGTATTTCCTAGGTTTTCTATAATTTTTATAGTTTGATGTCTTACATTTAAGTCTTTATTTAGTTCATCTTGAATGAATTTTTGTATATTATGATAGATAAGGGTTCAGTTTCACTCTTCTGCACATGACTAGCCAGTTATCCCAGCAACATTTATTGAATAGAAAATCTTTTTCCCATTGTTTATTTTTGTTGACTTTGTTGAAGATCTAATATTTGTAGGTGTGTAGCTTTATTTCTGGGTTCTCTGTTCTGTTCCATTGGTCTACATGTCTGTTTTTGTACTAGTACCATGATAATTTGGTTAGTGTAGCTTTGTAGTATATTTTGAAGTTAGGTAATGTGATGCCTCCAGTTTTCTTCTTTTTGCTTAGTTTTGCTTTGGCTATTTGGGCTCTTTTTGATTCCATATGAATTTTAGAATAGTTTTTCTAATACTGTGAAAAATGATATTGGTAGTTTGATAGGAATAGCATTGAATCTGTACATTGCTTTGGATAGTATGTACATTTTAACATATTGATTTTTCTAATACATAAGCATGGAATATTTTTCTGTTTGTATCCTCTATTATTTCTTTCAGCATTGTTTTGTAGTTCTCCTTTTAGAGCTGTTTCTCTTCCTGGTTATATGATTCCTAGGTGGCTTTTTTTTTGGTGACTATTATAAATCAGAGTGCATTCTTGATTTGGCTCTCAGCTTGAATGTTATTGTTGTATAGAAATGCTACTGATTTTTGTACATTGATTTTGTATCCAGAAACATAGTGAAGTCGTTTATCAGTTCTAGGAGATTTTTGGCAGAGTCTTTAGGTTTTTTTTTTTTTTTTTTTGGTATAAAATTGTATCATCGGTGAGGAGAGATAGCTTGATTTTTACTTTTTATATTTGGATGGCTTTTATTTCTTTCTCTTGCTGGTTGCTCTGAGTACGACTTCCAGTACTATGTTGAATGAGAGTGAAAATAGTGGGTATACTTGTCTCATTCCAGTTCTCAAGGGAAATGATTTCAGCATTTTCCTGTTCAGTATGATGTTGGCTGTCGGTTTGTCACAGATGGCTCTTAATATTTTGATATGTTCTTTTGACCTCTAGTTTTTTCAGGGTTTTTATCATGAAGGGATGCTGAATTTTATGGAAAGCTTTTTTATATCTATTTAGATGATTGTATGGTGTTCATTTTAAATTCTGTTTATGTGATGAATCACATTCATTGATTTGTGTATGCTTTTTTTTTTTTTTTTTTTTTTTTGGAAACAGGAGTTTCGCTCTTGTTGCCCAGGCTGGAGTGCAATGGCGTGATCTCAGCTCACCGCCACCTCTGCCTCCCAGGTTCAAGCGATTCTCCTGCTTC
The DNA here is from genome assembly GCF_000001405.40 of Homo sapiens. Taxonomy (NCBI): domain Eukaryota; kingdom Metazoa; phylum Chordata; class Mammalia; order Primates; family Hominidae; genus Homo; species Homo sapiens. The sequence goes on from NC_000007.14 coordinate 51,991,678, forward strand.
TCCCTCTCTAGTAGCTGGAATTACAGGCATGCACCACCATGCTGGGCTAATTTTGTATTTTTAGTAGAGACAGGGTTTCTCCATGTTGGTCAGGCTGGTCTCAAACTCCTGACCTCAGGTGATCTGCCCGCCTTGGCCTCTCGAAGTGCTGGGATTACAGGCGTGAGCCACCGTGTCTGGCAATTTGTGTATGCTGAACCATCTCTGCATTCCAGGAATAAGGCCTACTTGATTATAGTGAATTAAATTTTTGATGTGCTTCTGGATTCAGTTTACTTGTGCTTTCTTGAGGATTTTTACATCTATGTTCATCAAGGATATCACCCTGAAGTTTTCCTTTTTCATTATGTCTGCCAGGTTTTGGCATCAGGATGATATTAACTTCATGAAATGAATTAGAGAGGAATTCCTCTTCCTCGATTTTTTGAAATAGTTTCAATAGGATTGATCTTTGTATGTCTGGTAGAATTCAGCTTTGAATCTATCTGGTCGAGGACTTTTTTAGTTGGTAGTGTTTTTATGTTACTGATTCAATTTTAGAACTCATTATTGGTCTTTTCAGGGTTTCAATTTCTTCCTAGTTCAATTTGAGAGTTTGTGTGTTTCCAGGAATTTATCCACTTACTGTAGATTTTCTAGTTGGTGTTCATAGAGTTGTTCATGATAGACTCTGAGGATCTTTTGTATATCTGTGGGTCAGTTGTAATATCACCTTTGTCATTCCTGTTTGTGCTTATTTGGATATTTTCTCTTTTTTTCTTTGCTAATATACCTAGCAGTCTATCAATCTTGTTTATCCTTTAAGGAACAAGCTTTTTATTTTGTTGATTTTTTGTATGGATTTTTGGGTCTCAATTTCATTCAGTTCTGCTCTGATTTTAGTTATTTATTTTCTTCTGCTGGCTTTGGGATTAGTTTGTTCTTGTTTTTCTAGCTCTTCTAGGTGTGATGTTGGATGTTAATTTGAGATTGTTTTCACTTCTTGATGCAGTCATTTAACACTATAAACTTTCCTCTTATCGCTGCTTTTGCAGCACTTTAGGGGTTTTGGAATGTTCTGTGTCAGTTTTCATTAATTTCAAGGAATTTTTAAAATTTCTACCTTAACGTTACTGTTTACCCAAAAGTCATTTGGAAATAGGTTGTTTAATTTCCATGTAATTTTGTGGTTTTGAGATATCTTCTAGGTATTGATTTCTATTTGTATTTCACTGTGTTATGAAAGTATGCTTGGAATAATTTTGATTTTTTTGAATTTATTGACACTTTGCTTTATGGCCAAGCATATGATCAATCTTAGGGTATGCTTCATGTGCAAATGAGAAGAATGAATATTCTGTGGTTGTTGCATGGAGCATTCTATGGATGTCTATTATGTCTAGTTGATCAAGTGTCAAATTTAAAGCCAGAATATTTTTATTAATTTTTTATTTTTTTTTTATTTTTTTTGAGATGGAGTCTCGCTCTGTTGCCCAGGCCAGAGTGCAGTGGTGCAATCTCAGCTCACTGCAAGCTTTGCCTCCCGAGTTCATGCTATTCTCCTGCCTCAGCCTCCGCAGTAGCTAGGACTACAGATGCCTGCTACCACGCCCTGATAATTTTTTCTATTTTTAGTAGAAATGGGGTTTCACCATGTTGGCCAGGATGGTCTCGATCTCCTGACCTCATGATCCGCCTGCCTCAGCCTCCCAGAGTGCTGGGATTACAGGCGTGGGCCACCGTGCACAGCCTTTATTAATTTTTTGCCTTGATGATCTGTCTAGTGCTGTCAGTGGAGTGTTAAAGTCATCCACTATTATTGTGTGGCTGTCCAAATCTTTTCATAGGTCTAGAAGTACTTGTTTTGTGAATCTTGGTGTGTCAATATTGGGTAAATATATATTTAGGGTAGTTAAGTCTTCTTGTTGAACACTTTACCATTGTGTAAAGTGCCCTTCTTTGTGTTTTTGTTTGTTTGTTTGCAGTTGTTGATTTAAAGTCTGTTTTATCTGACATTAGTTTAGTGGCCCCTGCTCTTTTTTGTTTTCTGTTTCCATAAATCTTTCTCCATCCCTTTACATGTAATTACATGTGAGATGGTTCTCTTGAAGAAAAAGACGGTTGGGTCTTGTTTTTTTTTAATCCAATTTGCTATTCTATGCCTTTAAAGTGGGGCATTTGGACTGTTTACATTGAAGGTTAATATTGATATGTGAGGTTTTGATTCTTTCTTGATATTGTTAGCTGGTTGCTTTGTAGTTTCAATTGTGTGGTTGCTTCATGGGGTCTGTGAGCTATGTACTATGTGAGTTTCTGTGGTAGTGAGTATTGTTTTGTTTCCATATTTAGCACTCCCTTAAGGATCTCTTGTAAGGCTGGTCTAGTGGCAACAAATTCGCTTAGTGTTTGCCTGTTTGGAAAAGGTTTTATTTGTCTTGTGCTCATGAATGTTAGTTTGGCAGGATATGAAATTCTTGACTGGAATTTTTTTTCTTTAACGATGTTGAAAATAGGCCCCTAATCTGTTCTGGCTTGTAAGGTTTCTGCTGAGAATTATGCCGTTAGCATTATTGGGTTCGTTTTGTAAATGATTTTACCCTTTTCTCTAGCTGCCTTTAAGATTTTTTGTGTATGTGTTGACCTTGGAAAGTCTGATAACTATATCTTGTGGATGGTGGTCTTGTATAATATCTTGCAGAGGTTCCTTGAATTTCTAGAATTTGCACATCAACCTCTTTAGCAAGATTGGGGAAAATTTTCCTAGACTATAGCCTCAAATATGTTTTCCAAGTTGCTTCCTCTCTCTCCTCTCCCAGGAATGCCAATCAGTCATAGGTTTAGTCTGTTTACATAATCCCATATTTCTTGGATGTTTTGTTCATTTTTTAACATCTTTTTTTTTCTTTATTTATATTTGACTGGGTTGATTCAAAGAACCAGTCTTTTAGCTCGAAAATTCTTTTCTCAGCTTGGTCTAGTCTTGTTAAGGCTTCCAAATATATTTTTGAAATTCCTGTCATAAATTTGTAAATTTCAGAAGTTCAGTTCAGTTGTTTGTTTAAATGGCTATGTTGTCTTTCAACTCTTGGATCATTTTTCTGGCTTCCCTGGATTAGGTTTCAACTTTCTTTTGAATCTTGTTGAGTTTCTTTGCCATTCAAATTTTGAATTCAATATCTGTCATTTCGGACATTTCAATTTGTTTAATATCCATTGCTTAGGAGCTAGTACAATTTTATGGAGGTAAGCAAACACTCTGACTTTTTGAATTGCTGGAATTTTTGAACTGATTGCTTCCCATCTGAGAGGGCTGGTGTCCCCTTATCTTTTTGAAGTTGCTGTCATTTGTAACAGACTTTTAGTTTTTATGTTCTTTTTTCCCTTGAGAGTTTGACTGTATTGTATGTGTATATAGTCTATTGACTTCATTTCTGGGTGTTTTCAGAGTATCAAGACTCTATACAGTTTTCTTAATTGTGGCTACTCTCCTGCATTGGATTTCATAGGCAGTGTGTGCTAATGGAATTTATTTTTGTTTGGTAGTGTAATTCTGGTTATGATTAAGATTAAGATTAAGGGCCGTCAGATAGGCTGTCATTCAGCCATGTGCCTCATTTGTATTTCAGTGCTTACACAGCTGTACTCTGGGGAAGGAGGAAGGGAGTCTGTTCCTGAGCCTTGGGTGAGCCTCCACCAATCACTGGCAACATGCTCATGTTTCATCAGCCCTATGGGGGGCTCTGGAATGTTGCACTCCCCCCTTCCATAGGGGCAGCCCCAGCCAACGCTTAGGTCACCAGAAGGCCCAGGACTCCCCAGGGACCCTCTGGTCCTCTGAGCTTGGCAGAGTCAGAGTAGGTTGTGGTGAATATCTGCAGGTGGTCTGGTGATACTGTGGGCCAAGGGCAGAGGATCTCCAGGAAGGGCAGTGGTACCGTGGATGTGTAGCTGGTGTGGTATCTGCAGCCTGAGATTTTTTTTGCCCAGAAGACTGCACTGGGGACTGCCCAGCTCAAACTCCCCAAACTAAGTCTTCCTCCAGTATCTACCCCACGAGTAAGCCAGACCAGCTAGTTTCATCCCCAGCCTTCTGTGTCCAGATCACAGTGGAGCTGTTCCAGGCATTACAGGCTGCAGTGCTTTATCAGGAAGAAGCTGCAGCTGGCTGACAGGCTATATCCTCCCCAGATCAGTCTTCTGGAAGGGGGTGGTGTCCAGCTCCCATGCCAGTGCATGAACTTGTGCCTCACTCTTAGTGTGCTGAGAGTGGGCACTGCTCTTCCACTCGAGGCCACAGATTTCATCTCACCCCTGGGCAGTGTGCTCAAATGCTGGGAGTTTGGGTCTAGGCCTGTGGCTTTGTCCTCCATCCCCTCAAGAGCAAGCACTGGCTGTACTGGCTGTACTGCAGGGGGAGGGACAAAGTGTTCTCAGGCCACTGGCTAAACACTCAGCAGTGCCAGGAGAGGTGGTGCTATGTGCACCCTCTTTGGAAGTGGCCAGGCAGGGGTCTTGAGAGGTGCTGGTGGAAAAGGGGACCCACAGATTAGATGTGCCCCAGTCCCACAGGAATGGAGCAGCCCTGCTCCCTCCCAGCCTGGCTGTCCTCAGGAGCTATAGTCACTCACAGCACAACGGAAAACCTTGAAGGATGGGTGCCTGTGGTCACGTTTTGCTTTGGCTGCCCTGCACACAAAACCTTCTGGCCTCTGTGCATGTTCGAGCTCTGCCTATGCCTACTTTCTGGGCAGTCCCCCCTGCTAATTCAAATCTCTATGGAGGTTTGTAGGGTATCCTGTAGCTAGGATCCTGGAAGTCCATGGTGGGAGTGTGGTACCCTGGAGTTCTTTCATTCACCCCTTACTTAGAACCTGTTCAGGACCTGGAGCTAGTCCTGGCACTTGGTGACTCCATGAAGGGTTCCTAGATTTCTCCCTCTTCAAATTCAGTATCCGTGTCACTTCTTGACTTTGACTGTGTTATCTCAAAAGATCTGTTTGAGTGTAATGATTTACTTGATATTTTGGTTTCTCAAAGTGGGAGAGGCTTTCTTGGCTGTGTCTAGTCAGCCAGCTACTTTTTAATATATTTTAACAAGCAAGTTAAAATCCTAATAAAAGTTTTTTTACTTGGGAGAATTTTAAACAAGTTAGAAAATACTGTATTCAAGTTATTTAGTGTGAAAATATTAGTATTTTTGTAGTTTTCACATGTCATTTTGGCAACAAAGCCACATACAGTGAAAATATTTCCAAATAACTGTTCACAAAATGCAGTTTATTTCTCACATTTTACATAACTTACAGACACAGATTAAAACAAGTTTTTAAAATTTAAAAATGTCTGCTACATGTGTGACTGATGGTCCACATATCATAGCAGAAAAAGTGACGTAATTTCAAAACAAAAGACAGGATCGTGTAAAAGGAAGATTACTACCTCATCTTCATGTCCTAAGCCTCTTCCCAGTAGTTTGTCATGAAGAAACCTTTGAACCTTTGCATGGTTAAAATAAAAATATCTTCATGACCTTTTCCTATCATATTACAATGTGAAGTAAACAGAGCAATATATTTAGAAGCCTTGATTTTATTAAATTAATATTTTATACTACATTGTGCTCTTCTGTTGTCTTCAGCTTCTGTACATCAATACCTTGACTCATGTGACATGGCCTAACTGGCTGTTCACTACATAAGTGTGCTATTCTATTAATGAAAATAGTGAGATTAACTATTCAAACCTCTATAAGAGTTTGTTAATTGCCTTTTTGTGACTGAGTCCTAGCCAATGAATCTGCCCAGAAATGACTTGCTTGACTTCCAGATATGGCTTATAGAAACCTGTCAATCTCAGCATTTCTCTTCTTACTGGGCCACTGATGGTAAAATGGAAAATCACATATAGAAAACGGGGTAGGGGGGCAAAAGTTGATAAAAGACTTCATTTTGCCACTAGACAGAATAATGCCCATCCCCTTTAAATGACGTTCACATTCTAATTTTTAGAACCTGTGAATATGTCAGGTTGCATGAGAAAGCAGAGTAAAGGTTGCAGAGGTACTCAAGATTGCTAATTCACTGATATTGTGCTGTGGAGATTGTCCTGGATTATCTAATTGGATCCAATTTAATCATGAGAGTGAGTAAGAAAGACTCAACAAGCCACTGATGGCCTTGATGATGGAACAGAGGCCACAATTCAAGAAATGTAGGCAGCCTCTCGAAGCTAAAAAAGGCAATGACCATTTCCCCTGAAGACTTCAGAGGGAATATAGCCCTGCTGACACAGTGATTTTAACCCATTGAGACCTATTTTGGGCTTTTGACCTCTACAACTGTAAGCTAACAAATCTGTGTCATTAGAAGTTACTAAGTATGCAGTAATTTTTTAGAGCAGCCATAGGAATCTAACACAACCACACACTTTGTATCTACTCTCCACTTTTGTATACACCAATACATTTGGGAGTCATTTTAATACTTCAACTAAATTAGAAAATGATACTTTGTGGTGTGTTTCTGCTTTTGCATAGAACTAAATTCTTGGGCATTGTCTTAACAAATCTACATTTAGCATTGAGCTCAAATGTCTTCACAGGCTGGAACCTCAATGATCAATGTGCAGTGGAAGCATATTTGGTTGAGCTGTAGCCAGCGATAACTTGGCAAGTGGACCATATGCCTGATCAACCTGCAGCCTTAAGTGAAGGGGTGGGAAAGAGCCAGTGCATGCGCTTTGACTATCGTTAGGTGCCCTTAGCATAGAATTGTAAAAAAGAAAAAGTTTAGACAAAAATAGATGGCATGCCAAGCAGAGATCAAAGAAAATAAAGAGTCCAAAGATCAAGGGGCTATACATTGGAAAGGTTGACTGTTTCTGGAATCCTATTCATAAGATAAAGACTAAACAAGGCTTTGAGTGACAGGAAAGAAAATCTTGGTTTAAAAAACTGAACCTTATAGCAGAGATTAGAATATGGGTGTGTTATTTCCTTTCAAGTCTATTTTTTAGATGCCTTTAGGGTGAATACTACTTAGGATAAAGAGAGACAGAGATAGCGATGAACAGATAGAGAAAGAGAAGGGCAGAGGAAAGTAGATCTGAGGCTATGTTTAGAAAAAACAAAAGCAAAAATAGTAGTTATGTTTACTGGCACATAAAATTAAAACCAACTACAAGCAAATTAATCAGAAACTCACAAAGTGCTTGAGAAAATTGTATTGCTAAATAATCCTCATTCCTGTGGACATGAACTTAAAAAAAAAAGAATCCAGGAGCCTCTACACAAATAAAGCAAGCAAAATAATTTATTATTTGAGGTTCAAAACAACACCGCATCCTCTCTCCACCACAAGGAAGTGGGTTGTGAAAGCCTTGCAGCCCCAAGTCAGGGCACCCTCCTTGCTGCCCCTTCAGATGAGCCCATGTAGGATAACTGGCTGAAGGAGAACTTCCCAGGGAGGAGAGCCAAGAGGACAGTGGACACGAGGGTTCCTTCAGAAGACAGAACCAGAGTCTTGTCAGGGACTTTTCCCATTCTCAGGACAGTGCCTTCCTCATAACTGCCCTGCAGGAAATTATAATTATGCCAACTGTAAATGCCGTAATGCTGTCTCTGATTTTTTTCCTTTTACAATGGAATCTTCATTCGGATTCCTCTCCCTGCTACACCAATGTTTTGGTGTACATTGGTTCACAGATCATCACACCATGAGGACCTGCATTGGGAACAGTAGAGAAGAGTCTACAACACCTGGAAATTCTAGATCTTAAGCTCCATGCAGCGATTGGATATAACTGTGTACTCTCTCACATGGGGAAAGGATGGGAGATTTCTGTGTGTGGTAAGAGGGCAAACATAAGTAGTTGGGGATGCATGAGGTAGATTAGGACATTGCATAGATGTTTGCAAAGGCATTTACTCTTTTATCATTTTTTTTTTGAGACCGAGTCTTGCTCTGTTACCCAGGCTGGAGTGCAGTGGCACCATCTCAGCTCACTGCAACCTCCACCTCCCAGGGTTCAAGTGATTCTCCTGCCTCAGCCTCCTGAGTTTGACCCCCAAAATGACCCCCTGAATAGCCGGGACTACAGGCACCCACCATTATGCCCAGCTGATTTTCGTATTTTTAGTAGAGACAGGGTTTCACCATATTGGCCAGGATGGTCTCAAACTCCTGACCTCAGGCAATCCACCTGCTTTGGCCTCCCAAAGTGCTGGGGTAGCAAGTGTAAGCCACCGTGCCCGGCCTACTCTTTTATCTTGGTCAGCTAGAGTCATGTCCTGACCACTTTTGCAGTTAGGTATGGATTTGGACTGGGTTTAACAAGAATTGATGCTGTGATCACTTCCATGTTTCCTTCTTTTTTTTTTGTCTTAATGCTCTTGAGCACAGAAATATTAGATGTCACATATGGGAGATGGCAGATCCGCATGATGGAAATTAACTGGATTCTGTAGTTACTCTACAGAAGGCTGACTGTTGACCAAAAGGACCTATAATGGACTTATAAATGAATTAAAAAAAACTGATATGATGTAATGGGGTTCAGCCACTGAAATTTTGGTGTTTCTTTGTTATAATCAGCCAGCATTTCTTAAACCAATATATCCTTAAATGTGGGAATAAAAACATTTTTTATCTGATGCCATCCTTACAATCTTAGCCTGAAATTATTATAATTTTTTTCTATTTAAATATTTTTTGGTTTCATTTTGGCCAAAGCAGTTGTTCCATGATAAACTAAGATCACATGTGTTTAACATGATTTAACAATTGGAGTATTTTCTGTTTTATTTTTTGGCATAGCTTTGATACTAAGTTTTTATATGTCTTGGTAATCATGCTGAATTTATCCTACTATTAGCAAGTAAGTCCAGGGACAAAGTCAGGAAGGCTCATTGTTAATTAAAGCAGTATGAAGTAATGGTCCATAAATGTGGTTATAAATACATGTACTATATTTGTTAAATTTATGAAATTTATAGACATTTCCTATACACCAAAAATCTCAAGAGGTTGACATGAACAAAAACATTAATTTAGTTGTGGGAAAAGGAAAGCAAAAGTAAGTTTACCAGAGAAAGATCTTAACTGCAGAATCCATTTCTGCTATCTTTGCCTCTATTCTATTTCTGTTTATTTTTATGTAAAATTCTGTCCTTGAAATCTTAGTATTTAATTTACTTTGTGTTAGTAATAATTTATGTTTATAATAAATAAGTAAAGCTTAATTGTCAGAGTTAGATTTCTTGACATTTGTGTTTTTATGTCTCATCTGTGGTTGTAACAGACATCTGGTGTGCAGAAACTAAACATGGTGTGACCCAATCAATTCAGTGGCTACTAGTGAACATTAGAGTATTGAGGTCCCATGGAATCATGGAGATTATATCTACCCCAAGTGCAAATGTTTTCTTATGAGAAAGCCAACTAAAATAATTCTCAATTATTGTATTTATGTTGTTAAGAAGGGATGAAATATGAAGGAAGGTTGAAAGAGTTTGCAATTAACAATTTGGAGAGAAGACCATCATTATATTACAACGGTTTTCTAACTTTTATAAGACAAGCTGGCTTTATGCCTTCTACCTTGAAGCCCAGTATGCCCAAGGAAAGGGAAGTCAGTCTCTAATAGAGCTGATACTGCCCACCCTTACAACACAGACAGGATTCAAAGCAACTGAAAACAATCTGTCTAAGAATACAAATGAAACATAGGAAATATTAAAATCTCTCCAATAAATGCAATGAGAAACATCAAACATATTGATCAAGGTAGCCAAAACACAAGACCAGCTACATAATTTGCAGGACCTAATGCAAAATGAAAACGTGAGATCCTTTGTACAAAAATTATTAAGAATATTGACAGTGACAACATAGCATTAAACCAAGTGTGAGCCCTTCCAATGACAAAGCCTTGTGATACTGAGCATACCCACATCTATGAAGCTAGTGGGCCAGATTAGGGAAGAGTCAGGATTTGAGGTAGCTTCTTATTTATGTGATCATTCTTTAATTCACTTATTCATCTATCACTTGAGAGTTAAGGAAATAACTTCAGCTCTTGTGTAACTTAAATTGTATGAAAAATCAGATGATTAAAAAATGTATAATATATCTGGTGGTGATAAGAACCAAAAGAAAATTAAGCAGTGTGAAGGGATAGAAAGATGATGTTTGCTGGCTGTATTTTGGAAACTGTGTCCTAGAAAGTCTTTCCTCTAGGTGAGATTTGAGTGGAGACTCAGATGAACGGACAGGTCAAGCTAGATGTCTATCTGTGGATAGAGACCTCCAGGTAGAGGGAAAAGTAAGATCCACTTTTCTGAGTGGTGTCCTTTTTTGAGTCTTTCAGGAACAGCAAGGTGAGGACATGACCAAATGGGAAACAGCAGGAGAGGAAGGTGAAGTGATATTGGCAGAGGAGGGGACATGGAGACCATATGGGGGTTTGAATTTTCTAATGAGTAACTCATACAGGAGGGTTTTGTGCAGAGAAATGCCATGATCTGCCTTATAACCTGAAGACTGATTTGGCTAATGAGTGGAGAAGAGCCCAGAGTAGGGCAAGTTCTTACCGAAGCAAACTGGGGTCTGCTCGCCTGGTGCAGTAAAACCAAACATCCACACGGAGGTCTGCAGTGGGAGAAAGGCATTCATTTATTTGCAAGACTCCAAGCAAAGACAATTACACAGCTCATATTTAAGACTTGACCTCCACACTAGCTCACAGGTTAGGATTTTTAAAGGCAGGGCTAAATTTCAGGAAAGCAGAAGCAAGATGCAAAATTGTAAATCAATACATGGTGATTAAACATTGATTTTGGCCTAAAAGGGCAAGATATCTTGAAGCAGGGTGTTACAGGTTATAGATAGATTCAAAGATTTTCTGATTTGCAATTGGTTAAGGAAGACAAACTTTATTTAAAAATTTGGGGTCAGCAGAAAGATAATTTTAGCTCTGGCTCATGGATGTTACTTCCTTCTGGCCCCTCAGGAAGAAATTTAGAACAAAGAACAACGGTCAGAGTTCAGGTCTCAGCTCCCCCTTTCAGAGGTCTACATGCCAGTGGGTTCATTTGATGGGTGTCCAGGTTTCTGAAAAACAGCTCAGAGACCCATGTTAAGATGTTATCTTTAGTTTCTATAGGTAAACAAACATTTTGTGGCTCTGCTTTAAGCTATTATTAACTTCTTGCTTATCAAGTTGTTTATATACTTCTCAAGGTTGGATAGATGCTTTGAATTTCCCTTGAAGGAACTCAAGATTTTCCTTTATTTCATGCCTGTGCGGGATTGGGGGGCCAGGGGTGAGGCAGGCCCCTAAGGGAGATCCTTGCTTCATCCCAATGCGTGGAAGCAGGAATAAAAATAGAAAGCTCAGGTAATAGTACAGGAGAAGAATGTGGCTTGAACTAGGAGAGTAGGGGTATTGATAAAAGAAAGAATTTGGTTCTGAGCATATTTCAATGATAGAAATCAGGATTTCCTGATTGTTTGGATGTGGAGTATAAAAATAAGCCAGGAGGTTTAAAGTGTTGGACATCCACAACTATAGAATGGAATTACCTTTTTCAGAAATGACCTTACAATTTTCTAAAGAGTAATAGGAAAAGAAGTTAAGAATTTTGTTTTGGGTAAATTGGTTTTGAGATGTCTCATAAATTTGCAAACGAAAATGTTATACATAGATTTAGAAAATAATGTTTAAGTTGTGGGAAGAGTTTGTGACTGGTGGAGGGACCGTGGAGAATTTAGGGCCTAGATATTGAAGTGATAACAAAGAACTGGATATAACCAGAGAAGAGAAAGAGGTAGGGAGACTGAACCCTGGGAAATACTAATTGGCATCAGATTGATCAAGGCAATCAGCAAAGAACAAGATTTTAAAATGCCCAGTAAAATAGGTGGAGGAAAATAAAAAGAGTGGTGTTCCAGCTGTCAAGTGAAGCAAAACTTTCAAGTAGGAAAAACTGATCCACTGTCAAATGCCGCTGGTGGAGTGAATGAGATGAAGGCTAAGAAATCTTCATATTGTTTTGCAATACGAATCCCATGGGCAACCTTGATTGATGACTCATTTAGGTAATAAGGTAGTAAGAGAAAAGCAGAAGACATTGCACAAAGATATGCAATTAGAATGAGCAGAGGATAAAGTGTATAGGTTTATAGTGTGTAATCTCAAAGAAGAAAGTTGAGGAAATTGCCAATATAAAATATATAACCAACGGAAAGAATTAAGATAATATAATTTCTAATGTGCATATGGCTTATGAGTATTGGCTTATGCTAGATGCTGTGTGTGTAGCACACATAGCCCCAAAAGAAGTTAAGTAACATTATCCCCATTTTTCAGATAAGATACTAAGTCCTGAAAGGCTTTCCCCCACGCCTGAGGTATTGGGGCTGTTATTAGCACTGTAGTCAGGTTCCGCGCCCTTGTAGTTTCCACTTGCAAGCCCAAGGCCATCATAACACGTGATCGCATTGTAAAATAAACATTTCTCAGAATCATATCTTCATGCTTTTCCATTACCTCAATCACACAAATATCTGTTGAATTTGGAATATTTAAAGAAGCATTAGGAAACTGGAATTGAGAGAGAGAAATAAAGCATAGTGGTAGACATGCATTAAAAATAAAAAGACTTTTGAAAGATGTAATCTTGGGACAAACAGCAGAAGGTGAAAGTGAGTCTCCAAGTTGACTGCCCTTATCATCAAGGAAGAGGGCACAGAATTCAGAGAGCTGGAAGGAAGGATGTGAAATCCTGTGGTCTCCCCTGTCCTGACACATCAGATGTGCTCCAGAAGAAAGTGGGAAGACCAGGGGTATAACCATGATACCCAACAGCATTTGAGAAGGTTAAATGGAGATGATGAGGCATTGGGATCATTCTGTCTTCAGAACTAATAATGGATGTGGAAAATGGAAATGAGTGGGTAGAGTGACTGTTAAAACCATAAAGGTACAGTTTTTATAGCTATGGGCAAGAGTATGTCAGTGGAGAATTGGTTTCAGTTGCTTCCCTGATGGTTTTTTAGCTAAATATCTTAGAGACCTACAAGGCACAATCTGTTAGCAACTAACAACACTGAATTATTAGTAAATTTTCACTAGCTTGGTCCTGGTGGAGGTAGCTACTAGAAGTCAATCTAAGCAAATAACAGGAAACAAAAAACACAGAACAAAATTGTAAGTGATTTCAGATGATAGCTCCAAGGTTCTGGATTTCTAGTCCCCACAGCAAGAGTGAACTGACTTTAGATGAGCTCAGATCCTTTGGTTTTACATTCACGGGAAATAAAACCCCTACATTAAGCTCATGATTCTTGGGATGGGGGTTAATTGGATGAGACTAAACAAATTCTATATAATTTTGGAAGGTGCTAAAAGTTAAAATATAAATAATGTATCTTATGCTGTCTACAATTATAACTCTTCTCACAAATATTGCTGCTGCAAACTTTTTTTCATCAAATGGATACTGCCTTGTGATGCTGTGTCAACAACTGGGATTTTGTATGAAATTCACATTGAAGTTGAACTTGCACCTACAGAGACCTGTCAATCTCTCCACACTTCATTTCTTGCCATTATATTCTGCCCACATTGTTTTTATTTATTTATTTATTTATTTATTTATTTATTTATTTATTTAAGTTGAGGCAGGGTTTTCTCTGTTGCCCAGGCTATAGTGCAGCGGTAGGATCACAGCTCATTGCAGCCTCAACCTTCTGGGCTCAAACAATCTTCCTACCTCAGCATCTCAAGTAGCTGGTACCAAAAGCATGTGCCACTATGCTGGCTAATTTTAAAAAAATTGTAGAGACAGGGTCTCACTATCATTCCCAGGCTAGTCTTGAACTCTAGGGCTCAAGTGATCTTCCCTTCCTTGGCTTCCCAAAAGGCTGGAATTACAGGCATGCATCACTGCACCTGACTGTCTTTGATGGCTCATTTTCTTCCTATTCCTTTGCATTGCACCATCTGGAATCCCTGTATCACTGCAAATAAATTGTCCAGCATTGCTGACTCTTAAAAGCATCCTTTTCAGGGAGCAACTCAGCCTGTGGAAGCAGAGAGGGTCTGGATTTGCAATTATATATGTGGTGTAATTAACCCCACGTGGTGTGTAATTAACCCCACGTGGTGTCTCTCCTCCTCCCACCTTTCCTGCAAACTCAACATTAACGCTATGCACTGTGTATGTTGCTCCTGTGACTGTAGTGGGCATAGAAAGTTGGCTGAGAGCTATTTCACTCTACCCCTTCCAACCTTCACGCATGGCTCATTTTACTTCTTTGTCTTAATGAAAGTGTAATCCTTCCCCCCACACACCCAAATAATTCCTGTAGTTCCCAAGATGGTAGGCTTCTTGTTCTCCTAAGGCCCAATGATTATAAAATGCTTTTATGAGGTGATCATTCTTCTACTTCCACCTTTCCCTACCTATTATTATTTCAGTTAAGGGGTGAAATGTATGTGTTGTGTGGTTCATGTCATCCGCACAAAGCACTGTGCTAATAAGTGGTTTCCCCCATATGTTGACAATGTTGTAACCTAAAGTCTCATTTTTACCCATGCTGGACCTTGCATCACCACTTGTTACTTTGGTGCCCAAGGTGATAGCATCTAGAAACCTCAACCTCACAGCTGCTTAATCCCCCCATTTCAGAATCCTTAACTCATCAGACCGCAGTCTCACAGCTCTCCAGGACTGGATGATATCACAGCTGGATGTCTGGTGGGAACTGGCCCATAGTAAAACTCTTTACCACCCTTATTTAACTCACTTCACACAATCCACTGTTCTTTTTCTTCTCCCACTCTCATTCCTGGCTCTTTTCTTCAGCTTCTGAAGGACTTCAAACACCTGATTTTCTTATTTCTCCCAATCTTTCACTAACATATGAACTTCATTTTTCATTCTGAAGAAAACGTGGGCTTAAAGATGGACAACCAATAAAGTGAGAGATTTTCAAGGCAGGTCAAAGAGAAATAAATATAGAAAGTGTAAGAAGGCAAAGGGGGAACATGATAGGCATTTTCACCATCTGAAACAATATTAGACAGAAAAAGAGGTGAACATTGTTTCATAAGCCCCTGCAGAGCACTCCCTAATCACAGTTCAGAGATTTGTTTGCACAGACTGTACAGGTATTTTACAAAGTAGAGAAGGATCAATACTGTATTTAAATAATAACTTTCCTTTCCTGAGGACAAGAGTTTACTTGTTGGTTTATTCGTTTGCTTGTTTTGACCACTGATGATCCTTAGCACTAGCATGGTCCCTGCCCAAAGGAGGCAATAAATAAACACATGTTAATGAATGTATGGATGAAAGAATGCATGAATATGTTTTTTTAAAAAGTGAAACAAGCTACTGTGCTAGGAACTGTGCATACATCACCTCTGATCTTTTAGTACAGCAGCTCAAATGTGCAGCCGTTTTTGGTACATCATTAATAATCATGGCAATTTTACTCCCAGAGGAGTCTGCTGCACACGTGGTATGTGTTGAAGCAGAAAACAATTTGAGAGAGAGAGCTGCTCCAGTGGGTAGATCTAGGACCAAAAGATTAAAAATAGTGGAAGATAAGCTCTAATTTGATATAAAGAAGAGCCTTCTAACCATTAAAAAAACTTTTTTTTTTTTTTGGATGTAGAGAGAAAAAAAAATTGAGCCAGATGGCTGAAAATCAAATATATTAATTTTCATGATAATTAGGTATTAGGTCTTTACAATATAGAGACTTTTCCTCCAATGATTTCTACTTCCAAAAAGTTGTCCTTGAAGCTGCAGAGGTACTAAAATGTTGGGAGGAATGGAGTCGGCCAATGATCTCCAAGGCCTCTGGGCTGGACCTGTGCTTCATGCAGTGGACAGCAGGCCAGTTCAGATCTGCCTTCAAGTGATTCCTCACTTTAACACTTACATCTTGATTCTCATCTCTGCCTTGTCTACAGTCTTAATAGGAAACTTAACAAATGGGAAAGAGTCCAAATAAAGTTAATGTGATCAGAGGAAGGTTCAGTTTAGGACCTTCTCCAATTTGACTAGAGAGAATTCTGGAGGGAGCCATAGTGGGAAATCTTAGGTCTTCAGAAGGCAGCGTGGATGAGGCTGGAAGTGAGAAGGGGTCAAGGAAGAAATCTAGCAAGGCTGGGAAACACGACAAATTTCCTTTATAAATTTGCCTGGGATCTAATTAGCAAAGAAACCTCAGGTCCCACATATAGCAAGGAATTTCCTAAATTAGAAGAGATCTTACGTCAACCTAATGCATATTTTATAAATGAGCATATTCAGGCACCAAAAGTGTAAATATATTTCTCAAGTTTACTGGACAATTATATGGAACCCAAGTCATCTGGTATGTTTGTTTGTTCTTTTCACACTGTTTCTCTATGTGGGCTGTTGAATAGTTTCTGATTGTGCAGTAGATATTTGAATTACCATATCTGCCGTGGCCAAATTTCATCAAAATATCCAAAGCAGTAATACTATTTTTTAGAGTCTTCGACATAAACATTTTAGATGTTTGACCTACCCTTTTTGAAATCCATAATCCTCATGACTCTCAGATCCTGAACATATTGAAGAAAAGGAAACATTTCTTTATATAAAAATAGCAAAAAATGAATGGAAATACTAATGACCATATATGGCAACTGTCAATCATAAAATAATGTAAAGTAGTAATTATCTGTTATAGGTTTATCACTGTCATGGCCCATGACTATCTTCTGAGGTCATCAGTGAAACAGTTTTTGAAATTAATGGAGCATCCCCAAGTGTGCAGAACATTTTGTTTGATCATTTGATTGTTTCGTCTCACTTAATTTCCATGTCAAACTATGAGGTAGATGTTGGTTCCAAAGGAGGCAACCAGGGCTCCCAGAGTATAAGTGACCAACTCATTGTCACACAGACAGCCTGGTGCAAGGATTCCAAGCGTATCTGATGCTAGTGACGAGTCACACTTCTGTAGTAATTTGAACTCCTCACTTGTGAATTGTGGGAGGATCCTGCCATCCCGAGTACCTGCCTATGAAACTGCTGTGGGTCTGAGTGGGCCTGGGAAGTGTTTTACTTGTTTGCTCCCAACTTCAGATTGGGAGTCAGCTCCATTCAGAAAGAGCTTTGAGGATCCTTGCATTCAGTCCTGTTTGTCAACATCCTGTTCTTTTTCTATGCAGAAAAACAGGAGGTGCTGGGGACCAAGTGTTTGGCTTTAAATGCTCAAAGGGAGAGTCATGTCAAAGGAATATGAAAACAGGTGAGAATTCCAGAATTCAGAGACGAGCTGACCCCTCCAGCAGGAAGGCATCTTCAATTGTCTCTCCTTTGTTCTTCCCACTCATCACCCTGATTCTCTGGCTCTGCTCTTTTCCTACTGATCTCCTGTTGGCCCTTCCCTGTCTTCTTGGTCTCTCTCCGTCTCCCACCTTCTTCCTCATTTTCTCTGAATTACCTTTCCTTTCAGGTGCATTATGGCCATTGCATCCTACTGAGGCAGGCACTTTTTGAGGAGGGTTGGCAATTCATGCTGGATCCTGCCTCTGCTCAGTTTCTGTAGCATTCCAGCTTCCTGCTTCAAGCTCATCTCTGCATGTTAAGTATGGCTTGAACTTTTCCCCTCTTTCAAAATTGTTGTTTCTTCCAAATGCTCATAAGCACTTCTAACCACTTACAGTATGTTTTGATTTGCCAGCTGTTTCTTCCTGGCACTCATAGAAGGTTCCAGCCATCTGCTTGCCAAGTAGAAAAAGGGAACGTAAAAATATGCTTTTCCTCCAGCAACACACATACTTTAACCTCTATTTCTAACCTTGCCCTCCAATCCAGCCACTATGAGATGCAGAGCATATCTTTATATATCCTTCTCAAAATGGCAAAACATAACAGTACTTGGTTCCCACATAAAGGAAATAAATTACAAAGAAACCATGCTCTGTAGCCATGGTGTGTGTGTGTGTGTGTGTGTGTGTGTGTGTGTGTGAAGCCAGGAAGGAACTGAGCAGTTGTTAAGCTGCACAGTAAGAACTGGGAGGGAGAGCAATAGTCTTTACTTTGAGATTTGACATTATTCTCTCAGTCTTTGGGATCTGGTTTGGAATACGGGGAAGAGCTAGAGGAGATGAGCTTTGGATTTGTAAGCTCTTTTGAGGCCTCCAAAGGCTATAAAGATAGAAGCGTGCACCTTGGAGGTCTAGACTTGCATAGGAAATTCTTCTGTTGCTTAACCTTTTTAAATTATCAATTACTTCATCTATAAAATAGAGATGACAATGTTTATGTCCAATGCTTGCTAAATGAATTCAGGGAGAAAATATGTTTGTAGTATTTGGCTGATGATATGAAAGATTTTGTACAGTGTGAGCTCCAGAAAGGCAATTATCTTAACTAAGAAAAAATGTTCAGAGAAGATTTTAATGTCATGAAATATTCAATTGTACTTAACACAGGTATCTATGCATAGTCTTCAGTTTTTATGGAATGCAGAATCTCTTTGAGGAGCATCAGACCATCTCTTCAACTGTTACTCAGAGATGGACCTATCTAATGGGTATTCAGGCCTTCAGCACAGTGGATGGCTCAACCGCAAAATACACCCTGCAGATGACAGTAAATTGCTGTCCTTGTTTGGGTTGGCACTGTCCTTAGACCTGGGCCCTGTGCTGCAGAAGGCAAAGAGCCACCTTTCTATGGCTGTACCCTTGCCCAAGGGGGATGCAGCAGCAATGCCAAGGAGACATGCTGTCCCCACCATTCTAGGTCACACTATGGGAATCCAAGACACTGAAGTTTCCTCTTCCGGGGCTGTGCAATGTGGTGGGTGTGAACACTCTTATCCAGAGAGCTGAGAGCTGTGGATGGAACTTGGCAATGAGGGCCACTGTGTCCAAAATGTAAATGCATCCCCCTTGTCAGGAACAGGAGAAAGCAAGGTGAAAAAGTATGGCATGGGTTGGGTGTGCCCACTTGGTCTTTCTTCGAAACTCACAGATACTGAGGAGGAAGTCATGGGCCAGGCCACTGTCATCCTCAAATGCACCATTTTCCTAACTAAAACTGGTTTTCCTGGTTTCCTTCAGTCCATTCTCTGCATAGAAGCCAGAGTGATCTTTTAAAAGTAAAATCAGATCAAGTTGCTATCAGCCTAAAATCCATCAGAGTCCTTTGTAATGAGAAGGAAATCCACACGCCTCACCACACCTGCAGGGCCCTGCCCACCCATCTCTCCTCATCCTGTGACTTTCTCCCTGTGCCTTGGACTCTGCCTCCCTGCCCTTCTCTTGTCCTTCGTTGCACAAATCTCATTTCTCTCTCAGTCTTTGCACCTGCAGTTCCTCTGCTCTTGCCCTGTATCTTCACGTGGCATTTGATTCCAATCTTTTAGGTCTGCTCCTTAGATAGACCTTCCACCCCCCTTCCAAATCTTCATTAGTCCTTCTTCTTACCATAATTAATGTTTGGGAAAAACATTTTAAAATTATATCGTCTACTGTTACATTTACATACATATGTCTACCTCCCTCCATTAGAGTGCAGCGGGGAACTTGGATGCTTTGTGAACATTTTGTCCTCATCTATGGCAGTCTCTGGCTCTCCATGGGCATTATTGCATGACTGACTTGAAGGCTCTGAAGGACACTTGACATAAGAGGGATGTTACTGGGATTTCAAGAGAACCGGCCAGGAGTGGTGGCTCATGCCTGTAATCCCAGCACTTTGGAAGGCCGAGGCGGGAGGATCACCTGAGGTCAGGAGGTCAAGAGCAGCCTGACCAAAATGACAAAACCCCATTTTTACTAAAAATACAAAATTAGTTGGGTATGGTGGTGGGCATCTGTAATCCCAGCTACACGGGAGGCTGAAGCAGGAGAATCACTTGAACCTGGGAGGAGGAGGTTGCAGTGAGCCGAGATCGCGCCATTGCACTCCAGCCTGGGTGACAAGAGTGAAACTCCATCTCAAAAAAGAAAAGAAAAAAAATAATTGCCACATATGCAGAATGACTCCAATGCAGCACACCTGGAAGTGGGCGGGAGTGAGGGTCTGTATTCCACTTGAGGGCATTCCTGCCCCCGAACCCCAATTTGGAACCACTGATGCAGCATCCTGGGGGAGAAGCTGTGATGTAAAGATAAGATGGGCTGTGAGGAGAAATGAAGCAGAAAGAGCTGGGGATGCGGGCATTGCCCTCTTTTATGTGACCCAAAGCTTCTCCTCAGCTTGTATAGCTTAGGGGAGAAGTTTTGGGGAGAAGTAAAGTTTAGGTTCTAGGGGATCTTCTTGTAGCCTATGTAATTATTCTGGAAATATTTAGTTATATCCAGAAATGAGATTCTGGGGAAAATTTGCAGTCAATGGTAGTGAGAGGTGAAGGGTGAGATTCAAGTACTTGTGTATACGGGTCACATTTATAATTCCAATGCAAATGAAGCCTGGTATATACTGACCACCTCTGTAAATAGCTGTGCCTGGGTAAGACTTTCCATGGTCTGCTTTGGAGGAGACTAATTAGTGATCACTTACAGTTAATGGACTCAGTCAATCCAGCCCTCATATGACTCTTACTACATGGAGGGGTCAGGGTCAGGACCCATAGGCTCAGGGTCCCTAATAAATACAGACTGTTTCATTTCTCTATGTTAGAAATTTTTCAATGTCTTCTCAGCCAATTAGGTATTCCCTAAAGGCCAGACATAATTTTAGGCTTCTTCAGGACTCACCAGGAGAGGACTGTCCAAACCCCGAAATGAATATGGCCAGTTTATGCACTAAGAGTCCTCACCCTTGAGGACTAGTGCCCCATTCATAGTGGTGGTCTCTGTGGCTGCTAAGTGAATAGCTTAGGTCTTCACAGGATTCATGCACACAGATTCAGAGTCTACTTTGTCTCTGAGTGGTGGCTGTTAGAGTGTGTACACTCCAGTTCTATTATCTGAGCCACTTTTCCCTTCCTTTTGGGGTGGGCAAGCCAATACTGTCTTCCACAGATTTCAGAGGATAAACACTGTCACCTTATCTTCTGTTGCAGAGGATCATATGGAATAATATAATTGAGGCATGAGTGCTAAAAGTGGGTAGACACTTCTCTAGTGTGTCAATTGTGTCCCCCAAAGTTCATGTGTTGGAAACTTAATCCCCAAAGCAACATTGTTGAGAGGTGGGATCTTTAAGAGATGATTAGATCATGAGGGTTCTGCCCTTGTGAAAGGATTCATGTTGTTATAGCAGAAGTGGGTACCCGTTCTTGAGAGAGTGGGTTTGTTATGAAAGTGAGTTCAGCTCTACTGCTCTCTTGCTGTCTCTTGCCCATTCACCTTCTGCCATGGGATAACGCAGAAAGAAGGCCTTGCCAGATACTGGCACCTTGCTATTGGACTTCCTGGCCTCCAGAACCATAAAAAGTAAATTTATTTTATTCATAAATTATGCAGTTTGTGGTATTCTGTTACAGCAGTACAAAACAAATGAAGACAGAACACTTGGTTCAGAGATATATGATATCAACTCAACCACTTAAGAAAAGCTGTGTGAACCTTAGAGAAGACCTATATCTCTGTTCAGGGATCAGTGAGAAGGCCCACTTGACTGCTGAGCCTGGGAAATAGTGGGATTCAGCAAACAATAGTTTCCTCTTCTAGTCCTTATCTAGTTGGAACCCTAAGGAGAAAACTGAATTCATGCATGTAAAAATAAAAATATGAAAGAAGTTTCCACCCAGATCTTCTCTCTATATGTAACCAAGTCTTTTATTTATTTCATTGCACAGAAGTACTTTTATTTCAGCTTAACTTGAACTACAAGAGTTGGAGTAATTGCTTTGTCATCAGTAATTCATTTTCATTCTTATGTGCTTAAAGTTACAGCTAAAGTAGAACAGTTACACACACTGAAGCCATGCTTTATAAGATTAAATTCACATATCCTAAAATTCACCAGGCGAAATCATGCACATTTAATTCCTGCAGCACTTGAATGCTATTTAAGGGGAAAAGAGGAAAATAAATCAGAGAGCCTTACCTTTGATTTCAAAGACATCTGAAAGGCTCTGAGCATGGTGCTTCCTTGAAGCCAGCAGATGACAGAAATTACCTGGAAAGGATAATGGCATGGAGAAGGTAGGTCTCAGCCTCAAACTCCGAGGAAGCACTTGAAGTGGAATCCATCTTCTTCAAAAGATAGTCCAGGACTGATAATAGGGCTTTATTTCCAGCTGAAAAGACTGATTGTTTAATTTAACCATTTGAGATAATTATTCTCCATCACTCTTGACTCATTTTGCTCTTATCAAGCCAAATCTCTGTAATCTTTGCAGAAATTTTATACTGATAATAAGTTCTATAATGACACACTTTATGCTTGTGGCATTAGTAATCTGACAGCAACAGACAAAACTGAATTAACACCTGTAATGAATCAGTTTACTGTGGGTGATTAATGAGGGGATTGAAACTCAAATATTCAAAACATGACATTTGAAATCACATCATTTGATTCCTATAGAACAGTCAGCTGTTATAAAATAGTATGTTTCTTATTAGGATAATCAGTTAATTATCTAAGTGAGCTTAAGGCCCATGTGTTCTACTGATACATGATTATGATGTGTATTCTGAATGTGGGAGTTTCCACTCTTATTGGAACTCAACATGGATGCATCTAGGAAGTTTAAGGCTGTAGGGGCCTGGGCCTCCAGTAGTATGGGGATGAGTTGCACTATGCAAAGACTCTTCAGGGCAGCTGTCTCCTGTTTTAGGATTTTTATCTTGAAACGTCCTGTCTCAATTGCAGCCAGGTAGGCTGTGGATAAGGGTTTGGGGATATGGTTTGTCCTGTTTGGGAGGAGTATTCCCTGACATTGTTTTGAATGACTGGTGCATGGTGACCACTAGATAGTTCTTGTTGCTGAGTTCTCTACTGTCAGCGCAGCCCTACTGACTGGATCAGAATGAGCCCTCCCCGCCACCACCCAGCTCACCTGGGGAGGCCACCACTGTGCTCAAATCCCAATCTGCAACACGACTCCCAGGGTTTGGGATGAGGGTGATCACAGGAACCTTTTCCCTCATTTAAAATTATGATTGAGCCAGGGGCGGTGGCTCATGCCTGTAATCCCAGCACTTTGGGAGGCTGAGGCAGGCAGATCACGAGGTCAGGAGATCAAGACCATCCTGGGTAACATGTGAAACCCCGTCTTTACTAAAAATACAAAAAAATTAGCCG
This sequence comes from Homo sapiens, assembly GCF_000001405.40. Classification (NCBI taxonomy): domain Eukaryota; kingdom Metazoa; phylum Chordata; class Mammalia; order Primates; family Hominidae; genus Homo; species Homo sapiens. Next base: position 52,014,911 of record NC_000007.14, read on the forward strand.
GGCGTGGTGCTGCACACCTGTAGTTCCAGCTACTCAGGAGGCTGAGGCAGGAGAATCGCTTGAATCCAGGAGGCGGAGGTTGCAGTGAGCCTAGATCGTGCCACTGCACTCCAGCCTGGTGACAGAGCGAGACTCTGTCTAAAAAAAAATAAAAAATAAAAAGTAAAAATAAATAAATAAAATTATAATTGGATTTTCCAGCCTGAACAAGCTTTTCAGTTTCCTTGTCCTATATTTGAAACAACCAATGATAGATTTAAGCAGAGCAGTTAGCTTATTTATCTGGTGAGTGTATTTTCCAGATATCACTTTCCTGCCTGCAAGCTTAAATGCAAATACAATGTGTTCTTCTAACCATTAAAAAAAAAATTGTGAGCAGAGCTGTATTCATCAGGCAATATGACCATTTTTGTTTTAAAATTTTGTTAAGGTGTACTGACACTCATCTGGGCAACATGAAATCATTTGTAGAAGATGAATTTAAGTGAGATAATGCATTTTGTAAAGCACTCAGTAAACTTTAAAATGTTACATAATATGAAGTGCTATGATTATAAAGTGAGCATCCAAGCACCTTATTTTACCCATTACTATAGCAAAGTTTGATGATTTAAAGGGAATTGGTTCCCAAAATTCTGTAAGTCAGGAAATCCTGTGGGTGTTTAGAAATGAATAGAGAGAGGGAGAAGTTGCTGAACTCGTGTGATTATATTTTCTTTTGCTCTCTCTCTCTTTCTCTGTTTTTTCATTTTTATAAAAATATTACTCTGAATATATTAGTTCATGCATTTATCTAATTTCCTGGTAGACATCATGCTTTAAGTGCCTATTATGTGTTTTGTACTGTCTCAGGGGTTAGGCTGAGATTTGATTGGATAACCTTTGGGGACATTTTGTTTTAGGAAACTGAGCGTCACTGCCTTCCCTGTTGTTTAAGATTTCTGCACTCATAAAGAGTCTCCTCTTGCTATCACCTTTCTGTCCATAACCCCCAGCTCTTTTGAACTCAGTGTTTCAACACCCATTACCACAATCTGCAAAATCAGTGCATGGCAGTACAAGATTATTCTCTAAGTATGTTAATTCTTACTTAAGGTGTAAAGGAAATTAATTTACAGTTTTCATATTAATTGCTGAGAGTAATGTGGGGGTTATCCTTGAACACCCAAAATAACATCTTTCATTTCAGACAGTTTGTTGACATAAAAATAAAAATAATATTTTGATGTTATTCTTGTTCACAAAATCAAAGGGGGAGTAATGTATATTTAACCAAGGGGGAAAAAAAAAACTACAGAAAACAGAGATTGTGCCCCAAGCAAAATTACATCAGAAAATAAAATCAAAATCGAAGGTAATGCAGAGAACAGAAAGTTCCATCAATCAAATTGTGGAAGAAGGAGTCTGGCTGAAAGTCCTGTACCGTGGAACTGATGAGCCCGACTACACGATGTCTTGGAAGAGCAACAGAAAATGATAAGAAAGTGAGATGAGAATGCTCAGTGTCATAATGTCAACTAAACACAATTGAAAAAGTGGACAAAAGACAAAAGTAGGCAGAAGAAGTGAAAACTATAGATTCCTTGTGTTTTGAAACAGAAGATAAAAGATCCTATGTTGAAATAATTATGAACAAAGATAATATTTTGCAAACTTGTTAAAAGTTTATAATGATACACATTAAACAACGGTTTTACCTTCTACTTCCTTACACTTAATAAAAAATTAAACAGATTCCAATCCTTCAACCAAAAGCAAAATAGGCAGTATTAAAAAAAATCATAGAAACATGAGCCCAGTGGAAAAGACAGAAGTTGGGTTTATTATAAGAGATATATTACGTGGACAACCTTTTCAAAATGGCTTCATCTCATTGAACGCGAACCCATTTCTTCAGCTCTGGGATGCAAACCTTTCTCCCATAAGCTGGAAACCAGGCTGCAAGGTGTGACAGGTCCAATTACCTTGGTAGTCATTATCTGCGATGATAGCCTTCTATATAAGGACGGGCAGCAGTGCATGCCTGGGATGGAAAAATAGAGCCAGCTAAGGCTAGGCGGTCTTACTGGTGCTGACAAATTGATTGACGATACTGCAAAGCATCAAATTGTAATAGGCCCAGTCACGTTGTTTTCATTGTTATTGTTGGAAATCTGATTTTATTCAGATAGGATGGTACTGTTGCCTAGTTAGACATGAAGCACCGGCCTTTCTTCCAGGTGAAAGAGGCAGATGCGATGAAAGGCTACATGGAATAGCTTTGTTAGGGGAATTTCTTTTTATTGTTATTTTCCTCACAGACTACATAAGAGAGACTTGTACATAAATCAAAATAAGGTGATGGTTAACTTTATTTTATTTTAAAAGAAGGACGTGAATTAGAGTCAAAGAAAGGGGAGATGATGTATGAAGGGAGGAATCAGTAGTCGAGGTGGCTTAGAAAGAGGAAGAGATGAATGAATGAGGAGAGTGGAAAGGAAGGAAGAAAATTTCAGGAGAATTCTTACAATAATGGAATGAAAAAGGTAGCATAGGGGTTGTTCCACTAAAAACAGAAGGGAGGTAGAATATATATTTTTTTACCTTCTTACCTTCCTTCTATTCTCTGATTCTTTGAACTAAGACCTCAAGTAGTATTAGGTAGTTCTATTTTTGTGAATTTTTAACAAGACTGGAGTTTGATTATATGCCATTTTAGAAAGTGATGTTAAATATGTATGCCTACAATAATCATGTTCTTGATAAAATTAAATTTAGCATGAAAAATTAAATATTTGACAATTCCAACTTTAATAGGCGAAGAAATAGTGACTCTTTGTCAGAGAAATATACGTCATTGCCATGTACACAATAGTAACTTTGACCTGTATCATTTTAGGGATATTAGGTATGCTAATGATCTCCTTTGTATACATATGACTAAAATTTTAAGTATTGTAAAGTTATATAATGCATTGTACAAAAATACAATGGCTGGAGGAGTTTCATTTCAGCATTAGCTTTGTAGAAGAGAGATTAAATGAAAATCCTCTTATTTTTTCTATCTGTGAAAGGTTAAACCCATTTACCAAAGTACATGTCCATTCGCTTAGAAAATAGCTGTAATAACAAAAGAAATGAAATTCCATTTGGTCATTAGCTATGGGTAAACAATGCTTTCAATGTGATTTTAATCCTCTTCATGTGCCTGTGATGTCTTTAGATAAGGCTTAAAGATCATGACCTTTTCAGAGTGTTGCATCACCCTCAATCTTTTCTATAGTCCACTGAGTGATCTATTGAAATTCATTTCCAGCAGTTTGGCTACTTCTTATTCATTAAAAAACTCACTTTTGAGCACCAAGACTGAGTATCTGGGGTTTAAAGAGTAACGACATTTATCTCTGAAAGTTGATGGCGTCTTTGAGATTTCAGAGTGTAAAGGCCAAATGCTGGACTTTCAGCTTCCAGGGACTGCTTTCACTTTCAGAGGCTGCCGGGAGGTCTCTGTGTGTGGCCTCCTCCTCTCACAGCCTGGCGGCTAGCTTTCTTCTAAAGCCAGTAGGACAGCAGCTTTCTGTCCTTTCACAGGTTTTGAAATGGCTCCCTAACAAAGTCAGGCCCAACCAGAAGAATCTCCTTTTGATGAATTCAAAGTTAGTATCCCAACCACGGGAGTAAAATTGCATCATGTTCACCTGCTCTGCCCACATTCAAGGGGAGGCAATTATGCTGATGAACACCAGGGGGCGGCATCTCGGGGATTCCAAGTTAGAGTCTTGCCCACCACTGGCTGATTGTGCTGGTCTCTCTACAACTCTAAATTCCTTGGATACCGAGAAGAATTTAATAGTGCAAAAGATAAGGTAGTCTTACAGCTGGACAGGATAGCTCTATGCTTTCTTCTGGGATGCCTGGACATCTGATCTTGACGCTTGTCCAAAACAGAAATGAGGTGGGCTCACTAGTGAACTATAATATGCTGTTTAAAGTTTGAAAGTTCCCTGGAGACACCCAAGCTTACATGTCTATATGTTTTTTAACAAATACTTCCATTCTGGGTGGTTTACTCCTGGGCGCACCAGGTTACCCAGACTGACCCTGCTGCAAAACCAGTGGAATGCAGATCTTATGGGACCTTTTGCCTGGAATTCCCTGAAACCACAGTTCATCACATGTATCTTGATGGTTCCTAAGCTGAAGACGAAGCTCATCTGGAGTGACTAACCATCCTGGGTTACCGGACTCAAGAGATTCCTAGAATATGGAACTTCAAGTGCTAAGACAGGGAACCCCCAGGAGGCAGAGGAGATGGTCACCCTGAGGTGCATTCTGTGGCACTGAGAAAGGACCCTGGGGTTCGGGGGTGCTTGTAGTGCTTTTAGATACACAATGCTTTCCTGAGGATTCTCCTCTAACCATGCTATATCCCGTATTGTAATTGAAGCTTTACGTGAGTTCGTCCTGTGAAGTCTTGGGAGCCCCTTCAATTATCCTATTCTACCTAATGGATGCAGCGTTGGGAGTTTTTTTAAAAAATGAATGCTCTCAGGAAGAGTAGGAAAGGTTGGGTAAGAATTGTGTGTGGTTAGAGGCTTGTTTCCACGCCCTGTGAAAGCGGCTGCTCTCCATCCTCACTCAAGAACACTGTCAATGCCAAGAGGCTTTGCCATCTGTGACCCAGGTGTGGAGTGTTAAGGGCCATGGAGGTGACTCTATAGGTGATAATTACCAAAAACATTCAAATCTGAAAATTGTTCCTGTGTCATACTCTTATCCACAGAAATTTTTTCCACTAATTGAAATAAGGAAACTACTCAAGAAAAGAAATACACTATTCTGCCCTGGGTCTAGCATTTCAGCTTTGTACCACACTTACACTTTTACGACTATAATCACATGACATTGATATTACCATCACCTACTGTTTTTATATTATTTTATAGCTGATAGTGTGCATTTTTATCATTTGATTTTCACAATAACCATAAAAGGTAAATGAGGATGTTTTCAGTGTTGTGAAATGAGGGAATAATGGAGTTACAGAGACAATAATTGTGCCACATATGCAATGGGCGAGGATGGGAACCGAATCCAAAATTTTGACTTTTGTTTGGTGGCTTTTTAAGAAATCATGAAGTCTTATGTAGGAAAGTATAATTTTCATGGTATTACCATATTTCTTACTACATACTTTGAATTTATTATCCAAATGGATCTTGGCACAAATTCTGCAACTTTGGCTGAGAGGAAGAAAGATTCCCATTTATTGCTTACCTACCATGTGTCATGCCCATTTTTTGTAAACTGTGCAGAGCATCTTACTTCAATATCACCAATTGGAAATCAAGACAAAAGTCCTATTCAAATTTTATAGATAACCTTACTGGGGTTAGAGAAGTTCAGTAACTTTTTCAGACTCTCACAGATTGTAAAGTTACTTCCTTTTGTTCCCAAAGACAAACTCTATTAAAGATAGTTTTCTAAAACCATAATATCGGGCAGTTTGAAAGGACTTGAAAGCCTGGTTGATGAAAATATGGACTATAATCAGCATCTAGTTGAAACATGCATTGGATGTAAATTTTCCCCATGATGTTTCTATTCTTTTTGGAGTCACTTTATTTGTTTAAAGTTTGTCCTCACAATTTAAGTGTCTCTTTAACTCCCATAAATTGCTTTAACTTTTACTCTGTAGATTCCCCTACAGAGATTGTAAACACCAGTACATGTAATTATTTTATATTTCTTCAACTGCCATATATGACTCGGTTTCAGAACTATTTCCTATTGGGACGCTGTCCTGCTAATCTAGTCCAGTGTGTCAAAGTGCCTCCTGCCACGTGGCACACACACCTTCATGCAGCCTCCCTGATATGTCCTGGGAGGTCAGGAGAAAATCTCCTATGTGAACCCTCATTTTCTGTAATTTTGAAACATATTGGAACTGGAGACTCCCCAGCACCTGGTAGGTCTTTGCAATCCTGTGTTGTGTGGAAGCCAAAGATACCAATATCAACTCATAGGTTAATATAAATGGATAGATAAATAGAGATATAGTTATGTATAAATAGGTATAGAAATAGTGAGATAGAGATGAGAGAAAGAAAAAGATAAAGAGAGATAGAGACAGAGACAGAGAGAGGCCCTTGAGCCATTTGGAACAGTATTTCACACCAATTTGTCATTTTGGTTCTGCCTTTAGTCCCATATCCCTGATAGGAGAGCCTTCCAAGAAAGAGAAACTCCATTTCTGGTATCAAAGAAGGAATTGTAGTTCAATAATTAGGAAAACAACTTAGCAATTATAAGGACAATAAGAAAAAAAGGGCCTTAAGAAATGTATGTGTTTTACAACTTTTACTGAATTCTGCTGTAGTATAAAAACACACCCGAACTGAAGGTCGCAGTCAAAGCAGCTGCTTTTAGAGAGTGTATGTTGTGAATGAAATTGCTCAGAGTATTTCACAGAGTAATACTCATGAAGTCAGTCTGATGAAATTCCTGTTCAATCTTACTACTAAGAGGAGTCTTAGTTCTTCAATATTTGCCTATATTTTAACTTATGGTCATCCTTAATTGATATACTAAATTTATTTCTTTATCTGTTGCTAGAAAGGTTAGGGATGACCTTGAGGCTCTGATGTCACAAATGTGTGAGGAGAGATTGCAGGCACGTTAGTCTAATTCATGGCCCTGTCAATATCCTCATGCTTGTCTTCCTATTTTCGTTTGGCTAACCCTTCAGTTAAGCTCAGTGACTGCATTTTGTTAACCATGTTGGAGCAGAGGATTTCTTGCTTCATCTAGTTCCTCTTTCCTGGTCGGGGTACCAGGGCTTCTCCTTCTGGTTTCTTAACTCCTAACCAATTGAACCTGAAGAGGACCACCCTTGGACAACTGCAGTGATTCAGCCACAGACACTCAGAATATCACTTCCTCCGAAATCCCCATCTACTTGACTTTGTCCTGGTTTCTGCCTTGCTCCCTCTAGGCCTCCTGGAACACATCCTGAATAACTAGTGTGGACAATGCCCTTAACTCAAGCCATACTTCTGGAGAAGCTGAACTAGGACGTTATTTACAATGATAAATAGGATACAATTTTACACATAGAATATAATTTCTATGTCTCATTTTTTAATAATTGGAAATGTCCACAATGAATGGTTGGGATGGGAAGAAAAATGGTGGACTGGAAAGAGTGTAAGCAGGATGGAGGGAGGGTCACTTCTCTGAGTAGTCTTTCTTGAATAGTTGACATTTGGAGACGTATTAATGTTTCATATTACACACACACACACACACACACACTCTCACACACAATCAACAGAGATGGGGAAAAATGCCAACTTAAAACAGAAACAAATGTACTTACTTTATTAGCAACAACTAATCCAAGTAACATTTGTACACAGTATTGGGACTCTATGTTCTCAGCCTAAAACAAAGAGAAAAATGGCAAATCTAAAATTACTATTTGTGTGTTCTAATACTGAACAAATAAGAAGTAAATGTATTGTGGATAATGGGAATCAGGTTTCTCACTGTCAAAGGTGAAAGTTACAAATAAGGAAAGGCTAAAATGAATCCTGTACTGTTGTGGTAAAGTCAAAGGCACCAAGAACTCACAGTTTCATATAAATAGACAGGTAAATATGGATATAGATTTTTGTATAAATATATATAGGCAGATATATATTGTCATATATAAGTACAGATATATTTATGTAGATCAATGGATATGCATACATATAATGACATCTAGTTTTAACAATATATCTGTCTACGTGTGAATATATATGGCTGTAACTATCTATATCTATCTAAACTATCTATCTCCATCTCTCTAAGTGAATATATATATATATATATTTAGCTCTGTCCTCTGAGAAAGGCTGGGAGAATGACATCCTAGTAATAATTAGCAAACTAAATGCCCATCTTCACCCAAAGAAATCAGGATTCTTTAGAAAGATGGCTGGTGCCAGCACTAGCGTAATGAAGTAGAGGATGAGTGTGCAACATCTCTTTGTGCCAGAAAGTAAGGGAGATGTTTAGTGAATAAAAGAACACGACAATACACACACACCCCACCCCATAAAGGGATTTAAGGGGCTCCCACTGGACAATGTTGGGGCAATTTGCATATCAAAATAAAATAATTTTAATTGAGTATTACCTGTTAAATAAATAAGAATCCATGAGTCCACACTTCTATCAGAAAATAAGAAGGTAAGTAGAAAAATAAGGCCAAGTGCGGTGGCTCACACCCGTAATCCCAGCACTTTGGGAAGCCAAAGTGGGCAGATCCACAAGGTCAAGAGATGGAGGCCACCCTGGCCAACATGGTGAAACCCCGTCTCTACAAAAATACGAAAATTAGCTGGGCATGGTGGCAGGTGCCTGTAATCCCAGCTACTCAGGAGGCTGAGCCCAGAGAATCGCTTGAACCCAGGAGTCGGAGGTTGCAGTGAGCTGAGATGGTGCCACTGCACTCCAGCCTGGCAACAGAGTGAGACTCAAAAAAAAAAAAAAAAGAAGAAGAAAAAAGAAAAAGAAGGGAAGTAGAAAAATAAACAAACGATGGGGGCGTTTTCTTACATTGGCATCCTAACTAATATTCACAGGAAGATTGATAGAATTAGGAAATTACAAATGGTAACATAGTAGTAGTTGTTTCAGGCAAGGAATGGCAACGGTTGCTAAAACTAGTGGGAGAAGGTTTGATGATTAACAGGATGTATGTTTACGTATCCTCAAAATATCTACACAAAAGATACTTTTATATTACAAAATAAAATATAGTAATTTTACAGTGTAGAAATATGGCAAGCACAAATTTATTCGAGTAGTTGACATCACCAGTATTGGGATAAATTGATATTCTGTGCCTTTTGAAATGAGGTAATGAAAAAAACATAGCACCAATTCTAGGGTATTTCTGACAAGAATAAATGATGTTTATTTAATACTGAAGAAACACTAGACAAATTCAAATTTAATAACATTTGAAAAAATAACGTCCCTCTGTCATTAAAAAGTCAAGGTTATTAAAAATAAAGTAAAATTAAAGAAATATTCCAGATTAAAGGAAAGGAAAGAAGCACAATAAGTGAATGCAACTCATACTCTTGGATTTTTGTCCCATAAAAGAAAATTATTTGAATAATCATTGAAATTTTAATAATAATTTAATCATTTTGTATCAATGTTAATTTTCTAATTTTTATTATTGTACTGTGATTATGTAAGAGAATGTCCTTGTTTTTAGAAAATAGGTACTGAATCATTTGTTGATTAATAGATATCATCTCAGTAATTTATTTTCAAAGGTTATATATATATAATACATATGCTGTATATCTATCTGTCCTCTATCATCATCTATCTGTCTATATATCTAGCTTTCTATAGAAAGAGATAAGACTAAAGCAAATACAGGAAAATGTAAACATTTCAAGAATCTGTGTGAAGGGTATACTGGAATTTTTTACATTAGCCTTCCAACTTTTCTCTAAGTATGAAATTATGTAAAATGAAAAAAAATGTAGTAACCTAGTATATGTCACTTACATTGCAAAGTTTTTCTCACTTTGTTGTTTGACTTTTAATATTACAGTCTGCATTTTTATCCAGTGCAATCTTTCTTATGGAGTCTGGCTTAGCTATTATGATTTTAGAGTAATTTCCACATTACTCAGAAACCCTCCTCTCACCCAAAATCAGATAAGTAATTACCTTCTTTTATATATACCATACTTCATCAAAATTAAAGTATTTTGATTATAAAATACACAATTATTTTATGCACGCCTAAAAAATAATAATACTATTACATGCCATTCACTGAAAGATGAATCACTATTTCAATGATATTAAAATGTTGAAATAGCCAGGCACAGTGGCTCATGCCTGTAATCCCAGCACTTTGGGAGGTCAAGGCAGATGGATCACTTGAGGCTAGGAGTTTGAGAGCAGCCTGGTCAACATGGTGAAACCCCGTCTCTACTAAAAATACAAAAATTAGCCAGGCATGGTGGTGTGCACCTATAATCCTAGTTACTTGGGAGGCTGAGTCAGGAGAATCACTTGAACCCAGGAGGCGGAAGCTGCAGTGAGCTGAGATCATGCCACAGCACTCTAACCTGGGCGACAGAGTGAGACTCTGTCTCAAAAAAAAAATGTTAAAATACACAGATATTAGAGTTGATAAAATATGATAGCTTCCTAATTATCTTGTAAACATTTAACTGTACAATCCATCTAAAATTTGTTTTGCCATATGTTATTACAGGTGAATCTAAGGCTCTTTATCATTCAACTGTATATTTTTTATTCATCTTCTATTACTTTTTCATTCCCTGAATCATCCTCTATCTTTTCATAGAGAAATGTAAACTATTAATTTTGATAATAAAGATTCAAGTGTTAATTTTATCTTTGCCAATTTGCATTATAATGTATGTTTCAATATCTATTTTCAGTTTTTCTGCTGTATTTATGATTATCTTCAATGTATCAGAAACACTATATGCTTGTTTTAATTTTAACTCTTTACTTTATGTTTTTCAGCAAATCCAAGTGATGCAAGTTCGATGTGGACTTCTGATAAACGTGAATACCAACCTGTCTGAGAGGAAAACCCTGGACAAGTCTTCCTTATTGTTTTAGTTCTATTGTGCCACATTCTTCCTCAGAGCAAGAATTTGTTAGATTGGCATCAAAGATAAACGAAGACTAACACAATTTAAAGTGGGAAGGACATATTTTAATCTGTAATAACTATTACAGTAGGAAAAAGCCCAGCATGAACTGAACTCAACTTTAATTTGTTCAGAGGTGATTGAATGCTTAAAGAGACAATGAGGGCATGGGGAGGGAGGCAAGGGGGGCCAGTAGAGCCAGCAAAGTGAAAATTACAAAAAGCAGGAAGGGTAGATTGTCCACATAAAAGCCATCTGGGCTTGCTAAATAGTCCTTGTCAAAGTTAGACTCCTGCCCTTCCATACACACTAGTGAACAAGGGCCCCATCTTTAGCTGTTGGCTGAAGCAAACAGTAACTGCTTTCTTTGGGCAGCCTCGAGTTTTCTCAGGCAGGCACCTTAGGGGGGACCGGGGTCATTCTAGGGATGCAACCTTGAGCTCACAGAAACTATATCAATGTTATTTCAAGTCTTTTTTTTTTTTTTTTTCTGTGGCAGAGTCTCGATCTGAGGCCCAGACTGGAGTACAGTGGCACGATCTCGGCTCACTGCAACCTCCGCCTCCTGGGTTCAAGCGATTCTCCTGTATCAGTTCTCAAGTAGCTGGGATTACAGGCACCAGCTACCACGCCCTGCTAATTTTTTCTATTTTTAGCAGAGACAGGGTTTGCCGCGTTGGCCAGGCTAGTCTCCAACTCCTGACCTCAGCTGATTAGCCCGCTTCGGCCTCCCAAAGTGTTGGGATTACAGGCGCGAGCCACTGCACCTGGCCCTAGTTCAAGTCTTTTTAAGCCAAGGTCAAGGCCTACTTGGGGAGCAGTCTCTGACGATCCTAGCTAGAGTTTGTTCAAGGCAGATTATTTGTTGGTAGTCTGAGGCATGCCTGGCTTCTAGTCTGCTTTTTAGACAACCACCAGGTTAGTGCGATGGGATTTTGAGCCATCCTGGTAAATTCTTTGTTCAGTACCTCATTCTCTATACTTTCCAGCAATTTCCTAAAGAAGACTCACAATTTTTTAAAAACAAGCTAGCCAAAAAGATAATTCTGGTATATTAATATAACATCTCTGCCTCATAGTCATAATATGTTGAAAGGGGAATGGGCAAGTTAAAGTCTAGGGAGCGCTTTAGTCTGCAGGGAAATAGTTTCTTGTTCCCAGGGCAGAGTTATTCACTCCTGGCTTTCTACAGAAACAGAGACTATTTGGAAATAATAACATAATTAATAACGCCAGCAGAAGGTGCCTCTTACAATAAATAATGCTAATGATAAAGATTGAGTCATCATCACATTGCATAAGAGATAAATTTATGTGGTTCCCACTTATCAATTTCAGTATTCTTAATGAATTAGTAGACAAGGTCGTCTGCTGATGAATGAAAGCCAAGTGTTGGGTACAAGGAGAATAATGAAGTTTTGAAATGGCTGTAAAAACCAAAATAAATTCTAGCAGGAATGGGTAAATGAACTGCAGCATAACAATGAGGTCACAACATTCAATTAAGAACATATTCAACATTCAATTAACATTCAATTAAGAGCATATAGTGATACAAACCATATCTTTCAGGTTGATTTGATTCTATACTTTTCATACAAAAGACAGGCTTTGCTTTTCTTCTGTATCAGAAACTCATTCTACAATATTTGACAAATTGTCTTGAAGACTAAAAAATGACAGGCCGGGCGCGGTGGCTCACGCCTGTAATCCCAGCACTTTGGGAGGCCGAGGCGGGCGGATCACGAGGTCAGGAGATCGAGACCATCCTGGCTAACACGGTGAAACCCCGTCTCTACTAAAATTACAAAAAATTAGCCGGGCGTGGTAGCGGGCGCCTGTAGTCCCAGCTACTCGGGAGGCTGAGGCAGGAGAATGGCGTGAACCCGGGAGGCGGAGCTTGCAGTGAGCCGAGATCGCGCCACTGCACTCCAGCCTGGGCGACAGAGCGAGACTCCGTCTCAAAAAAAAAAAAAAAAAAAAAAAAAAATGACAGAAAATTTACTTCAATATGTAAAAAAATGGTTAAGTAGTTCTTATTTTAAAAATCCATATATTGAGGCAAAATACTTGTTTTGTTATTTCTGTCTGTTTCTTCTGAATCTGTTCCCTTGAACTTTATCACTGAAGATTTTTCTATCAGCCTTTTTCAATAAACAGATCCTGTTGACTCATGAACCTGTCTCATCACCTCCGTGGGGCGGGTAGAGCCAGCTAAAGTTCAGATATATGCTTTGTCCATGGAGGAACAAATATATTTTGTCTGTGCAGTGGCTCTTTCTCTTCTGAAAAGTATCTAAACTCAGAGTTTATTGCCCTAAGTATCCAAACATGCTTATTATTCAGTTTCTCATCTTGTTCAATTTGTTTAATGGATAGAACATTCTTATTTGATACAAGATGTTCATACTAAGATATACTCAAGATAATTTTAACATATAAATAGGAAAAGGTGATTTTTGTAATAGATTTTACAAATAGACAAAAAGGAGGAGGAATGATTGTACTAGGCATAATTAGTGCCTGCAGCTTTTCTCCACTTCTCACAGCTTTAAGCCAAACATGTAAACTACAGCACCAGCTCAATCGTAAGGTGATTTTATTTCTTAGAAGTCAAGTAAAAAAAATTACTGGCCAACATCTAAAAGAGCTTTTTTCTATTTTATAGTACATATGTGCAATAGCAAACAGAAGTCTTGCAGTAAAGTGAGTTTCCTAAGAAGTGAGAATGTAACATATAGAGGAGTCACAGTGCATAAAGCACAATAAGTATAAATCAGCCACAAAGCTCAAGGTCTGCATAGAAATTGTTTATAGTAACCCTGCTATAAAGCCAACAAAAAAGAAACAGTTTTAATTTATAAGACATTTAAGTTAATGTTGTTATACAGGGTCATTTAACTAAGAGTCACAGCTTCAAGGTATACTGTTAGTCTGTACTATGTATTTACAATTTACTTGCAAGAAATATAAAATGTCCTCTGTATCTGCAGGATCAAGAGGATATATAGCACTATGAGATACATGTCCTGAAAGTTGTAAAAGAAAGCTATCTTCTACCTGAAGTTGAGATTTAGAACATAGGCTACATTTACAGACATTTTTACTTTTAGAATTTGGCTGAATATTCCAGAATTGATTGTACAGAAGTGAGGGAAACAAGACATTGAAATATTTCCCTGCAAAGAAAAACTGGAGAGCAGTGTACCTTAAACCTAAATAATAAAAGCTTCTACCCTTATGTCTACATGTAATACTTTAAACCAGACTTGACTTATTTCAACCATTCACTGCCTAAAGAAGAGATTTGGAAATGCTATTGTCCTCTTTGTTCTTCACTAACTAAAATAGAAGTTAAATTTATTTAATCAAGCATTGCAAGTCTATCATGAAGTACTCCTAACCTAGGCTGACAACCCATCATTTCAGCATTTTTTTGCTATTTACCTTCATAACCCACTCTTTAGCATAACCCAACCTTACTGCTTAACATCCTGTGTCTCCTTCCTGGTTTAGGTTCATGCCAGTTGGGTAAAACTCCTAAAAACTATGACATCCAACATGAGGGAGAAAAAAAGTCTCATATTTTCAAAATGACAATATTTACAAAGCCTCACATTTTCTTTCTGAAGTCAAATGGTCCAGATTTTTCAACTTTTTTGTTGTTACAGAAGATATTTGGGCTTAACAAAAAGGCCAAAGAGTTAAACATTTCAGAAGCTTTAGGCTGTACTTTGATATATTCTGCTTTTGACATTGTTTTAGACCTAAATTTAAATGCACGGGGATCTCTCTCTTCATCCTTCTTATGCTCCCTGACACCTACACACCCCCCCACCATCCATCCACACCCACACAAACAGAAATATCCAATGTCTATCATTAGGCAGTTAGCTTTGTAAATTGTATACATTCTATTAAATGGCATGAGTGTTCCAATGAGCTGAGCCAGGGAAGTCTGGCTTTACGGACAGAAAAGGGCTAAGGAAAGCAGACACAGAGAACAAGAGGCGGACTGGTTGTTTCAAAATTATTTTCTTACAGGGTTAAATGGAAGGGACTTCCTTATTGTGCTGGCTCAGGTTGACTGGAATTTTGTTTTTGAGAAAACTGGCCTATTTCACAGTTTAGTTTGATTACATCGTGCATAGCACAAGTCCCTCCATTCTGGTTTGGTCTGGTCTGCTGGGGCCTAATGCTGGTGGCTGGTCCAAGCCAACAGCCTCCCATCAACTGTGTTTAACATGAAGTGCCTTTTTACTTCAGTTGGTCTGAGTTGACTTTATGTCATTTGCAACTGGAAGAGTTGTTGCCTATGTCTGTGGTTTAATACCACATTGTTTTAAATATGCCCCATCAACATTTATATTTAATGTAAGATTAAATCTTTGATCTATATGCAATAATTATAAAATAATATATGAGGATAAATATGCTCCTATCATGTCATTTTATAATTCTTTTTTTAACCTTGCATGTAGCTTGCTTGTTAATGTACAATTTTGTTAAAGTTTTGCCTGTATTCATTCTTTATCTCCTTTTTATAAAAACACTCACTTGGAAGGTTCATCCATCTCTCAAGCTGCTGAAATATTTCAAGTACTTTTTTAGAAAGAATACGTGGGTATTATACTTATTTAGTCCTTGTTTGTCTGGGTCTCCTTGTTTCCACAGACAAATGATAACTTGTCTGAAAGCAGAATATTTACCTTACAATATAATATACTTTGAAGCAGTGGCTATTAGGATTTGTGGAAGTTTGAAGTTAAACATTTTTTCTTTCATAGAAAACCATTTTTTAGAGCTCCCGTAATTTTTTTTTACTAAAAAAAGACTTAACAAGTCTTTCAACTATTAAATATATTGAATTTTGTATTATGAAAGTAACTAAGAGAAAATTTCAAACTTGTTTCAACAATGAATCCTATTAAATCTTTCCATGAAATAATAGTAATATTACCTTAGTTCTTCCACAGAATAGAAGAAAAGGGATCATCCCTTCATATTTTGTTTTTAGAGCCCAACGTAAGTAAGATTGCTATTAAAAACTAATGAGTAATATATCTGATTCTGGCCATAATGGAGTATCTGTCACCAGACTAACCATCCATCTGTCTTCAACACATATGCACCTGGGAAGATTATACACTGCAATTCTTTTCAGATATTGAGTAGTGTGATCCCTGACAAATGGGAAACAAGCAAGATATCTAGGTGGCTTTTGCCTGCAGGTGGACTGCAGGAAAAGAGTCAGTGCTAAGCAGAGTGAAACAATCCCATGGGGATGAGGAGGTGGAGCTGAGAGGCCTGCGAGGCTGAGGCAGCTGGTATTTGTGCGGATGAGCCATGAAGAAAGAGCTACCCAGCAAGAGAGTTCCAGGCTTTCCGTCACCCTAAAGTTTCTGGCTGTGTATTTGGTTGCACAGGAAAAAGAATGTGTTTTAATTTGGAAGAGTACAGCCACTGGGGATCCGTAAGATGGATGAAAATATTGAAGACAGGAAACTGTGGAGCAAGAGAGAAGCTTCAAATACCCAGAGCAGACACTGGACACAGGGAAGGCATCTGGGTATTAAACTGAGTAATTCCCTCTTTAAACCTCTGCTGCCAAAGCCTAAAAACAGTCTCAAAAAGGCTAGCAGAATTTAACTACCGTCTAAGGAAAAAAAGAAAAACAAAACAACCAATAGCTTTTAAAGGTACATAACAAAAAACTCAATTCTTTAAAACATTGTACCAAAAATATGAAGCCAATACATTATATAGCCAGGAAAACAGCAATAGAAAGAGACCGAGAAATGACAGAGCTATTGAAATTAGTACAGAATTATTTTTAAGTATATACTACATTCGTACCTAGGGAAATAAAGCATTATTTGGACATAATGAGTAAAAAGAGTAGGTTGTCAATAGAGAAAGTAAAACTACAAAAAACAACATTGAAACTGCAGAACTGAAAAATAGAATATGTGAAAAATTCATCCAGTGGGATTAACAACATATTGGAAACTATAGATAAGAAGATTAGTAAACATGACCATGTGGAAAAAACAGTGAAACAATGAACAAGCTAGTGGTGATCTTAGGGCAATATTAGTGCCAAAGATATGTACAATTTGATAGCCAGAAGGAGAGGAGAGAGGAAAAGAAAGGCTAGAGGGAAAAATATTAAAATAAAAAAGTTGAATTTTTTTTCCTCACTGGAGAAAAATATTGCACAAGACTAAAAGGCTGAATAGTTCCCAGTCGGAATAAAGGCAACCAAAGCCATGCTTGGACTTTACTACAGTGAAACACAAAACAATTACACACAGAGGAGCAACCATTAAAAAAAAAAGGTTCACTAATTTCACATTGAAAACAATGCAAGAGAGAAAACAGTGGAGGAACATCTTTAAAATGAAGTAAGAAAACAAAACTCTATACAAGCAGAATTTCTCCATATACAGAGAATATCATCTCCTTCAAAAATAAAAATTAAATAGAGAAGTTTTAGATACACAACAATTTATGCATTTAACCAGCGGATTTTTATTATAGAAAATTTTTAAAGTTTCTTCAGATTGAAGAAAAATAACAGAGGAAAATTTGGATGTACATAAGTGAAGGGAGAGCAGTGAATATTACAAACATGAGACTAAGTGAATATTGTAAACATGAGGCCAGTCTTATTTTCATATTTCTTAAATAGACTACAAGAAAACTAACCACTCAAAGACAATTTAAGAACCACACACTATGGAGTTTATAACATATGTAGAAGTAATATGTCTGATCCCAGAGCACAAAGACCTAGTGGTGGTAAATGAGCAGGTACTGCTGTAAGGGTCTTGCATTATTTGTGAAGCGCTTGATACTAATTTATGAAAAATTATGATAATACATAGGTACTAGAAATTATTAGAGGTAAGAGGATCACTTGATCCCAGGAGGTTGAGGCTGCAGGGAGCTGTGAATGCACCACTGCACTCCAGCCTAGGTGACAGAGAGAGACCTTGTCTCAAGAAAAAAAAAATCATATATAACCTCTAGAGAAAATAATCTGAAAAATATATACTGGATAAGATTAACAGTAATCTAGTAGAGATTGCCAGAGAAGGTTCAGAAAATAACAGACATCACAAAAGAAACTATAATAAAATGAAGCATAGGGAGTAATTAGATTAAGAAAAATGAGCAGAGTGTGAATTGCCTGTGGAAAATATCAAGCTCTGAAACATGTGAAATCGAAGTCCAAGAAGAAAACAAAAGGAATATATAACAAATATTTGATAAAATAATGGGTACAATTTTCCAAACTAATACAAATGATGAACTCAAAGATCCCCAAAATTTCAATAAACCCCAAACAGAATAAACATAAAGAGGACCACATGAAAGCATGTATTAATAATCACATCACTGAAAATCAGAGATAAAGAGGAAAATCGTAACAACATCCAAAGAGAAAAAAGTCCTATCACATACACATAAGCAAAACTAGGAATGGCAATAGATTTCTCATCAAAAACTACAAAATAATAAGATAATAGAGAAATATCTTTAAAGTTCTGAAGAAAAGCCCTAGAATTATATACCCAGAAAAAATGTCTATAAAAGCAAAGGCAAAATAAAGACTTCTGATGAATGAAATTAAAGAAAACTAATTGTCAGGAAACTAGCACTAAGCACTATACACAATATCATATCAACCCTTTCAGGAAGAAAAAGAATGGCACTGGATGGGAACTTCAATCTACAAAAATAAATGAAGAGTACTTGAAATGGTGAATGTATTGATAAATATAAAATATTTTCACATGTTTAAAACTCTTTTAAAGATAACTGACTACTTGAAGCAAAAATTACCACAATCTTTTGACTTGTTTATTACATGTACATACATAAGAAATACATGTAGAGATGTACTGCCGAGACCAGCTCGGTCGGGGAGACCCTAACCCAGCTGTGCTGGAGGAATTAAAGACAGACACACAGAAATATAGAGGTGTGAAGTGGGAAATCAGGGGTCTCACACCCTTCAGAACTGAGAGCCTCGAACAGAGATTTACCCATGTATTTATTGACAGCAAGCCAGTGATAAGCATTGTTTCTATAGATTATAGATTAACTAAAAGTATTCCTTATGGGAAACAAAGGGTTGGGCCAAAATAAAGGGATGGCTCTGGCTAGTTATCTGCAGCAGGAGCAAGCCCTTAAGTCACAGATTACTCATGCTGTTGTTAGTGGTTTAAGAACACCTTTAAGGGTGTTGCACCCTGGGTGGGCCAGGTGTTCCTTGCCCTCGTTCTGGTAAACCCAGCGTGGGCATCATGGCCATCACAAACATGTCACAGTGCTGCACAGATTTTGTTTACGGCCAGTTTTGGGGCCAGTTTATGGCCAGATTTGGGGGTCTATTCCCAACGTGTATAGACATTCTTATGTGATAGGAGTAGTCCAAGGGATAAAGGGAGGGAGGTGAAAGTACACTGTGGTGGCTCTCACACTATTCTGAGGTGGTATAATATTATTCAATCTTTGATTATGATACATTAAAGACGGACGAGAATCCTAGAGCAGTCTCTTTCTCTATCCCTCTCTTTCTCTCTCTCTCTTTCTCACACACACAAACACACACATACACATACACACACACAAATGACATAAACAGGCACAAGTTTCACAAGACAAAGATGAGGTAAAGTTGAATCATTTTAGTACATGTCAGTTTAAAGGGAGATATGTAAAGATAAAATAAGGAATAAGTAACATGAAGATAAATTTTAAACTCAGTCATATTGATGGATACGTTAAATATGGTTAGAATTTTCTAACCACTCAAATTAAATTACAGATCATCCAACTGGCTAAAACAATCAAGATTGAATTATATTTATTCCATCTACAAGAGTCATTTTCTAAATATAAAGATACAAATGGGTTAAACTGAAAAGGATGAAAAGAGATATCTTCTACAAAAACTGATCTTAAGAAAACAGGAACAGCTGTGTTCCATAAGGCAATGTAGACTTCAAGACAAGGGATAGTTGCAAGGACAAAGAATCACATTCCACAATGATAACAGGAGTCTAATGATCATAAATGTGTATATACCTAAAAACAAAACTTTAAAATGCGTGAATCAAAACCAAGAAAACAGAGAGATGTAGATTAATTTACAGTTATAGCTGGGAATTTCAGCATTCCTCTCATATTAATTGATGGAACCAGGAGAAAAAACTTTAGGGTACCAAAAATTTAACAACTCTACCCTAATTGACTTTTATATATAATAATCTGCCCAACAGTGTTGGAATACAAGTGCACTTTTCAAGTGAAAATAAAGCATTCATGGAATGTGCAGCTGGAATGTTCATAAGGGTAGACTGTGGTGATTAATTTTATGTGTTGATTTGATTGGGTTTAGGGATGCCCCAACAGCTGATAAAATAATATTTCTTGCTGTGTCTGTAAGGATATTTTTGGAAGAGATTAGCATTTGAATCAGTAGACTGGGTAAAGAAGTTGGCTCTCACCAAGAAGGGCTGGCTTGATCCAGTCCCTTATGGGCCAGAACAGAACAAAAAGGTAGAGGACAACTGAATTGCTCCTTCTTCTTGACCTGGGGCATCCATCTTCTCCTGCCCTCAGACATCAGAGCTCCTGGTTTTCCCACCTTTTGGCTCTGGGACTTATACCAGTGGCTGTCAACTCCCTCACATCTGCCCGCATTCCACCTCCACCTCCATTCTAAGGGTCTCAGGCTTTTGGCCTTTTGACACAGGCTGAGTTGCACCAATAGCTTTCCTGGCCCTCCTGCCTGCAGATGGCAGATTATGGGACTCTCGGCCTCCACAATCATGTGAGCTAATGTCCATAACAGATCTTTTCTTCTACATCATTAGATATCCTGTTGGTTCTGTTTCTCTGGAGAACACTTAATAATACATAGACCATATTCTCACCATGGAATAATTCTCAATAAATATGTGAGACTTAAAATCATATAAAGTATGTTTTTGAACTGCAGGAAAATACATAAGGAATCAATAACCGAAAGCTATTTGGGAAATCCCCTAAATATTAGGATATTTATAAGCACCGTTTAAAATAACCTATGGGTTAAAAAATTATAAAAGTTACTTTAATATTTTAAATAAAGAAAAGAATAATATATTAAAATTTGTGAAATGCACTTAAAGTACTGCTTAGAATAGCATTAAATTTTTATCTTTTTTTTTTTTTTTAGATGAAGTCTCACTCTGTTGCCCAGGCTGGAGAGCAATGGTGCAATCTCGTCTCACTGCAACCTCTGCTTCCCAGGTTCAAATGATTCTCCTGCCTCAGCCTGCCAAGTAGCTGGGATTACAGGCATGCGCCACCATGCTGGGCTAATTTTTGTATTTTTAGTAGAGGCAGGGTTTCACCATGTTGGCCAGGCTGGTCTCAAACTCTTGACCTCAGGTGATCTGCCCGCCTTGGCCCCCCAAAGTGCTGGATTACAGGCGTGAGCCACTGTGACCGGTCAAATTTTTGTATTAGGAAGATGAAAAGTCTCCAATCAATTACTTAAATTTGTACATAAGGAAAGTAGAAAATATAAATAAACAAAAATGAAATAAGTACAAAAATTAATAATATAGAAAGCTAAAAAAATGAAAAAAAAAGAAAGCATTGAAACCGAAACTAGTTTCTTGGAAAGATCAATAAAATTGATATAAAAATAAACTAACCAGGAGACAAAAAGAGATGGAGGCAAATAAACAAGATATCACTTCAGATCTTAGGGACACCATATAGATTATAAAAAGGGAAACTGCAAGGTGTTTTAAAATAGTTGCAACACATAATCTAAAAAAGAGTCATACTAATAATATGTAGAGAAAACTTCTACAAATTAAGAAGAAAAGTCACAGGTCAGACAGAATAGTCAGGGACACGCCTGGACCAAAATTTCCAAATTGGGCATCTAAATGGTGACAACACAAGAAAATACACCCAAGCATCTTTCTAATGAGGGAAATTCCTATGAAAATATCAATGTGATATCACTGCAGTCACCTACATAACTAAAATTTTAAAAATATTTGTCAAAACGTGGATTAATAGGACATCTCCTATACTGGTGTGCATATAAATCAATAATGTCACTTTGGGAAAAGTTTAATATTATGTATTAAATATTAAAATAATGTCCCCAAATTTTCCCATCTAGGTTTTTACCCAAGGGCAAGGCACACTCCTAAGGAATATGTACAGAAATATTCAATGCAGCATTATTCATATAACCACCAAAAATGGAAATAATAAAAATATCCATTAGCAAGAGAGTGAATAAATAATCTACAAATACAATGATATTCTAGATAACAGAAAATATTCACAAGCTGCAGCTATCAAAAACAGCATAAATGGATCTCAAATGGAATTTTGACCAAAGAGGAGGGTCAAAAAATAACATTATGAGTATACAAAATTAACCAAAACTAGGATACTTCTATATGTACGGTTAGGTGATAATACAATAAAAATGCAAGAGGGTACTAACCACAAATATTAGAATAGTGATTACCTTTAGGTGAGGGAGAGGATAGTCTTGAGAGTGCTGGTGATGTCCTATTTCTTTATTCAGGCAGAGTTTATGTTTCAATAAATTGTTGAGTTGTACATGATGGTTTTTACACTTAAAAGAAAAAAATGTATTAGTTAGAATGTAAGAGTTTCATAACATACCCCATGACAGAACCAATAAAACAGCTACTTCAGATATGTCATTGTAAATTATTCTCAAAGAATCATCTCACTCACAACATTCATTATACACTATCAGTTCATAAACATATATAGAAATAAGTAAAACCACATTGTAAAAATTATAAAAAATTATAGAGAGATATGTACCATTCCTTGAATAAGAAGTTTTAAGGTAGTAAAAATATTGATTCACTACAAAAGAGCTTTAATTTTATTGTTTCATTCAAAACTCCAGCATTGGTTTCTTCTTGGATTTAAAAAAAAAAATCACTAGGTTCAATATTTATTTACCTAAAATAATACCTACATGAGACTACCCACAAAAATGATAAAAACTGAAAGTAATAATGGAGATTTGCCAGTCAAATATATATACATATTTTAATGTGTCACAGTTTTAAGTGTGGCGCTGAAGAAGGTATATATTGATAGAAACCATTGCAACTTTATGTTTAATTTTAATGTAAAAAATAATATACTTCACATCAATAGGAAAATCATTATTTAGTAAATGATATTGTAGAGATTAATTAGTTAACTCTTTGGAAAAGAAAAGAATGCCTACCATATACCCAGATACATTTGACCCGACTAATAGGTTTACATTTAAACCATGAACTTTACCTTCAAATTGGTTAGACTATCTATTAGGAGGCAAATATTCATGCTTAACAAAATTAGTAGAGCAAGTTAAATAGAGAAATGATGTGTATGAAGTCAGTGAAGAATTGCTAAAGCAATGAGAGCTCCAGGGCCTTGGAATCTAGACTCAAGCACCTCTGAATGTGAGTGGGCCTTTGACAGCTCATTTTGCATGTGGGCATTTGTTAATGCTTAGCAAGAATAAAACTGCACGAGTTGAGACCACCAATGGGGAGGGGAGGCTTGAAATATTTGGCAAGTTCACTTCCTCTCCAGGACATTTGCTGAGTACCGAAACTGCATGGAGTTTGAGATTAATAACTTAAACAGAAAGCTACTGGAAAGAAGATCAGAGATCTTTGAGGGTGAGACTGAAAATAGTGATTAAGTCATGACAGTGAAGGAAAGGGGGATAGTCAGTTGGCTAAAAACTCCACAGGGCAAGAGTAGACACATTAGGGTGACAGCCTTGCCTTGATTTAGCCCAGTCTCATTATATCAAGATAAACAGATGTGATTCTTTCTCACCAGGAAGGGAAGAATGAATGAATCCTTGCTAGAGAAAAATAATTTCATCAGGGCAATCTCTATTTTGTACATGCTTTGTCTGGCATTTAATGAAAAAATATCATAAACCTATGATAAAACTTTATTCCCAAGAGCAAAGAAAAAAAAAATAGCAACACTTTTGCAGGTGTTCCAGAAATTGGCTTTAACTGGGAAAAAAAATTTTAATAGAAACTATGATTAATAGATTCAAGAAAAACAGGCAAAAAATCTGTGAAAAATAGATTAAATGGAGAATTTTATGGGTAATGGGGAAATCTATATAATTGAAATGATCAAATGAAAATTCTAAGACTGATAATGTATTTTAAATTAAAGAATCATTAGATTATTTTGATAGAATGCGGAATACACTAAAAGGCAGTTTGTGTGAAGTGGTATAAATGTTCCATAAAAAATAGTCCAACTGAAGTGAATTACTAAAAATAGAATATACAGAAAAGACAATTAGAACTATGTAGAATTTATAAGAAATTTCTAAAGTCAACTTAATTGGAGACCTAGATGGAAATGAGAAAAAATGAAGCAGAATAATATTCAAAATGGTAATAATTGAGAATTTCACAAAAATCTTGGAAGACATTTAACTATGAGAAAAAGAATCTCTTCATACCAAACAAGATAATTACATAGAAAATTACCTTGGACACATCATAGTAATATTGGTGAAAAATAAAAGACAAAAAGAAAATCATGAAAACAACCAGAGAAATAAAGGCACACCACCTATAATGGAAGGAAATCCTATGCTATATTTCTTACCAAGAAAAAAGACAACAAAACTAAAGCCAAAGGCAATGGAATGACATCTTCAAAGGATTGAAAGAATTTATCTGCCAACCCATAATTCTACACCCAGAAAAAATATTTGAAAAGTAAAAGTTGGCCGGGCGCGGTGGCTCACGCCTGTAATCCCAGCACTTTGGGAGGCCGAGATGGGAGGATCACGAGGTCAGGAGATCGAGACCATCCTGGCTGACACGGTGAAACCCCGTCTCTACTAAAAATACAAAAATTAGCCGGGCATGGTGGCGCGCGCCTGTAGTCCCAGCTACTCGGGAGGCTGAGGCAGGAGAATGGCGTGAACCCGGGAGGCGGAGCTTGCAGTGAGTCGAGATCGCGCCACTGCGCTCCAGCCTGGGCGACAGAGCGAAACTCCGTCTCAAAAAAAAAAAAAAAAAAAAAAACAAAAGTAAAAGTTAAATAAAGATATTTGTTTAAGTGACATAGAAAAAATATTTTTATTAGCCTATAACATGTCAAGAGTGAATTGTCTGATCTCTAAAGTATACCTTAAAACAAAATAATGTAGAACTAGCAACATAAGAGAGAGAAAATTCAATTACACGACATACTTGATTAACCATAGAAAGGGCACAGACAGAGGGAAAAAAAGCAGGAAGTCAGATAGAAAACAAAAACATAATGACAATAATAAACATGCCCAAATATAAGTAATTGCCAGATTGTTATGATCTGGCAAGGATAGAATTATGGGATCCCCTGTAAGCCTTTGCTATCTTAAATGGGCATGGTAATACAGTTCTTTTTTCCTAGGGTGATGTCAGAGGAGTCTATAAGGTAAAGAGTCAGATTTTAACCACTGCCCGGTAGAAATGATACCTCCACTTTGATGTCAGTAGAGGCCAAAAGGAAACCATTGTGATGCACTCACTACCTCGGACAGTAATGAAGTGGCATCCCTCCTCATTCCCCTGGTGGAGTGGTATCAGAGGAAGCCAGCTAAAACCGATGGTTTAAACAAGGTCCAGAATCACCTACCATAATATCCCAATCCCCAGGTTTTAATTTAAAAAAAAATTCATCATACTGAGAAACAGGAAGATAAAAAGTTAAGTGAAGAAAAGATGATCAATAAATGCCAACTGAGTTGACAGAGATGTTAGAATTATGTCAGATATTTCTAACATTTTATATTAGCCATTATAAAATGCTTCAACAAATTAATACAAACATGCTTGTAATAAATGAGAAAAATGGACAGCATCGGCTAAGACAGAAAGCTCAACAACAACAACAAAAAACTATAAAGAAGAACCCATCAGAACCTTTAGAACTGAAAAATATAATAAATAAAAATGTATAGATAAACTCAAAACAAAATTTAGATGCAAAGGAAAGAATCTGTAAACCTGAAAATAAAACAATAGAAAAAATCCAGTCAGGATGGCAGAGAGAAAACAGACTGGAATAAAATGATGAACAGAGCCTCAAGAACCTACATAACTATAAAACATATTTAACATTTGTTGCATCCTAGTGAAGAAAGGAGAAAAGAAAGAGTGTGGAGCTGAAAAAGTACTTAGAAAAGTAGTGGCTGAAATTTTTCAAAATTTGGTAAAAGACATAATTCAAGAAGCAAGGAAAACTACAAAATGATATTTAAACTTCTGGAAACTAAAGACAAAAAAATTTTTTTTGAGAGCAGTGAGAGAGAGAAAAACAACACCATACCTGTGAATAACAAATAATTAGAATGACAGCAGAGTTCCCATTAGAAACCACAGAAGCCAGAGGGAAGTTGCACAACATTTTTCAAGTGTTGAGAGAAAAGCTTGGTCAACTCAGTATCTTATATCCACTGAAAATAGCCTTCAGAAATGAAGGGAAAAACCAAGACATACTCAGGTAAAAAGTGGATAAAAGAATTTGTCACCAGCAGACTTACTCTACGAGAATAGCTAAGGGAAGTTCTCTAAACAGAAAGAAAATGATAAAACAAGTAACCCTAGAACATCTGGACAAAGAAAGAATGTGGTTGGATAAACTAATCTAATAGACTCTCTCCTTTTCCTCTTGAGTTTTCTAAATAATGTGTGATATTGCAGCAAAAGTTATACCTCTGATATATGAAATATACCAGATAATATATGTGTAAAAATATGAGACAATTCCATTGTAAACTGGGGAAGCTAAGGTGGCACAAAAGGAGGGATGATTTCTGTATTCACTCAAATTTATAAAGTATCCTTTGGGAGGTTGAGGTAGGAGGATCACTTGAGGCCAGGGGTTTGAGACCAGCCTGGGCAACATAATGAGATCCTTATCTCTATAAAAATATTATTTTTTAAAAAAATTAAAGTTTTAACACATGTAGACTGCGGTAAGTTATGTGTGTATAATGAAATACCTAGAGCCATCACTAAAAAACCTGCATAAAGAGGTATGCTGAGAAACACTATTGATAAATCAAAATTAAATTCTAAAAAAGGTTTTAAGCAACTAACTAAGGAGCATAAAAGCAGAAAAAAAATAAAAAGCAGATAGGAAAAACAGAAAACAAAGAAGTAAACGGCAGACATAAGCCCTTATCTATCAGTGATTACTGATATTATGATAACAAAGATTATAAAATATAAATGGCCTAAATGTACCAATTGAAAGACATTAATTGCACTGGATTATAAATCATGACCTAACTATGTGCTATCTATAAGAAATTCACCTCAAATACAATGCTATATGCAGACTGAAAGTAAAACGATGGAAAGGTGTATTATGCAAACATTAACCAAAATAGAGCAAGGGTAACATGATATCAAGTACAGCAGATATATCCAAAACAAATAAAATTACCATAAGCAGAGAGAGATATTATATATACAAAAATATATAAACAGGGATCAAATTATATAAAAATTATATAAATATTCAATTCATCTGGAAGTCTTAGTAATCCTAAATGTACATGTGACTAAGAACAGGGCTTAAAACACACAAAGCAAAACCTGATAAAACTGCAAGGAGAAACGACAAATCCACAATTATTTTTGAAAACTTTGACAACTTTCCCCCAGTTGTTGATAAAACAACTGGAAAGAAATTACCAAGTATGCATAAGAACTCAATGACATTATCTCAACAAGCGTATCTAATTGACACTTACAAAACACTCCACCCAATAACAGTAAAATACATTCTTTTCAAGAGTTCACAAAACATAAGCCAAGTTACACTATATTGTGAGCCATAAAACAAACTTCAACAAATTTAAAATAACTGAGATCATACAGATTGTTTTCTAATCACAATAGAACTGAATTAGACATCAATTATTTTGAGGTTAGGAAAATTTCCAAACACTCGGGAACTCAGGAACAAACAAATAACCCAGGGGTTAAAAAGGAAATCTGGAAGCAAGTGTCAAAAACTGTGAAGAGTTTGAGATACTACCCTAATTAAAAAGCTCACGGAAGTGTTTTGCTCTTTCATGGATACTAACAGAAAAGGAACAAACAAGAGTGTCAGACAAGGACAGATTCTCTCAGCATGGCAAGCACTGTGAGCATCTAGGATGTATTCATTCCCTTTGTCCTCTAAGTCCCATAGGATGACGCAGCAGCCCAGGTTGATGCTGTGCATGATGCGGGTGTAGATCAGAGCTGAGTAGCCCTAAGGTTAGGGAACTTGAATATTTTGCAGGGGTTGAAAGCAAACCTACCCCTTGCCTTGGAGGGAGGCATTATCTTTATTAGACTAGAGAGCAAACGCACCTCTGGAGCAATAGGATCTCTAGATTTTATGGCTGTTTGCTATTTAAATATACGTGAATACCTAGTCTAAAACAAAGGGGCTTACTTACAAGATGTATAGGAATATAAGAGATCCAAGGCAAATTTTACCTAACAGAGGAACCATCACCACTTACATAAAACATTGCACTAGATGTTTTAGTGACCACAAAGGGTTAAAGTAAACAAATGACAATCTTTGCATAGGAAAGCAAAATTATTAGTGTATGACATGATTGTGAACATATAGAATCTGATGAATATGTATACATATTAGATTTGAGTAAATTTAGCAAGATAGCTGGATTTAAAGTCAATGTGCCAAAATCAATTTTATTTTTATATTCTCATTACCATTAAATAGAAATGAAGCTGAAAATATAACACCATTTAAAATAGCATTGAAAAGATCAAATATCTAAGGACAAATCTGATAAAATATGTGAAAGTCCTCTATAATAAAAATGACAAATAAAAACAACACACAACACAATAGTGGGGAATATAAAAAGAACAACATATACCATGATTATACTTCGGAAAACTTAGTATTGCAAAAATGTCAATTTTACCCAGATGGATTTAAAGATTCAACACAGTTCCAAAAAAAATCTGTGTGTGTGTGTGTGTGTGTGTGTGTGTGTGTGTGAATTGTAAAATGTACATGGAGTTTCTAATTCTCAAGATAGCCAAGGAAACTTAGGAAAAAAAAAAAAACAAAGACAGAGAGTTTACACTAGCAGATATCAGGACTTGTTACTAGACTACAGTAATTAGGATAATTTAGCTTTGTTGCAAACATAAACCCACAGCAGTAAAAAAGAAAAGAACATTCATATACTGTAATTATGACAAAGGCATCCCTGAAGTTACAGTAAGTGGGGAAAGAAGATATTTTCATTGAAAGTTGAGTTTATTGAATATGAAAAAATGAACCTTAACCCTTAGCTCACAATATAAACAAAAACCAATTTTAGGTGTATTGTGCCTTGTAAAATAATATGACTATAATAAGAAAACATAGAAGAACATTTTCCTGAACTTGTGGTAGCAAAATATTTCTGAAACAAGAACACAAATACGTTGATCGAAAGAAAATAATAAGTTGGATTGCCTTAAAATTAAGAACTTCTGTTCAGCAAAAGACACCTGGCGGGGATGAAAAAGGTAAGGGCAGACCCCTCAAGCCCTTACTATCCCCATGAGGATACCTGAGGCAGTGTTGACTTCCCTCAGATCTCTTTATAAACAAGACAACTGTTATTTGTTAGCAGCAGGATAACCCGTGGGACTCTTAACCCAAACTATTTTAGCAAGATATACTTCTCGGTCTAGAGTGTTGTAAATAAACCTGAATTTGTGGATCTAAGAATTACATGTGGGTGGATGTACTCATCTCAACTCTCCTGTCTCCTTCCTCCTCTGAGCTGGTGTGCACCACACATATTATTAGTCTTTTGTTAGAATAACCAGAACTAGTTCTTTGGTTCTATAAAAATGCACAATAAAATGTGCCTTTAAAAATAAAAGGGGCGATTAGGAAAAGGTGGTGAGCCTCTGTTAGAGAGGGTTGCTACAGCTGCATGTGCTTTTTACTTGAATCCAGGAAACCATTAAGCAATTTTTGTTAGGTGAGATGTCTGATCTGTATGAATCTTTTTTGACAGTTCAACCCTTTGGATAATACACACCACTAAAAGAGTATGAAACAGAGCAAGATAAGATATTTGTAATACATATACCTGAAATGTACTAGTATCCAAAATATATGAGGTATAGAAAGTATGGCTACAAATCAATAAAAAAAAAGTCCATTAGCCCAATTTAAAAAGTGGGAAAATGGTATTTCTAGTTCTACATCCTTGAGGAATCACCACACTGTCTTCTACAATGGTTAAACTAATTTACACTCCTACCAACAGTATAAAAGTGTTCCTATTTCTCTACATTCTTGCCTGCATCTGTTGTTTCCTGACTTTTTAATGATCATCATTCTAACTGGAGTGAGATGGTATCTCATTGTGGTTTTGATTTGCATTTCTCTAATGACCAGTGATGATGAGCTTTTTTTTCATATGTTTGTTGGCCGCATAAATGACTTCTTTTGAAAAGTGTCTGTTCATATCCTTCGCCCCCTTTTTGATGGGGTTGCAAAAAATTATAAATCATTCTACTATAAAGACAAATGCACAAGACTTGGAACCAACCCAAATGTCCACCAATGATAGACTGGATAAACAAAATGTGGCACATATACACCATGGAATACTATGCAGCCATAAAAAAGAACGAGTTCAGGCCCTTTGCAGGGACATGGATGAAACTGGAAACCGTCATCCTCAGCAAACTAACGCAGGAATAGAAGACCAAATATCACATGCTCTCATTCATAAGTGGGAGTTGAACAATGAGAACATATGAACACAGGGAAGGAACATCACATACTGGGGCGTGTCTGAGGGTCGGGGAAAAGGAGAGGGAGAGCATTAGGACAAATACCTAATGCATGTGGGGCTTAAAAAGTAGATGACGGGTTGATAGGTGCAGCAAACCACCATGGCGCATGTATAAACCTGCACATTCTGCACATGTATCCCACAATGTAAAGTAAAAAAAAAAAAATTAACAAAACAAGGAAAAAAAAAGTGGAAAAAGAGACCAAAAAAGTTATTTCATAGAGGAGGGTATCCCAGTCACCAATATGTGCATTGTGATGGTGCTCAACTTCACTAGTTAACTAGAAAGTATGTATTGAAATCATAACGCAATAGTCCTAAAACACACCAACATGCAAATGAAACAGACAAAGGAAAAAACAAGCACTTACCAGAAAAGATGTGGAACAACTGGGGTGCTCATATGTTGCTGGAGGGGTTATAATTTGATACATGCACTTTGATAAATTGTCCAATATTATCTAGTAAAGCTAAACATAAGCCTGCTGTATGTGACAGAAATTCAATCCTTAGTTATATATCCCACAGAATTCCAGCTTGTGTTCATCCAAAGACATACTAGGATGTTCCTGCAAAACTGTTTTTTATTGCCCAAAATTGCAAACAAACCTGAGTATTCATGTCAACATGGTTGAAAAGGATTATCACAAATATGATATTGAGCAAAAGAATCCAGAGAATTCTGGCCGGAAACATACTGTATGACGCCATTATCACGAATTTTAAAAAGAAGCAAACTTACCTTATGATGGTAAGCCACCACATGAGGATGGTGGCTGCCATTTTGGGAGGGGTGAGAAATCATTGGAGAGAGACACGTGGGGCTTCCAGTGTTTGATCACAATTCCTTTCTTGATGTCAATGCTGGCTGCTCAGGTGTTAAATATGTGACAGCTCATCATGCTATCTGCTTATGGTTGACACAATTATGTACACATGCTCTCTATAAATTAAATTTCTATTAAGCTTTTAAACAACAGAAAATCCTCAATTAATATCTTAAATATTGTTGTGAAATAATAGAGTAAATTTACAGCACAAATAAAGTAAAATAAAGTGTAAGTCATTGTTAGAACTTAATCTCAGGAAATACCTTTTAAAACCTTCAACTACAGAAAAAAAATTAACTAATTTGATATATAAAAATACAAAATTACCAAAAGAAGTCAAACCATGGGAAAATTATATTTTATAAGGCAGGGAAAGAGTTGATCCCCTTATAATATTAAGAAGTATTTGATGGCCTGGTGCATTGGCTCACGCCTGTAATCCCAGCACTTTGAGAGGCCAAGGCGGGTGGATCACGAGGTCAGGAGCTCAAGACCAGACTGGCCAACGTGGTGAAACCCTGTCTCTACTAAAAGTACAAAAATTAGCCAGGCGCGATGGCAGGCGCCTGTAATCCCAGCTACTCGGGAGGCTGAGGCAGGAGAATCGCTTGAACCTGGGCGGCAGAGGTTGCAGTGAGCTGAGATCGTGCCACTGCACTCCAGCAGCATGGGCAACACAGTGAGACTCCACCTCAAAAAAAAAAGAAAAAAAAAGAAGTATTTGAACTTACTGTAATTATATCAGAGAAAATAGTTACATTATAAAATGTGCAATTCATAAAAAATAAGGCAATAGAAATGTAAACAAATGTATGATCTCCACTATAAGAATGATGTAAGAACGGGCGCGGTGGCTCATGCCTGTAATGCCAGCACTTTGGGAGGCCGAGTTAGGCAGATCGCTTGTGGTCAGGAGATCATGACCAGCCTGGCCAACATGGCAAAATCCTGTCTATACAAAAATACAAAAATTAGCCGGGCATGGTGGCGCGTGTCTATAATCCCAGCTACTCGGGAGGCCGAGGCAGGAGAATCACTTGAACCTGGGAGGTGCAGTTTGCAGTGAGCTGAGATCGTGCCACTGCACTCTAGCCTGGGCGAGACAGCAAGACTCAATCTAAAAAAAGAATGATGTAATATTTTAAACAATAAATGTCTAAGCTTTTTAATCTAACTGCCACTGTTTTGCATATATGTGTATGTGCATAAGCACGTGTGTGTGTGCACATGCATGCAAATGTGTCTATACATGTGTGTATATAAGTGTATATGTGTATACACATATATAATAGTAATCATAAAGCAGAGTATCTCAGAGTGCTGGTGAGTATATATAAATACTTGCAATTTCCTTAAAGCAAAAATAGTGATATTGAGTCAATAACTTTGCTAGATTATATATTCTTTGAGCCAAAATTTTACTTATGGAAGTGAATCCTAAGGAAAAAGCAAAGAAAGAACACAAAAAATGTAGCCACCAAGGTATTTTTTTCAATATGATATTCGTGGAAACCATTAAGCTTTCAAAAATATGAGATTGGTGAAATAATGAAACTGTTCCATATTTTAGAGTATTTGACAGCCATTAAAATACTTCTATGGAAAATCATTAATAAAATAAAGCTTCAATGAAAATAATTATATATAATTACAGCAATATATTTCTAGTAATAAAAACATATTTATAGATTAAGGTACATATAATTATGGATATACATAAAATATTAACAATTTTTTGTGTTTGTAGAATTATGGATTTTTATGTGTTTAATGTTTTGGAGTAAATATAATTTACTCTTACATTCAGAAAAATGAACAAAATAATAAAAATAACATTTGTTGCAAATATAAGACATTAATATATTAATATGCCAAATGTAGCATACCTTAATATTATTCATGTTTAAAATTCTTTCAATTTGGTAAGAAGCATGTTAAAACTATGATTTGATATACAGTAAAGGATGAGAATTAAAAAGTTGTTAATAGAAAACACAAAAATATTTCCATGAATAATAAAATGTGCATTCAAAAAGCAATTAGAAATAACTTTGGATTATAAAATGTATTTTAAATAAAAATAATAAATTATGACAAGGTTGCATGATATAAGCATTCCCACACTGGTGGGAAAAAAAAACAGCTAAATATGAAGTATCTTAAAAAATTAACAACATGTATCAAGATCCTTAAAGATCTTCTTTCATATTTATCTGATAATCTCACTTTTAAGAATTCTTTCTAGTGATTAAAAATGCAAAATGAACTGATATGCAAAGGTATTTCTTGATGTAGTAATTTTAATAACACAAGTAATTTAAGCCCAAATTATAATTATTAAATGCTTAAATGCAGCCCCCCTCAGTAAACCTGGAGAATATATTTTAATGTGATTCTTCTCCATACTATGTGATGATACAAGAAAAAAATACGTTGTTTTATAGATTACTCAAAGTAAGTAAAGATTTTTAAAAATCTCAGTTGTGCAAACACCACACATGCACACAGAAGAAGAAAATAAAAATTTTGTTAATTCTCATTGTGGAACACAAATAAACATATTTTTCCCTATGATTTTCTCAATTGTTTTATTTATTAAAAATTCCCATTACATTGAGAATTCAATACTTTGATACATAAATACATTTTCAAGTTTAAAAAATACACCCTATAAATATTTTTCTTTAAAATGCATGCTATCAGCCAGGCGCGGTGGCTCACACCTGTAATCCCAGCACTTTGGGAGGCCAAGGTGGGCAGATCACTTGAGCCTAGGAGTTTGAGACCAGCCAGGGCAACATGACGAAACCCCATCTCTACTAAAAATACAAAAACATTAACTGGACATGATGGTGCCCACCTGTGGTCCCAGCTACTCGGGAGACTTAGGCACGAGAACTGCTTGAAACTGGCAGTGAGCGGAGATCGTGCCACTGCACTCCAGCCTGGGTGACAGAGCAAGACTCTATCTCAAAGAAAAGAAAAGAAAAGAAAAGAAAAGAAAAGAAAAGAAAAGAAAAGAAAAGAAAAGAAAAGAAAAGAAAAGAAAAGAAAAGAAAAAGCATATGAATTATTCACTTGAATGAGTACTAAGACACAACCTGCATTATTAGACATGTAAGGTGTTTGGCATGTTTTCTCAATGTTGAAATGGAATGAAATCATTGAACGTAGACACTACTCTTATGAAGAATAACTGTCTTAATAGACATATCATTTAAAAATATATGGAGAAACTATGCATTTATATAGTAATACCCTAAGAATTATTGAACAATTACTAACTTAATTATAATGTGATGTTCTTTTGGTACTATGCACCATTTCCTCTGGACTGCTAACATTTTGGCTCTTGATTCTAGATGATGAACTGTAAAAGTGCTTATTTTTAGAGTGGAGTTTCTCTTTTGCTTGAATTTAAATGTGTTACAATAATATGTAGTTAGTACAGCGATAACATTTGTAACGCTAACATTTTTAATGAAACAACAAGGTGAAAGATTCAACAATAAACTTAAAAGCATATTAAATTTGGAATACCAACATCTTCAAACAATTCGTACTTAAAAATACAGTTATTTTATGTTGCTGATTTGGTCATTGACTCATGAACTTTGTATAATTTTGCCCTCATTAAAGACAGCAAGAAAAGAGACATCAGACAAAACTAAATGTGCCTTGACAGATACTTTTAATTTCAAGACATTTGTTATCAATGCACATATTTATAAAATATACTCTGTAATGATACAATGTAAGGGGGTGGATTGCAGATTTTGGAAAAGAGTCTAAAATGCAGTTTGAATATGCTCTCAAAATTAAAAATTTTGAGTGAATTTGAAAAAAATAACACCACTTCTAATATTTTGGAATCACTCTTCGTTGCATGGTATTTTTGCAGCATTTCCAACCAGGAAAGAGTAATCAAATTTAAAGTTATCTTGCTCAGCTGGATCTATTCATTGCAAAGACACATTCAGCATTTTCTTAGAACTGATCTTGTCCGTAAGCAAAACTATACCTCTCGGTAAAACTAAACCTTACGGTAAAACTAAAACAAAACAAAACAAGACACGACTTCATCCAGGAGAGACAAGAATGCTAACCTTCTTGTCTCGAACTATTCATACATTCGATGACTAAGAGAGCTAAACCATCTGTCATGGGAACACCTGCAAAAATGATGGTTTTTTTTCCTCTGTACAAAAGGCTTAACCTGTTCCATGGTATGACAGAATGAAAAAGTCTTCATTTTATTTGATTTTTGAACATTAGAATGATTAAGGGATGGGTTATTGAGACGTGTGTTGTTTAACTTCCAAGTATTTGAATATTTTCCAGATATATTTTGTTACTGGTGTAACTTCACTATGGTCAGAAAAATATTCTATAGGAAAATATTCTGTAGGAATATAAAAGTTTACAATTTTTAAAGTTTTATTTTCTAAGTTGAGATCGATCTTGGTGTATGTTCATGAAAAGAATATATATCCCACTGTCACTGAGCAGAGTGTTAGTTGATAGTGTTATTCACCTATCTATTATTCTCAATAATAATCTATCAAGTTGTTCTGCTGATTATGAGAAAGAGGTGTTGAAATCTCTGACTTTAATTATGGATTGGTCTACTTAGCTTTTCAGTTCTATAATTTTTTATTTCATGTATTTTGAAATACAAGCCCTGTTGTTATGTGTCACACATTTAAGATTGTTAGGTTTTCTTGATAAATTAGTCCTTTTATCATGACTTGTATTTATTATCATTGGTGTATTTCAGGTTCTAAAGTCCAGCCACTTCACCTTTCTTTTGGTTAGTGTCAGCATAACATTTTCAATGGTATAGCTTTTAAGACTTTTAACACTTTTGAGAAAATGTCTTATAATTGCATATAGTTTGATCTTGCTTTTATACTCAATATAAAAAATCTGTCATTTAATGGGCGGGCTTATACCATTTATATTTAAGATAATTATTGATATGATCATATTTAAACTTAGTATCTTATTACTTTTTTATTTTGTTTTGTTTTTATCTATTCTGTTCTCTTTCTCTTTTTCTGCCTGCTTTTGGATTAATTGATTTTTTTATGATTCAATTGTTTCTCTACTACAACTTATAAGCTACAAATCTTTTTTCCATTTTTTTGATCTTACCTTAGGGCTTACAATGTAAATCTTTAATTTATCACCATTCAATTTCAAAATAATTATACTGTATGTATAAGAACTTCATAATTACTCCCTCCCAAACTTTGTGCCAGTGCTGTCATATGTGTTAAAATATGTCTTATAAACTACTCAAAACATTGTTACTATTCTTTACCAAATGTTAACTATCTCTTAAATAAATGAAAAATAAAAATATGCACTTTAAAATTACATTCTGTTTGCCATTTGAAGCTATTCATTCCTTTGTGTAAACCTAAATTTTTATGTCTGATTTTGTTTCTTGTAACTAAAGAAACTCCTTTCATATTTCTTTAAGTTCAGATCTCCAGGCAATGAATACTCTTATATTTTTTCAGGGGAAATATGTTATTCTACCTTCATTTTTGAAAAATATTTTCACACAACATAGAATTCCAGGGTTTCAGATTTCGTTTTTGATACTGTCAAAAGGCTGCTCTGCTGTTTTGTTTTATATAATTTTTTATTAGAAGTATGACGTATTCCTTATCTTTGTTCTATACATAATGTGTCTTTTTTTCTCTGTCTTCAAACATTTCTCTTTATCTTTGCATCGTAGCTCTTTGAATATTACATATTTAGGCTTTTTACCTCCTTGGTGTTCTCTGAAATTATTGGATCTGTGATTTGATTTCATCATTATTTCTGAAAATTCTCAATCATTGTCTCTGCTATGGCTTCCCTCTCTCTTCCCTCTGGTATTCCAAATATAGTGGCCTGTTTTTTATCATCCACCACTCTTAAGTACATCTTTAAAAAAAATTCTCATTTTTCTTTTTGTGTTTCAGTTTGGATAATTTCTGTTGTCCTATTTTCAATT
Source organism: Homo sapiens (assembly GCF_000001405.40). Classification (NCBI taxonomy): domain Eukaryota; kingdom Metazoa; phylum Chordata; class Mammalia; order Primates; family Hominidae; genus Homo; species Homo sapiens. The sequence goes on from NC_000007.14 coordinate 52,052,366, forward strand.
TTACTTATTTTTCCTTCAGCTATTTTGTGTCTAATAATAATTTCATAAAAGGAATTCTGACACAATTTTTATTTCTAGTACTCCCATGATATGATTTTTATAGTTTTTAAAGATCTGTTCAAATTCCCCATTTAAATGCATGTTTTCTAAAGATTTTGCTATATATTTATTTCTGGGTGATCTCTGAATCTGGTTGTTTGGATTTCTTTTTCTCTTGACAATGGAATGTTTTTGCTTGCTCTTTTTTTTTTTTTTTTTTTTTTGTATCATAGTGTTTGACTCTGTATGCCAGGCATCATGCTATAGGAAAGGTGCACACAGTAGTTTTACTTGGAAATGGGCACATTGTTCTTCTGTTCAAGCCAGTAGTGTGTGCTTGTGTGTGTGTGTGTGTGTGTGTGTATGTGTGTGTATGTTGTCAGTTTTTGAGATGGGTTTAGGATCTGTTAGTAGAGTGAGGGCTTCGGGATCAGAGGAGTTTTAGCAATTTTTTGCAATTTCACCTTTTAGCTTTTTTATATGCTTATGACAAAGAAGGCACTCCACTCTTTCCCTGATCCCAGAAGTAAACTGTTGTTACTTTTTTTTATTAAATAAACTGTATTTTTCAGAGAAGTTTTAGGTATACAAAAAATTGAACAGAAAGAATAGAGAGTTCCCATATACTCTAATGTGTATGTGTGCACACACACATGCTCCACATACACATGCTACAACTACACACAGTTTCCCTATTATTAGAATCAGTTCAGTTTATTTGTTACAATGGGTGGGCAAATATTGATACATTAGTTCATTCTCTGTGTGGTACTTTCTGTGGGTTTTGACAAATGTATAATTACAGATCTCTGGCACTACAGGATGCTAACAGTTGCCCTGTTCTAAGAATCCTCTATGCTCCTCCTAGTCATCCCTCCTTCCCTACCTCCCTCCCTCCCTCCCTCCAGATGCTTGGCAACTGCTGACATTTTTACTGTCTCCATAGTTTTGCCTTTTCTAGAATGTCATATATTTGGAATCATACGGTATATCATCTTTTCACATTTGCTTCTTTTGCTTAGCAATATGCATTTAAGATTCTTCCATGTCTTTTCATAGTTTAGTAGCTGATTTCTTTTCATTGCTGGTACTACTCCCTTGTATGGATATCCCACGGTATGTTCATCTATTCACCTATTGAAGTACATCTTGATTGCTCAAACAGACTTTATAATTCTCAAGCTCCTCCTCACTGAGTCTGCAGAAATTCATGAATTGCAGTCTAAGTGTTCTGACAGGTGCCATCAATCTGCTTCTGCTCGTGAGTTTCTGTTCCTGGTAAGAATGGTTCTCTGTGTTCACCTGTATCCCCAATATTGAGGGCAGATGTTTGTCCTGTGACCTCAGTTCTCTGACAGGTGTAAGAGATGATGATTTTCTGCTTGTTCAGCTTTATGCTTTTCTTGTGAGGATGGGAGTGACAATCTCCAAATTCTTTACATGTCAGACTGGAAATGATACATCTGCTGCTGCCTTCAATCACTGCTTGATAGCCTCATAGTGAAAGGCAGGGGGATTCTGGATTGTCTTAGCCCACCTGCAGGTTTTGTTACTTTTTGTGTGACTGCTCCTTGAAGGTGAGGCTTCTTCTTCATTTCTCCCCCTCTTCTCTGTGGTAAACAAGCATTGCCAAATATTTGGGGCTGGTCTTTTGTGGGAGAGAATTTCATGACTCTCCCTTACTGATATGAAAGCTCGAATAGTACTGGTATAGGTGCTGGATCACAGAAGTGTTTCTGTTCCTTCTCTAAGGGTGGAAGGACTTTTATTTTGCTGTCTCCCATCAATGATGGATCTTTACATGACAAATTTGTCTCTTCTCCGCTCTGTGCTTAATTTTTTTGTTTGCTCTATATGAGACAGGGCAGCCGGAATAGGGATGGTGTCATACCTTTCCTACAATGGTGACTGATCCTTGCAGAAGACTTTCTCTGGACCTCAGCTCTGCTCCTATTCTTCTTGTGATCATCCAGTTGAGGACCAATGGAAAAGAGCCTGTGAATGCACGCGAGCTCCCTTTGTGTCTGGGTTCCCTGGAGTTTCTTAACTCTCATGCCAGCAAACAGACAGTCTTCAGCAACTCTTAAAAATGTTAGCTGCTTTCTTTTCATCCACATATACGGCAACCATTCTTCACTCCTGCACTGTGTCTCCAGTGATCTTGCCTCTCCTTGGATTTTTGGCTGCTTGATTGCCTGCTCTCTGCTAGCTTCAGAGTATGTTATGATTTACAGGATATCCGGCTGCTAATATTGTAGCTACTCTTTCCACCTTCCTAGGCATAAGTGGAATCAGAGGCTATTTTTAATAATCTAAATTGGGTTTTAATTATGGTAGCCTCACCAGCAAGACGTGTTCAGTAACCTCTTCCGTGCTTATTCATTCCAACAACATGATGAGGGTGATAAATGTATTTTATTTATTTTCATGACAAAATGTTGAAAAAAAAGATATGGTATAACTTACAAAAATCACTACGGTTTGCTATGAGACTAAGAAGTTGAGAGAAATTCACGGTAAAGGATAATAAGGTGAAGAATATCATAAGGCCTTATATAATTGGTATAGATGGAAGAGCAAATAAATTATGTCCCCAAGAGAAGAACAAACCATTTTCTCAGGAAAGGAACACAGAAATTTGAAGGAAATTACTCCCGTGAGTCCTCATAAAGAGGCACAGTGTGACATAGTAGATAACAACCAAAACAGCATCCCCAAACTAAATACATGTTTTATGGTGTTATGTGTTTCTTACCTGTTCTTCTACGGAAGTCGAGGGCATGATACCAAACCCCAATTCAGTAAAAGTACTATATAAAAGAAGCAAAAACTCCTACAAAAACAAACAAATCCACATATGCATTCTCTTTCTGGAGTTTTGAATAAGGTCTAGAATGTGGACAGGTAAGGCAGTTGAATGGACTATGCACCTTTCAAGCAACCCTCTAACCCTCTATAGATATCAGTTTCATAACTGAGATATTAGCTAATGTTGAGAAGTATGTATCCCATATATATATAATACTGTGTATATCAAAAACCCAGAAGAGAGTACAGATTATTCTGTGATGGTAATTGGGAAAAATATATACTTACATAGGCTCTTGTGAACTAAAGCACTCCAAATAATTATGAAGCCTGAATATATGGTCCTTCCAAGTTTGCATTATTAGGAAATACTGAAGAAACATGTGTGAAGAGTCCAGATTCCCCTGCTACATGGGAACCTGAGGGTTTAAAGCCCTAAGTGGTGATTCTATGAACCTTACATGAGTGTCGTGTAAAAAACGGGCCATAGTGTATTTTAAATTTTTCATTAAATCTGAAAATTGATATATTTTTATTCAGTTTGCAAATGTGACCCTCTGTATTGGATTCTCCTTTGTAAGTGTAATAATCTATATTTATATCCCTTCTATGTGGTTTCCTGTAATCACTCTAACAGAACTGGAAGCCCCTATATGAGAAAAAGGGCATCATTATTTTCAAAGTACCTAAACCTGTGTCTGACAGAAATGACTTCCCTAGATGAAGTGGGAAAACAGAACTTTGCCTACTGTACATTTACAATAATATACCCTTTGGTTGAGACATGGCACGGAAATTAAACATACTTTGGACCTTGTATTTTTTAGTGATAAATGAAGATACAATTAGCAAAGCTAAAAGGATAATATCAGTTTATACCAGTCCATCACTTTTACTGTGAGAAATCATTATTTTTTGATGAAGAACTAATACAACCACACAGACCACTTTAGGTGATATTTGGAAAGTTGAAGTCTTTATGTTTAAGGCATAGATGGTAAACACCTCAGTCTTTCTATTAGAAGCGGAAAAAGCACCTTGGAGGAATAAAATTAAAACTCTGTCCAGTGGAAACATTTTCTTTTCTTATTATTTCTCATCTACCTCTAAGCGGCACAGTAAGATAATTAAGCACTAGGATTGGCCAAAATAACAAAAATGTTATTTTTTGAACTGTCAAATTTCACTTTAAACACTATAACTTATTCAACTTATTATGTAGAGAAAAACTTCGCTTTGACACAATTAAGTCATGTATATGATAAAGAAAAAGTCCATGTGGAAGAAAGAGTAGAGATTAGCATATTTCTGCCATTGTCTACACATTTGAAATGGAAGCATTCTGTCAAATTTCAGAATAAGTGAGTGTCCAATGCCAACAAATCAGTACTTGACATGAAATAGGGTTGACAAGTAACTATTAGAGATGTGCATTTTTATTAATTAGACAGTGCTCTGACAAGATTTCATCCAGCTGACAGCAGGTTAGAATTTCAGTTCCTATATTTTCTAATGCTAACTGTACCTCAAACACTACAGATAGGCCTGGGAAACCCTCAAATCATTTGGCAAATTTTTAACAATAGTCTGTAAAATAGGAAAATCAATCACGTCTGACTTCACAGCAGCAGCTTGAAGAGGAATGACCTAAGTGCTAAAGAAAACACTATTATTGACTGTGCTGATAATATTAATAGAATATCACCACATCTTAAGAAAATACAGATTGTGACAGTTCTCAAGCCTCAGAATGAATCTAAATGAGGATTTTCTCATATGGAAGAAATGAGAAGATATGTCATAATGTTTTTGAGTATTTCAGGGGAAGCTGCCAAGAAGAATCCCGGTATGAAGTCTGGAACAGGAAGTTAGAGACCAACATTAAGGGCCAATAGGGTTCCAAATATTTATGTTTTTTTGTTTGTTTCTTTTTGTTCCTTTCTACTTCTTGAATGTTTCAGTAAGATTATCTTTCTTCTGCCATAAAACACCTTTACTACATCCTTTAGACCAGATGTGTGGGTCACACATTTTTTCTTATTTTTTTTTTTGGTCTGAATTTTTTTTCTTCTATCCTCATTCTGGAAACATATTTGTGATGGATTTGGATGCTAGATTGACAGGTTTTTTTTCTACTACCATTATATTCTCTCTCTCTCTTTTTTGTTTTACCATGAAAATCAGTTTTCTTCTTTGATCTGGAACATGTAAATATACACAAACTTCTGAAATAAACATAAGATGTTAAGTTAAATATTTTGTAAACCTTAGCTTTACACCCACCTTCCCCCATCTGCAAAAGTATGGTTCTCTTCTGGGATAGGGGACTAGGAGTGGGTTGGTGAATATGCAATTTCTGAAAGATCTCATTTTGTAAAGATAAATATTTCTTTTTTAAATTATACTTTAAGTTCTGGGGTACGTGTGCAGAACATGCAGGTTTGTTACGTAGGTATACACATGCCATGGTGGTTTGCTGCTCCCATCAACCCGTCATCTACGTTAGATATTTCTCCTAACGCTATCCCTCCCCTTGCCCCCGACTCCCCAACAAGCCCCCGTGTGTGATGTTCCCTGCCCTGTGTCCATATGTTCTCATTGTTCAATTCCCACTTATGACTGAGAACGTGCAGTGTTTGGTTTTCTGTTCCTATGTTAGTTTGCTGAGAATGATGGTTTCTGGCTTCGTCCATGTCTCTGCAAAGGACATGAACTCATTCTTTTTTATGGCTGCATAGTATTCCATGGTGTACATGTGCCACATTTTCTTTATCCAGTCTATTATTGATGGGCATTTGGGTTGGTTCCAAGTCTTTTTACAGAATGGGAGAATATTTTTGCAATCTAACCATCGAACAAAGGGCTAATATCCAGAATCTACAAGGAACTTAAACAAATTTACAAGAAAAAAACAAACCCATCAAAAAGTGAGCGAGGGATGTGAACAGATACTTTTCAACAGAAGACATTTATGTGGCCAACAAACATATGAAAAAAAGCTCATCATCATTGGTCATTAGAGAAATGCAAATCAAAACCACAATGAGATACCATCTCACGCCACTTAGAATGGTGATTATTAAAAAGTCAGGAAACAACAGATGCTAGAGAGGTTGTGGAGAAATAGGAACACTTTTACACTGTTGGTGGGGGTGTAAATTAGTTCAGCCATTGTGGAAGACAGCATGGTGATTCCTCAAGGATCTAGAGCTAGAAATGCCATTTGACCCAGCAATCCCATTACTGGGTGCATACCCAAAGGATTATAAATAATTCTACTATAAAAACATATGCACACATATGTTTATTGTAGCACTATTCACGAAATATAAATATTTCTAACAAATAATGTGACAATAAATTGTGAGGGAAAGAAGGTATGAATGGGAAGAGGCAATAGATCTAAGGTGTTTTTATCTTAAGATAATATCTCAAGATAGGTACTTGTGTCCCAACAAAATAAAATGTTTTCATAAATTATTTCCGGATGATAGAATTATTTATTTAGCTTTTCTACTTTGAATTTTCTACATAGCAGGCATTTTATTTTATACTAAAAAATGGCTTCTTAAAAATTATCTTATACTCTTTAAAGTATTACTCGTCAACAAAGATATTTTTCCTTTCCTTAATGTGCAATTTAAAATTACTCTATGTGTATTCTTTACACTTTCCCATTTTTAATTTAAGAGAAATATTAAGTAGAGGATATATATGTGTGTGTGTGCATATATATATATGTATATATGTATATATATGTATATATATATATATTTAAATTTGGGATTGTCCAACTATTTGTCTTGCTAGTTCTTCATTTTGAAGATCAACAGCCTTATGTTACTTGTGTCATAGCACTTAGGAGAAATCCACACTTATTATGGCTATTATACCTGTCATAATTAATGCAATATTGACCTAACTAGCCAATAGCATTCTGAAAACTCTTTCAAGAAAAAATATTGATGAAATTAAATGAATCTTCATGGCCAGTACTTACATTATCACTATCTACTTTGCATTTTCAGTATTCATTTATCCTCTGTTCAAGAAGACCGGGTTTGATCATTTGTTCAATGCTTTGGGCAAATTTGGGTTCAGGTAAATATTCTAAATTATGTAATTTTTTTGATATTCTTGGCAAACAAGTTATGTTTTTTCATGTTCGGTTTCATATCAATGCTAACACTTTCTATACCTATAAAAAGTAGTTGTGGATTTATTTTTATATTTATGTGAAAATAAAAATCATCTGCAATAAGAGTTGCTGTATCAAAATAGTTAATTCTTGAGAATTGCCTGCTGTGTACTTCAGAATTTTCAATGTTTGAATGGTCAGCCAGATATTGGATCCCACCCTGACACAAAACAAGAAATCATTTAGGGTACGCCTGAAGCCTGTGTGTGCGATTAGATGACTCTCGTTGGGGAATAGTTAGATGGACGGTCTCTAAGTAACTGATTCTAAGGTCAGAAACTTGCGCAAAAGCTAACAGTTCTTATGGTACCCTGCTTCTAATAAACTACTGCTAAGTGTATAAAAATATTATCATATCATCTCTTTCCTTTTCTGCCTTATGAATGTGTTTATATGAAGTCATTTGACAAGTTATCATTAATGAACAAATTTTCCTGTGCCACTCAGATATTTCCAGAAGGCTCATCATAAAATGAATTTGAATGATTTCTTCAGGATTCACAGGATGGTGTGATTTTAGAAACTGTAATCTCTATCTTACCATTACATTCAGCCATGATAGAGCAAGAATATCATTGATCACTTCAAATATATATAAGTGATTGCCTTACCATGACATTTGTGAAGATTACAGGCCAGTCGTTTTGCAGAATGTTTCCCATTTTTCATTTTTATTTATCATGATTTGATTCATATTGGAACTTAGCAAGAACATTACATATGGGGTACTGTGATCTTTTTGTTGCATCCCATATGGTAACATATGTTTGATTACCTACAATTGGTAATACAAATTTAATTGAAGGCTAAAAACTATGCTTAAAATACTAAAGAAATGGAAAACCAGGAGGATGCGCCTAGCATTGAAACCATATTTCTTATAGAAATGTATGACAATTCTAGTGTTTCTTTTTGGCTTCTGCTTTCAGTGGAGGCATTGAGAAGCTGACAAGCTGAGTGCAGATGTTAACCTCCTTGTGAGGCTAATGAGACAAAAATTGTTCTCAAAAAGGAGGGAGAGATGCCCTGGAATTATCATCCAACATTAAGCTGGGGCCACAAAGGGTAAGGATTATTTGAAACAGACCTTTCCTCAAAGGATTTGAAACACAGCTTCCAAGCAAATCAATCCCTGCTTTGATTAATCTAGTTTTACAAATGCCATACCTATGTACACAGAAAACTCAAAAGCCTTCTCGCTATATAAGACATTGCTTGTTTGCTCAGTTTGTTGTATACAAAGTAAAAATATGTGTAAATTGAGTATCTATATGATACTAATAAGCAGAACAACATTTTAAAAAAAGGTCACATCTTTAAATGAAGGTTCAGTAATATAAAGAAATTACTTACCTCTAGACTGATTTAGATTTATTAAAATTAACTAAAACGTTATAACTTTGTATGGAAATCAAATGCCAAAGGATGGCCAAGACATGTAATTGTCTCTTAATATTGGTTTTCATTTCTTTTGTGTAAATGGCTAGGACCGTGATTGCTGGGTTATGTAGTAAGTGCTTGTTTCATTTTCTAAGAAACTGCTAAACATTGTTCCAAGGCAGCTGTACCATTTTGCAATCCCATTTGCCAGGGTTCAGTAGTTTCAGTGTTTTAAAAATCAATTCTAATATACGAGTAGCGGGTATTTCACTGTGGTTTTAATTTGCATTTCCCTAATGCCAGGAAAATGCTTTCAAAAGAAATTCCTAAAGAATAATAAAAACATGCTTCATCCACCAAGAGATGACTGAGAGGCAGCTGGTAATAAGTATTGACTAAGTTCAACTGTAAATCTAAGACTTAAAAAAAGTATCTCTAAGGGGGAAAAGTAGTATATAAATGATAGATGATTTGGTTAAGTAGAAATAACAACTTAAAATTGGAGGAAAAGAGTGAGAGAGAAAAATGTTGTATAAGCTTATTAATTTATGACATGGATAGATAACACTCAAAGAAAATATTTAAATACGATTAAACAAAAAGTAGAAACTAAAAGAAGATCTCAGTACAGTATCAAAGGTGTTATTAAAGGCTTCTACTTGAATAAAAACATAAAGCTTTATCAGGACACAGAAAGCAATACCCCAATATATGGCATTTTGATATGCTGGGTGCTGTGAATTAAAGGTGAAAGGCCTCAGAAATAAGACTCAGAACCAAAGTCTCTCTGTGACCTTCTGCCCACTCTCTCTGATCCTCTTTCTTTCCTGAAGCAACAGAGTCCCTTGTCCTTATCTGACTAAAATCTTTATTTCCAAAAGTAACGCAATTGTCTTAAGACTCCTTTCTTAGAAATCTTATCAAATAACCAGAAAAGATTACCCACTAGAAAAGAGAAGAAACTGGAAGTCCTCATGATACCCAGATTTTTTTCATCTGTTGTTCTGAGGGCCGCTTGAGAGATTATCTGGGAGGCTTTATCTGCATAATAAAACTGCCTTTGTTCACAGTGAAGTTTCACCCCTCACTTTCCCACCACCTCCCCCAGACCACAAAAAACTTTGTCCCAGGTCCTTGTTCTTTGGGCTCATTCATTTCTCCTGAAAATTATTTACTCCTACACACCCTATATGCCCTTCCTCTATGAAGAAGCATGTACAAGCCTCTGGACCACATTGAGTTTTTGGGTTTCACTCTACTGTGATCTTCCCTCATGCACGTCAATGAAATTCTGTATGGATTTTCCTCCTACTAATCTGCCTTTTGTCAGTTCATTTTCTGTGAACCTTCAGAGGGCTGAGGGGATGCTTTTCCTATAGCTTCATATACACCAAAAAAAATTACAAGTAAAGATCAAACAATGCAAAAAAATTACAAGTAAAGATCAAACAAAGACCACATAAAGGAAAAATTACAATAAATATAATATAGTTCACAATATATTTAGGAATCTAACATATTATGGCACAGTTGATGCTAATTATATCAGTTATATTTATAAATGTTAATTTGCTTAACTCACTTGCAAAAAAATATTAAAATTGGCTCAAAACCAAATTTGATGTTATTTACAAAAGACACACCTAACACAAATTGAGAAAAAAATGAATTAGGATGGACAACACTATAGAAGTTTATGCAAGCAAATGGAAAGCATTTGATGTAATCCTGATATCAGAAAAGGGAGCCAGAATATTAAACAGTACAAAGAATATTCTGCTATTGAAAGGCCACATTTCACATTGAAGATAAAATATTTATGAATATCTATGCATCACACAACACAACATGCATTCTATAAAGCAGAAAGGATAGGTGATACAAAAATGAAAACACTAAAATTAGAATTTTAATTGAAATTTTGGCAAGATAATGCAAGCCAACAAATAACTAAAATATAAAAGACATAAACAATAAAAATCTGTAAGATTGATGTTGTGTGTATGTGTGTGAAAGATCTTTGTATTCCAATAATAGTAAGTACATGATTTTTTTCAAAACAATACTTCAAGATTTAATAGAACACACAAAAATTTTTGATAGTCAATTTTTAGGCAGGAAATCTCATCAAATTCCATGGGAGTAGAAAAAATAGTTATCACATTCAGTAAAACAAGAAAATAATAACAAAATCAAGAAAAATGTCACATATTTTAAGATTTTTTTTAACTCTATTAATCAACTTTTAGTTCTAAAGGGATATAAAATTCAAATTTCCAGATTTCTTAAAACAACAATAACATGCTACACATCAGACTCTTTGAGATAAAAATAAGACAGCTTCTGAAGAAAATTTATAAACTTACACACAGAAACACAAATGAAAGAATAAAAATAGAGAAAGAAAATGCTCAATTCAAAAAGCACAGAGAGCAAAAGAGAAAAGTAAAATGAAGAAGAAAATAACAAATGCAAAATCAAAACTGAATGACGGAGAGAATGAAAAATTGGCAGAACTACAAAACAAATCATAACATTGATTCTTAAATTTTCATTGCCATAGATAAACCAATGGATACATAAGGAAGCAAAAATGGGAAGACATAAATATTCAGATGCTGTCACAATAAGTAGGAAATAATGATTCAAAATGAAAAATATTTTTAAAATATTAGATTAATTTTATTAATTTTTTGAAAATAAATTCGGAAACAGGTAAAACTGACAATTTCTTAGGAAATTTTAGTATGCTATAATTGATTACGCTTAGAAAAGACATTTTCTACAAAAAAAAAAAAATTGAGAACATTGTTCAAGAATATCCACATGAAAATAAGCAGGCCCAGATTTTTTACACAAGAATTTTACAAAATTTTCTAAGACAGATAGTTCTAATAATACACAAAGTGTTTCAGAGATCCAGAAATGAAGAAAACTCAACTTGCCATAAACAAGTAAAATATTGATATTCTAATCTGGTAAGGATAGCAAAAAAATAAATTTTCATATAAATCACGCTTTTTTATAGTAATGTGGAATTCCTAAAGAAAATATTTGCAAACATAATCCAGTAGCATTAAAAAATACACTAATATGAAGAGGAGTTTAGGAATGATGGATTAGGAATTCATCATATTAATTCATCTAAGACAAAATAGTACAGTTATCTCTATAGAACTTGAAAAGGCCTTTAAATCTTTAAGTGCTTATTAATGTTTAAAACATCAATAAAATGGAAGTTGAAAGGTAACTCTTTAACATAATAAAATATGTTAATATACCTAGCTCAAAGCCAGCAGCTTACTTAATGGGTAAATGCTACAGGCTTTTTTGCTCCATTTTTTTAAAGCAAAAAAGTCCATTATGATGTACCATTATTTTGAAAAATTTAGTTACTATATTAAGATATGAGGAGAATAATTAGTGTTATAAAAATTTGAATTAAATTTTTAAATTTTTGTACTTACTAATAAAATAACTAGAAAGAACTAGAAATTCATTGATAAAAATTCCTTGAACAATTGTTTAAAAATTAATAAAAAATCAACAGATTTTATACAATCGAAATAAAAATTTAAGGTGAAATAAAGTAATAAAAATTGTCTTTTGTTATGGAAACAACAACAAAAATCTCTAAAATATGCTGGGAGCAGATATTACAGCAAGAAATATGAAAAACCTATACAAGAAAACATTAAAGTATCTTCCCTCACAAAAAGAAAAAAAAAGAATTGATGTATGGAGACAAGAATGCCACACAAAATCATTCCTCTTTCGCATAAGGATTATTTTGAGCTGATTATTTTGAGAAACTGCAGATACAGGAGAAGCTCTGAAAACAAAGTAGAAGATACCATTTAGTAAGGGCAATTTACATCTCTAAAGGAGATCTCCTTTTGTGAGAGTGTCTCTCTCTGTACCAGGGAGAGAAGGATGCCTCTAAATAGATTATCTTGTCAAAGGAGAAGGCACAGACTTACATCAGCATAAAAACTTTACTCTCATTTGCCATGCTTTTTCTGGTCACCTCCCCATTATTGCTCACCCTAAACATCCTTCCTTCTTTCAGTGGAAAATGGAATTTAAGCCTGAATTCAAAGCCACCTCTTTGAGATTTCCTCATTTCTCAAAGTATCTTCTACATATACATGAGATGTATGTGTATGAAACTTTCATTTATTTTTCTTTTGCTAATCTGTCTATTGTTGCAGGGTCCATTTCAAGTAAAACTATGAAAAGTAGAGGAAAATGATAATCAATATCATTCCATAATGAAAACTTTAGGCTCAGATGTTTTCAATGGTAGAACATAAAACAATATGATAAAAATAAAGCCAATTCACACAAACTTTCTCAGAAAACAGGAGAAAATGTTTCTCAGCTCCTTTTATGACACCACCATAATTTAGATACCAAAATCAAAAAAAGATACTACAAGAATAGAACATTATAAACCAGCATGTTTTATGAACACTAACAAACAAAATCTTCAATAAGATACTAGCAGTTCATAACTAGTAGACTATACAGAGAATAACACATCATACAAAAGTGGTGCTCTACCCAGCAATGCAAAGTTTTCCTAGTGTTTAAAAATCAAGGTAATTCACTGTATTTAGATAATAGAGGAGGGAAAAAAGTTATGCTCATTTAAAAAAAAACTTGTCAAAATTCAGCATCCACTCCTAATAAAATTTTCCACAATGTATGAATAAGATTACCTTTTCCTAATTTTAAAAAAAGCATTGTGGTGAGTACAATAACAGCACCACCAAAGACTTCCATGTCCTAATGCCCTAATTTCGCAAAATCTGTGAATGATATCTTACATGGCAAAAAAATATGCAAATGATATTAAAGCTAAAGTCCTTGATATAGTGAGATTACCCTGGATTATCTGGGTTGCCTAATGTAATCTTCACTCTTAAAAGTGAAGAGCCTTTGTAATTCTGCCAACAATACAAAGGAACAATAAAACAGCCCTTTCCCAAGGGTCTCCAGAAGGGAACACAGCCCTGCTGACACATTGATTTTAGCCAATGAGACCTGTTTCGGACTTCTGGACTAAATAATTTTAAAATAACTTTTTATAAAAGGTGCTAAATTCGTGGTAATATTTTATGGCAGCTATAAAGAAAACTATAGTTACTATCATACTTAAATGTAACATATTGAACATTTAGTCACCAAGATTGGAAACAATGTAAGGATGTCTGCTCTCATTATTTTATTAAGCATTTTGTGAGATTATTTACAACATGTAATCAAATAAAGAAAAAATATAAAAGTTTCCACATTGGAAAGATGTCTCCATTCGGCTACAACATAGTCTAATGCTATAAAAACTATAAACTTTTCTTTCTTAAACTAGTAAAATTTATTCTAAAGATGATATGGCTAAAAGAAACCCACCAAATATATGCAGAGAAATTCTAAAATAGAAAAAAATAATAACAAAACCAAAACCTACAAAAATATTGACACTTACATGATAGGCTTCTAATTTTTTAGAGGTAACGTAATTCTGAAACTATTTTGTATTTATTATAAAATAGAGCAAAGGAGTAAAATTACTGATTTTTTTTTTGTAACCAGTATTTTCACTATAAGAGAAAGGAAAAACAAATAATGAAAGAGAGAATTTGTGGAAAAATAGAACAGTGTTATGTTTAGATTTAAGGTGTCATAAAAACATGAATTTTAAGTGTACTTTGTAGCTCTAACTACTAAGAATATTGAGAAGCAATGATGTTCAATTAGCAATGAGAATAGCCAGATATTAGCCTATAAATATATTTCCTTTTAAAAGGAAATGAGACTTTTTAAAGAAATGCCCGATTACACATTTCAGGCAGGAAACAAATAATACAATGTGGGCAGAGAACATTTTGTTGTTTCAGAAAGCAAGAATAAGAGAATATTTTATCTTCACACACAAAAAATGCCAGCCAATACAAGTAGAATAATGGAAATAATCAGAAAAATAATTATTTTTTGCATCCGATTTAATAATTGATTCAAGCAATGTTAACTAATTACCTCTGGAAAAGATGAAAAACAGAACTTATGAAGATAAATATGACCAATATCCTCAATGAAAAAGAATACCACAACAGACTATAGATATTGAAATGGGAAGAAGCAACTGTTATAAGCAAATTTATACATATAAAATTGAAAATTATATGAAATACATAGCTTTGTAGAAAAATACAATTTACCAAAACTGAAACAAAAGAAAGAAAATCTGAGTAGCTTATATCTATTAAAGAAATTGAATCTTATTTTAAAACCTTCCTCAAAGAAATACCAAGACAAAATAAGTCCAATGATAAAGTGTAGTAAACATTTAAGAAAGAATAGCACTAATATTTACCAATTCTTCCAGAGAATAAGAAACCTGGAAGCACTTTGGATCAATTTAGAGTTCAGCATGACTTTGATATACAAAGCTGTCAAGGGCATTATGAGAACTATGGATTAGAGACTAATCTCATTCGTAAATGTAGATTGAAGACTTAAAATTAGAAAAATAAGTCCTGTAACATATAAAAAGAATGACATACTGGGAGCAAACATATTTTATTCAATAGATATAGAAATAATAATCAAAGTACTTTTATCTCCAGAACAAAAGTTCGACATAGAGGAAGAACATGGCACTATTCAGGTGCTCTCCAAGTCATAGAAATAGGAAGGAGGCATTTGAGAGAATCTTAAGAAGTGCATATATCTGTATCAAATCATATACATATCCTATGGCCCAGAAATTTTACCTTTAGGAATAAAACCAGGCATATATGCACAGAATATCTGTTCAGCAATAATCAAAGCAGAATTATATGAACTAGCCCCAAACTTGAGATAGTGCTTAGGCCTAATAGTAGGTGAATGCAGAAATCATTACTGAGCAAAAATGCAAAAGACCCACTAAAGAAATAGGAGAATTATATCCCCTTTAGGTGAACCAAAACTTAATCCATATCTCAGATTCTGCAACTATGGGTCCCAGGCTATGACAATATATTTTTAAATTTATAAGATTCTGCCAAGGAGTTGTCTATGTCATTAGATCAATTTTATTCTCTATAGTAGTGTAGTTAAGTTCTGGTTACTCCATATCCTTGAAACACTTATTATTGTCAGCCTTTTTAATTTTGGTCATCTTGTGCTCCTATTAAGGCAGCTAATTGTAGTTTTCATTCACATTCTCATGATAACTAGGATGTTGAACACCTTGCCATATAGTTTTAATGTAATTTTGGTCATTTAAGGAAGCTCACATGCTTGGTGTATGATGAGCATGGTCGAGCAGTAGGGAAAGAATGGCCCTTTCAACAAATGGTAGATGAACAGTATTTGGTGTATTAGAAAATGACATTGGACTTCTACAGCATACAATCAACTCTAGACTTAATTAGGCCAAAATAATAACAATCCCAGAATATAACGTAGTTTAGGAACTTTAGGATTGGAGACTGTTTAAAGGTGCCTTAATAACAAACATTATAGTATCAAGAGAATCATAATTTAAAAATACAATGAGGTTCAATTCGATATGATTTGATGGTCAAAATTTAAATGTCAGGAAACACTAAACAATGAGAGTGAAGTCACAGAAACTTCCATATGCTACAAAGAGGAGTATTAATTGGCACCTGCCAACTGGAATATAATTTGTCAGAATCCGTGAATGTTGAATACAAAGGACGTTATCTACTGATTTCACTCTTGGAGAGATGCCCTAAGGGTAATCTGTTAATGTGTGCTTCAGATATATGTGCAGGGATGCCCAGGATGGTCAAAAAGAAAGAAGAAACAAAAACAAATGTCCATCAAAAGAAGAACTGAAACATAAATTGTTGTACATGCATACCATCAAATACTAGAAGGAACTATAAACGTGTACATGAATGTGGATGGCTCTAGCAGTTATAATTTCATGTGAAAAAGGAAATAAAAGAATAGATAGAATGTGATTCAAATTATTGTAGCATGCAAGGACAGGAGAAAACCCAGATAAGTCGTTAAGGGAAACACATGTAGGTGATAAATTATTTTAAAAAGAAAAGTAAGAGATTATCATAAAATTCAAAAGAGTAGTTACCTATGTGGTGACCAGGGCTGTGATGGGGAAGTTACACAATGGGGGTGTCTAAGGTTTTGGGGGTAATTTAATGGGTACTCATTTCATAAAGTTTCCTAATTTAGTGTGGTTGCATTTTATTCACTTTCTTCTTGTGCACTGTATTTGACGTTAAAACATATTAGGCAACAGACAGTAACCATGGGTCGCCTGCTTCCAAAGGTGCTGCGTTCCTTCCCCTGGGCTGATGACCATGGCCCACATACCTCCAGGTCATGAGGACACAGCTCAAATTCCAGGCAGGAGCTCACGGAAAAGCTGTATTACTTCAGAACTAACAACAGGGGCCCTTCAGTGTGAGCGAACCAAATTAAGCCTCAAAACAGCATATGATTTCATTTGGGAAAATGTTTCAAAAAAGAAAATATTTAAAAGGTTTGTTTTTCTTCCCAGAATGTGGCCTCCTTACCATAGAATCAATGCTGGCATTACTTTTCCTACTACAAATTAAGGGCTATCAATAATTTTCCTGCTGTGACAATGGAAAGCAACAGAGAGACGAAAGAAAGCTCTGGACCTCTGCCCTGTGTGGGCCATTCTTGGGGTAATAAATTAGGAGTAGCAGGTATTTTTCAGAGTACCATAGAAGAAAGTAATATTTCTTTACAATTAATAATGATGACAATAACCATACAACAACGGCATAATGTTGATGGTGAGATTTGATAATTATTTACTGAAATTTCTTGACCTACCTCTGACCTACCCATGTCAAAATATTCACCACTGGGCTACTAATTTAGAACTGCCCAATGAGCAGTTAGATAAGATCTCAAATGTTGGTTTTTCCCAAATATCTATTACATAGAAACCTATTAAATGCTACACATGAGAACAGAAGTGCAGTTCTGCTGAACCAGATTGGAGGGAGAGCCCACACCACTCACTGCATTTGACAGCTAAGCTGCATCTCAGGGTTCCCCTGGTCCCTTCACAGATGCAGATGGTTCTATCTCTGTATGTGTGTGTGTGCATGTGTTCCTATATACACTGGCCAAAAATTTAAAGATGCACAACAAGTATATGACATATTTTATTAACAGTATTTAAAAACGCTAAACAAAACCATTTTTAGCATATGTCAGGGATGAATATGAGAATAGTTTACTTTGAGTTTTATAATGGTTCTATGCTTCTGGCACTTATTCATTTTGTTTAAAAACTATGTTAATTCTTATATCAATTCGGGAAAAACTTCATTACAATATGATACCTTGTATTTTTCAGTAATTTACTAAATATTCATTAGTTTTAGGATGTGTTTTTTTGAAAGATATTTTCTCATGGAACCTATAACTATACAATCTCTGCTGTAGAGACTTTAGAAGTTTAAGAACCAGTTGCCATGTTTTTCTCTCTTTTTCTTCTTTCTCTCCTCATAAACCACAGTGATGGTTGTGTGGATAAAGAAGTAAAATGTGTAATGAATTCCGATGCATTTTTACTGAAGCATGGATTTCAGGCTCACTCTGGGGGCACTTAGAGAAGAGAGCATGACAAAATGTCTTTGTCAATGTAGTGTTAAATAAGATTATGACCACATTTGGTTGCCAGCAATTCTTATAGCAACACAGTCTCTTATCTCAATATCTACTAGATATTTCAATATTTACATAAAAATATATCATCTCAATATTTACATAAAATATTTACATATATATCAATATTTACATGAAAATATATAATTTTATTACTAAAAGTTTTTACTGAGTTTACCTGTTCACACATTATCAGTAATTTTCTTAGTAAATAATTGATTTAAAAATATTTTCTTTTATATAGAATTCTTTACATCAAAGTATTGTTATGTTTTTCTAGAGGAATGATGAGTATATCAGATCTAATCTTTTTAATTTCTCTGTGTTGGTTAGATACTTAAATTAACATTTTCTATTTTAATTTTCTACTTATTTGGAATTTTGTTTTGACTTCTGATGTTTTATTTAAAATACTTTATCACAATTTTTTTGGCAATTTTGTTATGTCTTAAAAATGAAAAAAACCCATATACACATGCATGGTTCTGCACACAACACAGGATAGCGAATGGGAGCACAAATACCACACAGAAGCCGACCATGATACACCAACCACAGATAACTGTAGGATTAGAACTCTATGGCAGCAGGAAGATGTCTGTGCATCAGGTAACCTCATGATCTTTAGCCATATTTGTATGTTGCAATGGTTCATTTCATGTGTCCAGTTGGCGGGGCTACGGAGTGCTCAGATATTTGGTTAAAACTTGTAGTTTCTGTGAGGGTGTTTCTGGATGAAATTAACATTTAATTGAGTAGATCGAGTGAAGAAGATTGCCCTTCCCAATGTGGGTGGGGCTCTTCCAGCTTGTTGAAGGCCTGAATAGAAGGAAAATACTGCCTAAGAAGGAAACTCCTCTGTCTGACTGGCTGAGCTGGGACATGGGTCTTCAACACATCAACTGGGGCTGACACCATTGTCTCCCCTGGTTCTCAGGCCTTCAGGCTTGGACTGGAACTGTGCCACTGTCTTTCCTGGGTTTCCAGCTTGCAGACAGCGAATTGTGGGACTTCTTTGCCTCCATAACCATGTGAACTAATTCATCATAATAAGTCTGTTAATTAGATCAGTAGATAGAGAGACAGAGATTCTGTTGGTTCCGTTTTTTTGGAGAACTCTGACTAATATAGATATATGTTATCTTACAAAGCTATATACACAGGTATACTTTATTTTCTCTAGGCTTCATCTATTTAAAGCTCTAATTATATAGACAAAATATAAATAATTTTCTTGAATAATATCATTATTTTGTTCTGGAAAATTTTATTGTTAAAAATATACCATGTCAACAATAAAAAGCAGCAGCGCAGCTCATTTTTTCTTTCTTTTTCCCTCTCTTTCTTTTTTTCCTTTCTTTCTTTCTTTTTCTTTCTTTCTTTCTTTCTCTTTCTTTCTTTTTCTTCTTTCTTTTCTTTCTTTTTCTTTCTTTCTCTCTCTTTCTTTTTCTCTCTCTCTCTTTCTTTCTCTTTCATTTTCTTCCTTTCCCACTCCTCCTTCCTTTCTTTTTTCTTTTTGCATTGAATTATCTCTTTCCTAAAAAATAATGTTTCTTGCAGATAGGTCACTGTTTGCATAAACTAGCCCTAGGTAGCAGAAATTTAGAGGAAAAAAAAATGAATACTTGACAATACATTTGCTGTTTACTTACACTGTTTCAATGGAAATATGAGATTTAAAAATTTCACTTCACCAATTTTACAGGATTAGTGTACATCAAGCTCTAGAGTACAGATCACACTTTGCAGTCCTATATCCTTGATATTGTTTATTGGTTATGCCACTTAGTAGCTGAGTAGAAACACAATAGGAAACCACTATATATACCCCAGAATAACTAAAATTAAAAGTACTACAAATACTTATGTTGGTGAAAATATGTAGCAAAAGGAATTCCTGTACACTAGTGGTAGGAGCACAATTTGTTATAGTCACTTTGGGAAACAATATATAATTGTCTATTAAAGTTAAACATAAGCTTACCCTACAGCCTAGATATATATCCAAAAGAAATGCATGCACATATGCACCAAGACGTGCAAAATCACAGGTAGCAGCATTATTTGTAATAGCACAAAGCAAGAAGCAACCCAAATGTTCACCAACAGTAGAATGGATAAACAAATTAGTGCACATTCATGCAATTGAGCAATGAAAAAGCAATGAAAATGAATGTGCAATAACCACACACAAAGTAATATTGAACAAGTGAAGCCAAAAGAGGATATGAATTTATAATCCTATTTAAGTAATCATCAAATAGAGAGGAAACTATAGTGTTAAAAGGTAGGATGCGAGCTACATTCTGAGAAGAAACATAAGCAGTGATTATGAAGGGACATAAGGAGGCTTCTGGATGGTGGCAATATTCAGTTTTTTGACCTGAGGTACAGTTGCTACCTGTGATAATCCACTTCACTCTAAATGTTAAAAAGTAATCCAATGGCATCTTGAAGACATTTCTTGACCTTCTGTCTTTGCAGTTCCACTGTTCCTGGGCCCAGCTACCATCCTCTTAGAGGCCCCAAGGAGAGACCTCTGCCTCCCTCCTGCACTGGATAGCCTGGCTCCTGGATCCTGTATATTCATTTCCTTGACTCACTCACATATGCAGTCAGTACATCCTTTTGTACCTTCTTCAGAAATGGCCCAACCCCTTGCAATAATATTTTGAGACTTTAACTATCTAAAAATATTTTTATTCTACCATCATACCCTTTAACAATTTGCCTGGGTATGTAATTTGAGGCTGAGTATTATATTCCTTCAGAATTGTCAGGAGAATGCTATTGTCCAAGGTTGCTCTTCACATGTTTACATATTCTCTCTCTCTCTCTTTCTGCTTTTCTCTTTCTCTCTCTAAAACCTTGTAGAATCTTCTCTTGGTCATAAGTACTTTGAAATTTCCTAGTGATGTATTTTGCTCCGGATTTATTTATTCCAATATACACATACTTAAGGATTTTTTACTGTAAATGAAAATTTTCTTGAATTAATTTATTAATAATATCTTCATCTGTATTGTTTAAAAAACTCTCCCATTCCAGATTCCCCATTATTCAGAGTTTGAACTTCCTGGGCAATTATTTTATTATAATTTCCATCTTTTTATCTTTCCTCCTCTACTTCCTAGGAGTTATATTCACTTTATCTTCCAAATCCTTTATTTAGGTGTTTATTTCTGCTGCTGTTATGTTTTCAATTTCCATGGGCACCTTTATGTTGTCTGAAAGCTCATGTTTCTGTTTTGTGGATGCCATATAATTTATATTTCTGAAGATACTAATGGCGGAGTTGAGGTATTTTTCTCTCTGCTAAGAATGCTCCAATTTAGTATTTTTCTGTCTGTTTTTTCTGTTAGACATTTTTCTCCAACGTCTGGAAATCAATGTGTCACTGCTCATAATTTGTACTGGAGAGCAACAAGACAGAGACCGTCAACTCAGATCTTGCATGTGAGGTTTGTGCAGCCTGAGCTTTACTGTGAAAGGTAAGCATGGGCTATTTGCTGGCAAACTCTCATTTCTATTTTGTATTCTTTGCCCTTCCGATTGTTAGATTACCCGGAGAAAAATTGTTACAGCATTTGACTCAAAGATAAAGAATTGACGATCAGCATGCTTGGGGAGAATGGAGAAAGAGGTGTAGAGGGGCTCTTTATTAAGGATTCAGTTGAGGAAAATTCCCAGGACTCCTCTTTTTTGTCACGGTATCAGCAATTTCAATTGTGCCAGCTTTTTTTCAGCCCAGAGACCTTCTGTTCCACTGAGGAATCAAAAATTCAGGGTTGGCAAGGGGTTGGCAGGTCACTTAGCTAAAAGGAACTAGAGGAGGGTATTAGCATTTAAAATCCTTTCAAGCCATTTATACTCACTGTAACTTACTTTTTCATCCCCACCTCATCAATACTAATCCCACTGGTAAGTGCTCCTGCCAATTCCTGGGTCTTTGAGGACTCTGGTTCTATACATCAATGCTTTGCAGATTTCCCTGCTGGGAAGTTAGGAATCAGCTTGCTTATTTCTTTGTAGGAATCATAGATTCTGAAAAACCGAACAGAACAGACATTACATTTAAACTGGGTAATTTGAGGAGGGTTTAATTAAGGGGCTAAAGAGGTATGCAAGATACAGAGAAACCAAAAGAAATAGTGCAGTATCATAGGAATACTGTGGCACAGGAGACCAGAAGGGATTGGAAGGAGCAGATGCCAGAGCCTGGAATGACAGAGATGTGTGCAGAGGAGTGCCTAACAGAAGTTTTAACCCTGGCTGAGGAGTGCAACCAGCTCAGAGTCACACACTTAGAAGAAGACCAGGGGATTCAATAGCTCAGCCTCCCACCTCCCTCCAGTCTTCTGCTTGACCTCTTATTGGCTAAAGCAAATGAGAAGCCAGAACATCAGATAGTCCACTAATGTTCATGTAAGTCAGCCTTTCCCACTTGTAGTTCTTAGAACAATGATAAAATGTGCTGAGCATGAAACAGCCTGAGAAGGAGGGTCTGTTCAGAACAGCCTGGGATCCATTCCTATTCCGTCAAGAAAATTGCATCTTGCAATGCTTTAGCCCGTTGAATCAAGTGACTTCAGTGTATAAAAAACCTAGAGTGGAATGCATTCAGGGTCACTTAGTTGCAGTGTGACATGGGGCATGTCCAGACAATACTGCATTCAGCCTGCATTTTTCATGAGTCTTGAAGGACTGACTTGCCATAAATTCTACGCTTCTTTTATTTCTTGCTTCCTATATATGAGCAATGAAGTGGCTTCCTTAAATGGTTGTGTGAGTGTTCTGTCTCATTGAACGCAGGCAAGTGGTAGAAATTACAGATTGGTAATCTGTGCACAGTGAACCTACTTCACAACTACAGGATCTAACTCCACTTTCAGCATTCTCAACATTAATTCCTCATTCAGAGCTATATATGGCAACAACTTTTTTTTTTTTTAATTTTACTTTAAGTTCCGGGATACACGTGAAGAATGTGCAGGTTTGTTACATAGGTATACATGTGACATGGTTGTTTGCTGCACCTGTCACCTAGGTTTTAAGCCCCACATGCATTAGATATTTGTCCTAATGCTCTCCCTTCCCTTGCCCCCACAACCCCCGACAGGCCCCAGTGTGTGTTGTTCCTCTCCCTGTGTCCATATGCTCTCATTGTTTAACTCCCACTTATGAGTGAGAATATGTGCGATTTGGTTTTTTTGTTCTTGTGTTAGTTTGCTGAGGATGGTGGCTTCCAGCTTCATCCATGACCCTGCAAAGGACATAAGCTCATTCTTTTTTATGGCTGCATAGTATTCCATGGTGGGTATGTACCACATTTTCTTTATCCAGTCTATCATTGATGGGCATTTGGGTTGGTTCCATATCTTTGCTATTTTAAATAGTGCTGCAATAAACATACATGTGCATGTGTCTTTATAGTAGAATGATTTATATTCCTTTGGGTATATATGCAGTAATGGGATTGCTGGATCAAATCCTATTTCTGGTTCTTGATTCTTGAAGAATCACCACACTCTCTTCCATGGTGGCTGAACTAATTTACATTCCCATCAGCAACGTAAAAGTGTTCCTATTTCTCCACAGCCTTGTCAGCATTTACTGTTTATTGACGTTTTAATAATCACCATTCTGACTGGCATGAGATGGTATCTCATTGTGGTTTTGATTTGCATTTCTCTAATGATCAGTGATGATGAGCTGTTTTTCATATGCTTGCTGGCCATATAAATGTCTTCTTTTGAGAAGTGTCTGTTCATATCCTTTGCCCACTTTTTGATGGGGTTGTTTGTTTTTTTCTTGTAAATTTGTTTAAGTTCCTTGTAGATTCTGGATATTAGACCTTTGTCAGATGGGTGGACTGCAAAAATTTTCTCCCATTCTGTAGGTTGCCTGTTCACTCTGATGCTAGTTTCTTTTGCTGTGTAGAAGCTCTTTAGCTTAATTAGACCCCATTTGTCAAGTTTGGCTTTTGTTGCAATTGCTTTTGGTGTTTTCATCATGAAGTCTTTGCCCATGTCTATGTCCTGAATGCAATGGGGAAAGGATTCCCTATTTAATAAATGGTGCTGGGAAAACTGACTAGCCATATGCAGAAAACAGAAACTGGACCTCTTCATTAAACCTTATACAAAAATTAACTCAAGATAGAGTGAAGACTTAAATGTAAAATCCCAAAACATAAAAACCCTAGACAAAACCTTTTTTTTTTTCTTTTTTTTTTCGAGACAGAATCTCGCTCTGTAGCCCAGGCTGCAGTGCAGTGGCGCAATCCCGGCTCACTGCAAGCTCTGCCTCTTGGGTTCATGCCATTCTCCTGCCTCAGCCTCCTAAGTAGGTGGGACTACAGGTGCCCACCACCATGCCTGGCTTTTTTTATTTTTTTTATTTTATTTTTTTTAATTTTTAGTAGAGACGGGGTTTCACCGTGTTAGCCAGGATGGTCTTGATCTCCTGACCTCATGATCCACCCGCCTCGGCCTCCCAAAGTGCTGGGATTACAGCCTTCAGTCACAGTGCCCAGTCAACAAGACCTTTTCAAGAATGCTGGGACACTTCTCACTGAAGCATTTTTGTATCAAAGAAGAGAGTAGTGCCTTGGGGGCCCTCCTGAAGATTTTGATTACACAAGGGGTGAGAGTTTGCACCAAATCCTTTTAAAATAATGCCTTCTCCTGAAACTGAAAGGTCACCTGATTAAGCCACCAAAGCTAACCTGCCTTGCTTGCTTTTAATTGCCTACTTCCAGTTGATCCTAAAATTCCACTACCCTCCTTATAGACACCTGACTGTGAGTCACGATAGTTACGGTTGCTCAAAATTGTTTTTCAGGAACTAGGGGGCAGCTCTTGTCCAGTTTAAGCTGCTTGAGACCACCAACCTTTAACTAGGCCTGCTGGGGTGCTTGAAGAGTGACCTTTTAACATCAGAGGGCCAAAAATACCACCCTCAGGTCATGCTTATGCCACTATTTCATGCAGTTGAATCCTGTGATAAATCATGTGGCTTGATTACACTTACACAGAAACCCCGATTATCTCATCTTTCCTACCCACCAATCACCTTTGCCCACACTTTAGACTGGCTGTTTATCCCTTACTACCCCCAAGCCCTATTTTTAGGGAGGTGGATTTCAGATTTGTTCTTGCGTCTCCTCACATGGCAGCCTTGTGAATAAAATCTTTTCTCTTTTGCAAAAACTAGTGGCCACAGTGACTGGCTTTTTGCATGCAGAAAAGAACCTTGTTGCTAACACTCCAGAAACTTTGACTCCTTTCATAAAAGAAGCAGGCTGACAAGCTGAGGCTTCTCTAGTGTGCTCAGCTTGTCAGCCTACTTCTTTTATGAAAGCATTGCATCTGGGTTTCAATTCCACAACCACAGAAAGTCAGTGCCACCATCATGGGCTTCATTTAACTCGTTGAACCCTAAATCCAAAAGTAATGGGCTCATTTCATTAATCCAGTCCCATCTGGCCTTCTATTGTCATAGTTCTTTTAGGACCTGCTACCATATATACTCTGCAGACTGCTGAATCTATACAGAATCTATACAGGACTATAAGCTTTTTGGAGTGTGGGTGAGCTCCTCCTACAAAAGGTCTAAGCTTTCCTCCTTGACTTATGAAGGGATCTAAATCTCACCATGGGCCCATGGGCCTCAAAGCAGCAGTGGTGGTAGCTCTGGGTCTTCGGAAGCTTCCTGTAAGCAAGTGCCCAGGAAAGACAGTTGGAATTCACTTATGCAGAGGGCTGCTTCCCCCAAGGAGACCAAGGTTTGAATTTCTCAGACTCTTAGGTGTCTGCTTATATGTTCCTATCCCTCACCTTAGGCCCACCGGTGCTATTTTCCCAGTGTAAACAACCCTTACATCAGGCCCTCAGCTTGGTCTTCACCTGTGTCTGTCCTCAAACTGAGGGGGATGAGGAACTCTTTCAAATCTGTCAAGGGAAGTTATTAATTTTTCCTGTGTATTTTCCGTCAAATGTGCAACAGCTTTACATCTCTCAGTTCCTTGCATTATAGAGGCATCAAAATACCAGCTGAGGCCCTGCCTTCATAATCACTTTGGATTCCAGTGTGACTGATGGCCTCAGGCACTTCATCTCCGCAGGCCATGGTCCCCTGCTGCTCTCCATCCCAAGCAAGACTCTACTGCAGGACAGGATATCTGTGCCCTACCCGCATACAACCAGGTGGCTGCCCTGCATATCTCCAAAGGGGATGAACTCAATCACAGAATGCTCTAAGAGCCTTTTTCCTCACACCACTCCTGGTACCAATGACCAACCAGTCAGGGTCCTGACAAGATAACAAATGGCATGCTCAATTTGGATGATTTGGGGAAAATCAGGAATCTATTTATAAAGTGGTTCTCAAGGGCCAAGGAAACCACAAAGCATTGCCTTCCCAGGATTGGAAGGAGCGGGACACCACACGCCATCACCATCCCAAGCCTAGAAGCTGGGGAGAGACAGTAGTTATCAGCAAAGAGAGAGGAAGAAAGAGGTAGCACAGGGGTATTTAAGAGAATCTCTTGGTAGAATCAGTGACTTTTGGTCAAATAACCCAGCCTGAGGTAATCCATCTTGGATGGAGAAAGAAGAATGGAAAGCTGGACCTCAATCTTTCTCCTTTCTGGTTATGATATTTTTAGGCTGAACCTAAGCAAAAGCCAAAAGGGAAGTATTCTGTTGATTTGGGCATACAGTTCAGCCTAGGGCTACAGAGCTGGGTGGGAAAAGGAGAACAGATCTGAAGCAGCAACCAGAACTGATCCAGCTACTTAGTAACCCCTAAGCCACCTACCTCTTTGCCATCTTCTTTCCAATTGTCTTTGCATTTTTGCATATTCTTATTGTGTCAAAATGAAATGAAGAATACATTGGGTTGAAATTATTAATGCAGTTACTAAAGATTGTCTTTGCAAGGGCTTAGATACAGATGGAAAAGATTAATATGGTAACTTGCAGAAGACATAAAGTTCAGGTGTGCCTTTTTAGTCACTCTTCTGCTTGATTGGGTATCTCATGTGAAAAGCATGCAGTTACTAAAATTCCAGATACAAAAGTCTATCTTCCCGCTTCAAAATTTATGGTACCTGTACCTTACCTTGTTTCTGCTTGCACTGAGTCTGGCCTTTTATCTTCTTAGATTTCCAATCACATTGATTTCATCGGTGTTCTTGGTTTACATGCTTCTTTGGCTTATAACACAGATGCACACTGAGTTCAACTTTTGTTTTTTCTTTTTTCTACCAAGGCTTTATGTTCATTGTTGTCTTCTGTATTCATAACCTCATGCATGCCCTTCCCACTTGCCAGAATTCTTTTTCTCAAACTAGCTCACCTAGTTAATTTTTGACCATCCTTAAATCTCAGCTCCTCTGTGACACAATGCCTCATTGCTTCCAACTGGGTGAAGTTATCCCTCTATTGCACCAGATGATTGTCCTTGTGTATGCCCTGGAGATAGGACATGTAAACAGCAGTCTACCTTATTTATTGTTGCATTACACAGTTTGCCACTGCATAGTTTTCAGCTAGTCTTTCTGGTTGGCCCATTAACTGTTACAAGGTCATAGCTCCTTCTTTTATTACAGCCTGGCAGAGTAGATTCTTAATAAATGTTATTGATCAACTATTGTGTTTATTCTGCATCATTTACGTTTCCTCTGTAATTTTGACCTTTCTGACTTGACCACAGGACCCAGGAACTGGAGCAGAACTGTGGGGTGTGAAACCCTGACAGAGCAATGGCATACAGACAGGTGAGAAATGTTCAGGATTCAGTGAATGGTTTTAATCCTGCTCTGAGTTTTTTCTTACCCCACGGACACTTTAAATGTCTGGGGCCATATATATTTTATGGCACCTTAAAGGCTAACTTTGCTCATGCCTGGGGATCTGTGCACTCTTTAGATGCTGTTTTGCTATTGCAATGAGGTACATGGTATGTGTTATTCAATTGAATATAAAAAGAAGAAAAGTGAAAACTTGGGTATGCACATCCCATCTTGAAACCACTTTTGTCTGTGTCTGGAGTAGGAAAATTTATGGGTCAATATCTCCTTTCTGAGTCCTGGCGTTAGGGAGACAGAGATGGATTTGATGATCACTCACTGCGCTGGCAAGCCCTTCACATCTCTACACAAGTACAAACTCAGTTTCTTATCTGAGTGCATAAGTGCTTAATGTTGATTGACTGAGTCATCTATCATGACACAGGAGTTTACATTTTCTTGCAGATATATAATGGGAATTCCAGTGAAATGGAAAACACTAAAACCATCATTTTTCAGAAGAACTGCTAAGTGTGAATACTAAGTAACATCTACTAATAGTTATTGAGGGAACATATTCTAGGTGATAGAAGGGAAACACACTTAACCAACTTCAGGATTTGGACTGCACTTAAAGTTTGCAAGTGAACATAAATTTTTTTTTTCAATTTTCTTTGGTTTTGTTTTGAAAAATAACAGCCTCGTATTAAGAGATGTTATAAAAGGATCTAAAACCTGTTTTCATACAGAGTAGTGACAATTGGTGTGTCTTACCAATAATGACATACATTTAATATAGAATGCACTGTGAAAAATGATTTTGCTTTTAATTCCACATATAAATTATTCACCCAGATCTTCATTCTGGTTAGGAGCCATTCAGATTGTGTTCTTAGAGACGTAGGTAGCAGAGATAAAACATTTAGGTTATAATTTAGTGATTTTTGTTTTTCTAAAAGGACAGCTCTTAAAAATAAAAAGTAAAAATGTTAACCACCAATAATTATGGTTTAGGAATATTGAAGAAATGCATTATTTAGAATATGCTTGAAAAAACAATTAGATGTTATTATAGTGTGCGCTTTCTTATACAATCTACAGGACTTACAGAAATCTCAGACATTGAGTCTTCATATATTATACTAGATATTTCTCACTTTTTTGCTCCAAAATCATTTTCCCTTTTTCTAGAAAGTATAAAATTTCCTATTTTTGCCCCAGCTACTCAACATGTTCTTGGGAACCGGTTCAACTGAGGGGCCCTGGCCACCAGGGAGGCACATGGATGGGGTGCTGGGTGAACCCGATTCCTCCCTTTAGAGGCCTGCACCTCAGGCTGAGACATCAGCAGCAAGAGGGGCCAGGCTGACTCAATCTGATGCATGTCAGCCCCTCAAGAACCTGCCCACCAGCTTGGCTACCCAGATTTTATGTTCTGATCTGGGTCTTTCTGAATTCTCATTCTTCAGCTTTTTCTTAGTTATATGGAGCCCCATGTCTCCCAAGTACCCACATTGCTCAAGTTCCCTGAAGCGCATTTCTATTTATTGTAAACAAAGATTCCTACCAATACATAAAACACCCCACAATGCATTAAATGCATTGACAATTTCACCTTTTAAAGTGAAATGACTTGATTCAATTTTCCTTCCCTGGCAACGTAAAGATTGTTGATTAGAAATGATTGCCTTGGTAGTACAGGCTGAAGCCACTTGAGATGTCTCAGAATCTCTCCAGGCTCATAGGAGAGAGAAATTTCTTTTGCTGAATATCTGGCCATTTTGATATTAATCCCTACGCTAATAGCTATCACATGAGGTGTATTTACTGTGGCAAGCACTTAAAATGCCTTAAATATATAAACTCATTTAATTCTCACAATCCTAAAAATTAAGTATAGACATAATCCAGTGTTATTTTTAAATATAATATACGCTGTGCCAGGGATTCTGTCTTATGTAGTGTGGTATACCCATTGCCTATCATGGTTTGTGATATAATAGGCACTCAGTAAATATTTATTTATTTATTTATTTTTAATGGAGTCACCCAGGCTGGAGTGCAATGGCGTGATCTCGGCTCACTGCAATCTCCACTTCCCGGGTTCAAGTGATTCTCCTGCCTCAGCCTCCCAAGTAGCTGGGATTACAGGCTCCCACCACCACGCCCGGCTAATTTTTGTATTTTTAGTAGAGATGGGGTTTAACCATATTGGCCAGACTGGTCTCGAACTCCTGACCTCAGATGATCTGCCTGCCTCAGCCTCCCAAAGTGCTGGGACTACCGGCGTGAGTCACTGTGCCCGGCCAGTACATATTTCTTACATGAATTGTACAATGTGTGTCTGGGCTTCCCATGCCTGTGATTGCTTGTAGTGGATATATATGTATATATCAACATAAACCTCTTTCTTACATTTTCATCTCCCACTTCTTAAATATGTATTTATTGTTATCAGAGCATCCCTGTCACACTAGCTTCACGTGACACTGAAACCCATCTCTGGGAGTTTTGGAAGTGAGCCAAGAGAGTAAGCTTGTATATCTAGTGCTTGAAGTCATAAGATGGAAAATATAGGAATGGTGGATGAACATATTCTGTACGTTATGGTAAGGAAATCCTGTTCAGCAAGAAACAAGAATTAAACCAGAATACAAAAAAAAAAAAAAAGAAAGAAAGAAAGAAAGGAAGCATCAGTGAGAATTAGAAGTCCAGATTCTAGTTTGTCCTAAGGCTCAAATAAATGTTGACCTTTGTATATATAACTCAGTTGTTCAGAGTCGATGGTACATTCCTTGTTCTTCTAATAGAAAGTCGATTTTTTTTTTTTTAATTAGAGACAGGATCTTGCCATGTTTCCCAGGCTGGTCTTGAACTCCTGGACTCCAGTGATCCTCCTGTGCTAGGATTACAGGTGTGAGCCACCACGCCTAGCCAAAAAGTAGATTTATCTCTTTAGATTATAACATGCATTGTCGTTCTCTTTTAGTTTAGCATTATGGAAGCTGTATTGTCCATTTGGGCTGCTATAACAAAATACCTTA
Source organism: Homo sapiens (assembly GCF_000001405.40). Taxonomy (NCBI): domain Eukaryota; kingdom Metazoa; phylum Chordata; class Mammalia; order Primates; family Hominidae; genus Homo; species Homo sapiens. The sequence goes on from NC_000007.14 coordinate 52,083,312, forward strand.
GCTTAGGTAATTTATAAACAACAGAAATTTATTGTTCTCAGTACTGGAGGCTGGGAAGTCCAAGTTCAAGGCACCAGGAAATTCAGCATCCAGTGAGGCACCTCTGCTTCATAGACGGTACCTTCTTTCTGCATCCTCACATGGCAGAAGGGGGTAAGGATGTGTGCTTGAGCCTCTTTTACAAGGGCTTTAATCCCATCCATGGGAGTGCAGCCCTTATGAATTTATCACCTCACAAGGGCTCCACATCTTAATAGTCTCACATTAAGTATTAGGTCTCAACATATGAATTTTGGGGGGGCACTAAAACATTAAAACCATACGGCAGTAGCCTTGTAGCCAAGTATTCCTTTTCAACTGTCTAGGCCTAACCATTGCACTTCTTAATTATATCTCATTCTTCACTTCCTTTATAAGCTACTGAAGCAAAACTTTAAATTATAATTTTCCTATTAAGTGAAATAAACATTTGAAATATTTAGCTCTCAAAAACTGCTCAACATATTAAGCTGTTAATATATACGAATATCACTCTACTTCTAAAAACTAAGTTATATACTTCATAACATGGAATTTAAGCCTTCCAACTATATCTTTAATTTATCTTCCCATATTCCTATTCTACTTCTCCCATTAGGAACTTTATGTCTCTGTCAGGTGCTTTTCTATAGAATTCACCTAAATGTACCTGGATGTTTTCCAATTCACATACCTCTTGTGAATTCAGTTTGCTTTTGAAAATGTCATCTTGGGGAAGGAGGTTTGAACACTGATAATATGTCAATGTGTATTTCATTTTTCAGACTTTGAAGAAAACAAGGAAGATCCATTGGTGGTTAAGTTGGGACAAGAAAATAGTGTTGTTCTGGGTTCACTGAGACATAGGGTTGCTACTTCATAAACTGCCTTTGTAAACCTAATTCAGAATTTTCAAACATCAAAAGACAGAGAAACTCAGAGGAATGTTGCTTAAACAGGCTTGACATACAGAGAACATATTAGTTTCAGGGAAAATTTCATCTTTATCAATTATTTAAATACTTAATCACATTTGCCTTAATTATTTCACATAATCAAGTTGAATATGAGTAGCTGAAGTGTTGATATTGGGAGAAGAAGTGTAGTTTTTATACAATTAGTGTATATTTTCAAAGTTAAAAAAATTTCACAGGATACATGAAGAAATTTAGAATGAACTATAGTTTGCAATCGATGATAAAATGTAAGATAAAAAACTAAAAACATAGTTGCAAATTGTGATTAAAAGGCATGTAAAATTAGGGATTTATAAATTAGTTATGTATGTGGGAATACGGAAGCCATGAATAATATGAATACATACTGGTTTGTACATTTACTTAACTTTACACATGTGTTCTCTTTTCTCTGACTGTAAAAGATAGATAATACACAGATAAATAGAAAAAGAAAAAGATAGATATAGGTAGCAAAATAAGCTCTGAAAGAGGAGTAGAACATTTTTGCCAAAAATCTTTGCCTAAGAACACCTTTCTTAAATACTAAGAAGAAAAGGTTGAACATCTTGAACAATTTGTGAAATAAACAACAGTATAGCTTCCTTCAGTAGAAAACATGCTGTTTTCTTATGTTTTTAATATTTTAGTCTGATAACACATGGTATATTTCCAAGATCAGATAGAATTGTAAATGTAAAATCATCAAATATAAAAGGGTGTTGATGAAAAAAGTAAACTCTGTAAAATATTTGAAGAGGTTTATTCTAAACCAAATGTGAGGACCATGACCCATGACACAGCCTCAGGAGAGCCTAAGAACATGTGCCCAAGGTGGTTGGATTACAGCTTGGTTTTATACAATTTAGGAGAAAAGAAGTTACAGGCAAAGACATAAATCCATACATGGAATGTACACATTGGTCCAGCCCGGAAAGGCTGGACATGTCAAAGCGGGGGTTGGGCTTACAGGTCATAGCTGGATCCAAAGATTTCCTGATCGGCAGTTGGTTGAAAGAGCTAAGCTTTGCCTAAAGAGTTGAAGTCAGCAGGGAAATGCTTGGGTTTAAGATGGGTACAGGGGGTGGTCATGAAAACCAAGGTGCTTGTCATGTAGAGAAGCCTTCCAGGTTGTAGGCTTCAGAAAGAATAGATGGTAAATGTCTTATCAGACCTTAAAATGTGTCAGACTCTTAGTTTTCTCTCCTGGGTCAGGAAAATACCTGGAAAGGGAAAAGAATTCTCTATGGAATGTAAATTTTCCCTGTAAGAGATGGCTTTCACAGCCATTCCAAAGTATGTCAAAGAAATATATTTTGGAGTAAAATAATTTATTTCCTTTAGGCCTGTTACCTGTCATGTGATGTTTATACCTGAGTCAGGTTGGAGTTGGTATCTTATTGCTCCAGCGAGTCTGTTCTGTCAGTCTTAGGATCTCTGTTTTAATGTTAATGCTGGTCACTTGTACCTGAACTTCCTAAGAGAGAGGGTATAGTGAGGTATGTCTGACCCCCACCCCACCCCACTTCCTGTCATGACCTGAACTAGTTTTTCAGGTTTCTTTCGAATCTCCTTTGTTGAGAGGGGATGCATTCAGTCACTTGGGGGACTTTTATTTTATTTTTGGTTTACAAAAGTGAGGGATATCTGAGTCTAGAGCAGACTGAAGAGGAGGGGAAGTACAGTCCCCAGATAAAGGCCTTCAGATGTCATCTCTCACTAGCATGCAGGCCACAGCCCAGAGGGTAAGTATGGCTCAGTATGCTTCTAGAAAAAGGAAATCTAGGGAAATCAAGAATGGACAAGAATGAATATTTGCCAGTGAGGTATGTTGAGCTCCTTACGTACTGTATCAGGTGTTTGTCACATGCTCATTCTCAGGAGAAAGTATAATTGATCCTGCTTTATAAATAAGGAAAGGGAACTTTAAAGTTTTAAATTACTGTTTTGCTGTCACCCAAGTAGTCTGTAAAAACTTAGTATTCTACAGAGTGTTTTCTGACACTCAAATCTACACAAATAGGGCAATAATGCCCTTTGTGTTCATCTTCAGCATTTACGTCAATGCTTTGAACAACATCCACAGTAAAATCTTGAGATTGAAAGTTGGGTCAGGAGGACCATGGTCCCAGTCAGGAAAATTATCTTTTGATAGTTGGTCTCATTATATCCTTGGAAGACTCTGTGCATTTTGACTTTGAGAAAATAAAGTCTTAAGAGCACTTGAGTAGTCTGGCAGAGTTGATTAAAAATGAAGCCCTTAAACACTGTTATAATGCAGCTCCCAGCTGAATGGAAACATAGCTATGGCAAGGGCTGGAGCTCCTCAATCTGCTAAGATTAGTGGAAGTGAATTACCATTATGTGCCAAAGGAATATGTTTGGGCATCAGTGAAAAATGAGAAGAAATACAAAATGAAGAGTCCCACTTTTTAAAAAATAATGTATTAAACATTTAAATTGTGTAAAATCTTGCCAGACCTCAGAATTCCTCTGTTCCATCAAAAGATGCCAGTTGGATGAAGCATGTCTATAGGTAGATAAAAAAGTCAAGAAACATATTGTCATTATGGACTGTAACCATTTAAAACATCTTTAAGTTTAAATCACCAGAGATTTCTTGATTAAACAAATATTATATAACAAAAAGTCACCAAAAAGGTGAATGTATCTAACATTCATCAGGTTATTACTCTATGCCAGACACTATATCAATGCTTTTAAAAGATTTTATTTTTCCAAAAGAAGTGAAACATAAACTAAGAATTATGAATCTCAGTGTTCAAACAAAAAACTGAGATTCAAAAGAGTGAAGTCATTGTTCTTAAGCATGCATGCAGTGAGTTTTGATAGAAAAGCAGCATTGTCTCAGGGAATAAAGATCATGGTAATTAGGAAGTCTTTCTTTGTTAATCACCTAGCTAAATACCTTGGGTCTAGGTGTACAGATACAAAATTAGCCCTCACTTGCTTAGTCAGGTTCTGTTTTTTTACAACATAATGTAAATTTTGTTTTTGTTTTGAGATGGAGTCTTGCTGTGTCACCCAGGCTGGAGTGCAGTGGCAGGATCTCGGCTGACTGCAACCTCGGCCTCCTGGGTTCAAGCGATTCTCCTGCCTCAGCCTTCCAAGTAGCTGGGACTACAGACACGTGCCACCATGCCCGGCTAATTTTTTGTATTTTTAGTAGAGACGGGGTTTCACTGTGTTAGCCAGGAAGGTCTCTATCTGCTGACCTAGTGATCCGCCCGCCTCGGCTTCCCAAAGTGCTGGGATTACAGGCATGAGCCACTTCACCTGGCCCATAAACTATTTTTAAAATAATTTTTATTTATTTTTAAGAGATGGTCCCACTCTGTGCCCAGGCTGGAGTGCAGTGGCACCATTACAGCTCACTGCAGCCTCAACCTCCCAGGTTCAAGTGATCCTCCTGCCTCAGCTTCGCCTGGCTGCTTGTGTCTGTTGTTGTTTTGTTTTGTTTTTTAATTTTTATTTTTTTGTAGAGGCAAGGTCTTGGTCTGTGGCCCAGGCTGGTCTCGAACTCAGCCTCAAGTGATCCGTCCACCTCGGCCTCCCAAAGTGCTGGGATTACAAGTGTGAGCCACTGCGGCCGGCAAATTTTTGCATTTTTAGTAGAAATGGGGTTTCATCATATTGCTCAGGCTGGTCTCGAACTCCTGACCTCAAGTGATCCGTCCTCCTCGGCCGCCCGAAATGCTGGGATTACAGGTGTGTGACACTGCACCGGGGAAAAAACTTTTAGTAACACATAAAAAAGAGTTTCAAGAGATATGGAAGTTAGGATTATAAACTGCGTTGCGTCATGTCCGTGGGACCGGAACACATCCGTGTGGTGCAGATGCGAACAGGGCAAGGCGGCCTGTAGAGCAGTAACCGGCGTCCGCGGTTCTCTGACTGCTCAGCACCACAGGAGAGGCCGTGCGTCGGCGGTCAGCAAGTACCTGACCAGCTTCCCCTGGGAGGGACCCCTTCACTGAGGGTCTGCACAATCGCAGGGTGAGGGACAGGGAACATCTACGTGGCTGTGTCACTCGGGAAGAGCCCTGATGCAGCAAGGGGCCTTGTTGGAAAAAGGTGGGGGCCTCCGTAAAAGGCCTTTTTGGAAAGCAGGAGGCGTTCCGAAGCCCCGCTGCGCCCCCTGCCAGTCCCTTTGAATCCTCTCAGACCCGCTGGACCCGCCCTCTGCTAAGTCCCACACTGGGGAAGGGGAGCCTCTAGGACCATCGCCTCTGTCACTTCTCTTACGGGGAGAGAACTGAGGGCAGGGCAGCCTCTCCGCGGCAGGACGACTCCTGCGGGCCGTCCTGAAGGATGCGGTAGGAACAGCCCCGGAGCCAAGGCCCCGAGAGGACGGACGCCCACTCGTAGTGAAATTGTTAGAAATGGTGTTTTCAGACCATGCAGGGCTCTCACCCTGAGGCATTCTGCCACGCCCGTGATGGTGCCAAAGCGCCTCGCAAACATCGCTGGGGCTGCTTGCTCCCTGCGATGTCCTGCTGCAGGGAAAGCGACGCTCTTCTGTCCATTTTCCAAAACATTTCCAGTGCTGTAGGCGATTACTCTCCGAGCAGTAATGTTGCTACTTGATGTTTTGAAAAGACTATGCATAGTAGAAATACAACTTAATTCCAAGCAGTAAAACCGCCTTTTCAACATTTGAAAAAGACACAGTCTGCTATGTTAACAGATACCACTCAGAATTAGAATATGAACAATGATGATCCAGCTACCTACATACACAGAATCCGATGTGATTTCTGTATTTATTCATTTGCCTATGTAATGAGTAGCCACGGTATGACTATACAACACTGCTAAACTCACTCACCGTGTCCTGGAACAGATGTGGGTTTTTAAATCTCTCTTTGCTTTATTTTCTAATAACTGAATTCTGTATTTTTGTTTTATAGGAAAATACCACCTTGATACAGAGTTATATTTTTCAGAATTTCATTTCTCCATCAATTGTTAAAAAAATTAATCCATGTACAGTAAGTGAGTCTGAATTCCAAAATGAAATAAGTGATTTTTTTTTCTGGGATTAAAAATTATATGCAGGCCTAGCTCAGAGATATTGCAGGTTTGGTTCCAGAACACTTCAATAAAAGGAATATTGCTATAAAATGAGTGACACAAATGTTTTGACTTTCCAGTGCATGTAAAAGTTATGTTTACACTATCTTGTACTCTATTTACACTATATTATTCTGTGTCTGTGAAAATCACATCTTAATTTTAAAGTAATTTATTGCTAAAAAATGTTAACAGTCATCTAAACTTTCACTGAGTTGTAATCTTTTTGCTGGTGGAGAGTCTTGCTTCGATGTCAATGGCTGCTGACCAATCAGGATGGTGGTTGCTGAAGGCTGGAGTAGCTGTGGCAATTGTTTAAAATAAGACAACAGTGAAGTTTGCTGCAGTGATTGACTAGACACTCTTTCCTCGCTAAGCTTAATAATTTCTAGCTTTTGATTTAAAATAAGAGACTTGTGAATATTCCTTTCCCTTGAACACTTACAAGCCATTGTAGAATTATTAATTGGCCTAATTTCAACATTGTGTCTCAGGGAATAGGGGGCTCCGAAGGGAGGGAGAGAGACAGAGGATCAGCCAGTCAATGGAGCAATCACAACACACAACACATCAATTAAGTTCACCCTCTTATATGGGCACAGTCATGGTGCCCAAAATGATTTCAATGTTAACATCAAAGATCACTGATCACAGATCCCCACAGCAGATATAACAATCATAAAAACATTTGAAATACCATGAGAATCACTGAAATGTGATAAAGAGACATGATGTGAGCACATGCTGTTGGAAAAATGGCGCCAATAGACTTGCTCAACACAGAGTTGCCAGAAACCTTCAATTTGTAAAAAAAAAAAAAAAAAAAAAAAAAAAAAAAAAAAAACCGCAATATTTGGGAAGTGCAATAAACTAAGGCAAAATAAAACTAGGTGTACCTGTGTTTTCATCAGGGCTAAAAAATTACCAGCATGATTCTTCTAAAATATATTTTAGATATCTGAGAAAATAAGTAAGAGATGATGAAAAGGAAAGTAACAATGTGCTTCAATATAAATGAGTATATAACAGCAATGAAAAGTGTTCTTTGTATTACCAACAATCCAGCAGCCAAAACAACTGGACAGTGTTGGTTAGTTTGGACATTCATCCAATGTATATTTTTGAAAGGCCAACACAAAGATGACAAACAGATCTATAAGTGTTGGTTTCTCATAACTGAGATCAATAGAGGAGAAATTTATAATATTTTAAGTGATTTTGTATACTAAATATATTCCTAAAAGAGTTATTATGAACTCACATTAGTTAGTATTTTTTATCGTTGCCTTTAAAATAATTATGTGGAATTCAACATAAGAAATAGATTTGGTTGACTTTATATTTCTTTGCTGATTTGATCACTATATTGTCTAATTACCAACATGTTCAGCGTCTGCTTATCTGTGCCTCTTCAGCACAGATGAATTCCCTTTGCAGGTAGGGCACCACAAATTTAGATAGCTGTGGTTCAGTTCAGGGAAGAATAATACTGCTCTTAGGATTAAACAATCTTTATTCAAGCTTGGTGTTTTACTCTAAGAATGTGTTCATATTATTTTTCTTTAACAGCTATACAGAGATTTTTAAGAAGCTACAATATGCAATTTATATGTCACTTTATCTTAATTTTTCATAAGCTATTATGCTATTGGATTTAGAGGAAAGTAAGGTTCTTGCTATTGATGGTTTGAGGCTATTCTGAGTTTTATTATTATACAAGCTTTTATTTTAACATGATATTCAAGGGCTCTGCCACACACAATACATAGAAATGACTTGCAATACTGCATTCAATATCACATGTATTTTATCAGGAATAAAAGGCATGCAGTTAAGAAAACTTCTATTTCATTCTTTCCTTTCTTTGAATTCCGTTAACAAAGACAAGCCGCTTTAAATCTTGCTCCTGGGCGGATGCCGCTTTGGAAATTGGAGCCCATCTTGAACTCTCAGAGCTAAGTGATAAACACATGTAAATTGGAATTTATAATGGAAGGAACACGATACTTCATTGTAACTGCACAGGCCAGGCTCCGCTCAGATAAAATAAAACAAAGTGCACAGCAGACCACCCTCCACTGTACTTTGATTAATTTTAGTTTTCCAACCTCAGAGTGATCATGTCAGTAATGCAGGCATTTCAGTTGACTTCCTGAAAGCATTTTGCTTTATATTTGCCAGTCACTGAATGTGGCATTTTACTTCATCAACCACTGCTCTTTTGAGAGCCACTCAGATGTGAAAAACACAAGTCTAAGATTTAGGCTCTCAGTAAATATGCAGAGAGATATAACTCTTCTGCATTGGATTGGAAAGCTGAATTTGATGGATCTTGGAAATAAAATAAAAGTCATTTTCTTTTGTGTTCAAGAAGTATAAAGCTTCCCTTTTCTGTATTAGTTAGAAAATGAATGATATTAGGTAAGTTTAGGAATGACTTTCAGCTTCTACTGTGGGGGGATTATTAGGAAGACTGACAGCATAGAATAAGCTGAAGTCACTCAAAGCATTAGTCCCATTTACAATTGCTTATTATTTGATGGGTCAGTTAGACACTCAGAAATCACACCTCTTATGTCTTGGGGCTATACTATCGACATACTTAATTTATTGAGTATCCTCTGCTACTGTCATTGAGTGGATAGTAAAGAATGTTTGAATTGGAATATAGGATAAACCACCAAACAGGAAAAGCACCTCATTTAAGCACAAATAAATCTATGCTGCAATATAAACTTTCAGTTTCAGCTCAGAGATAGGGAGAGCTGGAAAGGCTGTTGCTCCTGTTAAAGACAAGGCCAGACACTAGTGGCAAAGCTGGATTTCATCAGTAATGTGCTACTGCAGTGGGGAAAAGAGCAGCATGAACTGAACGCTAGGATTCGTTCAGGGCTGATGGGTGTTTAAAGGAAAAATGAGGATAAGATGAGGGGCAAGTGGGGGAAGTGAAAAGTTACAGAAAGCAAAAGGAAGTGTTGGTCCATGTTAAATTCATCTGGGTTGTTTCCTGGTGCTTATGAAAATGAGGCCCCTGGCCTCCAGCAGAGGCTGGGAGACAGGGGTTCTATCTTTAGGTGTTGGCTGGAGCAAACAGTAAATGCTGTTGGCAGCCTTGAGTTTCTCAGGCAGGCACTTTAAGGGGGTAGCATCATCCTACAGATATGGCCTTGAGCTATTAGAAACTAACTTAGTGTTTCAAACATTTACTTTGAAGGCCAAGGTGGAGGCTATTCAAGAATAGGGACTGGGGAACCTGGCTAGAGTTTGGTCCAGGAGAGAATCTTTGTCATTTCCACCATTACAACAAGCAAAAAGCTGGACAAACTGGAAATCATTCACATTTCTTGGACTTCTCAGAAACCTATGTCACAGAGTAAACAGATAACCTGAAATCTAGAGACATAGAGGCCCGGAGAGAGAAACAGGACCTGAGCATTTGCATACCTGGGCAGACCTCATCAAATACCATATCGGCCATGGGAAGATTCAGCCAGAAATCTTTAGCAATTTGCTCTATGTTTAGTGACAGCTAGAAGGAAAGTATGAAGCCCCTGTTGCCCACTGATACAGGAGGTTCGTTTCTTATTGCAGGATTTTCTCCAGGTGGGTTTGACTGCACCAGATGTTCACAGAGAGGACTGGGGAGAATCCTGGGGAAGCTGTTCCCAGGTGCTGTCTGGGAGAGGGTAGGAGCCACCACTGCAAGAATCCCACCCAGACTCATCTCCCCATCGCACCACGGAGAACAAAAGCCATGGTATGTAGGAGGAAGGGGAACAAAATGTATGAGAACACTGGCCGAGGACACTGTGGAAACGCACTGTAACTGAAAGAGAGGAAAAGGAGGGGTAGAAATAAGTACTAACCCAACATCACAAAGGAGCAGAAGTACTTACGAAGTCCACAGCTGGACACTCAGGTTGACAGTGCCTGACTATGACTGAGGCTTAGAGTATCAGAAAATATTCCCATTGCAACGCAATGACCACACCTACAAACACTGAGTAAAACCCACAATAAAATGTATCTGCAAGAACGGCAAAAACAGATTCTCTCTGCGGAGCAGCTCAGAGATGACCCAAAGCCCAGCGCAGCATAAACACTGTGAGGACCTCTATGGCAAGTTTTCCCAGACTAGAAATACTTATTATCCCAAGAGAGACTTGAAGCTCTGGCGCCCTGAGGGTAACCATAGCAACAATGAACTTTAAACTCAGCCCAACTCCTGAGTTTAGCAAACCCACAGAGCAAAGGGCCAGCAGAAGGAAATGCATGCTTATCTTAAAATATAACAAGTATTTATTTAAATACTGTAAAATGTGAGTGGCTGTCAACAAAAAAATTATGAAGCATAGAAATAAGCAAGAAATAGCAGTGTGCAGAGACAAAACAATCATCAGAACCAGACTGACCAGGGGGAATGTGAAAACTATCAGGGAATTCAGCTGACTATGATTGATAGGTTCAGGAAGGCCTGCTCCACAGAGGAGTGTCTTTCAGCCCTGCTCTGCCTACAGTCTTTCTGACCTACATTTAGGAAAGTCTAGTGAAAGAGCAGTTGGATGCAGGCAGACACCCTTTATGTCAGAGATCCTGCAGTCTCCCTTCATGTCCAGAGACCCTGAAATCTTAGGTCAGTCATACGCACCTTTGAACATTAGAACTTGATTCTTTTTATCCATATATATGGCTGATTTCTCTTTTTCTTGTTGCCAAGTTTTTTAAATTATTTAAAGAGCTTATCACCACTTCGCTTTTAGTTCTTGAGATTACTTGAAGCCTGAGTTCTTTGCTAGGTTCAAAGTATGATATTTTTGTAGAATATCTCACTTGTTTTTATTCTTGTGGGGGAACTAATACTTTCTTGTGACTTTCCCACTTTCCGAAAGTGAAAGTCTTTTGGCTTTTATTTAAACTGTGTACATTTAGCCAAATAATGTCACTTTTTAACAAACTCACAAATTCAGTGTAATTATGTTACTCACAAGATAATTAGGTGATCTTAATCTATAGTTTATTTTGCATCTATCCAGCATCCTTTGGTAATGTGAATACTGTTAAAAATCGTGTAACATCTGCTTCCAAATCTGAAGCCCAACCTTCCTTCTGAAAACTACCACAAAAATGGCTAAAAAATATACACAAAAATTTGAGTTTCACCAACGCAGCAGCATGAGTTTGCTAAAATCCAGAAGAGAAAGAGAATGTATTGAGGTGAATCCAATATCCCATAATTTTCCCCACACTATATTTATGGTTAGTTAGAAGGAGGTAACAAGGCTTAAAAGACTATCACAAAGCAATAGCTAAGAGAGAGAAACACTTAGAAAAAATTCACCAGTCTCTTGGGAAACAGAAAATTAAATTCCAGAGATGGGCAGAGAGGATAGGTCAGGTAGAAGGTCTAGTTAGACACGGTGTACCCCAGAAGGACCTCACCGCAGGAAAAACTGAAACCAAATGTAGATCTATTCTCTTAAAAATGGAACCCATCTTTAGATTAGCTCAGTAACTGACTGAATGTAACTGATCTCGTCATGTAACAACTTCCTGCAGGAAGCAAGAACACAACTTTATTAGAGGAAGATAAATACCATCCTGAACTTCCATTATTTAAAAGAAAAATTCTTAGGCTTAACAAGAAACAAAATTAAGAGAAAAATAGACATGAGTAATAGATCCTCAAGAAATGCAAACATGCAGTATTGATGGGAAATAACAAAGTTACACTATTAGACTTCAAGACTTACAGCAAAGCTACAGTAACCAAAACACTGTGGCAATGGTGAAAGAATAGACAAACAGACCAATGGAGTCCAATATAGAGTCCAGAAATAGACCCAGATAAATATAATCAACTGGCTTTGATAAAAGAGTGAAGGCAATGCAGTAGAGCAAAGATAGTCTTTTCAACAAATAGTGATGTAACAACTAGACATTCTCATGCAAAAAATAAAAAGTATAGACACAGACTTTATGCCCTTCACAAAAATGAGCTCAGATCGCATCACAGACCTAAATGTAAAATGTAAAACTATAAAACTAGAAAATAGCAAAGGAGACAATGAAGTCAAACCTTCGGTGTGGTGCTAACTTTTTAGATAAAACAACAAAAACACAGTCTATGTTGTTGAAAGGAAGAACTGATAAGCTAGACTTCATTAAAATTAAACATTTCTGCTCTGCAAAAGGCATTGAAAAGAGAATGAAATGACAAGTCACAGAGTGGGAGAAAATATTGCAAAAGACACATCTGATAAATGACTGCTATCCAAAGTACACAAAGAACACTTAAAACTAAACAGAAGAACACTTAAAACCTTGATGAAAAAATGGGCCAAAGACCTTAACAGAAACCTCACTAAAGAAGATAGACAGATGGCAAATAAGCATATGAAAACATGCTCCACATCCTGTGTCATCAGAGAAATGAAAATTAAAATAGTGAGATATTTCTACATGCCTATTAGAATGGCCCCAGTTGAGAACTCTGACAACTTCAAATGCTGATGAAGAGGATATGGAGCAAGCAGAGCTCTAAGTTATTCCTGGTGGGAATGCAAAGTGGTACAGTCACTTCGAAAGAAAGTTTGGCAGTTTCTTAGAAAACTAAACATCCTCTTACCATATGATGCAGCATTGCACTCATTAGTTCCCCAAAGGAGTTGAAAAGTTATGTACATATGAAAACCTGCACATGGATGTTTATAGCAGCTTTATGCATAACTGCCAAAACTTGGAAGCAACCAAGTTAAATAAACTGTGGTACATCCAGACAATGGAATATTATTCAGTGCTAAAAAGAAATGAGCCATCAAGCCATTAAAATACATGGAAGAAATTTAAATGCATATTACTATGTGAAAGAAGCTATGTTAGGCCATTCTTGCATTGCTATAAAGAAATACCTGAGACTGGGTAATTTATAAGAAAAGAGATTTAATTGGCTCAGGGTTCTGTAGGCTGTACAGCAAGCATAGCAGCATCTGTTTCTGTGGGGCATCGGAAAGATTCTCATCCTGGTGGAAGGCAAAGTGGAAGCACGCACGTCCGTCACATGGCCAAAGCAGGAGTAAGATAGCGAGAGTTGAGCAGGGAAGATGTCACACACTTTTAAATGACCACATCTCATGAGAACCCACTCACTATCAGAAAAACAGGACCAAGACATGAGAGATAGGTCCCCATGATCCAAACGCCTGCCACCATGCCCCACCTCCAGCATTGGGAATGGCAATTCAACATGAGATTTGGACGGGGACAAATATCCAAACTATTGTCAGAAGTCAACCTGAAATGGCTGCCTACTTTACAATTCCCAGCATTCTAGAATAGGCAAAACTATGGGGACACTAAAAAGATCAGTGACCGTCAGGGATTAGAGGGAGGAAGGGAGGGATGAATGGGCAGAGCACAAAGATTTTTAGGGCTGTAAAAAAACTTTGCAGGATATTATAACAGTGGATACCTGTTATTGTAAGTTTGTCTAAACCCATAGAATGAGCAATATCAAGAGTGAACCCTAATGTAAACTATAAACACTGGGTAATAATGATGTGTCTGTGCAGGTTCATCAGCTGTGACAGGTGTACCACTCTGGTGGGTGATGCTGATAATGAGGAAGGCTGTGCATGTGTGGAGGCAGGGGTTTTATGGGACATTTTTGTACCTTCCTTTCAATTTTGTTGTGAATCTAAAAATTCTTTTTAAAAAAAGTCTTTAATAATAATAGAAAAAACAAGGAAATTATTGGGGAAGCAAAATAATAACTTACAGAAATGATTTGTCCCCTACTGGGCAAAACAGGAGTTAAAAAGACCCGTAGAACACTGGAGATGGAAATCGTAAATTCTAATATATCAGTAGTTACATTAAATATAAACGAACTAAATACTTCCCATAAAAAGCAATTGTTGTCACAGTATTAATGAAAAAAATCTAGTATTAATTAAAGAAATCCAGTTTCAATACAAAGATACAGAACAGTTGAAAATAAATAGAGGAAAAATGTTACACCGCACAAACACAAACAAGTATAAAGTTAAAATAACTATACTAATAAGATGAAGAGAGCTTTAAAAAATCACATGCATTTCTGGAAATGAGATATTTGATAGTAATGGTAGCTTCTATTGAAATGCAATTGCTAACATTTTTTATTTTGCATAATACCTAATAATCTGGCTTCAAAATATATGTAACAACAGCAAAGCCATGGATTTCCATGATAAATAATAAAATCCAAATTCATAGTGAAAAATGTATCATACCTCACTCAGTAACTGATGAAGAGCAATTGCCTGTGTATAGAAATTTTGGCCAAATCAATACATTTGAGTTTACATATGGAGAAAAGTTGGAAATTAATGAATTAAGTAAGCATCCATGTATCAGATTAAATCCAAATAATGTAAGTATAAAACAATGCAAAAATAACACAATAAATTAATGAAATAGAACATAAAGAAATTAAAGTCAAAAGTGTTTCTCTACTGTTCTGTATAAAAATTGATATTTAGAAAGAATATTTAAAAACAGAGAAGCTTCTAGGTATTAATAAAGCAGATGAAATTGATTATATTACTGATGCTAAAAAATACATAATAAAAGATATATGAATAATTTTATGGCAATAAATGTCAAATGTATTTATTTAGGTGACAAGCCCAAATTTACGGGCAAAAAAATCTACCGGAACATATACAGAAACAAAGGAAACAGCCCAAAAAACGCACAAACTTGATAGTCCTATATCCATACAAAATTTAATTTTTAATTACAAACATTTTATAAAGCAAATTGTAGGCTCAAAATGCACCACTAGCAAATTCCAGTTATTTAAAGACTATGAGGAAGAACAAATTTAAGGAAGAAAAATATAAAGAAATCTTCTATAAAATTTAAAACAGAGAATATTTCCCAACTAATTTTTTGAGGTCAGCATAACATTGATACCAAGTCTTGGAAAATACAACATAATAAAAGAAAATTATATGGCAATGTTTGTCATGAATAGAAAGGCAAAATTTCCTAAGAAAAATATGAGAAAATTGAATATAATAAAATAGAAAGTATTATATAATTAATCATTACCATCTTGGTTTCTTTTTTTCCCAGAATTTAAGATTGGTAAAATTTTTTTTTAAACAACTCAATCGATCTAATTTTACATATTGTCCAAATTTTTTAAAAACCGTAATAAACCATAAATTAAGAAAAATATTTGATGAAATCAATGCGTATTAACAATTTTAAATAAGACAGAAATAAACAGAAAATTTATAAATATTATATATCTTCCCCCAAATGCAATGCAATTATACTCAATGATAAAATATTGAAAGCTTTCTCTCTGACATTTGCAATTAAAGTATAATTCTAGATAGCATCCTCTCTATTCAGCTTTGTTCGAAATGAGACTTTTTGTAATCATGTAAACAAATGGCCCTCCAGTCCCTCACCAACCTGTGTTTCTAGGTGGTCTCTGAATTTAACAAAAGCAGCTAAGTCATTTTCTCTCTATCACTCTCTCCATCTCTGTCTCTCTGTCTCTCTTTTTCTGTCTCTCTCTCTCTGTTTCCCTATCTCTCTATCTCTCTGTTTTCCTATCCCTTTCTCTCTTTCTCGTACTAACATCAGAAGTTACCTTCATTCCTAATTTAATATTCTGAGAAAAGTGTGGATAAACCCAATCAGCAACATTTGTGGGTAGAGGCTGGCTGGGGGAGGGAGGGATTTAAAAACCCTTTCTAGGAAGGTAAGAACGATTTGCTTTTCAACCAAAAGATATGTTTAATTTTCGTAGAAAAAATATTTTTATTAGAAAATCCAGTTTCCTGGTTATGTTATGCAGTTCACCTTGACCTAGCCCCCTCTCTCTGAAGCGCCATTTGTGATTGGTTCCTATGGAAGCATCAATTGCAGTAGAGAAATGTCTCTGAAGGAAAATTAGGAATGGGTGCTCTTGCTTTTACCTTAGCCAGTTTTATGTCATTGGGTAAGTTCCTTTCCATTTCTGGGAGTCTTCTTTGGCATTATAAAATGAGGGGGCTGGGTCACATGACCTCGGAGCTTCCTTTCACTGTTGAAATTATATAGAGTTGCGATCTTCAAGTGCTGAAACCTATTTACTGTTCATAAAGGACTGTTGTAAGCACAAAGCTATTAGAGTTGCAGATGAAGTGTTCTGCTATAAAGCTAGCAAGTTAATAAGTGCCTCTAAGGCTTTGCTTTAGGACCTATGCCTTTTCTCTCAACTGAAAGAAATCTCAGTATTTCTATAATGTAAAACCAGGAAAAATAACACTTATTAACGATTAAAACCATCCAAGATAAGAGTTACTCTCTCAAGCACTGTGTGTACGCTTTAACCTCCATTAAATTTCCCACTCTGAATGACCCAGATTCTTCAGAACAAACAAGGTGTGGATTCTCTGTGGCAAAAGCTGAGTGCAACTTAGTCTTTCTCGTCTCACAGGTGTTTATGGAAGATGTCAATACGGTCTGTGGGAAAAGCATGTATTTTTGAAGTCATACTTGGAGTTGAATTACATCAAGCATGTTTTCTTAACTCAAAGTTAGTCAAATCCCAGAGTCCCACTTTTCTTATTGAAGAAGTGGGCAAAGTAGAAGCTCCTTCTGGCAGCTCTTCTTTCTGGAATAGAAGATAGTATACGAAAATGTTTCTGGGGCTCATTAGGTGCTCACAAGTCACAATTTTATTGCTGTTTTTAATCCTGAGGATTTCTTTCTGTCTCTATTTCTTAAAAATCTTTCTTTCCTCAGCACTTTGTATACTTTTTTTGTATTAGTTTGGTAGGTTAAACCGCTGAAATGAAACAGACCACAGAATACAGTGGCTCAAATGTAATATACACTTGTTTGTTTCTCATGTAACTATCCAGGTAGGCCAGGGCAAGGCAGGTGGGGTTTGGGTTGTACTTCTCCACACAAGCCATTCAGGAACACAAAGATGGAGCAGCCCAGCAATCTCCAGCAAAAGATTCCAGAGCCGGTCAGGCACGGTGACTCATGCCTGTAATCCCAGCACTTTGGGAGGCCGAGGCGGGTGGATCACGAGGTCAGGAGTTCGAGATTAGCCTGGCCAACATGGCAAAAACTCATCTCTACTAAAAATACAAAATTAGCCAGGTGTGGTGGTAGGCGCCTGTAATCCCAGCCACTTGGGAGGCTGAGACAGGAGAATCACTTGAACCCAGGGGACAGAGGTTGCAGTGAGCCAAGATTTTGCCACTGCAATCCAGCTTGGGTGGCAGAGTGACTCTTGACTTCACTGTTCCAGTGGGGACAAAGGGAGAAGGAGCAAAGAAGCAAGGAAAAGGACTTATGGAAGGGGAATATTTTCCCCTTTGTTCTTGGGGAGATATATCTACTCTGAGCAAGGGAGGCTTAGAAATGTAGTCCTGACATAATCCTGTGAAAGAATAAAGGGAGATGGGATTTGGATGGAGGGGAATGGGCTTCTTACAGGAAATCCACACTGACTGCTCCTCCTCACACAATAGACAACATGCTTCTCGATGTATGTGTTAAGTCCAGACTATGTATGTTACTACACTTTGGAACACACTTCCAAACTAGTGTTTCTAAAAACATTTTGTATCTCTGTTTCTCATCTTGACCATCCACAAGGATTATTAGTTTACACATGAATTCCTAAATGTGGATCCCAGCATTTGAGTCTGTCTCTAAAACAGTCTGATTGCATGGAACTAGTGTTTCATTACCCTCTCCTGCTCCTGCTTTGGGTCTGGACTGACTTTGCATTCCTACTTATCTGCTATGGTCTGAGTGTTTGTACCTGCCCAAAATTCGTACGTTGAAACCTAAATCTCAGTGCAATAATATTAAATGGTGTGGTCTTTAGGATGTAATTAGGTCATGAGGGCTCCATACTCATGAAAGGGATTTGTACCCTTGTAAAAGAGGCCCGAGAGAGTTTGTTTGCTCTTCCTACTGATGCAAGACAGGTGAGCCCCAAAGTGGGGCTTAGCCTGCAAAGGTTCTTGCCTTTGCCCAGGAAAGAATTCAAGGGCAAGCCAGAGGTAAAAGAAAACAGCTTTATTTCTTCTTCACTTATGAAGCTTAGTTTGGCTGGATATGAAATTCTGGGTTGAAAATTATTTTCTTCAAGAGTGTTGAATATTGGCCCCCACTCTCTTCTGGCTTGTAGAGTTTCTGCCAAGAGATCCGCTGTTACTCTGATGGGCTTCCCTTTGCGGGTAACCCGACCTTTCTCTCTGGCCGCCCTTAACATTTTTTCCTTCATTTCAACTTTGGTGAATCTGACAATTATGTGTCTTGGAGTTGCTCTTCTCTAGGAGTATCTTTGTGGCGTTCTCTGTATTTCCTGAATTTGAATGTTGGCCTGCCTTGCTAGGTTGGGGAAGTTCTCCTGGATAATATCCTGAAGAGTGTTTTCTAACTTGGTTCCATTCTCCCCGTCACTTTCAGGTACACCAATCAGATGTAGATTTGGTCTTTTCACATAGTCCCATATTTCTTGGAGGCTTTGTTCATTTCTTTTTACTCTTTTTTCTCTAAACTTCTCTTCTTGCTTCATTTCATTCATTTGATCTTCAATCACTGATACCCTTCTTCCAGTTGATCAAATCGGCTACTGAAGCTTGTGCATTCGTCACGTAGTTCTCGTGCCATGGTTTTCAGGTCATTTAAGGACTTTTCTACACTGGTTATTCTAGTTAGCCATTCGTCTAATCTTTTTTCGAGGTTTTCAGCTCCTTTACATTGGTTTCAAAATTCCTCCTTTAGCTTGGAGAAGTTTGATTTTCTGAAGCCTTCTTCTCTCAACTCATCAAAGTCATTCTCTGTCCAGCTTTGTTCCATTGTGGTGAGGAGCTGTGTTCCTTTGGAGGGGGAGAGGTGCTCTGATTTTTAGAATTTTCAGCTTTTCTGCTCTGTTTTTTCCCCATTTTTGTGGTTTTATCTACCTTTGGTCTTTGATGATGGTGACATACAGATGGTGTTTTGGTGTGGATGTCCTTTCTCTTTGTTAGTTTTCAGCAAATGCTGGGAGATTTTGTCACCACCAGTCCTGCCCTACAAGAGCTCCTGAAGGAAGCACTAAACATGGAAAGGAACAACTGGTACCAGACACTGCAAAAACATGTCAAATAGTAAAGACCATCGATGCTAGGAAGAAACTGCATCAACTAACGAGCAAAATAACCAGCTAACATCATGATGACAGGAACAAATTCACACATAACAATATTAACCTTAAATGTAAATGGGCTAAATGCTCCAATAAAAAGACACAGACTAGCATATGGGATAAAGAGTCAAGACCCATCAGTGTGCTGTATTCAGGAGACCCATCTCATGTGCAGAGACACACATAGGCTCAAAATAAAGGAATGGAGGAAGATCTACCAAGCAAATGGAAAACGAAAAAAAGGCAGGGGTTGCAATCCTAGTCTCTGATAAAACAGATTTTAAACCAACAAAGATCAAAAGAGACAAAGAAGGCTGTTACATAATGGTAAAGGGATCAATTCAACAAGAAGAGCTAACTATCTTAAATATATATGCACCCAATACAGGAGCACCCAGATTCATAAAGCAAGTCCTTAGAGATCTACAAAGAGACTTAGACTTCCACACAATAATAATGGGAGACTTTAACACCCCATGGTCAACATTAGACAGATCAACGAGATAGAAAGTTAACAAGGATATCCAGGAATTGAACTCAGCTCTGCACCAAGCAGAACTAATAGACATCTACAGAACTCTCCACCCCAAATCAATAGGATATACATTCTTTTCAGCACCACATCGCACTTATTCCAAAACTGACAACATAGTTGGAAGTAAAGCACTCCTCATCAAATGTAAAAGAACAGAAATGATAACAAACTGTCTCTCAGACCACAGTGCAATCAAACTAGAACTCAGGATTAAGAAACTCACCCCAAACCGCACAACTACATGGAAACTGATCAAGCTGCTCCTGAATGACTACTGGGTACATAATGAAATGAAGGCAGAAATAAGGATGTTCTTTGAAACCAATGAGAACAAAGACACAACATACCAGAATCTCTGGGACACATTCAAAGCAGTGTGTAGAGGGAAATTTATAGCACTAAATGCCCACAAGAGAAAGCAGGAAAGATCTAAAATTGACACCCTAACATCACAATTAAAAGAACTAGAGAAGCAAGAGCAAACACATTCAAAAGCTAGCAGAAGGCAAGAAATAACTAAGATCAGAGAAGAACTGAAGGAGATAGAGACACAAAAACCCATCAAAAAATCAATGAATCCAGGAACTGGTTTTTTGAAAAGATCAACAAAATTGATAGACAGCTAGCAAGACTAATAAAGAAGATAAGAGAGAAGAATCAAATAGATGCAATAAAAATGATAAAGGGGATATCACCACTGATCCCACAGAAATACAAACTATCATCAGAGAATACTAGAAACACCTCTACCCAAATAAACTAGAAAATCTAGAAGAAATGGATAAATTCCTGGACACATACACCCTCCCAAGACTAAACCAGGAAGAAGTTGAATCCCTGAATAGACCAATAACAGGCTCTGAAATTGAGGCAATAATCAATAGCCTACCAGTGAAAAAAGTCCAGGACGAGATGGATTCACAGCCGAATTCTACCAGAAGTAAAAGGAGGAGCTGGTACCATTCCTTCTGAAACTATTCCAATCAATAGAAAAAGAGGGAATCCTCCCTAACTCATTTTATGAGGCCAGCATCATCCTGATGCTAAAGCCTGGCAAAGACACACAAAAAAAGATAATTTTAGATCAATATCCCTGATGAACATCGATGCAAAAATCCTCAATAAAATACTGGCAAACTGAATCCAGCAGCACATCAAAAAGCTTATCCACCATGATCAAGTGGACTTCATCCCTGGGATGCAAGGCAGGTTAAACATACGCAAATCAGTAAACGTAATCCAGCATACAAACAGAACCAACGACAAAAACCACAGATTATCTCAATAGATGCAGAAAAGGCCTTCGACAAAATTCAACAGCTCTTCATGCTAAAAACTCTCAATAAATTAGGTATTGATGGGACATATCTCAAAATAATAAGAGCTATTTATGACAAACCCACAGCCAATATCATATGGAATGGGCAAGAACTAGAAGCATTCCCTTTGAAAACTGGCACAAGACAGGGATGTCCTCTCTCACCACTCCTATTTAACATAGTGTTGGAAGTTCTGGTCAGGGCAATGAGGCAGGAGAAAGAAATAAAGGGTATTCAATTAGGAAAAGAGGAAGTCAAATTGTCCCTGTTTGCAGATGACATGATTGTATATTTAGAAAACCCTATCATCTCAGTCCAAAATCTCCTTAAGCTGATAAGCAACTTCAGCAGAGTCTCTGGATACAAAAATCCATATGCAAAAATCACAAGCATTCTTATACACCAATAACAGACAAACAGAGAGCCAACTCATGAGTGAACTTCCATTCTCAATTGCTTCAAAGAGAATAAAATACCTAGGAATCCAACTTACAAGGGATGTGAAGGACCTCTTCAAGGAGAACTACAAACCACTGTTCAAAAAAATAAAAGAGGACACAAACAAACGGAAGAACATTCCATGCTCATGGATAGGAAGAATCAATATTGTGAAAATGGCCATACTGCCCTAGGTAACTTATAGATTCAATGCCATCCCCATCAAGCTACCAATGACTTTCTTCAAAGAATTGGGAAAAACTACTTTAAAGTTCGTATGGAACCAAAAAAGGGGCTGCATTGCCAAGACAATCCTAAGCCAAAAGAACAAAACTGGAGGCATCACACTACCTGACTTCAAATTGTACTACAAGGCTATAGTAACCAAAACAGCATGGTATTGGTATCAAAACAGAGATATAGACCAATGGAACAGAACAGAGGCCTCAGAAATAATACCACACATCTACAAACATCTGATCTTTAACAAACCTGACAAAAACAAGCAATGGGGAAAGGATTCCCTATTTAATAAATGGTGCTGGGAAAACTGGCTAGCCATATGTAGAAAGCTGAAACTGGATCCCCTCCTTACACCTTATACAAAAATTAATTCAAGATGGATTAAAGACTTAAATGTTAGACCTGAAACCATAAAAACCCTAGAAGAAAACCTAGGCAATACCATTCAGGACATAGGCATGGGCAAAGACTTCATGTCTAAAACACCAAAAGCAATGGCAACAAAAGCCAAAATTGACAAATGAGATCTAATTAAACTCAAGAGCTTCTGCACAGCAAAAGAAACTACCATCAGAGTGAACAGGCAACCTACAAAATGGGAGAAAATTTTTGCAATCCACTCATCCGACGGCTAATATCCAGAATCTACAAAGAACTCAAACAAATTTACAAGAAAAAAACAAACAACCCCATCAAAAAGTGGGCAAAGGATATGTACAGACACTTCTCAAAAGAAGACATTTATGCAGCCAACAGACACATGAAAAAATGCTCATCATCACTGGCCATCAGAGAAATGCAAATCAAAACCACAATGAGATACCATCTCACACCAGTTAGAATGGCGATCATTAAAAAGTCAGGAAACAACAGGTGCTGGAGAGGATGTGGAGAAATAGGAACACTTTTACACTGTTGGTGGGACTGTAAACTAGTTCAACCATTGTGGAAGACAGTGTTGTGATTCCTTAAGGATCTAGAACTACAAGTACCATTTGACCCAGCCATCCCATTACTGTGGTATATACCCAAAGGATTATAAATCATGCTGCTTTAAAGACACATGCACACATATGTTTATTGTGGCACTATTTACAATAGCAAAGACTTGGAACCAACCCAAATGTCCATCAATGATAGACTGGATTAAGAAAATGTGGCACATATACACCATGGAATACTATGCAGCCATAAAAAATGATGAGTTCATGTCCTTTGTAGGGACATGGATGAAGCTGGAAACCATCATTCTCAGCAAACTATCACAACGAGAAACCAAACACTGCATGTTCTCACTCGTAGGTGGGAATTGAACAATGAGAACACTTGGACACAGGAAGGGGAACATCATACACCAGGGGCTGTGGTGGGATGGGGGGAGGGGGGAGGGAAAGCATTAGGAGATATACCTAATGTTAAGTGACGAGTTAATGGGTGCAGCATACCAATATGGCACATGTATACATATGTAACTAACCTGCACATTGTGCACATGTACCCTAGAACTTAAAGTATAATAATAATATTAATAAAAGAAAACAGCTTTATTGAAGCAGCAGTATTACAGCTCTGTGACTGCTTCTGCAGAGCAGCGCTCCGCTGTAGGCAGAGTAGCAGCTCAGGGCTGATTTGTAGTCGTATTTATACCAACTTTTAATTGGATGTAGATTAAGGATTAGTTTATGCGGAAATTTCTAGGGAAAGGGTAATAACTTTTGGGTCATCAAGTTGTTGTCATGGAAAGGGGCGGTAATTCCTGGGTGTTGCCATGGCAATGGTAGGTAAACTGACATGGCACACCGATGGGCGTGACTTATGGAAAGCTGCTTCCGCCTCAGCCCTGTTTTAGTTAGTCCTCAGTCTGGTCCAGTGTCTGAGTCCCCACTTCTGGAGTCGGGTCCCCCGCCTACCTCATCACCATGTGCGGACACAGCCAGAGGTGCCATTACAGACCAAGAAACAGGCCCTCACCAGACCCTGAATCTGTCCATGCCTCGATCTTGGACTTCAAACCTCCGGAACTGGAATAGATTTCTGTTATTTATAAGCCACCCTGTCTACGGCATTTTGCTGTAGCAGCCTAAAGGGAATAAGATATCGAATACATGATTAAATTAATCCTGGTATGAGACGCATGGCTGAAGAATAACTGAATTCCTAGCCATTTCAAAGACATATCTTCCAATCCTGTAAGTACAGTTCTTCAATTATGTTGTTTTCCTTTACGGCATTATTTATTTCTGCCTCTTGCTTGAGAAGGCAATACAGAGTGGACCCCTGCACCAATCAAACTGCAGGAAAATGATGCCTCTGAGGTGGCATTCCACTCTCAGGCCGAGCCTTCCACCTTTACACGCTCATTGAAAATCTCACATTTTGCCGAGGCAGTTCCTTGTCACTTACTCCTTGAAGTTACCAGCTCAGCTGGAATCTTCAGGGCTGGGCTCCCATGTGGCCCTTCCCACTTGCACCCTCACCTGGCCTCGAATGGGACTCGCTCCTGCCCTGCTCAACCTTCCCAATCCCACAGGCCAAATAAAATTTAAAAATAAAAATAAATAAAAAAGAAAATCTCATATTTTTATTATAAAACATAAATGTATAATGGAGAGTGTAAAATTCACATACATTTTAAAGAATGCTCAAGGAATTAAAAGGATGTGTTGTTTCATGCTAGTCGTTTTGAGACTGACACTCTATATCATTCTTTTTTTTTTTTTTTTTTTTTTTTTTTTTGAGGTAGTCTCACTCTGCTACCCAGGCTGGAGTGCAGTGGCACAATCTCAGCTCACTGCAACCTCTGCCTCCCAGGTTCAAGCGATTCTCCTGCCTCAGCCTCCCGAGTAGCTGGGATTACAGGCACACGCCACCATGCCCAGCTAATTTTTGTATTTTTAGTAAAGACGGGGTTTCACCGTGTTGGCCAGGCTGGTCTCATACTCCTTACCTAGTGATCCACCCATCTTGGCCCCCCAAAGTGTTGGGATTACAGGCGTGAGCCACCGTACCCAGCCTATTACTCTCTTCTAAAGCTCCTTGGGAGAAAGGAGAGGTGGAAGAGGATGGGAATGTCTGAGAGGCAGGTGCAGGCAGACCTGGGTTGAAATTTCCAGTCTGCCCTCATTTTCAGTTAAATCTGTTAATTTCTCTGAAGCTGAATTCCTGTCAATCGATGCCAAGTTACAGTGTGCTATAAGAGCATAACATGAGCTTATGTACATGGAAACAACTCAATAAGTTTTAGTACTTCTCTTCAAGTTCAAGTAAACTTCCCAACACGTCCCCAAACTTCTAATGCCCAATCCTCAGAAATGTTCCCTGTGTTGTATATTTAATTTTTTTTACATGTATTGCTTTAATTTTTATGTATCTGTACCATATAATTTGCATATTTCATTGTGTACTTTGTATATGGAAATTTTTTCTCCCATCACAGCCTTTATATATATGTAGCTTGGTTTTTTTCCCTGCATTTATGCTACAAATTCTCAGTGGGATTTGTGCTGTTGTCTTCTGTTTTACAAGTTTTGCTATTGATTACCAAACAATGTAAGAAGTGTATCATTAAATATTAATATTTAACCTTAAACTTTTGGAATATCATAGGGAAATTTATGCCTATAAACTTGGATATATGTGAGTGTGCTCAGAAGAAAATTTTGGATATGAAAGAGGGATGAAAGTATGAAAGCAATAAACTAAAAATCATGAAAACTCAAAGATAAGATAGCACAAACACGTACTAGGTACTAGAAGAGCTAAAAACCCATATATACAAATTCCAACTCCATGAAAATAAGTCCCCCTCACTTCTCTCTCTCTCTTTGTTTCTCTCTTTCTCTCTCTCTCACACACACACACACACACACACACACACACACACACACACTCCTTTACCTCTCTAAATATGTACTTGATTAAGACACATTAACTGGCCTGTGTGGGATGAAGCAGCATGTGATCCCAGTAATATGGAAGACCCAGGAAATCAGTTCTCTTTCCTAAAAGAAATAGCCTCAAATAGCCGCAACAGCAGAACTTAAGTCATCCCTTTACAGTCTGAACCTGACAGCTGTTGCTAAGCACTAGAGAACATTGCAGGGAATATTAGGATCCTTAATATTTAAGTTAATAGATCCTGTCCTTGCTCATTGTTAACCTCTCTCTCTCTACCCTTATTCACTTGTTTAAAAGTAGCTTAATTCTTTCTGGCATTATGTTTTTACAGTGTTAACCTACTGTAACTTTTGCATTTTTTGGCCTGACTTCTACTCCCACCCCAATATCTGCAGAGGCATCCCTTTGCCCCAGAAAACAGAGATCCTGTGATGGTCTTTTGATGTTTCAGTGTGACCAGGCTACAGTCACCAGTTATTTAATCAATCACTAATGCAGGTGTTGTCATGAAGACATTTTATAGATGTGATTGAAGTTATAGTCCATAATCAGTTGACTTACAGCAGGGGAGACTAGATAATATGGTGAGCCTGATTCACTAACTTGAGAAGCCTTAAAAGCAGGGTTGATGCTTTTCTGAGAGAATGAATTCTGTCTGTGGACAGCAGCTTTAGCCTATTCTTACTGACAGCCTGCTCTAAAGATTTTGAAGCTGCTTAGCCAGTTTCTTGTAATAAATCCCTTAATATGTATCTCCTCTGATTCTCCTTTTCTGGTCAAACCCTGATGGATGCAGGTCTCATAGCAGAAATGCAAAGAGAGGCATTGTTCCTCAAGTTCTGATACTCTGAATAGATGTTTTTCAATCTGCGATAAGACAATAAATTCAGAGAGGTTCTTTTAAGATGAAAGATTTGAAAAATTGGCCTTAGTAATGACAATAACCAAGTTTGGAGATAATTCAGGATATGACTTGCAGCAATATTTCTCAATTCTAAAATGTCTATACTCTTGGCCTTTTTAGAATTTACTTCCTGATTAGTAGCTCTAGGTTATGTGTCAAGATTCTACGTTCCTTATTAATGTGCCCGTGGTTTGGAAATTGCTGGTCTCCTGACCACACTTCTGATAGCAAGGACATAAAAGAAATTGTGTGGTCAAAGAAAGTATTCTAGACCCTCTTCCTTGGGCTCAAGTCTTCAGTTTGGGTAACATGTTAATTAGGCTGAAGGGAAAGATGAAGGCAGGCAGTTGTGTCCAGTTCACACATGGAATCCCTGAAAGTCTTGCATTATTGCAATGCTACTGTCTAGAACAGCCTTGGCAAAGAGAAGACCGAGAGCTAAGCTAGATGCAGGAACCTGGATTGAAAGCATTGTTAGATTTCTCCACAGTGCATCCAAGAGTACTAGGTTCTCTGAGAACCTTTCTGAAAGGGTACAGAGATACTGAAAGCTTAGATAAACTTGCTGATTTCTGGAAGCAGGGTCCAGAAGCTTTGGCACTGGGGTAGATGCCAGGAACCTCAGACTCCAGTGATAAATGAAAACACATCACTTTGTCTAGAGAGACAGGAGCAATAAAATCTTAGTGTTCATGCAGCAGGATGAGATTCAATCTGCACCCAATACAAGTAGATATGAGACATTCCCTATAAGCTTACACAGATAAGGGAGGCCTCCTCCAACATGCCATCCTGAAGAACAGCCAGTGAATAGGAAGAAAATATAAATCTATGAATATTTCCATAATTATTAAGATTTCTCCCTATCATAAAAACTTATGACATAATTCTACGTGGGTAGGAAAAAGAGGTGAATTTAAATGATTAATGGGAGCATTATTGGTTTTATAGCTCAGGAGTATTATGGGTTAAATCTTCTTTACGCATTGGCTCATAATCCTAATCAGTATTTATTACTTTATTTCGTGGAGAAGTATAAACGAATGATAAAAAGTGAAATGTTGGAACTCAGCCTAATAATAAATTAGACATTGAATTAGCAGCATTACTCGACATAGAGCTTTAAGTTGATTCAAACTAGAGTTCTGCTTCTGTCAATGGAAAAATCAATTATTTTCTAAGACCCCTCCTGTTGAAAACAACTAGCAAATTTGGATAAAATGGCTTACAAGAAAATGCGTTTGGAGTTTCTAAGACAGTGAGGAATGAAAGGCTCAGGATCTGGGGGAGATGGGAAGACCATAGTTATGCCTACTATTGGTAGTCTCTTGTCTCTTTGAAACAGCTGTCTTCTCTGAATGTGCTGTCTGAGAGGCTCAGAAACTTAGAATTTTAGAGAGATTCACTTAACAGGGAAAACAAAGACTGAAGTTTATTGCTGTTAAAAGAAAAACCTTAGCCAAATTAAATTTTACAGAGTTTAATTGAGCAAAGAATGATTGGTGAAGCGGGCAAGCCTCCAGCGTAGGCTCAGAGAGACTCCAGCACAGCCATGTAGTGGAAGAAGATTTGTGGACAGAAATAGGAAAATGATGTACAGAAAAAATGGAAGTGAGGTACAGCGATAGCCAGATTGGTTACAGCTTGACGTTTGCCCTATTCAAACATGGTTTGAACAGTTGGCACCCTTTGATTGGCCAAACTCAGTAATTGGCACGAGAGTAGGTTACAGTCTGTTTATACCTCCATTTAGGTTATAGTTTACTATGTACAGAGAAACTTTTAGGCTAAACATAAAATATATAAGGAGACAGCTTTAGGCTAAATTTTATTGAACAGAGCTTATCCAGGAAAAGAAGTCCTGGTAAATACCCAGCGTTTGACTCTAACTTGCCAAGTGAACAGGAAACACACCAACAGGCCTAATAGAACCAGCACTATATTACAATTCTAAATCTTTAGGTACGTAATAATGTGGTCTCAAATTAAATAAAACAAAAATTAACAGAATAAAAAGGAAAATGTGTAATATAATTATTACAAGGGTTTAATACCTGATAACTAATGGAACAGTAACTGATAGAACAACCAGATAAAACAATCAACAACCATGTAGAAAAGTTGGGCAAAATAAATAATTGCCCTAATAAGCCTAAATAGAACACTATATCCAAAACTTCTGGATATGATTTCTAAGTACATCTGGCATGGTTACTGAAGTTGACTATGTACTGTGCCATAAAACAAATATAAGATTAATTTGGTCTATCCCTTCTGGAAAGCAATCTATTCACCTATTTTAAGAACTTTAATGTATTCTCATTTTTTACTAGTAAGTTATTTTTGCTAAGAACATAATAAGAGATGAATAATTTTTTTCGATTTTTGTTTTAGGACATGACACAGCATTTTTATTAGGCTTAATGTTCCAGGCCAGGCACGGTGGCTCATGCCTGTAATCCCAGCACTTCAGGAAGCCGAGGTGAGTAGATAACCTGAGGTCAGGAGGTCGAGACCAGCCTGGCCAACAAAGTGAAATCCCATCTCTACTAAAAATTAGCCGGGTGTGGTGGTGTATGCCTGTAGTCTCAGCTACTCAGGAGGCTGAGGCAGGAGAATCGCTTGAACCCAGGAGGCAGAGGTTGCAGTGAGTTAAGATCACACCACTGCACTCCAGCCTGGGTGACAGGGAGAGACTCTGTCTCAAAAAACAAAAACAAAACAATGTTCCAAACGTGAAAAGTAACTTTTAAATATATCAATTTAGTTAACATTATGTTGTCATTAATATCATGTTCTTAAACAAATGTAAGAATATTGGAATATGTTCTCAATCAAATTTTGAATAAAATAATATGAAATGTCCAAATTCTAATTATGTAGAGTAATTTAAATGCTACCTCCCAGCATCTATCCAGTGACTGACATATACTAGGTGTTCAATCTTGTGCAGGCACTCCCAGACAGAAGTAGTTTTTCTCTTTTCTCTCTAAATTTCCACTGAGTATTGTGCTATTTTTTTCCTTGAATTACATTTATTCATGAAGATGAGATTCTCCATATTGATATACTAAGAAGCATGGTACTAAATTTAAACTGGAATTCCACAGAGGTTCCAAAATCTTACAAAGTCTTTCCACACTGTAGAAGTGAGAACACTAGTTATTCACTTTCTTCTGATCTTTTTTAAAAAAGTATTGTAATCTATATTTTAATGTGCTCACAAAATATGAAGGCCATGATTGAGTAGCTACATTTATCGTGAACTAGCTTAAAAGTACATGATAAGTAGAAGTGAATTAAAATCACATGCTGCTTAACAAAGGGGACGTGTTTTGAGCAGCGGCGTCAGGTTGTTTTGTATTTGTGTTAAGGGAGGAGACCACTCCTCATATTGCCTTATGCCCAACTTCTGCCTCCAAAGGAAGAAGTAAAAACTAAAAGGCAGAAATGAAATCCACAGGCAGACAGCCCGGTGCCACACCCTGGGCCTGGTAGTTAAAGATCGATCCCTGACCTAATCAGTTATGTTAGCTATAGATTCCAGACATTGTACAGAAAAGCACTGTGAAAATCCCTGTCCTGTTCTGTTCCATTCTAATTACCAGTGCATGCAGCCCCCAGTCACGTGCCCCCTGCTTGCTCAATTGATCACAACCCTCTTACGCAGAACCCCTTAGAGTTGTGAGCCCTTAAATGGGACAGGAAGTGCTCACTCGGGGAGCTCGGTTTTTGAGACGTGAGTCTTGACGATGCTCCCGGACGAATAAAGCCCTTCCTTCTTTAACTCGGTGTCTGAGGGGTTTTCTGTGGCTTGTCCTGCTACAGTGTGAACATCATAGAGTGCACTTACACAAACCTACATGGTACAGCCTACCACATACCTAGGCTAGATGGTACAGCGTATTCCTCCTAGCCTGCAAATCTTCACAGCAGGTTACTGTGCTGGATACTGTAGGCAACTGTAAAACAATGGCAAATATTTGTGTCTCTAACATACCTAAATATAGAAAGGTACAGTAAAAATACAGTATTATAATCTTATGGGACCACTGTCATATACCTGGTCTGTCATTGACAGAAACGTTATTATGCTGTGCATGACTGCAATTCATTCCAAATGTATAGTATTTTTGGCTCTCCAGCAATTTCTTTATTCATTCATCTTAGAATATGAGGCATATGCTTTTTGCAGTGTTTCTGGGAGCAGATCAAGTCACTGAACTTTCTCTCTCCACGACTTCCTTTTATTTCCTCACTCTTCCCAGAGTCGTGTATTAACTCAGAAGGGAAACAGAACTGTTACTTCAAACTCTAGATAACTCCACTGAGGCATTACCACTCATGCATTTTGCCTATTAAAGTGTTAGAGTGCAGCATGTTTCTTGGATATTCCTTTTGTGACAAAGACTTCCTCCAATTGAAGAGCTTTATCATCATGAAACACCACTTCCTAACATTTTATAAAATATCTGCAGGGAAAAAGTACATATTATGCCATCAGAAAATCTCCTCTCAAACAAACAAAAAAGGTAACAAACCCAAAAAGGGGTCTCTTGAATGATGAACACAAACCATAAGGTGAAATTGATGAACAAAAGTCCTGTAAACAAGAAATACTCTTATTTTTGTCAATTTCTAGTTTTCATATTTAATTTTTCACCTTTCTTAATTGAAACAAGGCAAACAAGTGTGTCGCATTCACATTTCTATTCCTCTATTGTTATGTACAGCGTGTAAATACTGCTTTATAATTGTCACTTAAATTAACATATCAATCAGCATAAAGAGGACAAACAACACAGGAGTGAAAGGCTGTCTGCATATGACAGCGTGGATATTGTGGGGTAGGAAGTAAGAGGTGAAGGGACCTCTGAGAATAAAGTGAAAGAATTCTTAACTCTTTATATGAAAATTATCTTTTATTAAAGGCTGAAAAAGCTGTCCTTAAGCAAAGTTGCATTAAATTATAAACATCAACCACTGCATTAGATTACAACATTAGCCAGTGCCTCACAGTATGCTCCTCATATCATCAAGGGACACAAAACAGTCAAGATCCCATCCAGTGGACTGCAGTGTTTTACAGTAAAAAACTGAAAACCAAACCTTCAAATTATTTGTGCTCCCACTTACTGGCATTGTTTCTGTTGTGCTGGTGGAGGTTGGCGTTGTTGTTTCCATTGTCTGGAATAACCAATTGCAAGTTAAGTGCTGCAATTGTGAGCTGCCTGCTGACACTTCCAAAATGACATTTCCATTCTTCAGGATTCGGAAGTTAAACAATACAGAGAATAATTTGTTTTAAAATTGAAATATTAATCCATTTCACATGCCACCCTTGAAGTCGTGTGTTCTGAAACTTGCACAAAAAATTGATGAAAACAGACTAAAAAGCAAAGTAAGAAAAATAGGAAGCATTTGCTGCAGGTAATTTGCACACACACACACAGATGTACACACTTACTCGCAATGTTTAACACATAACGGTGAGATTGTTGCTATATCCATGTATATAATCATTACAGGTAATATTAGGTCTAAATACTATTTTGTTTTGAGTAAAGTGACACTGGGTAATGAAAGATAATTACTAATAAAAAAATTCCCTACTATGGAATCTCTCACCACATCCTCTCAAGTCCCCCTTTGCTCTCATGCTCAAAACATTTGATATTGGGACGGTTTCATTTTCAGTACCCTACTGTGAATGGAAAATAAATCTTGGAGCCCCAAAATCACTAAGCTAAAGGGAAAAGCCAAGCTGGAAACTGCTTAGGGCAAACTGCCTCCCATTCTATTCAAAGTTACCCCCCTGCTCTCTGAGATAAATGTATATCTGATTCCCTCCTTTGGACAGGCTAATAAGAAACTCAAAAGAATGCAACCATTTGTCTCTTAGCTACCTATGACCTGGTATCCCCCTCCCCAATTCTAGTCTTCCCGCCTTTGCTTCGAGAGGTCCCGCCTTTCCAGACCAAACCAATGTTCATCTTACGTATGTTGATTGATGTCTCGTCTCCCTAGAATGTATAAAACCAAACTGTGCTGACCACCTTGAGCACATGTCATCAGGACTTCCTGAGGCTGTGTCATGGGCGTGCATCCTCAACCTTGGCGAAATAAACTGTCTAAATTAACTGAGACCTGTCTCAGATTTTTGAGGTTCACACTACAATTTTTGCTCTTAGCACTGTTCCTGGGTTACCTGAGTTTTAATCCTTTTCTCTGTGTTGATACGTTCCAAAGCCGTTTCACTAGCTCAGTACCTTCCTGAGCTCAGGCCTATGAAGCACCAGCTTCCTCCCACCTCTTTTTCTACAAGCCTCCTTCTCCTCAGTGGTTCTGGTGTTAGTTAATACCACAGTGATCCACATGTCTGCCTTCACTGGTAACCTGGCAGCATAGATTTCTTCTTCAGTTTAGTGATTCTCAAGCTTCTTTATCTCAGGACTATCTTAAAATTATTTTGGAACCAAAAGAGTTTTTGTTGATGTGAGTTGCATATATCAACATTTACCAAGTTAGTACTAAGATATTTTAAAAGTTCTTATTAATCTATTCCTTTAGAAATGTTGATAAGCCATTTTAAGTTAATATAATTAACATTTTCATAAAAAAAGTTTCAAAAACAAAGAAATAAATGATAAGAATCGTATTGCTTAATGGTAAAACAAAGAAATTAGTGAGAAGCGTGTGTTGAACAAACATTATAGAAGACCATGGTTTTGGACTAAGCCCCAATGGACCAGATTAAAAATAAAAACGGAGTCACCAATGCTAAATCTGCATGTCACCAGACCAAAATTGAGTTATTATCTGACCTACAGAGAAATCAGAAGAGCGAGATAAAAGCCTAATTAACCAAACAGACCAGTTTCAGTGAACATGATAAGGAAGGTCCCTCTGTTTAAACCTGAAGTAACCTGATGTGCACCAATCGGTTATTTCTCTATTGTTCAGTCTCCTGGTTCCTGCCTCACAGGGGAAGTAACTTTAAAACGACCAATCCACTTTTTGTTCTTTGCTTCTGCTTTCTTCAGCATTTTCTCTCTATAAAACCAACCGTCTCTACTCTATTTATTGGAAGTTTTATTCTATTTTACGGAATAAAAGTACTGCCAACTCTAGAATCACAGTGAAGCCAATTGAGATCTTTAAATTTCTGTAATTTTACCTTTGACAAGTGGCATTTCTTAATACCTTTAGTGCCTGCCTTATATTCAGGTAGCTGGAGTCTCATATCTGCTTCTGAATTTAATCTGCTGTGATCTAAGACATTATAGTCTTTAGAAATCTCTACTGTATTCCCATGAGAGAATAAAGGTGAAAAGGGCAAATAATGTCTTAATGTTGTCATGAAAATAGCTTTGACTTTGAGAATGGTCTGAAAGAGTCTCACAGGGGGTCTCCATTACTCCCTACATCAAATTGATCACAAAGCACTGACTCCTGTGCCTAGGTCAGGCAGGACAAAGTTCTTTACAACACTAACTATAAAAATCCACCAACGCAAAATTTTTATGGGGTCTGAGATGAGGTTTTGATGGCACACAGCATATTTTCCTTAAACGAAAAGCAAAGAACAAAGTAGCAAAAATCCCATTAAACACTTCTCATGTTCTCACTGATCTCCTTAGATGCTCACAAGCAGGGTCTTCTCCCTGGCCACTCTACCTTCACTCATCCTGCAAATATCTCCTAGCTCTAGTCGTTATTATCCTTCAGTTTCACCCTTGGTTCGTAGAAGAACTTAGCTCTCTTGTGTGTTTACTCATTCAGTTTTACAAAAAGAAAAAAGGTTATCATCATCAAGGCATAGTGGGCATTTGATGGTTTCAACACTATAATAAAGAATTTTATAACCTTACAATGTGGGGAAATTTTACATAATGAGACCTGCTTGAAAATAATCTCCTAACTGCTGTATTGCAAAACTGACATATCTGAAAATAAAACATGCAAACTAAGCCTATTCTTTGCAAATTAAATATCTGCTGAAGTTGCTCTTGCTAGTCAATGGGGAAAGTGGAGGATATATATTTGGACCCTTGGTGATCCTCTGTACTCTCTTGCCCAATTTTCATGATACTCAGACAACTGCAGCAACCTCAGCATGAGAAGAATGTGATAATCAGTACCCCCGTAAACCAAAAATAAAATTCTAAGCCCCCAACCTTCTGAAGGGATCCCTTGTCTCTGCCAAGGGCATTCCAAAATTAACCTGAAAAAATTGTTCAGGCCGTGATGGAAGGGGGCCTTGAACATGCCTCATTATGGTCTCCTCCCTTTCAGAGTTCAGGAATAGCTGACCAGCATTAACATCAATATGGGCCGTAAGCCTGATAAGACACATTTACAGTCTATCCTCTGAAGCCTGCTACCTGGAGGTTTCATCTCCATGATAAAACTTTGGTCTCCACAGCCCCTTATTGTAACCCAGACAGTCCTTTCTACTGATTCCAGGTCTTTAGAATAATAACTTAACTCCTTCAACCAATTGTCAATCACAAAATCTTTAAATCTATGAACTTAAATCTATGACCTGGAAACACCCACTTCAAGTCATCCTGCCTTTCCAGATTTAATCAATGTACATTTTACATGTAGTGATTGATGTATTATGTCTCCCTAAAATGTACAAAAGCCAGCTATACCCTGACCACCCTGGGCACATGTCTTCAGGACCTCCTGAGGCTGTTTCATGGGTGTGTCCTTAACCTTGGCAAAATAAACTTTCAAAATTGATTGAGACTTGTCTCAGATACTTTAGGGTTCACAACCCTCTGCTGATATGATATTTATTGTCCCACAAGTCCTTCAGGTTTTATTCATTTTTAACAGTATATTTCTCTGTGTAATTCAGATTTAATCATTTTTATTGATCTACCTTTACTTTCACTGACGCTCTCTTGCTGTCTCTATTCTGGCATTGTGCCATCCAATTAGAAGTCTTTCTCTCCTGCCTCTCCCTCTCCCTTTCCTCTTTGCCCACTCGTCCTCCTCCTCCTTCTTTCTGCCCTTCTTCTCTTCTTCTTGCTTATTATAATTTTCAATTCTGAATTTTCCATCTGGTTTATCTTTATATATTTCTTTGGTTTTTTTGCCCAGGTTAATCTTGAACTCCTGGGCTCAAGTGATCCTCCCACCTCTGCCTCCCAAGAAACTGAGACTATAGTCTCACACCACTAAGCCTCCAGCCACATCTTTATATCTTTTATGTTTTTTGCTGAGGGCTTTTTTTTCCCAGTTGTTTCAAAATTATTTCCAATGACGACTTTGAGTCATCCTTATCATAGTTGCTTTTAGTCTTTTTGATATAATCCAAACATCTGAGTCATCTTATCTTTGACATTTATTGAATTTCTTTGCCTATGTAAGTTGATATAATCCTTTTTCTTTGTATAAGTTTTTATTGTATCTTAGTTTAATACTATGTTATGAATCTTGTTTAAGTCCTGTTGAAAATATAGATTTTTTTTTCTAGCAGGTAGTCAACATAATTAGGTTCAGTTTGCAAGTTCCAACATGCATTCTGTGGTCTCTGGGTCCAATGTAATTTCAACTTTCCAATTCCTGCAAGTGTTATTTTGAACTGTCTCATGTGCATGCCACTCTGTATCCATTGTGGCCCTTGGGTACAGTCTCATTCTCTAGTATGCTGAAAAGGATTAGATCTAAACACAAATACCTTACAGGGAAGCCCAGGAATTCACAGGCAACTTTAGGCGTTTGTTTTCCTGAGTTCTTCTTTCTCTGTAATCTCCCCAGTGTTTCCCAGTTCCCAGTGTTTCCCACTTCCCAGTGTTTCCCCATTTAGTTCCTCATTAAGAGAGCTGGGGCTTTTGTTAGCTGTGCTGTTCCTTGCTGTGACTGTGCCTGCAACCAGAAACCAGTCCCTGAAGGACAGAGAGAGAGAAAAAAATCAGTGTGGGCTTTCCCTCCAGCTTGGGACCATAGCTCTTCTGATGTGAGAAGAAGCTTCAGCTCCCTAAGAATTTTGAGCCTCGTTGTTTCCCATTACTTCTACTGTCACAGAATTGTTTAAGGACAATGGCCCAAGAAGAAAGTATTAAGAAAAAAAAGCAGGGGGAGAAGTGGTGGTGGTGGATTTTTCCCTTTCTCTGAGCATGAGGGCTTCCCTTTCCTTCTCTGAGACAGAATGTTAGGGCTTCTCTGCCAACTTCCAGTATTTTGGGCTGTGTTGAGACTAGGCCAGGGATAGCGAAGGAGAAAAAATTGTTAATCTCATGGCCATTTAGGTGGCACTTTAAATTCTGGTCTTTTCCTTTAATTAACCTCATACTGTTTACTTCTGAATCCTAAAACACCTTGCCCTAGCATTGCTTCCAGGTTTTATTCATGCATTCTTTAAGAGACACTGTGTGCTTATTCCACTGTATCTTGAACTAAAACTCTAGCATTTTATCTTTATATATGAACAAATTTTAAAGAATGGTTATGGCGCAATAGCCATTTTTTAAAAAAAATTGGTTTCATTATTTCATGCATCTTGATGCTATTATACATAGAAATATCATCTTTGTTTAAAACCAAAGTCCCACACACGATGTTCAAAACCTCAGTGCATAACTGATCTGATGGAAATCTGCCATTGCTCTTGCTGTCAGCCTGAGCACCAGAGAAAACACCTCCAGGAGGAAGTTTTTGGCAAGGAGAAAAAAAGATGTTATCTCGGATTTACAAATTTTCATCATCATATTGTTAGGTAAAACATATTTAGTTACTGTCCTTCAAAAGTTTTCCTTTGTCTTTTTTTGTTGTTGATGTACTCAGGAAATAAAAACAGAAGTTTGAATATTCAAAAGTTAAATTTGCCAGGCAGAGCAATACCTTTGCTTAGAGCACAGTTTATTCAGTAGTGACTCTTACCCAATTAACTTTGGCAATCATATTCAATCTCCATAAATGAATGAGCAAAAATACCGCGATCCAGAGGCTGCAATGAATCATTTGTAGGCTTCTATCTATAAGATCCTTCTTTATCTCTCAGAGACTTCTTTGTATGTCTTGTATCTCACTTAGGTATAAAGCAGGCTTTTTCACCATCCCTCTTAAAAAGTCTTTCTAAATCACTGAAATGCGTGGCTTTTTCATTGTCTCCCACCATCGTAACCATGCATTTCCTATAGCCCTCCTTGTCTTTTCCCAACACAGTTGCTGCTAACCCTTGTGGAATCTGCATATGAATTAGGAAGAGACACCCATTCTCTG
Organism: Homo sapiens; assembly: GCF_000001405.40. Lineage (NCBI taxonomy): Eukaryota > Metazoa > Chordata > Mammalia > Primates > Hominidae > Homo > Homo sapiens. Next base: position 52,121,146 of record NC_000007.14, read on the forward strand.
CTGTGTGCAGCCCTATGCTGAGACACAGGATAAAGAGCAGAATTTTAACTATTGTTATTATTATTTATTTTACTTCTTTCTTTTTTTTTTTCGAGGCAAAGTCTCACTCTGTCCCCCAGGCTGGAGTACAGTGGCACAACCCTGGCTCACTGCAACTTTCACCTCCTGGGTTCAAGCAATTCTTGTGCCTCAGCCTCATGAGTAGCTGGAACTGCAGGTGCACGCTACCACGCCCAGCTAATTTTCATATTTTTAGCAGAGACGGGGTTTCGCTATGTTGGCCAGGATGGTCTCGAACTCCTGACCTCTAGTGATCAGCCCTCCCAAAGTGCTGGGATTACAGATGTGAGCCAAGAACTTAAATTAGACTTCACCAACTTTACCTCCTCACCTGACTTTTGGCAAAACCTCTATATCCACTTCAACTTTGTCTTTCCAACTTAAGTGTTAGCATTTTACAAAGTTTCTTCCTTGGACATCCTTTTTAAAATAAACACCATTACTGGGCAATTGCTCATACTCCCAGGGCTTTAGCTATCATCTAAATGCTGATTTTCTTAAATATGTTATTCTAGTCCTAACTTTCCTCAGTAACCCAGATTGTTATTTCCTATGGACAAACATTCCAGCATAGTCTAAATTTCCCTTCGAGTGCCATATCCCCAAAAGAAATGCATTTATTTATTTTTTTTTTTTGAGACCAGGTTTCTCTCTCGTTGTCTAGGCTGGAGTGCAATGGCACGATCTCGGCTCACTGCAACCTCTGCCTCCTGGGTTCAAGTGATTGTCCTGCCTCAGCCTCCCAAGTAGCTGGGATTACAGGCATGCACCACATGCCAGGCTAATTTTCTATTTTTAGTAGAGACAGGGTTTCTCCATGTTGGTCAGGCTAGTCTTGAACTCCCAACCTCAGGTGATCCGCCTGCTTCAGCCTCCCAAAGTGCTGGGATTACAGGCATGAGCCACCATGCCCAGCTTATAAATGAACTATTTATTTCAACAACAATCACAAGTGCAGCAAAAAATATTTTCTGTCTTTTCTACCTCTTAAAGAATGCGCTATCCTTCAATAGTTGCAACAATTCAATTTCCTCTTTTTTTTTCTTTAATTGGGGACAATGTATCTGGATGAATCATTAAGACAAGTAACTACTTCTGCAGAAAAATCTTACTCAACAAATACATGTTTTTTCTTTTAAATATCAAATATGGTGACGAATGCAAGCCAAAGAAGAAAGTAAAATCATACTTAATAAGCGTCTGCAATATCTTTGATAGGTTTTCTTAATATCTGTCAGTAGCACATCTTTGTGACTTTGAAATAGCTGTACCATCTTTTCATTATTATTATTATTTTTTTTAAAGGGAACATAGTTTGGTTGAAAATGTCTTATTGCCCTTTTCTGTACAACATAAATATAAGGCATTTTAAACCACAGCAAGATATCCCAGTGTCTTAGTGCTTCAAGTCACAAGCATGCTGGAATAAAATAAAACCACTATATGCAGAAGCACATTATCTGAGGGCACAACTCAAATATCACACATTAATGTACACCAGGTCCTACCAAGTTTGCAATACAGAGGTTCCTCAGTTGTCTCATTTAGCTTCCATATTTGTTTGTTTAAATATCAATATACATTTCTTTCTACCTGAATCTACTGTAAGTATATAATGGGTAACATTTACACAAAACTTTTCCATTAAATGGAATGCTTTCATGCAGTTAGTTTGCAGTGCTCACAAAAACTTGTGGGCTTGATACAATGAACATTATCCTCATTTTATCAGTGAATAAAATGATATTAGAGATAGCTGAAAGTACATACAATTAGTGAGAGAAAGGGAGAAGCTATGTCATCTTTCATGTGTGGTCATCCTTCCACGGTACCATTTTGCTTGTATAATTATGATATTTGTTACAATAGGATTGGAATTAAAATTAAATCATTAGATAGTTGGTCACTAATAATGCTTTACTTGTGTGAATGTTGTAAGTAGCATACTATTTTTAAGGAAGAAGTAAAAATGCAAGCCGTTCTAATGGTAATTTAGCAAACTTATTCTATGTGAGTCCTAAAATCAGTTTTGGAAAAAAAAATTGTGGACAGCATTGAAGATGTCAGGTAACGCATCAAAAAGCTACTATCACCAAGGGTACTGGAGGAGAAGTGATAGACATTAGGTCTTTAAAATGCAAATAAGGGTACAAGTAAAAGAATGCTATATTTAACATATGAAACTGATTCTAAGTCTCCATAGCAACTACTAAAATGTTAAGCATAAATTATGTGATTAAAGTTATCAAAGATAGCTTTCTTTCAGCCTAAGCAATTTCAAAGCAGATGATGAATCTGGTTCTTTTTCAGAAAGTCCTACCAAGTACACCTCTAGAAGATAATTAGAAGAGCTTTTGTCCATGATAGGCTATGCTGATTAATAATTTTAGAAATGAAATATATTGCTTTAATATAAGTGGAATCCAGGGCTAATCTCTTCATTAGAGAAAATGTGCTTGTATTAGTTTGGCGGCTTGTATTAGTTTGATAGTATAAGATAATCCTTCATTGGTGAAAAGTAGAAACAAAAGCTTCTTATTTTATTATACCACTTCAGTGATGATAAACATGGTGTAAATTATTTTGTTCTTTATATTAATTTGTATGATATGACTGTGTGTGTGTATGGCTGTGTTACATACATTTGTCTTGAGCAACTACATATTAATTGTTTTGAAGGGTAACAGAATATACCATCCCAAAATAAGCCACTTTAGCATGAGGATTACTTTGAGCTGAAGGCAATTGAGAAGAAGTAGATACAAGACAAGCTCTCTGTCTTTCCCGTATTTGCCTAAACGCAGGGCATAAATTTGCAAAAGTAAAGGTGTCCCTTCTCCCCTTTCTACCAGGAAGGACAAAGGTTTACCAACAGAGATGACTTTAGATCATACGAGCCTAGAGACCACACCAGATGAATTTATTAACAAACCTTACTAGCTGACCTTAATCTACCCTATGTTTGCTTTTCCACAATTTGCCATCCCTAGAGGATCAAGGTCCTTTTCTTTGTCTTATCACTCATCTAAATATTTATTATTTTTTGTTGAAGATGCCTATAAAAGCTGGAATTCTGAGCCACCGCTTGAAGAGTTACTCACTTTCTTGGTATCTCTCATGTATATATGAGACATACATATTAAGACACTTTTGTTTGTTTTTCTCTTGTTAATCTGTCTTTTAATACTAAGTTTCTAGCTAAGAACTTGTGAGGGTAGAGAGAAAATTATTTTTTCCTCCCCTAGAGTTTGGTGTCAGTGTCAAATAAAATATATTATATTCTAAATAATAAAATTACAGGTTCTTCATGGAATTCTGGAGTATTGTTTTGTAAAACATCTAAAAGTTGATTTATTAAATGTCCAACTCTACAATTGTAAAACATTTAATGCATAATTCCATGCAATTTTCTTCAGCCATGTATGAACTCACCATAACTATTTCAGGAATCATTTTTGTGTTTCTGTACTTGGTAAATCTCATTCAGTTCTGAGATATCTAGATAAATTACAAAAGTTGACTCTGGCAGTGTGAAAAAAAAAATCTGCCAAGGCAAATAAAATTAGATGGCAAAGAATGTTAAATTTGGGTCCAAAACTCAGCTATATAAAAACGAGCCAAACAATGAGAAAAAAAATGCTTTAGGTTCTTGCATATTCCCTATGTATCAGTAATTTGAAAGAAAGTTAAAAACAAATCAACAAATAGATGCCACAGAGAACAACTGGATACAAAGACAGAATGAAAATGATGTGGTTTGTAAGGGAAAGGGATAAAGCTTTCCCTCCATCCTTTGAAGGTTCGCTAAAAGTGAACTTAAAACAGGCAGATTCATAAGAGAAAAAGGCATACAAATTTATTTAATATGCATAGGGGGAAAATCACAGGACAATGATTACCCAATACCTCAATGATGTCCAGATGCCTATATATCCTTTCTCATAGAGGAAGGAGAGAGGGGAAAAAGTGATCATTTGAGGGATAGTAAATGATTTTTAGGGGGAATAAATGGGCCTAATGTTCAATGCTTAGTAAATGATGCTCTTTTGGAATTTAATTGAATCACAGAACAGACAATGGTTTGGGACAACCATTGTCTTTTGGGCCTCATGTGTGGTGTTTAATTTTCAATGTCTTTTGCTGTGATATGAGTTTTCATCTTTTTTGGTTAACGAAATTTCAGGGAGGGAATTGAAGGCAATTGTGTTCCTCTTTGGCAGATCTGTTCTTTAGAAGGATAGAGGAATATCAGAGTAAAGCCTGTCCAGCATCTGGTGGCCCCCAGTGGCCTTTAACTGCAAATAATCAGCATACCAGGGTGTTATATTTGGGGGTGACATTCCCTGGACTCCTTTAGGTGTCTTGTAAAAAAAAAAAAAGGATGAAAAGAAGCTCAAATATGTCCAGCAGATAATTTCCTTTCTTCACTCTTTTTTTCATAGCACACCTCTGGAGGAAGATTAACATGCTTGAGAGTGACCAATCATCTGTTGATTTTTGGTTACCACTTTTCCTTTCCACAGCTGTGCCAAATTATCCTGTTAATATTAACATTCATTTTCAGTAAGCTAGCTGAATGTCTCTTTCTCAAGTGACTCTTTAGCTATTGTTTTATCTGTCACTGTTTTTTCATCGCTACCTTCAGTTTTCAGGCTGGAACAGGGTCCTCCTTTCTCAAGACCTGCTGTCTTTTTTTGTTGTTTTAATAACTTTGCCTCTTCTTTCTTCTTCGTTTTTGGAGAGTACCTTGGTTGTCTTCAAGATTACCGAATCACATTTCCAAAGTGTCAGTTTTGCTTTTATTCTATGTCTGTTATCGATTTTGAGCTTCTTTTCATTCTGTCAACCTCACACTCATTCCTGTTTTCATTTTACCCATTCCCTGCTTGTTGTTCCCTAATTCTTCTATATAAATGACACCCTTTCTTGAGATTTGATTCCTTACATCTTAATGTTGGAAGCAGATAGCAGGAAACAGTCAGTATCTTTAAAAAAAATCTATATTACAGCTTCACATATTCTGAGTATTGAGATTTGCAGTCAATGGCTTTTAATCCTAGCATGCTTTCTGAAATCTCTCCCAACTGATGTACATTTTATTTGAACATTTTTCTCTGTACTGTGACATGTCGTCCTCATCGCCTTCATTTCTAATACAACTGCCAATTTTTATCTTTTAATGAGAGTTTAAAAGATTTTTCTTTGTGTATGACTGACCTTTAACCTGAAAGTTTGTCACCATTTCAAAAGCTTTTTTTTCCATTTTTTGATGTGCAGTTATCAAAACTGAATACTATGAAAATAAAAATCAGTACTTTTAATTAGGTTCTCACTATTTTCCAGATATTTTTAATAGACTTTTATGTGAAGTAACTCACAATGGCCCTATAAAATAGGTAAAACCATTACCCAGATTGTAAAGATGAGACAACTGAGATAGAGATTGGTTGGAAAACATATTTGTACAGTGCATCATTGGCAGAATAATGTATAAGCCCAAGAAATATGATTGCAAACCCAGGCCTAAAGACTCTGCCAAGTTGCTTTCTCCATTTTAAGTTCATATATGTCATAACTTTCAGATACCTTAACATGTAACGTGGCCTGGCATTCTGGCCACCTACTCCATAACCATTCATGTTTAAACTCCTTTATATCATAACAGATTCTGGAGTCTATCTCTATTTTAATGAGTCCTGCTGGTCATTGGTCATAGATATGCTGAGTAATCCTATAAAATTAGGGGCACAGGGAAGTCCATTTCTGCATTATAATTCCCTACACAGTCTTCATCTTACCCCCAATGTTTCGGAGATCCTAAAGTTCTACATCTGAGCATGGCAATACAACTCCATTTAACACAATTGAAATGGACAATTCTGTCAGTCTCCACTATCTAGAAAATGTGGCTATGAACATAGCACATAGGGGTGCTGGCACCCCATCAGCCCTTTAACATATATTTAACTAACACACACAAACTACCAATGACCTATGTTATACTCCTTGAAATGTCAATTCAGACAATTTTTAAAAAGGGAAGAAATAGAAAAAATTTGCTTACAAACACCATATATTGCTTACAAACACCACATATTAGAAACACAAATATTAAGACTAAAGACTTGTTTGGAGGCAAAGACAAAGATAAATAATTTTGCAAAAATAAAAAATACCCATATTATATATTAGAAATACACTTGAAGAGAATCTTCATGTAAATTGTGAATTTATGCCACGAGTTTTGGAAAGGAAATTGGCAATTGATAAATAGAGAGAATATAAATTAAGGCCCAAAGTGTGACCATTTGGCAAATACAGGTTTATTGTTGGAAGGATGGTTGGGGAAAGCTATCATATTGAAGGAGAAAGAATAACTTTTTAAATTTAAAGAAAATGAAAAGTAAAGAAAAAGACATTTCAGTAATAGACTTGCACAGTTTTCTAGGCGAGCACTTTGGCTATCACCTTGTTTTCTCATTTGGAGGGTGATTGCTAGATATGCAGCTGCACTCTAGCATTAGCGTGAGAATCTGACTATCAGGTTTCACCTAAATTCTTAGCATTTGTCTATTCAATTTTCTAGGATCCTGGCCAATTCCAGGTTTTAAAATCAATCAGACTAAGGTCAGAAAGGCTCTGAAATCACCCATGGATAGTGAGCCTCCAGTCACCCTGACAATTAGTCTGAACAAAAGGATGTTTTGTGTATAAATCTGTCATAAATCCTATGTTTGTAGCAAATGAGTGGTTTCCATGAGATTGTTAACTGGTTCTTAGAAGAAATAATGATATCTTGAAAGTGTTGGTTGGCCTTGGTGACAAAGGCCTGCATAGAAGTGGTATAAAAGAATGGCTCAGGTGGGAAGAAAGCGTACCCTGAAAATGAAAATGTTGAGATGTTCCTCAGTGTGAACACAAAGCATTACCAGCAAAAGATGTTTGGACTCAATTCTATGAGAAATGTTATCCTTTACAGTGAGGTGTTTTGAAAGTGTATAAGAAAAGTAAAACTATAAAAATAACATTAAAAATTTTTGGTAAAGGGATCTGGATAATGGTAACTTTTTTTTTTTAATGAAGCTTATGCTTAAAGTAGGTGAAATGAGATGTCTGTAAAAATGTTTTTCATGGCCAATATCCCCTTATGGCCAAAATATTTTTACAAGAGCACATTATCCAGTCATACAGGATGAGAAATGTTTTTGCATAGTGTATGGCAAGGGAATGTTGCAATGAATTTAAGCACCTGACTCAAGGATATCCCATCCAGAAGACAGACCACAGATTTCTCTGTTCAAAGGCATGTAAAATGAACTAAGTAAATCAGATTGGTTCTTATTGAAATCTAAACGGTAGAATACAGAATGGTTGGCCAATGTATAGAGATTGAGGATGAGAAAGAGGGAAGAGAGAACGGGAGATGCCATGAAAATGAGACCATGCTTATTGTAAAAAAGAGCGGGGGCCCGTAGTCCCAGCTACTTGGGAGGCTGAGGCAGGAGAATGGCGTGAACCCGGTAGGCGGAGCTTGCAGTGAGCCGAGATCGCGCGACTGCACTCCAGCTTGGGCGACAGAGCGAGACTCTGCCAGAAAAAAAAAAAAAAAGGCTGTTTCTAAAATCTGCCTCATTTCCTGAATGACTTGCTACCCATGGCTCAGTGATATCCTAAAGTAATCTCTTATCTATCATGAAAAGAATCAAACAATTCTGAAGGCTAATGGTATTTTAGGCTTTCACATTCAAAATGGAAACACAGCCTCTCTTTGACGAATGATGGCTCTATCAAAAGGTGAAGGGCCGGGCGCTGTGGTACACGTCTATAATCCCAGCACTTTGGGAGGCTGAGGCGAGTAAATCACCTGAGGTCAGGAGACCGAGACTAGCCTGGCCAACACGGAGAAACCCCGTCTCTATTAAAAATACAAAAATTAGCCGGGCATGGTGGCAGGTGCCTGTAATCTCAGCTAGTCGGGAGGCTGAGGCAGGAGAATCCCTTGAACCCGGGAGGCGGAGGTTGCAGTGAGCGGAAATCGTGCCACTGCACTCCAGCCTGGGTGACAAGAGTTAAACTGTCTCATAAAAAAAAAAAAAAAAAAAAAAGTTAAGTTACTCATTGTGTGTCAATCTTTATATTCTCAATTAAAGAAAATAAAGAGATGCCTCTCTTGTCCTGCCTGTGGAAGGAATCAAGGGCATATTAACATTTGCTTTTCAGTGGTAGCTCATTCATCCGCTTAGTAAATACCAGTGTTTATCATATGCAAGGCACCCTGTTAAGTCGTTGGTTGGACTCAATCTGTGATAGCAAATGAGGTATAATGACAATAGCCAAGTTTCCTTCAAGGTTGCCCCTCATTATTGAGATCAATGAGAATAAGAAATTGGCTTCCCTTTAGGGCAGATGCAGAATAGGCTACAGCCAGCAATCGCTTGCTATAAGTTAATTTGATAGAAATAATAAACTCTTAAGTAATCATGATTCGGTAGCATCCGATTTCGATACTCATGTTTATACTGTCAGTGCATTAGTCATTGTGCTAGATTTGGCAAATAGAAATGAAAAATGCAATCTTGACTTTGTTAAAATCATAGGCAGTGATTGTAATAAAAAATAAATGGTTAAGCCAAAGATTTAAAGATGATTCCATTTTTGCCTTCTTCCTTTTTAATTCAATTTTCCCATTATAGTCATTCATTTTGCATATTTAAGAGATTTCACTCTTTCTGGTAACAGTTTTATTGATATATAATTCATACTTCATGAAATTTACCCAGTTAAAATGTGAAATCAAACTTTTTTTTTAGTTCACACAGTTGTGAACTTTAAAAAACCCACTAATTTATTAGTTGTGAAATTTACAAAAAAATCAATTTTAGAATTTTTCATTACCTCAAAAAGAAATCTGTATATGTTATCACTTCCCTAATTCCCCTATTTTCCTAGTCTTAAGTAACTATTAATATGCTTCCTGTCTCTATAGGTTTCCCTGTTCTGGACATTTTATGTGAATGGAACCATATACAATCTATATTTTATAGCTTTTACTTAGCACACTGTTTTTAAAGCTTACTCATGTTATAACTTGGACCAGTATTTCATTACTTTATATAACTGAATAATATTCTAATTCTATTGTATGGTTATATCACATTTTGTTTATCCGTTCTTTAGTTTATATACATTTGGGTTGTTCCTAATTTTTGGTTATTATGAATAATGCTGCTATAAATATCTATGTGTAAGTTTTTTTGTGGACATGTGTCTTCTTTTCTCTTGGACACACGCATAATAATGGAATTGCTGGATTACAGTGTAACTCTATGCTTGACCATTCATGGAGCTGTAAAACATTTTTCCAAAATGGCTACAACATTTTACATTCCTATCAGAAAATTATGAGGGTTACAATTTCTCTACATTTTCACCAACACTTACAGATATCTGGCTTTACGATCCTAGCCATCTTAGTGGGTATGATATGGTATTTCACTGTGGTTTTGCATTTTCTTGGCGACTAATAATATCAAGCATCTTTTTCTGTGTTTATTGGTCATTTGGATACATTCTTTTGGAGAACCATCTGTTCAGACCCTTTGCCCATTTTCTTTTTAATTGCGTGTTTGCCTTTTTACTATTGAGTTAAAGAATTTACATATATACATACGTATGTCTGTGTTCATAAAATATATATATTTTATGTGTATGTATTACATATATAAAAGTTTCTTATCAGATATATGACTTACAAATGTTTTCTTCCATTCTGTGTGTTGACTTTTTTATTTTCTTGATAGTGTTCTTGAGGCACAGAGGTTTTTCATTTTAATGAACTCTAACTTATTTACTTACTTATTGTTTGATTGTGCTTTTTTTATGTCTAAGACTGCATCACCAAATCCAAGTACACAAAGATTTATCCCTAAGTATTCATCTAAAATTCTCATACTTTGAGCTTTTACATTTAGACCATCAGTACATTTTGAGGTTATTTTTGTATATTGTACGAGGCAAGGTTCTGATTTCATATGATTTTTCCAATTGTCTCAGCATCATTTGTGGAAAACACTATTTTTCCCCCCATTTAATGGTCTTGTTACCTTTTAAAAATATCTATCGACCATAGATCAGGGGTTCACTTCTGACATCTCAATTCTGTTTCATTGCTCTGTTGGGATACGTATGCCAGTAGCACAACAGCCTCATTATTGTTGCTCTGTTTAAAATAAAAAAGAGTGAATCTTTTTTTTTTTTTTTTTTTTGAGATGGAGTCTCGCTCTGTCGCCCAGGCTGGAGTGCAGTGGCGGGATCTTGGCTCACTGCAAGCTCCGCCTCCCGGGTTCACGCCATTCTCCTGCCTCAGCCTCCCAAGTAGCTGGGACTACAGGCGCCCGCCACTACGCCCGGCTAATTTTTTTGTATTTTTAGTAGAGACGGGGTTTCACCGTTTTAGCCGGGATGGTCTCGATCTCCTGACCTCGTGATCCGCCCGCCTCGGCCTCCCAAAGTGCTGGGATTACAGGCATGAGCCACCGCGCCCGACCAAAAAGAGTGAATCTTTCAACTCTGTCTTACTTCTTCAAGTAGATTCAGTAGGATACAAGACTTTAAATGGAATTTTTGGATCCATTGAGTTAATAGGAATTTTAGGAGCAGCTTGTCAATTTCTACAAAGAAACAAGTTCAGATTCTAAAAGAAATGTCATTGAATCTGCAGATAAAGTTGGGGAGTACTGTCATTTTAACAATATTGAGTCTTCTGATTCATGAATAGAAGAGGCATTTCTATTCATTCAGATCTTCTTAAATTTCTTTCAACAATGTTTTATGGTTTTAAAAATACAAATTTGACATTATTTTGTTAAAATTGCTATTGTTTTCCTCTTTTTATGCTATTGTAAATGCAATTATTTTCTTAATTTTTCTTTTCAAATTTTTCACTGCAGGTATATAGAAATATAATTTATTTTTGTTATTAATCTTGTTTTTGGCACACTTGCTGAACTTGCTTATTAGTCTAATTTTTTTAGTTGATTTCTTAGGATTTTCCATGTACAGGATAAAAGATCATGTCATCTGAAGTTATGATACATTGTATATTCATTTTCACTCATCTCAAAGTATTTCTTAATTTTCTTTTTTTATTGCAATGTATCCAGAGTGTACTGTTTAATGTCTACATATTCATGTTTTATATTTTTTTTCTGTTTTTGGTTGATAATTTCATTCCACCATGGTCAGAGAACAAACTTTGTTTTATTATCATTATTTTAAATTTATTTACATTTTTTTTATGGTCTAACACATGATCTACCATGAAGAAAGTTCCATATGCACTTGAGAAGAATATATATTGTGCAGTTGTTGGGTAGAGTGTTTTGTAGATTTAGGTCTAGTAGGTTTATATTGTCACCTTGTTGAAATTCTGCCTATTTGTCAATCTATTTTTGAAAGTGAGGTTTTGAAGGCTCCAAATATTGTTGCGTTGCCTGTTTCTCCCTTCCTCCTTTGCTTCTGTCAGTTTGGAGATCCATTTTTAGGTGCATATATGCTTAGTTATATCTTCCTGATAGATTGAGCCTTTCTATTATTATAAAATGCCCCTCTCTCTATCTGGTCACATTTTTTTTTTGTTTTCTTGTCTATTTTGTGTGATATTAGTATAGCCACTCCAGCTTTCTTATGGTTTTTGGTGTGATGTATTTTTCTTCCATTCTTTTTCTCTCTTTGTATTTTTGAATCTGAAGTAATGTCTTCTGGACAAAACATATAATTGGATCTTGTTCTTTCGCAGCATGATTTTGCTTTCCTTTTATTCAATCTGACAGACTCTGCCTTTTGAACGGGTTGCTTTATTCATTTTCATTTTCTATTGTAATATAAATAGTTGAATTTATGTCTGCAATTTTACTTTTTGTTTGCTATGTGTCTCATGATACTTTTGTTTCTCTATTCTTCAGTTACTGCATGCTCTTGCATTAAGTGTGTTTTTCTAATGTATGATTTTAATTATTGTTTTTAACTGCATATAGATGTTATTTCTTTAGTGGTTTCGCTAGAGTTTAGCATACATACTTTAACTTTTCAGTTTCTGCTTCAGATTGATAATATCTTAATTTCAACTTATGCGGATATGTTATTCCTATACAGCTATGTTCACCTTTTCTTTTTTGCATGTGGGATTATTGTTAAACATATTACAACTATATATGTCACAAACTCAAACATACAATTTTTATAATTATTAGTTTATATAATTATATATCTTTTGGGGAAGCTGGGAAAAGAAGGGAGAGCAAGTATGTACTTATAGATGTTGTTGTATTAACTTTATTAATTAACATTTCTGTTTCTTTTCAAAAGTTAGTTTTTTGAGAGGTGCTACGCTTTCTGACCTATTTTCCCCTTGTGCAAAATAGAAGCTCAGGCTCTACACCTGGGAATAGGGACAAAGTCATTGCCTATCCCAAAGTAGAACCTTTGACTTATAAGCTGGGTTGTGGGTGATCAAGGCCCCAGTATTCTCAGTACACTCGCTCAAGATACAGCCTCTTTTCCATGAGTGGGTGTGGATTGAAGAAGGAAGCCCCATCTCCCACTCAGCCCCAGCCACATCCACTACTTAGTCTCTGCAACAGAGAAGTGAAAAATGGATGAGATATGCTGATGGACTGCCCTCCTGGGAAGGACTATAACCTGCTTATGGGAGTGCTCTTGGATGCTCCCATCTGGAGTGAAATTTTAGACATGCTACACTGGGAGGAGAAAGTAGAAGTGCAGGTCATGCATAAAATGAAACAGACTTTCACTTTATTAAATGTATTTTCTTAAATAAGTGTTTTCTTTATTTGCTATGTGCTCTTAGGACTATTTTCAGAGACTCTAATTATTCATTGTTGTTCTTTGTTATATATATAATATATATATTTATATTTATATATATAAAAATTACATGTGTGTATATATATATATATATATTTGTAATTTTCAGTCATTCTACTGGGCGATGGGCCTATAAATCATCTTATGTTACCATGCAGGATGTGAAACTCTTTAGGAGTTTCTGTATTTAATTTTTCAGTATTTTATGTGTGTCATCCTCCCCAAATCTCCACTGCAAGAGTATTGAACAGTAACATATTGACCTGGCCTAGAATGGAGGGGTGGAGGCCTGACAAGAGCCAGAAAATAGAGCTGTAGGACAGGGAAAAGCTTCAATCCGAGTCCAAGTAAAATTATGGCTAAAACAAAATAAATTGCAAACCAAGATAAATTGCAAAATAAATTGCAAAATGTCCAAAAGGAAAGAGTCTGATACAAGGAACTAGGTTATCCAAAAGATTTAGCAGTCTGAGCTTATAAAGTGTCTTGAGGTGACAATGGACATTGGGAGAAAGACTCTTTTATAGTGGTAACTCACAAATGGGAAGGCTCTGACATTGTGTCAATTCACAAAGGTCTTCTAGGGTAATTTCTTGACCCAAATGAAAACCATAATTTGTATGTACTCTTTCACTTTTTGTACACTCTCATTTTGTTCTTTATTAGATAATATTTCAATTGGATGGGGAATAGAAATGTGTATTTATTATTTCTTTTACTATTTTAACGTTTTTGACAGTTCTCATACTATTTTACTAATAAGTATATATATGCTATTAGAAGATCTTTTGGCTTCCTGGTAGTTACTGACTTTATTACTTTAACTTTTATCTATATCCTGTTATATTTAGTAATGTGATTATCAGGGAGATTTTTCTCCTTCTATAGTGTGGAATTCAATTTTGGAATGTCACATGAAATAGTAATTACACATGTAATCACCTGAAAGGTTCTTCCTGCCCACTGCACAGACAAAACCAATTCACTGAGACCATGGTATTGAGAAAGAGTTTAATTATCCCACAGCAGCCAGGTGGGAGGACTGAAATTATTGTTGAAATCAGTTACCATGAAAATTTGAAGGCTAGAGTTTTTTTGAGGATAATTTTATGGGCAGGGGGCTAAGGACTGTGTGCTGCTGGTTGGTTGGGGATGAAATCATAGGGGTGCTGAAAACAATCTTCATGCACTGAGCCTCTGGATGGGGGCCACAGGACCAGTTTAATCATGAGTCCCAAGTCCAGGTGAAGTTAGTCCATCATCAGAATGCAAAAGTTTGAAAAACATCTCAAAAGATGAATCTGAGGTTCTACAATAGTGGTGTTATTAACAATAGGAATTAGGGAATTCACAGATCTTGTGACCTCCAGAACAGTGGCTAAACTATGCCTACATTTTAGCAGAATTCAGGCCCCTCCCATAAGGCCTCTCATGGCCTTTCATTAGCAAAGAGGGGGTGAGTTTTAGGGAGGGACTATTATTATATTTGCTTTAGAGTTAAACTACAAACTGAATTCACCCTCTGGTTAGCTTGGCCTGTGCCCAGGAATAAGTGAGCACATAGACACAGATACACACACATAAAATGGCTAGAATTAGAAATAGTTCAGATGTCCAATATTGAAAAAAAGTATTGAGTAATTTCCTATGCTTACATAGGCTGAGCTATTTTAGAACACATACAAATAATATTTTCAAAGGAATTTAACATCAAAAATTCTTACCTTTTCATAGTTGTGAAATATACATGTGATGTGTTTCTTGTCGTTTAACTCCTAATATCCTTGAAATCTCCAAAGTGAAGTGACTTTTTATATGCTAATGAGTTGGCTGATGGGTGGGGGTTCCTGGGTAGCCTCAGTACAGGGGCTGGTTGCCAGGGGAACCAACAATGAGATTTGAGGGTTGGACCTTTCATTCCTGCCCCCAATCTCCAGGGAGGGTAGAGGAGGTAAAGGTTAAGTTGATCCCCAGTGGCCACTGATATCATCAATCATGCCTATGTAATGGAGCTTCTATAAAAACCAAAAAAGGGCAGGGTTCAAGGAGTCTGCAGATAGATGAACATGTAGTGGTTTTCAGGAAGGTGATTAAGAGCACATGAACATACCAAGAAGGAGGTGCACCCCAACTCCACAAGGAGAGATATTCCTGTGCTTGGGACCCTTCCAGACTTTGCCCTATCTATCTATTCATCTGGTTGTTTATTTTTATCCTTTAATACATCATTTGTAATAAATCTTTAAACTTAAGAGTTTCCCTAAGTCCTGTGAGCCACTCTAGCAAATAAATTGAACCCAAGGATTGGGTTATGGGAATCTATAGCAAGCTGGTCCAAAACACAGGCAAAATAACTTGAGGCTTTTAACTGGCATCAGAAGTGGGGCTGTCCTGTTGGACTGAGTCTTCATTCTGGGCAATCTGATTCTATCTCCAGGTAGATAGTATCAGAATTTAACTGAATTAGAGGGCAGCAAGCTGATTTTTGCTGCAGAATTGATGGCTTGCTTACTGGTGGGGAGAAATTCTATCATATCTGGTGTCAGAAGTGTATTGTGACAGTACAGTGAGAGAAATTGAGTTTGTTATTTTCCACTCAATGATTAAAACAAAACAAAATAAAACAAAAAATAAATGAGATGCAACTGTATGTATAGAAGGATAAAATGATGTAAGCTACTCAATCCCCCAACAAGAAGAAGAGGAAGAAGAAAAGGAAGAAGAAGAAGAACAACAACAACAACAAGGAGAAGCAGGAGGAGGAGGAAGAGGAAGAGGAGGAAGAAGAAGGAGGAGGAAGAGAGGAGGAGGAGGAAGAGGAGGAGGAGGAAGAAGAAGAAGGACTATGAAGAGGAGGAGGAGGGAGGATGATAAAGAGGAGGAGGAAGAAGAAGGAGGAGGAGGAAGAAGAAGAAGAAAAAGGAGCAGAAGAAGGAGAAGGAGAAGGAGGAGGAGGAAGAGGAGGAGGAAGAGGCAGAGGAGGGAGAGGAGGAGAAGGAGGAGGGAGGAGGAGAAAGAGGAGGAGGAGGAAGAAGAAGGAGGAAGAGGAAGAAGAAGAAGAAAAAGGAGCAGAAGAAGAAGGAGAAGAAGAAGTAGAATAAGGAGGAGGAGGAAGAGGAGTAGAAGGAGGAGGAAGAAGAAGAAGGAGGAGGAAAAAGAGGCAGAGGAAGAAGAAGAAGAAGGAGGAGAAGGAGGAGGAGGAAGAAGACGAAGAAGAAGGAGGAGAAGGAGGAGGAGGAAGAAGAAGAAGGAGGAGAAGGAGGAGGAGGAAGAAGAAGAAGGAGGAGGAGGGGGGAGGAGGATGGAGAAGGAGGAGGAGAAGAAAAATAACTAAATCAATATCAATCTAGGTAAAATTAATTTTCAGAAAACAGTATCTCAAAATATTAATGAATATCTTCTTTCAGTGCTGAGAATATAAGTAGTATTTTCCTTCTTTGTACTTTTAGACTTTTTTTTTACATGCTTTGTAATGTGCGTGAGTTAATTGTATAGCAAAAAACATAATGAGGTAATAAAAAAAGTAGGCGGTACTGTGGTCACTGTCACATATAGACTACTGTAGAATTGCTTCTCCCAACTGTTCCCTTGACTCATGGGAGTAATGTATGCAGTGCACTGCTTTTCTGTGAGTGCTCAAAACTTCATGTTCTGAGAAACAACCATTTACACAGGGTAAAATATGCAGTCTCTACTTCCTGTCTCTTTTTCCTGTCTCAGTAAAAGTATTTTGATAACTCACGTTCAAATGATTGAAGTATCACATTATAATCACCTGACCCAACTTTGAAACATCTTCAAATTAATTTTATTTATAACTAATTTGAGTCACTAATTTGGATTTCAAAATAAATTTAAGTTAAATAATACTTTGCCAAATTGCTTTCTGAAATCTGAGGTTTTTTTACTGTATTAGTTCATTCTCATGCTACTATGAGGAAATACCCAAGACTGGGTAATTTATAAAGGAATGAGTTTTAATTGACTCACAGTTCTGTATGGCTGGGGAGCCCTCAGAAAAACTACAGTCAAGGAAGAAGGTACCTCTTCACAGGGCGGCAGGAGAGAGAATGAGTGCCAGCAGGGGAAATGCCAGACACTTATAAAACCGTCACATCTCGTGAGACTTACTCATTATCACAAGAACAGCATGGGGGAAACCACTCACATGATTCAATTACCACCCACAAGTCCCTTCCGTGACACATGGGGATTATGGAAACTACAATTCAAGATGAGATTTGGGTGGGGACACAGAGCTAAACCATATCATTCTGCCCTTGACCCCTCCCAAATTTCATGTCCTCACATTTCAAAACACAATCATGCCCTTCCAACAGCCCCCCAAAGTCTCAATGCATCCCACAATTTAACCAAAAAGTAAAAGTCCGAAGTCTTATCTAAGATAAGGCAAGTCCCTTCTGCCTATGAGCCTGTAAAATCAAAAGCAAGTTAGTTACTTCCTAGATACAGGCATTGCGTAAATACACCCATTCCAAATGGGAGAAATTGGCTAAAACAAAGAGGCTACAGGCACCATGCATAGCTGAAATCCAACTGGGCAGTCATTCATTAAACCTTAAAGTTCCAAAATGATCTCCTTTGACTCCATGTCTCACATCCAGGTCACATTCATGTGAGAGATGTGCTCCCACGGTCTTGGGCAGCTCCACCCCTGTGCCTTTGCAGGGTACAGTCCCTTTCCCAGCTACTTTCATGAGCTGGCATTGGGAGCCTGTGGCTTTTCCAGGTGCATGGTGCAAGCTATCAGTGGATCTACCATTCTGGGGTCTGGAGGATGTTGGCCCTCTTCTCATGGCTCCACTAGGCAGTGCCTCACTGGGGACTCTGTGTGGGGGCTCCAACCCCACATTTCCCTTCTGCACTGCCCTAGCAGAGGTTCTCCATGAGGACTCCATTCCTGTAGCAAACTTTTGCCTGGACATCCAGGTGTTTCCATACATCCTCTGAAATCTAGGCAGAGGCTCCCAAACCTCAATTCTTGACTTCTGTGCACCTGCAGGCTCTACAGCATGTGGTAGCTGCCAAGGCTTGGGGCTTGCACCCTCTGAAGCCATGGCCCAAGCTGTACTTGGGTCCCTTTTAGCCATGGCTGGAGTGGCTGGATTGCAGGGTGCCAGGTCCCTGGGCTGCACATAACAGGTGGACCCTGGGCCAGCCCAGGAAACCATTGTTTCCTCCTAGGCTTCCAGGCCTGTGATGAGAGGGGCTGCTGTGAAGGTCTCTGACATGGCCTGGAGACATTTTCCCCATTGTCTTAGTGATTAACATTCAGCATATGCAAATTTCTGCAGCAGGCCTAAATTTCTCCCCAGAAAATAGGGGAGAAAATGGGTTTTTATTTTCTATTTAGTCATCAGTCTGCATATTTTCCAAACTTTTATGCTCTTCTTTGTCTTGTATGCTTTGCCACTTAGAAATTGCTTCCACCAGATACCCTAAATCATCTCTCTCAAGCTCAAAGTTCCACAGATCTCTAAGGCAGGGCAAAATGCCACCAGTCTTTTTGCTAAAACATAACAAGAGTCACCTTTGCTCCAGTTCCCAACAAGTTTCTCACCTCCATCTGAGACCACCTCAGCCTGGACTTTATTGTCCACATCACTATGAGCATTTTGGTCAAAGCCATTCAACAAGTCTCTAGGAAGTTCCAAACATTCCCACATTTTCCTGTCTTTTTCTGAGCCCTCCAAATGGTTCCAACCTCTGCCTGTTACCCAGCTCCAAAGTTGCTTCCACATTTTCAAGTATCTTTATAGCAGCACACCAATACTTCTGGTATGAATTTACTGTATTAGTCCATTCTCATGCTGGTATGAAGAAATGCCAAAGACTAGGTAATTTATAAAGAAATACCCAAGACTAGGTAATTTAATTGACTTATAGTCAATTAAACATGGTTGGGGAGGCCTCAGGAGACTTACAATCATGGCTGAAGGCACCTCTTCACAGGGCAGCAAGAGAAAGAATGAGTGCCAGGAGGGGAAATGTCAGACACTTAAAACCATCAAATATCATGATTCTCACTCATTATCATGAGAGCAACATGGGGGAAACTGCCCAATGATTCAATTACCTCCCACAAGGTCACTCCCACATGTGGGGATTATAAAAACTACAATTCAAGGTGAGATTTGGATGGGGACACAGAGCCAAACCATATTAATTTCCAAACTATAAATGATATTAATAAATTATTCCATATTCTCAACAGTGACTTAAAACAGGAAGACTTTCTGGGGATTGTGCAAATTTTAGAAGTTTAATTACATTTACTTATCATTTATGGAATTATAATTTATTAAGTCCCACAGTGCTTTGTATACATATTGAGTTAGGTAAGAGAGGTATAGAGTATAAAAAGGTGGGACAGGATACATGTGCCAAAAAAGTTAATTTTAATAGTTTGTAAATGTGGCACAAACTATTGGGAAATGGGAAATGGATCAGTATAGGAAACACATACACAATATAAACAAGCTCAAAGTAATTGAAATTTGAAATTGGTGTATCAGCTTCTGCTGCCTCACCACTTCATCAATAAGACCTGTGAACTGAGAAACAGGCTCTTAAAAGGGTTTTCTGCTTGTACTATTTCATTTTTTCCCCATCTTCCACTCAGTCTTTACCTGGGAGAAGAGTGATGATTAAAGATAAAATTCAATCCCCTTTTTGCTTAGAATAACCTAAAAGACACATGATTTTTGCCCTGCCTCCCCTCTGACCTCTTCTACCACTCGTCCTATTTCGTACTCTTCTCAACTACTCCATCTTCTTTCTGTTGTAAAATGTGATTTACTAAACAGCATCACCCTGGGTCAGAGCTCTAAAATAGAGTGGGAATCCCTTCTAAAGAAGACTACCTGCATAACCTGAAACCTGGCAAAACAGGAACTTGCCTCGAACCTTTGAACTGGGCAAGATTACCACACCCGCAATATCCTAGAAAAAAGCTAAATCTTTCCAGGTCTGCAACTCCTGAACAGCAACAATCAATGAGCTGTGGACTCAAGTCCTAAGCCAGCCGCCTCCACCAATGATAATTCTTTCAAAACAACTTGTGTAATCATCCTCATCACTCTTCTAAAAATCCCTATACCCTTTCTTCTTTTTGGAACACAATTTGGCTTCTAGTCACATCTGTGTCTAGTAAATTGCAATTCCCAAGACCCCAATAAACACCTCATCTTACTGCTTTGCAGTCTGGTCTTTGGCTTCTTCATGACTGTCACTATTGTGTTATAGTTTCTGCTAAGCACTCTTCCCACAGCACACAGAGTCCTTCTTACTAGCTCCCCTTAGACACCTTCCTGGCCATCCTAGTTTCTACAGACTCTTGTTCTGCCACACTGTTGCATCCCTCGTAGCAGTTTTCACGACCTAAACTTACTGTGCTCATTTACCTGTTTAAGTGCACATGGTCCACCTTCCTATCTGAAACTTAGTCTCTACATACACAGGGAACTTCTTGTTCTCATCCCTTCAGTTTCCACGATACACAGAGCTTTGCCAGACACATAGCTAACATTAAATAAGAAGTGATTGTGTGAACAAAGGAATTTATTTTAATTACAAAATATTATTTCTCTGAACTCCTTCTTCCTAAATTCTTTAGTGAGTTCACCAGTGAATTATTTAAAAAAAATTTAACATTTCACATTTCCAAAGTAAATGAAACTATTTTTATTCCTATCCTTGGCTTTATGATAATGAAAATGGAACTAGAAAGGCCAAGAGTGGTGGAAGTATTACGTCTGGTCCTTCTAACACCTTTTGTAATGTCTAAGTGTTGAGGAGCTTATGCTGTGCAAGTGCAACCTTGTTCTCTTCAAAACAAACCAAAAGCAATCACACTTCTGCTCTATGTAGCTTACCATAATCCTGTGACAATGCACAGTAGTATACAGTCTTTGGTCTTTGGTGTGCACCAGAATCACAAATGGAGTTTAATCAAAAGGAACCAACCTGGTCATCTAGCCATGAAAAGACATGGAGGAACCTTAAGTGCATATTACAAAGTGAAAGAAATCAAAAGGTTGCATACTGAATGGTTCCAATTGCATGACATTCTGGAAAATAAAAACTATGCAGACAGTAAAAAGATTGTACAGCATTTTTTTGTGGATTAGCAGGGAGGGAGAGAAGGAGAGGCAGAACACAGAGGACTTTTAGGGCAATGGAACCACTCTGTATGATGCCACCTTGGTGGATATGTGTCATGACACTTTTGCCCAAACCCATAGGATGTACAGCACCAAGAGTGAACCCTGATGAAACCTATGGACTCTGGTGATGATGGGGTGTCACTGTGGGTTCACTGACTGTAACAAATGTACCATTCTGGTGGGGATGTTGATAAGGGAGGGGGCTGTGCATGTGTGGGGCCTGGGAGTATCCAAGAAACCTCTGTACCTGCCTCTCAATTTTGCTGTGAACCTAACAGTACTTTTAAAAAGTAGAATGTCTTAAATAAATAAAAATTATCAGGAACAAAAACACAACAAAAAAGGAATTGCCCCAGTCTCCTCTCCTGGGTATTCAGCCAACTTCAGGGGGATTCAGCCCCTCTGTAAATTGACTGTGTTGCACAGATGAATTGATTTACACAAGAGGTTGGGAACCACCTCCTAAGAGATCACAGCTTCTTCACAAGGGGATTGTTGGTAACCACGAATTCCCTGCTCAGCTCGCCATTGTCAGAGATGGCATTAGCTGAATTCAAAGGAAGTTGAGCCTTTGGACCATATGATCTTTAGTGACAATTTCAACTTTGAGGTTTTAGAAGTATATGAACAAAAATTTGAAATGTTTAAATATAACTTAAATATAATTTAGTGATAGTGCTATTAGGCATTATAAATCCCAGAGGTTAATGTAGAAGTGTTTTCCTCCAAAAACAAAATTTCATTTTTGAGAAATGAGGGTCCCTAAAAACTTAAATACTTTGCTTAAGTCCCCACAGCCAGTCAGCCACTCAGCCACTCTGCTATAGAATTTCTCCCAGATCCTTTCACTAATATTTTTAAAACCTATGTCAGATTCCTGTCTCTTGAAAAGACTATACTTATTCACCAGTTATGTGAAGCAGCACTGTGAAATAAAACTCTGAATCTAGGTAATGCACTGAATTTCAAAGTGTTTAACTTTACTATTGGTAGAAAGTTTATGTTATTTGGGATTAGAAGTCATAGTGCTATCGATGAGATTTGTTGTTGGAAAAGAATCCCATGGCTTGTTTCTGAGCTTAATCGTTGCCTCCAGAGCTTCCCCACAAGAGCAACGTGCTGCAAGGCTGTGGTGCAGCTGCAGGGCCCGGCTGTGTCTGCTCCCTCTGTGCCTCCTATACCTGCAGATCCTTCACAGTTACTGTCTCACTGCTCTGTCACTTTAAAGCACAAATCTATATACATGTATTCTGCTTTTTCACATTCTTATTCCTAAACATTCTTAGTAGGCTGCTTAGCAACCAGAAAAGTTATGGTTTTGAATTTTTTTTCTGAAATAAGTGTAATCTCCATTTCCTGAGAGTGGTTGAATCTGATAGCAACTTCTTTCTTTATTCTCTGAGAGGCACACAACATCAGTTATAATTTCTCTTTTCAGGAATAAGGGAGGAAAGATAGAAATCTTTGTTTTTTACATGATTTTTTTAAATTATAAAAACATTATATTAAAACACTGGGTCTGAACTGACGCTATTCTAGGCGATACAAAACATCATGTGGCCCTCCAGTCACAGTAGCGGCTTACAGAGATCAGGTGACCAACAGATTATTAGCTAGGGTCCAACTCACAGTGAGCCCAGGGTGCCCCCAAACCCACACCGTGGTTATTTCTGAAGTTTCAGAATGCATAATTAGAATAGACATACTTAACAATAAACAGAATCTCCACATTGCTCTGTGATCTTTGAAATGGGGACTCATGAGGAAAATGGCCAAGTGGAAGTCATTAAAACCACCTCTAATCTGAAATATAGCAAACTAAAACCACCAAGCTGAAAGCAGTGCCTTCTTGTAGGGATTGCAGAGATTAATGCCACCATCAAGGACTTGAAAGAGTTGGGGATAATGATTTCCACCTCATCCCCATTCCTCTCTCCTCTTTAGCCTGTGCAGAAGACAGATGGATCTTGGAAAATGACATTGGAATATCATAAGCTGAACAAAAAGGTGAACTTTAATTGTGGCAGCTGTACCAGATGTGATTTTATTTTTCAAACAATTTAACACCTACCCTGGCATCTTACATGCAGGTATTGATCTAGAAAAAGCCCTTTTTTCCATCCCTGCTTCTAAGGCTCATGAGAAGCAGTTTGCTTTCATTTGGCATGGACAGCAATATACCTCACTGTCCTACCTCAGGGGTATATCAGCTTTCCAGCACTCTGTCACAATCTAGTTTGCAGAGATCTTGATTGCCTTTCTCTTTCAGATGATAGCACACTAGTCCATTACATTGATGACATTAAGTTGATTAGACCTACTGAGCAAGAAATGACAGCTACCCTAGACTTATTTTTAAGACATTTGCATGCCAGTGGATGGAAAATAAATCTGATTAAATTTCAAGGGACTTCTACTCCAGTGAAATTTCTAGGGGTCCATCAGTGTGTGATATGTCAAGATAGCCCCAGTAAGGTAAAGAATGATTTACAGCATCTAGCTCCTCCTACAACCAAAAAGAAGGCACAAAGTCCAGCTGAGGAGCTTGCTGAAGGCACAGGGAATACACAATGGGTGGTGGAAGATGGTAGTTACAGACAACAGCTTTGACCATGTAACCAGTTACAGAAATGAGGACTGCAATTGTCATGATTCCTCCTCACTTTGTTATAAATATGTCTGTGTGTGTATTAATCTATCTATCAACATTTTGTCTTTTCCCCTCTTTTATCCCTCTATTATGTAACATAAGAGATACTGACTTTATACCATAATGGTGAAGCATTGTTAACTTTACATCAAAGTATCCATTACAGGATACCAAGGAGAAGACTGAGCATCACCCAAAGGCTTGGCATACTCTCTGGGTTGTATGCAGGAAGGCTGTGTCACCTTAGGTGCAGGTATGACATGGTTACTGTTTTCATTTGGAGATTAAGTATGGTTTAAGGAGATGCATCTGGGTGCCACATTGCCAAGGGATGTATTTGTGAAGTTAATTTTATGTGTCAATTTGGAAAGTGTTTTTGGATAAGATTAATATTTAAATCAGTAAACTCTTGGTTAAAGCAGATTGCCCTCTATAAGGTGGGAGGCCCTCATCCAATTAGTTGAGGACCTAAATAGAACACAAAGACCAGTTTACTGAGCAAGAGGGAATTCTCTAGCAGATAGCCTTCAGGTGTCAATCATACCTCGGGCTGTCCTGGGTTATTGACTGTCAGTCTTCATACTAGAACTGCATCAACTTGCAGATTTGGGACTTTTCAGTCTCAATAATGACACAAGCCAATTGCTTAAAATAAATCTCTTTCTTTGGATATGCATATCCTATTGGTTCTGGTTCTCTAGAAAATCTTGACTAATCTATTACCCCACACCAACAACATCTCTCAGAGTGCCGCCAATGAGGATTCTTTTAACTCTTTTTTCAAACTCCTGCATGATTGTAAGAGAGAAAGCTCACATGGGTTAAATAAAAACTAAGGCCCGGTTTTTGTGAACCAGAGCAGTGTTGCCATAAATAGCAAGTGTTTGAAATCTATGGTTGCAAATGTTTTCTGTGTGTGTGCATGCATGTGCACTTGATTATGATGAAAGCCACTTCAGCATTAGCTAGGGATGAGACTGAAACTTCACAATTTAAATTCCTCAAATTTGAAATGTGTCAAAACAATCTCTGATTTAATTAAGTTTTATCAATTAACAGTACTTTTGTTCTTAGAGGTTTATATGTAATGTCAGGAAATGGAAATTTATTTTTGATCAATAAATTATTAAAGAGAGAATATTAACTAAAGAATATAGTCTTAAGTAGTAGACTCTTGTTTTAATTAATAAAGCTACGAGTTAAATAGCTTAGGATTCATTTCCACTTATTCATTTCCACAAATTGTCTTGCTTATGACCATGCCAATCCTGCAACATGACTTAAATATTAAAAGAGTCATTGTCTTGAAAATTTTGCATTTACTTCACAATTAAAAAAATAAAATAGGACCCCTTTTTTTCTGTTCAGTTGTAAAGAACAGTTGAGCATCAAAGTATGGTAACATTTTCTTACTTTCAATTAAAATTTCAGTAGAAGCTGTTACTGGAGTATGTTAGATATCAAGTCAATGAAGATTGATTAAATCCATGGCTCTGTATAGATTCTGGGTGAAATTTAATAGTAACAAGGTGTAATCCTAAATTGAAAACAATAGAGTTCTTTAAATATTATAAACATTTTAAAGTCAGGGAAAGAGTCTCCTTAAGTCTTACAGTGTTCCACTGCAGTGGATAGGTTTCAGGCATGTGAAGCATAATGATTGCACATTAGACATTTTGCAGGCCTTATAGTTTATCATGGCCACCTCGGGAAATTAGCCAAAGACGCTGAAAGAAAACTAAATCTGGAATTTCAAAGTAGCGGATTTTTCACAAGATGTTGATGTCAGGAGGAAATCTTCTTAAGAAAAACAGTAAACAGTAAATTTTAAAAGAAAATAGGGTTTCAGGAAACTGTAGAATAAAAAGTGTGGCTGCCTTTTAGTTTGCAAGTGAACACCGAGTGCACGATGTATTAGTAATGCAAGTTGAATCCAGCATACAGCCTAATAGAACAAAAGCAACTTGCTTTATCTGACTAATTGGGGCATAAATAATTATAATGATCAGCCTTGTAGAAAATAAAAAAGACTCATTAAAGGCAGGGTGTGAACAGGAGTGCAATGTTAATTTGGTTAACATTCCTAAACCCATATTGATTTTTAAATTGCCATTCTCGAATGTCCAAAGTTCAAGAATCCAGAAAAACTTGGCATAGTCCTCAGCGTTTACATTCCACAATTAACAAGCTTGATTCTTTTAAGGAAATTAGACTTCAGTGAAAGTTAAGTGAACTTCAGAGGTTAAAATTAATGAGGAGCAAGGAATTTATAATATCTATAGGCAAAGATCCTTGAGGGGAATATGAACACTTGGGAAGCAAAGTACACCAGTTAGGATGTAGGGTGACCCGACTTGGGGTGTATTCGAATGTCTAAAAAGACCTCAAGTTGATTTGACGACTAGAATTCCACCAGGGAAAAATAGTCCTTATCTTAAACTTTTCAAGTTGGCTTAAGTGCAAATCACTCCTATCAGTGATGTCACAACCATTGCACCTTGGCAGGCTGAATTTCATGCTTTCTTTGAACTAGTTTGATAAGAAGCAAACATTTGATGGGTGTGTGCCTAAGGACAGGCAGGCAAGGAAGAGAAGGAGGAAAAACTCAGTACGAAAATAATTTCCCTACTTCCTATTTTCCTACTTTGCCTTGGGCTGAAGATGTTAAAATTGTAACATGGAAATCAGAACTATCTGTTGACAGGATAAGTTAGTGAAATGGACAGAATTCATCAACAGAAATAATGAATTTTAGAACCTGCCTTAAATCATGGAAAAAAAAAATATATAGGATGCCTACTTTTCTTGACAGAGAGATGATATATTGTATTTTAAAGCTTAGGTATTTCCTGACATTTTCTTTTCCTTGAACATATTTTTCATTAGTGCTACCATAGTGTATATTCAGATTTTTGAGGCTAATTTACAAAGAAAGATGCTCTAAAAAGTTTAATAATATACAATAATGCTTATCACAAGATGGCCTGATACTTTGCAGTGCCGCAATCTTGGCTCACTGCAACCTCCACCTCCTGGGTTCAAGCGATTCTCCTGCCTCAGCCTCCTGAGTAGCTGGGACTACAGGAGCCCGCTACCATGCCCTGCTAATTTTTGCATTTTTAGTAGAGATGAGGTTTTGCCATGTTGGCCAGGCTGGTCTTGAACTGCTGACCTCATGATCCACCTGCCTCGGCCTCCCAAAGTGCTGGGATTACAGGTGTGAGCCACCGTGCCTGGCCAATGGTCTGATACTTTCTAGTAGAAAAAAATTCTCATTAACTCATTGTTCAATGTGATTCTGGAAATGTGGAAAACTAAAACTTGAGCTTCTGGCTGAGGGAAAAAAAAGGTAATTATTTTGCTTCATGGAGTTCATTTTTGTGAAGAAAACAGTCCCTATTTGTTTACCAATTCTTTTGGTGTACAAATCCACCTATACATTGTTGAAATGCTTGGCCAAGAGCTATGAGCAGAATGACACTAATTATTACTAAAGAAGTTGAAACTTGTAAACCAAAAATAAAATTCTAAGCACTTGATTTGATGAGTAGAATTCCACCAGGGAAAAATAGTCCTTATCTTAAACTGGCCCCCAACTGAAGGGGCCTCTCCTTTCTGCCAAAGACAATCCAAAGTTAACCTGTAAATCAAGTTCAGGCCATAATAATTAGGGGGAGCAGTACCTGTCCCATTATACCCTCCTTGTTTACAATTCAGGCACAACTGACCAACATTAATGTTAGAGCCGAGATCTTAAGACTGACAAACAGAATCTTCATGGCAATAAGATACCAACATGACAGAGAGTAGGCCCTGAAAGAAATCAAAGCATTTTACCCAAATATATTTTTTGACATTTTTGAAATGGCTCTGCAAGACTCTCTCTTGTGGGGAAAATCTGCATTCTGTGGAGATCCACCTTTCCCTTCCAGGGCCTTTCCCTGATCCAGGAGAGTATGAACTAAGAGCTTGGCATCTTTTTAAGTCTGATAAGAAACATTAATAATCTATTCTCCCTGAAGCCTGCCACCTGGAGGCCTCATCTGCATGATAAAAACCTTGGTCTTCACTACCCCTTATCGTAACCCAGATATTCCTTTCTACTGATTCCAGGTCTTTAGATAATAATTTAACTATTTCAATCAATTGCCAATCAGAAAATCTTTGAATCCACCTGTGACCTGGAAGGCCACACTTTGAGTTGTCCCTCTTTTCCAGACTGAACCAGTGTACACCTTACATGTATTGATTAATGTCTTATGTCTCTCTAAAACTTACAAAACCAAGTTGTAGCCCAACAACCTTGGGCACATGTTCTCAGGAGACCCTGAAACTGTGTCATGTCTCATAGTTCTCATATTTGACCCAGAATAATTCTCCTCAAATGTTTTACAGTTTTACCCTTTTTGTTGACAAACTCTTGTTGAGAACTTCCATCTGGACCAAGGTCATCTATAAAACAAATGCCTTAGTAGTGACATGGAAACAGAAGAGCAATAAAATACTTAGAACAAAGCCTGGCATATAATATACACTTTGCAATGTCTGTAATCATTGGCTTCTAGTGTACCTGTTACCAGAAAGGGGTCCCGATCCAGACCCCAAGAGAGGGTTCTTGGATCTCTCTCAAGAAATAATTCAGGGCAAGTCCACAGTGCAAAGTGAAAGCAAATTTATTAAGAAAGTAAAGGAATAAAAGAATTGCTACTCCATAAACAGAGCAGCCCTGAGGGCTGCTGGTTGCCCATTTTTATGGTTATTTCTTGATGATATGCTAAACAAGCGGTGGATTATTCATCTCTCCCCTTTTAAGACCATATAGAGTAATTTCCTGACGTTGCCATGGCATTTGCAAACCGTCATGGCACTGATGGGAGTGCAGCAGTGAGGACAGCCAGAGGTCACTCCTGTGGCCATTTTGGTTTTGGTTGGTTTTGGCTGGGTCTTTTACTGCAACCTGTTTTATCAGCAAGGCCTTTATGACCTGTACTTTGTGCTGACCTCCTATCTCATCCTGTGACATAGAATGCCTTAACCATCTGGGAATGCAGCCCTGTAGGTTTCAGCCTCATTTTACGCAGCTCCTGTTTAAGATGGAATTGCTCTGGTTCACATGCCCCTGACATACCCATCATCCAAGTATTAAATGTTGTATCCAATAGACAATTTTTTAACCCTCACCCTTCTCTCCCTTCCCTCCCTTTCCACTTTTGAAGTCCCTAGAGTCTGTTCTTTCTATCCTTATATCCACATGTACCCTTTGTGTGTATTAATTGGAAATGGTTGTTTTGTCTTTTTTTGTACTGATCTCAGATGAGACCACTGATGAGTAGGCAGACAAGGCCCTGCCCACAGACTCTCTGGGTTTCAAATGTCTGAATGTTAGTTGGATTTTTATTTCTAGGCATGATCAGACTATTGTCAACTAGATAAAAGCATTTAAGAGTTTGTTTTGTCCAGATTTTATGGTCTTTATGGTGGATAACCGTGTTCCACCTGAACATATGTCTTGTCCATTTTCTAGAACAAGCAATTCTGAACATTCTGCAAGCCAGCGGCAGATGTGTAGAGGTAAAATTCCCTACCCTCTTGGATTACTGTCTTAAGCTGCATCCTAGCATCCATGAAATAAGAGACACAAACAATACTATTTGAACTTTAATGTGTACACAGATCACCTGGAAAGCATGTTAAAATGCAGATCCTAACCTAGTAAAATACTCATAAATCTCACATCCTGCATTTCTAATAATTCCCCAGGTGATGCTGATGACACTGGCCTAGGGGTATGGCAGGTAGCTGGCAGGCAAAGTCAGAGTAGCAAGGGTGTATTCTTTTTTCTAGTATTAGGTCATTCATT
The DNA here is from genome assembly GCF_000001405.40 of Homo sapiens. Lineage (NCBI taxonomy): Eukaryota > Metazoa > Chordata > Mammalia > Primates > Hominidae > Homo > Homo sapiens. The sequence continues at coordinate 52,150,787 of NC_000007.14, forward strand.
TATTCTATAAATTTGTATTCTATATCCATTACATGCCGGGCATTGCTAGGCACCACTAGGCACCTGTAAGACATGCATCAACAAGAAAGACAAAAATCCTTATCTTCATGGAACTTGCATTTTAGCAGGGGAATAAATGATAAACAATAATTATAATAGATATATCAACTATACAGTACTATAGAAGACCATAAATGCTCAGATAAAATATAGTGATGGCTAGAGAGATTTTGTAGTACAGAGTAGGACACAGGTTTCAATTTGAATAGGACAGCTAGGACCTTTTGAACAGTAGGAGTGATAGATATTTGGATTCTAGATATAGACTCCAGAGAGAGTTCATCTGGATGAATGTGTCAAGCCTTGGCAAACGAGAGAGGCAATCTCTTTCTTTTGAGTTTGTGCAAATATTGAAAACACTAAGCTCCACAGAAAGACCTCTGTGTCACCCACTCAGCAGTTCATGCAACTTTTCCGTGACATTTTGAGTTCAGATTCTCTTTTTTGTTGTTTTATAGTTATTTTATCAGCCCCTGTGAACAGTTGCCATTTTAAAAATAAGATTTTTCCAGCTTGAATATAAAGTCCACTATTTTCTCACTTTAAGCATTTGAGGATTATCACATTTGCCAACTCTGAGAATCAATTTCTGTTCAACTGTACTTTAAAACCTGTGATACATTCAAATAAATTAATACAAGGTAATTCATATATTAAATTTTCCTTTGCAATTACTCTCTGGAACTTGGAGGTCTCATGACAATCTGACTAATAACAAGTCAGGTGCTGAGTGAAGCATGCTATAAAGCTTATGATTCAGTGCACTCAAAGTGATTGTTAATCAATTCTGTGACAAAATTAGAAGTTACAGACCATGATCATCTATTCAGAGACTTAAGAGTTCATGGAGGCAGAATTGTTTAGCAAACACACTCTTACCTCCTAGTTCCCTTGGCAGCTGTAAATCATCAGGGGTGAACTGTCTGCTTACTCTCCAGTTTTATAATATGGATTCAGTGCCCCTGGGATAGAGGTCCAGACAGGTACACCCACAGCCTGCTGGGAAGCATCTGTAATCTCTTGTGCAAAACAGCCCAAGTAAACAATTAAATAGAGAAATTATGAAATGTTCATCTTGTTTTCTTTTACATTTTGGACAAATGCACATCGTTACTCAGCTTCTGTCCAACTAAGTGGAAGTCAGAGACAAACAATAAGTTGCTAGGTGATAGGGAAGTTTGATAATAATGGGGATATTTTAATGGAAGAGAGTATTCATTAATGACTAGGCAGAGAGCTGCATTTGCCAAAGACATTGAAGGTAGGACATTGTGTCAATGAAGAATTAAGCTCCAAATTGATGTTCTGAGGGCTGAACTCACTACCCCATCCCATCTACCCCACATTGCTCCTGGGATCTTCTCTACCACCTACCTGGGACTGCATCCTCATTGTTAAGGACTCTGCTGTAAAAGTATGCCTACACAACAGTAATTCCTTGCTGGGATTTTTATTACTCCTGGCTTAGTATTGTTTCCAAAGTATCATAAAGGACCATATTGATGCAATAGTAATTTTGTGGTGCCCCAAATGGTTTTGGATGTCTGATATTTACTATGGAATTTGAAGGTATATATATTGCTCCAGGGCACAAAGATAGGAAAGAGAACTTATATTTCTTCAATCCTCAGATGCCTTCCTGAATTATGAAAATGCACTGTATTGCACTGCATAAAAGAAAATTGAGTTAAGAACAAAGTTTAAAAACTTTATAATTCAGTAACAATCCATGCCCATCAAGAGTGAGATAGGAAAGGAAAATGTATGTCCAGTGTCCCTGCTTGAAGACCTTCTCCTTGGTTAATCACTGATGCTTTATTCAAAGAAAATTATTATATTCCCCAGTAAATGTCAATACCATACCAATAAGTGTCTTCTTCTCTGGGCAGTCTGAGCACAAGATGCTTGATTGGTACCCACGGTCATACAACTCTCAGGAACAGCATCACAGACCTGGCTAACTTCCTGCCATGAGGTTTCACCTCAGCATTCCAATTCATCTATCAACCACTAACACTCTATTTGTTCAGCAAGTGTACTTTCAATTTCAATAGTTCCTTCTGCCCATACCTGTCACCATTTAAGTGCCATTAAAATAAGCAGCAGGCAGAATCCAACACTGTCTACTCCTGTACCTATCACAATTCAGCAGGTAAAGCCTTCTTTACTAAATACCGAGGGAAATTCTTCAAATAGGCAGGCCGGCCTGGGTATCAATAAGCAATGTTTTTCTAAAGAAGAGACACGATAGAGCAGTTGGTCAGGAGTCAACCTCAGAAATCAAGCTGCCTACCTACAAAGCCACGCTCCATAACACATTAGTTTGGGCAAGTCATGGACCTCCTCTCTATTCCCTTGACCGAATGCTGGCGATAAAGTAGTACTCACGTCATATTCCTGTTGTGGGAATTAAATAAGTCAGTCACTTATAGAATGTTGAAAACTGTGTTTGGCACAAAATATGCACACAATAAATAGTACTTACTGTATAACCCATTTCCCGTGATATTGCAAAATCCACAGGATAAAGGAATTTTTCTATTTTGCCCAGTGCTATTTCACCAGAACAGAGTGCCTGCCTTATATCAGATGTTCAGAAAGTACTTATGGAATGAACAAATACAGTTTTATTATTGACAAGGGCTGATATTTTCACTTATGCAAAACTTTGTTCTAAACAATTCTGGGATTCAAATATGCAGCGTTCATAATCCCTGTTTCCAGAAAGTTAAGGAGGTATACGGTACTAACAATATAATCCTCCTTTTAAAAACATAACACTCACTAAATATAACTTTATTAGGTTATTTTCTAAATGTGTATAAGGGAATAATTTGTTAACAGTTTGAGAGTTACATTTATAAATGAATAACACATTATGCAAAATCATATGAAGCAATATATTTATCCCATGGGTATTATGTTTGAAAGTTAGTACAATGTCCTGTTTTAAAAGAGAAGTTAAAAACATGGATATTGATAGGGATAGGGTCCCTCTACATAGAAAAGGTTGTTTTGTTGGAATCAAGATCAAATAAGTTTCTGTCAACACATACTGCCCAAAATTTTAAAAACAGAAAGTAATCTGGAAATTATGTCAAAGGGAAAGAAATATGGTTGTTTCTGTGATGAGTGTCAGGGATTGTTTATCCTGTTAGATGATGCATCGTATCTGAACAATCTAAAGTTCTTTAAGGTGTAATCATTAAACCTTAAAGCACTCACTGATTACCCTGTAGCCCACAAGTATTATTAGGCAGTCGATGCTACAGAAACCCTGGAATCTAAGAGGGCGGAGACACCACATTTTCAATCTTCATGGCCTGGCAAATTATGGCAAAGAATAAAATTCTCCCCCAGAGAGTATGTTTTTAAAAAACTATGTAATCTTCACTTTGAATGCATGGCACCTACTAAGTATATGTTTTCTATTAAACTTTAAAAACTGTTATTTTACTCAGTGTGCTAAGAAGGGTATCAGGACTGTATCTTTGCCATATAGTCATTGGTTCTGGGGGAGAAGATGGAGGCTACATCTTAGAAGAGTTGTTACCTCTTACCTAGTCACCTTAGATATTTGCAAGAATAATTTCCTTGACATACATGCTTTGTTAGTCTTTTACTATTTTGGGAGGCAAGGTGTATTTCATCAAGTACCTGAATATATCTTTTCTCTCTGTAAGTGTCAACATTGCTGACTGCTTTGTGGTTGATACTTACAAGCATTGCGCTGGTCACCTTGTTGCCCTCCTGCTGGTCTATACTATGAACTACATTCTGCTAACTCATGGTGTGCTTTCAATCCACTGAGGGATGGGTTCGTTTCTGATCCACTAACAGAGAAGACAATTGCACATATGTCTACATGCAACAGGGAATATTCTAGATACTATTAAGAAGACATTTCTGAAATTAATTTATTTACAAATGGCAGTAAGTTCACATTGAGCATGAGCATAAATTCTGTTACAATTTAGAAAAAAAGCATGATTATATAAGAGGCTCAAATTATTATTTCCAGTTTTTAGGCATTTGGATGGTGTATTAGAACAGATAACAACTACTCAGGCTTTCCATACTTAACATACAATCAAAGGGTGGTAGGTGTAAATTATGGTAAATATAGTCAGGTATTAGAAATAATCTATAAATTCTTTAAAAATATTTTGTAAAATACCACCTTCCTTAACCAACTAGTTCACCACATTTTTCTTCAAATGCAACATCATAAATTTTGTGTCAGGAGTTATTAGTGTTGGTATACTTATTTTATAAGGAGTACTTTGATATAGTGAAGATTGGGTAATTGATTAAATGCTTTAAAAATGGTATGCTCCCATGAAAGTGATGTATTTATGTAGGCAAAAGAATATACCAGAGAGAAAATAATATGTCTGGGGATTGGTATTGGAAGTCTCTATAGCCAGCAATCAGTAATCAAATTATTGCCAAAAACAGGCTAGATAAACTAACTTGGATTAATGTTGTAAACTATGATTTTTTTTTAATGCTCTTCCAGGGCACACTGCTGATTCTGTAAATAGAATCTTGAAATGTGACAAAATACAGGATTTATAAATGGCAATGGTTTGCCTGGGAGACTTCAGCATTTCCAAGGGCTTCCCAGGTACAGTCTGAAGTTATGAACAAGTAATGGCTTAATATCTTAATTGATGAGTCTTCTAGTCAATTAACAAGGTAATGAAGTAAAACTTGTTTATGTGCAGCCAGTTTCAGAGGTAATATACTATAAACTATAAATACCAAGTAATGAGAATTTTTAACGTGAACACATTAGGGTACATACATCCAATGGCATGACATTTTCTTCAAGAGTTGTACTGGGAAGTAAAAGATGAACAACTGTAGATGGTCTAAGGTCCCTTCCAGGGATGTCAACAATGTCCATGTTATAGCCTCTGTTCTGGTGTGTACCCTGGGGTCAGAGTGCTGTGGAGCAGGTATGCTTAGCCTTGAGTATCCTGTGGATGCTACCACAGCACTGAGCCTTGCATTGGCTAAGTCCATAATGGATGCATGCTCCTGGGCAGGTGAGGAATTCTAGCACGTATCTGGACAATGGGCCATGATGGTCAGCTCCAAACCTATGCAGAAAGGACTGGGCCTGGAGAGGACAGTTATGCTATTGTCATCCATATTGTGCTCCTGCTGGTGAAAGATTTTGAACCAGGAAGCTTTTCCCTTTCCTGTGATAATGTTACTGATTCCTCTGCTTGTTCTGACTTTGTAGTTTCTTTAACAAAAAAGAGTTTTTACAGATTAACCCATTAGCTGTCTATGCCACGTTTCCATCCACAAATATAATACTTAGCAGAAGGAAATATTTTTGAAGTATTTCTGTTATTTTCACTGTTTTTCCCCAACTAATGAAGAAAAGGTAGTGTGAATGGAATAATTAAGAATTGGTTCTGCAGCTCTGCATTTGTTAATATAAAAAATTTTAAGGGGCTGAATTATTCAAGAGCAAATTTAACATGGAATTTAGAATCTGAATATGTATTTGTTGAGTAAACTCATGGAAAACATTTATATTACCTATTGAATCAGAAAGGGATGTATAATCTACAGGAACTTCTGAGGTATATAATTATAATAACTGCACCAACTTCATAATATAAGTCTTTCTTTCTCTTTCTCTCTTTCTTTCTTTTTCTTTCTTTCTCTTTCTTTCTTTTCTTTTTTTCCCTGAGACAGAGTCTTGCTCTGTCACCCAGGCTGGAATGTAGTAGTGCTATCATGGCTCACTGCGGCCTCAAATTCTTGGGCTCCATTGATCCTCCCACCTCAGCCTTCCAAATAAGTGGGACTGGGATTACAGGCACACACCACCAGCCCTGGTTATTTTTTTGCCTTTTTGGTAGAGATGGGGTTTTGCCATCTTGCCTAGGATGGGCAAGCATTCCACCCACCTCTTCCTCCTAAAGTGCTAGAATTACAGGCATGAGCCATGGTGCCTGGCAAGATTTTTTTTCTAAAAGTACACGATAAACACTTGTGTTTTCTTTAATGCTATAGCAGATGAATTTTTGGAAGTGGAGAAGTTTAGTATTAAATTACTCAAAGTGTACCTACTGAAGAGAACATAGACCAACATAAAAAAATGGATGCCGGTATATAAAACGATAAATCTATAAAAGAATAAAACTTATCCAAAAACACATTAACTAGTGTACAAATACTGGCATACTTGGGGTTACCCCCCGCCACATGAAATCTGGGGCTTAGACTCCAATTTCTATTGTAACTGCTTCTGTTGATTTTGGCTGTCCAGAGAACACCCACTCTGCCAATACTTTGAGCTCAGACTTTCAGCCTCTAGAATTATGAGAAATAAATTTCTGTTGTTTAAGCCATCCAACTTACAGTATATTTTAAAAGCAGCCCTAGCCAACTAATACACTTGCCCAACACAATGTTCTTTTAGAACATGTTACCATGTTTTGAAATCAAGCAAGTCTAGAATAATAGGAAGACAACAATGACAAAATATTGGTGAAACTAATAATCGAAGCTCAAAACATGTTTTAACTTTTTCTAGTTCTCAATGCCCCATTCAAATCTCACATACCTAACTAGCATTTCAAGTTGAATTTCCTAGTTTGGTGACCACCTTCTATGTCATAAACTCAAACCCGGAGAACCATCTGTTTGTTAAACCTTTGTTTGTTAGAGTTTCTGGAAATGACCTTCTCTTCCTGGTCCTTCACGCTTAGAGATGTGAGTAATGCCAGCAGAGTGTCCTGACCTCTTTAGAGGTCAACTCCAAACTCTCAAAAAAAGGGCATCCCTTCTTATATCGACTGTTATATTAAAGGTTTGTCTTCTGCTTGAAGTATTGGAAAAAGAGTAGAATCAGGAGGAGATATTTCAGAATCAAAAAAGAAGTGTTAATGACTCAGAGGAATATGAAAAGTATTAGGAATCAGTGAAGTGCAAATAAAATCATTCAGTTCTTACAGTTTATCAAATTGACACAACATTTAAGAAATAAACACTTCCTGGTTCATGTATGTGTTTCACTCCTCCCCAGTGACAACTTTTGCACATGTCCGTCCCTCTCCCAGGAAGACTCTGCACCCTGCTCTGCCGTCCCTGCTAGGCTAATGCCCTGTCAACCTTGAAGTCTTACCTTAAGGGAACATCTGCACCTTGCCCATTTCTAGGTATGCTTTACATAACCCTTTATATGTTTTCCTATCTCACTTCTCAGAATAGTAGTAAAATGCATAATGGTATAATTACCTTTCTGGCTATTATTCCTCTGAATATATTTTTGGGTATTTTGTTAGTGATGGGTCTACATTCACTTTCTCTTTTCCTATGAAGTTAAGTAATTGTGACAGTCTAATGCTTGTGACCTGTTTCTGATTTAATGGAGAAGTAATTGTCACATTATTACTGAAGTGGTCCATCCTGTCCCTACTGATCTGCAAAGCCCTCTCTGTTATATTTCATGTTTTCATACAAGAATGAGGCTATTTTTGAATTGTTTCAATGGTCTGTCTACCTATTCCTGCAACTACTCCAAGTTTTCAAATATATAAATTTTAACATATTTAATATCTGCAAAGGTGATTTTTTCCATATTTACTTCTAGAAAAAGTTTAGTCATTATTTCTTTGCCCCCTACCCCCCTTCAGTGCTTGTGTCCCTTTTTGCAGGAGATTTGATAAGTTAGATGTTATATTTTTGTATTCTGCCTTCTATTTCATCTCCTTGTCTCTCTATATTACATTCCAGGTATTTTTCCTCAATGGATGTATATTCCTGCCCATTGATTTTTCTTATATGTATGTATTCTTGCTTTTTAAAACGTCCATTGAGAATACAATGTCCATTGTCACATTTTCCATTTCTATACATTTTATTTGGTGATTTTTTTCACTATTCCTGGGCATCTTTTATTACCTCTTACTTAAAGTTTTCATTCTTTTTTATTTACAAATATATATTTATATGTGTATATAAATAAATATATTTATATGTGTATATAAATAAATATATTTATATGTGTATATAAATAAATATATTTATATGTGTATATAAATAAATATATTTATATGTGTATATAAATAAATATATTTATATGTGTATATAAATAAATATATTTATATGTGTATATAAATAAATATATTTATATGTGTATATAAATAAATATATATAATATATATTTATATGTGTATATAAATAAATATATATAATATATATTTATATGTGTATATAAATAAATATATATAATATATATTTATATGTGTATATAAATAAATATATATAATATATATTTATATGTGTATATAAATAAATATATATAATATATATTTATATGTGTATATATAAATATATATAATATATATTTTATTCTATATTTTATAATTCCAAAATCAGTGGGCATTAGAAAAGCTGGATTTCGCTGTTTACGATGACTCTCAATATCTGATTTATAATTTCTGTGATTTTAATTGCAAACTCATAAGCTGTATCATTTTTATGTAGGAATGGTTTAAGAAATGAGTTAAGGGCCAGGCACAGTGGCTCATGCCTGTAATCCCAGCACTTTGGGAGGCCGAGGTGGGCAGATCACGGGGTCAGGAGATAGAGACCATCCTGGCTAACACGGTGAAACACTGTCTCTACTAAAAAATACAAAAAATTAGCCAGGGGTGGTGGCGGGCGCCTGTAGTCCGCGCTACTCGGAAGGCTGAGGCAGGAGAATGGCGTGAACGCGGGAGGTGGAGCTTGCAGGGAGGCGGAGCTTGCAGGGAGGTGGAGCTTGCAGGGAGGCGGAACTTGCAGGGAGGCGGAGCTTGCAGGGAGCCGAGATCGGGCCACTGTAATCCAGCCTGAGCGACAGAGGGAGACTCCATCTCAAAAAAAAAAAACAAAAAAAAAAAAAAAAAAGGAAAAGGGTTAAGAAAATTTCTTTTTGTCAGCTAGATTTGGAAAATAATAATTTGGAACTGTTTTCACATTCAATTGTTTATTTGTTTTGCTTGTTTTTTGTTTGTTTGCTTGTTGAGATCACGCAAGTGTTGTGAATTCCGGCTCCAACCTTGCATAAGGTTGTGGTGTGGCTTCCCAGTCGAGATTGTTTCCCCTCCTCCACCCAGGGCCAAGGCTGAGATGGGCAGGTTTCCCTGATCCCTCTCTTGGTGGGATTATTACTATTTCTCTTATTAGTCTTATTTGTATTTCAGTTCTTATCAAAATGGCATCTTTACGTGGGGTCCCAGATACAATATCTGCTCATGTTCATTAAAACTAGAGTGACTCTATATCATGGTTTACCCTTGATATTCCAGGTTCTATTCAGATTAGCACTTGTTGTAAATTTAAAAAAATAAAATACTGTGTTTTGTTGTTGTTGAATTCAAGTAAGTTGTTATAGGCTGTTTACCAAGGGAGGCAGTCATGTGCAGTTAGGTGCCACCCATTCCCTCTGCGTATGCCTGAGCACACTTAGGTGTATGAGAAAGGCCCCAGGGTGTTCTTCTTATAAGAGACATGTTTGCTGGGGCCTGTTCAGTATTCTTCTAGATTAATGTTGCTGATTTTTTATTCTAAGTGTTGCTGGGCATGTATGAAAGAAAAACAGGGCCTGTTATTGTGCAGTCTCCACTACTATAAAAATATCAGAGTTAAGTGATAACTTTTATACCAGTGTCATCAGTTGCTTCAAATAGGGAGTCAACTAATTCTAATAATGTTTTCGTTTTTTTCTCAGGTGATTCAAGAAAGCTTTTTGGTGTTTATTCTGTCTAAAGTGAAATAATTAATATTATTGTGAATGGTGTTGCAATTATAAATTCAGATAAAAAGTTCTATATATATATATTTTTAAAAACAAATATTTCTTGGTTATTCAAATCATCCTAAAATAAATGTTTTCCTTATTATATTAAAAAAAACCTCTGGAGCAGAAATGCACTTGAATTGGTTGTTATAATGATACAATTCATTCTGTGTCCAAACCAGCTACACAATTCTACCAATAAAAATAAAACCTGCAGTTGATATAAATATGTTACACACACACATTTATTGTAGTTCAACTCCACAACTACCAAATGCATAATGAAACTTACGTTGTCATATAGATGAATAGATAGATAGATAGATAGATAGATAATGACTTATCTATTCATGTATAGGTGTCTGCAATGGCATTGGACAGTATTTAATGAGAGTCCTCCAAAATTTAGTTTCATACTATTTAAATTCTATGGGAAAACTGTAGTAACATTATTAAATAACTAAAAGCCCATATACTTTCAGCTTTAGAAAGGTGTAATTATTGAAAACAAATTCTAAAAAGAGGAAGCACTAAAATTTGCCTGAAATAAGAAAGCAGCAGAAGGCCAGGCGCCGTGGCTCACCCCTGTAATCTCAGCACTTTGGGAGGCCGAGGAGAGTGGATCACTTGAGTCCAGGAGTTCCCTACAAAAAAAAATTAAAAAAAAAATTTGGCATGGTGATGTGTGCCTGTAGTCCCAGTTACTTGTGAGGCTGAGGTGGGAGGATCACCTGAGCCTAGAAGGTCAAGGCTGCAGTGAGCCATGATCACAGTGCTGCACCCCAGCCTGGGTGACAGAGCAAAACCCTGTCTCAAAAAAAAAAAAAAAAAAGAAAAAAAAAGGCACTGGAGGAACTGAGCAAATTAAATCAAATTATATAGCACAAGTGATAGACAAGCATTACTTTTTTTTAAAGAAGACTTTGGAATCTGTAGGAAAAATCTTCTGATAGAATGCTCATAATCATTTGTGTTTTGTGGCTAAATATAATTAATTTGAGAGGTCTATAATTTTACAAAATCTAAAAATTTGCTGAATCAGCCAACTGAAAAACAAATAGATAACATTTCTGGTAAAGTTTATTGTGAAATAGGAGTATATGTGAAAAATAGGTTTTCTGGAAGGGGATAACCAAATATATCTGTAAAAACATTTGGGCTGAAATATTTAGACATTTCAATAAGAAAAGCATTTGAATTGACAATGTCCTCCATTTAGTAGCTTTTATTTCCTGAGCTCATGAGTTGTCTCAGCCTTCATAAAGAAAACACTTTTCCTGTGGGCTAAAGAGGTGAGTCAATAAAGCTGTCAACATTTTCAATTTCGATATATTTTGACATTGTGTCACCATTTATCATAAATTGTAACTTTGAAGAGGATTGCAGATATTTTTCCAAAAACAGATTAAAAATAGTGAGAACATGTTTTAAACCTTACAATCTTCAGAAATATATCAGTGGGCTAGTATCAGAGACACATTTAGCTAAGAAGCTAATCATCATGTATGTTTGTTGAACTAGTTGAGAAAGTTCACCTTGGCCATCAAAGAAAGACAAGCAAAAATAAATAGTATGGATGAAACTCATAAGACGTGTTAAATGTAGGCAGTAAATGGAAAATTATATAATAATCCATGAGATGTGTACGTAAATTAAGTGGAACGTCAGCGTGTGGAACATAGGAAGGGATGAGAGCACCAAGAGAAAGTGTATTCTTAAGCCACTGAAGGTTGATGAGGACTTGGTGATCACAAGGTCTTAAACTGGACAGTCGTTGGTGACGCGACTCTGGGCCAGTGAATACAGATGAGATCCATACCTGCTCAGCAGGTTAAGCAGAGAGCCACAGCTGTGGCCAGCTATATTTGTCCTGCTTCTGCAAAAGAACAAGCCTGTGATGCTCTGCCCATCTTCCGGCTGATCAGCCAGTTTCTCAACCTCAGCTCCAGTTCTTATTGCCACAACAGCTGAGGGAAAGACTGCCCCTGCAGCCAGGGCACCAGCACCTCTGAGAACACATGTGCGTTCCCGCACGGAGGCTGCGTGAGCTCCACACCCTTTGCTCTCTTAGAATGACCCTCCCTAGAATGCACCAGGAGATAAGGCCAAAAGGAGAAAAAGAGAAAGAAGAAAATCAGGGAAAATTGGCTGTTTAGTCAACAGGCAAATTAACCTGTGAAAGACTAAGATTTAATTTGGAAATGACTAAGTTAGCTTGAAGAAAATTAGCTAGTTTCACTATTGAGAAGTTATAGGAGCTCATGAGAAAGTTGAACATAATGATGAAATTATACATATTTCTGCACATTGAGGTTCTGATTGTGAGTTCCAGTCCTACTCTGTTTGTGTGTATTTGTGGGTAATCATACAAAAATTACTAACACTTTTGTCTGGTTGTGATATTTCAGGTAAATTTTACTTTGTATTTGATATCTTTATCCATATATAAATTAACCACAATGTAAATGCATGGAATTTGAAGCTTCACTTTGTATACTCTTTGTAATATTTAGCTTTTTAAATAAATTATATTGTTAAAGATAAAAATTAGAGAAAAACTCTGTCCCAATGTGGTGTATTAAAGCCAACAGAAGTAGCACACTTGATCAATTTTGCTGGAACATGAAAGACTTTCTTAATCAAAATCTATTAAGTCACAATTTGATCTGTTTCTGGATGACTTCTGTTGCTTTACTTTGTTGTTTCCTGGCTTTTCTTCTCCTTGCTTGTCTTTTCAATTTGGTGACCTATTTAACAGAGAGTCCTATAGAAAAGCTCTGAATGAAATTCTTAATCATATATAGGATGTGTCTGGCAGGTGCCAGACGCAGCCACCAATACACAGAGACAAGCCAGATTCAGAAATCATCAGACAAATGAAGATGGCCCCATTAAGGCAGAGGTCAAGGTTGAACGTGCCTGGACAGCAGCAGTCCCTGCCATCCTGCACTTCCTGGGATGCTTCTCTGAGGGGGGTCTGGTGGCCACTTCAAAATTCTTTCAAAGTTTTTTTTTTGTTTGTTTCCCCCTGGAACAGTCTTTGTAAAAAATAATTGTTTAATTTTTAATTAATTATTATTTCTTTTATAGTTATGCTTGCTGAGCTACAATGACACTCATCTCAAATTCATTTGGTGTAATGGAGAGGGAAATCACTGCCCAGCAATTTGTCAGTGGCTTTGATGCTTTTCATATTTGTATCTTAACATTTGCTGGATCCAGATGAATAGATGTCTTTAGTCCTCTCAAAAGAAATAACAGTGTCAACCTCACACTTGTTTTATGATGGAAAATCTTTGCCATCATAGTTTTCACATGAAAGATATATTTGCCACTTCCCAAATGTCAAGTCTAATAGAAAGGGGATATAAATGATATATTTCCTTATAGCCATCAAGCCTTTAAGGTTATGACATGATGTGACATACCTATTTGTCATGATAAAGTAAGCACTTTTACTGATGTCTTGAATTCTTTAGTGTTTTCAAGTACTGTACATAGTCTGAGTTTATTCTGAAGTGTACAAATTTTTATAGCATGTATCATGTCAGGCCTCATTTATAGTTACCAGGGATACATTAAATATTAACTATTTTGCTATAACTATTATTAAATACTTATGAATTAAATATTCCTCTATTAGGCAAGATATGTCTGATCTTTATATTTTTAAGTAAAAATAAAAATAGAATTTCAAAAATAGCAAAAGGCATAAGATATAATCTAATAGAGGGCCTACAATGGCAATGACATTAAAGTAAATATAGTTACCAAAAATTTTGTTTTTATGTAATTCAATTGCGTATAAAACACAGTGCCAATTTTAGAAATAAGCAAAAGTATAAATTAATTGAGCAATAAATATCAACAAAATTAAAATACCAAATATGCAAATTTCATGATGGTGTCAGTGGTTTGCTATGAAATGAATATTTGAAAGAAATTCAAGTTATGACACCCTCTGTTTACTTTTTCTATTTTTTTCTCTATTTTATTTTCTTCATCCATAAAATAAACTAATATCTGGGCATGGTGGTATGCACCTATAGTCCCAGCTACCTAGAAGGCTGAGGCAAGAAGATCACTTGGGCCCAGAAGTTCCAGTCCAGCCTGGGCAATGTAGTAAGACCCTGTCTCTAATAAAAATATTTTTTAAAATCCTAAAAAAAGAAATAAATTATCATTAATCACTATTAGCTCACTTATTTCTCTAAGTAGTTCTATTTTTGTTAAAAGTAACAATCATTTGTCTTTATGATACGAAGACATAACCAGAAGAATGAGAATATTTATATTTTAGCTTTTCCTGCCTTTGACATCTAAAGGAATTTAGATTTGTTTTTGAAATCATCCCAAATGTACATATGTTAACAAGCTGATAGTCTTTTTGGATATCACTTTACCAGTACTTCTAATGTAGCTTCATTTAAAATGCACTAAGATGGAATCATGTTTTCTCCATTCACCCTGCGACCCAGCACTGTTGCTACTTACCACATTCTGTCCTGACCATCTCCTGATGCCTACTATCAAGCACATGGAATCTATTTCCTGTCGAAACCTCTGCAGTGTAAAATGTCATAATCTTCCTTCTACAATTAACTTCATAAGAAGGTGAGAATAACTATTAAAATTTAGCAAATCTTTCTTCTTCAGCAGCAGCCCGAGAGCTCTATATAGTATTTCCATATCAGCAGAAGGTCCCACTCTCCTGCAGTTTTCCCTTAGGAATGTCCAACTGATAGCTGTTTCCTGTCAAGAAGGGGCATTAGGAAGCTTAGAAGGTTTTTAAGATGGAAATTTTGGTTTAACAGAGTGGTCCAAGAACATATATCTATATTATATATATTATATTTTTAACAAATATCATTTATATGTAAAGGAGATAAACAAAACCGAATTATACTGTGGTACTGTGGTTCAAATTAAAATACGAACCCTTGAAAGGCGAAGCAGCTGGAATATTGTATTTGTAGTTTCTACAATCTTCAAATCAATTGCTATTTCTGTATGTGAGTGGTTTTATTCATGAGATTGAGGTTGCTAGAGTAAACTGCCTTCTTTAGGTCATGATCAATTGGATGAACTCTTGTATTAGACCTGTTTTTCCTTTTTTTTTTTTTTTTTTTTTTTTTGACATCAAATCTCGCTCTTTTGCCCAGGCTGAAGTGCAGTGGCGCAATCTCAGCTCACTGTAACCTCCGCCTCCTGAGTTCAAGTGATTCTCTTGCCTCAGCCTTTTGAGTAGCTGGGATTACAGGCACACGCCACCACGTCCAGCTAATTTTTGTATTTTTAGTAGAGACGGGATTTCACCATATTGGTCAGGCTAGTCTTGGACTCCTGACCTCGTGATCCGCCCGAGTCGGCCTCCCAAAGTGCTGGAATTACAGGCGTGAGCCACCGTGCCTGGCCCTGTTTTTCCTTTTTATCCTCAATCTTGTAATGTGTCTTGTTTTGAGATAAATTCAGTGTTCCAGTTCGTTGGTGTTCACACAACCTAGCAAGTGCTCTCAGTAAACATCTGGGAATGAATGAAAGAGCCATTCATAAGTAACGAGAACTACCAAACAAGAAAAAATGATGACTAGATTTTTAATGAAAAGTCATTTGTTAAATTGCTTGAGGCATTTTATGTCAATTGCAAGTAGAAAACATTGCATTTCCACAAAAATAAAAATAGTTTTAAGCATATGCTACCAGGAGCCAGGTATTATGACAATTATTTTACATACATTACATTATCCCATCTGTGCCCCAGCCTCCAGTGAGGGGCATTGTTATCTCCTACACTAAAGTAAGGATACAAGGGGATGTACAGCTTACTCAATGTTGAAAACTAGTAAGTGTCAGAGCCACGATTTGCAATGAATACTCAGGCTCTAGTATATGTGCTTAAACAATTACACGATGCTCCCACTGACATAGCTGCATGTTCAGTAGTATTTCATAATTACTACAGGTGGTCAGCAAAGTGGCCGTTATAAAGACCACTAACTGGGAACTTTTTTCAGCTTCCTTCAATGATTTTATTTTCTTCCCGACTTCTGTAGAAATCTTAATTTTTGTTCTGGCGTAATTGGTTTTATCCCCCCAATGAATTTCACTTGTAATGTGCTGTAATTGTGCTAATTTTCTTTATTTTTTAATTTTTTAAAAAATTTTGAGACCGAGTCTTACTCTGTCGCCCAGGCTGGAGTGCAGTGGCGCAATCTTGGCTCACTGCAACCCCCGTCTCCTGGGTTCACGAGATTCTCCCGCCTCAGCCTCCTGAGTAGCTGGGATTACAGGCGTACGTACAGCACCACGCCTGGCTAATTTTTGTAGTTTCAGTAGAGACGGGGTTTCACCGTATTGTCCAGGCTAGTCTCGAGCTCCTGATCTCAAGTGATCTGCCTTCCTTGTCCTCCCAAAATGCTGGGATTACAGGCATGAGCCACCGCGTCCAGCCTAATTTTCTTTTGATGCAATAGTTTACTTGTTAGGTTAATAGTTAAGTTGTTCCTGATGTTTATATTTGGAAAATTGTGAACCTTCTGTCAAACATAAGATTTTAACAGGATTATAACATTCAATTATGCCTTTTTAAATATATTTTGAAATTTGTTTTTGCTTTTTCACATCTCTAACCTAATAGGATAATAAGTATAGAAATATTTACAAATACTTGCTATATATTCTGCCTTTCAGTACACAGTAACAGGAAAAGGTGACAATATCTCACAGATTGCTTCCTCTCAGGGAACATTCAAATTCACTGGTTATGCAAGAGAAACAGGAAAGGATACAGACTTTATCCTCATGGATCTAGCTGCTCTTAGCTGGTGTTAATAGTAGATTTATATGTGTAAATAGTAGATGTATATGTGTAAATAGAGTCTCTGGCGAAAGTTGACCGTCCTGAAAGCTTTATGTTGTTTTCCCATCCGTAAATATTCTTTGGTAACACCTTCTTTGTATTATAATTTTCAGAGCAAGCACTACGGCAGATGTTACAACATTTTGTTTTTCTTTGAATTGTCATGTGATATATTACACAGTCATACCTTACTCTGTGCAAGAATTTGGATCCTGGAACCAAGTAATAATTTAAATTTAGAAATCTAATAAATATTTTAACTTCATAGCACTGTTTAAAGTTATACACCCATGAATATTTTAGAACTAAAATGAAGACTTCTTCATTTATATGATTAAAAATTGTACTGTTACTGTACACAGTTGCTTCAACTTATATGATTGAAAATTGTACTGTTACTGTACACTATTGTCAAAACTTCCTTTTGCTTTTAATAAAAAGCAATTTCACCTCACAGGTTTACCTTTCTTTAGCACTTTCATTGAAATAACTGAAATATGTGTGTAAGCGTGTGTGTGTGTGTGTGTGTGTGTGTGTGTGTAATTGTATGGGTGTTTTGGAAATCACAGCACATTGTCATCAGTAACCTGAATCTTTGAGCCGTTCTTGGATTATTAGAAACGGATATGGTTTCATTCATGAGAGAAGGCAACCAGAAAAAACAGTGTGAGGATATTTTTGCCTTGGAAATAAATGTGTGGGTTTCTGGACACCCAGGAGATCACAGGAAAATCAAGAGTGCCAAGAACTGATCTAGTGCCCCCTCAGGGAGGAACAGAGAACAGCACCCTCACCCAAGCTTTCCAAAGAGCATTCTTGCTTATTACCTTTAGGATCTTCCATCAGAGGACAGAGGCAGAGAGGAAGTGGAGGTGCATCTCAATTCACTTTAAACACAAGCTGCCACTGCCAACACAAGTATGCTGCGAAGAAAACATATTCAAACCCACAAATGCCTCCCAAGGAGGAAGGATCCTGTTGAAGTAGCCAGTTAGAGGTAACTTTGAGTTTCTGCTGGTTCTTTATGATCCTGACATAATGAATAAAAGGCGTTTTTGTTCTGCTGAGCTTATTCGAGTGATTTAGAGATGAAAGCATGATCTTAGAGGTGCGAGCTGGCTTTTGCTACATAATAGAAGATGAAAAATTTAGTAGAGTTGGTGGAGACCCATGGGAAGGTGTGGGTAGAGAGGGAGAAGGAAAATCAAAGAAAAGAGAAGCAGGCATGGGAAGCCAGCACTATATTAAGAGACTGGGGAGGCTACATGTTAGCTGACATGATAGTGAAATATCCTGGGTCTTGGGTGTTAAAAGGGCTGTAAACGCAAAGGATGTCTGATACTTAAGTTGTTTTTCTTGCTGTTGTATAAATTCACTCCAAGTCCTGCCACCTTCAAAAAAAATGGGTCCTCTTCAGAATGCTTAGTTTGTATGTGTTTGTGGTGCTGCTTATTGCCCGTTTATTTTTCCCTTGTATGAAATCAGGGAAAGGGGTTTCGCTCCCCACCTGAGCTCTGCTTGTATGAAGCAAGAATGAATGTGCTGGATGCCAAAATGATCCAACCCTCAATTCAGTAGAAGAAGGAGCTCAGTGACAAGGCTCCTAGAATGTGAGAATATCTTTTGAGCTTTAATATTTCATAAAATATGGATCAAGCCAATATTTTCTAGATAGTAAGTGGCAGGACATCGCTGTGACATTTGGGTTACCAAGAACTGGGAAAATTGACGCAGTATAATAATCAAATCCAGAAAAGACACACTCTGCCTTTCCCGTTAGCCTTTTCTTATATCCCACTAGCAGCTACTCATCCTAACAGAAGCTTACCAACCCCAGAGAAAACTTAGGTCATGGATATATAGGTAATATTGGAATGACCCAGGGGACACAGGCACACCATTAGAGTCAGAAAGTGCACACACAGAGGTCTTGCTTCTCCATCAGTCCAGGCCTCACTTGGTGCAGGCTTGGAGCCTTGGAGCCTATGCCCCAAATTTGAACATAGGCAAAGGTCTTCCTGTGTTGTCTTTCTGTTCTCGGATCATGTAGTCAAGTTTTCTTAGGAGCCATGTCCACCATCTTGCAGCACCTGGGTGAAGCCAGTCCCTTTTGGGGTTGTGGCATTGTCAATTAATTGTTTATTTAGATGCTAAGAATGGTTCATTTGGGTCCTATTCAACTTTATCTGCCACTGGCTCCTGCAGGCTCCTGTAAGAAGGCCTGGTGAGATATGTGGGTCATAATCCCAAGGCATTAAAAAATGCAATGTATCTGCTGATTTCCTCTTTCTTTCCTCCTCTCCTTTCTGCCAAAATATTTATCAATAGTTTGACCTTGAACTGGGCTTGCCTTACAGGTAATCAAGTGGTAGAAGTTTGTGCATTGATTAATGGAAACCATTCACTAAATTATAACATATCTGTTATACAGAGTGATACGAGAATAAATATATAGGAGAAAATATTTGCAAAACCCTACCTGGTATAGGGTTTGTGTCCGAAATATGCACAGATCTCATAAGCCTCAACAGTTAAGAAATAAAACAACACAATTATTATGTGAGCAATAGATCTGAACAGATACCTCATCAAAGAAGATGTACAGATAAATAAGGACATGAAAGTACACCTGAGATCATATGTCATTAGGAAAATCCAAATTAAACAACACTGAGATACCACTACACATTTATTGGAATGGCCAAAAGAGGTGGATAGGGATTTCTAAAATACCAAATAATAGCAAGGATGGGAAGCAACACAAACTCTCATTCATTGCTCATCTGACTGCAAAATGGTACAGCCACTTTGGAAGAAAGTCTGGTGGTTTTTCACAAAGCTAAATGTAGTTTTACCATACAATTCAGCAATTGTGTTCCTAGGCCTTTACCTAATTGATTTGAAAATGTATGTCCCCACAAAAACCCATATGTGAATGTTTCTGGCGGCTTTATTCATAATCTCCAAAAACTAGAAACAACTAAGATGTGAATGGATAAACAAGTTGTGATAAATCAATGCAGCGAGATACTACTCTGCGACAAAGGTGGGATGAGTTATCAAGCTACACAAAGATATGGATGAATTGTAAAAGCGTATTGCTAAGTAAAAGAAATCATTCTGAAAAAGGCAGTTTACTATATTATTCCGTTTATATGAAGTTCTCGAAAAGGCAAAATAGATGGTAAACAGATCAGTGGTTTTCAGAAGTCTAGAGCAGGGAGATAGATGAATAAACAGCTCAAGCACACAGCTAGGATTTTTTATGTAAGAGAAAATATTCCCTATCATATTATAATGGTGCCTATATGGGACATGAATTTGTCAAAACCCATTGAACTTTACAGCAGTATCTATACCTTCTTCTATGTATCTATAGCTATACAAAACAAAACAGCCCCCCACAATGATGGGGACGTGTTAAATGGACATGGGATCCAATAGAAAGAACTCCCAATGGCCAAAGCTGAAATAATCGGAGCAAAAAAAAAAAAAAAAAAATCGTGATGAGTTTAATACAATGGACTAAAATTGTCTACGTACTTAAATAAATAAAAGATTGCGGCTGGGCGCGGTGACTCAGGCCTGCAATCCCAGCACTTTGGGAGGCCGAGGCGGGCAGAACACGAAGTCAGGAGATCGAGACCATCCTGGCTAACACGGTGAAACCGCATCTCTACTAAAAATACAAAAAATCAGCTAGGCGTGATGGCGGGCGCCTGTAGTCCCAGCTACTCGGGAGGTTGAGGCAGGAGAATGGCATGAACCCAGGAGGCAGAGCTTGCAGTGAGCCGAGATCGCGCCACTGCACTCCAGCCTGGGTGACAGAGCCAGACTCCATCTGAAAAAAAAAAAAAAAAAAAAAAAAGATTGCATCAAGAAATAAATGGGCATGGGCCAGAATAGATAAAGTTTCTGCACAGAAGTCCAAACAATGTGTGTAGATACTCTACCCACAAGAAGAGGAGCGCATTACCACTCCTTAGGTGTGGGCTGTGTATAGTGATGTCTTTGCAGAGAGTGCGGAATTGAAAGGGAGAAGCAAAGATTAACTTTACAGTGGAGAATCCTGAGGAACCCTACTGCAGCTGGGTGTTAAAGGGTGAAATCACAGTCACACAGAGGGCTGATAGTACATAACTTTGATGCAATGTAATGGAAATGGCATTTAACCTCAGACATCTTTTCACCAGAATCCATAACCACATTCTAATCATGAGAAAAACGCCAGACAAATTCCAATAGAGGGGCATCCTGCAAGATGCCTGACCAGTCCTCCTCAAAAGTGTCCAGGCCATCAAAACAAGGCAAGTCTGAAAAACTGTCACAGCTAAGAGAAGCTTAAGGAGACATGATGTGAATGTGAATGTGATGTGGGATCCTGGATGGGGTTCTGAAGCTGAAAAAGGGTATCAGGAAAAAGCGGGAAATCTGAATAAAGTGTAGACTTTTGGTAACAATAATGTGTCAATAGTTGTTCCCTACTTGTGACAAATGCACCATACCAAAGTGAGATGTTAATAAGGGGAAGTGGATCTAGAGTACATGGAAACTTTCTCCACTATCTTTGTAATATTTCTGTAAGCCTTAAGAGTTCTAAAATAAAAGTTTACTAAAATATACAAAACATATCATATTATTTGATATGTAAATATTTTAACACTAAACATTTCTGTGTTTTCTTATATAGTCAACTGATAATTTTACTGCAAAAAAGAATATATTAAAACAAATTCCTAAAAGCAATAAAGTTAACCCACGAACAAATAAGCTTTTCATGAAAACATCCTCACAGCAGTCCTCTTTTAGGCACTGTCTCCTAGAGCCTCCCACACTCCAGATTCATTTTCCCACCTCTGGATTTAATTATTGTTCCCATTGCTCATCTTGCATTTTTACTTCATTGCTTCAGAAATAACTTGTGTTTCCAAATAACAATGTGTTTCTGCCACACTGAGGGGTCCTCAGATTCTTTAGTATCCAATTCAGTAAGTAGCTCAATAGCGGGCACATAGTAAGCAAGCCAGTGGATACCTACTTGAATATTCAAATATTCCTTTAACTGCTCACAGTTTTTCTTTTACTTCTTCTTAAATCTACAAGTTTCTTTTAAAAGAGCTTCGGCATAACAGTGGCAGTAGATTCTCCCTGCAGTGCACAACTAGAAAGTGCATATTGAGAAGCTGTTTGAATAGTTTTGCTAAGGCTTTATCATGTCTGTTGTCCTTTTCTTATCAAGCCTGGGTAATGCTGGTTTATAATTTCTCTTTATGGGTAACCTCCTTTTTTTCTTTGACCATCAATCCAAAGTCATGACCTTCAAGTGAGTGACATGCTCTAGGGCAGGCACACCCCTCTGTTATCCAGCCAGTTGGAAATAGCTTTTCCCCTCTCTCCTCATGAAATCCAGCATTGAGTTCTAAATGTAATGGTAAGATCCCCCTAGAATTGCCCCTTGACATTTTTGCAGGTGCACTGGAGCCAATCTGGTATTTCTGCACAAGCGGTGGCTGCAGCCAACCTTTGCAGCATGGCAATCCCTGCTTTCTGAAGCAGTCTGTTTTGATGCCTGTTTTTTCTTATCACACTTGCAGCTTCCAGAATGCTGCTTCTTATAGGTTTTCTGTCAGAGTTTTAAAATATCTATTACTGCTCAACTCAAATTTACCAGTTTAAAGAGCAAGCCATACAGGCCACACTAGAAATTTCTAAATATCACAATTCAGGTCATGTAAAAAGGAGACCTTTAAAAATATACTTTATCATTTAAAAATGCTGCATTTACGAAGGCATATCATAACTTTAGTTAACTGTATCCCTGTATTAGCTTCTATTAGACTAGCAAAAAAGACTGTCTACAGCTCTGGAACATGTTTTAACTAGACTATTTATTACATGAATGTTCATGAAACATTTAAACAGCAAAATTTCAGCATCTTACACCCAAGGAAAAGAGAGGAGGAATATGAGGGAATAGGGTGTTTGACCTTGCATTTCAAAATACATTCATAAAATATTTAGAAAGGATGTAAGATTTTGAGCTTGAGTTCTTCAAAGAATTTTTGTTACTTAAACTAGTATAAAAAAATAGTCCAGGAAATGTAGACAAATGCAGCTTCTATTGAGAAAATAAAAATCCTATTAACAAGTACCCCAGGCAGCTTCATTAAGGATGTGAACTGCCTCGAATTACAGCATTTATATGGATTTTTTGATGCAGAACTGAAAACAAAAATAATTAGAACTATAATAAAAGTACTAAAATTCTAAATTAATTTCTAACAAATGACCTATTTTAGACAATGAGCTCCAACTTAAAATAATCTGTATAGTTTGTATATTTTAAAATTTAAATTTTATCACATTTTTGTTAATTTTCTGGGTTTTGCAGACAAAATTGCATTATCTGAATCTATTATTTTTTCTTTCTTTTTGTAATGGTCATATGTCCTATATTAATTTCATATCTTATTAATTGACTATATATTCCAGAACCATTTAAAATTATAATGATGTACGCAATCATTATTGGTACTAAAATGTAAAAGTACTATTATCTCCAACATCTTGCCATAAAATGATAATAACTGAAGGTATATATTCCTTGTTTTGAAAGGGAAGTATCATTGTGTTCTGCCTTTGAAAGATTTTTCCATGTTTTTAAAAATCAGGGAAAGCATTTAATAGAATTGGATGACTTCTGAGACAGTACAATGTCTGTCATTTTGTTGTATTATAGAAAAAGATTTCTAAATATAACATTAACCTTGCATTCTTGACCTAAATACTACTTAGTATCTGCATATTATTTTTAATGTATCATTGAATTTAATTTTTTTGTATTTAAATTTAGTCATTTTTTTCACAACTGTAATCCTAATTGGGATTGATTCATCATTTTCTACTATCATACTTTCTTGATCAGGGTTTAGAATGAGCTTTGCTTTATATTAATGTGCTGCTCCTGGTAAAACTAAAAGCCAAAGTCAAAATTCAAATTTACATTTTGCCTTAAATTACATAGGTCTTAAATTCCTCCAACATTGATCAAATTTAGCATTGGGAAATAGAAGAGTATGTCCTTACGTGGATTGGCACCATATGAATGCCTATTTGATCCTGCAAATACATACATCTCCCAAATCTCCCATTTATTGTTTCTACTTTTAAATGTTTTAGAGGTAGCCTATGCACATAGTAATACATCAAATATCACTAGATGGACTTGTAAAGCAAAGCCCCTCATCTGTCTCTTGCATTTTTTTTCCTAGTCTCCAGAGGAAACATTTAAAATTTTTTTTTGTAGTTCTTATTTATGTAGATGTCCCTATAACTCTAGAAGTAAATTTCCCCACTTGTACTGTAATTCTCACAATTCATGTCCTTTGCCTCACAATTTGGGGGCATGCTTCTCACTTGGTAGATGTGATCACTGTGGAGATGGGTCCCACTCTGGGAAGGGGTGCAAATGAGCAGGCTGGACCAAATACTCCAATACCCACAGGAGTGTGACTGATAAAGGGAAATTAGTTTGTGTGATTCCAACTACAGCAGAGTCCTTTTGGAAGGGCTAATATGACAGCTAGAAGCAGGAAGGTCTCTGCCTCTGCCCTTCTGGCCTCATAAACTACAAGGACCCCTCACCTGAATCTGCTCAGGGCCATTTTCCCAGCAGAGAGTGATAACAAGTCAGCAGGACAACAGAGGAGCAGAAGGTCAAGCGATGGGATCTCAGTTCTCCCAGTCCTGTGATGACATCTGGGGAGCACTCAGGATCACTGGGACAGAAAACTAGACATCTTTGGTTTTTTCAGTTACATGAGCTCAACATTCTCATTTTGCATAAGCTAGTTTGTAATGGATTTCTCTTACTTGCAACTGAACAACTCCTGGCTAAGCAGAAACTGGAACTACTATTGTGTATTTGCAAGTGGCAAAATTCACATGGGAGTGACTTAATTGCAGTAGGACAAGGCAGAGGATTCTTGAAGGAGATTAGTTGTTTAATTTGTAGCCGTTTGTGACTTGGGCCTCCAACTGGTGTCTACCAAAGCTGAAGCTTCAGGGATACAATAGGAAAAATATCAGGTTGCTAGACTAAGGTGCCTATTTGCTGAGGATATAAATTGCATTCCATAAGACAGAGGCAAGTTGTAAGGACAACTGGAACATAGTGACAGCAGAAATAAAACAACATAAAGTGTAACTCATATTGACTACATCTGCAAGGAGCAGGGCATCTAAAATAAGACTTTGGTTATTATAGGAAGCAAAGTGTTGGCCTTTAGCTAAAGTTAGTATAAGAAAATGCAGAGACGTAGGTGAGTGGAATGGAGCATGGTAGTTAGCCATGGCCCTGGGAGTAATTAGTGAACTCTCACCAGCAGCACTGCCCCTCCCAATGACTGCTAAGTACACCCTGGTTGGCCAGATAACAATAACCCCTATTATAAGTGCACCAATTGCATCTTCCTGGAGGGAAGTGGTCTTGTCAGTCCTGCCCTTTACCACAATCTCTTTTTCCAGTAGAAGAATCAAAAGGAAATGGTTTGGCTGAGGGCTAGGAGAGTCAACAGCGTTGGTGTGTATTTTGCTCAATAACTGAAACCCAAAGGCTGGGCTTGGGATTTAATGGACCATGATAGGAAAACCTGCTTGAATGTCAATTTTTCATAAACTCTAAAGAAGAAAACTATACTTTTAGTATATTGTTGTGAGAAAAATCCTACTCATTCCTGGCAAAATTCTATCCAAGCCTGGGCTTGCGACTGCCTGACTCTCCAGGTGCCTTGTGGGGCCCAGAGGTGAACAATATCAAGTCTCCCATGAAGTGCCTCTCTGCTCTCTGAATTTTCTATTGATCTCCACTATCATCTGTTGATTTGGTCTTTCTCTCTCACTTGCTAAATTTGTTCATGTGGTTGCTGGTCATTGTTTATGTATTTATACAGGTCACAGTTATTGGTCCTTTTGCTGCTGGGGACATAGATTTGTTTTGTGCTGGATCTTGATTGAGATAACTCCCTGAGACCCCTGTGAATATGGGCATGGCTTGTTTATGGATTTCAGTGTGACCTCCCCAAATAGCACAAGGGTTTTGCTCTGGGGAGCCCTTTTACCCTCCAGCATTTAGATTCCTACCTGAATAGATTGATCAATTTCTTCAGCACGGGAACCTCAGGACTCTCCTGTGTTCTCTTGGGCAGGTGACTCCCACTCTCTTCTCCCCTCATTCTTGTATGCTGGCTATATTTGTTCCTTTCTGATTTATATTATGTTTCAACACATTTCTGTAGTAATAGGCTGGAAAGATTCCCCATAGGGAAAGTGAACAGTTGCAAAACAACCGTAACTACAAGAAACATGACATTTTCTGGGAAAAAAGAGGCCAGTAGGTTCACGTGTATGAGGGTGAGGCAAAGCAGGGCACTGGGTGAGGCAAAACAGGGCACCTGGTGAGTCAGACCAAGAGTGGGGTGCCAAAGAATGCAGGGTGGTTTAGCCTAGGACAATGGTACTTGTCTACCTTGTGAACCTTGGAAATGCATTTCCTTATTACAAATGGCAACTAACTACACTGTAGAGAATAGGATTATGAACAGAAAGGATCGGAGATCTAAAGGGCAATTCATGATAGTTGTAATTCACGGTAATTTGTAGAGAAGGTGAGGATGTTTTGCATATAGAATCAACAAGACTTCGTAAAGGCTTGAATATAGAGAAATAAAGGGTGGTGTTCAAGGGGATTCCTAGATGTCTAGCTTCTTGAGGATGATCGAATGCCATAAACTAAGATAGGGGACCTGGAACAACACTAGATTTGGGAACACAAAAGGAAATCATGAGTTGAGTGTTGTATATGTTTATGTACATGAACACGCCAAGTTTGTTGAGGTTGCATGGGCTTGGAACTGAGTAGAGAGGCCTGGATTGGGGTTAAAAAAATACTGAGTCATCAGCCTTTAGATGAAAATTATGGCATGAGTACAAAGACCGGAGAGCCTATAGCAAAGTCCTATTATATCTTATTAGGTTAGCTACTACATGTGATCAAAAACCAACATAACACATTGCTTAAACACAGAAGATTGTATTCTTCCATGGAAAATATGCTGTCAGACCTGAAGTGCAATGCAGGTGCAGCAGTCTTAAGCCGCTTTGATCTCACTGCTTCACTGCATCCAAAAGCTCCAAGTGTGGTCCAAGATGGCTACTGGAGCTCCAGCCATTAAGTTCACATTCCAACCAGCAGGTAGAAGAATGGAGATAAGTGTAACCTTCTTCTAATTAAGGCCAATTCCAAAAACTCTCATGTACTATTTCCATGCACATGATATTATCGGCCAGAATTTAGTCACATACTCTCTTAGTCCATTTGGGCCACTACAACAAATTTATCATAAACTAAATGGCTTATAAACAACAAATCTTTCTCATTCACAGTTCCGGATGCTGGAAAGTTCAAAATCAAGGCACTGGCAGATTCAGTCTCTTGTGGGGGCTCATTCTACAGTTCACAGATGGTGTAGTCTCTCTATATCCTCACATAGTGGAAGGGGCTAGCCAGTAATTTAGGGTCTCATTTATGAGAACACTGAGACCCATTCATGAGAGCAGAGCCCTGATGGCCTGATAGTGTCTAATATCATCATGCTGGGGATCAGGTTTCAATGCATGCCTTTGGGGGAACACACACATTGTGACCACAGCGTATAGCCAGCTCCAAAGAGGGTGGCCAACATTTTTGTTTTTCTGGGTTGACACATGCAAAGAGAGCATTCAGGGGTTCAAGGGCTGAGGGAAAGTGAAGAACCTTGTATTAGAAGACGTCAGGCAATTTTCACCACAGCAAACAAAAACAACAAACTTTAGTGGGTATTGACTTATTGCTATCTAGTCTCCTAAGTAGTTTTTTTAGTTATTAAGTTTAATCTTGACCACAGGCCTTGAGGTAGATGTGGTAATTACTATTCCCATTCTAGAGATGGCAAAGGAGTGAGTTGAATGACCTGTCCAAAATTCCAGCAGCACTGACATCTTGGACCCCTTGAGATTCAGGCTTCTGAGTGAGAGCAGTGGTATCTCCCAATATCTGGCAAATGTGGCTGAACATGAGGAGGAAAAACAGGTCTAGTCAGATTCACACAGTTGGCCAAGTTACCCAGTTATCATTTTCATATGTAACAAATACCTATAAAGTAAGGAAATATAAAACCTAACTCATAGACATGACTAGTTATTACTGGGATTGACAAAAAAAAAATTGCAGAATCTAAGAGAATTTCTTCTTAACACAAAATGCACGTAGAATGAAAATTTAGTGTTAGGACATCTCGAAGGCAAGGAGTTAACATCTCTGTATGGATGGGAAAGGCCTATATGGTTCTGTCTGCCCCAGTTTCCTTCATTGGTTGGTGTGTGTGTGTGTGTGTGTATACACACACACCTACATGTATATACATTACATATGTCTATACATTATATAGACATATGTGTATATATACATACACATAACTGTACCTAGGTGTATATATGTATAGAAATACACTATATATACTTATAGACTATGTATATATATAGAAATACACTATATGTACATATAGACTATGTATATATGTAGAAATACACTATATATGTATATACTATATATTTATAATATATAGTAATTATATATAATAATAAATATAATATTTTCTATATACTAGATATACATTTTATACTATATACACATATATGCATCTATACACATACATAGTATATAAATATATATACTATATAAATATACTATATATATACACATATATATAGTGCATTTCTCCTGCTGAGAAAACTTCAAATCTCTGAATACCTGAAATCAGAAAGTAGAGAGATGAGAGGCAGAACAGCGATAGTATTATACACTGAGAGGTAAATTCGCTAGAAATAAAATGATGGCAGAAGAAAGAGGAAGTCTGGCAGCATCCCACAGGAGGGCCTGCAGGTTTTCGTGTATGACATCAATCTACAGTGTTAGGGAAACAGGCAGTCAAGAGGGGAGGAATCAGCCCCGCAGAATTCTGGTAAATGAAAGCCTGTTAGATGTGGAGAACAGATTTAAGGCTGTGCACGCCAGTCTTCCACGAAGGCCTCTGTCTGGCAAGAGGAGAAAAACACTAACGTGTGCACAGCCAGCATTATGCCTGTTGGAGATCATCTGGTCTGGATAGACTCTCTCCAGGGAGTGGTGCAACAGCCTCCAGATGGGAGCCAAAAAGAAGACACTGTAGAAACCCAAAAGAAACTTTATTCTAAAGAGTCAGGTTAGAAGGATATCTAAATTTTATAGGCATGAGATGAAAATTCTAGGAAGCTGTCATCCTTAAGAAAATGCAAGGAGATTTTAACTCTATGAAATAGAAGCATAGAGTCATAATAGGAAGATAAAGGTGACGTGAAATATGAGGCAGAAAGATACAATTATGATTTCAGCTAGATTTCCGAGGAACTAGTAATGAAATAAAGGAAATTAAAATCCACATTGGGATTTTGATGTCCATACCATCCTTGGCGAAACCCCGCCAGTGATGTGGTGGACACACAGAGAAGGTAGTGCTGACAGCAGCCAGGGGCGTGACTGGAGCAGTAGGTGGAGGGCGGCGGCTGCACCCAGGGCATCTAGAGCCTCATACTGCAGATGAAGGGTGAGCGCCAGGGAGGGTTTAGGGGGTAGGGAGTCTCAGTCTATCTTGTGATCTGGGTACTGATATTCTGGAGCTTGGCTCACTTTGTCAAGTATGTCACAATGTACACTTAAGATCTGTGGTACTTTAAGTCTATGCCACTTTGGTAAAATTTTATTTTAAAAATCACAGTTGAGCAAATCTGCTTCTTTGGATGTGGGAGCAAAAAAACAAAGAAATAATGAAAAAATTATTCCAGAACTAAGAAAAAAGACCCCTATTGCTCTCTTCTTCCCTGAGTAACATGTAGATAAGAAAGAACTTGTATTCTAGGTGAAGATATTAAATGGGGATTCATATCCAGATAGTTATATGCCAGCTTTTAAACATGAAATACATCTAACTTTGTTAACAAAAATCCCTTAATGTGATCACATATAAAATGTTTGATATATGTTCTTAGTTGACGCTTTAAAAAGTGATTTAAAGTATCTTAAGTGCTTTTAAAAGAAAAGCCAGTATGGAATATGATAACCACATTTTACATGGCTTGAAAGCATATTTGAAAATGTCTCTTGCATTTTAACTGCATCAGCGATGATGACTGATACTTTACAGGTGAATGTGTTTGACAACTGGAAAAAGCTTAATATTAAAATTATTCAAAATATTTAATTAGACAGGAAAAAGTACGTCTCTACTTTCTATTTTTATCATAAGTATTGCAATAAATATAATTTGTTTCTTCCCCAAATATCCTTTACCTCATATATAATTTCATGCAATACAAATTATAAAATGTTCTATGTGTTAATTTTCATATTTTACTAGGTTATGTTTTCTTTCTTTTTATTCTTCTGATTGTGGTGTTTTTGTTTTCAACTGATAATGGGACTAGTTCACATTTTCATTACTAATTAATTGATTTATTTAAAAATAATTAAGGTAAGTTTGTAGTAGAAAGTTTGAAATGTACAAAATGTGGACAGTAGACAGCAGCATTACCTCTTCTTCATCTTCTTTGAATTTACCTTTCTTTGGTAGTTACAAATTTCTTTTTTACCCTTTGAAGTAGAATACACATAGGTACCATTTTTAAATATTATTATTTTAAATTGTGTGTATTATTTTAAATATCACTTTTATGATGTTAATCATATAAAATAATATTTGGAATTATCATAGTCTTATGGGGATAAAAACATTATGTTGATAAACAGGTCAGTATTCAATGTAATTATTTATCATTCTAAATACGTTGGGAATCTTCCCTGAGTTGTGATAGAATAAATTGCCCAATCCTATTGTCTACTATTATGATGAGTAGTACTGTGAATAGATGGATGCAGAGCTGCATGTGAGTACAATCAAAGACTTTGTTCATTTCTGTTCACTTGTATCTTCATTAAATGTGTACATACTTGTCTTTTGAGAGAGTAATAAATTCTCTTGGTCAAACCTAAAAATTAGCAAAAGGATCATGGCAGACATTGCTGGTGCTGCCCGATGTCTATTCTTCCCTTCACAGATGCAGAGGCCAGGTGACCCAGCCTTCTCCACATGGATAGCAGATGGAACTGTTTCAGGACAATGAAATGTGATGTGGATCCCTTCCAAGCTGAGGGAGCGAAACACTCTTGTCAAATTCTCTAGGCTTTTTTCTGCTGGCATGGTTGTGGAGAAGGCTTCCTTGTTAGGCAGAAAAGCAACAAGATTAAATTGGCCTCCATGGAGGAAACTGCCCTGATAGCCACTATGGACTTTGTATATGCAAGGAGCAATGTTTCTGCGTGTTGATGCACTGAGCTTTTGGAGTTCTTTGTTACTACAGAATAACACAAGATAATTTGTCCTCCATTTTCCCCTCTCCAAGAGGGAGCCAGTGGGTACAGATTGTTGTGTTTGTGTAGACAATTTTTTTAAATATTTAAACTAATAGGTGCATATAATCACCCCACACACTATTCTATACTTTGCTTATTCATCTGTATAAATATCTTTGAGGTCACTTTATATGACTATGTAAAGTTCATTTTTTTCCTACAGCTGCATATTATTTCATTTGGATATATCATAATTTAATTAAGTGATTTGACATATTTATGATATTTCCAACCTTTTCAATGACACATACTGACTAAAAATAATCTTTATGCATGTGATCTTGATTTTTATTTGTAAATGAATGCTTACAATTGGAATTATGTGGGGGGCAAAGGATGTGTACATTTAAAATTTTGATACCTAAAAGTAGACCCTAATTTTCCTTCCTGACATCACTGTGCCTATTGGTATATTTAAGCATTTTTCAGATAAAATTTGCAAATTGTCTCTTAGTTATAGTAAATGAGTTCTTTTATTATAAAATCACCCTTCATAGGTTGCGTTCCAAATTGTACTCCCAAAGTAAAGATGTAAAATTGACTGCCTATGCAGCAATCAACAGAGGGTGTTCTTAGACTTTTTGACATTTCCCAATACGGTAGGTGAGAGAGCCGTCCACTGAGTTTATTTAATGTGTCTCATAATTGTAATGAGGCCTCATTATAATGAGTCACATCTAAGTAATGTTTAAGAGCCATTCATAGTTCTCATTCTGTGAATATATGTCCTTACTCTTTGTTCATATTTTCTATCGAGTTATTTTTTTTTCTCATGAAGTTAATTATATATTACATAAATTAGAGTCTTGAGCTTTCTGGAATTCACTCTGGTATGAAAAGTGTCGCAAAAGTCAAATGCTTATTTTTTAAAAATACTGACACATAGTTGTTCTAATACATTACTAAATGTAAAATATGATTCCTTTGATAGATTTGTCTACTCCTGTTGTAGTACTATACAAAGCATACTGTTCCAATCCCCACACATATATACTGATGATATATATAGTATATATATATATATATATATATATATATATATATATATGTATATGTATATATTTAGTGAGCTACTCTCTTTATTCTTCCCTATTTTCAGAATTTTTGTAAATATTCTATATGACATTTATATCAGCTTGTCTAGGACTAGAAGTTCTTTTAAGATCATATTAAATTAATAGATTATTCAGAGACAATATTTTTCTATTGTCTATGGAAGCTTTGTATTTAACAAAGATAGTGTTTCTTTTGATTTTCAAGTTCTTTTTTACATGCTTGTTGATATCTTTAAGTATTCCTCATAAAAGATTTATGAATTGATTTTATTGGCTTTATAGTAAATGAGTTATGTTCTTTTATGTCTGATTAATTGCACTATTTATTTTGGACAGCTATTTTTATATTATTTGCACAAATATAAATATGGAATTATCTTTTTATTCTAAGAAATTTTTGAACATATTTGCCCGTTTTCACATTTAGTATCTTTAATAGACTTCAGCATTTTTCTCAGATTTATACCTATCAATCCGTAGCTTCATTCATTAGTGATTTTTGGAGTCAGTTTCATGATATTTTTTCCTAATTTTTAAAAATGGTTACTAGAGCGGAAGAAAAATATTTTTTTCCTCTGCCCTCTTGAGTTCTTAGTTGAAATGGACCCATGTAACAAAAGACATTAATAAAAGAAAAACAAAAAGAAGTTTGGGACAAACTCAGGGAATGAGTAGTGCTCAAAAAGGTGGTATTTATTTCCAGCTGATGTGGCATCTTTATCAAAGAACAGGACATGTTTAGAGAAGTGACAAAAACAAGGAAAAGGACTTTGAGGTCTAGGGCTGGCAACTTGGGACAAGGCAAGTAAGTGGCAGACAAAGGCTGGACCCAGAAAGGCCTAAAGCTGTTTAGTGGTGTGAAAAGTTAAAAGTTCCTCTTCAAAGTTTCCCTTTTGTTAAAGAATAAATAGTAAGTGTTAGAAATAATAGTTTCTTTTAAAAACTAACTTCCTTCAAGTTTCCTTGCTTTTTGCTAATAACTGTTAAGCCCTATGTAGTTAAATATAGTAAGGGAATAAGTACGTTCTATGTCCTTGTACTTTAACCAAGTTATTTGTTCAGACCTTTAGCCTCCTCAGACGTGTCCAAACATGCCCAGGCATTTCCCGGCTTACAACCTATGCCTCTTCCTTATTTGGAAATGTTATTATTCTCATAGTTTTCTATAAACAACCTCCATCCTTTCTTTGTTCTCCATCACGCATTTACCTATTTAGGAAAGTTTTAAGTTTTTAGCCAATCGGGATCAGTCTAGATTGTGCGGTCCAGCTCTAGCCAGTGAAGATAGGACACAGCAGTAAGGACCCAATGCGTCAGGGATAAAAACCTCTGCCTTTCTTTGTTTGTGGTGCTTTCATGACAATCAAGCTTCCGAGAAGCACCCTTTCTGCAGAAAGTAAAATTGTCTTGCCAAGAAAATTCATATTCAAGTGCTATTTCCTTTGTGGCACCAAAAATTAATTTGTAGCAGTGGTGACCCTTGGTTCACACTGGTAGTGAGGGGAGGGAGAGGATCTTTGTCTTTACTTTATGTCTTGATTTTGGGCAAGTAGAGAGAGTGCAGAGAACTTTCCTGCATTTATTTCCTCTTATTGCCTTAAGCTCAACAATCCTCAAGCCAATGAAACACATGTAGGGGTGGCATATTCTGGTCCCTCACAATAGTTAGATCATAGATTTTTTTACTCTATAAAATTCCCTCTGAGAAAACCTTTAGCTTATGGAACTGATAAGTTGGTACTTCCTTATCATTAACTTTAAAATGTTTTCAAACTTCCTTTGTGATTTCCTTTATGATCCATGGATTATTTTACAAGATATCACTTAGCTTCCAAAGAAAAGATTTAAAGTGCTTTTTTATTTATATGTTACTGATTTTATCTCTGTACTATTGTGTTAGAGAAAGTGCTGTATATTTGTTTTCAATTCTTTTAACTGTGTTGATACTTTGTGACCCAGATTATGTCACCATGTAATGTGAGCCAAATTTCATATTTGTGTGCAGCAGAGAAAAATGTATATTCTGTCATTGTTGGGCCAATGTACAGAAAAATTCTGTCAGGTAGGTCTCATTTCTTAATTGGGTTGTTCACATCTTAATGTTTTGTCTGCTACTTTATCACTTAGATATACGTGCTAAAATCTCCAATAAGCTGAGTTTAAATTTATTTTTGAAATTGTGGTAAAATATTTATAACATTAAATTAAGCATTTTAACCATTTTAAAATGTACAATTCAGTGGCATTAAGTATGTTCACTTTGTTGAGCAATTATTACCACCACCTATCCACAGAACTTTTTCATCTTTGCAATACTGAAGCTCTGTATTCACTAAACAATAACACCCCATTCTCCCTTCATGCCAGCCCCTGGTGACCAGCCTGTGTGTATGAATTTGACTACTCTCAGTACCTCGTATGAGTGAAAACACACAGTACAAGTCCTCCTGTGATTGGCTTATTTCACTTATATGATGGTTAATACTGAGTGTCAACTTGATTGCAGAATGGGAAGTATTGATCCAGGGTGTGTCTGTGAGGATGTTGCCAAAGGTGATTAACATTTGAGTCAGTGGACTGGGGAAGGCAGACCCACCCTTAATCTGGATGAGCACCATCTAATGAGTTGCCAGTGAATATAAAGCAGGCAGAAAAACGTGAAAAATTAGACTGGCCTAGCCTCCCAGCCTACATCTTTCTCCCCTGCTGGATGCTTCCTGCCCTTGAACATCAGACTCCAAGTTCTTTAGTTTTGGGACTCAGACTGGCTCTCCTTGCTCCTCAGCTTGTGATGGCCTGTTGTAGGACCTTGTGATTGTGTGCGTTAATACTTAGTAAATCCCCCTTTATACATATCTCTCTATCCTATTAGTTCTGTCCCTCTAGAGAACCCTGATTGATACAACTTAATATAATGTCTTCATGCCATGGCCATGCTATAACATATGTCAGAATCTCCTTCCTTTAGCTATATATGCACACACACACATATATATAATAATTTTGCTTATAATCAACCAGCAAAATTAGGTCTCTAATAGACACATATATACATATATATGTATACATACATGTATGTGCAGAAGCAAAATATATATACACACATATACATATATTCGTATATGCATAAATATGTTACCAGGTCTTGACTATGAGTTGTCCAGGTCCTTGGTGTTTTGAAGAAAGAACTGAGCAAAATACACAAAGTAGCAGAGGAATGAAATGCAGGAACAAACCAGCAAAAGCAGGGATTTATTAAAGTGAGAAAGCACTCCACAAGCTGTGAGTGGACCACTGCAAGTGGCTCAAGGGCCAAGTTAGAAAGTTTTCTGGGTCTTAAGTACTCCCTTTGAAGTTATTGTCAGCTACTTCTTATGTGGATGAAGGATTTGGTCTGTGGCTAATTTAAGGCTGAGGTGAATTGGTGCCCCGTGCAGACGAAGGGATGGTCCCTGCTTGGCCACAGCTAATCCAAGGCACTCTCCCTTTCCCTCTGAGACGCGATGGCAGGGGAAGGCTGTAGGGAGAGTAGCCTTTGATCCTTTGTTACTCAGCGTGGGGAGATGGGGTTTTTCCTTTTGGATTAACTTTAGAAAGTTTGTGGTAATTGGCCTTAGATTCCCTGGACCCAGACCTTGGTGTTTTTCCTTGATTCAGCAAGAATTGGCCTTAAGTTCCCTGCCCCCAGACCCTATTCTGCCTCACGTATATACGTATGTATGTATACATATACGTATATACATATGTATGTATACATATACGTATATACATATGTATGTATACATATACGCATATACGTATATGTATATATACACCTAATGTTGCTTATTCTAAGCCAAATTATAATAAATGTATACATATATTTATACAAGTATAATTTATGTATATATGCATAATAAATGTATAAATAAATAATATAATTTTGCTCATTTATACTAAGAAAAATTAGGATAAATATTATATGTATATATATTTGCTTATTCTAAGCAAAATTATAATAAATATAGACAAACACATATGTATGTATAGATATACACACATGTGTATACAGATGTGTATACATACATATACACATATGTATATACACATATACACATGTATGTATGTATACATATGTCTATGTAAACACGTGTATGCATACATGCAGACATATATGCACATACGTGTGTATACACATACACACGTATGTGTAAATATGTCTATACACATATATTCATGTGTGTATACATATACACATATATTTATGTATATACACACATACATACCAATATGTCTTTGTATATACATATATACACACACACAGACACACACACACACACGTAATTTTGCTTATTTATTCCTCCACTGGTGGACACTTGGGCTGCTTTTATTTTTTGGCTATTGTGAATAATGCTGCTATGAACATAATGTACAATATGTCTTTGAACCCCTGCTTTCATTTGTTTGGGTATGTACCCAAAAGTGGAATTGCTGGACCACATTTTTAACTTTTTATGGAACCGTTATACTCTTTTTCATAATAGCTGTACCATTTGGCATGTCTACTAGCAATGCACAAGGGTTCAATTTCTTCAAGTTCTCACCAACATGTATTTTCTATTTGTCTGTTCATGCGTTCGTTTTGATAATAGCCCTCCTAATGGGTGTGAAATGCTATCTCATTGTGGCTTTTATTTGTATTTCCCTAATGATTAGTGGTGTTAATCATCTTTTTATGTGCTTTCTTGTCTACGGTCTTTGGTGAAATGTCCATTTAAGTCCTTTTCCCATTTTTGAGTGACACTGGGTCTTTTATAGTTGAGTTTTAGGGATTTTCCATATATTCAGAATATTAATCTCTAATCAGATATTTGATTTGCAAATATTTTCTCTCATTCTCTGGATTGCTTTAGATTTTTTGAATATGAAACACAGTTTATTGGTTGAGTGCATATTTTAAATTGTTATATACCTTTGTGGTTGATTAAGACACTTCACATAAACCTTTATGTAAATGCATAAAATCATTGCCTGAACAACCAGGTTAAACTGCTATCTTTCTGGTTCCAGAGGTAGAAGTTTAGCATTTTATATTGTCAGGTTTTATATAATAAATATAGTCTATTTTGCAACTACTAATAAAAATATCATTTACCTCCAGTAATTTTTACATAATTTCTATATTTATTTCCTGATTGTCTGAAGATTTTCCACAAGTAGTTTAATATTATATTTCAAATCTTTGGCCGCTTTCTGAAACACAAGTAGTCATTTAAAAGGTCAATGTTTTTTCCACATATTTGATGCCAGACTCATTTTTTCTTTAGCTTTACTGTAAAATGATAGAACTTATTTTTGAGTTCATATGAATAGAAGATAAGAACATAATGTAAGGCTCAGTTATTTTTAACTTGACAAGTCCTTCTGCAGAAAAGAATATATTAAGAAATCACAGTTCATAATCAAATTCATTGAGGAATTCATTAAAGAGCTTTCCTTTTTCTTCATGATATATACAATTTGGTACCATGATACAATAGTAATGTGGGGAAGCTGAGAGTATTTAGCAGGTGAAAATGAATAAATGGAAAGATAAAGTAACTTATGATAGGCTCAAAAGCATCTTGTTATAAAAATCATGAACTACTTACTGCAAAGCAGCTTTATAAAACTTAGATTTGGAAACTTTCTTATGTCTGGGCATGTCATGCATTTGTAACCCTTCCCTGTAAATGAATGTGCTTTTTCATTTAACAGGCTGTTCATCTATTTTTCAAAAAAACAAGTTCAAGTAAAAAATCTAACTAATTACACTGGTGGGAAAACTGGAACTGACACTAGCCGGGGTGGGCGTGGTCACACCCAACTGGGCAGTTCAGGGAGTGTGGGGAGGGCCTGTTCCCATCCCACCCCAGCTTCTACACCCGCTAAAGGCGAGAAGGTCTGAGATTTCACTGTTTCAGTGTCTCCTCCATGTTCAAGACTTTTCATTGTCAGGAGTGTGGAGTGCACTTGTAAAATGAAATCTCCCAAGTTCTCAGATTTTCTTCTGGCATTACAGTGTGAGGAGCTTTGTTGACCCACTCCCCAGTGAATCTGGTGAAAAGAGAAAGAGAGAGAGACAGAAAGAGAGAGAGAAAGAAAGAAAGAGAGAGAAGGAAGGAAAGAAGGAAGGAGGGAAGGGAAGGGAGTAGGGGAAGAAGGGAAGGAAGAGGGGAAGGGAAGGGAGAGGGGAAGGGAAGGGAGA
The DNA here is from genome assembly GCF_000001405.40 of Homo sapiens. Classification (NCBI taxonomy): domain Eukaryota; kingdom Metazoa; phylum Chordata; class Mammalia; order Primates; family Hominidae; genus Homo; species Homo sapiens. The sequence goes on from NC_000007.14 coordinate 52,189,340, forward strand.
GGGGAAGGGAAGGGAGAGGGAAAGGGAAGGGAAGGGAGAGGGGAAAGGAGAGGGGAGGGGAGGGGAGGGGGAGGAGAAGGGAGAGGGGAGGGGAAGGGAGAGGGAAAGGGAAGGGAGAGGGGAGGGAAAGGGAAGGGAAGAGAAGGGAAGGGAACAGGAGGGAAGGGGAGGGGAGGGGAGGGAAGGGGAGGGGAGGGGAGGGAAGGGAAAAATTTAAAGCATCTTGAAACAATCCTAAGAGCAGACAGCATAAGAAGCATTTATTCAAGAAAACCTATAAAATTCAGTAAGAAAGGTAGAATCAGTGGTATTTAAACAAAAACACTCCTTTCCTCACCCCTCCCAGTTCCTGAATGGGAGACTCCGTCCTGGATTGCTGCAGCCAAGCGCACAAGGCTTCCCTTACTACCTCCAAGTTTCAGATCTTTTCTCCCAGAAATAGCAGAATTTCAGTGTTTCTCATCCTGCCGTTACTGAGGCAAGCACTGGGTGAGTGCATGGAGAGGGAAACACCATTTTTCTGCCCAGTGCACACTGCTGAGAATACTGGGGCCCTTACAGCCCTTTCTTGTCTCATAAAGGAGTAGTTCTATGCAAGCTGAGATAATCTCATGTTGCTTGATATCTCTCCTACCTTCTCCACCAAGTGCTGAGCTCCCAGAGCAAGGTGTCACTCAGAAAGATTTCCCAGCTCCAGGGCTCTGGCTCAGAGATGTTACCCAAGAGGAGAAGCCAGCCATAAATTACTTCACAACAGAAGCAATTTCATTTGAACAGAGCATGGAGAGCTTCAGTGCAATTCTCCCCCAAATGATCTTCAAATCCAACACAGTCCCTATCAGAATCTTAGCTGACTAATTTGTAAAAATTGACAAGCTGATTCCATAATTCATATGGAATGGAAGGAACTCAGAACAGCCAAAACAATTCTAAAAATGAAGAACCAAGTAAGTGGACTCACACTTCCTGATCTCAAATCTTACTACAAAGCAACAGTAATCAAGACAGTGTGATACTGGCACAGGGATTTATGTAGATAAATGGAATAGAATGGAGAGTCTAGATGTAAATTCATCCATCCATGGGCAACTGATTTTCAACAAGGGTGCCAAAACCATTCAGTGAAGGAAGGAGGAACCCTTTCAATAGGTGGTACTGGGCCAACTGGATAGACAACAGATAAAATAATAAATTTGGGCCCTTGTATTGCACCATATACAAATTTAAGTAAAAATGTGTTAAAGACCTAAACGTGGGAGCTAAAAGTATAAAACTTTAGAAGAAAACATAAGTAAATCTTTAAGACTTTGGATTTCACAGAGGATTCTTAGATATGACACCAAAATCATAAGTAACAATAGAATAAAATAGGTAAATTGAACTTCATCAAAATTACAAATTTTGTGCCTCAAAGAACATCAAGAAAGTGAAAAGACAACTCACTAAATAGTAGAAAATATTTACAAATCATATATCTTAAAAGGGTTTTGCATCCAGAATATATAAAGAATTCTTACCGTTTAATAATAAAGATGTTACCCAATTCCAAGAAATAGGCAAAATAGCTGAATAGATGTTTTTCCAAGAAAATATACAAATGAAGATATACACTTGAAACAATGTTTGATATCATGAGTTATAAAAATGCAAATCTAAACAATAATAAAATACCAGTTTATACCCATTAGAATGGCTAGAAACAAAAGGTCAGATAGCAACAAGTGTTGGTGAGAATTTAGAGAAATCAGGATACTCATATACTGCTGATGGCTATGTAAGATGGTCCAACCACTTTGAAAAACAGTCTGGCAGTCTCTTAAACAATTAAATATATGGCCACCATATGAACCAGCAAATTCACTCTGAGGTACATACCCAAGATAAATGACAACATATATCCACTCAAAACATCTATGTCAAGCTAGCCAAACCCACAGCCCATGGGCTACACGTGGCCCAGGATGGCTTTGAATGCAGCCCAACAGAAATTTGTAAACTTTCTTAAAACATTTTGATATTTTTGTGCAATTTTAGTTTTTAGCTCATCAGCTATTGTTAGTGTTAGTGTATGTTATGTGTAGCCTAAGACAATTCTTCTTCTTCCAATGTGGCCCAGGGAAACCAAAAGATTGGACACCCCTGGAGTATGTGACTGTTTATAGCAGCATTATTTATAATGACTGAAAACTGGAAACAATGCAATTTTCCATCAATAAAAAAATGAATGAAAAATGTGCTATATTTATACAATGCATTGTTATTTGCTCATTAAAATGAATGAAATACTGATATATGCAACCACATGGACAAACCTTGAAAACATTATGCTAAACAAGAGAAGCCATATGATATATGAATCAAGTCACAGGAAATATACAGAACAGGGAAATTCATAGAGACAGAACATAGATTGCTGGTTTCTTAGGGCTGGGTGGGAGGGGTGACAAGAGTGTGATGGCTAAAGAGTATAGTGTTTCTTTTTGAGAAGACAAACTATTCTAAAATTTTGGTCATGGTTGTAAATATTTGTGAATATATTAAAATCCATGGAATTGGTTTAAATGGGTGAATGACATTTTAAATGGTTGAATTTACAATATGTAAATTATATTTAAATCTGCTTTTAAAAAGCAATGCACAAAGCAAATTTACTAATTTACTACATTTGTAAATGAGTATAAATTAATGAACAAATAACCTGGTAATAGAGACTAAATGGCCATCTGGTTAAGAAAGAGTGTCACTGACAAATAGTATTAAAAGTAATACTTACAAATGTACGCTTAAGAAAGCAGAAAACATTCCAGGCTGGGCGTGGTGGTTCACGCCTGTAATCCCAGCACTTTGGGAGGCTGAGGAGGGCAGATCACAAGGTCAGGAGATCAAGACCATCCTGGCTAACACAGTGAAACCCTGTCTCTACTAAAAATACAAAAAAATAACTGGGCGTGGTGGTGGGCGCCTGTAGTCCCAGCCAGCTACTTGGGAGGCTGAGGCAGGAGAATGGCATGAACCTAGGAGGTGGAGCTTGCAGTGAGCTGAGATCGCACCACTGCACTCCAGCCTGGGCAACAGAGCGAGACTCCGTTTCAAAAAAAAAAAAAAAAGACAAAAAAAGAAAGGAAACATTCCAGAAAAGATTTTCAGGAAAATACATTTTTCTCAAAGAAGTCTGTGTAAGTTGCATACCCCAATGGCCACTTATCTACAATGTCTTACACATGAATTAATATATCTAAAAAACCCACAAACATGAAAATCACAGTTACCTTTGGTCAAAACATTTTGACTTAGAAATCTATGTAATAGATTAAAGATGGCCACAAATTCCTTGGTACTTGTCTCACTAAGAGGTGGAATAGAATTCCTCTCCCTTTGAGTTTGAGTTGAACTTGATGACTTGTTGATTAATGCAATGTCACAAAAGAACAGAATCTGAAACTATCTCATAGGAAGGGCTTACAACTTTCACTCATAGAATCATCTTCCTGGGATCCCTGAGATACAGAAGTCTGAGGCTCCATGCTAGAGAAGCCACTTGTAGGTGTTCTGAGGGATGGTCCCTGTTGAACCCAAACTTCAGGTTCTTCAAGCTAAGGTGCTGAGTGTGTGACTGAAGCAATCCTGGCATTGTTCTGTCATTGATACCACTGAGTGACTTCAGTTGACACAACTTGGAACCAAGAAATGATCCTGCGGAACCCTGCCCAAATGCCTGACCCATGAAATCAAGAAGCACCATAAAATGGTTGCTGTTTTCAGCCACTAAGATTTTGGGTAGTTTGTTTTCAGAGAATACATAGCCAAAACATGCATCTCTTCCATCTCCAATATAACCTATTAGCCTTCCTCACAATTAGTGTTCCATAGAAGAAAGTTTAGGAAACATTAAACTCTTGAAAATATTTTGACTCTATTTCACTGTTTATATTACACTATATAACCTTATATTTCCAATTACATTTATAACATTGAATATAAAAATAGCATTTGTAGGATATCCAGATCCTTTTATTTCACACTAGTTTGAAACACGTTAGTAAGAGCTAAGAGTCAATATTAAATTTTAGGGCTTTCCTTTATCTTCACCTGAAGCAATCTAACGAATTATGAGTCAGCTACCAAAAAAGTATCTCAATTAGAATAGTGAGAGACAAATATGATAAGTCTGGTCAGAATACAGACACTTGCATTAAATTCTCTACAACTTAAAATGCATCTTGATAAGGAAATTTCAACCTTCTTACGAACTCGAGAATTATTTCCAAAAAAACCATTTAGAAAAACAATATATTGAAAATAATTGTATCTTCAAAGACTATTAACATAAATGCAACCATTAGAATATACACTGTGAAACAGCACTGCTTCTAAGAGTAATACCAGCAGCAATATAAAGCAACCATAATACAGTTAAATTTTCATATGACATTTTGGGAAGGCAAATTGTATCTACCTTAGTTTAATTTATTTTCCATTATAAAAAATTTTGTTATTTTCTTATTATGAAATGACAATTTTGTAATGATAAATGTAATATCAAGCTAAAGATGAGCAAAAGCAAGAAAGATGAATAACACGATCTCAATATTTGGAGAATACTAATGTCAACAAATGTCTTCATACTCGGTGTGCTTCTATATACCACTTTTAAAATGGGATCTACTCAAATATTGCTTCAAAATGGCATTTTTTGCTTAGTTCTGAATTTCACGCCATATAAACACTATTATTGGAAACATTATTTGTAAAGCATAGATGATATATTACAAAGCATTAGCATAATTTATTTTTCAATCCTGATCAATCAACATTCAGGATTTTTCAAGTATTTGCTGTTGTAAAAGGGTTGAACTACACATTTTTGCATGTAAGTGGCAGACAAATCTTTAAATATTTATTTGGCTTATAATCTTTGTAGTATAATTGAATGGTCAAGGGGAAGTAAAATTTAAAGACTTTTGACATAAAATGCTACTGCACTGATAAAGGTTTTGTGAATCTATATTCACAATTACTCCCAGATTGTCTAAGACTTTAATAACCTTGTATATTTCATTGGTTTCCAATTTACTGTTTTCAGCTAAAATAGCAATGCTTGATTATAATTTGTATTTCTGTTATTGCCCAGAGAATTTATATATCTAGAATATTCTGCTTGTTCAATTGATAATCTTTTTATTTTCTATGAATTTACCAGTTTTCTTTGCTACTTATTTTTATAGAAGTATGTATTGTTTCTTACTTATTTATAAAATCTGTTTTTATACAAAAAATAATACACTTTGATATGCAGAATAAAATATTTTTCATAGTTAATGTATCAATATTTTTTCTCATTTTACTTTATTTTATTATCAGTAACATTTATTCCATCCCCAGAATCAAACAGATGTTTATGTGCAATTTTATATGAATACCATAGCTTTGGTATTTTTCTACTTTTTATTGTGATAAAATAAACACAGTATAACATTTGCAACCTTAACCATTTTAAAGTATACAGTTTGGTGATATTGAGTTCATTCACATTGTTATACAACCAACACACATCCATCTCCAGAACTCTTTTCATTTTGCACAAATGAAACTCTGCAGACATTAAGCAATAACCCCTCCTTCACCCTCCCCGAGTTCCTGACAATCACCATTCTACTTTCTCTCTCTATGACTTTGGCTACTCTAAATATCTCATATAAAATAGAAGCATTCAATATTTGTTTTTTGTAACTGACTTATTTCACTTAATGTAATGTCCTCAAAGTTCATCCATGTAGGGCAGGGGAGTCCAATCTTTTGGCTTCCCTGGGCCACATTGCAAGAACTAACACTAACGATAGCTGATGAGATAAAAAGAAAAAAAATTACGCACAAAAAAATCTCATAATGCTTTAAGAATGTTTATGAATTTTTGGTGGGCCACATTCAAAGCTATTTTGAGCCACGGGTTGGACAAGCTTTTTGTAGGGTATGTTAAATACATTCATTTTAAAGGATGAATGACATTTCATTGTATGCATACAACACATTTTGCTTATTCTTCATCTGTCATGGACACTTGCGTTTCTCCCATGCTTTAGCTATTGTGAATAATTCTGCTATGCATTAGGATATAGAAAGGACTCCTCAAATTCAATAACAACAACAACCACAAAAAACCTGATTCAAAAACTGGCAAATTACTGAATAGACATTTCTTCAAAAAAGGTATATACATGGCCAATTAGCACATGAAAAGATGTTCAGTATCACTAATCATTAGGGAAATGCAAATCAAAACCACAATGAGATATCATCTCATACCTATTAGCATGGCTACTATCAAAAAACAGAAAATGACAAATATTGGTGAAGATGTGAGGAAACTCCACTCTTTGGAGTATGATATGGTTTGGCTGTGTCCCCACCCTAAATCTCATCTTGGGTCCTTTCTATATCCTAATGCAAAGCAGCATTATTCACAATGGCTAAAGCGTGGGAGCAACGCAAGTGTCCAAGACAGATGAAGAGTAAGCAAAATGTGTTGTATGCATACAATGGAACATTATTCATCTATTAAAATGAATGGATTTAACATACCCTGGTATGCAAATATCTTCTGGAGACCTTGCTTAAGGCTCTTTGGAGTATAATATTTGTTTGGCTGTTTCCCCCACCCCAAATCTCATCTCGAATTGTAATCTCCATAATCCCCACGTGTCAAGGGTGGGACCAGATGCAGGTAATCAGATCATGGGCATGGTTTTCCCCATCTTGTTATTGTGATAGTGAGTGAGTCTCAAGGGATCTGATGGTTTTATAAGCATCTGGCATTTCCCCTGCTGGCACTCACTTTGGCCTGCCACACTGTGAAGAAGGTGCCTGCATCTCCTTTGCCTTCTGCCACGATTGTAAGTTTCCTGAGGCCTCCCCAGCAATGTGGAACTATGAGTCAATTAATCCTCTTTCCTTTACAAATTACTCAGTCTTGGGCGGTTCTTCATAGAAATATGAAAACAGACTAACACAGAGTACATACCCAGAAGTGAAATTGCTGGATCATATAGCAATTAAATTTTCAGTTTTTTTAGAAATGGCCATACCGTTTTCCACAGCGGCTATAACAATTTACATTCTCATCGACAGTGCACAGGGTTTCCAATTTCTTCACATCTTCACCAATATTTGTCATTTTCTGTTTTTTTTGATAGTAGTCATACTAATAGGTATGGAATGATAGATATCTCATTGTGGTTTTGATTTGCAGTTTCCTAATGATTAGTGATGTTGAACATCTTTTCATGTGCTTATTGGCTACTTATATACCTTTTTTGAAGAAATGTCTATTCAGTAATTTGCCAGTTTTTGAATCAGGATTTTTGTGGTTGTTGCTGCTGTTGAATTTGAGGAGTCCTTTCTATATCCTAAACATTAATCCCTCGTCAGATATACGATTTGAAAATACATTTTGCTGTTTCAAAGGTTGCATTTTTATTCTGCTGATAATGTCCTATAATGCACAGAGGTTTTTTATTTTCATGAAATCAAATATTTTTTCTTTTGCTGCTTGTGCCTTTAGTGCCATATCTAACAAATCATTGCCAAATCCAATGTAGTGAAGCTTTCTCCCTATGTTTTCTTCCAAGACAAGATTCTCCATCCTGTGGCCACATGCAGCCCAGGATGGCTTTGAATGTGACCCAAAGCAAATTTGTAAACTTTCTTAAAACATTATGAGATTTTTTTTTGCAGTTTTTTTTTTCTCATCAGCTATTGTTAGTGTTAGTGTATTTTATTCGTGGCCCAAGACAATACTTTTTCTTCCAATGTGGCCCAGGGAAGCCAAAAGATTGGACACCCCTGTTCTAAGACTTTCATAGTTTAGCTCATATGTTTAGGTCTTTGATTCATTTTGACTTAATTTTTGTGTGTGGTTTGTTAGGTAAATGTTCAACTTCATTTTCTAGTAAGTGCATATCCAGTTTTCCTGCACAATTTGTGGAAAATACTGACCTTTCTTTGCTGAATGGTCTTGGCATTCTTGTTGAAAATTATTTAATCACATATTTCTTGGCTCTCTGTTCTGCTCTGTTAGTCTATGTGTCTGTCTTTGTACTTGTGCTTCACTGTTTACATTACTCGAGATTTGTAACAAGTTTTGGAATCAGGAAATGTAAGTCTTCCAAGTTCAAGTTTTCCTTACTTCTTCAATATTTGTTTGGCTATTCAGGGTCCCTTGATACTCTGTACAAATATTATGATAGATTTTTCTAAACCTTTGACAATCATCATTGGGATTTTGATAGGGATTACATTGAATCTGTATAATTCTTTAGGCAATATTGGCATTTTAACAATATTAAGTATTCCCAACCATGAAAATAAGATGTGTTTCCATTTATTTATCTCTTCTTTAATTTCTGTTGGCAATATTTAGTTTTCATTGTACAACACTTTTATTTCCAAGGTTACTTTCACAGGATTTTATTCTTTTTGATGTTATGAAAATGGAGTTGTTTTCTTTATTTCTTTTTTAGATTGTTCATTGCTAGTGTGTAGAAATGCATCTGATTTTTGCATGTGACTTTGTTTCCTGCTACTTTGCTAAATTCAGTCATCAGTTCTAACAGTTTCTCTTCACCCCCCTTGTGTGTGTGTGTGTGATCTTTAGAGTTTTCTACATATAAGATTATGTCATCTGTGAATGTAGGTGGTTTTAATTATTCCTTTTCCATCTATATGCTTTTTATTTCTTTTTCATGCTTAATTGTTCCAGCTAGGAATTCCAGTACTGTGTTGAATAGAAGTGGTGAAAATAAGTATCTTTACCTTGTTCCTGATCTGAGAGGAAATGTTTCATGTCTTTTACCATTGAGTATGATGTTCATGGTGGGTTTTTCATATATGGCTTTTATTATGTTGAGGCAACTTCCTTCTACTCTCAACTTGTTGAGTGTTTTTGTCACAAAAGCGTGTTCAATATTATCAAATGCTCTTTCTGTATTAATTGAGATGATTGTGGGTTTTTTTCCTTTCATTCGGTTAAATGTGATGTATTATACCAATCAATTTCCATATGTTGTACCACGCTTGCATTTCAGGAATAAGTCTCAATTGGCCATGCTGTAGGATCATTTTAAGATGCCATTGAATTCTGTTTACTAATATTTTGCTGAAGACTTTTACATTGATGTTCATAATGAAAATTGGTCTGTAGTTTTCTACTCTTACAATGTCCTTGTTTGGCATTGGTATTAGCATAATGCTGGTTCCATAGATTGAGTTAGGAAGTATTCCCTTCCCTTCAATTTAAAAAAAAAAATTTGAGAAGAATGGTATTAGTTCTTTAAATGTTTGATAGCATTCAGCAGTGCAGCTATCAGGTCCAGGGCCTTTTATTGTCAGGATAATGTTGATAACTGATTTAGTCTCCTAACTAGTTATAGGCCTATTAAGAATTTGTATCTACTTATTATTCAGTCTTAATAGGTTTTGCATTTCTAGGGATTTGTCCATTTTATCTAGGTTATTTTTTTTCTTGGTGTATAATTCTTCTTAGTACCGTCTCAGAATCTTTTTTAAAATATCTATAGACTCAGTGATAATCCTCAGTTTCATTTTGGATTTAGTAATCAAAAATAAGTCTTTACTGTTTATTTTGTTGTAGTCAATATAACTAAATGTTCGTCAATTTTTTTGATCTTTCAAAGAACAAACTTTGGTTTTAATAAATTTTTTTATTATTTGTCTATCATCTCTTTTATTTACTGCTGCTCTTACCTTTGTTATTTCCTTCTGCTAGATTTGGGTTTAGTTTTTTTTTTTCTTTTTTCTTTAGTTGTAAACATAAGTATGTTGTTGATTTGAGATCTTTCTTTTTTTGTTTTTAGTTTAAGCATGTACTATTATAAATTACTATTTAGCACTGCTTTTACCGTGTGCCATAAGTTTTAATATGTTGTGCTTTCATTTTCATTCATCTCTAAGTATTTTCTATTTTTCGTTGTGATTTCCCCTTTGATGCATTGATTGTTTAAGTGTCTGTTGTTGGCCGGGTTTGGTGGCAGGCAGACCACGAGGTCAGCGGTTCGAGACCAGCCTGGCCAACATGGTGAAACACCGTCTCTACTAAAAAATCCAAAAATTAGCCAGGAGTGATGGTGCGTGTCTGTAATCCCAGCTGCTCAGGAGGCTGAGGCTGGAGAATTGCTTAAACCTGGGAGGCGGAGGTTGTAGTAAGCTGAGATCACACCACTGCACTCTAGTCTGGGCGACAGAGCAAGACTCTGTCTCAAAAAAAAAAAAGCGTCTGTTGTTTAATTTTCAAAAATTTTTGAATTTTCCAGTTTTCTTTCTGTTATTAATTTATAACTTTATCTTATTGTGGTTGGAGAAGATAATTTAATCATATATATCTTTTAAAAATTGATTGAGATTTTATTTGTCATTATATATTGTCTATCCTGGAGAATGTTTCAAGTGCATTTGGGAAGACTGTATTTTGTTGTTGTCCATATCTTGTTTTTATTTAAAACATTTAATTAAAAAAAATTAATTCACATATTTTGTGTTACAGAGTTTGGGATAAAATCTTTCTACACAATTTTCCACCTTTAACAATACCATTTTTTTCCTGCATGTTCTCACTTGTAAGTGGGAGCTAAACATTCAGTACAAATGGACACAGAGAAGGGAGCAATAGACACCGGGGCCTACTTGAGGGTGGAGGGTAGGGGTAGGGTGAGGATTTAGAAACTATCCATACTACGGGAGGCTGAGACAGGAGAATGGCTTGAACCCGGGAGGCGGAGCTTGCAGTGAGCCAAGATCGCGCCACTGAACTCCAGCCTGGGCTGCAGAGCGAGACTGTCTCAAAAAAAAAAAAGAAAAAAAGAAAAAAGAAAACTATCCCTACTATGCTTATTACCTAGGAGACAAAATAATCTGTACACAAAACTCCAGGACAATTTCCCCATGTAACAAACTTGCACGTGAACCACCTGGACCTAAAATGAAAGTTGGCAAGAAAAAAAAAAAAATGAAAAGTCAAAAAACAAACTAAAAAAATCGTATTTAATAAAAGCAACTTTTCTTTATATATTTAAACTTATATGTTTATCAATTTATTGTAAATTCTTATAAGTAATTTAAATATGTATCTAGGCTTGCTGGCACATAGCATTGTACTGTCTTCATATTAGCAGTTAGCAGTTATAACTACTGCAGTTTAAATGTGCTTTATCTTTTCATTCTTACATAAAAATATATTGGCAACCTAAGAAAATGTGCACAACATTTATATGAAAAAAGCTACAAGAATCTAATGAAATGAATTTAAAAGATTTAATAAATGGAAAAACATTCCATGTACATGCAAAGGAAGACTTTATATTGCCAGTAATCTATTTTTTTCCAAATTCATCTATAAAGTCAATGTAATCCCAATAAAAGTTCCAGCAAGTTATTTTGTGGATGGATATTGGTGAATTTATTCTGAAGTTTATTTAAGTAAAAGGTAAAAGACTAAGAATAGTCAACAACATTGAAGGAGGAAAAACAAAGTCAGTAGGCTGACACTATCTGACATCAAGACAGTATAGTATTAGTTTTTGTTTGTTTGTTCGTTTGTTTGTTTGAGACGGAGTCTCGCTCTGTCCCCGGGGCGGGAGTGCAGTGGCAGTGATCTCGGCTCACTGCAAGCTCCACCTCCCGGGTTCACACCATTCTCCTACCTCAGCATCCCCAGTAGCTGGGACTACCGGCGCCCGCCACCACGCCCGGCTAATTTTTCGTATTTTTCAGTACAGACGAGGTTTCACTGTGTTAGCCAGGATGGTCTTGATCTCCTGACCTCGTGATCCGCCTGCCTCAGCCTTCCAAAGTGCTGGAATTACATACGTGAGCCAACGCGCCCAGCCAGTATTAGTTTTTTAAAAAGACAAATAGATCAATGGAACAGAATAGAGAACCCAGAAGTTGACCTATGCAATTACTCTCAGTCAATCCTTGACAAAGGGGCAATGAGAATTCAATAAAGATGGGTATTTTTTTTTTTTTTTTGAGACAGTTTCTTGCTCTGTTGCCGAGGTTGGAGTGCTGTGGCATGATCACAACTCACTGCAGCCTTGATCTCCCAGGCTCGCCCAATCCACCCACCTCAGCCAACTTGAGTATCTGAGACTACCAGCATTCACCACCAAGACCAGCTAATCTTTAAATTTTTTATTTTTTGTAGAGAATGGGATAGACTTATGTTGCCCAGGCTAGTCTCAAACTGCCTGGCTCAAGTGATCCTCCCACCTTGGCCTACCAAAATGTGGTGTGAGCCACTGCATTCAGCCAATACTTTTAATAAATGGTGATGTTTCTGAATAAACTGGGCATACACATACCAAAACTGAAAAAAAATCTGGACACAGACCTTATACCTTTCACAAAAACTAACTCGAAATGGATTGTCAGCCTAAAAGTGAAATGCAAAACCATAAAGCCTACTAGATGAAAACAGAAGGAAATCTAAGTGGACTTGGTTTTGGTGATGACATTTTGGATACAATATCAAAAACACAGTTCATGAAAGGAAAAATACATAAGTTGAACTTTATTAAAATTAAAAACTTCTGCTTTGCAAAAGCATTCCTTAAGAGAAAAAAAAGATTGTTGCAAAAAACATATCTGACAAAGGACTATCAAAAATATACAGAAGCCTTTAAAATTAAACAATAAGCAAACAAAAATCCAACTTTAAAAATGGGCAAAAATTTGAATATACACTGCACCAAAGAAGATATACAGATGGCAAATAAGCATATGAAAAAGTGTTCAACATCAAATACAATTTGGGAATTGCAAATTATGATAGAGATATCACACTACATACCTCTTAGCATGGCTTAAAACAAAACACGAACACTGTGAAAGGCTGGTGAGGATACAGTTCACCAGGAACTTTCCATTTACTTCTGGTGTGAATGCAAAATGGCACAGCTGCTTTGTGACATAGTTTGCAGTTTCTTTCATAACTAACATACTCTTACCATGTGATGCAGTAGTCATACTCTGGTATTTACCCAGATGAGTTGAAAAGTTGTGTCCTCACAAAAAGCTGAACATGGACATTTATAGCAGTTTTATTCATAATTGCCAAAACTTTAAAGCAACAAAGATGTTCCTCAACAGGTGAATGGATAAAATAACTAGTATATTCATAATATATAATACTATTTGGTGATTAAAAAATAAAGGGGCACAAAAAAACCATGCAGGAATTTTAAATGCATATGGCTTAGTGAAATCCTCAGTTTAAAAAAAGACTACATACTGTATGATTTCAACTATTTGACTCTGTGGAATAGAAAAAAATCTATGGAGACAATAAAATCATCAGTACTTTCCAGGAGTTCCAGGAGTTGAAGGAAGAGGTAAATAGGGCATTTTTAAGGCAGTGGAACTATTCTGCCCAACACTGTAATGTTGGATACAAGTCATTATACATTTGTCATATCTCACAGATTGTACACCGAGAGTGAACATTTATGTAAACTATGGATTTCAATTAATAATAATGTATTCAATTGTCTCATCAATTGCTATAAATGTACCACGCTAATACAAGGCATCAACTTTTACAGGCAAAAGAGAAATAGAAAAATAACGATAGTTATCTTTATTTTGTAGGAGAAAAATAAAGGAAAAGAAAGGAGAAATTGTAACAGTTGTTCATCTGCTTTTCTTCCTTGCAAACTCGTTTCACATTAGAGGCCTTGCACTGATCTGAGCATTTTGTTTCCATGTGGACATAGTGTGGGTGATGTCTCTAGTACCACCTGACCATGCTGGCCTCTGCACTCTTGGTTCCTAGATTCTTTTAGAATGGGGAAAGAATCTATATTGTTGTGGAAACCAAAAAGTGTGATTACTACAGACCCACTTCTTGACAGTGTTCTCTTTTCTTCCACCATCAGGCACCTGCCCCTGACACACATGCATGCCACTGTCTACTAGAAACAGCTCCCTAGCTGACTGGTTCATAGCCCTCAAACTCATCTATTCGAAAATGAAACATGTTTCTTTAGCCCTTTTCTTTCTAAGGTTCTGGAAGAAAAGTGGGTAGTTAGTCATTTTTGTCTTGACCATTTTACCTTCCTTACGTAGACTTTGACATTAGAAATAAAGATATTTCTCTGGCCAGATCCTGTGGCCAATTCCAACGTATAACATTTATTTAGTTATATCAAATGCCAAATATTCTTAAGATAAGTAATGGTTGTCTACTTTGTGCAACTATGAAGCCAACATATTATCAATTTGTAAATGTGCTGTGGGTTTTGTAAAAGAAATGTATTATTTGCTTATATTATGCATAATAAAACATATAAATGTAGTAGATTTACATGATTATTTTCTATATTACTCAGATCTTCTATCTACCAGTTTAATGCTTAAGTGATACATATTACAGTCTTGCATTACATCTTCCTCTTTTTTTTTTCTTTTTTTGAGACAGAGTGTCACTTTGTCGCCCAGGCTGGAGTGCAGTGGCACGATCTCTGCTCACTGCAACCTCCGGGACTCAGACAATTCTCCCTCCTCAGCCTCCCTAGTAGCTGGGATTACAGGTGCCCGCCATCACATTGGGCCAATTTTTGTATTTTTAGTAGAGATGGGGTTTCACCATGTTGGCCAGGCTGGTCTTGAACTCCTGACCTTAGGCGATCTGCCTGTCTTGGCTTCTCGAATTACTGAGATTATAGGCATGAGCCCACCGTGCCCCCATCTTCCTCTTTTAACAATTTTGAAATATACATGCAATGCCATGATACTTTCTATTAGTTCCTTTGATTTCACTTCAAGACTTCTCCACCAACATAAAACAACAATTTTTGGTTATTTCTAAAGTTTTATTTTGTTTGAAGGGTATTATAATCATAATACCATATTTTCCTTACAATATGGAAGATAGAGTTGGTTTTTTGTTGTTTGTTTGTTGGTTTGTTTTCTTTTTTGTTTAAGGCAGAGTCTGGCTCTGTTGCCCAGGCCGAAGTGCAGTGTGCAATCTTTGCTCACTGCAACCTCTGCTTCCTGGGCTCTAGCCATCTTCCCTTGAGTAGCTGGGATTACAGGCACCCGCCCCAACGCCTGGCTAATTTTGCATTTTTAGTAGAGACTGGATTTCACCATGTTTGCCAGGCTGGTCTCTATCTCCTGAGCTCAAGCTGTCCACTCGCCTCGGCCTCCCAAAGTGCTGGAATTAGAGGTGTAAGCCTAAGATAGAGTTTTAATTTTGCATATTTAAGAAAATATTTTATATAACTTTAGAAGAAAGTCTTACAAATATCATGTGCTTGAATTTTGTTATCTTTTAAAAAATCAAAAGATTCTTTAGTTTCTTAATATAATTTATTTAAAATTTATTTTTGCAACAGACAATTCAATAATCAGCATTTTTAAATTTCCCATTTTTAAGGCATTGCTGATTGTTTTATTTGCCTTCATTTTTTTCCCCAGAGTTGGAGAAGGTATAGAGTATTTTTTATAGATACTGATGGCTAAATGTATTTTTTTCCAAAATCATTTTTTGACAGCTATTTTCTTTCTCTCGTTATATGATCGAGTGAGTTCTTTCCATGAAATAAAGGAGTTTCTGTTTTATCTTCACTTACTCAACTTTAATTAAAATTTTTAATTTAAGCCATACCTACCTACAATTTAGAATTAAAGAGTTTTCACAAGAATAAAAAAAAAAAACAAAACAATAAAAAACAGAAATCTCTCAATACCATCCTGTATTCTATATTCCACAGAGCAAATCTGCTCAATTCTTTTAGATGCTGTAAATTTAAAAATATACATTTATTACTACATTTCTAAATGACATGCTGAAACTGGTGCAAATTTTAATTTTTTTGTTTTTGTTTTTGGTGTTTTCCATTGACCACCCATATAGAAGAGTGACAGAGAGAGAGAGGGAGAGAGAAAGAGATGGTTGGAGGAGAGAGAGAGAGAGAAAAAGAGAGAGACAGAGAAACCAAGAGGAATTTCATGTTCTCTCTATTTCATCAGGACTATGAAATACTAATAGTAAAAGAGGCATATTTTAGGGTTTAACGATTTTCATTCCTGCTCTTTTAATTTTCTCTAGTGTTAGTAATCATTTTTGAGAATTTGTTTCACTTTTTAAATAACTTATTAGTTAATTATCGAATCCCCTCCCAATTACTAGTGTTCTCTACAGATGTATTCAAATATATCAGACATTCTGTCATTTCCTTCCACTTGATAAAATTTCTTCTGGTGCTTTCTAGAACTCCTCCCAACAGGACAATATTTTCTTCAGACTTGCACACTGTCTTATTTTGGCCGAACATCATTTCTGCTAGCCTTGTGAAATATAAACAAAAGTTTGAAGCCTATTTCTAAAAATAACTTTATTCTGATTTGATCATTTTGTGACAGTTTTATTGTGCAGAGTCTCTACCAATATGTAAGAATATGACCAAATGGTAGCATGTACACTAATATGGCAAACATAATTCTTCTCATCTCAATTGAATGTTAAGTAAATTCTCTTACTCGTTTTTATGGCCAGCCCTGTTATAAGCTAGTAGTCCTCAAACTTTACATTCCTAAAATTATTAAGGACCTATAGAGATTTTGTTTACATGAATTATAGTGCTGATATTGACTGTATATAAAATTATGATAGAAATTTTAAAATATGTATTAATTCACTAAAAATTATAATAAACTGATTACATGTTAATGTTAGCATGTTTTAAATGAAAATAAATAATAAACTGATGATATACAAATCATTTTATAGTATCATAGAAGTGTAATTGTTTTTATTTAAAATCTCGAGTTTGATTATATTATTTTCATCTGTCTTATCATAAGTGTCTTATGGATGTTTATTCATGCCAGATAGCTCCAGTCCATATTTTCAATATTATCCTGAAGAAAAGTAATATAATTTTTACTGTTTTTTTTTTTTTTTTTTTTTTTACATTTTTGCAAGTCTCTTTAATGTCTGGCTAAATAGTAGAGCTGGATTCTGATAACTGTTCCTGCATTCAGATTGTTACTATGTATTGTTTTCACTGATGTATAGGAAGAAATACTGGCTTCACACAGATGTGTAGTTGAAAGGGGGAAGAATATTTTATTGGCTTTCTCTAATATTTCAGCTCTTCTTTGAGATTTTACTAAAACACAGCAGGTGGTAGTTTTTTAAAAGGTGTATTGTAGAATCTAAATCCGTATTAATAACTTTTTCACACTCTGTTACATTGAAATTCAGTGTATATTTTGCATTTTGAATGGATTATTTTACTCATGTACAACTAGGTAATTTCATTCATTAATGATTTGGAAAATATGGATTTACTGATTTATTCATCTCTGAAATCTTGACACATAAAAATATGTGTATAAAATATTATGGTTATTAATATCATTACCAATATCATCAGAAAGGTGTAAGTTTTAGAAAGCTGCCTACTTCAAGGCAGCCAATTCAAATTTTGAAAACTTCTACAATTTTACCTTGATAGTTAATAATTTTATCATTTGCAAAAAATAATAATAATAAAATACTGTCAGTTGTTTTCCTGGAAGTGACAACCTCTTTTTTTATTCTCAAAAAAAAAATCTTTCTAAATATCCAAGTCTGAATGGCCTTATTTTGTCTGCCATTTTTTTCTTTCAATTAAAAATAGTATTCCATGAAAAAAGCAACCAGTCTAGTTTACAACTCAGTCTACATGTGTTTTCATGGAAATAAACATTGAGCAGCAGAAGTGTTTTATCTGTAGTCCCATTTTGTCAAACCAAATATATAAAAAGACATATACGGCCGGGCGCGGTGGCTCAAGCCTGTAATCCCAGCACTTTGGGAGGCCGAGGCGGGTGGATCATGAGGTCAGGAGATCGAGACCATCCTGGCTAACAAGGTGAAACCCCGTCTCTACTAAAAATACAAAAAATTAGCCGGGCGCGGTGGCGGGCGCCTGTAGTCCCAGCTACTCGGGAGGCTGAGGCAGGAGAATGGCGTGAACCCGGGAAGCGGAGCTTGCAGTGAGCCGAGATTGCGCCACTGCAGTCCGCAGTCCGGCCTGGGTGACAGAGCGAGACTCCGTCTCAAAAAAAAAAAAAAAAAAAAAAAAAAAGACATATACTTGGGGATGTTTCTTAAAAATAATAACTTTCACTGCTTCATCAAGATTGAAAATATTCCTAAATGAAATTGGCATCTTTTTTTTTTATTTTTTAAATTCCAAGTAGATAGCAGTTAAGAAAATAGTGACTATTTGTAGAGCTTGTTGCCACTGCCATGATTTATGCTAAGATGTACAAATCACGCACTATTGCTTTGGTAACATCAGAGAAAATGTCAACACAGGAAAATGGCAAACACTTAGTATTGATATAGAAATAATTTTAACCCGCCGGGCACGGTGGCTCAGCCTGTAATCCCAGCACTTTGGGAGGCCGAGGTGGGCGGATCACGAGATCAGGAGATGGAGACCGTCCTGGCTAACATGGTGAAACCCGTCTCTACTGAAAATACAAAAAAATTAGCCAGGCGTGGTGGCGGGTGCCTGTAGTTCCAGCTGCTGGGGAGGCTCAGGCAGGAGAATGGCGTGAACCCGGGAGGCGCAGCTTGCAGTGAGCCTAGATCACACCACTGCACTCCAGCTTGGGCGACAGAGCGCAACTCCGTCTCAAAAAATAAAATAAAATAAAATAATTTAAAAAAAGGAATAATTTTGACCTGTGAACTCGCTTGAGATGGTCTTGGGTCCCTAAAGTATCTGAGTGTAACATGTTGAGTACTGCTGATACTGGTTTCAAATTTCATAATTACAGCATTGATGATAGAAATATACAAATCATTTTATAATATCATTTCATAGTATCATAGAAGTATAATTTTTATGATTTAAAATCTGAAGTTTTATTATTTTCATCTGTCTTATGAATGTTTATTCATGCCAGATAGTGCCAGTCCATATTTTCAAGTGAGTTTTTACATTTTTGATTATTTTCCTGGCTATTTTAGTGAAAATGTAGAGAACTGGAATTGACATTTTTAACCAGATACTATTTTGAGTTAGAAGTGATTAAATTTTGGGGAACAGTATTGGTTCAGTACTCAGCAAATGCGAACATACATGATGATATGCAAATAAACCTCAGCCAGTGGAGGAGACTCAACTACAGCATTCTTTTTTTTTTTTTGAGTTAGAGTCTTGCTCTGTCTCCCAGGTTGGTGTGCAATGGCTCAATCTTGGCTCACTGCAACCTCCACCTCCCAGGTTCAAGCCATTCTCCTGCATCAGCCTCCTGAGTAGCTGGGATTACAGGTGTGCACCACCATGCCTGGCTAATTTTTTTTGTATTTTTAGCAGAGACGGGGTTTCACCATATTGGCCAGGCTGGTCTCGAACTCCTGACCTTGTGATCCTACCACCTCAGCTGCCCAAAGTGCTGGGATTACAGGCGTGAGTGACTGCGCCTGGCCTACAGTCAGCACTCTTGAACACATACGGACCTACGGAATCTCTTCACAGAGTTTGTTTCGTCATGTCTCAAGTGTTGAACAGGAACATGACCACATGCCCAGAAATTATATAGACTCTGTATTATATATCTTATATGCTAACTGCTATCTTTATACCGTAGTACAATGGAAGAGTGGCCGCAGGGGCCAGAGGAAAGGCAGCACAATCACACAGGCGGACAGTTGGAAGCTTGCATCAGTTGAGAGAATGGTAGTTTAATATATTTTAGTCTATCGCCTCTCACACGTGAGATAATCCAAAACCTCAGTAAATACATTTAAATATGTAAACTATAATAAGCAGAAATGAGTTTTAAAAGGCTTAATGATACTTAAACTAGTTATTTAGAAGTGCAAATTTCCACATTTATCCAAGATCATCAAGCCTCCAGCAATGACTGATTGGGCTACCCTATGTGCAATGCCATTTAAAAGCAATAACTTGAAAATATTCAATGAAATATGGCCTTTTTCCTTTGCAATCTATAATTAAAATGTCAATTTTATCTCAGTAATCTATGTACATTTACATTTAGAATGAGCAAATTAAGTTTTTATTATAGCCTGGAGTACTTATTGTTCCTTTTTATGTTTGGGCATTTTTAAGGGAAGAGGAAAGAATGTTAAACCAGAAAAGCATTTGAAAAATGACCCCTGCAACTGGTAATAATGTAGCAAGTGTAACTTTGTAAGATGACATGTAGGTGGTTATTCAAAACCATCACAGTATTAGATGCAAGAGGGCTAGTTTAAACATAGGAAAGCCAATAGCACTATAAGTGAGCATTTATTTTCAATGGTCATAATTTACATGCTATAAAGGAGCCATCTGAGAAAATGTGTTAGTGTGCACTGCAGAAGAGTAGTCAGAAGATAAAAATCAGCATAGACTTTTAAAGTAACTCTATCTTCCATTTAAGGGTATTTTGCTAGTCATAGCAGCTGGGAAAACTCATTAAGTTACTGGAAATGAGCCTAGCTCTGCCTTTATTATCAGTGCTGTGATAAAGCCTCCCGGACTGCAGGAAAGAACTGTTAAAGAAAGGGCTGTGTGGCACTCATTTTTTATAGAGTCGCATGTTTTTGTAATAACAAATGTAGTTATAAAACACAAGATGTTTTTCATTCCCAAACTGGTTGAAGGGAGAATCTTGGAAAGGGAGGAATTTATGTTAGGTGCAATTTGCATATTGCAGGAAGATGCTTTACATATTTATGTTCTCCCTTCTTTGCGAGTGCTGATTTCCAAGTAATGCTGCTGCCAGTATCTTTTGTCCAATAGTAGGATTGAGTGGAGGTGGAAGAGTAGATGGAATGAGAGCAGGACCTTAAATCAGAGGTAACCCATCTTTCTCCATAATGCAACAGTGAATTCATGAGGAGAGTATGGATTTGGGAAAGAAAACATTGCTATATGCAAAGTGTTTCAAATTATTATTCTCATTCTACAAATAAAGAAAACGAAGTGAAGGGTCTAATAAAATGCCTATACGCAGTGCCTAAATGCCTTTACTGCACTTAACTAAGTGCAGTAAAGATGGATTCAAACCCAGACCCTCCTGATTCTGAAGTCCATATTTCCGGCATTGGCCCATGTGCACCTTGCTTTCTAGTTCTACAGGTATCTCCACCTCTCTGCACACCCTGCCCCTGGCTCCCTGCTGTCCTCCTTCCAAGAATGTGGAATATTTTTAATATTTCCAGTTTAATTTTGAGTTATGAATGTTACTAACTGCAAATCTTCATCTTACAAGTGAATTATTTGTTTGATTCTGTATGAGAATCTAATTATCAATAAGCATCTATAGCTTTATGCTTGTTACCCAAATGTGTGTGTGTGTGCACGTTAAAAATATCATAGTAAAGTTACCATTTAAAAGAAGCTTTGTAAATTTCATCAAATTCAGATAGCATTAGGATGACATTGTAAATTCATTCAAAACTTATTTGCTAAATTTTCATAATGTGGAAGCCATATAGAACATGCAAAAGTGAATGTTGCAGAGGTTCCAAAACCCAAAATGTCTCCATGCCAAAGATGGATGCAATAAAAACTACAATTACAGAGGAGACAGATCTCTCTCTCTCTCTCTCTCTCTCTCTCACTCTCTCTCTCTGTCTCTCTTTCTCTCTCTTTTAAGAAAAAATGAGGACTTCCGGTTCCAGCCAATGTGAAATTGTCTTATTTCTCCCAGGTCTCGCTCTTACAAGTAAAAGTCCCTGGACATAACAACAAACATAGAAAGACTCTGAAAGGTGACAAGGAGAAGATAGCTGTTTAGGGGGCTCAGGACTTGAGGAACAACATGAAAGCATGTTCACTTGGCTTTCTTTGTGCCTCTCGAATACACCAGAAGCCTTCAAATTGGAACCACAAACAAGCGCGGACAAAAAAGGTCCAAGAAAAGTCTCCCTTTTCTAGCCAAAGAACTCGGAAAAGGGTAGTGTCTATCACAGAACGCAAAGGCTTTTTATTAGTATCCACTCCATTGTATACAAGCACTAATGGAAAACTACCCTCTACCACCACTGTGGTTCCAACAGGCCTGAGAGGAGAAGCAATTTTTTTTTTTTAATCCAATCCTTGCGCCATGGGAGTGGGAAGCAGCCCTCAGAGTTCTCCCTCCAGTGCCCTCACCAGGAATCGGCACGTCGTATTCTTTTATCCTCACTCAGCGGGCATGAGCAGTCCTCCAACCTTTCTGGGAGAGTAATATCAGAAGGGCAGACCAGAGAGCTGATCTTCCTCCTCCGCCCAGTGGAAGCAGACAACGGTTTAATTCAGCTGCTGAAGTAGTGTCAGTGGGGCCAAGTAGGAAGGTAATGTTCCACCCATGCTTGGCAGAGGCACGTGGTTCTCTGATTCTCCTACCAGGATAGGGTCAACAGAATCTTGTTAGAATCTCAGCTTCTACACCCACCTGATGGCAACAACAGTAACAAAGCAGCGCAAGGAACGACAGTCGCCACTCAGAGCACACCAACTCCCCAGTGCTATGGGGCCAGTGGGAGCTGAGCTTCCACACTCGTAGGCAGCAATAAGACTGAATGGGGCAGTGGGCGGCTGGGTTCAGCAAGACTATTTCCCCTCAACTACCTGATGTCAGCAGGGCTCACTGAGAAGCTGAGCCTCCAGCCTCACTCAGCAATCAATGAGTTAAAAAAAACAACAAAGGTCATGGGATTTGGGGCTGGTATGTGAACCACTTCCACCTCTCCTTTTTTATAGAATCAGTGGGGAGCTGGGCTTATCTCCTCACCCTGTAGCAACAAGAAAGTGTGAGTCAGCCCTCAGCGTCCCCCCTCCTTGGCACTAATGGGGCACAGGAGGAAGATCAAGGTCCACCGTTCTCATCAGCAATGAGGCAGTGGGACTCAGTGCCCCACTTTTGTTTAGGTAGTTTTGGCAGGGCCAGCAGAAACCTACACACATACAACCACCTGACTTTCTTGCTAGAACTTAACAGGAAGACTGTCTGCCAAGAATAAAGATTAAATAATATCAGGGTTTTTTATAAGATCCAAAATATCTGGGATAAAAATAAAAAAAAAACACACCTCTTATTGTACTAAAAGAGTTTTCTTGCTATACTAAAAAGATGAATCAAAATTCTAAACAGAAAAAAATAATAATCAAAAGATGCCAACATATGAACTGATACTTCTCAAAAGAAAACATACAAGTGGGCAACAGATATCTGAAAAAAATGCTTAACATCACTAATCATTGGAGAAATGCAAACCAAGACCACAATGAGGTACCATTTCACAGTAGTCAGAATGGCTATTACTAAAAAGTCTAAAAACAACAGATACTGGTGAGGCTGTGAAGAAAAGAGACTGTTTATACACTGCTGGTGAGAATGTAAATTAGTTTGGCCACTGTTGAAAACAATTTTGAGATTTCTCAAAGAACTAAAAATGGAACTATTTGACCCAGCAATCCCATTGCTGGCTATATAGCCACAAGGAAATAAATCATTCTACCAAAAAGACACATGCACTCACATGTTTATCGCAGCACTATTCACAATAGCAAAGACGTGGAGTGAACCTAGGTTCCCATCAGTGGTGGAATGGATGAAACAAATGTGGTACCTATACACCATGGAATATTATGCGGCCATAAAAAAGAGTAAAATCATGTCCTGTGCAGCCATTAATGCAGCTGGAGGCCATTATACAAAGTGAATTAACACAGGAAGAGAAAACCAATATTGTATGTTCTCACTTATAAGTGGTAGCTAAGCTTTGGTACTCATGGGCGTAAGCTTTGGGTACTCATGGGCATAAAGATGGCAACAACAGACACTGGGCACGTCTAGAGAGAAAAGGGAGGAAGGGAGCAATGGTTGAAAAACTACCTATTGCATACCATGCTCATTACCCGGGTGACAGGATCAATTGTACCCCACACCTCAGCATCACATGACATACCCACGTAACAAACCTGCACATGTACTCCCTGAATCTAAAATAAAAGTTGCAATTATTAAAAATAAGACGTCAACACTGAGATGAATCAGATGTTAGAATATTCAAAGATTTTAAAACAGCCATGATTAAAATGCTTTAACAAACAATTATGAATTCTTTTAAAGCAAATAAAAATACAATAATTTAAAAATTACTTTAAAATGTAGAGATGGAAACACTATATAATGCAGAGGTAGTAATTATAAGATTGAGTAGCCTCTAAATAGAGGAAGAAGTAAATTTTGAAGAAAATCACAGAATTTTTCCAAATTACGCTGGGAACTGACTATTTAATATAAAGAATGAAAGCAAGAAGGCAATAAAATGATATTTTCAAGTGCTTAAAAAAATTTATGACTTGCAAAACTTACACTACAAGAATGACTAAAAGGTAATTTTGAAGCAAGAAATATCTCAGAGAGAATCATGGATATTGTGATGGTTAATTTTATGTGTTACCTTGACTGAGCCATGGACTGCCCAGCTATTTGGTCAAACATTATTGTGTGTCTGCGAGGCTTTTCATAGATGAGATAAACATTTGAATTGGTGGACTGAGTAAAGAAGATTGCCTTCCCTAATGCAAGTGGCCCTTATCTAATCAGTTGAAGGCCTGAATAGAACAAAAAGACTGACACTTCCACAAGTAAAAGGAAATTCCCCCTGTCTGATGATCTTGAGCTGGGATATAAGTCTCTATTTGGTTGTGAATTCCAACAGAAACACTGACCTTTCTTAGGCCTCAAGCCTGCAGGCTTTTGGACTAGAACTATATCATCTGCTCTCCTGGGTCTCCACTAGCTGACTGCAGATCTTGGTACTTCTCAGCTTCTAAAATGACATAGCCAATTTCTTATCTATCTATCTATCTATCTATCTATCTATCTATCTATCTATCCATGCCATCCCTTACTGGTTCTGGAGAGCTGTGACTAATACAGATGTACAGAAAAGAATGGAGAACAATAAAAGACAATAGATAAGTGGCTTTTCAAGTTCAAGTATCTAAGCATTGTGCTTAACAGAAAGATTATGATACTTAATATTGAATCTTTTCTAATGTAAGGTCAAGAGAGTATATTATAAAATATATTAATATGTACATATTATCAATGAAGTATCAACAAAATGATAAAAAAGATGCATTTAACATTAAAGGACACAGATTGAACAAGTCAAAAAAATCAACAACTGTTGAGCCATCAAATAAGTAAGAACACAACATAAAACCCTGTCCCAAAGACTGGAGACGCAGGCAGATACAGGGAATTAGCTTATTGGAGCAGGAACCCCTGAGCACAAACCTCCATGGGGATCAGTGCTGGGGCAGAAAATCCTGACTCGCATTTGATGAATTGCTGCAGACATATGTTGGGCAAGTCTCAGATTTAAAATTCTAAGGGGCCCAGCCATAAGAGTATCCCTGCTTTTGTGAATTTTACCCATAGGAGGCCTACCAGGACCACATAGTAAATACCTAAGAAAAAATTCTTTCTTTGCTTCTGATAAAGAGAAAAAAAAATAACTTTTTTTTTTTTTTGAGACATGGTCTTATTCTGTAGCCCAGGCTGGAGTGCAGTGGCACAATCTCAGCTCACTGCAACCTCCACCTCCTAGGCTCAAGCAATTCTCCTGCCTCAGCCTCCCGAGTAGCTGGGATTACAGGATCCTGCCACCAGATCTGGCTAATTTTTGTATTTTTAGTAGAGACAAGGTTTCATCATGTTGGCCAGGCTGGTCTCAAATTTCTGATCTCAAATGATCCAACTGCCTTGGCCTTCCAAAGTGCTGGGATTACATGTGTGAACCACCACACCCAGTCAATAATTTTTAAATCCCCCGGAACATTCTGTTCTTAACAAGGCCTACCTCAGGTGAAACTCAGAGCATAACCTGCTGGGGGAAGGAAAACACCCCCCAAACCAGCCTCCTCTAGCCCTTCTGTCCCACCTTAATGGGAAGCAAACATTAGACACATGCTTGAAGTTTACAACACAGGGGCACAGGCTCGCCACAGGATGAGACCTGCTCGTAGGACTGTAGAATGCTTCTCCTGCTCCATGCCTCATTACCACAGCACTAGAGCCCTATTTATACAGTTTCTTTCACCCATTTCATCATGCCTTGCTATCAAGGAAAAACCATAAGGCATAAGGTAAACCATAAGGTAAAAATAACCAACCAACTGGACAAACTAGCCAGTTTAACAGACTGATCAAGCATCAGAACCAAAGTCAAATATGGCAAGAATGTTGGCTTTATGAGACCACAGATTTTTAAAGACTGTAATCAATATGCTAAGGGCTTTAATGCAAAAATTAGACACCATCTAAAAACAGATGGACAATGGAAGCAGAGAGGTGAAAATTCTTTAAAGGAATTTGAAAACTGCTTGAGATCAAATCACTGTACAGAAATGAAGACTGCCTGTAGTAGGTGCACTAGTAGACTGGACACCGCTGAAGCATGAATCCTTGAGCTTGAGGTTATCCCAATAATCTTAAGGATATTTTAAAACTAAAAAGCAAAGAGAAAAAAAGTGAAATAAAAAACAACAAAATATCCAAAAGCTGTGAGACAACTACCAAACGTGTAACATACACACAATTGGAATATCAGAAAAAGAGAGAAAAAAATAGAAGTAACAGTAGAAGAAACAGTGACTACTAACTTCCCCAGTTTAATTTCTGACACCAGACTGCAGATCCAGGGAGCTCAGAGAACACCAAGCAGAATAAATGTCAAAAAAATCTACACATACAAGTATTATATCCAAATTTCAGAAAACAAAGATAAAGAAAAAAATCTTAAAAGAAACCAGAGGAAAATGAACACTTTATCTTGAGGAGCAATCTGACTTCTCCCTAGGAATAATGTAAGCAAGAAGAGAGTGGATATTTTAATCATTGAGAGTAAAAAAATTCCACTAACCTAGAATTCTTTGCCTTGCAAAATTTTTCTTCAATAGTGAAGGAGAAATGCTTTCTAAGATAATCAAAAATTGAGGAAATTTGTGGAGATCAGACCTGTCTTGCAAGAAATATTTAAAAAGTCCTTCAGACTGGAGGAAAATGATACAGGTCAGAAACAGATCTACATAAGGAAAAGAAGAGCATCAGGAAATGAACAAAAGAATGCAAAATAACTTTTATTCCTCTTATTTGTAATTTATCTAACAGATAACTGTGCATTCAAAATAGTAATAACCACAATTTATTTGATTGCATACATAAACTTTATATATATTTATATGATAAAATAAAATGAACATACATATTTTACATATAAATAAAATGAATGACAACAATGACACAAGGGGCCAGAGGGAGAAATTAGGAATATTTTGTTTTATAATAAGGTACTTGCACTCCATGTGTTGTGGTCTAGTATTATTTGAAAGTGGACTTGGATCAGTTGTAAAAGTATCTTGCACACACTAGGGCAACCACCAAAAAGGGCAACAAATAAAAACACTAGCAATTATGATAAATAAAATTCTAACTATATCAATAATCATTTCAAACACCAGTAGTCCAAATATGCTAATTATAAGACAGATTGTCAGAGTGGATTGAAAAACAAGATTCAATTATATGTTGTCTACAGGGAACCTACTTTAAATATAAAGAAACATATGAATCAAAAGTGAATGAAGAAAAAATATACCATGCTTATACTTATCAAAAGAAAGTGAAAGTAGCTATATTAATTTCTAACAGAGAAGATTTCACAGGAAGGAATATTATCTATTAGGTATAAACAGGGACATTATAATATAATAAAGGAGTAAATGCTCCAAGAAGACATACAATTTTTAATGTGTACATGCCTAACAACAGCGTCCAAATACAAGAGACAAAGGGTGATAGAACTGCAAAGAGAAATGGATGAATCAACTGTCATAGTTGGAGACTTCAACATCCCTCTCTCAGAAATGGACAGATCCAAAGGCAGAAAATCAATAAAGAAATATTTAAATTCAACATCGCCGTCAATCAACTGGTTATGATCGACATCTATAAATGATTTCATTCAACAACAGTAGATTACACATCTCTTCTTTAAGCTCACACAGAACACTCACTAACAGAGACTGCCATGTTCCTGGCCACAGAAGATGGCTCAACATAAAGTGTCTGCTCTCAGACCACGGTGAAATTAAGCTGGAAGTTCTGACAGAAAGATAGTGGGAAAATCCCCAAATACTTGATTATTAAACAATACACATCTAAGTAACACATGGGTTAAAGAAGAAATATTTTGAAATAAGTAAAAATGAAAATAGAACTTGACAAACTTTGTAGAATGTAGCAAAAGCAGTGCTTAGAGGAAATTTTATAACATCAAATGCATGCATAAAGAAGAAAGATCTAAAACTAGTAAAAGAAGAGTAAGTTAAATCCAAAGTAGGCAGAAGAAATAATTAAAATAATAATAAAGGAAGCTATGAACATATATCTGAACATGTACTTTTCATTCAATTTTTCTGTGAACCTAAAACTACTATAAAATAAATTTGATAAAGAAAAAAGCACATATTTAGCAACATAGAAATAGCTAGACACTTCTTTAGTGAATAAACAGTATTCATAAAATACCTGTAATAATCAAGATATTTAATGGAAAAACATTTAAAATGCTCTTTTAAATGGTCAACCATATAAAAAAGCTGTCTTTCCCATCTCTTTTATTCAGTGAGGCAAAGAAAAGAAATGAGAGATAAAAATGATTAAAAAAAACTGCCATTATTTGCCAATGATATGACTGTTTATGTAGAAAATTTATGATTAGATAAATTGTTGCTGTTTAAAATGAGTTATTAAGTCTGTATTATTTCATGACAATTTATCCTCCATGTAGCACAGTAGTAGGCATAGAGGAGAGGCTTAAACATTCTCATTGTTTCTAATGTTTAATGGCATTTATTTGGGGAATAGTTCCCATTTTAGATGTTGCATTCACATACTCTTTACAATTTAATATTTAGCTGTTTGAAACTAAAAGGGAACATTGAGGGGTTATAGATAACAAAGAGCTTGTCTGTACTTTATGTATTTCTATAACATTTCAAATACTTTAGGAAAATTTTTCATAGGAAAATAGAAAGCAGATATTTGAAAATAAAATCACAGAAAGCAATTAATTGTTAACAGAAAGAACATAACTTACAGCTTTATAGACTTGAACTGAAATATGTTTCTCAGGTCTGCCATTTCCTAGATGTTGATTTTTGACAAATTGCATAATCTCTGTCTCTGTCTCTTTGTGTCTTTCAATAGATAGGTAGGTAGGTAGATAGATAGATAGATAGATTCTATTCATGTATATTATTGGATTGACTAAATATTAGATACAGATGCCTCTGAATTGTTGTATCAGTTAAACTTACATTATATTAGGTGCATGTTACTGAAATTGAGAGAAGATGGCTTAATCATTTAGATTTTTATTTTTTTCATATGTCAATAAAAGTCTCAATTTTGGCAGTCCAGGATTAAATGTATGCCTCTGCAGTACTATTATGTACCTAGGCTCTTCTATGTTTCTGATCTACTATATGTTGCAGATTAATATTTTTATATTCATGATCACATATGATTGTTCCATTGTCAGGCAAAAAGAAGCATATGGGAAAATCAGTGGTTGCTTGATAGGCTTATTAGACCCTTTTCATCAAGATAGCAATGATGATTCTGAAAACAGCACCATCTAATATCAGCACACATAATCTCCCCATTCTTATTAACTAGGACATTAGTTTTCTAACCCAAATTGAAATTTTGTGTAATAAGAAACCAGAGAAGAATACTTATTTTCAAACAAGTAACAGTGTTTAGCCTACCTCAACCCTTGGATCAGCCAATGCCCACCACCAGCGTTCTTCTCATACACAGTACAAAGTCATTCTGGCCCCAAAGATAACGCCCTCTAATCTCATTTGCATACTGCATATAGCTTAAAATACATGTCTGGATCATGGAAGCCTTTTCTGAAACATTACTGTGGAAGTCAAATCACTAAGCCTTTTCATAGTAATTTTTTTTTCCTCTGACAAACGTGGTAGGATTGAACTTCTCCACCCAAGCTTTGTGTGACCAAGGACATGTGAGGACATGTAACGTGTTACTTCTGGATTAAAGCCTTAAAAGCCAGTACATGTTTCACCATGTACTCCTTTTCCCTCTGTCACAACAAGGAAGGGGACTTTTTTTTTAACTTCAAGTTCTGGGATACATGTGCAGAACATGCTGGTTTGTTACACAGGTATACACGTGCCATGGTGGTTTGCTGCACCCATCAGCCTGTTGCCTGGGTTTTAAGCCCCACATGCATTAGGTATTTGTCCTAATGCTCTCCCTCCCCTTGCCTCCCACCCCTCGACAGGCACTGGTTTGTGATGTTCCCCTCCCTGTGTCCATGTGTTCTCATTCTTCAATGTGGCACATATACTCCATGGAACACTATGCAGCCATAAAAAAGAATGAGTTCATGTCCTTTGCAGGTACACGGATGAAGCTGGAAGCCAACATTCTCAGCAAAATAAATCAGGAACAGAAAACCAAACTCTGCCTGTTTTCATTTATAAGAAAGGGGACTTTCAAGAGGGTGGTTAGTGCATCAGCCTGGGTCTAAAAGGAAGGCGGCATGAAGCAGAGTTCCCTGATGGTGGTGCTGGCTATGTGAAAACAAAAAGATATAGTTTGTGTTGTTCTCAGACACAGACTTTTGGGAATTGTTACCTGATTAATTTAGAAGTTGGCTTTGGATGACTTGTGTGCCTGTAATAGAGGCCTAAAATGTGAGACACTGGCTTCATGCTCAGTGGCAGATAATAAAGAAAGGTATATTGGAGGCTGGCCTGATGATGACCTTTTTCTGCAGTGGGAAACATTTGCTAAAACTCTTTCCTGGGATACCTTGGAAGGCTGATAATGTATTCAATTAATCTGTAATTTTAAGTAAGAGGTTGAACACATAGAACATACATGGAAAGAGTTGATTACAACAAATTGCAATTGAAAAGAAACTGTAATATACAAGCTCAAAGAAGGGGTGGCTGGTTTATAAGAAGGACTGAGAAGGGATAGAGCAGGGGTAGATCAATCTTTTGGCTTCCCTGGGTCACATTAGAAGAAGAATTGTTTTGGGCCACACATAAAATACACTAACACTAACAATAGCTGATGAGGTAAAATAATAATAATAATAATAAATCACAGAAAAATCTCATGTTTTAAGAAAGTTGACGAATTTGTGTTGGGCTGCATTCAAAGCCATCTTGGGCTGCATGCGACCTGCAGGCATGGGTTGGACAAGCTTGGGACAGAGCAAGTCAAACAGGTGCAGAATTACAGAACTTCATATGCTAGTTACATCGTAACCCCTAACCTATAAAAAACAAAATTAAGCAAGGTAGATTAAAAGCATAGTTTTTCAGGCCAAGATGGAGTAGCTCTATTCCTCCCCAGTCTTCCCTCTTACAAATAAAAAGCCCTGAGCACAATGCAGTAAGCCGCCATAGGAAGACAGAAAAGCAGGAAGAAGAAAGTAAGCCACCTGAAGGTCTTGGGACTTGAGAAATGTCCTCACATTGAGTTCCTGGGTTTCCTCATTGCTTCTCCTATATCCCAGGCAGGTACAACAAAAGCCTCCAAACTGGAACAGCCAGAAGGCATATACAAAGATTGTTCCACAAAATCCTGTTCCTCTAGCAAAAGGACGGGAATAGTAGACAAAAATACAGATTTTTTTTTTTTTGCAATATTTGATTAACTCAAAACAAGTACCAATGGAATAAAAACTGCCTCTGCCAAAGTTTTTTGTGACCATATGGAAAGGGGATTTTTCACCCCAGGCCCTGGTCCCATAGAATAGTGGGCACACAACGCTCTCACATAGTAGTATCTGGAGTGCCCAATAGAAAGATGGACATAAACTAAAAGATAAAAGGAGAAGTAAACACATCTACAGTAAGAGTTAGGGGCTTCACAGCATTTAGAGGAACTAATGAACAGAAAATCAGCAAGGATATAGAACCCTTGAGCAATACAGTCAGCCAACACGATATTAGCACACATATAGAACAGACCGTCACAGCAGGTACACGTTTTTTTCAAAAGCCCATGCAACATTTACCAAGCAAGACCATACCTTTCTCCACAAAACAAAATTCAAAAGATTAGAAATCACACAGAATATACTATCTGACCAAAATGGAATCAACAATGTAGGAATCAATAATAGAAGAAAATAAACAATAAAACCCAAACACTTGGAATTAACTGACGCACATCCAAATAATCCATGGGTTTAAAAAAAAAAACTTAAAGGGATTTTAAAGAAATATAGGACTTAATGAAAATGAAAATAAATTATATCAAATATAAGGGAAGCAGCCGAAGCAGTGCTGAGAGGGATTTTTTATAGCTCTAAGTCCTTATATTCAAAAAAGGAAAGGTCTCAAAGCAATCATCTAAGTTTTTATGGTGAGGAAATAGAAAAAGAAAAGCAAAATAAACCATTGTAAAGCACAAAGGAAAAAAACCTAAAGGTTAGAGAATCAACAAAATTCTTTAAAATACAGGAAAACAATTGAGAAAGTACTATAAAAACTATTTTTGCAATAAAATTGATACAACTCTAGCAAGCCTAGCAAATATAAAGGTAAACGCACAAAGCACCATTATCAGGAATATGAGACATCTCTACAGATCCTGCTTTCATAAAAAATGAGGTTACTATAAATACCTTATTATCATAAATTCATCAGCTTATTAAAAATAGACCAATTCCTTAAAACTGCAAGCTATCAAAAATTGCCCAAGATAAAAATGACAATCTGAATATTTTGGTCAATAGGCTAAAAAAGAAAGATTACATAAACAAATCTATTAATGTCAAAACTTTTTGCAAAATCCAAACCCAACTATAATGAAATAAAATAAAATAAAAACTTTAAATACACTAGAAAAAATAGATTTCATTAACATAATAAAGAACATCTAAACAAACTATAACAATATGAGTTAATAATGAAAGACTGAATGTTTTCCCCTAAGATTAGGAATAAGAAAAGGATATATGCTCTTATCAATCTTTCAATATAGTACTGAAATTCTTGCCAGCATGTTAAAGTAAGAAAAAAAATTAAATAAAAGTCATGTAGATTGGAAAGGAAGAAATAAAATTGTTGTCATTTTTAGATAACATGATTGCTACATAAAAAACTTCAAAAGCTCTAGCCAAAAATTCTAGAACTAATAAAAGAATTGGTCATTACTGGCTACAAACTCAACACATGCAAAGTAATCACAATATTATATATAAATAGCAAACATGGTGACTGAAATCAGAAGACAATACCATTTTACAATAGCTTCTAAGAAAACAAAATAAATAGGTTTAAATCTATGATGCCATTTGCACTATCTACATACTACAAACTATAAAACACCAATGACACAAATTAGAGAAAACATAAATAAATGATGATGGATATCATTTTCATGGAGTGGATAACTCAGCATAGTAAAAGTGCCAATTCTCTCCAAATTGCTCTTTAAGTATAATACAATTAGTATCAAAATCCTAGTAAGAATTTTATAGACACACTTATTCTAAAATTTACTTGGAGATACACATGTTCTATATAGCTATAAAAAATGTTGACAAAGAAGAATGAAGTGAGGCCAGGGATGGTAGCTTACACCTGTAGTCCCAACACTTTGGGAGGCTGAAGTGGGTGGATTACTTGAGCCTACAGGTTCAAGACCAGACTAGGCAACATGATAAAACCCCATCTCTACAAAAAATACAAAAATTAGCTGGGCATGGTGGAGCATGCTGGTAGTCCCAGTTACTTGGGTGGCTGATGTGGTAGTATTGCTTGAGCCCAGGAGGTGGAGGTTGCAGTGAGCTGAGACTGTGCCACTGCATTCCAGCCTGACTGATAAGAGTGAGACCTTGTCTTACAAAAAAAAAAAAAAAAAAAAAAAAGAAAGAAAGAAAGAAAGAAAAAGGATTAAATGGGACAATAGGACAAATCATTCTACTGTATGTTAAGGGTTAACATAAAGTTACATTACAGTAATCAAGAAAATGTGTTATTTGTGTAGAAAAAATCATATAAATCAATGCAACAAAGCAGTGAACTCAGATAGGCTCCCATTAATGTGTCAAATTGATTTTTGACAAAGATGCAGGATTGCCCTTTCTACAAATGATGCTGGAGTGTTTGGATATCCACAGACAAAACAATGAACCATGACTGAAACCCAACAACATAAAAAAAAAACTTAACTCAAAATAGATTATGGACTTCAATGAAAAAAATAAAACTATAAAACTTTTAGAAGATAATAGAGAAAGTTTTTAGACTTGACAACAAAGCATTATCCATAAGTGGAAAAAATGGTCAATTTGGCTTCATTAAAAAATGCTTGTTCTGAGAAAGCATATAAGGATAAAAAGACACAATACAGACTGGGAGAAAGTATTTGAAAACCACATAAATAACAAAGAAATAGTATCTAGAATACATTAAGAACACTCATCATTCAACATCAAAAACAATTCAGTTAGGAAATGGGCAAGGAGCATGGTAACATTTCACCAAAAGGATATGCAGATGGCAAATAAGCTCAGGAAAATATGTTTGTTATCAATAGCTATTAGAGAAATGCAAATTCAAACCACATTGAGATACCATTATACACCTATCAGAATAGCTAATAGTCTAACACCACATGCTGTTCAGGATGTGGAGAGACTGGGTCACTCATACATTGCTTGTTGGGATATAACATAGTACAGCTCCTCTGGAAAAGATTTTGCCTTTTTTTTGTTTGTTTGTTTTGTTTTTTTTTTTTTACAAACCTAAACATGCACTTACCTCTGACCTAGTTTTTGCACAGTTCAACATTTATACCAGAGAAATGAAAACTTATCTTCCCACAGGGAACAAATATGCAAATGCTTATGGCAGATTTATTTTTAATAGCCATACTGGAAACAAACAAAATCCTCTTCAAGTAGTGAACACTTAAACTGTGGTACACCTATACCATGGAATGCTGCTCAGCAATGATACGGATGGACTATTGATATACACAACAACTCAAAGGCATTACTCTGAACAAAAAGAGACAATATCGGCTGGGCACGATCACTCACTCCTGTAATCCCACACTTTGTGAGGCCAAGGCAGGCCGATCTTGAGGTCAAGAGATCGAGACCATCCTGGCCAACATGGTGAAACCCCGTCTTTACTAAAAACACAAAAATTAGCGGGGCGTGGTGGCGCGTGCCTTTAGTCCCAGCTTCTCAGGAGGCTAAGGCAGGAGAATCATTTGAACCCGGGGGAGGCGGAGGTTGCAGTGAGCAGAGATTGCACCACTATACTCCAGCCTGGCAACAGAGCGAGACTACATCTCAAAAAAAAAAAAAAAAAAAAAAAAGACAATACCAGAAATCAGAAGTTTATACACTATATCATTCCATTTACATTGCATTCTTAAAGTGACAAAATTATAGAGTTGGAAGACAGTTTAATGACGGCCAGTGGCTAGGCAGGTGGAAAGGGAGGGAAGTGGTTGAGACTATACAAGCACAGCATGAGAAACATCCGAAATGTAATTATTCTGTATCTTGACTGTGTTGGTTGGTCACACAACTACACACGTGATAAATTTGCATAGAATGAAATACACACACATACACACAAAGATATACAAATAAATACATGTAAAACTGGTGAAACCAGAAGAAGGTAGATGGACTGTATCACTGTTAATTTCCTGACTGTAATATTTTACTATAGGGATGCAAGATGTTACTACTGGGATAAGCTGTCTCAGAGTATACACAGTCTCTGTTTATTACTTCTCACTACTGCATTTGACGCTACAATCATCACAAAAACTCTTTAAAATTTGCATTAGGAATTAATTTGAGGGTTTCACTGATATCCGCTATAAAATCCTCTAAATCAGTAAAGCCATTTCAAGACCAAAACTTAAGTTGTGGCATGCCCTAGGCTTCTATTTTACCTTATTAGTCAGCAGCAGTATCCAGAGCTGTTCTTAACTACTAGAGAAGGTCGGTTAAGAGGATATTTTTATCTGGGCATATTACTGGTCTCCAAAAAAAATGTTTTAAAGGAATAAGGTAGAAATTTATACCACAGTTCTCATTAGAAACACTTAATTTGGTCAACCAACCCTATAGGTTATTTCATGAATAAAGTATATCAAAGCAAAATTAATAAAAAAATAGAGCTCATTAAAGAAAGCAGTAGCACTCTAACTAAATTTAATTTTTAATGATTGTGCGATACCAATCAAGCCCGGATTTTGCTCATATAAAAACATAGTCCTCAAGTTCTTTGATATATTCATAATCAGCATGTATAAAATACCTAGACTTTAAATTTCAATCAGCGAAATGAAAGTATGGAGAAAGGGCCATCTATGGTGGAATTTAAAAGACAATTTTTTAAATTTAAGTTGGATGCTTAAAATCTACTTTGTAAAGATCTCACTTCAATAAACTTCAGAAGTTTGTAATTAACTGAAATATTACTACCTGGAATTAAGTAAAATATCTATCCTCTAGGAAAACAATGATACAATCACAATGATTTGTTCCTTTACCTCTTCTGAATGGTCAAGCATAAAATGTTACCTTCTTTTTACTTAAAAGTAAATGTAGAATATAAGTTATACATGTCTTTACAACGAGAGTGGTCATAAAAAAGCCGCTCTCTAGGCACAAGAGTGTATTCAAGGCATACGGAAACACTTCTTGCCCTTGCTTGAGCAGCTAAGACCAACATGCACAAGATCATATTAAGTATTTAATTAACAGTTCATGCATTTCCTTATGTCACATTATTTCAGCAATTTCTACAACAGCATCTCTTGAGTATGTTCTGGACATCTCACAGGTCATGGACATCATCATATTTCCTGTTCTTGAGGAATTCAGAAACAAGCAATGGGGCTGACGGTCAAGTGCTTGTAAGACCATATTCTGTTAGCTCGGTTAACGGTGAGCGTAGAAATTTGTCTCATCAGAATGACCTTGTTCGCCTTCTCTTTATGTGAATCTACCTTCTGATATTGGCAGCTGGAAGCTTAGGTTCAGCTTAGATGACTTACTAATAATTCAGGAATAAAATGATATTTCACCACTTTTCTGACCTTTTCCCCTCAAAAATTTAAATGTAAAATTTGAATGCATATATTAATTTAGTATTCATTTATTCAGCAACTATTTATGGAGCACCTATTTTGTGAGAGATATTCCACCATTATTAGTAAATTCAGCCTCA
Organism: Homo sapiens; assembly: GCF_000001405.40. Taxonomy (NCBI): domain Eukaryota; kingdom Metazoa; phylum Chordata; class Mammalia; order Primates; family Hominidae; genus Homo; species Homo sapiens. Next base: position 52,226,686 of record NC_000007.14, read on the forward strand.
AAAATCTCATTTGTTTCTTCAAAGTCATTATTTTTGTCTTCAAAAAATACCTATCTTGAATTTTGATATAAAGAAGTCTTTATTTTATAAATACGCATAGGGCTTTTATGAACAGTATATATCATTAATCAGATACAATAAAAATTAAATTTTTCTGAAAGGCCTAAATAATGCATTGCTCACGTATTAACTGTAAGGGAATTAAAGATTTTGAATGAATAGAGATACAACCAGTGATTGGGGAACATCTATTGTATTCAAAATTGTGTGCTTCCGATTTGGTCCTATGAGAGTACTAATGATAGCTGTGTTTTAAAGATGAATGAACCTGTAACATATTGAATAGATATATAAATTTATTGAGACACAGTCCGTAAGGGGCTGGGTGAAAAACAAATTAACAGCTTGCTGCCTCTAATTACCCACACGTTTACCTTATACACTTGCACACAAACTTACCCTAGAAGTCCAGTGTGTGTCTTGTTTTTGCTATTCACCCACCTGTCTGCATCTCACTTAATCTGCATGACAACACTGTGTGGGAGATAACGCTTTAAAAACTCTGTAGAAATCAGAGCTCAAGTGTTTAGAAACACTTGTGATATCACAGAAAAAGCATCTGGTGAAATCAAGCTTTGAACCTAGGTTTGCTGAAACCCTCTTTAAACCACTACCTGAGGCTTGAGAATATCAATGTCTGGAGTGAAAAAAATACAGTTTTGGATAAATCTCTATGCCTCACAATCCCATTTTGCATCCAGTATCAGGGTAAATTGGATAATAAACAAGAATTGTTTAAAAACAATTGTTTCAATAGTAGCATCAGGCTTTTCTACTCTATGCAACAGAGCAAAGATCAATTTGCTTATTGTGTAGCTAACCAGAATATTTGATAATAGAAAGATTTTGTGGGAGGAGAAAAAAATAAGGAAACAAATGAAATATGTAAGATATTCACCAAATATTTTTTAAATAAAACACTAGAAAAAGCAAAGATGAATTATCACCTAATTTTGATAAATCAGAAACAATTATCTTTTTATTTTGGGTTCATATTTTACCTCCTCAACCAGTAAATCTTTGTTGAACAAATATTCTGAATATTCTAGTATCTATCACTCAGAGCTTATTTTTGTTTTCATCAAACAGAGATTTAAATCTCATGGCTTATAACTCAGTGGATATTGATATAAGCTTTCCTTGAAATTTTTTTTTTTTTTTGCCAGTTATGAGCAATAAAACATCTGTGAACTCCCTAAACAAAAAGACATTGGAAAGTGTGTGAACATATACCTTTCTGCCCCCCTGAATCTATCACCTTCAGAAAGGAAAACAAAAATCACCTTTGTTTGGAGAGTGGATTGTGCCTGGCACAGACGCTGATGCCCAAGGAAGGTCTTGAACCACTCTGCATTGAGTAAGATTCACGCCTCCTCATGCCTTTTGGTTTCAATTTTTCCCTAACACTTGTATTTGAATTGTACTTAGACAAGAAACCACAAGTATTAAGAAATACATTTCTTTCCGTGAGATCACAGCACAGTGTAAGGAACCCTTACTTTACAGGCTGAGAAGCCTAACTTGGAACGTGGGAATTTTCACACATTAGATTTGTGATCCTGCTACTTAGCTTACCTTTATCTCAGTCAATTCACTCAATTCAACGAACACCTAATGACGTCCTGCAGGTTGCCTCCATAATGACAGACCTCGGGGAATCAAAGAACACCAAATAGCCCCTACCCTTATGGCTGCAGATGTCAGTAGGACAGGTTAGATTTTCAGACAAAAATGTGCTGTTCGTAGTAAAAACTAGTGCTGTATGATACACTTATGTATCAGTTCAGTAGGATACAATGAATAAAAGTGATACCAACCAGAAGGATGAAAAGAGTTTTCATAGAGTTATGACCCTCGAATTAAATTATGAAAATAAATATGAGGTGGACTTCCAAGGAGAGAAAGCAGGGTTAGCAAAGAAATTGCTTGTTAAGGCATCTTTAGGTGGATTGATTTGCTGGAGGATGGGATTCTGTGGGTGTGGGAAGGGGAGAGGGTGAAGTTGGTGAATGGCAGGGAGAGAAAGGTGGGAATGAGATGATGGAGTTTTTTCATTCCAGACTAAAGAGCATGGGGAAAGCATTGCTCTATAGCATTTAGGAACCAAAGAAATTGTGGGTTCAGGGATACGTGAAGGCACAGTAGCCTTGAACAGGGAAGTGGATATCTTAAGGATAAATGCAGCTATTGGAACATCTGCATGTTTAGGGATAGGAAGTTGAGATCTCTTAAATCCTACTGGCCTTAGTTTTTCTCTGTGAAGGAGGTGACATGATCATACCTCTTCAGAAAAAGACAGAGAGAGAGAAGGAAAGAGGAGACAAGGGAAGGGGAATGTTGGAAAGGAGAGGGAAGAGATGAGAGCAGAGAAAGAGATAAAGAAAGAGGAGCCAGGCTCAGCTGAGGTTGCCGATGAAAGATTGATAATGGCAACAGTCCACACTGTGATCTCCTCTGCTAGCACTCACACACCAAGCTTTAGGAAGGGAGGTATATTTTCGATGGATCCAAAACTGCCTTGAAAAGTCTCAGCTCGGTCTGAGTATGTTCTTCCTGTGGAAGTTATTTCTGTAAACCCGAAGAACTCTATGCTTGTTCTTGAAGTTTGGTCACCAATTCATAATATTGAATATTGAATTGTTTTCGTTCTGGGAATAGATGAGACTGGTTTGATTTTTAGATTTCATTATTTCTTTGTTTTAGGAAAAAAATATCTTTTTATACTTTTAAAAATATTTTACCTTTCATTCATTGGTTTCTTCGCTTCAGGGCTTAAACTTATATTGAATTGAAGCCATATAACATCATTAAACTTATGTTGAATATCCCTCCACTTAAAATACCCTCTCCCTATATTTTCTTTTTTTGCTTCATGTATTTTATTTAATGGAATTAATTCAAGCTACGAGAGCGTTTCAATTTTAAGCTTTGTCTAGTCTGTTTTTTAATGTTTCTGAGTTTTTTCTAACTCATGATTTGCCTTGGTCCTCAAATTATTTTCTTATGAAATCCCTTTTGGTCTCCCTTTTAATATTCTTAGACTATTTCACCTTTTTATCTTATTCTTATTGAAGTCATGTCTTCTTCAGGACTCCTAAATTAAAAAGGACTTATTACGCATCTTTTTCTTTCACTCAGAGTATATATAGAGGGAGTACAGAATGGATTGTTTAATTGTTGTGTGCCTGCTAAGCTGCTTTCCTTTTGGTTGTAATATATGTGCATAATTACAAAGCTGTTTCTTTACATCTTGTTCATGCTTCATGTTCGCAGCTCCTTTTAGACATTTTACGTACTTTAATTTGCTCTCTTCTCATTTTGCTGAGGCCTGTTCTTCTCCCAACTGCAGTATGACAGCTAGGCACCATCTTCATGTCCTAATATTTGTCACAAATGGGCAGATGGGTGAGCGCTCCCCTGCCTTCATCATTTGTTAGAAAAATTGTGTTTGAGGCCCAGCACAGTGGCTTACGCCTGTAATCGCAGCACTTTGGGAGGCCGAGGTGGGCTGATCACCTGAAGTCAGAAGTTTGAGACCAACCTGGCCAACATGGTGAAACCCCGCCTCTGCTAAAAAGTACAAAAATTAGCCAGGTATGGTGGCAGGTGCCTATAGTTCCAGCTACTCAGGAAGCTGAGGCAGGAGAATCACTTGAAGCCGGGAGGCAGAGGTTGCAGTGAGCCGAGATGAGGCCACTGCACTCCAGCCTGGGCGACAAGAGCGGGACTCTGTCTCCAAAAGGAAAAGAAAAGAAAAGAAAAATAGTGTTTGAACCACCTTTTGGCAATTTAGAGAAGTGTCTTGCCTCAGGTGACTCCATCTCCTTATGGGGTATCCTTTTCCTGTGAAAGGGTGACATGGGCTTTTGATCCTTTCACTCACATAATAGGAGTGGAGCTTGGCCATTTTTCCCCTTCTGAGACCCTGAGTGCTTCCAGAGTTTTTCTGTGCTCTTATTTTGAAAAATTCTATGTTAAATTTTTCCTGATCTACATGCCTTTATCTCAATCTGCTTACCTTCCTATTAGAGCAACGGTCCCCAACAATTTTGGCACCAGAGACCAGTTTCAAGGAAGCCAATTTTTCCACAGACTGGTGGGGATGGAAAGATGGTTTCCAGATGAAACTGTTCCACCTCAGATCATCAGGCATTAGATTCTCATAAGGAGTGTGCAACCTAGATCCTTTGCATGCTCAGTTTACAATACAGTTCACACTCCTATGAGCAACTAATGCCTCTGTTGATCTGACAGGAGGCGGAGCTCAGGCAGTATATCTCACTTCCTTGTTCCTCACCTCCTGCTGTGTGGCCCCAGGGTTGGGGACTCCTGTATTAGGGTGTATCAATGAGAATTCATAAGTATTGACATCTCAAGTATTATCCCAAGAATAGCAACTGGAGAAGTGGGGATGATCCTGCTTGAATCTTGTGTTTCTGTCTTTAACTAAAAATGTTCCACATTTGTACCAGGGCTGCCTTTGGTCTGGAGGTTGAGAATGTTAGGAATTAATGGCATTTGGGACTTTTCTGTGAATCCTGAGTCCTGCCTGTTCTGACATGGATCTACACAGGTCAAGGAAACTCCTGCTGAAAGAAGTTTTCCTGTTAGAGCACTGTCTGCATTTCTGGATCCTTTCTGTTTTTGAGGGTTTTGTTCTAAGTTTAATTGTGTCTCTCTAAAAAGATACGTTGAATTCCTAACCTCTGGCATCTGTGATTATGACTTCATTTAGAAATAGGTTATTTGCAGATGCAATCAAGTTAATATGAGGTCATTTTAGATTAGACTTTAAATCCAATGACTGGTGTCCTTGTAAAGAGAGAGATGTTTGGAGAACACAGGCAGAAGACAGCCATGGGAGGATGGAGGCAGAGAAAGAAGTGACACTGCCACAAACCAGGGAACTCATGGAGCCACCAGAAGCTGGAAGAAGCAAGGAAGGATTCTTCCGAGAAGCCTGCAGAGGGAGGATGACCCTGCCAGCACCTTGATTTTGGACCTCTAGACTCCAGAACTGTAAAAGAATACATTTCTGTTGTTTTAAGCCACTCAGTTTATGGTAATTTGTTACAACAATTCTAGGAAACAGATGTAGGGTCCCAGAAGTTTTCTATGAATGGGAGGCTGGGTAGGTCATGGATGAAAGCTTGAGTATATTTCAAGTTTGACTGTACCATTTTGTCACTGAGGATATACTTTAATAATTAACATGACCTCCTCAAGGCTACTTCTGTAAAATGGGAATAGCCAAGCCCAGGTCATAAAAAAACTGAGCGAACATACGTAAAGTGGTGGGGACTATGCCTGCTCTCCCCAAGGTAAGCATTGAGTAATAGGCCTACGTCTTCAGAAGGGATTAACCACACAACTCCCCAAAATTATTATGAAAATTAAATGAGATAAATGCAAAGAATGTTGCTAGAACATGGCATTTCTTATGTTTTTCTAAATTTTAACCTTCTCTAAATTTTAACATCTCTAAAGTTATAATTACAATACTTTTCTTCACTCATTGAACAGTTGTTTTATGACTACCTGTGATGTGCCAGGCACCGCACTCTGCACTGAAAATGCAGTGGTAGATTGTAGAAACACAGCCAATGTTCTTATGAAGTTTGCACTCTGTGAGAGTGATACACAGTAAAAAGCGTACCAAGAAAAGCACAAATATTTTCATGACAACCTTTGGAATATATATTCCCTCCAAAAAGAGTGTCTATAAGGGATAACGAAAGGGTCTAAAGTGGCTAAAGAGCTCTCTGATAACATGGCCTGCAAGCTGAAGTCTAAAGGATGAGAAGGGATCTTCCAGACAAAGATAAAGAAATGGATGAAGAAATGAGAGGGGAGATGCATCTGAAACCAGGCCACATAGGAGAAGACCACCAGATGAGAAGTGATATGAGATGAAGTTGTGGGTTTCATCAAGAGTCAGATAACAAAGAAATATCTGTAAGTCTCAATAATCACTTTGGGTTTTATTAATATAATGATATCCCTTGAAGAACTTAAGTAGAAACATCACTGTTCAATTTATTAATTAAAACAATTGCACTTGCTCTGTTGTCTATGTGGAGAGTAGATTTGAGAAAGACACAGAGGAAACTGAGTCCAGTAAGGTTATTGTGGCAATTCACTGAGAGATGGTGGTGTATTTGGAAAATTTGATAGTAGATGGATTTACATAACTTACAAAATGAGATATTCTTAATCTTATGAAATGAATGGACTTGAAGAATTGACTGTGAAGTAAGAGAAAAAAGACATGAAGGATTATGTCTGTGTTTTGTGCTTAACTAGCTTAGCAGATCAGACTTTGATTTCCTGAGAACTGAATTAGAGAAGGCACGGATAAGAATGGGTTAGGATCAAGGGTAGGATGGAGGAATTATCTTCTGGATATGCTATTTTTATATGCCCATGGACATCAAAGAGGATGTGTTAAGTAGAAGTTGAACATACATAAGAGAGAGAAATCAGGACACCAAAACAAGCTGCTAATTAAGCCAAGAAAATGGCCAAAAAAACCTATGGAAAGAATAAAAAGAGAAAGAGGATGGAGGCACTGGGTTAGGCTTTGGAATGTGCAACATTTAGCAGTGGGACCCAGTAGCCAGAAGAAGAGATTGATCAAGATCCAGGGAGCTTGGAAGGAATCCAGGAGAAACCAGTAGAGTTGCTGTTGTGGAAAAGAGCACGTGTCCACTACGCTGAAGCTGCAGTTTTGGTAGATGAACACAATGGACTGTGCTGTAGACCTGCCAGCACAGTTGTTGGTGATATAAAAAGAAGCAGTTTTGGTTATGTGGTGGAAAAGAAGCCAGTTGTGGTGCTTTAAGAAATCAGTGAATCAGAAAGTTCCAAGATTATTTAAGGCAGCTCTTTAAAGGAGGTTACTCTAAAGATTAACAAAAAATGGGTAGCAGGTACAAGGGCAAGAAGGGTAACGGCAGGAATGTTATTTAAGGAAGTGGGTACTAACTATGCATGTATAAGATTCCAGAATGTATTAAGTAGAATAAGAGACCATGATGATATAGAAGAAAGGTTTAGTTTCACTAAAAATGTGAAGATTGAGAGAAGGCAATAGAGGAAGGGATGCATAGAATTCACAGAGAAGCAAATTTTTAGATGAGCAATTAGGCTTATCTCCATTTTGACACACAGAAAAGGGTGCTACAGACACCAGGGACCTCACTCATTTTGATGGAGGGAAAAAAAGGTAGTTTTTATTTGTTGCCTCTGTTTTCCATTAAAATATGAAACCTGGCCGTTAGCAGATAAGTGGGAAAACTTGGTGTCTCATAACAACTAACTATTTTATTAGTTCATATTTCTGTGAGTAAGCAAATTGGGCTGGGCTCCTCTAGGCTGTTCTTCTGTTAGTCTTATCTGGAGTCAATGTGCAGATACAACTGTCTGGAAGGTCAATTAATTGGAGTGAATGTGGTAGTAGCCTTACTTACATGATTGACTATGTAATGAGCTGTTACAGCTGTGCTGGGGGCCACATACCTCCAGCAGGCTAGTGCTGGCTTTTTCATATGGCAACCTGATTCTAAGAGCAGCAGGAGACAGAACAAGCCCCTATGAGCAGGTGCTTATGGGGTTGGATATCCCCCTTGCTGTTCTACTGATAGTGAGTTATCATGAGATCCAGTTTAAAGTGTGCAGCACCTCCCGCTTCTCTCTCTCTCTTTCCTGCTCTGCCATGTGAAGATGTACCTGTTTCCCCTTCACCTTCCACCAAGCATGGAAGTTTTCAGAAGCCACTCTAGCAGTGCTTCCTGTACAGCCTAGAGAACCATAAGTCAATTAAACCTCTTTCCTTTATAAATTACCCAGTCTCAGGTAGTTCTTTATAGCAATGGGAGAACAGAAAATTGGTATTGGGAGTGGGGCATTCCTGTAAAGATACCTGAAAATGTAGAAGCAGCTTTGGAGCTTTGGAACTGTGTAACAGGCAGAGGTTGGACCAGTTTGGAGGGCTCAGAAGAAGACAGGAAAATGAGGGAAGTTTGGAACTTCACAGCAACTTGTTAAATTGTTGTGACCAAATGGTCATAGTGATATCGACAATGAGGTCCAGGCTGAAGTGGTCTCAGATGGAGATGAGGAACCTATCGGGAACTGCAGCAAAGGTCACTTTTGTTATTTGTTAACAAAGAGGCTGGAGGCATCGTCCTTCTGCCCTAGAGATCTGTGGATCTTTGAACTTGAGAATGATGATTTAGGGTATCTTGCAGAAGAAATTCCTAGGGCAGCACAACATTCAAGATATGGCCCGACTGCTTCTAACAGCATATCATCATATGTGTAAGCAAAGAGATGATCTGAAACTGGGACTTATATTTAAAAGGAAAGCAGAACATAAAAGTTTAGAAAATTTGCAGCCTTACTGTGTGGTAGAAAAGAAAAACTCATTTTCTTATAAGGAATTCGAGCTGGCTGAAGAAATTCGCATAAGTAAAGAGGAGCCTGATACAGTCTGGCTCTGTATCACCACCCAAATCTTATCTCAAATTGCAATCCAAATATTTCCTTGTGTTGGTGCAGGAACCTCGTGGGAGGTAATTAGATCATGGGTGTGCTCCCCCTATACTGTTCTCATGATAGTGAGTGAGTTCTCATGAGATCTGATGGTTTTATAAGGGGCTTTTCACCCTTTTGCCCTGCACTTCTGTCTCCAGTCACCATATGAAGAAGGACATGTTTGCTTCATCTTCTGCCATTATTGTACATTTCCTGAGGCCTCCCCAGCCATGTAGAGCTGTGAATCAATTAAACCTCTTTCCTCTATAAATTACCCAGTCTTGGGCAGTTCTTTATAGGAGTGTGAGAATGGAGCCAAATGTTAACAGCCACAACAAAAGGAGTTTCAGAGACCTTCATGGCAGCCCTTCCCATCACAGTCCCAGAGGCAGAGGAGGCAAGAATGGTTTTGTGGGCTGGACCAAGGACCCTGCTACCCTGCACAACCTCAGGACACTGTTCCCTGTGTCCCAGCTGCTCCAGCTCCAGCCATGACTAAAAGGGCTCCAGAAACATCTCAGACTGCTGCTCCACAGGATGCAAGATGTAAGCATTGGTGGCTTCCATGTGGTGTTAGCCTCCATGTGTGCAGCGGGCAAGAGTTGAGGCTTATGGGCCTCCACCTATATTTTGGAGGTTGTATGGAAATACATGGATATCCAGGCAGAAATCTGCTGCAGGGGCAGAGCCCTCATGGACAACCTCTACTAGGGGAGTGCAGAAGGAAAATGTGGGGTTGGAGCTCCCACACAGAGTCTCCACTGGGGCACTGCCAAGTGGAGCTGTGAAGAGGGCTGCTATCCTTCAGACCCCAGAATGATAGATCTGCCTACATTTCAGAGGATGTATGGAAACACCTAGATGTCCAGGCAGAAGTTTGCTGCAGGACTGGAGCCTTCATGGAGAACCTCTGCTAGGGTAGTGCAAAAGGGAAATGTGGGGTCAGAGCCCCAACACAGTGTCCGCACTGGGGCACTACCTAGTGGAGTTCTGAGAAAAGTGCAAAGAGGGCCACTGCCCTCCAGACCCCAGAATGGTCGATCATCAACAGCTTAAAAGCCACAAGTACCTGGAAAAGCCACAAGCACTCAACATCAGCACATGAAAACAGCTGAGGGAGCTGTATTCTGCCAAGCCACAGGGGTGGAAATGGCCAAGCCTTTGGAACCCACTTCTTGCATCAGTGTGACCTGGATCTGAGACATGAAGTCAAAAAAGATTCTTTTGGAGCTTTAAAATTTAATGACTGCCCTGATGGATTTTGGACTTGCATGGAGTCTGTAGCCCCTTTGTTTTGACTGATTTCTCCCTCTTGGAATGGATGTGTTGATTCAGTACCTGTACTCCCATTGTATCTAGGCAGTAACTAACTTGCTTTTGATTTTACGGGCTTATAGGCAGAAGTGACTTGTCTTGTGTCAGATGAGAGTTTGGACTCTGGACATTTGAGTTAATGTTGAAATAAGACTTGGGGGACTGTTGAAAAGGGAGGATTATATTTTGCAATATAAGAAGAACATGAGATTTGGGAAGGGCCAGAGGCAGAATAATATGGTTTGGATTTGTGTTCCCACTCAAATCTCATGTTGAATTATAGTGCCCAGTGTTAAAGGTGGGGCTTGGTGGGAAATGATTGGATCATGGGAGCACATTTCCTCTTTGCTGTTCTCATGATAGTGAGTGAATTCTTATGATATCTTGTTTTTTAAAAGTGTGCAGCACTTTCCCCTTCTCTCTCTCTCTCCTCATCAACCACATGAAAATATGTCTGCCTCTTTTTGCTTTCCACCATGATTGAATGTTTCCTGAGGCCTCCCCAGCTATGCTTCCTGTACAGCCTATGGAACCATGAGCCAATTAAACCTCTTTTATTTATAAATTATCTAGTCACAAGGAGTTCTTTATAGCAGTGTGTGAACAGACTAATACAGGAGGTGATTCATTTAGGGCCATTGATCTACAGCAGGGGAATTGGAATGGTAGGCAAGTGTAAGTCTTAGTGTGGTAATGAATTAGAGATGAAGGAGAAACATGTATTTGCTAGAAGAAGCAATAGGGAACAAGGAAAATTTTGCCCCAAATTTCAAGAGATAGGAAGCCAATGAAAGATAAACAATATTTAATTGTATATCAAATATTATATATGTATAAAGTATAAAGAGAAGTATATAGAAGTGGTATACCTAGAAATCAAGTTTCTGTAAAGTCAAGGAGGTAGTGGGAATTTCCGCTAAACCTGTCATAACTGAAGGGGAGTTTGCTGTGCTCATTGCATTAAATAAAAAATTATAAAATATATAATAATAGCTAAGAAAGAAAGTGCCTGGCAAATTTGGAACTGTCATTCACGTGTCTGGAATTTGAAGGTAGTCAAAAACAAGCTCAGCCCACGTATTAGAAGGTAATACAATGCTTTAGGTCAAGAATTAATAGAATAACCGTTCAATGAAGTTTCACCTGCAAAATTAATTCAATATGGGTTAAATATGAGTTTTGACATTAAAAAGAACTGAAGTTGGAAGACCATTAATAACAACTGAAATAAGTGACAGTGTCTTTAGGAAGGAAGCATTTAATGAAGTGTCACAAAGGCCAACAATATGACTGCTATTAATTAACTTCTTAATTAATTATATGATGGAGGGATAAGCTTCAAGTAAATGCAGCTTTCTGTTGATAGGTAATGAGGGATGATGACATTAGGAAAGATGAAAAATACAAACTGACTTCATGGAATGGGGAATTTAACTAGGCAGATTCTATAAATAAATAGTTGCTTTTATGATAGGCAAAATTAGGAAAAGAATCTAATCCAGTATATTGGGATTTGAAAAATTGATGCAATTATTTGCGAAATATGTTTACATATCAAACTAAAAGGAAAATGCATGCAATTAAATTTTTCAAATGACAAAACTGAATTAACTCACACTATATGGAGGGTCCTACCGTAATAGATATGTAAGTTAATGTTTTTATCTATATTTACATATAAATTTGTTATTTAAATCTGGAAGAATTTTGGACTAGCAAAGTGCTGACTGTTATTTAGTGTCCATAAATTATATAGAGCATAGAGGGAGCTGGAGACTGTGCTGGGCTGTGGTTCTCTGGTGGAGCATGTGTATGTAGTATCATGGCCCAGCATTATGCAACTGAGAGCCTGAACAAGAGCATGCCATGGCTGCACACACCAATGTCTATGTGTCAATGACTGCAGGTGAGCATAGGAAACACTAGAATATTCTCTACGCTTCTGAGTACAAATTCCATCCAATGATATCTCATCATTTCTACTGCCACTAGCCATGATCATTTCTTTTCTCGATTATTTCAAGAGCCACTTAATTGGACCCTGGCTTCCAACCTGACAGTGCAGTCTCTTCTTCACCTAGGAGCCAGAATCTTCTTTCGAAAATGTGTCAGCTTGTCGATCTTCTCTGCAGCAGGATCCAATAGCTACACATGTCACTCAGAGTAAAAGCCAAGGAGGCCTGATGCGACCTGCCCTTGTTGTCCCTGTCTTATCTGCCCTCTGTCCTCCCCACCCTTCCCCAGGCACACCTGTGTTCTCGCCCTGCCTCAAACACACCAGGTAGGACTATCACTCTCCCTGGAGCATTCTCATAGCCAATATATTGGGATTGAAAAACCCCAATAACCACATATGGTTCAACACATTTCTGATGAAATGTCACACTCTGAGTGGGGCTACACTGACATTCTATTTATAGATAAATATTCCTCGGCATTCATCGGTCCAAATCTCTACTGTATACCTCTCCAGACAAAATGTCTTGTTAATATTTAATGCAATTACCTATTTCCTTTTTATCTGTATCTTCCCCACTAAAATGCAAATCCCATGAGGGCAGTGCTTTCTCCTAAACATGCTTACTCTGTATACCTAACACTTAGCTGTTAGTGTATATAGGTCCGTCATAAATATTTTCAATGAATGAATGCTATGGTTTATACCTGGTTTGACCCCATCAAAACTCATGTTGAAATTGGATCCCCAGTGTGGCAGTGTTGAGAGGTGTGGCCCAGTAGGAGATGTTTCGTTCATGGGGATGGATTCTTCATGAATAGATTGCCTTCCCTTGGGGGTGCATGAATTCACACTCTTGCTGGAATGGATTAATTCCAGCAAGAGTGGGCTGTTAAAAAAAAGAATCTGGCTTCCTCAGTTTTTCTCTCTCGCTTTCCCTCTTGCCATGTGATATCTTTGTTTTTCAGGTGTCTGCTCTTTTTCCGCTTTTGGCAGTGAGTGAAAGGAGTCTGAGGTCCTCACAAGAGGCTGAGCCGATGCTGATGGCCAACCTGCAAAATCCCTAGCTAAATACCCTTTTCTTTTTTTCTTTCTTTTTTTTTTTTTTGGCAGAGTCTTGCTCTGTTGCCCAGGCTGAAATGCACTGGCACAGTCTTCACTCACTGCAACCTCTGCCTCCCAGGTTCAAGCAATTCTCCTGCCTCAGGGTCCAGAGTAGCTGGGATTATGGGTGCCCGCCACGATGCCTGGCTAATTTTTGTATTTTTAGTATAGACGGGGTTTTCACCATGTTGGCCAGGCTGGTCTGGAACTCCTGACCTCAAGTGATCTGCCTGCGTCAGCCTCCCAAAGTGCTGGGATTATAGGCATGAACCACTGCACCCGGCCACCTTTTTCTTTATAAATTACCCAGTCTCAGGTATTCTGTTACAGCAACACAAAGCAGACTAAGACAATGGATAAGTGCAGAAGACAGAGGATGCAAGTTTTGGATCATCAAATATTAAGAGGAATTGAGATCCATTTCACTGGTAGAGTATATAATTTCAGAAAATAACTAGGGAAAGGAAAAAGAGGCAAAGAATACAAGTACAGTTTTATTTTGTCCATCAGGCAGTCAATGGTTTTATTACTGAATTTTTTCATAATGCAGATGCAAATGAGATGTGTTACTTATCTAGCCCCTCAAAGACCCTTGGTGCATACCTGGTATATGCAGCAGGAGAATCAAGGAATACAATAGAGTGTAGAGGAGTCAAAATAATACATGGAATTACTGAGATTTCTGCTGATCTCAGGTGATTGTGTATTTGACTTAGTGTATGGACAGGATATTTTCACACTGGGGGATTAGGCAGGCTAATATTGGACTGAGTTTCTCTATTTTAGCTTTGGTACAAGATCTCAAGCCCAAAGACATAGTCAAATGACCTTGATACCAGACTACAGCTTTGCCCAAAGACAAGTGGTTGTTCTTTAGTGATGTGGTTGCAAATCCTGTTGAATCAAATGTGTATAAGAGATAAGCTTCAGACCTCAGCAAACAAGCCTAGTTTTAGGGGCTTCTGCAAAGGTACAGATCAGGAGAGTTTTTCTTATTTAATGCAGGCTGTGTGAGTGCCTCCAACATTCTGGCTTTATAGCCATCCTGGCCCTGAAAGCTCTTGGACCTCTTTGTGCTGTGGCTTCTGAGTTGGGTTCTGCAGATGCAGGCAGCCTCAGAACTAAGACTTCCTGTGCAGATGGAGGCTTACCTAAGCAGGAACATCAGAAGTGATGTCTCAGTTTATAGACTGAAGATACTGTCTTATACTAGCCTCATACATATCAAGGAACAGAATATTTACTGTTTTTCCTCAGCTTTATTAAGGTCTAATTCACAAATTAAAATTGTATATATTTATGCTATACAACATGATATCTTCATATAGGTACATGGGAAATGACTAAATCTAACTAATAAACATATACATCATCTCACATACTTATCATTTTGGTGTGGTGCAAACATTTACGACCTACTATCTTAGCAATTTTCCAGTAAAGGGTACACTATTGTTAACTGTAGTTACCATGCTGTACAATAGATCTCCAGAGCTTCTTCTTCCTATCTAACTGAAACTCTGTATCTTGGCTAACATTTCCCTAACCCCTACCCCTGTTCCTCACAACCACCATTCTACTTTCTGATCCTATGAGTTCAACTGTTTAGATTCCACATATTAGTGAGATCATGCAGGATGTGTCTTTCTATTCCTGGTTTATTTCACTTAACCTAATGTCCTCCATGTCCATCCATGTTGTTTCAAATGACAGGATTTCCTTCTTTTATAAGGCGGAATCATATTCTATTGGAACAGATGTTTTTGGTCCATTGATGGACACTTAGGTTGATTCCATATCTTAGCTTTTGTGAATAATGCCACAAGAAACATGGAGGTGCAAATGTCACTTCCACAAACTGATGTCATTTCCTTTCGATATATATCCAGAAGAGAATATTTACTCTTTTTAAACTTCAGAGTACCAACTAAAGTTCTCTTCTGCCCAGGCTAAATAAGCTGGTGTTGACTGTACAGTCAACTCAAACTCCATCATGTGGTTACAGCAAGGAAGGAAATACTAACTCGGGATTCCCATGGCCTGTCCACATGACAGGGGAGGGTTTCTACTTATTTCTGAGTTGCTTAATCATGTAGTTTTGAGAAGCATTCGTTAGTATGTAGATGTCTTTGCCCTAGACTGTTCCATGGCAATTCCCTAGATTCCCTAGACAGATCTATAGCAAGAGTCCTGTGACATAGCACTCTGTCCCCCAAGGAAGTCATCATGCTTTGTTAATAGCTGAGAACTTGGTTGCCAGAAATACATGCCTTGAAGAGACAGAAACTAACTGGTCTTGAATATATCAGGGAAAGAGGCCATTCCAACAAAATCTGCTGCCACTTTGCATACTTATCAATGTCAAAAGAAAGCGGCAAAGAGTCCAGTGCTTTTCCTGTAGAAAGGAGATAGCATGTAGTGGAAATTTCCTCTCAGACAAAGGTAAGTTCTGGGTCCAAAGTCAACCACTTCCTGAGTCCCTGCTGCATTAATTCTTAGATGGCTGTAGTTTTCTATCAAAATTATGATCAGGTAAGGAAGTACTAGAAGGTGTTCCACTAGATTTAAAACTTAGCTTAACAGCAATTCAATCTTCCTCTGGTAATTAATATCGATTAACGTATCCTTCCACAAAAAGTGAACCACTGAATTTGCAGCCCCAAATCCTGCCCACTGAGCAGACTTCTTTCTACCTTGGGGTGGGGTTGAAAGCGTGGCTGCTGGCCTGGCTGCCTTCCAGCATGGGGAAACAGCTCCGTGCCTTTCCCCCCGCTAATGCCTGCTGTAGGGAACACCGTTGAGGACACAGAGTGGGTGCTCCATGGGGTAGCAAAGCAGAGAAGCAGGACGCTGGGGTGCCTCCTGCCTCCTCATGCAGATTATTCCTTCTTTAGGGCCTGCCTGGGACTGCTCTCAGATACATGCCTTTTAAATATGATGTCATAGGGCGTGCTGCTCTGAACATCCACTTGTGCAGTTTGTCACTTCAGCCACACCCATTGTATGGCAGACAGTTGGGGTCCTGCAGTGTTTTGGGGTCTACGGTCAGTCTCTACCAAGGCCCAGTTACAAGTAAGGAGCTGGTTTTCAATTAGAGAACTTCTGGCAACATAGAACGCCAGAGCCTGACTCCATAATCCTTGTGCTTTGCCCTTTCTCCTGTTGCCATTTTTCAGACACCAAATAGCATTTTGTGTCTGCTCCAGACACTGCTAAGACTAACAGTCCTGCCAGGTCCCAAGGCCTAAGTCCCAGGGCACGTTGCACAGCTGCCTAGAAGTTCTTTGGTGCTGTTCCTTTTCTCATTCAAAACCACCAGGCTACTGCTTCCCAGGGCAAGTGAGTGGAAGAAACACACCCCAAACTCTCCCCAAGTTTGCTGCATCTTTATATTTTGTGGAGGATACAAGGTAAAGTCACCCACCTCCCATTTGGTTAGAATAGATATCCTAATACACTATCCCTCTAGAAATGTCACAGTATGACAAACCCTAAAATTTTGTAGAGTTAATCTCACACCTCTGGCAGGCTTATTACAGTATCTGGTGCTTATTACTTGCTATTCACTGGATCAAGGTAGAATAATGTCTACAATATAGTAAGCCAGAAATAAATGATATGGGATGTGAAGCTAACCAAAGTCCCTCTGAACTATATTTTAGGAACTAGCAGGATAGTGGTTACAGTCTTGAAGCAAAACAATGAAGCTACATTTTTGTCCCTGCTATGTAATTGAAACTTGCTTTTGAATTCCCTTCCTGACAAGACTTTCTAGGCCAATAGCCCTGCCAAGTGTGTGTGTGCATGATGGGGGCGGATTGTTGGTTTCTCCAGTAAACATATCCAATAAGACCGCCTTCATGATCATCAGTCCCTGGTTCAGTTTATGACCATCCACAGCCATACTTCACCACACACCTCGGGTTTATAGTGGTTAATCCAGTAAATGAGGATGTGGCGGGAATGAGTCTTTAAGGCAACACTAATTTCTGGACATTCTCCAGGGATGTAATTTTGCTTTTGCTTTCTTATTGTGATATGGCAGAGGGCTTCCATTTAGTTTTCCTTATCACAACAACCTTCATCCCCAGGGCCAGAGAGCTGATATGGGAATTCTGCAACCTGGGACTGAGAAAACAACCACAGTATGAACCCATGCTCCAACTGGGACACATAGTTAGACAGATTGGGGCCAAGGCCTTATTCTGACTAGTGAGCCATTTTTGCATTGCAGATCTCTGAAAGCCATAAGCTCATGTGAAGCCGCCCTCTAACAGGCTGATGATTATTTTCATTTAAAGAGAGATCATCATTACTTTGTCATTGCCGCAGAACTGGAGACGCCAGAGAAAATACAAGATGCTTGTTACATTTGGACTTTAGATGAATAACAAATGTTTTTCAGTTACATATTGCATTAAACATACTGATATCAAAATGCTATTTGTTGTTTACCTAAAATTCAGATTTTTCTGGACATCTTGTGCCTATTCCTCCTAAATCTGGCAATTCTGCAGAGGGCTGGGCTTCTTCCAAAGATGTCCTTCCTGTGTCCCTTATCTCACAGCATTTCCATCTGAACAGTGCCACCCATCCTTTTGGGGATTTGGTCAAAACATTCATGGGAATAAGTTTAAAGACATCATCAGAAATTCATCCACGGTGTGGCACAGTCCTCTACTATTACCTTACCACAGAGATAATTGAATCATAGGGGTGGGTCTTTCCTGGGCTGTTCTTGTGGTAGTGAATAAGTCTCACGAGATCTGATAGTTTTCAAAACAAGAGTTTCCCTGCACAAGCTCTCTCTTCTCTTGTTTGCCACCATGTGAGATGTGCCTTTCACCTTCCGCCATGATTGTGAGTCATGCTTTACCCCAGGTGAAGAAAGTAGGAGTTGGAGAGGAATGTATAGACAGGCCCCAGGTAAAATCAGTTTTGTGTGGTCAGTTTGCACTGAGTTCAGCATGTACCCTCAGTTTTCACATGTTTCTGAGATGTCACTATTTTCCTTCTGAAAAACTGCATGTGAAGATAATAAACAAGTCATGATTATTCCACTGGAATTTAGATATAATGTGAAGACAGTATAGACCTAGTTCTATCTTCAATATTCAGTTCATCAGATGCTTCACTGTAGTCTCCATGGAAAATATAGGTTACTTTTTTTTGTATAATTTGTATGTAAAGGAACATATTTGTATTAGTTTGTTTTCACGCTGCTGACAAATCATACCTGAGATGGGCAATTTACAAAAGAAATAGGTTTATTGGACTTAGAGTTCCACATGGCAGGGGAGGCCCCATAATCATGGCGGAAGGTGAAAGGCACATCTCAAATGGGGGCAAACAAGAGAAAAGAGTGCATGCAGGGAAACTCCCATTTTTAAAACTATCAGATCTCATAAGACTTACTCACTACCAAGAGAATAGCATGGGAAAGACCCTTCCCCATGATTCAATTATCTCCCAGCAGGTCACTCCAACAACATGTGGGAATTATGGGAGCTATAAGATAAGATTTGGGTGGGGACACAGAGCCAAACTATATCAATAGTAGAATGTACTTGATTCAATTTAGGAATCCCAGTCAATGCTACAATTTCTAAATATAACTTATTTTATTTCCTTGGTTTTGCTTTTGTGTTATAAGTTGAAGGAGTGCTATATTATTGGGAAAAGCTTGACTTTGGAATTAGAAAATGATGGGTTCTAATTAATATTCAAGGGAAATCACCATCACACTGCAAGTTTCAAGTTGCCATTAGTCAAATGGAAATAAAGTGACCACATATAGCTGTAGAATAATTACATAAACAACATTTGAATAATAATTAGCAGACCAAAATGACCAATATCTCATTATTGTCATTATTATTATCATTACTAACAGGACTACTTTTTCCTATACAAGTTGTAAATAAATAGAGAAATAAGTCAAGTGAGTGGTAAGGGAAATGAACATACCCCCACTGGTATTGTTAGGGTTGTGTTAATATTATTAAGGATGTGCCAGTTCAGTGCATATGGCAGATTCTGGCATGAGGAGCAGAGGGCACTTGCTCCCAAAAAATGCTGCTTTCCCCTAGGGAATAAAGGGAGACCCAGTGTATCCAGGTTTTTCTTCTAAAGTCTACCAGTGAGTTTCACAGTTGCACAAGTGAAGGGTAGAGAACAAGTGATAGTGTTTCCCCGATCATAGACTTCCCCCTAGATTCTTTTTACCCATTTCTCCCCTGGTCAGCCTGGGAAGCTGAGGTGAATGAACTGAAGGCTGTCTCTCTTCCTCATTGAGTTTAGCCAATGGCAAGCTCTACCAGGAATTTAAGGAGGGAGTAGAGAGATGCCAGAGTATTCATAAGCCTGGCTTCCTCCTGAGGAGGTTACCTGAGTCCCTTCACCTGGGCTATCTGAGACAGAAAGTCACTGCTCTTCTTTAGGAAGAGATTCATTATCAGCACTGTATTAGTCAGGGTCTCCAGAAAGACAGAAGAAATAGGTACACACACATACACACAAGTATGTACATATATATTTACCATATATAATATGGTATGTACAATGTATATATTGTTGTTATATATAAAATGTAAAATGTAATAAAATATAAAAGTATGTGCTATATTATATAAAATTGCATATATTATATAATTGATAATATATAATATATTAATATTTTATATATCATTGTGTTTATATATAATTTAATCTTATTAATATATTATGTTGTCTTATATATAATATATTAATATATAACACACTATATAATGATATAGATATTATAGTGTATATTATATAAACAGAGAGAGAGGAGGAAGAGAGAGACTAATTCATTGTAAGGAATTGGTTTATGTGAATGTGGGGGCATTCGGGTCTGAAATCTGCAGGGCAGGCTGGCAGGCTGGTGGCCTAGGGAGACTTGATCTTGCAGTCTCACATCTGAAGGCTATGTGGAGGCAGAATTTCTTCTGCCTTGGGGAGCCTCAGTCTTTACTTTTAAGGCCTTCAGCTGATTGGAGGAGCACCCACATTATGAAGGGTCATCTGCTTTACCCAAAGCTACTGCTTTAAATGTTAATTTCATCTGAACAACACCTTCATAGTGACATTTGGACTGGTGTCTGATAAAAAACTGGGTACCATGGCCCAGCCCAGTTGACACATAAAATTAATCATAGCAGTGGCTCTCTGCTGGGTTCCAGCAGCTGCTCCATTCCATCATCTCTCTGGTCTCAGGTGTGACTACAGCTAGGCCACTATGAGTTCCAGGTTGTTGCACTATCATTGTGTACTCTGTACTCCAGGATTTGTAGGGAGTCTCTTCATATGCAAACACTCCTCAAAGTATTATATTTTTCATATACCGCATGCTTTGTCTTGAGCCTTTCACTAATATAATAATTGCTATGAGAGAGTATCCCACAATATGAATGCTCAAAATGAAATTCTGAGATCATATGTAATCACATATAATCAAAGAACATATTATATGGTCCTATATGGGGAATCATCTTGAGGGAGGATGGAAAATGGGTAAATGATGCTATGTGATGGCTGCAGTTTAATTATCACGCTGGTGGCATGGGAAGCAGGTCAGGTGGAGGTCGAGGTGACAGTTCCAATGGCTGAGATATTTAACTGCTGAGGACAAACCAGAGAGCAATACATGGAGAAAAGGCAAAATGGAAAACTCTGATCATGGACTGCAGCTTCTCATCCTAATGTTGCTCAGGCAGATGCATCTGAGTAACAAACCAGGAGCTGATTGTAAGGATCTGTTTTTACCTTTCCTCAGAAAATTTATTCCAAATTTTAGAAAATTAATTTCAAACAGATTTAAAACATATGTGAATAAAAGAAAAAATGCACTAAAGGGGCCACAATGAGCCGTCAGAGCCATGCAAGGCAAAATTACCAAACAAATCTACTGGAACGAACCTGTCAGAAACAGGGCAAGTTCCATTCTGTAGAGTCACGGATGCCTTTTATTCTTAATTAACTCAGACTCCTGCTTTAGAGTAGATCTCTGTGGATGTTGAAGGCTTGCAAAAGAATACCTCTGCCTGTAAATTTGCTCTCATAGACTCCATGTAAGAAGGCAGAGCCAGCCAAATACATAGGCTTCCTCTGAGAGCTTGCTATGAGACCGTGACAGGGTAGGAGAACAGTGTCTGAGCCCCTCTCCTGTCAATTACAAACCTCTCCAACTGGTGTGCACATGGAGCCCTGATACCTGCTCTGTTTCAGATACAAAGAAAATGGTGTGTCTCTAGTGTAAGGGATTCTCAGGAAGGTGAACATTTTGGCTCTTTTCATTTTGTTTTCACCACCCACCCCTCAAAAACAAAACAAAATAAAAGTGACCATGAGTCATAATATGATTAAAGGAGAGAGCAGTTTTATTCTTAAGATGTAATTTAATGCTTTGTTAGGATCCAAAAATATAATTTAGCTGATGAGACCTAGAATTCAAAATGCATTAGAAAAACAAATCATAAATCACAGAATAGCAAGAGATGAAAATTGATTATCAATCTGCTGTTGAACATATCAAGCAAACTCCCTTAAAAGGAGTCTTTAAAGTTGCAATGGAAACAATTTTGATTAATGCATTATGTTCACCACCCCCAATTTTAAGGATTGACAGGAATGACTGCCTTCTTCATAAATGAAGAAACTTGAGGAGAGAATAGAAGCAAAATGCAAAGGCCTTTCAAAAGGATGGGTTTCTTAATTTTCTTGTCAACCTAACTGCTGGTAACTCGGATGAAAAGAAAGGTTAATCTTATAATCCCAGGGTTTATGCATGTGGTTGCAGAGGTGGACGTGTAACTGACAAGAATGTACCAGGCATGGCCCAGCCTTTCCTCCAAGCACAGGGCTCACTGTGTATTTCAATGTCCATTGTTTGATTTTCTTGTCATTATTGCTTTACCTTATGAAAAATGCCACTTGAGTCATTTTAAATACCTTAAGGTCATAAATCTCCCTTCATTTTAATTAGAACATTTGCAAAAGAGCAGGGGTCACACTTTAAAGCTTTGTACCATCTTCTGGAGGACATGTCACTGGTTACTCTTAGGATTGGGAAGTTGAGATCTTTATAACCCAAGATAGTTATCTCTTTTTCTGGACTCACTTGCTTGCAGCTATTTTCTAGAATACTGGCATCCAAAGATGAACAACACACGTCAGAACATTAGCAATATTGATAAAAATAACATGATAACGTAATCTATCTTCTAAAACAATTTTGCTGCATTAAGACTATTGTAAATTAACTTACTACATTGTAAGTGCTGTTGCTAGTACTTCTACCATGTTGTTGACTAATAGCCTCACACCAGGCACCATTTTTAAGGATGGAGGATGCAATCCCAGGATATATTCTATAAATCCTCTCTATGTAACCTGTCACAGGTTGTTAAAATAATGCTATGTTTAATCAACTAAATCTGACACCAAAAAGTAAGAGAGCTGCAACCTTCACTCATAAGACAACGCAGAGCAGGAAGAGAGGGTTTCTCTGTAATGTGTCAAAATTCATGACATCAAATAATAATTGTGAAGAATGACAAATGGAAGATGCTGGGATTATGGGAAAAGTGAGGAAATTGCAGCAGGCCTGAGTACTGAGATTATAAATGGCATCGGCGGCAGCCTTGCTAACAGCCTCTCCTTTTGTCTGGGGAAGCAAAGTCACAAACCAAGTTGTTCATAGCAATGACTGCCACTACTTTGCCATGTGTCCTTCCTGGAGGAAGCTCTGCACAATTCATTATGTCCCATGGGTTAGTTCATTCTCATTATGTGGTTTCTCTCAGATTTGCCATCATTTACTTGCCAGCTCTCTATCCTGTTATTAAATGTAGAAGAGACGAGAATGATTTCTTTCCATACGCCCAACTCAAGGTCTTGAAGCATTTGTTTAGGCTACAGTATATAATTGGCTAAATATTCTCCCCTAAAATATAGAAAGGACTTTAATTTTAACCAATTTGTCAAGTGTCATGAATTTTTTAAAAGACTATATTTAGTGTGAAAAGCCCTCTGGCTCTTCTCAACCAGTGTCTGACAGTGGAGAGAAGCAAATGCAATATTAGAAAACCCAGTGGGATCGCCAGAAAATGTCTAGGAGAAGACTCCTAAATGTGGAAGGAAACAATTTAGGATTTGCAGTCATTTTAATGTCATTACGGGGCATTGCAGCTGTTGTGATCCATTTACGAGGAACATCTGATGAGAGTGAAATGTCACATGTCACACTGCTGTGCCTCTCTCCCCTTGCATGCCAGAGAACATCACCCTAAACAGAAACATCACCCTGAAGAGAACGGCTGGGGATTTGGGTAATTGAGACTTGCTGACAGTCAAGGGCAGCTATCATCTCAGACAAGTACATTGCATTCGTATCGCTGGTGCCCAGCTCACAGTTTACCATTTCTTGCCCAGACTCCTACAATTGCTGCCTATCTATTAGCTTTACCTCCATACTGAAGTTCCTAGTTTTCCCTCCTTTACTTGTAACTATGTGCATTTCCTATATGTTTTCTTGCTCAATAAAAGTCCAATATGTTTTCTTGCTCAATATTTTGGGGGTCACAAGTAATTTAACACTTAATATTTTATTTAACTCTTAAAATGACCTTGAAAGATAATAGGTAAGTTATTTTCCCACCTGAAAAACTCATGTTCAGGAAGATAAATGCATATATTATTTTCCTCTAGACACAGAGCTGATCAATGATAAATACTTTTAAAATTTATTTTACTTTGCCATTTTTAAGATTGTAGGCGAAAGATAGTAAGCTATAGGGATAGGTTTAGATTTGTGAGTGGTAAAGTCAACACTGTTAGAAAACTGGGCATTTATCAGTTAAGGTAGTGCTTTGGAAAGTCAAGCTCTGTTGTTTGTATTCATTTATTTTTTAAGGATAGGAAAGATAGTGCAGCCTCCTTTGAAAATGGAGCAAAATCCTCTGAGACCGCGTATTTTCCAAAAAGCTGTAAAAGTATGGCTTGTTCCTGAACGGAGTCAATGACAAGGAGAACTATCCAAGCCGTGATTTTTTTTTTTTTTTTACTATCTTCTATTCTTCAGTGATTTTTAAAAATCGCCAATATTCAGACCCCGTCATAAATATCTTATCTGGGAATTTCTCATAAGCATCAAAGAGAGCATGCTGTGATTCAGAAGAAAAATATAGGATGAGCCTTCAGAACTCCATTTTAGCTCATTAATTCCTAAACCAGCTGGAAATGGTGTGAGTCCACCCTTCATTCAGTCTGCACAGGACCTGTTTCTTCTCTAAAGTCAGTTTCCTACCCAGCATGAGCCCTCCAGGGGACTTATATTGATGCAGGCTGTGCCGCTTGGACCAACGAAGATAGAAGAGAGTAATGCAGGAGTGTGGCTCATTAGACTTTTATACCAGGAATCTCATCGGAAAGAAAGTCCAAGCCCCACACAAATCTCACTCATTCTCTGTTTCATTCCTTTCAGCCACATGGATTTTCATGAGTGCTAGCATGTCTTGGGCCTTGAGATCCAGGAGGCCAGGCTGGATGTGCACTAGCTCTCAAGCCTACCAATGCAGTCCTCTTGTCACTCTTTGTAGGCTGTTGGAGGGGAGAAGGCTCAGGATGCATACTGTCCATACTGTTATCTACTATGATCCCTATGACCTGGGCTAGTAATCATCTGAACCAGCTGTTGAAATACACCCATACTAGCTCTGGTTATTGCAATCACTAAATAGGTGCTGCCCAAGCCCTCGTTCTCCCTGCTGTCCTGGCTGACTCAATTCTGGTAAACCCCAACTGGGCGTGGCTGGGAGCTGCTTGGATGGCCTCCACCCTGCCAGCCAACTTGCTGGCCCACCAACTGGCTTGATGCCATTTTCATTAGCTGTCCCTGTCCCCACATGTGCCCAAAGGCATAGGAAGCCTGAACATGGGTATGGGCTAACAGCCCGTCTCTTGTAGTAGAATCTCAGTGGCAAATGTTCTGGGTTCTTTGGTGATCACCTGATGCTGGAAGCTTCTCCTCTGATTCTCCCCTGGCACACTGAGATTTCTTCTATTTCCCAAACTGCAAGAGGCCACCTAAATTAACCAAACTTGATGTCTAGGCTTTTAAAACAAAAGCACTGGCAATACTAGCAGAAGTGGAAGAAAAAAGGCCTCCTTTACCTTTCTCCTGCCACCTATAATTCCAGATGAGTGACTTTTTATGGACCAGACCCCACAGGTGTGATAACTCTTGGCCCAAAGAGAGTGACGTAAAAGAATAAACTATTCTTAGCTGGAGTCTTTGCTGCTGGCCTGTGAGGGGACTCATGGTTATTTGCCCAACGAAATATTGGTGATCAGTAGACACTTGTGAACATTTTGTGGATATATATATATGTATAGACACACATATACACATATACACATATATTTATCAGTGTTGATGAGATTTAACCAATTTATACATATATGTATACATTTATACATATATATGTTTACATGTATAAATTTTATACATATACATATACAAATATGTATGTATAAATGTATACATATACTTATATGTATGTATAAATTGGTTGTCTCATCAACACTGCTAAGGTGATGCTTACCTTGAAACATCTGAATGCAATACGTGAAATCGAGTCTATTCTATTCAAATAATATAAACATCAATCAAGCAAAATAGACAAAACTGTTTTTAATGTAGTTTACATTGTAGTGAGTGGAAAAGAAAAGAAGCAAATAAGAAAAAAAAATGTAAATTACATGGTATAGATAAAACTGGTAAAGAGAATGAGGGATCAGGAGGTAAAATTTCACAGAAACATTTATGTAATGGCCAGAAGAAGGTGATGCAAGTATGTCTGCCAGAGGAGATACAGGTGTGAGATCAAGGCCCTGAGATGAGAGCATAATTAGCGTTCTGGAGGAAAAGCAGGGAGGGAAATCTAACTGATTGAACTTGGAGAAGTGTTGGAGGGCTGGACTGTGAGGTATTACAGTCATTGAAGTGCTTTCAGGATTACCCTGAGTATGATGGGAGCCACAGAGGAGGTGTGGTCTGCAAACTGATATGATACAGAATATTTTACAAGGATTACTCACTGCACTTTTGAGGATACACTGTAGGGTCATTGGGGTAGACTTAGAGAAACCAGTTCAGAGGTTGATCACAATAGTCCAGGGGAATGCGGAACGTGGCTATGGCAGGGCAGTGGGATAAGAGGTGGTGATACCTGGTCAGCATCTGAATCTACTCTGAAGGTAAAATGGAAGGTGTTTTATTAATGGAATGGATGACAGACAGAGAACTATAGATCACTGCCAAGGGCAGAAACTGAGCAATGGGGATATGGCATTGCAGTGAGATAGGAACAATGGAAGGAAAAGGGATTCAGGGGTAAGCTAGGAGAGGGAGATCAGCAAATGAATTTAGCATTGTGGAGTTCATGACACTTGTAACTATCTAAATGAATATATTAAGGAAGCAGGGTGGGTAAACAAGACCAGAGTTTAGGGTAACGTCTATGCTTTAGATATGCATATGGATTCATCAGTATATAGATGAATGTATATGAAACCAGAGGATGTATATGAAGCCAGAGTGTAGTCCAAGGATTGAGCTGCTGGGTATTCCAAGTTTTAGAGGCTGGGAGATGTGCAGATGCAGAGAAGAAAATTGAAAAGGAACATTCTGGCCAGGCGCGGTGGCTCACACCTGTAATCCCAGCACTTTGGGAGGCTGAGTGGGCAGATCACGAGGTCAGGAGATCGAGACCATCCTGGCGAACATGGTGAAACCCCATTTCTACTAAAAACACACAAAAAAATTAGCTGTGCATGGTGGCGCGTGCCTGTAGTCCCAGCTACTCAGGAGGCTGAGGCAGGAGAATTGCTTGAACCTGGGAGGCGGAGGTTGCAGTGAGCTGAGATCGCGCCACTGCACTGCCGCCTGGTGACAGAACGAGATTCTGTCTCAAAAAAAAAAAAAAAAAAGAAAAGAAAAGAAAAAAATGAAAAAGAACATTCAGCAAGCTAAAATTAAAACCAGCAGAGTATGTTGTCTTGGAAGAAAGGTAGCAAAGGTGTTTCTGGAAGGTTGGTGTAAAGAGCAACAGTGCTGACAATCAAGGGAGATGAGGACCAGTTTCTGTCCACCAAGGTTCACATGTCGAGGCCACTGGGGATCTCGCCAAGAGCACTTTTGGTTTGGAGAACATTGACACATCTAATTGATAATACTAAACACCAACAAACCAAACAAAACACAGCAAAACAAAACCCCAAATCTACAAATAATAAATATTGTGAAGCTCATACGAAAGGTGAACAATTATTAAAGCTTTGTATTTCATGACAAAGGAATTACTTAACAGGAACCTTATTTAGGAAAGCCTGCATAACTCCAAGTTGCTCCTGGCGTCAGTATGCACGGTCCTTTGCCTTTACAATCTCTCCAAAGGCCAGTTCTGACTGTCACTTAGCGACAGGAGCTCATGGGGTGCACTTAGCTCTCAAGAAACTGCTAATGTTTGTCCACCATCATTTCACTGGAGTACGGGAAATGTGTTCTCTGAGAGCTCTGGAAACATCTGCCATAGTCTTGCTGTTTGTTGACCCCCACAGAGAGAGCCCCAGAGCCTCACTGAAGTTGTTCCTTTCTTCCTTCCCATGCAAGTGGGTTACAATCCAGCTTAGAATTATGGTGTGTTTTTCTCTCTAGCTAATTGAAGAGGGAGCTAGGCCCTGTAGTGCCTTGCCATGTCGTCTTTGGACAGAAGTAAACCACAGTCACCTTTTCTTCTCATGGTTTTCCCTCAGAGCAGATGAGTGAAAAGACATGATGTGTACTGTGGTAGGCAGGCCCTACCCTGCTCCCAGAATCTCACTGCCTGTCATTTAGGCCTCTGTGTTCCTCTCCCACAGTGAATAGAGCTGAGCTGTGTAAGTTATAGAATATAGCAAAAACGACTGTTCAAGTTTTATTGTTGTCCATTTTTGCATAACAAATACAGATTATCTCCCTATTTTTGTAGGTCAGGGATCAAGAGTGTCTTAACTGGTTCTTATGGCTGAGTCCCTCAAAAAGCTGAAGTCGAGTTAAGACTTGACTGAGCTGGGAGGGTTCATTTCTAAGCTCACCCAGGCTTTGCTGTTAGTATTCATTATCTCACAAGCTGTTTGGCTGGGGCCAAATGTCTAAGGCGTCTGGCAGTTCTGTGTCCTGTTGTCCTCTCTACAGGGCAGCTAACAACATGGCAGTGTGTTTTATCAAAACAAGCAAGTGAGAAGGAGATGGAGGGGTAGAAAGAAAAAGGAGAAGAAAGAGGGAGAAACAGAGCAAAAGAGAAAGAGGAGAAAAAGGAGAAGGAAGTGAGCGAGAGAGAGAATGTATGTAATATGTAAGCAGGACACAAGACTATTTTGTAATCTAACCTAAGAAGTGGC
Source organism: Homo sapiens (assembly GCF_000001405.40). Taxonomy (NCBI): domain Eukaryota; kingdom Metazoa; phylum Chordata; class Mammalia; order Primates; family Hominidae; genus Homo; species Homo sapiens. The sequence goes on from NC_000007.14 coordinate 52,255,118, forward strand.
ATCCCATCATTCTAGTCTATCCACTAAAGCAAGTCACAAGGTCCAGTCCACACACGAGAAGGGATCACATCAGAGGTAAATACCAGCAGGTGATGATGATTAGGAGCCATTCGAAAAGCTGACAGCCATACAGGGTTACATAATAAAAGATATCTCAGCTTCCAGTTTTTCCTCTGGGAACCCCAAAGTGGCCGTTTGGAGATGCTCATTAGCAGGAACTAAGGCTTCCTGCAAAGCACTGACATTAACTTGCCAGGCCTATGAAAAAACTACCTTAGGAGTGGATCCTCCAGCCCCAGTCAAACCTTCAATGACTGCTGGCTCCAGAGAATATCTTCATTGCAACCGCATGAGAGATAGTTAAGTCAGAGCCACCCAGCCAATCTGCTCCCAAATTTCTGATCCACAGAAACTGATTGAGTATTTTGCAGGTAGTTTGTTACACAGTGGTAGAGAGCTAATGTATTTATACTTTTGCCCCCAGAGGCTCTCCATGGGACTCTCTGGCAGTATCATGACCAGAAATGCTTTCATGAGTATATCCACTAACTGAATCTGTAAATACTCTTTATCCTCGAAAGGTCCTTCATTCTTCCTGTAAAAAACTGTGGGAATAACTGATTGAAATTGTCACCAGAACAAGCAACAACAGGGTTTGAGGATTAAGTGTGAAAAATTCAATTCTTTCTAGAAAATGTCCAGAGCTTTAGGCTAAAGTTGCATCATTTGTTTTGAAGCTGATGGGCTGAAATCCTAGAGCATGTCAGGAATTTTACTCAGTTTTGAGTTACTGTATAGTGAAAGGAAAAGAACTTTAGGTTCTCTGCAGCAGGTGAATGGCTTTTTTCTTTTTTTTTTTTTTTTTTTTTTGTGAGACGGAGTTTCGCTCTGTCGCCCAGGCTGGAGTGCAGTGGCGCGATCTCGACTCACTGCAAGCTCCGCCTCCCGGGTTCACGCCATTCTCCTGCCTCAGCCTCCCGTGTAGCTGGGACTACAGGCGCGCGCCACCATGCCCGGCTAATTTTTGTATTTTTAGTAGAGACGGGGTTTCACCGTGTTAGCCAGGATGGTCTCGATCTCCTGACCTCGTGATCCGCCCGTCTCGGCCTCCCAAAGTGCTGGGATTACAGGCGTGAGCCACCGCGCCCGGCCGTGAATGGCTTTTTTTGGACTGAAGAAAATCCAGCTTGCTGCTTTGCTAAGGACCTCACTTACTCAGCAGGCTGCCTGAAACACCAGAAAGGAATTAACAGCAGCATTGAAATTCAAAGGTTTCTCCAATTGTAAGTGATCTTTTTTGATTTTGATATGTGTCTGTTTCCCACTGGAGTTAGTGAGAAAGGTGAGCTAGGTTCTTCACCCCTCCTAGGGCATTCTTAAGAACTCTGCCTTCCCCACACCCTTGCCCTGAAGGGTAGGCATACAATTCCCCCCAGCCCAAGCCCATGGAGTCTACACACACACACACACACACACACTCACTCATGAACATAGAGACAAAGAGAATGAGAGCCTGTCTGGTCCCTTCAGACTGCTTTGCTGATTTTGATTTACAGACCATATTGTAGCCTTTGCTCATTCCATTTATAGAACATAAATATTTCTTAGCCTCACAGTACTAACAGATAACATTTCTTTCTTGAATGTGCCATTTATGTTACCTCCTAACATCACAGTTATCTCTAAGGCATCTACATCAGGAGAAAATCAAAGTTAGTAATATCGACCCTGAGATTGGAATCCCCATCATTCCCTAAACAGGGAGAATGACCTCCTTACCTTTATTGACCTCAAGTTAGAATTCAGCTTTGAATTCCCAGTCTGGGTATCCATAGCCATAAAATTTCTGAATATCTTTAGGGAAGTCAAGTGGTATGAAAATACTTCAGTAGGTGGCTCTCCAGTTTCTGATTTAACTTGCGCTTAAATTTAGCTTCTTAAGTATCTTCTTAAGGGAAAGTAGTTCAGCAGGAGCCAAATACAATTGAAGTGCCTATCTCATCAAGTTGTGAGATCATCTAGGCGCTATTTCTTTCCCCAACTCTTTCTTTTCTTTTCTCATGAGTCTTAATTCTGTTTTTTATCTGGATATTAAAAAATAATCTGAGCCAACTTGGACAAATGCCATATTCTCCTCTATGATGCATTTTGCTTTGACTTGCATCACCATGTTATAAATAAGACAAGCACGCATTTCTGGTACATGTATTCTATGCCCCACTTATGTAATGCATTAGGTTGAAGAAAACATATACACATAGGCTGTATCCTGAGGGTCATTATAGCCTGTTGGGGAGATGAAAGTTCCATCATCATAGCTAACACCTATTGATATGATTTGGGTTTATGTCCCTACCCAAATCTCATGTCAAATTATAATCCCCAGTGTTGGAGAAGGGGCGTGGTGGTAGGTGATGGAATCACAGGGGCAGACGTCCCCCTGGCTGTTCTCTGAGTAGTAAGTTCTCATGACATCTGGTTGTCTAAAAGTGTGTGGCACCTCTTCCTTCACTCTCTTCCTCCTGCTCCGGCCATGTGAAGACATGCCTTCTTCTTCTTTGCCTTCTGCCATGATTATAAATTTCCTGAGGCCTCCAGCCATGCTTCCTGTACAGCCTGTGGAACTGCAAGCCTATTAAACCTCTTTTCTTTATAAATTATCCAGTCTCAGGTATTTCTTTAAAGCAGTGAAAGAACATACTAATACACTTACTGAATAACAGGCTGGGCACTGTTTTGAGTGCTTTGGTATAGGAACTTCTTTACTCATCATAACAATCTTAGGAAGCAGGCACTATTAGTATCCTCTTCTCCAGATGTGGAAGCCGAGGTAAGTTGTTAGGAACCTTATCCAAGGTAATGGCTAGCAGTTGACAGAGTGGGATAAGTGCCTCAGAGTTCTAACTCCTGAACCCTGGATCTTAGCCACTATAGTAAACTGCCTCTCCAAAAGCAAGTCAATTAGGGCTTTATCAGTCCCTGCTGCTCTTGAGAATGGAATTTCAGAAAATGTGCCAGGATTGGGCACTTGCCAGAATCAGGATTGAAGCTGTCCACTAAACCTTTCTCTGCTAGAGCCTTCCCAGCAGCCAATGCCAAGCAGATCCTCGCTCCTATCCAATTCCTTTCCCACTCCATGCCTTTGCTAAGGTAGTTCACAGCCTGTGATCTCCTTCACCTCGATAAGTCATGGACCCACTTTCAAGTTGTAACTAAAATTCCTTCTCCTTCTTTGTGCATCTTTTCTAATCTAGCCAAGGGTGAACACCTTTTCTAATCTACCCAAGGGTGAACGCTTTCTTTTTTTTTTTTCCTTCTAGCAAATCTTCCTAACGTCACTCAAACAAATTTGAGTGCCTTGAAGCAAGAGGTATTTTGACATAAGACAGGGTTGTGTAGAAGACATTAAAATCAGGGTGATAATATTTAAGTTTAATCATCTATTTAATAGAACTCTTTCTTAGGGTCATGGAAACTGTCAGTGATATTAAAAATGGTTAACTGTTTCAGGGTCATTAATCTGGCAGAAAATGAACAATGGATTTCAGGGACAGACTAAATTAAGTTGAAGTTGCATAGTGAAGGGACTCAGTATATTTCTTAAGAGAATACAATTAATTAAAAACAAAGAAGTACTAATGACTAGAAAAGTAAGGGACAGTAACTGGCCCATAGGAATTGACCTAATGTATACAGACAGAAAAAGCAGATAATTTGCATAACCTATTTATTTCAAAGAAATATGCAAAATATATCTTCTCCCCATCCCAGGACCCAGGAAGCTTAGTTCTGAGGGAAAGCTGATATGCCTTACAGACTCCCACAATTCCTCATTGGGTCACATTTTTCACACTCTATTTACATCTAACTTTCTACAAAACTGCATTACAAATATAACTACTTCTCTAAATAACTTGTAGCTTCTTGGGGACAAGTTCCCATTTCCTCACTTTGTCAAGGGAGGTGTGACATACAGCAGGTGGGAGGCACATCATCTTGAGATCTCGGCCCAGCTTTTATTTTCCATAATGTGTACATCCTTACAGATTAAATAGCACAAACTGAGTATTTGAGAATATGCTTCACTTACTAGTGAGAAAAAAAATTAATAAATGAATACTTCAGGCCCAGAAGAGGGAGAAGAGATAACCAAGCAAATGGAATGGGTCTGTCGGGTGTCACAGCTAAAGGGCCTACCCTTCGTTTCTCAGGCAAAATTGTATCCAGGGTAAGAGACCCCAGTTATGGGAAAAGTGCTGCTTAGTGAGTCTATGCAGAGATCTCCCAGAATTCTCAGCATAATTCTCTTTCTAGTTCTTCAGATAAGCACAGGAGCAGGTGAGCACAAGCTGTACCTGGAAGGGTCTGGTAGACCAGAATAAGAGTCAAAGAACAGACAGGACCGTGGGCACGTGACCAAATGTCAGATGCTTGTGTTGACGTATACATTTGAGAAAGAGTTTTGGCCTCCATCCATAATATTCTAAAAATTAGATAAAATCTTGTATAATGGGGAGAGGTTGGAGGGACTCTTTACTAAAGAACAGGTTTGTAACTACTCTGGAGAAGTGGGAATTTAAAATGTAAATTAAGTCTGGGTGCAGTGGCTCACGCCTGTAATCCCAGCACTTTGGGAGACCGAGGTGGATGGATCACTTGAGGTCAGGAGTTTGAGACCAGCTTGGCCAAACACGGTGAAACTCTATCTCTACTAAAAATATAATAATTATCTGGGATTAGTGGCGTGTGCCTGTAATCCCAGCCACTTGGGAGGCTGAGGCAGGAGGATCACTTGAGCTCAGGAGGTAGAGGTTGCCATGAGCAGAGATTGTGCCACTGCACTCCAGACTGGGTGACAGAGTGAGACTCTGTCTCAGAAAAATGTAAATTAAGTTTAATCTTAGAAAATTAAAATCGTGTTTTCCACATCCAAGTTGTCAACAGAGTTTCATACCTACTATGTGTGGAAGCACTCAAAGAAGAAAATAAATATGACTGTCAGTTCCACCACCACAAATGAACCACTGCTGAAGTGTCCATGCCCTTCTTCGCAGTTTTCTTTTCTGAGGTATTTATGTGTTAACAAACAAAACAGCAGCACAAATTCTTAGTCATCTCTGCTAAGCCTCTTAGGGGAAGAGCGCCATCTGCCTTCACGAGTAGATGTTTAACAACACTTCCTTAGACGCCTCCAGTGCATGTCCTGAAAGAAGAGGGAGTCACAAAGGGGATTTGAGGTAGCTGAATTTTCTAGAATAGATTTGAGAGTAAAAAAGAGAGATATCAAAATAACAGAGGAATGTGGTGCCATGAAATGTCTTAGATGAGAAATCTCCATTGTCAGGGATTTTTCAAAGACATTTCAGGAAGTCCATCTCGAGTATACAGTTCCACTGGGTTTGAACTGTGCTTCACTCCAATTTCTCTCCACTACATAACATAATCTATAAAAGTGGCCTTATTTGATAACTTCTGTTGTACTTTTGAGAGCTCTTTTCCAGGTAATGGTTGATCAAAGCTCAGAGAGAGAACAGCTGGGACTACGATGCAGGCGGTTAAAAAAAATAAAAATAGGCCCGGCGCTGTGGCTCACGCCTGTAATCCCAGCACTTTGGGAGGCCGAGGTAGGCGGATCATGAGGTCAGGAGATTGAGACCATCCTGGCTAACACAGTGAAACCCCATCTCTACTAAAAATACAAAAAATTTAGCCGGGTATGGTGGTGGGCGCCTGTAGTCCCAGCTACTTGGGAGGCTGAGGCAGGAGAATGGCGTGAACCCGGGAGGCGGAGCTTGCAGTGAGCCGAGATCGCGCCACTGCACTCCAGCCTGGGCGACAAAGCGAGACTCCGTCTCAAAATAATGATAATAATAAAAAATAAAAAATAAAAAGATAAACAAGCCCAATGTTGGTAACTTGCCCAATGAGCATCAAACTTGCTTCTTTTCTTTGTAAGGAAACTGTATTTTATTATTTAATTCACATCCCAAACACAATAATCTCATGTAGGTGTGACTCTAGCTGGGCTAAGGAGAGTTCCACACATTCCATGAATTCTTAGGTCAGAAGTGGACATGTGACCCAATTCTGGCCAAACGGAAGTGAGGAAAGGTTTGCTGAAAACTAAATACATTCTTTAATCACAGTTGACAGTTATAGAGCCAGCCCTCCTCTTCTTTCTGGACATCAAAAAGGAAACGCATCCCCCTACTTCCTCCTGGCATCCACTTTCCATCAGCAAAAGGGCTCAGATTTACGCCAAGTTTGATTTTCACAGGAGAGGGGAAAACGCCAACTACCGGCCTCTCGACTGACATCTTTGAACCATGCAGCTGTCCACTCTGGAGCTACTTTGCCCACTCGGCCAGCTCTGCTGCATTAATCCCTAATGTATACTGGAAATCACATGCCAGGATTGTATTTAGTCTTCTTACTTCTATATTAATGGAAAGAATTGGTCAGCACTTTTATTCTTGATGTCTCTGCTTGATGGACATTAACTATGGAATGTACATGTAGCATTTTTAGAGTTAAGTTGTTAACATGTCTTATGCATTTCCATGGTTATTGGTCTAATCAAGCTTATTCATTTTGTTGCTAATTTAACTAAATTAATTGCTCAGAAAATGGTCCGTTTTTAAATTTATTGGCAAATACTTCTGCATAACAATCTCTTAAATTTTAATGCCCTCTTTATATTTACTTAGATTTTCTTTCTTATTCAATGTTTAGTATGTTTTCCATATTTCTGATTAGATTTAGTTGAGGTTGACCTACTTTATCTTATTTTTAAAGATTAGCATTTGTTAAATTTAAAGTTTTATGTTAACTATTTTCTAAAAGAAAATTTTCTCTTTTCTTTTATCTCTCCAGGTATCCTTTATTGTTTTTGAGTTTTTCTAAATTGTTTCTTTAAAAACTTACTTCAGGCCGGGCGCGGTGGCTCACGTTTGTAATCCCAGCACTTTGGGAGGCCGAGGCGGGTGGATCATGAGGTCAGGAGATGGAGACCATCCTGGCTAACACGATGAAACCCCATCTCTACTAAAAGTACAAAAAAATTAGCCAGGCGTGGTGGTGGGCACCTGCAGTCCCAGCTACTCAGGAGGCTGAGGCAGTAGAATGGTGTGAACCCTGGAGGTGGAGCTTGCAGTCAGCAGACATTGCACCACACTCCAGCCTGGGCAACAGAGCGAGACTCCATCTCAAAACAAAACAAAGCAAAACGAAAAATTGCTTCATTATTATTTTATTTAATTATTAATAAATAAAGTAATTTGCAAGATTGTGGTTTTTCCACTGACTTCCTTTTGGCACTTGTTTGCCACCATTACTTTCTTTTCTTTTTCTTCTTCTTTTTTTTTTTTTGAGACAGAGTCTCGCTCTGTCCCCAGGCTGGAGTGCAATGGCACAATCTCGGCTCACTGCAACCTCCGCCTTCCAGGTTCAAGCGATTCTCCTGTCTCAGCCTCCCAAGTAGCTGGGATTACAGGCTCCTGCCACCACACCCGGCTAATTTTTGTATTTTTACTAGAGACGGGGTTTTGCCATGTTGGTCAGGTTGGCCTCAAACTCCTGACCTCAGCTATCACTCCTTTCTCACACTCTTCTATCTAGGAAGGAGAAACATAAGCCCAGAAATGTGAGGTGTGAGCACCTGGGGCTCCTGTTCTCAGCCACATTCTCAGTCACAGCCCCATTCTGCTGCAGATTCCATTATTGTCCCCCTCCTTCCCCAGCACTGTCATACTGTGGTGAAACTTGGTCTTAGAATAAATGTTGAGGAAAATTATTTGGTTAAATAACTTTGGTTCATGGAGCATTTCTCCAGCCTTTTGATCACTGTAGAGTGCTTCTCTACCTACAGAGAGACAAAAGCTGGGGAAGTGGTTGTTTTTGTTTTGTTTGTTTGTTTTTCTCTCTTCCTGGTCCGACTGCTACATTTCAGGTACTTAGCCTTGCCTCAGTTACTGGAAATCACTCTTGTATCTGTATAGGCTCTGTGTGAGGTGACTTTCTGCCACAGCATTTTAAGAATCTGTCCCATAGGTTTCCTGTTGTGACCCATTACACAGTTACCCGCTGCCGTAGAATTTTCTCCTTGGTCCATTTGCAAGCCAGGGAACCCTGGAGTCCTGCACGGTGGCAGGTCTAGGCTACTGGATTTCTAGGATAAGAGGCCTGCCCAAGAAGAACTGAGTCAGCATCTCCATGTAGAATCTTCAAGCTCAGGTGATGTACCACAAGTCAACCCAACGAACTGAGAAATTGTAAGTCACTGTTGTTTTAAGTCAGTAGTTTTGGAGGTTTTCTTTAGGCAATAGATAACTGAAACAGAAATCTGACCCTAGAATTGGATGCTACCATGCAGTTTTAAAAAAACATGTGGCATTGTAGTTGGGGCCAGGTAGTAAATGGAGGATGGTTAGGAGACAATGAATTTCTTAAAAACGTAAAGGAACTGTTACAAGCAATTTCTCTATAGGAAGTGTGTGATGGTGTCTTATATAACTTGATTAGAAAATGCAACACAAGGGTAATAGCTATGGAGGCTGGAATTACTATTGAAGGATCCTTCCCTTTGTTGGAAGTAATTCCTAAAAAATTGATAGGCTCATAACTTGGAACATTCCAGAAGAAAGTAGTTATTTGACATGGTTCTTACTAGCTAAATATTGTAACTTACTTACAACCTGGAGATGAGAGGTTTGCAGAGCTTGCAGAATAAATGTGAACATCCAGTAGTGCAAACTGTTCTAAAGCTGAAGTTGGAAAATTGGTTGATCAAAACATTCAAGTAGGCAGGGCACAGTGGCTGACGCCTGTAATCCCAGCATTTTGGGAGGCTGATGGTGGTGGATCACCTGAGGTCAAGAGTTCGAGACCAGTGGCTGGGCGCGGAGGCTCACGCCTGTAATCCCAGCATTTGGGAGGCTGAGGCGGGCGGATCACGAAGTCAGGAGATAGAGACCATCCTGGCTAACATGGTGAAACCCCATCTCTACTAAAAATACAAAAAATTAGCTGGGTGTGGTGGTGGGCACCTGTAGTCCCAGCTACTTAGGCGGCTGAGGCAGGAAAATGGCGTGAACCCGGGAGGTGGAGCTTGCAGTGAGCCGAGATCGTGCCACTGCACTCCAGTCTGGGGACAGAATGAGATTCCGTCTCAAAAAAAAAAAAAAAAATTTGGAGACCAGCTTGGTCAATGTGGTGAAACCGCATCTCTACTACAAATACAAAAATTAGCCAGGTGTGGTGGTGCATGCCTGTAGTCCCAGCTACTTGGGAGGCTGAGGCATGAGAATTAGTTCAACCCAGGAGGTGGAGATTGCAGTGAGGTGAGATTGTGCCATTGAACTCCAGCCTGGGCGACAGAGTGAGACTCAGTCTTAAAAAAATAAAAAATAAAAAATTTAACTATTTTCATTGTATCTAACTTTTTCAAAGATAGTGATACACACTAGGGTTATCCAGAAAAGGTGGGGAAGCCACAGTAACAGATCTTCCAGGCAGTTTCACTGCCATTGGTCACATTTGTTTGATCCAAGATACATCTTAAAAGAAGTAAACATCTTCAAGAAACAGAATTAAGAAGTAAATGAATTCAGAAAAGGAGTTTGTGACATCTACACATGTTCTCCCAACCCCCTTCCCACCACTAGCAGCTCTTGTATAGGCAGACATACAGCTAGAGCTATCTTTTGCCTTTATAACACATCACATTCAACCAAGTCGATCATAAGCATGTGGTCCCCCACTGGAGAGCAAGTCCCCCATATAGCTTTATAGTTCAAGGGCAACTGGAGTTCTGAGCTAGGGTCAAGATTTGCTCAGCACACAGGCTTTCCTTACTCCAGTCACCCCTCCGCTGGGCTCCTGCTTCTTGTCTGAGATTGGCCTCATGGCTGCATCTCAAGGGTCATATGGAGCAGCTCCCTGCTCATCTCCTTTTCCCAGGGTATTACTAGGCTCAGCTGTAGCCATGGCCAAGCGGACTGCTGCCAGGCATCTCTTCACTGCATTCCTCTTTAGAGAGCTTAGTGAAGGTTTTCCACATGTATTTGCTTAACTTGAATTAGCAAAATAGGAAAATACCGAGGAATTGTGATTCTTCATTTGTATACAAGAGATTTTCTGCTCCAAATCCTTACTTATGTGGCAAACTCCTTCTAGTTTTATCTTTGTTGATTTAGCTTAAACATCCTCTCCTCTGTGAAGCTTTCTTTGATATAGCTCCTCAAAATTCTTTGCCTAATAAGGAATTCTATTATTGGCACTCCTATAGCATCCTTGCATATCGACATTTATTCGAGTAAAAGTAGTGGCAATTGGTATTTGGAACTACACTTATATATCAACACTTTAAAATATATTCTTGGCCAGGCATGGTGGCTCATGCACGTAATCCCAGCACTTTGGGAGGCCAAGGCTGGTAGATCGCTTGAGTTCAAGAGTTTAAGATCGGCCTGGGCAACAGAGCAAAACTCCATCTCTATATTTAAAAAAAAACACACACACATAAAAATTAGCTGTGTGTGGTGGCGTGTGCCTCTAGTCCCAGCTACTGAGACTAAAACAAATAAAATGTTCTCATTGTGCTGATGAACAAAGGAAACATAAGAGAAGCTATTCAACTAGCAAGTGGTAGAGCCCATTTTCTTTTTTTCCAACAAAGCATGCTACATATAGGTCTTCCAGTACTGTAATTAATTGAATATGTATTATTCACTTCACAGACTGAATTTCTTGTAAAAAGAAATCATATCTTGTTAATTTACATTGTTTTCCATTTAACATGCATGGAACAGTTGCATGATATAAAATTCATGCTTGCTAGTCAGCTAGACAGATGTTTTCAAAGTTATAGGTTAAGTTTACGTTCTGCTCATATTCTTCGCTTAGTAAAAGTTTTGTTAGTATCGAGAATGAAACAAATTTCAATACTTTCTATTTAGATGTGCTTATTCTGCATATATAGATGATGAAATTGTGATATCGTGCTTTGATTTTATTTTTTCTTGATGGACAGGCCACAAATTATTCACATTACATTTGCCATGTTCTTTATCTAGGTGGGTTTAACCTCTATAGAACCTATGAATACTCATGGTCTTTTTTTAGAGGACATTCAATTGCCTCTAATCAAAACTAGTATATATTTAAATGTTAAGTAGATGTTATTTCTGATTACTGTATCTAAAGGTTTTTCGTGTCCATGGCCAAATATAACAAAGTCAAACTTAATTGAATTTTTTGAAATTCAAAGATATCATCATCTCTAACATTTCAAGAAATTCATTAGCCCTTTCAGCCTATTCCTGTGGAATGCCTTCGCACCAACAAATGTTAATTTAGCTTGTCCTTAATTTACATAATCACCACACAGCATAACACAAGTCAAGGTAAAAAAGAATGGAAGTAGAGTTATGCTGGTGATGTTGTTCATGTGCTGTGATTTGAAAAATGCAAAACTGTCCCATCTGCCAAACCAAATCTCTGGCCCTGTTTTGCATTTCCTGAAGTTCAGTGTTCTACTCTTAGTAGAGGGATGTTTGACTTTCTAATCAGGACCTCCCTGGGGATACAAAGTGATAAATTGAAGACAGAAGCCAGTCTAGTGGTCTAGTGTATATCATTCTAGGAAGTTCCTTTTTTTTTTTTTGGAGACGGGGAGTCTCACTCTTGTCACCCAGTCTAGAGTGAAATGGTGCCATCTCAGCTCACTGCAACCTCTGCCTCCCGGGTTCAAGTGATTCTCCTGTCTCAGCCTCCTGAGTAGCTGGGATTACAGGCACCCACCACCATGCCTGGCTAATTTTTTGTATTTTTAGTAGAGACCGGGTTTCGTCATGCTGGGCAGGCTGGTCTCAAACTCCTGACCTCAGGTGATCTGCCGGCCTTGGCCTTCCAAAGTGCTGGTATTACAGGCATGAGCCACCATGCCCAGCCGGAAGTTCTTTTGTTTATAGTTCCTACATCAGCGAATTGGTTGTGAACTGTGCTGCCGTAAGCCCAACCCAAAAATGTGAGTATTCACAGCCCCAAATCCCTATCCATATTACTCTATTCTCCCTGGCCTACTCCAGAGTACATCACCATAACAACCCATAGTCTGCAATAAACAGAGACACCATCATCAAGAAAGGCAGCAGACACACCTCTACAATATGAATGTCACCTACGATTCAGGGAGGTTTGTTCTCAGGACTCCTATGTGATTTTCTTGGAAGCTCTCAGTTTTCTGCACTTCTTAATTCCATGGAATCCTCCCTTGAAAATCTGCATTTGGATCAGGGCTCTCCTGAGGTCCTGCTGGCAGAGATATTGCTTAGAGCCATGTGTTTTCTGCCACTTTCATCATCAGTGAGTGAGCAAATACAAAGACAGCACAGATCATAAAAAGTAAATATGAAGATGGAAAAAAATATATATATTTATATAGTTATATATATTTATATATATATTTATATAGTTATATATATTTATATAGTTATATATATTTATATATTTATATAGTTATATATTTATATATATTTATATATTTATATATTTATATATATTTATATATTTATATATATTTATATATTTATATATTTATATATATTTATATATTTATATATATTTATATATTTATATATATTTATATACAAAATATATTTTGTATAATACAAAAAATATTATATACAAAATATATATATACATATATATATTTTGAGATGGAATCTCATTCTGCTGCCCAGACTGGAGTGCAGTGACACGATATTTGCTCACTGCAACCTCCGCCTCTCAAGTTCAAGCTATTCTCCTGCCTCAGCCCCCCTGAGTAGCTGGGATTACAGGCACGTGCCAACACGCCCGGCCAATTTTTGTATTTTTAGTGGAGACAGGGTTTCGCCATGTTGGCCATGCTGGTCTCAAACTCCTGACCTCAAGTCATCCTCCTGCCTTGGCCTCCCAAAGTGCTGGGATTACAGGCGTGAGCAATATAATTCCTTTGCATAGTGCTTTATTCTTTTGAGTCTTCTGAACATTCCTGCAGTGAAGAAACCGGTTTATCTAATTTAGTTTCCAAAACTTACTTGAGCACTGATGAGGGAGCAAATTTTAAAATCTCTGTGCATATCTATGGAGTTATGAGATAAAAGGAAGTATAGCATATCACCAGAAATGTCACATTGAATAAAGGAATATCTCAGAGGACAAAAAGAGAAGGATGTGCTTTTTCCTGCAAGGAGGCACGGAGGTGTCCACCCACCTTATCTCCCTCAGCATTCAGAGGGAGGTCCAGTTTGGCTCACAGCAATTCTTTTGAGTACTTCCTTTATTCAGTTCACTGAAAATCACCCACTGATATCCATTTCTCAGTACTTTATAAAGTACTGACAAACTTAAAGTTTGAGGATTTTTCTGCCAAATGCGAACTCCCCTGAGAAGAGCAGGTAAGTAGGCCCTTGTCAGAGGTTTTCCAAGGTATTGTCATATAGGGAGCTGGGCATGGCTCACAGTGTAGACTAAAGGGAGGACTATCTGGAGTATCACGTACTGCATTGTACAGCCTCTCTGAGAGTCCGTTCTATGTGTCTCTGTGTGTCGGTAGGGTAAGGGCAGGCAGTGCCCTAGGAAGGCAAGCTAGGAGAGCAAAAGCCTCAGCTGGAGAAGCAGGGACACCAGGCACAGAATGCAGCTACTCCTCAATCCTGCCATAGGCAAGCACTGGCCGCAGCTCTCTGCAGCAGAAGGAGGTCGAGCCTTATAGTAGCACTTCTTATTTATTGTGACATTCTGTTACTGTTCGCTGGATAAATATGGGATTTTTGTTGCAAGAACTATTGATCCTTTCAAGCATCATAAATTCTCCCCAAGAAAAGAAACAAATCTGGGCAAATAAGCTAAGTTTTACTTTGTCTTTATAATCTAAATAATAAAAATCTATATACTTTAGAAACAAGACCACACAGAGACCCTTACTAAAAAAGCTTCTGAAAGTTATATTTTCCCATTTTTAAAATCTTAACTGTTGCATCCAAATACTAATTAGATTGTAAGATTCTGAAAGCTTCCTTGTAGCATTTTTTATCATACCTGCAACAAAATTATATATATATAATATATACATATGTATATATATATGATAAATGTTTTTCTCAAGGAATGAGATTGCAGAGCTAAATGTCTTTTCAAAATACAACCATTACTAAAGACATATGATAACTTTTTTTCAACAGTAAGTTACGGTAGTTGGGCTTTTTCTGGTTACAAGATTATTTCTGAGTTGTGAAAATTCTCTGTCCATGTTTTTTCCTGTATTACCATGTTCTTCTCTCATATCCCCCATTCAATCTTGGTTGCCACTGAGACAGACAGAAAGCAGAAGAACACTTTTTTTTCTCACATCTGTAATGGAAACCTTAGCAGCAGACACTAACTGCTCCAGGTCTGCCAAACAGATGGATTTACTCTCCAACTTACTGCATCCTGGTTTTTTTTTTTTTAATGCTACTTATCTTTTGTCACCAAATCCTGTGGTATGAAGAGAATATAATGTGTCTGTGGATATCATAAGCTTATAGTAAGCAAGGGGTCTACTGTGTGTTTCCCTTCTAGGCCCAGCAAAATATGAACACAGAAGATGCACAAATATTTGCTAAATAAATAAATTAATGAGAAAGTTTTTTTCCCAATCAAAATATTACTTTCACAGCAGCTTGCTTTATATATTTTCTAGAAGACATCAGATCACTCAGTATGACCTATTACTCCTTTAGCTTCCTGTAATGTGTCATTATTTATTCAGTCTTTAGAGGAATTTTGAATCACCACAAATATCTGGACATTGGGGGATAAATTACAAGACTGCTAGTTTTCTCTTTATTTACTATTCTAGTAAAATACAACGTTAACAGATGTATCTTATGGTGGAACGTGCATACACTCCTCTGACTGAAGAGTAAGTGACTGAGGTAACCTTTCTAAAACCATAATTGGCCAATTATTACTTAATGAAATACATATCTACAGTGTTTCCTAGTTTAGGCTCAAAATAACCAGACTTTTCTTTGGTCAAAATGAGAACAATTTTAACCTGCAAAAGTTATTTCTTAAATAATCTTTTTGTATGTTTAAAAGAGAAAATCTCACAAGATATATTGAATTATAGATATTAAAACAAATATATTTTCAAAGCCCTTCACAGGAAATGGTAACCTTTTCTAAGCTAGGACTAGAGCTATTTATTTTGCTTCACAGGAAACAGTACAGATTAGCCAAAATCATGATGCTAACATATGCTATGAGTAACTCGGATATGAGTCTAGTTTAAGAGCGTATGGTCTTTCTTTTTTCCTATCTACAAGGTGCAGGGTTACTTATCCAAAAGAAGTGCTCACCATGGAAAGTAAGTGACCAACTGGTGGGCAGGATTGTGGCATCCACCCGAGTTTCCATTAGGCAATCAATCTTGCTTTTCCTTTTCCTCACAAAGCCCATGCCACAGGCCCAAAGTTACTGGCAAGTTGCCCTGCTTGTCCCAAATAATAGGAGGAGGATAGACTTTTAATACAGAGATAACATAACTCTGAAATTGTCGCAGTGTTGTGTCAGCTGGGAAAGCTTCAATTGGTGTCATTATGCCCTTGCTTCCCCACCTGTGGTGAGGTGCATGCACGACCTCTCTCCCGGAACATTAGGGGAAGGAGCGTCCGCAGAGCCCAGAGCCCTGTGCTCCTCCGATGGAGCTGCTGCAATTAGTATTCCAGAGGTCTCCTGACATGCTGTAGACAGCTCTGCAGCCTCAGCCTTCAATCTGGATCAGGGATGAGGCAGTTTACATTTAGTTTGGGAAATTGATTTTAGTAGAGAAGAAGGTGTGATGGAAATGGAGGGATACATAATGAAAAATACCGTTTAATGTTATGGTTGTGAACATGGGCATTTAGATGATAATTTTGATGTTCCTGATGGTATTTCAACAGGAACAGAGCTACCAGACCAGTGCGCTCAAACACATCCTCAACACAAGGCATTTACCGCTCCCGTGTCATATCCTAAGAAGAGCCTGCCTCATGCTTTATTCTCAGAAAGTCTGGTAAAACAAAAGGCATGTGTAATTTAGAACTGTAAGATTATATAACACCATTATTTATATATTTTATGTCAAAATTTAAGTCCTGGTAATGTCTAAGGAGTTATTTCCTTATATGATGTGTGATTTCATTCAGTAAAGAAAGTACGTAACACTTTGGATTATATATTCATTAATTCATCTATAAATGTATATTTTACACTTACATTGTGCTAATCTTCATGTAATATATATGCTGGGGACACAGCAACACAATACTCCTCTATGATCCCTGCTTTCATGGTATTCCAAAACGTGTGACAAAGGCCAGTGATGACCAGTGGGATGAGTTACAAAAGGGCAAGGGCATAGTGATGAAACTGACAATAACCCCAAGTTCTTAGAGGCTGGCAGGTTTTATCAGTCAGAATAGTAAAGATACAGTAAAGATAAACAAACAACTCCCACATTTCGGCTGATTAATATAACAGAAAGTTACTGTACAATCCTTATACAGGTTCATCCTAGGTCAGCAGGAGTCTCTGCCCCTAATCACTTAGGGACATAGGCTAGGCAGTGGGACCAGAATTATGCAAAGTCTCAGAGCAGCAATTACATGCTTTAGCTTGGTGAAAATATGTTCCTCTGTGTTCACAATCCTCTGACCAGAACTGGTCACACCGCCCTACCCAGCCACAAGAGCAGGTGTTCAGTATTCAGTGCGCTGGGTGGAAACAAGAGGTAGACAGCGGGAATCCCAGTAATGACTAGATGGAGACCCTGCTTCAGAGTCACAGATGAATTTCCCCTTAACTCACAAGGCTTTATTTCTCCAGCTCATACATTATTCAACATCTCCTACAAATGGAAGAACTGTTTCCTGAGCCAACATGGCACTTATTTTTTAATCCCTTAAGCTATTTTATTTAAAAATATATTTCTTTTTGCCATCACCATATCCCAGTTCTTGGCTTTCAGTAAATATTTACTAAGTGAATTAATGTTTGGCTACACTTTGTGCCTGATGACAATGGCACTCAGCTGTGTGTGTTCTATGGAAATTCCTCAATACTGTTAACAAAGTGTTTACCAGATAAGTTTGAACCAACTTGCAATGTGTATCTCCCCTTAGACATCTACAATAAACATAAACATATCACAAAATTTAATTACACAATAAGAGCTGTGCTATATAATGTCAGTTTAAGGGTTAGGTTCAGCAGTCCAGTAGTTTTTTGTTTGCTTGTTTGTTTTTAATCCTAGTTCCTTTATTAATTTGGCAAAAATCTTAGTTTTTCTGGGCCTTAAATTTCTATAACTGTGTAATGGTGACACTAATATATACCTTACTGTGTTATTGCTTTAGTTAAATTACATGTTACATAATGTTCATAGCCCAATATTAATAAATAAATGAAACAGGCCAGGTGCGGTGGCTCACGCCTGTAATTCCAGCGCTTTGGGAGGCTGAGGAAGGCAGATTACTTGAGATCAGGAGTTCGAGACCAGCCTGGCCAACATGGCAAAACCTTGTCTCTACTAATACTACAAAAATTAACCGGGCGTGGTGGCGGGTGCCTGTAATCCCAGCCACTCTGGAGGCTGAGGCAGGAGAGTCGCTTGAACCTGGGAGTCAGAGGTTGCAGTAATCCGAGATAGTGTTGCAGTGTGGTAGGCCAGGTCTCACTGACACAGGCCTCCATAACAACTGTTTCAGTACTGACTGAGTGGTTAAGTTAAATATTAAAAGCCAGTCCCCTTATACAAAGTCTTGGGATATAACAAAAGCCCACCAAGTGTTTTGCCTAGGCCTTTTCTGGGCCTTAAACCATGACAAAATAACGAAGGAATTCATAACAGGACCCATTTAGGATTAAATGAGGTGTATTGTGGGTCTGAAGAAATTCCCCAGGCCTCCATAGACAAGTTTATTGGGGGTCTGGGGTCTGAAGAAACTCCCCAAACCTCCCTGATTTAGTAGGAGACAAGGGTAATCACCCCAGCACCTGGATCCATATAGATTAAGTAAATTTACTGAGGCTCCAGGGGAAGGTCCTCAGGACTCAGACCTTAATTATAGATCAGCAGAAGTTAATCACTTATGTCTTCAGATGAATGCACACTTACAGATAGACATATAGCTTAGAAGGTATATAAGCTCTGGAAAATTTTGTGATTTTGAGTTGGTCTGGCGATAATTTCCAGGCCTTCTCCCTGTAACCAGTTGCAGAAATAAAAACTCTCTTCCCAGCTCATCTGCTTCTCCTTATTGGGCCGCGAGAAACAGCAGCCCAACCCTCAGTTTGGTCTGGGAACAACTGTACTCCAGCCTGGGTGACGGAATGAGGCTGTGTCTCAAAAATAAACAAACAAAATAATAAATTAAAACTAATTTTATTAATTTTTATTGTTACTATTTTATAGTGTCATAAATCACAGTTAACCACAAATTATTCTTGTTAGAAAATACACTTTTTTATGAAATTTGGCAGGAAAGTTTTTGTTTACATGGAGTTCCATAAAGAGCCCTTGATGTAGTAAGAACTCATAAGGCAAGCAGGCAGCTGAGGCCTCCTGAGACAGGAATGCACATAGCGCTTGGGCCCTGCAGGCGGAGCGGGCTCGGGGACCTGGCGCAGCGCTCTGTCACTCTGGGAAGGAGGCGCTAGCCCGCCAGGCCGCGGCTGATGCTGGGGTCCTGCACTAGCGCGAAGGTCAGCTCCATGCCGGCGAGGCCAGGACGGACTCCAGAGCCTCAGTGTGCTGAGCGCAGGCGCCCAGTACTCGGCGGAGCTGGCGCCCCGCTAGACGCAAGGACTCCACAAGGACCCCAGAGCCAGATCCCTGCGAGGCCCCGGCATTCCCTGACCTGGCGGGGAATCCTGGCCCCCGATGGTCTACGGCAGCCCCCAGCCGGCTCCTGGGATGGCTTGCAGCGCCCGCAGGCTTCTCCAGCCTCCAGAACTGCAGGAGCTGCGGTCCAAGCCAGCTCCTGGGCTCCGGGAGAAACTGAGGTACGTGGCGCCCGAGCTGCCAGCAGGCGTGCAGAGGCGGGGTGGGACACAGCAGGTCTGGGATGCGGCTGCTTCATCCCTGCCTTCTCCTTCACACACAACCCTGGCCCTGCCCCACCCCAGCCAAGGCCCCCTCCGCATCCCTGTGCTGGAGTGTCCCCAGTGGTTAGGTGCGAAGTTCGCGGAGGTGGACTGAGGAGTGTTGACAGCCACCGCTTTGAAACCCCTACTTAGGCCGCGGCCCCACAGCACGCTCCCGTGGGGCGCGTTCGTGCTTAGCTGCAGCGCCTCCTCTGGCACCACAGGGCTGCATGCGGACGGCGGGTCTTGCGGGCCACGGGAAGGAAGGACGGGGAGGAGTGCGCAGCCCCACTTTGCGCCAGGGGAAAACCATGTTCGTCTGACAGGTTAGGACACCAAGATTATAGTCAACAAAAACACAAAGGCCCAAGTCCATGGGCGGCCCTTGGCAAGGGCTAAACCGGGAAGTGAAAACAATCTGGTCTACAATTTTTTTTTTTTTTTTTGTGACGCAGTCTAACTCTGTCACCCAGGCTGGAGTGCAGTGGCACGATCTCGGCTCACTGCAGCCTCCGCCTACCAGGTTCAAGTGATTCTCCTGTCTCAGCCTCCTGAGTAGCTGGGACTTCTACAGGAATGTGCCACCACGCCCGGGTAATTTTTGTATTTTTAGTAGAGAGGGGTTACCCCATGTTTCCCAGGCCAGTTTCCAACTCTTGACCTCAAGTGATCCTCCCACCTCAGCCTCCCAAGGTGTGAGCCACCGCACTCGGCCCTAGCGTAGATTTTTAAGGGAACTCTAGGCTAGACCTTCCAGGTTCTTATCTCACCAGGATAGGCCGAGCCCCTCTTCATTTGTTGAAGGACCACTTGTGTTTCCTGTTCTGGGAACTTGCTTCATTTTTCTCCTGGGATGTTAATCTTTACAGCAATCTCTATGTTTGGGGGAATTGGTACTTTGTTTGTAATATGAGATATAAATATTTTTTCCCAGTTTATCTTTTAACTTTGCTTATGGTTTTTTTTTTTTTTGACTTGTTACTGTAAAATGAAACACATTACATAAAAAATCAATAAAACATTTATCTTTCCAAATATATTAATAAAACTTCAAGCCCTAATTAGAAGAATAAAGGTTGATAAATTTGACTAAGCCTAATTTATAGATGTATACACAGATTCAAAAGATAAATGCAAAAATGAAAAAATTATCAGCAGTTCATAACACAGCCAAAAGTTTAAATCTTTTAATATACTAAGAAGTCTTATAAATTAATTGTAAAAGTCACTATCACTCAGTACCAAAAATATATACAAATGATATGACCAAACATTTCACAGACACAGAAATACAAATATGGAGTGCAAATGTAAAATACTCAGCCTCATTCATAAAGAGCTACACATTGAAACGACAGTGAGGTATCATTTCTTCCATATCCTATTAGTTTAAACCTTCACATAAATTTAATTAGCCAATATTTCAAAATGTAACATCTGTTGCTGGAAAAGTTTTGAAACAATTGACCACATTTGTCATGCCAGGGTTAGAATACTTAATTGGGAAAGATTATATCACATTAGATAAGTTAATGACTTCCATCTTGGAATTTCCATGAAGAATTCATTCCTCAGAGGCAAACACTATAGAAAGAGAAGTTTTAAAAGCACATTTTTGGAAGAGTGAGGAATAAGAAATGATTTAATATCTTATACCTGTTACCTGATGTAAGTTTGGAAATCATGGACAGTTGTCAATATGTAATTTATTGCAAGGCTAGTTGAAAAAAAAGTACTAACGACCTTTATCATATAATGTGACTACAGGTCTGTAAATTGCATATTAGTGGTGAATTGATATTAACAGGAAAAGAAAGAAACTGTGTATAAAGGTGGAGAACTTAGAGAAAATTTTGTAAATATTCTTGTTATTATATTTTCTTCCCATAATAAATATAAAATTATGATCCATAATTTACGGTCAAATGACAATTTCCTTCAATATAAAGCCTTAGGTTATTATCATACATTTTTTAAAGTTATACTTCAGAATAAGTGTTGCTGTGGATTTTTTTTTCCTTTTTTCTTTCTTTTTCTTTTTTTTTTTTTTGAGATGGATTCTCACCCTGTCACCAGGCTGGGGAGCAGTGGCATGATCTTGGCTCACAGCAACCTCCGCCTCTGGGGTTCAAGTGATTCTCCTATCTCAGCCTCCCAAGTAGCTGGGATTACAGGCACATGCCACCACGCCCAGCTAATTTTTGTATTTTTAGTAGAGACAGGCTTTCACCATGTTGGCCAGGATGGTCTCGATTTCTTGACCTCGTGATCCGCCCACCTCGGCCTCCCAAAGTGCTGGGATTACAGGCGTGAGCCACCGTGCTGTGCCTGCTGTGGATTTTTAAAAGCATCTATTCCTCAGAAAATAAATGAATAACATTTAGTAATCATAATACAAATAATTGAAGCCTTTTCTTCTAGACTCTTATAAGAACTATTCTCCAACTCAACACCATGAGAATGCCTGAACATTACCCAAGAAACGTTGCATCTCCAGACCTGTGGAAACTGTAAATTTTCCTTTCCTTGAGATATTCATTCTATTAGATCTTCCCTGCTTTCAGAGAGTCAGGGAGCGTCGCCACTCATGAGGGTGGTCAGGGCGTCAGGGGCCAGATTCCCCGGAACAATCCTGCCTTTCTTACTTCTGGTCTCCACTCTGCTCAGTCCTAACATCTCTGCCATCAGTGAGCGCTTTTTTTGCAGCCACAAAGCTGTGAAGCATTTTTATCTCATGACTCCTTCCACAGAAGGAAATCTTTCAGCCCCGCTGGAGCTAACTTTGTTGCTGTTGTTTTGAAAACTGCTCTTCAAATCTGGTTTTTCGCAGAAGTTTGAATGCACAGCACTGGGCACAGCCCTGTGTCTTGCACACTGCTCTAGAAGCAGGCCCTTGTTACATGGAAGGGAATTTAATGTGATCCCTCACCCTTACTGGCTCAATCAGGATCCACTTTCCCCCAGGGCTTAATTTAGGTTAACATCATCCTGGTGTCATGACCTCAGTCTGCTGATAACTTACTTCAAAACCCTCTTTCCAACTCTTGATATTAGGTTTCAGGATGGCTGCCACTGCAAATATCAGAAACCCCTATTAACATTGACTTGAATAATGAAGTGGTTATTCTTTCATAGAGCAAGGAGATACAGACAAAACAGTTTTAGATCCAGCTAGCTCAGCAAACTCGAAGCTGGAGGAAGAGGATCTGTGGATGAAGATTTCCTAGAAAAGGACAGAAAGCAAGGACAAGGAAAATAAAAAGCCAAAGATCAAGTATCTAAGAGAAATGTAGAAACATAGACACAGGGTGGCCTGACTACAGAACCAAGTCCTGGAAGAGATGGGGCATCAGCCAGACTCTACCCAGTGGACGCCAGCTAGGTGGAGTCTTCATCCTGGAAGTGACCCTGTCCATTTGCCCCCTGGAAGCCAGGATGGGTCCTCAGGAGGGACAAGTCCAAGAAACTGGAGAGGTTAGAAACATGGACCCATCGGGACATTGCCGAGTTGATCCATGAGTGGCTGACAGGTTGTAAATTTCACAGGGTGTGAGGTTGTGACTCCAGCTAATGCCTGTGTTGACTCTTCCAGCGTGGCTGCCATGCTTTTTCTATGGTTGGCCAGTCTTGGTAGGGGGTGGGCCAGGTAATGCGTGGCATTGAGGCACTCTTACTCAGTACCACAAGCCCGTGCTGCTCACTGGCAGGACTTTTCCAGAAGGATTCTTAGTTCACCTGACAAAATCAACAACCACATGCCTATATTGATCCAGCATTGCCACAGGTATATTTGCTGTGCTAAATGAGAGCATATGTACAAGGATGCTCCCTGCATTGCTGTCTGTAATGACAAAATTATGTAAACTATACAAATGTCTTTCAGTAAAGGACTAGTCGCAGGGCACAGTGGGTCACTCCTGTAATCCCAGCCCTTTGGGAGGCCAAGGCAGGTGGATCATGAGGTCAAGACCATCCTGACCAACATGGTGAAACTCTACTAAAAATACAAAAATTGCTGGGTGTGGTGGCCGGTGCCTGTATTCCCAGCTACTCAGAAGGCTGAGGCAGGAGAATCGCTTGAACCTGGGAGGCGGAGGTTGCAGTGAGCTGAGATCGCGCCACTGCACTCCAGCCTGGAGACAGGGTGAGACTCTGTCTCAAAAACAACAACAGCAACAACAAAAAAGAACTAGTAAAATAAATGGTGTCAGCCATTCTGTGTAATGCTATGTGTCCAATTAAAAAAAAATTAAATAGACCTAACTATCCTGAGGTGGAGTAACTCCAAAAGTTGAATATGAAGTGAACAAAGCAAGATGTATTACAATGTTCATATCAGCAACTGAAAAGGAAGATGTGTTTATATAGCCACCCAGAATACTCCTGGAAAGAAATCAAGAAACAGGAAGCAGTTATTGCCCTTGGAAGGGAAAATCTAGGTGCCTTTTTGTAGCATGTGAATAATTCAGTAAATCTCTACAGCACACACAGTAACATACATACACACATTCACACCAAATTATCCATTTTTTTGCTTTGTCATCCTCAGATTTTTGGCTGTGCTTTTCGGTTTTTCTTTCATTTTTTGCATAATGATTATAGCAGCTCCAAGCATCTGATCGGATTTGTATCTACTCCAATTGTATCTAAAGTACTTGCATGCTTTTTAAAATGTACATGATTTCAAAATCCATGCTATTGACATGATTTTTTTTTACAGTGAAAAGCAATGGAAAACTGAATAGTTTAAAGTAGGTGATATGTCTGATTT
Organism: Homo sapiens; assembly: GCF_000001405.40. NCBI lineage: Eukaryota > Metazoa > Chordata > Mammalia > Primates > Hominidae > Homo > Homo sapiens. The sequence goes on from NC_000007.14 coordinate 52,279,044, forward strand.
GGGCTTTAAAATGTTACTCTGTTACCAGGGTAGATAACAAATTGAAAAAGTCAATATGGCCATTGCAAGTAACCAGGTGAGATCATCTTGGCGTGAATATCAGTTTCATCAGTGGTGATGGAGAGCAGACAATCTCTAGCAGTAGTTAGGAGGTATAAGCAACTGGCCTTGGGGAGTGATCGAAGGTGTGGGGGTCAGTCACAGGAGTTACCAAGGGTGACTGCCAGGTTCCTGCTTGCCATGAGGGGTGGAGGATGTTACCTGTCACTTACAATGGAAATGTGTATGATGGAAAGCCATGATTCTAATTTTAGACAACAGAGTATTCCACACTTACAAAATACCCAGTAGATGATAATCTGAAGTAGAGAGAATTTTTATTTTTTTCAACATAATCAATCTTCATTATTATCAGATTTCACATTTTTCAATTTACCTATTTGCTAAAATTTGCTTGTAACCCCTCAAGTCAATACCCGTGGTGCTTTTGTGGTCGTTCATGGACATGCCCAGAGCAGCAAAAGCTCTTGTGTCTCCTGGTACAGATATTACCTGCTGAGGGCAACCAAGCCATGCTCTGCCTTCTTGTCTAAGCTCTCATAATGGTAGCAAGGGGCCTTGTCACAGTCTATTTAGTGGCATATTTTTGCATTTTCTGCTTTTGTTGGTGATTTTGCTATTTAGAATACCTGCAGAGTATGACTGTGATATGCCTTATGAAGAAAATACAAGTGTTAGAGAAACTTAGTGAAGGCATGAGTTACAGTGCTGTTGGCTGCAGGTTCCATGCTAATTAATCAACAGCATATAATAAATACGTTGTCCATAAACAGATACGTAAAACAAGGTTTTGTATTGATTGGTTGATGGAAATGCTATGATCAGAGGCTCACAAGTACTTAACCCCATGTTTCCCTTCAAAGCCACGCATCACTAATTCAGTGCATTCACTAATTCAGTGTTTACAGCAAGTCTGTAGAACATAGCTACTGCAAAAAAGAAAAGAGAGAGAGAGAATCAACCATGTATGTATATATGCCAGAGAATCCATGTGTACAGGTAAGTTTGCATTGGAGGAGATTATACATTGATCAAAGAAGAGAGACGAAGATCGATCCTTAAGAATTTCCAAATTTAATGATTTAGTAGAGATCAACAGGCATGGTGATGATGCACCTATGTGGAGATACAGCACTTCCTCAACACCTAACTTACTAATTTGTACATAACATTTCAAAATAAATGTTTATTAAATCTTTAATTAGTTAAGTTTTCAAAAGTGTTATAAAATCCACTTTTAGTCAAACTCTAGGTAAATGGACAAATCTTTACTGTCATTATAAAATTTTCCCATTCTTTCAGAGAACAGAATAGAAATAACATTTCTCAAATTCCAGTAAAAAATTTGCTTCATTTTTTTAGTAATCTTACTCAAAGGAATTTATCTCAAGATATTTATTCAACAGATTAAAAATAAAGAGACAAAATTACAATATCATAGACACAGCTGCATAAATTTAGAGTCATCTTTTTGATGTTTATTTTTAATTTAAAAAAATCTCATTTAGCTTTTATTTTAGGTTCACAGGTACATGTGCAAGTTTGTTATGTAGGTAAAGTGTGTGTCACAGGGTTTTGGTGTATAGATTATGTCATCATCTGGGTAATAAGCCAATACCCAATAGGAAGATTTTTTATCTTCTCCCTCCTCCCACCCTCAACCCTCAAGTAAGACTCAGTGTCTTTGGTTCCCTTCTTTGTGTCCATGGGTTTTCATCATTTAGCTCCCACTTATAAGTGGGAACATGTATATTTGGTTTTCTGTTGCTGTGTTAGTTTGCTTAAGATAATGGCCTCCAGCTCCATCCATGTTGCTGCAAAGGACATGATCTCATTCATTTTTATGGTTGCATAGTATTCCTCAGTGTATATGTACCACATTTTCTTTATCCAGTGCTCTATTGATGGGCATTCAGGTTGTTTCCATGTCATTGGTATTGTGAATAGTGCTGCAGTTAACATATATGTGTGTGTGTCTTTATGGTAAAATAATTTATATTCCTTTGGATGGATACCCAATAAAAGGATTGCCATATCAAATGACATTTCTGTTTTAAGTTCTTTGAGGAATTGCCAAAATGCTTTCCACAGTGGGTGAACTAATTTACATTCCCTCTAGCAGTGTGTAAGCATTCTCTTTCCTTCACAATCTTGTCAGTATCTGTTATTTTTTGACAGTTCAATAAAAACCATTCTGGCTTATTATTAAAGCCAGAGATGGGTATCTCACTGTGGTTTTGATTTGCATTTCTTTAATGATCAGTGATGTCATGCATTTTTTTCATATGCTGTTGGCCGTGTATGTCTTCCTTTGAAAAGTGTTTGTTCATGTCATTTGCCCACTTTTTAATGGGGTTGTTTGTTTTTTGCTTGTACATTTGTTTAGGTTCCTTATAGATGCTGGGTATTAGACCATTGTTGGATACATAGTTTGCAAATATTTTCTTGCATTCTGTTTACTCTGTTGTAGGTTGTCTGTTTACTCTGTTTACTCTGTTGATAGTTTCTTTTGCTGTGCAGAAGCTCCTAAGTTTAATTAGGTCACACTTGTCAATTTTTGTGGGGCTTTTTTGCAACTGCTTTTGGCATCTTCATTGTGAAATCTTTGCCTGTTTCTATGCCCTGAATGGTATACCCTAGGTTATCTTCCAGGGTTTTTATAGTTGTAGGTTTTAAATTTAAGATTTAATCTGTCTTGAGTTGATTTGTTGTATATGGTGAAGGAAGGGGTCCAGTGTCAACTTTCTGCATATGGCTAGCCAGTTATCCCAGCACTGCTTATTATGTAGGGAGTCCTTTTCACCCCATTGGTTCTTTCTATCAGGTTTGTCAAAGATCAGATAGTTGTAGGGGTGCCACATTATTTCGGGGCTCTCTATTCTGTACCATTGATCCATATGTCTGTTTTTGTACCAGTACCATGCTGTTTTGGTTACTGCAGTCTTGTCACATAGTTTGAAGTCAGGTAGCATGATGCCTCTATCTTTGTTCTTTTACTTAGGATCGTCTTGGCTATTTGAGCTCTTTTTAGGTTGCATGTGAATTTTAAAATAATTTTCTCTAATTCTGTGCAGAATATCATTGGTAGTTTAATAGGAATAGCATTGAATCTGTAAATTGCTTTGGGAAGCATGGCTATTCTGCTAATATTGATTCTTCCTACCTATGAGCATGGAATGTTTTTCCATTTGTTTCTGTCTTCTCTGATTTTTTGAGCAGTATTTTGTAATTCTCATTGTAGGATCTTTGACCTCCCTGGTTAGCTGTACTCCTAGGTGTTTTATTCTTTTTGTGGCTATTGTGAATGGGACTGTGTTCTTGATTTGGCTCTCAGCTTGTCTATTGTTGGTGTATAGGAATGCTACTGATTTTTGTACATTTATTTTGTATCCTGAAACTTCGCTGAAGTTGTTTATCAGATCTGAGACTATGAGGTTTTCTAGGTATAGAATCATATTGTCTGCAACTAGGGATAGTTTGACTTCTGATTAATGTTTATACATCTATTTCAGTGAAAAGGTAGGAATGCTGTAAAAAACAGTACATTTTCCTTGGAAAAATACTAATTGAATATATATATATCTATACTTTAAAATATTATTATATCAATATAATTAATATATATTAGAAATAATAAGTTAGTATTATTTCTTTGGGAAACAATGTTAATAGTATATGTTTTATACAAGGCATTTTTGATACTTTTTAGCATATGTGTTTGTTTTTTGTTTCTTAGATGGTACAGCACAATTCAAACTTTATATAAGTTTGTTGTTCCATTATCCCCATGCAATATTTAGAATTTGCTATGTGTAAAATTTCAAAAATAACAGTAAAAAAGAATTAGGATTTAAAAACCTTTTTTTAGCTGTTTTACAATTTAAGTATGTGATTATGTGTGTGTGTGTGTTTATATTTTAAATTACTGGAAATGTAAAATGAATTGGAAATTACAACTAAGTACCCAAACAAACTGGTCCTTCCCACAGTAGGTAGCATTGCTGTAGAATTTCTTACAGTCTAGATGTTGTTGATTTCCTCCCTGTGGTTTTGTTTAACATTTCTACCTGTGTCATCTAATTGGTAGCTGGCAGAACCTTCTACATTCTCTTTTCACATGTGCACTAATACCCCAGATACTTTTCACTGAGTTGCCAAAACAAATTCTTGTGTGATAAAATGCAGCGATCTTGTCTGCCTTAACACTCCTTGACTATTTTCATTCTTTCTTACAAACCATTTTCTTCTTACATGTATTCAACTGGCCCAGCACTTCTGTATTTCTTGAGTTCATTCCTTCATGATTCACATGCAATTTATGTGAGGGTTGATATAAATGACACCGAAATGTCACAGAGATGATATAAGGCAAATGCACAAGATTAGTATAATGCCATGAGCCTAGAGGCATGCATGTTACATTCAGCAATTACAGTTATTCAGTGTTCTTAAACATGTGACGACCTTGGTCTCCCTGGAAGGACTCAGTTGTGGTTTGACTTAGAGCATATTGTGGTTTGACTTCGAGCATAAAACAGACCTGAGAGGCTCCTGCCTCAAGTTTATTTAGGGGTGTAGATCCTCTCTGACTGATTAGAGAGGCTCCAATGAGTGGGAAGAGAGATAGGACCGGGTGCTCCATAGATCCTCTCTGATTAGCAAGGCTGCAAAGAGTGGGAGGAGAGGTAGGACCAGGGCCTACATGACCTGTGAGTGAACGTGTGGGAAGTGGAACTAGGAGGTCTCTGTGCTATGTGTTTATGGCAGCAGACATGCATCTGTTGGCCTCTCATCCCATTGTCTCACTATTTTGTAGCACTCAGTAATTTTTTTTTTTTAAGACAGTCTCGCTTTGTCACCCAGGCTAGAGTGCAGTGGCATAATCTTGTCTCACTGCAACCTCTACCTCCCAGGTTCAAGCGATTTTCCTGCCTCAGCCTTCTGAGTAGCTAGGACTACAGGCGCCCTCCACCATGCCCAGCTAATTTTTGTATATTTAGTAGAGACAGGGTTTCACCATTTTGGCCAGGCTGGTCTCGAACTCCCAACCTTGTGATCTGCCCGCCTCAGCCTCCCAAAGTGCTAGGATTACAGGCATGAGCCACCACGCCCAGCCTCAGTAATTTGACTGTTTTATTTTTTGGGTTCATATTCACAAACTTTCACCACCATTTTTTCACTTTGGTTGCACATAGAAAAATTTTAATGCCAGGAATTACAGCATGATGATTATGTATGTATTTGCATATATTTTCCCATTTGGCTATTGCCTGAGGGAAAAAAAGTAAATATTAAGAATGATGCAGTATATGTAAAGTCCAGTGAAAGCATATTTATAACAAAGAGTACTGTTGGCCTTGAAGCTATGATTAAATCTGCATATATTACTTTTTGCACACATCCATTGATTTCTGGATATAATGTATATACAAAAAGACTAATGTCACTGAAATGGTATTAAAATACTCCAAGAAAACTGATTGCATTTCCTTATTTCCATTAAGTAGGAAATTAATACAAATACTGGTTATTGGTCTTTGTAGATCACGATTACTTTTTCAGATAATAGATAGATAGCTCAGTACTGGTCACAATTCACATTTTTCTGACTGTCTTCCCAGGACCACAATATGTAGCTCATCCTTGTAAAATAATGAACTACATCAAACTCTGTAGCTTCATAAAGGGAAGATGAAGTTTTACATTCTGTACTGTACTGTAGTTTAGAAGTGTATTGCTACCCAGTTGTATGAAGAACAAACACTGTTAATTGTCTCCTTTTTGAACTGTTTGCTCAGTTTAAGAATTATTCAAACTATTTCCTGCACATATCATCCTAGGTTTATATTTTACATTGTTTCAGTGATTTTTTTCTATGAGTTTTATGTTCCTTCACTACAAGTTTAATATTTTTGATATATGATGGGTTCTAATATCTGGTAAGATCTTCATCCCTTTGTTACTATTCGTTTTATTCCAGAATCTATTAAGCAGTCTTACTCATTTATTTTTTAATGAGTCTTAGAATCATTTTGTCAGCTTTCATACAGTATCTCATTAGGCTATTAATTGGAAATGTGTTAAATCTATAACTTAACTTGGGAAGAGTTGTCATATCTTCTTGTATTCTTTCAAGTTACAATTAGATAATCATGGATTTTTCTGCTTACAAGAGACAATAAACAATTTTCTACTTAATGCCTGAGTCCTTTAAAGTTTTATTTCATTTTTAATTCACACATAATAGTTGTACATATTTATGGGATATAATGTGATGTTTTGATATACATACACATTGTGAAATGATCAAATCAGAGTAATTAGTATGTTACCACTTCAAACATGTATCATTTATTTGTGGTGAGAACATTCAAAATGCATGCCCTAATCTTCCAGTAAGCTACATACCTAGATCATGCTTTATAACAACAGAGTGTGTTCTTGTTGCTGTTCCTTTGTTTTCAGTGAAATGTTTTTTTCAGATGACAAAACACAGTGGGAGTCCACAGAAGGGACAGCTTGTGGAGAGGTGGCAGAGAAGATATTTGAGTAAAAATAAAAGCTTAAGACTTTATGAAAGCTTGTAAAAACTTGGGGTTTTAAAATAAATAGCAAGCACAGGAAGTTTTGAACATCTCAGCATAGCTAAATTTAAATGCTCTAATTCATGGCAAGTTAGAGTCTGGAATACATTTTAAATTCTGTGCCTAGTCTCACACCATTCTGAGGAAAGTATTGACCCATGTTTGCCTAAAATCACGTGCTGACACTGCAGAACAGTGCCCAGTGTTCACACAAAACTGGTCTTTGTCTCTTAACCCCATTTCCTGTACTGGTGTGTGAAGTGTATCAACTGCAATACACCTTTCTTTCTCTCTACCTTGTCTACCCATGTCATGGGATTGTACCGGCCCATTTTGTTCACTGTCCCACTATCCCATCCTACTCAACCTGTGCAGGGTGGCCCCTGAATGCCTTTGAACACTATCATTGCATCTCTGAACTTGGACCTTTTTGGTCACAATGAATTATTTATTCAATTAAGTGCTTTCTATTGGTTGTTGATATTTTCCTTTGCTATTTTGCTGGCAAGTAGTTTTCTTTCTGTGGCACGTTTATCATATTTTAGAATCACTGCTATATTTAATTTGTAGAATGTCATAGGAAGCTTTGCTTTGTGTATGTTCAAGGTCTTTGTTTCTTAATTTGAAGTTTGAAATAGCTTACTTACCAAGGTAAAACTACATCTTCATAATTATTTGAAAACACTACCACAATTTTAAAATGTATTTTAGATTTAGGCTTTTTAATATCTTACCATATAAATAGCACTTCTCATAATTAATCTTCAATTTATTTCATATTTTAACTTCTCAAGGAACAGTTTCACATTTCTTATATCTGTTTCTTTATGGTTATTATTTTTTATCAAGTTCATTATGTCTTATCTATTTGATAAAATTTTAAGGGATCTATTTCTTACTTTTCTTTATAAATTCCACTGTGCCCATTTTTCTAATTTATTTCTTATTTTCTAATTTCTTCAATCTTAATCTTCTTTTAAAATATGTTCTTCCTGTGCTTAGAAGTATTAATCTATTCATAGCCGGGTGCGGTGGCTCACACCTGTAATCCCAGCTCTTTGGGAGGCTGAGGGGGGCGGATCATGAGGTCAGGAGATCGAGACCATCCCGGCTAACACGGTGAAACCCCATATCTACTAAAAATACAAAAAATTAGCTGGGCGTGGTGGCGGGCGCCTGTAGTCCCAGCTACTGGGGAGGCTGAGGCAGGAGAATGGTGTGAACCCGGGACGCGGAGCTTGCAGTGAGCAGAGATAGTGCCACTGCACTCCAGCCTGGGAGACAGTGCGAGACTCCCTCTCAAAAAAAAAGAAAAAAAAGAAGAAGTACTAAGCTATTCACTTTTACGTTCTTTTTTTTCTTTAGTGTGAGAGGGGAGTCTCACTCTATCACCCAGGCTGGCTTGTAGTTGTGTCATCATGGCTCACTGCAACCTCTGCCTCCCAGGCTCAAGCGATTCCCCTGCCTCAGCCTCCCAAGTAGCTGGGATTATAGGCGCCCACCATCCCGCCTGGCTAATTTTTGTATTTTTAGTAGAGATGGGGTTTCACCATGTTGGCTTGGCTGGTCTTGAACTCCTGACCTCAAGTGATCTGCCTTCCTTGGCCTGCTAAAGTGCTGGGATTACAGGCATGAGCGACTACACTTGGCCTATTTCGTCTATTTATTAGTATTGGGTTATGAACACTATGTAACATATAATTTAATTAAAGCAATAACACAGTAAGGTATATATTATTGTCACCATTATGTAGTTATAGAAATTTAAGGCCCAGAAAGATTAAGATTTTTGCCAAAATTAATAAAGGAGCTAGGATTAAAAACAAACCAGCAAAAAAAAACTCCATGATTACTGAACCTAACCCTTAAACCACCATATTATATAGCAGTTTAAGTGGTCCATCCGCCTCGGCCTCCCAAAGTGCTGGGATTACAGGTGTGAACCACCTCGCCTGGCCATGTTTTCTTCCTTCTTAAGGAAAAATATTTAAGTCTTTGACTTTTTCTCAAAATTGTTTAGGTTTTGGTCTTTAGAATAAGTAGTGATGCTTATTCTAAAGTGATTACTAATAGTGGTAGTGATTACTGTTATTGTCTAATGTGTTATTATTGTGATTATGATTACATTCTTGGTTCTTGGCTTCACCAATGACCACTGAACATTGTGGTTCACAGGAGTTAATAAAACCTTCTTGTCATTAATTATTAATTGAAGATTAATTAATTAACTAATTGTTAATGCTATTTATTTAATATTATGATTAAATGCAATTTAATTTAAATGCTAACCTTACAACATAAAATTGATTAATAATTACGAGTGGTTAATAATAGTTATTTTTTGAGATTTGTAGAATGCATTTCTAATGATATAACTATTAAATTTTTTTTGGTTTGTTAGGTGTCCAGCTTTCATAAATATTCCATTTTCATTTCAAAGAATTACATATATATTCTACCTAAGCATTTTGAAGTATTTAGTAATTATACCTACTTAAGAATGTTGAAATTTTCTGTGTTCTACTTACTTTTTCTTCTTGTTTTATGCCATAGGAATACAACTTTTTTTTTTGGGGTGGGGTGGGGGACGTAGTCTCGCTCTGTCACCCAGGCTGTAGTGCAGTGGCAGGATCTTGGCTCACTGCCAGCTCCACCTCCCGGGTTCATTCCATTCTCCTGTCTCACCCTCCCGAGTAGCTGGGACTACAGGTGCCCGCCATCATACCCAGCTAATTTTTTTTGTATTTTTAGTAGAGACGGGGTTTCACTGTGTTGGCCAGGATGGTCTCGACCTCCTGACCTTGTGATCTTCCCCCCTTGGCCTCCCAAAGTGCTGGGATTACAGGCGGGAGCCACTGCAGCCAGCCATCTACCAATTTGTATTCTTAAAAATATATGAAAATTGCTATTCCATTGCTGTACTTGGTGGGCATTATATATTAGGTATTATTGAGTATTTGCAATAAGTCACAAAGTCGATGATGTATCTCATTTTTCTCCAGTGTATTTTATTTTACAAAATTAACAGAAAGCAACTTTATTTGTCACAATTAATATGGGCAGAACACAGGCTCAACGTTGACTGAATGCCTTTAATTCTATTTAAATATTCACACGTTTGGACAACTGCCCTTCACACCATACATGTGCTCTCCACGGGAACCCTGGCTAGCCCTTTCAAATTTCAGACAGTCCTCACAGCTAAGAGTTGAAGCCAGGGACCCCTAGGGCATTGCAGATGGTGGAGAAGTACACAGAGCAGTGTACCTGTCCGTGGAGCATAAGGGGTGGACTATGAATTAAATGTCAGCCACTGCATGTGCTCAACTGCTTCATTGAGGCTATTTGTATTCTCTGTTTACCTAATATCAAATTCCTTTTTCTTATTTTAGGGTTAGATCTCTAATCTGTTCCAATACCCTATATTGTCTAGAACAGTCTGCGGATTTATCATTAGAGGCAAAAATTTTATTCCAAAATTTAACTTTTAATCTTCATCAAAATCAGCAAAACTTGTTACTTAGAAAGACATACTACCACATTTATAGTGTTTTCCCTCTATGAATTAAATAAACTAGAGACCTGAAATTCTATGTTTTTAATACAAAAAATAATAAATAACAAGCTTCAATGCCACCTGTAAATCAAATGCAGCAAATTACTTTTCATATAGTTGTTTGGATGGAGCTGACCTCTCCCAGTCTGTGCCTTCATGCCTCATGGCAGATGTTTGTCAGGCGGCTGGCTGAGGTCAACAGTCCAGTCTGCAACCTGAGGACTAGAGCTCTCTCTGTGTGAAGCTAATGAGTTATTTTGGAGAGAAAACTCACTATACTGGTCCCAGTAGTTACATTCCAACAATGTCCAACGACATTATCACTAATGATTTAGCATCATTCCATGTTCTCAATCTGAATGAATTTTTGACAAAATGATTGCTTTCCAATGAGCCTGTGACATTTGAACTTCTGTAAATAAACAGTAGATTAAAGCAGACCTGAAATTAAAATAGATTAAAATGGTTTTAATTGATGCCCTGAAGGATGGGAATGATTGAATAGAAATTGCAAACATCATTTGGGGTGGCGTAGTTTGACAAATTTCCATCTATCTTGTCTTCTTCCAAACTACCTCAACTATAATTCTTAAATGAAAAAAAAGGCTTTACTTGACTTTCATGTTTTGAATTTCGTGCCAAAGTCCTTAATAATAAACATTGATTGGGGTCCCTTATTAGGTCAGCCACTTGATGTGCTCCTTTTGCAAGGTTCCTATTATGCAGTAGAGTACAAGTTGGAACCTGAAGTGTGATTTAGGCTTATTTTAGTGCACGTATGAGTCCCAGTTGGAAATTCATTTTGTTTAGGGTTTTTTGACTATAGAATGTTTGTTTTTGTCGTGTTTGGCTTTCTGTTAATTAGTATCTTAAGAGATATAGGAAAGGAGAGGGGAGGCAGCGTGTGCTCTTTCAGGGGCCTGATACTAAAGCTAGCCCTATAAAGAGGGTGCTTCTGAGAATAATTGAACAATCTGTTTATCTAAAGCCTCTGGGAAACCCAGAGGTGTGTTATGGCTGCATTGATTTAAGTAAAAAAGACACATTCTTCCCATTTCTCTATGAAAATTCATACGGTTTCAGCACAATGAGAATCTCCAGGGACACAGTTCCCTGTTTGTACCCTGAAGGTTTTTTACCTCCTCAGCAGCTCTGAAAAATAAGCACTTGTTGCAAATTTTAAAATTGACACGTCAGTCACTAAGCAGCAGTTGTTGGGCACTAAACTTATCTGTCTGAAAGGCAAAAAATACCAAAGACAGGGCAAGAAGAGAATTTGAGAAGTCTGTTTCCTGGCTCATATCATACAACCCTGCACATTCCAAGAAAGGGCAGAGTAAAAGTTGAGGGCCTTTAGAAGCACTATAGTTTGAAATCAGGTGGTAACAATTTATGGAATTTAGGGAACTATTGCTAATGTTAAGAATTTTTGCACACTAATACCGATAAGACTTGGGCAGACATAGGCTAGACTTAACAGTAAGTATTAGTAGTAGTATTCTCATTTAATATATGAGGAAACTGGGACCAGAGCCTGTAATTAACTTCTCCATGGCTACCTTCTAACAGTGAGTAGAAGAACCCTAATGCACACACTTGTCCATTTGGCTCCAAGGTCCATGTTTCAATGGGCTTCTGCCATCTCTGTTTATGTGCAACTGTGGTGTGTCTTGCTTAGCAGGTGTTTAATAAATTTCTTACTACTATGTTGTTTCCATCTTCTCAAGATTCCACAGAAACAGCTACCAACTTAGCTATACTAAGTTTGTAGGAGTTTGAGACCAGTCTGGCCAACATGGTGAAACTCCCTCTCTACTAAAAATATTAAAAAATTAGCCAGACATGTTGGCGTGCACATGTAATCCCAGCTACTCAGGAGGCTGAGGCAGGGGAATTGCTTCAACCAGAGAGGTGGAGGTTGCAGTGAGCCAAGGTGCCACTGCACTCCAGCCTGGGTGACAGAGCGAGACTCCATCTCAAAAAAATAAATAAATAAAGTTCAAAACTCACTAAAATTATCTCAAAAAGAAGAGAAATTTGAAAAGTAGTTTGTTCAAAAAATAAGAAATTTGTTAAAATTTTCCCACAAAAATTTATTTCAAACTGAAATAATTTTCTGGGCAATTCTATGAAACATTCAAGACACAAGTAAATTAAAATTCCCAAAATTATTTTATATTTGAGAAAAATGGGGTAACATTTTCTCACTCATTTTATGAGACTGGCATACTCTTGATATGGTAACTCGCAAAGGCATAAGGAAGAAAATAACAATCTGATCACCCTTATGAACATGGAGAAGAAAATCTTGAATAAAATAGTATCACACCAAGTTCCATAGTGTGTTAAGAAAGATCAAACATAAAGACCAAATTAGATTTACCTCAAGATTGCAAGGTTGGCTTAACACTTGAAAGTAAATGTATATAATTTGCCTTATTAGCAGGAATGATGGTATGAACAAAGGCAGAAGAAACATTTAATGAGGTGCAACATATCTTAATGATAAAAAAGCAGCTAAATAGTAAGGGAAGACACCTTTTAAAATTTGATAAAGAATATCTCTCTCCATAAAGAATACTCTAACAAAATGACATTTCATGGTAAAAAGTGAAAAGCATTTTTTTTGTTGTTGTTAAAAAGATTTTATTTAGTTATTATTTACACAGAGTGAAATGAATAACTTAGCATTGTTGGGTGGGAGTGTCTCTATCTTTCTATCTATCTATCTATCTATTTTTTTTTTTTGAGATGGAGTCTCTCTCTGTCGCCCAGGCTGGAGTGCAGTGGCATGATCTCGGCTCACTGCAAGCTCTGCCTCCCAGGTTCACGCTATTCTCCTGCCTCAGTCTCCCAAGTAGCTGGGACTACAGGCACCCGCTGCCACGCCCAGCTAATTTTTTGTATTTTTAGTAGAGACAGGGTTTCACTGTGTTAGCCAGGATGGTCTCAATCTCTTAACCTTGTGATCCACCTGCCTCGGCCCCCCAAAGTGCTGGGATTACAGGCGTGAGCCACCACACCCGGCCCTATATCTATCTATCTATCTACCTATCTATCTATCTACATATCTCTCTCTTCACCCACCTACCTACCCACTTATCCATCTATGATCTACCTACCTATCTCCACCCAGATCAAGGTATAGAATATTTTTCCCAGTTTTGTAGTTCTTTGTCAGGAAAGAGGGTCATCAGTTGCTCCCTCTTGGCCAAAAGCTAAAGTCTTTATGGTGTCCATTGATGAGCAAAATTTATTAGTTTATTAGCCTTGTGGCTTGTAATGAAAAAGAAAAAAATATTTGAAACTTATTAGTTTAAATGTAGTCTAATTTATCAATTTTTTCTTTAATTTTTTAATGGTGAAATGTTTATGTTTAATTTATATTTAATATATCTTATAGTTTATGACTTTTATGTCCTGTTTAATAAACATTTTTCTAACTCTAGGTCATGAGGATATCATCCTCTGTAGTCTCTCAAAATAATATTTTGACCTTTCACCGTTAAGTCTATGATCCATGTCTAATTGTGTGTGTGTGTGTGTGGTATAAAGTAGGATTTTTCATAATGACAAAAACAATGGCAGTACATTTATTAATGGTAAAATTTGGAAATAAATTTTGCTGTTTGTACAATGAAATACTGCACAAAAGTGCAAATTGATGAACTATTTCAAAAAGAATCAATGGATAAACACCATAAATACAGCCCTGAACAGAAGAAACCAGTCACAGAATAATATATATGTTACAGTTTCATTTTTAAAGTTCTAGGGCAGGCAAAACTGAGCAATACAGTTACAGCTACAAAAACACTCTCAATAAAATAAAATGATTACCACTGATTTCAGAAAACGATTGCTGGGGACATGAAGTAGCAATAGCAGAATCTCATACAGGAGTCAATTAAGACATGGCTCCTAATCTGTATCTCAAACTAGATGGCTGTGTGTTTTTCTCTTTGTGTATGGATACCTACGATTGTAAACAAGATTTTTTTTTTCAACAAAAACACATCGAAGGAAAAATTTAGTGACAAGTGAACAAAAGCATATAATCACATTTAAAGTTGGTTTGAAAATAAATTTTGTAGAATTGGTTTTGTTTCTTTGTCTTTTGTTATCAGCATCTGAAAACATGCATTGGTCCTTTCTTTCGGTAGAACAATTTTTTTCCACTTATTCCATGAGTCTTTCAGGTAAGGAAGATCTAAATTTGCAGAACCTTTCGTGGCATATTATTGCAGTAATAAGAAGACAAAGAAGAGAGTGGTTTTCAGTAATTAAAAGAGCTCTGTATTTCTACAGAAGTAGCCTGGGCAAGCCTGCTTCTTACAAGTTCAGAAGCCCAAAGGCACTAACATTGAATTATATCAGCCTCTGGCATATATAACACTTTCCAATCCAGAGTCTCAATCTCCTCAACTTTGAAATTAATTACATTTAATGCTTTATTGAGTTTTTCAATTACTGGTCATTCCTGGCCAAGACTCTTCTCTTGCATTTCTAGTATGATATCATTCCTTTGTTTTTTAAATGAGGAGAAATTGGCACCTGTTTTTCTTTTCTCATTAATTTGAATAAGAAGCTGATTTCTGGTTACTCTGAAATTAAAATCACTTCTTAAAACAGCATGCTCTATTTCAGTAGTTCTAAAACATTGCTGAACTTTACAGTCACATTGCGGTTTGAAAAATACTGATGGCTGGATCTCACCCCAAGAAAATCAAATGTAATTAGTCTGGGATGTGAAAAGGCCTGAGGATTTTTGAGAGGGAAATAAGGGTTTTCAATATGCACTAAACTTTGAGAATTACTGCTCTTCATCATTCTTTCCAATATCTGCTTATGGATGTAGCATATTTTTCAAGTAAATCAACAAATAATTATCCTTGCTAATGTGCAGTTATTACATTTTGGTATTAAAAATAAATAAGCAGATATTAGAATAAAATCACCTTGTCTTTCCCAAACGCAGGTATCATTTAGTATTTGCAAACTTTTATTTTATTTGTTTCCAATCCAAGGAGACACGACCCTTTTTAGTACAGAAATTTTAATTTGTAGTTTTTGAGTTATTGGAAGTCAGACAATATACTGACATATTATGTAGTTAACAAGTAACTCTTAATGTTGGTCAGAATCCTTCTATGTAGTTAAAAAAACTTGTAACTTAGATTAGTACTGGCCCTTCATATTTTGCAGGAGAGTGTATGAATGCAGTCAAATCTGGGAAGTCAAACCATAAAATCCAAGGAATTGGCCAGGTGTGCTGGCTCATGCCTGTAATCCCAGCACTTTGGGATGCCAAGGTGGGTGGATCACAAGGTCAGGAGATCGAGACCATCCTGGCTAACATGGTGAGACCCCATCTTTACTAAAAATACAAAAAATTAGCTAGGCCTGGTGGCGGGCGCCTGTAGTCCCAGCTACTTGGGAGGCTGAGGCAGAAAAATGGTGTGAACCTGGGAGGTGGAGCTTGCAGTGAGCTGAGATCACACCACTGCACTCCAGCCTGGGCGACAGAGCGAAACTCCATCTCAAAAAAAAAAAAAAAATCCAAGTAATCATGTGTGTGGAGAATCCATAGGAATGTTTCTGCAGGATGTTGAGAGGTGAAGCCTGCTGGGCTTCTGAGTGGGGTGGGGACTTGGAGAACTTTTCTGTCTAGCTAAAGGATTGTAAATGCACCAGTCAGTGCTCTGTGTCTAGCTAAAGGTTTGTAAATGGACCAATCCACACTCTGTCAAAACAGACCTATCAGCACTCTGTAAAATGGACCAATCAGCACTCTGTCAAAATGGACCAATCAGCACTCTGTCAAACGGACCAATCAGCACTCTATCAAATGGACCAATCAGCATTCTGCAAAATGGACCAATCAGCAGGATGTGGGTGGGGCCAAATAAGGGAATAAAAGCAGGCCACCTGAGCCAGCAGCAGCAATGTGCTTGGGTCCTCTTCCATGCTGTGGGAGCTTTGTTCTTTCGCTCTTTGCGGTAAATCTTGCCGCTGCTCACTCTTTGGGTCCATGCTGCCTTTAAGAGTTGTAACACTGACCGCGAGGGTCCGTGGCTACCTTCTTGAAGTCAGTGAGACCAAGAACCCACCAATTCCGGACACATTTTGGTGACCCAAATGGGACCATCACCTATCGCCAAGTGGTGAGTATCACTGGACCCTTTTTGCTTACTATTCTGTCCTATTTTTCCTTAGAATTTGGGGGCTGAATACTGGGCACCTGTCTGCCAGTTAAAAGCAACTAGCATGGCTGCCAGACTAAAGACATGGGTATCAGGCTTTCTGGCAAAGGGCTCTCTAACAACCCCCGACTCTTCAGAGTTGGGAGCGTTGGTTTGCCTGGAACCAGCTTCTGCTTTTCCTGTACTTTTGGGCTGAGCCGAGAGTCGACAGAGAGGAAAGCCATTCAGCTCCGGGGTCCCAACAATAAGTTGGTTGACCCTGTGGCCATGAGTGGAACTCTCAAAGGCATGTCACCCAAGTGAGACTTCCCATCTATCCTATCTATCCAGACCCTTGCCTCCTGGGTCCTAATGCCTGCCAGACAAACTTCCTCTTGCCTCTCTCCTCCAAGACTAGCCCCACTTCTAGAAACCGCTCCCTGTCTCTGGTGCTTTTCTAGTTTCTCTTATAAGAATGATTTCTAGTATAAACTTCAGGATTCTGTTACCTTCTTTAGGCACCTGGGCTCACCAATCAGAAAGACATAATTTTTGCCCAAAGCCCCATTGTAGGGGGGACTATTTGGAATTTTAGGGTCCCTCCTCAGACAAGCAGGCCTAACAAAAGCTATTCCTGAAGCTAGGATATGGGGAGCCTCAGATATCATATCCTTCCTATTCATATAACTGAGGACAAAAGGTGTCACTCTTCCAACTCTGGAGATCCCTCCCCTCCCTCAGGTTATGGCCCTCCACTTCATTTTTGGGGCATAACATCTTTGTAGGACATGGATAAGGTCCCAGTACTAACAGGAGAATGCTTAGGATTCTAACAGGCTTTCAAGAATGCATTGGTAAAGGCCACTAAATCCAATTTTTCTCAGTCCTCTTTGTGGTCTAGGAGGACAGGCAAGGGTGCAGGGTTTTGAGAATGCGTCAGTAAGGGCCACTAAATCTGACCTTCCTCAGTCCTCCCTGCGGTCTGGGAGGAAAACTGGTATTTCTGCTGCTGCTGCGTTGGTGAGCGCAACTTTTCTGATCAGCAGGGTTCAGGGAGCGTTGCGGGTTCTTGGGCAGGGGGAGAAGCAAAACAGACCAAAATCATGGGCGGTTTTGTCTTTCAGATGGGATATACTCAGGCATCAACAGGCTCACCCTTGAAATGCATCCTAAGCCACTGGGAGAAATTTGACCTGCAAGCCCTGAAAAACAGGCAGCTCATTTTTTTCTGCACTATGGCCTGGCCCCAATATTCTCTCTCTGATGGGGAAAAAGGGCCACCTGAGGGAAGTACAAATTATAATACTATCCTGCAGCTTGATGTTTTCTGTAAGAGGGAAGGCAAATGGAATGAAATACCTTATGTACAAGCTTTCTTTTCACTGAAGGAGAATACACAACTATGCAAAGCTTGCAATTTACATCCCACAGGAGGACCTCTCAGCTTACCCCCATATCCTAGCCTCCCTATGGCTCCCCTTCTTATTAATGATAATCCTCTAATCTCCCCCACCCAGATGGAAATAAGCAAAGAAATCTCCAAAGGACCACAAAACCCCCTGGGCTATCAGTTATGTCCCCTTCAAGCTGTAAGGGGAGAGGAATTTGGCCCAACCTGGGTACATGTCCCCTTCTCCCTCTCTGATTTAAAGCAGATCAGGGAAGACCTGGGGAAGTTTTCAGATGATCCTGATAGGTACATAGATGTCCTACAGGGTCTAGGACAAACCTTCGATCTCACTTGGAGAGATGTCATGCTATTGTTAGATCAAATCCTGGCCTTTAGTGAAAAGAATGTGGCTTTAGCTGCAGCCTGAGAGTTTGGAGATACTTGGTATCTTAGTTGCTATGTTGGCCAGGCTTGTCTCGAACTCCTGACCTCAGGTGATCCACCGTCCAGCCTCCCAAAGTGCTGGGATTACATGCATGAGCCACCGCACCTGGCTGAGGATTTTTTAAAAATAGTTTTTAAGATTGTTTTTCACTTCTCGGTTTTCACTTTGAGATAATTGTAGATTCAGGTGGTCACAAGAAATAACATTGAGGGATCACATGTAGTCTTTACCCAGTTTCTCCTAATGTAATATTTCACAAACCATAATACAATAGTGCTCACAGGAAATTGATATTGAAACACTTTTCTTGCCTTTTTTAGATTGTACCAATCTTTCAAATACTTCTGTGTATGTAGTTTGTGTTTTGGTGTACCTGTGTTCTGTGCAATTTTATCAAATGTGTAGATTCCTTTGATTACCACAGTTAAGAAACAGAATATTTCCATCATCAACAGTCTCCCATGCTTCCGTCAACCCTGGCAACCCATAATCTTTTCTCTATGTCTATAATTTTGTCATTTCTAGAATGTTATGTAGATAGAATCACATAGTATGTAACCTTTTAGAAATTTGCACTTATTTTTAACTTGGCATAATTCCCTTGAGATACATCTAAGTTTTTTTGTCTATCAATTGTTACTTGCTTTTATTGCCAAGTGGGTTTTCGTGGTATGAATGTACCACTGTTCAACAAGTAATCATATCTTGTAGGATATGTGAGTTGTTGCCACTTTTAGTTATTAAACGTAAAGGTATTGTGAACATTATGCACAGGTTTTTGTATAAATATAATTTTTCATTTCACTGAGATAAATGTCCAAGTGGGAAATTTCTGGGTTGCTCATTTACTTTGTCAGAAAGTACCATACACTCTTTCAGAGTGGCTGTAAACATATGGGTTATCCAGTTTCTCAGCATCCTTGACAGAATTATGGTATTTTGATCAAAATACTTTATATGTTAGCATTCTGATTAGGTATGTTGTGATATCTAATACAATTTTAATGTTTTAAATTCATCAAATTGTTTTAATTTTGATTTTTCAAAATAGCAAATGATTGTGAACATATTTTCATGTTTACTTATGTATATCCTCTTTGGTGAAATGTCTCATCAGGTTTTCTGAACATTTTCTAATTTTATTGTTTGTATGTTTGCTTGCTTACTGTTGCGAGAGTATTTACTAGTATTTTACCTACTTTATATAATTTCTAAAATTTATATGGGAGTTTGTGAAATGGATTTTAAATATCTAATTTATCAAGATAAAAATACATTTTTAAAAATTAAACTCCACCATCTGGTAGGCTTTTTTTCTGTAAACTTTGAATGATTGCAAGCAAATGTCTGTGTATATACACATATATATATATAAATGTCTATATATATGATATATATACTATATATATACATAAAATAAATGTATCAGGTGCATTGGGAGGTACTGTTTTATGTTACCACAATTCATGCTAATTAGTAGCACACAATCACTGAAAACTGTAGTTAGAATGCTATTGCTTTCTTTAATGAGCTCTAGTTTATTATTATTATTAATGCTGCTTTGATAGGCTTTATTTATGAATAACCTATAGGGTTTATTGGTCAAATGTAGTGTTTCTAATGAGAATTATGGAATTGATTTTTCTCCTCAGTTTTTGTTGTTATTGTTGAGAGTATCACTATGGCTAGGTAAATATCTACCCCCTAGATTCCCCAGGAGTTAGGGATAACTGTGGATACCAACTGATGACTAATGAAATAGAAGTCTAAAGGATGCCACAATCTGGCCAGATGCAGTGACTCGTGCCTGTAATCCCAGCACTTTGGGAGGCCAAGGCGGGCAGATCACCTGAGGTCAGGAGTTCGAGACCAGCCTAGCCAACATGGTGAAACCCCGTCTCTACTAAAAATACAAAAATTAGCCGGGCATGGTGGTGGGCACCTGTAATTCCAGCTACTGAGTCTCATTCCAGAGGCTGAGTCAGGAGAATCACTTGAACCCAGGAGGCAGACATTGCAGTGAGTCAAAATTGCATCACTGAACTCCAGCCTGAGCAATAGAGTGAGACTTCGTCTCAAAAAAAAAAAAAAAAAAAAAGCCACAATCTAATTAATTCTTCTTTCTTCAACAGCCTTACTCATTCTGAGAATTTAACACTGGATGCCAGTCAAATCTTTGATTTGATATTTAATGCCGAGGTTTTTTTTTTTTAAAGAATTGTAGATTCACATGTATTTGTAGGAAATAATACAGAAAGATCCTATGTGCCTTTCACTCAACTTCCCCAAATGACAACATCTTGCAAAAATGTAGTACATCATAACCAGGAAATTGATGTTAATAAAATCCATTTACCTTTAAATTTTGCCACCTTTACATGTACTCATTTGTATGTGTGTAGATTCATGTAACCACAAACATAGTCAAGACACACCAGAGTTCCATCACACAGATTTCTAATGCCACCATTTTAGTCACAGCTCCCTTCTGCCTCCTTGTCTTCTCCCATCCGTCTCCCTTCCTACCTTCCTCCCCAGCCTGTGTTCACTGCTAAATTGTTCTCCTACTCTATAATTTTGTCGTTTTGAGAACTCAATATAACTGCGATCATACAATGAGTCACATTTTGATATTCAGTCTTTTCACTCAGAATAATTCCTTTGAGATGCATCCAAGTTGTTATGTATATAAAGTGAAGTTTATTTTATTTCTGAGTAGTATTTCTTGGAATTAATGGACCACAGTTTGTTTAACCATTCACCCATTGAGAAACATTTCATTTCCAGGTTTTGGCCATTTTTTAAAAAGGTGCTATATATATTGATAAACATATTTTTAAAAACAAACTTTCACTTATCTGAGATGATGCGAAAATTTATGGGACATATAGTAAGCATATGGTTAGTTTTGCTTAAAAACTACCCTAATTTGGCCAGGTGCAGTGGCTTACACCTGTCACTCCAGAACTTTGGGAGGCCAAGATGGGCGGATCATGAGGTCAGGAGATTGAGACCATCCTGGTTAACACGGTGAAACCCCATCTCTACTAAAAATACAAAAATAAACAAAAAATTAGCCAGGCGTGGTGGTGGGTGCCTGTAGTCCCAGCTACTTGGGAGGCTGAGGCAGGAGAATGGTGTGAACCTGGGAGGCAGAGCTTGCAGTGAGCTGAGTTCGCTTCACTGCACTCCAGCCTGGGCAACAGAGGAAGACTCTGTCTCAAAAAAACAAAACAAAACAAAAAACTACCCTAATTTTTTTTTACACTGGTTGTATTCCCAACAGCAATGTGTAAGTGACCCAGTTTCTCTACAACTGGCATGTGGTGTTAATCCTTATTTTATATTTTACCATTCTGATAGATGTGCAGTGGTATTTTATTGTTGTTTTGATTTGCATTTCTTTGATGACTAACAATGTTGTCATCTGTAAAAACTGTTCAGTGAATTGTCCCTTCATGTCTTAAATCTGTTGTGATGGTGATTTCTGTGTGTCAACCTGACTGGGTTAAGGAATGCCCAGATAGTTGGTATAACATTATTTCTGGGTGTATTTGTGAGGGCGTTTTCGGAAGAGATTAGCATTTGACCAGCAATAGACCAAGTAAAGAAGATTGCCCTCACCAACGAGGACAGGCATCATCCGATGTGCTGAGGACTCAAATAGAGGTAATAGGCAGGGAGGAAAGGTGAATTCACTCTCTGTGTTTGAGCTGAAATGTCTGTCTTCTCCTAGCCTCAGACACTGGCACTTCCGGTTCTCTGGCCTTCAGATTCAGACTGAATTACACCACCAGCTTTCATGAATCCCAGTCCTTCAGACTTAGACTCTGGACTTTACATCAAATTACACCACTGACTCCCCTGGCTCTCTACGTTACACGTGCAGATCGTGGGACTTCTCAGCCTGCATCACCATATGAACCAATTCCCATTATAAGTTAAAAAAAAAACATACATATATATCTAGTGTGATTTATGTTTCTGTGAAGAAACCTTACTAATACAGATATTGGTACCAAGAGTGGTTATAAAGAAACAGAATTGTAAAAATGCATCTTAGTTGGCTCTGGGGTTTCTGGAATTGACTCTCCAATCTAATTAGATTTAAATGCATCAATAACTCTATTTCTCATAGTGAAGAGAACACTAATAGTCCATGATATAAAATGTTTATAGAGATATTAAAATATCCACATTGAACACTCTAATAATCAACTATTAAAAGAATCAAAGAGCTAAGTGACTCTGCCTATAATACTTTCGAATTTTTTTTTCAAAACTAAGAAATACAATGATGATGACATTGCTTGGTTGCTCCTAGTGTTACTGGACAAGGTGGTGAAAGAAAAGGATAAGCTCAAGGAATCAGATTCTCAGCTCAAGTGCCACATAAATAACCTAAGATCTTCTAGGTGTGTTTTGATTGAGAGTCTTATTGTGTCCGGAATTGGTGGGTTCTTGGTCTCACTGACTTCAAGAATGAAGCCGCGGACCCTCGCGGTGAGTGTTACAGTTCTTAAAGGCGGTGTGTCCAGAGTTTGTTACTTCTGATGTTCGGATGTGTTCAGAGTTTCTTCCTTCTGGTGGGTTCGTGGTCTCGCTGGCTCAGGAGTGAAGCTGCAGACCTTTGTGGTGAGTGTTACTGTGTCCGGAATTGGTGGGTTCTTGGTCTCACTGACTTCCAGAATGAAGCCGCGGACCCTCGTGGTGAGTGTTACAGTTCTTAAAGGCCGCGTGTCTGGAGTTTGTTCCTTCTGATGTTCGGATGTGTTCGGAGTTTCTTCCTTCTGGTGGGCTTCGTGGTCTCGCTGGCTCAGGAGCGAAGCTGCAGACCTTCGCGGTGAGTGTTACAGCTCTTAAGGCAGCGCGTCTGGAGTTGTTCGTTCCTCCTGGTGAGTTCGTGGTCTCGCTGGCTTCAGGAGTGAAGCTGCAGACCTTTGCGGTGAGAGTTACAGCTCATAAAGGCAGCGTAGACCCAAAGAGTGAGCAGTAGCAAGATTTATTGCAAAGAGCGAAAGAACAAAGCATCCACAGTGTGGAAGGGGACCCCAGCTGGTTGCCACTGCTGGCTCCAGCAGCCTGCTTTTATTCTCTTATTTGGCCCCACCCACATCCTGCTGTTTGGTAGAGCTGAGTAGTCTGTTTTGACAGGGTGCTGACTGGTGTGTTTACAATCCCTGAGCTAGGCACAAAAGTTCTCCACATTCCCACCAGATTAGCTAGATACAGAGTGTCCACACAAAGGTTCTCCAAGTCCCCATCAGAATAGCTAGATACAGAGTGTCGATTGGTGCATTCACAAACTCTGAGCTAGACACAGGGTGCTGATTCGTGTGTTTACAAACCTTGAGCTATTTACAGACTGCCAATTGGTGTATTTACAATCCCTGAGCTAGACATAAAGGTTCTCCAAGTCCCCACCAGAGTAGCTAGATACAGAGTGTCGATTGGTGCATTCACAAACCCTGAGCTAGACACAGGGTGCTGATTGGTGTGTTTACAATCCCTTAGCTAGACATAAAGATTCTCCAAGTCCCCACCAGACTCAGGAGCCCAGCTGGCTTCACCCAGTGGATCCCGCACAAGGGCCACAGGTGGAGCTGCCTGCCAGTCCCATGCCCTGCGCCTGCACTCCTCAGCCCTTGAGCGGTTAATGGGACTGGGCGCCATGGAGCAGGGGGCAGTGGTCGTCGGGGAGGCTCAGGCCACACAGGAGCCCACGGTGGCGGGGAGGGGGGTGCAGTGGGAAGGGTGGTGGTGGGGGCAGGGAGGTGGTGGTGGTGGTGGTGGTGGTGGGAGGCTCATGCACGGTGGGCTGCAGGTCCAAAGCCCTGCCCTGCGGGGAGGCAGCTAAGGCCCACCGAGAAATCCAGCACAGCAGCTGCTGGCCCAGGTGCTAAGCCCATCACTTCCCTGGGCTTGCGGGCCGTCAGCCGCTCCAAGTGCAGGGCCCACGGAGCCCACGCCCACCCAGAACTCGCGCTGGCCCACAAGCAAGCGCTGCCTGCAGCCCCGGTTCACGCCCGCACCTCTCCCTCCACACCTTCCCACAAGCTGAGGGAGCCGGCTCTGGCCTTGGCCAGCCCAGAACGGGGTTCCCACAGTGCAGCGGTGGGCTGAAGGGCTCCTCAAGCACGGCCAGAGTGGGCGCCAAGGCCGAGGAGGCGCTGAGAGCAAGCGAGGGCTGCGAGGGCTGCCAGCATGCTGTCACCTCTCATTATCTTCTGTAGCTACAGGATTAAAATTAATGAAAAATCAAATAGAGTACTACAGCTTGTGATTGGATGAATTAAATTCCCAGACTTGCAAGTTAAATTCCCAGCCTCGCAGGATGTCTATCTACTGTTAATGTGAGGTGACTCTTTGGAAAAGAAAGGGGGGCAGGTAATCAGTACAATTTTAGCTCCAGTGCACCTCACAGTGGGTCCAGTCCAGTGGGTCGCCATTCTCATCCTGTGGTCATTTCTCGAGTTCTAGATGCACAACTGGAGCAGACATATTTAGCAGCTGGCAGAACCCTTGCATGGGTCTCTTGGCCTCTAAAGTGAAGGGTACTATGGTGGGAGAGGCCAAGTGGAAACCCCTAGAACTGCCTCTACCTAGGAATATACATAGTAAATCAGGAGCAATTGTGCATTCTCAGAGGGATGATAGAAATTAGTGCCATATCAAGGACTTGAAAGACACAGGGGTGGTGATTCCCTCTACATTCCCACTGAGTGTTTCTGTCTGGCTTGTGCAGAAGACAGATTGGTCTTGGAGAATGACAGTGTATTATCATGAGTTTAACCAGGTGGTGACTCCAATTGCAGTGGCTCTACTAGATGTGGTTTTATTGCTTGACCAATTACTTAGCTGATTGCCTCTTTCATCTTCATTGAGTTTTGGTACTTCATGAGTTTTGACAAATTGGTCAAATTTTTGAAGATGTCAAATTTTTGAAGATGTCAAATTTATAAGCATATGGTTATTTATAGTATTTCCTTACTATTCTTTCAGTAGCTGCAGGATGTAGTGATAGCCTCCATTTCATTCCCGAAAATAGCTATTTCTGTCTTCTTTTAATCTTTGCCAATGTTACTAAAGCTTTATCTATTTTACTGATTTTTAAAAATGATCTTTTGGGTACATTTGTTTTCTTTATTATTTTCCTTTTCTTAATTTCACTGATTTCTGTTCTTTATTATTTCCATTTTTTTCTTTGCTTAGCGCATATTTTTTCTACTTTTCAAAGTTATTGAGGCAGGAAATTAGATTATTAACTTGAGAACTGTCCTCTTTTGCAATGTAAGCATTTGGTGTGTAACTTTTCTTCTCAACAATGCTTTATCTGTATCATACATATTTTAATATGCTATATATTTATTTTCATTCAGTTTTGTATATTTTAAAATGTATTTGAGACTGCCTTTTTGATCTATATTTTTGTTAATGTTCTAGTGTTTATTTTTTGTTTATGTTTGATTTCCAGTTTCATTCCATAATGGTCAAAGAACATTCTTAGTACAATTTTAGTTTTCCATAATTTATTGAGGTTCATTTTACAGTTCAGGATATGGTCCAACTTGGTGAATGTTATGTATTTTGAGAAAAATGTGCATTCTGGTGTGGTTGTGTGGAGGGTTTATAAGTGTGTTTAAACCTATTGGTTGATTGTGCTGTTTGCTTCTATATCCTTGCTGATTTTCTGAATACTGGTGCTTTTAAATGCTGACAGTGAGATGTTGACATCCTCAACAATAACTAAGGATTTATCTATTTCTATTTTCATCTCTATCAAGTTTTGTCTTAAGTGTTTTGAAGCTCTGTAGTTCATCGCAAAGACATTTATAATAGAATGATTTCATTATGCCTTCTTGCTGGTTTCATCTTTTTATAATTACATGTAATTTTTTTCTATACTCCTTTTCTTTGTTTCAGAGTCTATGGTACTTGATATTAATATGGCCACTCTTGTGAATTTTAAAAAAATACATAGCCACTTCTGTGTATTTTTTAACTAATTTTTGCACAGTATACTTTGTCTTTTTACTTTAAACTTATCTATGTCATTGTGCATTTTTTTTTTTTTTTGAGACAGAATCTTGCTCTGTCACCCAGGCTGCAGTGCAGAGGCGTGATCTCGGCTCACTGCAAGCTCTGCCTCCCGGGTTCACGCCGTTCTCCTGCCTCAGCCTCCCAAGTAGCTGGGACTACAGGTGCCTGTCACCACACCTGGCTAATTTTTTAAAAATTATTTTTAGTAGAGATGGGGTTTCACCATGTTAGCCAGGATGGTCTCGGTCTCCTGACCTTGTGATCCACCTGTCTCGGCCTCCCAAAGTGCTGGGATAAGAGGCGTGAACTGCCGCGCCCGGGCTGTCATTGTGCTTTAAGTGAATTTCTTGTAAACAACATAAAGTCAGTCTACTTTTTTTAACCTACTCTGCTCATATATATTTTTTAACTGGCATACTTAGACCATTTAAATTTAAGGTAATTCTTAAAATATGGCTTTGGTGTGTCACTTTATTGCTTATTATGTTGGTTTTCTTTTATTATCTGTTTCACATTTTAAAAAGTTCTTTTACTTTCCAATAGTTGCATAAATACATTTTAGCCGCTTGTTGACTTATGAAGAATGTTTTTTTAAGTCTATTGCTTTGTATAATTTTCTTAGTGGTTGCTTTAAACTCTATAAATGAACTGCAATTTAGATAGGTATTTTATTGTATCTGTGTAATTTAGCATAGCCTATTGTACCTATGTTTACAATTTCATATGAAGTGTAGAAAATTTACTTCCATTTAGTTCTCTTTATCATCTGTATTTGTAAAACATAACTCTCTTGCATCTTTTCTTTACATATATAGAGACCCACATCAGATAGTAGTATAGTTTTTGATTTACCCATCAAATATAATTTAATAAATCATGAGAAAGATACATTTATTATATTTTTGCACCAATTTTTATACATTCTCATATTCTTCTTTCATTTCTGAAGATCTAAGAATTCTACTGTTACCATTGCATTCTGTTTGTTTAACTTGCTTTAGCCTTTCATTTAGGGTAGGTTTGCTAACTATAAATTCCCCTAAGTTTCCTTTGTCTGAGAATGTATTTATTTCTTCTTAATGCCTGATAGGTACTGCAACTGAATATTGACTTTGTGCTTTACAATTTTGTTTCAGCATTTGAAAAATACTGTGCTACTTCCTTTTGGCTTCAATAGTTTAGATGAAAAATCAGTAGTCATACAAATTAATATTCCCCTATAAGTAATGCCTCATTTCTCTCTGAATACTTTCATGAGTTTCATTTGTCTACTTTATGCATATCAATTGTGATTTTTTAGTATGGACTTATTTAGGTTAATCCTATTCAGGGTATAGTCAACCTCTTGAACCTACAGATTTTTGTCATCTGCCAAATTGGGGATGTTTGCAAAATTTCTTTATATACTTTTAAAATAGTCTCATTTTCTTTCTCCTCGTTGAATTCTTATGATATGAATATTAATTCTTTACAGGTTCCTGAGACTATTTTCCCCCTCTGTATTCTTTTTTTTTTTTTTTTTTTTTTGAGACAGAGTCTTGCTCTGTCGCCCAGGCTGGAGTGCAGTGGCACAATCTGGGCTCACTACAAGCTCCGCCTCCTGAGTTCACACCATTCTCTGGCCTCAGCCACCCGAGTAGCTGGGACTACAGGTGCCCACCACCACGCCCAGCTAATTTTTTTTGTATTTTTAGTAGAGACGGGGTTTCACCATGTTAGCCAGGATGGTCTCCATCTCTTGACCTCATGATCTGCCCATCTCGGCCTCCCAAAGTGCTGGGATTACAGGCGTGTGCCAACGCACCTGGCTTTCCCCTCTATTTTCTTTGTGTTGTTCAATTTGAGTAAATTGTATTGATCTGTCCTCAAGTTTAATGACTCTCTTTTTTTGTCATTTCCACTCTACAATTAGCCCCATCTGTGAGGTTTTTTCATTATTTAAATTAAATTTTGGCTAGTATATAAGTTCCATTTTATTTATTTAATTTTTATAACTTCTATTTCTTTGCTGACATTTCATCTTTTTTTATTTGTTTCAAGAAGATTTGTAATTGATTACTTAACCATTGGCATGATGGCTTCTTTGAAATACTTTTGACATGGTTCCAATATGTCATCTTATTCTTGACATCCGTTGGCTATCTTTTCTCACTAAAGTTGTGGTTTCCTGATTCTTGATACAATGATAAATTTTATTCAATTTTATCCTGAACTTTTTGTATATGTTATAAAACTTTATAGTCTGTTGAATCTTTTAAACATTTTTCTTAAAATTTTTTGACAAATAGTCCTCTACTGAGGTGTTGCCCAAGACTTTGAGGGTGGTGCTTTATGCTCATCTTTTACTGGGCTCCAGTGATGCCACCCAGGCAAAAATGGGGCTTTAATTAATGGCAGCTTTCAGTGGATGAGTGGGATGGAGGTTTAGCTCCCCTGCTTGTTTGCACTGATACCTTCATGGTAAATGTGGGACTCCAACTCTCACCACCTCTTTGCCTCTGAGTGGAGGTGTTATTAGATAAGGCCCCATGAGGGCAGGTGAGGGTAAAATTGGAATTTTGACTAATCCAGCCTCCCACCACCCACTTTCTCCTCATTAATTTTGCATGAAGTTGGAGGCCCAGCTCCTATTGGTAAGTTAATTACTTTTTAAACTATAAATAAACTGTAATTTAGGTCATTATAAATTACTTTGAACTTCAAAGTAAGTTATGGATTTTTCAATTGGCTGTAAATAAGTATAGTATGGCAATATGCACTTCCCAAGTTCAGCATTTCAAGATTGAATTACAAGTATTTTGAACTGAGGGATGAGGAGAAGTCGAAGTGAAAAACTTTTTATTGTCTGGTGTGCAGTAATCTCAGACAGTATCCATAATCCTCTGGATTGTGGGCCATAAAAAGAGAGTTGAAAGCTACTAATGGATAGTGATAGATATGTTGTTGTCATGACAATATGCTCTTGTCATATGCTGTGAAGAAAAGCTCATGATTTGGAAATTTTAATTGAACTAGATACTAAACTATATAATGGAAAAATGTCAAAATACTCTTAAAGGATTAGAATTCCCCCCAACCCAAATAGTTCCAGGCAATCCATTAGTAAAACAATAAGGGGTGACACCACCTAAACAGAGAGTTAACCTGGGTCTTAGGAGTGGAAAGTCAACCATAGAGAATTTGTAAGGCTTTGGGCATCTGGGCTAAAGTGGTTTAAGACACGTATTTTGGTCCAGAGAATTAATAACTAGAACTCGAACAATTTCATGATATAGTAGTTTAGGATTGTTGGGCACACTGAATTTGATAGTCCTATAGATAGTTTTTTTTAATAAACATAGAAACGGACACTTCTTAAGGCTTGAAACTTATATTTGTTTTATCTGAGTTCCTTCATCAGGAAACAACCTTCAGGACTCACAAAAAAGTATCAAAGAACTAAAAATCACCAGATCACTGCACCAGATGCGGTGGGGGGTGGGGGGCCCTCATTTATCATGACTACTTCCTTGCCCTTCCCTAGTTCCTATTTTCTCATACTTTGTTACATTTCTTCCCTACTATACAAACCCCTAGTTTTAGTCAATCAGGGAGATGGATTTGAGGCTGAGCGCCCATCTCCTTGGCTGTAGCACCAAATTAAAGCCACTTCCTTGGCAGTACTTGTCTCAGTTACTGGTTTTCTGTGGGGCGAGCAGTAGGACAGAGACCAAACCCCTGGTGTTTTGGTAATGAATTGAGGGAGACTTGAAACGAGTTTATGAAATAGACTGTTGTTTGATTTGTGAGTGGTTTACTCAGGTGGGTAAATTGTTTTGTCCAATAAATTTATCTACAGAAAATTTCTGAAGCAAATAATAAAGTTACTTATTTGTTTATCCTTTTCTTTCATAAACACATGCTTTCTGGAAAAAAATGTTGACATAAGTCTTATTATTCCTAGAACTCAGCCCTGTTGACACAGATGGTCTCAGTTCTTAATGCTCCCTTTCAGTCATTTTTCAGCTTATGTTGATTTATGAATTGTTGTCCCTGGAGACCTGATCAATTCATATCCATACTTGTTATGAATAGAATTGTGCCCTCCACATTCCTATGTTGAAGCTTCAACTCCCAGTATGCCTATAATGGGAGACAGGACCTTTCAGGAGGTAATAAAGGCTAAGGGAAGTCATAAGGATGGGACTCTAATCCAATAGGTCCAATAGAAAAGGGAGAACCACCTGGGATCTCTGTCTCCCTTTCCACACATGCACAGAGAGGAGGCCCTGAGGATAAGAGGTCAGCCATCGACAAACCAGAAGAGAGGCCTCCCCTGTAACCAACCATCATGGCACCTTGCTTAAGTCAGGCTCCATAATAGTAAGAAAATAATTTTCTGTTGTTTGAGACACCAAATCCATAGTATTTTGTTATGGCAGCCCTAACAGACAGCACTTTTGTTTGGAAAACCATTATGGTATGTCTGGTTTCTAGTGGTGGCAATTTCAGCTGATATAAACACTAGATTTTCCTGTTGTTTTTGTTGAGTAATCATTTTTTCACTTACTTCACCAATCTATGGTTGTACAACAGTATTTAAGAATCTGGATATCACACATAGATATAGTAACATCAACAAATACAAAAAGGAAGCAATAATCAGAGCTTTCTTCCACTTCCTATTTATAGGCCTGGAGTTTCCAAATTAAACAAATGGGCAAAAAAAAACAAAAGAAGATTCCATCCCCAATTCAAAAAGCTCAAAGAAACAAATATAGGAGTAATATACTAATTTTATAATTTTTGAATTTATTTTTTGAACTTTCTAGGAATATTAAATATCTTGAAAAAATTACTAACATTGTAAATACACATTTTCCCATTAAAAATGAAGAGTGATTCTTGATAGGTGTCTAGCAATCCTCTATTTTGAACAAATACCTATAAAATCTCATTAACTTCTCAGATGGTATTTCTATGGCCCTACTCACATTGTGGTCTAACTTCTCTGCTAGCTAGGATTGTCTTGATTTTCTATGACTCTTACAGTGTCAAGTGATTTTTTAAAAAGTGGAGCATCATCTGAAAATCTCCTTGAAAGGTTAAGTGTGTGGATCAAAATTAGGTCCAGTTTTTTTCCTTTCTTGCATCAATTTTTCCAGTGACTTTATTTTCCCATAAGGAGGAAAGTGTAAGCTAAAATGTACCCTGAGTGATATCAGAAACCATCCCAAAGATACATATCAAGTTAGAAGTACAAAGATCTTATTTGTACTTTTGCACCACAAATTCAGATGTAACTTTTGCACCACAAATTCAGTAAAGTCATTGGGGCTCTTCAATGACCTCTCTTGGCAAAAATACCTCCATATCCACCATGAAGTTTTAAAATTCTAATGTTAATAATTATGGTGTTACTCAAAGTTACCCAAGTGTCAGATGAGAGAACATAAAGTAGAAAAATGAAATAGATGAACATAGATGAAAGTTTAGATTTTATAGTGAAGCAGAAGATTCACCTACATAGTGAGCATTCCTTGTAAGTTCTATACACATAGTCAAGTATTAAATATATGGTATTTATTTTCTGTCCCCTTCTGACCCTTGCTCTTTCAAAGTCTCTTTGCAGAGTCTCATTTCTAGAAATGGTTTCTAAGCATTGCTTTGGAGGATCCAGAAACCACTTTTCCTTAGATATGATGTTACAGGTAGCTTTAGATCTCTGGGTATCTGGCCTATGGTATTATCTGCCATATAAAAAGTGAATTAGTAATTAAATTAAGCCCAATTACTGATTGCGTTATTCAGGGTTCTCCAGAGAAACAGAATAAGTGGGATACATGTGGACACACACACACACAAACACATGGACACACACAGAGGAGAAGGTATTGGCCTACAGCATTATGTAAGCTATCAAGTCCCCGGATTGGCAGTCGGCAAGCTGGAGGCCCAGGAGACCTGAAGGTGTAGTTCCAGTCCAAAGGCTGGCAGGCTTGTGAACCAGAGCGAGGAAGAGTGGATGTTTCAGCTAAGAGTTCAGAGATAAAACCACTTCCCTGCCCAAAGGCAGTCAGGTAGAAAGAACTGCCTCTTTTTTTTCAAGGCAGAGTCAAATTTTTCGTTCCTTTCGGCCTTCAGTTCATCGGATGAGGCTCACCTCCATTAGGGAGGGCCATCTGCTTTACTCGGCCTATTGATTTAAATATTAAATTCATCAAAATATCTTCACAGAAATATCCAGAATAATGTTTGATGAAATATTTAGTCAACCTGTGGCCTAGTCAATTTGACACAAAAAATTAACCATCACAAGTTCGCT
Organism: Homo sapiens; assembly: GCF_000001405.40. Classification (NCBI taxonomy): domain Eukaryota; kingdom Metazoa; phylum Chordata; class Mammalia; order Primates; family Hominidae; genus Homo; species Homo sapiens. Next base: position 52,311,605 of record NC_000007.14, read on the forward strand.
ACCCATCAACGTGACATGCATATGCATTTTTAAAACCATACTTAATATCCAACTGAAGAAAACACAAGGTTGTAATTCTACTTCACAGCACAAAACCTTTCTGCACACATCCCCAAACTCACTAACCCTTCTCCCAGAAGAAAAGGCAAAACACTTGCATGATGTTTACTCTTTATCTTGCTATCGTATAACTTACATACTACTGCATAAAGTTAACAGTACTTAAATACTATGATATGAATTCAATACATCCTATGTCATATGATAAAGAAATATGATTGGAAAGAAAACAAAAACATTATATACACACACCTACATGTTTATAACAAAGTAAAGAGGAAATACTACTGATAATTATTGCCCTAATTGCTGGAACTGGTCACATGGTATTTATAGCAACCTTTCATTCCATGACCCATTCTATATGACCTTTGCCTTCAGCAAGCACTTGATTTAGTCATGGTTCTTTTATCTGGGGATGTGACACAAGCCACATCTGAAGGATGTGGGCCAATAGTGCAAATGCCTAGATTGGGTTGCTGTAGTATTTTATTGACCTTAATCACAAGGCATGCTCATACTAAGAGATACTCTTAGGGATGTCCTGCATTCCAGACATTCTGTTCCTTACTTCTATTGTGGAATAGGAGTCCATTGTGGAATTTTCCTTTGTCAGCATCATTTACCCCATCCAGCACTATAGCTCTCTTCTTTGCTACTTGGCTCAGAGGCACAAGGAACCCAAAGTGGCTGGGGAAGGTGTTAACTTCCAGCTCAATGGAATCACTGTTGCCTTTCCTGATGGAAACATTCCTCCCTTTGAAACTAAGATCTTGAAACCAATAGCAGAGCATAAGGTCTGTCCTCAGATAGAAACAGGAAGCAAAATTTTGCTAGTGGGACACTCAGGAAAATTGTGAGTGGTACCACTCCCATTTCTACCCCTTCATTACTGGACCTGAGAATCCTGGAGAAACAACACCAGATATTGGAAGCTGATTGAGATCATATACGACCTTCTGGAGCTTGCTCCAGCCATGCAAGTTATTGCCACCTAAGTAGGGCAAACTAGCCAAAAGACTGTTCCACCCTTCTAGCAAACCAGCTGCTTCAGAATGGTGGGGAACATAGTAAGATCATTGAAATATGTAAGCATGTGCCTGTTGCCATACATCTTTTGCTGTGAAATGAGTTCCTTGATCAATAAGCAATGATATAGGGATACCATGACAATGGATAAAGCATTCCATAAGCCCATGGCAAAAGCATTGCATGCAGGGAAGGAAAATCTGTATGCAGAGTGTCTATTTCAATAAGAAGAAAACACTGTCCCTTTCATGATGGAAATAGTCCAGTGTAGTCAACCTGCCACCAAATAGTGGGCTGCTCACCCTGGGGCATGGTGCTATATATGGGACTCAGTGTTGGTCTCTGCTGCTGGCAGATTGGGCACTCAGCATTGACCATATGCAGGTTGGCCTAGGTGAGTTAAAGTCTGAATTTCTGAGTTGATAAATACCTTCCATATCTGTCATCATGGTTACTTTATTCATGAGCTTATTCAGTGATTATTTGAATTGTTTCCCTTTACTCCATCAGTTTACATGTTGAAGCTCTAACTCAAATATGCCTGTATTTGGAGACAGGGCCTTTATGAGGCAATTAATGTTAAATGAGGTCATAAGTGTGGGGCCCTTATCTGAGAAGACTAATGTTCTTATAAGAGGAGACACCAGAGAGCATCTTCTTTCTTTCTCTCCTCACACCTGCTGTGGAAAAGCCAAGTGAGTACACAGTGAGAAGGTGGCTATTCACAAGCCAAGAAGAGAGCCCTCATCAGAAACTGCTGACCACAACCTTGATCTTAGACTTTCCAACACCCAGAACTATGAGAAATACAACTCTTTAAGCTGCATAGTCCATGGTGTTTTGTTATGGCAACTCAAACCAACTAATACACTGATAAAGTCAAATATTTAATTATAAAGCACTGATAATATAAAAATTTTTTGGGCATTAGAGGAAAATGTGTCCACATGACTCATCTTAATTACTAATTTCCTTCCTTCCTTCCTTCCTTCTCCTTCTTTTCTTTTCTTTTCTTCTTTCTTTCTTTCTTTCTTTTTCTTTCTTTCTTTCTTTCTTTCTTTCTTTCTTTCTTTCTTTCTTTCTTTCTTTCTTTCTTTCTTTCCTTCCTTCCTTCCTTCCTTCCTTCCTTCCTTCCTTCCTTTCTCTCTCTCTCTCTCTCTCTCTCTCTCTCTCTCTCTCTTTCTTTCTTTTTGGTCTACAATGGCATGATCTCAGCTCACTGCAACTTCCACCTCCCGGGCTCAAGTAATCCTCCCACCTCAGCCTCCTGAGTAGCTGGGACCACAGGTGCATGCCGCCATGCCTGGCTAATGTTTGGGGATTTTTTTTTTTTTTGTATTTTTCATAGAGACAGAGTTTCCCCATATCACCCAGGCTGGTCTCAATCTCCTGGACTCAAGTGATCTGCCCACCTCAGCCTCCCAAAGTGCTGAGATTACAGGAATGAGCCATCATGCCAAGCACATCTTAATTAGTTATTTTAACCAAACTGCAAGGAAATTGCAGTTAAATTTTGAACTCATACTAAGTAATAACTAAGAAGGGAAAAAACAATATGAAGGATAAAGATCTTGTAAGGATTACAGTTGAAACATAAAGTTTATTTGCAATCCAAAACCTTAATTCAGTAAAGATTAAAGAAAATAGCTAAGAAAATCAAGAACAAAAGCATGAAAAACAAAAAACAGAAACAAACAAGAAAAACACAGATGACAATCTTTGGCTCTAGTTAGTTGTCTAGATCTTGTTCTATAGATTTTAGGGGGAAGCTGTTTGTGTCATGGAACCTCTTGACCTGAAGATATGTTGGAAGCTGTCTTTGTTTGAAGATTGTATGCTTCTGAAGTATTCTTAGACTTTTTAGTTATATATCCTTCCCTAACAACAACAACAACAACAAAATGGTACTCCCAGTGTTGAAGGTTATAACATCATATCTTTTTACCTTAGAGACATGAATCCAGGAAGGTACACCTTCACATTTAATTACTGTACTAAGGATAAAAATAAACAAGGTCTTTTTCCACATGATTTCAGGGCAGAAGACTTCTTGAGAGGATGTAAAGGAAAGACATCTTGTGCTTATTGGTAATAATACTGATATGTTCTATCAGTTGGTTGCAGTGCTTTGCCATATCTGACTGAAATGAGGTGGAGTTGAAGATCAGGAGAGAAATATCTAACCTTACAGGATAACCTGAAACAAATTCATGCAGGCTGGAGTGTTGTTTCCAGGGTCCTGAGAGCGAGAAATTACACTCTTAGTTGACAAAGCCAGAGAGTTCTAGATCATCTTCTCATTCTGATCACTTGAGTTTTAAAATGACTTGGCTGTCTGTACTCCCCCTGAGGATTGAGGGTGATGGGGTCATAGCAGAAAACAGTTTCTGAGTAAGTGGCAAGGCTTTGAAAAGTTCTGTAATACTAGTGTCAGCCAAAAGAGTGGCTATATCACTAGATAGAGGTTGGAATCCCCATGTTAGAAATAAAATATAATTTTTTGTTATGTTTGTTTTTTCCCTGGTGTCACAGCTGTACCTCTTCAGCAAGGAAAAGCTTCTATCCACCTTGAGAATAAGTCAACAAGATAAACTGTTAAAGAAAACGTGGCACATATACACCATGGAATACTATGCAGCCATAAAAAAGAATGAGTTCATGTCCTTTGGACATGGATGAAGCTGGAAACCATCATTCTCAGCAAACTAACACAGGAACGGAAAACCAAACACCACATGTTCTCACCTGTGAGAGTTAAACAAGTTAAACAATGAGAACACATGTACACAAGGAGGGGAACATCACACACCGGGGCCTGTCGGTGGGTGGGGGGCTAGGAGAGGGATAGCATTAGGAGAAATACCTAATATAAATGATGGGTTGATGGGTGCAGCAAACCACCATGGCATGTGTATACCTATGTAACAAACCTGCACATTCTGCACATGTATCCTAGAACTTAAAGTATAATTAAAAAAAAAAAAAGAATGAAGATCCATAGAAAGAAGAAATGTGGAAGTGTTCGTAGAGGCAACTGAGGCTCTTATTTACTTCCCACTTTCTTAGTTTTATCAAGTGCTAATGATAGATGAGCTTTGAGGCAGAGACATTTTCAGCAATCTTTGTAAAATGTTTCCATTAATATCAACAATAGTAGACAATTTGTCATTACTTGATTGGCATATTTCATGGGGAATCTTTGGCAAGTTTGATTTGGGATTCTCTGACACAAGCTAGTAGCTTTCAGGAAAGTTTCAGAAATTATTGTCAAATAGCTTTCAACCAAAAGTTCCAATAACTCTTCAGATTCCAGAGTCAATAACTGGTACTTTCTAATAACTTCTTGAACTTCAAATATCTGACTTCTTAATATATCATGGGATCCTGGGGAGTTGGGTCAGGAGTTTCCTACTTGTAGAAGATAAACTAGGGCATTTTCTTTTACCTAAATGCTATCCTTTTTTGTCTAGGCTTTTATGATAGTTACCATCTTAAAAAGCATTAGAACATTCCACAGTTCATTAATATGTTGACCATTTTTAATTTGTTTCTTGCTGAGGCTGAAAACTCTTGTTTCCATAGCATTTCAAAACCTTGGACTGCTTCAAAGTCATACTTGTTATCTGTGTTTACTATAACTCTTTTATCTCTTCTCATTTGGCTGTCCTCTGTTGTGAGTGAAATAGGTTTTGCCATATGGGCAACTTTTACTCAGGTTGGGGCTATAATTTAGAAATGAATTGAAATCTGTTAAGGTTTATCTGCCCAAGAATTTTCCATTTTAGTCTTAAGATATGACCTGTCAACAAGCATGATTAAATCTGGAATTTTTAATAGTTTTTTGAGATAGTCAATTCTCAGTTAGAGAAAAGAGTCATAGATTTCCTTTCTTAGGGTAAAAGAAGAAGAGTATCACAATTTGAAGTGTTGTCACAATTGATAGAAATGTACTCAGAATAAAGTAATTCAATTCCTTAAGAGCTAAGCCTGAATACAGAAAAACGTGAACAAGGATCGCACAGCCTAAGGTACCAGCGTCAAAGACACTTTAAGTCAGTAGAGGTCTTCACTTACTTGGGTCTGGCTGCATAGACCTGGTGAGCAGGATTCCCTCTAGACCTAAAGAAAGGCTGAAGTAAGAATCTAGTCTATCAATATTCCTTTGAAAAAAGTCAGAACACCAAAATTTGGCCCGGATCGCTCATGTACAAACAAGTGTAAAGATTTATGATAATTAGAAATGTCCAGAGTGGGGAGACACTGAAGATTTTATTTATTTATTTATTTATTTATTTATTTATTTATTTATTTAATTTTTGAGATGGAGTCTCGCTCTGTCACTCAGGCTGGAGTGCAGTGGCGCAATCTTGTCTCACTGCAACTTCCGCCTCCCGGGTTCAAGCAATTCTCCTGCCTCAGCTTCCTGAGTAGCTGGGATTGCAGGCATGTGCCACCATGCCCAGATAAATTTTGTATTTTTAGTAGGGATGGGGTTTCACCATGCTGTTCAGGCTGGTCTTGAACTCCTGATCTTGTGATCTGCCTGCCTCAGCCTCCCAAAGTGCTGGGATTGCAGGTGTGAGCCACCACACCCGGCATGAAGACTTGATTTTAAGTCACCAAATACTCTCCATATTTAGGCTCTAGGGGGAGGTTAAATTCCCAGAAATTTGCAATGCCATTCATATGTGGTGATTATAAATAAATTGGGTACCTGCTGGCTACAGTAGGCAGCAAAATCTAGAAAATCTCTAAATTGTCTCTTGATCAGCATTCAAGAAAAATTTTGAGTGGCTTATAATCTCTCAGGATGGAGGTATTTAATTCTTTGGAATTAATCATGGCCCATCTAATATATTTTTCCCCAAAAAATGTAAATTTTCCTTTGAAACAGTATTAAAACATGAGTAAATAGGAAGAGTCAATCTCAGTGGTCACTTTATTTTTGGAATATGATATTTCACCCATGTATAACTTAAAGGTAGAGTCACAGATAAATTTGAATTTAAGGTCCTGGTAGTCCTGGTTAGTAATCTTTGCCTCAGTGAGCCTCTGAGGCATCACTGTTCAGGTAAAGTGTTGAATTTTGTAGAAAAAGTCAAGTCCTGATTCTCTTGATCTAGAGCAACTGAAGAAAGCAGTCAAAAGATCTATAACAATAAAATATTCAGCCTTCGGTAGCACTGAAGTTGAAATCATAAATTTTTTCCCCTACAGAACATCTCAAATTTCATGGAGATCTTAAATTGTCATTTAAATGGCAAAAATGCCATTGGTGGAGCATTTCTTTTGGAGACTCCATCTACATAGTAAACCCCGAGCTATGAAGAGAGCAGCCATGGGACCACAGGAGCAAAGGTTCCCAGAGACAGTTCAGTGGTGACAGTCAAGGGCTCTGAATGTAACATGGTGCAAGACTGGTGTAGCACTCTTAGTAATAAGAATTAAGGGTAAAATATGAAATTGAACTTTGTTTCCTGCTCAGAGGATAATAAACCTTCATTAATCATTACCTGCTTCATTTTTTTTTCTCTTTTTGTTTTTTAGCAGTATAGGACAATTGTTTTGCTAATGTTCTTTTTTATTTAGTTACAGTATTCACAGAATCAAGCATTTCTCTCCTCAGGTACTGAATGGCTTGGGTTGGAGCATCTAGTTGCTGTCTTTGTAAGGCCATTAGTATATTGAGAAGTTTTTTGTTGTTATTTGATTGTTTTATGGCCTTTGTTGTAAAATCCTATGAAAGAGTTCTGTGAAGAGATTGGCAACAGGGCTGTTTTATATTTCTGTATATGTTTACATATTAAATACCCAATTTCTGACTTAAGGTCTTTCAATAAAAGTAAGAAAGAGCCGGGGTCACATTTGCTTCAGGATCTATTATTAGATGTTGCTATAAAGTTGTGAAAGGCCCTATCCTTAAAGCCTCTAAAGCATTTGGATTAGTGCCCAGTCAATTTGTACAAGAAGACTTTGAAAGTAGCCTCCAAAATATTGGCCACTACCTACAGTTTTTCCAAATCTCTCTGACCTTCTTTGCAATTTCTCAGCATTTTCTCACTCAGATTTTCCATCCTTTTCTCTTTTTCTCTCTTTCTTTTTCTTTCTCCCTCCTTCCTTCCTTCCTTCCTTCCTTCCTTCCTTCCTTCCTTCCTTCCTTCCTTCCTTATTTCTCTCTCTCTCTCTTTCTTGCCTAGTGATATCTAAAATCATCTCTGGTAGCCAGAGATTATATGTGATTATATATGTCAGCCCAGGGTGAGACCAGGGCTGAAAAACTCCCTGAGGGACTTGGCCTGTTATAAAGGGATTTAAATATAAGGACCAATTAAACTTTAGGGATTCCCAGCTGTGTTGAAAGGAGGAAATGGATTGGAAAAAAGGTAGAGACAGAGGAAAAGTGATACAGATAAGACTGAGGAGGATGGATAGTAGGCTAAAGACCACTAATTTCAACTTGTCATTTGGCCTAATCCAAAAAAAAATTTAAAATATTTTACATCTTTATTTTACTTAAATAATTTTATAAGAAAGTGATTTTGGTATCTGAATTTCATTTGGGAGTTTCCTCATTTCAATAAAAATAATGCAGATTAATGAATGTAATTTTATTCCCATTCTGTCCTAAAAGACCTCTCCTCTGAACAATTTTATTTTTATCAAAAGTTTTCCTGAGTAGCACTGTGATATTTAAAATTTTCTTGGCCAGGCACTATGGCTCATGTCTATAAACTCAGCACTTTGGGAGGCTGAGGTGGACAGATCACCTGAGTTCAGGAGTTTGAGACCAACCTGGGCAACATATGTCTCTACAAAAAAATAGAAAAGTTAGCTGTGCATGGTGGTGCACTCCTGTAGTCCCAGCTACTCAGGAGGCTAAAATGGGAGGATCACTTGAGCCTAGGAGGTGGAGGTTGCAATGAGCCATGACTGTGTCACTTCACTCCAGCCTGGCCAGCAGAATGAGACCCTGTCTCAAAAAAAAAAAAAAAAAAAAAGAGAGAAAAAAAAGAGAAAATTCTTGGTGTATCAAAGTTATTTGAAAAGATAGTAACCTAAATTCAAATTATGGTATAAATTCATGTAAGAGACAGGGATTCAGCCCAAAGGAGTTATGGGTTTAGGTTTAGACTAAGAAAACCTGTAATAATGTTGTTAACAGTTTGAGGAAAACATTGTTGGTGTATCTTGGTTTCAGACCCCCATCTATCATCTGCTTCCACCAATCACAGAAGCAACACACTGATTTTCAGTAGATGGAAACTCAGCGAGGTGGTAGGACTCGGGACTGGGAGCTCACAGACAACACACAGTGCCTTCATAAGGTGTTGGTAACTGACCCAATCAAAGTTAGTCGAAAGGACACCAACTAGGGAGGAACTTTATGCACACCTCAGGCTCTCAGCCAATTACAGAAACAGAAATATTGGGAACAATGTCCACCTCTTCCCCAAGGACACACACCTACAAACTGACAGCAGAAAATGATTAGGATAGACATGAGCAATTTTCCCTGGGGTGGGGCTGGGATGTCTCACAGCTTGCTTCCTCATGTCCACAGGCCGTAATATGAAAACATCACTATTGTAAAACCTAGGACTGGTGCTTGAGGTATTTTTCAGACCTTGCACTCTGACAGACCAGCTTTTGCCACCTGGACTGGTCACTCATGTCGAGAAATAGGCTCAACTGGTCTTGTGACCTCTTACCCAGGAAATGACTCAGTGCAAGAGGCCAGCTTTGAGCTCCTGAGGTTTCATCCCCAACTCAACCAATCAGCATTTTCCACTCCCTAGCCTCTTGCCTACCAAAAAATCCTTGAAAAACTCTAGCCTCTGAGCACTCTGAGGCTGATTTGAGTAATATCCTTCCATCTACTGCTTGGCTAGCCCTGTGCTAATTAAACCCTTTCTCTACTGCAATACCGCTATTTCAGTGAACCAGTTTTATCTGTGAAACAGGCAAGACGTACCCACTGGGCCATTACACATATATGAATAAGTAATGGAAAAGAAATGCATTAACTCCCAGCCACTTTCTAGTGAACCTATTCCTACTAAACACTGAGAGAAATTAAAATATTTCACCTCAAAATACATTTCTTTGACATATTTTGACATAGCTGCCACTTGGGCAGCAGGCAGAAATGGCCCTGCAAAGCTGTCTTTTGAGGGGAAAATTTGCATCTGTAGGGAATCTGCATTAATGCAGCCAGTTCTCTCCCTTTTTATAATTTTCCTGGATCTAGGAGAGATTCAGTCTGACACCTTTAAAAGTCCAAAATGAAACATTTATCCTCTATTCCCTCTAAGGAAGGCTTCATCTACATTACAAGGCCACCTTTGCTAGCCAAGCCTCTTCTCCCTTCTCCCATGACCTGTTTTACCAGAATCTAAGCCCCTTTTTTTGTGACCTCAAAATGGTTTGTAAGATTATGTAACTCACTGGGAAGTTGGGTCTTAATTCTGAAGGCTCCTGTGTATACACATTAAATAAATTTGTATGCCTTTTCTTCTGGTAATCAATCTGTTTCATGTCAGTGATTTGTAGTGAAACTTTAGGGGACCAAGAGCCTATGACTTTCACCACATCAAGACAAATTGTCTCAATTCCCAGTTTTTTAGTCTATGGAGAGGAAGTTTTGCTTAGCCTGTACATATCATGATAAGATCGTTCAATTGTATTAATATAACCTAGGTATTACCTAAGGTCACCCTGTTCTTTGCAATTTAAATCAAATTGGTTCTATTACCCAGTTCCTTTGTGCTTTCTATGTTTCGTGGTCATTTCTGACTCTCCTCCATTCCTCTTAATCTCGCTCTTGCTTTATTTCAGTTGGCTGTCAATTCTCTTTACTTTATTATACAGAGAAATTTAGCTCTTCTCTTTGTACTTGTATTGTGTCTGCCTTTATATATCAAAAGACTCTAAAGTTTCTGCTAAAACAAAGGCTATGGGTTCTGGGCCTCACTTTTGAGCAGCAAAGAAGGAATGTCAGTAGCTTTGAAATATAAAACTTTCATACTGTTTCCTCATTTTGAAGTCTCTGTAAGTGGAAGAAAACCCTGTTCTGCTGAGAGTTTCAAGATGTATAGAACTATGCTACCACCAGTATCCCCAAAATCTTAGAAAAGGAAAGGTGCAACAGTCAGTTTTTCTTTTAGAAATAATATTTTGCACACGCAGAAATGATCAATCAATACACGAGTAATGCTTACTAATCAGCATTTACATGCAAATCTAGCAAGATTTTCACCTGAGTTAGTAACAGCACACAGAGTTGGAAATAATATGTTTGGGTACATCTGATTGATAAACTATTTTTGCAACCCTCTTGCAAAAAGGGCATGTGACCTAGTACTAATAAGCTGGAGGGAACTTAGCAAGGCCTCTTTGTCCAGATTCTTCTTGACTTTTGAGTATACAGTGAGATCGCTGGGGAATGAGTGTCTTAAGATCTACTTCCAGATAAGCTAGGTCAGAGAATTCTTTTCATGGCCTTAAAGGAGAAAGCTGAGAGAAAGTCAGAGAATTACCTTCTGGTTCTATGGTTTTCTCAATTTCCTCAGCTTAGAATACTCAGTATGCCCAGGTGCCATATTTTGGAATATTTTTTTCTGAACCCTAAGAAAGATGAGTAAGCTCTAGAAATCTACTATACAACATTGCACCTATAGTAAACAATAACGTACTGTACACTTAAAAATATGTTAAGAGGATAGGCTTCATGTTAAGTGTTCCTGTCATACACACACTGAAAAAGACTTTAGTGTCCATTAAAAGGCAGGTATTATACAGTTACTACCACCCTAATGCCAACCTCTGTGAGTAATTAGGAAATACTAAAAGAGACTTCCTAATTTTCTAATCTTTCTTCCCTTTTCTGTCTAGTATACAGTTTTATTTTTTAACATAATATATTAAGCATAGCACTGTAAACCAGAAATGTTTTTTTAAAAATCAGAATCTACTTTTAAAGAGTTTATTCAAGCAAAAAGCTGAGAATGTCCATTTGGGACACATGGACTACAGAGAAAGGGGTTCCGTGCTCTGAAGTTAAAAGTTACATTCTTGCTTGTAGGCAGAAAAAACAAATGTTACAGGATTTCAATATTTTCTATGCAAGGATGGTTTGAGAGTTAACAGCAAATTAATGAGCTACAGTTTGTTTCCTTTTCCCCATGGCTTTCTCTCCTCTCCTCTCCTCTCCTTTGCTTCCCTTTCCTTTTCCTTTTCCCTTTTCTTTTTTTTTTTGAGATGGAATCTTGCTCTATTGCCCAGGCTGCAATGTAGTGGCATTATCTTGGCTCACTGTAACCTCTGCCTCCTGGGTTCAAATGATTCTCCTGCCTCAGCCTCCTGAGCAGCTGGGATTACAGGCACCAGTCATCACGCCCAGGTAATTTTTGTATTTTTATTTTTAGTAGAGATGGGGTTTCACCATTTTGGCCAGGCTGGTCTCAAACTCCTGACCTCAAGTGATCCACCTACTTCGGCCTCCCAAAGTTCTGGGATTACAGGCATGAGCCAGCATGCCAGGCCTTCTTCTTTCATTTTTCCTTCCCTTTTCCTTTTCCTTTCCTTTCCATTTTCCCTTTGCTTCCCCTTCCCTTTCCCTTCCCTTTCCCCTTCCCTTTCTTTTCCCCTTCCCTTTTCCTTTCCCCTTCCCTTCCCCTTTCCCTTCTCCCTTCCCTTTCCTTCCCCTTCCCTTCCCCTTTCCCTTCTCCCTTCCCTTCCCCCTTCCCTTCCCCATTCTGTTCCCTTCCTGCTTCCCTTCTTTTTCCCCTTCCCTTCCCACTTCCCTTCCCTTCCCCCTTTCCTTCCTTTTCCCCTTCCCTTCCCACTTCCCTTCTCCCTTTCCTTCTCCCTTCCTTTCCCCCTTCCCTTTCCTCCCCCCTTCCCTTCCCTTCTCCCTTCCCTTCCCTTCCCCTTTCCCTTCCCTTCCCCTTTCCCTTTCCCTTTCCCTTTCCCTTCCCTTCCCCCTTCCCTTCCTCCTTCGCTTCCCTTCCCTTCTCTTCCTTTTTCCTTTCCATTTCTCTTTTACTTTCCTTTTCCTTTTCCTTTTCTTTCTTTTATTTTCCTTTCCTCTTCTTTTTTTTTTTCACATCAGATAGGTAATGTGCCAACATTGAGGGAGGCGCATCTCACACAAGTGCATGAAAACTCAGTCATCCTGCTTATGAACTACAAAAGGGTCATTTTCTTTTCTTTGCAGGTGATTTCTATTTTCTTTTCAACTTAAAAAGGTGTATCAATATTCCATCTTAAGACAATATGGTAGCCATGAAGTCTATGTAAGAAAGGTAAGAGAGAAGTTCATCTATAATGACGATCAGCAGTGACATGAAAAGGGGTCTTCCCTGGCATCCTTGAGTCCTTTACAACAGTTAGATAACAATGCAGATAAGGAAGAAGACTAACTTATAATCAGAGAAAAAAGGTTACAGCTGCCTAAGGTATAGCTGCCTGCCACCTCACACAGAACCCATACTTATATTCCTTTAAGGCTGAAAATAATGAGTTCTAATAGCTTAGATTTTTTTTCTTTTTTTTGAGATGGAGTCTCACTCTGATCCCCAGGTTAGAGTGCAGTGGTGCAGTCTCAACTCACTGCAACCTCTGCCTCCCATGTTCAAGGAGCTCTCTCTCCTGCCTCAGCCTCCTGAGTAGCTGGGACTACAGGGGCATGACACCACGCCCAGAGAGTTTTTGTATTTTTAGTAGAGATGGGATTTTGCCATGTTGGCCAGGCTGGTCTCGAACTCCTGACCTCTGGTGATCCAATTGCCTCAGCCTCCCACAGTGCTGGAATTATAGGCATAAGCCACTGCGCCCGGCTACAGCTTAGATTTTGAATAACTTATTTCCACAGTGTTTTGGACATATTTTTAGAACACCACCCCACATTTAAAAGAAACTCATGACATTGTATAAAACAATTAGAACCATAATATTGTTTTGCAGAATAAGAATTGATATTCATTGAAATAACTTAACATTATGACCATGTAGTAAGTAACTCCAGACCTGAGATTAAACACTTTGGGATAGGAAGACAGCAATGTGACTAATTATATGTTGAATAAATCATATTTAGGATAGAAAGTGTAACTATTTTTTTCTAAAAAGATATAATCTTTAACCAAGATTTTATGCCCCAATACACCCCAAAATTCTCATGAAAAATAAACTTAGGTGTTTTTATTTTCCAGATTACAAAATTCATACTGAATAAATCAATCTTTTAGAAATCTTGCACAAAATAGAAAAATAAGAATAATAATGAAATAATAGAATTGCTAATATTCAGAAAGAATTTAGTCTTTTTAAGAGACTGGGGGGTAGTGTTAGACACTATCCTAAGTTTTATGTATATTAACTCACTATTCACAACACTTCCGTTAGTGAGGCGCTATTATCTTGCTTTCATGAAGGTGGAAACTGAGGCACAGGAGGCAGGTGGTGTGGCTTCCGAGTCAGAGCTCCTGAACTCAAAATCCTATGGCCCTTCCACATAGACCTTCACGAATGTGTTTAAAATTAGAGTACAATTGTCATCCAATGAAAGACTTGTTTTCTCAGAGGACAAAATGTAAGAGGTAGAATGAGAGAGTGATGATTTGTTAAGGGGGTTGCTGATATTCTTATCCTGTACGTTTTAGGGAAGGAAAACACCACCAGTTACCCAGTGAGTTACTTTATTTTGCATTGAGTTTCTAGTCAAGCCTTTGTGGCTGTTCACTGACAGGGGCTTTCAGGCTCAAGTCATTTTGATACTTTCTTCTTCTTGCATGATAAGCATGCTTTTATTACTAAGACAGAAACTAATGACAGTTTTTCTCTCCTGGAAATCTTTCAATGAATTTACTTCATCTGAAATTTCAAATATTTGAATTATGTTTTTTAAGCTGACATAGTCTCTCATATATAAAAACAAAACAAAATTAGAAAGCAAAACTATGATCTCAATTTCATTATGATTTTGGCATGAATTTGGTTTGCAATAGTTGTATTCCTTTTAAGTGAAAATTATGGCATCAAATAAAAATCATGTCTTGGCTTTCTGGACATAAATAAATTAAAAGTGAGCTAAAACTGCTGAAATATCCATTAAAAATGAGAGGTACTTCTTTTCTTGAGAAAATCAAAGCATTATTTTTTTTCTTTCAACTAGGTAATAAAGACACTCAAATGAATTTATTTTAAAAAGCTGAAAAAAAGCTTATTTTCAATACAAAACATTTTTTGTTAAAAATAATAATATAGTGATTTAAGTCAATTTTGCTATTAGTATTCAAGGTCAAAAATATTAGCAGAACTGCAAAGAAGGAAGATTTAACTTACCTGTCAAAAATATAAACTTTACCATGGAAAGTTGCTTATTATGAATTAGTTTGAAATGTTGAGACATTAAGCATATGTTTAGTGGTGCTTAACATCAAAAACTTACAGGCAATCTGTTCATGTGAATTGTCTGTTCAAGACTTTGGGGTGATTAGACATGCTTAATGAGCAATGAATTTCAGGGAGCTTATGTTAAGCATTAAAAGTGCACCAGTCAAGAGGTCTAATTGACGAGACATGGAAACATTTTGTCAGAAGTTCAATACAGAGATGGATTCATTTTTAATGCAGTTTGATCTCTTCAGTTCTTCTCTTCCATCTGGGGGATTCTGGAGAATGTGTCTATGTATCTCTGCACTAAAAAAAGTCTGTTGTGGCCATGTTGAAAGGAAAATTGACTAGGAGAGTTAATTAATTTCTATGTACAAAATGACAGGCATTAAAAGAAACTGGTTCCTTTTTCTCCATTGAAAACTCTCAACTTACCTCTCATTGACAATAGCTTTATTTAAAGCATGTTATTTCGGATCTTCCACAATGCATTCTGAACATAAAAATTAAATTCAAATGGAAGTATATACAAAAAAAATCAACTCTAGTTTTAATTCTGCCATTTAGTAGCTGAATCATATTGTATAAATTGCCTAACTTTTAAAACAATGCAAAACTCATCTATAAATTGATGATTCCATAATCTGTGAGGATCATTCCAACCTTAGAATTCTATAATCTGTTTGCTATCTGTGAGACTCTAGACAATTTAACTTCTATGAGTTTGTTTTTCCAAGATTGAAGGCCGTGTGTGTCCAGATCTAGTCAGGACAGCAGAACTGGCATTATAGATTATTCACAGGAGATGTTGAGTGCAGGGCATAGAGACGCAGGTTTTGAAAGGCTGAACACTCAACAAGGGGACTGCACAGCTGAGGCTTGGACCTTTAAGGAGACCCATTTTGCATCAAGTACTCAGAAGGTCAAAAAACAGGCATAGGAATCTGCCACTGAGGTATCCTTGCCAGGAACTAAGACACAGGAAAGAAGTGCCTTCTTCCCTTCTCCCAGCTCTGAGTCTCCCTCTCAGGTCTCCCATAGGCAGCAAGAAGTCAGTTGGCAGGGGGTGTGGGAAGTGGAGCTTGCGGCACCCAAACCCAGCCTCACAGAATACACCAGGGTGGGTTTGATGCTGAGAAAAACTGAACCAACAATCACATGAGGGGAGGACATGTCTTTTCTTCAATTAGTCCACCTGATGATTAATCCTCTGAACCCTGGGCCCTTGACGATGATGCTGCTGACTGGCTGAGTCTGAAAAGAGAGTCAGCAAAGGGAGATAGGGGTGGGGCAGTTTTATAGGATTTGTGTAGGTAGTGGAAAATTATAGTCAAGGGGTTGTTCTCTGGCGGGCAGGACGGGGTCACAAGGTGCTTGGTGGGGAGCTTCTGAGACTCATTGTCCAGGAGAACGAATTTCATGAGATAATGTCATCAGTTTAGTTAGCTCTTCTTGTTGAATTGATCCCTTTAGCATTATGTAATGGCTTTCTTTGTCTCTTTTGATCTTTGTTGGTTTAAAGTCTGTTTTATCAGAGACTAGGATTGCAACCCCTGCTTTTTTTTTTTGTTTTCCATTTGCTTGGTAGATCTTCCTCCATCCCTTTATTTTGAGCCTATGTGTGTCTCTGCACATGAGATGGGTCTCCTGAATGCAGCACACTATGGGTCTTGACTCAATCCAATTTGGCAGTCTGTGTCTTTTAATTGGGGCATTTAGCCCATTTACATTTAAGGTTAATACTGTTATGTGTGAATTTGATCCTGTCATTATGATGTTAGCTGGTTATTTTGCTTGTTAGTTGGTGCAGTTTCTTCCTGCATCGATGGCCTTTACAATTTGGCATGTTTTTGCAGAGGCTGGTACTGGTTGTTCCTTTCCATGTTTAGTGCTTCCTTCAGGAGCTCTTGTAAGGCAGGCCTGATGATGATGAAATCTCTCAGCATTTGCTTGTCTAAAGGATTTTATTTCTCCTTCACTTATGAAGCTTAGTTTGGCTGGATATGAAATTCCAGGTTGAAAATTTTTTCTTTAAGAATGTTGAATATTGGCCCCACTCTCTTCTGGTTTGTAGAGTTTCTGCTGAGAGATCCACTGTATGAGGTGTATCCAGCTGTATGAGGTGTCAGTCGGCCCCTACTGGGAGGTTTCTCCCAGTTAGGTGACTCAGGGGTGAGGGACCCACTTGAGGAGGCAGTCTTTCCATTCTCAGATCTCAAACTCTGTGCTGGGAGAACCACTGCTCCCTTCAAAGCTGTCAGACAGGGAGGTTTAAGTCTGCAGAAGTTTCTGCTGCCTTTTGTTTAGCTATTCCCTGCCCCCAGAGGTGGAGTCTACAGAGGCAGGCAGGCCTCCTTGAGCAGCGGTGGGCTCCACCCAGTTCAAGCTTCCTGGCTGCTTTGTTTACCTAGCCAAGCCTCAGCAATGGTAGGCGCCCCTCCCCCAGCCTCACTGCCTCCTTGCAGTTTGATCTTGGACTGCTGTGCTAGCAGTGAGCAAGGCTCTGTGGGCGTAGGACCTGCCGAGCCACGTGTAGGATATAATCTCCTGGTGTGCCGTTTACTAAGACCATTGGAAAAGTGCAATATTAGGGCAGTAGGGTCCCGATTTTCCAGGTACCCTCTGTCATGGCTTCCCTTGGCTAGGAAAGGGAATTCCCCCACCCCTTGTGCTTCCTGGGTGAGGTGAAGCCCCACCCTGCTTTGGCTCACACTCTTTGGGCTGCACCCACTGTCTAACCAGTCACAATGAGATGAACCTGGTACCTCAGTTGGAAATGCAGACAATACAGGAGGATGCAGATTCATAAAGCAAGTCCTTAGAGACCTACGAAGAGACTTAGACTCCCACACAATAATAACAGGAGACTTTAACACCTCGCTGTCAACATTATACAGATCAATGAGACAGAAAGTTAACAAGGATATCCAGGACTTGAACTCAGCTCCGCACCAAGCAGATCTAATAGACATCTACAGAACTCTCCACCACAAATCAACAGAATACACATTCTTCTCAGCACCACATCGCACTTATTCCAAAATTGACCACATAGTTGGAAGTAAAGCACTCCTCAGCGAATGTAAAAGAACAGAAATCTTAACCAACTGTCTCTCCGAGCACAGTGCAATCAAATTAGAACTCAGGATGAAGGAACTCACTCAAAACTGTACAACTGGCAGGGCGCAGTGGCTCACGCCTGTCATTCCAGCACTTTGGGAGGCCGAGGAGGACAGATCAAGAGGTCAGGAGACGGAGACCATCCTGGCTAACGTGGTGAAACCCTGTCTCTACTAAAAATACAAAAAAAAAAAAAAAAAGAATTAGCTGGGCGTAGTGTTGGGCGCCTGTAGTCCCAGCTACTCCAGAGGCTGAGGCAGAATGTCATGAGCCCAGGAGGCGGAGCCTGCAGTGAGCCGAGATTGCGCCACTGCACTCCAGCCTGGATGTCAGAGAGAGACTCCGTCTCAAAAAAAAAAGAAAAAGAAAAAAACCACACAACTACATGGAAACTGAACAACCTGCTCCTGAATGACTACTGGGTAAATAATGAAATGAAGGCATAAATAAAGATGTTCTTTGAAACCAATGAGAACAAAGACACAACATACCAGAATCTCTGGGACACATTTAAAGCAGTGTGTAGAGGGAAATTTATAGCACTAAATGCCCACAGACATTTCTCTGCAAGAGAAAGCAGGAAAGATCTAAAATTGACACCCTAACATCACATTTGAAAGAACTAGAGAAGCAAGAGCAAACACGTTCATAAGCTAGCAGAAGACAAGAAATAACTAAGATCAGAGCAGAACTGAAGGAGTTAGAGACAGAAAAAACCCTTCAAAAAATCAATGAATCCAGGAGCTGGTTTTTTTGAAAAGATCAATAAAATAGATAGACTGCTAGCAAGACTAATAAAGAATAAAAGAAGAATCAAATAGACACAATAAAAAATGATAAAGGGGATATCACCACCAATCCCACAGAAATACAAACTACCATCAGAGAATACTAAAAATGCCTCTATGCAAATAAACTAGAAAATCTAAAAGAAATAGATAAATTCCTGGACACATACACACTCCCAAGACTAAGCCAGGAAGAAGTTGAATCCCCTGAATAGGCATATAACAGGCTCTGAAATTGAGGCAATAATTAATAGCTTACCAACCAAAGAGTCCAGGACCAGATGGACTCACAGCTGAATTCTACCAGAGGTACAAAGAGGAGCTGGTACCATTCCTTCTGAAGCTATTCCAATCAATAGAAAAAGAGGGATTTCTCCCTAACTCATTTTATAAGGCCAGCATCATCCTGATACCAAAGCCTGGCAGAGACACAACAAACAAAGAGAATTTTAGACCAATAACCATGATGAACATCAGTGCAAAAATCCTCAGTAAAATACTGGCAAACTGAATCCAGCAGCACCTCAAAAAGCTTATCCACCATGATCAAGTTGGCTTCATCCCTGGGATGCAAGGCTGGTTCAACATACACAAATCAATAAATGTAATCCAGCATATAAACAGAACCAAAAACAAAAACCACAGGATTATCTCAATAGATGCAGAAAAGGCCTTTGACAAAATTCAACAGCCCTTCATGCTAAAAACTCTCAGTAAGCTAGGTATTGATGGGACATATCTCAAAATAATAAGAGCTATTTGTGACAAACCCACAGCCAATATCATACTGAATGGGCAAAAACTGGAAGCATTCCCTTTGAAAACTGGCACAAGACAGGGATGCCCTCTCTCACTACTACTATTCAACATAGTGTTGGAAGTTCTGGCCAGGGCAATCAGGCAGGAGAAAGAAATAAAGGGTATTCTATTAGGAAAAGATGAAGTCAAATTGTCCCTGTTTGCAGATGACATGATTGTATGTTTAGAAAACCCCAACGTCTCAGCCCAAAATCTCCTTAAACTGATAAGCAACTTCAGCAAAGTCTCAGTATACAAAATCAATGTGCAAAAATAACAAGCATTCCTATACACCAAAAACAGACAAACAGAGAGCCAAATCATGAGTGAACTCCTATTCACAATTGCTTGAAAGAGAATAAAATACCTGGGAATTCAACTTACAAGGGACATGAAGGACCTCTTCAAGGAGAACTACAAACCACTGCTCAATGGCATAAAAGAGGATACAAACAATGGAAGAACATTCCATGCTCATGGGTAGGAAGAATCAATATCGTGAAAATGGCCATACTGCCCAAGGTAATTTATAGATTCAATGCCATCCTCATCAAGCTACCAATGACTTTCTTCAAAGAATTGGAAAAAACTACTTTAAAGTTCATATGGAACCAAAAAAGAGCCCGCATTGCCAAGTCAATCCTAAGCCAAAAGAACAAAGCTGGAGGCATCACGCTACCTGACTTCAAACTATACTACAGGGCTACAGTAACCAAAAAGCACGGTACTGGTACCAAAACAGAGATATAGACCAATTTAACAGAACAGAGCCCTAAGAAATAATACCACACATCTACAACTGTCTGATCTTTGACAAACCTGACAAAAACAAGAAATGGGGAAAGGATTCCCTATTTAATAAATGGTGCTGGGAAAACTGGCTAGCCATATGTAGAAAGCTGAAACTGGATCCCTTCCTTACCCTTTATACAAAAATTAATTCAAGATGGATTAAAGACTTAAATGTTAGACCTAAAACCATGAAAACCCTAGAAGAAAACCTAGGCATTACCATTCAGGACATAGGCATGGGCAAGGACTTCATGACTAAAACACCAAAAGCAATGGCAACAAAAGCCAAAATTGACAAATGGGATCTAATTAAACTAAAGATCTTCTGCACCGCAGAAGAAACTACCATCAGAGTGAACAGGCAACCTACAGAATGGGAGAAAATTTTTGCAATCTACCCATCTGACCAAGGGCTAATATCCAGAATCTACAAAGAACTTAAACAACTTTACAAGAAAAAAAATCAAACAATCCCATCAAAAAGTGGGCAAAGGATATGAACAGCCACTTCTCAAAAGAAGACATTTATGCAGCCAACAGACACATGAAAAAATGCTCATCATCACTGGCCATCAGAGAAACGCAAATCAAAACCACAATGAAATACCTTCTCACACCAATTAGAATGGTGATCATTAAAAAGGAAACAACAGATGCTGGAGAGGATGTGGAGAAATAGGAAAACTTTTATGCTGTTGATGGGAGTGTAAACTAGTTCAACCATTGTGGAAGACAATGTGGCAATTCCTCAAGGATCTAGAACTAGAAATACCATTTGACCCAGACATCCCATTACTGTGGTATATACCCAAAGGAGTATAAATCATGCTACTGTAAAGACACATGCACAAGTATGTTTATTGTGGCACTATTCACAATAGCAAAGACTTGGAACCAACCAAAATGTCCAACAATGATAGACTGGATTAAGAAAATGTGGCACATATACACGATGGAATACCATGCAGCCATGAAAAAGGATGAGTTCATGTCCTTTGTAGGGACATGGATGAAACTGGAAACCATCATTTTGAGCAAACTATCGCAAGGACAGAAAACCAAACACTGCATGTTCTCACTCTTAGGTGGGAATTGAACAATGAGAACACTTGGACACAGGGTGGGGAACACCACACACCGGGGCCTGTCATGGGGTGGGGGGAGGGGGGAGGGATAGCATTAGGAGAAATACCTAATGTAAATGATGAGTTAATGGGTGCAGCACACCAACATGGCACATGTATACATATGTAACAAACCTGCACATCGTGCACATGTATCCTAGAACTTAAAGTAAAATAAATAAATAAATAAATAAATAAATAAATAAATAAATGCCATCAGTTCAGGCAGGAATTGACCATTTTCACTTCTTTTGTGATTCTTCAGTTGCTTCAGGCCATCTGGATGAACACATGCAGGCTTGGGCTCACAGGCCTGACATTCCTGTGTTCTTATATTAATAAGAAAAATAAAACAAAATAGTGGTGAAGTGTTGGGGCAGTGAAAATGTTTGGGCGTGGTATGGAGAGATCATGGGTGATGTTTCTCAGGGCTGCTTCAAGCAGGATGAGGGGTGGCGTGGGAACCTAGAGTTGGAGAGATTAAACTGAAGAAAAGTTTCGGGGTAGGGGGTGACATTGTGGGGTTGTTAGAAGGAGCATTTGTCATATAGAATGACTGGTGATGGCCTGGATGCAGTTTTGTATGAATTGAGAAAATAAACGATAGACACAAGGTCTGAATAAGAGAAAAAGAAAAACAGGTATTAAAGGACTAAGAATTGAGAGGACCTAGGCCATCCAATTAGAGTGTCCAAGCGGGTTCAGTGTAATTATTTGCTTGGTTGGTGAGTTTTTGGGCTCTATCCTTGAGTTTTTTTATGTTGTCATATACCAGGCCAGATTGATTTAGGTAAAAACAACATTCTTCATTTAGAAATATGCAAAGTCCTCCTTTTTCAGCAGTGAGTAATTTGAGGCCTATTCCTGTCTTTTTATATTAATAATAAGAAAAACAAAACAAAATAGTAGTGAAGTGTTGGTGTCATGAGGGGAACAGGAAACTGGTCCCATTTGCAAATTGAATTTTGGGAGTAAGGAAAACTAGTGTGCATGTGCCTGTCCAATTAGCAGGTAGACACAAGTAAGTAGAGGAGCCACAGAGGAAGAAGAGACCTTGTGCAAGGCAAAACTGGAAATGAAAAGTGAAAAGATGAGAAAGAGTACTAAAAGATGTGTCCTGCACCCAGACTCCTAGGGATCCAGCTAGGGTGTCTTCATATGGCTGGGAATCTGGAGTAGGCAAGAGAAGATTGGCAGCCTGGTAAATTTCCTGTCTAGCCTGCTGGAGGACTGGAAGATAGTCGCCCAGAGGGCAGGTGTCTGGAACAAGGTTGGGGCTGAGCAAGAAAGTGCGTCTATATAAAAGTTGAAATAGACTGTAACCTGTAGCATCTTGAGGGCAGGCTGTAATTCTGAGAAGGGCAATAGGTAAAAGTACTGTCCTGTCCTTTTTAAGTTGGAGGCTGAGCTTGGTGAGGTGTGTCTTTAAAAGACCATTCGTCTGTTCTACCTTTCCTGAAGATTGAGGACAGTAAGGGGTATGAAGGTTCTACTGAATACCAAGAGCCTGAGAAACTGCTTGGGTGATTTGACTAATAATGGCTGGTCCATTATTGGTCTGTATAGAGGTGAGAAGGCCAAACTTAGGAATTATGTCTGACAGAAGGGAAAAAATGACTGCAGTGGCCTTCTCAGACCCTATGGGAAAGGCCTCTACCCATCCAGTGAAAGTGTCTACTGGGACCAAGAGGTATATTAATTTCCTGACTTGGGGCATGTGAGCAAAGTCAATTTGCCAGTCCTGGGCAGGGGCAAATCCCCAAGCTTCATGTGTAGGGAAAGGAGGGGGCCTGAGAAATCCCTGAGGAGTAGAAGAATAGCAGATGGAACACTGAGAAGTGATTTTTTGAGGATAGATTTTCATGATGGAAAGGAAATTAGAGGTTTTAAGAGGTGGGCTAGCAGCTTGTAACCTACATGAACAAGGTTATGAAAATTCAACAGAATAGAATGGGCCTGTGAGGCTGGAAGGAGATTTTTTTTTTGGGTGTAAGAACCATCTGCCTTGAGTGGGGAGGAACTGATAGATGGAAACTTCAGTGGAAGAGTAAATAGAAGTGACTGATGAGAAGGAGAAAAACTGGCCATGAGGGACAGAAGTAGGAATACTGGCTGCTTTTTTAGATGTCTTATCAGCATAATTGTTGCCTTGAGCAATGGGGCCTGGGGCCCTTTGATGGCCTTTGCAGTGAATGACTCCAGCTTTTTTTTTTTGGAAGTAAAGCGGACTTGAGAAGAGTTTCTATTAAAGAGGCATTAATGATGGAGGACCTTTGCATAGTGAGGAAACCTATTTCAGCCTATATAACAGCATGGTGGTGTGGGATGTGGAAGGCATATTTAGAGTCAGTATAAATATTGACACACAGTCCTTTTGCAAGAGTAAGGGCTCGAGTTAAGGCAGTGAGTTTGGCTTGATGAGAGGTAGTGGAGTGGGGCAGAGCAGTAACCTCAATGATTGATAGATGTGGAAGATACTATAGCATAGCGTGCCTTTGCTAGTGAGTGGCGATTAGGCCTGGTGGAACTGCCATGAATAAACCAAGTATGATCAGGGTGAGGAACAGGAAAAAGGAAATATGGGGAAATGGAGTGAATGTGTGGTGGATCAGAGAGATACAGTTATGGAGGTCAGGTGTGGTATCAGAAATAATGTGGGGGCCAGCCTAAAACAGTAAGGTCAAGTTGTTTGGACAGAAAGGCTACAGGGCATGGTCCCAGCTCTTGTGTAAAAATTCCAACTGCACAGCCCTGCACTTTGGCTGTGTGTAATGAAAAAGGGTTGGGATGAGTTAGGGAGAGCTAGTGTGGGAGCAGCTTTTAGAGCTGTTTTTAAGGAATGGAAAGAGGAGTGGGGAAAGGATTTAGGATCTATGGGGTCAGCTAGGTTTCCTTTTGTGAGTTTATATAATGGTTTAGTCAGGATGGTAAAACCAGGTATCTAAAGGCAAAAGTATCCAACCATGCCCAGGAAGGAAAGGAGTTGTTGCTTTGTAGAAGGGGTTGGGGTTTGAGAGATCAGCCAGACACGATCGGCAGGGAGAACACGTGTGTTTTCATGAAGAATTATGCCGAGGTAGGTAATGGATGGGGAAGAAATTTGAGCTTTGGAGGTGGGTACCTGATATCCTTTGGAGAATAAATGTTGAAGGAGCAGGAGATATCTTGTTGGGAAGATTTGTAGGAGGGGTATATAGTAGAAGGTCATCAAAATATTCAATAGGGTGAGAAGCAGATGGATGGAAAGAAAGTAAATCATGAGAAAGGGCTTGACTGAAGTAATGGGGGCTGTCCGTGAAGCCTTGCAGCAATGCAGCCTAGGTAAGTTGCTGAGACTGATGGGTGTCAGAGTCAGTCCAAGTGAAAGTGAAGAGAGGCTGGGATGAAGGGTGCAAAGGATAGTAAAGAAAGCATCTTTGAGATCTAGAACAGAATAATGGGTTGTGGAGGGAGGTATTGAGGATAGGAAAGTATATGGGTTTGGCACCATGGGGTGGATAGGCAAAACAACTTTATTGATAAGGTGCAGATCCTGAAATAACCTGTAAGACTTGTCTGGTTTTTAGACAGGTAAAATAGGGGAATTGTAAGGAGAGTTTATAGGCTTTAGAAGCCCATGTTGTAGCAGGTGAGTGATAATGGGCTTTAACCTTTTTAAAGCCTGCTGTGGGATGGAATATTGGCATTAAGTGGGGTAAGGGTGATTAGGTTTTAATGGGATGATAAGGGGTGCATGATCAGTTGCCAAGGTAGGAGTAGAGGTGTCTTATGCTTGTGGATTAAGGTGGGGAGACACAAGGGGAGGACGCAAAGGAGGCTTTGAACTGGGGAAAAGGGCAGCAATGAGGTGTGGCTGTAGCCCAGGAATAGTCAGGGAAGTAGATAATTTAGTTAAAATGTCTCAACCTAATAAGGGAGCTGGGCAGGTGGGGATAACTAAAAAGGAGTGCATAAAATAATATTTTCCAAGTTGGCACCAGAGTTGGGGAGTTTTAAGAGGTTTAGAAGCCTGGCCGTCAATACCCACAACAGTTATGGAGGCAAGGGAAACAGGTCCTTGAAAAGAAGGTAATATGGAGTGGATAGCCCCTGTATCAATTAAGAAGGGGATGGACTTACCCTCCACTGTAAGAGTTACTCAAAGCATCTATGATGGTCCAGGAGGCTTTTGAGGCAATCGGGCAGTGTCAGTCTTCAGCCGCTAAGCCAAAAAGATCTGGGAAGGAAGGAGTCAGTCAGAGAGCCTTGGGCCAGAGTTCCAGGGGCTCTGGGAGTGACTGCTGGGTGAGTTGGATGGTCCGATTTCCAGTGGGGTCCCACACAGATGGGACATGGCTTAGGAGGAATCCCAGGCTGTGGGCATTCCTTGGCCCAGTGGCCAGATTTCCAGCACTTGAAGCAAGATCCTGGGGGAGGAGGTCCTGAAGGAATGCCTGGCCACTGCAGTTCAGGTGTTTTGAAGTTCTTGTGTGCTGGAGATGTGGCTGGGGTTTGTCTCACAGTGGAGGCAAGTAATTGCAACTCTCCTCTATCACTGTACACCTTGAAGGTGAGGTTAATTAAGTCCTGTTATGGGGTTTGAGGGCTGGAGTCTAATTTTTGGAGCTTTCTGTAATGTCCAGAGCAGACTGGGTAATAAAATGTATATTGAGAATAAGACTGCCTTCTGGACCCTCTGGGTCTAGGGCAGTAAAGCGTCTAAGGGTTGTTGCCAAACAGGCTATGAACTGGGCAGGGTTTTTATATTTGATGAAAAAGAGCCTAAACACTAACTGATTTGGGAGAGGTCGGATTAAGAAAAAGGAGCATTAACTTTGACTGTGCCTTCAGCTCCAGCCACCTCTTTAAAAGGAAATTGTTGGGCAGGTGAGGGAGGGCTAGTCACTGAACGAAACTGTAAGCCGGACCGGGTGTGAGGAGGGGAGGTGATAAAAGGATTATAGGGTGGGGGAGTGGAGGCTGAGGAAGAATTGGGACCTGGCTCGGCCTGGTGAGGAGCAGCCTGGGGAGGAGGGGAGAGGTCAGATGGGTCTGTAGAAAAGGAGGATTCAAAGGACTGAGAGCTTGGGGTAGATACTGAAGGAATAGACAGGAGAGAAATAAGAAAGATTTGGGATGAGTCACACTGGGAGCAGAGACTAGAGAGGGACTGATGTGTAAAACAATGCCTGGATATCAGGCACCTCAGACCATTTGCCCATTTTATGGCAAGCATTATCTAGGTCTTGTAGGATGGAGAAATCAAAAGTGCCATTTTCTGGCTATTTGGAACCATTGTTGAGTTTGTATTGGGGTGAAGCAGTGTTGCAGAAGAAAGTAAGGCATTTAGGTTTTAGATCAGGTGTGACTTGAAGAGGTTTTAAGCTCTTGAGAACACAGGCTAAGGGAGAAGAAGGAGGAATGGAGGGTGGAAGTTTGCCCATAGTGAAGGAGGCAAGCCCAAAGAAAAGAGAGGGTAGAGACACAGAATGGGGGGGTGGTACTTGCCCCCCAGGGGGTTGGTGCTTGCCATCAAGGTGAAGAGTCAAGGCAGTTGTCCCCGCAGTGATCAGACACCTCTGAAATGTGAGTGAATAATCAGGCAGGTGTCCCCACAGTGATTAAACACCAAGGGAAGACTGTCTTCCCAAGTCCGTGACCAGTATCAGAGTTTTGGGTTCATGGATAAAACATATCTCCTCTGTCTCTACCAGCAAAGGAAAGGAACTGAAATTAAGAGAAGAGAGAAATTGAAGGGTGGCAGCAAAATTGAAAGGATAAAGAGGTTGAGGGATAGTGAGAGAGGTTGAGAAGAGAGTAAAAAGAGGCCACTTAACTAATTTAAAATTGGTGAAATGTTCCTTGGGCTGATTGGTGTGAGGACCCAAGGTTGTAGGTGAATCTTTCTCATGGAGCAAAGAGGAGGAGGACAGCGGATTAATCTCACAAGGGAGGTTCCCCCATCCGAGTCACAGCACCAAATATCATGTATGTCTGTGTGAAGAGACCACCAACAGGCTTTGTGTGAGCAATAAAGCTTTTTAATCACCTGGGTGCAGGTGGGCTGAGTCCCAAAAGAGTCAGTGAAGGCAGATAAGGGTGGGGCAGTTTTACAGGATTTGTGTATGTAGTGGAAAATACAGTCAAAGGGGTGGTTCTCTGGCAGGCAGGGGTGGGGGTCACAAGGTGCTTGGTGGGGAGCTTCTGAGATTCATTGTCCAGGAGAAGGAATTTCACAAGAAAATGTGATCAGTTAATGCAGGAACTGGCCATTTTCACTTCTTTTGTGATTCTTCAGTTGCTTCAGGCCATCTGGATGTATACGTGCAGGCTTGGGCTCAGAGGCCTGACAATGATGATAATAATTATTATTTTTGAGATGGTGTCTTGCTCTGTTGCCCAGGCTGGAGTGCAGTGGTGCAGTCTTGGCTGACTAAAACCTCCACCCTCCTGGCTTCAAGTGATTCTCCTGTCTCAGCCTCCTGAGTAGCTGGGATTACAGGCACACACCACCACACCCAGCTAATTTTTGTATTTTTAGTAGAGACGGGGTTTCACCATGTTGGCCAAGCTGGTCTTGAACTCCTGACCTCAGGTGATCAGCCCACCTCGGCCTCCCAAAATGGTGGGATTACAGGTGTGAGCCATGGCACCCGGGCCCTTGATTATATAATGTCTTGTGTGAAAATGGTGAATCTAATGTGTCCAATTAAATAACAAGAGGAACAAAGAACTCTGCCATAAACTGGTCTATAAATGTCATATACAGCAACATTTTATAGCTAGCATGACTTTTTCTGTTAATATAAACCCCAGTAAATCAAAAACATATAAGAATTAATTTATTTTCCACTAAAAAAAGAAAAAAATACTAGACAGGATGATGTAAATGATGTAAAACAGATGCTTTTGGTTCTGTAGGAGGATGTTTTTGTCCCTATAACATATAAGGGAGTGTAGTTGATGAAGAAAAAAAATGAATTCTAATAAAAAAAGTTTTTTTAAATAATGAAGTACAGTCATTAATAATGAACTAAACGGGTGTCTCATGACATAAAACCTATGGCCCATGGATTAATCAGAAAAAACAAAGTTTTTATTCCTAGTGCTGGAGTCGATGAATGGCCATGTGGGCTAGCACATGGATTGCAGTCCTCCAGGTTAACTCTGCAGCAGAGAGCTCTTGGGCTGCTGGTTTCTTTTCTTTTCTTTTCTTTTCTTTTTTCTTTTCTTTCCTTTCCTTTTCTCTTTTCTTTCTTTTCTTTTCTTCCTTTCTCTCCCTTCTTTCCTTCCCTCCCTCCTTCCTTTCTTTCCTTCCTTCCTTCCTTCCTTCCTTCCTTTTTTGACAAAAGGCCTTTTATTCTATGACACAGTGTCCAAATGTCAACTTACTAGTTTTTTCTTCGTTTATTAGATACAAACATTGCATTACTTTTGTTCAAACAGCATTTTTTGTATTAAAAAAATCTTCTGCAGAAATGAAATATAAGAAAAAATAGGAGAGTGACTCGCAGTGCAGGTGAAATCATCCTGCCTTGTGAGCTCAGCCTCCCCTTTCCCCAGGCAGCCCTGGAAGCGCTCCACAGTGCCTCAGGGCTGTGAGCAGGGCAGCACCAGAGCCACTGTCCTGCAGAGTGGTCCTTACATTATGGATGACAGTCTGTTGGGACGATCGCTGGTTAAGTATGTAACAGCACCTGAGACAGTTAAAAATACGAATCTGCAGTGAGACCAACTTGAAGGTTATTAACATTGCCTTTATTAAATTATTTCTGGAGATCAGTTTGCACTTTGGTGACCAAAAGATCACTCAATCCTTCTACCCTCAGATATGCAGGGCTAAGCAACATTAGCTAGCTGCCCACTTATGCTTATTCAAGATGAATGGTCTAATGAGAGGGTCTTGTTGATTATTTAGTTACAACTGCAATATTGCATACCATTTTCTTTTGATTTTAACTTGTTTCTTAGATATTAAAATTAAATAAATATTTAAAAGTACAATATTGCAGTTGAGGTCAATTGTGCTTATGGTGTCAGTGGAAGTGTGGATAGCAGTGGTTACATACTGGGTGCTTTCTTACATTAGCAAATATGGGTCATTCCTCATGGGACCTCCAGCTCTAGGTTTTGCCATACGTGTTTATTCTCTCAACCAGAGGTAGAGATTGTCCAAATTTGAATTTCAACCAGGGTCATCCTGGGATGAACAAATGTCTGAGCACTTCTGGAGGAGGTGCAAGCTCGCAAGGGTCTGTCTGCATGCACAAAGACTTATTTTTAAAGACCCTTCTGAAGGGAACTAAAAGTCAGGCAAGTGCATTTGACCTATAAAATCAAAGGGAAAGGCTGCTCTCAGGCCAGCACTGTCTCAGCAGATGGACCTCCTGCCAAGACCCTTGTGAACATTTACCTGGGTTTGAGGGAAAGAGGCTTTGAGAGAAATTTCAGGTCACTTTTCACAAAAATCATTGTGAGATGTTATATTACAAGAAGGCATTGTGTGAAGGCCAGTGGAAAACAATTGACATTAAAGTCAGAGAATGGACTCTCCTCCACTTCTCCAGCAAATCCTCAATAGTTTTGCTGCATCGATGTCCTGTGGACATTAGTAGCTTGGCACACTATAGTCAATTTTGAGAACAGCAACGTACCAGTACCCCATGGCAGTGTACACAGTAAGAGCTTCAGCAGGCACTTTGGTGAGGCAGCTGCATTGTGGGGGACAGTGCTCTTCAGGGGGACATGGGCAAGAAACAGCCAGGCTGGCCAAAAAAGAGATGCCCTTTACGTTGTGTGTTCACCTCACATGCTGGCACATGCTACAGTTTCCTGACAATAGTGTGTGGGACAGGAATGGCTTACTTAGGGTTGTGGTCGTCCCACAAAACAATCAAGGGACATGTTGTCCACGCCATCAGAGTTTCCCTGCTATTGCCCAGGCAGGCACAGCATGGGGAACTGTGGCACATGCACGTCCACAATATTTACACATCTGCCCAGACACGTTCCTCACCTCATGCTGCTGGTCCTGCCAGGCCCCGCTACTCCTCAGTGCACTCTCTCCGGCACACAAGCATAGGACTTGTCCCATAGGACCCATTACCCAAAATGTTTTTTTGTTTTGTTTTGAGACGGAGTCTCACCCTGTCACCCAGGATGGAGTGCGATGGTGTGAATCTTTCCTCACTGCAACCTCCGCCTCCTAGGTTCAAGTGATTCTCCTGCCTCTGCCTCAGCCTCCCGAGTAGCAGGTGTGCACCTCCACGCCCAGATAATTTTTGTATTTTTAGTAGAGATGGGGTTTCACCATGTTGGCCAGGCTGGGCTCGAACTCCTGACCGTGCGATCTACCCGCCTCAGCCTCTCAAAGTGCTGGGATCACAGGCATGAGCCACCATGCCCAGCCCTAAAATGTTTTTATAATTTAACATGGAATGAAGCCTACTGCTTCAGGATTAATCTTATTTAGCATGTCTTCTTCTCTTTGTTTTTTGTTTGCTTGTTTGTTTGTGTTTTTGTTTGACCATGTCTCACTCTGTTGCCCAGGCTACAGTGCAGTTGTGCAATCATAGCTCACTGCAACCTCCTTCCCCTAGGTTCGAAGCATTCTCCTACCTCAGCCTCCCAAGTAGCTGGGACTACAAGTGCCCACCACCACACCTGCCAAATTTTTGTATTTTTAGTAAAGATGGTATTTCGCCATGTTGGCCAGGCTGGTCTCGAACTCCTGCCCTCAGGTGATCCACCCACCTTGGCCTCCCAAAGTTTTGGGATTACAGGTGTGAGCCACCGTGCCCGGCCTAAGTTTGTTTTTGAAAAATTAAACTCTCAACACTGTGGGGCAGGTCATAAGAAAACTGATGCCCAGAGAGCTGAAGATGGGATCCTGCCACAGTCCTCCATCCTCAGGGCATCACATCACCCTTGCTAATAACATGATGCTGAGGACTTACCCACTGCAAGTTCTCACTGAAAATAAGTTACTTTATTATTATTATCTTATACTGTGGTAAAATCCATATACAATTTATCAACCATATTAAGTGCACAATTCAGTGATATTATGTCCATAATACTGTGCAACCATCACCACCCCCATCTTCCTAACTCCTTTCATCTTGTAAAACCAAAACTCTGTGCTCCTGAAGCAGCCGTTCCTCATTACCCCCTCCCCAGCCACTGGCAACCGCATTCCACTTTGTATTTCTATGAGGGTGACTACTCCAGGTACCTTATGTAAGTGGAATCATACAGTATTTGCCCTTTGGTGACTGGCTTGTTTCACTTGGCCTGATGTTCTCAAGGTTAATCCATGCTGTAATGTATGTCAGAACTTCCTTTCTTTTGAATGCTGAACGATAATTCTATCCTATGTTTCTACCATATTTTGTGTATCTATTCATCTAACATCTCTTCTAACACATAATTTCCTTCCTCAGAAACCTTCAATTTTTTTAAACAGAATACAATCCAAGATCTTGGGATAATTTTCAAACTCTCAATGTCTTATCAAGCTTATCTCCTAATGTCACTTGCCATATCTTCTGTTCTAGCCAAATTTATTTCTGCAGTGTTTAAATATACTGTTATATCCATGTTTTTGGTCAAACCAAAGTCCCATTCTATAAGGCTCTCCTCTGTTTCCTTACCTGGTTTATATTAGTCACTGGAGACTCTGCTCTGCTCAAAGTCCACCCCCTCCACCAAAATACCTCTGTCCACCCAAATCTAAGGTGAGATATCCTTCCTTTAATGTCTTATGCCAAGTCATTTTGTTGGTCAATGTGTGTGGCTGTCAGTGTATGGAGACATCAGTGTTATCAATCCACTTTGTATTGTTACTGGAATTTCTCTTTGTCATCTCGGTCTATGATCATCTTTGCAGTTCAACTCCATGCCATGCGTGGACTCTTCTCTTGCCTGGATTTCCCTTTTCTTATTTCTCAGTTGGGCCAGATCTGCACCCATAATTTCTTCCCTAAAATATTTTGTCCTGTTGCCTCTTTTCCTCCAGTAAAACCAATCAACTCCTCTTTGTGTTTCCAAAACACTGAGAACAAATCTCTCCCTTGACACCTGGGCACTGTGTTGGCCACGCCGCATGTCTGCCCCAGCTCTTAGACTATGAACATTTTAAGGGCAGGCATTATGCCTGGCCCCTTCTTCATCCAGAGAATCCTGCTATGTCTGGCACATATTTGCAGTTCTTGTTTCCTCCACACAATGGAAAAGAAAAAATATGTTCCTTGATTCCAGATAGGAGAAAACACATTTTGAAGGTAAAATATTATCAGTGTCATTGTGATGACTTTCATGATGAATGTTAGGAGATGCTTATGTGTCAAGAAGTGTGATAAATACTAAAAAGGTTACACAGATGAGTCACATGTGGCTTTTTTTTTAAAGAGCTTAAGATGTAATGAATAAAGAATTTATAATATTAGAGGTCAGAATGGATGATGTGCCTGTAATTATGTACAGCAGGGCATCATGACAAAGAGAATGGACAGCAGGAATGCATTCATTTATTTATGTTGTGGAGAGTAGTGCAGGGGAGCCTTTGATTAAGAGGCTAACAGTTGACTTCCAACATTTCAGATGATTAGAATTCTGAGAGTGATGGAGAAGGCAGAAAACACAGGACAAGCAAAGACGTGGAGACTGGAAACTGCGGTGAATGTTAGGTAGGAAAACAACAGAATGTATGCATAGGGACAGAGTATGATGGCTCTGGGACTCGGCTGACAAACCTAGGCTTCTACCTACTGATGGAACATTGCAACCAAGTTTTAAAGAGGAGGGTGACAGGACAGAGAAATGACCTGCTCTGCAGGTAAATTTTCACCTGTCGGTTCTCATCAACTTTTCATCTGTCTACGCCAGAGAATTGGGGGCTAACTCGAGCACCTCAGAGGATGCGTAGAGGCAGCAATCATGTAACAGAAAAGTGCAGTGCTCCTGAGAGTTGCTTTGTATTCCACCAGTAATTCTGTGGCATTCAAAATGAAAGAGACAACAATACTTGTTCTCCTGACTCTCTTGGGATCTCTCCAGGTGTCCACATTGAATGCCTACTGCCAGAGAGAGGAACAGAGCAGTAGGTAACTGACAAAGAATGAGAACGGCAGCAGCAGCCCTGATGCAGGAGGCTAGGGTCGGAAAGGGCTGCCAGTGTCTGTAAACTACGTGGAGTGAGGCTAGTGCTGCTCTTTGGTTGAAACTCTCTGCCTTTAGTTGTCTACATTCCTAGGGCTTACCTGTTCAGCTCTGTCTGAACTGTTTTCTCCTACTTAGGCAGTTTATCTGGTCCTTCAATTCCAGGCTTTATTTCAAATCCAGCTTTCCTCCTCATAATCAATGACTGTATTTCATATGTCTTAATCACTTTTCTACCCTGGGAAATGGTGACTAATGAAACAACTTATAAGCTCCTTTAGTGTCAGTTAATAGGAATTACTGAGAATATATTGAAGCAAAGAAGCAGGGATATAAATGAACTTCACCTTCTGTCAGAAAAGGGCATTAGACATCATAGAAACTTTTATTTATAAGACAATCATGATTGTCATACTGGGGTAATTGCTTTGAATGTCTTCTAGTTTTTAACTTGTGATGTTCTCCTGCGTATTCATTTTGATGCACTCCAACTATTTCTCATATAAAATGTTAAGATAAAAATAGACCAACAAGAAGGAGAGCTCAAACTGATTCAATTTCATGATTGCATCTTCAACTTCTAGCTAAACAATCAAGAGTGTATTACTCAAAGTCCTACGTAGTCCACACACCAAAGGCTGAATAACTCATTGAGTATCAATCAGCAATTTTTAAACCAGAATTCATTTCCATTTGCAACACTTGTTTTTTCCCAGTATATAATAATCACAATAACAACAATAAAGCTTCTCATAGATGAAAAATGAAGGAAGGAAGGAAGGAAATAAAATAAAAGATAAGAACAGAAGGGGGGAAAGAAGAAAGGGAAAGGAAAGGAAATAGCCACTCTGCTCCTCTGAATAGGAAAATATTTTATGTTAGCTACAGGACCACCAAGAGTTAGGAATAAGAATTTAATTCAGAACATCTTTTGTGGGTGATCTGACAGATATTTGAGATATATATAATAAGCATTCTTCTGAGATGTTGATGAAACTTCTTTCATAGAAAATTTATTATTAACCTAAAGTGTCTCTGAACAGAGGACACTGAGATAGAGTACTGAATGGAAATTCTTTCATTAAAGACAAAATGGACCCACGACAAGAATAAAACAAAGGGTACATAGTCATAGAATTTCAGAATAACATAAACCATGACAAACACATTATGTATGTTTCCCATGCATTGAATTTCTTCTACCTATAGATGTGAGGATTGATCTTTTTGTATCTGTGTTTCTGAGAGAGAAGTTGATTTGGGTGTTTCTGATGTCAAAAGTCCAATGTGGCCTTCTCTGTTTTGGATCGTTGTTCACAGTCCCATTGTTACACTCATCTCTTGCCTATAGTTGTCCTGCAGTTTAGTTCGAAAGCTGTGATCTTCACGCTCTGACCTTCTCTCCATACTCTGCCCCATGCAGCAGGCCGTGCTGCCTCCTCTAGGCTGATGAGATTAAGTAGCCACAGTGCTGTGCATGGTGGGGTCAGCTCAGTGCTCAAGAGAGTCAACAAGACATCTCTCTTCTTACCAGAGTTTCAGCTACCAATTAACCCTCATAAGTGTCAGCAGGGCTATTCTAAGGTCCTGGTGGCTGGTGTCTTTAACTGTTTCATCCTAACGAAGTCTGCGGTGCCAAAAGCAACCATTTCTGCTACATTACCTACTTCACCTCCCCTTGTCTGTTTGTTTATCACAGTTCCTCCAAAAGCAGCAAAGAGTAAATGATTTTGAATGACTTTCGTAAGGTTTAATTTTTGTAGGGACAGCAAGGCTTTAACTCTCATTTCATATGTTAATTTGATGGGTGCTATGGGATCTTAAATTGCATGTCTGTTGAACTTACAATAATCAACAGGAGTAATGCTTACTCTATAACATTTTAAAAACTTTTTATTTGAAATAATTTTAGATTTACAGAAGAGTTGCAAAGATAATAGAGAGAGGCCTTGTTTACTCTTCACTCCCCTTCCCCTAATGTTAATAATTTGTATAACCATGGTAGATTTATCAAAATTAAAGAATTAACATTGGTAGAATACCATTAACAAAACTACAGAAAGTATTCATAAGTCTTTGTACTAAGAAGCCTTTTCTGTTCCAGGATTCAATCCAGGACACCGATTTGCATTTCACTGTCATGTCTTCTCAGTCCACTCTGTACGTCTGCTTGCCCTTGACAGTCTTGCAGAGTATGGATCAGATATTTTGTAGCATGTCATTCAATTTGGTTTTATCTGATATTCTTCCAAAAAATATATAATCCCAGTCTAATCATGAGCAAATATCAGATAAAATCAAATTGCTCTTCTCATTGAATCATATAATGGGATACATCATATCAGCACGAGTTATTCCTTGTAAGGTTAACCTTGGTTATTTGGTGATGTTTTCCAGGTTTCTCCATGCAAAGTTACCATTTTCATCTTTTTCTGTGTCTTCTGTTTTCGAAGTGAGTCACTAAGTCCAGTCCACACTCAACGGGGGTGGAATGAAGTTCTACCTCCCAGAAGGAAGAATATTAAAGAACTTGGGCGACATATCTTCTTTTTTTTTTTTTTTTTTTGAGATGGAGTCTCGCTCTGTCGCCCAGGCTGGAGTGCAGTGGCATGATCTTGGCTCACTGCAACCTCTGCCTCCCAAGTTCAAGCGAATCTCCTGCCTCAGCCTCCCGAGTAGCTGGGACTATAGGCATGTACCACCAAGCCTGGCTAATTTTTTGTACTTTTAGTAGAGACAGGGTTTCACCATGTTAGCCAGGATGATCTCGATCTCCTGACTTCGTGATCCACCCGCCTTGGCCTCCCAAAGTGCTGGGATTAAAGGCATGAGCAACTATGCCTGACCTTAGAACTTGGAGACATATCTTAAAGCCACTAAATATTTGGGGGGAAGCACTCTGAGGCTATGCTATTTTCTTGTTTCTCCTTAAGGCTTTACCTACTAATTTTTGTATTCATCTGTGGATCTGCTGCAATTATTATGGTGGCATTCTAACAGTGATTTTCTTTTTCACTCCTTCCTTTTACATTTAATATTTGAAATTCTTCTATAAAAAGGATTTGTCCTTTTTTCTCTCTTTGTTTATGTATTTAATCATGTACTTATACCCATATAGACTTGTGGCATTTATTTTATTATTTGTGCTATAATGCAATACTATTATTATTTTTAAATTTTATCTTATTATTTTGTTTACTATGTAATGTTTAAGATGTATTATAACCAGGGCTATATCTTCCCCCTAAAATCTATGAAAAAACCATCTGTGGCAGCAGTTTGGGAGGGATATTTTAGAAGATGGGGAGAGGAAGAATCTTGGCAAGGTAGAAACCCACATCTATAGTCCAGGGGTCTTGCCAGAGTCCCAGTTTGTCACAAATTGCCTAACATCTTTTGATGGATGGTTCCTTAAATGCAGCATATCCACAGCAAATTCATCATGATCACCATCCTCTTAGATACCTGGATCAGAAACCAGAAAGTCAAGGAGACCTGCTTTCTCTCTCTCACAACCAACGCTTTTCCATTTCCTCAGTGTCTCTATTAATCACTCGTTAGTTGGATTAT
Source organism: Homo sapiens (assembly GCF_000001405.40). Classification (NCBI taxonomy): domain Eukaryota; kingdom Metazoa; phylum Chordata; class Mammalia; order Primates; family Hominidae; genus Homo; species Homo sapiens. The sequence goes on from NC_000007.14 coordinate 52,348,419, forward strand.
CAACACATTTCCAATACAAAAGATTGAAACTTAGAGATGAGGATGGTAAAATAAAACTGCAACAGTATTACTGTTAATATTATATAAAATCTTATTAATCAAGGTAATATAAAATGCCCCTAAAATAAAGAACAGGAGTTAAAAATGAAATCTCAAAGTATCTCTTGGCAAGACAAATATCTAAATGAAAATAACACAGGAAAACAGGGCAAGGTGGTGATCCTTTTCCTCAAACAATTATGAGCCAATTCTAAGACAGATGCTGAAGTTAGAGCATCCTGGCCACTAAGCAACAAAATGGGAGCCTGCTATAGAGTGACAATTAATGCTTGTTGGATGGTTGGAAATATGAATGAATGAGTGATTACATCAATTCAATTTCTGAAGTCCTGAGTGCCTGGGTGTCACAAGAAAGAAGAGACAAGAGGCAAAATGCAAAACCCAGGGGCTGTGCTCCTCCATCTCTAGAAATTGAATGGTGGGGACCTGTTTCACTGTGTGTCCTCTGTAGTCCCTTCCCATCCAATCTGGTGTGACTCAGTTTAGAGAAGGAAGGGCAGCTCATCTATGACTCAACCTTGGAGCCTCTTTGGGAAAGTCTACTGCGAATGTGCGGGGAGTCTGTTCTAGGAATTTTCCAATGCACCAGAACTGCCTCTGGCTCCTACTGAACATGGTAGAATTAAATTAGGTTTTAGACAATCTGATTACTTGATTAAATTATTCATAGGAAGGTGATAATTTCAAAAGATGAGCTTGTCAAAAGATATGACTTAATTGGAAGAGTATATTTGGAGATATTTTTGAAATGCATGGTTATTTATATAAACTCTGAATACAGAAAACCTCATCCTGTGTCTTTCAGGCTCCCCGTTGGGAGTACCATGCAAAGGTAATGGCAAGGAGGTCCTAATATTGTAATAGAATCTCATTTTTTAATTCTTGCTAAAGACAATTATAAAAAAATTTTATTTCCCAGTGGTTGTTATGAGTTGGCAAAGGCAGAATAAAAGATTTGATAGACACAACCATGAAGATAGGCTGAGTAGGTAATAATCATGATTTATTGAAGGTCAAATTTTTTGAGAAGGTCATGGAAAAGGACAGCAACATATTTAACTGGAGCAAAGAACTGAGGTGGCCAGTAGGTCTGGTGCTACTGCCAGGAAAGAGAGAACTCAGGAGAGATGAGATGGCTGCTGAGTGGGCTTCTCTAGGCCAGAGCACCTGCCTCTGGGGCACCAAGAACAGACAGTTATAAATGAAAATGTGTTTATATTTGTTTTTTGCACAAAGATGCATACACACACACACACACAGAAAAATCACACCAGCACACACACAGAGATTGGTGTCAACTCTGTAGGCCAGAAAGCATTCCCTGCACACACATAAAAATAAAATACAGCCATTTTAATTTCACTGGGTTTTCAAGATCATTTTATATTGCTTGAGCATATTAATACCTGTAATGTACAGGACCCCAGGGAATTGGGCTGTATTTCCCAAAGGGGAATTGCATTCACTTTTTTACTATGATAAGTATCCCTACAAATATTTCAGGAGAAAATAGCACCTGAAAATTTATTGTCAGAGCCCAGGCTTTTTCTTCCAAACCCTTGGAAACTTAACAAAAAAATTCTTTCTTTAAATGAGAAAGAGAAAAGTAAATTATTCTTCCATGTAAACCAGTGGGAAGTTGCCAGATCCTTTATTATCTTGAAAAGAATCATGAAATCAACAATTAAAAAGTTAATTTAGAACATTTCCAACATACAGAACTTAAGCAGAGAGAGTAATATTTTTTATACATGGCTAATAATAAATACTGAAATATCATTGAAAATTGAGATGTTCTTGCCAGGTGCAGTGGCTCACACCTGTTATCCCAGCACTTTGGGAAGCTGAGGTAGGTGGATCATCTGAAGTCAGGAGTTCGAGACCAGCCTGGCCAACATGGCGAAACCCCATCTCTATTAAAAATACAAAAGTCAGGTGGGTGTGGTGGCATGCACCTGTAGTCCCAGCTACTCAGGAGGCTGAGGCAGGAGAATTGCTTGAATCTGGGAGGTGGAGGTTGCAGTGAGCTGAGATTGCACCACTGTACTTCAGCCTGGTGGGAGCAAGAAAAAAGAAAAGAAAGGAAAAGAAGAAATGAAGGAAGGAAGGAAGGAAAAGAAAGAAAAGAAAGAAAGAAAGAAAGAAGGAAGGAAAGAAAGAAAGAAAGAAAGAAAGAAAGAAAGAAAGAAAGAAAGAAAGAAAGAAAGAAAGAAAGAAAGAAAAAGAAAGAAGGAAGGAAGGGAAGGAAGGAAAGAAAGAAGAAAATTGAGATGTTCTAACATAATTCCTGACTTAGAGAATGAAAACATGCAGGTGTGCACAAATGAATGACTCTGCACAGATGAGAGACGCACTGGGGAGACAGGTAGCCTTGGAAGCTATGGGAGCTAAAGGTTCAGGATTATGGCATCTTTCAAGAAATTTGATCATAGAGAAAGAAGACATCCAGGGAGAGTCCTACAAAGAAAAACAGCCAAGTATGGTTTCCAGTAGAGGGGACTCAGAATGACATAATTATATTTGGAAAAATGACACATTCTAGAAGACAAAATTAGAGTTTAAAAAGTTTAAAAGTGAGAAGTAATGGTGTTAGAGTCAGTAAACTTATGTGTTGCAAATAGATTGGGTAAAATAATTTGATGCCATCATTGGAATTACAAATTTAAACTCTGTTTTTTTTTAAAGGACACAAGGATTATCTTAGCCAGCTGGCCCCCTTTGAAAAGCTGGCCCAACAGGACTAATATCTGAGAAAATCAAAATATGTGAAAATTCAGCCTCAAAAGTGAACATGGTCTATTACTGAAATTCTAGTTATATTGAAGAATTAATTAAAATAATATAAATATTTCCATATTTAGAGGGAAAGCATGCTGAAGTAAATATATACTCATTATACATGTAGATTATATATACAATGAATTCAGCCTATACTGATGTATTTTTGTCATTTATTGAGTTATTAAAAAGTTTAATAATGCACCTTCATAAATACTGAAGTCAAAATATAAGTCATCTTACTGATTTAAAATTTATATGATGTAAGTAATTCAACATTAGACATGCTTTAATCCAAGTGAAAAAGAAAACTATAGGTGGCTGGAGCTCAGGAGCACTCACTGAGTGCTAGCTACTGAGCTAGATGGGAAGAAATAGGAAGGTAATATCCAGTCCATGCCGAATTCCCTAATTCCCAGACAAGAGAGACCCCAAGAGTGCTATAAAAGCATGTGGGAGAGGGTAGCTCTTCTAGGTAGACCAGAACCCCCTGTGGAACATCTCATGTGGAGTGTAGCATATAAAATTTGTGTTAAGGGAGGAGTAAACTTTGTTCATGGTAGGGGAGGCAATTAATAGGTTTAATATAGTTTGTCATTTCGGAAGATTTTATTTTAATAAATCCCAAACGAGAAATTTTCTTTCCAAGCCCTGTGAATGTTGTAGGGATAGTTCATACAATATCCTTTATGGCAAAACATCATAAAACACCACTTAACTGAAAGGAAAGCTCAAAGTTAAACAATAGTGAAAGCACCATTAATTCACTACCTTAAACTGAAAAAGAAGAGTGGAAAGTGCTAGAAGAAAGACCATTTCCAAGGGATCCTGTTCACAAGAAGTCATCACAAGCTATTAAAACATCAGTCAATGTCAAAATGTCTTTACTGCACTGACCCACAGGTCATTTTATTATCTGATTCCAGGAGTTGTGGATGGTACTATTTGCCAGAGGCACAAGAGAGCAAATTGCATTGTAGGAAATCAGGAGTCAAGATCTTACACTGAAATAAACACCAGTGTACCTGTTAATAAATATCATCTATAGTCAAATGAAAAATTAGCGTTACTCCTGTAAAGTATTAAGTTCAGTCAGACATAGATCCTAAATGAGGGTTAAAAATTGGATACAATATCAGTGCAAGTCTGGCATAATTGCTATTATGATGAATGCAATTCCTGGGTCATTTATCATTGCCAGGCAGGATGCTCTTAGCTCACACATGTATTTCCTGGATAGAAAGAGGCCTTATGGTTGATTATTTTGTCATAACCAGAATTTATTTTTCTGCTGGGGAGGGAGACGGACTTATTTGAAGATGGAAAAAGGCCGTGGCTAGCACCAGAAAATCAAGAATTTAGCACACGAGTGCTAAAGTCCACAAAACAGGTTTCAACAGATAAACAGACAAAAGTCACCAGCTGCACTTGGGGATGAATGAGGAATCCTATTCATTCTGGCCTGTGACCTAGGAACTCAGCTTCTGTTACCAGAAACATAGCACCTAGCACTAATGAAGACATGCCTCCAAGATAAAGAAGAGTGCTTTATCCCCTTAGACAACAATCTCAATCCCTAGTTACCCAGACAGCAGAGGTCCATACTGCCATGGCTGCAGCCAGTCCTGGGTGATTCACTCTGCCTAAAGTCCAACCATTCACTAAACTGATATTTTTTTTCTCCCATAATCCAACAGAACAACTACAGCCCAAAACTAAATTGACACATGCACAATTATCAGGTAATCATTTTGAGTAGTGGTCTTGTACTAGCACACTCACATACCCAAGCTAAAAAAAAACCATTTGAAAAAAATAAACCATTTGCCAAAGCCAGAGCCAGGGGAATTCACCTGTACAACCAGTTCCAGACAGAGCTTTGCCTCTGATTTCCCTGTCTACGCTGGACTACATGTGCACGATGATAAATAACAATGCTGTGCTCCAATTACTGCGTAAGATGGTCTTTGAGCCTCCTGAACAACTGCCATGCCCAGTCTCTTCTATCTCCTGACATGTAAATCCCCTGGCTACGTATATCTGATCCTGTTCCTTCTAGATTCCATGTGTATCTGCTCTTGCTTGTCAAGTTAGTAGTGATGGGTTGGATTATGTGGCATCAGAATAAATGTGGGTAAATATTTCTATATCAAGCAGAGAAAGACTAAAAGCTGGTTATCTGGCTTAAGACAGCCCAGTCTGTGTCTTTTCAGGAAGTACAAGTTTTTTTTTTGTTTGTTTTGTTTTGTTTTTGTTTTTGTTTTTGTTTTTTTTTGAGATGAAGTCTCGTTCTCATCCCCCAGGCTGGAGTGCGATGGTGCAATCTCAGCTCACTGCAACCTCTGCCTCCCGGGTTCAAGTGATTCTCCTGCTTTAGCCTCCTGAGTAGCTGGGACTACAGGTGCTTGCCACCACATCTGGCTAATTTTTGTATTTTTAGTAGAGACAGGGTTTCACCATGTTTGCCAGGCTGGTCTAGAACTCCTGACCTCAGGTGATCCACCCGCCTCAGCCTCCCAAAGTGCTGGGATTACAGGCGTGAACCACCGCACCCAGCCAGGAAGTACAAGTTTTGACTGTTGGAGCAACCAGTACAACTCCAGGATTCCAAAGACTGGATCAAAATTTGAGAATAGTATCTGTAGGTCTTAAGCATTGTCTGTGGGCATGGATGGCTCTTTTTGATTCACCATCACAAAAATCAGCATAATTCTCAACTTCTTAAACTTGACTTCACATTGGAATCACAGGGAAGCTATTCACAATATGGGGCTTTGACACAATTAAATTTTAAAGATAGGACACTGGCATTAAACACACACACACACACACACACACACACCACCCCAAGATAAATCTACTGTGTAGACAAGATTGAAAGACACTGGTTCAGAGTGACAAAATGTTTAGAGACCTGTCTCTGGAGGTAAAAATATCAGTTCCATGGTCAGGTTGACACTGGTCACACAGTGTAATGTGGGCAACTTTCTCCTCTGCAGTGGTAATGTTCATCCCCTTGCTAAAGCGTGGTCTGTTACTGCAGCACCTTTTTTACCAGAGTTCCTATGTGAGTCCAGATTTTGCTTTATTTCCCCTTCTAACAGCAGGCTAGAAAAAAAAAAGATTTTGCTTCATCCAGACATGCCTGTTGCCTTAATTTGTACTTCATTAAATACATAAAGATATATGTTCTGCTCTAAGTCAATGTTTTCTTTTTTCTTTTCTTTTCTTTTTCTTTTTGTTTTTTGTTTTTTGTTTTTTGTTTTTTGAGACTGGGTTTCATTCTTGTTGCCCAGGCTGGAGTGCAATGGCACAATCTCAGCTCACTCCAAGTTCTGCCTTCTGAGTTCAAGCCATTCTCCTGCCTCAGTCTCCCAAGTAGCTGGGATTACATGCACCTGCCACCACGCCTGGCTAATTTTTCTATTTTTAGTATAGATGGAGTTTCACCATGTTGGCTAGGCTGGTCTTGAACTCCTGATCTCAGGTGACCCACCTGCCTGGGCCTCCCAAATTGCTGGGATTACAGGCCTAAGCCACTGCACCCAGCCTCCAAGTCAATTTTTTAAAAACATGATATGTGTATTCATTTATGGCACTTGCATAATAAAAGCCTGATTGATTGTGTTTATTTCAAAATATCCCAAGTAAGTCCCAGTGAGAAACTGAACAGAAATGATAGTGGTGATTCCATGGGCAACAACAGACATAATTTATGGAGAAAATACAATACAAATGCCTACATTTCTCATATTACATTACCTTGATAAATTACTTATCAAAGATTAAGAGAAAATACCTGTGCCTATTGATAAATACATGCTTACCAAGAGAAAATGTCAAGACTAAGATTGTCTAAAATGACAAATGCTTAAAATACTGACATCCGCTGCTATATTGGTGGCATGAGAAACTGTAGAAAGATGTTTGAAATCCCCTAGAGGTGCGCTAAAGATAGATGATGAAATCATTGGTGGAGAAGGAAAATGTGTGGGTCAACTGCAGCACCCTGGAGAGCGCCTCTGCCATACAGCTCACTTCTTCATGCCAGCTGGATCCTGGGGCAGAGGATTTCTTCTGGGGATGGGTCTCTAATATGAGGGTGGGAAGTGATCTTTAGTTGCCAACACCCAAACTATAAGGCATTTGATTTAATCTTTGCATTTTTAAGTTAGACTTTCTCTCTCTCTCTCTCTTTCTCTCTCTCTCGTGTGTGTGTGTGTGTAAGTTAAACCCTATGTAGGTGTATGTGTATGTGTGTGTATGTACACACACAGCATTCCAATTGCCTAATAAAGCATACCTGATATTCTGTGCCTACTAAAATTCTGATTGCTTCCTGACCATCACACAGCTCATCTCCTTCCCATTAATTTTATGCAGATGTTGCACTTGGTTGCAGTTTATTCTACACTTCACTTTTAAGATGGCCATGGTGTCAGAATAATCAATTTGTGGCCTTCATTTCATGAATTGGACCAAAGTGAATGAGATATTTGTTTTCTTGTTTTGCTTTGTATTTTCAAAGCAAGGAGCAACAGGCAACAATAAGAAACAAACAATGCCTGTCAGCTTTCCATCTCCAGCTTTATGTCTCTGTTGTAACTGGGGTATCATTTCTGCCCTAGAATACTGTTAGTACTGCCATTAAAATAGAAACTTTTCCATGCAAAACTGGTCTAAGGTTTTTGGCGTTACCCATGTAGATCTTTGTGATGAGTGAAATTTCCATTCAAGTCTTTATAGTTGCTTTAATAGTCCTGATCTACTTTTTTTTGAAGATTTGTTTTTGAGAATATGTGAACAATTTTATCGGTATTTTCTTAAAGAGACTCATTTAATGCTTTTTATAAATTACTAAAATTATTAATGGAGTTGTGTTAGGCATTTTAAATGCTAATAATTCCAGACTTAAATATTAGATTGCCATTAGACAATTAAATATTATTTGAAGTAACCAATATTATAATTAAAACGGGATTAACACCTTAAATAATATGAACTTTATTTGGTTGCAAAAGGTAGGAAACAATATAAGAAGGAAAAAAATAGGATGTTAGGACAGAAAGTGACTAAGCAGAGATGGGGAGGACTGATTTATGCTGGGTGATGAAGGGATGTCTCTGTGTGGAGAGCCAGGTGTGCAAAGAAATGGGACAGAGTTTCCAGCCACAGAGAACTCCCAGTAGTCGTGAAGTCAAAATGAGCTTGTGAAGTGCATGCACAGAAAGAAGCTTAGTAAATGAGGGAGACAGTGGGAAGAGCCAAGACCTCCAAATTACACAGGCACCAGTTCATGTGCAGGCTTTTATTCCATTGCAAAGAGCGTGGATTTTATGTCAAATACAATGGAAAGGATGACAAGCTATGTTTTCTATTTTAAGATCACACTGGCTGCTGTGTGATTTTATTATAAGAACAAAATAATAGAAGTGAGAATACAAATGACAATACTATGCAGTAGCACAAGGAAGAGGTGGCTATGGGTGGAGCAAGGAGGTAGAGGGAGAGAAGTGGGCATAATAGGAGTGCAGACAGGTAAGATGGAACTGGCTGATGGATTTGACATTGGAGGTACACACAGTAAGAATTAAAGATAGTGTTTATGATTTTGGCATGAGCATTCGGAGTGATAAATGGCTTGTCGTACCATTTGCAGTTCTGTTTGGACAAGACTGGAAGAGGAAAAGATTGTGGAGGGGCAGAGGAATTTAGAGTTCTACTCCAGCCACATCAAACCTGAAATGCCACTCAGGCATCTAGGTGGAGATGTTTAGAGAAGTCATGGGTGGAGGTAGCAATTGGTTAACCTACATATTACTAATAAAAATGTAAGAACAAATGCAACTGCTGAAAACTTGAATGTACATTCCTGAAATTGTTTTGAATCAAAGAGGAAATTCAAGCCCAATTACTAAGCTTTTGGACAATAATATAGACACTGTGTGTGAAAACTTTACAAAACATATTGTAGCTTTTCTGAGTAGCAAATTTTTATGCTTACTTTCAAAATTGCAAAGATTAAAGAAAAACACAGAAAATGAGTAGTCTTAATAGCATAAGACAAATTCTAGAAGAGTAGAAAGAAGAAATGCATGAATAATACCTCTCTACTGGTCTGCAACTGTGTCTTTATCTAGAACCTCAGCAGCAAAAAATATGTTAAATATGTTATTTGAGTGTAATTCTTTCATGCCAGGAAAAGATCTCTGGAAAGGCCAGCACTCTCAACTGATTCAGATCCATCAAAAGAATTCTAGTACAAAATGTCAGCTGGCAAACAGCCTTTATAAAACCTCTTCCAATTTCCAAATAAAACAGGCCAATCAAGAGAAAATTTTGGAAAATAAAACTCTAAAAAATAAACTTGCCAGTTATTCTAATGGCAGAATATTGGCCCCGTCTTCACTCTTCAGCAGATGGAACAAAATGGATGAAAAGCTGCCCTACTTATGCCCTAATACGGCTGGGCTTCACCTCATAAAGCTGAGGCCAATACACAGAACAACAATTTCTGTATCTCTGAGACACTGATGTGAGAGTTGTGCATTCTCACCACCTCCTCCAGCCTCCTCTCCACCATCATTTTCTTTCCACAATTTAGGATACTTCTAGCTCTTCAGGAGATCCCAATAGAAAAGTCAGAGAACAAATTTCTATTTTCATTTTTTTTTGAGGCAGAGTCTCATTCTGTTGCCCAGGCTGGAGGGCAGTGGCACGATCTCTGCTCACTGCAACCTCCATCTCCAGGGTTCAAGCAATTCTAACGCCTCAGCCTCCCAAGTAGCTGGGATTACAGGCACCCGCCACCACACCCAGCTAATTTTGTATTTTTAGTAAAGATGGGGTTTCACCATGTTGGCCAGGCTGGTCTCAAACTGCTGACCTCAAGTGATCCCCCCACCTTGGCCTCCCAAAGTGCTGGGATTACAGGCATGAGCCACTGCGCCCAGCCCAAATTTCTATTTCATATTAGATCATCTTATGCTTCCCATCACCTCCACCTCCCAAACTCTGAATCTTTTCTTTTGTACTGTTCATATTACTAAGCATAACGATATTTGATTTTGCAGATTGATTCTAAAAATAAACAATTGGTACATAATTATCACTACTTAATATGGTTTAATACACAAATTGCATACTATGATTATGCTTTCCTTTCTCTAGGCCTAAAGTCATGACCCCCATGACTTTCAGATGAGACTACTCTGGATGCAAATGTGAACGGCTTCCTGTACTGCACTCTGCCATTCCTCATAACCTCTGGGCTGATTAAAGTTCAATTAGTTGGAACATTTTATTTCTCTCATTCCCAAGAGTCTTTCTGGACTCCTCTATAAGTGTGCTCTAATTAGAATTAATAGATGAGTTGCAAATTTGTTTATCCTGTCTTTGCATTTATTTTCTATTTTCAGAGATGATTTTAGTCTTTTAGGTTTGAAACTTTTCCCCAGTATGTAAAGGCCTTCTTCAATCAACCTCTGGTGAACTGAGTGCTAAAGAGAAGCCTGTTTATTCAAATACTCTTTATTCCTTCTTAGGATATTTTATTTACATTCTAAAAGCTTTTAGGATGTATTAAAGTTTCATACTGATGGATTTAGTTGTGGATCTTCGTTTCACTAAATGTGCTGGGCATTCACTGTACCCATGCAATCTGCTGCCTGTTGACCTTGGCAGCACTGATATTCCCTTTTGGACTCTTCCTCTATTCTCTTATATGTGTAAATGTTTCTAAATATTTAAATCTTTACCTCATTATTTTGTTTTTTTGAGATAATAATCTTCAACATTATTTTAAAGGTATTCTATTGAATTAAATTGATTTGTTTTATATATATACATACACACATTGATGTGTTTGTGTACTCGTATAAATATATAGATGTCTGCCTACAAGGTTGTCAATGAGTGGTTTGTAAGATTGATTTGGCCTAGTTTCACTGTGTTGTTGCTTAATTCTCCTCTGTACCCTGAATCTGCATCATTATTTTGTTCTAAGCCTATTTTCTCCTCATTGTTTTTAACTCATCTTTCTCTTTCCAGTTGCCAGCTCTCCTCGAATGTGTTGGTCACCATTCACATTTAATACATAACGACTGTGCCCAAATGCCACACTAAGAGACCTGACCAAACTATAGCATGACTTCTAGCAGCTTCGGGTCACGTCCTCAGGATGACCCTATCTGCCTTTCAATGCCCAATTGAGAAACCTCAACATTGCCAGAAGAATTTACTGTTGGTTTTAGCCAAAACCCAGTGATGGCCAGATAAACCCCTGGACCACCTCTCAGAGCAGTTAGTTTAGAAAGCTTACAGTTCTAAATCCTTTCTCTACCCCTTGGAGATATAAATCTTCTACTGCCCAGAACTGTCTCCTCAAGGACCTGGGAGCCACCTCTTTGAAATGCAAACACTCAAAAAGTAGCTCTCACTCTCTCTCCCAGTCCCTGAGGGAGGGGAAGGGCCTAATCTCAGAGGTCACCTTGTTCCAACTTGCATCACTACCTCCTGTCATGAAGGTATGAGATGTTTGTTTCTCCTCTATAAAGCACCAATTAGCAAACTATATTAGTCCGTTCTCATACTGCTACAAAGAACTATGTGAAACTGAGTAATTATGATGAAAAGAGGTTTAATTGACTCATAGTTCCACATGGCTGGGGAGGTCTCAGGAAACTTAAAATCATGACGGAGGGCAAAAGGGAATGAAGGCAGCAGGAGAGAGAGAGCAAGAGGGGAGGTGCCATACTTTTAAACCATCAGCTCTCATGAGAACTCACTCACTATCATGAGAACAGCATGGGGGAAATCTGCCCCCATGATCCAATCACCTCCCACCAAGTCCCTCCCCTGACATATGGGGATTACAATTCCAGATGAGATTTGGGTGGGGACACTGAGCCAAACCATATCACAAACCCAGATTGGCTAGTCTCAGGGATCAAGTCCATCATAATGCCCTTCATTGCCTTTTTTGTTTTTTTGTTTGTTTGTTTGTCTTGTATATCATAGCATTTAAAAACTCTCTTGCCTTTTGTTTTGGCAGAATTCACCTCAGGCTACAGTGGGTTTTTTTGGGGTTGTGTCTTTGTTTTGTTCTTTTGCTTTTTTCTTAGAAAAGGTCTCACTATGTTTCTAGGCTGGTCTCAAACTGCCAGGCCCAAGTGATGCTTCCACCTCAGCCTCTCTAGTCACTGAGATTACAGGCATACAGTGGGCTTTAACCTCTATTGCAGTAGTTATCACTAAATAAAATCTGTTTTTATCACCTTTAACTAGTGTCTGGCTTTTAAAAAAAACTCGTTGAGAGTGACAATCTTTGATTTAGGGTACCAGTGCCTCAATATCTTTCCTAGGACTGGCCCCCAAAGAGTTGATTTGTTTCCTTTAGAGAAACATCTTTCAATGTGTTGCCTATGCAGTAAATCATAAGCTTGCAATCCACTCTGCTTTGAGTAGGCTGGAGCCAGGGCCAGGGTTGATGCCAGTGTGTAATACTGAGTTGCTATGAACTCGCTTTTTATAGTCCTGCCTCATTCTTATACACATTTATAACAACCTCTCTAAGCCTCAATCCTCCGTCTCTGCAAGCCACCTTCTCTCCTTCTCATCTGCAGCAGGCACTCTGTTATGCATCTATTCTCACCTAAGCTTCCTCTGTCCTGCTTCACTAATTACCATTCCTTCCTCTGCTTTCTGCCTTTTATCCACAGCAAGACCTATACAAATATATTTGTTGTTCTCATGGATTTATAACATTTGAATTGCATTACTACTCTTTTTAAAGAGAAGATGTAAATATAAATAAGTGATTTTTTATTGAACTAAAAAGTACTATGTCTACTTCCTTAGCTTATAACATATTGAAAGACTCTTCTAGAAAAATACAAACTACCAAATATTTGCCAAGAACTATGAAAAATGAGACATCATTAAGTACAGAAGATGCAAATCACAAATGTTCACAAATTGTCTTTAAAAACATTGATAATACAGATTTGTAAAAAGAGTAATTCTGATTTATAGGAACCCGATAATTTCAAGGAATATAAATTGACCTAGAGAATAAAATAAATGTGGATATTTTTCTAATGTGTTGTGACGAAGTTAATGTGCAAGATTATCTTAGTGAGATGTTAATTTTTCTTTCACCTATACATTTGAGTACTGTTCTTTCAATCTAGTAAAGTAGTTAGACCTTTTTTGTTTCCTTGTTTCAAAGATACGTCTAGGGCTGAAGGCCAAATTGACAACTCCTGGGCTCTCTTGTAAAAGTCTAAATTAATTTCAGTAATTATACTAAAGAGGAATAGTTTAAAAGACAGTAAGAGAAGGGGTGAAGAAGACAGAGAAAGAGAGGGAAAATTTCATGTTCTAGAACCAGGCTTGAGATTGGTGGGTTCTGTGAATTCAGACCCTGTGTGCCACCCTCTGGAAGAATATAAGGATGCCATTTTAGAAAAATAAAGCTGATAAATATTAATATGAGAGCTTGTTCTTTGAAAATTAAAATAAAATACACTCTGAGGGAAACTAGTGAGAAAAATATTTTTTAAGTACAAATAAGCAAAATACTCCAAATAAGACACATTGACACTTTGAAAATGGAAATATATTTTCAAAAATAATTCAAAAGCTGGTTTAATAGGTCAGTTTTCTAGCAAAGTGAAAATGGTCAAAAGCTACTGCTGAAGTATCAAAATTAATAATAAAAGCAATAATTTAATCAAAGAAAAAATATGCAAAAGATCCACATTTCACAGATGAATTAGAGCCACATGGCCGTAATCTTTCTTTTTTCTGAGATGAAATCTTGCTCTTTTCCCCCAGGCTGGAGTGCAATGGTGCAATCTCGGCTCACTGCAACCTCCGCCTCCTGGGTTCAAGCTATTCTCCTGCCTCAGCCTCCCGAGTAGCTGGGATTACAGGTGCCTGCCACCACACCCTGATAATTTTTGTATTTTTAGTAGAGACGGAGTTTCACCATGTTGGCCAGGCTGGTCTCAAACTCCTTACCTCAGGAGATCCGCCCACCTCGGCCTCCCAAAGTGCTGGGATTACAGGTGTGAGCCACAGCTCCTGGCCGGCCTTAATCTTTCTAAACTGCTCTAGAGTGTGCAGAGATAGCTTCCACATTTTTGCTCCAAGTTGTTTTCATGAAAGAGGCATGATTTTGATATGAAAAGCAAAATACGTAAGTGTTCAAATTCATAAAAACTGTAGTAAAATCTTAATTATGACCATTGATTAAAAATTCCAAATAAAATGTTGGTAGACATAAACAAGCAGCATACTGAGGAGCAGTTCAGCCTGCCGCTGCACTGTGGAGCCCCTTTCTGGGCTGGCCAAGCCTGGAGCCGGCTCCCTCAGCTTGCGGGGAGGTGTGGAAGGAGAGGCGCAGGTGGGAACCAGGGCTGCCGGCGGTGCTTGCCTGCCAGCTCTAGTTCCGGGTGGGCTTGGGCTTACCGGACCCCATGCTGCGAGCCGCCAGCCGGCCCCGCCGCCCAGGGCAGTGAGGGGCTTAGCACCTGGGCCAGCAGCTGCTGTGTTCAGTTTCCTGCTGGGCCTTAGCTGCCTTCCCGTGGGGCAGGGCTCGGGACCTGCAGCCCGCCATGCCTGAGCCTCCCCTCCACTCCGTGGGCTCCTGTGCGCCCGAGCCTCCCCAAGGAGCTCTGCCCCCTGCTCCACAGTGCCCAGTCCCATGAGATCACCCAAGGGCTGAGGAGTGCGGGTGCACGGCGCAGGACTGGCAGGCAGCTCCACCTGCAGCCCAGGTGCGGGACCCACTGGGTGAAGCCAGCTGGGCTCCTGAGTCTGGTGGGGACTTGGAGAACCTTTATGTCTAGCTCAGGGATTGTAAATACACCAATCGGCACTCTGTATCTAGCTCAAGGTTTGTAAACACACCAGTCAGCACCCTGTGTCTAGCTCAGGGTCTGTGAATGCACCAATCGACACTTTGTATCTAGCTACTCTGGTGGGGACTTGGAGAACCTTTGTGTGGACACTCTGTATCTAGCTAATCTGGTGGGGAGGTGGAGAACCTTTGTGTCTAGCTCAGGGATTGTAAACGCACCAATCAGCTCCCTGTCAAAACAGACCACTTGGCTCTACCAATCAGCAGGATGTGGGTGGGGCCAGATAAGAGAGTAAAAGCAGGCTGCCCGAACCAGCAGTGGCAACCCGCTCAGGTCCCTGTCCACACTGTAGAAGCTTTGTTCTTTCGCTCTTTGCAATAAATCTTGGTGCTGCTCACTCTTTGGGTCCACACTGCCTTTATGAGCTGTAACACTCACTGCGAAGGTCTGCAGCTTCACTCCTGAAGCCAGCGAGACCACGAACCCACTGGGAGGAATGAACAACTCCAGACGCTCTCTGCCTTAAGAGCTGTAACACTCACTGCGAAGGTCCGCAGCTTCATTCCTGAGCCAGCGAGACCATGAACCCCACCAGAAGGAAGAAACTCCCAACACATCCGAATATCAGAAGGAACAAACTCTGGACATGCCGCCTTTAAGAACTGTAACTCTCACCGTGAGGGTCTGCAGCTTCATTCTTGAAGTCAGTGAGACCAAGAACCCACCAATTCCGGACACAATATCAGGGGAGTAATTTGCCAAGAACAGATGGAGCTTATAACCAGCACGAAAAAAATAAAAAATGTCAGAAAATTATTCATTATAGTCATAATCAAACAAGAAAAAAATCTGATTATGTTCAATGCTGAGAAAGCATTGAGTCAATTCAATACCTACTTTTTATTTAAAAGTGCTCAACGGACCAGGCGCGGTGGCTCACGCATGTAATCCCAGCACTTTGGGATGCCAAGGCAGGCTGATCACGAGGTCAGGAGATGGAGACCATCCTGGCTAACATGGTGAAACCCTGTCTCTACTAAAAATACAAAAAAACCAGCCGGGCGTGGTGGCGGGCACCTGTAGTCCCAGCTACTCGGGAGGCTGAGGCAGTAGAATGGCGTGAATCTGGGAGGCGGAGCTTGCAGTGAGCCGAGATGGCACCACTGCACTCCAGCCTGGGCGACAGAGCGAGACTCCGTCTCAAAAAAAAAAAAGTGCTCAATGAAAAATAATAATAGATATGTGCACATTCATATTTAGTCTCATTTTTACCCTATTTAACATGATGCTAATTTGGCCTGTAACGTGTGTGTGTGTGTTTTATGGTCAACCATACAAAATTGACTATCTTTGTTCCTTGACAAACAAAAATAGCTATCTCGTATACGTATAATATACAAACTTTCAAAGTAGCATCATGTGGAGTAAAAAAGAAATGCACACACAAATTACTAGAACCATGGGATTTTGTTTGCATTACTAAAATTATGAAATGTTTTTCTTACCATGACACAAATCTCCAAACCACTCCAATGTCAATATATTTTACAATGTGAAACTAAAACACAACTGACAGAGATAATTGGTCAATATCACTCTTTAAAGTTGAAACAAAAATAACAAACTGAAATTTTTAAATATTTGATCTCAGATAAAATTGTAATTCTCCTAAATAATAAGCTGTAAGACAGTAAGAAGAAAGATACTAGTAGAAAAATAGGCCAATGATATGAACTGACATCTTATAGAAAAGGAATTCTTAATGGCCTACTAAATATGAAAACAGCAGCAATACCACTCATAATAAGGAAAATCCAAGTTAAAGGTTTAATGAGAATCATCTTCAAGTGCCTGGTGTACAAGTAACTGCCTGTTGATTGGAGGGTGAGCAGAGTGATCATTTTGGAGGCCAGTTTCACAGCATCCCATAGATGGGGATTTAAATGTGGAAAAAAAGCACATGTCCCTAAAGGTGTTGCTTTGTCTATAGCAGTGAAGTACGGAAAGAACATAAAATCTTCTCAACATGGGATTGATGAATAAATATATTTATACCATGAAACAATATTCAGGAGTTTACAAATGATATCACTTTTTATCCTATGGACCTAAATGCAGTTATCATCTCTGAGAGACTTGTATTTTCACAAAATAGCAAAACACAAAATGGGGAGTAGCAGGCTAATATAAACCTAAGAACAATCTGATTGGAAACATTTTATGTATGAAAATTCACATAGAAGATTGTGTGTGTGATGAATATCTTTTGAAGAACATTAACTAACAATGGTTGCTCCCTGGGGCAGAAAACTGGGGAGAGGACTTTGGCTGGGGCAGGAGGTAGAACCTGAATATGGAACCACCAAGATGGACTATGATTCCCTGCAAGCCACAATATGAGCAAAGGAGGAAGGCAGTCAGCAGGGGTGAGGGCCATTACCCTGCCCTTTGAGACAGATTGCACCACAGGCCTTGTTGTCAGAGGGAAAGGCCACCAGGGCCTGGGCAACTGTTTTCATGCATTCCTGAACAACTTTTACCCACTCCTCCATGTCCCTACCAGTGGTTGGAACCTTATGTTATAAGGAAACAAATTGCATCACCTTTGCTGTGGGACCCCCTTCTGAAAGGACTACTACCAGAGGTGGAGAGAAAGTTTCTGCTGACTTGTGGTGACTGCAGAGGGTGGCGAACCAAGAGATTAGGGGAGGTTGAGTATGGGACAGGCCCTCACTGGCAGGTCACTAATGGAGTTCAGGGATTTGGAGATGATTGGCAGCAACACAAGCAATTGTGCAGACCCAATCCTGCAGGCAGAAGGGGGAAGGCAACCAGCAGAGCCTCAGGATGCGAGCACAGTGGACCCTGTCCCAGCAACAGGACCAGTGACATACTTGGGAGGTGTCTGCTGAAGACAGAAGGTCTTGGTAACTATGTGTGGGGCACTCGGTAGTAAGTTCCTCCTGCTAAATGAATTTGTTTTGCTTCATGCAGAGAAGGACTGCTTACAGTATTCAAAAACAATAGTGTACGAAGACTATAGAACTTGGCAAAGGACTGAAAGGAGGATTGATTTAAAAGAGAGACACGTTATGTTCCTATGAGAAAGCATCACCATTTCAAACATGTCAATGCTCCTTAAATTTATATTTTCCGTATTGTTACTTTTTCAGCCAAACTTTCAATAGCATGTTTTTTTTGTTCTTGATAAAATGATTGCAAAATCCATTTTGAAGAGTAAATATTTGAGCAGAGTTGTGAAAATATTGACAATGAGGAATAATGCATGATTCAAAAGACAAGTTTATAACTGTATAAATCTAATATCTGAATTACTTAAAAAACAAAGTGGACTTCAGGGTCCAGAAATAAAGAATAGGCCCAGTAGAATGTATTAATAAGTTTCTAGATGGTAGGTCTGTTTTACTCATCAGGCTTGGCTCTGATTAAAGGCTCTGTCTCTATCTCCCTGTCTCTCTCTGTCTCTACACACACACACACACACACACACACACACACACACACACACACACACAAAAATAACAAAAAAGGCAAAGATCAGAATTATCATTTTAGTTAACAGTTGTATATAATGATGTCAAATTATATATTTTAAATCACCCAAAACACATATATGTTTAATACCTTAGAAAACACTTGCAATATCCATTAACATACATAATTATTAAAATTTCTAACAAAAAGCATGAAAAATCCCAGTAGAAAAATGGACATGGGAATGTGAGAAAGCAATTCACAAAATAAAACAACATAAAAGGGAAATTAATATTTTACTATTCTTTGATTTACAGATATTTGGATATGCATTCTTATTTCTAGTGAAAAATAGCTTGAATTTACCTGCTAAAATTTTTAATTGTATATTTTCTCTGGCTCAGCAGTTTCACTAGAAATTTGAAACCAGTCATATGGAAGCATTTTGCCAATGACAAAGATTTATCTAAATGAGGTTTTTACACTGCTGTTTATTTATTTATTTATTTTTAATTTTACTTTAAGTTCTGGGATACATGTGCAGAACATGTAGGTTAGTTACATAGGTATACATGTGCCATGGTGGTTTGCTGCACCCATCAACTCCATCTAGGTTTTTTTTTTTTTGAGACAGAGTCTTGCTCTGTCGCCCAGGCTGGAGTACAGTGGCACGATCTTGGCTCACTGCAACCTGCACCTCCCAGGTTCACGCCATTCTCCTGCCTCAGCCTCCCAAGTAGCTGGGACTACAGGCACCCACCACCACAACCCGCTAATTTTTTTGTATTTTTAGTAGAGATGGGGTTTAACCACGGTCTCGATCTCCTGACCTCGTGATCCACCCACCTCAGCTTCCCAAACTGCTGGGATTACAAGCGTGCGCCACCGCGCCCGGCCTCATCTAGGTTTTAAGCCGCACATGCGTTAGCTCTTTGTCCTAATGCTCTCCCTCCCCTTGCTCCCCATGCCCCTACAGGTCCCGGTGTGTGATGTTCCCCTCCCTGTGTCCATGTGTTCTCATTGTTCAACTCCTACTTATGAGTGAGAACATGCTGTGTTTGGTTTTCTGTTCCTGTGTTATTTTGCTGAGAATGATAGTTTCCAGCTTCATCCATGTCCCTGCAAAGGACATGAACTCGTGGTTTTTCATGGCTGCAGAGTATTCCATGGTGTGTATGTGCCACGTTTTCTTTATCTAGTCTATCACTGATGAGCATTTGGGTTGGTTCCAAGTCTTTGCTTTTGTAAACAGTGCTGCAATAAACATATGTGTGCATGTGTCTTTAAAGAATGATTTATAATCCTTTGGGTGTATACCCAGTAAGGGATTGCTGGGTCAAATGGTATTTCTGGTTCTAGATCCTTGAGGAATCACCACACTGTCTTCCACAGTGGTTGAACTAATTTACACTCCCACCAACATACACTGTTATTTATAATAGCTTTTCTCTTTTAGAAAAAACAACCCAAATGTCTAACAAAAACCCCGATGATTAATTGCATTGGTTAAGATGTAGAAGTTTCAGTATGATGTACATCAAAAACATACAATATGCATCCAAATATTGAAATTCATTACATTTCAGTTGCAGAATTATAGTATTTTCTACTTTTTTCTGCTGTTTATCCTGTGTTTTGACATTGTCTACATCAAACATTCAATTCATATAGTGATAAATAGTAAATTAAAACAAATGATCCAGGTAACTTTCTACCAATTGATATACAAGGCGTAGTCATACAAACTTAATTTTTTTTCATCTCAAAGTACATATCTTGACCCTAATATGTTCAACTGTGAAAACTTATGAGTTAAATGTAATGAATACATATTGTTTGTATTTGAATACTAATGGGAAATTAAAAATGATTGTCTGGATTCCATGGAAAAAGACCCAATAATGAAATGCACAGCTATCACTCTTCTAGGATTGACTCTTGGCTTTACTCTTAGTGGAATTACTTCCAGAAATAAATCTGGATTCTTCTCTTTACTTTGGATTGAACACTTAGATGACATTAGGAAGGTTTATTATTTTGGACTCACACCATGAAACTGAAGCTTTTTATGTATTCTGTTTTCATAGGTTTATCTACTTAATCCAGGCTCTTAGATTAAAAAGTGAAGTGTATAGAGATTTGTGGTGGTCCATAAATGAAAAGTTAAAACAATTTATCTAATAGTCTTCAATTTGTGGCAATGTGCTGCCACAAAGAATTGCTCAACCAAAGTTTTTTAATCATGTTCTCTAAAAGTATCTTAATGTATGAAGATGTGTTCTTTTTGTTTGTTTGTTTGCAATGGAGCCTCACTCTGTCGCCAGGCTGGAGTGCAGCCGCACGATCTTGGCTCACTGTAATCTCTGACTACCTGGTTCAAGCAATTCTCCTGCCTCAGGCTCCCAAATAGCTGGGATTACAGGCACACACAACCATACCCAGCTAATTTTTGTATTTTTAGTAGGGACAGGGTTTCACCATGTTGACCAGACTGGTCTTGATCTCCTGACCTCGTGATCCACCCACCTCGGCCTCCCAAAGTGCTGGGATTACAGGTGTGAGCCACTGCGCCTGGCCAAGATGCTCTTTTTTAGCCTAAAATATTCTGGAAATATATCCAGCAAAAAAAAAATTTGTTATCCTACTGTAGGCCTCATTTTTACCTTATAATGGATGTTTACTTGCCTATGATGTAGTTTCATTTGCCTCCTCGACTGAATATGTACTCTCCACAAATATTTTTGGCTATGATATAAAATAATTATGGTTATATATTTTATGCCACTTTAAAATATGAATAACGTCATATATAAATATGCATTATTAGTATATTATATAATATATACTTATATAAATGTAAACATCTCAATATAAATATAAATTATAATTATTTTATAATTCTATGTATGCCTTATTAGTCCTAATAGTAATTCATTCTAATCATAACTATACAAAGATTTTTCTCATTGTATATTGGAAATGTGTCATAAAAGGGTGCACGGGCTGCCTATTGACAAAGAAAGAAATAACTGTGATGTCAATGGAGATCTTCTGTCAGTAACAGACTCAGCACCTGAGTTGGCATGCACAACACAAAATCAATAGTTTTCTCAAATACTAAGATTTCTCAGTCAATAATGTCATTTCGTGAAATCATTACAGTAGTTCTAAGTTTTCTGTACCTCCTGCTCATACATTGTATTCTGTGTAAGTTTTCTACTGCAAATTACTACAAACATAGTGGCTTGAAACAACACAAATTCATTTTCTTACAGTTCTGTAGATCAGGATTCTGCCATGGATCTGACTGGGTAAAGATCCAGGTGTGGAAAGCGTACATTTCTTTCTGAAGGCTCTAGCTGAGAATCTACCTCTTGGCTTTTTGCAGCTTCCAGAGGTGACCTTCTCTCCTGGAGATTCTCTTCAGAATGTCTCTTCCACTTTTAAGGACCCCTGTGAGTACATTAAGCCCACCTGGAGAGGCGAGTATTATCTTCCTGTCTTAAGGTCACGTGATTAGAAATCTCAGTTCCATCTGCAACCTTAGTTTGCCTTTGCCACATAACCCAACATAGTCCCAGGTTCTGGGGATGAGGATGTAGACATTTCAAGGAGATTGTTAGACTACACATGACATAATCCGAGTTATTCTTGTGACTTCTTTAGAATCAATAGAACTTGAAAAAACATCATACCTTTGGTAGTTGTGGTAATTTGACTAAAAATAAAGAGTCTTCACTCAAAAACACTTGTCTCCTGAGAATGGGAAAAGTTTGATAAGTAATGTGTTGAAGAATATATTGAAAAGAAGTCTTGTTGAGAGAAAAAAGCAGAAAGTTGAAGAAAGTTTGGATTTCTCAGTACGTTAGATCTTATTAGATTACAATACGTCCTGATTATTCTTAGAGAACAGTATTCGGGCACGTGATGATCTGCACTCTGGCCGCATGTTTTTTCTTACCTGGGGTCTCACTGTCTTGTGTTAGATCTATTAGTGGTCACAAAGAAAGGAGGGTGAGAAAAGGGAAGGGTGAAGGGAAAAGTGGTATGGGGTGGAAGGCTTACTGCTTGTTATCTAGGAGGTAGAGACTCACTGGATGCTTTACTTCTCTTTCTAAAATTCTAACAATATTAATAATGATATGAATAATTATATACCTTGCCGGTGAGTAAACCGATGCCATGAGATAAAATAGTTTGCCCCAAATCACATAACTAAAACTGGGCACTGAATTGGGACCCAAACCCACATTCCCTTTGTTGCCCGAGCTGTGCTTCTTCCATCCTACCAGCCCGAAAGCAGTAAAGACATAGCAGTCATCCTTCTGTTTTAGCATGCACTCAGTATAAGTTCAGAATGTTCTTCAATCCATTCCCTAAGTCATCTGAAGACAGCAACTGAGCATTTCTGGGGGCTGGACCCACTCTGAAACTAAAATATAATATTGGAAATGAATCAAAGTCTAGAAATCTCTTCCCACCACTCACTGAGGAATATGGGAAGGCCAGAGACCAGGACATCTATCCAGGGATGAGATTTTGGTGTCAGTGTAGGTGTCTGAAGCAGTTCTGTTCACTGACTTCGCCTCTCGTGGGTGAGCCTGGGCATTGTTACATTCTTGTGTTGAGAGGATATGTGGCCTCTCACTGCACTCGCTTTCCATGAGATACAAGGGATTATCCTCAAGAGCAACCATGAGAAGAGGCTACGGTTCTGTCTTATGCTCAGAATGCATGGGTTTGCAGGGCAATATCAAATGTAATTCATCACTATCTGCATCAGACAAGCCACCCTCTCATTTCCAGAGCCATCTGCTTCTCACTGTCCATGAATAGATTCTTGATGGCCTGCTCCTTTCTTCGATATGAATACTTGCTGTTAAATGCCCTTTATCTAGACTTCATCAGCAAATATTGATGGAATGAGGAGAGCAGCTATGTGAAGGTGGCCTGAGCATGTCAACCTCTGGCTGCCATCCTGCCCGAAACTCTTAATGATGGTGTAGGAAGCCTAGATGGGAAACAAATGCTCTCCCATGAGTAGCCTTAATTCCGCAAGAGAAAAAAGTATACAGGAGGAGTCCAGCATTCTGTTTAATTTATTTAACAATTTCTACCTGGTTATGTTGATGCCTTGCCCTGCTAGGCAAGAGGAGTTTTGTTTAATTCATAGGACCAAATTTAGTACTCTGTAAACATTACCTTCTTCCTTAACATTTATTACCACTGTTCCCATTCGATTCAATGAACATTTATTTATACAGTAACGGTAGTTTGTAAAATATTCATGACTCCTTGTATTGCACAGACAGGTTAATATTATGCTTTCCTTAGAGCTCTGGCAATAGAGGTTTTGCATGCTTGAAATGCTGACCACCTTTCAGACTTTGTAAATTTGCTTTCAGCCTTTTTAAGATGCTATACATAAGTCATGATGACCTGGGCATTCAAGCTATCAAATTCTTTTAAAGTCTTACCCCTGTGAGGCAAGGCAGTAAGAGAATCCCAAATGGGATATGAGTCATGACTATAGACCAAATGCCTTATTATCCTAAAAAGAAGCTTAGGCCTTACTAGAGACAGTCCCTGTGAGCTTTCTTATTTCTGTGGGGAGAATGGCCTTGCAATGATCCTCATTTTACAACCTGTCCTTGCTTACAAACTGTGCATTTGCAAAGCATTGCAGTAGGAGAAAATGTCCAACTGGATTGTCTTATCCTAAGCCCTCTAACTTCAAGCAGGGATGCTGAGGTGGAGGGGAGATGGAGATGCTGAGAGCCTTCCTCCATCATTAAGAAGACCTAGCCACCATCTTGTGGCTGGATTTGACCAAGTCTGCTGTCACCATGGTCCTTTGCATCCTCTGTGTGTCTTCTCTTATTCTTTGTTCTTATCCCAACCCCTGCAACCGCACCCATTCCCTAGTTCCCTTTTCTAATGTCTAGGTGATTCCTATTTTCTTCACTTATTTAGTCCTGATTTTACCTCTTGGGCTACACAATAGAAAGCAACTTTCTTATTTTATTTTGTGTTTGTTTGCTTGCTTACAGAGATAAGGTCATACTACCTTGCCCAGGCTGGTCTCAAACCCCTGGATTCAAGTGTTCTTCTTACTTTGGCCTTCCAAAGTGTTAGGATGACAGGAGTGAGCCACCACATCCAGCCTAACTTCCCCATTTGGACGCCCCATACCTCTGCTCCAATTGTCCACTGTGCCTTTCTCCATCCCCCCTTACTTCCCATTGCTTCAGATTAGTGAAATCCGTCTTACAAAGATTGACCTAGATTTTGCAGGAGGCTTCTTTCTCTAGCAACGTAAAGATACCAGCCTGATTAGTGTACATTTGTTGCCTCTGAAGTTTTGCCCTTCTCCCAGTGCCAGCCCTTGTATAGAGCCCTGCCCTGGCTCACGGAGGTCGCCCCTTAAGGGGCCTGGAGAAGGATGGAGCCGTGCTTCTTGGAGGAAGACAAGCTGAAGCTAGCTTTGCAGCTCCAACTTGGAAAAGCCCCCAGTGGGGATGGGCCGATGTTGTAGAGGACAAGCACTTCTAGGTTTAAGAGAAAGTTCATGAAGATTCGGCTAAAGTGGAGAGAAAATAATGAAATGATAAAATCATTCTTGGAAATACTTTTTAAGCTTGGGTAATGGATTTTGAGGGCATGTGCCAAATGAACGGCCTCATCAACTCTCTTTTCTCTGTCTGTTTCTCTCACTCATTTATTCAAGGTCTTTCTATTTGTCTCTTTCTCCCTAGTTCAGTATTTGGCACTTTTTAGTCATTAAAAAAGATTACTCCTCTTTCTTGCCATTTTCCACACACATCTACCTATCCAAGCAATCTAGTGAATATTGTTTCAATTTCCTTTCGAGCTACTTATTTTCTAATCCAGTGGTGTCAGAAGTACCTGATTTTGAATTATCAATTGTAGTTTAACCTTTCCACAAATGAAAGAAGAGCCTTTTTAATGTAAGCCTGATTTCCAATCCGTAACTAAAAAGCAATGTCATGCTCAAATTGACTCTCTGTAATCCTCTAAATGAGGTGGAGAGATTAGAGAGGACAGGAATTAATAGATCATGGATATTGAAGAAGTAAAATGTTCTTTAACCCAATTCATACCTCAGCTCTGATGAACACCAATAGCATTTGGAAGCTTAAGAATGGAAAAGTGCAAAAGGTGAAGACATGATTGATAGTAGCTTCGAGGTTTAACATCACAGAGGCAAAGGGACAAAGAAAGCTAATATGATGAGTGAGAATATACAAACCAGAGTAAAGCAAAGCATAACGTTTCTAAAAACACTAATTGGACTATTCAGCTCTTTCCAGTTCAGATATGATTACAAATATCAGACATATGTCAAACCACGCCCTCTTTAACAAATATTTCAGATGTGTATTAGTCTGTTCTCACACTGCTATAAGTAAATACCTGAGACTGGGTAATTTATATGGAAAAGAGGTTTAATTGGCTCATGGTTCTGTAGGCTGCACAGGAAGCATGGCTGGAGAGGCCTCAGGAAACTTACAGTCATGGTGGAAGTCAAAGGGGAAGCAGGCATGTCTTACTTGGCCTGAGCAGGAGGAAGAGAGAGCGAGTGGGGAGGTGCCACACACTTTTAAAAAACCAGATCTTATGAAAACTCACTCACTATCACAAGAACAGCACCAAAGGGGGACTCTGCCCCCATGATCCAATAAACTCCCACCAGGCCCCGCCTCCAACATTGGGGATTACAATTTGACATGAGATTTGGATAGGTACACAAATCCAAACTGTGGCTTGGTTATGGTTTAATATTAATTTATTTTTAACACAATTTTTAATAGTATATTTTATCATTTCATCTAAATATGTGGAATTTTTGTGGACTTTCATATAAAAAATAAATTATGATAATAACTTATCATTTGGACTCTCTGTGATAATAACTTATCATTTGGTTGGTTTGGCTTAAAGTACAGCTTTTCCGACAATGAGAAACTCCTTGCTGGATGTAGTAAACAACTTCTACATTTACTCTGTCAGTGAGACTTCAATCACTTCTGTGTGTAACTCTCATAATAGTGTAGTAGGACAGGAGAAGGGAACAGAAAAAAAATTGAAAATAATACATTTAGAACTAGTTGTCTAGGGACTCAAAACCTAGCTCTACAAACTAATAACTGAGTAATGCTGGTCAGTTGCCTTTCTCCATGAGCTGCAGTGTCCTGTAATAAATTCAAGATAGTGAAACTATAATACCTATGCATATTACCATTTAAATAAGATCATGCAAGCACACATAAAGTGAGAGTTTTCATGTCTACTATATGAATCGCTTATTATTATAAACTAGTTTCCTATACACTCCTAGAATTTCAACTTTTGAAATCTCTATATTAAAGTTTTGTAGTCAGGCAAGAAGTTCTGGTTCTCTCTTTTCAATTGTCCTAATCTGCACATTCTTATACAAGCAATGTGATATGAGACAGTATTTTTCCTGTCCTCCAGGACATCACTACAGCAACAAGGTGAATGAGTGAGGGAGAAAGGTCCACAAATCCCATTTGCAGCAAAAGTCAAAGAACTGTACAATTTAGCCACTCCAAAATATGTTTAATTACTTTCAAAGCCTGCTGCAATTGGGCACATCTCCCAGGAAGGGGGTGTACCAAAGAAGATGGTGCCTGCTAAGATGGTCCATCTGAGAAAGAATGAGCAAATGTGCTGGTAATATAGAGATGAGGTGCTTCCTCCAAAGTTCCAGGTCCTGTCTTAGGAATGGGGCAAACAGAGAAGAAGCAGCACCTATGAGGAAGGAAATACACTGAAACAACAACAATAAAACATTAAAACAAAAAGGGAGTAGAGACATAGTGCCTCTCAGCCCAGAGGTGGAAGATCTCAGAAAGTCTCTGTACACACACACTTTTTAAGGTGAAAGCTCACTTGACAAGAAGCCATATAAATCATACATAGCAATTTTGAGAGAGTCTCTGGGTGATTGGCAGCAGAAGCCCTCTTAGAGAAAGTTTGGTTCAGAGAAGCAGAGGAGATAAGACTACTCAAACTATCAAAGAAAGCTACTTTTTAAGAGATGGCACCTATCCCTAAAAACAGTGAAGAACTGGTGGATATCAAGGTCAGAAGATGATTCAGGGAACATTAAAATGCAAGGATCATTGAATTTAGCTAATATAGGATAGTGTGCCTATGGGTGAGTCAATGAGGATATTGCTTGACTTATATGACAAAGGAGATCCGTACTTGATAGATAAAGTGACGTTTTCAGTCTCCCTAATAAGGAATATATGATCCTTGGCCTGTTTGTTATCCTGAACCAGCTCTCAGATTCTGAGCCCATCAAATGAAGGGAAAACTGGATACCTTTGAGGAAGAATCCCACGACTCTTTATTATTTAGGGCTGGGTTCATGGATGACCTTAAAGGCAGTAAGGATACGTTCTTTCAGTGTTCAGAGCTTGGGTAATACACTCAAGCTCTCGTAGAGCTTTATACAATATGATGACAAAGTGGTCTGAGGTGCAGATAGAGAATCAATGGTAGTCGTAAATGGCTTGGCTTCTTGGTGAAAATCGTGGAAGGAGAAAGATTAGACTATCAGAGAAGAAGTTGCCTGAGTAAGAGGCGTGTGGATGGACCTCTGGAATTCACACAAAGTGTAAGGGTCTTTGTATCTGACACCAATGCTCATCGTAAACCATTAGTGCAAAGAAGTCACAAGCAAGTATCACACAGAATACTCCCAGTGGATGTGAGCCAGTCTCTGTCTACATGCAAATTTAACAGCATAGACTTTTCCTCCACATGGCTGACATAGCTACTGCCTCTGCTGAATATCCAACACACCATCAAGATGAATGCTGAGCTATATATATAGTGCCCTACTTCAAAGAGACCAAAAACAATGCTTGAGGTGTTGGTTTCCTCAGACCTGTTCAATCATGGGGAGGGCAATATTTTGCCCCTAATACAACTGATTCTTAATGTGAATAAGGGATTCTATCTATTGTCAGTAGTACCTCTACCAGTGTTAAAAGAGCTACAGACATTCTTCGTTACTGACATTAAATAACAACATTATCTTTGAATGAGGGGCTCATTTTATGGTGACATAGGTATGAACAATGGAAGTGTGATGATAGAATCTCCTTCCATCCTCCAGAAACAGCTGTCAGGGTTAAATGTGGAAATGTAGTCAAGTCTCAGTGAGGGTGTCTTCTTGAGGATGTCTTTATTTTATTGTTTTATTTTTTTGAGATGGAGTCTTGCTCTGTCACCCAGGCTGGAGTGCAGTGACACAATCTCAGCTCACTGCAACCTCCGCCTCCCTGATTCAAGAGATTCTCTTGCCTCAGCCTCCTGAATAGCTGGGACTACAGGTGCGTGTCACCACGCCCAGCTGATTTTTTGTGTTTTTAGTAGAGATGGGGTTTCACCGTGTTAGCCAGGATGGTCTCGATCTCCTGACCTCATGAGCCACCCGCCTTGGCCTCCTAAAGTGCTGGGATTACAGGCATGAGCCATCATGCCCGTCCAAAGATGTCTTCTTGTGAAGTATAGTGCTCTTTCAGGATGCAGTATATATATTGAACATAAGTCCATTATATGGGTTTGAGTATTCAAGGGTCTCCTTGGTTTGGGAACCAAGAGGGTGGAAAGATAATTGACTCCTTCCACTTTCACTCCAAGTGAGCCATGTGGGGAATTTCTCTTATCCCATCCACACTTTTAGGCTGAGTATGATTAGAAGTGCCTATGCTGAGGGAGGGTGTTTTTCCAAGAGTATACAGTAAGTGCTCCACCAGCTCTAAAACCACAGTGGACACCTGGTCTTATTGGTAAACCACTAAGCAAAAAACAAACAAACAAAAAAACAAACAAACAAAAATTATATCCTAGTGGGAATAATCAGAGGACTTAAGATTACTGCTACATATGGGGGACTGGATGAGTTTGTGTGGAACCCAGGGATTCAGTTGGGTAACTTTTACTCGTCCCATGATAGGTGAGAATAGTAAAATGGAATTTAGAGCAACAGGAACTTGATGAAGTCAGGTTAATGAGGTACTCATATTTCTCAAGATAGTATGTTTGAACTGGACAAAAAAACTAAATGAGTGGAAAAACTGGCTAAAAAGTAGGATTTGACAGTGCCTGTTATACTAGTAGAAGAGAAATGATGGAAATAATCTGTAGCCAGAGGACCAGCCACAGCGGTAAAACTATGGCATGTCTTGCAGATTCTCATATTTTAAACACTTACTTTCAGAGATGACAGTTGGCTACCAACTTGAGGTGTAGTAACAAAGTAGATTCACAGTGGGCATGAGTAATCCTGAGTAGGACAGAAGTGTATGGTAGCACACACAATTGACACACAACCACATGTACACCTGGCCCACATCTGAGTTTTCTGCAAAAAGTAGCCTATTCTCAGCACTTCAGTTTCTAGCAGAATAAATTGATCACCTGCGTATTTCTGCTTCTCTTCCATAGGGCTTGGGAGGTTGCCTTGGGATCTTGCACAGATTTTTTCTTTGAAAGCCCAGAGTTGCTGGGTAATTAACACCCATAGGAGCAACCTTCAAGCAATAACAGGCTGGAATTGATGGGTACTCATGTCAGTTAACCCATCCCTCCATTCTCTGTGGTTCTTCTGAGAGTAACCAGTAGGACCAGCCCCAAATGTCAACAATGACAAACTGCTCATTAATACTACTATATTTTTCTCAACTCACGGGTTTATCTTCTTTACTCACACAAGAAATCTAGAAACATTAAACTCATAGAGAGTGGAATTGTTGTTAACAGAGGCTGTGGTGGGGCATGGTGGGTGAGAAAGGAGAATGATGGTCGGGGGTACAAAGTTTTTGCTAGATAGGAGGTGTAAGTTCTAATGATCTATTGAGCATCATGGTTACTATAGTCAATAACAATGTATTATATATTTAAAATTTGCTAAAAGAGTGGAACTTAAATGTTCTCACCACAAATAAATGATAAGTATGTGAGGTGATGGATATGTTAATTAGCCTGATTTGATCATTCCACCATGTATAAATGTATGGAAACATCACATTGTACTCCACAAATATATATATAATTATTATTTGCCTACTAAAATAAAATAAAATGTATTTAAAAATCAAAAAGCACTAAGCTAAAGTTATCAAAATAGTATGATATTGATATAAAGCAGACATCTAGGCCAGTGGAATAGAATAGAAGTCCCCAAATAAACCCTCTTATATATGGGAAAATGATGTTTGACAAGGGTTCCGGGACAACGAATGGCAAAAGGACAGACTCTTCAAGAAATTATAATGGGATAACTGAATAATCATAATGGGAAAACAGGCAAAAGAATGGTTGGGCCCTTACCTTACATCATATACAAAAAAAAAAAAACTCCAAATGGATCAAAGATTAAATCATAAAACACCTAGAAGAAAACACCAGGGACAAAGCTTCATGACATTGGATTTGATGATAGTTTCTTAACTATGACACCAAAAATACAGGTAACAAAAGCAAAAATAGACAAATAGGACTAAGTCAAACTTAAAACTTCTGCACAACAAAGGACACAATCAACAAAGCAAAAAGCCAGCCTTCAAAATGGGAGTAAATATTTGTACTTCACAAATATGATAATGATTAATATCCAAAATAGACAAAAATTTACAAATAAACAACACAAAACAACCAATCAAGTAAATTAAGAAAATGGACAAAGGACTTGAATAGACATTTATCCAAAAATGTTTTCTAATGACTAACAAGCATATGAAAAAATACTCAAAATCACAAATAAAATGCAAATCAAAACCACAATGAGATATTACCTCATACCTACTAGCATTGTTACTATTTTAAAGATGGTTGATGAGGATATAGAGGAATTGGAATCCTTGTGTACTGTTAATCAGAATGTAAAGTAGGTTGCAATTGAAAACATGTGGTTTGTTCCTTAAAAAAGTCTTTTTGTAATTACTGTGTTGTCTAGCAATCCCAATTCTTGGTATATATCCAAAATAATTGAAAGCAGAATCTTGAAGAGGTATTTTCATACCCAGGTTAATTGCAGTATTATTCACAGTAGCCAATAGGTAAAAACAACCCGAATGTCAATCTATGGAGGAATGAATAAACAAAACGTGTTGTATATACACAATGAAATATTATTCAGCCATAAAAAGGATGGAAATCCTGACATATGCTACAACATGGGTGAACCTTGAGGACATTATGCTAAGTGAAATAATCTCATACAAAAGGACAGAAACTGTATGATTCTATTATATGAGTTATGTAGAGTAGTCAATCATATAAACAGAAAGTAGAATGGTTGTCGCTGGGAATGTGGTAGAGGGGAAATGGGATGTTCCTTAATGAGTATAGATTTAGTTTTACAAGATGAAAAGGTTTTTGGAAATTGGTTGCACAGCAATGGAAATATTCTTAACAACATTGAACCGTCAAGTTAAAAATTGTGAAGCTGGTAAATTTTATGTTGTTTTTACCACACTTAATTAATTTTATTAGAATATTTTAAAATTACATGATTTAAAATATTGGTGAAATCCACATATGTAGCTTAACTAATAGCATTGCACCCAAGTTAATTTCTTAGCTTTTTAAATTATACTATGGCTATGTGTATTAGTCAAGATTCTTCAAAGAAAAAGAACCAATGAGATAGACATGGATATGGATATGGATATGGATATAGGTTTAGACATAGATATAGATATATAAGAAAGAATTTATTAGGGGAATTGGCTCACATGATTATTGAGGCTGAGAAGTCCCACAATGGGCAATCTACAAACTGGAGATCCAGAGAAGCTGATAATGTGGCTTAGTCTAAGTCTGAAAGTCTCAGAGCCAGGGGAGACAATGGTGTAACTCTCAGCTGAGGCTGAAGGCCTGAGAAACTGGGGGCCCACTGGTGCAAGTTCCAGAGTCCACAGGCCAGAGAATGTGGAGTTCTGATGTGCAAGGGCAGGAGAGGGGGGCAGCTCCAGAAAAGACAAAGAGAATTTGCCTTTTTTTCCTGACTTTTTTTTTTTAATCTGGGACCTCAGCTGATTGTATTGTGCCTGCCCACATTGGTGAGGGTGGATCTTCTTTAGTCCACTGATTTCTCTTCCAGAAACACCTTCACAGACACACCCAGTGATAGTGCTTCACCAGCTACCTAGATAACCCTTCAGCTAGCCAAACTGACATCTACAATTAACCAACACACTATGTAAGACATTAACATTAGAGGAAGGCAAGTGGATAAAATTCTGTACTATTTTTGAAAAATAAAAAAGGAAAATATATACTTAATTTCATGTAAATATTTACATTAAATATTTTAAAATTAAATATTGTCAAACAAAAATATTTAACTCAGAAAGCATTGTATACCTAGATGAATACCTAAAATTATAAATCTCCTAGAAGAAAATATAGGAGAAAATATATGTGATCTTAGGCTAGGCAAAGATTTTATACTAAACAACAACTATCAGGCACATGAAAAAAATAAATTAGACACCTTCAAAAAATAGCTTAACAAATTACAATTTTAAATATATGGAGTTTATTGTTTGCCAGTTATACTTCAGTAAAGCTGTTTAAAAAATTAATTAATGAAGACAAAAAGGAAATGACTTATCCACAAAAAAATGGTGGTGAATTAGCTATTGAATTAAGGTGAAAATAAATGTGAAGATTAGGGTGAAAAACAGATTGTAAATATTATATAATCCTGGCAAAAAGAAAAGATGTAACTAATAACATTTGGCAAAGAATGACATAAAGAAAATGGGTAGTGGTATAAATTCTTTATATTCCCACAAAGATACCAACCTAATAGCTCCATTTGAAAGCTGGGAGAAAAACTGTATTGTTTAATTTAGCAAATAAGATATACTCATATTTAACTATTGAAATGAAAATGTCAATAAATACTTTATTAACCACTGTAACATTATTGTAGAGGGAGTGGGGAGGAAGAATGAAAGGAAACAGTAATTTTGTCATTGTTTTCAGTAGATTAATAGTGGATAGGAAGTTAAAGAGGAGAGGGTTAATGTGGTGTCTGTGTGTGTGTGTGTGTGTGTGTGTGTGTGTGTGTGTGTGTATGCATGTATATTGTATCCATTGTGAGAGACATACATACAGGCAGAGAAAGAGACAGAGATTTATTTTAAGAAGTTGGCTTATGAAATTGTGGAGGATTTGTGACTCCAAAATCTGATGGGGGTTGGCAGGATGGAGATCCAGGGAGCACTGATGATGCAGTTGAGGTATGAAGGCAGAATGCTGGAGAATTCCTTCTTGCTCAAGGGAGGTCAGTCTTTTGTTTTATTCAGGTCTTCAAATGATTGTGTGAGACCCACTAACATTATGGAGTGTAATCTACTTATTCAACTTCCACCAACTTAAGTGTTAAACTAATCCAACACACCATCAGAAAAGCATTTAGAATAATGCTTGACTACATAGTTGGGCACCGTGGCCTAGCTCCAGTTGACACATAAAATTAACCATGACACCAAATATCAACAAAAACACACCTGCACATGTGCACAAAACAAGGAAAATAGGCTGCATAGTAAATGGCTTTTAAATATGAGAAAAATAAGATTTTTTTAAAAAATAAGTTGTTAATGTACTTGAGACAATCTTATTATATATTAACACAAGTAAACTTTGATTTTCATATAGTAGATTTCAGAAGTATTATCTGAGAATGAGGCTTATAAAATGCCCCCACTTTTTGAAGTCATAGCCATACAATTAAGGAGTTTTACTCTATGGAATTGTCACTACTGGGGCTTCAGCCTGTCCCTCCCTTAACTCTTCAAATTCTTAATGCTTAGGAGAGTAATGAAGGCTGTTTTATATGGGAGTATTTAGGTGTATGAAACAAATAGGTCCTGCACCAGGATAATGCTGACTGTCCCTTCCTGTGTCTAACGTGATTCTGCTGCCGTACAACCTTTTCCCCAATAACCCCAAGGTTCTTCAAGGCTGATTGCAGTATTTTTGGTGGCATTCCTACTGGAGATGTTGTTGCTTCCTTGCCCTGTTGATGTAGGATTTTTGCTTCTTAGTTCAGCTAAGTCCAAGTCTGGGTTCTTGTCTCATGACCAGGAAAAATTAGGCATGCAGACACATTGAAGGGTGAGGAGGGCAGAATTTATTAAGCAAAAGGAAAGCACTCAGCAAAGAGAAGGATTCTCTCCCTCACAGTGGCATACCAGGATTTCCACACATGAGCTGAAGAGGCCAGGCTCCTCCCTTGCATATCCTGCCCTTCCAGTGCATATGCGGGCTCTTGAGTCTGAGCCACTCTACACTGATTTAATTCCCTTACTGCACATGTGTTAAGGGACGGAATTTTTCACTGTGAGCATGTTTAGGCAAGCTCCCTGTGCACAATGACCTGGGTGGTCAGAAGTTCTCCGGGGACCCTCCCCATCTGCCTAGGAGAGTTCTCTGCCTCCTGCTTTTCTCACTGTGGTGTCTTCACTTCCCTTACATTGCAGTGGAAATACCCAAATAGTTCACATGATCTGCTTTCTTTGTCAAGGGAACGCAGAGAAACCAATAAAGCACATCCCTTGAAAAGATTTTCAAATTGTGCTGTATGTGTGTGCCATGTTTCGATTCAGTTTGTTTAATTGGAGGTTCAATCTACTTGTTCTCTAGCACCCTGTCTCCCCTACTCTCCCCATCCTCCAACCTCCACACTTGCAGTTGAAGGTACAGTGTAGGATTATTAGAACATTCATTCAATAATCACATTAGAGAGGATCACATGAACCTTTTTCTCTCTAAAATGCAATCCCCAATATGTATTACCATTATGCAGTGAATAATTTGAGGTTATAGTTTCTCATAATCAGGCCCCTTAAGCACCCTAAGCAAATTATAAAAATTCCAAGCCAATTAATTATTAATACGTTTATATGCCAACTGAAAAATTATCTCTTGAGTATCATACTTTGGCTTTCACTTCCAGGAAAGTTAGGCTGGCTTTTACTATGTTAATGAAAGCTTGAAACCCAGGCTTAAATAAACTCAGTCCAAGTGTGTATTATGAGTATCAGCTTCTAGCATAAGCAGTGGTCAAGAGACCAAAAACCTGCAAGAAGCGTAATTAGACTAATTCAGCTACATCCTCCAAAGGGGCAGGGCCCTGGGTTTAAAAAAAAAAATCAGATTTCCAGTTGTTTCTGAAGGATGATAATCTAGAGCCATAAATTTACCTCATAAAGACCACAATGTAGCCTTAAATCAGTTCCATACTTTACTGGATTAAAGTGAATCCTCTCTGGGAAAGTAAAGTATTACTACAGACGCAATTATCTGTCCACCTTTTTTTAATACAAAGTATCTGTTTCAGTTGGATCATCAGGAACATTTTCAAAAAAAGACCAAATGTGTGAAAATGAAGAAGAACAAGGAGAAGGAGAAGAAGAACAAGAAGATGGAGAAACTATTAATATAATCATGGTTTTTGATATCAAAGTTATTAGACATAAACTTCAAAAACTGTGATTAGTAGGTGTGAGGAAATAAATATAAAACTGAGAAATTTAGCAGAATATACATTTAAAAATAGAAGTAAAATTCTAAAGCTGAAATATAATTTTTACCTTTATAGATATAATTCTTAACTTGATAAATGCCACAGATAGAATTATGGGCAGATTAGGTAGAGTTGGATAGAATTAGGGAGCAGGTCGTAAGAAAATTATGGCAACTGAAGCACTGGCAGTAAAGGTGGAGTGAAAGCGAAACAAAGGTGTAAAATACAAAAGAGACATGGAGCCAAGGTTTAGCATATGAATGAATATTATATATAATTGAAGCCCCAACATAAGTGGAGATAATACTGGGAAGTGTAGGGTCAATTGAAGCCCCCAAATAAGTGGAGATGATACTGGGAAGTGTAGGGTCCTTGGTTCTTGTCTTCTCAGAGGGAAGAATTCAGCCAAGTGACACACAGACACAGTGAAACAGTAGCAGGGTTTTGTTAAAGTGACAGTACACTCTGAAAACTGAGTCACAGTGGGCTGCTCTGACAAACAGACAGACTGGGTTGACACTGAGGAACCCCCTTTATGGAGGTCTTACAAGATTATTTATGAAAGGAGTGTGAAGAGGTGTTACTTACAAGCATGTTTTGGATGGTCCACTGGGTATGCATGCCTTGTGACTGTACATGCTAGTACATACATTGTATGTCTCATTAGCATCAAATATAATAAGCAATAGGTTAGCTTTAGTGCAAGCCAAATCAAAAGTGTGCATGCTCACTAGTGGGGAAAGTCCCTATTGAAGCTTTCTTCTGTTAGGGTCAGGTAAGTCCCAGTTAGAGCCAGAGAAGCCTAATCGTGATTCCAGATGTAGCAATTTTTTTGTTTGTTTGTTTTGTTCTTTTTTTTTTTTTTTTTTTTTTTTTTAGACAGAGTCTTGCTCTGTTGCTTAGGCTGGAGTGCAGTGGCATGATTTCAGCTCACTGCAACCTCCACCTCCTGGGTTCAACTGATTCTCCTGCCTCAGCCTCCCGAGTAGCTGGAATTACATGCACCCACCACCACACCCAGCTAAAGATGTGACTATTGTTTTTCTCTGATTGCTAGTGTAGCAGCGTTTCCAGGGCTGCCTTTCCTGCTCACGTCTATGTCTCCACCTACTCTAACAGAGATAGAAAGTGGGACAGAGACCAGGTGCAGTGGCTTATGTCTGTAATCCCAGCACTTTGTGGGGCTGAGGAAGGAGGATCGCTTGAGCCCAGTAGTTCAACACCAGCCTGGCAACATAGTGAGAACTTGTCTTTACAAAAAAAAAAAAAAATTATCTGGGCATGGTGGTGTGCACCTGTGGTCCCTGCTACTTGGGAGACTGAGGTAGGAGGATTGCCTGAGTCTGGGAGGTTGAGGCTGCAGGGAACCATGATCATGCCACTATACTCCAGCCTGGCAACAGTGCAAGACCCTATCTTAAAAAAAGCCTACTGTACCAAAAAAAGGGATAGACACAATATTTTAAGATATATCCATTAACAATTTTCCTAGACTGATGAAATATAACAAGTTACAGATTAAAAGTTACTATAAATCTAAAACAAAATAAATGTAAAGAACCATATTATTTGCTTTTTTCAAATTTATCTATTTATTTATTTAAATTGACAGATAAATTGTATGTATTTATCACTTACAACATGATGTTTTGAAGTAGATACACATTGTGGAATGGTTACACGTAGCTAATTAACACTTGCATTACCTCTCATAGTTATCAACTTTTTGGTGATAACTGTTAACATCCAGGCTGTTAGCATATTTAAGAATACAGTGTATCATCATTAACAATAGTCACCATGCCATACAATAGAATGGTGGTTACCAAAGACTGGGAGGGAAGGGGGATGGGGGTGGGTGGAGAGGGGAGATGTTGGTTAAAGGATAGAAAATTGCAGTTAAGTAGGAGGAATAAGTTCAAGAGATCCATAATATTTGTTTTTAATAGAAAATGTCAGAACTTGATGTCTTTTAACCCTAAGTGATTTGCTTTGTTCATTTAAACCTTATAAAATGACCATCCACAATATTTAACATATAAATTATTGTGATGTTCGTGCAATCAGAATTGCCTCCAATTATGCTCATCAGTGAATTCTCTGGAAAATACCCCTACAACCAAAGGAATTGTGTCCTGAATTCTCTGAATCACACACACCTGCTCTGCACTTCTATGTAAATGATCAAGATTTAACAATGCTTTAATACTATATTGTTTCCTGGAATTAATTTATATAAGTTTTCACCTTCATGTGCAGGCAAATGGACCTGCCCCTAAGTGACATCTGCCTTATGCTCTGTAGGAAGCAAGTCTACACTGACTTAGCAGGACTGGAGATTACAAAGCAGCCTATAGTTGTTCTGTATTCTTGATGAGATATATGCTTTAATTTCATGTGTTATATAATATCTATGTTGAAACAAGTTGTTTCCAAAAAATTTTAATGAATCTTTTTTTCTCATAGTTTAGGGCCTTTTATCATCATACTCATAAGATTTCCAATTTGGTTGTTAAGAATCATCTTTGGAGGACTTCACCATGATTCTAAGTACTGCATAAGTATTCACCACATTGTGTGCACACTCAGTACTGCTCTATAAGGGAGATAGCACAGTCTGCCTGAACATTTTACATTCAACTCTGAGATTGATCCATGTGACATATTTAAAATGAGGATGCTGATGGTGTGGGTGTGGCTGCCTGAATGGTCATGTAGTGAAGGATTCTGAGTCTGTGCCCCTGTTCTTGGATCTAAGTCAAAGAGTTCAATAATCACTGAGCCCTCCCTAGTATTTGTAAGGGAGATGGAGTAGTGGCAAATGTGCCAGACATTTCCTGAAAATCTTTTAGCAAAAGTCATAACCAAGATTAGGAAAGGATTAAATAAAAACCAATTGCATGGGAAAAGAGCCAACTGCAGTTTACCATACTGTTAATTTAAACGTTACTATAAAGAAAGTAAACATATTCAGCATTGTCTGAAACCATGCTCTGTGGAAGAGAGATGATTTTGAACCCCGGGTAGTTCATTTGCCCTTACTAGACTCACTGCTTGGATTGCCAGGATCTGGTTTGAGGTTCCTTGGGAGACTTGGACATGCAATGATGACTAGCAGCTTCCTGAAGTGAGTTTGTCTCCATTTAAACCTGTATCATAACCCATTTAATCCAAACAGCAGTGCTAGGTATCATTCTTCCCAACTGACACATGGGGAAATTGTGTCTCAGAAATTTTAAGTTACTCACCTAAGGTCAGTAATTTAGTAAATACTGGCAGGTGTTTACCATTAAAAATATAGAGTATGCTCTTTCTACTATATCAAAGAAAGGGCAACCAGAGGACAAAATACTTGCTGGAAACACTACAGTAAAACCTGAAAGGAAAACAGAGCTCCGTCACTTTCACTTGACCTCATTCCAGAGTATAACCTATCTCCTGGTACCTGATATGCAGGCATTAACCTGGCAAATGCCTTTTTTTCCATTCCTGTCCATAAGGCCCACCAGAAGCAATTTGCCTTCAGCTGTCGAGGCCAGTAATATACCTTTACTGTCCTACCTCAGGGGTGTGTAAACTCTCTGGCTTTGTGTCACAATCTTGTTCACAGAGATCTTGATCACTTTTGCCTTTCACAAGATATTACACTGGTCCATCACATTGACGACATTATGTTGATTGGATCCAGTGAGCAATAAGTAGCAAACACCCTGGACTTATGGTGAGACATTTGCATATCAAGGGATGGGAAATAAATCTGACTAAAATTCAGGGAACTTTTACCTCAGTGAAATTTCTAGGGGTCCAGTGGTGTGGGGCCTGTCAAGATATTCCTTCTAAGCTGAAGGGTAAGTTGCTGAATTTGGCCCCTCCTACAACCAAGAAAGAGCCACAATGCCTAGTGGGCCTATTTGGATTTTGGAGGCAACACATTCCTTATTTGGGTGTGTTACTCTGGCCCATTTATCAAGTGACTCAAAAGGCTGCCGGTTTTGAGTGGGGTCCAGAATAGGAGAAGGCTCCGCAACAGGCCCAGGCTGCCATGCAAGCTGCTCTGCCACTGAGACCACATGACCCAGCAGATCCAATGGTGCTTGAGGTGTCAGTGGTAGATAGGGATGCTGCTTGGAGGCTTTGGCAGGCCCTCATGTGTGAATCACACTGGAGGCCCCCAGGATTTTGAAGCAAGGCTCTGCCATCTTCTGAAGATAACTACTCTTCTCTCCTTTTTGAGAGACAGCTCTTGGCCTGTTACTGGGCTTTGGTGGAAACTGAAGTCACCATGTGACCTGAGCTGTCTATCATGAACTGGGTGCTTTCTGACCCACCTACCCACAAAGTGGGTCATGAACAGCAGCCTTCCATGATCAAATAGAAGTGGTATATACGTGATCGGATTTGAGCAGATCCTGAAGGCACAAGTAAGTTACATGAGGAAGTGGCTCAAGTGCCCATGGCCTCCACTCCTGCCACCCTGCCTTCTCTCCACCAGCCTGCACCAATGGCCTCATAGGGAGTTCCCTACAATCAATTGACAGAGGAAGAGAAGACTACGGCCTGGTTCATAGGTGGTTCTGCACAATATGTCAACACCACCCAAAAGTAGACAGCTGCAGCACTACAGCCCCTTTCTAGGACATCCTTGAAGGACAGTGGTGAAGGAAGATCTTCCCAGTGGGCAGAACTTCGAGCAGTGTGCCTGGTTGTGCACTTCACTTGTAAGGAGAAATGGCCAGATGTGTGATTATATATTGGTTCTGGGCTGTAGCCAGTGGTTTGGTTGGATGGTCAGGGACTTGGAAGAAGCATGATTGGAAAATTGGTGACAAGGAAATCCGGGGAAGAGGTATGTGGATGGACCTCTCTGAGTGGTCAAAAACTGTGAAGATATTTGTATCCCTTGTGAGTGTTCACCAAAGGGTGACCTCAGCAGAGGAGGATTTTGATAGTCAAGTGGATAGGATGACTCATTCTGTGGACACCACTCAGCCTCTTACCCCAGCTGCCCCTGTCATCACCCAATGGGCGCATGAACAAATTGGCCATGGTGGGAGGGATGGAGGTTATGCATGGTCTCAGCAACATGGACTTACATTCATCAAGGCTGACCTGGCTACGGCTATTGCTGAGTGCCCAATTTACCAGCAGCACAGACCAAAACCAAGCCCTTGATATGGCACCATTCCTTGGGGTGATCAGCCAGCTGCTTGGTGGCAGGTGGATTATATTGGACTTCTTCTATAATGGAAAGGGCAGAGGTTTGTCCTCACTGGAATAGGCACTTTCTATAGATAATGGGTTTGCCTATCCTGCAGGCAATGTTTCTGCCAACACTATCATCCATGGACTCATGGAATACCTTATCCACCGTCACAGTATTCCACACAGCATTGCCGCTGACCAAAGCACTCACTTTACAGCTTAAGAAGTGTGGCAGTGGGCTCATGCTCATGGAATTCACTGGTCTTACCATGTTCCCCATCATCTGGAAGCAGGTGGATTGATAGAATGGTGGAATGGCCTT
Organism: Homo sapiens; assembly: GCF_000001405.40. Taxonomy (NCBI): domain Eukaryota; kingdom Metazoa; phylum Chordata; class Mammalia; order Primates; family Hominidae; genus Homo; species Homo sapiens. The sequence goes on from NC_000007.14 coordinate 52,389,742, forward strand.
TTGAAGTCACAATTACAATGCCAATTAGGTACAATACTTTGCAGGGCTAGGGCAAAGTTCTCTAAAAGGCTGTGTATGCTCTGAATGAGCATCTAATATATCGTACTGTTTCTCCCATAACCAGGATTCAGGGGTCCAGGAATCAAGGGGTGGAAGTAGAAGTGGCACCACTCACCATCATCCCTAGTGATCCATTGGCAAAACTTTTGCTTCCTGTTCCTGTGACATTACATTCTGCTGCTCCAGAGGTCTTAGTTTCAGAAGGAGGAGTGCTGCCACCAGGAGACACAACAACAATAAAATTAAACTGGAAGTTAAGTTTGCCACCTGGACACTTTGGGCTCCTCCTACCTCTAAGTCAACAGGTTAAGAAGGGAGTTACAGTGTTTGCTGGGGTGACTGACCTCAACTATGAAGATAAAATCAGCCTACTACTCCACAGTGGAGGTGAGGAAGAGTATGAGTGGAATACAGGCAATCCCTTAGAGTGTCTCTTAGTATTACCATGCCTTGTGATTAAGGTCAATGGGAAACTACAACAGCCCAATCCAGGCAGGACTAGAAATGGCCCAGACTCTTCAGGAATGAAGGTTTGGGTCACTCCACCAGGAGAAAAACCATGACCTGCTGAGATGCTTGCTGAAGGCAAAGGGAATACAGAATGGGTAGTAGAAGAAGGTAGTCATCAGTACTAGCTACGACCACATGACCAGCTGCCGAAATGAGTACTATAATTATCATGAGTATTTTTTCCTTATTTTGTTAGGAATATGTTCGTGCATGAATATACTTGTAATAAGAAAATATCTTCATTTAATTTTCTTTCTTTTTCCTTTATCATGTGACATAAGATTTATTGACTTCATATCAGCATTTAAGTGTTGTTAACTTTATGTAATAGCATTTAGGTTAAGGATTAGTGTGCTTCCAGTTGCACAAGGGATAGCTGTATTATGTTAGGCCTAATTATGATCTTATTATTCTTCTTATTATTATTGAGTCGGTGTTTCACTCTTGTCACCCAGGCTGAAGTGCAGTGGCGCGATCTCGGCTCACTGCAACCTCCGCCTCCTGAGTTCAAGAGATTCTCCTGCCTCAGCCTCCTGAGTAGCTGGGATTACAGGCGCCCACCATCATGCCCAGCTAACTTTTTTATTTTTGGTAGAAATGGGGTTTCACCATGTTGGCCAGGCTGGTCTTGAACTCTTGACCTCAGGTGATCCACCCACCTTGGCCTCCCAAAGTGTTAGGATTACAGGCGTGAGCCACCACACCTGGCCTATTATTTTCTTTAATTGGAAATTATGTATGATTTCAGGAGATGTGTACGGGCTCAAGTTGACAAGGGGTGGACTTGTGATGGTTAATATTAAGTGTCAACTTAACTGGATTGAAGGATACAAAGTATTGTTCCTGGGTGTGTCTATGAGGGTGTTGCTAAAGGAAGTAAACATTTGAGTCAGTGGACTGGGAGAGGCAGACCAACTCTTAATGTGGGTGGGCACCATCTAATCAACTGTCAGTGCAGCTGGAATAAAGCAGGTGGATGAAGGTGGGAGAAGCTGACTTGCTGAGTCTTCTGGCCTTTATCTTTCTTCCATGCTGGATGCTTCCTGCCCTCGAACATCAGACTCCAAGTTCTTCAGTGTTTGGACTCTTGGGATTACGCAAGTGGTTTGCCAGGGGATCTCAGGCCTTCTGCCACAGACTGAAGGCTGCACTGTCAGCTTCCCTACTTTTGAGGTTTTGGGACTCAAAGTGGCTTCCTTGTTCCTCAGCTTGCAGATGGCTTATTGTGGGACTTCACCTTGTGATCCTGTGAGTCAATACTCCTTAATAAACTCCCTTTCATATATACATCTATCCTATTAGTTCTGTCTCTGTAAGGAACCCTGACTAATACAACATTCTTTCCCACTTCCACATAGGGAGTTTGATAGTGGGCTAGAACTTCAGTACGTGCTACAATGGCACCACCTGGATGACTTTATGCTGTAAGGTACACAAGTAACAGCCACAATCAGTAAGAAACAGTAGGAACACAGCAACAGGAATAGAATCCTTACTCGGAAAGGAGCTGCCAACCTAGGAATCTAGATAAATGACAGAGCCATAACATAAAGGAAAAAAAATGTTGCAGATTGTCTAAAGGGATATTGCCATGTTTTCCTGGAACAGTAGATTTTAAAAATGAGCAGTAGGGAATAATTGTGATGGTTAAGCATATATGTCAACTTGGCAAGATTATGATGCCCAGGTTTTTACTCAAACACCACTTTAGATATTGCTGTGAAGCAACTTTGCAGTTGTGATTAATAACTGCAATCATTGACCTTATGTAAAGGAGATTGTCCTTTATAATGAGAGTAGGTCTCATCCAATCGGTAGAAGTCTAAAAGAGCAAAAGCTGAGGTTTCCTGGAATTATGCATCAAGATTGTTACATGGAAATCCTGTGGGCATTTCCAGACTTCCAGCTTGTCCTATGAATTTCATGTCTGGTGATTTTGTCATTGTGAAAACATCATAGAGTGTGTTTACACAAACTAGATGGTAGAGTCCACTGCACACCTGGGCTATATGGTATATCTATTGCTCCTAGGCTGCAAACCTGTTCAGTATATTATTGTACTGAATACTGTAGGCAACTAAAACACAACAGTAAGTATGTATGTATCTAAACATATCTAAACATAGAAAAGATACAGGAAAAAAATCTATTATAACAATCTTCTGGGACAACTGTCTTACATGTGGTCCATTTACCAAAATGCCATGATGGGTTATATGACTGTGTATGTAGTATATTATATATTATCACTGTGCATATGTAAAATATTAGGAAATATATGGTATAGAATGTGTTATATAATTCATAACATAATTATTATAACATTATTTCATGACATATATTATACTATATTACATTGTCTTATAATTTTAATATGCCAGTCTTAAATGTCAAAAGAATAGGAAGGAGCTAACATGGCTAAGTGTGGTGGAAAAGGGGTGGACTCTGGAAGATGAGGAAGACAGCTAAGTGAGGGTTAGATTGGGTAGGTCCTTGGGGTCAATTGTATTTGGGTTACAGGGACTGAGATAAAGTGGTCTATGTGACTTACAAACTTAAAGATTCAACCTACCTGTTGTAAAGATATTGGGATATGAGATGGCAAGGACAAAAGCAGGAAAAGCAATTGCTTTAACCCCGGGAGAGGGGCTGGTGTCTTGGACAAGGTGGTTGCAGTGGAAATAGGGAGCAGTGCTCCTCTTCCAGTACAATTTAAAGTGGCACTAACAGGATGCAGAGATTAGAAGGGTACGAGTAAAAGAACAGGGTCAAAGGTCAAGTCCAAAGCTTTGGTCTCAAGCAAGTGAAAAATGTGGTTACTCTTTCCTGAATTGGTAATAAAAACAGCAGGAGTAACAAGGGCTGGGGGAGGGGAGGGAAGATGAGGAGCTGAGCTTAAGGCTTGCCAGGTGTGTTCTTGTTAGACACCCACGTGAAAGGTTAAATAGACAGTTTAGTTTAGTTAAATAGACAGTTTAGTTCCAGAGCATGGTTATAGGTTGATAAATCATACATTCATGAAAAAGCTGCACTAAATTGAGTACTTATCTGTTGATAGAAGTATGATTTTTTACTACTGAAAAATTTAATGGTATGTATCCAATAACTTTAAAATAGTGGTATATTTAAAAAATTGTTATATTAATTGATATATTTTTTAAAATCAACATTTTAAATTGATATGTTAAAATTGGTATTTTAATTGGTATATTTAAAAAATACCAATATTTTAAAGATCCCAATTCCTGAAATGCAGAAACTGACCTGGCATCCACAGCGAGGTCATTTTTCTTTTATTACACTTAAACAATCTCACAGAATACTAACCTCAGACAAGGTTACTTTTAGATCACGACAAAATGAGACAGAGTAAGGCTACTTCATAATTTTGTCTCATCAAGGATAAACACAAGTTAACTATGCCTTCTACAGAATACCATACATCCCCTCTCTTAGCCAAAATGAGTGAATGCTACTCCTTCACAAGTTACAACCTTATCCCCATTACAGTTTCCCCTATAGAGAAATAAGATTTATTGAAATACGCAACCATTGCCCTCGCTTTATGACAACATCCAATCTAAAGCAATTCCCTGTTTCCTAGACTCCTCTAGTCAACTGATCATAACCTCAAACTTGTAATAGATTCTTTCTTCCTCCCTTTCACAGAGATACCCCAGTGTGGTCTCCCTACAATGAGTGCCAAGCCTAACCTGCCTCGCCGTAGGTGTGTTCCTGGTGGCCTTTCTCTGGAGGGCATAATAGTGTAGTTTGGCACCACTGATTGGAAAAGAGTTACCAGAATGTTACAATTGCTTAAAAGTGCTTTTTAAAATTATTTTTTAATTTTTCCATAAGTTATTGGGGGTACAGGTGGTATTTGGTTAAATGAATAAGTTCTTTAGTGGTGATTTGTGAGATTCTGGTGCACCCATCAACCCCGAGCAGTATACACTGCACCAGATTTGTAGTCTTTTATCCCTCGCCCCCTCCCTCTTTCCCCCTAAGTCTCCAAAGTCCATTATATCATTCTTATACCTTTATTTCCTCATAGCTTAGCTCCCACATGTCAGTGAGAGCATACAGTGTTTGGTTTTCCATTCCTGAGTTACTTCACTTAGAATAATAGTCTCCAATCTCATCCAGCTCATTGCAAATGCCACTAATTCATTCCTTTTTATGACTAAGTAGTATTCCATTGTATAAATATACCAATTACTTTATCTACTCGTTGACTGATGGACATTTGTGTTGGTTCCACAATTTTGCCATTGCCAATTGTACTGTTAAAAACATGCATGTGTGAGTATTTTTCATATAATGACTTCTTTTCCTCTGGATAGATACGCAGTGGTGGGATTGCTGGTTCAAATGGTAGTTCTACTTTCAGTTGGTTAAGGAATCTCCACACTGTTTTCCATAGTGGTTGTACTAGTTTACATTCCCTCCCACAGTGTAGAAGTGTTCCCACGCCAACATCTACTGTTGTTTGATGTTTTGATTATGGCCATTCTTGCAGGAGTAAGGTGATACTGCATTCTGGTTTTGATTTGCATTTCCCTGATCATTAGTGATGTTGAGCATTTTTTCATATGTTTGTTAGCCATTTGTATATCTTCTTTTGAGAATTGTCTATTTATGTTCTTTGCCCACTTTTTGATGGGATTGTTTTATTTTTTCTTATTGATTTGAGTTGGTTATACATTTTGGATATTAGTCCTTTGTCAGACGTATAGATTGTGAAGATTTTCTCCCACTCTGTGGGTTGTCTGTTTACTCTGCCAACTGTTCCTTTTGCCATGGAAAAACTCTTTCGTTTAATTAAGTTCCAACTATTTATCTTCGTTTTTATTCCATTTGCTTTTGGGTTCTTGGTCTTGAAATCCTTGCCTAAGCCAAAGTCTGGAAGGGTTTTTCCAGTGTTATCTTCTAGAATTTTTATAGTTTCATGTCTTAGATTTAAGTCCTTAATCATCTTGAGTTGATTTTTGTATAAGGTGAGAGACGAAAATCCAGTTTCATTCTGCTACATGTGGCTAGCCAATTATCCCAGCACCATTTATTGAAAAAGGTTATGTTTTTGTTTTTGTTATCCCAGCACCATTTATTGAAAAGGGTTCTGTCTATGTTTTTGTTTGCTTTGTCAAAGATCAGTTGGCTATTAAGTATTTGGGTTTAGTTCTGGGTTCTGTATTCTGTTCCATTGGTCTATGTGCCTGTTTTTATACCAGTACCATGCTGTTTTGATGACTATAGCCTTATTGTGTAGTTTGAAATCAGGTAGTGTGAAGCCTCCAGATTTGTTCTCTTTGCTTAGTCTTGCTTTGGCTATGCCGGCTCTTTTTTATCCATATTAATTTTAGAATTATTTTTTTCTAATTCTGTGAAGGATGATGGTGGTATTTTGATGGAGACTGCATTGAATTTGTAGATTGCTTTCAGCAGTGTGGTTATTTTCACAATATTGATTCTACCCATCCATGAGCATGGGATGTATTTCCATTTATTTGTCTCATCTATGATTTCTTTTAGCAGTATTTTGTAGTTTTCCTTTTAGAGGCATTTCACCTCTTTGGTTATGTATATTCCTAAGTATTTTATTTTATTTTTTGCAGCTATTGTTAAAGGGGTTGAGTTCTTGATTTGATTCTCCATTTGGTCACTGTTGGTGTATAGAAGAGCTACTGATTAGTGTACATTAATGTTGTATCTGGAAACTTTGCTGAATTCTTTTATCAGTTTTAGGAGCTTTCTGAAGGAATCTCTGGGGTTTTCAAGGTAAATGATCATATCATCAGCAAACAGTGACAGTTTGACTTCCACTTTACCAGTTTGGATGTTCACTATTTCTTTCTCTTTTCTGATTGCTCTGGCTAGGACTTCCAGTTCTATGCTGAAGAGGAGTGGTGAGTCTGGGCATCCATGTCTTGTTCCAGTTCTCAGAGGGAATGCTTTCAACTTTTCCGCATTCAGTATTATGTTGGCTGTGGGTTTGTCACAGACGGTTTTTATTATATTAAGGTATGCCGATTTTGTTTAGAGTTTTAATCATAAAGCGATACTGGATTTTGTGGAATGCTTTTTCTGCATCTATTGAGATCATCATGTGATTTTTGTTTTCAATTCTGTTTATGTGGTGTATCACATTTATTGACTTGCATATGTTAAACCATCCCTGCATCCCTGGTATGAAATCCACTTGATCATGGTGGGTTATCTTTTTGATATGTTGTTATATTCAGTTAGCTAGTATTTTGAGGATTTTAGCATCTATGTTCATCAAAGGTATTGGTCTATAGTTTTCTCTTTTGGTTATGTCCTTTCCTGGTTTTGGTATCAGGGTGATGCTGGCTTCATAGAATGAATTAGGGAGGGTTCCTTCTTTCTCCGTCTTGTGCAATAGTGTCAAAGGAGTTGGTACAAATTCTTTGAATGTCTGGTAGAATTCTGCTGTGAATCCAACTGGTCCTGGACTTTGTTTTGTTGGTAATTTTTTAATTACCATTTCAATGTCACTGCTTGTTATTGGTCTGTTCAGGGTATCTAATTCTTCCTGATTTAAGCTAGAAGGGTTGTATTTTTCCAGGAATTCATTCATCTTTTCTAGGTTTTCTAGTTTATGTGTGTAAGGGTGTTCATAGTAGCCTTGGATTATCTTTTGTATTTCAGTGGTGTCAGTTGTAATATCTCTCCTGTTTCATTTCTTAATGAGGTTATTTGGATTTTCTCTCTTCTTTCCTTGGTTCATGTTGCTAATGGTCTATAAATTTTATTTATCTTTTCAAAGAACCACCAACATGGCACATGCATACATATGTAACACCTGCCTGTTGTGCACATGTACCCTAAAACTTAAAGTAAAATAAAAAAAGAAAAGAACCAGCTTTTTGTTTTATTTATCTTGTTGGTTTGTTTGTTTGTTTCAATGTCATTTAGCTCTGCTCTGATCTTGGTTATTTCCTTCCTTCTGTTGGGTTTGGGTTTGGTTTGTTCTTGTTTCTCTAGTTCCTTAAAGTGTGACCTTAGAATGTCAGTTCGTGCTCTTTCAGTCTTTTTGATGGAGGCATTTGGGGCTATAGAATTTCCTTTTAGCACCACCTTTGATGTATCCCAGAGGTTTTGGTAGGTAGTGTCATTATTATTGTTCAGTTTGAAGAATTTTTAAATTTCCATCTTGATTTCGTTTTTGACCCAATGCTCACTCAGGAACAGGTTATTTAATTTCCATGTATTTGCATGGTTTTGAAGGTTCCTTTCGGAGTTTATTTTCAGTTTTATTCCACTGTGGTCTGTCAGAGTGCTTGACATAATTTCAATTTTCTTAAACGTATTGATGCTCATTTTATGACCTATCATATGGTCTATCTTGGAGATAGTTTCATGCACTGTTGAATAGAATGTGTATTCTGCAGTTGTTGGATGAAATGTTCTGTATATATCCGTTAAGTCCATTTGTTCCAGGGTATAGTTTAAATCCATTGTTTCTTTGTTGACTTTTGGTTTTGATGACCTGTCTATTGCTGTCACTGGAGTATTGAAGTTCCCCACTATTACTATGTTGCTGTCTATCTCATTTCTTAGGTCTATTAGTAATTGTTTTATAAATTTGGGAGCTTCAGTGTTAGATGCGTATGTGTTTAGGATTGTGATATTTTCCTGTGGGACAAGGCCTTTTACCATTATATAATCCCCTTCTTTGTCTCTTTTAACTGCTGTTGCTTTAAATTTTGTTTTGTCTGGTATAAGAATAGCTTCCCCTGTTTGCTTTTGGTGTCCATTTGCAAGAAATGCCTTTTTCCATCCCTTTATTTTAAGTTTATGTGAGTCCTTATGTGTTAGGTGAGTTTCCTGAAGGCAGCAGATAGTTGGTTGATGAATTCTTATCCATTCTGCAGTTCTGTATCTTTTAAGTGGAGCATTGAGGCCATTTACGTTTAATGTAAGTATTGAGATGTGAGGTACTGTTACATTTATCATGCTATTTGTTACCTGTGTACCGTGCTTTTTTGTTTTTTGTTTTTGTTTTTTTTTTGGTTGTTTTTGCTTTTTAACTTGTAGTTTTGTTTTATAGGTCTTGCATGATTTATGCTTTAAAGAGGTTTTGTTTTGATGTGTTTTCAGGATTTGTTTCAAGATTTAGAGCTCTTTTTAGCAATTCTGGTAGCGGTGGCTTGTTAGTGTCAAATTCTCTCAGCATTTGTTTGTCTGAAAAAGACTGTGTCTTTCCTTCATATAAGATGCTTATTTTTGCTGGATACAAAATTCTTGGCTGATAATTGTTTTGGTTGAGGAGGCTTAGGATAGGGCCCCAATCTCTTCTAGCTTGTAGAGTTTCTGCTGGGAAATCTGTTGTTAATTTGGCAGGTTTTTCTTTATAGGTTACCTGGTGCTCCTGTCTCATAGCTCTTAAAATTCTTCCCTTCATTTTAACTTTAGATAACCTGTCGACGACATGCCTAGGCAATGATCTTTTTGTAAGGAATTTCCCAGATGTTCTTTGTGGTTTTTGTATTTGGATGTCTAGGTCTGTAGCAAGGCTGGGGCAATTTCCCTGTATTATTTCCCCAAATATGTTTTCCAGACTTTTAGATTTCTCTTTTCATCAGAAACACCAACTATTTTTAGGTTTGGTCATTTAACATAATCCCAGACTTCTTTGAGGCTTTGTTCATATTTTCTTATTCTTTGACTCTGTTGGATTGGGTTAATTTGAACACCTTGTCTTTGAGCTCTGAATTTCTTTCTTCTACTTGTTGAATTCTATAGCTGAGACTTTCCAAAGCATTTTGCATTTCTATAAGTGTGTCCAATGTTTCCTGAATTTTTGATTGTTTTTTCGTTATGCTATCTATTTCCTTGAGTATTTCTCACTTCACTTCTAGTATCATTTTTTGGATTTCCTTGCATTGGGCTTCACCTTTCTCTGGTGCCTCCCTGATTGGCTTAATAACTAACCTCCTGAATTCTTTTTCAGGTAAATTGGGAATTTCTTCTTTGTTTGGATCCTTTGCTGGTGAACTAGTGTGATTTGTTGGGGGGTGTTAAATAGCCTTGTATTGTCATATTACCAGAGTTGGTTTTCTGGTTCCTATTCTTTTGGGTAGCCTCTGTCAGAATGAAAGTCTAGGGCTGAAGACTGTTGTTCAGAATCTTTTGTCCCATGGAATGTTCCCTTGATGTAGTACTCTTCCCCTTTTCCTATGGATGTGGCTTTTTGTTAGCCGAACTGCAGTGATTGTTGTCTCTCTTCTGAGTCTAGTCACCCAGCAAGTCTACCTGGCTCTGGGCTCATGCTGGGAATTGTCTCCACAGAGTCCTGTGATGTGAACCCTCTGTGGGTCTCTCACCTGTGGATACTATCACCGGTTCCGTTGGAGGTGGCAGGGGGCTGAAATGGACTCTGTGAGGGTTCTTAGCCTTCATGGTTTAATGCTCTACTTTTGTGCTGGTTGGCCTCCTGCTGGGAGATGGTGCTTTCCAGAGAGCATCAGCTTTGACAGTATGGAGAGGAACCAGTGGTTGGGGGGACCATGGAACTCCCAAAATTATATGCCCTTTGTCATCAGCTACCAGGGTGGGTAGGGAAGGATCATCAGGTGGGGGTGGGGCTAGGCATATCTGAACTCAGACTCTCCTTGGGCAGGTCTTGCTGCAGCCGCTATGGGGGTTGGCAGTGAGGTTCCCAGGTCAATGAGTTGTGTACCTAGAAGGATTATGTCTTCCTCTGCTGAGTCATGCAGATTGTCAGGGAAGTGGAGGAAAGCTGGCAGTCACAGGCCTCACCCAGCTCCCATGCAAACCAAAGGGCCGGTCTCAAGCCCACTGTTTCCCCCTAACAGCACCCTACGTCTGTTTCCAGGTGGGCAAGCCAGGCTTGAGAACTTGCCCCAGGCTGGTTTTCCGATCTGCGAAAGAAAAGGGTTTGGTTCTTCCCTGGCCTGTGGAGTCTGCACACCGGATTCATGCCTTCCCCTGAGTTCTGGCCAGGAAGCTTCTCACCCAGTTCAAATTGTTAAGAAGTTCATCTGGAGATTTCCTCCTCCCTGTGGAGTTTTACCCCCAGCTCCTCTGGCCGCCCTCCCAATGGATCCCTGTGGTGCTAGGCAGGAATGGGCTGCTTGGGGTCCCAGCAAGCTCCTAGAGCCTTTCTTTCTGGTTCCTCTACTCCCATGTTTCGCTTGGTTTTCTAAATTGACTTAGGTCCAGGTAAGATTGGAAACTTCTCTCGAAAACAGACCTTCAGTTCCTCCAGTGGGGGTATCTTTGGGAGAGGATCTCCCTTTTCCACTTCTGCAGTTGGGGCACTCAAAGTATTTGAGAAGTCTCCTGGGTCCTGCAGAAGCAATCCACTTCCTTCAGAGGGTCTGTGGGTCCTCTCTGGATTGCCAGTTTGTTCTTGCCATTGATTTAGAGCTAGAATTCACAGTGCAAGCCTCGGTACTCCGCTCTGTCTGTCAGAGCCTTAGAAGTGTTTTAAGACACTAGTAATGATAGTAGAAATCCAATATAAGAAAATAAAGGCATGATTAGAAACTTATGAATATAAATTCTCTGTAAAAATAATGTAAAGCAATAGAAGTTGAATTTTAGAACTCACAAGGGATTTGAACATATACATTTGATTGTTGTTTTAAAGAGTATCGTATAACATTGGGATAACACCCATCGACTGCTAAAGGAGAAACAGTAAACTACATTGGATGCATGTGTAGACACTAAGCTGGGCTTCTGAGTTGGAATTCTGCTCCATCACTTATTGGCTCTGTAACCTTGGGCAAGTTACATAACCCTATCTCTCTTTATCAAATAAAAATACAGATTGATGAGCTCAATTTAAAGTTAAATAACAAATGCATGCTTGCTTGCTTGTTTTAGTTTGTGTCCCATGCAATATTTGAGAAATATTGGTACAAAAAATAATGTATTATTTATCTAAAATTCAAATTTAAGTGAATGTCTTATATTTTATCTAGCAACCCTACCTTAAAGAAGTCATCTCTAGGAGATTTGGAATAAAGCCTGCAGGAAAAATTTTTTGGAGCTCGTTTTTCCTTTTTCATTTTAATGCTCTATATCTTTCAAGATATATTAAATGTTTTAAAGTAGACCATTTTGTGTCTTAATGCTAAGTATTAGAATTTTGGAATCAGCTAAGTATCGGTATCTTAATCAGTATTTTAGAATTGTGCCAACTTAATAGCAGGTACTTAAATTATTTGTTAAATGGATGGTGGCAAGGTGATAACATAGAGGTTACAAGGTAGATTGAACATACATACTTTATATATATATATATATTATATATATATATAATTTTTTTTTTTTGAGATGGAGTCTCACTCTGTCTCCCAGGCTGGAGTGCAGTGATGCAATCCGGCTCACTACAACCTCCGCCTCCTGGGTTCAAGCAGTTCTCCTGCCTCAGCCTCCTGGGTAGCTGGGATTACAGGTGCCCACCACCACACCCGGCTGCTAATTTTTTGTATTTTTAGTAGAGACAGAGTTTCACCATGTTGGCCAAGTTGGTCTTGATCTCCTGACCTCAGGTGATCCACCTGCCTCAGCCTCCCAAACATATTTTTGAAACAAATAGTTTTTTCCTGATAGACAGGAATCATCAGGGTCCTGCCTTATTGAAATTGCACAAAATTTTGTTATTGGCACAAGATGGAGCCCATTGTCTTTATTGATGCCCTTCGTGTCATTCTAATGTATATGCCTACGCTCTTGTGAAAATTTTCTGTTGTTCTTAATAAAACACAGGGAAAAAATTGTAGTGAATACTTACAAACAGAGATATAAATATTTCACAGAAGAAAAAGAGAAAACAGACTAAACAGAAAGTGTTTTAAGCAAAATGATTATAATATGGAGGTAAAATGTAGCCTTCGAATATCTTCAAATTAATGTGTTTAGCTGTTACGAGAGTAAAGAATGACAATGAGAATACCATTGATGAAGTTGAAATTTGAGGAAGTAGTATGATTCATATAGAGAATAAATATTTTGAAACATTTATTATTAACTTAAATTGTATTAATTATTTGCAGTACACCAAAAGAATTTTACTGAAGAATTTCTGAAGAGTAATAAGCAGAAGGTTAAATCTCAAACCAGGTTAAGGTGATAAAATGGTGATAATTTTGAAGATAGTGATTAAAAAGAATGCCTCATGTAAATTAAGTCAGATTTTTAAAGAAATTCACAAATTGGGAACATTCTGAGTAGGGCAGAGTGCTCTGAATTTCTAATCAACAAAGTAATTCTGGAACTGGAAAAAAAGTAGACAGGAATATAAAGCAATTTTTTTGATAAAGGATAGTGATAATGAAACAAAATCTAATATATCTTATCTTGGTTTTAGAAGACACAAATGTTGTATATTTACATAAGGGATTCAAAAGATTGATATTTGTTTCCTATTTAATAGAATTTGAAAGGTACAGAAAAATTCTCTGTCCCCAACTAAAATATTGGGAGACAAAAAAAATCAAAACTCAAAATTCAAAAATAATCTGGAGTGTTCCGCTTTTGGCGAAGATGAAATAACACTGGATTTTCATCCCACCTGAAATGACACAATAAGTCTGGACAAATACATGATACAATGTTTTTCAAGTACTTGGACATTAAGCAAAGAAGGAAAGTCATCCCCCAAAAATGAGGGGGAGAAAAAAGTGGACTGAAATTTTCCTAGCTTTCTGTCAGAGAATATTCTCCAGGTCACAATACAGGAGAAGGGACTCAGAGAGAGAGCCAAGTGGTCTCTCTAAGTTCGGAAGACACTCTTGGAAGTCTGAGGAGGCAAAGGTGTCTAGAGTTCATAGGACAAAGCTCCAAAAATGGGAGATGTACGAAGAAAAAACATGTGACCTGAATAGGACCACCCTTGAGTCCTAAACTGAGTACAGGGCAGCATATTCATGTTAGGAAAAGACCCAAGACTGGAGAAAGATTCATCTGAAAATATTGCATTGAATGACACCTAAAGCATTCACAGGACCTGTATTAGTTTTCTTCCCCAGTCCCCAACTGGAAAACTTAACAAGGTGAAAAGTAGGCTACTAGGAAGTGTCTCATTAGTTAGGCAAAATTAGCCCTAGGCTACGTATTCCTCTGGTCCAACCAAATAATTCTTGGAAAGATGAAATTGTTTCCATGGAACTTAATTGTACATCAGAGCAAAGTTTCTGATGATTTGTAGGAATACAAAAATATCCAGCACCCTGCAAGTTAAAACTTGCATCAGGTACTATCATAAAATATAACTCATCATTGGTGGAATATGACACATAAAGAGAAGAAAACCAATCAATTAAAACCATCCCAGAGCTGACAAGATGATAGCATTAGCAGACTAGGACATTAAAACAGTTAATGCAGTGAATCTGACTATATTCAATGTGTTTGGAAAGTGAAAGACTGGACACATCAAGAATGGACATGGAAGATATAGGGAAAACTGTATCTTCAAAATACTAGATGAAAACTACAGTGTCTGAGATGAAAAATCCAGTAGAGGAGATAAATGGCTGATTAGATATTGCAGAAGATTAGTGAACTTGAGGACATACCAGTAAAAACTATCCAAAAAGAACCTCATAGGAAAAACAAGCCTAGAAAAATACATGAAGAGAACATCAGTGAGCTATGAAATAACTTAAAGCAGCCTAAGACATGTATAGTTGAATTTTTAAAGGGGAAAATAGAGGGATGGGGACAGAAATAAACATTTGAAGAACAAATGGCTGAAAGTGATACTAAGCAATGAGATTACTGCCCTTATGCGAGAGGCTGCCAAAAAACACTGCCTTTTCCATCATGTGAGGGCAGAGCTAGAAGGTGCCCTCTGTGAACTAGGTGACAGGCACCAGATACTGAATCTGCTGGTGACTTCACCTTGGCCTTCCCAGCTCCCAGAACCGTAAGAAATCAATTTCTGGGGGCCGGGCACAATGGCTCACGTCTGTAATCCCAGCACTTTGGGAGGCCCAGGCAGGTGGATCACCTGAGGTCAGGAGTTTGAGAGCTGCCTGGCCAACATGGCGAAACCCTGTCTCTACTAAAAATACAAAAAATTTAGCTGGGCGTGGTGGCACGTGCCTGTAGTCCCAGCTACTCGGAAGGCTGAGGCAGGAGAATCACTTGAACCCGAGAGGTGGAGATTGCAGTGAGCTGAAGTCACACCACTGCACTCCAGCATGGGCGATAGAGCGAGACTCTGTCTCAAAAAAAAAAAATAAAAGAAATCAATTTCTGTTTATAAGCCATGTAGTCCAGGGTAGTTTGTTATAGCAGCCTGAAAAGACTAAGATATATAAATATGAAAAATAAATATTCATAAAAACATGCATAAAACTAATTAAGATGGTGAGTTTATCTCCTCATCTGATAAAGGTAATTACAGTACAAATCTAATAGAGTTTAAGGATTGCATTATTACGTGAATTTTGCGTATGTGTGTATTATATATAGGAATATAACACACATTAAGATACATATGACTGTGAACACACATGCACACACAAAAGCTATTTAATGTACATTTATGCTTTTGTTTCTCCTATAGTAGTAACCACCCTCCAGTTTCTACACTGTAATCCTAAGATACCCTGAGTTCCCCTATTCCCCTCTTCTCTTTTTCCTATATCAATTACAAACTCCATCCCAACAGGGACTTCTTGTATTTTGGATATAATTTAAAACTTAGCGTAAAGTTGCAAAACAATACAATGAATTCTCATATGTGGGTTACTAAGATTCAGCAATCATTTAGGTCTTGTCCTGTTTGTCTTACCCCTCCCTCTCCCTCTCTGAAACATTTGAGAGAAATTTGGAGGGGGTGTGCTCCATTTCCATGATACTTCAGTGTACATTTCATAAGAACAAGAACAAAAACATTCTTTTGTCGTTTCCTATAGGTTAGTGCTTCTAGAGCAGGTGCTCAGTAAGCCACTTGCTTCAGAAACACTTGAGGGGTAAAGATGAACTTAACATTCAGATTCCTCCCCCAACCTCTAGTCCCGTTAAATCAGAATCTCCAAAAGTACGGCCCAGGAATTTTAATATATTTATAATCTGGGATGCACTGCTCTGAGTTTTATTGCATAAAGAGCTCAAAATAATGATTTTATAGCTTAAAGCGGTATATACAACTTAGAGCAGTCACCCCTGGAGGGAATTGTGGATCAGAGAAGGGAGTCAAAGTACAGTATTATATGACATGTACCTTAGAACCATTGAATTAAGTCTCTTACACCAAAAGTTTTTAAGATCACAAAAAATTAAATGTTACTGTTCCAAAAGTGATGGAAGACATTCTTAAAAAAATAAAGCAATGCAAAGTAGTTTATAATACTGAGTCTCTTGAATGCATCTATTTTCATGAGTCATTCTTCTCTACCCTGGGATTCAGAAGAATTTTTATCCACAGCTATGATTTTGTAATCATAATACTATCTCTAATATCTGTGAGTACATGAAGCATTCTCACAGAGTGTTTTGGCCAGGTTTCTCCATGTCTTGTCTTCTGAGATAAAAGAATAAAAAATGGATTTTGTGTGCCACATACAGTATTAAGTTGCATTTGGTAGTAACTCTGGGGCTATAGGATTAGATTGTTTTCAAAATGAAAGCACTGTGAAAGCTGCCAGTCAAGGTTGAATTCATCTATTCATTTCAGAAAAACTTTACCGTATTAACATTGAAACGCATTACAGAGGGAGATTTTACAACTCCTTTCACTTTCCTCAGTGTCTTTAAAACAATATATGTTTTCCTCTATGCACTTTAAAATGGGCCTTCTTAGAAGGCAAAGGAGCAGGGTTTGGCTCTGCCCTTTACCTGGTGCCAGGGGTCCAGAGTTTGCCAGAGATGCCCAGAACTGTGCACAGTGGGCATTCAAGAAGTGTTTATAGAATCAGAATGATGAATCTGCAGTGCTAGGCCTCTTACCAGATTTATGTTTTCTCTGAGATTATTTACAACCAAACGACATTTCCACAACAGATGGTTTTATAATGACAGAGATACATCTAAGAGCAGGCTTCAAACTTTCCATACCTAAAAGGAGCTCTTTTTTGAACCATACTAAATATTTCAACTTTCCCTTATATCAACATTTAGTTGTGTGTTTTTATTCATTTCTAATATCCTATAATTTGGGTATAAAGATTTGTAGAAATTATTTACCTACCTTTTTATTAAACTCAAAAACCAACTTTGTATTTTGATGGAATTTTAAACTTTTCATCTCTAGATTTTATTATGCTTTCTGCATATTATTTTAGATTCTATGTAACAATTGCCTCAATGCAATCATAATATTTTCTCTTGCTTATGGAGTCTAAACTTGAACAGCTTTCTCTACTTTATTAATCCAGTTTGAAATTAGTTTGTCTTCATTTGTCCCAAAACAAATAGATAAAATAATAAGAGATTCTGGAAGCAAATATTTATTGTTATAAAACATCAAACATTTTATTTTGACTAATGCTGAATTATTATTTTCACTGGGGAATAGGGAATGTGGGTTCTTCATTTAACAAACACAGATTTTACTAGGAGATATTTAAAGCCAACGTTCTTGGTTTATACATAAGGTGTGTTACGGCGGCAGTGGCAGTGGTGATGGGGTATGTGTTTGCATTGGGAATGTAGTAGTATATTAATCTTTGTTGACAAGCAGCTGTGTAATTGCATTTCTGAAGGCCAGTTTGAGTTATCATTTTAGAATGCAGTTATGTCACATTCAAACTGTTGGCAATAGAGTGAGATGTACTGTAATGACAAACAGAAAATAAAGAGATACTTGCGGTTTTAATTTGTCAGCATGCCACTCTCGAAGGTCGGGGAAGGCAGATAGTGAAGTGGCTGTAAGGAACCTTCAATAAGTCTCTACCACGCTATCTGCTCCTTTTCTCTCCCTCACAATAGCCTTCCAGTCACCTCACCTCTAGAAAATATTTAGAATCTTGGCTTTGCCTCTTAAATATTTGCTTATGAGAAAGGAAGAAAATAAACCAAAAGGAGATAATTCTTACTTGTGGAATTTAAGTCATTTAGGCACCAAAGTGCACAAGAAATTTTAGAACACGAATGCTCTCTAAATCATTTAAATCACATAATATGGAAATGCCTATGTTTATGACCAGTGTTTAGAATTAGTTTTGCCATTCTTTCATAACTATGTAGTCTTCTCAGGCTGCCATAACAGAATACCATAGACTGGGTGGCTTAAATGACAGAAATTTATTTCTCATAGTTCTGCAGGCTGGAAATCCCAGATCAAGGTCTGGTGTGTTTCATTTAAAGTGAGGGCTCTCTTCTTGGTCTGTAGACAGCTGCTTTGTCATCATAAGGCCTTTCCTCTGGGTACATTAGGGAGAGAGAGAACAACAGATATGTTTGGTGTCTTTTCTTATAATCCTACCAGAGGAGGGCCCCAACCTCATGACCTCATTTAACCTACAGTACTTCTGTAGAGGCGCCATCTCCAAATACAGCCACACAGGGAGTTAGGGTTTCAACATATGAATTTTACGAGGGGCACAAACATTCAATCCAATACCTCCACCCTGGCTTTCCAAAATTCATGTCTTGCATTTATTCCATCCCAACAGTCCCCCATATCTTAAATCATTCTAGCATCAACTCTAAAGTCAAAAGTATCATCTAAATATCTAGGTCACAGATGTTTGAAAATGTAGGTACAATTCATCTTGAGGAAGTTTCTCTCCAGCTGTGAACCTGTGAAACTAGACAACTTATCCACTTCCAAAATATGATGGAGGAGCAGGCATAAAAGTTTAGAATGAAACTTTTTCATTCTAAGAGGGATACATCAAAAGGAACAAAGGGGTGAGAGGCTGCAGGCAAGTCCAAGACCTAGCAAAACAACTTCTGTTGGAACTAAAGACATGAAGGTAGCCCTCTCTGGCTTGGTGCCCCCACTTCTGGGCCTGCTGGGTGATGGTCTTGTCCCACAAGCTTTGCTGGGCTGGGGCAGCAGCCGGACCTGTTGAAACCACAGAGATGGCTCAACCTTTTTGAAACTAAAGTGGAGGCAGCCTTGCTCCCAGGGCCTTTGGTGGGCCTGGTGATCTCTGAATTACCTTCAGAGTCACTCTTCCCTTATCTTGAGGAATAAATCATAGTCAGTGCTGAAGAGCTCTATAGTCCAGTCCTGTGCCTTTGGTCCAAACTGACTGCATCTCTGCTTGCATAATAATTCCATCTATATTCCTGGCTTCTGCCTATAGGGCTGGTTAACATCATGGATAATCTCTTTTAGGAGTGATTGTCCAACCACACCCTTGGTTTTCTCTTGAACAGTCTTCCTCAGGTTTTTGCAATATGAATAGGCTTATCTTTTTCAAATCTTTAAGATACATTTTCTTTAAGCTTAAATATCTCTTCATTTTAATCTCTTATCTCACATTTTACTAGAAACAGCATGGAGAAGCCCAGTTGCTCTTTGTACAGTTTGCGTAGAAATCCCCTCATCTAAATATACAATTTTATCCCTTGTTTGTATTACTTTCCCCAAAACACTGAAAATAAATTCAACCAAGTTCTTTTCCACTTTATAAGAAGAATCACCTCTGCTCCATTTTCTAAATAAACAGCTCATTATTTCAGTGTCAGACCTCATCAGAATAGCCTTTAATATCCATATTTCTACCAACATTATTTTTCTGATGGCATTTGTATGCATTAACACTAATCATCAGAAATACGATTATATGAATATAAGAATGCTTACCTGCCATTTCAGACAATTATGACTGTTAAAGTAGACACAGCCTCCTTACCTGGGGGCTCACAGGCTACAGGTTAATAAATTTTAGGTTATTAAAGTTGTAGGATAAATAATCACAAAATATCAAGAACTATCCGGTAATACAATACTGAAAATACAGCCGAAAGAACTAAAGTCCAAAAAATGACTTGGTTAAATGACATAATTAAGCAACAGTTGACCAACTGACAAAAAAGAATCTTTCTACTGTAAATTCCCAGGATCTTGTCTCTGCTAGAGTCATATAAAACACTCTAGGCTTCAAATAGTGGTGTGAACCTGGCCTTCATGTTGCAAGAGTAAACCAATTGGCATAGTTGTTCATACAAAGGGTAATGTCTAATAGTACAGCCACCAAGACTAATTTGATCTTCTTGGCATAAAAAACATTGCCACTTGTTTGCTGAAATCAAAAAAGGCAGAACTTTTTTTTAAAAAAATCTAATAACCCTATGAAAAATATCAATGGTTATTTCAGCATTTGCCATTTCGGATAAAACCATTTTGAGTTCTCATGTTTTTTTTGTTGATGTGAACAAAATGTATTTAATATTATAGTAAAAACACTGTATATGACATATATAATTCTGCTAACTCATAAAAGATGAACATAATTTACTTATTGATTTTTATAATCAATGGCAAACAAAACTAACTACGATTTTTTTAGGCTTATCATATAAGTCACCCAAAGATAACATTAAGAGAGACACATGTTAAAGAGAGAGCAAACCTTTGATTTAATTCACAATTTAGAAAGTGTAAAAAGAGTCTGTAGAATGTTGATCCTATGAGATAACAAAAGTATATACAATTCTTATAACAACTATAATGATTAAAAACAGACACTCAAACTTAAATATTGTAGAAATTCTAATATTGCTTCTAAAGATCAAGTAAGTGAAGAATTGTTCAGAAAGGCATTTGATGCCCACTGAAGGCGGTAAGAAATCCGAAATCTTGAGGCTGTTCCAGCTGCCATGGGTGCTTGAAAAAGAGAGGGATGGAGGGAGGGAGAGAGAGACAGACAGAGAGAGAGAGAATCTCAATCCCAGTGAGCTCATTGAGCTCATTGTACCTGTGTGCTGGAGTGATTGATGTTTCCTGGATGGTCAGAATGCCTGGGACAGTGAGCTCATCCTTTGCTGGCCAGAATTTTGTCACTGTGTTTAATTTAGTCAATATGACATCATTGTATCTAGAGGAGTCAACCTTTGTAGTCACCAGCAAGATTACGGTAGACATTCCTTTGTCCGTGTCTCACCCATCATACCTCTGCTCCAGTCTGTCATGCCCATTTACCAAAACCCATAGCAATAATACTTTAGAGCATATAAGATTATAATAAATAATAAGCCTATACATGAGGAAATTAGAAGCAGGAATTTGCTTGGGTAGGTGGTATGGATAGGGAATTTACAATGACTGCCATGTGCAATAATATCCTTGAAGAAGTGGGACTACTTTGGTTGCATAGTTATTGCTGAGATGTTATGAGTAGCTGAAAGATTGTGTTTGGGGAGGAATGGTTCCGTTATCAATGCTATTGTTGTCTTGTCAATGCACCTTAGTGTAGCAGTTTCTCATTGTCTGAGCTAGTACCTGGGGTTCCTTGTCCTATGTCCAAGAAAATTAAGGAACACAGACACAAGGGTGAGGTTGGAGCAAAAGTTTAATAAGTGAAAAAAGAAAGCTCTCTGCAGCAGAGAGGGGAGTCCGAGTGGATTGCCGGGTTACAGCTGAATGCAAGAAACTTTTATAAGAAACTGTTCTCCTCCATGTAACTGTTTGAGTAACTTTTTATTAGTAAAGCTGTCTGTGCAACTCCCCTTATCTTATACAGCTGTGGGTATGTCTCTAGGCAAGCACAAAGCACTACTTCTCTTGTAGGTATAACTGTGGGTTTGTTTTAGTTAAGACCCCTCCTCCCTGTGCCTGTTTACATGGAGCCCACCGTGTATATGCCTGAAAATGGAAGGAAACTTTTTCTTGGGAGCTCTGTAATTATACAAAGAACAAAGGGCTTCTGTACTGGACCCTGTCTGCTTATCTGTGTGTAGGTGCAGCCTGAGTTTTTTCCCAGGTTGTTTTATTTTTACCTATTGCTGTGACTTTTCAGGCAGGCCACTTCTGCAGTCTAAGTTTTCCCCAACTGATTTTTCCTTTCCTTCTCCATCACTATTGGAGAGCAGAAGTTTCTGGGGACCTCATATCACAACCTGTACCTCATCCTGGTCTACAGATATCTTGTGCAAGAGTGCTGCACTAAGCTTCATCCAAGTGAAACCTTTACCTGATCACTGGAACAGGGCACGTCAGTTGACTACAGTAAGTGATCGAGTGAAGACCAAGTTTAGCTGATAATTGGGGAAACTTAGAAAAATCATGTCCAGATAATTTTGAAGAAGCATGATAAAATCCATGCCCCAGTTCAAACTTTGGGAACATACTCTGGCTTCCAGAAATTTTCTGGGTTTCAATATGTAGTCATCTGACTTATGAGGACTATTCCACATTTTAGTGTTTCACTTATTTCCTGGTCCACTTGCAAGGAGATGAGTCCATGTGTCTAATTCTGGCCAATGGACTTTGATGCTGAAGTGCCAAGCGGGGTTTCCCAGGCTCTCTTCCTTGTTCATGAGGCTAGAGGTCAAGGGCTAAAAAATGGTGGTCACAGGATAGAAGGAGCTCTAGTTCCTGAATTTGCCACTTGGAAGCTGCATAGCTATAATTTCACCCATTAATCTTAACTGAGGAAGAAACGTGTTCCCTGCTTAATCCATGCAGTAATTTTTTAATAGTAATTGGTGTCTCTTGACTAATATAATATTTCTTCTTTTGAGATTGTGAAACATGTCATTTTCAATTAAGCAAATACCATTGAGGCAAAAAATTAATTTAAAAAGTTGATTATAAGCTGACTTATGAATATTGATCACCTGAGTTTTATTTGAGGGCACCCAAATTCTCTTCTTTATCCTTTAAATGATTTTGAGAGAATTTTATTAATCTACGGAAATAATGTTGTTTGCATTTACTTTATAAGCTATTTTTCTTATGGTTAGGTTAAAAACTTTATTTAATTGTAACCAAGGAACATAATTTTTTTAAAAGAGCAAAAACCTGACTAATCAATAAACTGTGTGAGAATAATATTGAATTATGCAAAGAAAGAATTGAAGGAAAAGTTGCGTTTTCTATATTGGAAGCAAGAGAGAAGAGTAATACGAGCTCTTCTGATAACATTGAAAATTAAAATTACAGTAAAGGAAAGAGCCTTTTACATCTGGGTTGCTTTCCAGGTCAGCAAGTTAATTCTGTGTTACTTGCATTGGTGATTTAACCTCTCAAAATTTCAGTTCAAAATCAGTTAAACAGTAGTCTAAATACCTCTCACAATCAAATATGATAGAATGTAAAACAGCTCAGTACACCATAGGCATTCAGTAAATATTGATTTCTTTTTCTTTTCTTGTCCTTTCCTTGATACAAATTTTCATCATAAAATAGACAAATAAGCAAAACCCATTAAGTAACAGAGTTATAACAGGCTATAAAAATAATAAATGTTTGGAGGCAGTTTTAACAAAATTAATCCATTGGGTAATAAAGTTATAATCACACACAGCTTTTGCAACCATAAGGCCTATGATCTACTAGAGATAAAAGTATTAGCAAAGTAATTACAAGTGAGTGCATGAGAAAAATTCAAGGAGCAATAAAAATCAAATAAGGAAAATTTTAAGCAACCTAGGGATTTGCACTAGTGTTCTTAAATAAGTAATACTGAAACTGAAGACTGAAGAATATGCAGACAAAAGCAAACTATAATTAAACCCCAGGATGTGCAAAGGCTCAGTTGAGAGAATGGTGAATTTGAAAAGCTGAAAGTTAAGTTTGTCTGGGATGAAAGGTGAGAAAGGAGGAATAATTGTAAGTAAGTGTGGTACAGTACGTGAGGCAAGCTCGGGGCAGGTGGTAGCAGCCATGTGAGGGAATTTGCCATGTGCAGTAAAAGCAATGGGAAGATGCGTAGATGCATGCATGGCACTGATTCTTTACGTTCCTGTGTCCATGCCCTTTGCCATATGACTTCATAGTGGCCACTCTCTCTATCCCTGGGACCAGCCATAGCACATAAAACAACCTGGGAAAAAACTCAGGCCACTCCTGCAGACAGATAAGCAGACAGGGTCCAACACAGAAGCTCTTTGTTCTTTGTGTAATAACAAGCTCCCATAAAAAAGTTTCCTTCGCTTTTCAGGCATATACTTGCTTTGGACAATAGACTGAAATGAAAACAAAAAAAAAAAAACAGTACCAGTTTCTGAATATAGGCCTCAACACGTCTTACAAGCTTCTTATACTCTTGTACCTCTGTCAAAACTGTGAGAGAGATGAACCTTCTGGTGACAGGAGGTGATGAAAATCACTGGGAATAGATTTTTTCTAGCTAAGCATCCCAGCTGAGCAACCTTAGACAAATTCCACCTAGAGAAGATCACAAGACATCCACTGATGCATAAAGTGAACCAGCTGATCGGACTATACATGAGCAAAAGTAGCCTTTTCCGCATATGCCATCCAGCCAAGCCCTGCCTATATCAGCTAAATACTACAGATGTATGAAAAACACAATTCTACCCCCTCTAGGATAATGAAGGTTTGAGAGTTTCGGCATGCAGTGATAGAAAACACTGAGGGCTTTGAATCCAGACAGATACAAACATTTTTCACTTTTACAATATAATTTTTGATACAATAATGCAAATAAAACAGAAGAAAAAAGAAAGAAAGAAAGAAGGAAAGAAAGAAAGGAAGAAAGGAAGAGAGAGGAAGGAAGGAAGGAAAGGGAGGGAGGGAAACAAAGAAAGAAAGAAAAAGAGAAAGGGAGGGAGGGAGGAAGAAAGGAAGGAAGCAAGGAGAGGAAGGGAGGGAGGGAGGGAAAGAGAAGGAGAAAGAAAGAGAAAGAAAGAGAGAAAGAAGGAAGGAAGGAAGGAGAGAGGAAGGGGGAAGAAAAAGGAAGAAAAAGCAAAAGAAAAGAAGGAAGGAAGGAGACAGGAAGAGGGGAAGAAAAAGAAAGAAAAAGCAAAATAAAATAAAAGAAAAGATAAGAAAGTAAGTCACCAGTCTGAGGTTTAGAATAAAATGGGGGTGACTGGGGACAAATGCATAGAGAGGCATCGATTTGGAAGATATTTGAGGCATAGGAAGAATCAATAGATTGGTATATTTTGTGTATGCTACATTGACATTCAGCGATGAAACATATGCTTCTGGCTTGTATGTTTTACTAAAACAAAGATACTAAAGGAGTTAAAGGTTGTAATAGCAGAAATAATATAATTATAGATGGTTCTCAAAAATAAGAATAAATTAAATTATCTTGGGAGAGTTGCCATCATACTGATTTTAGAATTGTGACCCAAAATATATATTTGAAAGTTACTCACAATAAAAGGGGAAGACATAAAAATATATTTTGAGTTGTGGGTAAAGCTTGAGTCAAGTGATACAATTTTTAAAATATAATACCAAGCAATTGATTATGGTATATCTTGATCAAAGGTGATGTGTTTTCAGAATTATCTCAGATAAGTATGTTCATGGTGAGAGGGAGGAGTCCCTTGTAGATATGTCAACTATCTAAAGAGTTTAATATGTGTTTTTCTGGTTAGTGCAGAAATATCCTGGACATATGATAGGGTTACATCTCTTTTAAATAAGCAAACATAACATGGATAGATTTGGACACAGTTTAGCAGTCTGGGATGATGAATCTGCCTCCTTTAGAACAACGCTTTTCCATATCAGCATTACTGATATATTAGGTTGGATAATGCTTCATTGGGGAATGGGAATAGTCTTTGCATAATAAGATGTTTAACAGCATCCCTGGCCTGCGCTCACTAGATGCAAGTAGCATCTCCCAGTTGTGACAACCAGAAATGTCTCCCTACACTGCTGTAACCCTGTGGGGTAACACTGCATTGAATTGAGAAACACTGCTAAGGGTAGGTGATTTTTTAAGCTTGGAAAGCTAAATAATTAGGTATAGATTTTGCAATGTATATCAAAGCCATGATACTAATATCACTGTATATTGTTTGTTTGGTTAGTAAATGTTCATTTTTTTTCAAGAATCTTAATACAAGGTAACTTTCTGGAGGTAATGAAAATGTCCTATATTTTATGTAGGTTGTATATTACATTTGTCAAAAACTTTCTACGGAAATAGGCCCTTTTGATCTGTGCATTTTAATGTAAGTAATTATGCTTAAATTTTTTTTTTAAAAAAACAAGATTTTCTTAAAGTTTAAGGGAAATGTAGAAGTTAGGCTTTCATTTTAAGCAGCAAAGCAAAAGACAATTTCCTTAAGTGCATTATTGTACTGTGGTTTGACATAATGTCATTTACTGTATTTCTAAATTTAGTATATTGTATTTACAAAAGTTGTTTAAATGCTTTTGAAGATCACTTTTTGTTAAGCATGTAAATTCTCCCTGTAAGACATGTGAAAACACAAAGAATATAAAAATTCATATAGTTCAATACATTAAAAGAAATTTAATTAACTTGGTTTTACAAGGGTTTAAAGGGAATTTAATCTGTTCAACCTAGGTTAATTGAACCTTACTGCAACCACAAGCAAAGGTGCTATTTTTTTCTTTATTCCTCAGATGAAAACAATGTATAATGAATTTCAAAAGTTGAACTTTAAGGCTAGAGGAGCCCATATTTTTAAATTTTTAACTTTAATAAATTGAAAATTAATGTCAAATACCATAATTCTAAATAATCCTTTCTTTTTACCTGAAAAGTTTGTCAAGGACGAAACCACAAGAAACTCTGAAATAAAAGAGGCAAAGAACATTCAGGGAGACTGAACAGAAGATGCCAAAAACGTGGTAAGAAAACCCTGAGAAGAGTAGCAGAACCCATAGAGAAGAAGTGTTTGGAAGAGGTGGTGGTGGTGAACAACTTTTAATGGGAATGATCCAAGAAAAGAGAGAGGAAGAAAGAGGTCAGTTGAGTCTTAACATGGTGCCATGGCTATAGTAATTCTAGTGAAGCATATTCCAAATGAGAAAATAAGTACTTTCACAGACAGAGTAAATAAGTTTCCATACTATTTATAGACATTTTCTACCTATCTGTCTAATTCATGAATGTACTGTGAGTTTTTATGTGCATATTTATGTATACATTTACGTAACTCTCAGCTATCTTCTATCTAGTGTGAATGTGAATTACCAAAAATAAATATAAATATGGAGGAAAAAATCAAGCCTCTTCAGTTGCCTATCTCACCGAAGTAGTTCTCAAAGCTTTTGGTTAGAATAACTTGTATCAAATTCAGGCCTCACATATGAATGACTGTGTGAAAAGCTGAGCACATTATTTAAACTCTTCGCAGCCTAATTTCTCGAATCATTCAATGGAGCTAACTCGCGATGACTTGAAGATTGAGTGAGAGAATTCATGTAAAACGTTCAGGGTAGGACGTTCAGTGTTCTCCACCTGTGCGGCACAATCACCCAAGAACCTAAAATGTAGAATCAAAGGCCCACTCCCGACTTCGATTTTCAGTTGGTCTCAGGGGAGACCCAGGCATATATTTCATGTTTTTTGTTTCTGTTTTTAAATTTTCTCCAGATATTTATTATGCAGTTAGTAGAGAAATCTTAATGGGAAAACTAGTACATAGTTCATTTTCAATAAGTGGCAGCTATTATCACTGTCATCACGATCATCAACTATAATAAATGGTTTCGGCTGGGCACGATGGATCACGCCTGTAATCCCAGCACTTTGGGAGGCCGAGGCGGATGGATCACGAGGTCAGGAGATCGAGACCATCCTGGCTAACATGGTGAAACCCCGCCTCTACTAAAAAAATACAAAAAATTAGCCGGGCGTGGTGGCGGGCGCCTGTAGTCCCAGCTACTTGGGAGGCTGAGGCAGGAGAATGGCGTAAAACCTGGGAGGCAGAGCTTGCAGTGAGCCGAGATGCACCACTGCACTCCAGCCTGGGTGACAGAGCGAGACTCCATCTCAATAAATAAATAAATAAATAAATAAATAAATAAATAAATGGTTTCTTCAATGAATTTTCACAGTTAAAGAAATTACATTGACATTGGCACCTGAAGGTTGCCTGAAGGCAAATAGAAAATAATACAAATGAACCACTGATTTTTAAAGCTATTATAAACTTCTTACTATAAAAATGAAATTTGCATTTATCTATGGCAGAGTTACTGTAAGGATTAGCATCATATCATTATCTCCTTTTGGCAGAGAAGATATAAATTGTGTCTTTCAGCTGAATCATTGTAATCAGAATTTAAATTCATATAGTTTTAATTACATTCAACTTTTTATAAAATTATTACATTTGATGAATGAACTATTAGAAGACACCTCAAAATATCAATTACTTAAAAATGTACCTAGTCATAAGAAAACTTTTATTTAATAAAAATGACAGCATAGTTCCATAAAATTTAATAGCAATTTATATGTTACATATTCTCAATTGGAAAGAATGTGTGGCATTATAGCCGTGTTATAACTACTGCTTATGAGTTAAGGACATGTGCAGAAGACCAGGAATACAGTGTTTTGTGGTCACCAACAAAATAATAAAATGCATTCCCAAGTATATAAATTATTAATCATTTTTGAATTATCATTGCCCTTAAGTCTTTCAAATTTGCTGAACATTCTCCCATTTTATAAATCCTTGAAACTTCATTTGCAAAATGTGGCATTTCAGATAAATTCAGCCTGCAGCACATACTCTAGGACCATGCAGATGATGCACTCATCCTGACCGCTCTCCTCCGCTGATGAGGACACTTGACATTTCATCAACGAGGCGTTTGAGGACCAGGTAGACGCTCACTGCAAACCTAAGGGCCATCAGATGCAGAGGAAGCCACTTGCAATTGATTGTTCTCCTTAAACAACTTCCCTTTTAGGCTTCTGACATGATCTGTGATCTTCTGACATTTTGTGTTGCTTCCTTAATTTCAGTTTTGCTTTGTTGTGACCAAAAAAGTAACTTCCTTGGAAGTCTGACACAAGTTAAATTTCTCAGTACAATTTAGCCTTTCAGCTAGAATGTTATTGAAAGTTGTTAGTATTTGAGATAAATATGGAGTAAATATTTAGTCTAGTAATAAGGAGAAAACATCTTAAGAGCTTAGCAGTAGCCTTAGTAGATATTGAAAAACCTTGCCACACACACCTCTCGTTAATATCTGGGGTATGGTGGAGGAAGTCCAACATGTTCCTCAGGCTACCCATTGGAGGTAGGGTCTCTGCACATACTCCCTAGTGACTTTTGGCCAGCAACTCTCTTATCCTCTGTATTTCACTCACTGGTTAATTGATGTACATCTTTCATATTTTTAACTTATGTCTCTTTATTCATTAGGGCATTTCCATTGAAAAATTTAAAGGGACATGTTTTTAAAATGAGAGAGGATGTATCATTTCATTTTAAATTTAAATTACCATTAAAATAAGAAAAAGTGCTGTATTCTGGGTGCTAAGAAGATGCACGAACAAATTTAGCTAAGAAGGTCTTTTAATGCAGCATGCTGGGCTACCTCCCTTCGCTGGGTCAGGTTGTCTCTGTATGGCCATTACAGAATAATGCCTTTATGGAAGTATATATTAAACTAAACTGAAAATTAGGGAGATTTATGTGTCTTCAGAATGCACCAAAAGCCACTTGAATTTGCTGAAATCTGGACCTTATTAGACACTGACTTATTTTCTTTTACATAATAATGAAAGAAAAAAAATGTATGCCTCCATTATGTCAGAGGAAGCCCATTTTGTGCAGCTAGTTTGGGATACTCTATATCAGAAGAGGAGATGAAAACGTGTTAAAACAATTAATTCAGAATCCAGGGCACAGGAGCTATTAGACTGAGGAGTGTCCTGTGCCCTGGATTTCACGTAAGCAAATCAAAACCCAGCTCAGTGTAAATGGTCATAGTCTGGGATAATGAAATATAAGCTTAACCAATTTGAAGCCACCAACTAACCTCTAGCTAGGAACCTTTCACGGGAATGATCCAAATAAGGCTACTGTTCCACTGTAACCAGTTATGTTTTCTTTGTCTTGATACTATGTTCACCTTATATATACTTTCCTTTCATGCCCTTTCCAAGGAGCCCCAAACCACTTGTGGTCTGGAGCTGCCTAATTCATGAATTGCTGTCTGCTCAAATGAACTCTTTAAAATTTTAATGTGTCTACGTTTATCTTTAAACATAAATCATCCTTCTACTTTTGCCTTCCCTCTAAGGTGGTTGAGATCTGAGCTTTGTAAATGAACATTATACATCAGACAAGACCCAATTTTCTCACATACCTTTACTTCTGACTTCTTTATTTCATCTTTATAGTAACTGCCTTTTTAATGTTTTCTTATTTCAAATTGACTTAAATAAAATCAGCACATTTTTAAAGTTAGATGGCATATTTTTTAAGTTATATGATTTAAGGAAAATGTTACTGCAATTCTAAAAAATATAAGGTGGTTACATACTTGCAACAAGTTTTAATGGTTTTTTTTCAATTAAAGATTGTAAATTACTTCTCCTGAGAGAGACATTTTTCTCTTACCAAGAATTTTTCCTCACTCTGCTTTTCTGGGTATTATAGCTGTTATGACTGCATAAGCCAAGTTGTTTTGACTTAGCTTTATGATCTTAAGAAAATCACTTAATCTTAATTCTGTTACATTAGTTTATCTTCTAAAAAATGGGTTTAAAAAGAGTAGCTTCCTTCTAGTTTTGCTATGAAGTCTAATGAAATTAATGAACAACAAGCTTGAAGGACAATAAGCCTTAGCTATTATTTTGGCAGCATGATGATAGGATATGTTAGATTTCTTTATACAGAATGTCATCATTTAAATTTCTCATATCAAATGGAGGAGACATTATTCCCATGCCTTTTCTCTCAGAACAACATTTATTAATACTCTCAGTTTTCTTACTTGTATTTTCAAATTCTAGTGAGAATAAAATAGGTCACATTTGTGTTACTCTTGTCCTACATTGATCTACAGAAACTTCAAAGAAGCCCCGGAACTGCTCTGAAAATATATCTCCATATGTCCCCATTTTAGTAAACATGCAGATGTCCCTTCAGTGGGTTGCTCTGGAACAAGGTCTGAAAGTCAGTTTCTAGTCCAGATGAGGAGCGAAGCAGTAAACAAGGCCAGTGAGGCCTGTTCTCATGGAGCTTGCATTCTGGTAGGAGGGAGAGAGTACATGAGTGAATAAATACATCTAAACATGTCAGCTAGT
Organism: Homo sapiens; assembly: GCF_000001405.40. Classification (NCBI taxonomy): domain Eukaryota; kingdom Metazoa; phylum Chordata; class Mammalia; order Primates; family Hominidae; genus Homo; species Homo sapiens. The sequence goes on from NC_000007.14 coordinate 52,420,446, forward strand.
GATGCATGCGAAGTATATAGTTAAGGCAACGAGATGGAGAGGTTCCAGGCCCTTAGGCAGGGCCATTAGGCCATCCCACTATTGCAGTCTTTCTCCTAAGCCACAGCATCTTGCTTTTTTAGATTTTTCAGTAGTTAGGGGGAGCCCAACCGGGCTCTGAGTCTCTCAGGTACCACAAGACATTCATCTAGTTCTGGTTCCTTTTGGAAAACTTTCTCTAGGTTTGAAGTGAGGAAGAAGCATTCCATTCCTGCTCTAGATCTCATGATTGGGAAACTCACCACACATGAATTAATTCCTGTTTAAAATTACCTCCAGTCTTCAGTGTCTCTGACAGGAACCAGGAGATGAGATTTTGTGCTTTTTGGTATTGACCTCCATGGCAGTCTCACAGCTCCTTTTGCTCTGTGATCTCTACCAATATTCTTAGAAATTCAGTAAAAATGGAGGGAGAAATTTCTGAGTGCAATTTTTACCCCCCCCCCGTTGTATGGGAATTGGCTGCCTTTTAGACTAAGTCACTCCAGCCCAAGGACGGAGCATTGATGGGAACTCTGTATTTTCACTCTGATCCCGGGAAACTGCAGACAGAAAGAAAATATTTTTTTTGTCATGCAAAAATAATCAACTTCCCCAATATCAGAGTCTGGGTCCAATACACTGTGTGGTTCACAGAAGAGGCTCATTACAGCTTAAAGGTTCTTTCCCAAGGAAAAGTTTGTTTGACTACCTTACTGAAGCTAGAAATGCAACAATGCCGATTTCTCACGTGTATCTGTAGTTATTCTAGAATGATGCATACATGAATTTCATACTACATGCTTCTGCTATGTTTAATTCCCTTATTCCCAATGACTCATATTATCTTTATAAAGTCACTAGAGAAAGAGTACAAGACTCTTTATGCTTTAGAGAGGTGTGTTGTTATTGGTAGCAATAACAAATATTGCAGGTAAGCAGAGTCCTAGTAAAACAGGCAGTATTTTACATGCAATCCATTTAAAAACCAAGCATCTGGAAATTCCTAGGAGCTAAAGAAAGTTATCCAAACAAGTGATAGCATCTCTATAAGTGCTGAATCCCTGAGCCCCCTTTATAGGGGCTGAGCGAGTGGAAGGAAGCCAGCCCCAGGCAGAACAGGCACTTCAGAAATTTAAGCAAATGAACATCTTTACCTTTATGCCACATTGGCTGAAGCTAAAATTTGTCCCCCAGAGTTATGGCCACCAAAAGATGTTCAAAACATAACATGGACTACATTTTAAAGGGAAATCTGTGCGAAAACACCACAAGCATAAGGTGAGAATGAGAATGGATCCTTTAAGAAAAAAACAAACAAACAATGAATTTTACTGCTGGAAAATACAACTTCTGTAAGGTTACAGTGGTGTAGACACTAAACCTAAATAGAGACAAGATTATGGAGAAAGGTATACAGAAAAGGAGTTTGTCTTTTCAAATTTGACAGTGGAGTTCTGTATCTAATTACACACATGTGTATGCTCCAACACCCTGGGTGTTGTCAAACACCTGCTTCTTTATGAGGAGCTAACAAACTCTTATTGTGTTCCCCAATAGACAAACTCTGGCTTCTATTTTTTTCTCATTTCCTCTGGATGGAATGGTAGGTTCCAAAATTAATCTGTACTATAGGTGTATTAGTCAGGGTTCTCTAGAGGGACAGAACTAATAGGATATATATAATAGTTCATTATATATATTCTATATATGTTACATATATCTAATGCATTATTATATATGCATATAATAAAGGGGAGCTTATTAAGTAGTATTAACTCACACAATCACAAGGTCCCACAATAGGCTGCCTGCAAGCTGAGGGGAAAGGAAGCCAGTCTGAGTCCCAAAGCTGAATAACTTGTCCAATGTTTGAGGGCAGGAAGCATGCAGCACTGGAGAGAGATGTAGGCTGAGAGGCTAAGCCAGTCTAGTCTTTTCAAGTTCTTCTGTCTGCTTTTTATTCTGGCTGCACTGGCAGCTGATTAGATGGTGCCCACCCAGATTGAGGGTGGGTCTGCCTTTCCCCACCCACTGACTCAGATGTTAATCTCCTTTGCCAACACCCTTACAGACACAGGCAGGAACACTATTTTGCATCCTTCAATCCAATCAACTTGACACTCAGTATTAACCATCACAATGGGATTATTCCGAACGTATGCACTTATGGTTCTGAGTCCCTATACTATTTTTAACGTATCTACATATTTAGTGCAAATTATTCTGCTTGTAAGCTCTTATATTTCTTAATGTTAAATAGCACATGCTATTTACTGAAATGTGGACAATAAGCAACTATTGAAAAGAAAAAATGATATAAAATTCTAACAATTAACATCAACATTTTGATGCATTTCCTAATGTTATTCTTTCTATGAATTTATTTACATAGAATTAATATATTATAAAGTTGAGATCATGCTTTATATACAATATTGATTCCTTGTCAGTAAATTACATTATTTATAATTGTTGAGCCAATATGATAACATTGCAACAAATATCATTATACGTCAGTCTTGTGCACTGGATTACTATTTAGATGTTTTGTCTAGCAGTGAGGTCATTAAGGCAAAACTATAACAATTTTATTACTCTTTATAGATATTGCCAGAAAACATTTCAAAGACAAAGGGCTGTATGAGAAGACACAATTCTATTTTAAATTAATCACTTCTAGAACTTCACATCTTCCAAGAACAGACTCTGAAGGTCAAGTACCCTGCTCCAAGGGCTTTCTTATTTTGCAGGGAGACTGGAACTCCAAAAAGAAAATAAAACTACATTCTAATAATCAGAAACTGTCAGGAAGGGAAAGAACTCTATTTTATAATGCATCATGAAATAAATGAGTTTTCATAAGTGAGTAGACATCCATTTACCCTTTGCATTCCAAGGATAGTGGATGAAGCAAGGCTGAGCTTCTGCACTTCTCAATGCCTTTGTTAATATATGCAAGGAGGCACCAACTGCTTGGATATTTTTAGGCAGGCACATTGTTGGCAGGATTCTATGCCTGACTTGGTTGAGGACTCATTACATCAGTCAAAAATGATTAAAGGAAAATTTTGTAAGTTTCCTCCCTGAATGATTCTATAAAATCATGAAGTGATATTAGAAAATTCATACAAATTTGTGTTTCTCACCTATCATAGTTTGGGCTAATAACATCTCAAACCTCCGCTATTTCTCTTGCCTTCAGATTTCCTCTGGGTCTCAAGATTTTAACAGAGGCCATGCCTTGCCTGGGGTCCACTCCACATTCATTCCTCCTTTTCCTCCTCTGTTTCTGGACAGAGTCATCAAGGGATAATTTTATAGCACCCTCTTTATTTCAATTGGCTCTCTAGTCTATCAAACCATTTTCTTCTAATGGAATATTACTTTTTCTTCTTTCTTTATACTTAGCAAAGTTTCTGGGGTTTTTTTGTATTAATTTACTTTTTTTTTTTTTTTCTTTTTCAGTCTCACCTTCTAGATGCTCTCTGGGATCAAGGTCTTCATCAATTATTCCCAAAGTCTAATACACAAAAATAGTCAATTCATAATTGACATAATACATCTTTACTTGATGAAACATTGCATTAGCAAACTCTGTATCATTGATACGGTTATTTTGACAAGCTATAATTTTATATTATTGACATTTTAAATTTGTCATAATGTTACCTACTAATTTTAAATAACTGAATCAATACAGAGCAGAAAGTAAAAAGTAACACAATGTAGAAATAATCTCACCATCAGAAATGAATATCATTATCTTTTGGTGAATAACTTTCCATAAATCTTTTATTACAATGATTTGGATAAACGTTCAGAGAAATCGGAAAACTCTTCAGAGAAACAGGTTGACAGATATATTGTTATATATAAAGAAATCTCACCAAATATTTATTTTATTTTTATTTTTATTTATTTATTTATTTTTTGAGACGGAGTCTCACTCTGTCGTCCAGGCTGGAGTGAAGTGACGTGATCTCGGCTCACTGCAAGCTCTGCCTCCCAGGTTCACGCCATTCTCCTGCCTCAGCCTTCCGAGTAGCTGGTACCACATGTGCCCGCCACCACGCCTGGCTAATTATTTGTATTTTTAGTAGAGATGGGGTTCCACCGTGTTAGCCAGGATGGTCTCAATCTCCTGACCTTGTGATCCGCCTGCCTCAGCCTCCCAAAGTGCCGGGACTACAGGCGTAAGTCACCGCACCCAGCCATTTTATTTTATTTATTTATTTATTTTTTTGAGACAGAGTCTTGCTCTGTCACCTTAGGCTGGAGTGCAGTGGCACAATCTCCGCTCACTGTAACCTCTGCCTCCTGGGTTCAAGTGATTTTCCTGTCTCAGACTTCCGAGTAGCTGGGATTACAGGTGCCTGTCACCACGCCCAGCTAATTTTTGTGTTTTCAGTAGAGACAGGGTTTTGTCATGTTGGCCAGGATGGTCTCGAACTCCTGACCTCAGGTGATCCACCCTCCTCAGCCTCCCAAAGTGCTGGGATTATAGGCGTGAGCTACTGCTCCTGGTCCCAAATATTTATTTTAAATATAATCTAGTGCTATGGACTGAATTTATGTGTTAAATCCCTAATCACCAATATAACTGCATTTAGCGAATGGGGGTTTTAGGAGGTAATTAAATTAGGGTGGGGTTTTATAGAATTGATAGATCTCTCTCTGTCTAGGCACACATACTGAGGAAAGGCCATGTGTAGACACACATAAAGGAGGTGTCCATCTGCAAACCAAGAAGAGAGCCTTCACCAAAACCCTTCCATGCTGGCACCTTGACCTTGAACTTATGGCCTCCAGAATTGTGAGAAAATACATTTTTGTTGTTTATACCCCCCCAATTATGGTATCATGTTATGGTAGCCTGAGCCGAGTAATGCATCTGTTAAATTTAATTTAAATTTATTTTAACAGAAGAAGATGAATTGAAATCGTATTGAAGGGACTTGGATGACTCCATCAAATGTCTCCTCATCCCAGGGATAATGTTTAAAACGTCATCTAATCTGGACAAAAATATTTGAAAACAAACAAACAAAAAAGGCGGGGGGCACCAGTGAGCATACGGAGACTGTATTACGTAAGAAGAAAGGAAGATGTGAATATAGTAGAGACTGGAGGAGTTCACATTTCAAGTTTCAAGGAGACACAGAAGATAGCCAATTGTAGAAAAGAAGAAAAAACTTTAAAGGTAAAGAATAAAAGAAACATATCTACCTAAAAGAAACATATCTACCTATCAATTATCTAGATATAGGTAGAGGTATACAGAGATGGAGACATAAATACATATATATATGTAGATATATAGATCCATGTAAAGAGAGATATAGACACAGAAAAAAGAAAAAATGAAGGAGTGAAGAAAGGCACCATGGTGAATTGGTTTGTATTCTATTAATGACAAATGTGAGGGAAGCTGAGACAGTGGCTAACTTTATTTGAAATTCTATTTAATTGAATTGGACTTCTTTACTGGATTTTTTTTAAAAGGAGCATTCATCAGTGTTATACTTCCTGAATTTTATTGTGTTTGGTAATATCTTCGGCTAGGGATAAAAGCTGGGTGCCAAACTTAGCTTCGATATCTGGCTGGCTCTTCTGATACGAGATATTACTGAGGAGAACTCTAAGTGGTGATTCTGTCTTACATGTAGGCTTCCTTTTTGCTCTAGTTACCTACAGAATTATTTCTACTTCTGTAATTTTAATATTAAATAACTTGGCTATTACTCAGATTAAAAAAAATTTCTTGATCAGTATGTGTGCTTATTCCACCTATGGATTCAAAACTTTTTCCACACAGTAGGATGACTATAGTTAAATTTTATTGTATATTTCAAAATAGCTACAGGAGTGGATATGGAATGTTCCCAACATAAACAAATAATAGATATTGAGGTGATGGCCCAATGACCCTGAATTGGTCATTACATATTCTACACTTGTAACAAAATATCGTATGTACCTTATACAAAAATTATGTGTTCATAAAAATGGAAACTAAAACATTAACTAAAAAGAAAAACTATTTTAAAAACTGTATTCATATCGGGAAAATGATCCTAACCTTGAAGTTTCTGTGACCCATTTCGTGTGCTTTCTGTTTATCTCTTCACTAATTTTTCCATCAGGATGGTAATAGCATATTTTAAAAATGGTAAACCACGGTTATATAGTTCTTGAAAATATAAACATTATGAATAAAATAAGTTCTGTTGAAGACCAACCAAAGTCTCTTCCTCTCACCTTCTCCCTCCCACCCCTATAGAAGACACTATTATCAGTTCCATGTTTATCCTTCCACATTTCCTCTTATTTATTTTCAGTGCATACATGCAAATATATAGTATTTTTTGATTTCTATTTTATTACATTTGAAGAGTCCTGTCATCTTTATGAGACCTTCTTTACACATGTTGGTGAGGTAAGAGGTCAGCAAGGCTTGTTTTCCTGTCCCAACCCTCCTGACCAAAACAAGATCCAGTCCAGACAGGATGAAGTGAAGACACCAGTAGGAACCAGCAGATGGGAGGAAGGTGAGCCCTGGCTGCTCTCATTGCTCCCACCAGCTCCATGACACTTTAGAAATGCCATGGCAATGACCCGGAAGTTACCACCCCTTTCCTTGTCAATAATCTGGAAGTTACTGCCCATTTCCTAGAAAGTTCTGAATAATCCAACCCCTCAATTTGCATTAACCCACCCTTTAATTTGCATGTAATTGTAAGTCGGTATAAAAGTGGGTATAAATACAGATGCCAAGAACACATTTTTTTTTTTTTTTTAGAGTCTTGCTCTATCGCCCAGGCTAGAGTACACTGGTGCAATATCAGCTCACTGCAACCCCTGCCTCCCAGGTTCAAGCGATTCTCCTGCCTCAGCCTCCTGAGTAGCTGGGATTACAGGTGCTGGCCACCACGCCCAGCTAATTTTTGTTGGTCAGGCTGGTCTGGAACTCCTGACCTCATGATCCGCCCTCCTCAGCCTCCTGAAGTGCTGGGATTATAGGCATGAGCCGCCGTGCCTGGCTGAGCACATATGTTAACTCTGGTTGCAATGTTTGCAAGTCAGCCCTGCTTCACAAGGAGTGGCACCTTCAATACAAGGTTGTTGTCTACCACCTCCTGTTTGCCCTTGAATTCTTCCCTGGGTGAATCCAAGAAACCTCCCAAGCTAAGCCTCAATTTGGGGGCTTGCCTGTCCTACTTCCTTAGTACAAGTACATCTAACTCAGGCCTTTGAACTGCTATATAGTATGATATATTTTGACATATCAGTTTATTTATTATTTAGCACTTTTCAGTCTTTGCTATAATGACACTTAATAAGCATGTAAATAGGCGGGGATTATGATAAAAACACACCTCTGGGATTACTGTGTTATGGAAACTTTAAATTTCAATAGATTTCCAAAATTATATTCCAAGTGCAACTAACAAATTTTATTACTGCCACAAGATAACTTTGTATCAAACAATTATATAGGCTGGGTGCTGTGGCTCATGCCCATAATCTCAGCACTTTGGGAGGCTAAGGAAGGAGGAATGTTTAGGCCAGGAGTTTGAGACCAGCTTGTGCAACATAATGAGACCCTGTCTCTACAAAAAAACAAAACAAACATTTTCTAAACACGATATGATGGAATGTTTTAATATTTGCCATGTATGTTTCCTAGGGCTACATAGCAAAGTGCCACATACTGGGTGGCTTAAAACAACAGTTGTTATTCTCTCCCAGTTCTGGAATCTAGAATTTCAAAATTAAGGCTGTCTTTGGCCCCCACAATAACTCACTGCAACTCCTGAGAGTGGCTGGCCCTTGGGTATCATGGCAGCTTCTCCATCCAAACCTTCACTCAGGATTCCGCTCTGGAGCCCAGTGTCCCAGCCCTCCCTTCCAGGCCCACAGTGGAGTCCGTCCCTGCAGGACACACAGTCAGGCACCTGTCTTACCCCTGTCCTTCTCCTTACCATGCTTCCAGTTGTCATGATTGTCCACTTACTGTTTCTGAACTACCAGGTGCTCCTTCTGCTTTCTGTTTGTTTTTTGAGACGGAGTCCTCGCTCTGTCGCCCAGGGGAGTGCAGTGGCATGATCTCGGCTCACTGCAACTTCCACCCCCAGGGTTCATGCCATTCTCCTGCCTCAGCCTCCAGAGCAGCTGGGACTACAGGCACCCACCACCATGCCCGGCTAATTTTTCGTTGTTTTTTTTTTTTTTTTTGGTAGAGAAGGGGTTTCAATGTGCTAGTCAGGATGGTCTCGATTTCCTGACCTCGTGATCTGCCCGCCTCGGCCTCCCAAAGTGCTGGGATCACAGGCGTGAGCCACATGCCCAGCCTTTTTATTTATTTATTTTAAATCTGTGGTATATGCTTTTCAGAAATAACGTCTATTGCCAGACGCGGTGGTTCACACCTGTAATCCCAGCACTTTGGAAGGCCAAGGCGGGTGGATCACCTGAACACTTGAAGTCAGGAGTTCGAGAACAGCCTGCCCAACATGGTGAAACCCTGTCTCTACTAAAAATACAAAAATTAGCTGGGTGTGGTGGTGGGCACCTGTAATCCCAGCTACTCGGGAGGCTGAGGCAGGGCAATCACTTGAACCCGGGAGGCTGAAGTTGCAGTGAGCCGAGATCATGCCACTGCATTGCACTCCAGCCTGAGTGCAGACTCCATCTCAAAAAATAAAAATAAGAAGAAATAACATCTATTATATCCATGGCATTATTTTTTCGTTGAGGAGATTGTGGGTTTTGCTTGGTCTACTCTTTGTTTCCAATTAATTCTGAAGTTTTGAAATTATGCTACTTGCTTCTCAGTCATTCTTATTTCCCCAATTTCCTTTTTAATCTAATTCAATTGTTTTGTCAGGTTTCTTTTATCTTCCACATTTGTTTTCTTTTAAATGTGTTTAATCCTAAGCATTTCTATTACTTGATGCTTGTGTTAGAATTGTATTTCTCTTCTTCAGATGGCATTTTTTCATCTGCCTCTCACCCTTACATGTTGAATCCTGTTTTTTTTTCCTTCTGAGGTATCTTTTACTCTTTTTCATGCCTTTTAATTCTTTTGTTTTTGTTTGATATGGGAAGTTATTTGTTTCAATAGATCAAGTTTTTCTTAACTTTCTTACCTTTTTGTGCAGAGACCCATTTGCTTTGTTTTCCCCAGTTCTCTCTTCCTTCATTTTTCCTTTCCTTCTTTCCTTGTTCCTTCCATTTCCCTTCCTCTTTTCAGTCTTCTTCCCTCTCCTTACACACACACACACACACACACACACACTTTTTTGCTGAAATACTTTGTTGAAAACTGCTGGTAACATACTACTTAAATCTCAAGTATTTCTCAAGTAAAAGAAGGTCCTCCTGTATAAACACCTATTATTGTCACACCCAAGATATTTATAGAGTCAATAATACCACAAATAGTAGTCTATGATTGAATGTCCCAAGTTGTTCCAGAGTGTCCGTCCTCCATAGCTATCTTCTATGTGGCACCGGAATCTGATTAGTGTTCATTCATTGTGTGTGAATGGTGTGGCGATTTAGTCTCCTTTCATGAAGTTTATACTCCACCACTTTTTTTTTGCCTTTCATGACATTGATATTTTAAATGAATCCTGGCTAGTTTTAGTGTGAAATAGCACACAGTTCAGATTACAGTGTTTTGCAAAGTTTAAATTCATGTTAATCATTTTTAACAATAAATGACAGTATCACTTGTGGATTTTTCCATAGTGTTGTGTCTGGAATTGGTGGGTTCTTGGTCTCGCTGACTTCAAGAATGAAGCCGCGGACCCTCGCGGTGAGTGTTACAGTTCTTAAAGAAGGCGTGTCTGGAGTTTGTTCCTTCAGATATTCAGATGTGTCTAGAGTTCCTTCCTCCTGGTGGGTTCGTGGTCTCAGGCTGACTTCAGGAGTGAAGCAACAGACCTTCGCAGTGGGTGTTACGGCTCTTAAAGGCGGTGCGTCTGGAGTTATTTATTCCTTCCAGTGAGTTCGTGGCCTTCCTGGCTTCAGGAGTGAAGCTACAGACCTTCACAGTGATTGTTACAGCTCATAAAGGTGGCACGGAGCCAAAGAGGGAGCAGCAGCAAGATTTATTGAAAAAAGCAAAAGAACAAACCTTCCACAGCATCCATGGGGACCCAGCAGGTTGCTGCTGCTAGCTCGGGCAGCCTGCTTTTATTTCCTTATCTGACCCCACCCACATCCTGCTGATTGGTCCATTTTACAGAGAGCTGATTGGCCCATTTTACAGAGAGCTGATTGGTCCGTTTTGACAGGGTGCTGATTGGTGCATTAACAAACCTTGAGCTAGACACAAAAGTTCTCCAAGTCCCTACTAGATTAGCTAGACACAGAGCACTGATTGGTGTGTTTACAAACCTTGAACTAGACACAGAGTGCTGATTGGTGCATTTACAATCCTTTAGCTGGACACAAAAGTTCTCCAAGTCCCCACCAGATTAGCTAGACACAGAGCACTGATTGGTGCATTCGTGCATTTACAATCCTCTAGCTAGACATAAAAGTTCTCCAAGTCCCCACCAGATTAGGTAGATACAGAGTGCTGATTGGTGCATCCACAAACCCCGAGCTAGACACAGAGTGCTGATTGGTGCATATACAATCCTCTAGCTAGACATAAAAGTTCTCCAAGTCCGCACCCAACTCAAGAGCCCAGCTGGCTCCGCCTGGTGGATCCCGCGCCGGGGCCGCAGGCGGAGCTGCCCGTCATTCCCGCGCCATGCGCCCGCACTCCTCAGCCCTTGGGCGGTCGATGGGACCAGGCGCCGTGGAGCAGGGGGTGGCGCCCGTCAGGGAGCCTTCGGCCGTGCAGGAGCCCACGGGGTTGGGGGTTGGGCTTGCCCATGGCAGGCTGCAGGTCCTGAGCCCTGCCCTGTGGAGGGGGCTGAGGCCCAGCAAGAATTCAAGCACAGCACGGGCGGGCTGGCAGTGCTGGGGGACTGGGCGCATCCTCCACAGCTGCTGGCCCAGGTGCTAAGCCCCTCACTGCCCAGGGCCTGCGGAATCAGCCTGGGGCTCCAAGAGCAGGGCCACCAAGCCCACGCCCACCTGAAACTCGTGCTGGCCCACGAGGGTCACACGCAGCCTCTGTTCCCGTCTGCGCCTTTCCCTCCACACTTCCCACAAGCAGAGGGATCTGGCTCCAGCCTCGGCCAGCCAAGAGAGGGGCTCCAACAGTGCAGCGGCAGGCTGAAGAGCTCCTCAAGAGTGGCCAGAGTGGGCGCTGAGGCTGAGGAGGCGCTGAGAGGGAGCAAGGGCTGCCAGCACGCTGTCACCTCTCAGTGTTGCAATAAGAGGTGCATGTTATCAGTTTGCTCCATGATCCGTGATATTGAGGTAACGTTTCTTCTTGTAATTAAGCACTGGTCTGTGGCATAATACATTCAGAATCTGAGACTCTCCGGCTGACAGCACATTTTCACCCAACGAACCTTGTAGCCTCCCTGTCTCCATTACTATATGATGTTGCAGATTAGAAACATATCACATTGCATGTAAGAAGGGAGCTTTCTAACTCTATACTTCCCATAAGGTGAAAATTTTCTTTTTTCTTTTCTTTTTTTCTTTTTGAGATGGAGTCTCACTCTGTGGCCAGGCTGGAGTGCAGTGGCATGATCTTGGCTCACTGCAACCATGCCTCTTGGGTTCAAGTGATTCTCCTGTCTCCGCCTCCCGAGTAGCTGGGAGTATAGGCGCACACCACCATGCCCAGCTAATTTTTTGTATTTTTAGTAGAGATGGGGTTTCACCATGTTGGCCAGGATGATCTCGATTTCTTGACCTTGTGATCTGTCCACCTCAGCCTCCCAGTGTGCTGAGATAACAGGCATGCGCCACTGCACCTGGCCGAGGTGAGAATTTTCTACGAAAGTAGCTTCGCATGATATGGAAAGGAGGGAATTAGATGTCATTAAAGAAAATAAAAAAGCAGTTTGGCATGAGCTGGTGATCACCAAAGTTGGGCAATGGGACTTGGTGATTTGCTGTAACAGTCTGTCTTCTTACAACCATGTGCTCATGCTTGTTTCTTTTTAACTGAATGTTTCAATTCAATACATTACACTCCTTCTGCTTTTAGTGTTCAAATTATGCTAAATTTATTATTTATTCTTTGAAGTGTGCTTTGAAATCAGACTTTATAACTCCACAAAAATATTTTTGGGTTCTTATTTGTATCAGATGTACCTGATGTTGTGTTATTCTATCAAGGAAAAAAGACACTTCAAATCTACTTTCATGGTTTTCAGGACTGTCCTAGAATTCTCCTAGGCTTTTAAAGTTTTTCCTAAAAACATACATAAAGTTTTTCCTTAATATAGGTTTTTAAAGTTTTTCCTAAATTTCTATTCTTCTTTTTCCTTTATTTATTCATTGCTATTATGGGTGGAGTTCTTTCTATCGTTATTATTTTTCTCTCTTGCAGCTTTGTATATAAAAAAATTTAATTTTATATTACGTTAAGCTTTTTAATTATATTTTATTCATGGTATCACTGATTCTTCTGATTTTCCAGCTATAGGATCTGCAGAGAGGAGTAGACTTACTCCTTTCTAATTGTTTGCTGTCGTCCAATTGATGTGGTTGTATCTCTAGGCCAAAATAAAATAGTGATGAAGTTGCGTGTGTTCTTGCCATGTCCCTGGTGTCCCTTGGAAGAATGTGTCTTTCCATTTCATAAGATGATGTCTTTAGGGATATTCCTCTCCTATATTTTAAAAGTCCAGTATTCATGGTATATCATTTGTAGAATCTAAGGAAAGAGAGAGGGCAGAAAATGGAGCACTCATTTTCTACTTTGTCTTCTTTGTACATGATATTTGATCTGTTCTCTTATTAGTGGATGCTCAAGAAAGATTTTTGTCCTCACATTTTAATTTACTGCATAGACAAATTATTTAAACAAGAGAATCTTAAAGCAAAAACAAATAATGTGTTCTCCCACCCAACTAACTTAATCACCTTAAAAGGATTTTGTTGAAGTCTTACATGTATAAAATGTAATATAACAAGTGTACAGCTCAATGAATTTTTATACTATGAACTCACCCATGTAAACAACATCCAGTAAGATCTCTACTGACTTCCCAGAGGACATTTTTGGAGTGCCCTTCACTTTCTGACAGTTTTCACCATCTCAGAAAGATAGTCACAGCTCCAACAGATACAGTATAGATTCTGTTGTACATCATATGAATGTTTCCACATTATATAAATGCTTTTTTGTACATTATGTAAATGGAATCATAGTTTATTTTTGGATGGCCTAGCTTCATTTGCTCAACAATATGTTTATGATGTTCACCCATATTTTTGGATATAGTTGTAGATTTTTAAGTTTCATTGTTGTGTAGTATTCCATTGTGTGGCTATGGCATAACTGACTTATTCATTCTCTTTGCCAGGTTTTTTATTTTTAATTTTTCTAGGCTTTTTTTTTTTTTTTTCCCTTGAGACGGAGTCTTGCTTTATCACCCAGGCTGGGGTGCAGTGGCACAATCTCGGCTCACTACAACCTCCGCCTCCCGGGTTCAAGCGATTCTCCTGCCTCAGCCTCCTGAGTACCTGGGACTACAGACGTGTGCCACCATGCTCGGCTAATTTTTATATTTTTAAGAGATGGAGTTTCACCATATTGGCCAGGCTGGTCTCCAACTCCTGAGCTCAGGTGATCCACCTACCTCGGTCCCAAAGTGCTGGGATTACAGGCTGAGCCACCTTACCTGGCCAATTTTTCCAGGCTTTGTTTGCTTGTTTTGCTTACTGTTTCACTAATTTTTTTCGTCTTCATTTTAATTGCTAGTAAAGAAGATTCTGTGATGTGATTTGTCTTCATATTCATGTCCTTATCAGACATTCTGCCCAGGGTTTTTGAGGTGAATTTGCGTATAGTGAACTCCAGGAAAATAGTGCAAGGAATTCTTTCAAATTGTTATTAGTGAGAACAGAAAAATGGGGTTGTTGAGTAGGGTAGTATTTCCTAACAGATATCATCACAGACTTGATTATAAAAGAACCACATAAAGTCTAAAGAGCCAGTGACCATAATACGAACAGGTATTTGCTAAGTTCCCACGGGAGAGGAGGAAGAGTGCTTGTACCTGAATGTTTGTGAGGGAGGCCCTGTCAGGTCAGAAGGGCTGCTGCTGCTTTGACCTTGTGTATGTGTGTGGGATGGTAAGAAATGAATTAACAATCCTGCGCCACTCTTTCTGACTACGTAATTGGCATTAAACTCAATTACTTTGGATACTGGGTAGAAAATTATTTTGAATGTGTATGTGTCCTGGTTTCTAATCAGATGTATCCCAAAACATAATAAGGTGGATTTAGAATCCTATGTTTTATCATTAGTTCTGACACCCAGTAGCTGTGTAAATTTCAGCAAGTTATTTATCTTTGCAATAAAACATAAAACATCCTCAGGGCATTGAATTAATCTTTTATTGCTTAACTGAAAGGTAAATGCTTATAAATATCTAATGAAATAGCTCATAATATTTGCTGTATGGTTGTTGATGCTTCTGGACAAAAATGTCAAAATTAGTTGATGCTGAGAAAATTCATGGAGGTTTAAATGAGCAAAGACATCACCATTTATTGCAAATATAATGGGAATTTCAAATATAATGAAATGGGAATTTATTTCAAATATAATGGGAATATTGAGAACCTTAGTTTTGTGAAAAAATATGAAGTACCTAAGTTTGTGAGATAACACATAGAAATTTATTAAGAGAAACAGTTAAAAATATTATAACAAAACTATTCAGTTTCTACTATTATGCTTTAACATATATTTGAAAATTTGAAAAAATATTTATTGCATATATATGTATATGTTACAATAAAAAGCCTAAAATTTATAATAATATTTTCAATTAGAGTTCCAAACTTTTATCCAGAATATTGATTAAAGATACTGAGCTCATATTTTTCTTCAATATTATAAAATACATAAAATTAACAAACGTAAAAAATACAGGAATTTTTTCCTGTAACATAAAAAACACAACTTATTCAAGTGAATTTCAGAGGATTAATGAAACCATTCCAAGCAAAATTTTAATAATCTAATTACAAGTATTTTTCAGTATACTTTTAATATTACTGAATGAAAATAGTAAAAGAAATATAAAAGTAAATAGTAAAATAAATGAGTGGAAATGGTAAATAGTAAAACCTCCAGATTGGTTTGCCTAAGATTACGGTCGTTAATGTTACTGTTCTATATAGTGGGTAACATTTGTGTGAATTCTGTGGGTTTTGTGTGTGTGTGTGTGTGTGTGTGTGTAAGAGGAACTACTAGTTGAAAGGTTAATTGCAAAACAGTTCAGTATCTTTTGCTATGGCTGTGGTATTGACATACTTAAATATATTAATAACCCACTGTCAACTATTTCATTAAAAAGTATTTTTTTAAATTAACAAGTCGTTATGTGGGCTGTACTGCAGGACCTCCCCACCAAATAAAAATGTCATTTTGTGCTAAATAAAAATCAGCAGTAAAAAACAAAAAACATAATAAACTTAAAAAAATGAAAAGACTCTTTAGAAGTCTACAATTATATTAATTGGCCTAAACTTGATATTCTTTTTTAATGTATCAGGTTTTTTTTTTAAAAAGGCATAAAGTGAGTATGAAGGTAGGGAGAGAATAAAAGAGAAATAAAAATGCACTAGCATTGTATCAAAATATGGAGATTGTAGCTTTTAAAATAATTAATATCTCAAATTGTTGTTTTCTTTGGAAATATCACCAAAGGCTATGAGAAAACAGAAGCCTCACAGGTGGACTTCAATATGGAAACTCAATATTTGAACTCCGGCATTTGCAAAAGTCATCCACAGTGGGCTCAGAGGGGAGCTGAGTCTTCACATCTGACCCAGGAGAGGAGGCTAGGCCTCATTGGAGAAAAGTGGCTTGAAAATAGTGCTTCCAGTAACTTGGGGTTTCCAAGGTGACGCCTTGGGAGCATTTCACATCATTTCAGTGGTTTGAACAAAAGGCAACCAGGGGGTGGTTCTGGACACTATTCTGCTGAAAGAAAACCAATGCATTCTCTGTTTTGCATACTGGGATAGTAGGTACAATTCTATTTTTTTTTAAATCTATTGCCGAAGAACAAAAATAAGAAAAAAGAAAATCACTATTGTGGCTATTTTCGCACAAAATATTTCAGTGGTCAAAACCTTTCAGAATGCTAACTTCAG
Organism: Homo sapiens; assembly: GCF_000001405.40. NCBI lineage: Eukaryota > Metazoa > Chordata > Mammalia > Primates > Hominidae > Homo > Homo sapiens. Next base: position 52,436,724 of record NC_000007.14, read on the forward strand.
TAGAAATACTTTGAAAACCAAAGTAAAAGTGTATCACACACCTCTAAAGTAACCTCTACAAATATGTGTCCTATTTCTGGTGCCCTTTATGAAAGATGCAGTGGAACTTGAGAGGCATGCCATTGAGGTGATAAAGGAGGAAAGAAGTGGCCACATAAAAAAGGTTTCCCAGATTAAACACATGCTGTCCAAGGCATTTTCTGAGTTGGGGGATGATGCTGAATGCGATCCCTAAATTGGAACATCTTGGTTCAAACTTCGGTTCTATGTTCTATTATATATAAAATTCCATTATATATAACTTGCAATATATATAAATCCCTAGGGAGATATATATATATATTTGATTAATTAACTTAATCTCCAATTAATCCCTTCTGTAAAAACAGGGATAATAATAATGCTTGATTTCTGCTCTATACATTTCAGAACACTATTGAGTCTGTAAAAATTGCACACTAAAAAGAACAGATTCCTAAGTTGATTTAAAGGTAAAACATGAAACTTTGTAACCAGAGCAGTAACATAAACAAGCAGGCAGCTTGCTTCACCCAGAGGCTGCTTCTAGAGATATTAGAATTGCTCAATAAAAACTAGAATGTAACTGCTGTTAGAAGATACTCAGACCATTGAGATGGAAGTGGAGTTCTGAGGATGGGACTCAGAGATGAGGAAATGCAACCTGCCTGAACCCACAGGCTGGAGGTGTGCCTCTGTAGAAAAGGAACCCTGTATGCAGGTAACTATTTTTCTTTTTAACAGCTTCATAGGGGTATAATTCACATGCAATAAAATGCATATCTCTAAAGTGTAGAGTTTGATAAGTTTTGATATATGGAACACCTGTAAAATCACCACACTCAAGGAAATGAACACACTCATCGTTCCAAAAGATTTCTTATGCTCTTTTGTAATTCTGCCTCACTTATACCCTCCTCCCCAGGCACATACTCATATACTTTCTTTTACTGTATATTTGCATTTTATACTTATAAGTAAAAATAATCATGTAAAATATACTCTTTTCCACCTAGCTTCTTTCACTCAGCATAGTTATGTTCATGGGTCTCCATATTTCCATTTTTGTTGCCAAGTAGTACTGCACGGTGTTAATGTATGATAATTTATCAGTTTAGCTGGTGATGAATATTTTGGGCTGTTTTAGGGGTTTTGGGATATTACAAATAAAGTTGCTATGAATGTTTATCTAAAATTCTCTGTATAGACCATATTCTTTTTTAATATTAGATAAATACTTAAGGATGGAATTAATCACACAATAGTTGTATATGTAATGTTTTGACACTGTCAAATGGTTTTCCAAAATGGTTGGGCTTTTATATTCCCATGAGCACTGTATGACAGTTTCAGTTCCTCTACAACCTCCCCAATACTGGGGATATTCATTCTACTCAATTTTTGCAAGTTCATAGGTGGGTAGTGGTATCTCTTTATGGTTTTATTTCATGTTTGACTAGTGATCAGTAATGTTGAGCATCATTTCATGTTCTTATTTGCCACCCGTATGCCCTCTTTCGTGAATGATCTGTTCATATTATTGCCCATCTTTTTCCTCTAATGCAGGGATGTAAACGCTATAAATTCTCCACTAAGTGCTGCTTTTGTCCACATACCCATAATTTTGGTAAATTGTATTTTGGTTTAGTTTATTTAAAAAATTATCTTCAGAGACTCCTTCTTTGACCCATGGGAAACCCTGTTTAATTTCTAAATATTGCAGAATTACCTGGCTATCCTTCTCTTATTTTTTAAAACTTAATACTTTTGTGGCTTGAAAATATACCTGGTGAGATTTTTATTCTCTTAAATATATTAAGGTGGTTTTAATAACACAGAATGTGATCTATTTTGTTGAATGTCCCACGTGAGCTTGAGAAAAGTGTATTGTCTTTGGGTGGTGAATACTGTACATGTCATCTACGTCAAGTTGATTGATAATGCAGTTCAGGGAACCTGTATCCTTACTAATTTTCCACCTGCTTGATTTGTTAGTTATGGGCAGAAGGTTGTTGAGGTCTCCAACTATAATAATAATTTTTTTATTTCTCCTTTAAATTTTATCAGTTTTTGCCTCATGTATTTTGACATTCTATCATTAGGTGAATATACGTTTAGGATTGTTTTATCTCCTTTAAGAATTAACTGCATACTTTATCATAGTATAATGCTACATTTTAACTCTGATAATATTCCTTGTTCTGAAATAGGTTTGTCTGAAATTAATATTGCTACTCCAGCTTTCTTTTGATTAATGTCAATGATATTTCTTTCTCTGTCACCTTACTTTTAACTTTAACTTACTTTTACTTTTAACTGATTTTTACTTTTTAACTTACTTTTCACTTACTTTTAACTGGCTCTTTAATGTAGAGTTTTTATTGACAACATATAGTTGTGTCTTGATTTTTCACAGTAATCTGAAAATCTCTATTTTAAATTGTTCTATTTAGACAATTTCCATCAAAAGTGACTACTGGTATGGTTAGATTTGCCTGTGACTTTTAGCCTGGTCCTCCAAACATCCAGTATGGACGGTTTTCAGAAAATCTGCAGAGCACACTCTCACTTCAAGGAATTTGCATTTGTTGTTCCCTGTGTCTAGAACCCTTTAACAGCCTTGATGGGCTACTTCCCCACATCAATGAAACTCAGCTCATTATTTTCCACTGAGTGGCATTTTCCGGCTGTCTATCTAAATTGCAGAATCACACACCAGTCAGGCCCCATCCCATGCCACTGTTTGATTTCGTATGTGCTTTATTTGCCTTTCACATTTAGCTTACATTTGTTGAAGCAAAATATTGAATGAAAGTGGTGTTAGTGGGCAACCTTGTTTTATTTCCTCATTTGTTTCCTGTAGCTATGTTTAGATTCCTTTTTACCAGAATAAGGAAGATCCTTTTTCCCTATTTTGCTATTTTTTAAAATTATAAATTGATATAAATTTAATCAATTGCTTTTCATGAATCTATTGAGATGAGCACAAGAATTTTCTCCTTCATTCTACTCATATGATTAATAGAATTGTTTAACTTTTAAATTTGAAACCAGGTTTGCAATTCAAAAATAAATTATAATTGCTTGTGATGTTTGTACAGATCAATGGATTTAGTTTGAAAATATTTTATTTTAAATTTTATCATTGGAGATAGATCAGTAATTTACCTTTTAGTAATGCTTTTTCAAAGAGTGATGGTGACTTCCGGAGGACGTTGCTTAGGTTTGGTGATTGTTTTTTCCCAAATACTTGGTAAAATATATTAGGAAAATTATGTGAAGCTTTGTGTTTCTTTAATAGATATAGGATTATTGAGATTTTCTTCTTGTGACATCAGTTTGTAATATTTCAAGACATTTCTCCATGTTATCTAATTTTTTTTTTTCTTTTTTGAGATGGAGTATTACTCTGTCACCCAGGCTGGAGTGCAGTGGCGTGATCTCAGCTCACTGCAACCTCTGGCTCCTGGGTTCAAGCAATTCTCCCTGCCTCAGCCTTCTGAGTAGCTGGGATTACAGGTGCATGCCACCACAGCCTGGCTAATTTTTGTTAGCCAGGCTAACAAAATTGTTGGCCAGGCTGGTCTTGAACTCAGGTGATCTGTCCGCTTTGGCCTCCCAAAGTGCTAGGATTACAGGCGTGAGCCACCGCAGCTGGCCCTAAACTTTCAAATGTATTTATATATAGTTGTTTATTATTTTTCTCATGTTTTGTATCTGGAGGCTCTTTAGTGATATCCTATTTTTCATTCCTAATATTGAGGATATGTAACACAATGACAGTCTTTACAAGAATGGATTTTTGGCTTTTGTTTGTTTTACCTATTGACACATATTTTCTCCTTTATTATTTCAGTTCTTATCTTTATTATTTCCTTCCGTCTATTTTCTTTGGATTTAACTTGTTGCTATTTAATTTTAATTTTCTGAAATTTTTGAAATTTGCTTTATGAAGCATCAGAAGGGCAATTTGGAGAAAATATTTTTAGAAAGTAAAAATTAATGGACATTTTTTGGTACAGAGAATCTTTATTTTTATTTTCATTTTGTTAATATCTTGAACAATAAACATTTAATGATTTTTAAACTGCTTCATCTATCAGTTATGAAGAAACATGTCAAAATGTTCTATGATTATGGATTTATTTCTTAGTTCTGTTAAAGTTATATACTTATGTAACTCCACAAGATATTATGTTTACTGTTTTATCCTCTCAATTTGTAGCATATTTAACGTTTTATTTGTTCTTCATTTCAGACTGCATCTATAACCTGCTATTTGGTATAATTTTCCTTCTGTTTAAAATGTTTCATTACTATTAGTATTATCATTGTCATTATTATTATTTTATTTTTTTGTTTTGTTTTTTGTTTTTTGAGACGGAGTCTTGCTCTGTCGCCCAGGCTGGAGTGCAGTGGGGCAATCTCGGCTCACTGCAAGCTCCACCTCCCAGGTTCACGCCATTCTCCTGCCTCAGCATCCCGAGTAGCTGGGACTACAGGAGCTGGCCACCACGCCCGGCTAATTTTTTATATTGTTAGTAGAGAAGGGGTTTCACCGTGTTAGCCAGGATGGTCTCGATCTCCTGACCTCGTGATCCGCCCACCTCGGTCTCCCAAAGTGCTGGGATTACAGGCGTGAGCCGCCGCGCCCGGCCCATTATTATTTTGATGTCATTCTGCTGGTGAAGAATTCTATCAGTTTTGGTTTTTTTTTTTCAATATTTTGTACTTTCCCTTCGTTTTTGAAAGGTATTTTACTGAATATCGAGTTCTTGAAATTATTTTTCTTTTATTATTTTAATATAAAATTCTATTGTCTTCTGGTTTCATTGCTTTGCTTCATAACCCAACTGTTAGCCATTTTGTTGCTTCTTAGAAGCTAGTATGGCTTATCTTTAACAATTTTTAAGATTATTTTGTTTATTTTGTCTTGGTAGGGTTCGTTAGTTGTTCTATATTATGTTTAAGTCATGAATTTGTGGCTGCTGAAATTTTATAAATTTTGGATATTTTAAAATGGTTGTCACATTACCTATTACTTCTGTCTCATTATTTAAATTGTTCTGAATTGCAAATACATTATCATATTTTTTTTCACATTCTGTGTATCTCTTTCACTCTTTAAAGTATCGTATGTATTGTCCATCCTTTTATATCTCCAAGCTTCGATCTAGTAATTTTTTTGTTCTATCTCCCTGTAATCTATTTTTGTATTTTAAGAGAAATTTCAGGTTTACAGAAATATTGAGTAGAGTATACAAAGTTACCATATATTCTCTCTAAATCTGTGTACAGTTTCTCCCATAATTGACATCTTGTGTTGGTATGGTGCAGTTGTTATAATTGGTGAACAAATATATATAGTTATTATTAACTGAAGACCATAGTTTGCATTAGGGTTTATTGTTGGTGTTGAACAGTCCTCTGGGTTTTGACAAATGCACAATCTCATGTACTACCATTACAGTATTATGCACATTTGTTTCATTGTCCTAAAAATCCCTTGTGCTTCACGTATTTTTTGGTTTTTCCTCCTGCCAATCCCCATGCAACAACTGATCCCCATGCAGCACTGTTTCTAACGTTATACTTTACCCAGAACATCATACATTTGGAATCATAGAGTATAAAATATTTTCGGACTGGCTTCCTTCAACTGGAAATAAGTTTTCAAGTCAATATAAATATATACCAATAATATTTATTGGGTAAATAACTAAGTGCACAGTGATAGGAATACATTTAGTTTTGTAATAAAATGCCAGCTGTCTTCCAAACTGGCTGTACAGTTTTGTCTTCCCACCAGCAATGAATGAAAGGTTGCTTTTCTTCACATATTTACCAGCATTTAATGCTATCAATATTTGGGATTTTAATTATTTTAATAGCTATTTAGTAACATCTCATGGTTGTTTTGATTTGCTATTCCCTAATGACACACAATGTTGAGAATCGTTTTATGTGCTTATTTCTCATTTGCATCTCTTCTTTGGTGAGGCTTCTGTTCACATACTTTGTCTACTTGTTAATTGGGTTGCTTGTTTTGTTATTGCTGAGTTTTAGTAGTTTTGCATTTTGGATACCAATCTTTTATCAGATATATATTTTATAAATATTTCCCATAGTCTTTGGCTTGTCTTTTTATTCTCTTAACACTGTTTTATAAAGAGGAGAAGTTATACATTTTAACGAAGTGAATTTTCAAGTTTTTCTTGCATGGACTATGTTTATTTTGTTGTTGTTATATCTAAAACGTCATTACCAAGCCCAAAGTCACCCTGATTTTTTATCATGTAATCATCTAGAAGTTTTATAGTTTTGCATTTTACTTTGAGTCCAATGATCCATTTTGAGTTAATTTTTGGGAAAGGAATAGAATGTGTCTAGATTTTTTTTTTTTTGCATATGAATATCTAGGTGGTCCATCACCATGTGTTCAAAAGGTTATGCTTTCTATATTAGATTGTCTTTACTTATTGTGTTGGTTACTCTGAATATTATATATAAGCTTATAATTAGTTTGTTGACATCTGCAAAGTAACTTGCTGTGATTTTGGTTAGCTTTGCTTTGAATCCATAGATCCAGTTAGGAAGAACTGATAGCATGACCACATTGAGTGTTCCTATCCATGTACATGGGGTATCTCTGTACTTGTTTAAATCTTCTTTGATTTCTTTCAACAGAATTGTGTAGTTTTCCTCATATAGATTCTGTACATATTTTGTTAGATTTATAATTATTTATTTTTGGGTGGTAATTTAAATGGTATTGTGTTTTAATAGCAAATTCAAGATGTTCATTATTGGTATACAGGAAATCAATTAACTAATGTATATTAACATTTTATTTTGAAATCTTGATATAATAATTTACTAGTTCCATGTTTTCTTGTTGGTGGAGGTAAGCAATTCTTTGGGATATTCTACATAGATAATTGCATGATCTGCAAAAGAAGACTGTTTAATTTATTTCTTCCCAATCTGTATACTTTTCATTTTTATTTATGTTTTCTGCTTTCTCTGGTTTTAACTGAGCATTTTATGCAATACAATTTTGTATTCTTTCTGAGCATATCAATTATAATTCTTTAAACAATTTTCTTAGTGATTATCCTACAGTTTGCTATGTATATTTGTGATTTATCCAAGTCCATTTTCAAATAATACTCTACTGCTTCATAGTCAGTGCAGTCCTTACAACAGAGTATTCCTAATTCCTCCCACCCATCCCTTAAAATGTTGTAGTCATTCATTTCACTTATCCATAAACTATAATTGTACTTTGTTTCTATTAGTATTTTGAATAAATTATCTATAGAGCAATTAAAAATGAGAAAAATAAAAGTTTAATACCTTCATCTAGTCCTTCTTTATACTCTTTCTTTCATTATACTTTCTTACCTATATTATTTTACTTCTTTCAGAATAATTTCTTTTAACATTTTTTGCTGTTCTACCACCAGCATTTTCTCACATTTTTTTGTTAGAGAAATTCTTCATTTCTCCTTCATTTTTATGGGATAATTTTACTCAGTACAGGATTTCATAGTGGGAGGTTTTTTGTTTGGTTGGTTTTTTGTTTGTTTTACTTTCAACAGTCAATATTTTGTTCTGTTTTCTTCTTGCTTGCATAATTTCTGATGAGAAGTTCAATATGATTCTGATCTTTGCTCCTCCAAATGTAAGGTGTTTTTACTTCTGGTTTCTTTCAAGATTTTCTCTTTGTCTTTGGTGTTCTGCAGATTAAATATAATATGCTTAGGTGTTGATTTTTTGGTATTTATTCTACTTGGTGTTCTCAGAGTTTACTGTATCTGCAGTTTAGTGTCTGTCATTCATTTTTTAAATATTCTTATCCATCATTACTTCAAATATTTATTGTGGTCTTTTCATTATTCTTTTTTTTCTATTAGTATTTCATACTATAGCTCATAAGTTATACCTTTTGTAATTGTCCTTAGTCCTTGATGATTTTGTATAGTTTTATATTATTCTTATTTCACTTTGTCTCTTAGTTTAAGAGGCTTTAAATTTAATTCTTTCCTTGGTCATGTCGATTCTACTAATGAGCCCATCAAAAGCTTTCTTCATTTCTCTTAAAGTTTTTTTTTAATTTCTAGCATTTTATTTTTTAGATTTTCAATCTCTCTACTTACATTATCCATCTCTTTTTGTAAGTTTTTCACTTTTTACATTAAAGCTCTTAGCCTATTAATTATAGTTATTTTATTTTTATATTCCTGGTATTATAGTTACAAAATTTATGTTTTATGTAAATCTGGATCTGGTGGTTGCTTTGACGTTTACAACTATGCTTGTTGCTTTTATTATGCCTTATAATTTTTGGTTGAAATCTAGATATGATGTACATGATAAAATGGACTTAGTTAGGACTTTAATATAAGGGTTTGTGTTTGTTTGTTTTGTTTATCTGGCTGGGGTTAGTCTGTGTTTACTCTTTGCTGTAGCTGTAGTGTTGGAGGTTAAATTTCCACTGGTGTCTCCTCTAATGTCTTTGGATTTTCCTAGAGATTTGTTCCTAAATAATAGCGTCTGAGGCTTGTAGTTCTTATAACTGTAATCCCCTATTATTTAACAGGATCTGTTGATGTGGTGGTCATCTTTGGGGGAAGGGAAAGTGTTCTGAATACCTGTGACTAAGTATTGGTTTTATTGAATGTATGTCCCTAAGTTTGACTTTCAAATGGCTTCTCAGATTTTTCTGCCCTCTTTCTCTTTAAGACAGGAAAGGTAGAAGAGGCTTGATTTGATTATTTTCCTTTCCTCATTTCAAGGAGTGGTAGGGCCTGGTGCTGGGTAATTTTCTTACCTCACTCACGCTTAGGTAACACCCAAGTCTCTTAGGCTCTGGCAAAATTCTTACTCTTTTGGACAAACCTTGCTAAGGAGAATAAAAAAACTGTGCTTTTTTTTTTCTTTTTCTTTTTTTTTTTTTTTTTGAGACGAAGTCTCGCTCTGTCACCCAGGCTGGAGTGCAGTGGCGCGATCTTGGCTCACTGCAAGCTCCACCTCCCGGGTTCACACCATCCTCCTGCCTCAGCCTCCTGAGTAGCTGGGACTACAGGCCCCCACCACCACGCCCAGCTAATTTTTTTGTATTTTTAGTAGAGACGGGGTTTCACCGTGTTAACCAGGATGGTCTGGATCTCCTGACCCCATGATCCGCCCGCCTCGGCCTCTCAAAGTGCTGGGATTACAGGCGTGAGCCACTGCGCCTGGCCACAACTGTGATTTTTTTTTTTTTTTTTTTTTTTTTTTTTTTTTTAAGTGTTACTTTTTTCCTATCCCTGCTGGAAACATGAGAAGATTTTTATTCATTTTTCACAATGGGAACCTTTTGAGCTCCTGCAGGTAAAACTTACAAAATTTGGGCTGACCCCCACTCAAGAGTGCCCCTCCTGGTAGAGTTATTAATTCTCATGCTAATCCACACTGAGCCTCCAACAATTCATCAGCTCTGCTGTGTTTCAGTAGCAGGAATCTGCTCCTGCTCCCAATAAACTGTGATTCTTGGTATCCCTCTATCACTCTAGTTTTTGGAGCAGCAATTTGCCCCGTGCTATCAATTATCCAATGGATCTAAGATTTGTTGATTTTAGTTTTATTTTTCTCTTTGTGAGGATGGGGGTCATGATTTCCAAACTTTTTACATGTTGAATTAGAAATTGGAAGTTACAGTAAACTATTTTTAATACTAATATGCACAAGCTTTAATTATATATTTTTTCCATTTTGTTTAACCCTTCCTATTGTGTTTTAAATACTTGCAGATATCATTCATCTTGCAATACTGAAGTCCATTTCTGTCAACTTTATTTTTTTATGCCTTGTTATTCATTTTCAATTGTCAGTTTTCCTCCTGATGTTTTTGCCTTCTTGTATGGCTTTCTTAAAAATTGATGCAGTATTTATAAATTGTAGAGATATACTGAGGTCCTGGATACTTTTGCAGTATTTATTTATGCTTCTTGTAGGCAGCCAGGGCAAGGCAGATCTTAATTTATTCAAGATTGCAACATTCTATATATGCATTTCAGTACATGTTAGGACATGTCTATTTCCAGGTCACTTTTATTTGAAAGATACCATTCTTTAGGTATCCAACAAAGCCTTTGATATTCACCTTGCCTGGGAAGGCCCTGAATTATTATTATTATTTTTTTGGCCTGAGCAGGTCCCTGGGACTTAGAAACCTTTCCTGAATTTTTAACCTGTCAGCTGCTACTTTTTCCTCAAGGAGAAAAGCATTATCGAATCCTCTACTCTCTTCTCCTGTCTTTCCTTATCTCATCGATTATATTCCTACAAATTCACATTATTTTGAAAACTCTTTATTGTCTTCAGAATGTTTTCTTGTTTCACTTCATTTTTAATACAGAAATATAGCTTTTCTTATTCAATAAAAACATTGGTCAGAAATATCTTGTGATTCTGCCAATGCCTGAATTCCACTTAATGAATATTAATCAATAAATAATAATATATAAAGAAAATTATAAATCAAGTTATTCTGACAATTAATTTAATTTAATTTGAACAAACCAAGGTTAGTCATATTTCCTTATTTTTGTCAAATGCATATACATGCTAAAGCTTCTTTGAATATTCAAAACGTGAATTTGGTAACTGAAGTTTATTTTAACAGTGTGTCCAAAAGGAAGTAACTCATTCTCATACTTATGTCAAAAAATTAACTTCAGATTTTGGAAACAAAATTATTACCAGAAAGAAGTCCTGATTCAGACTCCAAGAGAGGGTCTTGGATGTTGTGTAAGAAAGAATTCAAGGTGTGACCAAAGAATAAAGTGAAAGTGAGATTATTAAAAAAGTAAAGGAATAAAAGGGTGGCTACTCCATAGGCAGAGCACTCCTGAGGACTGCTGGTTGGCTATTTTTATGTTTTTTTCTTGATAATATGCTAAACAAGGGGTGGAGTATTCATGAGTTTTCCACAAGAGGCAGGCAATTTCTGGAGCTGAGGGTTCCTCCCCTTTTTAGACTGTCTAAGGTAACTTCTGGACATTTGTAAACTGTCATGGTGATAGTGGGAGTGTCTTTTAACATGCTAACGGATTGCAATTAGCATATAATGAGCAATGAGTATGACCAGAGGTCACTTTTGTTGCCTACTTGGATTTGGCAGGATTTGGCCAGCTTCTTTACCACAACCTGTTTTATCAGTAGGCTCTTTATGACCTGTATCTTGTGACATCAGTGCTACCAATCTCCTGTCTTATCCTGTGACTAAGAATGTCTAACGTCCCAGGAAGGCAACCCAACAGGTCTCATTCTCATTTTTTCACTCTGGTTTGAATGCCTTTGGCAAAATATTGCTACATTTGGTGGCAATTGTAATACAAAACAGTCTTCGTATTATAATTAAATATTGAATAATTGAATATTCCAAAATTTAAAATTAGTTTTATCTGTTGATCTTGGAACTTCACTATTAAGTAAATAATTTTATGAGAGATGAAAATGGAGAGTCATTGAATTATTTCATTGATACTAAGAATGTCTAGTTTTCACGAGACATTAATAATTCTTATAAGTAGCACCACTGGACTAGATGTCTTTAGATATTTGATGGTATTCTCACAAACTTTTGATGCGTATCTGTTGAAGCATATAATGTCCTTGTAGGCAATATGCATATAGTTATGTTGCCTGCTGCCAAGTAGATGAAGTAGCATGATGTCAGCCAGGTGATTAGACTGTCTCCAAGTATAAGTAATTTACATTTATAAAATAAAGTATGATTTTGAAACTGCTTTTGCAAAAATTGCATCAGTGAAAAAATTATGCCAGTGGAGGAGATCTGATCTAGCCAATCCTCATCTTGTCTTTAGCCTTCAAGCTGCCCTTAATTACTCCTGGGTTTATGCATGCTAACTTAGGGAGACATTCAATTTGTAGTTTAAACGATAGTAGCACTTCCCCAAAACTCAACTGCCTTTGTAAAGCTAATGAGAGACCACCAGACTAGGATGATAGAGGAGGCTGAATTCTGCTAAGGTGTAGACATAGGTAATTGCCAGCCATTATTCTGGAGATCACAAGATATGCAGCTTCCCCAGTTGCTTCTACAGATAACATCGCTATTGTAGAACCTAAGATTGGCTTTTTGAGATACTTTTTCAGGTTTTTTTTATGTCTAGCTACCAATGGCTCTATCTGGACCCGCCAGCCACTCTTATGGCCTCACCCAGTAATGACTTAGCTCACAGGAGGACCATTTCCCACACCCCTGTGATTGCACGTTCAACCAATCAACAGCAAGCACCCATTGTCTAGCCACCCCTACCACTTCCTCCAAACTACCTTTGAAAAACTCTAGCCCCCAAATTTCTTGGGAGACTGATTTAAGTGATAATAAAACTCCAGTCTTTTATTTAGTTAGCCCTACCTGTGTAAAACTCTTTATTGCAATTCCCCTGCCTTGGTAAATCAGCTCCATCTGGGGAGGGGCAAGAGGAACCCACTGAGTGGTTACGTTGTTAAGTAGCAATTCCCTCATGTTAAAGATAACATTGTAAACGCTGACTAAGAATTAGCTGGGCTTTTCACAGGGTCACTAAGAGAACTATCTGAGATAAAGTATATGGGTACATTCTTCATTTAAAAAATATCAGTTACTTAATATTGGATTGTAACATTGAATTATAAACTTTTTACACTCATTGAGTCAGGCATCATCATACATGCTAGAGTAAGCAATAATGTTTTTCTTCTGGAAACTCTTTAGGGAACTATTTAAGTGCTTATTGTTAACGTGTCTTAAATCTTACAGAGTAGCTTTGAGATTGAGGTCTAAAAACATCAACAGCAAGATAATACCACACAGAACTCCCATCTCACAGGTCTCTGGATCTCAAACTATGCAAAACTAAAAACTAAGCAACATTCTATGGATCCAACACTTCCATTATGCTTAATGTTTGTCAACGTTGTTTTAAATAATTGGTCTACTCCATTTTCAGGAATCTATCGGTAGGTCTTTTATTTTCTTCACAGATTACTTAATATCATGGAAAATATCCTCTTATATACTGTTTAAGCTGCACACTATTCAATTGTATAATCTTACTGCAGTCAGAGCTGCAGGAGTCTCTCCCCAAATGTGGGGCTATGCTCCTAGAAATTAGCATGGTTGAGAAAAAAAAATCTGTCTGTGTTTGGCAAGAACAACGTATCATAAAATAGGAGGTTTGGTGGGAAGTAATAAAGGCGTTACATATATAAGTGCACCTACACACGCAGAGAAATTTAGTTTCAGAAGGCAGCTGCTTCCAAAACGAACAAGACATAATTCATGTTACAAACCAGGTTCTACCAGTAACTGTCCTCTTTAACCACCTTATATTTTTCAGAAAAACTTGGTGTACTTTTATTTTCTTCCAAGGCAGAATCTCCAAAAATTTTGGTATTATGTAACTCTATCACTTTAAGCATTTTATTAAAACTAGTCCTTGCTGGATTTAAATGCCATGCCCTTTTCCTTGAAATGCCTCCTTCTCCCCAGTCCCTTAACACCCTTTCACTAATTTCCGTTTTTCAGATTTTAGCAAATTGCTTATATCCTCAAGCAAATTGCTTGAGAAAATGTCCACATGACATTTTCTCAAAATTGCAGTTGGCCTTTGAACAACACGAGGTGTTGGGGTGGCAGTCTCCCCCGCTGTTTAAAATCCATGTATAATTTTGACTCCCCAGAACTTAAATACTAATAGCTTACTGTGGACAAGAAGCCTTATCGATAATATAAATAGTTGATTAACAAATATTTTAATGTTACATGCATCGTATACTGTATTTGTAAAATACAGTAATCTAGAGAAAAGAAAATGTTCTTAAGAAAGTTATAAGGAACAGAAAACATATTTACTAGACAATAAGTGGAAGTGGGCCACAGTAAGTCTTAATTCTCCTTGTCTTCACATGGTGTAGGCTGAGGAGGAGGAGGAAGAGGAGAGGTTGGTCTCACTATCTCAGAGGTGGCAGAGAAAGAAAATCCATGTACAAGCGGATCCATGCAGTACCAACCCTGTTGTTCAAGAGTTAACTGTAGTATAATGCATAGGCACTTTTTCTTGCCCTGCTCTTCTAGCCATTCTTACCAACACAACATCATGGTTTGCGCTACACTGAGCATATTTAAAAATGACTGAGGACTTAAACGTTTGTGATACAAATCCAGTGCTATATCATCTCAGCACTATTTCTGGAAAAACAAGTTGCTGAACTAAAAGTGGGAATTCACCCAAAAGTCTTGTGAAATCTATTCATGGGTCTAGTGTGATCTACCAGATGAGGCTAGTGTGATTCTGTGTGTTCGTTTTATTGAAATGCAATGTGAAGGTGGTTTTATGGAGCTCTAAGAGGACATCTTGGTCTTAGAAGTGTACAGCATGGACTCTGACTCAAATGCTGCTTAGCTGGCCTTCTTCTGGGGACTTGTGTATATACAGAGACAAACAGCAGACAAAAGCCAAGACAGACAGAAATGCCCATGAGTGATTTCTTGCCTGAGGCCTGTTCAGAGCTGGGAATGGAGGCTTTCTTCTTACTTTATGCGCCCCCTGGTACCACCTAGGTGAAGATAGCAGGAAGGCAAGATCACCTTAAAACTTCTGGATTTAACCCGTTCAGGACAGTAGTCCACATAAACATTGGCAAAAATATCATTTTCATGTATGCTTTGCAACCTGTGACATCAATTCGTGGGATTAGATAAAGTGGACTGAAATTGCAAGGTCAGTTTGGGTGATATTTAAAGACAGTTTGGTGACACCTGGCGTTTTTCAGAGCAATGAGGTTTTGTAGAGTGAAAGTTAAATTTGAGTAATTACAACTAACTTAGTTCACTTCATATCTTTTGGCTGAGTAAGCCTAGAAAAGTTGTGTTCTCTATAACAAATTATTTTGTTTATTTACATGGTGGCTTTACAAGTATAGTGATAGCTGTTCATGTTAAAAAAAAAAGATAAGTATCCTAATTAAATATTGGTTTCTGATAATATGCAATCCAAAAATAAACTTGTAATACCTAAAATAATTAGGTGTTATCCAGAGAAGCTTCAGTGTTCATGTTTATTTTAGTGCTAATCATTTCCTCTCTTGATACAGTGTTTTTCTGATTAAAACATTTGGGCAGTCTGGAACTTTAGGACATATGAAAATTATACACTTTATAATTTTTAACATCCAAAGAGCGTGCTTTCTCGAGCAGGAATTTGTATAGTTCCATCTTAACCTCCATAGTTTAATTAGCCATCCATTTTTCAAAGTCTGGATATTTGTGAGGTTAGACCCAAATTTTTACTGACTTAATAAAGTCACTATTGTGAGCCAATGATATTCTTGATCAACAGACACTTCTTTTCCAAGTAGGCATTTGAGGTTCTACCATCCTCTTGTGCCATAAATTCCTGAGCTTCCAGAGAGCAGAACAGGAAAGAGTGGGTGAAGGCACATCCCAGAAGCAACTCATTTTGCATCGTTCATGTTCCATTTTGACAATTTGTCAAACAGCCCCACACCAAAGAAGCACGGACTAGGACATGTAGGCCCTGGGTGGGCAACCATTTCCTAGCAACAACACTTCCATTAAAAGAGTAGTACGAAATTCGCTGTCTCTGCCCCACAAGTATCCTACTTCTTCACTTTCTCCAAAGTCCCAGAGGGTCAACAGAGCATTCATCTTCATTAGTATGAAGATATCGATAATGCTGTTGAGGCTCATTGTCCACACTGTTTCACAATGCTGGGGCCAGAGGAGAGAACCACGTCAGAAACTTAGTGGGATGAACTGAAATTATGATGGATTCAAATTTCAGCCCACTTCTGAGTAATGAAGGAAGAGATAATGATATTGTTCTGGGCTCAGAGACAGCAAGATGCCATTTTGTCCCCATCAATTCTCCAGAATCCAGCAACACCTAGTGAGTTAACAGAAACATAAATTCATAAAATTATTTGTGTTACCATGTGTTCACACTCAAATATTCTATCAACTAAAGCATTCTTTGCCCAGAATTGCTCTGCTGCTTCTTTTGAAGTCCAATAAGTATCATGGTTTCCAAATGTACTTCTTTTTTCTTTTTTTTTCAGATGGACTCACACTTTTGTTGCCCAGGCTGGAGTGCAGTTGCATGATCTCAGCTCACTGCAACCTCTGTCTCCTGGGTTCAAGTGATTCTCCTGCCTCAACCTCCCAAGTAGCTGGGATTACAGGTGCACACCACTGTGCCTGGCTAATTTTTTTTTGTATTTTTAGTAGAGACGAGGTTTTACCATTTTGGCAGGCTGGTCTTGAACTGCTGACTTTAGGTGACCCACCTTCCTCGGCCTCCCAAAGTGCTGGGATTACAGGCATGAGCTCCCGTCACCTGGCCCCAAATGTACTTCTTTTAGTTCTATCTTGCCACTGGCATTTCCAACTACATGCTGTTAGACTCCCTCCGATCTTTATTTCTTGCCAAAACCATGCCCTTCCTCAGCTATTGCATTACCGAGTCCTGGCTTACTCCAATGACTATACAAAAATTATGGTTCCCAACTACTTTCTCGTTTCAATATTTGGTGTGCTACTTTTTCATCCTCAACTGAAAATAGGTTAATGAGAAAATGTAAATTTAAGAAAATGATATTAAAGAGAAAGCAGAAGATTACAATCAGGTGGCTAATCTGGTGCCATACACCAATATCCACATTAACACCAAAATACTAAAAGTTTACCATTTGACAGAGAGTAATGGAATTCTCTGAGCCATACCACAGTCTTTGAAGAAATATTATCTGGCTTGAAATGACATCTCTATCTTTAGTCAAGATCCAATGGCTCGTTGTTAAACATGAGGTCTTGGAAGAACCATTCTCAAAGACAAAACAAATGTTCTTTCTTCATATTGGTACACCCCCAAATCTGCTACTGTCTGCTTCAGCAGATTATTCTTCAGCAGATCATTATTATTATTATTATTTTGAGTCCTCCCCAAATAACGATTTTTATTAAACCAGCAACAATTATTATACAAATAACTAATATTCATAGAACATAAATTTTATGTCGAGCAATCTGCTAATTATTCACAAATATATTATAAAGGTACCATTAATATCTGCATTTAAATATGAGCAAGTGGTGTTTCTGACTGCATATTTAGGTAGAAATGCTGACTCTTGTTTCATGTGTCTAAAGCAACTCATGCTCATCTCAGAAATCATTAAGCGAGGAACAGAAGAGTTAGAGCAATCCCATTGGCTAACAGGCCTTGCAAGGGAAGATTTTAAGCCTATTTATGAAGATGCTTGAAAGAAAGTGGTAATAACAAATAATTTACCCAAATACATACAAAAAGGACTTGTGGAAGGCAGGGAACGAAAACTACCTGTCCTACGAAACCAGAAAGTACCTCATCTGTTTACCAGTTAAAGATTGAACCCAGGAAATGAACAAAAAAGAGGTTCATGTCTTCTAAGACTTGGGGCAGGGTTCTCCTGTATTAACGTCTCTAGTAGGAAGGATTCCTAAAGGTGCACTCCTTCCTCCAAGATTTCTGTCCCCTGGTTATTTAGTCAACCATTAATCCCAGTTTGGGAAAATGGTTTCTGTGCTTCAGATTTCAAATTGACTTATTGATTTTTGTTTGTTTTATTTTCCTTACCTCTCACTATGTAAAAAATTACACATACATGGCCAGGCCCGGTGGCTCACGCCTGTAATCCCAGCACTTTGGGAGGCTGAGGCAGGTGGATCACGAGGTCAGGAGATCGAGACCATCCTGGCTAACACAGTGAAACTCTGTCTCTACTAAAAATACAAAAAAAATTAGCTGGGCGTTGTGGCAGGCGCCTGTAGTCCCAGCTACTCGGGAGGCTGAGGCAGGAGAAAGGCATGAACCCCGGAGGCAGAGCTTGCAGTGAGCCAAGATCGCGCCACTGCACTCCAGCCTGGGCGACAGAGCAAGACTCCGTCTCAAAAAAAAAAAAAAAAAAAAAAAAAAAAGGCGGGGCGTGGTGGCAGCACTTTGGGAGGCCGAGGCGGGTGGATCATGAGGTCAGGAGATCGAGACCATCCTGGCTAACGTGGTGAAACCCTGTCTCTACTAAAACTACAA
The DNA here is from genome assembly GCF_000001405.40 of Homo sapiens. Classification (NCBI taxonomy): domain Eukaryota; kingdom Metazoa; phylum Chordata; class Mammalia; order Primates; family Hominidae; genus Homo; species Homo sapiens. Next base: position 52,454,885 of record NC_000007.14, read on the forward strand.
AAAATTAGCCGGGCGTGGTGACGGGAGCCTGTAGTCCCAGCTTCTCGGGAGGCTGAGGCAGGAGAACGGCATGAATGAGGGAGGCAGAGCTTGCAGTGAGCCGAGATGGCGCCACTGCAGTCCAGCCTGGGCAACAGAGTGAGGCTCCATCTCAAAAAAAACAAAAAAAAATTACACATACGTAAACATAACACACACACACACAAACACACACATGGAGTTACGTACTAGATTGTGAAGAAGCTGTTCCCTTTACCTAATTCTAAAGTGAATTTTAATAGTTTCAAGTTGTTATTTTCCATTATCATGCATTCCTGAATGAGGACAATGTATCTCTTCTTTGTTTTACCCCAACAGAAAACGTCTGTGGCTCTCTTATATCTCTACTGTCTGATATTTTATTTTCAGTGGTGGCCACCGTTTCCGACCAGCTCTGGCTGGGCTAGAGGAGGTGTCCATCCACCCCAGAACCCTTCCTGAGACTAACGGGCTCGGCCATGGTGATGTAACCCAGGGGCAAGTTGTTTCTGAGAAGGTGGAGCCCTGGAAACCTCATGTTCTGTCTGAAGTTATTTATTTATTTATTTATTTAACAGGAAACTCAAAACACTTCCAGAGGCTGAAGATAGTTCCAGGACCAATGTTTTTGTCATCTTCACATAAACCAATGCAAGACAAAAAATGCTGACATATAATGTGCCAGTTATTCCTGTAGAAAGCAAAATTAACTCCATATATTTTAAGGGAAGTGGGTTCAATTCACAGAATTAGGTCCATACAAGACATCTGGAAGGAATAGAAGAGTGGGAGGCAGGCAGCCACTCCGTGCTCAGGATCACACCAAGTGGCAGGGAGGCATGGATGGAGCCCTGCCACTTCCGCTGCCCTGGCGCAGCCACACGTCCCTGCTGACGCTCGCCTTACAAGAGTCGTCTTGTCTTACTCAGACTGACTCCTTGCTGCTACTGGACAGTTGCACCTCTATGGTCATGCTTGCTGGCAGAAAGAGCAGCTGGAAGAAAACCTCCTGTCTGCCGTCTGTATCTCATGCCAGTGCTTCTAGCTGACAAATAGGGTTTTCATCCTGAACTTAACCTGCAAAGAGGTCTATATAGAAAAAGCAGATTTTATCTTTCCATCTTTCATTGTACAAGAACACTCCACTACAGAAGGCCAAACTTCACTCCTGTAATCCCAGCACTTTAGGAGGCCGAGGGATCACGAAGTCAGGAGATCGAGACCATCCTGGCCAATATGGTGAAACCCTGTCTCTACTAAAAATACAAAAAATTAGCTGTGTGTGGTGGCGGGTGCCTGTAGTCCCAGCTACTAGGGAGGCTGAGGCAGGAGGACCGCTTGAAACCGGGAGGCAGAGGTTGCAGTGAGCCAAGATCACACCACTCCACTCCAGCCTGGGCAACAGAGCGAGACTCTGTTTCAAAAAAACAAACAAAAACAAACAAACAAAGGCCAAAATTGAGCTGAATGAGCCACTCCACATTGTTCTCCACCCCACACTTTACTGTTTCAAAGACTCTGACTTTCAGTACCTGCATCTTCTGTGCACTGACTGTCAGCTCTCAATTTCCCAACACACAGTGTTCCCAGGACAGCCTTCTCCCTGCCCTCCATACAAACAATTCTCCGTTCGTATGTTTGTTTGGCTTGCAGCCTTAGAATGAAGAAGAAATTGTATCAAAAAAGACATAATCCAAACACAGTTTTCTACTGTGGTATTCTGCTGCATCTTTGATTCAATTTCAGAGAATACACGATGTCAAATCTGTCTCTTTACTGCGTTGGGTTCAGCTGGAGCTGTTCCTTTATGTAGGCTAACAGGGACAGCACACACATCTTTTTCTTTAGTTTTTCTGTCTATCTTCAAATATCTCATTAATAAGGTAAATTGTAAGTTTTAGCAATAGCTTGGCTGTCAATCTTAATTTAGTGAGTTGTAAGTTTTGTTTGTTTCCTTTGTCTTAAAATACATTTAGTAGGTGCCGGAGAAGCTCTATCAGGAGGCGGTTTCTAGGAATAATGTAACCCAAACGTCCTATAGGTGATATTTATGGTAATTCATTAAATATGTATGTAGACAATCCTCATAAGATTTCAATATTCTGGTAGTAAGTTTAGTTAAATGTTGTGGAAGCTTTAAGCTATCAGAAATAAATGATGAAAACAGAGTAATATCTATTACTAACCATTGTTCTCATAGTTCTGTGGAAAATATCTGTGTTTAATTATCATTGAATCACAATTAAACCTATGGCAGATCCTTCTGGTACAAAGAGGAAAATCAAAATATACTTTGTGTATGCTCTAATTAACCCATAGTGGCTAGAAAACAGAGAAGTGGAAAAGTGGCACAATAAATCTTTATTGTTCCACTATTTTTTTCTGACACAACCTTGTACATTATTTAGGAGCAAAGATAGGGCATTTTTGGACAATTATGCATAGGAGGAACTGAGTGGGTTTAATTTATATTGGCCAAGGTCTCCTCTAACCCTAGTCTTATTAATTGAATAGAATTTCTGAATTATAGAGTTATTAATCTTTCTTTTCAGGATTTTTCATGGATTTTCAGTGATTCAATGAGTTTGGATCCACTGTATTTTTTAAATGCTCAAATTTTCATAAATTTTCTGTTGAGAGCTCCTTCAAACTGGATATTAGGTTCTTTGCTATTATCCCATTACTACTTAAAAGCACATTTACTTTGTGGTAAAAGGTACACCAGGGTCTCATTCTATTCCCCCAACTGGAAATCAATCATTTCTCAAAGGAGCTTACATTAAACTTATTGGGAAAAGGTATTATAGGCTCCAATTTGGGTACCGTTTATTGCTGGTGTGCTCATTACTACTGACATGACATTGTCTTCAGGCTATTTCAAAGAGAAGAGCTAGAAACATCTCTAATGTATATCTATCTCTATATCTATTTCTATATTTATTTACAAATCTTGAGGTCATAGTGATATTTACAATTCAGTTCAATGTGAGACATAACAGTGTCTCTGTTTCTATGATGTTATAATTTTAACAGTTTTTCTTACAACATTGACTACTAACTCCATTTACATAATACCTATAATAGGTGATACTTCTACAAAAAAGCCAAATAAATAAAATTTAAAATTTATTCTTTTATTTATTCTTTAATGCATCACAGTAAGAATATACGGTGAAAATACTTTGTTAGAAAGTTCCATGAATTAATCTTTTCTTAGAGTGGTTTTGCAAATAATTTCATAAATAGCTGGGTTGATTTATGCAGCTGATCTTGTTATGGTTCCCAGTGATTGTCTTCCTCCACTCCCCATTATTGTGAGATAATCACATACCTCCTCCAGTTGTTGTGTGACTTGCAGTTTCTCCCTGTGGAAACACAGTAATTCTACAACTCTGTGGTTAGGTGTGGCTCTGTGAATTGATCTGCCAGTGGACGTGTCATGAGCCACTGTTGGGGAGAGAAGAGGCCTTGCCTTTTTACTCTTTCCTCTATCAGGGGAACATCATACCTTTCTTACTGGCTGTCTCTTCAGCCTCAGGGCCCACTGTATACAAGACATACCTGACCTGCAGCCCAGTGAAAAGGCAATAAATGTGTTATTTTAAGCCCGTGGGATTACATACATATAGAAATACAAATATAGTGAAGTCTTACATCCAACTGTGTCCTTGCTACCCAAACTCTTCTATTTCCTCTTCCAATATGTCATTATTTCTATGGTTTTAAGCTTAATCTCATGGTTTTTGTTTTGGTAATTAGGCAAACATGCAGTATATTAATGAAAATGGAGTGGTACTCCCCCAAATAAACTGATAATGAACTCAATATATTTAAGCTCTTCTAACTTGCTTTGCTCTAACTTGCTTACCAGGAAACTTTATGAGCTACACTTTTGCCTTATGAGTTTAACTAACTGCCCAGATGAAATGTATCCTGTGAAATACTAGTACAAGTTGTGCAAACAAATTGGGAATTATAAGAGAGTAAAAGGGGTTCTTCAAACATGAGCCTTGAGAAGTTCTAGTCTTGTGACCATCCCCAGCACCTATGGGAATGGACACACTTGGGCCTTCCCTAAGATGGCTGCTGCTTCTTAAATGTTTCCTCTAAGCACATCACCAGTTAATATAATTTCTGAGAGAAGTCTTGGCCTTCTTTAAAATAGTACCATCATTAAACTGGATCATTCATGGCAGAGCAAGCCTAGTTAACTAGCTCTTAATCTGCTTGGATGGAACAAAAATGCAAATTTTCCTTCTAAGCAAAACAACATGAAAAGAAACTATTGTTTCCCCTTAATTTCAACTCCATTTTCATACTTGAGACATGAGGAGGGAGAAGACGTTTGATTTTCATTGAGTACAAGGTTAAATTTGGATAGTGAGTATAACATGCTTAGAAGAAATTGTGGTAATCTTTTTCAATAAGGTGATGAGGATAGAAAGAACTATTTTTTTTTTGCATCCTCGATTGAGACAGTTTCTTTACAATTGAAAAGAGAACTAACTGCAAAGATTCTGGAAGACGATGGCTTCCACAGTGCATCTATTTTGTTTTATTTTATTTTTTCTCTTTCCTATACTGATTAGTAGTAAATATCCTAAAATATAAGAGTCTTTTATTCTGAGAACTCCAAGGAGATAAAATGAAAAAGGAAGAGGGTTGGGTGGAAGAGTGCTGGGAAGTACTGAAACAGGAAAGCTCTAAGCTAGATAACAGATTCATTCACAGAGGTTCTGACAGGGGGTTTTCTGTCCGCAGGGGCTGCCATAACAAAATAGTACAAATTGCTGGTTTCAATACAGGTATTCATTTCCTCACAGTTCAGGGGGCTGGACATCTGGGATTTGGATGCCAGCATGGTCAGGGTCTGAAGAGGGCCCTCTTCTGGGCTCACAGAGGCTGCCTCCTCTCTGTGTCCCACGTGACCTCGCCTTGGTGTGTGCATGGAGAGTGAGCAATCACCTTTTCCTTTTCTTATAAGGACATCGATTCTATCAGATTAGAGCCTCTTCCTTATGACTTTAAGCCACTTACCCCCAAAAAGTCCAGTTCTCTAAATATAGCCACACTGAGAGTGAGGATTTTGACATAGGAATTTTGGCAGAGGTGGGCTTTGAGGGAGGGAATTTCACAATTCAGCCCATATCAAGGGTTTTAGCGTATGAGACAGAAAAGCCCACAATGGCACGTGGAAGGAGTAACACCTAGATGTTTCATTTTTCTATCACTTTTTAACATTCTTGTCTAATGATGAGAATAAATCATTATTATTTTAGAAACACACATATATCTTGCAAAGATATAATAGGAAATTTAAAAATACATATATATCACGACACTAGAAATGCCTGGTAAAATAAAGATAGACATTACGATTCTATAATTTTTCAAATTACAATGAGACCAGAGTAAAAAGAAGCAGACTCTATGTGACATTTCATCTTAACAAGGAAAAAAGATGAGAGGAGATAACAACATTTAGAAACAGAAAGATTATTTAAGATTAGAAGAAATTCCAATTACTTTTCTGAAATTAATAGGAAAAATTATAATCAATGAGTTCTTAAAATTGTGTGAAGATATTCAAAGGTTCAGTGGAAGAGGATTAGCATTTATACCCTGAGAAAATCTCACAGTCCCCTATAATTTGATAGTGACAGTTAGTGGTTTGATACCAACCTGAGATCATTTGCTTTTAGACTTAAGAGTATATTTACTATCAGTGAAGATCCAAACATACTCTAGAAAATGTTGAGAGCAGATAAAAGTTTTTGAATGGTTTCAAGGTCAAATGTTTCTGGAAATTATTATATTACATTGAGAATACATTTTAACTGTGTGTACAATTTAAATATATTAAAATTAGCAGGCTGGGGTGGGGGTGGCTCACACCTGTAATCCCAGCATTTTGGGAGGCCGAGGCGGGCAGATCATGAGGTCAAGAGATCAAGACCATCCTGGCCAAGATGGTGAAACCCCATCTCTACTAAAAATACAGAAATTAGCTGGGCACGGTGGTGCAGGGCTGTAGTCCCAGCTACTCGGGAGGCTGAGGCAGGAGAATTGCTTGAACCCGGGAGGCAGAGGTTGCAGTGAGCCGAGATCGCGTCACTGCACTCTGGCCGGCAACAGAGCACGACTCCATCCCCCGCCCACAAAAAAAAAAAGAAATTGGCTCCATTATGTAGAACATTTCTGTACCTATAATGTGATGCTATTGTGAATTTTCAAGAAAGGGTATATAGCATGCAGCCTTATCCAAATTTAACCACTAGGAATCAGATTTTCAGGTGGGTTTCTTTAGTCTAGTGGTCCTCAAATGGTTCCAGAAACTCTGAAATATAATTTTGATTTTTTTTTTTCTGGAGACAGTGTAATCCGACCATATTTAAAAACAACGTTCTACTCCCAAATTGCTTAAATTGTCTTTAGAGAAACAGGTCATGTATAATAGACAAAAATCTAAGTTTGCCATTTCCTGACAAACTTGCATGCATAGTTTGCCATTTCACTTGGAAGAAGGAAAGGCCATTTTTGGAGGGAATGTATGGGAGATACGTGGAATAAATGGGAACTTCGCTGAGGCCTGAAGATGGGGGCACGTGACACACGAGAGGACACTGGCACTGGTAAGAGAAGAACAGGATTCGTGAAGCATGGAGAATACCTTAAATAAGAATCAGTCTCCTTGAGTCTGATTTTATTTTTTCTCTGACCACTCTTAGCGGAGAAACAGTGCTGAAACATGACCCAGAGCATGGGATTTCAAATCAGACCAATGGAGCTTCGCTTTTCACTTCTCCATTTCAAACCTTTGTGAACGTCGCTTAGCTATAGCGCTGCACCTCACCTGCAGATGGGGGTAATGATAGCAGCCAGTTCATTGAGTTATTGGAAGATTAATTAATGCCCTTAAAGCACCTTCCTAGCATTGGCTCCACCTAAAGTAAGTGATTAATGTATATTGAAATATTATTAATACTGTAACTCCTTACCTTGTAATCAGTGCATCTGTTTTGAGCTAAAATCACAGTGACTTCTTTAGCTAAAATGAATTATTTTGCTGAATATACAATTCAGATAGCACAATTAAGCATTTTTCACTTAAGTATTTTGTGTTTAACGGTTTCCTTTGTGTACATACATATAATATATAAACTATATAAATAATTATTTGTGTTTAGTTTGTTGATATTTAGTATCTAGAGAGAGCCTTGCGTTGTCCAGGCATTCCCTCCTGGTTTCAAATCCCCTTCTTCCCCGCCAGCGTTTCCTCTTAAGGATGTGAAGAGGTGTCCTAATTACAAGTCAGGGCGCATACCTCGGTGCGCCCCCTTCTTCCTGTGCTGTTTGTCTTCAGTGCCTCACACCAGTGCCTTGGACCCATTTGACTTCCTTCATCTCTGCTGACATTTTTCTTTCTGTCTCATATCAGGAGGTGCACTGTGAAAAACCTCCCCTTTGAGGAAGCTTCAAAAGTTACGTTTCTGTTCTAGCACAGCTCTTTTTTCTAGTTACATCTCTTACAAGTATAACCTGTCTTTAATCACTGCATGACCTTGACAAGATTTAGAATCACAGAACCTCATCACTCACATGGACCCATGGGAATACCCAGTTGAACCCAATACAGAAAATTTCTTTCAATCACCCCTGAAAAATGGCTGTGCAACCTTTGAGTGTATTTCTGCAGTGACAGAGTGCTCCATAACTCAGGAGGCAGCAAATCCCATTGTTGACTAGCCTTAAGAGCATCCTATATTTAGTCAATGTATGCCTCCCTACAACTTTAACCTGGGTAGTAACTCAGGGCTGCGTGACTGAAAGACGTACTGTGGAATACGAATACTCTTTCCAGCTCTCCAGAGAGATGGTAAATGAAATGCAGTTTTCATCTCTCAGTATTCTCCTGTACTTAACCATGGCAGTTTCTGATTAGTCATTGTCACTGTTGGAAGTGGCTTGAATTGGGCATTCTGCATCTCACCAGATGTATAGAGGGTTGTGGTGCACTCCAAAGCCTATTTTCCATCCATCAAGCTCTGTTTGCTCAGGCTTCGTCAGTTTCTATTATTAATCACTTATTTCATCTATTTTCCAATTGCTTTACAGAGTTGCCTCATTTTTAGCTAGTGGCTAAAGTTACTCAGCAGGTCTGTAGTTTCTTCACTTATAAAAGTGAGATAATAGGTCTGAATCCAACTTTGTACAGCAGAGGACATTATTCAAGTCTTAAAGTGCTTAATGTGTCCACATATTCATCAAGATATTCAAAATTATATTATCACATGCATGATTGTTTAAATTAATAAATAAAAGTTTAATATTTTTATAAAAGTAAAATGTTGGAAATTACACTCAATTATAGTAGTTGTTAATGTCTTATAAATATTGTTGATATTATTTTCATTGTTGTTAGTGTTTTATAAATATTAATCATGTAACATCCTTTCAGGAAGGAGCCATTCATATTACCCTTTGACGGATGAGGAAAATTGATATATGGCAAGAAAAGTGGCAGAGCTGATGTTTGAAACTCAAATTTCAGGTTCTAAAATCTTTGTATGCTTAACCTTTAGGCTGGATTACTTACTGAGTTAACACAATAATACCCATGTGATGAATACATGACACATGCTCTTTGGCATCAGGAAGAGGAAAGTTGGGAGTTTATAGATAAGAACAATTGGGTGTCACGGAAGTTAGTTGATGCATGTAGAATACAGAGATTGTGAGGTCCTTCTCAGAAATCTTTGCCTGTTGTCTTTTCTGCAGGATAGCCAGGCGTGCTGAACACTTGAGTTTTCAGTTAATGAGAGTCCCCATAGGTGTCCCTTTCCTTCCATGTTCCTTGGAACTGAAAATCTCTAAAGTTCACTTGAAAGAGGTTTTAACAAAAGCTTAATACAAGGCTTTGGATATTGAAGTAACAATGACCAACTTCAACAAATGCTTGGAAAAGGAAGTTTATCCAAACCTTTCAGGCTTTGGATAGAACTTTTGAAATCAAAGACAAATAGTGAAGTTCTCATGTTTAAGACATTCTTCAATGTTTAGGATACCTCAAAATTCACTTACTTCTCCAAAGGTTATAATCACAGAAAGTCATTTTCAAAAGAAATTAGGTACTACTTGTCACTGCAGTTCTTAAGAGCAGGAAATGGTATTTGCAGGTTTTGACATTGTGATAAATGTTTGTAATTGGGTTAATATTACTGTTTCGTACCAGAGAACTAACTACACTTTTCACCGCTGCTGAAGGGATGGCTTGGTTGGTAACGATCTGGACTATTTTGCTGAACATTTTCATTGTGCACACTTAGCATGCAGGGAATCTGAAACCAAGAAAGAAAATCAGTGCAACCTGGAATGCAAGATCGAATTTTACATTTTTTTTTTTTTACAATTAATTGACTTTATTTTCAGTTCAAAGTGTTCTATAACTTCAGTTGCTGATGGTTCAATTCACATTTGAAGCAAGTCTGAAAGTTAACTTAGAATGGTATTCCTAAATGTTTTCTAGTCACGATTTCCTAGAAACCCATTGTCCATCAGTAGTGCCTAAACTTTGCCAATCTACTTTTATTCAAAAAGGAGGCAGGGGGAAGGCTGGAAAAATAAACCAGGTTTGAAATAACATTTTACAAAGGTTTAAAACCTTTGTAAGCAGCAATTCAGACATTTAGTTTATTTTAATGTCATGCTTTTATTAGAAACTAGGAAGTGGGTTTTTTTTTACTTCATTGTTAAATTTGAAACAAGTGCATACTCAGTCCTTCTAAATGCAATTAGGTAAATAGAAGGCTCTTTTCCCACTAACTTACGCTATCACTGGAGATGTGTTATTTTTAGTATTGATTGTTTGGTTGGTTTGTTTGCCTTTAGAGACAGAATCTCCCTTTGGTACCCAGGCTGGCCTCGAATTCCTAAGCTCAAACAATCCTCCTGCCTCAGCCTCCTAGAAGATAGGACTATAAGCATCACTTGGATTGGTACATCCCCATCTTTGGAGGAAGTCTGCGATGAAGCCTTGTGTAAGTCAGTCACAGTGTTAAACTGAACCCAGGAGATTTCACAGGTAAGAAAACTGACTCATAAAAATCCAATAAATCATCTTAAATACAAAGTTCAAATTTAATATATTCCCTTTAAAAGTTAGTATTTTGGAGATAAATGTTTTACCAAACATGTTAGTAATAACTTATGCTTGTTAATTTTAAGTCAACATTGAGAGATGGTTTTATTACAATAATTTTTAACGATGTCTAAGACTGAATAAGAGTATCTGATGATAACCTAACCCGAGTAAACTTAAAAAAGCAGTAGTATTTCCCAATTAATAGCACAATGAACTGTGGCTTAACAATTTTCATATACTAGATATACTTTTCCCACATCATGACATATGAATTGTAAAGATGAAATTGCTAGCACTCTTCTCTGTTGAAGAGGAATTTTGGAACATGCAAATGCAGATGGTACTGGATAACCTCCAGTCTGTGCCTCCATCTTGCTATATAAACTCTTCTAAAATTAGTGGAATTCTCATAAGAAAAAAAAGGCAAGTCCAAAGTGAAGTCATGTTACTTGCTTGCCTGATACTTCAGGATGTGCAAAATTGAAACAATATGTGGTGTTCATAGCTAGTGTCAATATGTCTACCACATAAGAGATGCCTATTTAATTTTAGACACTGTTCAAGCGGATTTAAGGGCTTTATGATGAAAGCTGTTATGTGCCACCCAGTTCTCCCCTCAGCTTCTGGGTGTGTTACCAGATGACTGTCCTCAGGTACAGTCTGTTTTTGGGAATGCACAATTCCAAGCTCACAATTTCTTTCACAAGCAGCCTACATTCAGTGTCTGATCAACACGTGAGATCAAGAACCAGATGCTTCACCTACTCCAGACCACTCACCTGTGGCTCACTCAGCACTCCCCATGGGTGTGTCCTGGGTCATTTTCCACTGCACCACAATGCACTATCTCCCCATGCCAAAGCCTCCTGTCTCTCACAAGGCAGTGATCCCAATCATGCTTCCTCATAAGCATACTGCACACTAATTTTAATCTCAGATTTTGCTACCTGAAGGACCTAACCCATGACACTTGGTGCCAAGAACGGTCCAAATAAAGGAGAGGCTAAAATGGAATTCTGGAGTTGGACCAGCTGCCAACCAGCTGGCGATAAAAACTCCACTGGTGGCAGGTGGAGCACAGAGAGGCCCTGGCAGGAGCTAACAGCACAATTACTAAAACATTCACTGGCTGTGGATCAATGTTATACCACTGGCAAAAACTGCATTAGCTGGTACAACCTGGTGTTGAAGAGAGATGTAGTAAACAGTAACCATAGGGCAGTGGGATTGAGTGCCTATTGCTAAGCTTGAGAGTGATTGATTGATTGATAATTAAAAACTAAATGTGGAGACCAGAAGGCCTCACTGATTGCATATAAAGAGACTCTACTCTCTTAAAACTGGAAGGCAGAGAAAGCTGAGGACCAGACCTAGAGCTTAGTGGGAAAAGTAGCTGCGCTTCAAAGAAGAAAAATCCTCACCACGGCAGCTATGCCATGCCAAGTGCAGGAGCCTTGTTGGGAAACAATGACCCTGACATGTAGAATGAGCCTATCTGGGTTGATGCTCTAAATATTTTGAATCCCCAGGTTTTCCTTAATCCTCTGACTTTGCAAAAGTGGCATGCTCCTTCTTAGGAAAAGAGTGCTTCCTAGTGGGGCCAGGAACTCTCCATTGCTTGATAGAGAAGTCTTTGTTTTGAAAGACACCATGAACATATCACAGGTCCCTACTTCTTCTCCTGGCAGCCAGGAGGGTTAATTTACAACAAAACCAAGCTGTTTGTATCAAATAACAGCAGCTGTCATCTGGTAACATGATTGAATGGTCTGTTTAAAGGCACAGTTCATGCTCCAGCAAGGAGACAATGTTTTACCAGAATGGGGCACTATCTTTGAGAATGTAGCATGTCCTTTAAATCAGTGGCAGCTATATGGCACTGCTCCCTGAACAAGTAGAATGCATGGATCCAACAAACAAGAGATCAAAATAAAAGTCTCCCTACTCACCATCACTTCAAGTGATTTATTTGGGGACTTATGCATTTTATCTTTGCAGCTCTGTATTCCGTAGACTTAGAGCTTTTTGTTACCAAAGCGGGTTTGCCTCTACCAGGGAGACCTTAAGAGTCCCCTTGACCTAAAAGCTAAAGTCATGGTCTAAGCATTTCAGACTTTTCGTGCCAGAGAACCAGTAGGCAAAAAGAGTCAGTAATATGATGGGGTGTAGTTGATCTTGACTCTCAGGAGGAGACAGCTACTGGAGGGCAGGTAGGAGTACACCCGACACCTAGGTGGTTTACTTTGGCTTCTCTTGGCAAGTCCTTATCTAACTGAAGAATACATGGTGACCAGGGGCTTGGATGCCTAGGGGAATAGGGGTTAAAATCTAGATCACATCACCAGATGAACCACCAAGATAAACAGAGATGCTGGTGGAAGGTGAAGGTAGTCTAGATTGGATATTAGAGGAGGAAGACCCTGAGGATCCAGTGCAGCCTTGACACCAAATACAGAGGCAGGGCCTGGAGCTCTTTCCAGTGACCTTCCTCTGATAAATGACCAAGAGAAAGAAAGGCTTGCAGAATTCTTGGGAGTGTGCTCCCAGGTCTTACACAAAGAAGTGAGTAAGAAGGTGCACATTGTCCACTGTGATGGGGACTATGGTCCATCAGACAGATCCCTCTGCAGGACTTCCTCATCCAGGTTCAGGGAGTGCTAGCAAAAGGCAGCCTTCAGCTGTAAGCCCTCCACAGAAAGAAATGGACTCTGCTGAAGATAACAGCCTCACTCAAGCTCATTTCTTCTTCCAAAGACAGCCAGGAGTCAACAACTGATGATCACAGGGATATGAAAGCCCTGTCTTATCACCTCAACTTGAGGAATTCTGAAATTCCATCCCCAGCTCCAGAGATCCCTATGTGATTGGCTGAGGACTTCATAGCACCACATAGCAGTTCAACTTTTCCCTCTTGCCAGTCTTGATTCCTTCTCTTCTTTCTTTAGGGTATTAGTCCTAAGAGCACTCCATAAAAAGACCCTGCTAGCTAATCTCCACAGCAGAGTCTTCTTCCCAGGGAAACCAAACTGTGCACTGACTTCTTTCTTAGGGAAATTTTGAATCTATCCCAAAACTCTTGTTGGGAACATCCAGAAACTGTTTCATTTCAGTTACGGTAATTTTCTATTCTAAAAGTTGCAGTGTCATTCTTTTTATAGTTTCTGTATATCTGATAAGACTTTGTCTTCACGTATTAAAACTGTATTTTCTTATAGTTCTTTAAAACGTTTATAGCAACCACTTTGTGTTTATCTATGAAGAGTTTAGAGTTTGCTTTATATTATTTTTTCTTGACCATGAGTTACATTTTCTTTTTTCTTTGTAATTCTGGTGATTAAAAATATGTGAAACATTTTGGGTAACACAATCAAGTGTAGATAATTGGAACCCTGCTACCCATCCTCAAAAAATTCTTGTTTTAGCAATCAGATCAGTTAGTCAATTACTATTCAATCACCTTGAACTTTTATGCTTGGTTTGTGAAAATCTGTACAAACTTCAAGTGTTTTACAAGCCTTTCTAACTTTAAGAGACTTAAACTCCAAATGTTAAAGAGATCTCTTTAAACTTTATTTTAGGTTTGTTAGAGTGGGTGTAGAGTAGATTTTGCTGTAGGGCATGATCCATACTACCTTTTTAGTCACTCATGGTTGCTATGGGTGTTAATGAGATCTACAATGAGCCCAGCCTTACCCTAAGTTTACTGTTTCTCAAATCGGTGGCACCTGCTATCTGGAATACCTTGGGTGGCTTGCATGGCATGTGTGCACATATGCATACCTCCTTAACATGAACTTGTAGGGGATCTACACATGGGCTTCTGGGGCTTTCTACAAAGATCTTTTCTTTGATACCTCCCCCAGGCTGCCCCACAAAAATTCCAACTGCTTCAGCTGCAATATAGTCTGATCTCTGCATTTTCAGTTTAACAGGATCTCTGTGATTTGCTTTTTGCCATAGAGTCAGTAAATTTTCCCTCAGCAGAAAGCTGGTGGTCATGGGACTCATGATGTGAGTTCCTTTCTCTTTGAGGGCTGTCGTCTTGAAATGCTTATTATTTAATGCATGAAAACACTCGCTTCATATATTTTGTCCAGTTATATATTTGTTTGTTGCAGGAGGGAGAGTCTTGTTCTGGTACTTCATCCTGAAAAGAAGCAGAAGTCTGAGAGAATGTATCTCTGTATATTTTTCCTAATTCAATCTTACGTTTGCATGAATATGTGAATTTGTTCTTTTCTTTGCCCAAAATAAGAATAACAAATAAGTTGCAGAATTATTTATTCCATATTAAGTTGAAACTTTCTTGTCAAGATACGTGTTGATGTTTGGGAGATAACATCTTGTGAGGAATGCAACTAGATTAGGAGTGACACCTGTAAGGGAAAGGTAAATGCGTGTTTTGGGATAATATGCTAATACTATAAAAGGTTAAGAGAATATATTCTTACTCCAGATATAAATATTTCATGAAGTCTCCCCAGATTTCTTCTTAAATCAAAGCATAATCAGTCTTGTTTGCTTACAGGAGTCAACTTATCAAACATTCTATTATAGTCCATGTCATAGGGATAGTTTTGTTCTGTCTTGTTTTTCCTTGTTGTTTTTGATACTGTGTATCCAGTCTTATATAACAGCCTATTCAGTCTGTTTATTCCTGTCTTCTTTTGAAATAAAGATCCTACACAAACTGGTAATACTAGAAGTCTTGCTCTGCTCACTTAGATGCGGAGGGCTGGCAGGAGTGATGGTAGAAGGAAATTACTGGTTGGTAGTATCTCATCCTCCAAGATTTCCATCTCTGAATCAAGGGGAGGAATTATGAGGCTCTGAAAATCATGATGGAAGATCAGCAGTAGCACCAAACACACAAATAAATTCATGCCAACTAAAATTTACAGGGATGCTCAGGTTTTTCCAAAGACTTTATCTTTTTCCACCAATGACAATAACACATGTCAAAATATAGAAAAGAATCATATACCTGAGAAATAGCCCAGAATCAGTGAGTATGGAAGCTGATACCCAAGTGATATAAAGAACAATATGGTGAAGCATTGGGTTGAAAAACGCCTTCCACTTCCTTCTATTTGCTTTGCTCTGCTTCCATGTAAAATAAATGATTTTCTTACTTGTTGAGGCTTATACCTCCGCCTCCTCAGGATATCTGTCCTCAATGTCCCCTCTCTTCCACTTGACACTTGTCTGTCTAAATGTGGAGTGTTCAGACGGGGAGAGAGAGAGAGGCAGGGGGATACAAATGGAGTAAAAGAGACAGAGATGAGGGGAGATAGTGATAGAGAAAGTGAGGAGGAGGTTAATATAAACACCATGGCATCAGCAATAAAGGCATTTCCTTAATTTTGGCTTCCAGAAAGTAAAGACTGTCTATCTTTTCTTCACCAGCCTCTTGACAAAACCAATAAATAGCCTGTTATGTTCCACAAAAAGCTTGAGTGGTATCAATAAAGCCTACTAGGAACTTGTAAGAGAGAGCAATTAATTCTGCCAGTAATGAACAAAGGAGAGAGACTGTCTGTTCTCACAGTTAATAAAGACATATCTGAGCCTGGGTGATTTATAAAGGAAAGAAATTTAACAGTTCCACATAGTGGAAGACAAAGGAGGAACAAAGTCATGTCTTACATGGTGGCAGGCAAGAGAGCTTGTATAGGGGGAACTCCCCTTTATAAAACCATCAAATCTCATGAGACTTATTCACTGTCACAATATTCCTGCAGCATTTGAAAAGGCTGGTGTTGGAGTTGAGCAACGAAGGGTGTGCCCAGAGTAACAGCTCACTTGGAAGGAGTGCCATTTTTGTTGATGGAATTCATTTATTCATTCATTCATTCAACAGTTATTGAGTATGTATTTAAATTGCCCCAGACAGTGGGAAAACAATGCTGATCAAAAATAGGTATTTTACCTGTATTCATGGAACTTGGATAGAGTGTGTGATACAGCAATACTGAAGTAAGCATGCAAATACAATGACTAACAATTTTAAGAGCCATAGAGTTGAAGCACAGGCTACCATGAGATTAGTGACAGGGAAACTGATCTACTCTAACAAGGCCTCTTTTATATGGTGAGACTGAGTTCAGATGTGATTGATGAGAAGCGTTATATTCGTGAAAGAAATGGCAATTTTAATACAACAAGCAAAGACTACATTGTAAGTGAAAGAGAAATGTATGTAGACTGGATGTCAAGAGGGGCCAAACCATGCTGGTTACAAGGCAAAATAAAGACTTCAGGGTATATACTGAAGAATTTAAATAAAATTTAAAAATGCTCAATCAAATTTACATTTTTTTAAAGGTCACTCCTAATGCACTGTGGAGAAAAAAATGATGAATGAAGGGACACACAGACTTTAAAAAAGCTTGTTCAGAAAGATTGTAAGAAAGTATGATGGGTTGCCCTAGAGTGACAGCAATGAATATAGAGAGACGTGAAGAGATTAGCAAGATATTTTGAGGGTGAATGGAAGTGATACCATACTTTTAATCAGTTAGAAATGAGACAGGGTGCTGGAGAAAGAGTTATCACTGGCACCCAATTTCCAACATCTTTAAGTATGATAGGTATTGGTGTTATTTACTAAGATAGAACATTGGAGAAGGCGTTGGTTAGTGAGGAAGAATGATACAGTGGTGGACTGTAATGAACTCAATTCAAGTGTTAAGTTTGAAGTGACTGTGAAAATGGCAACAGTACACGTAGAATAACCATTGCTTTATCTTCTCTGATGAAGATGTCAGGCTACATCCTTATGATAGGCAACACTGAACAGACGGCCATTGGCATGTGGCTACAATAACCTAGGGAGAGAATGTAGGCGAGTGTGCTTGGGCACTTCACCATTACAATGCTGGATGAAGGATGATAGATCTGTAAAACAGAATAAGAAGTAATAAGTAGAGAAGCAAATGAAACATAGGAGTGTGGTGTCACAGAGTTCAAGTCATAAGAATATTTCAGATAATATGGACTAGGTCAATGTGAAAAAAAGCCAGTAAAGAAAAAATATTCAGTCATTCTTGCAGAATGAACTAAGTAGTGTTGTCAGAATATAGGGTGTACCCAAGATTCTGCGGATTCTGGAAAGACTATAAGAGTAATTGCACCACTGTGAGCTATCAGTGTGGAATTAGTACATTCATCATGTTTTATTTACTTACCCCTCACAAGTTATATGATCTGGGGATTATCTGTTCTGTTTTGCCCATTGGAAACAACACCTAAGAAGCCAACATTGACTTATTGCACAGCCTGGTGAAAGTCTCACAAATGCCATGAAAACTCTGTCTAAATGGAAAGAAAATGAGAATATTTCCTTCTTTCACTTTATTGGAAAAATGCGTGCTGGGGAATTTGAACTTATCTTCAATAGCTATTAAAATGGGATGATTCCAAATGGGAGGGAGCCTTGAATCAGCAGAGGATACTGACGGCAGAAGTGGATCATTGCCCTTTATGTGTCCACAGGAAATCGCTTATTTCCTAAAAGTTGCTTGCAAATGAGAAAGATAAGTTCTTTTTGACTCCTATTTAAATATTATGTTAAACAGAAAAAAGTTGGTCACCTATGTGTTGCTTGTTTTTAAAGAAAAGATGGAAGCATTTCATTTTTTGTCAAATGCATCTATTGTGCATTACACCCCTATTATAGAGAAAGCCCATATCAAGTCCAAGCAACAATGAACTAATATAGTCAGAGTGTGTGGGAGCAGCTACCTATAAAGATTGTCTCCACCCAGAGAACATCCCAGGCATGGAAGTGACACACTGCCTACCAACTGCCTACATTTGATTTTATAAACATCCTTTTTTCTGTGAGTAAACCATATATGTTGGTTTCTTCTGTTATTTTGTGTGCAAATAGTCATCACTAAAACCTATCTGTAATTTCAGTGTGAGAATACAGGTCTTTTCCAAATAAGAAAGGGAATAAAAATGCAGACTTGTAAACATTCTGTATAAAATCTTGGGTCTCTGCTTGGGTATATACTAGATGTTTAAACTTAGGAAAATGATTTAATTTCTTGGAGGTTCTGACTTCTGATCAGAAAATGAAGACGGTAACATTTTACAGATGTTTTTGTGTTTTATACATGTAAAATACTAACATAGTACCAGTCACATGACAGACACTCAATAAGTGATAGCAATTGTTTTCACAGGATGAAAAACTTCCATTTGTGTTTTAAGCAAGGAAGCTCCCTTCCAAATAGGCAAAAGAGTAAAAACGATCCCCCTGACTTATGAAAGACAGCTTTTTAAAGATTTGCAGATATTTTTAAACTGTTGTCCTTCTGCTAAAAATAATTACAATTCTCCTTAATCTACTACTACATTCTGAAATATATTCTGATTACCAGAACGTTAAGGTCTTTTGTATCTGCTGTATTTTTCTAGAAAATAGAATAAATAACCATTATGGGATGGCATATTATGCAGATAAACAGTTATTAGAAGAGTTATGGATAGAAATTATATGTAGTTCTGTAATTACCTTTATTACATATAGAAATCAACATAGGAATCAGCACATTCCATAGGAAATATGGAACACATTCTGGAAAAAATTTCTGGCAGAATTATTTTCAAGATGTTATTTATCAAGGAATATATTTAACTATTTAAAGATAAATTAAATATTGAACATATTTTAAAATCAGTATCTATGTTTAAAGATGTCTATGGCAATGTTTGCCAAAGATGCTATAACAGTTTCTAGGACTGTTGTAACAAATTACCTCAAACTGTGTGGCTTAAAACAAAGAAGTATATTCTCTCCCAATTGTTGCCATCAGCAGTACAGAGTCTAATTAATGGTGGAGATGCATGTCCTGCAGCTGTTCTGGCGACCAATCCCTCCTCTCCCTCTCCCAGCTGCTGGCAGCTATTCACATTCTTTGACTTGTGCATCTCTCTGCTCTGTGACCTTTCCTGGGTGTGTTTCCACTATGTATCTGTCTTACAAAGATATTTGTCATTGGATTAGAACCTATTGGTTAACCCAGGATGATCTCCCATTTTTCAGAACCTTTAGTACAGCTATGAAAATCTTTATTCCAGATAAGGTAACATTCACAGGTTCCAAGGATTAGGACACAGGCATATGTTTTGGGGGTAGGGATACCATTTATCCCATTCCAGATGCTACTGGATGTACTGTGGTAAAATGTTCTCCAGACAAATGAATTTTGGATTCACTCCATGCTCTATTGCCCTCAGTGAGATTCACATTTGGAGAAATAAGACATCCTAATGTAAACGAAATTGTTTCACCTTTTTCAATACAGTAGATACACAGTAATATATTTGGAGGCACTACTGATCCATGGAACATATTTTCAGCGCACCAGCCATCATTCACACATACAAATACAACAGGCACGGAACCTTAAAAAGGCATGTGTCAGTTTAATCTGGACCTACTGGAATAACATAGGGATATTTTTAAAAGAAATTCATCAGTAAGATTTATGAATGTAGATAGTTAAAATTCTTCCAATAATCAAAGTCCTTAATTATTATTGAAAATTATGATAAACTATGTTGTTCTCAGTCACATCCTTAGTTGACAATGAATTACAGAGAGTGATTTGTTTCTTCAGCAAAAATTATCCATAGGAACATTCTTTACAACAAGTGCACGAAGCATAACCCCATGAGCTTCACTTTTCCCACTTAATTTTTATTTTGGCATCACTAACCATTAACATGTAAGCTAAATTTGAGTCGAGGACCACCTCACTCTAGTCCATCCTACACACACTTAGGTGAAGGGACGCTATACTTTTCTGAGGTCAATTGTTGGTCAGCAAAGAGGGACTCAGATATTTCACTGCATCAGCCAAATAATTATTTCTCCACCAATGATTCTGCTCATCCACCTCCTCTAACTCCTTTATTCACAGTGTATTGGAGTCTCTACAATGTACTTTTTATGGTGATCCTAACAGTTTTCTCAAGGACAGACATAATGGAGAATAACCCACCTCTACATGGCAGGATTTTGTCCTCCTTTCTTGTGATTTGTGTCTTCTCAGTGTGTAGCAGAGCTAAGAAAGTCATTAGAGATAAGCAGCAATTGAAAAACACTGCTGGTGTAACATTTGCATTATGGATGAGATGGTAAGTAACATTTTCTCTGTGCATTCTGTTTAACTCAGTACAACAGATATTAATGGAATTCTATGTGCAATGCCTGTGATAGGCTAGAACAGGGCTCACTGCTCTAAGGAACAGAGATACATAAATAAATGCTGGCAATTGATAGGGGTCTGGCTTTTCACTTGTTCCACTTCCCCCTCAAAGATCTGACTGATGAGCATGGCCCTGTATTTGGTAACCTAATAGAAAACAGATGACAATTTGGGTTGTCTGTGCAAGCACATGATAACTGCAGTAAGCAACTTAAATAGGAAATTTGTCCAGGCCTGGGGCTAAAGCAGAGGTCTTGGGTCACATAAAAAGGTATGCTCACAAGGAGAGGCAGAGTACTAAGTGCACCAAAAATATAAAACAGCTACATAAGAAGAGAAAGAAAGATAGTAGATCAGCCACTCTTATTGCAGACACAAAGACCAGAGTGAGGACAGGCCTCTCCCACACTCTCAGTGGCAGGCAGAAGAGAGGGAGAGTTTGTCAAAGGTGGTCTTGCCTTGTTGTGCACTTAGGTGATAATGCCAGCGGTGCACTGCATTAGACATGTCCGGGCATTAGACATGAAGGATGGAGGATGTGCTCAGCTTTTGTTATTGAGGCACAAAGTCCTAAGCCTCATGGAAGCTCTGATCCACTCGTCATCTCTATGGCAAAAACAAAACAAAACATTCCCTCTAAAAGTTCCCAATGAAAGACCACATGCACAAATTCCATGTTCTTAGTTCTTTACAGGATGGAAACATGGGAAGTGATAGGTAGACTCCTTCTTATATGCCATTCAATTGTAAAACTGCATGCAGAACTAAGTACTATTATTATTACATTATATTTTGTGTAATGCAAGGGAGTCTAATAGGAGTTGGTCATCCTGATTGCCACACACAAATTACTCTGTAA
Organism: Homo sapiens; assembly: GCF_000001405.40. Taxonomy (NCBI): domain Eukaryota; kingdom Metazoa; phylum Chordata; class Mammalia; order Primates; family Hominidae; genus Homo; species Homo sapiens. The sequence continues at coordinate 52,476,123 of NC_000007.14, forward strand.
ATTACAATTCAATATAATGAACACAGCATTGGAAGCATGTGTGTAAGGATCAGAAATAGCTGAGGAAAAGCACTGAATACTTCTATCTGTAGGAATCTCATTAAAACGGGAAACTCTATAGGACATTTCAAGATAGAATTTTTTTTAGAGATGTTGTTATCTGAATTAGGCACTTTAAAGTCTTACGTAATTAACTTTATTGGCTGACTTTAAACATTTAGTCTATTTCAATTTTTCTTTCATTGACTGAATTAAATACTCTTTAATAGCATTTACATTAAGCAAAGGACAAACAGAACAGATATGAGTGGCAACGGTCACCTAATCTTACAATTATCCATGCCTAAAAGCTGCCATTCTTCCATGCTTGACATGCCTATGAGTTTACAATGGACACTTGTACAGGAGCATGGAATAGAGGTGGCTGTTAGGATATACTTGTGTGGGGATAGTTGTAATGCTAATGGCAGCTGTCTGTCTATCTCCCACACCCTAGATATTCATAAGTGCTCTTCATTTTCTGTTCACCAAAACAGAACTGTATCTTCATATTCTCATTCCCTCAGGCCTGTAGTATCTCACAGGGGGTGGGGGTGAAGATTATTCACTGGCTTATTTTTCTCTAAGTTTTTTGTTGTTGTCGTTTTGTTTTTTGTTGTGTGTGTGTGTGTGTGTGTGTGTGTGTGTGTGTGTGTGTGTGTGTTTTGGAGGATGGTTCAATGACATTACCTCACCTAGTTAGATAATTTAATGAATGGAAACACTCTTATGAAAAAGTCCAATTGACAATATATTGTTGGGGTTAATAATTTTGAGCCAGACATAATCACTACCTTAGCAGTGCCTTAATACCATTTTTTCCCCAAAGGATAAAAATCTTAAATTTCCCTAAACAGCTTGTAACTCAGCTTTCTTTGCTTAATCCCAACTTCTTTACCTTTTTTTTTTTTTTTTTTTTTTTTTTTCTGAGACGGAATCTTGCTCTGTCGCCCAGGCTGGAGTGCAGTGGCACGATCTCGGCTCACTGCAAGCTCTGCCTCCTGGGTTCACACCATTCTCCTGCCTCAGCCTCCCGAGTAGCTGGGATTACAGGCACCCGCCACCACGCCCAGCTAAATATTTTTTGTATATTTAGTAAAGACAGGGTTTCACCATGTTAGCCAGGATGGTCTCGATCTCCTGACCTCGTGCTCCACCTGCCTCAGCCTCCCAAAGTGCTGGGATTACAGGCATGAGCCACTGCGCCCAGCCTTCTTTACTTTTATGTACTGAACAATAGAACTTTAAGAAATGTTCATTTATCAAAATTTGCTACAGAAGAAATCCCATCTATATGCAAAATCAGAGAAATAGCATTGTGTATGTGCATATATGTATGTGTGTGTGTGTGTTAGCACATGCATGTATGTTTGTTGAACACAGCTGGAGACCTGAGATATTATGAAGGAGATTCTGCAGATAAGAATGAAAAGTTAGGAAGGGTCATTACAGGAAAGAACACATATCCATGCAAATGGGCTTGAATCTTAATCATTAGGAGAATGTGCTTCAAAATGAATTTGCCCCAAATTAGGGTGTAACGAAATCAGTTTAGCTGGTTACAATCAAGATTTTCTTAAATTAAATAAATTGTAATAGAACAATCAGGGTTTGTCACAAACAGTAAGAATGAAAGCTGGTTTGTGAAATATTTGTTTTATAATAGATGACAGATTAGATTATGTGTGTTTATACTAAGCATAAAATGTACTTCTTACTGTTCATATGAGCAAAAGTTTAAAAACTAACATCACAGAGAGATTAAATGTTTATCAGTAGATCATTACTATCTACTTATTCACATCCATTACATAAAAAAATTAGTGTGAGAGAATCATATGCAAATACAGCTAAAAAGAACAAGAGCAATTATGAATCTAACATCCCAATTTCAAGTTGATGGGGGGAAGCGAGTCCTGAGATGCAAATGTTTGTCCAAGGTCACACACGTGACGATCGGGGGACCTGTGTACATTCGGGTAACGCTCTCCAGTTCTGTCATTGCTTTTATTCTGCCACTTACCACCATCATCAGAGCTAACTACAAATCTGTTATTGAGCGACATTGCTGTCTGGGGTGATAGCTGAGGTTCATTGCCTCATGGCAAGAAAATTAAGGACTCTGGCACACACAAGGATTGAGTTTAAGAGTGGACGTTTTAATAGGCAAAAGAAAGAGAAAGGAGAATAGCTCTCACTCCTGGGAGAGAGAGGGATGCCCAAATGGGACTTTTGGCCTGTGTTGTGCACTGGATTTTACAGACAGGTTTGAGAAGGCAGTGTCTGATTTATATAGGGCCCAAAGATTGGTTGAACCAGGTGTGACGTTTACATAATGCTTGGGGAAGCTGGCTGCCCCACCCTAATCATTATGCAAATGAGGTTGTTGCCTGGCTGGTGCCACATTGCCTGCTCCTTACTGTACATGTGGCTGTTAAAGAGAAGGGAAGATGGAGCTGTCCTTTTGAACATGCCTAGTCCTAGGTGGCCTTTGTCTATTGGCACAACTGCCAGCATTCACCTTTGCAAGCTTCCAGCTTGCTTGTCTGTGTCTGCAGCTCAATTTTACAGGCTCCTCTTTATTAGAAAAGAAAATGATTTGGGGGCTGTTTTTCATTAAAAGGAAAATCTTACCCAGGACTTCCTTACCCTCACTATCTGCCTAAATTTCTTTTTAACTCCTATATCGCTATGGCTGATGGGAAAAAATACTCATTAAAAATATCGTGGCATAATAATATATGCTGTATTGTAGGAAATCTAAAATCTATAAAGTGGGTTTTCTTTTAATTACAGAATTTGCATCTTCCCCTGATCCCTTTTACCACAGTCCTGTTTTTCTATTTCTTCATTTGCTGGTGCTCTGGGCATTGTTTTCACTGTAAGTCCTATATCCAGAGGTGCCACTCATGTATACAAATCTGAGCTACGAGGGTTTAAACAGTAATTTAAATGGTGATATTGTACTTGGGATAATTGCTGCAAATGTTATGATTTATTTTTTCCTATAGACAACAGCTTGACCCTAGCAACTAACACAATCTATCACCTGCTGCCAAGCAACCAAGAGCAAGAAAAGAAGTGGTTAGAAAAGGTATCACCAGCTCTGGAGTTTTATGGTCAGTAAAGTATGGAAGAATAAAAAGAGGCTCTCAAAATAAGTCAGAGCACAGCAAATACTTCTCTAAACCAAGTTCTGATTTTATACTATAGGAGAGAAAAAAATGTTATATTTGCATATATTTTATAACACTATAAGTTATGCATAAGAGAAAAGTGTATTTAATAGTTTTTTGCAGTAATCAATAGATAACTTAAGATTCAGAAACATTTCCTTTGAATACCCTTTTTTTCCTTAAAAATACAAAAAATAGTAAACATGTGTATCTGTTTTTTTTTTTTTTTGAAAGAAGGGATTTTTATTGTGTTTATTTAAGGTGAAAAAATTAAATAGTACAAAGTAACTTATTTTTGTTTTATATATACCCAGAACAATAGTTCTTATTCTAAATTTATATTTCTGTAAGTAGTATACATTTAAGATACTTCGAGTAAGTACGCAGACAGAGGAAAAGTGTGAAGAGTAAATAAGATAGTAGAAAAGTATTTTTATTGAAATAAATTTGGAAATACTTCAAAAGGCAGAAAACTTCAATGATTAGCATAAAAAGCCTGCAGTCATCACACAGATTATCAACTGTTGTTCACACATTTGCTTCATATTTTTGTAGATATAAATACTTACTTGTGCTAACTGGTGTATCAATAAAATATACACTATTATTGTTAGTATGGGTAGAGTTTAATTGTAAGAATTTGCCAAGAATAACTTATTTTACTTATTTCCTTTTCATACTGGTTAGTTCATCTTTGATTTGTCAGAATAGCAAATACAATACATATACTTCTATCTCAATTTGCATCTGGGTAAGAAAGCCTCTACTGCAATGCTTCCATGTGGCTGCTGCTCACTCCAAGAATGGGCAGCCCATTGTCTTCCATAAAGAGGAATATAAATTGTTTGCTTCCAAAAGGGATTAATACAATTTAAACCCTTGCTAGTCTTATGCAAACATTCCTGTTCTTTCATATACATGCCACACTTGTTTAGCTTTAATTTTTCCATTATAATAGGCACAAATAGTATTTCATTTAATTCTCATTTTAATGATTATTGAGATTTATTTGCAGATTTACTCACATTTTACTTTATTTTTCTGTTAATATCCTTTTAATATATTTTGCCTATCTTCCTATTAATTTGGTTGCTTATTTTATTGCTTTGTAAAAATTTAAAAATATTCTAGATCCTATTGTTTGTTAGATATTTTATACTAGTTACCTTATGCCTGGCTCTTTAACAAATAGATGTTCTATTTCTATTAATTGGTTCTTCTTAGATTTGCCATATAAAATTCATCTTATTTAACACTGTAAAGTTAATCAATATTTCTATTTCTGAACAAGATGAGCCTCTTAGAAAGTTTTAATATATTCTTTCTCATCTCTTATATTACTTTTGAGTAATATTCATGTGCTATATGTTTTTAAACTTCTAAATTATTTATAATTGCCACATATAATCAATATTTTCTTAGATTTACCACTTCAGTAACAATTGCTTTGCTCACTATTACTTTTTTTGTTTTGTTTACCTTTTCAAAAAAAAACTGTCCTTTAATCCATTTTTAAAATTATTTGCATAACATTTAAATTAGTATTTTAGGAGATACTTTAGCTATCTCTGGAATTCTAGGTTGAGAATTTTGGGGGTGCTTTGGTTTTTTGTGTATTTTTAAAAATGTTGATTCGTTTTGGTTTTTCCTCATTAGTCAACACTAAAGATTTTCTTTCATTGCCACAGGCAGTGTATATTATGTGTATATGGATGGCATTTTTATAGATATGCATGCATTGAGCTCTCTTCTCTGAAATATATACATTTATGAATTCCTATTAGGAAATTTTATAATAAGTACCTGGTTATTACTTCAATAAAACCATAGGTTAATAGTATTTTGCTGTTATTGTTGTGTGGATAACTGAGGTATAGTTAAATGGCTGGAGGTAAATATTTTTATATTCCTCACGTTGTTATCCTTGATTTCTGTAAACTTGGTGTCCCTTATATTTACTCTCTACTGGAAAACATATGGAACCAAGTAAGACTAAATAAAGCATATGATAGTCAAAATATTCCTGAATTCCTAATTTAAACAGGGATTTTTCTTTGCTGAAGTCGCAGGCCTGGTGTCCAGAAGAGAGAAACCCACAGAAGAAACACTGAAGTTTATTTTTCTCAATCTCTTGATGGCAGTTATTTCTGCATATCTTGGAAATGCATTGTTTTATAATGGTTGCTTTTACGTGTTGGAGACTCAATCAGAGAGAACTGGTAGTTAATTCACATAGGAAGTACTTTGTATTTCAAAATTATTTATAAAAAATTACTTGTGACCTGGGTTTGGGACACTTTATTAAGTGTCCAGATCAGCAGTTTTGCAAGAGACTGCTATTTGCCTCAATCCATTATCTCCCTAAAGGCCACTGTTTCATAGCCCCACTAACATTTATCACATGCATTTAATGATACGTCCTCTGTCCACTCTAACTGTCAGAAATCTGTGGCTTATTCAACTTAAAAGAAAATCTCCAGAGCCCAATATAGTCAGTGTCTATATCGTTGTTAAGTTCTCAATAGATATTTGCTGACTGCCTCTGTCACTGAATGGCTGAATTAATGAGGACTCAGCCATGCCCCATCAGGTGATATATATGGAGCACAATGACTGCCTCATACTCTCAGGCTCCCCCTTATATCTGAAATCCACCTTCTTTTAAAATAGCTTTTCTTTTAAAAGAATTCACCTCTTTTTTCAGAGTCAAAATTCTGAGTGAGGAAAGTAACACCGGTCTATCAGAACCTATCATCAGTTAAATCAACCCTGACAATCATTGCAGAGACCAATACTGCAGGTATATCTGCCATCAACCAAGGTCCACCCAGATGGCCGAACATCATTGCTGTTAATCCAAAAATAGTTCCATTTTTTCTGACAGGCTAATTGCTCCTAACAGTAAGTTGCAAAACACTCAAGACCCAGCAACCACAATTTTGTGACATGAAGTAATCATTGTTAAGATAACGTTGGCCTCTTAAGAAAGGCTCTGCCATGATTTCATCAGTATTTTTTAATGACCTCAAATATGTTTACTTAAAAGGAATCCTTCATCATTTCATCTCTTATAATTCTCAAAAAGGCAGGTAACATTATATTTACTCTGCTTAATGTTAGTATTTGAGCTCATTTTTAAAGGTACTCACTGTTATTCCCAAAATAAGTATACCTGATCATAGTATTTACAGAGAACAACATACTAGTACATATCTTTAAGCCAACTAAGAAGAAGAGTTTCTTTCTCAGTATTATATTGTGACTTTTCTAATTTCACATTAGGTTTTATTTTTGTGGATCAATAAAAAACTCAAATACTTTGAAATACTTTAAACGTTGGGTGATATTGTTACTGGTGAAGGATGTACAGGTTCTTGGTATTTTGAACAAAGAACTGGACAAAGTGCACAATCAAAGCAAGGAGACAAGAAGCAACAAAAGCAGAAATGTATTGAAAACGAAAATGCACTCCACAGGGTGGGAGCCAGCTGAGCAAGGCTCAAAGCCTCAGTTAGAGAATTTTCTGGGGCTTAAATACCCTCTAGGGGTTTCCCATTGGCCACTTGGTGTACACCTCATGCAAATGAAGTTGTGGTCTCACAATTAGGCTGATTGGTTGTGGAAAGCAACCAATCAGAGGCTGAAGTGAAGTTACAAATTTACACTCCTACGCAAAAAGCAACCAATCAGAGGTACTTTCTGCTTTCTGCAACCAATCAGAGGTACGTTCAATTTTCCAGATGGGGAGGGGGTTTGCAAAGGGAGTAGTCTCTGGTCCTTTTGTTACTTAGATGTGGAAAGTTGGAGTTTTCCTTTTGATTTAGCTCTAGAAAGTCAGCGTAAATCAGCCTTAGGTTGCCTGCCTCCAGACCTTATTCTCCTGCCTCAGTATCCTAAGGCAGAAAGGAGAGGGTATCAGACTTCAGGAGAAAACGGCAACAATAAAAATGTATTTATAGACAAAAATAAATGTAGAAAAAATAATCCCACCCCAACTACAGGAGTGATGCTAGGGAGCCACAGGCTCAGAGTTAAAAGATACCGAAGGGAGCTTTGAGATATTTTTTGAGGAAAAAAAATCAATTTCCAGTGCAGAGGTCTATTAGCCTCGTCAGCCACTGATGCTAAAGAGTGGCTTTTGTGTGCAAATAGAACAACATGTACAGGGACAACAAAGGCCGGCAGGGACTCACACCTTACAGGGAGCAGAAAACCTGTCATGCCAGAGAAGAAGTCAGCTTCACTCTCTTCACTGCCTAAATGCAAATACTGGAAAGAGGATAAACTAACATAGCAGGAAGTGGAATGGTGATCCTTAAATAAAAAGTTGAGCAGACAACCATATAGATCACTCAGTATTTGAGGAACGTGTATACCATGAGAAATGAAAACAAGTCAGTAAAGAGAACTAACACCTGAAGAAACAGATTTGATGAAGGAATCAGAAAACTGATATGATTAACATTTATGCTTTTAAGAAATTCATGTTATATATTTAAATAAATTGAACATAAGTCAAAAATTAAATTTGCACATTATAAATTTAATCATTTGATTTAAAAAACCTCAGTAGATGAGCTGATTAGCTTAATAGATGAAGGAGCAAAGACAACTAGGATTTGTGTGGTGATTAAGCTGATTATTTAATACAGAGCAAAGGTGCAGTGTGACTTAGAATATATACCACATAGGTAGTATATTCAGAAAGTACAGCATTTGTTAGGAATTCCAGAAGGAAGAAACACAGAAAACGGGCAAAAGACACAAAGAAAGGGAGGAACATTTAAAACTTCAAGATGTGAAATTTAGAGTGAAAATGTGCACTAAATATACACATGTATCTCTGCTGCTGTGTAGAACTTGTGCTTGATTGGTACATACTAGTATATGAATGGCAGATAGGAATTTGGAATACAAATATGTGTGATGTAGCTCGTGGGCGAGTATGGTGGAGAATGGTGACAGGGAGTACAACCTGATAGGGCTATCTATTTAAAAAATGCAAACACGAATTCTATCTAGAAATATGAAGTATATGTAAAGATGTGTTAATATTTAAGAATAAACACTAACCAAAGTGAAAAATGTTCATACTTTTAGAAAAAAATTGGGGGAGAAAGGTCAATAATTGTCAAGACACTCAAAAAGACAGGAAAAAGGAGGAAATGGATATTAAATAAAACATATAAAATGTAACACATAAAGTAAAATATCAAGTAAGATAAGCTAACACAAGTATGTGATAGATTAACCCTTCCTTTTAAAAGATAATCACTGATTTTTTTTTTTTTGAGATGGAGTCTCACTATTCTTTCCCAGACTGGAGTGCAGTGGTGCGATCTTGGCTCACTGCACCCTCTGCCTCCTGGGTTCAAGCAATTCTCCTGTATTAGCTTCCTGAGTAGCTGGGACTATAGGTGCCCGCCACCACGCCCAGCTAATTTTTGTATTTTTAGTAGAGACTGGGTTTCACCTTGTTGGCCATGATGGTCTCAAACTCCTGACCTCGTGATCCATCTACCTTGGCCTCCCAAAGTGCTGGGATTACAGGCATGAGCCACCGTGCCCAGCCAAGATAATCACTGATTTTGATAAAAATAAATATCTAGCTGCTTTCTGTGTTTTAGAGACATACTATAAACCACACAAACAGTTTAAAAGTGGAGGAATGGAAGAGATATATAATGTCAAATGCTAATAGCAGGAGTAAATGTAGTTAAATTAATGTAGAGAAAACAGAATCCAAGCTTAAAGTGAAAAGGCAAAAAGAAATATATTCATATTGAAAAAATGTTTGATTCCTCAAGATGATATAATATTCAGGATCTTTAATGATTTCAAATAAGAGCTTCAAATCATACGTGGAAACAACTAGAAATGAATTGAGAAATTGATAATTTGGCCATAAGGAGTAGCTTTATCATATCTTTTCAAGAATAGAAAAATTAAGAGATATACATATACTCCTATATATTTGGCTTTTATTTTTCTTTATATTTGGTACATTTATATGAAAAGCTTTTTATATTTTATATGTTTGTATTAAAAGTATACATGTAATAATATAAAAGTAGAGGCTTGCTGTATTACAGAGAAGGCATTTACATTATTATGTACATACTTTCATTTGATGTTATTTAGTTTTTACTTTAATACTTACATTAAAATTGGTTATCAAATTTTAAAGAAAAGCATAATCAAAAGAAAAATATATACATTTTAAAATAAAAATGAGTTGCTGCACAGAAAGAAAAATTATTTATGGAAAAATTAGAAATGAGAAAACAGCAATTACAGGGGATGTTTGAAAAATTGCAATGAAATACGTACACCATTATGCCAAAAGTTTTAGAAATCTGAGCAAAATGAATCATTGTATAACTCGACTCCAAATAGGCAATTTGAATAGACTATTAATTAGAGAAAAATAGACACATTAGCCAAAGATATTTTTCCTAGAAAATTGTGTCAAGCTCATAGTTTTCCAGGCAAATTTTCAAGAAATAAATCATTTTTAGCTATAGTCTGTCATAAAATGAACAACAAGGAAAAAGATAGCACCTTAGGCTTCCTAACTCATGTGTGAAGCTACCATGGCCCTAACTGAAAAGCAGAGGACAGGTCCTAAGTAGAGAATTCTGAATCATTCTCACATTAAATAGATGTAAACATGCTTAATAGAGCTCTGGTCATTTATGCTGAAAAGACAGAGGAATATAACCCATCAGAGTATATACGTCCTATTCTACAACATTTGGACAAATAGGTCATAACTAAAGTTGAAAGCAAGAAGGGGAATTTCCAGATGATTGAAAAATATGGGGGATGCATAGCAGTTGTGTAGCTGAAGCCAAATTGCTCTAATTGGTTGAAGATCCTCTACACACGCACACACACACACATGCATTCATATGTGCCTATGTACATACATATACACAGACACACACACATTATGTAATTAGTAGGACAGATGGGGATATAGGTCCCTTCCTGGGCACTAGAAATTGTGATCCTGGCCTAGATCTTAGAATAAGGGAGCTGTTGCTTTATCTTGGATGAAAAGGAATCAGAAAAATTCAGCTCACTGATCTTGTGGCAAGAAGTGAGCTGCTGTCCATGGTCAGAGATGAAAGCAGAATTCCTAGCAGGAGAGAATCAGAATCCAGTACTATTTGTAGGTACGTGCACTAAACAGAAGGTTTTTATGCCAGAGCAACCTCAGCATCAGTAGGAACTGGTCAGCCTGCAGGACACAGATGGAAGCAACTGTGAGAAAGCACAGGGAAACCTCAAAGCCTGGGGCCCGAGTGGGGCTTCGCAGGAGAACCTGCAAGGAGGGATCAGAGACAAATATCAGAGCTACCTCCAGGACCCAGCTGCACATTTAGACAAAGACCAAGAAAGTTCTCGGTCCCAGCAAATGGGAGCATTAAAATCAGAACAATCTGAAAGATATTTTCATATACCCTTGCCTAAACACCTCATAGAAAACCTGAAACTATGAAACAACAACAACAACAATAAATAAAGTTGAACTCTATAAAGTTATATTGTCCTTTATTTTAAATTTCTTATGGACATTAGATAGTAGCACTGCTCTTTCAGTAACTTAGAGTACTTCGCAATTCCTTGAAAATCCAGCACCGTCAACTGAAAATCATTTCTGTTTATTGGTTGTTTCCTCTTTTCTTCTTCTCACTGAATGTCTCCGTGCTCAGGCCCCAGTGAAAACATAAAGTGCATATGAGGACATGAGGGCTAAGGGGATCCCCAGGGTTCCCTTTTCCATTCTCAGAATTCCTTATGATATATAAGCCACATACATTGCCTAATGCCGTTTATAAGAAATGTCATATCTTTTTAATCAAAGTAGGTGTGGCTTTAAGTGAAAAGTCCCATTTCTCTTCTTTCAGAGAGAGTGAAGATGCTGACGATGAGGGTCGTGTGGGGAGCCAAAGAAATGACCCCACCTCATTGTGTGGATGTTTCTCAGCTTTTCCCTTGATGTTGAATGGTGTCACTGCCAGTTTTGGCACTCTTTACCTGTTTTATGCTGTGAAGCCAAGATGAGATTCTCTTGCTCAGCCTTGGGATTGTGTAGGTTGGGTAGAAGAGCTGGTTAGGGCAGTATAATGCCATTTGCCCCAGGCAGCCCCATGGGCATCCTGTGACTGACACTGCTCCTGTGTGGCCAACGGTGCCTGCGTCTCTGTCCTGGGACAACAGCATTGTCCTAGCGCACTGCTGCTCCCACAGCCTTCCCTGTCTGCTCATCCCTGCCTTCCTGAATTTTATTTGACAGATGAATTGACTGTGGAGAATTTCTTGTCAGTTCAGCTTCAGGGACACCTTCAGACTTTGGATTTAGGAAAAGAGCATCCTTAGAAAGAGCATCCCTGCCTTCCTGAATTTTATTTGACAGATGAATTGACTGTGGAGAATTTCTTGTCAGTTCAGCTTCAGGGACACCTTCAGACTTTGGATTTAGGAAAAGAGCATCCTTAGAAATGCAATAGCTAGCTTTCCATTTCTGAAATATGAATAACACACTTCTTCCAAAAGGAGAAAAGCTATCTGTTTGATTAGTCATACTTGCTACATTAAATTTTCAATAGTTACTCTTAAAAAAAAATCTCTGCAATGAAAATGAAAATCTTGTGAGATATAGGAGAAATATTCCCAAATGTATTATTTTCCTAGCCTGGTTAAAATAGTTGATAAATGGTTATTTTAAAAAATTTCACGTGTGTGTGTGTGTGTATATATATATATATATATATATATATACACACACCATGAATTTCATGGCAGTTGATATGTTCAATAGTAACAGTACTGGGTATAAAGTACTGCATAATGCAATATGCTGGAATTACTTCCATTTTCTGAATGATAAATCCAATCTAATTTAGTCTGATTTTGAATGCTGTGGACTTCCAATGAGTTTTTAAAAATATCTTTCAACTGCTTACCAGCCCTTATTTAGTATGCCATATTTTGAATGCTTTGTTCTTAAAGAATATCAAATATATTATCCAAAGCATTTGCAGAAAAGAAGAAAGTTTTTCTCTACAAATTTCTGTAAGCAAAGATCATTTTTCAAGCTAATGAAATCTTAGTATTTTCCAAATAATGCTTAGGGAAACATCAAAGGAAAGAACAGTAGATACCATTCCATGTGTAGACATTATGGAATGTAAATATTTTTCACTAGATATTCATAAAGATAGCAGCTATACATGAATTTACATCAACCTGCTTAAAATCACATTATACAAAGGATCCATCACATTGGACTCATTGTAATGTCAAGGAAGCCCAGACAGATACTAATAGATCATGTTGCTGAGAATGATATATTCCCCAAAATACTTGTAGTTAACAAAACAAAAGGTAGATTATATAGAGAATCATTGTATAACCTTAACATCTATCAACTTCGTCTAAGATTATTTTTATTAGGCCATGATGGAATCACTGCTCATCAAGACCACATTCTCTGTAGAAATTTAAGGGCAGGGTCATTAACAAAGTTAATGAAAACAGTCACAGGGACTCCGAATGTTCTCATTGTGGAATAATTCAGATTGAATAATGCATCACAACACTCGTTAATTATATCAGAAACTAAAAATATGTAACTTTCAAATTACCATTTCCTATTGTCTCTAAAATTTATATGTTTGAAATAGCAGACCGTTTCATTTTTAAAGGGCTTCACGAGCATAGCATAGTGCATTTTAGGTTTGGAGCTGAAAAACCTGAGTTTTAGTCTTTCCTTGCTGTTTATTAGGATAATAGATTTAATTTGATCACAATGATAACAGTTAATATCTATTTTGCATATACTATCTGCCAGGTTCTGTTTGAATGCAATGTGCTGGGCACGCTATAGACATATTTTACTAAGGGCTGTCAACAACTCCATCTGACAATATTATTCCCACTGCATAGAAGACGAGACTGAAGTTGGGAAGGCTGGGGAAGACAGGGCTTAAAGAAGGCAGCACATCATCTCTCAGGTATTGTCTGGGGCTCCATTCATCACCTGTAAAACTGAAATGGTGGTACCTCTCTCAAAAAATTGTTGAGAGAATAAATGAGAACATACGTGTGAGTGTGCCTTATGATATAAGTAAGATGATACAAATACTAGCTTTTATATAACATAGACCATATTCGTAAGATCGTAACGTTCAAGATAAATCTGAAAATAAAGCTTAATAGCGTTATTAATTAGTCAATGAATTGGAAGGAAGCCCAGTACAATAAAATGATGCCGAGCATTGTATTCCCCTGCATGGGGTTTCTACCTCTGCTATCACATTCACTGAAGCACAGTAAATCCTCTAGCAGGTATGCAGTAGCTACATCAAGGGGCCAGTGAGAATTTAGAAAAAAGCTTGAACTTGGAGATCTAAAACAAAAAACGAACCACATGGATTAAAGGAGAGAGATATTCATGATTAACTTAAACAGACAGACTAGTCCCTCAGCTTAGCCACACAGGAATGACCGTACTAATAAATATGAAGGAAGATATATTCATCAGAAGGGACTTGGACCATCCTAAAGGCACAGCAAGTGCAGTCACTGAGATGAAGGTGGTCATTGGAATTCATGTTCCGGTAGGGACAACATAATATTGAGTGGTGGAGCTCAAGCATTGCAATCCTAGCTCAGTTGATGCACAACACAGCAGTATTTGGTAAAACCTGCATTTGTTTTGCTTATAAGTTTTCTGTGGTATCACAATGTCAAATAGTGATGAACACCTTGGGCCTTGCAGTCAGGTATGGTGGGTGGGAATTTCAGTTCAGACTCCCACTAGTTGCCTGGCCCTTGGGTACTTAGCATACTATTCCTCATCTGCAAACTGGGGATAATAACAGAAGTCATAGAGTCCTCAGAAGTTATAACTTGGGATAGTAACTGTAGTAATAGTGTCCTCATGGGGTTGTTTTTAATATTTAAGGAGAAAACTTACTTAAGGCTTAGCTAACTGCAGGATATACAGAAAAAGAGTTTCATAAGTGGGTGTCGCTTTCTCACACAACAAATTAGGCTTCTTGTATTCATTTGCCTGCAGAAAGAGAATGTGATGGCATACAGATATTTATATTCCTTAATGAAAATTACTGAACTGCAAGAAAACTCAAGTATTTTCATTTTATAAATAAGGTGAAGGAACTTTAAAGTTGATTCCAGTGGAATCTGCAAAGTGAAGACATTGATCATCTCCTTTTATGATTTTTTGTGACCTCTACAAATGATTTCAGTGTTTAAGGATTACAAATGTACATGTACTTATTCCTGATGTTACATAAAGCAGTCATTCAGTAGATGATATAAATAACTATAAGTACAACAAAGTGTGTCTTCATAACAGTATCCCACCTCTAACTTTATCATTTATTTGATTTGTGGGTAGAAATTCCCATGGTCTTTGCATGTAAGACAGCCTCCATAGGTAAGGTATCCATGGTTAGATACAAGCATGGATTGGTAATCCTGCATCTCTATTGCTGCGAAGTTGCGCTTAAGAGTTCTTGTTCTTACAGGGCTCTTCTCTTTGTGCATCCTATTCTAACCAAGACAGTGGCACAATTGCTACATTTGTAGAATGGAGAAATTGCCTGTGAATTGCAATTCAGAAACAATTCCTCTACAACCTTGTTTAAAATTTCAACCTGAAGAGATAGAGCTACCTTGATTAGCAACATAGCCAGCAAGACCAATAGTGTAATAAAATTATTAAAGATCTTTTCCCCCTAACTAAAATTCTTTGTATTTTTAGCAAATGACTTTTTAGAATTCCTTCAGAAGGGATAGCTGACTGGTTCTGGGGTGTGCTAGCGAGAGAGAGAGAGGTGGGTCTTGTGTTGTCTACCATTACTATTTGAAAAGACTCACAATTTTTGGTCTCTATAATCCACCATACTGGAAAATAGGGTACCTTATGAAATATGTTTCACATTTCTGGATTCATTTCCTTGTTTGTCAAATGAGAGGTTAGGAGATAAGAATTAAGATAATTTTATCAAAGAATCTTAGTGTTCTCTGACTTATCACAAATAAATGAAGATCTGGCTACACCTCCCAAATAGCACTGCCAGTTATACGATTGCAAATCCATAATCTATTTACCCTGTCTACAAATAGTGTCACTCATTTAGCCTGCTCACTTGGGAACAATCATTAAAATTAGTGAGGAAGACCACAGTGTTTTTTCACTTTAATTACACATCCTCTTGATCATAAAGAAAGCATGTCAAGGAAATATCTGCATTGCACAGAAATGCTCTACGAGAGATAGTTATGTTCGGCACAAACATTTTAATTAGGTTTTAACATTCACTTTTCCTATGACATATGCTTTAATTACTAGTAGCTTTGGAATATTTTCACTGAGAGAAATACTGTAAAAAGTTTGTATTTGTACTAAATCACTTCTCTAAAACTGTTACTCTCCGTAGGAAAAGAGATTATTTAGATCTAATAATTAGTTTTTATTTTCTGACAAGAGTTTGATTCACTAATTAATATCAATAATGAAGATCGAGTGAAGAAAACAAATGCATAATTCTGTAAGTCTTTATTTTCTTTGTCTCAACCTCAAGTTTCTGTCAAATGTCAGTTATTTTTTTCAAAGTAACTGTTGGTGATTGTGTAGTGAATTTCCAAATTAACCACAAATAGTTTGTAATAGTTCGAAATCCTAAATCCAGTGCTCTTTCACGTTATAAGACTAGTATATTATCTAAAGGGATATTCTCTCCTTAATATTTTTAGAAGCTCATTTTAAAAATAATAATCTCAAATAAATAAGCACATATAGATACATAGACATTTATACACACATCTGTATACTTATATACAGAAGGTGCCTTATTTACAATGGTTAAACTTAGACCTTTTCAACTTTATGATGGTGCAACCATTGTAATTTTGCTGTACTCCAGATTCTAAATTTTGATCTTTTCCTGGGCCATTGAGATGCAGTACACAATAAATTCAACACTTGATTGCAAAATAGGCATTGTGTTAGATAGTTTTTTCAACTGTAGGCTAATGTAAGTGTTCTGAGCACTTTTAAGCTAGGCTAGGCTAAGCTATGATGTTTGGTAGGTTAGGAGTATTATATGCATTTTTGACTTAGGATATTTTCAACTTACAATGGAGCTGATCAGGATGTAAATTTCTTATAAGTTGAGGAACATCTGTATACACATATAGATAAATATGGTAGAGAGACAAATGGATACATAGATAGAGATACAGGTATATTGATATACAGGTTGAGCATCCCAAACCTAAAAGTCAAAAATCTGAAATGCTCTAATGAGTATTTCTTCAAACTTGTTCAAAGGAAATGCTCTTTGGAGCATTTCAGGTTTTAGATGTTCAGATTTGGGATGCTCAACCAGTAAGTATAATGTAAATATTCTAAAATCTGAAAAAACTAAAAATTTTGAAACACTTCTGGTGCTAAGCATTTCAGATAAGGGATATGCAATCTGTAGTACTTAAGCAGAGAGCTGCTACAGGTTTCAACTTTTAAAACTTTGTTTATTGAATTTTATTGAATGAACATATTATAATTTATATACTCATTCTACAGTTGATGGATGTTTGGATTGTTTCCAGTTCGGCGCTATAAAAAATAAAGATTCTATGAACATGTCTTTTGGTGGACATAAACCTCATTACATACCAAGAAGCTGAGTTGCAAGGTGATAGGGTATACTTATGTTTAGCTATACTGGGTACTGCAAGATAGTTTCCAACTAAAATCTTCCATCATCAGTGTAAGAGAGTACAAGTAGCTCTATATCCACACCGGCACTTGCTATGGTAAGTGTTTTTACATTTAGTTATTCTAGTTGGTGGGTCATGGTATTTCACCGTGTTTAATTTGCATTTCTCTAAGAACTAGTGACAGTGAGCATCTTTGCATTTATTCAACATTTTTAAACTCACTTTGTGAAGTGTCTATTCAAGTCGTTTCTTGTTGTTGTTTTTTTTTTTAATTCGGTTATGTGTAACTAAAAAACCATTTGTAGGATTCCTTCGTGTAGCCTAGCTGTGAGTTCTTTTGTCAGGTATTCATTATGCATATCTTCTTTCAGTCTATGGCTTATAGATTTTCTTTCGTTCTTTCTTATTTCCTGAACAAAAGACTGATTTTTAATTCTGTGCAATTTATAGCTTTTGCAATTGTTTTATATTCTGTTAAAAATCATAGCCTCTCTGATTTCTTGGGAGCATTTTCCAATTTGTTTTTCAAGCTTGATTGTTTCAGGTATGTGATTTATCTCAAATTAATTATTTGCATGCTTAAAATTAAGGTAATTGTTTTCCTTTCATATAGGTATTCAATTGACCCAGCACCATTTATTGAAAAGGCTATCCTCTTACTGAAATGCAGCAAAGTTGTTGTCTTAAATCAGGTCATCAAACATTTGTGAGTTTATTTCTGAATTCTTTATTCTATTCTTCTGACCTCTCTTTTTTTTTTTTTTGCATCAATATCAAAAAACTACTTAAGCTTTACAGCAAGTGGTGATATGTGGGAGATAAGGTCTTTAGGGCTTTTTATCTTCTGTGATATTGCTTTACCTACAGTAGGTCATTGCATTTTCATATATATTTGAGAATCAGGTCATCAGTTTACAAAAATATACCTGCTGAGATTTTTTTGGGAGTTGTACTGAATCAATAGACCAGTTTGAGTATAAATTGCATTTTAGTACTGAGTTTTTATTCTGTGAACATAAATGCATGCCTTCATTTATTTAGGTTTTTTATTTCTCTAACTGATGTTTTGTAGTTTTCAGTGTGGAGGTATTATAAATTCTTAATTAGATTTATTCCTAAGTAGCTGCATTTTTATACTACTGTAAATAGTATTTTAAAATACATCATTTTCAGTTGTTTGCTGCTAACATATAGGAATACAATTTATTTTAGTATATTGAATCTGTATTCAGCAAACTTGCAAAATCACTTACTATGTGTACTAGTTTGAAGTTTTGTGCATTGTTTTTGATTTTCTACATACGCAATATTATCATCTGTAAAAAATATCTGCATTATTTACACTCTAATTTTATACTGTTTTCTTGCCTTACTGAATCGGCTAGAACCTCCGAGACAATGTATAGATATAGATGATAGTGGACATCTTTTCTTATTCAGGGGGAACATATTCACTACTTTGCTATTTGGTATAATTTTATCTCTAGAAACTTCTGTGTAAATGACATTTATCATATTTAGAGAGTGTTCTTGTATTCATAGCTTGTGGAGAGTTTTTAAAGTGTTTACTTGAGAAATGTTATTGTATGATATTTTTCTGCACTTATTGAGTCAAATATGTTTTTCTTTTTCTTTTCTTTTTTTCCTTTTTTTTTGAGACAGTCTTGCTCTGTGGCCCAAGCTGGAGTGCAATGGTGTGATCTTGGCTGGCTCACTGCTAACTTCTGCCTCCCGGGTTCAAGGGATTCTCCTGCCTCAGCCTCCCGAGTATCTGGGACTATGGGCGCCTGCCACCATGCCCAGCTAATTTTTTGTATTTTTTTTTTATTATACTTTAAGTTCTAGGGTACATGTGCACAATGTGCAGGTTTGTTACATATGTATACATGAGTCATGTTGGTGTGCTGCACCCATTAACTCATCATTTACATTAGGTATAACTCCTAATGCTATCTCTCCCTCTCCCCCTACCCCACCACAGGCCCCAGTGTGTGATGTTCCCCTTCCTGTGTCCAAGTGTTCCCATTGTTCAACTCCCACCTATGAGTGAGAACATGCGGTGTTTGGTTTTTTGTCCTTGCCATAGTTTGCTGAGAATGATGGTTTCCACCTTCATCTATGTCCCTACAAAGGACATGAACTCATCCTTTTTTTATGGCTGCATAGTATTCCATGGTGTATATGTGCCACATTTTCTTAATCCAGTCTATCATTGATGGACATTTGGGTTGGTTTCAAGTCTTTGCTATTGTGAGTAGTGCTGCAATAAACATACGCATGCATGTGTCTTTATAGCAGCATGATTTATAATCCTTTGGGTATACATACCCAGTAATGGGATGGCTGGGTCAAATGGTATTTCTAGTTCTAGATCCTTGAGGAATCGCCACACTGTCTTCCACAATGGTTGAACTAGTTTACAATCCCACCAACATTGTAAAAGTGTTCCTATTTCTCCACATCCTCTCCAGCAGCTGTTGTTTCCTTACTTTTTAATGATCACCACTCTAACTGGTATGAGATGGTATCTCATTGTGGTTTTGATTTGTATTTCTCCGATAGCCAGTGATGATGAACATTTTTTCAGGTGTCTGTTGGCTGCATAGATGTCTTCTTTTGAGACGTGTTTGTTCATATCCTTTGCCCACTTTCTGATGGTTTTTTTTTTTCTTGTAAGTTTGTTTCAGTTTTTTGTAGATTCTGGATATTAGCCCTTTGTCAGATGAGTAGATTGCAAAATTTTTCTCCCATTCTGTAGGCTGCCTGTTCACTCTGATGGTAGTTTCTTTTGCTGTGCAGAAACTCTTCAGTTTAATTAGATCCCATTTGTCAATTTTGGCTTTTGTTGCCATTGCTTTTAATAGAGATGGGGTTTCACTGGGTTAGCCAAGATGATCTCCATCTCCTGACCTTGTGATCCACCCTTCTCTGCCTCCCAAAGTGTTGGGATTACAGATGTGAGCCACCGTGCTCGGCCTGTTTTTCTTTTGTTTATAGTTTTTATATGTTGCAACAATCTTGTAATCTTGCATTTCTGGGGTATAACCCTAAATTATCATAATATATTTTACTTTTTGTATATTTCTTAATTCAATATATAGGTTTTTAGATTTTTTCATCTAAATTATAAGAGATACTAGTCCATAACTTTCCTGTATTATGATGTTCTTGTCAGGTTTTAGAATTAATATGTCCTTATAAATGAATTGGGAAATATTTCTTCATCATTTCTTTATTATTATTACTTTTATTTTTAATTGACATAATATTTGTGCATATTTCTGGGCTTGCCTTAGTATTTCTATTCTATGACAGAATTTATGTAAGATTTTTCTTATTTCTTTCTTATATATTTGTGAAAATTCACCAAAGAAGTCACTAGGACTGGATTCCTTTTTGTGAGAATATTTTTCTGTTACTTATTCAATTTAAGATTTTCTCATTCATCACTTATCAACTGTAGGAAACTGTGTTCTTCAAGAAATTTTTTAGGTTTGTCTAAAATTTGTATAAAGTTGTTGATAGTATTATTGTCTTTTTAACATCTTTAGTATTTGCAGAGATTTTCTAATCTTTGCTGATATTGCTAATTTGAATTTTTTCTCTTATTCCTTTTGGAATTGCTAGGGGATTCTCAATATGATTCAGCTTTCAAAGAACAAAACTATTTTATTGTTAGAATATTGTCCATTATCTGTCTCTTTTCTATTTATTTTATTTTATTGTTTTTGAATTATTACTTGAGTTTCTATTTTTATTTGTTTCTTTGTTCTTAGAGTTCAATTTGCTGTTCCTTTATTAGCTTCTTTAGATGGAATCTGAATTATTGTTTTTTATCTTCTTTTATCTAACACATGCCCTTGAAACAATTATTCATTTCTTTAAGGGCTGCCTAAATGAATTGCATGAATTTTGATATGTCTTATTTTCATTTTTATTCAGCTGAGATAGCATCTGTCAACTGTGACACTCTAACTGACATAAGGGTTATTGAGAAGTGTATGTATGTATGTATTATTATTATCATTTTGTGTTTTTTGAGACAATGTCCCACTCTGTTGCCCAGGCTGCAGTGTAGTAGTGTGATCACAGCTCACTGCAGCCTCAACCTCTGACACTCAAGCCATCCTCCTGCCTCAGCCTCCTGGGTAGCTGGGACTACAGGCATCCACCAACAAGCCTGGCTAATTTTTAATTCTTTGTAAAGATGAGATCTCACTATGTTTCACAGGCTGGTCTTGAACTCCTGGATGCAAGCAATCATCTTGTCTTGGCCTCCCAAAGTTCTGAGATTACAGGCATGAGCCACTACAGCCAGCCAAGGAATATATATACATATATATATAATTTTGCATACAGTTAGAAAATTTTGCTTGCTATTTTTGGACATTAATTTCCATAGAGGTCAGAAATATACATTTTATGATTTTAAATGTTTTAAATTAATGAAAGCTTGCTTTCTTTCCCAGAACATAACATTGTTAAATTTTTCATGTGCATTGAAAAAAGTGTGTATTTGTTCTGGAGGTACTATTTTCCCTATTTTTTTTTTAACAATAAAGTCAAGTTGTTAAAGCATGTTAAGGCATGTTGCTCAAAACATTCAAATCTTCTACATTCTTACAAATTTTTTCTTCTCATTTTGTCAGTTATTATGGTAGCAAATGTGTCTATTTCTTGAGTACGTAATATTTGATTTGTATGTTAAAGTTATGTTATAGTTTTAAACATACCAACGTTTAGGATTAGCATATCTTTCTCTTATTAAATTGATAATTAATCATTATGAAATATCTCTCTTCAATTATGGTAATGAGTTGCCCTGAGGTCTACTTTGGGAGAGAATGTTTATGGCATATGTCTCGACCTTCTCTTCATTTTCAACATATATGACTGGATTCCTTGTATTTGGAGTGGGTTTTGTATGCAAATTGACAGTTAAATTTTTAAAATTCTAGTATGACAATCTTGGTCTTTAACTCTTAGATTTATTTATGTTTAATGCAATTAGTAATGTAGTTGTGTATAAATCTATCATCCAGCTCTTTTAACAGTATAATATCTATTATTCTTGCTTATATTATTATTTAAATCTTCATAAATATTTTTGACAATTCCTTATATATACCACCCTATATATAACAACCTAATTCTGTATTTTAACCTACATACAAATTCATGATGACTGTTTTGTATACAAAATTTAGAGCTAAAAATAGCATCATTAATTATTGCTGCAATTTTCTCTTGAAATCATACGTAAAACACCACATATATACTTCAGCTGATTGATAGAATTACAATGTATGCATTAACAAGAGCATTTTCACTGCAAGCTCCATATAAAATGCTCTACTGTATTTGGCAATGAAAG
The DNA here is from genome assembly GCF_000001405.40 of Homo sapiens. Lineage (NCBI taxonomy): Eukaryota > Metazoa > Chordata > Mammalia > Primates > Hominidae > Homo > Homo sapiens. Next base: position 52,498,470 of record NC_000007.14, read on the forward strand.
CTACATTTGGTCTCTACTGCTTCCAAAGAATGCACTTCATTTGTCCTAGTGGCAGCTGGCCTGAAGTACTGAAAGCAGAGGCAAGCATGCTGAACACATATAGAGCTTCAGAAACTCTTAAGGAAAAAGTTAATGGAAAAAAATGTGTGCTTCCTTTGCAGACTTTTCAACTTAAGATATATGGAAAGGATGATTAGTTCTGAAATGTAACAGGAAACAGCAGTGAAGTCCCAGACACATCCGTTATGAACTCCTATCCTAAGTGCTAGGCAAAAAAAAAAAAAAAAAAAAGATTTCTGTTCTGTGGGAAATTTTACTGGGGCTTAAAGCATGACAATTCATATAAGGTACAAAGTTCTATAGAAGTCTGCCTAATCTTATCTTTTTTTTGCTTTGTTTTTAACATGGAACAAAATTAATTGACTTTCTCGATAATTTTCTATACATATGTCATTTTTAATGGTTTCCTCCATAATCCCTATATGGCAAAAATTAGAAATAAAAAATACATCTTTGTTTTTTAAACTTTTTCTCAAAATTTACACAAATAATTTTGAAAACTTTAACCAAATCCCCATATCAAGAGATAAACATTGTTAATGACTTGGGCATTAACAGTGCCTATATATACACACACACAAACACGTTTATGGCTCTCTCTCTCTCTCTCTCTCTCTCTCTATATATATATATATAGTTATGACTAGCTAGCATTTATTAAACAATATGCGCTATGATTTTACTAACTCAGAATTTATGAGTTATCACATTTATTCCTTAAAATATTTATAATTATAAAGTAGAAGTTATTTTCAAGTCTGATAGAAGAAAAATTAGACAAAAAGAATTTTAATAACTCATCCAAGTCATGCAGGGATTAAATAAAGAACTGGAGTTTGAACAAAGCAAGAAATCCTAAAAAAAAATGTTAAATTTCCTTCACTGTCTTCTGTCTCTTTCTCTCTATCCATTTAATTAGATCACTCTGTTTGTATATTTTCATAACTATTTTGTCTCATTTGTTATTTTATCTGGTTAAAGCATCAGTATATTTATGCTTAAAATATGTTCATATCTATGGTAATATTCTTTGTAATTGTCTATTACATCTATTATCAATGTTTCATTTTTTACCTGACACTGTTATTTTGTTTTTACTATTTGAATGTTCTTTAAAAGTAGCTAATTTGACCTATTCTCAGATTAGCCCTCTGACACGTGTTGTCATGAGCAATATGTTTGGTGTTACTTCTCTGATCTTATTTTATGCAGTTTTTGTTTCATTGTTTTAAAATTTCCTCATGTTCTCATTTTTACATTAATGATGTGGGAGTTATAGTTAGCAAAGTTGACAATTATCCTTTAGAAAACATAATTTACTCAGTTTGGCCATGGTCTGTATGAAGAATATTTCTTCCAGACTATGTGTAGGCTGATCCATGATTTAGTTATGAATTATGAATGAATTGTGAATTATTATTTTCTATCTGTTGATCTACCTACCTGCCTGTCCTCTACCTCCCTTTTCTTGTGGCCCTCTGGTCACTCAGTCCCTCCACACTGCAGCCACCATGCTGTGTGTGCTGTCTACCCATCTGACTCCTTCAGCTGCTCTCCCCTGCTCTCTCTTGCTGCAGTGTCACAATATGTAAGGAAGAAAGAGTGTGTGTACTTTTACCAGTTATTTAAATACATTGACTCTTTCATGTTATGAACTACTGGCAAAATAAGCTTAACATAATATTTGCTGGAGAATATTCAAAGTAGAAGAAATAAGCTGTGGGAGAGAGGTCATGCTACAGAAAGGCTGGGAAATCTATTAGAAAATAAAAACTCTGAGAAATAGAATTCTGTAGGGTTAGTGAGATTATACAAGAAAGTACTTCTGAGATAGAGAAAGCAAGTTATAATTATTAAATAAGAGGTATCATGCATTTAATTGCCACAATGGAATTGCTGAAAGTGTTTTGTTTGTAGAGGGGAGGAAAGCTTCCCAGAGGAGCTGGCATCTGAATTGGATTTGGAAAGATGAGTCCGCTTTCTCTAGGGACTTGGTCTAATGATTTAACCACTTTGAATATGCCAGGTGCTAATCTAATTTAGATACATTTCTAACTAGGCCTATATCAATTCAGCTACTTATTTAATTCTTAACAAAACAGATCATCAAATTTTAAACCAGATGAGTGAATCGTTGTCCAAATAGATGCTTAACCTTCCAAAATATCAGGTCATTGCCAGTTGATTGCATGTTATAATATTATGATGATTAAAGAATCCTATTTTTTGCATCATAAAAATCACACCAGGTTGACATTTTCTTCGTTGCATTGCCCCAATTACTTTTTCGAAGAGGTTTATGCTTCTTTATGAGGTTGTTTATGTTTTATCAAGCTCTGCCCACTGTGACTTTCCCTTCACTCCCTTTCATTTTCCAAGAGGAGCTTAAACCATCTGGCTCTGAGAGAGGGTGCATTGCGTTACTGTCCCAGTGAGTGCTTCTGACTAATAAAGAGTCATCTACAAGACATTTTAAAAGCTTGTATTTGGCATCACAAATGCACATATAAGTGAATTCCTGTTCTTTACGCTAACATTTTGCAAGTACCTGGCTTGTTGAAACATGCCACTGGGAAAAACAATCTGTTTTGCTAATACTTTAAGCTCTTTAGAGGGTAACTTCTGTACTTTATATGCATGGTTTACTTTATATCTTATCATAGGGGAAGCAAAGAGAAAATCTTTTCCTGTGTGTCGTTATAAACACAGTCGTAGAAGAACTGACAGTTGACCTATTTTCTACTAACTTAAAAAAAAACTCACACACAAAACCTATCTTAGAACAAATTGAGATGGATGCTTTCTTAAGTATCAATGAAAAAAGTGGTTAAAATTAAAATATTTCTTTCAATAAATGACAATTATTTTTTCCTTGGAATTTTCCCTTTGTTTTTGTTACCAGGTGATTTCATAACTATAATTTAGTTTTTCTATTCTAATTTCCTACCTATTTTTTTCTGAATGAAAATGTCAGAGGACCATGTTGCAGTGAATAATTACTCTTTATTGCACAGGAAAAAGTACCATTAACTGTTCATCTATGTTGAAAAATCTCACAGTAAATGTTTATAAAAAGCACTGCCCATATCTATTAAATGAGATACTTTGTCTTATTTGGTAAAGAAGAAAGTTGTTCTTAATGTATAATCATTTTCAATAACTGTATTAATGAAAGGAAGAAAATAATACGTAACCTTGAATTTTTCATGTCTTTCTTATTCCAAGGATTTCAAGTGCAGAATCAAAGACATATAACCATAATAAAATGCAAAATCACAAGCCCTCAGAATCAGAAGGGATGTCAAGGAAAATGCCTTCCCTCTCTCCACCTCTCTGAATGCAGAACACTGAAGCTTCTGTGCATCTGGTGAGCACGTGGTACAGAATTGCAAGTTTCATGAGCCCTGATTAACTTCTCATAGAGGCTGGCTGTGTTAGACTTTTGCTAAGGCCAAGAGTTTTATTTTGTTCTATCCTATTTCATTATTATAAAAATCTGGAGAGTTGCTTATTATTATGAACTCCTGTTTGAAGATATGGAAATGAGGAAAATGAAGACCTATGGTACTTTTTTAAAAGTGATACTATAAATAAGGAATAAAATGTGAAGTTGTGTGGTTGCCTGGAGTTCTTCTGCTTCCCTCATCCATATCAACACATACAAATAAATAAACTCCTGAGTACATTCATATTCTAGGTATTAATACTGTTTCACCAATTATACACAGCAAGCTCAACATAGCCATCTTTCTTCATCCATAATTTTTTCAGTGATAAATTTTCGTCAGTGATGAAAGGCTCAGCTGGAAAATTCTGCTTAAGATCTCTCACATAATTGTAGTTAGATATTGGCTGGGGCTACAATTATCTGAAAGCTAAACTGGGCTGAACCACAATGGCTTGTTGATCTGGTATCCAAATGATGCTGCCTGGCAGGCTGGAGCTCAGCCAGGAGTGCGTGAAACAGAAGAGGTTCTTATGGACTCACAACCACAGCAGCAATGTCAGAGTTGCTGCACTTGCTTCATGTGAACGGGATCCTTCCAGAGAAAACTCCCAGAGTTACAGGAAGAAGATGTAGGGTATTTTATCAGTTATCCTCATAATCACAGAGCACCGTTTCTGTCACTCTCAATTAATCAAAGCAGTCACACGCCTACCCAGAGTCAAGAACATGAGACATAGATTGCATATCCTAATGAAAGATTGTTCAAAATTCACTTTTATATTGCCACAGTATAGAATAGTGTGTTGAATTCATTAGCATCAGTACTTTGTCCAGTCATCAATATTTACAAGGGCCTATTACTCTCCAAGGAAAGTTGAAGTTATATGATTTTTTTCCATTTCTCTAACTTTATGTGCAAATTTAGACTATCCTTCAAGATTATCTACATTACTAGGTAAATCAGATTTGCATGATATATCTATAACTATATCTATATGTATCATGTTAAACTGATGACAAACCCCTTGGAGCAGCCTCCATATTACTGATCATACACCAAAGGGCCTGTCACTAGCAAGGCAAATGGCAACAGGGCATTAACGTATGTGGGCTTCACATGGCATTCATGTGGTCTTTCCTTTGGAGTACTTCATACTAGATCATGGATCACAGTAATGTTCTTCATTTTTCCTATTACATGAAACATCTATACCTTTCAAATGCAGCTTTATTTTGATGGAATTAGAGAAGTGTTGTGATTTGACTTTCGCCTTCATCAATTGTTTGGCCACAATGCGGAATAATAGCTTGATATATAAATATCTGTGATTTATGTCAGTCCTATTTGTCCCCATTTTTGGAAAATAAATAATACTTTATGTAAGCTAAAACTAATAGTAAGTGCTATCAGAGAGACTCAAATTCATCCTTATTCACTTTCTGGTTCGAAAAAATACTGTCAAAAAGCATAAATCAGAATTTTATTTATAAACAAATATTGAATTTTAATAAAATGAATGCATAAACTTTTTTCTATATCAAATCCGATGGGAAAGCATGTGCAGAAAAGCAGCAGTCAGCTGTCTCCTTCCCCGTGTTCCATCATGCAGCGGCAAGTCCTTCAGCTCCTTTTTCAGTCTTCTAATAGTTTCCACAGCTATTTACTTCATTCAAACCCTTTCTGCCAGAGGTAATGTTTATGTTACTTCACCATTTGTGGGATTTCTTTAAGCAGTGCACATGATCCTCTATTTCCAGGCCATCATTTCCATAGTGTGTGTCTGAATTCCCATCTTTCAGAGGGCTATTGCTGTACCCACCGTGTCTTCCATCTCCCACGTTAACTCCCTTGCTAGGCTGTGACGATATCTTTGTCCCTTGCACTATAACCAAGCCTGGACTCATTTACATTTTAGAGACCACGTTGGCCAGGTCCAATTCTAGACCATGGAGAGTACTGGACTTATTTTTAATATCTATAAGTTCAAATCATGAATCTTGACCCATCCCGAGAGGAACAACACTGTCACGGGAGACAGATAAAATTTTCTCCCTTTATTTCTATTAATCATTGTCCTACGCATCATATTGTACCATGATTTGTTTTAGAATTCGTTTGTATTAGTTTATTGTTGCTATAACAAATTACCGGAAATTTCCTGGCTAAAAGCTACTAAGGTAGTCAATAATTAGAAAAAATTAAAGTCAAATCATAGTACCTTTCTAATTCCATCAAAATAAAGCAGTTCTTGAAAGGCATTGATGTTTCATGCAAGACGAAAAATGAAGAACATTACTGTTATCCCTAACATAGTATGAAGTACTTCAAAAGAAAAAACACACGAATGCCATGTTAAGCCCACGTAAGTTGGTTTCCTATTACCATTTGCCCTGCTAGTGACAGGCTCTTTGGCCTGTAATATGAAGGCTGCTCCAGAGTGGTTTGACATTAGTTTAACGTAATAGATATGGATATGGATACATCAAGCAAATCTCATTTACTAGTGATGTACATCATCTTGAAGAATAGGCTATATTTGCATACAAACTTACAAAACTGATAAAAACGCAGCACAAATTTAATATTTTACAGTTCTGGGGACTCAGATGGTGGACATTGGTGTCACTGGGCTGAAATCAAGGTATTGGTAGAGCTGTGCTTCTTCCTGGAAGCTCTCAGGGACAATTTTTTTTCTTGCATTTACCAACTTCCACAGGCTGCCACAATGGCTGGCTGATGGCCCATTTTTCCACCCACAAAATCAGCAATGCTGATTCAGTATCTCGCACACTTCATCTCTCTGGTATTGCTCCTGTCCTCATACCTCCCATTCTGTTTCCCTTGCCTTCTCTCCCACTTTTAAAGCCCTTGTTTCACATTGGGTCCACCCAGAAAATCTAAGCTAAGATACTCTTCTTGATAAGGTTAGCTGATTAGCAATCTCAAGTCTCATTTGCTATGTAGCATAAAGTATTCGCAGGTTGTGGGGATCTGGACAGAATCCTGAGGGCATGGCGGGGGTTGTCAGAGGAGGGGGACATTTTTCTACTGACCACACCTTTGTTTTTGCAAAAATTTCTAATTTTTTTTCTTTATTTGTTGTTAGAATTTAGTCTGTCAAACCCGTTTATTGTTTCTCATGACTCTTGGCTCTCAAAATGTAAGTATTCTAATAATTAGAAATGCCCTATAATGAGAACTATTGTCTCAGGGAGTAAGGATGCAACAGCTACTCTAACTTTGATTGAGTTGGATAAAATAATGACAAGAATCTTATCAAAGCTTCTGATTCTGTGATTCTAAGAAGAGTTATATACTGAAATATAAACCCATAAAATGTTTCCATTTCTCAACAAATTGTCTGTCCTTTGAAGGGTGGAGTGTGGGTCATATAATTTTGAATTTGTATTCAGACTGTTTAGTCTTTGATAACTTTTTTCCTCTGGGGTTGAACATAGGTTATTAGATTAATTTCTATTCTGTACACTCATGAGTCTTCAAACAACACTGAATTTGACCCAGTTTAATCACAGCTTTTTGGCACACCTTTGAAAAAAGAATATTGAGGATGGAATATTGTTTGAGTATTTGAGCATAGTATTTTTCTCACCTAGCTAATCTTATTTAATTGACTTGTCTCCTTTTCAGAACTGTAAGGCTTAGTATACTATAAAATACTTAAATAATATTTCAAAATTATTTGCAAATTGTCCACTTATGACCATTGCCTCAGAAACGGGTTAATTAAAGAAAAATCACAAAGCAGAGTAGCAAGATGTGACAAGTCATACTTTGCTCTCTAAAAGTGAAAAATAACAGTTAGTCCACAGCCACAGAGAAATCTTTCTACTGCTCATTTAGGTTACCTAACCTCATCTCCTGTTGGGAAACCAAATGTGAGTTCAATTTTGAGAAGGATTTCAGACGGACACTTTCCTACATGGACTGGGGATTCCACTGAAATTTTTGTAAAAATACATAAGAGAAAAATAAAATGGATCCCAAATGGTGAACAGGAATATGGGTAGAAGTGTGAGTCCATGTGCCTGCCTATAAATCTACCTCCAGGACTTCAACAGCTAAAGTTTAACCTTTATCTCTCAGCTTGCTTGAAGCGAGAAATTTTTTTTTTCTCTGTTCCTAAATGCTCCCAGAAAAGATTGTGCCATCCTTGTTTTTGTCCTAAAATGCTGGTGTGCCGCTGCAGAATATTCCTCCAACAGCAAAGTCACTTTTTGTGCAGAGTGTTAAGTAATGGGTGCACGATGCAGACATACTGTGCACACACAGCTGCACGCACACAGTGCAGGTCTTTCGAAGGGAGAGAAAGACAAAATTATGATTTGGATTCTGTATCTCCTTTTGTCATTATTTTCCAATTTTTAGTTTTGTAGCTTATGTGCTAAGTTCTGTTTTGTTAAATATATTTTTCCTACCCCAATGTACATTCACATTTATTTTCTCTCTACGGCTTATTGCAAAGTCAACTACAGTGAAGATGGAATTATCTTGTCAGAAATTGTAACATTAAATTACTCTAGGGGAGCATGCAGGTGCAAAACATGTTGTTTTTCAATGCAAATTCTGGGATTCTAGTCCAAACACAACCTCGTTGCATGTCTATCCCACAGACTAAAAATAAAACTGATTTAAGATTGTGTGTGTGTGTGTGTGTGCACATTTAAATTCAACTCAGTTAAAGGCATGCTTCTAGATAAGAATAGAAAATTCTATAATTTTAAGTGTCCTACATCTTGATGATTTATACTCTAACCCTTCCCCAGAGTACATTTAATGTTAGTAAAAATATATATTTTCTAAAATCAGGATATGAGACAACCAATTATGTTTAACAATAAAAAATCTGATAACGGAAAGTAGGTTATTTTCTTGGAACACCATGATTTCTTTTTTAGAGTTTCTCTGACAGATAAAAGTTCTTATGCTTCTAAAATCTTTAAAACATAATGCAAATATATTTATACTCATTGTTATAAATCTCATTTTATTAAAAATGTTGGGATATCTGACAGAGGCCACTACATACTTACCTTTATCTGACATAAGAATACTCAGTATGAATTATATAAAACCTGCCCTGAGAAACCCAAGATTTAGAAAAATTTTAGCATTATATCTATCTGGATATAATTCCACATTGTAGAACAATATAGATACTTGATCGAGTTGGCAAGTATTTAATCCTGGTATAAACTGCAATGTCACTTGCTACAAGCAGAGACTTTAGCCTGAAGTTAAATGAGGAAACTTGAGGTAAGGATTTTCTTTCCCCTCATGGGATATTTTCATATTTTTCCTAAAGGCACAGTGAAGGTAAAACGAGAGAGAAAAGTAGTTGACTTTTCACAATTCTAAATGATGAGTAGCAAAAGGAAAGTAGAATTTAGGAAAGTGAATCCCACAGAAGTAAAGTTATAAATGGGGAGTGTGTATTTATATATCTGTATATCTGGCTTTGGGAAAGGGATATACTATTTAATTGCTAGTGGGGGAAAGAAACATTACATTGAGGCCAGGCACGGTGGCTCATGCCTGTAATTCCAGCACTTTGAGAGGCTGAGGATGGCAGAATATCTGGGGTCATGAGTTTGAGACCAGCCTGGCCAACATGGTGAAACCCTGTCTCCAGTAAAACATACAAAAATTTATCCCAGCATGGTGGTGGGCACCTGTAATCCCAGCTACTCAGAAGGCTGAAGCAGGAGAATTGCTTGAACCTAAAAGGAGGAAGTTGTGGTGAGCCAAGATCACGCCACTGTACTCCAGCCTGGGTGACAGAGCGAGACTTCATCTCAACAGTAACAAAAACAAAGACAGAAATATTACATTGAAAATCTCTCCTAAACTCCCGGGGCATGAGAGTCTAATCAGAAAAACAAACTAAAACAATTCATAACTGCGATACAAAAAATTATTTGCAACAAAAATAAAGCTCAATATATTTTGCTATCTCACAATTAAAATAAATAGCTTTGTTCACTGAAAGAACCTCAGAGACAGTGAAACAAAGGAATTAAGAGGTATGAGGAAAAAATAAGAGTAAGGTGACGCCAGAGGAGTGATAAGCAGGAGATCACGTGGCTGGCATGCCTGCTGTGGTTCTAACAGAATATTTCCATGGTCCTACTTCATGTTCAGATTTTAGGTTTGTATGAGTTTGCGACATCAAAATTAAAGTTAAAAAAAAAAAAGCAAACCAACCATATTTCAGTAACAAGAGTGTGGCATGCAAAGGGAATTTTTACTATTTCCATGTTGTGTTCCTGAAGTTACTAATACAAGATAGAAATACAAGGAAATAAATTGAACCAATAGGGTTAAGTTATAATTCTGTTAATGCTAATGAGGATGTAAAGTGAACACTAAATATGAGAACAAAAAAATTACTCAGAAGATAGCATAAAGAAATAAAGATATAAAAAAATGAATGAAATACAAGAGAAATGGGGAACAGAATGAGAAGCTCTGACATATATTTAATGGGAAGTCTGGAAATTAAGTAGAGAGAGACAAAATTCAAAGAGAAAAAAAGGGTAAATTTTTTTCAAACTTGATAAACGGCATGATCATCAAGTTCAGGAAATACACCAAATGCCTAAACTGGATAAATAAAAGGAACTCTCAGAGAAAAGACGTAAGATTGGAAAACAAAGAAAAAAAATCTTATACGTAAACAAAAAGACAAGGTGGACAGGCTTCAAAAGTTAAACAAACAGCAGTATTAAAAGCAAGTTAAGCATAGGTCTCACCAGCAAACAGCCAAGTAAATGCCAGAGGAATACTACCAAGTCATTTCGAAAGAATGGCTAATTACTGAGGATTCTCCATCATCTGCTCACTAATTCTCTTTCATGAGGTAGGTCAAATTAAAGGTAATATTCAGGTAAACAACTACTCAGACATTTTTCTTCCAATAGACAAGTAATTGTTATTGAAAGAACTGTGAAATATATAATTTAAAAGGAAGAAATTTGCTTAAAGAAAGAAAAAAAGAGGCTGTCAGAAGCAATGCCAAGTAAATAAGTTAGAATATCTACAAAATTTCCCCTGTTCTACCACAAAACTGTCCCTGAGACCAGAAAGGAAGAAACAAATTGTCATTTGAAGGCTTTATAAATATTCCTTTTCTTTAGATCTACAAATAATAATTGAAACTAATAAAAGAAATTTAGGACTACTTGTTCTATAAAAATAATTGTCTCAATTCATTAGCAACAATTAATTAAAATACTTTTTAAATAAATTGCATTCATGTATCAATAAAGTACATAAGATGCCTGGGAATAAAACTTAAAAATACATGAAGATAGAAAAACAGTTATGACTTTATAGGATTGAGTTAAAAATATAGGATTAATATTAAATATTTAAAATATTAAAAATATTTCAAATTTTTCATTTTATTTTAATATTAAAACAATATTTTATTATTAATATTAACTAATATTATTAATAATTATATAATATGTAATATAATAAATATTTAATACTAATAATATTAAAACTTAATATTTAATATTAAAACTTTAATATTTTTAATATTAAAATATTTAAATTTTATTTTAATATTAAAAATATTAAAATATTTTAAAAATACAGGATTATATTAAAAAATATAGGATTGAATTTTTTTAAAAAGTGAATTGAAGTAACTTACTCATTTATGGGAACAATAAATGTAGTTAAAATGGTGATTCCTACAGAGCATTCTATAAAAGCAATCTAATTCTGGAGAAAAAACTAAAACTTTGCTTTTGTGAAACTTGACAACTCATGTATTTTTCTATCATTGTCCAATAACAATTATAGGGATTATAGCACTAGAGCCAAATTTGACATTGAAGTATATTTATAATTCTTTACAAATTTCCAAATTCTATTTTTAAATGATCTTTTAGAGTTGACTATCAATTTTAATATAATTAAATTTCATAATCATAATTAAATTTCATACTATAATCAATTTAATAACATAATGAATATAAATTAAACCAAAAAAAATCATATGAACAAAAAATAGTGTAAAATCTGGCAATAATAGAAGTTTATAAAGATAATGGCAAGTGAAAACTCTCATACACTATATTAGGGAATGTAAATTGACACATCTACTTTGGTGAAAACTTTGCATTATCAAGGAGGTTGAAAATGCGGATACTCAACCATCCAGGAATTTCCCCTCTAAATACACACTATATGGAAATATTCATACTCGTGATGAGGACACATACCTAACATTTCAGTGCAGTATAAACACAGCACATTGTAAACACAATGTAAAAGCCCCAGATATTTATTAAAAAGAGGATATAGCTGTAAACTGTCTAAAGGTATATAATGTAAAGGTGTAAGAAAATTACGTGAACCTAATTTCCATCTATCAATAATGGTAAATCCAAAGAAAATAATACCTTGGGCAAACTTCCCCCAGACAGATTTCCAAATATTACATTTACGTGAAGATTTTTTGCACTCAAGAAAATCACTATTTTTTATGAATGTGTGCTCTGTGTGTGTGTGTGTGTGTGTGTGTGTAAATGAAAGGGGAGGATTTTTACCCAATCTCAGTAAAATGATTCCAAAAATGAGGAATGGGTTTGGTGAGGGTACAAAGGATTCACTAACATCAATGGTACTGCAACATTTTATAACATTTTAACATTACTTTTTAAAAATAAAAGTTATGGAAGAAAGTTAATATTTACTGAATATATTCTGTATATTTAAGATGTGACATAAAAGTTTTATATATACACTAACATTGCACATATGTTGCTTTTTCTACTTCAAACAAGTTTACATATTCCCTTCTTGCTTTTAATATTTATTGTAAACTTGTTCCATATATTTATTCAGAATGTTATTCTAAGCTTATGTCTTTTCTAAATTTGGCAAAACAGTACATTCTTTTTGAAAATTATGGTGATGTTTTATTGTAATACTATTACTTGATACAATAAGAAATTGGAAATCTTCTTTTGTTATCAATATGTACCCCTCCCATAAATTTACTGATCCATGTGGAAAAAACATTTGAGAACCATTGGTGGAAAGCATATTAATAACAGCCATGAGGAAGTACAATAGTCAGGGCTACTAACAGGGAGTGAGTGTCGGGGAAAAACTGGAAAATTAAAATCTGTAAATTTTTAATGCCACCATTCAGTAAGTGAAATATGAATGATGACCATTAGCCACAGGAAAAAACAAACTAACTAACGTTTAGGTTTTCTAGTGAATTTTACATGTCAAGTGTTACTGACTTTCATAAATTGCATACCTTGTACTTGCAATATTTAACATGTGACTGTATTTAATATGTGAAGATGAAAATCAACTCTTGACTCCTGGCAAAAGTCTACTTTTTGTTTTATTTATTTATTTATTTTTGAGACAGAGTCTTGCTCTATCTACCAGGCTGTATTTTCAGTAGAGACAGGGTTTCACCATGTTGGCCAGGCTGGTCTCGAACTCCTGACCTCAGATAATCCACCCACCTCGGCCTCCCAAAATGCTGGGCTTACAGGCATGAGCCACCGTGCCCAGCCTATTTTTTTTTAATTTAATTCTTCTTCACCTAACTCAGAATATTACTGTTTCGTGTCCCGTTGTTTCTGTAACATACTGTTTTGATGCTCAACGTTCTGTTACTTCAAATATTATGAGGATTTCCTTCATTTGCTTGTTTAATCTTTTCTCCTCTTCCTCCTTTTCTTCCTCCTCTTCTTCCTTCTCCTTCTTCCTTACTGATAGATGATGATGATAAATTATATAGATAGATAGATAGATAGATAGATAGATAGATAGATAGATCTGTAAATATAATCACTTCTTTCAATGCTAGAGACATTACCTGCCTCAACAAAATCATCTAAACTTTCATCTACTTTCTTCATGTTACCTAAGTATCGGGCCCTATTACAAACTAAAGTTGCCAGTTTATTCCAAATTTACCAACATAGGAGTGGTCTTTGAACAAGAAGGGATCAAGAATGGAAACAAATAATGATATATAATTCTGCACAGTAAAATACAAAGAGAACGAAAACTATTGAACCAGTAGTCAAAGGCAGAAAATGGTATCATAAACAGAGCAGAAGTAAGCCATCAGTTACAAATTTTCCCAGCTCTAACTCTCTGCCCCAAATATTTAGACTTAATACATATCTTTGCAGGTTGGAAGGATAAGAATCAGACCAGATGGTTTACAACAGTGAGAAAATATGTTTAACTGTCTGGTTTTGCCCTGTAGCCCACAGTAAAGTACTACTGAAAATAAGACCCTAACTTAACTTATAACTTGAAAACATGGTGAAAGTATTTTTTCTCTCAATGTGAAAGACAGTGGGGTACCGAAAACACCCAGAGACCCTCCTCTTTTATAGTTAAATTTGCTCACTGTGGAGCAGCATCTAGACCTGCTATGCTGACCGGATCACCTGTATAGACAGACGAGTTTCAACCATTTGGTCTGTGATGGCTCTGCCTGAGTACGGGTTGGACACACATTTCTGACATTTAGAAACGTAGAATGACAATGCAAGGCTTACCAAAGTGAGAAGGAGCTGAAATGTCTGTGGCCCTGTGTGTGGAAAGTGAAAGCTCTTTTTACACAACTGGACCACAGGATTCACTAAAGACAGAGCCTTCATGTGCTCAATATGGACAGGGAGGAAGTCATAGCTTCCAACTCCAAGCTTTCCCTTTTACCAGTTTCAATGCAATTGGTTATGCCCTCTCATCACATCACCCACAGTGTGCAGAAGGTAAAATAGCAGGCATGTGGCAGCATTTAGAAGTTACCAAGGAAGTAAAATACAACATCAGTGAAAAGGCGTCATCATAGGCTAAGCTTTTTAAGGATTATGTGAGATATGTGCATGGAATATTCAGTAAGGACCTGGGTCACAATATGTGTGAATCTCCCTGAGTCAGACGTGTGTCTCAGAAAAAATGGATCCTTGTCTCACTTAACATTTAAACCCTCTGTAATTATTTCAGAGGAGGACAGCTCTTGCATGTATTTGGGGGATATTCTAATTCTCCCAGTCCAGTGGTTTTTGGCTACTTCATTTAAATTCCCATTCTGTGAGCACTTCAGAAAGAGCTATGTCAGCAATGGAGTCTCTGCCAATTTTGCTTTTCTTGACCCTGGAGTTCTCCACTCTTCTCACCATACCCTTGTCAGTCTTGGATTGCTTTCCTTCACTGCTTTTTCTGTATAATCTTTTTGATGGCCACATCTGGTTAGGAAGGCCACAACTAGTCTACTTATCTGTTTCTCTACAAATTAATGGCAGATATGGGCTTTTCCTGATTCTTCTCAAATTTATTCATCTCTTAAAACAATCCCAATAAATGCCCACTTTCCCAGCTTTCCACCTAGTTTGGGTTGTGTTCCCGATATTTTAATGTTTGATGAAATGTTATTTACACTGAAATAACTGGATTAGATTTTGGATCTCTATTTTGAACTGTTAGCTTCCAACATGGTGTCATCTAGTGGCATGTGTGACTCAAGTGCATTGAACAGGGTTCTCACAATTGATACCTGTCCAAATTGTAAAGGAAATCAGTGATATCCTGTATTTCTTTGCCAATCTTTACCAACGCTATGTAAGTAATGACTAGCAAGCAAGACACATGATGAATAAAAGTGGACCCAGCACGAGCAGTGAGGGGAGGGGACGGGTCGCTCTTATGGTTTGGGATGGCCATGGCAGTAGTATAAGATGCTGTTGCCCTAGGGGATACTTGAAATACCAGTCAGCTTCGATGTGACCTATCAAGGCTGGCAAGATGCCTGAAACTACCAGGGGATCTATGGGAATTACAGGTTAGGTGTGTATAAGTATTTGATATAGAGGCTATCACACATATAGAGTAGACTGGAAGCTCTTGCTACAGGGATTTTGCCATTTATCGTATTGTATAAATTTGAAACTTTTCATTTTCTTATTTGATAATATTCTTTTATTTTGCAATCAACTATTTCAGTGACAATAAATCACATAAAAAGAAAGTTAACATTTAATTAAAAGTTGAGTTCCAAATTTTAATTTTCTACAGAAATTTCCCAATAAAAGTAGTATTTGCACAAAGATTGTTGATATATGCAATCAGTTAGAAAAGAAATCTGTACAAGAATCATTAGTATCTACTGAATATCAGAAATTGTTTTGGATGTAATGATAATGAATTAAGCTGAGCGATTGCAGCGGGTGCCTTTACACACCACTAGGAAGAATGACATTTTATTTAGATCAAATATTTTTCCAAAATAATTTTACTCATTTTAATGTGTTTAACTAAAATACAGGTGAGTATTTTAGTGCAAAGGCACTATTAGCAAATAAAAACTCCAACAATAATCAGTGCTACCTGTTTTACACTAGTTCCAATTGATGTTTCAAATAGAAAATCAGTGAAGTGAGTTCCAATAGTAATGGGTTCCATTTTTCACCAAATTCATAGAATAGAAGTTCACTCTATAAAATACAAAATATCTGACATTATACTGAATGTTTCTGTAAATTCAGTCACAAGTTAAAGGTAAAATTATTTTTTTGTGGTGGCAACACAAATACAAATTTTCATGTAGCATAGCTTTATAATAATTTTAAGAAAACTATGGAGTAGAAATGCACTTTGAATTTGTTAGGGTGCAGGTAGTTAATTAACAGATACTGTGTTGTACAATCAGATCAGGACTGAAATATTTATTTCTTCTGGGAGTATTGGCTACCAATGGCGTGTAGCTGAGTTCCTTCCCCAAAATTTATCTGGCCAAAGATAGCTGCCTTAGCCAAAGTTGTAACACCCTTGCTGGAAGCAGCTGAACTTTAATAACTGATAACTGTGGGAATAAAAGGTCCCAGTTCCCTTGTCTCAAGAGGACAAGTAATAAGGGTTATCACACTCTTAAAATCCTACATGTGGTTGACTGAGGCTTCTGTTGCAACTACATCAAAGCCCAACTTCCACTTCTAACAAAGCCTCTTCTCTTTACTTATTTATCGATATTTTTAGCAAAATTCTCAATAAACATCTGCACTCAAATCTCTCTATTGGTATCTGTTTCTGGCAATTCAGACTTTATAATAAAAGGGGTTCCAGGAAACAAATACTTACATGGAATATTGGAGCTGTATCACAGACCAGATAATTCACAGTGACAACCCCATTACTGGTGGGAGCAGATAGCCCTTGGCATGTTACAGAAGTTCACTGTGGTGAATTCATATGGAATGAAGGTGAAGGGAAATGCACTCATATCTCATGCATTTCAAAGGTTCTGGGTTGTAGTGATTATAAGGACTATTAAACTGGTATTTCTTTGGGGCTACAGAAATACAGGAAAAAACAACTATGAAAAGCTGAGGCTAATAAATCACAAACTAAAAAATAAATGCGAAAGCCAGTGAGTTTTTAAGAGGATATAAAATCTTTCTGCAACATTCAGAAGAAAATAAAGAAGGAATCCAGGAGGTAATTTAATGTTTGTGATGCTCTAGAGAAATCAGCATTCTCAAAACAAGATGGTCTGCTATACTCCTGTCGGGACCATGACTGGGAGGCAGTGGAACACTGAGACTTGTGATAGAATATCTGGAATGACACACTTGAGAAGTCCTGAATCTTCAGATTCTGCTGAACTCTCTGGGCTTGAGGGAGCCATCTGCACCTCCCTGTCAATGGCTAGTGCAGTTTCCTTGACATAGAAGTAGATGCACCCTGCCTTGTTACAACTCACAAGCCCCTGAGGTCTATACATTTCCATCCAACATGCAGAATAATGACTAATGTGAAGTCAGACCATGGTCCTGGAGTGAATGTTCTAGGTTTGCCAAAGACGAAGGGGCCTATGTTCTGCAGAAGCTTCAGGACATATCCAATAAGTATTGGCAGTGGCAGGGGAAGTAGTTTTGAGATTGTATCTTGAGAGTGCTGGATCAAGTGGGAATAAAAACATTAAGTTGGAGAGTTTAGGGAGTGATATCAGCAACATGGCAAAATAGCAGGTCCCAAATTCCTCCCATGCACACAGACAAAAATATTTAGGAATTATCCATGGATAAAAAATAGCTCTGAGGGAGCTCCAAAGTATAATTAAGATGGTGTAGCAGCTCAGTGAAACACAATAAAACAAAAATGGCTGTATGGAAAAGGGTGAGAAGCATTTTATCTGCATGGCTGCATTCCCCAGGCTGGCAAACTTCAGTGCCAGAAAGAATCCCCTAAGCCACAAGTTTCCTTGTGGGGGGAAAAGGAGAGTAGGAAGACAGCAGCAGCATTTGCTACCAAGAACTACAGCAGCCTTTGCTGCCACCACAAACCCACACAAGCTTTGCCACCAAGGATGCCTGCAGTCTTTGCCAAAACAAACTCCAGCTGCTAGAGTTGCTCAGAGCCCATGCTGCAGCACCTCCCTGGAGCCAGAGCTACCTTGCATCCACCAGATTCAATATCAACGTACCTCCTTGGACAAGGAATTTTTCACACTTATGTCATCTGGATCAGGCACCATCATGCATCCTGGAACCAGCATTCCTGCACATTACCAGACTCAGTTCCACTATACACACCAGACAGCCTTTGCCCTCACACACACTCATCAATAAAGGTCTTTTCCTAGAAAAGCCAGACTAAAGTTTGGAAGAGGTGATTGCTTCTTCAAATGTGTAGACAGTAATACAAGGTTACAAGAAACACAAAATAACAGAAAAACGGTGCAATCAAAAGGCCAAAATAAACTTCCGGTAACTGACCTCAAATAAATAGAAATATGTAAATTGCCTAATAAATAATTCAATAGAATTATTTGTAAAATGCTCATAAGATACAAGAAAACACAAATAGATAAATCAATGAAATCAGGAAAACAATAAATGAACAAGAGAAGAAGTGCAACAAAGAAATAGACATCATAAAAATTCTGAAGCTAAAGAAAACAGTGACTGAAATAAAAAATGCAATAGAATTACATCATACTTGATCAAGAAGAATCAGTGAACCTGAAGCCAAATTATTTGAAATATCTAGAGGATAGAAAATAAAAAAATATATATATAAAAGGAAAGAACACCCATGAGATTTATAGGACACCATTAATCAAACTGATCTACACATTATGGGACTTACAGAAGAAGGAGAAAGAGAGTAAAAGGTAAAGAATGCTTATTTAAGGATGACACATTGAGTATAGTGTACACTGCTCGGGTGATAGGTGCACTGATAACTCCGAAATCACCGCTAAATAACTTATCCATGTAACAAACACCACCTGTTCTTAAAAAACCTATTGAAATAAAAAAAGGAAAAAAATTGAAAAAATAAAGAAATAATGACAGAAAACATCCTAAATCTTGGGAAGAAAACAGATATCAAATTTAAGAAGCCTGAAGATTCCCAGTTAGTTTGGACATAAAGAGGTCTACACTGAGACACATTATAATATGTTGTCTCACCTTTTTGAAAAAAAATTAAGAAAAAAAAATTTAAATAGCTATTTTAAAGGGCTACCAACATAATAACATTGTCTTCCACATGCATCAGTAACTTAAAAAGTCATGTAACTTGTATTGTAACCATTAAACTTAACATGGTCATCTTTTCTTCATCTTGTGTTCACAGTAGTGGCAGCAATTTTCCCTCCTTTTACCAGGCCTTGACCTCGTGCCCTTGCTGTATTAGTCCATTCTTGCACTACTATAAAGAAATACCTGAGATGAGTAATTTATAAGGAAAAGAGATTTAATTGGCTCATGATTCTTTAGGCTGTACAGGAAGCATGGCACTATCTGCCCAGCTTCTGGGAAGGCCATAGGAAAGCTACAATCATGGTAGAGGATGAAGGGGGAAGTAGGCACATCTGCAAGGCCAGAACAGGAGGAAGACAGAGAAAGGGTAGTGCCACACAGTTTCAAACACCCAGACCTAATGGGAACTCTATCACAAGAACATCACCAAAGGGATGGTGCTTAAACATTCATGAAGGATTCACCCCCATGATCCAATCACCCCATCCCCAAACTAGGCTCTACCTTCAATACTGAGTATGCAATTTAACATGAGATTTGGGTATGGACACAGATCCAAACTGTATCATTCTGTCCCTGGCCCCTCTAAAATCTCATGTACTCACATTGCAAAATGCAATCATCCCTTCTCAACAGTTCCCAAACTCTTAACTCATTCTAGCATTAACTAAGAAGTCCAAAGTCCAAGGTCTCATCTGAGACAAGGCTAGTCCCTTCCACCTATGAGCCTGTTAAAATAAAAAAAACAAGTTAGTTCCTATCAGGATACAATGGCAATATAGGCATTTAGTAAATACTCCCATTCCAAAAAGGAGAAATTGGCCAAAAGAAGGGGGAATCAGGCCCCATGCACATCAAAAACCCAGTAGGGTGGTCGTTAAATCTTAGCTCTTCAAAATAATCTCCTTCGACTTCATTCCTCATATCCAGGGCACACTGGTGTAAGAAGTGGGGCTTCCAAGGCCTTGGACAGCTCTTCTCCTGTGGCTTTGTAGGGGTCAGTACCCGTGGCTACTCTCATGGGCTGGTATTGAGAGCCTATGGCTTTTCCAGGTGCAGGATGCGAGCTGCCAGTGGTTCTACCATTCCAGGATTTGGGGAATGGTGGCTCTCTTCTCTTGGCTCCACTAGGTGGTACCCCAGCAGGAACTCTGTGTGCAGGCTCCAGCCCATATTTTCCTTCAGCACTGCCCTAGGATAGGTTTTCCAAGAGGGCTCCATTCCTGCAGCAGGCTTCTTCTGGGACATTGAATCTTTTCCACATATCCTCTGAAATCTAGGTAGAGGCTCCCAAGCCTCAACTATTTCACACTATGAACCCACAGGCTTAACACCATATGGAAATGGCCAAAATTTACAGTTTGCACTTTCTGAAGCAGTGACCCTACCTGAGCCTCTTTGAGCCATGACTGGAGCTGGAGCAGCCGGGATGTGAGACAAAGTTCCCCAAGGCTGTGCAGACCAGTAGGGCTCTGGGCTCCTCCCATAAAACCATTCTTCCCTCCTAGCCTTCCAAGCCTATGATGGGAGGGGCTGCCATAAAGGTCTCTGAAATGCCTTTGAGGTAGTTGGCTCCTTTTCACATATGCACATATCTGCAGCCTGCCTGAATTCCTCCCTCTGAATATTGTCTTTTCTTTTCTACCACATAGCCAGGCTGCAAATGTTTCAAACTTTATGTTCTACTTCCCTTTTAAATATAAGCTACACTTTTATATCATTTCTTTGCTCAAGTATGAGCACAGATTGTTAGAAGTAGCCAAGCCAAATCCTGAAAGTTTTGTCCTTAGAAATTTCTTCTACCAGATACCCTAAATTATCATTCTGAAGTTGAAACTTCCACAGATTCCTAGGGCAGAGGCACAATGCCTCCAACCTCTTTGCTAATGCATAGCAAAAGTGACCTTTATTCCAGTTCCCAATTGGTTCCCCATCTCCATCTGAGACCTCCTCAGCTTGCTCTTCTACTATTGGCATTTGGTCATAACCATTCAACAAGTCTCTAGGAAGTTCCAAATTTTCTCTCATTTTCCTGTCTTCTTATGAACCAATGTTTGCCTGTTCCCAATTCCAAAGCTGCATCCACATTTTCAGGTGTCTTTCTAGCAATACCCTACTCCTTGGTACAAATTTTCAGTATATTCCATTCTTGCCCTTCTATTAAGAAATACCTGACACTGTGTAATTTATAAAGAAAAGATGTTTAATTGGCTGGTAATTCTGTAGGTTGTACAGGAAACATGGCAGCATCTGCTTCACTTCCGAAAGGGCCTCAGGAAGCCTACAATCAATGTGGAAGGTGAAGGGGGAAGCAGGTACATCTTACATTTCCAGAGCAGAAGGAAGAGAAGGAGGTGAGGGATGCCATACACTTTTAAACATCCAGATCTTGTGAGAACTCTGTCATGAGAACACCACCAAAGGGATGGCACTAAACCATTCATGAAGGATCCACCCCCATGATCCAATCACCTCCCACCAGGCCCCACCTCCAATACAGGGGATTACAAATGAACATGAGATTTGGGTGGAGACACAGATACAAATCATATCACTTGCTAAATTGGTATAGACTATGCTTATCCTGTGATGAGAAAACACAACTTTACATGTGATCTCATAAAGTTTTCTATTTCAAAAGTTCTATCACTCCATCTTGCTTTGTTCCTTTCAATCATGAGGAAAAAGATGTGTGACAAGAGGGTAGTTTTCTCTGTGTTTTCTTGATCCAATGATTCTTGCCTCCTCTATGTTTCTGTTAATTATTTTCTTTTAGAATAATTTTCTCTCACTAATATTCTCATTAACTGCTTTTTTCCAGACATATCCAATTTTCTCTGTTTAAAACAAAACAAAATAAGGAACACCACTCCTTCTTTACCCAAAGCATTTTCTCAGTTTGTCATTTTCTTTGCCATCTTAAATTTGTTTTTGTATTTTTACTAACATCTATCAATTTATTTATAGTAGAAATTAATTTTAGCATACTCATTTACTTTCTATTCAACTCCTTATATACCTAATTTATTTTTGTTAAGGATGCTCTGCACACTGTCAAACTAAATGTTCATTATTTTCAGTTTTCATGATTTTCCTAATGTAAATAGTAACAACTTCCATTGCTTTCTCCACTGCCTAACTAAATCTTCTCCACCCACTCCTTCCAAAGCCCACTATAGCATTGGTATTATCAGTTGGATATATTATCTCCTACGTACCTACAAAAAATCTGTTTTTGTTATTAATTCATAAGCTCATAATTAAATCTTCATCTTTACAGCTTTTCTGATCAGTGTCACATTTTCTATTCCATTTACGTTTATAACCACATATTCTGCAGTTTCCTTAACTCATCATGTCTGCAAAATAGTCATTAAATGATTTGCATAACCATCTCTTTCTTCTCATTTCTCTAATTCTGTTAACATTGAAGTTTTCTTGGCTCATTCCTCCCATTTTCATATGTCTGCTTATGTGTTAAACCATGTTGGATCTTGCATCTCGAATTCATTCTTCCCCTCCATTTCCAATATTACCTCAAGGGTTAATTGCTTCTCACCTGGACTTCTGTGTATATGTGGCATTTTTACACTGAAGGGGATTTTTGTTATAGGATAGTAACAAATACACTTGTAATAGTAATAGCTTTTGCATATTAAATAGATATTTTGTTCCTTGAGTAATGATAATGGGAAGTAGGTGATGTCTTTGAAAGAAAATCAAACAAAACCCATAAATAAATAAATCTATTATGAAATATTTCTGGGGATGTAATAAAGTTATTTATTTTTATATGAAACTATAATGAAGAGACTGCTATACGAGTACTCTGATAGTGGGCCTGGAAATAATTATAGATGTCACAGGATCAGGAGAAATCAAATACATCATTAAACAATAATTGTGAGAAGCTTCACAAATAAAGCAGCTAAGGGTGTATGGTAAACGTGGTTGTGAAATACTAATTTTGATTTCTTATGGTTTGTTTGTTGTCTTGATACTAAGTAAGGTTTTTTTTTTTTTGAAGAACATTAAATTTTTGGCAAACAGGTTCTTGTTTGGCTTTTATATTTTATGTAGATTGTTTTCGGAATAGGAGTAATGAGAAAGTAGAAGTTAAGGAGTAAAGGCAAAGTGTAAACAGACTCACAAGCAGCCCATCACTTGGACTCTCTTCTTCTCTCCAGTTCGTTCCCTAGAGGTTTTTTGGTAAGGTATATCAGCAGCTTTTATTGGAAATAAAATTAAGTGCAGAAGACACTGGCAAGATCTCTTACAAACACCTACCATTTCAGAGAAGAAGAGCTGGGGATGAGCATGGGATGGATGGAAGATAGGATGACTATATTCAAGTATGTTTTAACCTATGCTGAACAGCAGAAGTTAATGGAAGCTGCCCCACACAGACTCTAGCTGAGTAGGGTCAGCTTATTTCTAATGAGACCTAAGTATTTGCCTCAGTCTACCTGTGTACTATAACAACATATACTAAGCTGGGTAACTTATAAACAACTGAAATTTATTTCTTACAATCCTAGAGTCTGGAATGTCCAGGATAAGCATGGTTCTGGTGACAGCCCACTTCCTTCATATATGGATGTCTTCTCACTGTGACCTCACATGGCAAAGGGACTAGCCTGCCCTCCAGGGTCTCTTATAAGGGCACTGATCTCAATCACAGCTTCCAAAGGTCTTAGCTCTTACTATAATCACCTTAGGGATTAGGATTTCAACCTACAAGTGCTGGGTGGACACAAACATTCAGACTGTAGCAGTTCGTACTGGAGACCATTATAGACAGAATAACACAGAAAAATTTGGAGTACTGTGATTTAGTCATTTACGAGGCTTTGAAATCGTTGTCATGACTTCCTTTGAGAAAATTTGGCTATATGAATCAAAAGCATAAAATACATGTATACTTATTGACTTGGCAATATAATTTATCAAAATTTATCCTGAGGAATAATCTATGTCAAAATTACATCAAGGATATGTATCATCATTTATGATAGTACACTGTAAAGCTACATAAATATCTAACAAGAGAAGCCAGGCTATGCAAAATGATACATTCACACATTCGCATACGAAACACCACTAAGATTCAGCTCTCAAATAATTTTTAGAGATTTTGAAGAATACCTCATTTCATAATGTCAAATAATGCAGGAACAAGATTTATCGGTATTGCAGGTTCAAAATTGTATATATGGGTGTGAAGATAGAGAGAGAGAGTGAGAGATAGATGATAAAATACTTCAAAATATTAGTGATGGTTTTTACCTAGAAAAAGAAACTCAGGGTTTTTTGTTATTTTAATTCTAAACAAAATTATATTGCACTTTTCCAAAGCTTACTTTATAATAATTGATGTACTTTATCATTGTCCTCATGTAGTTTTTACTATTTTTATGTCATTTTAGTCTATATTGCTAATGTATTTTCCTTATTGTTTTGATGCTCTTGTTTTTTATGTAAGTAGGATTGAATTATTTGTCTTATTTGAAATTTGTTTTTAATTTTTTAGAATTAAATGGCTTATCAGACATTTAGAAGAAAAAGAAGAACAAAGCTGCAATATAAAAAATTACTCTAGCAGAAATTCAGATATGTTAGGAAAGTAGAAAAGAGAATCAATATTTATAATGTAAAAACTTTTAAATAGTATATGTTTTGAAAGAAAAAGAAGTATAATCAAATACATATTTGAAGAGTACTTTGTAGAATTGAATAAAGAAATTGGTTTCAAAAACAAAGAAATATTTTCAGGCAAACTTAATAAAAAAGATTCATATATATATATTTAATTTCAAGGATAAAAAGGGGCTCCTTGAATATCTTTTCAGACAAATTTATATCAGGTTTGCTACGAAATTCTCCCCCATTCAACATCAGATGTATATGAATCAACATTTATAGAATAAGCAGGGAGAAGATGTCTTCTAATTTTCTAAAGTATTTCAAGTTTTTTATATACAAAAGTGAAATATAAACATTTCACTCTTGATGAAAGTTGTCTTGTCTGTTCTGGATCTTTCATTTCAACAGAGGCTATTACTGAAATTGACTGAGGATGATCAGCCTCATAGACACCTACCTGAATTTGAAATGTGTCTCTTTCATTTGCTCATTCATTCAGTCCACAAATATTCATCAAGCCCCTGCTATATGTATGGCACTATTTTAAGTAATGGGAATAGAAGAGGGTATAAGATGGACATATCCATGACCTATTGTTCCTTTTATTCCAGTAGGGAGACAGAGAAGTTAGAAATAAGTAAGTAAATGGTTTAATAATTTTATAAATATTTAGGTCTCGTCAAAAGTTTCTATTTTGTATTAGATCAAGATAATTTCAAATCACTCTTACAATATCTAAATAGCATAGGGTTATTGGTGAGGCTTTAAATTTGGATTCCTGGAGTATTTGAGTTGTCTCTAATAATTACTAGCTGTGTAACCTTTGGCAAGGGATTTAATCTCTTTTGTGTTTCACTGATGAAAGTAAACATTTCAAGGGTTTATTTCAAAACTTAAACCAGGTAATATATGTGAAGTGCTTAAGTCCATCCAAGAATATAGTAGTGTTCATAAATCCTGTTATTATTCAAAGGAATCTCTGAAATGTCACAAGATAACACTCATAATAATAACATGAAAATTAGAAAATAAATTTCCAATCTTGTCTAAAACATGTAAAGCAACATTTTATTTTCCCTCTTGTTTCCTTCACATCTTGGTCTAAATGGAAAAGAAACGATTTGATATTGGAAAGGCCATGAATATGTGGGCGGGTGGCAGCAGCTGTTTTGTCTCCAGCAAGATCCAATGCATTGCATACAATTTAGTTAACTTACTCTGACATGAATAAATGTCTTGCATCTTGAAATATCATTCCTATGTGATTCGTATGCTCCAAAGAAAATGAAATCAAGAAGGTCAAAAAATATCATTCTCACACATCTTGAATCACAGCTTTCCTATTTATTATAAACATCGAGCTAGAAAATGCTACCAATCACAAAACCCCAGAAAAGAAATAAAGTCTAATGTAAATTACAAATGATAGGGTGTGATTCCATAGTTGAAATTGAGTAAAGAGTGGTGGAGAGCACTGAAAGATTCATCACCAAGTGTCAAACATGATTACACAGATGGCAGAGAGGATCCATCACACAAAGGTATAGGAATTGGAAGCAGCTTGATGACAGAGTTTTCATAATTTGTGTTTATAGTCTTCTGAGTTCTAAAGAAAGTTTAGAAGGGTGATGAATTTTTTAACTATAAAGGTTTTCAAGGAGACATCTCCTTGGTTTGTTCACAAGTGAGGCATAGGAGCTCATGCATGATCTTCTAGAATACAAAACAGTCAGAAATGTCCAAGGTGTAACTGGCCTAAAGACATGACATTTCTGTTCTGGGGGGAAATGATGTTGGGTGTGCAGGGAGGGATGAGGAGGAGGAGAATCCTGGCAGATCTCTGTGCATAAGAGATTCAGGGGAAGGGGGCCGGCCGTGGTGGCTCACGCCTATAATCCCAGAACTCTGGGAGGCCCAGGCAGGCGGATCACGAGGTCAGGAGATCGAGACCATCCTGGCTAACACAGTGAAACCCCGTCTCTACTAAAAATACAGAAAAAAAAAAAAAAAAGCCAGGTGTGGTGGCAGGCGCCTGTTTTCCCAGCTACTCGGGAGGCTGAGGCAGGAGAATGGCGTGAACCCAGGAGGCAGAGCTTGCAGTGAGCCGAGATTGCGCCACTGCATTCCAGCCTCAGTGACAGAGCGAGACTTTGTCTCAAAAAAAAAAAAAAAAAGGAGAGATTCTGGGGAAGGATAAGAGAAGCTCTCAAGGATGAGAACTGCAAAGGAAGTAAAATAAAATGCGGTGCTCATGGATAGAATGTTAGATATAATTCACACTTGAATGTGAGTATCAGCTAACATATTGTGCCATGTAAAATCTTTTGAAGATGATTCAACCTCTTCAAGGTCACACGTAGTTGATTAGGAACAATAATAATGCTTCACAGACCTGTGAAGAATAAATGAGTTGATGTATCATAGCCTCAGAGTACAATGACTCTCATATAGCAAGCTCTACATAAAATGTAGTCATTGTTACTATTGTTATTGTATTATTATTCTATAAATGGATGTGGTGGAAGCACCACAGCCAGCTTGTCTCCTTCCTAGAGTTAATGGGCTGGCCCTTTAAACTGGAGGCGACATATTCAGTCCTGAATAAAGACATTTCTCCAAACATTTAATAGAGGCAGAGTCTGTCATTTCCCCTCTAAAATGGCTTAATTTTAAAATACCTGATCTGACAACAGTTATGTAAGGCATTGTCAAAAGCCTGCCTGCTAGAGAACTAGCTCTTTAAGGGTTATGCCTGAAGTCTGGAGGTGGCCTAATAAGATGATTCAGGGAACAGTTCCATTCCAGAGGAATCAGTATTTGACAACTATCTGAAGTCCCAACTTGGCTCTCGACTGAGGTCTAATCATTTCCCTGATTGCTTTCTAATAGCTCTGAGATGAAGCCCAGAGGGCTGCTGGCAGGCCTCCCTGCACAAGAGCATGGAGGGTGCTGCACAGGTGACTACACTGGCTCCTGGCTCACAGAATGCCTGGCTCAGCAGTGAGACCAGCAAAAGGCTTGGTGGCCACGATGAATCACTTCACATTTCTTAAATGAAAGAGTCCATAATTCGCAATGGTGGTTTCATTTCTCATCTTAAAATTGTAACATTCTCTTTCTAATTCTATTTTATTTCCTGGAATTTTAACTTCTCATTTTGGAAGAAATATATAAACAGTTCTAGATATAGATCATAGTGTGATATTTTCAAAGAGAAGTTGGCATGTAACGTTCATACAAAAACATTAAACAAAGGCTTATATGTGCTGTGTTACTACTAAAGATACATGTTAAATTTTCTCTTAGGAAATAAATGTATTTGAGCAACAATAGCCTCATTTCACTGGGGATCCAGAGTGACTTCTGGTAATAGATTCTACCACTGACAAATCCATTTCAAGGATCATGGGAGACCCACGACGACACTTGGATGATTTGACTAGGTTGAATAAGAAACTACTTTTGTGCTTTCATTTTAAGTGTCCCCGAAGGTTGGAAAATCACAGGGTCACAGTTTCTAAAAGCCCAGAAATAAAGAAAAGTCTCTTCATGTCAAAAATGGAAATTGGGATCAAATTGTAAATCTTCCACTATAGGAAATTGCACTTTTGCTGTTACAAAATGATTTACTTAGCCTCAACACACATCATTAGCATTAATAGCTTTCTTCAAATGAAATAATAAACAATAATCCCAGCTTTCCAAAGTATTTAATAATATCAGATGAATTTTAAAAATTTCTTTCACTAGGATTTCTAAAAAGTAAAACAAAAGTACTTTCCTAGACCACTGTAAAAGTCACAGAAATGTTTTTAGTTGTAATTTGATTAATTTGGCATGTCTGGGTTGCTCAAGTATATTTACTTCATATGGATTTTGATTATCACAGCGTATCCTTTTTTTGTTGTTATCCAATAAGAGGGTTTCTGCTGTTTTTCAATCTGAAGCAGAGTGCTGTCACCAACAGTCTTAGTTTTTGATCATTTGTATATAGATGTGCCACAATTGAGTATAATTGTTCATATTTTTTTCACTGTCTTTAATGCAAGAAAAGTCCTAATGAAACATCTTAGTGTACTGCAAGATCTCAGATTGTTGGGGATTAACTTGCAGCATGACACATAACTGGATTTTATTTACAGTCGGTATGAACTTTCCTTGAGGTGCATTGTTTAGATTTATATACACAGAATGAAATTCTTTCAAGCTACCAGTGAAGGGTTCCTTGGCTAATGGAGTCCTCCATGGAGACTAAATGGATGTTCTAACTGCTCCACCTTCTGTATGTCTCCACTTATATTCAAGTAGAAAGAAAGTACTTATGATATTTCAGAAATACCATACTCTTTCTTTCTGGGGAAAAATCAGGAGAAACAGCTCACTAATTTCAGCAAAAAGAACATAATGGCATGGTACTTTCTAATTTCCACAAAGGGAAGTTTACCTTCAGCAATATAGCAATCCCAGCCAATTGTCAACTGATCAAATACAGGCTATTTCATGTGACAACCCATTTCCCGTATTCATGAGGGTACTTAGCATATAGCAGGGGCTCAGAAAATGCTTGTTACCTGAAAAAGTGGATGAATGAGCAAATGTGGTGAACATCTGTTATTCAAAAGCTTTCTGAAAATTCAAATTAAAGGCATGTTTCAGTTTCCATAAACAAACTTCACGTCACTCACCAGCTTTTCCTAGGCTGAGTTTGATGTACTTTTTGAAATTTTTTCCCAATGCAGAGCTTGCAGGTTGACTTTTATTCATTCATTCATATATCAATAAATGTTTGCAAGTTCCTGATAGTGCAAGAAACTATGTTAAATGCTAAAAACTCAGTGGTGAATAGAGTATCTGTGATGCCTGTCTTTATGGATCTTAAATTCTAACAGAGGAAGGACAGGCATCAAAATAATTTATACATTTATATTTGTGATGGGGGGAGGTACATGAAGGCATATACAAAAGAAACAAAAATGGAAGAAGGCATGAAAAAGCATAGCACAATATAATAGCTGAATAACAGTCAATGTGGCTGGAACACAGACCTGGAGGTTGACCTGGAAACCAGGAATGGCACAAAGATGGTCAGGGTCACATCCTGCATAGCCTTTAAGGTGAAGCTGAGAACATTGTGCTTTATGCTGTGGCATTATAGCAATGCAAATATGTGAAAACAATTAAGCAGCATCAGGTCATTTATTAATAAAGTGAAACAAAAATACATCCTCTTTAAACCATCAAAGAATTAGATGCAACAGTGGACTCAAGAAGGGGAGTTGGGATGCTTTTGCAGTAGTTGAGGCAAAAGAATTTGGACTTAAAAAAAAACTGGAAAGAAGAAAGA
This sequence comes from Homo sapiens, assembly GCF_000001405.40. NCBI lineage: Eukaryota > Metazoa > Chordata > Mammalia > Primates > Hominidae > Homo > Homo sapiens. The sequence goes on from NC_000007.14 coordinate 52,528,526, forward strand.
GTTTAGAATGAAATTTAGTGACTGCAGTTGGAAGAATATGGTCTCAACATAGGAACGTGGGAATGGATTTCTCATATTTCTAGGTCTTTCTGTTAGATGGAGATTTATCAAGTTCAAGAATGAAGATTTACTGAAAAGTTCCACTTTAAACCTAATGGACTGTGATATTTGTTAAAAATTCAAGTGAGATGTTAGATAGACTTGTGTATTCAAGCAGAGATCTCATGATAGGCCTGGTTTAGTGATTTACATAGTTAGTTCCGGGTATATCACTGAAGCTGTGGAGGCAAAATAAATTTTCTACGGAGTCTCAGTGGAATAAAAAGGGATAGAGTTGATCTTTGAGGCACCCATGGGTAGCGGGGATTCAAACAAGCTGGCAAAGTAGACCTTGAAAACAACAGATCACAGTGCTGGCCTTCAATTGCATGGCTTTTTATAGATGATGTGGAGACACGATTCATTGTGGACTTGACTTGAACCTTGATGAGTTTTATTTAAACAGCAGATATTCAAAATAAAATCGACTTATCTAAATTACCACAGAAAAATTCATTGTTTTAAAACAGTCTGTTTTCTGAATTTCCAGGCTTCTCAATGTTGAAGTTGTTAAGAAAGAAAAGAGAAAATTATTGTTCAAATAATCTATGGGCACTTTTCTATAATTCTAAGTAATTTCTAAGCCAATGCAGAATGCCAGGACCCAATGGCTTGCTGTGGCATCTTTTGGGGCTCTACAGTAAGTTTGCTGCTGGCAGAAATTTTCTTGCTTTATGTCCTCTGCAATTAAAGATGCAAACTTATATGGAACAATAATTATATAAAATTTTCTCTTAGATCGTTTCCTGAAATCAGAGGGCCAGAAAAATCTCACTGTGGATTTTTTTTTACTTCTATAGTACTTTAAATAAGCCAGCAAATCTGTTTCATAATATATTGTGCAATATGTACTTTTATTAAATATGATTAGTTTCAACACAGTACAACATATTTGTAAAATCTAAAAGAGTCTCTCAGCCTCAACATTATTGACATTTTGCATTGTGTGTGATTGGTGCATTCCCTAGCCTCTTTCCACTAGCTGCCAATAGCACTCCCCTACACCTAGTTGTGATAACCTGAGACGGTTTTAGAGATTTCCAAGTATTCATTTGGGGGATTAAATTTTGCCCAGTTTAGAACCACTGGTATGAAGAAAATGATAAAATGTACAGCAGTATCTTCCCCTCCCTACCCCAGCCTAAGAAAATTACCAATGCCATCACTTGTGTCTCTCCCACCCACCCTTAGTCTTCCTCAAAAATAATAAACCATATTCTTGAATTGTCTTTAATACCTTAATTTTGTCCATAGTTGCTTGGGGTTTCTTTTTATTTTTCTGTACATTTAAAAATTTTTGAATATATTTTCTAATTGTGTGTGTTTTTATAATGTATACATATTGAATCATATTAATTGTATTACTCTGTGACTGCCTTTCTTCAGTTAATACTCTTCCTGAAATGTAGCAACATGACGAGCGTAGCTGGATGTCACTCATTTGTACTTTTGCGTAGTTTTACACTGTACGAAAATACCACAATTACTTGTGCTGTAATAGACACTTGGTTTGATTCTAGGTTTTTGGTGTTATAAGTAGTGTTGTTGCAAGAAACAATTTTGTCTTTATATCTTAAATATTTTTAAGTTTATCTAGAGTAGTGGTCCTTAAGTTGGGGCAATTTCATCCATCCAGGGACATTTGGCAATATGTGTAAGGCATTCCAGATTGTCCTGTCTGGAGAGTGTGGCTGGCATCTAGTTGCTGGAGAGAAGGGATACTGCTAAACATCATTCAATACACACAACAGCCTCTACCCCAGCAAAGAATTCTCCAGCCCAAAATGTCACTGGGACCACTATTTAGAAACCCAGTTCTAAGGCATATTAAGAGCTGATTTACTGAGTGGCAAGATACATGCCCCTGAACTTTATGGAAATGCCTAAAAGCTTCTCAAAGTGGTTATTATTTACATTCTTACCAGCAGTGAATAAGATTTATACTCTCCGTCATATGATAATGTAATATTCATATTCTTCTATAAGACTCACAAAAGTTAACCAGAATTCCAGGGACTAATAAAGTCACTTATGTTTTGTTTTCAGTAAAATGCCTAATTATTTTTATTTCTATTGGATTATTTGCTTCTTAATGTTTTGTAAATGCTATTTACGTATTTTGGATACTGGTTTTTTCTGCTTTATATTTATAGTCTCCACGTTTGTATATTATCTTTTCGTTTGCATTATGGTATCTTTTAATAAGCAGTAGTACTTGATTTTATGGTGCTGAGTTTATTAATCTTCTCAATGATTTATATTCTTCAAGTTTTATTTAATAAATCTCTCACCCTAAGGTCAAATGACATTTTTAAAATATTTATAGGTTTTCTTTTTACCTATAAGTCTCTAATGCACTGTAAATTTATTTTTTATATTGTACATGATAGAATTGTTTTAATTCATTTTCCATATTGAGAACCAATTGCTCTAACATTATTCATTAATTATTCTTGCTTTCTCCTAAGATGCAATGCTAGCTTCATTATTAACTAATTTTCACTGGTCTCTTTGAGGCTCACTTTTCTGTTCCAATGGCTTTGTTATCACTCAGCCAGTAACACTCTGCATTTCTAGAACTATTACGATTCTCATTGCATTGTAGCACACCCCCTTCACTCACCTTGTGCTTCTGCTTCAGGACTAAGTTTTTCCTTCTAGGCTTTTAGTTCTTCTACATTATCCAGAAGCAGCTTGTAATTTCCAGTCTCCCAAAAGTTCTCTTGTTATTTTAATTGGAATTTTGTTGAATGTATCAATTAATTTTGGAAAACTTTATATTTTAAAATACTGTATCTCCCTGTACATCACTGCCACACCTAATGTATCAAGAAATTCTATTGGTTCTAATTTCAAAATCTATCACAAACTGTAGCAGTTACCCTGTTCTAAGCTACCATTACCCCACACCAACATTATGACAATGTTTTTCTGACTTTTCTTCCAGTTTCTATGGTGAACTTGTTCCTTTTACTGCAATGTTAGATTGTGTCATTTTACCTAGTCCAAATTTTCAAGGGTACCCTATTTCACTCTGAAAGAATGCCAAGTTCCTATCATCTAGAAGGCTGCACATGCATGGCCCTGGGGAATTCTTCAACACATACTATTCTCTTCCCCTCCCTCCTCTTTTACTGTCTTTCTTTTTCTTCATTATGATGGGGGCTTGATCCAGTTTGGCTCAGGGTCTTTTAGTTCTTTTGTTTCTGTTTGGCACATTATTTCCCCAGAAGACTTCATTTCTATTTCCCTCACTTTGTTCACACATTTGTTTGAATGTTGTTATTCACTGAGTTGTTACCTATTTAAAATCCCTACCTCACTCCGTGACATTCATGATCCCATTACCCTACTCTGTTGTCTGTTTTGTTATTGATGTTTTGTTTGGTTTTCTTCACTATATTTATTATCTTCTAATATAAAATTTAAGTGACTTTATTATTTAAGTCTATAAATAATATAGTCCTCATAAAGGTGGCTATTCTACTTTGTTTGCTGTGTGCTTGCTATTATAAAAGGTGCTCCACAATTATTTTTTGATTTAATGAGCAATGGAATAAATACATTGGTTACTAATAATTATTTTAAGAATATATGAAAACAATAGTTGAGCTATTTTATTTGTCATTTTGAGGCTGTTCCAATTGTCCCATAAAATTGTGTTTACAGTTTGTTAAGATAAGCATATAATTTGGCCTTCCCAGTCTTAAAGCCTGAAACTTACATTTTTCTTAACTGAATTCCTTCCTCAGGAAGCTGACCCTAAGGCTCCCAGACCATATCAAAGAACTGAAACTCTCCAGATCATCACATCCAGACCAGAAGACAGACCCCACATCCCTCATGATTCTTTTACCCCTCCCAAATTCCTCTTTACCTGCATGTAGTTACATTTCTTCCTTGCTATATAAACCCCCAATTTTAGTTGGTCAGGGAGGTGGATTTGAGACTGATCTCCCATCTACTTGGATGCAGCACCAGATTAAAGCATTCTTCTCCAGCAATACTTGTTGTCTTAGTGATTGGCTTTCTGTGAGGTGAGTAGCAGGACCTAGGTGTTTTGGTAACAATTTCTCAATCCTTGCACTGTTTTTTTTTTCCCTTCTCTTACTGTATAGCTGGAGTGCTATTGCAGTGTTTAATCAAAAGGATAAGGGCAGTCATATTTGTAATTTCCAGATCTTAAAAGGAATGCATTAACACTCATCAGTAAATATGGTGCTGACTACAAGCTATACTGTAAATGTCCATTATCAGGTTAAAGTATTTTTCTTTGTTCCTATTTTGCTCAAAATGGACATCATGAATTTAAATGGCACCGTGTTGAATATTTTTTTCTTCTATGTAGAAAACTATACTGTATTTTAAATGATTAACGTAATATTTAGAAATTATTTTCTAAACTTTACAATCTGAAAAAATATATTAATCTGGAATTTATTTGGTAATCTTTCTTTTAGGATTTTTTTCTATAATTATCCATTAAAAAATAATACCTGTGGTTTTGCTATTTAGATTGTGACTTAAGTTTGTTTGTATTTTGTATTTAAGTACAGATGGTCCTTGACTTACCATTTTTGGACTTTAAGATGGTTTAAAAACATGAATTAGAAATTGTACTTTGAATTTTGAATTTTGATATTTTTGGCAGCTAGTGATAAGCTGAAGGCTAACACTCTCCCAAAGTGAGCCACAGCTTATTCAGCCATATGGTCAGAAGCCCAGATGCCTGATGCTCTCCAGGGTACTGTGCACTACTGTGAGTGTTCTGAGTGTTTCAAGGCAGACTAGGCCAAGCTGTGATACTCAGCAGACAAGGTGGATTAAATGCTCTTTCAACTTATGATATTTTCAATTCATGATGGGTTTATCGAGAAGCAACCCCACAGTAAGCTGAAGAGCATCTTTATATTCTGCAATTTTTTATTAGGAGTAATTTATTTCTTCAAACTTTTTGGAACTTACTTAAAGAACTGTATGATCTGGTGACTTCTTTCTGGGAAGATTTTCTATTAATTTTAAAAATTCAATGCCTTCCATGGTTACTAGTTGATTCAGCATTTCTATATTTTCTGAAGTTATTTTTAGTAAATAACAGAAGATTAGAATTTAGCCCAGAGTTGTTCATAACATCTTATAATCATTTTTAATATACACATTATTTGTATTTCTATCCTCTTTTTTCACTACATATTATGTGTTAATTTGTTCCTTCTTTCTCTCTTCTTCTTTTGGGAAGTTTTCTACAGACTTGTCATTGCTATTTGTATTTTCAAAAATAAAAGAACATACATTTACTGTGTTGATCCCCTCTATTATATCATTATTGTCAATATTATTAATTTTAGTTTATACATTTCCATGTCTTTACTTTTTGGGGTTAAGTAAATTATTTTTTATCTTTCAAAGTTGGATGATTAAATCATTAAAATTAGTCTTCTAGCTTTACTAATATAAGTATTTAAAGACTACATATTTTCTTCAATGTACTGTCTTCACAAAATTTCATGAATTCGAATCTGAGACGGCAGTGAGCTAAAATAAAACTCCCATGGTGGCCCTGTAGCTTATAAGTAGCAGAACAACATGTGGCTGTAGGCAGCCTGGTTCAAGAGTTCATGCTCTTAATCACCAATCTATGCTGTTCATCATCCATCAAGTGAAAATGTTTACCAATTAATTTTACAGTATATCCTAACATGAACACTCAGATAAGAAATTCCTCTCAGCAAAGTCAGTGCTTAGTGTAAAAGAGGAAACTAAAATATTCTTGTCCAATCGATTCTATATAGCACCAACATTAAGATCTCTTTCAAAGGTTATTCAATGAAACACATATTGTATTAATTTACAGCATGTGTTCTTTAATTGTAAATTTGTAACTGAACTTCACATGAATATTAAAATTCATCTTCTACTTATCTTTTTTCTCCATAAGTTCTTGTATTTACTTCTCATTTAGAAATGACATTAACTATTAATATTTTTTAACATCAAGTTCACATATAGCCATTTGTTACTAAATCTCGTATTTGGGAAGAGGAAATGACTTAGATAACTGATGGTGCAAGGAATTAAAGTTATTATTCATTATCATATTTGTCTATATTATGTATTGACAATGCAATAAAATATTCTAGACTTGGTAAACAAAGCAAAACCATGAATATAATAGTTTCAATTTTGCTTTTGTCAATAAATTGTGTTGAGTCATTTTTAATTCTCCTAAAACTAACAATTTTTTATATTATTCAAGAAATAAATCTCATCCTATTTCAATTAAACTATTCAATATCACACTGTAGTTTATAAGCTCCACAGATCAGAGGCTAAAATAAAAAAATTCAATTAAAAATACAAAGTGATTTGGACATTCTAATTGACAATTACCACAGAAAGCAAAACTATTTAGGGTTTATACTAAAGCTCCATTATAGATCTATTAAGAGAAATCTACATATGCCATGGTTGGCATTGTATCCAGAAAACTGAGACAGATAAAAATATGAAAGTATGCACTGAATAATCAATCCCACTTAATACGAAACTTAATTAAAGATCATGTTCTATTGTACAAAGCACAATTGTCCAAGTACATCTTATTTTAAGAATCACTGAAAGTGCTTTTAACTCAATGCTGGGAAAAAATTTGTCTAATCCAATGCACCAAATTTTCTTCTTTGATTAAAGTCCCCCAAAATGATCAAATTGTGTGTGTGTGTGTGTGTGTGTGTGTGTGTGTGTGTGTGGTATGTGTTTTCTTGGTTATCAAAACACTCAGAATGTGATTCAGGCCTCATTTGAAGAAAGAATAATTTGCTTGTTTCTGCTGATATGATTTTATTTCTTAGTTTTTATTTTTTGAGGGAGTTCTAATAGATTTGCTTCTGTAGAGTAAAATATTATGTGATTTGAAAAGATGGGTAGTGTGTGATGATTTTGGGAAATTCCTGTATCCTCAGTATATAACTATATACTATAATATTAAATGTAGTGTAGAGCCCTGGAAGTTCTCACAGTCAGGAGGAAAAATAGCCAAGCCATAGTAAAGTGTGAAACATTAAAACTCAGTTAATGTTTAGTATCTCTACCCCATAATTAACAAGTATATTTATTAAGAATTAACTTTAATTGATTTATTATGGGAATATGCTAGGAGCTGGGATTTAAAGGTAAAAATGACATTGTGCTTTTAAGGAATTATTCCACTAATCAATAGTGTGTCCTGCTTGTTTCTTGAGGAGAGAATATGGAAAAGAATCTTACTCCATCAGTGACTGAAAGGAGTCCAAGAGGGGTTAACAGGCTTTTAGTTGATCTGATATTTGAGGTAAAATTAGGGTATCTTTTCAGACAAATTGGGCTTGCAGGAAATCAAGAATTGGAAGAATGGTTTTACTTTAGTATTTTTTACAGAGAAAATTGAACAATACAGCCTATATTTACATGATAGATCAAAAAGGATGAAAAGATTAACCTTGGTTTTTATTTACTTATTACGTAGAGTGGGGAAAGCAAAGTACGACATTAAATAAAAGCTGTTTCTGCAATACATGTGACCTTGCCTGTTATAAATTTACTATTATAATATAGCTGCTTTCCATGCTAATTTTTCAAGGATTACATATATTTTTGTTTGCTTGTTTATATAGTAGGCTGCCAGGAAACCTGCCATCAACTCATCTTACAAGAATCTTCACTTCTCTTCAACACCACAAGCCAGCCAGAGAAGATCTGTCTTTACTCAAATTGCTATTTCAAAATTTTGTCCTTTCAACTACAAGGCCCATTATAAGAGCCTTTTAATAATCCACAGTTCTTTCCTGGTTTCTGCCAACTGGAAATAATATCTTCTGCCTCTGAAATTTCATGCTAATCTGTGTTAAACACCTCAAATTCATTGAACTTTGTAAGTTCTCAGAACATGTGAGAAACGAATGTGATCTAAAACACGAATGTGATCATGCTGTTTCCTTTCTGCATAGCTGTCAAAAATCTCCACTTCCCACTTAATAATGGAAGTTCTACTCTGCAGAAATGGACCCATGATCAGGTTCCAGTCTGTCCTGAAAACCCTGCTACTTAGCCTTCTTCACTCCTAGTGCACATTCTTCTCATGATGAGTTCCTTGAACCTCTTCCACACCAATTTGTGCCACACACCACTTTAAGACTTACTCTGGATGTTAACTTTGGAGGAATAAGCCTGGTCCTTAAACTCTCAGCTTTAAGTCAGTAAGTCAAGACAAGGTCACATGGAAACTTTTATTTCCCTATATCTATGTGAGCCTGTGACAACTCACTTTATATAGCAAAACTGTAATTTCCATAATTTACACAAGACTAAAGTTAGACATCTAATTCCATCAGTGGCTTATTTTCCCATGCCTGCAACAAACTGTGAAATGAGGTGTAAAATTGGATAAATTTTAATGTCCCTTGTACCTCTTAACATTCTAGATTCTCAGCTATTTTCCACATTGTTATGAGGACAAGAACATTTTGAGAGCAGGCGTCTAAAGTGTGGAGCTGAGGAGGAGTGGAAAGAACTGTGTGACATTTAGAACGCTGTAATTGGTAATGTCACCTATTTTAAATATGATTATGCACAGGCATTCACTTTGTACTTCCAGTGTGCCAGAAAGGAAGAGAAAGTAAAGCAGAGGTGATCTTTACGTGGCAGTTCTCTAGTTTATTTGGGGAACATCAGCCTGTCAGAGTGCAGGGTTTCTGGGTGCTAATGAGTTTGTGCAGCACAGCATAGGCTAACAGTTCCACAGGCTGAGCAACTGCTACATTAAGGTCTCTAAGAGAAAAAACGAAAATTTCTAATTAAAAATATCTTCTCCTTGTCCTCAACTAACCCCAGAAAAATAGGATGGAAACAAAGCTTAATATGGGAATTTAGTTTACTGATGAATTAGTAGGAAATATTTACTTATTGAGTTGAGATTCCGCAAGGTAATGCAAATAACTGCCAAAATGACCTGAAATAATATTGATAAACTCACATTAGGCTGGGAGCAGACAGAAGATGCTATTTTCCCTTGCTTAGAAGCTCCATAAGGTTAACCACCCACATCTTCCTTATTCAAGGAACAATACTTTCAAGAAAGTTTCATAAGAAAGTGCTCACAGGACGAGCTAGTAAGAGTGGCCAGGGAAGAGAAGAAGCCAAGAAAACATGCAGTTTTTGCCAAAGTCTCTGTCTGAACCATTTCCCACTGGTGAACTCTGGGCTGTAAATTCTACCTGAAAGTGTGGCACAACTCAAAGAAAGAGATCTGTGTTTTCATATTATCACATAAACATGACATTGACTAAAGACCATGGTGGTGAGATGGAAAGGGGAATAGATAAGTTTCCAAGCATTTTTGAATCTCTACTTACATGAACTGCAAAATCTCTCCAGTAACCTACAGACCTTCCTTTAATGACAATTGCACATGCAGGCCTTGAGAAATAAAATGACCCCAAAACTAGAGGAGGCATTCACAGGATGGTCAAAAGCAATCCAAAGAGATTTGGGTGGAATGCTAACAATATTGCTATGTAATCCAGGGCACAGACTATTTATTAGATATAGCAGGCATTTGATGCATGTTTTTAGAGTAATAAATAAATGCCAACTCTGAAATTTATGTTGGTAAGTAAGTGTCTGTGATGGCTAATTTTATGTCAAGTTGATTGGGTCACCAAGTGCCCAGATATTTAGTCAAATATTTTTCTCGATGTTTCTGTAAGGGTATTTGAGGATGAGATTAACATTTAAATAGGTAGACTATGTAGAGCAGATTGTCCTGAATGTGGGTGGGCCTCATCCAATCATTTGAAGAACTGAATAGAGCGAAAAGATTGACTGTCTCCCACGAAGAGAGAATTCTTCTTGATGACAGCCTTTGAATCGGAACATCAACTTTCTTCCTGCCATTAGATTCAAACAGAAACATTGGCTCTTCCAGGGATGAGTCTTTGGGCATTCAGGCAGTAACTTCACCATTGGCTCTCCTGGTTCTTAGCCTTGGGACACAGACTGCACCAACACCTTCAGCTTTCCTGGGTCTCCAGCTTGCCAGCTCACCCTGTAGAGCTTGGGACTTGCCAGGCTTCATAATTGTCTAAGCCTATTCTTTATAATACATTGCTAATCCAATCCCTGTATGTTCTTGTCATGTTTTCATTACTGTAACCTTAGCAAAACCATTTAATGTATAACAGATGGCCACATATGAGCACTTAAAATTCTTGAGAGGATAGGCACACCATGTGACTATTATGATGACTATCAGGAGTATGCTACTAAGAGACTAAAATATACTCATTAGGAGTCCTCAAGAGTCAAAAGTTAAAATCAAATATATTATCAATGATCTAGATTACAATAATATAATCTGGATTAAGTCGCAAGGTTTTCAGGATCAGATTAATATATGATCCAAATATAATAACAATGATCCAGTTTTCTCACAACTGAGTTTCTACCATATCAGACATATTTCTCCCAGTGTAGCCAGAGGTGAGGTATTGCATGCACTCCCTCTCTTTAGCCAAAAAAGAGTCTAAAGCAATCACTTTTTCTAAAACAACTTCTGCCAGAGAATTTGAAAAAGTTTGCTGAGCAACTATAGCCTTTGAAGTACACGCTGTTATAGTAGATAATGTTTGAGACTGATTTCCATTCTCCTTTACATTTATGTAAAGGAGCCAGGGAGAAGCATTCTACCAAAAGACGCCCATATAGTTGGAGTAATGCCTGCCAGAAAATTCCTTTTTATTCTAAAGTGCAAATTAAGAGGTGTAGACATATTTTAGTTATTTCCCATTTATGAAAATATAGAATTGCCCGTGTGTATAGTTGAACATTAAATTCTGCACAGAAAAAAATAAACATAGAGGGGAACAAAAACCAGTTCTGTGGGATGCCTTGTGTGTTAGGGTCACCAGCAGGGAAGCACTAGTGATATTTGTCTTAGTCTCCATTATCAAATCATTGCACAATCACACTTGGAATATCAGTGAAATTTTTAGCAGGGTGAAACAGAGGATCTCTGATTATCTAAGGATTTGGGTTTAACATGGTATCTCTGCCAATTCTGTTATCCAGTATGCAGCGACAAATAGCTCTGTTGAGAATGAGAGAATGAAGAGGTTCAATGACCCATTCCATTCGGCAGTTGGGCATCTTGAACAGAAAGAGTTGGAGTTGAGGACCCTAGCCAGCTCTCCATGGCGTTACTGATTCCGAGGCAGGGCTCTATCAGACATCCTACAGGCATCTGAGAAAGCAGATTTGTACAATAGTTATAGATTGTGAGGCCAAATTCTCTGAAAGTTGTGTTTCTGAAATCTTAATATCCCCCATTATGGCAGAAAACATGGAAAAATTTTCTACATATGGGAAATTTTCCATATATGAAAATCAAAGACGTAAAATATAAGTCCTAAAGGCTGTTAACTGGAAACTTTAGACAAATTAAATTTAGCAAAATTTATCTGAGCAAAGAATGATTCATAAGTCAGGCAGCACTGAGAACCAGGAGAGCTTCAGACAGCTCCACCCTTTCACATGGGCAGGCAGTATTTACAGACAAAAAAAAAAAAAGTGTGATGCAGAAAGGCTTGATTGGTTATGATTCAGCACTTGCCTGATGAGGGCATGTTGTGGTGAGGCAGTGGCTTCATATGGATAAGGCCTGATCAGTTAGCAGCCTGTGATTGGCTGAAGCTCAGCTGCTGTGATTGGCTGAGACTCAGCTACTTGTTATAAGAATATACTCTTACATTAGGTAGAACGTTGTTTACATATTAAAGATGCAGTTTACTATGTATGATGGTAGCTTTAGGCCAAATTTAATTTAAAGTAACAAGTTCAAGTCTAAGAAAAAGAGTACTATTAACATTTTTATATTTTTTGAAAGGTAATTCTATGACATTAGAACATGAATTAATTTAATTAATGAAACATTTTTTAATGCAATATATTCCCGAGATTTCCCCAAACTGTCAAAATTGATTTCTTAGTCCTCACAGCATTCCACGTGAGCTACATATTCTGAATTTAAATGTATCCCAGTTAACTGCTATGCTATGATTTATCTAAGAAAAAGAGTAATCACGGAAAAGTAGTAATAATACAAACTAGCGTAGAAAAGTAGCAAATGCCTCCTGATCCTACATCTTGTGGTTGAATGTCATTCTATAGAATGATTCTCTTTTCTTCTTAAAAAGAGAAGCACTCCACTGATAATCACATATATCCCTTATGATTTTAAAATCTAAATTACCAAGTGCTAATAGGAAACATAGCCTTATAGTCTCATCATCCTTAGTGCTTTTTGTTAAGAATATTTTCTTATGTAGGAAGTTGGTTGTTTAAATAACTGATGACATGTCCATGTAGTTGAGAAATACAATCAGTGCTAATATTGACTAACTGCTTCCTACATGCCAGACCCTTGGTATTGGGGGAACCAGCCCCCAGTATTTCAACGTAGGTTCTTTTCTATTTTCCCGAAGTGTCGACTGGTCTGAGAAATAAAGGGAAAGAGTACAAAAGAGAGAAATTTTAAAGCTGGGTGTCTGGGGGAGACATCACAGGTCAGCAGCTTCCATGACGCCCCCTGAGCTGCAAAACCAGCAAGTTGTTATTAGCAATTTTCAAAGGGGAGGGAGTGTATGAATAGGGTGTGGGTCACAGAGATCACATGCTTCAAAGGCAATAAAATATCACAAGGCAAATGGGAAGGGCAAGGTCACAAGGCCAGGGTGAAAGTAGAATTGCTGATGAAGTTTCATGTCCCACTGTGCATGCATTGTCATTGATAAACATCTTAACAGGAAACAGGGTTCAAGAGCAGAGAACCGGTCTGACTAGAATTCGCCAGGCTGGAATTTCCTAATCCTAGCAAGCCTGGGGGCACTGCAGGAGACCCGGGTGTGTTTCATCCTTATCTACAACTACATAAGACAGACACTACCAGAGCAGCCATTTTAGAGGCCCCCACCCTGGGAATGCATTCTTTTCCCAGGGCTGTTAATTATTAATATTCCTTACTGGGGAAAGAATTCAGTGATATTTTTCTTACCCGTTTTTGGTAATAAGAGAAATATGACTCTGTCCTGCCTGGCTCCCAGACAGTCAGACCTAATGGTTATCTCCTTTGTTCCCTGAACATCTCTGTTATCCTGTTCTTTTTTCAAGGTGCCCAGATTTCATATTGTTCAAACATACACGCTTTATGAACAATTTGTGCAGTTAACACAATCATCACATGGTCATGAGGCAACATACATCCTCAGTTTAGGAAGATAACAGGGTTAAGAGATTAAAGTAAAGACAGGCATAGGAAATTATAAGAGTATTGATTGGGGAAGTGATAAATGTCCATGAAATCCTCACAATTTATGTTCTTCTGCCGTGGCTTCAGCCAGTCCCTCCATTTGGGATCCCTGACTTCCGAAACACCTGGCCTAAGGATTTTATCTCCTAACTCATTCATCCTTTTAATAACGTTGTACAAGATGTGCTATCGTTATTTATTTTTCTGTAAACTACCTTTAAAACTTTATATGGACATGATATAAAAAAGAATTTTCCTTAAATTAAACCATACTCCTAGGGCTCAGTTCTCTTCCTACACCAGAAATCTTGATTGAAAGTGCTGGAAATGCCCACGAAAATGATGAAAATTACTACATCAGGGTGTGGTTGTTACAAGTTGCTCAGCTTTCCTTACCTTGGTCAACACCAGGATTTACTAGTTAATGAACTGACTGTGAGAAGTAGAATTTTTGTGGTTATCAGCCCAATGAATGTTTGAATTGGTGATCTTAGTAGTAACTTTATGACACTCCAGTTATGAGAATTGGACAAAAATGTTCTTCGCCATTACATGAGTAGAGTATAAGAAACTAGTAAGATAGTAAGGCCTAATATCTGTCTGTCCCCTCAGTCTGGGGTCCGTATTAGTCAGGGTTCTCCAGAGAACCAATCATGAACCAGATATAGATGTTACGTAGGTAAGTAGGTAGGTAGATAGATAGATAGATAGATAGATAGATAGATAGATGATAGATAGATAGATAGAGTGGGAGAGAGAGATAGAGAGATTTATTAAGAAATTAGTTTATTCAATTGTGGAGGCTTGGCAGATCCAAAACCAGCAGGATGGTCCTGAAGGCTGGAGAACCGGGGAAGAGTTGATGTCGGAGTCCAGAGGCCATCTGCTGGCAGAATTTCTCTTGGCTCAGGGGTAGTCCAGCCTTGGTTCTAGACAGGCCTTCACCTGATTGGATGAAGCCCACTTACACACTGGAGGGTAATCTGCTTTACTCAAAGTGTATTTAAATGTTAATCTCATTCAAAAACATTTTCAGAGAAACATCCAGAAAAATTTTTGACCAAATATCTGGTCAGAGTGGCCAAGCCAAGTGGATAAATAAAATTCAACATTACAGGACCTATCTAGATAACAGGTCAGAAGATTTCTGCTTCATTGATGCTGAATCCAAGGAAAACAGAATCTGGAGTATTGTGGATAGTATTTCCATTATCTTTTGTGCAAGATTGTGGTTGTAGCACATGAAAAGACAGAGTTGGCACTTTGCAATATGTATGCATTAGGTTATATGAATTGTTTATGTCTACTTGGCAATAGCATACACCTGTATATACTGTGCAGATGCACTCAGACTGAGATTTGCTCTTATTTTAACCAAAAATTGAAATCATGGGTATTGGATCACTCATGTGCACCACAATCTGGCAGCTAACATTATTTACCAGGAAAACCAAGACTTATGCCAGTCAAATTGGTTTTGCAGAGTTATGATACTCATCCCTGTTTTACAGACCTGGCAAGTGAAGTTAACCTAGAGAGGTTAAGTAAGTTGGCCAATGTATGAAGCTAATAAATAAAAGTAGCAAGATTTTAACACTGGCTGTAAGCTCTAGCATCTAGAATCTTGTTAGAACTGCCTTTTATAAGAACATATACTGACAAGGGAAAATATTCACAATAGATTTTTAAATCGTAATACAGGTTACAAAGTTTTATTAAATTAAAATGCAGAAATGTTAAGAGACATTATCTCTCTATCGAAGGGATTAAGAATATTTAAAGTATTTTTATTCTTCTTTGTATATTCTAAATTCATTATAATGGACATGTATTTATTCTAATATCAACATATCAAATGAAAATTACTTTAAAATAAATGAGCGTTTTATCTCAATTTTAAAAATCTACAAAAAATGAGCCATAAACCCCAACTTTTTGTTGTAGAAAGACATTTCTAAAGTGTGTGAGAAGATGAATAGTTAATATAAGGACTTTTTTCTTGGGCAAAGTTTTGATTAATTACTGTAGCAGTCCTGCTCAATACTTCTACTGTGAGGAGAGCTTCGTTTATTTAAAATAAGTGTTTAAATATTTTCTGCTGAAGATAGCCAGCAGCCAGGCAGGTACCTACTACTTGTGTTTCAGTTTGGCTCTGATTATAATTGAAAGTCCCAGGGCTGAAGAGGACCATGGAAGGGCCCTTGCCCATGTGAATGTTCTCACTCGGGCCTTGGCTGGCGTATAGGAAAGGTCTTGCTCCTATTCGATCAGAGGAGGACTTTAGCTATAGGAAAACACCTTTGCTAAATGATTTATAGTCATTCAGCTTAATTTCAAGGACATAAATATATTTCCTCAAAGTTTTAATTCAATTTAACAAAATTATGTATGGTCGTCAGAGAGGGAAGTTGTTATTCCTGAACGTGTGATTTGTCATTTATATTTTAAAATCCTTTGTTGATACAAAAAAACATTTCTCATGTACCCATAATTACATGACTTCATATAATTATATGCTAAGCGACTTAACTGGATTATTTGATAAATTATAATTCAGGAAAATTTGGAAAACTTTCCATGACCGATGACAGCATTTTTGACCTTGACTTCAGTCACAGAGTTCTATAGTGTGAAAACATGCTGACTTCGATTCCATATGTACCTTGTACACAATTCCTTAAAACAGAACTCAATAGAATTATCCTAGATTTATAATATGCTCATTTTTGGGGATTGTTTTTCCAGATTTCTATTATATCTTTTCAATGTTTTAAGAAAATTTTGTCATTTATATGCAGGAAAAATTATGTTTTTGGCACACAGTTCTATTAAGCGTTACAAATGCAGAGATTTGTGTCAATAACACCAAAGAAAGGATAAGAACAATTGCGGCACACCAAAATTCCTCATGGAGCCCCTCCCCTTACCCTTGCCAACCATTGATCTGTTCTCTGTTTCCATATTTTTTTCATTATGCAATTGCCTTTTATTTTGTGCTGCTTAAAACTTTTCTTGGATCAGGCATAGGAAGAATAAACATGCAAAATAGACAGAAATAAACCCAGAAGGGCTTTTTATATGAACTTGAGACAAAAATACATGTTACTTGCCACGAAGAACAAACATAAAATGAAAACAGTGTCCTGACTCCACCACAGGTTCCAAAATTTGATTAAAATTGTTATCGGCATTATAGTACCATAATCCTGCAATCACATTTAATCACCTTAAATGTGTTGAATACAACGTGCAATTATTGTTGCTGTTATTTAA
This sequence comes from Homo sapiens, assembly GCF_000001405.40. Lineage (NCBI taxonomy): Eukaryota > Metazoa > Chordata > Mammalia > Primates > Hominidae > Homo > Homo sapiens. The sequence goes on from NC_000007.14 coordinate 52,545,237, forward strand.
AAGTTATTTCTGAGATAATAGTAGTTTCACATCCAGTTGTAAGAAATAAGACAAAGACATCACTTGACCACTTGTGTAATATAAAGAATAACAAAGTCTGATATAACTCTTACAGGCCAAGTTGACAAGATGAAAGTGAAAATTGAGAAACCTCCTGGCTATAATAGGGAAGAGAAATTTTATAAATTTATCTCAGTGAAATCTTCATGTGCCTGTAAAATGTCTTACTCTGTATATGTTTGCATGCATAAAGAAAAAAATACTCTCACAATATTACAAAGCAAAAGTAGAATCTACTGTATGACTTAAATCAAAAAAAAATTTAAATGCTTTGTAGCCTAATAGAATCTACTTGTTTAGTCACTCTGTAATTGAAATACTTGAATAACTTGAATAATTTAATAATTGTAATGACTGAATTTGATTGAACTCTCTCTTTGACCACACTTTAGTCAGGCTTCTCTGAGGCTTCTTTTCAATGAGGCCTTTGGGCCTTGCCTCCTGCAAGTCCTTGCTGAGCCCAGATTTTAGCAAAAAATCCCACCAGTGTACCAAGACCATTCAATGGAGAAAAAATAATCTTGGCTTTATCGTTGAAAATCAGCTGTCCATAAATGTATGAGTTTATTTTTAGATTCTCAATTCTATTTCAATTATCTAAACATCCACATTTATACCAGTGTCACATTATTATTTTTTCTTTTTTTCCAAATTATTTTATTCTTATTCATGTTTTTTTCTCAATTTTTAGCTTTAACTGAACATTTTAAAATTATGTAGCTTTGTGCTAACTTTTGAAATTGAAAAGTGTTTGCCCTGGAACATTGTGTTTTTTTCAAAACTGTTGTGACATTTCAGGTCCCTTGCATTTCCATATTAATTTTGGGAGCAGCTTGTCAATTTCTGTAAAGGGAGTAACTAAAACTTAGATATTCTATTTAACCTGTAGATTATTTACCTGAATATTGCCAACTTAACAATATTACATTTTCTAATCTATGAATATTGGCTATCTTTCCATTAATTTAGGTTTTCTTTAATTCAACAATGTTTTGTAGTTTTCAGGGTAAAGTCTTGGACTTCTTTTGTAAATTCACTCCAAAGTAATTTATTGGTTTTGATGCTATTTTGAATGGAATTGTTTTCTTAATTTCATATTTGGATTTTTTATTGCTATCATAGTATCTTGTGTTCCTCTACCTTATGAATTACTTTTTTTTTTTTTAAGATGATATCTCCCTGAGACACCCAGGCTGGGCATAATGGCACGATCTCAGCTCACTGCAACCTCTGCCTCCTGGGTTCAAGCGATTCTCCTGCCTCAGTCTCCTGAGTAGCTGGGACTACAGGTGCATGTACTTTCTATATAAGATCATGTTACTTGTGAATACAGGTCATTTCGTGTCTTCCTTTACCATGTGGATGCCTTTTGTTTCGTTTTCCTGTCCTGGTGCCCTGACTGAAACCTCCAGTTCAATGTTAAAAAGAAGAGGTGAGAGTGGGCATATTGTATTTTTTGTGACATTAGAATAAATTAATAGAGTTTTTCACCATTAAGTATGATGGTAGTTGAAGGCTTTTTATAGATTCTCTACCAGGTTGTTTTTATCATAAAGCAGCATTGGATTTGGTCAAATTCTCCTCCTGTATACTGAGATGATCATGTGCTCTTTGCCCTTTATTTTGTTGTTTTGATTATTTTGTTATTTAATTTTTCTATTGCTATTGTGTTTTATGTTAATTGGCTTTTGGATGTTAAACAAACTTTACTTCCTGGGATGAATTTCACTTGGTCATGGTGTATAATCCTTTCTTTAATGTGCTTTGAATCAGTTTGCTAGTATTGCACTGAGGACATGTACATCTTTATATAGAAGAGATGTTTGTCTGAAGCTTTCATGTGATGTTTTTATCTGGTTAGGAAAATTTTGTAAATAATTAGTATTTAATCTTCTTTAACTATTTGGTACAATTCATTAGTGAAATTATTTGGGTTTGGGCTTCCCTTTGTGGAAAGATATTTAATTGTTAATTTAACACCTTTTTTACTTATTGACCTATTTAGATTTTCTATTTTTTCTTAAGTCATTTTTATCAGTTTATGTCACTCTTGGAATTTATTTATTTTTTTGTAGATTATCTAAATTTCTGACATACAATTACCTGCTGGGTCTGTCCCACAGACGGTGTCTGAGTGAGGTATGAAAGGCGTACTCAGACACACGTATGCAGTACGAGAGCAGCTAGGGGACTGTCCAGCACTTAGCGGTGGAAGAATGAGCAGTCCTGAACAGCTGGAGCTGCTTGCTTTTATTCAGTACAGACATAATGCCGAAAGCCTGGAGCCAACACAATCTGTGGGTAATTAACATTATTGTTCCCCTATTCAGGGAGCAGTCAGGAGCTCGGATGATCAAAAGTCAGCTCCTGGTTAACATAAGTAAACAAGCCTGTTTATGAAAAATTCCCCTATACTTCCTCGTACCTACTCCTTGCCCTCTGCCTCAGGGTCAGAGAGCAGCTGCCTTCAGCTTATTCTCCCCTGAAGCTATGCAGAGCCTTCCAACCTTTCAGAAGTCCTGCTCCTTTCCCTTTAGTTTCTCCCACCACTCTGACCCATCTCCTACAATTATCCTTGCCACTTTTAAAGTCATCATTTTTAATTTTCTCTATGGTTCATGTTAAAGACTCTCTTGTATTTCTGATTTTAATAATATTAGTCTTCTATTTTTTTGGTCAGTTTTGATAAAGGCTTTTCAATTTTGTTGATCTTTTCAAAGACCCAATTTTTGGTTTTTTTGATTTCTTCTACTGTTTTACTATCTTAAAAATACTAATTTCTATTCTAATCTTTATTATTACCTTTTGTTGAATAATTGTGTTTAGTTTGCTCTTAGATTTCTAGTGTCTAATGGAAGAAGCTTAGGTGATTGATCTGAGACTTTCCATCTTTCGTAATATTGTTGTTTATAGCTACAAATTTTCTTCTAAGCATTGCTTTATCTGAATGAAGATAGTACTTTTCTACCTTCACTACTTCACGTTCATTTATCTCAAAGAATTTTCTAATTTCCTGTGTAACTTTTTCTTTGTCCTATTTGCTATTTAGAATAGTATTATTTAATTTTCACGTATTTGTGGACTTTTCAAATTTTGTTATTGATTTCTCATTCAGTTGTGATCAGAAAATATACTTTGTAAAATATCAATTATTTTAAATCCATTGAGACTTGTTTTATGGTATAGCATACAGCCTATCTGTGAGAGTATTTAATATACAGGTGAGAAGAATGTGTGTTCTGTTATTTTTGGGTGGAATGCTCAATAAGTGGTTGTTAGTTTATAATGTTATTCAAATTTTCTATTTCCTCATTGATCTGTATAATTACCTACCCATTACGAAAGTGTGGTTTGAAGTAATACAATTTTTTTTAATTCTATATTTCTTCCTTCAGAAAATTGCATTAGTTTCTCTTTATGCCTTGCTATATCTTATTAATGGGTTGACACTCTCATGGCATTATAAAATGTCCTTGTTTAGTAACATTTTTGTTTTAAAGTCCATTTTGTCTGATATTAGCATACCCGCTTCAGTTCTCTTTTGTTTACTTCTGCAAAATGGTGTGACACTTCCAGCTGGTCTCCACTGTTTCAAGTATGAAATTTGAATTGGTGTTTCTCTCTGGCTACTTTTAAGTCATTTTGTTGCCTTTTATCTTTAGAAAGTTCAACTGTGATGCTTCTTGGCCTGAATGTGTTGGGTTTATGCTATTTGTGGTTCAGTCAGGTTCTTGAATCCACAGGTTTATACCTTTTTTCTCCTTTGGAAAAATTTTAGCCATAATTTGAAGGAACATTTTCAATTATCTTCTTTCCTTGTTTCCTTGGACTTTCATTATGCAAATGTTAATTCTTTAGCTTTGTCCCAAAGTCCATAAAACTCTGTTTCTTATTGTGTTTTCTTTCTGTTGTTCATATTGGATAAATCCTCTTTCCTATTTTCAAATTCACTGATTGTATCTTGTGTCTTCTTCACTGTGCTATAGCAACCATCTATTAAGTTTTCTAATTTTAATTTTAATAATTTTATTTTTATGTTTTATAACTTCCATTTCTTTCTTCTAATTTATTATTTTTTGCTGAGTTTTTTTTTCCCTCATAGGTTTCATGGCCACTAGTAACGGCTTAATGAAGCATTTTTATGTTGGCTGTTTACAAGTCTTCATCTGATAATTCCAACATCTAATTAATCTTGGTATTGGTGTCTTTTGACTGTTTTATTTCATTCAAATTGTGACTCTCCTGCTTTGATGGGAATCTGTGAGGTATTGCCAGAAAGGTTTCTATTTTGTTGGTCCACCCTCTTCCCTGTTCTTTGGCTAGGGACAACAGACTGTTCTTGGACCAGTTTTTGTTTGTGCCTGTTGGTGGCCCCAGGCTCTGTAGAGTACTGTCCAAGATAAAGGAGGCAATAAGGAAACACAAAGGGGTCATCATGGTATCTTTCCTCATTTCCTGAGGTCCTGAAGAGGTCCTCCTTCTTTTCTTTTCACTTTTCAGATTTTTTCATGCTTGTTTGTTGTGTTATACACAGGTATTTTAGTTTTAAGAGGGAGGAGCTGGCAGCAATGGAGCTACTCTATCTTTGCTGGAACCATAACCATCAGTCATCAATTCTGATGAGAGCAATGATGTTCCTATGTTTCCTCACTCTGCCAGCTTTGACCCTGGACAGCAGTTACAAGCAAGGGCGGAGAAGGTACTCGTGAGAGGAGACAGCAGAGAGCCTGGCCTCCTCCGCATGGGTTGCCTGTGAGAATGAGACTTAACCATAAGACAGGCATGAAGTCTTGTGAGTTTCAGAGCAGTGGACAGTTTTGTTAATGAACCAAAACACTTGTGATGTAAAAGTAGCCATGAGATTGTCTATTAGCAAAATCAGCAAAAAAGTAATGGGATCTGTTAGAACATGCCTAGAGGCAGAGAAAGAATATCTCTATTGAATACAATTTAAAGTGACAATGCGTGCACCACAAGAGACAGAGAGAGAGAGAGAGAGAGTACTGCATTATAACTGGCCAGTGAGTTTATCATGTTCAACAAATCAGTTATAAATTAATAAAATATCCAACTGAATATGGAAGGAGAACTTGTTCAAGCACATTTGTGAGCAAAATATTGTTGTAATTAAATAATAGGATAAATTAAAGAATTAAAGATAGTTATCTGTTTCCAGAATACTAAACATTTTCTTAAACCTTTTCTTTTAAAGAAAGTACTGAATAAAATAAGCAGAACATATTTAAATCCTTAAGCTGAATAAAAGTGGGCTCAACTTAATAATTTGCTATTTTTGTTTCTATTAAATTAAGATATTCAAATATTTTAATTTAAATTGGAATTCTCAAAATATATTGTCCATGAGGTAACACAGGGACTTCAAAGTATGAGTGACCAAAATAATTGTTTAGGTTTTATTTTCCTATCTTGAGCCTACCTTAATCTAAACTAATGTATCCATTTTCCCTAAATAGTAATTGTTCACCCATTGTTTTGCTTTTAATATTGAACATATAGAACGTCTAATGAAAATGTTTTGAAGTTTTGCTAAAGTGATTCATAATGTCCACTTTTTGAGCTCCTTTTCTGCAGCCTGAATTTTCAAATACAGCCCAGAGAATTCCATTTTTCCAAGACAGTCTTTTAGTTTAATTATATATTATTTATAGTTTAAATATATATAGAAAAATATCTCTAAAAACGTAATGAAATAATTAAGTGTAGTTAATACAAACAAGTATCACATTTTTTATCTGATCAAAATCTACAAAATTCATATCAACAATTCTTGAAATATTTTGTTTTTTGAAAAATTTTGCAGGTTACACAGCAACTTTATAGGTTAATAATTGAATCACTTATTCTCCATTTGCAAATGAATGAAATAGAAAGTCAGCAAGTGAGTATTGTGGTTAAATTATGGTCTTTAATCAAAATTTAATAATATAAGCTGTATTTTATACTCTATACAGTAATTAATATGTAATATTGAGCATAGATATGTAAAGTGAATATACGTGTGTATGTGTATATATATGTGTGTGTGTGTATGCGTGTGTGTTATGGTTGAGCAAATGTGGTCTCTTTCAAAAATGTGCTTTAGACTTAACATTGAAAATGAAGGAAAAGCTGGTTGTGGTGGCTCACGCCTGTAATCCCAGCACTTTGGGAGGCTGAGGTGGGCGGATCACAAGGTCAGGAGATTGAGACCATCCTGGCTAACACAATGAAACCCCATCTCTACTAAAAATACAAAAAATTAGCCTGGCGTGGTGGTGGGTGCCTGTAGTCCCAGCTACTTGGGAGGCTGAAGCAGGAGAATGGTGTGAACCTGGGAGGTGGAGCTTGCAGTGAGCTGAGATTGCACCACTGCACTCCAGGCTGGGCGACAGAGCAAGACTCCCTCTCAAAAAGAAAAGAAAAGAAAAGAAAATTCAGGAAAAGAGGAATGTATATGTACTCAATTTATTTAAGACTTATGTTTTATTTTGTTCCTACTGCAAAATGACGATAAAAAAAGCATTTGTTGTCAATATTCAGCAGACTTATGGAAAGTTTTTATTGCTTGTATATTACTGTTCTGAGATTATATTTCAAAGTAGTAGGGTACAGAAGCATTTTACAACAAATATTTGTAATTCTTTAAACCTATGATATTGCATTTAGTCTTCACCTCCCTTTTCAAGTAAAGAGTAAAACACATATATCCTTGAGCTAATATTGAATTGGGCCTTTTTAAATAACTTTGTGTTGAACATTATAAACATTAAGTTATAGAGCATCTGCATCTGAAACGAAGTGTTTTGGTAGAGTGCTGTTTGCTCACTGATATGGTTAGTCTTTGTCTCAAATCTCATCTTGAATTGCAGTTCCTATAATCCCCATGTGTAGTGGGAGGGACTGGTGGGAAATAACTGAATCATGGGGGCGGTTCCCCCATGCTGTTCTCATGATAGTAAGTTCTCACAAGATGTGATGGTTTTATAAAGGGCTTCCCTCTTCGCTCAGCTCTCACTCTTCTGTCTCCTGCCACTATGTGAAGAAGGATGTGTTTGCTTCCCCTTCCACCATGATTACAAGTTTCCTGCAGCTTCCCCAGCCCTGTGGAACCATGAGTCAATTAAACCTCTTTCCTTTATAAATTCCCCTAGCGGGGTGAAAACGAACTAATACACTCATGTAGGTTTGTGCGCAATTCAGGCTACATTTATGTGCCCACGCACACTCATTGACACTGCCTTTTTGAAGACAGCATCATATTAAAATACTTAGCATCTCAAAAAGCAAAAAAAGAAACCTGTTCTATAAATTTCTAATTAATGAACAGTAACAGAAATGGAAATCATGTGTTTATCTCCACAACATACATGATGGTGTGTATGTCTTCCTAAGACAGAGTGGATGCTGAATGAGAAAGTAGCCTGCTCTATGCCTGATACCTGCATAGCTGAGATAAAGTACTATGTCCTCAGCACATGTCACTTCCTGTAATTGCTATTCAACAAAACCCCTCCTCCCAACAATGTTGGAGAAGTTCCTTCTGTTACTGGGTAAGCTGAGTGTTAGCAACTCCTGGCTGTTGAAGGGCAACATGGATGATGCTTTCGCCTGTCACTAGACAGCTCTTATGGAAGTGTACATGGGGCAATGTAAGTCAATGTTCACTTGGTCTTTTGCTGTGACTGGAGGAGCTCTTTCCAGACTTGCCTCTAACAGGCATTTACCTTATCCCAAGGATGTCCCTGGGGCAATGCCCAGGGAAAGTCCTTCACTCGTGCGTGGGAAACACTCAGGCCAAGTTAGATGGGTTCCTCAACTACAAGACTTAGATGAATACACTGGTGGGACTCCTGAATGAAAAACGTGGAGGAATATTGTGCTACAAAATAAGTTGGGAGTTTATTTTAAGAAATCAATAATGCTTTTTCTGGAGCCTGCTGTTCCAAGGTATTTTTTAATATCGAGGTCATCTCGTATCTGCCATCTAGATGGACCAGTGACTGACCCTTGCAGCAACCTCAGGCAATGACTCTGAGGCCGTGGAAGCCTTAAGAGCCTATTGCCAAGGGTGGACCATGGGACCTTCCCTAGACATATATGGGGGACACTCTGACATAACCCAGGTTTGGAAGAGTAGAAATTTTGAATGTGTTTTCTTATGTCTATTAATGATATACAATTATTTTCTCAATTAACCATTGATGACCTTTCCTCAAATTCTGTAAAATTTTTTCCTATAATTGCTAACTTCAAAGATATTAAGTTTATTCACCATTTGTCTGTCATACCAATTATCCATATTTCTAAGTGTATCTTTTAATTGTTATTTTTTCACAATGCAAACTTTTATAAATCTCATTTACTTGAATCATTGTATCATTTTCCTGCAAGCTTTCTTCTTTTAATGTCCCACATGGCAAGGCCTGTCTCTCCCCAAGGCTACACAATTTGCTGTATAAATATTTTCTTCTAGAACTTTTAAGCTCTTATATATTAGGTAGAAATAAGCTAGGCTTTTCTTTATTGGTATTTATTGTCTGCTGACTAATTCAGACAAAAAACAAAGAAAATGATACATTTTATCTTTGCTACTATAGACAATAGGGCTATTGGTTTTACATTTTCTGTTTTGGTTACTTTTCATGTAACATTGTTTTGCTGACATTTTCGTTGTGTATATCATTGCTTGTGTACTTCAATGGGAGCTTATTTGACATGTTAGTGGGTCATGGATGATATAAGTTAATTGTAGCTGTGTCTTTAATCATATTAAGACAACCATTAATACATCTTTCAAAGCTTTCTTCCTTGAATTCAACTTGGTTTGACATACTTCCAAAACTTTTAGTCAAAATACCAATTTAGAATACAATTTGATAAATTTGATGTTTTAGAGATGTTGTGTATCAGTAAAAGATCACTTAGAGGAGATCATGATCTTTAGTTAGATTATAGGGTCATTGTTTTGTTTAGTCCTGTTTTTGTTTTCCAGATACTTCCAGGAGGATATTTAAAATAATTTATCCCATAGATTCTCAAATGAAAGTCAAATTTACAAAATATATAAAGATATCAAGTCCTCAGATGGATTAATTATTTGCTACTTACAGGCTAAGTGGTTAATTTGCAGAATCTCTATTGTATTCCAGATTTTCAAAAATCCAAATATGAAGGCATAAATATTATGTGAATAAGTCCTCACGCTTCAACCATAAATTTTATAATGTTCATCAGCTTTACAAGGGATTACACACTTAAGTACCTCATACTGACTGGAAGACCATGAGGGCTTTAAAAAATGCAACTCTCTTTTTTCTGCAAGAAACAACTTGAATAATGCTATCATCTCTTGCTCAACTCTGGGCAGATTATTTGACTGAGCACTTCTCAAAGGCAGTTTTTCTTCCCCACAGGCATCACCTTGTATTCCAATCTGTTCCCTGATCATTTCCTAGGAAATATATCTCCATTATTCAATGAGAAAATTAGAACTCATCTTCATAATGGAATAAATAAAGCATAATTACAAGGCAAAGTAGCTTTAGTTAAAATCATATGATTTAATCAGGCAATGAACAGGTATTTATGGAACAAGTTTTATGGACTTGGAGTGCAGTTTGGGTTTCTACAAATATGACAACTGCTTCTCTTTGGGGAAAATGTAACAATAAAACATTGATCATTTAGAGAATAATAATAGCTTAGGAATGTTAAACTGAAAAGTGCTATTAGAAAATGTAATAGAAATCAAATGATAGAGGGAATTTTGTGTTTCAAGTCATGTTCAAACCCTCCTAATGGGGCAGAATTTGTGCTGGACCTTGATCAAATTCATTGAAAAAAATGTAGTTGGTTCAGAGATTGTCGGTAATTTTGAAGCACGTATGGAAGAATTCTTATGGAGATATTTTCATGCAGAGAGAAAGTCACAATATTTAAATGATGAGGCCAGAGCCTTTCCAGAAAATTACTGCCCTCTCTTATTTAATTCTTTCATAAGAGATACATGTTGGCATTGGTATAACCATCAATTACCTTAACAGAAATACTTCCCTAGAAATGGAAGTTACAGTTGTACCAAGTTGTATTACATTACACCTTTACTTAGGTTTTGAAAAATAAAGCATACTTCTGTGTGATTAAAAAATCAGTGCACATAAACTAAAAGGTAATACTGCCTTCTATGAATCAAATAGCTCAAACTTTTAAAATCTAAATATTTACAGTGTATCTGAGAAATAGAGTTGATTAAACTCTTTACACAATATCTAACTATCCAGACAAATCAACCAGAACCCCATTCATATGCCTGGTTATCTTGCATCAAAACAATCAGAATGACTGCCACACATTTTTTAAAATAGTGCCTTATAAATCCAGCTACTTGTATAAAGGTGCATAATATGGAAACCTTTCAAAACGTTCATTACAGGAACCAACCTTGCCTGAATCTGGGAAAAGATCTCATATCATCTTTTCTTATTCTTCTGGTCTCTCACTCTTTTCAATGATACTATAGCCAGGTTAGAGAAGGTTGGTCTCAAAATGTGAAGGAGATATCAAGTCATTAAAACGTCAGCTCAGAGAAAGCAGAAGAAGCAGAAAGCCTCTCATGAACACAACACCTAAAGATGCAGAATGGAAAATAGGAAATGAGGCCAAGGGAACCAGACTTTCAGTAATGTTGGACAGCAAACCTGCAGGTGCAGAGCCGTGGCAGGAGCAGTGCAGCGGAGATGGGGCTAAGTCGAGCAATGAATGAGTCATCTTGGTACCAGAAAAGGGCTACACACAAAATACTTGTTTTGTTATTTTAAATTTTGTGTACTTGTAGCTAGCTGTTATGGGCTGAATTTTGTCTTGCCAAAATTCACATGTGAAAGTTTAATGCCTGGTAAACTCAGAATGTGACTGTGTTTGGAGACAGGGGCTTAACAGAAGTAACTACCTTAAAATGAGGTCTCATAGATGAGCCCTAATCCAATACAACTGGTGTCCTTATAAGAAGAGATTAGGGCATGAATACCACAAGGAGATGATGACGTGAGGACGCAGGGAGGATATGACCATCAATACCTTGATCTTATACTTGCAGCCTCTGTAACTGTGGGAAAATAAATGTCTGTTGTTTAAGCCACCAAGTCAGTGGTACTTTGTTACAGCAGCCGGAGCAAACCAATACAGCAGCCCTTGTGAAAATTTAAATGTTAGGTCAGAATTTGAAGGTATGCGATTTACCAGCTATAACCATGCGTAGTATTTATAATCAGATTTTGCCTAAAATTCTAATGAAAAACACCTTAAAAATATTGTTTCCTTGAGTGTAAACCACAGGATAAGAAAATGGGTCATCTGAAGCTGTTCTCTTGAAATACATAGTGTGTTTTTCATACTCAGTCATAGAAACCGAGCCTATCTATGCATGTTATTTACAACAGTCTTATCTTGGTGATTTCATTTCACATCAGTTTTCACTCACAGGCTATGCAAAGTTAGGGAAATACTATTCTAGTGGTTTTTGAGTATTTGAGATATTTTTCCTGAGGGATTGAAATAGAAAGGTGGAGAAAAACTGAGATAACATTTATGTCATAGGAGTTTCTCTTTTAGCTGAAAGAGAATGGATACAGATTCACGTAATTTATAATAGTTCATATGGAGATTGATCTTAGTTCCCTAAAGTGAAAGTTTCATTTTCTAAATTGAAAACTAACAAGCAAACATTCTATAAATTTCCAAAGAAGAAATGGCTGTTAGGCTGAAAGAGAATATAACAAATAAAGGAATATCCCTACTGTCCTGTTGGGTAGAGAACTTTGCCTGTTAGTGATCTACACGAACTCATGGAGCCGAAGTTGGCGTGCTCTCCACTTCTTCCTGCTCTGTGTCCCATGCAGTAAATCCCTGTCAATAATCAGGAGCTCATGTCCTCTGTGCCCTCACCCATGAGATGTCAGTAAAAAGAGTGCAGGGACACAGAGGCCTTCTCACCATGGAAGGAAATTTGACATTATCTAAACCTACTAGTGAGGGTTTTTTTAAAAAAACAAAACAAAACTTTTTTTCTACTAATTTGTATGGAATATTTTGACTTTCCTTTGAGATTCAGGGTGTTGGAGCTTCTGACGGATGCAAGCAAATGTTTGCATCTGCAGACTTGTTTAGTCTAAACAAACTCTAAAACATTCACTCCTGAGGCACTTCCTTCGTGCTCTTGTCTCAGCTGACATGACTGCTTGAAATAACTCCCCATGAATAGTAGATGGAACACATACAGAAACTGTCCTGTTTCTATGGGACGTGAAGAGAGCATAAAACCCAACATGTTCACAAACATTCAGTCACTAATTCCCAAGCCTTCTTTCAAGTACTTTATCTAGATTTACAAAGACCCAGAATCTGTGATGGCATGGATTTTCTGAGCCATTGCCTTGGTCAACAGCTAGCCATTTATGTGCAAGTGAATGAAGTGGACTATGTCATATACACAGTGGATACCATTATATTTATCTGGCAGTTGTCTAGAGAGCTATCTTCTAGGTGGAATCGACAGAGCAGCTAAAAGTATACCTACGTAATAACTGGTATTATTGCCATTTTAAAAAACACACAGACTCACATACATGACATTATTGTACATAAGTAAGGTAATAGGATAAGCAAAAGCAAAAGCAAGGACGGGCGTGGTGGCTCACGCCTGTAATCCCAGCACTTTGGGAGGCTGAGGCAGGGGGATCACCTGAGGTCAGGAGTTCGAGACCAGCCTGGCCTACATGGTGAAACTCTTGTTTGTACTAAAAATACAAAAATTAGCTGGGCATGGTGGTGGGCGCCTGTAATCCCAGCTGCTTGGGAGGATGAGGCAGCAGAATTGCTTGAACCCAGGAGGCAGAGGTTGCAGTGAGCCGAGATCATGCCATTGCACTCCAGCCTGGCACAAAGAGCAAAACTTTGTCTCAAACAAACAAACAAAAAGCCAAAGCAAGTGAGGTGGGCATACTGGAAACAGTGAGCAGGTATGCTGAGATGCCATCAGGAGCACAAATAATACTGAGCCACTTTACTCTGCCTTGTTAATTATTTTACAATCTTTAATTCACATATTCTTAAACTAATCCCATAATATTTATATAATTATACTTTTACAAGACAGGAAACAGAGTTTTAAGAGTTCAAATTTCTTGCCCAAATGTATTTATTCAAATGGTTAAGTCAATAAATTTTAAGTCCATAAGAGGGCAAAGAGATTTTCTTACTTTGAATAAAAAAAGAGAAATAATTTCTGCTTTGGAGTTCAAAAACCATGAGAAGAGGGCGCTTCAGGGAACTCAAAAATGAGGAATACCCTGTCATTTATTTGTCTGGAAGATGAAAATTCAGTTGGATAGCTTTTAATCAGGTTTTAAATATTTTTAAATGTATGAGATATGTGTGCAGTCAACCATTACTAATATGAACCATCAAAACACTTGCCACAGTTTTGAATCCTGTAAGTACATATGACAGTGTCTACCCACTGTCTGTGCTGTCACAAAAATTACCATGTGTAGGACCTGTAGGTGTTTCACAGCTTATTAAACTATAATTGTGGAACTGTAATTATAGCAGATGCACTACAATGCCTGAGTTTTAGAAAACAACTTCCCTTAAATCATAAAAAGAGCAAACTTTATACCTCTTCACAGCAATGACATGATTATATTAAAATAAAATATTGCTAGAGGTGCAAAACTCACTTCGCCCAACAAATGTGAAAAATAATTCCTCTATCCATCACTTAAAAGGAACACACTGATATTGTAATCACAGCTGAGAAAAGAGGCACTACAGAAGCATGTTTTTAAAAATTATATTTTGGTATATATTCTTATATATGTATTAGTTTATAGGTTATGACAATTATTACTGACTTATAAAGAAATTATATAAATATTCACATTCCCAGGTAGCTCTTTTTTTCAGGTGGCAACAGCCTGCAGCCTTCTCTTGAGATGCACATTGCAAAAGCAAAAGGGTCACCTGCTTAAGCAGGCTAGATCAACTTCGTCAGAACTGCCCACTGACAGTGTCTTGTCAGATTGCGTTTTACTCCCCTAGACATCGGAGAGTATAAAGATAGTAAGTCAGTTCTCTGAAAATCAGATTTGCTGATGTCCTTTATTGAGCAGCTAGTTTGCCTTATTGTCCAAAATACTCCACCACCTTCAGCATCCAGAACAAATCTTTTTCAGTGCACACGCGTGTGTGTGTGTGTGTGTGTAGGGGGTGCATGTGGGATGTTGCTGTTGCCATAATTGCTACTCTAGGTATCCATCATTGGGGAATTCTGTCATTGTTGCGTTTGGCCTGTCTTCTCACATGGATGATTAGAAAAATATCTTCTATCCACCTGAAATATTCTACTCTTCTAGGGTTGCTTGTAAGCAGCAGATAATAAAATTATTTACGTTGACACTTGGGAATATTTAAATATTTAAAGTAAATTTAAATAGTTCATTACTGCCATATTTATGTTATTGGCAGCATCCTAAATACTTTACCTGTTCCCTGTAATAATCAAATCAACAAGTTAAGGGAATTGTTTACCACCATGTTGTGTAAATCCCAGCATATAAAGTTCATGTGGTAAAGCTGAAGTAGTGGTAAGGCTGAAATTTGGAATAAGTCAGTGGAGACACTCTGCCAAGTTTAGGTATCATCTAAGGCACCATGGTTAGGTACAAAAAAAAAAAAAACAAAAAAAAAAAAACCCAACTTTAAATTAAGAAACATGCGTTTTCAGATCTACAATATTAAGCAGTGTTTTCTTGTGTAAATCATTTATGTTTCTAGAGTTTCAGTTTTCAAATATTTAAATTGGAAGTAATAATATCAGGCACTTGGGAATTTTTCAAAAATAAAATTTAGATTAAGAAGGTGCATATAAATCATTGTTTTTAAGCACTGATGGATGAAAGTGAGTGACAAGATTTGTGGGAAGTTTAAAAAACCACATCAATGATGTTAAGATTTGTCAGCTTGGGGGCTAAACCTACAGTCACTGTCTTGACATATATGCATAAACTATACTATATCCTGAAGTGATACCTTTGGTTTGTATTATTGGACTTGAATTAAATTTATGGTGTTATAGAACCCTTTCAGGGACATCCTCTCTGAAATACTTGGAGACTAAAAAATCTTTATTTTTGACAACGTCCTTTCAACTGAATGTATTTTTTCTTTTTCAATCAACCCCATTCCTGCCACCATTTTCTTTTGAGCTGTTTATAGCAGCTCAGTTGAACATTATTACCTTTTGATTTGTGTTCTCACCTCTTATCATGGACTCCTGCCCTCTCCTGTTAAATTAATCTTTCTAAAGCACCATTACAAGTAGTACACCAACCCATAGAACATTTTTCAGTGTATCTCTTTGCTAATGAGAATCAGGGAAGTGCCTGACCTTTAGCAAAAGAGAAACAAATCTCAACCATTTGCTGGCTATAGACCTTGGACAAAGGACTCAATGACCATTCACTTAATAATATTACCTTCTTGTGAATCTTTATGAGGGTTAAATAAATCTTGTTTTTATGGAATAGAGTGAAGTATTGCCATTGTTAGTATTCTTTTGATTCTCTTTCTATGATCTACTGGTTTAGGTATACTCTTATATTCTGGCCCTAAATTTTACATATAAACTATTTCCCTCTTATCATCTTACATTTATTTTATGCTACAACCAAAGTATCATACTCATAATTTTCTTATCCCTACTTGTGCTGATACTAAATACTATGCCAAAAGTGTTCAACATTCCTAATCTGATGAATGACAGTTTTGAGGTACATCTTCTCCATGCACATTTCAATAGCCTTCCACTTCTATGTGGTCTATTCTGCATAGCAACAAAGCACGCTTTTCACTCCTTCTCACTGGGACATAGTCTGTCATGATTGATAAAAGTAAATGTACTTATTTCATGTCCGTGATAGTCACGGAAGGCAGTAAAGTTGTCTTAGTTAACTGCATATCCCATAGTCACAGTCACAAACAATGCCTTTCTTGGAGGCATCTACTAATTCACAAAAATATCTTTTTTTGCAGATTACTACATTGTATAGTATCTGTTTATGTGTCTGCCTTTGCCACTAGTTTTCTTTTCAAGTCAACAAATATTTATTGAGCAACCACTAAATATGCCAGAAAGTTTCAAGTACCAGGAATAAGCAGTTATCACAACCAATAAAACTCTCTAGCCTCACTAAAATAGACAAGAAACAAAATAAGTGAAATTAAATGTAGTACAGTCTATAGTGGTAAATATTAAGAAAGAGAGTAAAGATGAGAGCAGGGTGAGATTTCAAGTAGGGCAGTCAGGATAGGTATCATTGAGAAGGAGTTATCTGGACAAATCTCTGGAAACAGTGGGTCAGTATCTACAGACACCTAGGGGTGGGTGAGACTCAAAGGTGGGAACAGCTCTGTCCCATTCATTGTGGCCATAAAATAATGAGCAAATGAGAAAAGGGAAGGAGGTAAAGTAAGAAAAGTAACTGCAGACAGATTTTTTAAATTTATTTACATATATTTGAGCCTTGTAGACCATAGTGAAATTTTTAACTTATAATTTGCATAATATAGGGAGAGCTTAGACATTTCAGTGGATGAGGTTCAGGATCTGACTTTACATTTTAAAATGATCTTCTCATAGCAGGGTTGAGAATATCCTGCAGGGAAAATGGGTGGATGCATAGAGACAGGTTCAGAGGCTATTGCAATAACTCAGGCAAGGGATGAGGGAGGCTTGGAAGGAGTGTTGGCATGTCCAGATATTGGCTATAATTTTAAGGTGGAAACCAGAGGATCTACTACATGATTGCACTGGGGATGTGAAAGAAAAAGAGAAGTCAACAGTGAGTATAAGGATTTGTTTAATAAATCAGAAAAATGGAGTTAGCACTGAGCATAGGGGGTGTTTAGAGGGGAAGAAGAGGCATTTATGTTTTGGAAATTCTATGTATAATGTCTATTAGTCAAAGAAGAGTCCAGATCACATGGGGATGTTTGGGGAAAATGCATAGCCTCTCATACAACTAGTGTTCATAGTCAAAAGACCAGATGAAATCACCAAGGGAATGAGTGTAGACTGAGAAGATGAATGATTCAAAGATTGAGCCCAGAAATACTTTTGTAAACATAATGGGATAAAGAGAGGAACCACTACAGGAAACGAAGAAGATTGAAAAAGAGACAGGAGAATGCAAACTCCTAAAACAAGATATCAAGGAAGATATTCAGTCTCTGTTAGATGCTGTGGATGGATTTAGTCAGAAGACACGTTGATCTAAGGAACTGGCAATGCTTGAGGGAATGAAAGAACCTTAGCAGGGAGGCCGAGTCGGGTGGATCATGAGGTCAGGGGATCGAGACCATCTGGCTAACACTGTGAAACCCGTCTCTACTAAAAATACAAAAAAAAAAAAAAAAAAAAAAGTTAACCGGCCGTGGTGGCGGGCGCCTGTAGTCCCAGCTACTGGGAGGCTGAGGCAGGAGACTGGCTTTAACCTGGGAGGCGGAGCTTGTAGTGAGGCGGGATCGCACCACTGCACTCCAGCCTGGGTGACAGAGCGAGATTCCATCTCAAAAACAAACAAACAAACAAAAACCTTAGCAGAGGAGTGGTGGGAATGAAAGAATGCTTCCGAAAGGGTTCAAGAGACAGTAAGAAAAGAATTAGAGACAAAAAGCAGTGACAACTTTTTTGAGGAGTTTCCATGTCAAGGATGACATGGAGATTAGACTGTGACTAGAGAAGCAAGACCAAGAGAGTCTTTTATTTTTAATGAGAGATGTGTGCTGAAGGATGGTCCTCCAAAGATGTCCAAGTCTTAAGTCCAGGAGCCTGTGAACATGCTACCTAACATGGCAAAACAGTAACAACAGCAACAGCAAAAGACCTTGCATGTTGATAAAGTGAAAGGTCTTTAGATGGAGAGATTATTCTGGATTATCTGGGTGCATCCAATGTAATCACAAAGGTCCTGTAAGAGGGAGTAGAAGGGTCAGTCAGTCATAAATGTGATAACAGAAGCAGAGGTGGGAGTAACCTGAGGAGGGGACCAATGATCCATTTGTAGGCAGCTCCTGGAAGCTGGAAGAGGCAAGTAAATGGATTCTCCACTGAGGCCTCCATAAATGAACAGCCATGCCAACATCTTGACTTTAGAAAATACTTCCACAACTGTATGATTATAAATTTGTGTTGTCTTAAGCCACCTATATGAACAGTTTATTCACAATAACTGTAGAGAAAGCAAAGTGTAAGGAATAATTGGCAAGTGAGCAGATGTGATGGAAAAAAATATATGTGGATATTCTTTGTACATTGCTCACTTTTTGTAAATTAAACAGGAAGCCATCAGGAGCTATGTGGATGTGTGCAGGGCTGGTAGATAGCTGCATTTACCCAGGGTTGAAGTTGAGTCAGTTGTGTATGATAAAGTTTGAAAGGAGCAAGCAGTTTGAGCTTGTATATGTGGAAAGAGAAGACAGGACATAAGACTGTTGAGAGAAAAAAATGAAAATATGTCAAAATCTGAATTGCTAGCCTGAGTAGGGAGGCTTTTCAGGGCCTTTAGAGGCCTTTCAATGAAAGACCCAGATACTCGTACTTTCCTTCCATTAGTCAGAAAGATTTACGCAATGTTTAGAATTGATGAATATTTGGATATTTTGTAACACTTTAACTTACTTTGTTTTGCAGTACATTATTACCTTTTAAAATTTAGACATGAATAAAATTGCAAGAAGAGGTGGGAATAGTGACCATATTATGCCTCTCCTCTGCATTAATTTATTTATATGCGTGTGTTCATTCATTCAGTGCCCATTTAGTTATTCACCTCCCACGTATGAAGTGTCTATTTCAGGTTCTTCAATAGACATGACCCCCGTATACCTACACTGGGAGGGACCCAGAAAGGATGAGAAGACTGCAATTGAAAAGGATCAACTATGGGATGTTAAAGTGCTATGTGACTGATAGGTCCACCCTGCTATCGTGACCCATAAAACGAGCAGCTGAATCAGGCCAAGTGACTCAGGAAAGTCTCAGAAAAGAGAATCAAAGACTGAATTTGACGTACTTGAAGCTGAGGTTGGAGGGATGAGAAGTTTTTCAATACAATCAAAAAATGAGAAGTTTTTCAATACAATTGTCACCAAAACTGTAGGACTCCAACAATAGATTTTATGATAATTGTTACATTTTAAATATTCACATTTATTATTTACATTTTGATAAACAAAAGCAAGACTATATATACCGATATATCCTAGATTTTCTATATTATATATACATATAATATATATTATATATACATATATTTTATATTATATATTTTATATGTATATATAATATGTATGTATAATACATAAGGTATATATGTATTACATATATACATGTATACATATGTATAATATATATTATATATACATATATAGATATATAAGTAATATATAATGTATAAATATATATTAAAAATAAAAATATTTGTATATTATATACATATACATATATGTTTATATATAATACATATTTATATATTATATATTTTATATATAATACATATTTATATATTATATATTTTATATGTAATACATATTTATATATTATATATTTTATATGTAATATATATTATATTACATATAAAATGTATATGTAAAATAATATATTTAATATATAATATTATATGTAATGTAATAAAGCGATCTCGGCTCTCTGCAACCTCTGCCTCCCACGTTCAAATGATTCTCCTGCCTTAGCCTCCATGTTGGGCAGGATGGCCTTAAACTCTTGACCTCGTGATCTGCCCACCTTGACCTCCCAAAGTGCTGGGATTACAGGCGCGCACCACTGCACCTGGCTCTGTATTATATTTTTAAGGAGATATGATTTTTTTCTGTCAAATTCAGTTTATTAGGAGCCGGTAAACTAATTTTCTTAGAAGTATCTGAAAATCACAGGACTTGTTAGTAAGATTTTAAAATGTTCATATTTAGGTTACAAATGATTTAATCATATATCACTGCTTAAAAAATTTATGCACACTTTGTATAGGTAAAATACACTCATCTATCTCTGGCAACATTTGTAAAAATAGTGCACCAATACATGTGACCTAAAATATTTACCCCGTAGCATTTAAATTAAGCTGATTAATATTATTTATCATCCTGTCTCCACAAAGTAAATGGCTGCTAAGATTTGAGGAATAGGTAATATCTCAGATGTTAATACATTTCTCATGTCTATTTTATAATAATGAATTGGTAACCAAGGCATACTACGAAGTATAGGAGCTAACTTCATCTTGTACACTAGTCACAAAGGGCTATATGTATTATTTTTTATGGTACCACTATATTTTAACAATGCTATAAAAGGAAATTGTAATTCATGGTTAATAGAAACATGTCTCTGAGAAGCAGAGAATGCTGTTATTAGGGGTCTAAAGATCATTTGATCCTCTATTTGGCAGAAAGAGTATTCGTGTTTTATCATAGCTTGTCCTAATTTAAGTGTCAAGCTCTCATTTCTTAGGGACCAGCAAAACCAACAGGTCACAGCTGCATGATTCTGTTTTAAGAGCAATGCAGGTTTATTTTATATCACTTGCTTTTTCTGTCTTGTCCACATGACTCCAGCGAAAATATTACTTTGGTAACATTATACCCATAGTTCTTTAACCTGCCCTTCCACTATGAGTATGCATATTTGAGTCTATGGATATTCTTAAATCGGATCATACATCACAGGGAAAACAAATTAAGTGGAGTACAGGGATACGTCCCTGCTGATAAAGCAGGCATGCTCCTGACTCAGACAGGGAGGAATCATGTTAATCCCATTACAGATGTTGTGCTACGTGTCTCATAAGGAAAACAGACAGCTCTTCCAACTCTAATTTTCATTTGTCACCTTACTGTGAGAACTCCGCAATGATGGGTTTAATATCTCTCCTATAATATTCTCTGACAGCAATAGGAATTCTTTGCATTAGAACCAGATATGTGGTGGTTTTTGGGATCTAAACACCGCAACTGAGAGATTCTCAGAAACAAAACTGTTGAGGGTTTTTCTAGTGCAGTCAATATTTGCTATATGGCTACCCTTTCTCTTAATATGTGGAAACCACATATTAAGCAGATATAAATGTCAACCATAGGCTCATATTTCATGCTAAGCTAGCAATAGTGGCAGTAGAAGAGCAAGTTCAAAGTGTCTAAGACTCAGATAATTTTGTCCTAACATGGAAAATGGAAGGTTTCTGTACAATTATTGTTTCTGGCAGGAGTGCAATTATTAACCCAGGAAATCTCTCTATCACACTCTGTTGCTTGATTGCAGAAACTTTTAAACCAGATTTCTTTTTTTTTTTATTTGAGATGGAGTCTCACTCTGTTGCCCAGGCTGGAGTGCAATGGCACGATCTCGGCTCCTGTAACCTCTGCCTCCCGGGTTCAAGTGATTCTCCTGTCTCAGCCTCCCAAGTAGCTGGGATTACAGGAGCGCACCACCAGGCCCGGCTAATTTTTGTATTTTTAGTAGATATGGTGTTTCACCATGTTGGTCAGGCTGGTCTCGAACTCCTGACCTCGTGATCCGCCCGCCTCAGCCTCCCAAAGTGCTGGGACAGATCTCTTTTTTTCACCACCACATGTGTAAGTTTTAAGATAATTTTATTTTTTTGTAATCATAGTTAAATGTTACCCTGAGGGAATAAATTCATTAACACAACTCACGTAATAGATTCACTTACCTTGTTAAAGAGTTAAACAGTTAAAAATAAAATTAAAATTTCTATACATAGTACAGTGTTATACTAGTTAATAAGAATATTAAATTTAATGAATATTCTTTTAAAATATACCTAAGTATTCGACTTTGAAAAGGTGTGATATGTGAAAGTAATGTCTTTCCTTGCAAACAAAAAATCAGCGTTCAGTTAAATCCATAACTCATTCTTGCTTAATTAGAATGTAAAATACTATATCCATACCTTGTAATAATCCACATGATAGACTAATCCACAAATAATCCAAATATCCAAGAATTTTACCTGAATACTTGAGGTATGATTGCATACTATCTTCCCATGTATGTCTACATTGGTTGAATCTCACTGACTAAAGTTCTTTGAATGTAATTAACATTAGCACAAAACTACACCAAACGTTAATATACGCTAAGTACTCCATGTATTTTGCTTAGCTAGACCATATGTATGTGTGAGTGTGTAAGTGGTGTGTGTGCATGTGTACATTAGAGAGAGAGAGACAGTGAAACAGATACTGAAAGAAGACTAAATTAAACTCACGTGCAAGCCATCAGGAACTGCTTTCCCAGGTTTTAAGGGTATATGAGGCAGGCATAAAAAGACTGAATTGAAGCACCAGTCAGCAGGAGCACATCCATTTGTGGACTCCGAAGCTTTTAAAATTTGAAGAGGAGACACACGTTAGTAAAAAGAATCTCATGTGTATATTACAAATATGTATAACCATGGAAACATATTGCTAAGGCCCATCCCAGCAAGATGGAGTGGTCATGTAGATCAGCGGTCCCCAACCATTTTAGGACCAGGGACTGGTGCAGGGACAATTGACCAGGGACAATTTTTTCATGAACTGAGGAGGCAGGGATGGTGTCAGGATGAAACTGTTCCACCTCAGATCATCAGGCATTAGTGAGATTCTTATAAGGGGCACATGATCTAGATCCCTCGCCTGTGCAGTTCACAATACGGTCTATGCTCCTATGAGAATCGAATGCCTCAGCTGATCTGAGAGAAGCAGAGCTCTGGCGTAACACTCCCTCGCAGCTGCCCACCTTCTGCTGTGCAGCCCGGTTCCTAACAGACCATGGACACCAGTCCCAGTCTGTGACCCACAGTTTGGGGACCCCTGGTGTAGAGGACAATGCTGTTTAAATGTCATTCATGTCACGTCTTAGTCAAATCAGGCCACTATCACAGAATACCATATAGACTAGGGTGGCTTAAAAACATGACCTTCTCCTAGGTCTGGAGGCTGGAAGTGTGATCAGAGGGTGTCAGCATGGTTGCATCCTGGTGAAGATTCTTTTCATGCTTCAGAGATGCCTGTCCTCTGGTTATGTCCTCACATGGCACACAGAGAAGGAGAGTTCCAATCTCTTTACTCCCTTCTGAGGGCACTAATCCCCCCCATGCATGGGGGTTGCGCCCTCATGACCTGATTACCTCCTCAAAGCCCCACCTCCAAATATCATCACATTGGACATTTAGGCTTCAATGTATAAATCTGATGGGGGTACAGACATTTAGTTCATAGTGCTATGGAATCTACCAACTTTGGCCAGTGTCTGCCTGGGGATTGAATGATCCTCATTCTGTCATTTGAGACTGACTTGTGTGCACCACAGTCCTCTCTTTTTCTTGTGATGTGAATTGTAACCAATGTATTAAACCCTCTTAGCATCGGTTTAGCATGTTCTAACAGATTTATTCATTTCCAAAATGCCATGAGTGTTCAAGAAATATACATAATACAGTTAGTGCAGTGCCTGAGAAATAGATACCCAATAAATAGTACTTCCTGTTACATTGTTTGTGAACTTCATAAAATCAAATGAAAACCTTGAAAGCATCCACTGGGAGAATGCTATACCCACTGTTCTCACTCTCCCCTTCTCCAGACAGCATAGGAATAGTTTGCTAGTGGTGCCTGTGGTGCAGGCACAAATTCTGATGGGATGCTGACATCCAGAGGCTTTGCTTCCCCTTTGGACATAAGTTTAACTGCCCTCCTGGCTTGGGAAAGAAAAATTGACTTTGTATCTACCTGTTTTAAATGCATGATTGAAATTTTGGGAGCTACTATCCTAACAAAATAAAGGCAAGACAGTCATTCATGTTGAAATCATGGTGGAAATTAGGAAGTTTCAGCATCATAAAGTTAGACGTAACAGGAATATTGCTGACATTTCTTTTTCACTTCCTTACTTTCAGTCTACAAGACTGCAGCTGAGAGCAGAGAACCACAGAAGCAAATTGCTGAAAGCTCTGTAACTGAGAACCAGAGATAGATGTCCCCAGTTCCTCCCCGCAAGACAAGGTGATGTCCTTGAGCATGCATCCTCAGGAGCAGGGGCTGGGTCCCGCTCTTCAGCAGACCCTGCCTGTGGCCTCTTCCCTTTGGGGTCACT
This sequence comes from Homo sapiens, assembly GCF_000001405.40. Classification (NCBI taxonomy): domain Eukaryota; kingdom Metazoa; phylum Chordata; class Mammalia; order Primates; family Hominidae; genus Homo; species Homo sapiens. The sequence goes on from NC_000007.14 coordinate 52,569,529, forward strand.
TTTCATCATGCAACTCTTTTACTGCTTGTATTTTCATATGCTTTGCTTATGCCTTTTTCTTTATTAGAATAAAAATATTTTAAGGGTTTGTGTTGGGTATTAACAATGCCAATGATATTCTTTGGCAGGAAATATCTAAAATTAGCCACAGAAGGTATGATTATAAAATAATATGAAAGTATTGATATGATTCAGTTTACAGAATATTTTCAGATTCATTACATAATGACAAATGATTCAATAAGCATTGTGAGGTTGGTTGTAACCCTGACTTACAGATAAGAATCCTGAAAAATCTGAGGGGCTTAGCCAGAATCACTCTCACTGAAACTTTCTCTACTGATTTTCAAGAGATTGATGCTTTTTCTCTCTGCAATGAGTAAGTCCAGGCACTGGAGTGGTGGCAGGGTGGGGAGAGTATTTGGAGACAATAATGGTTATGAGTTTGTTCAAATCATGTTAATTGAATATTGAATGCTTTTTGTATGTCAGGCACTCTTATAGATGCTGTCAGAAATGAACTGGACAAGGATCCTACTACCAGTGGAATCTACATTCTAGAGATGCTGTGCCTACCACTATGGGATTTAAGGTGCCATAAGACAGACTTGCTGGCTATAGTTTAATGCAAAAAAAAAAAAGCATAAAGAGTGGTGACTGTCCAAATAGTATGCAGAAAAAAGTTTAAGGAATAAAAACAAGAAGATAAGATTGAATTAACGTTAGGATTATATAAAAGTTTCATCTAAGTAGGGCAGATACATATTATAAAAAAGTATGTATTATATATATAGTATATCTCTCTATACACTAGACACATGTATCTATCTATACACTAGACACTGACATGCATAATATATATAGTCTATATAAATGCATATGCTACACATACATATATATTCATGCATACATAAATGTGTCTATCTTAATCCATTACTTAATAAATAACCTTGGAAAATTTACTTAACCTCCATTTCTCTCATCAGTTAAATGGGGCTGGTAATAGCACGTTAACTGTAGGGTTTTGTTGGGAAGCTTGAGTGAAGCACTAAAACCACTCTCTGATCTCGAGTAAGCCCACAAAGTGAAGTCCATGTTGTTATTATCACTGCTGTCATTACACTGTGCCAGGTCATGCTCACAATAATTTTCCTATACAATAAATTGCAAATTCCAACATTTCTAAGCATCCTCTGCCTTTATTCTAGGAATTATTAATTTAAAAATTACAAAAATTAAGTAATAAAATGTATGAAACAAGAAAAAAATGACTTTTCTAAGTAAAGTCACTGCCCCTTCCACTGCGGAATGGAGACTTGAGTTTCTCCATCTCTCCTCAGTTGGTGTTATGCCCAGCTTGTCTGCAGATGATGTCTCCATGGCATATTCACCCATACAGGGTCAACAGCTACAAGGAGAAATTATATCTGAGAACTGATCAGAACTAGTTATAGCATCATGAAACCAATACAGATGGTAGTATGATCTGCTTACTTTAAGGATGTTCTTAAAACAGGATTTTAAAACTGTATCATCTTCTCTCCTGCTAGAAGATATCAGAAGAGTTAGCCAACACCACATCATTAAACTGAATAACGAGACAGCTAAAGCGAAGTTATCTGTGTGGGCAGTCATTTTGGACTGCTCCGTTGATAGTACCATATGTTAGCTACAGTTGGCATTCTACAAGGAATTGCAAATGTTTACAGTTACTCTGAGGGAAAGATTCTTTGTGTTGTAGCATTTGGCATGTGGAGAAGTTTGCCAAGAAAAGATGACATGAAAGCATATTTTATCAAGTCTATTTTTCTGTAGTATTCCTCCATATTTATAAGACTTTATATTTGGAGTGATTTGGAGACTGAAGATAAAATGTTTTCCCCATCCCTAGCCTTGCCTGTCATCTTCTGCCTTCCCACCATCTCTTAGTAATAGATCATTTTGAAATTTTCAACACTATAGGGAAGCAACTTCTTTGGAATTATGTTCAATTTGAGTTGCCTGTTCTCTTTCATGCTCTTTTCAGAATTTTTAAAATTACATTTTTTGTCTTTTCTAAAATCAATCGATATGTCAACAGGAAAGAATTTCTTCCCAAGAAAATATAAAATATATAATAATGATTAAATTAGGACTAGAAACTGAAAAACATTTCTATAAATTGCCAATTATTTCCTTGAGGTCTTTGCTACAAACACTTCCCAGGAAATTTTTGCCAAGAAAGTCGAACTTAAAGAAACTATATTTTTTCTGGTTTGCTCATGATAATCTTAAAAATATTTCTGGTTGCAATATATATTATATACTCATCCTAGTCATGACATGTATTTTTTTATCACAGTTCTCAGCCTTAGTAAAAGCCACAATTCTCAGTCATTTTATCTTTTCAAGAGAAATCTGTGTTATATTGATGGTGGAGTCTAAGCACTCCCTGAGGTCAGGCATCATGATGAGATTCACAGAATGCAGCACTGAGAGAATAAGACACTCCCAGTTCTATCTGCAACCACTTTCTTTGCTGACATCGAACATACAATTTATATATCTAGGCCTCAGTTTTCCTACCTATAACATTAAGGAAAAAAACCAAAAATTATTTTCCATGTGTGGCTGAAACAGCATCTAACTGCCACCATTTCCATTCACTTTCAGTTGTGCAGAGTTCTGAAGAGGGGCCTGTCCATATTGGGCTGTTCCCCAGGCTTCCATACATCTGTTGAAGCCATGAGATCTGTTCTTTCAAATACGGTGCGAGTGGAATCTTTTTGCTTCATCTATGTCCAAAGTCATATAAAAGTAGATTTACACCTCCACTGTCCCATGCTTTGGCTGAATGGCAAGGAGTCCCAGGCACTAAAGAACGCAGAACACAAATTGCAGGTGCCTGGGTTCCTGAGTGGCCATGGGCAAAGCCCCTGCCCCCCACTCAGAGCTAGCTTTTGGTTTTACGTAAGTAAGAAAAAACTCTCTATATTGTTCAGCTCCGAAGACTTGCAGGATTATTTATAACATCAGCCAACCAGTCACAGATTGCTTGCCATCTTTGATTCTAACTTCAGAGTTTGGCACAGTAGTTATGGACATTTTCATCCAAACTGCAATCCCTTCCAGTCAGAGAGGTCAGATACTGAGGATACAGTTTTCTTATCTCTTTGGGAGTGTTTTATGGACCTAAAGAAGCATGTGGCTCACAATAGTGGCTCTATCTAGGAGGAGTTTCAAACCTTGTAAGGTTAGGAATAGTGTAAAGCTCAGTAGCAATGAGGGAATTAGACCTGATTTTGCTAAATACTGCATAGGCCAATAAAGTTAAAAAACAGTAAGTTAAAAAAGAGTAGATTACTTCCTATGATCAGTTCATGTTTGAGTCTGTCCAAAATTTATATTAAAAGATGGACAAGGTTTAGGAATAATAGAGAGAAATTTATAGCATCCTAAACTCTATCCATCAGAAAAACAATTGCAAACAAGTGTCAATCTGAAAGCTCTTACTGTGAAAGTCACTATTAGAAATCCCTCTACTTGGTGGGATAGATTATGGAATTGTAAGGACAGAAAGATAAAGAGATGCAACACCTTATAGACAAAGAAACACGGCCGGGCGTGGTGGCTCATGCCTGTAATCCCAGCACTTTAGGAGGCCGAGGCAGGTGGACCACCTCAGGTCAGGAGTTTGTGACCAGCCTGACCAACATGGAGAAACCCCGTCTCTACTAAAAATGCAAAATTAGCTGGGCATGGTGGAGCATGCCTGTAATCCCAGCTGCTCAGGGGGCTGAGGCAGGACAATCGCTTGAAACCGGGAGGTGGAAGCTGCAGTGAGCCGAGATTGCGCCATTGCACTCAGGCCTGGGCAACAAGAGTGAAACTCCATCTCAAAACAAAACAAAGAAACACCACATGCAAAAATGAGTTACAGGAATGGATTAATATCTATGCAACAAGAATCAGGAATGGGTAGAGTTAGAAATAAAACCCAAGAAACAAAAAACTAAAGCTCCTCTTCCTTAATTATTGAAAATTCTTAGACAAGTATGGGGCAGGGAAGATAGAATGAGAATCACATTTTGAGACACAGAAATCAGAAGAAGGCAATGACTCAAGCACGTATTTCTCAGGATTTAACCAATTCCATGTAGAAAAGCCATGTTATAGAATCTCTCTCTGTCTCTCTCTCTGTCTCTCTCTATGTGTGTGTGTGTGTGTGTGTGTAGAGATTTAGATATTAGATTTAGATACACACACATATATAGATTCTATAATCTCTAGCATGACATTTCTATAAATAATATATATATAGGTGAGTGTGTGTGACTATATGCACATTATATATATGTATAAAATATAGCCTTCCTGTGTAAGATTTTAATGTAAATTTTTATAAAATTTTATTTGTAGTATAGATTTGATAATTTTGTAGAGCATTTTTGTATTTTCATAATTCAAATTTAAAGAAGTGCTTTAAGTATTCATAGAACCTCCATAGCAATGTTCTGTGGAAATTGCAGTGACTCTCTGACAACCAGTGTTAGAAAGTCAAGTGTAATCCTTAACAAATATTTGGAGTATAGGACAGATCCTGTCACAGTTGAGTACATCATTATGTTTTTGACCCTGTTCAAAATGCCTGTTTGATAATTTTTGTTGTGTGTGTAGGGAAGGTTATACATCACACACACACACACATACACACACACATCTTTGATATAAAACCTACCTATTTAAACTAGAAGTATTTTCAGGTGAAAAACTTGGAGTTTTTTTTTGTTTGGAGAGAATTAAGTGAAAAATTATACTGTGAAATTATAGTTAATTTAGAAAAAATAGCATGGAAAGTACAATAATAACATATTCAATTACAATGTATGATTAATTGCCAAAGCTTGAAGAATTCTAAATATAAAAGAAGCATTGCCCTCAGATGATCAGAATAAAAGTAAAACAAAACTTCTCAACCCCAGGGTTTTATTTTATATATATATAATACATAAACTGTGATTATTATTATTTTAGTATTATAGAAAATTTGGCTATAAGCTTCCTATACATCAGAAAATAAAAAGTTGTATGTGTTCTTAATGCCTGATACAAGAAAATACTATTAATTTATTCCCTGAAACTAGTCACTCAGACTAATTACCTAGATGACATTACCATATGGCCACTGAACAAGAAATTGGACAAACTTAAGACGGGGCACAGAGCTGGCAGTCTTCAAATATTAGTAACATATCTACCTTCCAAAAAAACCTAAGCATTTCTGATGCTATTGCTGACTGAAGAGGAGCTAATTAGATGAGACTGAGCATCTAACCTGAGCAAAGGACAGCTTAAAATGTGTTGGAATGAATAAATAGAATGCAACCATTAATTTTCAACTTCCAGTGACAGAGCTCATCAGTCACTGATACCATTTACTTTCCCTCGTGTATATATTGGCATGGGGGAAGTTATACTGTTTTATGATTTAATATTTTTAACTGGCAAAGGGAAAATAAAATAAAATGACCCCCAAACCCCACACCACCATCATTACTATCACTACTCTCTGACAAAATGCCCTCTGCCCTGGTGAAGAATGAGGCAAAATCACAATCAATAATAATTCTTAGACAGTAGTAAATCTACCTGAAAAGTCACAAACACAATTTTCAATGTGGTTAAGCAAACAAGTCATGGAGCTAAAGCAAATTCAAAAAAAAAATGTTAAAGAGAAATTTAAATTTACTCAGAGGAGCTTAATTTCCATTCATCTCTATGTAGACCTCTTTACCTACAGCCAGTTTCCAAATGAAAGAATCATTCAACGATAGTTTTGGTACAAAAGAAACAACTTTTAATGTAATTTAAAAATACTTATTGATCTGAAATGTGAATGAATTTTAAAACAGAATAAAATGTTTAATGCAAGCCTTTATGTAAACAACATTTTTCTAAAAGCTATAAGAAGATACAGTGTTCAAAAAGAAAATTCCAATCGTACAAAATACATTTATCGTTCCTAAAATCTAACCATTTTAAAATGCTTTATAGAAATACATATTTAACAAATGTGGTTGCTAAAAATATTTTTAAAAATCCCATAAAGTAAGTGGAACACAAAAGTATATAGTAAAGCACTCAAAGACAGTTATACTTCAGGCAAATTAGCCATTAGGGGAATTGGTCATTTGGATAGCTATCTTCAGAACCACAGGTGTTCCTTGACCTCTTCCACTTAACCTCTGGACCCTTAACCTTTTCTCCCGCCAGCACCCTATGATGGTTAATTTTATGTGTCAACTTGACTGGACTAAGGGACTCCCAGATAGCTGGTAAAACATTATTTCTGGGTGTGTCTGTGAGGTATTTCCATGAAAGATTGGCATTTGAACCACAGACTGACTAAAGGCCACCCTCACCCATGTGTGTTGGCGTCTTCCCATCTGTCGAGGGCCTTAATTAAACAAAAACGCTGAGGCTGGGTGAATTCTCTCTCTCCTTGAGCTGTGACATCCACCTCTCCTGCCCTGAGACAATGGAACTCCTGGTTCTTGGGCCTTTGCACTCCGGGACTTACATCAGAGCCCCTACCCATGCACCCCAGGCCTGTGGCCTCGGAGTGGAGTTACATCATTAACTCCCCTGGTTCTCAGGCCAGTGGACGCAGCCTGAATTACCAGCAGCCTTCCTGGTTCTCTGGTTTGCAGACAGCATATTGTGGGACACTTTTTCCCTCCATAATTGCCTAAGACAATTCCCATAATAAATCTCCTTTTACAAAGTTCTATATATAATCTACTATAATCTATTGGTTCTTTTTCCCTGGGGCCATATTACACCTCCCGTAAAGTCCTCTGTTACAATCCACACTTACTGCATCCAGTTCATATGCTTGGGACCTCTTGCCAAGAGGTTTACATCTTCACAGTTTCACAGCAGCTGTGGTTTTAATTTTAACCACTGTTACAATCAAGCAAAGAGATGTTCTACCTTGAGGCATTATTAATATAAGACAAATTTCTCATTTCATTTGCACATCCACAATGTCATCTGCAAACAGGAAATTATTGTTACCAAGACCTCAGATCCTTTCTCGATCTGTTTTCTGTGGTGAAAGAACATTTTTTCCTGTATGTGTCAGACTTATAATTTTATAAAATGAAATAAAAATTAATACATCAAAAATAAATAACATGCAGCTCAAAGTCCCACCTTTTAATTATAAGATTCAAATTGCCATAAAAGTTTCAACTTGACTGTGCTTGAGGTCAGAAAGAAAACATCATTTGAAGACCAGCATCTGCCAGCAGGCTATATTTTACGTAGTAGACTGCTTCCGGTTTCAGAATTTTCCTCAGAGGGAATGTCTGACCCAAGCACAAATAGTCTTGGTCAGGTTTTGAGAAAAAAGTAGGCAACCATCCCTTTAATAATTGACAATATTCAGAATTCAACTTGAGAATGTACATTGCTAATCAAATTGAGGTTTGTAGTTATTAAATATCGGTTTTTAAGGGGTCAGTGAAAATACTATTTTTAAGACTTGTGTGGTATTTAATGTATCTTTTAGAGAAGACCAAAGGTTTTTTGAAAGAGCAACTTTAGATAAATCCAAAACGTCAGCAATGCCTTGTTAGAGGTTGGAGAACATTATTTGAGGACAAAAATGTAACAAATATCATTTATCTAACAGTTGCTTGCCTTAAGCCTAAAACGTCAGTTTTATATGATGCTGTTTTCTGGTGGTCCTGCCAGAGGACCGGAGTAGCCCTAATGAAAGAACAAGCTGGCCTCATCTATGGGTTTATTTATTCATTTGAATATTGAGAAAGGTGTGCCTACCCGATGTTTTTGGCTATTTTCATATTTTTAATGACAAAAACAGATAATATGATTACATACTTTTTGAAGCCACTATTTGCTCCATTCTAGGCACAGCTGACTTTATTTTAATTAGTGTCATCAGAATATGAAAATAGGTTTGGCTCTATGCTTTCTAAAGCAGGAGATGTATATTCCATTGAGAAGAAACCATTCTATTTACAGTATTTCAAAATAAGTTAAGGATAAAGTCAGTTGTGGCTAGCAATGACCCTATTTGAGAATAAAAACCTATCTCTTAGAAAGGCATCTCGCCATGATATTTTGGTCCAGGTTTTTTTGTTTTGTTTTGTTTTTAATCCAGGTTTATAAAAGTCCGACATCAGTAACAAACTCACAGAGTTTACCTAATGATGAATTCTAGGAGGAACATTCCTTACTTCTTTCTTAGCTGGAGTCTTGTCAAGCTGGTGGAGTGATCATCAGTATTGGATTATGTATACTTAAAGTTCATTTGAATTGCATGGAAGCTATTGGATCATAGCATGGGGATTAGTAATTTGTGAGTTTGAAAATAAGTTACTCTGCACCAGAATTCCCAACAGGGTGCTCCTGGTGAGCCAAAAGATAGCAATGCTTGTAAATGTTTAATACTGCTGAAAATTTTAAAACTGGTTTTTCAACTTATTAAAAATTTACAGTATTTGGAATGATATTTGAACATGATTCTTTCACTACTCCAGTAATATTCTGGTGTTGCACCTTTGCCATCGAGTACTCTGCAGAAGCTGCACAGCACTGCTCTTCCCCTTTCCCTGGACTTTCCACAGATCCAATCCTTTTGCTTTGCCTATTAATTATAGGAACTCATTCTTCCTTGAAGTGAGTATCTGGTATGCATGTGGACGTATTTATTTTGTTAATTAACTTGCTCTTATATTTTTTCTAACTACATATTTTGTCAACTATTGAGAATGCAATATTGAAATCTACTACTATTGTTGCTGAATTCTGTATTTCTCTCTTCATTTATGTCCATTTTGCTTTCATGTATTTTGGGGATCTATTGTTAGATGAATACATATTTGTAACTGCTTCCTGCAGAATAAAGTTTTCATCTTTATAAAATATACTTTTTTGTTTTAGTAATACTTTTTATATTATTTTTTGTCTTAAAATCTTTTTTATAATATTAGAAGAACTACTACAGCTCTCTATTGTTTCTCATTTGTACAGAGTATCTGTTTTTATCCTTTTTCTTCTGAGCTGTATGTTTCGTTGAGTCTAAAGTGTGTCTGTTGTATACAGCCTGTAGTTGGATTCTGTTTTTTAATCCAATATGACACCTTTTGACTTTAGATTGAAGTGTTTAATCCATTTATGTTTACAGTAATTATTGGTATAGTAGTGGTTTGCTTTCTATATGTTTTATATTGTCTGTTTCTTCATTTCTCCATTATTGCCATCTTCCTTTTTTTAAACAGGTATCTCCTTGTGTGCAATTTAAATTCATTTTAAAGTAACACATTTTTGTGAGTTATGTTTTTAAGTAGTGTTCTAGATATTACAACATGAAACTCAACCTAAAATAATCTAGTTCAGTTTAATACTAATTTCATTCCAGTAGTGCTTAGAAACTGTTGCAATATAGTCTCTATCCCTCGTGCTTTTTGTGCTATTATTGTCACACAAATTACATCTTTATACATTATAAGCTTATCAATGTTGTTTTGTAATTTTTGTTTTATGCAGTTATCTTTTAGTATTTCTTTTAGGGAAAATCTCTTGATGACAAATTCTTTCAGTGACTTATGAGTGTATGTATGTATTTAGGAATGTATGTATTTTATCTGGCGCAGTCGCTCTGTGTCCATTTTTTAAAAGATAGTTTTGATGCAATTACAATTCCTAGCTGAAAGTATGTTCTTTCAACACTTTGTGTATGTCAGACTGCTTATGTCTGCCTTCCATGGTTTCTGATGAGAACTCAACCATTTTTCTTATTAAAGATCCCTTGTATGTGGTAAATTATTTTTCTCTTGCTGCATTAAAATATTTTCTCTTTGATTTTTGATAGTTTGACTATTATGTTTTCAGTTGGGCATCTGAGTTTATTCAATTGGAGTTTTTTGAGCTTCTTGGAATTGTAAATTAATATTTTCCATAACATTTGAGAAATTTTGTCCATTATTTTTCCAATACTTTTTTCTCCCATGTCATTCTCATCTTTCCTCAGAAACTCCTATTACATGTATTTTGGTATGTTTGATAGTGTTCCACAATTATATGAGTCTCTGCTCATCTTTTTTCACTTATTTCTGTGCCTCATACTAAATATTCTGTTTATATAATATATTTTATGTTCCCTAATCTTTATTCTGCCTCTTTATTCAATGTTGTTATTTTTCATTTCAGTTATATTTTTAAATTCTGAAGCTTCTACTTGGTTCTTTATATTTATGCTCTGTATCTCTTTATTGAGAGTCTCTATTTTCACAACCTTAGAGAATTGTGGTGCTAATAATTCCAGAATATTGTTGTGATTTATCAACACCCTGAAATAAGAGTTTTTTCTATGAAGCTGAGATATGAGTCATGTCAAATAGTTATATTATTTTGGGAATAAGGTTTCTTGAGCGAGATGCTAGAAGTATTGTTAAAATATTGACAAGGTTCTGGATTTGGATTTGGGACTTTACAAGGATTTCCAAAACAGGTCACCCCTCTCTTTTCTTGATTAACACAGCATAGTGCTGGAGGGAGAAATTAGAGTAGCCTACGTTAAAACACCACATGCTCCATAGTCTTACAAAGATTTAATCATTTTCCTTGAAAATGAAATGGTTTCTAGTTTGTTCTGTGCTTTTGGTTAATTTCCAGAGTTCAGAAATAATTGATTTCATTAGTTTTTTAAAAATATTTTCATGCCTTTGTGGGGCAGAGCAAAAGCATCCTCACAGCTTGGTGTGGTGGCTCGTGCCTATAATCCTAGCACTTTGGGAGGCTGAGGCGGGCAGACCACGAGGTCAAGAGAGGGTGACCATCCTGGCCAACATGGTGAAACCCCATCTCTACTAAAAATACAACAATTAGCTGGGCATGGTGGCACACGCCTGTAGTCACAGCTACTCACGAGGCTAAGGCAGGAGAATCGTTTGAACCCGGGAGGGTGGAGGTTGCAGTGAGCCGAGATCATGACAGAGCAAGACGCCGTCTCAACGAAAAGAAAAAAAAAAAGCAACCTCACTGTATAATTTCAAAAGTCTGGTTCCTCTCATTTTTATCATTTTAAGCTACAAAAAGTTCTGTACGTATTTGTTACATATATTATTGCTGTTTATTAGTGATTTTTAAAAAGAACAATGTTAATTTTGTTCATTTTAAAGTTGTTACTTCTTTCCTGTCTTTGTTATTAATACTATTGCTTTGTTTTTCAAAATGGTTAAAGTAGAACTCCCATTCACAATTGCTACAAAGAGAATAAAATACCTAGGAATACAACTTACAAGGGATGTGAAGGACCTCTTCAAGGAGAACTACAAACCACTGCTCAAGGGTGTAAGAGAGGACACAAACAAATGGAAAAACATTACATGCTCATGGATAGGAAGAATCAATATTGTGAAAATGGCCATACTGCCCAAAGTAATTTATAGATTCAATGCTATCCCCATCAAGTTACCATTGACTTTCTTCATGGAATTAGAGAAAACTACTTTAAATTTCATATGGAACCAAAAAAGAGACCGCATAGCCAAGAGGATCCTAAGCAAAAAGAACAAAGCTGGAGGCATCACTCTACTTGACTTCAAACTACACTACAAGGCTACAGTAACCAAAACAGCATGATACTGGTACCAAAACAGTTATATAGACCAATGGAACAGAACAGAGGCCTCAGAAATAACACCACACATCTACAACCATCTGATCTTTGACAAACCTGACACAAACAAGCAATAGGGAAAGGATTCCCTATTTAATAAATGGGTTGGGAAAACTGGCTAGCTATATGCAGAAAACCGAAACTGGACCCCTTCCTTACACCTTATACAAAAATTAACTCAAGACATCTTAAAGACTTAAACATAAAACCTAAAACCATAAAAACCCTAGAAGAAAACCTAGGCAATACCATTCAGGACATAGGCATGGGCAAAGACTTCATGACTAACACACCAAAAGCAATAGCAACAAAAGCCAAAATAGACAAATAGAATCTAATTAAACTAAAGAGCTTCTGCACAGCAAAAGAAGCTATCATCAGAGTGAACAGGCAACCTACAGGATGGGAGAACATTTTTCTAATCTATCCATCTGATATTAGCCCTTTGGCTAATATCCAGAATCTATAAAGAACTTAAACAAATTTACAAGAAAAAAAACATCAAAAACTGGGCAAAGGATATGAACAGACACTTCTCAAAAGAAGACATTTATGCAGCCAACAAACATATGAAAAAAAGCTCATCATCACTGGTCATTAGAGAAATGCAAATCAAAACCATAATGAGATACCATCTCAAGCCAGTTAGAATGGTGATCATTAAAAAGTCAGGAAACAACAGATTCTGGAGAGGATGTGGAGAAGTAGGAATGCTTTTACACTGTTGGTGGGAGTGTAAAATTAATTCAACCATTGTGGAAGACAGTGTGGTGATTCCTCAAGGATCTAGAACGAGAAATACCATTTGACCCAGCAATCCCATTACTGGGTATATACCCAAAGGATTATAAATCATGCTGCTATAAAGACACATGCACAGGTATGTTTATTGTGGCACTATTCACAATAGCAAAGACTTGGAACCAACCCAAATGCCCACTGATGAAAGACTGGATAAAGAAAATGTGGCACATATACACCATGGAATACTGTGCAGCCATAAAAAGGATGAGTTCATGTCCTTTGCAGGGACATGGATGAAGCTGGAAACCATCATTCTCAGCAAACTGACACAAGAACAGAAAACCAAACACTGCATATTCTCACTTATAAGTGGGAGTTGAACAATGAGAACCCATGGACACAGGGAGCGGAACATCACACACCGGGGCCTGTAGGGGGGTGGGGAGCTAGGGGAGGAATAGCATTAGGAGAAATACCTAATGTAGATGACGGGTTGATGGGTGCAGCAAACCACCATGGCACGTGTATAGCTATGTAACAAACCTGCTCTGCACATGTACCCCAGAACTTAAAGTATAATTAAAAAATGGTTTAAGTATAACTTTTGATGGAACTTTATGTTTAATTGTACTTTTTTTCTAAAATAAAAATAAATTCAGGACTTCTTAGTTCTGGATGGCATACAAGGAGACTGAAATTCCTCCCTTCATTGTACCAATAAATAAAATACAGAACACACTGAAAACTCAACTCTTCTTAAATTCATTAGAGAAATGAGATTCCAGAGTAAACTGCTGCCCACCAAACTGGCAGATATAAAAAAATCAAAACTTACTACAGCAGAAACCCAGTGCCTGCATAGGGAAACGTGAACTGTAATTGAGGAATTGCTGGACACTCAATGTGGATGACTCTGAGAGTTGAAAACTCCAGGGGACACCACACCTTGGTAAGTTTTGCCTTCTGAAGTTCTAACAAATTCTCACAGTTAACTTTGTGCTTTGGGCAGGGGGAGGGGAAAATGAACTATTTTAAAACATGCCAGAGCATTTTGCTCTTCTTAAGAAGGCCTGCTGTTGAAAGAAATTATTTTACCAGAACCTAAGCTATTCGGGTTGTATCAGAGCCTAACTGACCTGGGGGATGTAAACATCCACCTCTGGCTGCTCTAGCCTTCCACATCGGGGAAGGAAAACACACAACTCCAGCTGTCTCCAGCCATCCTCTTCACCTAAGTATGTGTGTGTGGCGGTGGGGGGGGCAGGGGTGGGAGGAGCGGTGGTGGACTGGCAGCAGTTGTGAGTTCACAGCTCACAGGCACAGACTCATTAAAAGACTGAGACCTATCATAGGACTACAGTATGCTTTCCCTTTTCCCATACCTTACCACTACTTCACTAAAACCGTTTTTAGAGGACTTACTTTAACTTAGTACAACAGTAACAATTACAAGGCATACTAAAAAGCAACAAACAAACAAAGCAAAACAAAACAAAAACACAGTTTGAAGAGATACAGCAAACATCAGAACCAGCCTCAGATATGGCTGTGATGTTGAAAGTTTCAAACTGTGAATTTAAAACAGCTGTGATTAATATGCAAAGACCTTTAAAGAGAAAAGCAGACAACATGCAAGATCAAAAGGATAACGTAAATAGTGATATGGATATTTTAAGAAAGAAGCAAGAAGAAATGCTTGAGATAAAAAGCACTGTAACAGAAATAAAGAATGCCTTTGATGAGCTAAATAGTAGACTGGGAATAGCTGAGGACAGAATCTCAAAGCTGAAGGATCTGTCAATAGAAATTTACAAAACTAAAAAGCAAAGAGGAAAAATAGACAAAGAAGAAAAAAGAGCAGAATATCCAAGTCCTGTGGAACAAGACAATCACAAAAGGTATAATATACACATAATGGAAATACCAGAAGGAGAAGAAAAAGAGGAAGGACTGGAAGCATTCCATTACATTATAGCAAAGAACATCCTGAGGCTTTAGAGTCAGGAAGCTTTAATCTATCTCCACCATTAACTACCAGATAAAAGTATTTATCTGTTTTTACCCTCATATTCATGATCTGTAAAATGGAGATCATTAAACCTACTTCATAGGATTGTCAGCCAGATTGCATTAAATTTGATAACACAGTAGTGTACATAGCACATAAGTGCTTGATAAATGGTCAGTCATTTTTAGCATCACCTCAGGTATGTGTCATCATTTTATTAAAGAATCCAACGTGACCCTGTTCCTTCCAGAGCTGACAGAGTGGTGTCTGGAATAGTTGGAATGTTTTGGCAGTCTTAAGAAGATTTTGCATAATAATATATCATTCTTGAGTAAGAACCAATGAAAGTTCTATCGTCATTAGATTAATTGCCAAACATGTCATCATCCCACACATACTTCTGCTGTCACTTGATTGCCCTCTTCTAGACCTCACCATATTTACTTCTTTTCAGCACTAAACTTATTTTCCTTCCTGTCTGACTTAGCTTCCAAGTTGTGACCCTTCAGGCCATTTTAATTTTAAGTGTCAACCTCATGGTCCCCAGATATTCATTTTTTTAATGGAGTGTGTCTTGGTACAGGCCTGAGTTTCCCATACTGGTTTACTTCCCTCACAGATAGTCCCTAATAGCACATGGTTACCTTCATCTGTTTTTAATTAGGCGGAGAGAAATTAATGCAGCAACTGTGCTGTCAAACAGAAAACTGAGGTTTTGGGCAAGTACCAGAAGGTACTACCTACTTCTCACTCTACTGAAGTACAATGTGACAAAATTATACTCTTCAAATTATTTTGCTTCAGGTGAGACATACGGGCCTTCGAGGGCAGCAAGGGGACAATCATCAGCTAAGGCAGTGAAGGCAGTGTAGTGAGCACCAGGGTGTAAGAAGTGCACCCAGAAATCTTACCTTTCTCACCAGATTCCTGCTGATTCAGAGATTATGACCTTTACCCAGTGGGCAGCCAGGCTGCAGGTAAGGGGTGAAGCAGTATTTGACTTCTTCAAGAAGTGTTATGGAATCCAATATTTTTGAACATTTTGTTTCTTGCCCTACAATTTAGAGAAAGATAAACATACACAGATAGGTGAGGTTTTCCATGAAATTGGTATACCTAGATAGGCTGGCAATAGCATATTCTAAGCAATAGGTCACAAGTACTTTCAAAACATGTTCAGAAAGAAATCTTGCATAGAAATACACTTGATAAGGATTTTATTAAGGTCACATATGGAGCAACTGTAATCCAAATGATAAAGAATTCCCTATAGTTAGTCATAAACGATGCAGAAAGACCTTGTCCTTCCACTGGGATATGGGAAGCAGGTTACAAAGAATAAAGTTGACAAAACAAGAGTGAAAAACAGAGGTTTTCTTGGCCAAAGGCCATGTTTCCCCAAGGTTTTCACCAAACTCTGGATGTATTAGAAGTTAGTACTGGAATCCTAATATGTAGTACATGGTGGTGTAGTTGTTACATGCCATAACAGGCTTGTACTGGGTTTGTGTTTAATATAATTATACTTTAACTACATTGTAATTGTATGTAGTTCTCATTCCATTATACAAGTCCAGTTATCCCCAAATAATGTGTGTTTCCTATATAAAATCCAAAATTACTGAAATACTGTCGGAATTTAGATAGATAAATAATTGGGCCGATCATTTAGTTCCTATTCAGAAACTGCATGAAGATCTTGTTTCTCCAAGAAGGGTGACCAAACGCAAAAATGTTTTCTAAAACCGTGGGTTTATATGGTGTGGTAACACCATCTGTTAACCTAATAAGTTGTTTTGCACATAGTGACTGTACAGGTAATATTTGTTCAATTAACAATCTAAGTGCAGGTGTGCTATGTTGGTGTAGGGGGTTCAATCAACTTTATTTTACAACTGAAAGTTACAAAGATAATAAATTTTGGTTTAAATAATTGTATCTACCATTTACCAATTATGCTACATCGATTTCAATACTCACATCTTAAGGATATTTAGTTTGGTTTCTCTTTGGAATCTGCACTCCAAATTATATATTCATGTAATCATACATGCCTTAAAATACTGAGTACAAGATTATTTTTATAGAAAATCATAAGGTTCTATTTTCTTCCCATGTAATATTTCCTAGTTACTTGTATCTTTATCCAGGTACAATAGATAAAGTTACAAAAGGTATATCAATAACCTATAATGAAGACATATGATATTCAAATCAGTGGTTCTCAAATATTTTCTATCCAAAGACACCAAATTAGCACAGTTTCATCAGTAGCAGTGACTTGCTACGATAATAACTCTTATTTGCTGAGATTCATTTCAAAATATGAAAGGCCCATGTTGTTTAAAAAAAATCCTTTAAAGTCAAATCCTTAATTTTGGAAAATACAGATTAAAATATCATTTTATTTTCTTATTTTTCTTATTTACAATTTTTGATAAAACTTTCTTTACACCTATGTTAGGGAACAAATACTGCTTTACTTTCTAGTTTTTTCATGAACTAGAACATGAACATTGCATCATGTTCATCATTTTGTAACAAAAATAAATATACTTTAAAAGTTTATTGAGGTACTGTTTCTCAATTTAAAAGGTATGTTTGATCCAGCAGTCATAAAATGATATTGACAGATTTTCATCATATTCCCAGTTTTTCTGAAGATAATGTGACAAACCACTTCAAAAGTTACTACATGTCTCTGGGAAAAATAACTATGATTTAGTTTTAAAAATCTCAAAACCAACAAACTGACAGTGAGAAAGTTATAATTTATTGCATTTTTCCCAGTAAAGGGAAGATTGATTTTACCCTACTAGTAAGTGAAAGCAGGATTGCAAGGAATTTAAGTATTATCTACCAGATGTTGATTCCACTAAGCCAGCTTTCTAGCTCGTGTTAGGGGCTTTTGATCACAGTTTGCTTGAGGTAAACAAATGGCAAGCTAAGTCGGTGGCTCTAATCCCAGCAAATGAGCACTGCTGGTTCAAGGAAGCTCAAGGAGAGGGAGGTGTGAGAGGTTAGGGAAGATGGCCAGGTCGGCCTGTCTTGCATTTCTGCATACTATCAATCAAGTCAATTGCAGTACAGGAACACGTGTCTCCTCCATGTTGGAAGATGAGGACAAGTCCCCTAAAATTTACCTTTAGCCACAAAGGGATATTTTAATGATCTTCACAAGTTTACAGATTTAGCATTAGGGTTTGTTATTTAGTAATCTAAAAGCTCTCCTAGAGTTGAAGGTGTGTTGTGTCCAGATAACAGCAGCATCCTAGGGTGCTACTTGCTACAAGCAAGTCCCCAAGCTTCTCCTGACCTTATCTGCTGCTGCACACTCAATCCTTACTGGATTTGACATCATGTAGGTATATCAAATACAGTAAGCTTAAACAAAAGAGTTCAATTTAAGCAAAAATGGAAATTATAGAAACTTACTTCATCAGATAATTTTTAAAGAACTTTAAATATAATCACATGCATTTATTACTCATTTTACATAAATCTTCACTCCAAGTCTTGGGTGTCAGCCTAGTGGGGTGGATAGGCACAATACGTCTACATCACCTGGGTTCAGGTCCCAGCTCTGCTCATTATTAGGTGTACAGTCCTAGACAAATTCAGATGCTTTGTTTCTTACATTTATCTTCTGTAACATAGAGATAATAGTAGTCCCTCCTTTATGCAGTTGTCATGTGGATTAATTAGCTAATATTTGTGAAGTGCTTGAAGTGACTCCTGGCACAGAGTCAGTTTTGCTCTTGTTAACCTAACTACCCGTAGAGTGTTGGGAGGGTAGGGAAATGGGGAATCTGGCACACTTGTATCTGTTCAGCTGGTGGAAAGGGGTGCCACATGGAAGCCTGAAATTGGAGCACAGGAATGATAAAGCTATTGATGGCTCACTAGCTACTTGCTGGAGATGACCACACTGGAAGTCATTATTGACAGTCTTTTCAAGGGGAGAGCCTGTTTCACCACAAAACTCATTTCTTTGGGTTGCCCTTAGCAACAGTTAGTTCTCCCTTTGTTAGATCTCAAGTAGATGGTTCAAAAGAACCATTGAAAAATAAACCTAAATAGAAGGTAATCAGGTTTCATCATATCATTAAAAAAATAAAAGGTACTTATGGACCACTGCTATTACAACCAGAGCAAAGGGGAAGCAAATAGAAAGTATTTGAAAGGAATTGCATATGATTTTTGCATATGAAAATGGTATTGTTGACCTCTGCAGTGGATTCCACAATTATGAGTTGTTTTTAATAATAATGGGAATAGATTCCAAGCTATTTGGTATGTTGTTTAGCTCCTAAATTGCTGCCTCACTATGTTGCTCCCAGAGACGATTACTATTCAGAATATTGGTGGTCACACGCAGGTTGAAATCCATTTGCTACACCTGCTCTGAGCACAACACAAATTGATACCTACGTGTGTATTTGGCTATACTTTTCTATTAGACATTTTTATTAACATGGTGTCTCTAAAAGACAGACTAAGGGGTAAACATTATTCTTTATACAGAAAGGGAAATTGAAGCAGATTAACTTACACAGAAGACATCTGGAACTAGAATTTATATCTGTTGATAACCAACGCAACACTTTTTCTGCAAGATATAAACACATATACTAAAGGCAAACATTTCTCCCCTTTCTCTCTTCTTGAGACCTTATACCATGTTTCCTAAACCATCTCAGATCCAAAAGTATTTCTTTAGTATAGTGCTCCTTGTACCTTCCTGTCCATTTAGATGACATAATTAATTGATATTGGTCTCTCCTTGATTCCTAATAACTGCTAGACTAGGATTTTTCAACACCAGAATCTGAACGTATTTCTCATCTAATACCTAGTAAGCTATATAATATCCTATCTTACCACTTCTCTTTCTTGCTATTTTCTCCCAGATTTATTCCAGCCTCAAGATTCTAATTAAATATGAAGTGTAATCTTTGACAAATTTATTGCAGTGATTTTATTTTGTATTGAATTGATGTTTTTGTTGCACAATAGATTATGCACATAGAATATATGTAATGCTCATATGTGTATGCCTATAATATTTTGTTGCTTATTTGTGTATATAGCTGTCATTTCTTGGCTTAGAGATAGAAATTTGACACAGATGAGAAATTTAACAAATATTTCTTGAAGGAAAAGATGTTTAAACATCTGTATGTCTGATATGTTCAAAATATGATATCCAGGTATTGGATTGCTCTTTGTAGCAGAATTTGGAATTCCATTTGAGATTCTGTGATCTACAAAATAATCATTCTTGTGATCATTCCTATTCTATTAAGACACTGTCATGTATTCATGGAAAAATAAGAAAATAAAAGCTTTGTAGTAAAATTTCCATGAAGCTAGATTGCTTTATTTAAAAAATTATTATGTTCTCAGAAATTATGTCCTTTCAAGCTTGTTTGTTTAGAAGAGCTGTTCACTTACAAAAAGAAGGTCATAGTAAATGGTAATATTTGTGTATGTGGTATAGTGGTGGTGGACTCAGTCTGGGCATGTGTGTTTGCATGTATTGAAGTGTTCTTACTTGAAAATAAAAAGTTGACAGTTCTATATAAGTCCTAAATATTTTAATGAAGCTTTACTGATTTTGAATCCCTAACTCTGGAAACCACTGTGCTACAAAAAAATATGATCTCAGCTACCCAGAGGGGCTAGACTGTTTGCATTTAGCCAGTGCTTCTTGTTCACACCCATTCTCTAACGCATTTGGATTCTTTCTAATCAGGAGAAAATCTACTTTGCTCTAAGTTCGCACCGTACACAGTCTGAAAAAATGGAGAATTTTTTTTCAATTAAACAGCAAGTGGATTGCGGAAGAGCATCTGAAAATCAATCACAGTACAAGGTGCACAGAGTGAGCCTGTTATCTTCTGAGATTGCAATTCAGGGGTTGAGAATTCTATTTTGTGTCAGCCAGAAAGTTTAGGTGAACTAAGTATCATTTAAAGTTTATAGGTACAAATGAAATTGGCACTGTGGAAAGGATCTCAGCACATAAAGAAAGATGTAGCAATTCTTTCTACCTTCAACTTCTATAATTATTTTGACAAAGCGAATCCCCTCAGTTTTAAAGACAGTAGTTTTTAGAGGAGTTTGATAGCTTTAAAAATGAATTTATGAGAAGTTTTTATAAGTCACTGAGGTAAACAATGGCTATGTTTGACAGGAGGAAATATAGTTGCAGGTGGCACAAGCACTGGATTCCATGACACATTGTTAAAATCGATAGCTTAGCCCAAACACTGAAAAATACTGAAGAATCAAAGAATGTATGTCATATAAGCATGGGACACCATATTACTTTGAGGATCATCTGATTATAAAGAGTAAAATGGAGTTTTTAAATTTTTTTCCAAAAAGTTAAATCACTTTGATTAGATTTAACTCTGGACTCACAGGCCACATTGTGGATTTGAAACTGGTCCTTACCTGTGGTTTCTGTGACTCTGGGCAAGTTTTAATTAACATTTCACTCCTGATTTTTCCTTATCTGTGAAATGGGGAGAGCAATAAAATGCCTAGGATTGTTATAAAGATAAAGCAAGTTCCTATCTGGAAAGTGCAACAAGAGTGGGTGCTTAGTCAATGCACAGTGAGCACTAAAATCACTCAAAAGGCTTGCTCTGGCCCTTCCAACATCTCTCTACAGCTGCTTTAATCACTATGGGAAAGAAAAAAAAAACTGCTCAAGGTTTCACGAGAACCACCCAGTGGAATAAAAAACATTTTATAAAAGTCTACTCTATTTCCCTAAATTAAACACCATTGATTGGTTAAACAAAATGCTAGACATGTTTTCCTTAAGGCTCACATGATAATGGCCTTCATTATAGGAAGGTAGAAGAAAATCAACAATGAATCTGTATGAGTGGGATCTATGCAAGCACATTTTCCAACCATTCTCCTCTTAATATATTCTCCCACTTCTAATCTTCTGTGGATGAACTTTGTCTTTTATTCCATGAGAAAAGACGTGTATTTCCAGGGGATTGTCTTCTAAGTGGCAGTAAGTTTGGGGCCAGAGCTAGAATATCCAAAAGCATGGATGGATATGAAACTGCTCTGTGACCGTGGGCCCCTTCTGTTTTCCATCCTCTCACCTGCCTCTCCTCAATGTGTTGAACAAATGTTTGAAGACTATCAGTTTAAAGGGGGCGTGCCTGGCACACTCATATGCTTTGTTCTGTTGGTAGTCAGGGATTGAGTCTATTAAAATGAAGGAACTCAGAGCTGAAGGCAGTAGTTCAGGGGCCTGGTGTATCTGGTGGCACTAAGTGCCAGATGGCCAAGATAGTGTGAAGTCAAAAGCTTTAGTGCTTGTTGATGAAACATGAGAATTAGAAGAAAAGAGAAGGACAAAATAAGGAGTAAAAAACAAGCTGGAGAGTAGAAAAAAGAGTTTCACATAAAACTGCATACTTGAAGAAGGGAACAACGTATGTGTTAAACAGCATAGCTGTTTTCCAAGCCACTCAAGGTGGCTTCAAGTCTATCAGAAGAGAAAGTCCCACCTGGCTTTCCCAGGGAGACTGGGAGCTACCGTGGAACAAGATGGCCTCAAAGCTCAGCAAGATAAATATTGTCAAAGTTTTAGCATGTAAATTGCTAACTTTTCAATGTATAAGTTAACTTACCTTGGAACTCGGAAGAAGAAATGACACTCTGATATACATCATGGTGATTCCTCCCTGCCCCCATCCCAGTCCATATATTTTCAGGTAAGAGTTTGATGTTAGGAATGTTTTCCCTTCATTTTAGAAAATGTCCTTAGCTGCTATAGGAAGGATCTTTCAAATATCAGTAACATCTACTCACCCTATCCTTTATTTTCTTGTGTTTGACTATAGGTTAGAGGTATTTGATATATACACTATCTGAGATTATATAAAAAACAATCTATGTGAACTTTACTTTTAGCTTACACTTAATACAATGATTGACTAATAATAGCTATAAATACCTGCATTCATACAAATGCACATTGATGCATTATGTCAAAGCAAGTGTCATTTGGAATTTTAATTCTTGGAGGACACACACTTTGAGGAGCTCTTCTATATGCTGCAATGTTCTAGAAGCAATTCATTAGCAGCACACAGAATTTGACAATGACAGTCACTGACAGATTAACTACTTTTCTATTTTTCTAGCGATTACTATTCTAAGTTGAATGAGGATCATTAGGTTTGTGCATAGGATAGTTCATGTATCTACATTTGCAGTTAGCCCAAACTCCCAAACCTGAGGTATGCCTATCTCCAATGTTGGATAGGTGGCTGACTTCCAGGAGGTTCCCACTGCCGTATGTTAATGTGGTGCACTTCCTGGAACAACCATTATTGTAAAGTATGAAATAATTAAGTGTTAAATACATTTAATATAGAAGATAATGTAATTTTCTGTTTTCTAAAAGAAAATCTAGATTTTGGCTGGCCAGTCCCATCTGAACTCTGAAGCTATGCAGTCTCTTGCTTCTATCCTCAATGTAATTTGTAGGAGCACTTTGAATGTCATGCTCTCTATCATGTTATTTATTTTGTATATTTTTAACTTATTTTTGATGAATTTATACAGCCAGTAAGTCACTTCTTTCATATTATTCCCCAATCTAATACCCAAATGCACGTGCGCGTGCACACACACACACACACATACAGCACCACCACTATCACTATAAATAATTAAGGGACTCCCAGGAGATTAAATATGTATATGTTATCAATTGGTTATCTTCTAAAATAGATGTTCAGCTGTGAAATTCTATCACTGAAACTCCTCTTTGTGACTTTTAGTTCTCTCTCACATAATATGGTGCTATCTAGAGATTTGTCTTCAGCTCATTTCTCTTCTCACACTATACGTTAGTCCCTTCTTATCCTAGCAAGTTTAAGACCCCTAGTGGATGCCTGAAACTGCAGGTAGCACTGAACCGAATTGCAGCAATTGGAAGACATTTCTGTTCATGTCTTCCACCTACAAATGCAATGTCGTCTGCATCTTAACTAAGCCCTATCACACACTATGGCTGTAACTTTTGCAGCTTGTAGTGTGACAGCAAAACTAGCATAAATTTCTTTTGCCTTCTTCCACAATTTCACAGTGGAAGATTTGTGGTTACCATAGATCTACAGCATGTATCCACTAAACAAAAGGAGGATTCACATCCCTGGCAAGAGGGAGCAGGATGGCACCAGATTTTATCACGTTACTCAGAAGAGTGTGCAACTTCAACATGAGTTGTTTATTTCTAGAGTTTTCTACTGAGTATTTTCAGACCGAAGTTGAACACTGGTAACAAACCAGAGAAAATGAAACCATGGTTAAGAGGGGACAACGGTAATTCCTCTTGTATCTTTGTGTTATTCTAAACAATATGTCTACATGCAAAAATGTTTATTATATAGTGTCACTAAAAATAAATTATTTGAGAAAAATTAGAGAAAACAAAGGAATGGATAACAGGCAGGGGCTGGGCAACCATCTGATAAAGAAATGAGTCCATAATGTAAAGAGAAACCAGGACCTATTGTCCAAGATAATGGAAGAATGACCTTGAAGGCTTTTCTGATCATCAGGGCTGCCTCTCTCATCCCACCCTAGAGTGCAAAGACCTGGGGGAGCAGAATTTCAAAGAGGGTTTTCACTGACAGACACCAGCACACATCCCAGGCTGAGCCCTCTGTACTCCCCCTGTACACCATCACCGCTCTCCTTGCTCACCTCAAGTGCAGCTTTGATGGGCCCCAGAGCAGCATTTGCAGAACCCAGCAAAGCTGTGGGGGCGTGATTACCTCCACTTAGGTTTCAAAAGATGTCCCAAAGAACTGTGAGGCCCAAGCAGAGAAATGCCATAAGGGAAGGACTACCAAAAAGAGCTCTCATTAGGGCAGTGCCCAGTGGAGCCATGGGGATGGAGCCACTCCCACTGACCATGAACAAGAAGAGCTACTAGTGTGTGATTCCAGCCACAGGAGGCCAGGGGCATGCAGCCCAGGCACAGAGCCACTGCAGAGATGGGGCCAACTCAGAGAACTGCCTTCGAGGTTGTCTCCAGGCACAGAATTACCCACTATACTGGGCTTCTCAAAACTATAGGGATAGGGCCATCACCCTAGAGTGTCTGGAAGGCAGGAAGCCTGCCCCAATGAGACTGGAGGGCAGAGCATCAAACCAAAGAAGATTATTCTCAAAAATATTGTTAATATTGTTTGCCCTCTTGGGTTTCTGACTTGCTCAGGACTTGCTGGTTCTTGCTACTTTCCTGTTGCTCCCCTTTGGAATGGGAATATTTAGTCTATCTCTGCCCACAATTGTATTTTGGAAGTACATAACGTTTGATTTCACAGGTTATCAGCTGGAGAGCGCTTGCCTTTGAATGAATTTTACATTAAGTCACCCATATCTGATTTAGATGCTGTTTAGATGAGACTTTGGACTTTTGAGTTGATGGTGGTACAAGTGAAAACTTTTGTAGCTATTGGTATGGAATGTATGTATTTTGCATGCAAGAAGGGCATGAATTGGGGGTACCATGGGCGGAATGCTATGTCTGAATGTTTGTGTATCCCCAAATTCATATGTTAAAAACCTAATCCACAAGATGATGATATTAGGAAGTGGAGCCTTTTAGAGATATGGCCTTGGGGATTAGTGCCTTTATAACATAGGCCTGAGGGAGCCTGTTTGCCCTTTCCACCATGTGAGGACACAGTGACATATTACCCTCTATGAACCAGAAAACAGGACCCCACTAGGCACCAAGCCTGCCAGTCCCTTGATCTTGGATGTTCCAGCTGCCAGAACTGTGAGATATAAATTTCTGTTGTTTATAGGCCACCAATCTTTTTTTTTTTTTTTTTTGAGATGGAGTCTTGCTCTGTCACCCAGGCTGGAGTGCAGTGGTGCAATCTTGGCTCACTGCAACCTCTGCTTCCCAGGTTCATGCCATTATCCTGCCTCAGCCTCCCAAGTAGCTGGGACTACAGGCACCCACCACCATGCCTGGCTATTTTTTTGTATTTTAGTAGAGATGGGGTTTCATGGTGTTAGCCAGGATGGTCTCGATCTCCTGACCTCGTGATCCACCCGCCTCAGCCTCCCAAATTGCTGGGATTACACAAAAGTGCTGGGAGCCACCATGCCCGGCTGGGTCAATTTTTATGTTTATACAAAAGAACAGCCTATGGGGATTTTGGGTGGATTTCAGTCACCCTTTTCTATTTATCAGTCCCTTTATCATAAGGAATCCAGTCATCAATCTCTCTGGCTGTTTTATGCTGAGGAAGGGTCTCATAGGCAGCTACATACCATGAGTGATCATGTGGCCACCCAGGAGTCAAAGGTTAATCTAACATAGAGTTTTCTTCTGACACATAATATTCATCCCTCTAGTCCTCCACTTCCATCAAAGACAAATCACAGCAGGATCAATCTACTTGCAAAATAAACTTCAGTCCCATATAATTGGCCTGATTACCCACACAAAGTGCAACAAGAATCATTGTCCATATAGACTTTTCCAAATTGGCTTTTCTGGAACCTCTCACATGGCTGTTTCAGTCAAAGCCCTGGGAAAATAACCAGTTTCTTCAGTGTATCCCATTACAAAAATGTGTTGTTATTAGCTGTATGCAAACATATACATGCCATGAATTAAGACTATTCACAAATAGTTTACAAATTCTGGAGAAATTAGGCAGGGAGAGAGAGAGAAATATGACTAAAATTCTGTTTACAAAAATATGCTCTACTCAATACACTTAAAGTATATTTCAAGGCTATAAATAACTCAAAAGAAAACATCTCTTCAGACTTTAAAAAACAAAATGAATCAGCAATATTTCAAATTTTAAGAAGCCATACAAATTATCTTAGTCTTCTATTGGTTCAGTCCATGTAATCAACTCCTGCTCTGCTTCATACTGAGTTAGCAATCTTTATGAACACATCATCCTTTCAATTAGTGCCCTGGAAGTTTTCTCTGTAATCCAGTGGCACCATCTCCAAAGTTATTAGAAACTTTCATGCAAGAGTCTTTTTCATGGACCGTGGCAGATTATGTTGCTCTTTTTTTCAGAAGGATCAAAGCAAAACACCAATTGTGAATGACAAAAGTCTTATGACAGCCTTAGTTAAAGACACAGTAGACAAGGAAATTTGGTTTTGCTGTAGCACGCAGCAATTTAACATAACAGTAATTACAACATTTGTTTAAGACATATCAGAATTTCAGGAATGTCATAGAATCCTGAAACACATACTAACAAATGTATAAAATAAAACCAAAAGGAAGCTACATGCCACTTCAGATTTGACAATGTTTGCTGCATAATGGTAACAAACATAACAAATCCCATAAGCCTAATATGTCTCTCTCAGACTTCAGGGAACATAATATTCAAAAAAGTGATTTTAAGGTCAAAAAGACTGAATTTAGAACTTTAAGTTTTGCTATTGGAAGTTCTGTCAAATATCAACATTTTAAGACATTTGATACCACAAAATAGGATCACAGGTCACTACAAAATAGTCATTCATTTAGCCCAAATGATAAAACAAAAATGTTTACCTTTTGACAGAGAGAAGCCTTAGTTTCCCAAACAGTAAGATCTAATACAAACAGCAGGAGGCCAACTATATCTGTCTCTCCCTAGTCCTCTTTCTCCCTGCAGTTTACTCAGTAGGTCAACAAATCTTTTATCTCTCAATATTACACAAATATTTTGTTCAAAAAAGGAAACCAAAGCTTATTTTTATATGAGTATTATTAATGTGAAGCTAATCTTAATAAAACCTTGTGAACAAATCTACCTAATTTTAATCAGGTAGGTATACATAAGATTTCCATAAGCTTTTTATAACCTTTTTCAATTTTCTATTAAACAGCAGATCAATGCTCCAAGAAAACCCTGTTATTCTGACATATGGTCCAGATGCTGGCCTTGCATCAGAGTGCGTTTGATACTCATGTTTAATTTATAGAAAAACTCTGAACTACTCTTATCACTCAAAAATTGGTCTTTACAGTCTCACGTGCCCACCTTTTCTGCAACGGTCCCTGGGCCTAGAGGGATTGAATACATATGCACAAACGAAAATCCAATAGCTTTTACCTTGGAACTCTAGCCATGAGATAGCAATACAAACTAGCTGGGTTTACATGTTTACACTTTGTTTGCCCTGATAGGTAATCCAATGAAGGCTGTGAAATAAAATTTTGGGTAAAGCAGTTTTCATGGCAGTTTGATTTTTAAAGGCCAAACCTCCCCAGACTCAAAAGAACACTGGGGGCCGGGTGCGGTGGCACACACCTTTAATCCCAGCACTTTGGGAGGCCGAATCAGGCAGATCACGAGGTCAGGAGATCGAGACCATCCTGGATAACATGGTGAAACCCCTGCACGGGGGGCGGGCTGCTGTAGTCCCAGCTATTTGGGAGGCTGAGGCAGGGGAATGGCGTGAACCCAGGAGGCGGAGCTTGCAGTGAGCTGAGATTGCGCCACTGCACTCCAGCCTGGGCTACACAGCGAGACTCCATCTCAAAAAAAAAAAAAACAAAAAAAAAAACACTGGGACCAAATAGCACCAAAGAAGAATATCACATACTAACCAGGCCTGACCCTGCTTAGAACAGCAGCACAAAAAGCCTGGATACATGCAACTCCATCCCACTTTCCCATTCAATAGCAAACTCCAGATTCCGAACAATACTGAGGACAAACAGTATTCCAAAACTAACAAGTTTACTGAATTATAATTCCTCATGACTATATCAAACACACACAATCACCAAAACAAAATCCAACTGCTGCAGCGACAAGCCTCAAGAGTGTCCAAACTGAAACAGTCAGGGCGCCTCTCTCCAATGGTTGGGTTTGATCAAATGAGAAACAAAAATTTCTTAGGAATTTCCCAAATTGAAAGGAACTGATCCCACCCCTGGTACCCACAAAGGATAGTCACTTGCCCAGACACAACACACAATTACAAGCAAGCCCCCAAGAGTGTCCATACGGAAACAGTCAAGGTGCTTCCCACTCTCAGTCAGTTGGGCTTGTTCAACCTGCAAATGGAAATTCATTTAAAAATGTCCCAAATTGAGAGGAGCAGATTCTGCCATCTGGGTCTGCAAAGGACACTCACCTATCCATATGCAGACATCATATTTCAAAAGCAGTTCTTCCAAGGCAGTCAGGAACATAGTTGGGGTCGGCTGTGGTGGGGCCAGAGAGAGACGGAAACTCACCTCCAGCCAAAACTGGGTGGGCAGCTGCTTAGGAGATCTTCTGAGATGCCCAGCCTGTAGCAGCTGAACCACAAGCAACACGTTCCTGGTCAGGGAACCAAAATCTGTTACCAAAACACCAGGGGTTCTGTATAAGTTTTGTTGCTCCCCGCACAGAAAGCCAATCACTGAGAAGACAAGTACTGCCAAGGAATAAGGCTTTAATCGGGTGCTGAAGCAGAGATCTCGAGAGCTTAGCCTGAAATCCATCTCCCTGACTAACACTAGGGGTTTATATAGCAAGGAAGAAATGTAACAATGTGTAAGAAAACAGGAACTAGGAAGAGATAAGGAATCAATCATGTTGAATGAGGGGGGCAGCATCTCATTGTCTGGATATGGTGATCTGGTGAGTCAGTTCTTCGATACTTTTTTTTGAGAGGCCTGAAGCTCCTTTCTTGAGGAAGGAACTCAGATAAAACAAATGTAAGCTTCAAGCTTTAAGATCAGAAATGTTAATTTTTATGTTTATCTGAAAGAACAGCCAATGGGACTTTTGGGTCAGTTTCACAAACATATTTGCATTTGCATACCACCCGTTCTTTCTTTTTCTTCCAATACATGAGTTGTCTTCCTCAAATGTAAAGAAAATCCTTTTACTGTGTTTTGAATATTTTTCTCCCAACAAGGCAAGATTTTCTGCCAGCAAAAAGATTACAACTTGCTGGAGGCTCAGATGATAGTGCTTTTCTACCAATGAAGTATTTTTTTATTTAGGTATGTATATTTTTCAGACAATGTTATCACACACTTAGTAGACTGTAGTCTGTTAAGTACAGTGTAAACAGAATTTTATAAGCACTTGGTAATTTTGAAAAATGTGACTCACTGTATAGCCATATTTGCTTTATTGCTATGTTCAGAAACCAAATCCCAATACTCTGATGTATTTCTGTAGCAATTGTGAGATATCTTCACTACAAAGGAAATTATGAAGTAATCTCCTGGGAGATATTTTGAATCTGTACAAATATTTTGAATCTGTACAAATATTTTGTTATCCAATAGCATTAACCCAGTGGTTGTATAATATACTGATGATCCTTAATAGAATCTGTGGTATCTTTGTGGTTACAAAATGGTGATTTTCTACTTTTATTATTTTTTCTAAGCTGACATTCTTTAACAAGACTTTATTTTTTTCTCTCTTTTCTCTTTTTGAGAAAGATTTAACTTCTCTTGATTTTTTCTTTAATATATTGCATAATATATAATATCTTTTATTATTATCAGAAATGTTGCTGCTCATTTGTTCCATATTTAGCTATAAAATTCTTGCAAGATAGATCTAATGTTCTTTTAAATGTCTGCAATTGCTCTTTTGTGGAATGACCATATGGTCCAAATAGGACACTTGGAGATTAAGCAGTCACTGTGAATAATTATGTGGGAATATAATTACTGAAAGAGTGGTCTCAAAATCTCTAACTATATTAGTGGTTTGTATGTTTCTTCTGTGATTTTTATCTCTTTTTGCCTCATATTTTTACACACTATTTTTAGGCACATGCACTCTAAGAATCATTATGTTCTATACTATCTTGGGGATTTGACACTTTTTCTTGTTATGTAATGTCCCTCTGTATCCTTGACAATTTTCTTTATCCTAAAGTCAACTTTGTCTATAATTAATATAGCTAACTCCAGTTCTCATTTGATCAGTGTTAGCATGGCTTATCTTTCCTCATCTGTTAAACTATAACCTATATGAGTCTTTATATTTAAAGTGGGTTTACTTATAGAAAACATATCATTGGGTCTTGTTATTTTTATTCACATTGATAATCTTTGCCTATTAAGTAGTGTGTATAGACTGTCCAATTTAGATTATCGAATATTAAAATTAATATCTACCATGTTTATAACTTTTCTATTTTTTGTACTTTTTTCATTTTTTTCCTCTTTTTTCTCCCTTCCCAGGTTTTATTTGAGCCTTTTATATATTTTTTCTGTTATCAATTATACATCTTTTAAAAATTTACTGACTTATCCAGAACATCAAATATATGTTTTCACATCATCTAAGTATACCTTCAAATAATACTGTGCTGCTTTCATGTAGTGCAGGGACCTTGTAACAGTATTCCTACTGCTTCCTTTTTCTAACTTTTATGACATTGTTTTGTTCATTATACTCACTCATGTGATATAATCACCCGATGTATTGTTACTATTATTAATTTAATCTCGATAACCCTTTATATCAATTAAGAATACAAATGAGGATTTATTTTTTTAATTTAATTTTTCAATGCCTTACTTTTAAAAAAATATGTAAATCCAGGTTTTTTACCTATATTATTTTTATTCTCCCTGACAAACTTCTTTAACATTTCTTACAGGAAAGATTTTTTTTTTGTAATGAGTTTCTTACATTTTTCTTTGAGAAGGTTTTTTTCATATTCATTTGCATTTAAAGGATAATTTTATTTCATATAGCATTTAAGGTTGCTGTGTGTGTAGGGGTGGGGAGTGTGGGGGGGTGTGTGTGTGTGTTTGCAATAATTCATTCCACTCTCTTCTTGTGTACTTTGTTTCTGAAGAAAAGTTCACTCTACTTCTTAATTTTGTTCCTCTGTAGGCAACTAATATGGTTTGGCTCTGTGTCCACAGCCAAGTCTCACATTGAATTGTAATAATCCCCATGTGTCAAGCGTGGGACCAGGTGGAGATAACTGAATCATCAGTGGTTTTCTCCCATACTGTTCTCTTGATAGCAAGTGAGTTTTCATAAAATCTAATGGTTTTATAAGAAGTTTCCCCCTTCACTCAGCTCTTATTCTCTCTCCTGCCACCCTGGGAAGAGGTACCTTCCACCATGATTGTAAGTTTCCCTAGGCCTCGCTAGCTATGTGGAACTCTAAGTCAATTAAACCTCTTTTCTTTATAAATTACTCAGTCTCAGGCAGTTCTTTATAGCAGTGTAAGGATGGACGAATACAGCAACATATCCCCTCAATTTCAATGTATATATTTTTTGCCTTTGATTTTCTGCAGTTTAAATATGATATATTTATGTGCAAGTTTTTTTTAACTGAATCAGTGTTCTTCAGGTATTCTTGATCTGTAGATGGTGATTGTTATTAATTTTACAAAGCTTTCACCAATTATAATTTCAAATATTTTTGTTTTACTATTTTTTTGTTCCCTTCTCCTATTCCAAGTATTCTCATGTTGTACCTTTAAAAATCATCACACAGTTCTTGAATTTTTTGTTCTTTAAAAAAAAATCATTCTGTTCTTTTTTTTCCCTTTGCATTTCAGCCTGGGAAGTTTGTGTTGACCTGTCTTTAAGCTCACTGATTCTTCCCTTGATTATGTCTAATCTATTTATGAGTTTATCAAAGGTAGTCTTTTGTTCCAGTGTTTTGAGTTCTAGCATTTCCCCTTTGATTCTCTCTTAGAATTTTCATATAGTTGCTTTCATTACATATCTTTTTTGTGTTGTCTACTTTTTTCCTTTAGATACCTTAACATATTTATAGTTATTTTAATTTTTATTCAATATTTCCCACATTTATCTCATATCTGAGTTTGGTTCTGATGCTTGCTTTATCTATTCCATCTTCTTTGTCTTGCCTTTTGGCATATCTTGTAATATTTTGTTGAAAGCAAGGCATAGTGTATCACAAAATAGAAACTTAGGTAAAAAAAAAACAACAGAGAAAAAACCTCATTACAGTAAGGAGGTATGTTACTCTGCTGAGGAGCCAGGCTTGTTAAATATTTGCTGTAGCTCTAAGTGACTGAAGATATTATGTCTCTATTGTTGTTTTTATCTACCCTCTATGTTTAGTTTAGCCTAAGTATTGTTTTCAGATTTAGTCTCTGTCTTACCACTTTTTCAGTTTTATTCATTATTATTATATTGGAGTCTTGCTGGTTTGGTGGTAAGTTGCAGTGGAGGTTAATTATTCCATAATGTTATGATCAAATCTCAGTCTTTCAGAAGATTTGTATCTCAAGGCATTACAGGTTTCATGAGAGTTTCTCCAATGCTATAGCTTCCCCTCACCCTGCCTTCACCTTAGTGGAAACAAGAATACTACAGGGGACTGCAGTGGGGAAAAATTCATTTTCTTAGCCACCTAAGTCTTTTCCTCTGGAGATTAGAAACAGAATGGGCATGTTTCAAAATGTCTTCAATGTGAAGCATACTCCTTCTGTGCTAGAGCCATAAAGGGTTCATCCCAGCCCTTTTACTATAAATGCTTTTAAAAAGCCTGGAAGTAAAGCCTCAGAAATAGACTGAAGACCCTAGTAGATTCTCACTTACACTAGTCCACATTCAGCTTCCAGAAATTAATCAAAATAAAACTTTAAGTGTTTTACCAGTGCATGACTTGAGTAGTTACAGCTCCAAATATGTGGATCTTGTACATCACAGGTCCCCAACCACTAGGCAGTGGACCAGTACAGGTCCATGGCTTGTTAGGACCTGGGCGGCACAGCAGGAGGTGAGTGGCAGCAAGTGAGCATTACCACTGAAGCTCCGCCTGCTGTCAGATCAGCAGTGGCGTTAGATCCTCATAAGACCATGAACCCGACTGTGAACTGTGCATGCAAGATATCTAGGTTGTGCACTTTTTATGAAAATGTAATGCCTGATGATCTGAGGTGGAACCCTTTCGTCCTGAAACATTCCCCCTCCTTGGTCGGTGGAAAAATTGTTTTCCATGAAACTGGACCCTGGTGCCAAAAATGTTGGGACTGCTGTTCTACATGACTCTTTGGATACACCTGTGTCTCCAGATTTCTGGAGAGCAGATGCCCTGCCATCTCAGTTTTCTGATGGGTTCATAAAAAGCCATGAACTTTTAGTGTGCTCTGTTTTGTCTTGTTGTTTTCACTTTTCTCCCTGTTGTAAGGATGTGAATAACAAAGGCCATCGATTTGCATGTCTGATCTGAAGCAGAAGTCCAACAGTTTTATTTATAGAAATTTTTTGTGTGATAGTATCTTTTGCATTTTTAATGTGTCAATATATACATAATCATTTTAAGTGTAGAATTCAGTGGTGTAAAATACATTCACAATTTTGTGTAACCATCACCACTACATATTTCGAGAATTATTCATCATCTCAAACAGAAACCCTGTACTTTTTACAGAAGAATCCCCACCCTAATCTACTCTCAGCCCTGGTAACTTCTATTATGCTGTATGTCTCTAAGAAATAGACTATGCTAGGTTCATCTTATAATTGGAATTATACAATATTTGTCTTTTTTGTCTGGCTTACTTCCCTTAGCATAATATTTTCAAGATAAATCATGTTGTAGCATATATTGGAATTTCATTTATTTTTAAGACTGAATAGTATTCCACTATTTCTATATATCACATTTTGTTTCTTCATTTGTATTTTAATGAACAAATAAGTTGTTTCTACCTTTTGCATTTTCAATATTGTTATAAACACTGGTCCAGATATATCTGCTTGAGTCCCTGAGTTTAGTTCTTTTGGGTATATACCAAGGAGTGGAATTGCGGGGTTGTATGGTAATCCTAACTTGTTGAGGAACTGCCTGTTTCCCATAGCAGCTGTACATGCCATTTTGCATTCCTACCAAAAATACACAAATAATCCAATTTCTGCACATCCTCACCAACTCACGTTATTGCCTTTGTTAAAAATAATGATCATCGTAATAGAAGTGAAGAGGTATCTCATTGTGGTTTTTATTTTCAGTTCTATAATAACTAAGATGCTGAGCATCTTTTCATGTTCTTATTGTCCATTTGTGTATCTTCTTTGGAGAAATATCTATTTTTCGAGTTCTGTGCCCATTTCTTATTGGGTTGTTTGTTTCTCTACTGTTGAGTTGTAGGAAGTTCTTACATATTCTAAATATTAGTCTCTTATCATATATATGACATGGGGTAGCTTTTATGCAAAAGGCTGACAGTAACTGAAACTTAACTAGCCTCTTCATCACATTCTCCCCTGGATGCTGGATGTGTTTCAACCACATTCTACAAGAGTTCCAGAGTAGTTACTTCAGACAGCTTTCAACAGCACAGTAGCTTCTGGATGAAAGGATGGGTTCTGGAGCTTTCTGCTCTGTCATCTTCCATGGTATCATGGCTTATAGTGATAAAATATTAGTATATTTGTTCTGCTCCATTGTTTTAGTCTTCTTTCTCCATGGCTCCAATTACAGTTATATTGAATCATCTTTGCCTATAAGTTTGCCTATAAGTGTGTTTATATGTACACACACACACACACAATCTATTTATCTATTTATATAAAGTTAGAATATATAAAGTTTGCTCAAGTGTTTCACACCTGTGCATTTAACCAACCATAGATCAAAAATATTTGAAAAAAAAAACATTGTGTCTGTATATAACATGTAGAGATTTTGTCCTTGTAATTGTTACTTGAACAATACAGTATTAGCACTATTTATGTAACATTTACATTATATTAGTCACTATACATAATCTAGAGATGATTTAAAGTACACAGGAGGATGTGCACATGTTATGTGCAAATACTACACAATTTTTATAAGGAACTTGAGCACTGGGGTTTTTGGTATCTGACATAGATTCTGGAGCCAATCCCCCATGGATACTGAAGGACAACTATGTGTGTGTGTGTGTGTGTGTGTGTGTGTGTGTGTGTGTGTGTGTGTAAATGCATATAATGCATCAATTTCTAATTATTTATATTTCTTTCTATATTTTGTTTTCTATTTCTTGGCTGCTTTCACTTTTCTGGACATCTCATTATATTTTGAGTGAAATCTGCATTTCTTTGAACATCTTACTAGTCTTCATGAATGAATTTCTTTGGTTAGTTAGGAAGAGAAGCTTATAATATGTTATTATCAGAAGAGAGAGCTGGAAAGAGATACATGCAATATGTTATTATCATATTAGGCATAATATATATGACTAATACATGATTATAAATTATTTTAATATTTAAAAATAAATAATCAGTGATTAATAATTATTTTAATAACCACACAATTAAAAACTATGCAACATTTAGTGTGTTGATGTTCTTCAATCAGAGATATTAATAAGGGGCTTTACAAACTATTTTGAGAAAGATTGTATCAAAGTACTTCTCCTAACCTGCAACTGCACAAGATAGAGAGTTTGGCCCTAAACTTTAGCCTGCATTTGCATTCCCTTGTGGTATTAGTAAAACACAGGTTACTGAGCTTCACTTCTAATTTTTGTTACAGTAATTTTGGTGTGGCGTGGTGCTCAAATTGCTTTAATGTAATTCCCAATGGAACTGATGTTGCTGTACAATAATTATAATTGAAAGACCACTGATATAAAGAAGAGTGAAATAAATGCATGCGTTCCTTTTACCATTTGCTATTATAACAGTTTCTTCTAATGCTTGCATTATATTTAAAACATGTAAGTGGGCATATGGTTTTATTCTATATATTTATGTATGTGGTATCAGAATAATGACCCACACAAAAAGTCCATGTCCTAATCCACAGACCCAATGAATATGTTACCTTATGTGGCAAAAGGGACTTGCAGATATGATTAAGGCTGAGGACCTTGAAAATAAGAAACTATTTTGGATTATTGAGTGAGCCCAATCTAGTCAAAAAAATTATTAAGTGCAGAGAACTTATCCCAGCTTGCTAGGAAGGATGTGATATGAAAGGGATTCGTTTAAACCACCATTGCTGCTTTTGAACATGAAAGAAAAGATCCAGGTGCTGAAGAAAGCACCCGGTCTCTAGGAGCCAAAAAAGGCAGGAACTGAATTCTCTCCCAGAGGCTCCAGAAAGTAAAGCAGCCCTGCCAACATCATGATTTTAGCCCTATGTGATCCATTTCATACTTCCAATCTCCAGTAGTATGAAACAGCACATTTATGCTGTTTTAAACCACTAAGCTTAGGGTAATTAGTTACAGTAGCAATGGAAATGTAATACAAAACATTCCATAACCTCTATCTGCAATGCAAATTTTATAACCCTTTTAATATACTTAGTTTGAAAAAATGAGACTGAAAGAAAAAAATATTAATGAACACAACCCATATTAGTCATTTCCACCTCTTCAGTCAACCTTTTACAAAGGTATTTCAGAGGTATATATTTTATCAAACATTTATACAATCAAAGGATATCATAACACTATCATAATGACACTAACATTATACCTTTCTCCACACTGAGCCTTATATTTTGGTCAAATGTACTTCAGAATTCCCATGTATTCTTCAGTTGTATGAATTTTTTCAGGGAAAAATGAACAACTTACTTTTAGATGCTTTAATATATATATAAAGAATTTCTGCTTTAGTGCGACTATTTTCTAAGACTCTGGAAGATACATAAACTTATTATATGAGTTAGAGCTAATTATTTTTCACTGGTGTTGGTTTTTCTATTATTTTTCTTTTATAACTAATTTACTGGGCATTTTAATGGTCTTTAGGGGGAAGAGTGATGTATTGCATCCTTTCCACCATATCTGTGGAAATTCCCCTTGGCTAACATTGAAAAGATGTAAGGGTGGGCTTGCTGGCATGAAACTACAGAGTGCCATGTTTCACCCTCAACAGAGAATTCTCTATAAAGCCATTAACTAGACCATAATTTTTTTCTAAAATTTATTATTAATAACAATTTAATTTTTTTGGTTTGTTTTTACTCTAACGTCTGGGAAGAGAATGCATCTGAACACTATTTAGAGGAACTGGTTCCCTTGAAGACCTAATTGACCAGTTCTGTCTTTTTGGAGATATAGAACAACCTTATGTAATTAAACTTCAGGGATTAAATGCGTTCTTGGCAATTATTGTGAACCGTGGATTTAATTAATATCAAGTTGGATGCATATAAACTGATTTGTATTATTTCTAATTATTCACTTAAGAGGGAGAAATTCAACAAAATGCATATAAAAATACAACAAACAGATTGTTTACTGTCAATCCATGGACTTCTTCAAAAATTGTTTTCAGCTTTTTACAATTTGTAAAATTTTCACGGATGTGTACAAACTTATCTCCTAAACGTAATGAATACCCTAAATCCACGGATGTTCGATGTTTTTTTTTTTTTTTTTTTTTTTTTGAAGCATATCTGAGCAAAGTTATTTTTGCTATAAAACACAGTGATGGGACTGAGAGGGGCTTTCTGTGCTTAGGAACTCTTCTGTACCCTTGAACAAGACACTGAGTGAGGACATTTTGGGGTACTCTAGAAATAAAGGAAGACTGCAGCCTTAAAAACTTAACAATTGTTGATAACATTGGTGAAAAAAGAAAACATAACAGAGAAGAGTGAAAAAGAGTAAATTACAAATGAGTCACTTTTGTTTTTAGTGGCCCCTAAACATATTAAACTTTATTTTTCTATATTCCTACCTACAAATATTAATATGTTTTTTGTTTAACAGTTGACTGTTATATTTTCACTGAATATTTACTTAGCAATTTTCCATGTTATCTTGTGGTACTTATTTTTCAATTTAAGTTTTTATTAAAGTAATAGATATTACAGTTACATTTTCTTTAAAAAAAAACTTAAGACAACGCACAAAAAAGCAATATCATAATATCTTCAACCCTCTCTCCTGCCTGCTCCATAGAGGTATAATTTTCAACACTGTTAGAAATGTTTTCCAGTATCTAAACTTCTAATTTTAATTAGCATATGCTTCTACTAAAAATATCGTTAGTTTTTCAGTTATGTATTTATTAACTTGTTACTTTGAAAAATGAAATGATGATCTAGCTTACCTATACATTCATTCATTCACACACACACACACACACACACTTTTACCTCTCACTTTTATGATTATAATGTCCTTTTTATAGCTATACAAAATTTTTGGTTTTCATACCCAATCTTCTCACTATTAAGACAATATAAACCAAGTTCATGGTAAGCATGAACTGTAGTCCACATTTTCTTCCTAGTGCATTTCAGTTTCCTCTTTGCCTTGTTTTTATTGTTTGCTTAGTTTTCTACTTATCTTTTATTAAAGCATCTCCAAGTACTTTAACACAATTATAACCCTTTTTTAATATGTAGAAAAGCATCTGAACGTTGGTAGTGTTTTGTTTTTTGTTTGCTTGTTTGGCAGCTAGTCTAAGGCTGGCTGTATAACTTCTTAGGCCCAGTGCAAAATGAAAATTCAAGTCCCTTTGTTAAAAAATATGAAAAGTACGATTAAAGGTACTAAAATATTGAGCCTTTACACGAGAAGAGATTTTACTACTTATGAAACAAGGTAGGGGTAGAAGTAATAAAGACTTAAACTTACAAATTACAAAAATAAGTTTTCTAGAATATAACTTAAAATAGTATAATTAATAATATTATTTTATTAACCTGATAACATGATTAATCATAAAATTCTATGGCTTCTTTTCCCTGTAAATTCACTTATTAATTAAAAAACAATTCTTTTAGCATTTTATTTTCAGTCAATTTATTTAGAAGTTACTTTAGTCAGTCTTGTCAAATATAAGATCCCAATAATTTTTGGTAATTTTTAATTTTGAAAAGTTCTTTCTGCTGATGCAACTACTATGGGAGCTAAGAATCTTTTATAGACTTCAAGAACATTAAATACATTAATATATTCTGATAAATTAATTTAGATGTAAGTTTTAATATATCTAGAGTGGATGATTCTTATGGAACAATTTTTCTAAAAAGATTTAACTCTTCTTATTAAACCAGTTTAATGTAAGTCTGAGTTTAATTCTAAATGTAAATTTATATAATGACATTTTAATATTTTTTGTTATTTCCTTAACTTTTGGTGGTTTCACAAAAAATGGAAAACGGCTTTATGATTTTTAAATAATTCAAAATTTGTTCTTTTGTATTTATTGCTGTATCTCCCACTACAAGAATGCTTCAGTATGAAAACTCTGATTTTTTCCCTCAAATGTAACAACAGTCTTTTAATTTAATCTCTATTTCCAAGATTGGCCCTCTCTCTCCAGGCAAGGCTGCTACCTCTGCTAATGCTGCTTGTGCTACTGCTGCTGCTGCTACTACTACCAGTCTGGACTTAGGTCCAATGTCCCAGGCTGCTCCTACATGTGCCTGCAGGGCCTCCAGTCCAATGCCTCGGTGTGCACACTGGCCTCTGCTCTGGCTCCCTGCCATGCCTGAGAGGCCAATGCTGAGTGTTCACATGTGGCCCCCCTTGCCTGTACCTCTTCTGCTGTCACACATGCTCCACCGTTCTGTTGAACTTCCCTTGCAAAACACAAATTCAGAGCGAAAATTCTGAAGAATTGATTGACTGAAAAACAGAGCACTAAAGCAGTTGCAGGGCCTTCCAGAATTGGAGCCTTAAGAGAGTGCGCAATCACAAGCACGAGAAGCCACCCTGACTAGGACTAAAATCTACTCATTTAGAACAATCTACTTATTCATCGTGTTTACAGCCCGCATGCATTGGGATTGGGCTGCCATTGCTTCTGATTGCTCAATGCCAATGACATGCAACTTGTTAAGTTGTTTGAATACCTCGCTAAATGTCCTTTCATTCTGTAGCTACACTCTTCCCATGGCTTTACAAACCAAGTCTTGTGTTCTGCCATGGAGCTCCTCTTCAGCATCAAGATAGAAACCCTCTCTTGCTTATCTAATGACTTGTTTCTTGTTTAGTCCCTAGTTCTGTGGACGATTGCCTCCAAGAGTCCTTGAGGAAGGGTACATTGGCATACTTTAAAACATTATTATCTTATGTCTATTTTGATTGTGATTAACTCTTACTTGGTTGATATAGGTTTCTAGGTTAGAAAATATTTTCTCATGTACCCTAGAACTTAAAGTATAATTTAGAAAAAGAAAATATTTTCTCTTATTATTTTGAATGCAATCTTTCCTTTGACTTTCAGTTTTCATTGAGAAGTCTGATGACATTTTTTGTGATTTGCTCATTCTCCAACTCCCAGGAGTATATGTTTTGTTTACTTGTCTAACACTGAAAACAAAACAAAACACTAGTGGCCTCAACAGGATATAATTGCATTTCTCTTTCACATAACAAAACTACAGAGGTGAGCAGTGTTAGTTTGTCAGGGCTGTTATAACAAAGTACAACAGACAGGGTAGCTTAAACAACAGAAATGTGTTGTCTCACAGTTCCGGAGGCTGAAAGTCCAAGATCAAAGTGCAGGCAGGGTTGGTTCTCCTGAGGCCTGGCTCCTTGGCTTGCAGAGGGCCATCTTCTTCCCATGTTTTTACATGATCTTCAGTCACTATGTCCATGCTCTAAGCTTCTTTTCTTGTAAGAATATCAATCATATCAAATTAGGACCCACTCTGATAAACTCATTTAATCATAATTGCCTGTATAAAGTCACTATATTTAAATAAATCACATTCTGAGTTACCGGGTGTAAGGACTTTAATATATGAGTTTTTGGAGGATACAGGTAAGCCCACCACATTCTTCATTCTGTCCCCCAAGTATTTTTTCATGCAAATATATTCACTCCATCACAATATATTCCAAGTATTAACTCATCTCAGCATCATCTCTAAAGTTTCATCTTACTATCTTCTAAATCAGATATGAGTGAGACTCAAGATGTGATTCATCTGGGGCAAAATTTCTCTTCATCTGTAAAAGTGTGAAACCAGACAAGTTGTGTGCTTTCAAAATATGATTGTGGGACAGACATAGGATAGACATTTCTATCCAAAAAGAAAAAAAATAGAAAAAAGAAAAGGATCATAGGTCCCAAGTAGGTCTGAAAACTAGCAGGGCAAATTGCATTAGATTTTAAGACTTAAGAATAAACCTCATTGCTTCCATAATCTGTCCTCTGGGCCCAGCAGGTGGCCCTGACTCTCTGGCCATGGGCCAGTTGTTCTTGCCCTCGTTAGTTAAAGAGATGACCAACCTCCCTGGAACCAAGGAGGAAGCAATCATGTCCCTCCAGGCCTGTACATCCTGTAGTGCCATTGGCAGCTCTGTCAACCTCTGAACTAAGTTTGGGGTCATTCTTCTCCAGTCTTGAAGGATAATACATGTTTGTAACTGGGGAGTTCTCCACTGATCCATTATGTAGAATCCCAGAAGTCTGAAAACCTGCCTCCATTTCATTCCATTTATATCTCCTTTAGTTCAAGCCAGCAGATTTCTGCTGGCTGAAACCCCTGATGGCCTCCCATGCAATTCACAGGGTCTAAGCCATCAAAGAGGGTCCTCCACGCATCTGTCCTACATACCCCCCCATCTCTATTCCTGACTTCTGCTGAGATGGCTGATTGTTTCATTACATCATGCACCACAATCTCTTTAGCAAATGGTTGTCCATCCACACCACTGATGTTCTTTCCAGAACACACTTTCTCTCCCTTTGTT
Source organism: Homo sapiens (assembly GCF_000001405.40). Classification (NCBI taxonomy): domain Eukaryota; kingdom Metazoa; phylum Chordata; class Mammalia; order Primates; family Hominidae; genus Homo; species Homo sapiens. The sequence continues at coordinate 52,611,628 of NC_000007.14, forward strand.
TTGAAACACAGCTAAGCTGAGAATTTTTCAAATATTCTAGTTCTAATTCTTTTTTGCTTAATCATTTCTTCTTTACTTCCCCTCTCTCATATTTTATTATAAGAAGCAAGGAGAAACCAGGATGTCCTTCAACACTTTGCTTAGAGATATTCTGAGCTAAATTTCCAAGTTTATCCTTTACAAGTTCTACTTTACACAGAGCACTAGAACACAGTTTGGCCAAGTTCTTTGCACTTTATAATAACAAGAATAATCTTTTCTCTTCTTTCCACAAGCATGTTCTTTTTATTTGAGTCTGAGACATCACCAGAAATATCTTTAATGCTTAGATTTCTACCAACACTCTTTTCATGATGATACATACGTATCCTAAGACCATAGAAGATTTATCTGTAGCTCTTCTCTTTTCTGTATGAACCCTCACCAGAATTATCTTTAATTTCCATATTTATACCAACAGTTTCTTGAAGGCAATCTAAGCATTTTCTATGATACATCTCAAAATTCTTCCAGCCTTTACCCATCACCCAGTTCCAAAGCCACACCCACATGGTAGGTGTTTGCAGCAGCCACATGGACTCCCCTGCACCAAAATCCATGGTAGTTTGCTAGGGCTGTTAAAACAAAGTTCAACAGACTGGGTGGCTTAAACATCAAAAGTTTCTTTTCTCACAGTTCTGGAGGCTGGAAGTTTCCAATCAAGTTGTCACCACAAGCAGGGTTTCTTCTGAGGCCTCTCTTCTTGGCTTGCAGGTGGTCATTTTATCCCTGTGTCTTCACTGGTCTTCTCCCAGTATGTGTCTGTCTCCTCATTCCCTCTTCTTATACAAATAGCAGTCATATCAGATTAGGGCCACTCTATTGACCTCATTTCCTCCTAATTACCTCTGTAAAGACTTTATGTTCAAATAAATTCTGAAGTGCTGGGGGTAGGGGCCTACCCATGAATTTTTGGAAGACATGATTCAGCCCATGACATGGGCCTAGTGTGTTGGTTCCAAACACACACAATCTTTCAAGCTCAATTCTCCAATATTCTTAGAGTAGATCCCTTTTCTTCATGGTACATGATGACAGCTGGATTTCTAGTTATTACAAACCACATATTTAGCACCAATTTAAGTCCTGCTCTAAGAAGAGAGTATAAATAATTATACATCCCCTTTTTTTGTTTAAAGGGCTTTCTAAAAGTTGAAAAAACCACTCCTATTTTACCTTATTGATCAGAATTTAGTCCCATAGCAGCATTTAAACACTAGGGAATCTGGGGAATATAGTCATTTTGCTTAGTGGAAATGCTCTCTTCAAAGACAAATGTCTGTGGAAAGAGCTAATTTAGCCTTTAATTATTTTTTTTTTTCTTTTGAGATGGAATCTTGCTGTGTCACCGAAGCTGGAGTACAGTGGCATGATCTTGGCTTACTGTAAACTCCACCTTCCAGGTTCAAGTGATTCTCGTGCCTCAGCCTCCTAAGTAGCTGGGATTACCGGTGCGTGCCACCATGCCCAGCTAATTTTTGTATTTTTTAGTAGAGACAGGGTTTTGCCTTGTTGGCCAGGCTGATCTCAAACTCCTGACCTCAGGTGATCTGCCCACCTCAGCTTCCCTAAGTGCTGGGATTACAGGCATTAGCCACCACTCCTGCCCTCTTAGCCTTTAATTAATTCACAAGTATTTACTGAAGCATTTACACTGTGCTGGGTATTATATTAAAGAAACAAAATACGATGTTGAAGGAGTCATAATTCTTGCTTTCTTCAAAATGAAGTCTAATCAGGGGAGCAGATATGCATAAAAATTATGCTAATGCCATAAAATGCAAGAGTGGTGTTTCGAATAAGGTACATTTGTAGCTCAACAGAGAATGTGATAAAAAATGTTTGATGTACAAGCAGGGAGATGATGATAAGGGAAAGTGTCTTTGAGTAAATGATATTCAAGTAAAATATTAGAGGATCAATAGGATTCCATCAGGTAAACAAGACAGAAAAGGCATTTCATTTACCCATGTAAAGGAATCCTAAGATACTAAGATGGGGTCTTTTGATTCCAAAAACTTCCATATTTGTGATGATATTTTATTATCTTCAGTATTGTCTGGTGTCGAGGAAGATTTCAAGAAAAGAGTTTTCAATGAAATTCCAATGCTAAAGCCAGGTGATTCAAAATATTATTAACTCATGTTTAATTGGATTTTTAAAATTTACACTTAAATGTTTTATGTTATTTAGAACTATGATTTATTTTTAGTCTTCATGATTATCTTCATAGGTAGTATTAAGAAAAGTTTTTTAAAATATACTTTATTAAAATAGTATTTCTTAATAACCAAACTTTGAGGATTAAAATATCTGTGACCTTCTGTAGGTTTAGCTGTTGACAAATACTTGTAAAAATTTTCAAGTTAGTAAGTTCCAAACACCTATAAATACATAAATACATTTATTGTTTACATGGGAAATATTCTGTTGTAATTAGATTTATCTCTATTAAATTTTGACACATGAATACAAGTTTGGAGTTAGCTATGTAATCTAATACATACTGAAATGCTTCTATTCATCATGAAAAGATAAATTTAAATCCTCCCTAAAATTGGCATTCGTTTCTTTGTTTGATACATAATACTAATATGTATTATATAACATTAATATGTATTATGAATATCTAAACAACTAAATAATATAAAATGTCCATTATTTGACACAAAAGGCCCATTAATGGGGTCATTTAAAAAATGTTACCTTTATTAGAATACTGACTACATTTTTATTCTATTAACATAGCATTTTCTTTAAAAGTGACATCATGATCCAAATTAAAGTTAGTTATTTTCAAGTCAGTGGCAAAATATATTCAAATTAGTATCTAAACCAATTTCAGAGTATTTTTATTTTGTTTGAATAGCTGTACAACCTATGGTTCATTTCTGTCTTCATAATGTAATGAGACAAAAGTTGATATGCAATAATTTCAATTTGGACATTTTCTCTTCCATAACTCAGGAAGAAGTGGAAATCTAGAAAGGACTGATGAGAACATAATTTGAAAAATAAAGAGAGGAAACTAGAATAACATCAAGAATTACTTATATATGAAGGCCAAGAGATATTTTTAGAATGAACATGATTAAGACTCTATCTGGCTGTTCTGACAACTAGCATTTCACAGACAGAATCATCACACCTCAAGCATACACATGTACTTTCTACCTCACTGACACAAACTAAATATACAACTGTATAACTATATTATACAATATGTGAATTTATGTATTTATGTTAAAGATAAATTACAGATAAATAAATGATAACAAGGGATTTTCAAATATAAATTTCCAGTAACTTCAGTTTCTATTATTGCCCTAGACTTGGTGTATAATCACAATTGTTCCTTAAACATTCTCAACAAAGGGAACTAAATTTGAACATGAGGAATTATGTGCATGTAGTCAAGATTAAAATGTTTACTTTTGTGAGAATGATGTTCTCTAATAACAATATTTTTGGAAAACCATAAAAAACTTTAATTCTCTTGTGATTTGTTTCTAAATGCTAAAGAGCCAAAAGAGAATAACTAATATCTTGAATGTGTTCCATTTTGTATATAAGCAGGCTCTGAAAATCAGTTTTCACATTGTTGGCTCAAAATCACTTACACAATAAAGTTATATTGTCCCAATCATACTAGGATGAGTAGCCAAATACCGCATCTAGAAATAAAAATTCAGCTGTTTGCCTCAGAAGTGAAATCACATGCATTTTTAGTACCTTAATTCATAATTAGTCTGTTTGAATTGCCATTAAGTGTCTCAATCAAAATATTCTTTTGCACAGCCCTATTTCAAAGAGCTCCCCATGCAGAGTTTCATCGACATTTCTATCCCATTCTCTTTGATTTCAGCATGGAGTGTTGAAGTATAAATCACTTTGGCTGCTTTCCCACAAAGTAATGAATGTTTCATCATATTAGCCCACAGGCTTTTTCCCTTTTTGTTTTATTTCTTTCTTTTTATTTTTCTCTTTTGGTCCATTATATGCTGTCATGGGCTCTACTCCTGCAGCCCCCCAGATGGCCGTATGAGAAGTGCAATCAGATGGAGCTCGTCTTCAATGGTGATCCACAGAGTACTGATGTTATATTTATTTGAACATATACTGTTGAGTTGTTTATGCTCATCAAAGTAACTCTCATGTCTTATTTTTCAAGTCTCTGAAGAGCAAAGTAATCTTAGCCATTTTGACACATCTTCTGAAATTGAAATCTGTTATTTGATGTCTCCTTGATATAAACAGTTGATTCCCCCCAGAAGATCAGAAGAGTGTAGAGAAGGCTCATGAACATTATTCTAGGTAAAGAGAATGTGTACCTGCACAATTGAAAAAGTACTGCCAAACATAGCTCATCATTATAAAGTTAAGATTTTGCATAGTCAACATCCTGGGTCTTTTCACATAATTGTACAGAATACTGCTGGTACACAGCACGGTAAACCAGGTTCATCAACTAAGGCAATCACTAGGAGGCAACCTGAGTCTCACACCACTACCTTGACTTTTATTTGTATGTGACAAGATGTTTTTTCACCTGTCTCATGGGAAAATTGTCTTTGAAATAAGAATGCCAGGTTTATCTTGAGATAATGTTTGCTTTTATCATGTCATACTAATTTTAACATTAATAATAGTAATATGAATCATTGCTAACTTCTATTTTGTGTTTAGACATTACAAGAATTATGCTAAGACTTTGCTCATTTCTTAGTCTGTGAAGGAAATTGTATTAGCTCCAATTTACATGCATGAAACATGTGAGACATAGATATGAAGAAACTTACCCAGGGCTTCTCTGGGGTAGAAGAGTTTGACTCCAGAGTCTTAAATCGTTGTTTTATTTTATAATGGGTGTGCAAGAAAGTTAAATAGGTATGAATCTTAGTAGGTCAAACAGCATAGCCTCAAAACATATAAATTAATGTAACTCAAAAAATATGAAATAGGAAATAATACACTGAGATGTTACTGTATTATTCTAACTTCATGTTCTAAGTTCACTAAACATGTTCAAATCTAGCATGTCAATAAGCAGTAATCCAAAGTTGACTATGTATAGTGCACACCTATGAGTCAGGCCACAGCACAGCATCAAAGCGTGTACATTCATTTCTGGAAGTATCAAAATTGTTCTCTATATGAACAACCATTCCTGTCAATTTCATTCACTTTTTTGGTATCTACATTATCAAATCCGCTTGATAGTTGTATTTTGCAATGGCAGAGAACATCTTGTCTCCTATCAAAAATAATTCAAAGCTACAGACTCTGAGCCATGAAAAGGTGCAGCATGCCTCAGTCTTATCTTTGTTTATGCACCATACTTTTAATAGAAATGGGGACTACTCTATGCCCAGCGTTCTCTTTTGCCACCTAAAGCCACTGAAGCCAGACAGCTTTCATACAGAACCCTTATTATTACTTTTTCTCTATGTGGGTAAAAAATAATGCCAGGGACCAACCTAGGAAACCAACAGTAGCATGTTCTTTATTTCTGTGTTGTTCCTAAAATTCTCTCACTCTTGTCTTTCATTTTTCCTAGCTTCCAATCAATTCATGAAATAAGTGTCCTAAAGTGGCAAAGTCTACCAGGAAAGCAGACCTAAACAAACCCAAAAACCGAAAAACCAAACCTCTCATTTAAGATCACTTGGAACACTTGGCTATAGAAAAATAAACTGTACATTGTACATACACAGCATATGCCAAAACAGAGGAAATTACAAAATTCGATTTTTAAAAACAATTATTAATTATTTTTACTCTATAATCATTGAAGAAAAAATATTTTTATGTCAAAATCTACCATTCTTTTATTAAACAATTTTTGTTGAGCCCTCACTATGTGTTAAGTGTCTTTGACAAAATAGGTATGTGAGAGGTATGTTTAGGATATAAACAGCACTTGGAAGCATTGCTAAAAGTATGGTTTCCTTGTACATAATTCAGTTTATATTATTTTGTCAGCCTGGAATATTGAGAGTTCCTTACTCAATGCGAATAAGGGCAAGTGATAGACTTTATTGTTTCCTAGATCATTCAAATTTATTGCAACACTTCTCCATGCACGCTTTGGCAGAGAAGTGTCCAATGTGTCAATTTGCCTAATATTGAAACCTCTGTACCCTAAAGAGTATATCCCTGGCTTTGCAATGAACTACCATCTGGCCTTGCTCAGTAGATAAGACTTATTCTGTATTCTAATAACGTGTGGTACCCACTTCATCTAATTCACATGAGTTTGCAACAATCAGAATGAAAAACATTTTAAAAGACACTAACAATTTATTAACCGAAATGAAGACAATAGAAAGATGGAAGATAAGGTAAATGATTTTTGAAGATAAAATTTGTTTACTTCTGATGAAATATAAACATTGCTGGATGATTATACAATTGCCAGTCTCAACTTATTTTTCCTTTTTCAAGCTGCTGACATCGTGGCTAGAGTCTTTAAAGTACTGCGAACTGATTTTCCAAAATCCTACGGGTGCCCATAAATTCCATTTCTGAGAATAATTTCCTCCCGTATAAGAGAGAGATGTGCAATAAGAAAGCCCGTTTGCCTTTCTGCCTCCCTTCTCATACTGGACACATTCATTTTAGAAGTTGATTTCTGGGACTGTGGAAGCTTTCTTGATACCAAGAAGCAACAATCCTTAGCACAAGACCAACATTTGAGCGCAACAGAGTTGAAAGATGGAACTTGCCCTAGTCTGAACACATTCCTGCACTTCCTTAACTTCTCTGGGTTTCCTTTCTCTGGGCCACTAATTCTGTAAACAAAAAGTTATTCCATTATAAACTGAAAACATTGCTGAGACAGAAATATAATAATAATTCAAATAATAATAGGTAATAGGCTTTGTGAGTTCACTGAATGCAAATAACCTTGCAAATACTTTACTACACTGTCTCTAAGCTCACAAAATATGCAAAATAAGTAGTGTCTCATAGGGTATTGAAGCTAAGATGTCTCAAAAAGATGTTTTGCTTTTTTGTTTTGCTTTTACAGACAATATTTAAGAAACACCTTTATTGGTAACTGAATTTGGGTTATGCCCTTTTTCTTATCAGTGTTTTACAGTCCAATTTTATTTAAAAAACAATTTTTCTAGATTCCTATATTTTGCTCCTTCTTTATCTAATTGGCGTCTCTTTTCTTTCTTCTATCTCTTCAGCGATTCATCTACCAGTAGTTAACAATTTGGAGATCCCGTGGTCTTAAAGATATACAGAAGGTCTCCTTACAACAGGGTGAGAAAGTGTACGCTTGAAGAAACGTTAAGTCTTACAAGATGAAAGGAGAAAATTTACCTTTAAAAAATGGAATATGGGGCATACAACAATGTGCTTTGAAAATGACTTCTACATGTTTGAAGGAAACCATTACTGTTGGCGTTCCAAGCAAGGAAGTATTCCTGGGAAAGCAGACTGCTTCCCAGGTGATAACAGCACAACAATCGAAGGAAAAGGAAAAGTAACAGATCTAATAAAGTCCCCATAATAGAATGCACGGTAATACCAGCAAAAGCCGTTACTATGAAAAAGACCGGGGCTAGGGTAGGGAGAGTGGACACGGGGCTTATGTTCGCACCAATCACCATTATCAGTACAAAGGGGCTGTGGACTAGGAAAATGCATCCGCTCCTTTTCCCAGGGCCCTATGTACAGGGAGCCAGGTTGGGGGATCCTGGGGAGCCTGAAGCCGGATCTCCTAACCCTCACTATCAGACAGAAACACAGGAGAGTCCCACACCCTATCCCCTCAAAATGTCAAAGAGCTCTGTAAGAAAATCCGTGTAAAAAGTTAGTTGGCTTCAAGTAACTAAACTTATTTTTATTTTCCAGCCATTGTTTTGGCAACAGATCAATGCAGCCATAATTTATCTTTGTAGGGAGACCAACATGGCACACTTTCACAAAGATTTAAGGGAGCACCTTGGAATGCAGGGCTTCTCACATCTTCTAGTGATTCCATCCTTCTCACCTGTCTTGCCCCATGGCCATTAAATTGATATGTTTTTGCCAAATTGGTTTTTTTGGCTGTCTTAAACAATCCCTGCCTAATCAATCAGACAAGCTGTGCAGTTGATCCAATTTGGCTGTGAAGATGGACAAAGACACAACTCAGCTATTTGTATACTCTCATATTTTCCTGTCAGAAATATACAGGTGGGGACTTATTCTCACCGAAATAACAAAATAATTTTTTCCATGAATTATCCCCCAAATTGGCACCCCCAGGAACATTCTGGCTTAGCTTTACCTGACCTGGAAACACTGACAAGCATCAAATTGAACTGAAAGTTAGACAGACAAGTATTTCCAATATATCTATAGCAAGAATTATTTCATTTTAAAAAGCAAGTCTTTCAGAGAATACTGATTCCAGTATTCAAAGTCCTCTGCCATAATCACTGCTGGCAAAGTTCTCTTTCAGGAGCCTTGATTAGTCGTTGCATTATTGGAATATGCCCCATCAGAGTATTTGCATATTTGATTTTTTTAGTTATTTAGAAATACCTAATTATCATAGTATTAATTAATCTCAAAAATAATATTATGAATACATTTAATATTTAGGAGAAGCTTCTGTCTGCAGAACTAGAATTATGTAATTTGGTTAAAAATGTAACCTGTGCTTCAATTCTTATACTAATTAACTAGCGTAAGTGAATCACTTAGAATGTCTCCAAGCCTCAATTTCATCTGTAAAAGTAATCCTAAAAACATTAATGTGTCAAGTATTTTTTATACAAATTAACAGGCCGGGCATGGTGGCTCTCGCCTGTAATCCCAGCACTTTGGGAGGCTGAGGGGGGCGGATCATGAGGTCAGGAGATGGAGACCATCTTGGCTAACATGGTGAAACCCCATCTCTACTAAAAATACAAAAAAAAAAAAAAAAAAAAAAAATTAGCCGGGCATGGTGGTGGGCGCCTGTAGTCCCAGCTTCTTGGGAGGCTGAGACAGGAGAATGGCGTGAACCGGGAGGTGGAGCTTGCAGTGAGCCGAGATCGCACCACTGCACTCCAGCCTGGGCAACAGAGTGAGACTCTGTCGCAAAACAAAAAACAAACAAACAAACCAACAAAATTAGCAGAGATAATATGTGCAAATTCAGTTTTGTATAATACAGCAAACTATTCAAATATTAATTATGTTTTCCCAACATGTTCTGACACTTTTGGGGCAATACTGAGCCTTATATTTTTGTACACTAACTGCATCACACTGAGCCTTAGAAATTTTTAATAAATCCTTGTTGTATTAACATATTTAGAGCAAAAAATAGTAATTTGCATTTAGTTTGAATTAAATGTATTTTTTATTTGTTATTTAAATTTGGATTTTTTAAATCAATTTATTTAATAGCTTTCTAAATGCCTAATTTTTTGAGAATCAATTCTCTTTCCCTTCTACATCACACTTTCCCTTTTCTATTCCAGGAAAATGAAAATATATTTGTGCACATTTATATTGACTCGCCACTGCTTGTCTAGATGTTTAGAAGAGCTAACTGTAAGAACAAATAAAAAGAAAACTAGATTAAAATATCAGAAAAATATAGATACCTGTCCAATTTCATTCTAGTGAAAGTTCTTTCTAAAAATAAAGCAGGCCAGGCATGGTGGATCATGCCTGTAACCCTAGCTCTTTGAGAGGCTGAGGCGGGAGAATTGCTTGAGCCCAAGAGTCCAAGCTGCAGTGAGCTATGATCACGCCACTGTACTCCAGCCTGGGCAACAGAATGAGATCTTGTCTCGAAATAAATAAATAGAAAGATAGGTAAAAAATAAATAAAATAAAAGCAAAGGAAATGTTAGCATCTTATATAACCATGGTATATTAACAAAACTAATGATTTAACATTGATACAGTATTAAACTACAGACTGCTTTCCTATTTCATCACCTTTTTCACTAGCATTTTTTTTTCTGTCCCAGAATCCAACCCAGGTTATCATGGTGACTTTAGTTCTCATTAGCTCGTTAATGTGCTGCAATCTGTGAAAGTTACTGTGTCTTTACTTGTCTTGGCTGACCTTTGTGCTTTTGAAGAGTACTGGTCAAGTATTTTCTAGAATGTCCCTCAAATAGGCTTCCCTGATGCTTTCTCATGATTAAACTGGGGTTATAGGTTCTGGGGAATAAATATCACAGAGCTCATGCCCCATCTCCCTGCACTAGATCAACAAGATTATTACATGTGATGTTAACTTGTTCACTTGATAACGTGCTGTTTCCACTGTAAAAATAGCCTCTTCATTATAATACATTTCTCAAGAGTCATTTCTCATTATACCTTCAAAAACATCCCAGTTTGTCCCATAGATAAGGGTCATATCTCCCATGTGCTAGCTAAAGTGCCTGGGGTAAGAAATAATTTGCATTAACACTAATAAATTCATTCAGATTATTAAACTCATGGTTTACAATGTGTTGGCCAACAGAAACAGATACACAGTCAGAAAAATTTTTCAGAACACAATTTCCAAAAATTTTCCAAATTTATAGAACTGTATAATACATTTTGAAGAAAAATAATAATCAAACCACAAGGGATCTTAAGGAAGAAAATCTGATAGACAGTTTAAGAAAGTTTTGGGCCTGGGATTCTACTTCTAGGAATCTAATCTGCAGAAAGAGTCCAATGTGTGTAAATATATAACCACATGGTTAGTTAACACAGCATTGTGGAATACGCACATTTGTTAAAAACCGAAAACAAAAATAAGATTGGAAAGATCTCCAAGACATTACTGAATAAAAGACAGGAAAGTGTAGAACAAGATGTGCTGTGTGATCCATTAAAATAAATAATATAAAAAAGTATATATTAAACAGGTGGAAAGCAATATGGCAAATTTAACTTTAATTATTGAAGATGGGTGTGGGGTAAGAGAATGAATGGAAATTTTATGTTTTGCAGTCTATACGTTATGTCATTTAAATCTTTAAGAACACAAATCTATCTATGGGTTACTTACATTTAAAAAATGGATGGAAGTTGCCAAGTATACCTATTACAGGGATTTTTTGAACACATTTACCTTATATTTATACACCATGTTCGTAACAGCATTTTTCACAATTGCCAAAAGGTGGAAACAACCCAAATGTTCATCAGTGGATGAATGGATAAACAAAATGTGTTATAAACAAGATCAGATTTTTACAAGCACTACATTACAAAAACAAATGAACTAAGTTTAGACTGGAGGTAGGTAATTAATGCAGGCTGGGATAAGGGCCATAGCTTGAATTATATCAAATATAATACACTTCTGTTTGTTTATTCAACAGACTCTCAGTATGTTTGTGCAATATTTCCTTTAAGCACAAAATTCAAAGTTGATAAACACTTGGGATTTGCCTGCTGGGGCAGCAGGGCACTTTTGCAGCAGTACTCTTCAATGAGTCTCTCTACAAGAGATGTCAAGGTCTGGTGCCATTGTAAAGCTTTTGAACTGGCACTTTTCCCACACTTTCACTAGCAAATGATGCTGGGTATATTTTCATCATCTTCCCTAGTTTCTTGCCTCAGGTATAAAAAGGCTCATTTATTTGTCTTTATAGCCTACAGCCCCTACATAATGTTATACATAATTAGTTCCATAAAGAAAATAATGGCAAAAATACCCAAGCCAATTAAAATGCAAACAGTATAAAAACTTCAATAAATAAATAAACAAGAAAAGATTGTGAAGACAAATAATGACTTTAAATGTGTGTATGTATGTGTGTGTGTGTGTAGGGCTAATATCCTTAATAAATTGATTTTAATTAATAAAAACAAAATTACCTAATAATGAAAAATACATCTAAAAAATTACAATTTTAATTTAAAAAGGAAACATATTTAACATAACTGGTGATTTGGCCAGGCGCGGTGGCTCACATCTGTAATCCCAGCACTTTGGGAGGCCAAGGCGAGTGGATCACGAGGTCAGGAGATCGAGACCATCCTGGCTAACACGGTGAAACCCCGCCTCTACTACAGATACAAAAAATTGGCCGGCCATGGTGGCGGGCGCCTGTGGTCCCAGCTACTCAGGAGGCTGAGGCAGGAGAATGGCGTGGACCCAGGAGGCGGAGCTTGCAGTGAGCAGAGACCACACCACTGCACTCCAGCCTGGGCAACAGAGTGAGACTCCGTCTCAAAAAAAAAAAAAAAAAAAACGTAACTGGTGATTGAAGCACATAAAGTTTAGAACAACAAAAATTATCATTTATTTATTAAATTAGAAAAAAATGAAGACAAATTTTATCAACCAGAGATGGAAACATTTTGGAAGACATAGACCTTCATCTTTTATAAGTGTAAATATTTGAAATAATTTGAAAGAATAAAATATCTTTTATTTAGTGTAAATATTTGAAAGGTCACTTTGGCAGTATCCTCAATCTCTGAAGATGTTTACATTCTTTGACAAAGTTTTCAACTTCTATGATTATCAGAGACATACGCAAAATTTTAAGACAATTATTTTTCAATTGCTGTGTTATTTCATAATGGGAAAAACTATAAGCATCCTAAGTGCGCCTAATAAGGAATTGTGTGATATCAACTATCATGTGTGTATATATCTATATGTGTGTGTGTATATATATGTAGAATAAAAATACTGCAGCCATTAATATGTAATACATACATAATTATATGTGAAATGTGAAATGTTTTATTAAATATAATAGACATGCTAATTCAGGGTTTAACTAACAAGATATGTCCAAAGTGATGTGCATACTTGTGTGTATACTTGTAAATATTTAAAGTGGTAGGTTATTTAGATTTTATTTTTATTATTAGTTTTTATTTCATTAGCTTTAGGAGAAGGAGTGATTTTTGGTTACATGAATGAATTGTATAGTGGTCCCATGTATTTATTTATTTATTTATTTATTTATTTTTGCATTTGCTTTTGGAGTCTTAGTCATAAATTCTTCACCTATGCCAATGTCTGAAAGTTTTTCCTAGATTTGCTTCTAGAATTTTTATGATTTCGGGTCTTAGATTTAAGTCTTTAATCTATCTTGGGTTGATTTTTGTATACAGTGAGAGATAGGGATCCAGTTTTATTCTTCTACATGTGGCTATCCAGTTTTTCCAACATTATTCATCTAGTAGGGTAGTCTTTCCTCAGTTTATGCTTTTGTATGTTTTATTAAAGATCAATTGGCTGTAAGCATTTGCTTTATTTCTGGGTTCTCTATTGTGTTCCATTGGTCTATGTATCTACTTTTATACCAGTACTGTGCTTTTTTGATAACTATAGCTTTGTAGTATAACTTGAAGTCAGGTAATGTGATACCTCTAGATTTATTCTTTTTGCTTATGAATGCTTTGCCTATTCAGGCTCTTTTTTGTTTCCATGTGAATTGTAGTATTTTTTTCTAATTCTGAAAAAAAATTACAGGTATTTTGATAGAAACTGCATTGAATCTATAGATTGCTTTGGGCAGTATAGTTATTTTTATGATATTGATTCTTCCAGTCAATAAGCATGTGATGTATTCCCATTTGTTTGTGTCATCTATTATTTCTTTCAGCAATGTTTTTTAGTTCTCCTTGTAGAAATACTTTACCTCCTTAGTTAAGCATATTCCTAGGTTTTTATTTTTCACAGCTGTTTTAAAAGGGATTGAGTTCTTGATTTGATTTTCAGCTTGGTTGTTACTGATGAATAGCAGTGCTGCTAATTTGTGTATTTTGATTTTGGAATTGAAGACTTTAATAAATTCATTTATCAGATTTAAGGATTCTTTTGGAGGATTCTTTAAGGTTTTCTAGATATATGACAATATCATCAGCAAACAGAGATAGTTTGACTATGTCTTTTCCAATTTGGATGCCCTTTGTTTTTTCCTTTTGCCTGATTGCTCTGGTTAGGACTTCCATTACCATGTTGAATAGAAGTGGTGGAAGTGGACGTCCTTGTCTTGTTCTAGTTTTTAAGGGAAATGCTTTCAAATTTTCTCCATTTAGTATCATGTTGGTTGTGGATTTGTCATATATGGCTCTTATTATTTTGAAGTATGCTCCTTCTATTCCTAGTTTGTTGAGCAATAAATCAATGCTCCATGTTATGGAATGCTTTTTCTGCATCTATTGAGATGATCATATGTTTTTTTAAAATTTTATGTGATAAACCATATTTATTGACAGCCATATGTTGAACCATTTCTACGTCCCTGGGATGAAAACTACTTCGTCACAGTGAATTATCTTTTTGATCTGCTGTTGGATTCAGTTTGATAGCATTTTGTTGAGGACTTTTGCATCTCTGTTCATCAGAGATATTGGTCTGTGGTTTACTTCTTTTGTTATGTCCTTTCCTGGCTTTGGTATCAAGGCGATACTGGTTTCACGGAATGAGTTAGAGAGAATTTCCTCTTTTTCAATCTTTTGGAATAGATTCAGTAGGATTGGTACCAATTCTTCTTTGGATGTCTGGTTAATTCAGTTGTTAATCCACCTGGTTCTGGGCTATTTTTTTTTCTTTTGGAGGCAATTTTATTTTTATTATTTTATTTTATTTTATTTTTATTAATTTTTTTATTTTTATTTTATTATTATCATTTTTTTGAGATGGAGTCTCACTCTGTCACCCAGGCTGGAATGCAGTGGCATGATCTCGGCCCACTGCAAGCTCCGTTTCCTGGGTTCATGCCATTCTCCTGCCTCAGCCTCCTGAGTACCGGGGACTGCAGGCGCTCACCACTACACCCGGCTAATTTTTTGTATTTTTAATAGAGATGGGGTTTCACCATGTTAGCTGGGATGGTCTCAATCTCCTGACCTCGTGATATGCCCACTTCGGCCTCCCAAAGTGCTGGGATTACAGGCATAAGCCACCGCGCCCGACCCTACTTTTGGCATTTCTTGCAGAGTTTTTCTGGTATCGACAAATACTCTCAGCATTTGCTTGTCTGAGAAAGACTTTATTTCTACTTCATTTATGAAACTTAGTTTTGCTGGATACAAAATTCTTAGCTGACTGTTATTCTGCTTAAGGCAGCTAAAGATCAGACCTCAATCCCTTCTGGCTTGTAAAATTTCTGCTGAGAAGTCGGCTGTTAGTCTGGTAGGTTTTCCTTTATAGGTTACCTGATGCTTTAGTCTCACTGCTCTTAGAATTCTTTCCTTCATGTTGACTTTAGATAGACTTATGACTCTATGCCTTGGTGATTTCCTTTTTGCAATGAATCTCCCAGGAGTTCTTTGAACTCTTTGTATATGGTTGTCTAAATCTGTAGCAAGGCCAGGGATGTTTTCCTCAATTATTCCCTCAAATACATTTTCCAAATTTTTGCTCTTTGTTCACCCTCATGAACACCAATGAGTCTTATATTTGGCCATTTTGCATAATCTCATATTCCTTGGAGACTTTGTTCATTTCTTTTAATTCTTTTTTTTATGTTTTGGTTAATCTTTGTCTCATAGCTTGATATAAGGATTGTATATATTTACCATGTACAACATGATATTTTGAAATATGCATAAATTTTGGAATGTTACAATTGAGCTGATTAACATACATATTACCTCACATACTCATCATTTTTGTGGTAAGAACACTTACAATCTACACTTTTAGTGATTTTCAAAATACACTGTTGTTCACTGAAGTCACCACGTTTTATAATAGTTCTTTAAATACATGTAATAACTGAAATTTAAGCCATGCATGAGATGGCCCGAGGAGAGAATAAAGGTTAGCAAGGTTGACTACTACCAAAACTTCAGGAGAAAAAGCCCACAGAGGAGAAAAAGGAGGGATCAGACAAGAGAGGGTGAAACTGGACAAGGAGAAATCAACAGAAGAGAGGCACAGACAAAATAAGTGTATGTTTCTTAAAGGTCAGATGTTTTGAATCAGTAGTTCAATCAAGGATCATGACAAAATAAAATGTTGGTTTTGGCAACACTGTTGAATTTGGAAAGCCTCCAGGGTCGGGTGAGCAGGGATGAGGTGAAGCAATGAACAGTGAGTATGGGCAGCTCTTTTGAGAGGTGGCTATGAAGGACAAGAAGTCTGGAGCTGGAGGTGGGAGCGCTTTCAGGGGCCAGAAGGTCTCCTTTCCCCCCAGTATTGATAGACTTTTCTTATTTTCCCACATATATAACAATGACTAGGTATTTTTAACATCAGAATACACAATTGTTTTCCAAAAGTTATAAACGATGATACTATACAAAGTATCTACTCCTATATTAAAGAGGTTTGCGAAATAAGAAAGAGGTAGACAATAAATATGAAATACTTTGCAAATGCTGGCAGGACAATTTAGGAGTGGTAGGCACAGGGATAGAATAATAACACAACCTTTGCAATTATGCAGAATGAAATTAAAACTTGGTTTCTATATGTAACAACTCAATAACTTTCTTCTCTCATTTAAAAAATAGGTATAATATTGAGTAGGAACCTCAAAAATACTCAGAAACTACAGGATTTTATTTAATGTTTGCTCTGAATGGGAGACAACACAAAACATGAGTAGGGCCTCTCCTTGTGGACTCTCTAGAGGGATAGATCTAACCAAAGAGGCCTGAGTCCTAAGCCACGGTGCAGAGATTCAGTAAGGTCCCATGTCCCTTCTTGGGACCATCTGATGGACTTGGCTGTTAGCCCAGCCAACAGGGGGCCCATGGGGCCTCAGTCCTAAGGGGGGTGAATGCAAGACCTGGCAGTAAGGCTCTATGGGACTCCACCCTCAGAGGTCTGGCTGGCTCCAGTCTATTCAAAGTACTTAAGAGGGGCATTCGAGGACACGACCAGGCCATAGAAGTTTTTTCAACATGATTTCTAAACAAACACTTTAATTACTTGGGGGATAAGAGAGCTATTGCCTTCAAACAGGAAGTGCTTGAATACTCCACATGATTCCAGAGCTCAGAATTAGGACCAATAAAAAATTATGTCCAACTACTGGAATAATCGGTAAATAGGATGCACTGCATAGCAAAGACCTCAAGCCTCTGTCACATTAAAAGCCAAAGCAGAAACTGGAGGATGGCCAGGCAGAGAAGGTAGAGATCTGACCAAGTATCCCATAGACTAGTGAACTCTACTGCACTCTTTCCAGTTCTGAGATTGCACCTGCAAGTCCACAGGCTGCAAGTAAACACATGTCACACAAAAGGCAGGTGTGCATTCTGAAACTTGGAATCAGGAGAAAAATCTCTGTAGCAGGCAGTTGTAAATACTTAAATATTGGTCTACTTGCTCTTGATGACATTATGAAGTGAAATCAATATAATATGTGGGCGATCTGTTCATAGTTAGTGCAGTACACACTCCAGGGGTGGATAATAAGTCTCATTTAAATATGAGATCAGTGGCTTAGTCTGAGAGGAAATACCCCCACTGACTAACCTCAAAGACACAGAGAGTCATAATACCTATGCCTGCAGGGGGCTGCCATTGCCATTATCAAAAGCCAGCCCATACCTGCTGTTAATTTCTGAGAAGTGATGGCCAAAAGCATCCCACATCATTTCAATCTGGCCTGAAATGTTGCCTGGATAACTCTAA
Source organism: Homo sapiens (assembly GCF_000001405.40). NCBI lineage: Eukaryota > Metazoa > Chordata > Mammalia > Primates > Hominidae > Homo > Homo sapiens. Next base: position 52,629,227 of record NC_000007.14, read on the forward strand.
GTGCTTCTCACCTGGTTGTCCTTTTCCTCTGCTCACTTTCGCAGAGGAAGCCAGATGACATCATTCCTCTGTGCACACCTTGCCATGACTTTATTTCCTGCAATAAAAGCTGAAGAACTCACCTGTCCATTGGGATCTGGCCCTAGTCATCCTTCTACCAAATCACCTGCTACCCCAGCCCTTGCTCCCTTCATCACAAGACCAAACTAGCCTTTGTTCCTCCCTCTTTGGGGTCTTTGAGTGCCTGTCTTCACTGCGAGCTGTCGTAATCTGCACATCCTCAGGGCCGATTCCCTGTCTTCACTGCGAGCCATCCTAATCCGCACATCCTCAGGGCTGAATCCCTGTCTTCACTGCTAGTCATCCTCATCTGCACGTCCTCAGGCCGAATCCCTGTCTTCACTGCCAGCCGTCCTCATCGGCACATCCTCAGGCCAAATCCCTGTCTTCACTGCCAGCCGTCCTCATCTGCACATCCTCAGGGCGGAATTCCTTTCCAGCTTGGCGCCTATGCCCAGGAGGCCTCCTCACACTGAGGCACTGCCACCTGGCCCCTTGTCTATGGGTTTGCTTTGCCATATCAATCGTGCTCTTTTATCATTCTCTATTACGAATGTAATTGTATTGAATATTTCCTACCTCTCTCCATTAGACTAAGAGCCTCATGAAGAGAGAGAGAGATCTCCGTCTGTTTTCTTCATGAATGTTTACCAAGCTCCTAGAACAATGCCTGCACATGGGGAGCACTCAAAAAGTGTTCTAGAAATTAATATATTGATTAATAATTGGGAAAAATCCTGTTTGATGACCTACCATGTTCCTACCACAAGACAAGGAATTTTGTATATGATGAAAGATGATAATTACGTGGATAAAATTTAGTTTATGTACATAAGCCTCAATCAAAAACAATAAAATGTGATGGAAGCTACACATTACAACTGTCTGTAAGTATGTCGAGTGTGTTTGCCTGCTCTGCACATGCAACATAAACATCTGGTAAAATTCTCCAACAAAACCACTGCGGCCCAAATGAGCTTTTTAGCACTTGGCAGTGGTGAAAACCCTGACTCTCCACTTGGCCTTCTCTGGCCCTGCCCGAGGCCACTGCAGCAATGCTCCCACATGGTCTCCACGGACACCATGAATGAAAGTGGCTCCATTGTGGCTAGAGGGGAGGAAGGCTCAGAACCCCGTTTGGCCTTCTCTTGACACCATCCTGGCAGGAGGATTAGGGTCCCTTGTTGCAGCCTGGCATGGGAGATATCTAGCCTCCCCACTCCTCTTCCACTATTGTGCCTAAGTGTGTAGTCACGGTTTAGTTGTAGTAGAGCGGTTATTATCTAAAGCGCTCTGTGTTGCTGGGCTGTCCCTTGCCTTCTTTAATACAAAGATGAGGCTTTGTTGGGGCTTTCCTGTCTGCACCCAGCAGTGTTACAACAACAACAAATAAAACAGAATTCACCACCAGCCATTTGTAGGGTGCTGAGGTCCCTAGCTTGCCTGTCTTCTTCTCTCCACCTCTCAGAGTCTTCTGTCCTAGGCTTTATATAAAATTTCAAGGGTTTAAAGTTGTTTTTAGTGGTAGGGTGAAAAGTACATTCGTGCCATCCTCCTGTACACAGGAATTCCCATTCTTCTTTGCTGGAAATATCTGAGAATATATTCTTGATATATTCTGGTAAGTAGAAACATTTTTAAAAGAAAATACAAAACTACTAAAAATAAACTACTCATAAATTGAACAACTTGAAAGAATGTCTGCTTGTAAAAATATAGTTTTAGTAAAGTGAAAGGTAACCTACACAGTCAGAAAATGATTTTGTAGTATTTACTGACAATGATAACTCATAGCTGGTATGTAAAAAAGAACCACAACCAATCAGTAAGAAGAAGTTAACATATCCCATAAGAAAATAGGCTAATGGCCAGGCTCAGTGGCTTATGCCCATAAACCAAGCACTTTAGGAGGCTGAGGCAGGAGGATCCCTTGAGACCAGGAGCTTGAGACCAGCCTGGGCAACATAGCAAGACCCCATTTCTATAAAAACTTAAAAAAATAGCTGAGCATCATGGCATATGTCTATGGTTGCAGCTACTCAAGAGGCTGTAGCCCAAGGAACACTGGAGCCCAGGAGTTTGAAGCTGCAATGAGCTATGATTGCATCACTGAATTCCAGGCTGGGTGACAGAATGAAACAGAAATAAGAATAAAAAAGAAGAAAAAGAAAATAGGTTAATGACATAAACAGGCACTTTATGAAAAGGAAAGCCAAATAATTAATAAGCATATAAACATCACGATCTTCATGGATGTACAAATAAAACGACAAATACCTCTACATCCTTTTCAGAGTGATAAATGTTTAAATGTTATACAATACCAAGTGATGGCAAAGATTTGGAGAACCAGGTGCTCCCATAGACTGCTGCTGGGAGAAAAATTTGTTGAACCACTTCAAAAGCAGTGTGTTATTATTTATTAGATTAAAGACATCTGTACTCTATGCCTAGAGATTCAAATATTAGGTTTATTCTTTACAAAGACTGATTTTACCTATGGCAGGATACATGTGTGAAAAGACTCACAGAAACACTCTTCAGAGTTTCTCAAAATGGAAAAACAACACATAGTCATCAACAATAACACAGATAATTAAATTTTTATATATTTATGTGATAGAATATTATATATCAATGAAAATGAATGAGCTACAACTATAAGTAAAAGCATGTATAAATCATACAAACACATCAAAAAAGAAAAAGAAGATCCAAAGGAATACATAGAGTATGATAATACTTATATCAAGCTTGAAAACAAGCAAATCTAAGCTATATTGTTCAGGGATATAGCCATATGTGATGGTTAACTTTAGGTGTCAACTTGACTAGCTTAGGCGAGACCCAAGTAGCTGATAAACGAAGATTGCTGGGTGTGTCTGTAAGGTTGTTTCTGGAAGAGGCTGGCATTTGAATCAGTAGACTGAGTACGGAAGATCCATCCTCAACAGTGTGGGCAGGCAGCATCCAATCAGCGGAGGGCCCAGACAGAAGAAAAAGGTGGGGGAAAAGGCAAAGTTTTTCTCTCTTCTGAAGCTGCCCTTCTTCTCTTATCCTTGTAGATGAGCATTCCAGGTTCTCTGGTCTTTGGACTCTGGGAGGAGCATCAGCAGACCCCAGGTTCTCCAACCTTCAACCTCAGTCTGAGAGTTACACCATTGGCTCCCTGGGTCTACAGCTTGAAAACGGCCTGTCATGGAACTTCCCGCCTCCGTAATCATGTGAACCAATTCTGTTAGTGATTTCCCTTCCATATCATCTATATCACCTGTCTTACCATCTACATCTTTAATCTATGTCTATGTTATCTAGATATCTATATCTACATCTATATCTGTATGTATATCTATATGTATCTATAGCTATCATCTATATATATCTACATTATCTGTATATATCTACATTATCTGTATCATCTACATGTATATCTATATCCATGTCTACATCTACATCTATAACTATATCTTTGTGGTTACCTCCCAATGCTTCTGTCTCTAGAGAACCCTGAAAAATACATCATATGCAGGTAGTAAAACTGTGAAGAAAATAGAGGAAATATTTTCTGTGAAAGTAATAAGAATTACTATATTTGTACTGATGAATAAATTGAGATTGGAGAAGGAAACAAGAGTCTTCTCAGGAGCTTAAACTATTGTATTTTACCATGGGTGAGTGTTATACAGGTGACCATTTATAAATATTTGTTAAACTGTGTGTGTGTGTGTGTGTGTATAAATTCACTTTTGTCAATGTTTTATGTTTTACATAGACAAAAAAGTGAACTGAAGGAAGGAAAGACTAAAGACAATAACACAAATTAGGAAGCTGTAGTCACAACCCAATCATCAATAAAAATAATGCATGAGCCTGGAGACTTGGAGGTCAAGTATTTTAAATATACCTCTTTGCAGTTTTAGCAAAAATATCTTGATATTACAAGAAAACAAAATTTGCTGTATTTTTCTTTTTACTTTGATTTAGTGTGAATCACCATTATCTTTAACAACAGTCCCAGTTCAAATTAGTAAAGTCATTCCCATTTACCTAAGCCTTTGGTAATTCTGTTTTTATAAATTGAGAGGAAACTTTTCTTCTAGATTAACTAAACTTAACTTCTCATCCACTGATCTAGGGCCTGGAAGCTGTTGCCCAGTGTGATCTTTACAAAACCTTCCAGTGAGACTGTGGATTAAAGTGGAGATCTTCTTTTAAAGAGATTTTTCTTTAACAGTGATGATTACCGTCACATCAATGTGACCCCAAATTTTAGTTATAACTAAAGATCCCCAAACAACTTGGAGATAAAATATGTATCATATTAGTGACCAATTTATATCATACCATCTTATTTCCAAAGGAAATAAGCACAGATATACTAAGTGATATTATGCTTTGAAATTTGCATAAATTATTTGCAGGTCATGTGAAAGAACTTTTCTCTTCTATTTAATTGTGAAGTAATATATGCCTACAGACAACAGTGCAGAACAAAAATCAAAAGCTTAAAGATTCACCAAGAAGCAAGCAATTCTGTAATCATGAATTAACTTAAAAAATAGAATATTGATAGCACCACAAACCCCCCCCTGGAACCACTCCTAAGCCACCCACAAAGGCACCACTACCTGGCATCTTTGGTAACACTTTTCTTGCCCTCTTAATTGTTCTTCTTCATAAGGGATTGCATAAAGGTGTATTCCCTCCAGCAATTTATGACAATCAAATTCCTTTCCAACATATCAGATCGCCACTTTACATATTTCAAGCCATTCTGCAGGGTATATATATTGGCAACTCAATGTAGTATGATTTAACTTTTCTCTGATTACAGCTGAGATTGAGCACCTTGTCAAATAGTTATTGATCCCTGGGGTGTAGTTTCTTTGTGTTAATTTTCTATCCAAGTCTATGCCCCCTTTTTTTGTTCTATTGAGTATTTTGTCTTTCCCTGTTGATTTGTAGGACTTTTGTCTTGGTCCTTTGTCTCTTATATGAGTTACCATTATTTTCTTCCTGTCTGCATCTTTCCTTTTTGCTTCCTCTTAATGTGCAGAAATTCTTAACATATCAATCTTTTCCTTTGCAGTTATAGATTTTGTGGTTTTCTTCTTCCTTTTTTTTTTTTTTTTGAGATGGAGTCTTGCTCTGTCACCAGTCTGGGGTGCAGTGGCGCCATCTTGGCTCACTACAACTTCTGCCTCCTGGGTTCAAGCAATTCTCCTGCCTCAGCCTCCTGAATAGTTGGGATTACATGCACGTGCCACCATGCGCAGCTAATTTTTGTGTTTTTAGTAGAGACTGGTTTTCACCATGTTGGGCAGGATGGTCTCGATCTCCTGACCTTGTGATACACCCACCTTGGCCTCCCAAAGTGCTGGGATTACAGGCATGAGCCACCACGCCCAGCCGATTTTGTGTCTTTTTAAAAAGTCTTTCATGTCTGCAAATGATGGGTGTATTTTCACATTATCTTTGAGATGCTTTATTGTTTTGCTTTCACCTTTAGATCTGCAGTCTCAGTGGAATTGTATGCATGGTATGAGATTGGAAACATATTTTCATTTCTTTCTTCTATATAGATTTACCGTTACATCAGCAACATTTATTTGAAATAACTTCCAAACCACTGATCTGCAAGGCCATCCTTGTCTTAAATCTAGCATCCATATATATGCATGAGTCTCTGTATTAGTTTTCTACTGTTGCCATAACAAGTGACCAAAATTCACTGGCTTAAAACAACACCCACTTGTTATCTCATAGTCCAGTAGGTCAGAAGTCCAGGTACAGTGTGACTCAGCTGCTGTGTCTTCCTGAGTCTCAAGCTATTGAAATCAAGGTGTTGGCGCAGCAGTCTCTTCTGCAGTCTCTGTGGATGAATTCATTTTCAAGCTGACTCAGGCTGTAGGCCCACTCAGTTTCTTGCAGTTGTAGGATAGAGGTGCTTGTTGCTATGCTGATAGACAGCAGGGGCCCAGTCTTTGTTCTGGAATCTGCCTGATTCCTTCTCATGCTTTCCGTGTGGCCGTGATCCTGTAACAGCAGGTTGAGTCTCTCACTTCACATCTCTCTGACTTCACCTTCTGCCAAATCTCTCTGACTCCAGCTGGAGGAATTTATCTGCTTCTAAAGACGTATGTGATTAGATAAAGTCCAGCTAGATAGCCCAGGAAAATCTATTTTAAGATCTATAACTTTACTTACGTCTGTAAAGTTAATTTTGCCGTGAAAAGTAGTATATACACAGATTTTAGATTTCAGGACCTGAATATTTTTGGGAGAGGGTTGTAAATTTCTGCCATGTTCATAATTGAGGACATATGCCTTCTAATACTATTGTTGTCAGATTTTCTTGTCACATTTATGCTAACCTTATAACACCTTCAATGTTTCTTTTTGACAGCTTCTTTTTATTGTTATTTCTTCTTTAAATGCTATCTATGCAGTTTTCAATGAGTTATAAACTTTAATTTATATGAAAAAATAATAATGTATGCAATTACCTTCATTAAGTTTTCAAGTATTTCTTATGTCACTTTGATGAAGTTTTATTATTTTAGAACTTTTTCAATTTTAACTAAATTTTCATGCTTATTTGCATGTATATTATCTTATCATTTAAACAGCTGAGGGATGTACACTGATGTTCTTTTGTTCTTTCTGAATGTTAGTATGTGTTTGCCAGTGGAGAATGCTCTTAATTTCTGAAAAGATATCTGTTTCACATTCATGGAGGACATTTTTTATGGATATAGATATACTAAATTGACAGTTATTTTCTTTCAGCACTTTAAATTTCTTTTATCTTTATACTTGTAATATTTCTGTTAAAAAGGAAGTAGTCATTCTAATCACTACTCCTTTGAAGACAATTCTTTTTGTTTTTCACATCCTCTGCTTGCTGTTAGGACTTTCCTAATTCTCTTTGGTTATCAAAAGTTTTACTTTGATGAATTGTGAATAATTTAAAATGTATATTGCTTGAATCTCCGGCTCTCTCCTCTCTTTCCAATTCCATGTTTGTTAACCTGCTTATTCTATGTTTCTTACTTCCTCTTCAATTTTCCATTCTTTTTAATCCTTATAATTTTTTCTGAATATTTTTGTGATCTGTTTTCCAGTTTACTAATTCTTCTTCCAGCTTTGCTCCATCTGCTATAAACCTTTCCATTAAGTTCTTAATTTCATTTCATTTTCATACCTTCCAGTTATCTACCAAAACTCTAAAATTTTCCCTGTCTCTTTGTAAGTAGGAAGCATGCTCATACTAAAGCCTTTATTGACAATCCCTATACCCAGAGTCTCTTGCGGTTTTGTTTCATTTGGTGTTTCTGCAGGGTGTGTTGATGCTCCCCTTATACTTTACTACTTTTTATTTTTAGATGAGATTGTATTTGTAAAACAGGTTTTATATATGTCAAACTAGGATAAATTACATTTTCCTGCAAGCACTCGGTAACAATAACACTCAATATCAACCTAATCATATTTTAGCAACTGGAATACAGTAGTTCCCCCTTATCCACAGGGAGTATGTCTTAAGACCCCCCGTAGATGTCTGCAACTGTAGAGAGTACAGAACTCAATATATACTTTAGTTTTTTCTATACATACATATCTATGACAAGGTGTGATTGAAAATTAGCATCGTAGCAGGTTAACAACAATAGCTAATAGAAGAATTATAAGAATATACTCTAATAAGACTTATGTGAATGTGGTCTCTCTCTCCCTCTCTTTCTCTCTAAATATGTATTGTACTGTGCTCTCCCTTTTATTTTGGTGATGATATGAGATAACAAAATGCCTGTGTGATGTGAACAAGTGGGGTGAATGGTGCACGTACTGTGATGTGGTATTAAGCTACTATTGACCTTCATAGGATGGGTCAGAAGCAGGATAATCTGCTTAGGGAGATCCCAGATCATCAAGCTGTGATGATGTGGATGGCTGGATGTCAGGGACAGACGATGTCAATGAAGAACGGGCAGGTAGTGCACACAGCACAGACACACTGGACAAAGGATGATTCATGCGTAGGGCTGGACTTACATACATATTTATATGCCACTGGACTAACATATTCTCCATTTAAAATCTATTTGTTTTGTTTGTTTGTATTGTTTTTAATCCAGACATGTAAATTTACATTTTTTTATCTGATCATTTGTCTGTCTCATTTATGAGGTTAGCATTAGTCTCATATCAAACATAGCCAATGACAGCACACAAAAAGAAAACTGCAGTACACCAGCCCTTATAAATATAGATGAAAAATCCTCAGTAAATACTAGCAAACCACATTTAGCAGCACATTAGAAGGATCATTCACCAGCCCCAAGTGGGATTTATCCCTTGGATTCAAAGATGATTCCACACACTTCAACCAATCAATGTGATATAGCACATTAACAAGATGAAAAAATACACAATCACTTCAATAGATAAAGGAAAAGCATCTGCAAAGCTTAGCATCTATTAATGAATAAAACTCTCAAAAAATAGGCATAGAAGGAAACTATCTCAACATAATAAAGGTCACATGTGAAAATCCCACCGCTATCATCATAATCAATGGAAAAAACTGAACAATACTGAAGTTTTTCTGCTAAGATATGGTAGTGAAAGATGCTTGTACACTGTTGGTGAAAAAATGTCAACTGGTACAGCCATTATGGAAAACAGTGTGGAGATTCCTTAAAAAACTAAAAATATAAATATTTTATGATCTAGAAATCTCACTTCTGGGTATATATCCTGAGGGAATGAAATGAGGATCTCAAAGAGATATCTTCACTCCAATCATTTCAGCATTATTCACAATAGCTAAATAAGGAAATAACAAATGTCCCTTGACAGATAGATTTTTTAAATGTGATGTGTATGTACACTGGAATATTATTTAGCCTTAGAAAAAGACACTTATAACATGGAAGAACCTTGAGGACATTATGCTAAGTGAAATAACTCTATTAAGAAAACAGGAGCCAAGGAGCTGAATAGATGTTTCTATAAAGAAGACATACAGATGGCTCACAGGTATGGGAAAAGATGCTTGACTTCAGTAATCACCACCCAAAACAAAATGACTTTATTTTTTTCCTTTGTTTTTACTTTGAAATAGAAGTAAACCTATCAGCTGATGAGAAGATCAAAGAGATGAGAAGATCAATAAGAAACAGAAGCATTAAGCCACCTCTGAAACTAATAAACTACCTAAAGTAGAACTGGAGGGTAATGGCTATTGGCAAGAACCAGGAACATGTGAGACCTTGGGAAGCGGAAGCTGGACCACACAGAACACCTATGTGGACTCACTCATATGTGGAATATAGGATATTTGCATGTTCTTGTCAATGATGCCTTGAGCTGCTCCTTTGAAGTACTCACTACACTCAGAATTATACATTCAATGTATAGCACCTGCTCCACTGTGAACTTAATGAGGGCATGACTGTGTCTCATCCAGCACCCCATCCTAGGCACAGTGCATTATCTGCCAGGGAGTTAGCACTTCTCTCTTCACTTATATTAAATTTATGTTCAGTAAATCAATCAGTGATACATAATCTTACACGAGTTTAACGTCTGTAAACACTGCAATACAAATATGTGCTTACATATATTTTTAGGGAGGGCACCTTAAGTGTTTGGCCATAACAACTTCAGAGATTTTTCAGGTAGAACTTCTTCAATATTTAACAAAAAAATGCAAATAATTTAGATATGCTCTATATTATTTTATGAGAGAGTCAGATGTAGCCACAGGAGGAGAAACAAAATAGACTGAGGGAAAAAACAAAGTTTGTTATGCTCACAGGTCCTCGGAACAGCAGGAACAGCACCATGCAGTTCCTCACAGGGAAGGCACAGGTGTGGTCAGCAGCTGAAAGACAGGATGAGAAGGCTTAGGTCAGTGCTTCATTGGGTTTTCATGGGAAAGGGAAGGCAAGGAGGCTGAAGAGCTTAGAAATGGCTAGTCTGAGTAATTGTGGTGGGCTTTAGATTATAGAGGGGATTCATGATTGCCTGGTACCTGATCCTGGGATGACTAAAGCAGAGGAATGTTGCTCCCTGGGGTGTAAGGGCCAGAGAGAGGAGGGAGGGCTGAGGATTGTTTAGTTTACATATCAAAGGTTTCCAGCTCCAAAAGAGTCAGTCTCTCCCCAGCCAGAAGGAGCTTTTTAAAGATGTCAAAACATCATAATCTACAGAGAAAATTCAAACCATTCACAACACAATATAGTATCTGAATTATGACATTCTGTCCTCATGACCTCACTTTAAGAAAACTACCAAAATTCACACTCTTGAGATGGTACATCTCTGACGAAACTTTCTATCTGATTAGAGCAAAGCAAGTTTAACCAGAACCTGCAATGCCTTGGTCATTCTTGGCGATACAGATTTTATTTTTTATGTCAGCATCAATAACTTAACTGTGTTAGAAACCGTGATTGATTAAAGTGTGACTAATATGTAAAATATATTCTTAAATTAGACATTATTCCCATTTTCCATGAGAGAAATGTTATAAGAACAGAACAATGAGATGAAAAGAGACAAATGTTAATGACATTGAAGGGCATCTCACTGGCTCCTGTTTCTGTTGCGCGTGGATCGCTACCTTTACAGATAAATTATCTTCTGAGAGTGATTATAGAAAGCAATTGTGACCTAAATAGGTAAATTTGAGTATCTGGAAGAACTTGGTTTTCTAAAGATTTAGGAAATTGACAAATGGAACTCATCTGAATCTGAGGTTTGGAGAAGGATGAATCAGCAAGAAAGTTGAATGACTCCGAGAAGCATGGCTAGAGAAAGATCCAGGGATCAGTGGGGAATGCGACCACAGAATAACCATTTGAACAGGCCCACACTGAGTAAGGTGATGCTTCAGGACTATGATTCACACGAACTGGGCATTACTTGTGCCTTGAGACTTCCTGTCCCTCTAATTCGCAAGACTGTGCAGTTAAGAGGGCTTTGAACACACAGTACTGCAGTCTCCTCTGAGGTGGGAAAAAGGCAAGATGCCTGAGCTCTTCCTCATATGGGAGGAGTTATTATTCTGCCTTTTGCTTTTCTTAGCTCTAATGTTCTTATTAAGCAATGTTTTTAATGAAAATAGTTAGAAAATAGAAAAAAAAACCTACAAAATAAATCAAGGGTACTATCACAGCAGGCCACAGATAATCATGTTAAATGTGTTCCTATTGAAAAAGTTTAACGATCAAACAAGTAAAATTAAAACCAGTGGTTTCCATATTTCCAGGTCACAAACAGGTCACAAGTTGCACAAAGGGCTCCCGTGGACACTCCTGATCCAGAACAGCAGAAGGCACCTTGGGCTGAGGGCACCTGCAAGGGAGGACTGTGTGTGTCTGCACCGGGATCTACACTGCACTGGCACTGCATAAGCCCCAGCACCTGAGAAACAACCATCCTTCAAAGAAAGGACAATTCCCCAAATGATGGAGCATAGATTTCCATCACACATGCAGCACAGGTGTTAAAACTGGATTCTAGAAAAATTCATTTTTACTTTTCACACACTTATATCTGTGGGTAGAGAAACCACTCACAACAAATGTTAAGATACTCTTTCTGTCTTACTACAGACATTTCCACCTGGTTCTTTCTCAATTCTAAAATTTTTAATTAGTGCATTTTGACATATGTCACTTTATCTTCATGTGGTAGGAAAATTATTTTCTTTTTGTTTTCTGACTTTGGCATTGCCTATGACATGTTTTTGAGACACTAAGTGGTATAGTAATCTTACCCCTAAACAATGTTAGGTGGAAAGGAAGGCTCATTTTAGAGTGAGCCATGTTGGAAGTGTTCCATTTCATTACAATCTGTACCTTCAAGGGACTCTCAGTGAAACAGGAAAACATGAAAACAATAAGTTAAGGGCAAGAATTTATATATAAATAAATGGTAACTAGAGCTTCCTGAAGGTGCTTTGGGGCAGCCCATAAGCAATATTTTCCAGGCCATTGGGGTCTTCAGGGTTGTCTACCCACCCCTGCTGTCAGTCAAGGGTAAAAATAAATAACAAAACTGTTCATCACACCTGAAATCAAATATTTTCTCACAGGAATGCCAAATATTTGAACAATTAAATCAAATTGTGAAGATAGTGGTCTAAGGTAAGGGTCAGCAAACTTTTTCTTAAATGTCGCGATAGTAAAGGGTTTTGACTTTGTGATCATGTATGGCCTCTGTTATATACTCACATGTATGCCCACACACTTACAACTCTTTAAAAATGTAAAATCCATTCTTAGCTCACGGGTCTACAAATTAAGGTTGATAGTTTGCTGACTCCTAGTCTAAGGTGTAGAGGAAAGTTTGCAACTCACGAAAAATATTGTTAACTTCCTAAGTCCCATGGGCCTTGATGCATACATCAGGAGCAGGTGCAGCTACACTGCCTCTCGGGTGGCAGTGGATGCAGTTGATGAGGAATACTTGGTAGTGCTACAATAAGAGTATAAAGAAAAAGGGCTCGATTATTCCAGGTAAGGTAGGGAAAAGGATCACGTGGAAATTGATGAGTTGGAATGACATATTTTGAGTATACTTTATACAATCTAAAACAATCACAAAAAGTATAGAGACAGGTAGAGTTAGCTAGAGATAGAGATGCAGATAGTGGAGATGATTGCTCAGTGACATTAAGGTGTACAGTGTGAAGTTGCTGTTGTCGCAACTGGTTTCAGCTTCCATGGGCCTTTCAAAATCTGTGCTTCTAACCAGTCTTAAGAAGTCTAATACTTAAAGTGTTTTTTCATACAAAATCCCCTCAAGTAAACCTTCAGTTTGTAAGCAGCAAAAACAATGGTCAATTCTAAACTTGTAGGAAACCTTACTTTGCTGGACTTACTGAGGAGAAAGTATGTTGTTATCTAAAATGGTACCTTCCTAAGAGATTTTCAGAAAAATGTTTGCCCTATGTCATCTTTTTCCATATGTATTAATTTTAGAATTTATATATCCAAATAAAATGTTTCATCATTGATTGTATACTGATTCTGGAAGGGTAGATATTCAGCCACTGCATAATCAAAGCCAGGAAACATGTTTAAAGTCATCGACAGTTTGAAAGAAGACCTAGTTTGAAAGCAGAAAGAAGTGATTATGGAATTACGCTTGTGAGGGGATAGACCCATCTCCTGGTAAGCGCTAGGTCTTTGGAGTATAGTATTAATGCATTTTTTATATTGTATATGTTCTATATGAATATACCTTATAAGTGGTGTGAAGACCCCCAGCTCAGTGATAACATATAAATGACATAAATGAGCTGTCTTACCATTTGATATAGCAATTTTATCAGCGTTTTATCAAGTGGGAGGAGAGCTCATTTATTAGAGACTCTATAATCCAGACAACTAACTGATACAGGTAACAGTGAAGTAAACATTGAGACATGTTTCCAGTCATTCACTTACATTGCATTTACTGAGCTTCAATTTTGGTCAGACTGAAGGTATATGATGAGATTCCAAGGAAATCTTGGATATAATTAAAACAAGTCTGATGTAATTTTTAAAAATATTATGATTTGTGGCTTTTTCCAATGTAGGAAATGACCTTTCCCTAAATACTCTGTAGTGTGACTTCAAAATTTCTATTCCCTGATTTCAATACAATACAATATGTAAACAATAAAATTTCTATTTGAACCCTAACATCTTATTTAAATGTTTATGTGTAGATCCAAAATGTTACTGTATGGGTTTCTACATCTATGAGACAGTTACTTACCCCATTCTTGTCATCCAGCAATAGGTGTAACAGTAAAACTACTGCACAGAATTATTCACAGATTAAAGATGTACAGATGGTGTAAATAGTATCTGGCCCACAGCAAACACTCAAGAAATGTTGGCTATTTATGTTAGATATTTTAATTTTAAAATTCCATATCTTGATAAAAGCTAGGGCAGGGTAGAGTAAGAATTATTTTATAGCTATGAAAATATCTCTTTATTCAGATCAGCTCTTTTCAGAGCATTAAAAAATACTGAAGAAGAGAAATAATATAATTTAGCAGTGACATTATATTTTCGAAGCTGCTATAATTGTACATATGCTCTCCATTTCCTTACCATTCTATGAACAGTAAGAAACAGTTTCTAATGTATAAAATTACTTGTTCTAAAACATACTTAACCTTTAAAATATATCTCTTAGATAACTGATAATTCCTGCTTTGTTGCTGAAAACTCACTACTCTTAAAGGGCAACAGTATCTTTTATTTAAGTATCTATCTATCTATCTACATACATATATATAGATATATATTTAAATCGGAAGGTGATTGTTTCTCCTAACTTATGTGATTTTGTTGTTAGGGAATATATATTTCCTCCAAGGCTCTTCCAGGATGTATCAAAGTACAGGAGCATTTTACTAAGGTACAAGACAATTTAATATAAAAACCTTACTTGTATTTTGAATAAAGCCAACATATTGGCTTTGTCCCATGCTATTAATTAGTTTGGTGTCTAATGAATTGAGACCCAAAGTAAAGGCATATGAAGAAACTCCTTATTCTTTATTTTCCTGATTTTCTTTTTTTATTTAAATTCTTATAAGTGGAACATTCCGTAGTTAGAAACTCTCTAAACTCAATATATACGCATACATTATTTTTGACAAAACCCATGGAAGATAATGTGACCAGTTCCACTGTATCAAAAAAAAATTACTATCAATGTAAATTTTACTTCTTAAAATGCAGTTTACTTACATAATATCAAATTAAAATTGCTTTTTTTATTATTATACTTTAAGTTTTAGGGTACATGTGCACAACGTGCAGGTTTGTTACATGTGTATACATGTGCCATCCTGGTGTGCTGCACCCATTAACTGGCCATTTAGCATTAGGTATATCTCCTAATGCTATCCCTCCCCCCTCCTCCCACCCCACAACAGTCCTCGGTGTGTGATGTTCCCCTTCCTGTGTCCATGTGTTCTCATTGTTCAATTCCCACCTATGAGTGAGAACATGCGGTGTTTGGTTTTTTGTCCTTGCGATAGTTTGCTGAGAATGATGGTTTCCAGCTTCATCCATGTCCCTACAAAGGACATGAACTCATCCTTTTTTATGGCTGCATAGTATTCCATGGTGTATATGTGCCACATTTTCTTAATCCAGTCTATCACTATTGGACATTTGGGTTGGTTCCAAGTCTTTGCTATTGTGAATAGTGCCACAATAAACATACGTGTGAATGTGTCTTTATAGCAGCATGATTTATAATCCTTTGGGTATATACCCACTAATGGGATGGCTGAGTCAAATGGTATTTCTGGTTCTAGATCCCTGAGGAATCGCCACACCAACTTCCACAATGGTTGAACTAGTTTACAGTCCCACCAACAGTGTAAAAGTGTTCCTATTTCTCCACATCCTCTCCAGCGCCTGTTGTTTCCTGACTTTTCAATGATCGCCATTCTAACTGGTGTGAGATGGTATCTCATTGTGGTTTTGATTTGCATTTCTCTAATGACCAGTGATGATGAGCATTTTTTCATGTGTTTTTTGGCTGCATAAATGTCTTCTTTTGAGAAGTGTCTGTTCATATCCTTCACCCACTTTTTGATGGGGTTGTTTGTTTTTTTCTTGTAAATTTGTTTGAGTTCATTGTAGATTCTGGATATTAGCCCTTTGTCAGATGAGTAGGTTGCAAAATTTTTCTCCCATTCTGTAGGTTCCCTGTTCATTCTGATGGTGGTTTCTTTTGCTGTGCAGAAGCTCTTCAGTTTAATTAGATCCCATTTGTCAATTTTGGCTTTTGTTGCCATTGCTTTTGGTGTTTTAGACATGAAGTCCTTGCCCATGCCTATGTCCTGAATGGTAATGCCTAGGTTTTCTTCTAGGGTTTTTATGGTTTTAGGTCTAACATTTAAGTCTTTAATCCATCTTGAATTAATTTTTGTATAAGGTGTAAGGAAGGGATCCAATTTCATCTTTCTACATATGGCTAGCCAGTTTTCCCAGCACCATTTATTAAATAGGGAATCCTTTCCCCATTTCTTCTTTTTGTCAGGTTTGTGAAAGATCAGAGAGTTGTAGATATGTGGCATTATTTCTGAGGGCTCTGTTCTGTTCCATTGATCTATATCTCTGTTTTGGTACCAGTACCATGCTGTTTTGGTTACTGTAGCCTTGTAGTATAGTTTGAAGTCAGGTAGCATGATGCCTCCAGCTTTGTTCTTTTGGCTTAGGGTTGACTTGGCAATGCGGGCTCTTTTTTGGTACACAAGCATTCTTATACACCAATAACAGACAAACAGAGAGCCAAATCATGAGTGAATTCCAATTCACAATTGCTTCAAAGAGAATAAAATACCTAGGAATCCAACTTACAAGGGATGTGAAGGACCTCTTCAAGGAGAACTACAAACCACTGCTCAATGAAATAAAAGAGGATACAAACAAATGGAAGAACATTCCATGCTCATGGGTAGGAAGAATCAATATTGTTAAAATGGCTATACTTCCCAAGGTAATTTATAGATTCAATGCCATCCCCATCAAGCTACCAATGACTTTCTTCACAGAATTGGAAAAAACTACTTTAAAATTGCTTTTTAAAGAAAAAAAATCTAAAGCTTTATGATAATCCTTTGGAGGAGAATATACGTGGGTATTCAGGAATTACTCTGTACGTTAGGAATAAGAGAGCCATCAGGTACATATAGATATTTAAGGACCATATGATTATTCATTCATGTGGATCATATTTCTTTAGTGCTTACTACACACTTGAACCTGCCTAGGTATTGGTGTAGATACAGACACATTTCACTTCTGCTCTAATGAACTTTGCATTTTAATAGGAAAACAGACACTGAACAAGAATTAACTTGTGTGTAGTTTCAGGATGGAGAGGTTTGTGTTGTCAGTATAGTATAAGATAGCAGTGCCTAACTAATTCAGTGTGCTCAATAGAGGCTTGGCATGGTGGATGTTAACTAGGCACACGAGCGTGCAGAGTGTGTTCCGTATGGATAGAAGGGCACACATGAAGGACCTGAAGCAGGGAAGAGCAGTCAAGGAACTGGGAAACTGCACTATGGCTAAAGGAGATCATGATGGATGGGTATACGTCTGTGAAACGAATGCATGCTCTCATTCCCAAGAACATTTGCAGTTTGTGCCTAAGTTCCCAGGTAAATGATAGCACCACCATTATCTCTCAAAATGTCCATCATTTGATATTAAACTCTATGGTCACTATATTTATTAGGGATATAACCTAGGGAAGTGAAAGTCTTTGCAGATGTCATAGAAGCTTATCTATATATATTATATATATATATTATATATATATAAAATGCTTTTTGTGAGTTTGATCCTTGATGTATTTTCAAACCCTCCTTTCTCTAAAGTAGCACTTTCCAATAGAAGCAAGTTATGAATGTATTTTAAATGCTCTAGTAGCCACGT
Source organism: Homo sapiens (assembly GCF_000001405.40). Lineage (NCBI taxonomy): Eukaryota > Metazoa > Chordata > Mammalia > Primates > Hominidae > Homo > Homo sapiens. The sequence goes on from NC_000007.14 coordinate 52,646,764, forward strand.
TAAAACAGTAAAAGAAAACAAAATAGTTAAAGTTAATTTAAATAATATATTTCATTTAATCCAATATGTTCAAAGTATTATCATTTTAACATATAATTGATTTTGTCTTTTGCCTTGAAATGTGTTATTTACTTTATATTTGCCACAACTATCATTTTGAACTGGTCACATTGTAGGTGCTCAATGACCTCATGGAGGTAGTAGCTGTCATATTGGACAGTGCAGTATCTCATATCCTTTTTTTGCACCTTTGGTTGAACTGTGGCATGACTGTAATATTTTCCACTTGGACCTATTAATCAGCCCCACCTTTGTTGCTTTAGCAGTGGAGTTTTGGAGGTTGAAAAGTAATCTGTTTTTAATTATTCATCAATGGGGTAGCAACAAGTGATCAAATTCTTCCCAATGACATCATTGTCCACATTTTTATCAATGTCAAGAAGAGGGATTTATCTTCATTTAGTTTTATGAATCATATGGGCAGAGTCACACAGATAAAGCCAGGATATTAATCAAAGATACAACATGGGGCAGGGTGTGATGGCTCACATCTGTAATGGCAGCACTTTGGAAGGCTGAGTTGGATCACTTGAGGCCAGGAGTTTGAGGCCAGCCTAGTCAACGTGGCAGAATCTCATCTCCACTGAAAATAAAAAAAATAGCCTGGTGTTGTGGTGCATGCCTGTAGTCCCAGCTTCTCAGGAGGCTGAGGCAGGAGAATTGCTTGAACCCAGGAGGCAGATGTTGCAGTGAGCCGAGATCATGCCACTGCACTCCAGCCTAGGCAACAGAGGTAGACCCTGTCTCAAAACACAAACAGAAAAGATACAACATGGTGAACAGAAGCAAGTGTAATAAAACTTAGGACAAAGTCAAGATTGAAAATTTGTTGATATTTTGTCCTCCACACATTGGCTATGTGACCCTGGGCAAGTTTCCCACTGAGGTTAAATCTGTGAAAAATGAAAATAAAAATAGGTGTACTTGAAATGCCTGACTGAAACAGTTGTGGTGAAAAACAAATGAATGCAATGTTTATGCATGACAGTTTTACTTTTGCGGTGAATAGGTGAATAAAGGTTATTTTCAACTTCATTATTTAAAAACAGCAAAAGTTTGCAGATGGCAGATGTAACTTTTATCTTCAGTTTATGAAGGTCAATTTTCAGACACCTTATTTTTTTTTAATAATTATTTTCTTCTTTTTGAGACAGAGTTTGGCTCTTGTTGCCCAGGCTGGAGTGCAATGGCGTAATCTCGGCTCACTGCAAACTTCGCCTCCCAGGTTCAAGTGATTCTCCTGCCTCAGCCTCCTAAGTAGTTGGGATTACAGGCATGCGCCACCATGCCCAGCTAATTTTGTATTTTTAGTAGAGACGGAGTTTCTCCATGTTGGTCAGGCTGGTCTCAAACTCCTGACCTCAGGTGGTCCACTCACCTCGGCCTCCCAAAGTGCTCGGATTACAAGCAGGAACCACCACGTCTGACCTCAGACATCTTATTAATACATTATTTCAAAGTATTTTACTCATCAAAGTACACTTGATCCCCTTAGAACCTCAAGACAGAGAATGCAAACTAGTGAATGATCCTTGGTTAACAGTTGTCTTTATTTACAGGGACGTTGTCCTGAAAAATTGCTTTCAGAATCTTAAGACAAAGTGATCCATTTTTTATGGAGGGATTTTATAAGTTGTATTTTAATTTTTTTTAACAAATTTTACTTAATGTGTTCTTTCAAGTGAAAACACCTAAAGTTAGAGATAAAAATACAGTAGGGATAACTTAGGTAAACTTGTAATTCTAAATCTCATGGATCACAATTTGCTGCATTTGTGAAATACTTGCATTGAGGAATTATCTGTGGGTATTACAGCTCCATGCTGAAGAAGACTCAAGTGTTAATTTGAATTTTTCTTCCCACCTCCCATTGTACCCAGGCCTTATTGGTCATAGTTGAAGGAGGCCACTCCATTCTTCCAGACCCCAAAGTACCCTGGTTTGGGAGACACCTATGGCACAATAACTGGGACTTTGACCTACTCTAAATACTTCTTGACTCCTATGTTCTTCTCTTACATGCCTACTCCTTGTTTTTCCTCTTAAATGTACATTTATTATGGTAAAATATACATAACCCACAATTTAACATTTTAACCATTTTAAAGGTATGATTCAGTGGCATTAAGTATGTTCACAATGTTGTGAATCTATCACCACTATCCATTTCCAGATTTATTCATCATTTCAAACAGAAACTCTGTATTCATTCAACAAGAGATGATTAACATCCTAGTCATGAGGAAAATGCAAATCAAACCCACAGTGAGATACTACTTCATACTTATTATTAATAGCATGGCTACATAAAAACAAAACAAAATGAAAAAGAGAATAATAAGTACTGGCTATGACGTCAAAGAATCAGAACCCTGGTATATTACTGGTTAGAATATAAAATAGTGCATCCACTGTGAAATACAGTTTATCAGTCTCTTGAAAAGTTAAAGATAGAATTACCATATGATGCAGTAATTCCACTGTATGTATATACTCAAAGTACTGAAAGTAAGTTCATGCTCACCACTACCATGGACCTGTTGTTTCTCTACTGGATTTCTCAGAACCACCAACCAAGCTCCACTCATGGCTGCTGCCTGCCCTGAGCCTCACACACCCAGGCACCTAGAGCTCATCTCATTCTTGTTGGAGGTAAAGGAGGGCTTAAAGCCCATTTTATTTTGTTCAGTCACTGAGAGAAAGCAGTCTTTGATCCTAGAGTTAACAACCTTCCAATTTCCCCTCAGGACTGAGTGACTTCTGGAGAAAATATTCAGTTCTAAAACTGGCAAAATTTTGGGCCAATCAGGATTAATTGGTCACCATATTTTGGTCCCCAAAAGAAATACAGCTCTTAAGTTTAAAATTTGTTGCTATTGTTTATCATTTGGTTCTCAATCACACCATTCTTTTGCCTAGGGAACAGTCCCTTGTCAGAAATGTATCTTGAGGAGAGATGAGTTTAAAAAGTCAGCCACACATGATACCTGACTCTGTCATGGATTTCTTACCTCTGAGCCCTTGACCTTGTTCTTTTCATTTGTGGCAAAGTTAACTTTAGTTTCAGGGGGTATACATGCTTGTTTGTTATGTGGGTATTATATGTACAATGGTGGGAGTTGGGTTTCTAGTGTACCCATCACCCAAGTATTAGACAGTGTGCCCAATAGGTAATTTTTCTACTCTCACTCCTATCCCTCCCTCCCCATTTTTGGAGTCCCCAGAATATTTTCTCTTTATCTTTGATAAAGGTGACAAAAATAAACAATGGAGAAAAAACACCCTATTCACTAGATGGTGCTGGGAAAACTGGCCAGCCATATGCAGAAGAATTAATCTGGACCCATGTCTCTTACCATATGCAAAAATTAACCCAAGATGGATTAACGACCTAAAAATAAGACCTGAAACTATAAAATTCCTAGACAAAACCCAAGGAAAAACTCTTCTGGACATTGGCCTGGACCTTGTTCTTGAGTCTGACTCAACTCTTATTGGAAGTTACCAAGTACAGCCATCCTGGTACACTGTGGTGCAAAACCATAAGGCTCTCTACTTAACAAGGGAACAACATGTAGTTAGGCAGATTCATTGTTGCTTCAGAGCCATAATGCCTGAACTGAAGTCTTAGCCCTGCTTTACTTTCAACCAGTAAACACTGGTAATTACTGGAGAAATTACCAAATGGTTAATTTCTCCATTTGGTAATGAAATGACCACCACAGTTCTATATTTTATTCATCATATAGCATTATTCAAAGTAGAAATTGAGAGAGTGCTGGGTAAAGGCCCTTGTAGGACACTAGCATATCAGGAAAACACAAAACCTTTTCTCTAGTCCTGGTTTATCTCTTTGGCCAGGACTCCGTCTTTCCCAGCGGCTTACTAGCAAAAAGGACCAAGATCACATGACTGATTTTAACCACTGTTTCTCAACCTACATCTTATTACTCCCCAAGAAGCCTTTGTAGATATTTTTTCCAATTACCTCCACTATGAAATGTTCATGTCATTGTTCATCATATACTTGTTTTTGTACTATATATATCTGTGTTTTATAAATAAAAATTGTAAGATTTTTTTTTCTTCCCAAGAATCTATTACCATCTCCTTGGGTTTGATCTCATCCTGTTATGACCTCATAGTTTAGATCAATCATGATTCATGCTCTGCACCTGGGTACATTGTGAAAAGAGTAAGTTAACAAAATAGCGAGGAAGAAGAGGCCCTTGGCTTACATCTATCAGTGTTTGCCACAGGCCACCTTTGGGGTCACTACTTAAATTCAGTATTTATTCACTAGTCACTAACAAACATTATTGACTATTTATATCAAGTTTTAAACAGAAGGTGGAGATACAGTGGAAAACCAAACAATTTAAGACATTGTACTCTACTGAACAGTTTGATAGGGCGTATTCTAAAATGTTTCAGAACCAAAATGTGGCCATATTATGTATAATGGTTTGGGTGATGTAATATAAGATTTCTCTCCTACTTTCTTTGTATATATTACACATCAAGTAGTAGGACAGAAAGTGAGTTTGAGGGCAGACCTTTGTTAAAACAGAATTACAAAAATCTAACTCCTGTACATCATCATCATCATCATCATCATCATTATTATTATTAAGGCAAATCATTAAATCTTGTACAGACCTAAAGAGTCATTATCATCATTTGAGTTTTGAGAGTTCATAATCTTCCTTGCACATTATTCAGTTAGTCATTTGATAATTTTAGAGAATTTATAAATCAAGAAGTACTGGTCTCATCACTGAATAAAAGTTGCTGTGAACACCAGAAATAGGAACATGTGACTGATAAGAATAGTTTTTAGTTTAGCATTTGTTTTTGACCTTTAACTCTATAAAACTTCAATAATGTTATTTATTTGTCTCCTGCAACTTACTTAGAAATGCGTGACATTTTAGAAGAATCACTAAAAATACCTTTCCAAATGCTCACCTATATAATCACTTTTACATAATAAAATGTAACATATTGAATTATTGTTTGCCTTACAGAATTTTATAATATATGGTCTGTTTTGCTTATATTGTGTTAAAATGAACTCAGTCATTGTAACAGTCAATTCATCTATCAACAACCATTACCAAGCCTACCATTTACAAGGTTTGCACATTGAAAGACAGCATGGCTCAGGATTACTTGCTAATTGTGTGGCAGGGTCAGTTTGTGAAACAGAAATTAAGAAAAAGGGGAGACATCAGTGTAGGCTATGGATTCTTAAAAAAGGCTGAGATGGAAAGTCAAAATCCAGGCCATATCTTCCTGGAATAAATCATTTGAAATGAGAAGAAACACTTTTTAGACATGGTGAAAAAGAAAAACAAAAACAAAAACGAAGACTGAGATTTCTGTGTGTGTTTGGGATGGGAGATTTGTGAGGGCATGTCCACCTGGAGACCATTCAGACAGGAATGCTTTTCGCATGGCACTTCTGTTCTGCCACAAAAGTGCTACCAAAGGCAAAGAGGTTAAAAATCCTGCCCAAACAGGTTTTCCCTCTGTCTTCATGGAGGCAAGAATGGATTGGAGTAAGCCAATGAGCAGTGACCTGGTACTGAGTGCCCAGCGGAGTTCATTTACCGCCTGCACCTCACCTGGTTCTGCTTCAAGAAAGCCTGGACATGCCCACAAGCAAGCTTTGTCCGGTAGGGGATCAAACCTTTCTTCCAAACCTACTGCACCTCTTCATGTGTCCTTTTCTCCTTATCAAGTAAAGTAGGCTTGAGGTCCTTTGAACCTTCAAATGCATATGAATATTAAGGACAATTGGATTCCTGCATTACTCATGCTTCTGCCACTTACCCACCGAACAGTACAAGTGTGTGAGATGCTCAGGGTCTGTCTGGAACTCCTGTTTTCCCCCTCTCTGCCTAGAGGACTAGAATATTCAGTTGTATATTTTAAGAGATTTGCTTTATCTTGAATCTGCAGGCATTCATCACCATATGCAGCAGCTTGAAAAATAATTATATTCAAAAGACATGGAGCATTCCACATCACACTGCCAAGCAGAGATTAGAAGGGAAACCTACAGGCTTATTGGAATATCTGGATTTTGAGACACTAAAGGCCAGATATCAGACATTTCCCTACACTATTTACATTATATATGTGTGTGTGTGTGTATATATGTATATAACCTAATTTAAATTATAATTATATTATTCTAATTATAGTTTAATAATATGTAATTAAACTACATATAACTTAATTTAAATTTAATACTAAAAATAAAGAAAAAATATAAAAATGGCTTACACACATGCTAAGAATCTGTTCTGTTCACTTTTGTAAATATTTCCTCCTTCAACTTAACTCTGTACCCCTTCCCATACTGCACAACTCACCTTCCTGGTAGATAATTGTCCGAAATCTCTGTCCCATGCGTGTGGGATTGGGAGGAGGCTGTGATTTTCTCCCATGCCCCCACTGCCCAGTGCTGCTGTAGGTTTGTTGTCCTCCTTCTAAGTAATATCCTGGTAAAATATTCTGAGCAATATTGAAACTAAGTGAAAATCACTGAAGACTTACATTTTTTTCCAGTCTGAGATAGCCGTATGATAATATCTTACTGCTAAGTGAGTAGATATCAAAATGAAAAAAAATCATTAAAATCTGACAGTTAAAAAAGATTGAGTATTCATCACGACCAAAACCTTCATTTTATCTATGAGAAATCTGAGGCACAGAGCACTGTATGATTAGGTCTACAAGAACCTGATAGTCAGTCATGATTAGAGCACAATACACACTTAGTTGTTTTTCTCTAACTAATATCTATGGTTTCTGTATAAGCTAGACATATTTAATCAATGAGGAAGACATTATATTTAATTTAAAAGAAAGAGCTAGAAAGAAAGAGAGTGGGACAAAGTGAGAAAGCCAAACAGTTACTTGTTGAAGGATGGTTTTTTGGTTTTATATTACTGGCAGTAGAATGCAGAAGAGAAACTCAGGAAAGAAAGGCATGTATATCAGATTTCATTTGAAAAATCAGCCATATCATGAAAATAGAAAAGGTTAAACAGTTATTGAGCATTGGATGAATGCTGGGTCATGTATATGTTAGTGTTCATTTCAGTTTCATTAACATATTGTTACTATTTAACACATTTAAAATGCATTGTATAGCTGTAAACATATTGGAAAGAATTACGCTAAGTGATTTTTTCAACATCAAATAATTATCCACTAGCAGGTCTCTTTGACTCTGAAGTTCTTGTTCTTCCTACTACACTCTGCTATCTCTAAAAGGAATTTCAAATCTTGGATGAATTCCTCACTGCAACTTTCAATTTCACTTTGTAAAGTTTACTATTGTTGTTGTTATTGTTGCTACTGTTTTACAAATACTGTTTTACCTAAAACTTCACGCATTTGTCATTATGTAACTTTTAAGATATTGCATGTGACCTTGGAATTTTATTGGTGTCTAGAAGAAAGGGATTAGGAGCAGGTTCTGTGGCCTTGCCTGTTGCCTCATACCTCAGGATTTGTCTCTTGGCCTAATCTTTTTGGCAAAGGTAGCTCACAAAGCTATGAGGATTTTTCTTATCCTAGGGCTAAGATGAAAGAGAATACAACCAAGGACCTCGCACCTCACTGTTGAGTCTATTTACTTAGGAATGAATAACTGAGATGCAGCTGCATGAGGGAATGGAAACCCATCGCTCACCTTAAGGGGAGTGTGACTAACAGGCATGAACGCTGAAGGCTGTCAGAGCCCATGGCTCCTCCAAGCCCACACTCACCTCTGCATCATCACTGGCAGCCACACTGTCCCAAACACAGGGTGACGGGGATATCAGAAACAGCACTTGGAGTCACAGATGTCTGTTATGCAGTTGCTGAGTGTACTGCTCTAGTTAGTGCCTCATATTCTTTCATAAAGCTTGATGAACTTAAGACTGCACAGAGCCTATGGTGTCTCAGGGGTTTGGTTGTTAACCAGAACCCAAAACCACTGAAATGGTTGAACAGAGTGTCTGTGGCAGTGACATATTCGGTGTTCACATTGAAACTGTGCATACACAGTTTGCAAAACACATCATGCCACTCAAGGAATGCACATTTTGGCCAGTTTGGGGGTCTGATAGCCCTTCTCCCAGAGGTGTTCATTAAGAAAGGACCAGGCCCGGTCACTGTTCTGACCTTGGCGTTTCTTCCCAACTTTTTCTCCACTTTGATTATTGCCAAACTTTCAGATTATTCAAAAATATATTTGGGTGCCTCTCACTTCCTCAACTGTTTTATTTTCAATAACTTTTTTTGTCCTTTTCCTTCACTACCTAGTCACATCCCAAATCTTGCCATTACTCTAGAAACTATACCAGTGCAGAAGTGTTCATTTCAAACAAGTTACAACCATTCCAATGTACCTGTTGAGGTGCACAGATGAATAAATCTCTGACTTCATGAAGACTCGCTTGGTGTCCTACTTCTCTTTCTACCTATCTTTAAATAAATGTAATAATAAACAATGTACTATTTTTCATCTGACTTCTTTTGCTCAATATAATGTTTATGAGGTTCATTCATATTGTCGCAAATAATTACTATTTATTCATGCTCATATTTCTATAATATTCCATTTTAAAATAACAAATTTTATTTAATAATCCTCTTCTTATTGGGAATTTGACTCATTTCCAGATTTCAGTTATTACAAAAAGTGCTGCTATGTCCATTTTTCCACATGCATTTTAGTAAACCCTATATATATGTATATACAATTCTGTTTGGTTTATTCATAGGAAGGGAATGATAGGGTCATGGGACTTGCGTACGTTCAGCTTTTGTAGGTAAAGCTTTTGTCTTTTGAAGGTCAGTTTGCATAGTCTGAAGATGTTTCTAACACCTCCACACTTTTGTTTGATCAATGACTAAGTCATCGTGTAGGTTGCAATCATATCTAATGAGTAAAATGTCCATAATACAAACAAGGAATGCCATTTGGAGGTGGAGTTGCATGAATATTTACTTACAAAATAGATAGGCTTTTTATGTAACATCCATGGAATTTCTCCTTATGTGCATTTCTTTTTGTAAACATCTTCTCATTTGGTTGAAGTGTAAAAGTACATTTACTAGAAGAGTAAAATACTTCAATAATTAAAGAAGATAGTGAAAACTGTGAATTTACCTTCAAAATGATCATTAAGATCTTCAAACACTTAACTAGGGAAACAGATTAGAGTCACTGCAAATATTGAGAGTGTGTGAAATTACACAAAGGATCACGTTGCCAAATTGGATTCACAAGATTCTAAGATCTCAACCAATACCAAGCTGGGCTAATAATTTCCAGGATAGAAGCAAACACAGGCACAGAAGAAGCAGGAGAGATCTAGCTGGCATAGCAACCCAGGTCCTTTCCTGTTGCCCTAGGATTAATTCTCAGTGATTCAAATAAAGAGGTTATTTGAAAAGGTAATGTTGGCAGCCACATTACTAACATAAAGTGAATCTGTCTTAGCTATGAAATTTCACCATTGTATACTCAGGTATTTACAGAACTTACGTGGCATTTTTATTAGGGGATCTTTCTCCATAAAACCATCGATTCCAGGTTGGTTTATTATAATCAATCCTAGACACTCAAGGACATACCTTTGAAAACATTCCGTAAGTAAGAACTCTCTTACTAGCAAATACTATTTGTATACTTACCAAACAGAGTGTTAATATGTTTACATGAAGATATATCCTATCACCTTTTTTCTATCTTTCTTGGCTATGTTACATCTGGCAAAGCAAGAAAATGAATAGTAGTTCAGCTGCTAAGCCTTTTCTTCTCATGATATTAGCTAACTAAGTTATGGAAGAATACTAAATATTTAAGCAAAATGTGTGTAAAACATAAGCAATACAAGGCAGAAAAGTAGCAATTAAATTAATCATAATTGCAATGTTTGTAAAATGGTTTTGTATTTTAGCATAAAAAAATTACATGAGATAATATTTTGAAACTCTAAATTTTAGTTATTCAATTCTACTTAGGCAATCTATTTTTAAATAAAAAGTCCTATTCTCAACAAAGAGAATAATTTTCACCTTACTATTTTAAGAATTTACAAAGGAAAGAACTGCAAATCTATTAATAAAGGCCATTATAAATTATTTATTATTCAAACATAGTAATGAATTCATTGTATGAATGAGAGAAGGAAATGTTAGAGAATATTAATAATGAAATTTTTTTCTTGCAAGCTTCAAAAACACTAGACTTTTGACATTACTTTAAACTATTAATCTTTATAGTTTTGAGTCAATGGAAGCTTATCAAAATGCTTTATACACTTTCACTTTTTTAGTTATTATAAGCAAAGGATTTTTGAAATTTGACTAAATTACGGATCTAAGCAAAAAGTTTTCTCCTGAAAAAGTAACAGAAAAACATGGTTAGAAATTGTGTTATGATGTCCACACACACACACACACACACACACACACACACACACTCTAAAAGGTTTAGTGATTTTTAAAAATGGATCATCAAAAAACATTCAGGGCAAAATGGCTTAATGTTCAAACTAATGATGTGTCTTCTTTTAGCATACTATAATTGATCAAGTATTTATAGAATTAAATAATAAAGGGTCAACCAATTATTATTATTTTACTAACTGAGTATTAACTGCATCATTCATGGTGTGAGGCACTGTTGTATCCCTGGGGATTAAGATGAATAAAACAAAACAAAAGCAAAAACAGCCAGCCATCCCTGCCCATGGAGCTTTTATTTTAGAAGACAGACTCAAATAGTATGCATAATTAAATGAATGAACTGTATGTTAAAATGACATTAGTGCTATAGCTAAAAAAAAATAACAATAATAAAAGCATGTTTCTCCTTGGGAAATCAAGAGAGGAGAAAGACCTATTAATGTGAAACAGAGTGGTCAGAGTAGGATCCCAATAACTGTTGCATTTAAGTTACCTACATGAATATGTAAAAGAAGTGTTTTACAGGCAGAAGGTATAGTATTTGGTAAGCCTCTGAGGTAAGACTTTGCTTGCCTTGTTAAATAAACAGTGAATAAAACTATAGAGCTAGATACATTGAATGATAGGGAGAGAAGAGAGAAGAGTCAGAAAGCTAGCAAGGAAGGACCTCTAAAAATTACACTTTCTCATACAGAATGTAGTCCATTTACTGAAAATTTCAGAAAACAAAAACAACTTGAAATGGCTGAGTATCTCTGAAAAATCAACTTATCCATAAAATAATGAGAACCTTAGAAAAATTGTCAAAGTCATCTTTATCAGAACTCTAGAAATTAACCAAAGGCTTGCAACAGTCAGAAGTGTATTTATTCAAGTAAAAGTTTCAAATGTTGATAAGAACATGGAGCTTTGTAGCATTTCAACTCGCCCTATTCCCTAGTTCCACAGTAGCCTTAAAAAACAGCCTAGGGAACATAATATCCATGAATATGACCAGCCTTTCAGCCGCTGAGCAAGGCAGAAAAGGCTTAGAGTTCTCAAAAGCCCCCTCCCCAGAAAATTGTAATGTATCTGACCTTTCTGGCAGTTCCCTAGAAATTCCTCATTGGAGGCCTTGTATTTATTTGACATGATTTGGAATTCACTCACTCAAGTAGCTTTTCACCTGGGTGTTTACAGAAAAAAAATCTGCAGCAATTGTTTTACATTGCAGGTATCTGAAGCAGCAATAACAGTTAAGGCTAGTAAAAAGCTGGCCAAAAATTTTAAATGGAAAATGAGATGTCCAGAGAAGTCTTTGAAAAGCTGATATTTTCCTGAGAATCTAGAGGATCACACTCATGTGCAGAGCTGTATGCATGTCCAATAAATACCTGAGAAAGCCTAATATCTCACCACTGGCTGACCTTGAGGATCTGTGCAGGAAAGTAGTAAAGGTTAAGGCATAGTTATAAACTGCTGGCTGGAGTATTGAAAGGGTGCCTATTCTGACTTCAGTTCCTGTATCGTGATTCAATTCTGACATCAACTACCCAGAGTTAACATCAAACTCTGCAGCTTTAAGAGTAGAGTCCCCAACAAGGCTGACCCCACTTCAGACACCAACAGCAAATGGTCTTCACAGAACACCTACACTTCTGGCCAACTGACTACAAGTCCAGAGAGCCCCCTTGACCCTCTCTACACTTTGACAAATTACTGGAAAAACACACAGAAATAGAGAAAGTATATATATGTATGATCATAGTTTTATTATAAAGAATGCAAATCAGGAACTGCCAAATGAAAAGACATACGGGTTGAAATCTGGGAGAGTTCCAAATAGAGAGCTTCCATGACCTCTCCTCATAAAATCAGGATGCATCCCCCTTGCAGCACCCATTGGGAAGCCCCACCATGCTCTTATGTCCAGATATTTTATTGGGCATGACTGTGGTCAATCAGTTTAGACTCAACATCCAGCCCTCCATTCACTCACAGAAAATCAGGTTTGCTCAAATTCCCAACCTTCTAATCATGTGTGTGGTCTTTCTGTTTACCAGCCCCCGTCCTGAATTGTCTTGTTAGCATAGTCAGCATATTCAGGTGTGATCCAAGGGATTTATGAATAACGAAGACATTCCTTTCATTTATGAGCCGGGAACAACATTCTTTTCATTTATGAGCCTGGAACAAATATCAGAATTCTTTTTTATTATACATCAAGGTTCATTACACACATTGTGTCCCTCTGTACAGGTAAGAGATTAATTTGTTCAAGACATTTAAGAAATCTCTGTCCAATCATTAGCTGACCACCAAGCTAATCATGAGGACAGTTCATTAGGCACAAAATAAATAATAAATAATAAATACTTTAGAGCAGTTATTATTGTTAATGCTGTTTGTTTGTTTAGGTACTTTTAAACAAACAGCATTAACATTAATTACCAAAACAATACTAAGTCCTGGATTGGGGGAAATCTGAGTTCCAGATATACTTTATAATATTTAAAATATTAAGTTTTCAACATTTAAACAATAACAAAATAAAATGAAATAAGAAAGCTTCACCACCCCCCCACACACACCAAACTATCAATAGCAATTTTGGTTGGTGTGTGTGTGGTGGGGGACATATATTGGACAAAATTTTAAATCAGGAATTTAAAATATGTTCAGATAACTAAAAGAAATCATGGTAAAGAACTAAGGAAAATTAAGAGAATAATATATTGCTAAAAAAAGAATGAATTTAGAAATGTAGAAGTAATGTTGAAGAGCCAAATATAAACGTTAGAGTTGAAAACAAACAAAATAATAGAAATAAAATATTCACTAGAAGGCCTCAAGGGCATGTTTGAGCTAGCAGAATTGGTTAGGTTAGGATTAGGTCAATTGGAATCATCCAGTCTGAGGAAAGTAAAGAAAAGGAATGAGGAAAAAATAACAGAACATTAGGGACCTGAGGGACAGCATGAAGGCTACCAACATGTGCACAGTTGGTACTTCCAGGAGAAAATAGACAGAAAAGAGCTGAAACACTACTTGATAAAATAATGGCTCAAAACATTCAAGTTTGATTAAAAAAAATAAACATTTGTCAGCACTTAAAAGAAGTTGAATGAGCTCCATTAGATTAACTTGAAGAGATCGACACCTAGCCACATCATAATCAAAATTTCAAAAGCCAAAACAAGTAGAGATACTTAAAAATGGGAAGATAGAAGTAATTTATCACATAAAGGGATTCTCAAAGAGAATGAGTCCATTTTTCATCAGAAACTATGGAGGCAAAAAGGCAGTGGGATGGTATATTCAATGTGCTGGAAGAAAAATAGTGTCAGTCAAGAATTCTATATCCAGCAAAACTACACTTTGAAAACAGAGAAGAAAGTAAGAATTTATAGACTAATAAAAATTGAATTTGTCACCAGCACATCTTTCATACAAAAAATACTAAAGTCCTTCAGACCGAAATAAAATAATATTACACAAAACCTTGAATTCACATGAAGAAATAAAGAACACAAGTAAAAGTAAATAATTGTGTAAATATGGAATACAGGATAATTTTTTTTTTGTTTGTGACTTCTCTTTTATCTTCTACCCACTTTAAAAAATGACTACATGAAGCAATAATTATACAACTTAGTCAAAGGCTTATAATGTATAAATCTGTGATGGTATTACAATAAAAACACAGAGGAGGAAAGCAGAAAAGGAACCATATGGGAGTAAAGTTTTGTAGACTATTGAAATTAACTTGGTATAAATTCAAAGTTTATCATTATATGTATAGATGTTAATTTTACTCCTTACTGCCTTACCACTACAAAAGTAACTTTAGATTAAAAAAATACAAATAGCTTAAATGTAAAAGGACAACAAGATCATATCATGTGAATAGTCATTAAAAGAGAGCTTGAATGGCTGCATTATCGACAGTTTTCAGACACAAAAAGGATATTTTATATGAATAAAAAGACAGACTCATCAAGAACCATAATAATTATGGATACATATTTAGCTAACAAAAACAAAACAACAAAATATATGATGGAAAATTGACATAATTTAAGAGAGAAGCAGACAACAATAATAGTTACAGACTTCAATAGTTTACTTTCAGTAATGGATAGAACAAGGCTGATGGGCAAAAGGGAAATAGAAGATTTGAAATACACTGTCTACCAACCAGACCTAACACATGTCTATAGAATGTTGCACTGAACAACAGCAGAATGAAAATTATTCTCAAGTACGCATGAAGCATTCTCTAGGACAGACCATATATTGGGCTATAAAATAAATATTAATAAATTTAAAATAAAATATATAGAGAATGTTGTTCAAATACAATAAAATGAAAATACAAATTTAAAAGAAAAAACATGACATGCTAAAATATGGAGTACAGTAAAAAATCAGTGGTTGAAAGGTAATCAATAGCTTTAAAAAATAGAAACAATTAAAATCAATAACCTTATCGATCATGAAGACACTGGGGAGAAAAAGAATAGGCTAACCATAAATCAAGTATAAAAGGGTTAATAATAAATATTAAAGAAAAGTAAGGCCGAACGGGGTGGCTCATGCCTGTAATGCCAGCACTTTGGGAGGCCGAGGCAGATGGATCACGAGGTCAGGAGATCGAGACCATCCTGGCTAACATGGTGAAACCCCGTCTCTACTACAAATACAAAAAATTAGCCAAGCGTGGTGGCAGGCACCTGTAGTCCCAGCTACTTGGGAGGCTGAGGCAGGAGAATGGCGTGAACCCGGGAGGTGGAGGTTGCAGTGAGCCGAGATCCTGCCACTACACTCCAGCCTGGGTGAAAGAGTGAGATCCTGTCTCAAAAGATAAATAAATAAATAAATAATTTTTTTTAAAAAAAGAAAAATAAATAAAATAGAGAATAGAAAAGCAGAAAAAAATGGAGCCAAAGTTATTTCTTGAAAAGGTTAATAAAATTGGCAAATCTTTAGCCAGACTGACCTTGAAAAAATGGAGAAGTTTAACAAAAGCAAAAAAAAAAAAAAGTTAAAAAGTGATTAAGAAAAGAAGAAAGATGAAAAGGAAAAAGAGAAAAAAGTCATTGAGATTAGAAAGGAAGAAGTAAACACAGTTGTATTTCAGATGCCATGATTTTGTATATTAAAAAAAATACGGAATTCACTAAAAAATGTTTAAATTGAATTAGCTCAGCAAGGTTTCAGAATTTAATGTACAAAACTCAGTTGCTTTCCTTTAGCATTAAAAATATGAATATTAAATTAAGGCAGTAATTTAAAATACCGTGAAAATATTTAGCAATATATTTGACAAAGGAATTGCCCTACTTTTGCATTGAAACCTATAAAATATCATTTAAAAATATTTTAAAATACTTGAATAAATTGAAAGGCATCCCAGGGTCATGAATTGGATGATGATATTGTTTGAATGGCAATACTCCCCAAACTGATCTATAGTAACCACAAGTTCAGAAATAAAAATGTCAGTGTAGTCAACAATTTTAAATTTGCTTTTGAAAATGTTCAGCAAGCATCTCCAAGATGTGAGCACAGTTCAGTTTGTGTGATTGACTTGATGAAATTCCATCAATTTCATCAACCAAATCTTCAAATCTGAAAGCAGTTGAAGAAGAGATAAATTTTTACTTTGTAGAATTACAGAAAGAGTGGATAAGAAGCTTAATAACCTGGTGGCAACCTCACCAGCAGCAGTAATACATACACGCTGAAGTAGACAAAAAGTATCTTTCTCTTCCAAAAACTTCACTTGAAAGTAAAAGTCAATTTATTATCATAGTAGCAATTGAACAGCTGGCAGTACTAATAAATTATTATTCCTACTGCAAAAAGAAACTAAGAAACACAACTAAAACTTTGGTAATACTAGTATAATAATAAGCATTAATTTTGCATAAAATTTCTGTTTTATTCTCATAAGCAGAATTTCATTTTTGATTATGCTCTTTGTTGTCAGTCCTGACTTCAAATAAATACTGATTTTCAATATTTTGCCATTTAACATTTGGACAAAATATGTATATTTGATGCCTCTCTACCCTGGATTGTAAGCTTTTTATGCTTATCCTTCATCTGCTTCCTCCAGAGATATATTGTCTAAGCTGTGAACTCATTCATTTATGTAGAGTGTGAAATATATCTTCCTGAAAAGGATGATATTAAAATGTGCTAACTTCTCCCTTGATTTATGTTTCCTTCATTGTGAATAGAAATTTGAAGAAAATGATCTCTTAGAATCCCTATCTTTTTAGGAAAGAATTTCCAAGATCAAGGGATATTGATATCAGTTACACTTAGTGATTTTTGTGCTATTGAGTAAATTCACTCATATATGTATCCATAGGTTGGTAAAGTAAATTAAGAAAATAATAAAAAGACAACCTGTGGTTAGCATATAGGTTCACAATGAATCTATTTTTAACAAGATGTCCCAAATATATTCACCTTTCGCACAGCTCAAAACTCAATATCATACCCTATTCTGGTTTAGAATTAACCTATTCAAGTGGCATGATGGTGAATATTTACCTTCACTGCTTTTTTCGTAAACTGCAAACTTTCACATTTACTTGTAGCTATTTAAACATAAACACCTACACAAATACATCATTGAACCTTAAATTTTATGTTACTTTCATTTAGTCCATTTCACTTATGACAGTTGCTTTAGGTAAAGTTAATAGCAGTAGCTCACTTCTGAACTCTAATATAATGTTTCTCACCATCTGGCTGAATAATTTTATTAATTAATACATTGCTCACTGCTTCTAAGATGAAAACTTACAATATATTATCAAAGTCCTTCAGAGAAATATATCTCAGACATGGCTTTCACATCACACTCATTTCAAGCAATGGCTACAAAATCTATTTTACTTTCCCTATTTTTCATGTGATGAATGATACAAGGATCAAAATTTATTTATGAAATTTTGCTGAATTTCTGGGATGATAAACTCAGTCTTTGATATGGTTTGGATGTGTGTCCCTGCCCGAATCTCATGTTGAATTGTAAATCCCTGGTGTTGGAGTAGGGACCTGGTGGGAGGTGATTGGATCATGGGGTCAGATTTCCCCCTTGCTGTTCTCCTGATAGTGAGTGAGTTCTCACGGGATCTGGTTGTTTAAAAATGTGTGGCTCTTCCCCTTTTTCCTCTCCCTCCTGCTCCAGCCACTCCAGCCACTCCAGCCATATAAGATGTGCCTGCTTCCCTTTGTCATCTGCTATGATTGTAAGTTTCCTGATGCCTCCCCAGCCATGCTTCCTGTATAGCCTGTGGAACTGTGAGCCAATTAAACCTTTTTCCTTTATAAATTACCCAGTCTCAGTTATCTCTTTATAGCAGCCCGAGAACGAATATTCTTCACCCTCAGGATTTAAAGTAGCAGTAGAGGGAAGCAGTGCATCCAAGATGGACTATCATTCTGAAAAATTTAATTCTCACCAAAAAGAAAACCCTCAGTGAGAAATTGCAGTTTCTGCTTTCACTGTTTAAGGTTACTCATGATACTCTAGATCTCCTTGATCATCTGTTATAGAAAAACAAAACAAAATGGAAATTGTTCCATATTTAGAAATGTGGGATTCAATCCTATTTATGTCAGTTTCCTTCTATTGTCCTTTCCATCTGAGTAAAATCTAATACTTATTTTAATTTATTTTTTAATCACAACACCACCAAAACTTGACATTGCATCTAAATTTCAGAAATGCATAAATGTGAAAAAAAATCTTGTAGTTGGTGTATTATAAAACATATTAAGTGAAAAAAGTAATAATATTATATTGCATTATGACCATAAAATGAGCATTTATGTTAATTATTAAATTAACATAACTTCAACAATATGTATGAGTAGACAATATTTATTATTATACTTTAAATTTTGTTGATTTCATAAGTTGGTGAAATAATTAAACCTAGAAAAGTGCCTTACCATGTTTTTGTTGTAATTAAGAGGTAGGATTCCAGTGATTTTCTAGTAATCACTGTAATAGTGAGACTAATATGTTTCTAGTTATTATTTCCTAAAGCTTATTTTTTTTCTTTTTTTTCCCTAATACCACATATCTTTAGAAATTACACCATTAAAAATTTGTAAGCACCATGTTCCGGAAACAATGTTTCTGGATAGATTCTCCCTTCCCTTCCCATTTCCAGTAACTGGTCCCTCCTCCTCCATATGGCATTCAGAGAATCAGCCATTCCTATAATTGCCACAACAGTCCTAGCCACGGCCACCATTGATCATTCCACTCTGGGAGCCTCTGATCCCTAGTGTTCCAGTTCTAATTCCTTACCTGAATCTGCCAGATGTCTGCCATAGCAGCTGAAACATTTTACAATTTCACTAGTAAGTATGAAGCATGAAGGTTCCAATTTCTTCACATACTCACCCACAGGTAATATTCCATTTTTAAAAAATATAGCCATTCTAGTAGGTGTGAAGTGATGTCTCTGTGTGGTTTTGATTTGCATTTCCATCATGACTAGTAACGTTGAGAATCCTTCCGTGTGCTTGTTGGCTGTTTATAGATCTTCTTTGGATGCATGTGTTAGGATTTTAAAAAGCAGCACAGGACACCTGGTACTAGTGCTGCATTAATCTAGGCTAGGCTAGGCTATATGATAAACACAATCCCAAATGTACAAACTTTGACACCTAAAATGTTTTAAAAAGGTAAAACTCTCACTTGCATGTCTTGGGACATGAATTATGTATATGTTAATCTGGCTTCTTTGTGGGAAAGGACAAAGAAATTATCCCAACAATAGTATAATACTGTATAATATAGTTGGTTTTGGCTGCTTTTTGCAAGGTACAACACACACACACAAATGTGAGCTCTGCAAATAACGGTCAATATGCAAGCAGAAATAATAAAAGATTCTAGAAAAAGTGTAACAATTTAACTTTTTCAAATATGAGAAAGACCAATAACTATAGTTCTCTAAATAAAGAGATATTTCTGAAAAAGCCTCTGAAACACAGGCTCAAGTGATTTAGGTTAAACATGAGACTGAGGGTATGTGTCCTGTAATGACTGTAACTGCAGATTTGGGCATTGCTTTCTACTTATTATTCCTGGTTATGCAAACCCCAAGATTGCCCATTAACTTAGAAGAAACAGCTGTGTGTAAGGAGTATACGTAAGAGAAAATAACAAAAAACATCTTTGAGAATTAGAAGTTGACAGAAACTAAGGTTATGGATCGACCACAGGCAAAGACATAAAAAAGCCCACTGGGTGTTTTCTTTTCTTTTCTTTTCTTTTTTTTTTTTTTGCAAGTTGAATGTCGGAAGAAAGAAATCGTGAGCCTTATATAAAAAAATCCTAGACTTGCTGAGCCTAGGAATAACCCTTTGGTCTATAATTTATTATCAGAAAGTGATTTGTGAAAGTTTTGAAGCCCTCAAAGACGGTATATGCCTTTATGCTTTTTTCAGATATGGACAAGGAGGATAGTAAAAAAACGACCACCCAAAAGTGGACAAGATTTTGCTACAGAGAATAAAAGATAAGGATGATATTCAGAAAGGGAGAAACATTGTATAGTGAACCATCATCTTTTGCCCAATGGGTAGGTGGCCCTCAAAGAGTTTTCCCAGGGAAATTTCCTGTTTCCCCTATATTGTTTATTGTGTGTTGGGGGTAAGGTAAGAGATTTCAGAAAACGTACCTTTTTGTTATCTAGTTTTCTGGACTAAAAGTAGCCATATTGGGCTTGATGGAGTTGCCTTCATATCACCCCAAGTTCCTAAACTTTAAGCAGAATACAAAGATCGGGTTGAACTTTGTGATGTCCTCTATTGGGGAGTTCTTTGGTGCTTTAAATAAATGTCCACAAATTGACTGATACTTTTCCATTCAAAAGGTGGAGTTTGATTATCTTCCTCTTGAGTGTTGGTTAGATGCAGTCATTTGCCCCTGCAGAATAGAATTTGATGAAAGTAGCCTGTGTAATTTCCCAGATAAGGTCATAAAAGGAATTGTCTTCCTACTTGCTCTCCTAGATTACTTCCTCTAGAGGAAGACAACTGCCATGTCATGAGAACACACACAGCTCTATAAGACCACATGGTGAGGAATGGAGGCCTCCTGCCAACAACCGTGTGTGTGTGTGTGTGTGTGTGTGTGTGTGTGTGTGTGTGTGTACCACCGTGGATGAGGATCCCCTAGCCCAAGCAAGCATTCGGATAACTGCAATTTCAGCGGACAACTTGACTGCATTCCCATCAGAGACCCTGACTCAGAAACCCCGGAAAACTCCTTCCAGGTTCCTGACTCTCAGAGACCGTGTGAAATAAAAAGTGTTTGCAGTTTAAAGCTGTTTGGAGTGGGGGAAATTTGTTACACACCAATGGAAAACTAACACAGGTTGCATATGCTGTGTTTGGCAAAGGTATTTAGTGACCACGGGATATCCATTTACTCTCCCTCATTTCTGAACCCACTTCAGTCACGCAAGTGAATGGCCAGTTCTGCTCAGCAGGCTTTAGGCAGAAGCAGCGCGTGACTTCCAAAGAGAAGCACAGAAGAGTGAACAGTTTTCCAAATGATTTCACCGCTCACCCTGATAATGGTGGAAGCCTGGCGTTGAGATGCTGGAGCCGGAAGTTGGAAACAGGCGGATCCCTGAGTCCTTGCTGGAGAGGACTCTCATGAGTGAGGCATACTGTTATTAGTATAATTTTGTATTAAGCCTCAGGGTTTCCTTGTTTGTTATCACAGAGAGGCTGGCAATCTTCACAGGACGGTACAGATGTTCCACTGGGTGGAAGTGGAGGCGGTGTCTTTGTCAAGGCCCACAGTCGGCCCAGCACAGGACCAGGAACTCGGTCCTCACCGGGAGGACACAAAGTCCAGACCTGGGAGTGCCACCGCCACGCACTGTGGAATTTTGTCACAGAGCTGCTGTTCTTTATCAGAGTCCGTTTTAATGTAAATCTCTGAAGAGAAGAACACTAGTCAAGATGATACTGAGTGAGGAACAGAGACCCCTGGATGGGGTTTTCTCGGAATTCTGCTTAGGTTCGCAGGGCAGTCTCCTGCAAATCACTCAGAAGAATTGGAATTAGGATATAGACCCAAACAACCAAGCAAGGTAAATGCACTTCATTTGCATGCGTTCTTCTGAGCGTCTTCTAAATCCCTCTGCGTTTCTGCTCTGGTCTGCGCCTACCACACACAGGGTTCCTGAGTGGAGTCCTTGCGACTTTCCTGAGGACCCAGGCAGCCTGGGGGTTCCAAGGCGGGGGCTGTGGGGTCGCTGGGGACCCGACCCGCTCTGGGTGACCCGCCAGCTGGCAGCCTCTGCTACAAAACACCCGCGCCAAGGAGGAGCTCCTAATGCCTTAGACTAACACGGTGATGCTGCAGTGACTAGTCCATATGCAAGAATGCAGCACTTTATGTTTGCACCCCTGAGGAGTGAGAGCTGGTCCCTAGCATCCGGGTGACACGCCCCGTGCCTGATGCTGGGAGTTTAAGCTTTGGCCTCCGTCTTGGGACTGACGCCAGCCCCAGGTGCCACGTGTTGAGGAGTGGCCCATCTGTTAGAAGTGGCCTGGTGTGTGAGGGACAGGCCTGCAGAGGAATATTCCCAGGGAGGCAGCCGTAGCTCTAGTGCACGTG
Source organism: Homo sapiens (assembly GCF_000001405.40). Lineage (NCBI taxonomy): Eukaryota > Metazoa > Chordata > Mammalia > Primates > Hominidae > Homo > Homo sapiens. The sequence goes on from NC_000007.14 coordinate 52,668,956, forward strand.
AGGCATCTATAAAGAAAAAAAGGACACAAAACGCCTCTCCTGGTCCACACAGATTTCTGCCTTCTTCGGGAAATGTCACTAAGGACCTCCACCGCTTTTGTATTCCTTACCCCACCCCAACCACAGAGGGCTCGGAGCACTCACACCTGTGAAGTCAGGACTTGCCGCCACCCTCCTCTGTTGCCCCTGTCCTCCCATTCCATGCCTGAGGAGTCGGGCAGGCGGCCCCGCCCAGGCCACGCTTTCCGTGTCCTCTGGCCCGCGAGGCTTTGCATGGACAGAACCAACGGCGAGCCGCGCCCTGGGGACTCCAGGCTGCCGGGATCCAGTCCCGCCTCCAGCGCAGGCTCCACCCTGGGGAGCTCCCGAGAGGCCTGCGCGCTCCTGCCACTCTCCAAGCCTGCAAGGAAGAACCGAAAGACCTTTATTACATTCCCTGGATGTTTGCATGGGACAGTGAAATCCTGCCCTGGAAAATGGGAGCTGACAGTAGCCTCAGGAGTCCAGCAAGGAATGAAATTTCAGTCCCTGCTATGAGAGTCCAGGCGGAGATGAAGGCTGATGGCGCCTTGGATGTCCTCTAGAGGTGACCAAGGACGAAGGCAGATACATCAATGGGCTTGGCAGTCATCATTCATTTTGAATTTGTTACTAGATACATGATTTTAACTAAGAACTGATAAATAGGACATTTTTGTTTGCTTATTTTCAAAATTAGCTTTGCTTTTTATTGGCAATTTTTTTTTTCTCTGTAGAGACCCTAGTTTATTTTTAATTCCATAGACATGGGCACCCTGCTTCACTTTTGACGGAATAGGGTAAAGGCAATGAGAGAAGAAAAATATAAAGTAAACTAGCTAAGAAGATCAATTCGTTGGAGGTGAAGAGCTACGGTTACAGGGATTCAGATGGGCTTGCACTATGACCAAATCAGTGACTTCACCAGGGGTCAAGACCAGAAAGCTGAGCTGAGCTGCAGAGGCCCGGCAGGCCCCCAAGCAGGGATCTGGAGGGCAGCAGCCACCACAGACAGATCCTTCAGGGTTTTGGTAAATAGATGACATCACCAATGTTGATTGTAAAAAAATCAAATGTTTTCTACACAGCATTCCTTTTCTATTTCTTCTAAGAAAGTGAACATATTAAAAATAATATTTGTGAAGTGCTTTCCTAGTTACAAATTTCATTCAGAGATACCTCTATAATCTGAATATAAACTAATGCAATCGATTTTGTGGATTTGTATGAAATGCACTAATGTGTGAAAATGCACTGAACAAAATTAAAAGCATAGTGAAGCCATGAATAAAGCCTAGTTTCTTTTTTTGGCTACAATTTATAAACATAAATACAAACCAAAGTCAGCGGTGGAAATATGCTGCATGGTATTTTTTAAAAACCGAAAACCAAGTATCTCCAAGGATAATATACTCTGTGGAATGAGAAGTGAAAAATATATAATAAAAGCATTAAATCCCTATGAGGGAAGAACACATTGTTTCTCCCACACATCTTTGAATAAGTTTTCCTCCTTGCTTTAATGGTTTCCATTACTAACCCAGGAATAAAAAAGCAAGGCTCAAAGCGATCACAGGAGAGCACAACTGGCCTGTGGTGCTGTTAACAGATTTGAGTAACCCATGTCACTATTTTCCAAAATCCCAAACTGAGAATGCTTTATGCAGTCTGTCGAGAAAGAACAGAAAACTGGTTATGAAGCAAGTTTGTGTTGTGTTGCAAATACTCACAATTACAGTTGAGCATGCTGCACATCATGTCTTCAGTTCAGGGCTTGCCATGAATCTGGATGAGAAATCCATTAGAAAACAAAGGAAGCATTCCAGCTCTCCCTGTACCATTGTTTTCTATAACAATCCAAATCAATCAATCACACTGTTTCTGGAGACCAGGACTTGGAACTAGCCTTTGCTAAAGGAGTATTTTATATTATGAGAAACCATCAACAAATGCAGAGAAAGGGCAAAGGCCTTTTCCATTTCTTCTTTGACTTCACTGTAAATCTCCAGGTGTTTATGCACAGCTCCTGAGGGACCCCTCTCCTGAAGCACTTCATTGTTCTTTTCAGAAAGGATAAATGTTCTGTATACGGGTTTGTGTAATGAGCTCAGAATGGATTGTTGTCATTAGTCATAGGCCCTATGTGAAACTCTTAATCTTGCTGAAGATATTTCGAGTTAAATTCCAAGAAATAGTCTCGTTTGACTTTACTATTTATGGAGAAGGAGAAGCAATTGACCTGTGTGTCCTTGAGAAAGGTAATTGAACTGAGGACATTTGACTCCGCTGGAGTGATTCGTTAATCATGGGAGTGATTCAAATGCAGAAGGAGAATACTTTCTGTTTCAGCAGAGAAAGTGCTCAAAACAGGGAGAAGGAGTTTTGAAGAAATTATACCTAAAACTCTCCTTTCTTTTGAAGTTCTGCTGACCTACACTAAATCCCTCTCAATCCATAATATGGCCATCCCATTAGCTTTTTGCATTCTGGGTGGATTTTGGTATGTAATGAGTGCACTGGCATTTTGCAGTTACAGGAATCTGCAGGTGCCTACACAACAGTCAAACTACATAAAAACCATCTTCATTATCATCATAGCTACTTATTGAACACAATTTAAATTATTATTCATTTATTGAGCACCTTTTATGTATCATCTCATTTAATCTTTACAATAACCTTACGGCTGCATACTGGTTTTGACTCATGCTAACCTAGGTCCCACAGTGGGCAGGTGGTCCTGGAATATGATCTCTCAGATTCACCAGTCTCCCTGGAATGGCCCATTTTCTGCTTCTTGATATCCTGGCAGTGCTGGACCTTTTGTTTCCCAAGGGTTTGTCCTATACTCTTAAAGGGTCTAAACATTTTCCTCTTTATGCATTTGATTGTTGTTCACTGCTCATTAGATGCTAAACACAAGTTCTCTGATTATCTTCACATATTTACTTTCCTCTCCAGTGGTCGCAGAAAGCAGACATTCAAAATGCCATGTGACCTAAGAAAGAGCAAAGTTTTCTCACTAAACTGGTTATCCTCAAGATGTCGGATACCTGTGCTGCACTGAGTATTAACACACCTTGGTTCACAAGGAGCGTTACCTCACCACTCCTGAAGATCTTGACGTGAGAAGCAATGTGTGACTACAATTCCTAGAGCTGGCCTTCCAGAATTTGACTAATGGATCTATGACTGACTGAGAATGGGAGGACAGACATATTACTTAACCTCTCTGTGTTTCTATGTCCACTTCTGTAAAAGGACAATGAGATAGCTATTCCAAGAGGTTGTTATACACTGTAAAATGCATAGCTTGAACTGGTGCTTACTACCTGGGAAATATTCAACAAAGTAGCTGCTTTGTTCATTTCCTGTCTGTATTCCCCATACAGAATAGGTCACATGGGATTCAAGGAGGCATTTGTGATAACTGCATCTGCAACAATGCTAATCATGAGTAGTTCTTTGCCACCTTAATTGGGAATAACCAGAGGTATTCTGCAGTCCTCAACTACTGTACTACCACTAATTGAGGGATACTAGGCAACCAGCTAATTAAGTGACTAGTGCACAAGCCACCCAGGGCACATTTATTCTCACAGGTTCTTGGGTAGTTATTTTTATTTGCATTATAATTTGTTGTAAATCAGAATGTGCAGGGATTATTTAAAAGTAGTTCAAAATAAGATTTGTGAATTTGGAAATATCAAGGTTCCCCTGCAAGAAAAAGACACTTTGAATTTCAGAGTATTTTAATACTTACAAAGCATTTTAAGACACATGATGTTACTTGAGCTGCTGTAAGCTGCCCTAAACCAATTAGGGCACAGAAAGTATATATATATATATATATATGCATACATATATATGCTTTTAAATATATATATTTGAAATATATAATATATATTTATGTACATATCATATATTATATGTATTATATATAAAATATACATTTATATATTTAATTAAAGTAAATATATTAAAGTAAAATTCACATAACATGAAAATAACCATTTTAAAGTGAAAATTCACTTGCATTTAGTACACTTACAATATTTTGCAACCATCAACTCTATCTAATTACAAAATATTTTATCACCCTCTAAGGAAGCCCTGTGTCTTACAAGCAGTTATTCCTTTCCTCCCCCACCTTCCTCCAGCCCCTGGTGACTACCAATTTTTTACTTCTATGGATTTACCTACTCTGCATATTCTATATTGGTAGAATCATAAAATATGTCATCTTTTGCATCTTTTTCAACTTAACATGATGCTTTCAAGGTTCATGCAGGTGTTCCTTGATCAGTACTTTATTCTTTTTGATGGCTGAATAATTTCCCATTGTATGTATATGGCATAATTTGGTTATTAATTCATCCATCAATAGGCATCTCAATTGTTTCCACCTTTTGGCTGTTGTAAATATTGCTGCTTTGAATATGTGTGTACGTGTATTTGAGTATCTATTTTCAATTATTTTCATATATACCTAGCAGTGCATCATAAATATTTTTTGGTCAATAATGATGATGATCAAAGGCACTTGAGATATAAGAGTTAATTAAATAGGCTACAGCAAAAGAAATTTATTAAACAAATGTTCTGTTAACAGGAACTAATCCATGCGCTTGTTTCGTAGCTCAATGACTTACCAGCCTCCTGTCCTTTCAAGTATTTACACAATGACACTCATTCTCCATGCATCACACAATCAGATATTCTTCTTAGCCAATGGCTGGAACCAAGCTGTGGATATTTATCCATAAGGGATGCATGAGAGAGGCTACAGTGGACTATTCTCCTGTTTGAGAAGAGTGGGCATGTTTCTAAACTATAATCACCAATCCATGTCTTGAGTAGGCTTAATTTTATCAGTGAAAATCTGTCAGGCCAGATGCGCTGGCTCACGCCTGTAATCCCAGCACTTTGGGAGGCCGAGGCGGGTGGATCACGAGGTCAGGAGTTTGAGACCAGCCTGACCAGCATGGTGAAACCCCTTCTGTACTAACAAAAAATACAAAAATTGGCCGGTCACGGTGGCTCATGCCTGTAATCGCAGCACTTTGGGAGGCCGAGGCGGGTGGAACATGATGTCAGGAGTTCAAGAACAACCTGGCCAAGATGGTGAAAACCCATCTCTACTGAACATACAAAAATTAGCCAGGCGTGGTGGCAGGTGCCTGTAGTCCCAGCTACTCGGGAGGCTGAGGCAGAGAATAGCTTGAACCTGAGAGGCAGAGGTTGCAGTGAGTCAAGATGGCGCCACTGCACTCCAGCCTGGGCGACGGAGCAAGACTGTGTCTCAAAAAAAAAAAAAAAAAAAAAAAAAAAAAAAAAAATTACCCAGGCATGGTGGCACATGGCTGTAATCCCAGCTACTTGGGAAGCTGAGGCAGGAGAATTCCTTGAACCCGCGAGGCAGAGGTTGCAGTGAGCCGAGATCACCCCACTGCACTCCAGCCTGGGTGACAGAGTGAGACTGTGTCTCAAAAAAAGAAAAGAAAATCTGTTTACCCACCATTTTAACTAACACACAGCTAAATTTCCTCGTAAAAATCCATTTTGCTTTCATTATACAAACTAGTGAACTTTTTTGAGTGATGCAGATACCGATAGCGGAAATTCTTGTTTTAGCCCCCTCTAAGGAAGCTTTTTAAAATATGCTCTTCAGATCATCAGTAGTGTTAACTGACTATCCCTAGCATTAAAGCTTAACCAAATTGGTGAGTACACAAGGTCCCTCTGATTAGACTAAGTATTTTACATTATTTGCAACATAAGTCATGCAGTATCTCCGTGAGATAGGTAATGCAGCTGTGTTTGATTTTCATAGTTGAGGCAAAATGGCTCAAAAACTTGGCTTGCTCAAATGTACATGATGAGTTTGGACACAGTTCTGCATGCCTGTTGTCCCAGCTACTTGGGAGGGTTGAGGCGGGAGGATGAACCCAGGAGTTTGAGTCCAACCTGGGTAACATAATGAGGCCCCTGGCTGGGTGCAGTGGCTCCAGCCTGTAATCCCAGCACTTTGGAAGACTGAGTTGGGCAGAACACGAAGTCAGGAGATCGACTCCTTCCTGGCTAACACGGTGAAACCCCGTCTCTACTAAAAATACAATAAATTAGCCGGGCGTGGTGGCAGGCACTTGTAGTCCCAGCTACTCAGGAGGCTGAGGTAGGAGAATGGCATGAACCCGGGAGGCAGAGGTTGCAGTGAGCCAAGATCAAGCCACTGCACTCCAGCCTGGGCAATAGAGCGAGACTCTGTCTCAAAAAAAAAAAAAAAAAAAAAAAAAAAAGCATAGTGAGGCCCCATCTGTAAAAAATATTTGAAAATAAAAACCAACAAAAGGTTACTGAAAAAATTATGTGACGAGCAAACAGGAAAAGTAGGAATTTTGATTATTTGCCAAGCAGAATTTTTACTTCCATGTATTTAAAAAGTAAAAAGACTGTAACGAACCTCACTATACCTCTTATAAAAAAAAAAACAAGAAATAACAACACAAAACTTATAAAATGTTATTGCCACCAAAGCCACATACAATAATTGAAAGACATAAAATTTGAAATATAACAAAGGAGTTTAATTTCAATTTTATTATTTTGCTATGTGTAAGACTTTAGGCAATACTTTCAACTTATAAAGATTTATATCTCCTAACAGAATTATGTGGATAGTAGTACCTGTGATGCTGGGTTTTCAGGCATATTGTAGATGAAATAGAAATAATTTTCTATCACATAGTAAGCATTGCAGAAGTTTGTATTATTATAATAACTTATTATCTCCTTTAGAATGAGACACATGCTTATTTATTTCATATCTTTAATACATGGCATGATGCTTTGTTAACAAATATGTATGATAGAATTACAGTTAATCAGGGCATCAGAGACCATAAATTAACATGAGTGGCAAACTAATTTCATGTTTAATGTTTATCCATTCCTAAAAGTTTTTTTCTTTAACAAGAAATTAAAAATATGACTGAAAAGAGAGCACTTTATCACTGGTGACTCAATAGATGGCTTTGAAGGGTTCCTATGACTTCAATCTGGACGCCATGATTTCTATCAGTATCCTTCCCAGCCAATGCAAAGAAATACACACTCTAAGTAAAACTAACCTGCGGGTTCTGAAAATATAAAGTCAAGACAAGTCTGATTTCTCCTCCCCAACATGCTTGCCCAATTTAATTCCCAAGGAATTTCTGGAGTCACCGCAAATGTACATATCAATGTCAATAAATATAGGAACCATGGCTCCTAGAAGGAATTTATTAGAAATATTTCCAGCTTAGCTTCTCATGACCCTGAGTTACTACATTCAAATTATGGAGTCATTTATAATATGAGAAAAGTTATGAATTAATCTACTTCAAATGAAGTCGATTACTGGAATACTATCCCAGTAGTGGCACATGGAAAATGAGAAAGCTATTGATAATTATCTTAAGCAATTAAAAAGCAATTTTGGCATTCATTAGCTTTTATTCATTTTTTTATATATAGTCTATGATTGTTTGGTTTTTAAAAATCATTTATTGTATTGCTATTATTCTTTAAAAAATATAAATTGCAGAATTATGTAATCTGTTCATGTCTTCATCCATCTGAGCTGCTATAACAGAATACCACAGACCAGGTGGTTTATAAACAGAAGAAATGTATTTCTCACAGTTCTGGAGGCTAGGAAGTCCAAGTCAAGGAGCCAGTAGCTTTAGTGTTTGCTGAAAGACCACTTCCTGGTTCATAGATGGCCATTTTCTCACTGTGTTCTCAAACGGCATAAGGGGCAAAGAAGTTCTCTGGGGCCTCCTTTTATCAAGGAGGGCACTAATCCCACAAGTGCTTCAACTTCATAACCTAATCACCTTTCAAAATTCCCACCTCCACAGTTCTATTTCCATGCTCACTCTTCCACCTACAGAAATATGTTCTCCCATGATGTGTATTTCTACTATTTTCCTGAAATATCTCTAGTTGACAAAGACTACCAAGCTCACTAAAATATCAATTATAACAGCAACAAAAAGCACTTCTAAGAACATCTTATTGACAACTAAACAACTTAATAGTGCACAAATATTATTTCCTTCTGAAAACATCTTCTGTGCGTACAATTCTATTAAAATTACCTTTCATTCCTTCTGTTTTTGGTGATTTATTATACTTTCTAAATTGCTTTTTTCTTATAAAACAAGAATTAGCCTTTCAATTTCTCATTACTGCTACTTACTGATATTATTTTATGCAGTATATATACACATCTATATATGTGTGTGCTTGTGTATTTATATATACATATGTGTGTGTGTATATATATATATACACACATATATATATACACATATATATATACACATATATATATATATATATATATATATATATATACACACACACATATATATATATATTTGAGATAGGGGTCCTGCCGTGCTTCCCAGCTGGTCTTGAACTCCTAGGCTCAAACAATTTTCCTGTCTTAGCCTCCTAAGTAGCTGGGATTACAGGCATATGCTACCGTGATAGTCTCTATTTGTGTAATTTAATTTGACTCAGGACTTTTACTTTAGAATGTTTTTCTTCTTTCTGAAGTGCAACTTTTAAAAGTCTACTACTAAAGAAAAATTAGATATAGATTCATTTATTAATGATTTTTTTTCTGATTCTAAAGTACCTTTATTTGTCCCAGTTACTTGAAGAATAATTTTTGTAGGTGTAAAATTTAAGGTTACAGTAATATTCTATTGATATTATATAGGAATTTTAAAAAATTTCTTTAGACCTATCTGCCCAAATGCTATTTTTTCTGCTAGGTTTTTAAACAATTTAATCAATTTTTAAAACTTAAAATTTCAACTATATTTACCTATAGTTACAATTGGTTAGAATTTATTTCTAGTCGTTCTATATTGTTGTATTCCTAAAACTTCACATAGGTGGATGGTCTCTTTTTTTTTTAACAATATTTGTCATAATCTTCTACATTTTCTTTTTGGTATAACATATTTTTGTTATAGTATCTATCTGGTAATTTCGGTGCTTAAAATGCTTTGCTTTCTGATTCTGCAATTTATTTAAATTATTGATCAACATTTATGTCCACTTAGAAACAAAAATTATTTCAGCAGAATCATGTAGTAGCACTGGGAGCACCTTTCTAATTTTGAATTTGTTAAAAGTTTAGGATTATTAATTCTTAAAATTGTTTGCCTCTGAGTATTTATTTTTCTTTTTAAGGGTTGTACATTAAAATAACCATTTTATTTTTATTCAGAATATTTGGTGTTTTGATACCAACATGGCTGTTTTTAGATATATGTTTTTATTCATCCATTCTGTGTTGCTATAATTAAATACCTGAGACTGGGTAATTTATAAATAAAAGAGGTTTATTTAGGCTCATGATTCTGCAATGGCATCAGTATATGCTTAGCTTCTCGTGAGGCTTCAGGAAGCTTTTACTCATGGCAGAAGGTGAAGTAAAAGTAGGCATGTCTTCTGGCAGGAGCGGAAGCAAGGGGTGGGGGTTGCCACACTCTTTTTTTTTTTTTTTTTTTACAATCAGATCTCATAGTAACTAATAGAAAATTCACTAATTACTGTGGGGAGGTCATGAAGCCGCTCATGAAGAACCTACCCTCATGACCCAAACACCTCCCTTTCGGCCCCACTTTCAACAATGGGGAATCACATTTCGCCATGAGATTTCAAGGGGACAAATATTCAAACTATATCATCTACTATATTGCATTCCCAGAAATATAGCTATATAATATCATTTAATAACTTAGTGTTTATTTTCATGTAAGTGTCATCACTGTTTACCTAGTTTTCATTATTTAAATTTGTGTCCTACATTTTATCATTATTCTCAATAGTCATAAAAGGAATTAACTGTTAGAGTTTGCATTTCCACTCCTAATTATATGTTAAAATTTAATTGCCACTGTTACAGCATTAAGAGGTGGGACCTTTAAGAGGAGATTAGGTCATAATTACACAGCTCTCATAAACAAATTAATGCTGTTATCATGGGAGTGGGTTAGAGCACGAGTGGGTTCCTGGTAAGGAGAATGAGTTTGGCCCAATTTGCCATCTCTGTCATGTGTATTCACTTTTCCTTCCACCTTCCATCTCCCAGCACAGAGTAGATGATGCAGTGTGAAGGCCTTTGCCAGATGGTAGCACCACGCCCTTGGACTTCCAGCCTCCAGAACCATGAGCCAAATAAACTGCTATTGTTTGAAAACTATCCAATCTTTGGTATTCTGCTATAGCAGGAAAGTATGTAAGACAGAAATTTGAGATACATATGGCCTTATTTCATAGCTGATGTCACCTTTACATTCTCTGAAGATTCAGATGCCAAAATAATAAAAATAATAATAATAATAAAGTAATAATAACAATAATAATACTAAAATAATAATAGCAATCCAAAAAAACTATGAAAAGCCAACCTGAATTTTGTAAAATTTTAAGTTGCTAAGGATTCAGAAATCTACTAAACAGGGGAAGCCTAATAAACACATAATATTCTGAACCTACAACACAAGTGTATGAGTATGATTTTATGAAACAGAGCCAAATAGGAGATAGACTAAGCCTAACAAAATGGCAAATTTGATGGGATTAAGTTTAGTCTCAGAGAAGTTTTGTAATCAAGAACCTTAACCGGTTAAGATGAATTCTCAATAGAAAAATAATCCCATATAGAGCCTCTTTTCACTTTGGCCATATTTTTCTGCCTTTTGCAACACTGTAAATCTACTGGTATGATAAAGAACAAGACAGTGTCCTCCAAATGAAGTGAAAAAATTCATAGAAAGAGATCACAGGTAACACAAACGTTAGAATAAGCATACAAAGTCTTTAAAATAACCATGGTTGATATATTCAAAAATTAGAGAAAAGAGAAGAGAAAAGATTAAAGGATGGAGAACTTTCTCAAATAATTGTAATTTATAAAAAAGAATTGAATAGAAATTAAAACATTTAAGTTTACAATCTCTGTAATTAAGAAATTATTGGCTAGGCGTGGTGGCTCACACCTGTAATCACAAGCACCTTGGGAGGCCAAGGTGGGCAGATCACGAAGTCAGGAGATCCAGACCATCCTAGTTAACATGGTGAAACCTCGTCTCTACTAAAAATACAAAAAATTAGCCGGACATGGTGGCAGGCACCTATAGTCCCAGCTACTCGGGAGGCTGAGGCAGGAGAATGGTGTGAACCCAGGAGGCAGAGATTGCAGGGAGCCGAGATCTCGCCACTGCACTCCAGCCTGGGTGACAGAGCAAGACTCCGTTTCAAAAAAAAAAAAAAATTATTGATTGTTTTAATAGCCAGATCAAATACACAGATCAAAATGCAAACTTAAGGGTTAAAAGAAACATAAAAAAAATCTTTTAAAACAAAACCACAAAGGAAAAGAAGAAGGAAAATTCAGGAAAGACAATAAACATATGTTGCCTGGAGTAGAAGCATCTAAATTGTGTAATGAATGCCAAAAAGATGAGAGGGAAAGCATAACTGAGAGGTTTTTAAGGCTGAGAAAAGACATCAACCCATCAGAAGGGAGCAAAGAAAAATAAATTAAATGAAAACCATGTCTAAGCAAATCACAGTTGAAATGCTGTAAGACTAAAGACCAAGAGAAAATAATATAAGCAGCCAGAGAAAAAGAAACATTTGTAACAGAAGTAATGGAATTTAGAAAAAACAATAAACGCCATCTCTAAAATACATAAATTAATTTACTTCTTTTAGATTTAATGAAATTATCCAACAAAAAAGGAAACAAAGATGGTTTTATAAAATAAAATAACAAGTGTTTGTCATCACCAGTCATGCATGAAATAAATACGCAAAGAAGGTCTTTAAGGGGAAAAGAAAAAGATAATTACAAATGAAAAAAGTAGAAGTACAAAAGGAATGTAGAGTAATATGGACAGTAAATTGTGAGAAAACATACATATTCTTTTTTCTACAAAGTCATAATCATGATGGCTTATTTTGATGATTTATATGTGTGAATAATTAAGCTGAAGATGCCAGTGAAACAAAAGATGATGGGATATTAAGGGAGATAAGCTGTTCTGAAATTCTAGGTTTTTTTTATTTAAGAATTTTAAAAATATTGAATTTTATTAATCAAGAATGAATGCTGTATTTTCCAGTGCAACCACTAAATTAAATTTGTGAAATGAAAAATAAAGCAACTTTAAAATAGATTCCTGATATGTTATCATAGTTTGGGTACACAAAGAAATTGGATGTAGAGAATCAGAGAAAGCAATAAGTCAGATAGGCTCCAAGTTGTTCGCCTGAGCAACTGGAAAGATGGAGGAAACTGTGAGTGTAGCAGGCTTGATGGTGTGGGGAGATGGGATGTTCGGTTGGGATATGTCTACACACACAACAGAAATATAGGTGTTTTTTTTTTTCTGCAAATTCACGTTGACTGGACTTACCCCTTGTCTCTCCTTTTTCTTATATTTTATATGACTGACACATCCTTTCCTCGTATGGCAGACTTGGAATTTTTTCTAATATTTTAATCCAATTTTGAGCATTTTTGACTGTGTCCTCAATTTGCTCACATCACACTTTAACTCTCAGGGACAAGCTCAATTTTCCAGACTCAGGAGTAGCTTCATAAATGCCCCTCTACATCATGCTTAGCAATTTGGTTAAAATTATGGAAAAGTACATATTTTTATTAATTTAGGCTGGAGTTAAATTACAAGCTCTTTCTCCAGATTTCATGAATTAAGTATTTAATATTCTCAGGAAGAAATAGCATTTCCTTTACTATTGAGAATTTAAAAACTGATATGACTTTAATGCTGCTTGTTGTATTACATGTCAAATGACAATAAAAATTCTTGTTAATTATAAAAAAGTTGACACAAATTTATCAATGGAATAATTTTGAAAAATTTTGCTATGATGAAAATAAGCTAACTTTTTTTTTTTTTTTGAGGCAGGGTCTCCCTCTGTCACCTAGAGGGACAGCTAGAATGCAATGGTACGACCCCAGCTCACTGCAGCCTCAACCTCCCAGGCACAAGCGATCCTCCCAACTCTGTCCCGAGTAGCTGGGACAGATTATTACAAGCATGCACCACCACATCCAGCTATTTTTGTTTATTTTTTTATTTTGTATAGACAGAGTCTCCCTATGTTGCCCAGGCTGGTCTCAAACTCCTGGCTTTAAGCAATTCTCCCACCTCGGCCTCCCACAGTGCAGATTATAGATGTGAGCCACAACGACTGGCCAAAACTTTTAAGTTTGTGTTTCAATCATATTACATGAGGCAAAATAAGAAAATGTATTATCAATATAAATTCTTGCACGCTATATTTACATAGCCAAATTATATTTAAAACTACGTATTTCAGTAATGTTGATCTAAAATTAATTTCACATTCTACACCTGTCAATTAATTTTAGTAAATAGACAATCAGGCTGAAAACAATTTCATCAAATCAATTGGTTTGCATTCATGTGTACTTAAAAATTATGCGTTTACTCAAAACTGAAAATAAATGGTTTAAATATCATATGAATCAAATAAACATTTGTTTTACCTTTTCTTTCCAAAATTATGTTGATGCCTAAGTATAAACACAGTCTATTTAAGAGCACAAAAATACCTTGAATACTTTGTTTAATACTCATTAACATAAATCAGGGAATTAAAGAAAAATGTTTCTGATTAGAGGGTAATGTTGGATTTTTATTGCACTATTTTGAAATTCAATGACCAAATGAGTTTTTTTTCTGCATACTTTGAAAACCATTTTAGGACACTTATACTACTGTGTTTTTTTCAGGATTTGAGGAATAGTTAGACATATTCCAAAAACTGGATACTTACAACACTGGAGCAGTTGGTAAAATGCATATACATTAACTAGGAAATTTATCTCTAAAGGATCATTTTGAATGGCAATTTTAACACTGTAAAAACCCATCAATTAAATATCAAATAGAGGAAGTTATAGCTTTTGGTAAGCATAGCCTGGGTCCGATTTTTCTTTCCTTTTCTCAATTTCTCCCTTTTTCAGAAAAAGAGCCTAAAGAAAGACTGGTCATACTTGCGGATCTGAAGCCGGGCCTCAGAATGAACAGGATTGTGACTTGTTAGTTAAGGGTGTTTATGAAATTCTCCAGGGTACTATGACAGCAACTAGGGTTGGCTCAGAAGACTCTATTCAGATATGTGATGTTGGGAAATGATGGCAACTAGCACTCTGGGGTTGCACATAATCAAGCCTGATGAGATTCTCCAGTTGGAATTTAGAGAAGAGCCCTAGAAAAAAGGTTCTTTTTCTAGTCAGAGCTACCTAGAAGATTAGAGACATAAAGAGCATTTAGAGAAGTTCAAATTACACCTGAATAAGATTTCTAAATCAGTTGCATTCATCATCCATAAAAATAGTGGTCAAGAAGAGGAATACTATATTTGGGAACAAATTGCTCTAGTGATTTTAGTTATAAAAAATCTATATGATAAGACACTGCAATGTGTTACTTTTATGGGTCTACTTAATTAGGCCATAGGGTGCCCAGATATTTGGTTAACCATAATTTTGGGGTGTGTCTATGATGGTGTTTCTGGGTGAGATTAGCAGTTGAATAGGTATACTGAGTCAAGAAGCTTGCCCTCCTCAGTGTATTCAGACCTCATCCAAATTGTTGAAGGTCTAAATAAAATAAAAGTCTGAGTAAGAAAGAATTTTTCTTTCGGCCTTTCTGTCTTCAGTCTGGTTTATGAATCTTCTTTTGCCTTAAGACTTGGACTCAAGCTCACAATTAGCTCCTCTGGTTCTCAGACCTTTGGATTTGGACTACAGCTGTATCATCAGCTCTCATGGGTCTCTGGCTTTCCCACTACAGATCTTGGACTTCTTAGCCTTCAAAATCACATAATTCAGAGAGAGAGAGAGCGAGAAAGAGAGTTTCGTTTTGTTTTGATTTTTCCTACTGTAGTCTTAAGATCTCTTTCAAGAGAATGGCTATAAACTCTAGCCCTGGTAGGGCTCCAGGGCATTGGTTACTGGTGTTTAGAATGTGCCTTACATGGGATAATTTTTATTCTGGCAGACAACCAAATGTCTAAGTGTCTGACATATGACCATGTGTTTCTCCTTTAAAAAACTTGTTTCTGGTGGCAGAAGCCCTTGGGTCTGTTACCTTATCTGTGCCGGTTCATTCCTGCCACTCTCTAGAAGAATGCTGACAAGGAAAGGGATTAGCTTGGCTGCATCAGTCATATGAGACACAGGAGGCAGCTCAACAAAATAGATTATATGACAGAAGAAGCATTACTTGCAGATCCTCAAGAGAAGAGGGCACCTCCGAAGGCTGATAGAAAGTGGGAAACCATCTAGAACATACATGCTTAACCAGTGGGTGGAAAGCAAAAGAGAGGGATGGACCTGTAGGCTGAAGCTTTTTTTGGGGGATGCAGGTTGCTATCTCACACCTGCTTTTTCATGGGAAGTTCTAACTGGTAGTTTAGAGCCCACAGACATGAGTTCCACGGAGTTACACTGTGTCTGAGAGGTGGTTTCTGTGGCATTCTCAGGCAGCCCGCACAAGGCATGAGGGTCACTGCTGAGTCAAGTAGGCTGTATCCAGCTGTCCTATAGGGAAGTGGTCACCAGGAGGTGGTTGTACAAGGCAAATATCTGGATGGACTACATTGAGGAACTGGGAGGAGGCAGAGAACTAGAAACTGTCAAGGATGTCTGAGCCTTGATTCTGTAGGTAAAAGTCAAATTTACATTCACAACGGATACAATGAAAAATATTTTGAGGCCAGGCGTGGTGGCTCATGCCTATAATCCCAGCACTTTGGGAGGCTGAGGCAGGCGGATCACCTGAGGTCAGGAGTTTGAGACTAGCCTGGCCAAAGAGACAAAACCCCATATCTAATAAAAATACAAAAATTAGCTGGGCATGGTGGTATGTGCCTGTAATCCCAGCTATTAGGGAGGCTGAGGCAGGAGAATCTCTTGAACCCAGAAGGCAGAGGTTGCAGTGAGCCAAAATCATACCACTGCACTCCAGCCTGGACAACCAAGCAAGACTGTCTAAAAAATTAAAAAAAAAAAAAGAAAGAAAAATATTTTGAGAACCATTTATTAATTGTTAATACACTAGTACACATATAATTATGTAATATATCCTCCAAGAAAGACAGTTGATGAGTATATGAATATGAGAAATCACTCCTCAAAATAAAATAAGAGAAAATTTATCCTAAGGGAAACCTCATAGTTAAAATAAGAGGACTATGAGGAAAAAAAGAGTTTTTCAGAATTTATTTTTCCACCAAAACGAAGGAGACACCCTCCCTGTCTGCCAGAGAGCACAGGCAAGCTAGAAATCACGTGATTGTTCTCATGTAGATGTGCATTCAGAAGAAATTATATCTCATTTTTATTCAAGCACGCACACAGCAGGCAAACCAAATAAATGTATTACAACATATGCCTAAGGAATGTGGGACATCCTTCCAGTAAAACTCAAGCTGGAAATCCTATGAACTTCCTCATGTGGCAATGCTTTCTAAAGTACCAGTTGTCACTGACCATCAGACTGTCAGTGAATAAACCTTACAAATGTAGTAAGTGTCAGTAGTCTTTCAGTCAAAAGTAAAGCCTCATTGTCCATCAGGGAACTCACAAAGCAAAAATAGTAAAAATATAGTAAGTTATGTCATTTTTTTGTGATGGCTTTGCAACATATTGAATACCTTTATTGTAAAAAAAAAAAAATCTGGAATCATCCAGGAAACCACTACTTCCATGCCATTATAACAACATAATGTTAATTGTGATAGAATATTCAGCATTTTAAATAACCATGATGCATAATTATTTATCTACTATGCTAGCAAATGTTAGCATGAGAGGGGTAAGGTTATAGGTGCTCTACTACATCATAATAAAGAATGGATTTTTGTTTGTTTGTTTTTATGTTTCCCATTGTTCGTTCTTACATTCTAATGTTCTGTGACTTATGTTATCACTTCTTTTTTGTTTGAAGAATTTCCTTTAGCTCTTATTTCAGGATAGGTTTATTTTTGTTTGTTTTTCTTCATCTGAGCCTATCTTTATTTCCCCTTTAGTCTAGAGGGATACTTAAGCTAGAATTGGTTTTGTAATTGACAGTACTTTCCTTTCCGCATTGAAAATATAGAATCTGTTAGCATTTGAATTAACATTGTGCTATAGGTAATGTTTCCTTGCTTTATGGCCACTTTCAAGACATTCTCTTTTTTTTTTCTTTTTTTTTTTTTTTTGAGATGGAGTCTCGCTGTGTAGCCCAGGCTGGAGTGCAGTGGCGCCATCTCGGCTCACTGCAAACTCTGCCTCCTGGGTTCACGCCATTCTCCTGCCTCAGCCTCCCGAGTAGCTGGGACCACAGGCTCCCGCCACCATGTCTGGCTAATTTTTTGTATTTTTAGTAGAGATGAGGTTTCACCGTGTTAGCCAGGATGGTCTCGATCTCTTGACGTCATGATTCACCCACCTCGGCCTCCCAAAGTGCTGGGATTACAGGCATGAGCCACCGCACCCGGCCGTGTATCTGCTTTATTAAAACGTATTTACAATAACCACTTTAAAACTTTAAAATTGTTGTCAGATATTTTCAAGTCTGATTCATCTTGACATTGGTATGATTTGCTTGCTTTTTTTTTCACTGAACTTGTGATTGTATTGGTTCCTGGGTGTGATAGGTGATTTTCAACTGTATCCTGGACATTTTGGTTATTATGTTAGAAGACTCTGTATCTTATTAAATCTTTATTTTAACATGCTTATTCTCTTTAGGTTTAGTCTTTATAGGTGCTGGCCTTCATGTCATGGTTCCAGTGAAAATTTAATTGTCAGATCTTTTGTAGCGCCATTTGTCTGTTTGGCTTATTTGGCTCTGCTGTGATACCCACTGTGTAGTGCTGGTAGTGACTGGGGGTTAGAGGGTGGTTTATGCAGCCTGGGACATCTGGTACTTCTAGTTGGGGAAAGGGAGTCACCACACTGGGGGAATGAAGAATACTTCCCAGGCTGGAATATGGGTGATGCTGGATCCCCCGTGTCCATACTCCCTGGCTAGTATGCCTTCCTTTTGAGAGAGGAGTATCTCATGTGGTGTGGAGAGTGCATTGCTGAGCCGTATGCTGTTGATGAGCCCCTGATCTATTCCCGTTGTTAGTGCTTGAAGGCTAGGGTGGCCTGGTGCTATTTTTGAGACTTCCATTGAATCTAGGGAAGGAACAAGCTTCCTTATGTCACCCTGTGTTGCTACATTGGGCCTGGATCATATTACGTTTTCTAGGGGAAAGTAAGTTGCCCTATTGCCCCGTTGTATTTTCAGTACTATAGTCCCTAACAAATTGTCCATTTTCTTTCCACCACAAAGTACTTCTCTGACTTCTTCTCATATTAGTTCCAGGATTTATGGCTGTTCTTAGCCAGAAGAAAGCGGGGAGTAATGAGTCTACTCTATCTTGTCGAGATTGGATATCATAACATTTTTATGAATTGCCTGACATTTGTCCATACCACCTTTTCCCCACATTTGCAGTTGTATACTTTCTTAAAATAAATTCTATGTTTTAGATCAGTTTCTGATTCACAGAAAACTTGAATAGAAATCAGAGAGTTTCCATTTACTCCCGTACCTCCTACACATACACCGCCTCCCCCATGTCAATGTCTCCCACCAGAGTGACACATTTGCTATAATGGATGAAACTACATTGAAACATCATTATCAGCCAAAGCCAATAGTTTACATTGGTGTTCTCTCTTGGTGTTGTACATTCTGTGACTTTTGACAGAAGTATAATGACACATGTCCTCCATTATACTGTCATACACAGTATGTCTCACTGCCATAAACTTCTCCTGTGCTCCGCATTTTCATCCTTCTTTCTCCTATGCCCTGGCATCCACTGAGCTTTCTAGCATCTGCATAGTTTTGCCTTTTCCAGAATGTCATATATTTGGAATCCTACAGTATACAGGCTTTTCAGATTGACTTCTTTGTGACTGTGTGCTTTTTTTTTTTTTTTTTATCACTTCTTCATGTAGCTACAATGCCATAATTCAATTTTCTACAAAGATAAAAGAAAACTAACACAGTCTTTAGTCTGGATATAGATAATCATATATACATACACATTAGTGTGTGTATGTATATATATATGTGTGTGTATATATATGTGTGTGTGTATATATATATATATATATATATGTATATATTTTAAGATATTTTCCCTCTTGTCACCCAGGATGGAGTGCAATGGCATGATCTCAGCTCACTGCAACCTCCGCCTCCCGGGTTCAAATGATTCTCCTGCCTCAGCCTCTGAATAGCTTGGATTACAAGGATGCACCACCACACCAGGTTAATTTTTGTATTTTTAGTAGAGACGGGGTTTCACCATGTTTGCCAGGTTAGTATTGAATTCCTGGCCTCAGGTGATCTGCCCTCCTAGGCCTCCTTAAGTGTTGAGATTACAGGCGTGAGCCACCGCACCTGGCTTACAGTTTGTTTCTAATATAATAATTTACAAGAGTTTCTTTCAGCCTCAAAGTGTTTAGAATATTTTTCAAAATATCTTTCAGATTAATTTTAGGTCAATTTAGGTTTTCCTATGTAGTAACTAATGCTAAATGTTTCTAGCATTGATAATATTAATTAACCAGCTTGTCTTCAAGATGTCAGTACATCAGTGTCTGTGTTAGGTGGCCTATGGTGAGTTTTATGTTGTCTGCATTGACATAACTACTTCATGTAATTCAGGAAGAAATTTAAATATTTTCCAATATTTCATATGGCACAACCTTATTCATTATGTACGTCTGAAATTCACTTATTACTTTAACTGTATTTTCATTATTGTGGTAATTTTGCTCTTTATGTCAGAATAGTATTAATCAATTAATTACTCCTTTTAAGTGCTTTAAAAATCATTAATTTTTAGATAAATTTCCTTTCAGTAATATAGTACATAAATCTAAAAATGTTGAAAAAGTTATCTTCATATTCTTCCAAGTTAGAGGGTTCTAATTTATCACTTGTTTTATTAAAAAGTTTCTATATATATTTCCAAATTATAGTCGAATGGCATAATACCAACTCAGATTCCCTTTCTCAAGATTTCAAAGATGCTTTTGGCCAGCCTAATTCTTTATGACGTAAGTGGAGTGGAATGAAAATGAAATAATAACCTTAACCCATTTGTGCTTAAATATCAGTTGCAAATATAAATGCATATGGCCATGAGAACACAAGGCTATCACTACTCCCCCACTCCCAAAGCTTTTGAAGAGATTGGTGTATATGAGGGGTCTTGAGATTTTAGCCTGAAAGGAAGCATGGTGAGTATGAGAGAGATAAAGGTTGGTATGTTGGAAAGAAATCAAAAATTGGTTATATAAATATGGAGAGTTAATTAAGATTGAAAGCATGCTGGGGTCCTGTGGTTCATGTCTTCATCCTATAAGCATGAGGAATCTATTGATGGGTAAAGCTGCAGAAAGACACAGTCTGGTGTATGTTTTCAAGGAATGCTTAAGGCTATCAATTGAAAGGGTGACAAAGTGAAAACGCGTTAATGAAAAGGCACAGGATGACTGTAACAGGGACTAGACTATGAGTGGAGGAGATGTAGATAACTAGGGTAGATCTTAAAAATGTTTAGGTGAAATCAATAGAATTTGGAGATGGAGAAGATATGAAGGATGGTGAAAAGGGGAATTTAAAAATATCAATACAAGAAAGTCATTAGAATTTGGAGATGAAGAAGATGTGGCAAGGTCATTAAAACAGGACATTTTAAGATATTCATGTCAAAGATGTTTGAGCCAGAGCGACTTCATCTTGAATACCAGCTAGAGAAGATGAGGATGGGACTTGCTGGGCTGGATTCCCAGGAGGTTAGGCATTCTTAGTCACAGGATGGAGGTTGGCAGGCCTGGTATCACAAGACACAGGTCATAAAGACCCTGCCGAGAAACAGGATGTGGTAAAGAAGCTGGCCCAAACCCACCAAAACCAAGATGGTGAAGAAAGGGACTTCTGGTCATCCTCACTGCTCATTATACAAGAATTATAATGCATCGGCTGCTAAAAGACACTCCCACCAGTGCCATGAAAGTTTACAAAAGCCTTGGCAATGTCTGGAATTTACCTTATATGGTCTAAAAAGGAGAGGAACCCTCAGTTCTTGGGAACTGGCTGCCCCTTTCCCAGAGAACTCATGAATATTTCACCCTTGGTTTACCATATGAACAAAAAATAACCATAAAAATTGCCAACAAGCAGCCCTCTGGGCTGCTCTGTCTATGAAGTAGCCCTTCTTTTGTTTTTTTACCTCTCTAGTAAACTCGCTTTCACTTTACTGTATAGATTCCCTCCAAATTCTTTACTGTATAGACTCCCTCCAAATTCTTTCCTGCATGAGATCTAAGAACCCTCTTTTGGGATCTGGATGGGGACTCCTTTCTGGTAACATTAATACTAGTTTCTGATATATGCAACTTCAATGAATGGTGGGTGTTCCCCTGACATTAGAACTCTGGAAGTTATTGGCTTAAATCCGTGCCTTTGGTTTTGAATAGATTAAATTTGAGGTGCATTTGAGACAGAAAAGATATCAACTCCTGCACTTAAGCTACGATGATGAAGATAATGTTTTTAATCATATTTTCAAATTCCATTAGCTTTCTTAATCTTTATATAATCTTTTATAAATCTTAAATAATATTTTATAAATCTTAAATAATATTTAAGTATTCTTATTATTTTCCCAAGTTATGTATTGAATTACATTTTCTGAGTTCTGACACTAAAAGTCCCAATTATTTTGGTGAATCTATGTAATATGTTTCTTATGTCTCTTTATTCCTATAATTTCTATTTATAATTTATACTTTTTAAAATACACAACATTTAAGAACATTTGGTGTAACTTAGTTGTCTACGTTATTGTTGGATGAAATAAGAATGATCTTTAAACATAAATTACTTTTCTAAAGTTCTCAAAGTCATCAAAATATTTTAATTTTCTAAAAATTATTTTTAGGGCTGACAATTATAAAAACAAATAGTGATAAATCACCAATGTGCATTTTCTTATATTTTACTTACCATTTTTAAATGCATGGTGCAGAAGTAAATATGATTTTAAAATGATTTTCTGATCACATAACTAATAAGCAAGTTTTTTCAACTATCCATACATTATTAAAGCTTCTAATGAATAGAGCTACCTTAAACACAGCACCTGACATAATGTTCATTGATTTTTTTCTAATTCCAAGCAATCCTGGGTTCTCTGTGTTTCTCAGAATTGTTTTTGCAGCTGTGGCCAACACAGCCCTTGACCTACAGATTCCCCAGAGCACCCTTTTAGTTCTGATTTTCCTGGAACTTGAGAGGATTTGTATTGCAATCATGTATTCTGTTTACTGCAGACATGCACATCAACAGATACAAGTGGTGTGTGAGCCCCACTGAAACCTGACACTTAATATCACACCCTCGCCAGTGCTAAGAAATTCAGGGGCTCCTGCTATGTGTGTGTATTGTGTTGTATGTTAGGAAGCATGGTGGTGGGAAGGGCAGAGGATGGCACCAGATGGGATTAAGGGCCTGTGGTGCCTCTTGCTCCACCAGAGCCTCCTGCACATGACTTTCTGCCAGCAGCACCTCACCCAGACCATTCTGCAGACGTTCCCTGTACTTAGATCTCAGGCCCTGGCATACCCACATGACTAGAAAAATTAAATTAATATTTTATGACATATGGGGCTTTCAGTGAACTTGGATGGAAGCACATACATACACCATTCACATGGAATGGTAATACATAGCCTATGGTATCCTAACACATTGTAGGAGGAAAAGTCCCACCATTTTATAAACCATTAGAAGCATAACTTAGGAGATTGCATCCTCTCCTACAATGAGAGGTGATGCCACTCAGTCCTTACATCACGATAATTGTTAAATCTAAGATTATCCTCTCCCCTCCCCACAAAAAAATAATTCTATACAAACACACACTCACTTGTAAGAGCAAATTAGGCTTTGAAGATAGTTTATCTGACACTTTTCAGCACGTTAAGAAATTTGTAAAATCAATGAAAAATAAGAGGTTGATGATTACAGAAAATTAGAAAACTATGTCTTTTGTTACATGAGTTCTCAATTAAGCATGGAAATATGGTAGAAATATATATATATATATAGTCTATGGATACTTGATTCTTTGACCTGCATGTACCTCTTTCTTATCCTGACACAGATTCTGACAGAGCTCAGAAATATACATGGATTGATGACATAAGAGAAAATTATACATTTTACTTCTAAGTTGCTCATGGGACATGGCTAAGTTAAGCTAATTAACTTAACACAATACCCCACATACTTATCATTTTCTTTTTGCCGCAAACACTTAAAAATATATTTTTAAGTATAATTTCTGGTATACAATATATGTTATTAACTATAGTTACCATGTTATACAATAGAGCTCTTGAACTAATTCCTCCTATCTTCTAGAAATTTCGTATCCTTCGACCAATGCTCCTCAATCCCTTCCCTCCCCAACCACCATTCTCTGCTTCTATGAATTCACCTGTTAATATTCTATGTATAAATAGCTCATACAGTATTTGCCTTTCTTTGTTTGCCATATTTTGCTTAATGTTTTCCAGGTTCATTCACATCGTTGCAAAATGACAGAATTTCGCTATTTCTAAAGGCTGAATAGTATCCCACTGTGTAAATGTACCACATTTTCTTGAACCATTTATCCATTGATGGACATTTAGGTTGATTTCATATCCTGGCTTTTGTAAATAATGCTGCTAAGGACTTGGGAATGAAAATATTTCTTTGATATACTGATTTTATTTCCCTTGTATATATACCCAGTGTAAAATTTCTGGATCATGTTAGTTTTATTTTAATTTGAGAAATCTTCATACTGTTTTCTATAATGGCTGTACTCATTTACTTTCTTATCAAGAATATACAAGGGTTCCATTTTCTCCATATCCTGGCCAACATTTGTAATCTTCTATTGTTTCGTTATTAACTGTTTTAACAGATGTGACATTTTGTTTTTGATTTGCGTTTATCTGAGGTTGAGTGACATTGAGCAATGAATGATGTTGGAAAAACTGGACGTAGACATGTGGAAGAATGAATTTGGACCATTATCTCACACTATATATGAAAACCAACTTAAAATGGATTGAAGACTTCAACATAAGACCTGGAACCATAAAAATACTAGAAGAAAACAGGGAGAAAAGATTCTTGACATTGATCTGGGCTATGTTTTGGATATAATATCAAATAAAAAGATCTGTACAGGAAACAAACAATCCATAGAGTAACAAGACAACCTATGGCATAAGAAAAAGTATTCGTAAAGTATACATCTAATAAGGAGTTAATATTCAAAAATATGAAGACTCTAAATAACTCAATAGTAAGAAAATAAATAGCCCAGTTAAAAACTGAACAAAGGACCCGGATAGACATTTCTCAAGAAAGACAAACAGATAATTAACAGTTATTTTTTAAAATACTAGATTTTTTTTTACTTCATGCATAGTGCTCACATTGACCTAATAAGAAAAATAGTAAAAACTTTCTACTGTCAAGATTGTAACTTTTACAAATCATCTTAAAGTCCATTGGGAACGAAATTGCTAATGAATGTAATCATTTAACATGCACTTTCAAATAAGCAGGCAATTGACTGGTGCGGTTCTCACTTTCCATTTACTTTTAAAAGCAGTTAGAGCTCCACCTTCCTTTAAATTCTTATTAGGTCTTAAAACACTGAGCCAATATTTATTATTCCTTTGATAGTGTAAGTCAAAAATAAAACACTGAATTTAGAGCTATTTAAAAATTTAGAAGTAGTGGAATATAATTCTTCTCCATGTACTGCTATTTACTTTAAACTAAGAACCCTTCTGTAAATTTCTTTTTACATATACTCCTTAGTTTCTATACCTTTCCTGAAAGTGTTTAATGAATTTTAAGACACTTCAAATTCAAAATTCAGGGAAAAAGTACTTATTTTTTATTGAGCAAAATTTGAATACCTCCAGAGTACTTCTCAAGATTAGATTTTTAAACATAACACTGTCACACTGTTCTAAAGCTTAAAACCAGGAGAAAATCTTATATTTTTTATTCTACATTGATGTGTGTGTGTGTGTGTGTGCACGTGCATGCATACATGTGTGTGTTTAAGAAGAGGTCACATGGAATTATTTATACCTCACTTTCAGCCGAGGTCCTAAAGGACATTAAGCAAAACAAGGGTTACCAGTTTCTTCCATATTTCCCAATGACATGCTCCCCAACCAAAGTGCGCCTTGCAAGGTGGTCTGCCCAACCTGTTCTTGAGGCCCTTAGCTGATCATCAGCTTGAGTATACAAAAGCATTGAGCAGTGACATCGAGAGAAGTTATCTTTTAGGGAAAGTTGTTTGAGTGATTTGAGTGCAGGGGAGTCATTTGCTTTTTACCCTAAGTTTGCTAAGGTCCTGATATTTCTCACCTAAGCAATGCTTAACAGGAAGAGAAATAGAGAAAGGTTGTAACTGTCGCTACCTCAGATGGCAAAGCAGGGAGAGGGAACATTTGTGGAAGTAGCTGCATGTCTACCACTTGGTGAAATGAGAGTGCATGCATTCTCATGGGACCAGGAGCTGCCACGTGCACAGTGCAGGCAGGAGCACCTTGTCTGGACTGGACTGTGTTTAGGGCATCCCACATGGATTAGGCATCACCAGCTGCCATTACCATAGTGTAGAATTCAAACCGGTTTGTACAAGGTCACTATATAATGTAAATTCCCAGGAACCCAATAAAAGATAAGGTACCATGAAATAAATGACCGTATGAAACATACAACAAAATCAGAGAGCAGAGTTCTTCATAGTACCCCTCTTCTTAACTCTAATTCCTCTCCCAGAGGTGAAGAAAGCAGGTAAGAGGTGCCTGATGTGAGGGACATCCACAGACCTTAAGGGACAACCAACTCTGCATAGCTGGGGAAAACCAAGTGTCCACCTGGAGAATACACCCAGAGAAATACAGGAATTGATGGGTGATTCTACTCATCTATTCATTCAATTAATAATTGATTACATTTTTGGTACTAGGATATGATACTGTGCAAAAAGCAATTTATGATCTAGATAGGTAAACTGTCATTAATTAAATGAGATAATAAATACATGAATAATTGTTATTCGGTTAAAAGTTATGAGTGAGAGATGTGTATGGTGAAAGAAACTAGAAGGGTCAAGGGGAAAATAATTTGATGTGTGAAGAAAAAGAAACTATTAACTAGGTAAGGAAGAAAGAAAGAGAATATTCCAGGAAGAGGAAAAGCATTAACAAATATTTTGTGGTGGAAGGAAACAAAGAGGTTCATAAAAATAAAAGTCCAGTGTAATGACATTGCAGAGTACAGTTTCACAGATGTGTGTAGGCTAGATCATTTATATAGAAAGAAAACATATAAATACAATTTCTTCTGACTGATAAAACATATATCAATCCTGGTTTCTAATATTTCCTATTCTATCATTTATTGGATTTACAACTCATTGTTTTGGCTTTTCAAAGGTGATAGAAAGGTTGTAACTAAGGACAGAAAGGTTGTTTTAGCAAATTTTGTTTTTAATCTAAAAAGCTATCTTATCGTCCTCTAATAATTTCCAGTCTCAACAGTGTAACTCACAGAAATTGAAAATTATAGGATTTAAGGCTACTCTCTGTCATTACAGGCTTATACTTGACAGGCAAAAGTAATACATTAAAATACAAAGAAACAAGGGTAAAATGAATGTTTCATACAAATAAAAGCAATCTCAAAGAAGAGAATATAGCAGAAAACACCATCAAAATCTGTGCAGTTCCTTCATTAAGACTGTCGAATAAATTTTCACTGAGAGAGATTGCTTTTTGTTTTGGCTTTTGTGGCAGAGTCAGTTTCATCTGTTTGCTTGTTGGTTTTCTCCTTGGATTTAAAACTAAACCTGACCAGTGATCTACATTTTTGCATTAAGTGCTAGCATTTAGGAATGTCAAAGCATTAGCATAAGCTTCCACATGGAAGTATAAATAATTCACGGGGTGTGTGGTTTGCAGTATCTCACAGGGAATATAAAGTTGGCATGCATCAAAGGTGAGCATAGTGATTAATTATTGTTAAAATGCCAAATGAGAATGCCTTTCCCTGACAAAGCAATCTGTGCCCAGACAAACTGCTTGGGTGGTTTGATGGACAGACCAAAGTGACATAATTCTTTTTAGTTTCTGATTCAGAAAAAAAAATGTGGTATGGGGGATCCATGCAGCCAGTGGGCCCTGGATACTGGGAGGATGTCCTTAATCGACCTCGACATCTGCAGCGCTGTAATATGCAAGCACTCAGCTCTGATAGCTTGTGATAGATTGTTGAACTACAGGAGGCATTCCAGGGAGACTCTGCATGATTAATAAACATTAAGAGCTTTTCATGTGGTATAAACCATCTAATTTATATTTCTGAAAGGTCATGGTTCAGCATTTTTAATGCATGGTTTAAATTTATTTTTTCATAACAAGTGTTTGTGGAGAGGGAGTGGGTGAGTGTCTTGTAGTATGTTTAAAGAAATAATTTTCACTATAGGTTTCTCTGAACTCTTAGTTTTGAGAAACCTGAAAAATGATGCACAATATGGATCATTTTCTTTGCAGTTAGATTAGCACTATATGATGCTATTCATATATATTTTAAATAATTTTTAAATCTGCATGTTGTCCACATGTACCCTAGAACTTAAAGTATAATAAAAAAAAACTATTTTAAATAAGGGAATAGGTGGAGCACTGAGGATTTTTAGGGCAGGGAAACTATATTGTATGTACCATAGTGGTGGATGAATGTCATTTTATTTGTCTAAACTCATAGGATGTACAAAATCAAGAATGCACCCTATTGTAAACTATGGACTTTGGGTGATAATAATGTGTTGGTGTAGGTTCTTCGATTTCCACCCTGGGAGGGTATGTTGATAGTGAGGGAGGCTGTCTGAGAGAGCGAGTACAGAGTATATGGGAAATCTCTGTAATTTCTGCTCAGTTTTGCTGGGCTCTAAATTAAAAGTTGCTTAAAAAAAACTTCTTTAAAAATGAAGTCTATTTAAAAAATAGTTTTTCTTGTGTTTTTCAATGCCTATTTTGGGAGTTCAGAACAACTGGCCAAGTGTGTAAAATATAAAAATAATTCTCAAACACTTGCTGATTATGGCAGACGGTTTTCAAAGATGGCCACAGTAATTCCTTCCAGCCCCACATATGCAGGCTTTTGCAATATGATTTCTCCCATCAAGGAATGGAGTCTAATTCTCATGCTTTATCCCTGGTCTCACGACTTGTTTTGACCAACAGAACACAATAGAAGTGCTATGTTGGGAGGGCTGAACCTTGACCTCAAAAAGACTTAAATCTTCCATTCTCCCTACCTGCACGTTACCTACCTATATGGTAGGTAACATGATATGAGGAAATCTTGCTTAGCCTCCTAAAGATAAAAGATCATGTGGCAAGTGAGAATGCCAGAGGATGGGCAGCGCCAAGCTCCAGGCACATGACAGACACCACTGTGGACCACCTAACCCAAGTCCACTTACCAGCACTGCAACCACAGCAGCGACCCCAGGCAGAACAGCCAAGAGCTGCCCCTTTTATCTGGGCCTAAATCACTGAACAAGGCTCATGAGCTGATGCGATGATTGATGTTATAAGCCACCGAGGTTTTTGTCTCTATGTTTTGTTCTTTCAGCAATAGATAATTGATATATCCTGGTACATTCTCTATCAAATTACAAATTGGAGTTTTTATAATGAACCATAAAAACTTGTTCATTTCTATAGTTTGGACAGCTCCTTTGTACGAATACATAATTTTAGAAACAGACATTTTTATAAAAATATTTTTTAATTTATTTTTTGCAAGAAGAGCACTTTTTTCTTTTTTTTCTCCTGACTTCCTCTTTTTATTTTATTTTATTTTTAAAATTTTACTTTAAGTTCTAGGATACATGTGCAGAACGTGCAGGTTTGTTACATAGGCATACATGTGCCATGGTGGTTTGCTGCACCTATCAACCCATCATCTAGGTTTTAAGCCCCACATGCATTAGGTATTTGTCCTAATGCTCTCCCTTCCCTTGCCCTCCACCCCCTGACAGGCCCCGGTGTGTGATGTTCCCCTCTCTGTATCCATGTGTTCTCACTGTTTGACTCCCACTTATGAGTGAGAACATGTGGTGTTTGGTTTTCTGTTTCTGTGTTAATTTGCCGAGAATGAAGATTTCCAGCTTCATCCACGTCCCTGCAAAGGATGTGAATTCATTCTTTTTTATGGCTGCATAGTAGTCCATGGTGTATACGTGCTACGTTTTCTTTATCCAGTCCATCGTAATCTACAAGGAACTTACACAAATTTACAATAACTCTTTTTTCTATTCCCTTCCCTCATCCCAATCCCTGTCTTCACTCCCAGGCAATTAACAACAAACATCACAGGTAACTAGGAGGAGAGCAAGGAAGGGAGTCCACCTAGAGAGACCTAGAACAGATTCAAAACAGTGGGGCAATATTTCCAATATTGCAGGTAGTTCTTTGGCAACACTTTACTGACAAACATTCTTTGGAAAATCATCTACTTTTTTGCTCTCTATTTTTTAAAATATTTTAACTTTCATTTTAGCTGAAAGGTGTATGTGCAGGTGTGGTATATAGGTAAACTTGTGTCTGAGGGTTCATCATTGTGCAGATTATTGTGTCACCCAGGTATCAATCCTAGAATGCATTTCTTTTTTCTGATCCTCTCCCTTCCTCCAACCTCCTGTAGGCCCCACTGTCTGTTGTGTCTGCCCCTCTTATGTGTCCACATGTTCTCATCATGAAGCTCCCACTTCTCACTTATAAATGAGTACATGTGGTATTTGGTTTTCTGTTCCTGCATTAGTTTGCTAAAGATAATAGCCTCCAGCTCCTTGTTCCTGCATCTGTGTTCCTGCAAGGGACATGATCTTGTTCTTTTTATGGCTGCATAGTATTCCATGGTGTATATGTACCACATTTTCTTTATCCAGTATATCACTGATGGGCATTTAGGTTGATTCCATGTTTTTGCTATTGTGAATAGTGCTGCAATGAACATATGCATGCAGGTATCTTTATGGTAGAATGATCTACATTCCTTTGAATATAATCCCAGTAATGAGATTGCTGGGTTGAATGGCATTTCCGTTTTTAGTTCTTTGAGGAATTGCCTCACTGCTTTCCACATTGGTTAAACTAATTTACACTCCCACCAGCAGTGTAAAAGCAAGAAAAAGACTTTCAATAGGCTTATAAAATTAACAACTGTCACTCTTGTTCTACTTAAGTAAGGGTTTATCAGTAAAAATAAAGTCTAATAAATCCAAGAGTAGAGATAAATAATTAATTGCCAATATTGCTCCTTTCTTTATTTATCTTCCAGAATTTCTTTCACTCTTAAATTTTCTTTCTAGATTTAAATTTAAATAAAATTTTAAAATTATGCGGAATCGTTTGGTGCTTTCCTTAAAAATCTAAATTTTTCAATAACAGAGTTAAGAATAAAATCGTCTCAACAACTTGTCTTTTCAAAAACTCCTTCACTTATTCATCACCCCAATACCCAATACCCTAGGGAATCAAGAAATGGCCATGAAGAAAAAAATTAGCTTTCAGAAACTAGTTTTTCAGTATAAGCATTTTCTCATATATTTTGTATTATCAGAGAAAATGTATTTATATTGGTTTCTTAAGAGATAAACTAAATTTTTTAAAAGTTATTTGAGATTTGGCTGAATGCTGAGCATCACTGTTATTTTTTAAATAAGGAGCCTCCTGCCAACTTGCATTACTAGTTTGTTATAATTATTTTAT
Source organism: Homo sapiens (assembly GCF_000001405.40). NCBI lineage: Eukaryota > Metazoa > Chordata > Mammalia > Primates > Hominidae > Homo > Homo sapiens. The sequence goes on from NC_000007.14 coordinate 52,700,025, forward strand.
ATTATATCCGTTAGTGACACCTTCATTTTAATGAAATATATTTGCACACTTCATTTAGCTTCTCAGAAATTATGGAACTTTACAACCTGCTTTTAAGCACATCATTTATTTTTCAAAGATAGCACCACAGAATTCAGACTCCTTGCTCAAGAACAGGTAAATATTTGTTTCCCCAACTCATTCTGATGAAGTGGTCAGCCATCCTTGGACATTGATGATACAGGCAAACATTATCACAATATTATTAGCTCAGAACTTGGAAAGTCACAAATCTACTTTGAATCTAGGTTTTGCAATTAACTAAGTCCACTAACTTACTACACATTGAAACATGTACTTAAATCATCTATGGTTGCCTCATCTGTCATGCTAGCCTTGATGCTAATTCTGAGGCTTTCTGATCATCTATAGAAGTTATCTGTGCCTGATACATAACTGTTTAATAAGCCATGGATATTATCATGATTTTATAACAGTACTCAAGCAGGCAGGGGCAGCATCCACCCCTCACAGTCCTGTCCAGCTGCATCTTCAGAATTTATGTGGTCGGCCCCATGAGGATTGCTCCAGTTTGATAATGTTCTGTCACATATGCTGCTCTTCTCAATTTGTCAATATCTCACAAAAGTCTCCAAATGAATGATGAATGAACTGTTGGTGCTGATTCAAAGAAAAAGAGCCACAAATCAAGCAGTCAGACACTCATCTGCCTTCCCGTAGTTGCTGCTTTCTCAGGAGAGAGAAATTTCTTTGAACATTGGAATCAGCAATTGACAAAGACATATTCCCAAATGACACTTTGCTACTTAACCATCTTTAAGTATTAAGTGTTTCTTAATTTAATAAGAAAGGGGAGCTGAGCTAAACCTGTCCCTGAAACCATCCTAGAGAAGCACCTGCCAGCAGCAAAGCTGTTGAAATGAATAAATAAGATTAAACAACTATGGGAAATATGTTTAGAGAGGAAACTTCAAATAACATAAACCATAATAAGTAAAAATACAAATGTTTTCAGTATGAACTAACTAAATAACATTTTTAGATTCAGGATTTGAGAAGAAATGAGGGCTGATAGAGGGATTGTGGGTTTGCTAATTTTCCATTTAACACAGTGGGAGTATCTTCAGTTTTAATTTAAGAAGAAGATTAAAAAGCCAATTAAATATATTTATTAATGTAGCCATTAGATTCAGTAAAAATAACTTGAATTATCAAGTAAGCATAAGAAAAATTTAAAAAGATATTGAAAAATAATATATAAAGGGAGCAGTAGTATAAAAAAACAAAAGCACAACATAATTGAAGAAAATATCTTAGAAAAACATCTCAGGTTTCAATAAATGTGAGCATAATCAAAATAATTTGTTGTTTATGACGAATATAAACAAAACAGACTAAGACTGGATCATAAAAAAACACTAACTCTACTAAAAATAAAATTTACCTGAAAGTTGAAAGTAAATATACGAAAATTAAAGCAGAATTATCATATCAATTGCATGCAAATTAAAGTCAAATAAAGCTTAAATAGCAAAAAATAAATAGGTATATAGATGTTCTAAATGACACACTCATCTATATACATTTAGATGATATAGAAACTGAATGTTATCTACTTAAAAAGAGCAAACTATTATTTTAATTACCCATAAATTACAAAAATTTACTATATACTAGGTCAAAAAGCAAAAACATCAATACAGTTCATAATATAAAAATAAATCAGCAATGTGCTTTGACTTAAATTTTAAAATATTAATATTAATAAGAAGCAAAACAGTAATTATATGTAACTATTCTTTGTAATATTTGAGTCAAAGATTTAAATTAAAATATAATTAAAGCTTCAGAAAATTTCATTGATGGAATCATATGACACAGTGAATGCAGGAACAAGGAAAGAATGTAAATAAATTCATTAATCAGTAAGTTAAAAATTAAATCACCAATTAAATGCGATAAAGCTGAATAAAATTATTAATAATGTTGAGGACAAAAATCAGTTAGTACAGACATTAACAGTTGAACTTGCAAGTATAGCCAGCAAATAATTTTTTAGAAAATGCTTAGGGTGGCTGAGGCAGGCCAATCACATGAGGTCAGGAGTTTGAGACCAGCCTTGCCAACAAGGTGAAACCCCATCTCTACTAAAAATACAAAAAAATTAGGCATGGTGTCAGGTGCCTGTAATCTCAGCTACTCAGGAGGCTGAGGCAGGAGAATCACTTGAATCTGGGAGGTGGAGGTTGCAGTGAGCCGAGATCACGCCACTGCACTCCAGCCTGGGCAACAGAGTGAGACTCCATATCATAAAAAAGAAAATAAAATGTATAGGAATATCAGATTGTCCTTTAAATGTGGCCCTCAATCTTTTTTTATTTATTTGTTGACTTAAGTTAAAATAGATGGAGCAACTCAGTAAATAAACATGAACAAATATAGACATAAAGGAATAAATTAAAACAAGAAACCTGTCTTTCCGGTGTTAAACATGTGTTTAAGGATAATTAGAAAATGCGTAGATTGTGATAAAGACCTATCTCAGCAATAGAGGAAATCAGAACACACGATAACAGAAATGTGATATTTAAGAAAAGATAAAGGAAACCCAGAGTTAAGAGAGGAAACACTACAAGGACACTAGAGAATTGGGAGGCATCTGGCACCTATAGCTTCAGAAAACATTAAATACAGCCGGAAACCTAGCCAAGTTGGCAAAAACAAGCAAACAAACAAACAACAAATACATCTCATACTAACAGCCTTTTAATTTCAATTCCTATTTCTTAATACATTATGTCTGGCTTTTAACAACAAATTATAAGGCATACTAAATGACAAAGAAAAAACCCCACAACTTGAAGATACTGGGTAAGCATCAGAACAAGACTGAGGGCAGAGACTTTGGATTTAAAAGACCTGGAAGTTAAAACAACTATAATTAATATGCTAATATTTCTAATGGAAAGAGTGGAAAATGCAAGGACAGGTGATTAATCTAAGTAAGGATATGGAAGCAAAAAGAAATGCTAGAAATCAAAATCACTGTAACAGAAATAAAGAGTTGTTTTGATGAGCTCACTGCCAAATTGGACATGCCAAAAGAAAAAATGTCAATAGAAACTTCCAAAATTGAAATGCAAAGAGAAACAAGGATGAAAAAGACAGAACAGAATATTCAATAACTGTGGGCCAATTACAAAAGATGTAATGTATGCATAATGGGAACATCAGAGGAAGAAAGAAAGTGAGGAGCAGAATAAATATTTGAAGCAATAATGAGAGAGAATTTCTCAAAATTAATGATAAACACAAAACCACAGATTCAGGATATTCAGAAAACACCAAGCAGGATAAGTACCAAAATATTTACACTTATGCATATCATTTTTAACCTGTGGAAAACCAAAGACAAAGACAAATCCTTAAAAGAAGACAGAAAAACAAAACAAAATGAAAACAAAATACTATTGAGGAACAAGAATAAGAATTACATCAGACTTTCACAAACCATGCAAACAAGATCAGAGTGAAGTGAAATCTTTAAATTGTGGAAAGAAGAAAAAAAGTCTTGAAAATTCTATCCAGAGAAAGAAATCTTCAAAAGTTAAGAAGTAATTATTCATCACCCGCAGAAATGCTATTCAAGAAACACTAAAATTTCTTCAGGGAGACAAAAAATAATATTTGTCAAAAACTCAGATATACATAATGAAACTAAGAGTATTAGAAAAGACATAAAGTTAAAATAAAGATTATAAAAGCAAAAAACAAGTGCTGCAAATAGAAAACAATCATACACATGGTAGATACTAACCCAACTACATCAATAATTTTTTAAATGTAAGTGATATAATCTCACCAATTAAAAGTTGGAGACTGTTGGGGTGAATTAAGAAAAAAAGACCCAACTCTATCAAAAGAAAGCTGGAGTGGCTATATTATTTTTAGACATGTTGATGTCAGAACAAGGGAAAATATAAGAGACAAAGGAGGAAATTACAGACTGATGAAGGAGTCAATTCTCCAAGAAGACAAAACAGTCCTAAATGTGTGTGAGCCTAACAACGGTGTCAAAATATGTGAAACAAAACACAGAAGTGAAAGGAGAAATATAGAAATCTGCTAACAGAGTTGGAGACTCACAACACCCTCTTTTAGTAGTTGATAGATAAGACAGAAAATCAATAAAGATATAGTTAATGTGAACAACATCATCAATCAATTGCATTTAATTGACATTTATAGAATACTCCCTCCAACAACACCACAGCACAAATTCTTCTCAAGCTTGCATGAAGTATCCATCAATATAGGCCACATTCAAGGCCATAAAATATATCCTAACTACTATACAAAAATAGAAATAAAATAAAGTATGTTCTCAGACCACAATGGGATTAAATTATTAAATAATAACATAATATAGCTGGAAAATCCTCAGATACCTAGAAATTAAACAACTTAGTTTCATGTAATATATAGGTCACAGGAGTTTCAACAACAATTAAAATATTTTGAACTAAATGAAAATGCAAATTTATGAAAATTGTGGGATGCGATGAAGTAATACTTAGAAGCAAACTTACAGCAATTAATGCATATGTTATATAAGCAGAAATCTAAAATCAGTAACCTAAATTTCCATCTTGGAAAACTAGAAAAAGTAGAAAAATTTATGTCTAAAGCAAGCAGATGAAAAGGATTAGCAAAAATTAGAGCAAAAATAAATAAAATTGAAAATAAGAATTTACAGAGAAAATCAATGTAACTAAAAGATTTTTTTTGAAAAGATCAATAAAACTGATAAATATCTATCTAGGCTAACAAAAAAGAAAAGACAAAAGACACCAATTGCCAATACTGAAATGAAAAAGAGGTAATAACTATTGATCCCATGGACATTAAAATGATGTTGAAGGAACACCACAAATAACTCTATTCCCACAAAGTTGATGAACTAGACGGAATAGAACAAATTCCTTGTTCTACAAACTACCAAAAGTCACACAAGGAAAAAGATATAATCTGAGTAAGCCTATGTCTATTAAATCAATAATTAGCAACTTTCCAAAACCAAAATGACAAAGCCCAGTGACTTTATTGGTGAATTACCAAACATTTAAGGAAAAAGTGATACCACTTCTCTGTAATTTTTTTCAGAAAATAGAAGTGGCAACAATTTCTAACTCATTCTATAGGTCAGAGTCATCTATATGGTAAGGATTATAGTTATGTAATTCAGCATAATTGTGTGTTTAACTTAACATAGAAATATGTACAGATATGTGTATAAAGAAATATTAATAGATGTGTGTACATACACAAGTTAATATACAAACATATATCTCCTTTTGTTAGCAGAGAAAGGCTGGAAGCAAAGGCACCTCACTAGCAATGACAACACCAGATGACCAGATGCTGGCTCCTTGGCAAACTGGCAAATTCTTGGCATGAGGCAAGAAATATACAACATAAGCCTAGATCTTCTTGTAGTTCCAAAAAGTAAGAAAATGTTCAAAACACATAGCAACAACAACAACAACAAAAAAACAAAACAAACAAAAAAGGAAACCTCTAGAATTTGGGAGAGAGAGATATGAATGGGACTCAGGACCTTACTGAAAAAAACTCCCAGTGACTAAATCTACAACAATTAGGGCAAAAATAAAGTAGTATTGGATTATAATTCAAGGGATAGAATAAATATCCACAAAACCATATTGATATGCATGAATGATTCAATGCATAATAAATGCAGGAGAACAGACAAATCTCCCACACAAAAAGTTCCAAAGGGAGTAGAGCAGAACCCTCTACTTTCTACAATTCTTACAATGTGGGCTGTGCACAGTGACTTCCTTCCCAGGAGGACAGTATGAAAAGGCTGAGGAATCACCTTACAGTGGAGAAACCTGGAAAATACTGCCTTAGCCAGGTGATCACTTCAACATCAGCAGTGATGAATCATGCGATTAGTATGCACCTTTGATATAATGTGATGAAAACAGCAGCTTACCTCTGTTGTCTTGCTGCCCAGAACACATGACTCCACTGTAACCATGAGAAAAACATCAAATGGCGATAGAAGAACATTTTACAAAATACCAGACTAGCACAAGTCAAAACTGTCAAGATCATCAAAAACAAGGAAGCCCTGAGAAACTGTTACAGCCCAGAGGCATCTAAGAAGAGATGGTGACTAAATGTAATGTGCTATCTGGACATTATGTTAAGAAAATCTAAAGATATAATTGATTATACTTAACAAATTGGTATTGGTTTTTAAATCACGCATATGTACCATATTCATATTGATGTTAAACGGTGAATAAGGGGGAACCGAGTGTGTGGTAAATGGGAACTCTACACTACCTTTGCAATGTTTTTCACAACTGAATGATGAGGCTGAGCATCATGCAAGTCCATAGGAGATGGCATTTCGTGGGCTGTTTCTTTATCTATACTTTACATAGGCTAATGGCATAAAGACCACACGGTTCAACAGCCGTCATTTTACAGGGTGTAGAAGTGAAATCAGGCCGTCCTGACTTGAGCTTTGCTAATAGTCTCATTTAATCACCACCTCCCGCTCAAAACCTTTCAATTGACGATAAATATGTATGTACAAGAAACAGACTGAGAGGAGAGGGTTCAAGGTTATACTTCTTAAAACATACCTATGCTGGTGAAGTTTTGCTTCTTACTCAACCAGCATCTGTTTTGAAATGAATGACATCTTATGGAATTTGACAAACTAGGAACTATCCTTGCTTAACTAAAAAGGCTCTACATTTCTGAATAGAGTCCAATTAAGATTGTTTGGATGAGACAAGATTTTCTTCAAAATATAAAATTTGGTAACATATATTCAACTAGTGACCATATTTTCAACTTTCTTTTTTTTAGAGATGGGGGCCTCACTCTGTCACCCGGACTGCATTGCATTGACACTATTACAGCTCATTGCAGCCTCAAACTCCTGGGCTCAGAAGATCCTCCCACTTTAACCTCACCAGCAGCTGGGACTATAGGCCTGGGTCATCAAGTCCAGCTAATTTTTTCTTTAAAAGAATTATTTTTTAGAGACAGAGGTCTTGCTATGCTGCCCAGGCAGGTCTTGAACCCTGGCCTCAAGCAATCCTCTTGCCTTGGCCTCTCAAAGTGCTGGGATTGCAGATATGAATCAATACCCCCAACCTCAATTTTATATCAGCTAGCTGCATTATTATTTCCTCTTTGCCTGACAAACTATTTGTTTACATTTATGTTAAGTTTTTCTTCTCAGGATTGAGCACCAGGTTGAAATTATATATACTGTATAAACTGTGTGTATATTTTTCATATATACAAATATATATATATGAAATGCCATACACATAGTTCTTTATGTTTCCAAATTCAATTAATGAATTAAGATCTGTATGACTTCAGAGTCATAGAATTACTGATTTTCAAAATTTTCAATTTTGCCTAAGATGAGAACTGCTGTATTTTAGCACGTTTATAAAGACAACACAAAAACATATCAACACTAAATTACATTTTTAAAAACAAAATCCAATAGCTGTCGAAAGTTTATTTAATCATCACACATCGGGACAAATTTTTACATGCTGAAAACAGTTAAAATAAAAGATTGTCACAATATACCTTTTAAAATTGTCTTTTCAGTTAACATTAATTTACATTCTAACAAATTGCTTAGTTAAGAAAGAAAGTTTTCCAAACATCCAAAAAGGTTTTCAAAAGTTTAGTAAGACAAATCTTGTATAAACTCAATAAATAAATGAAATATGTTTTTCTATAGAACTCTGGTTAGAAAAATTACTATTTATTACATAAAATATTATTTTACATAGGCATTTTTTACCTACCTTGTACCTGATCCTAAAGTTATCTGCTAAGTAATTCAGTAAGGTTTAATTATTGCAATTAGACATATAGGCCTTTAAAAAGTTAATAGACATATCTGCAAATATACAATTGAACTTGAATAGTTTTTAAGCTTTAAACTTCTATTTCAAAGAACTCTTTGCCCAACTGGGCATGAAGAAATAGAGAATGTTGAGTTTCACGAAAATCTCGATTCCCTTTTGCACTTTTCTTTTTATAAATATAATTCTCAAACAAAACATAACTAGGAGATCCATACAGAAACTCTTAAGTTCAACTAGTGTCTCATAAAAATGAAAGGACTGCCTGTTTTCTAAGCCTCTAGTATTCAGGTCTGTGACAACCCTTTTATCACATAGATACAGAAAAAGCTTCTAACAATTTCTGAACTGCATATGTAGCAAAAAGATTGTTAGACCAACATTGAAAAAGAAAAAACCCAAAATTTATGTATTTTAGGATTTTTAAATCTATAAGAATATCAACTGTAATACATGCTTATAGTTGCATTAATTAGAAAGCTATAATGTATTCATTATATTACGTATTTATCATAAAATGATTGTTTTATACTGCATAAGTGTCATTTTTTCTATAGAAAATAGTTCAGAAATAAAAATGCATTATTCAATTGAATATAATAGTTTATGCTATAGAGTATGGTAATATTCTAGGCTATAAAGAATAATTCTCTAGCCCTGAAGTAACAGAAAATAAGCTGCTTTAGGTAAGCAAATAAAAATTGGATTCTTACTCTCTTATTCTTGAAACACATCACTAATCTCAAAAATAACTAGCAATAGCTAGTAAAATTCAAACTAATCTTTGCTGGTGGAAATGGAAAATGAGGGTTTGAAGAAGGAATGTCTAAAATAAGTATAGAAATCACAGGACTTCACTGCAATTCAGAGACAAAAGATGCTAATTTTTGGAAAGAGGCAATTGCTAAAAAGTACTTGCAGAAAATAACTTGTCTTTATGTAAGTTTTACTCTCCAACTAGCACAGTTGTATTTTGTTTGTTTTTAGTTTTTTGACTCTTGAAAGTACAGGTGCTGTGCACCTGTGGGCCTGATAATTGCCTGTCCAGTGGAATATGAAGGAACAGAAACCAGAAACCTCTTATCGAGTTTAACCAACAGAGAGGTGCTGTTAGAGTTTAAAGGAAGTGATTCTACCTGGGTCTTCATCAGCTGCATGAAAATGTATTCAGAATTACGGCACAGTGAAAGAAAAACAGTCCAACAGGTCTGCACGTGGATCTGAAATGTGATTTACTCTCCAGAATCTGAGCAAATGCTTAACCTATCTGTGGCTCAGTTTCTCATTTATATGGTGAGGATCATAATACCCATAACTTGTGCTGTTTTCTATTAAATGCTGCTTCCCTGCATTGGTCCCAGCCTGCAAGACAAAGAAATTACACTTACAAGAAAGCTCTAGTTCCAGATTGACAAGGGGCCTGTCAGCAAAATGGCTTATTTTTTCCTGTATTTATCAGGTTAAAATAGGGATAATGCCTTTATCTGGTTAGCTCTAGGCACTAACCATATATAAAGGAAAATAAAATTACCCACCTGTGGTCTCCATTATGTGAAAGTTTGATTTTTTGCGTTAGGAGAGTAACAATAACTGTTAAGAAAGATTCATCTTGGCATCTGTTGCCAGAATACTGGGAGCAGTAACTTACAAGACACCTGTGAGCCATGGGAGGTTGAGTGGAGTGTTGGATACCACAGCCTACACAGCCTCTGTAAGACTGTCAGTGTTACTGGATGAATGCTGGACTGATGTTACTGGGAAATGGCATTGGAATAATACACATCCCACATGACAGTAAACATTTTCTTGATTGATTGATGTAGACCTTGCCAATTAAAATAGCTCAAGGGAGATTCAGAAGTGAGCAGACAGAGCCACACAAAAGATCAAATCTTAGGGCTTTAGCATGTCATTTCCAAGTACATACATTGTTTTCAAACTATATGTTGTTTTCAAACAAATTCATTACTATAAATTTTCCTCTAAGCACTGCTTTTACTGCATTCGACATGTTTAGATAAGCTATATCTTCATTTTCTTTGTGTTTGAAATATTTTTTAAATTTATTCTTGAGACTTCTTCTTTGACCCATATGTTATTTAGAAATTTGTTTATTAATTTCCAAGATAGGTTTTCCAGCTATTTTTGTTATTGATTTCTAGTTTTTTTGTTATGATCTGAGTATTTATTTTGTATGATTTCTATCTTTGTAAATTTGTTGTGTTTTATGTCCCAGAATATAGTCTATGTTGGTGAATGTTCCATGACAGCCTGAGAAGAATGTGTATTCTACTGTTGTTTGATGAAATAGTACATAAATATCAATTATATTCAGCTGATTGATGGTGCTGTTAAGTTCAACTATATCCTTACTGATTTTCTGTCTGCTGGATCTTCCATTTCTGTAGAGGAGTGTTGAGGTCTCCAACAATGATACTGAAATCATTCTTCCTCTGAAGTCCGCTTTGTCTGTACTGAATATAGTTACTCCCACTTTCATTTTATTAGTGTCACTAGATATTTTTTCTTTATTTTTTCACTTTAAATCTATCTGTGTTTTTATAAAGTGGGTTTATTGTAGACAATATAGAATTAAGTCTTTTTTTTCCTTTGGTTTTTTTTTTTTTTTCCATTCACTCTGACAAGTTCTGTTTTTCTGTTGGTAACAACTGATGTTTAGAGTAATTATTAATTTAGTTGGTTTACATCTCCCTTATTTGTTACTATTTTTTCTGTTTTCTATTTTTCGCTCTTGTTATTTTTTTGTTTTCCACTCTTTTCTTGCCTTCTCTAGTTTTAATTATTTTATATGATTCTATTTTTCTCCTCTCTTAGGATATCAATTATACTTATTTTAAAATATTTTTTATTGGTTGCTATGCCTTCGAACTACACATTTACAATTAATCCAAGTTTCATTTCACATAATGTTGTATCACTTCACCAGTCGTGAAAGTACCTTGGAATAGAGTATTCCTAATCTCTCTCTTGCATCCCCCTGTAACATTACGGTCATTTATTTCATTTTCCGTAAACTATCATTACTGAGAGTTTGAATACTATTAAAACGAATGAGAATAGAAAAAGTAGACGATGCTATTTTACCCCACTTATTCCTTCTCTAATGCTCTTCCTTTCTTTATGTAAAACTGAATGTCTGACCTATAGTCTTTTTCTTCTTTCTGAAGAATTTCTTACCACTTCTGTCAAGGTAGTTCTATTAGAAACAAAATTTCCTCATTTTTTTGCTTGTCTGGAAAAGTCTTTTTTCCTCTCTCACTTTTGAAGTATAATTTCACTGATACAAAATTCTAGATTGGTGAGTTTTTTTTTCCTTTTAGCATTTTAAACTTTTCACTCTACTCTCATCTTGCTTGCGTGGTTTCTGAAGAGCAGGTCACTGCAATTTTTATCTCTGCTCCTGTATATGTAAGGTATTGTTTTCCTTTTTTATTTCCCTCCTCTGGTTTTCAAGATTTTGTCATTTTCTTTGATTTTCTGCAGTTTGAAAATTATATATCTATGTGTAAATTTTGTGGTATTTAGCCGGCTTTCTGTTCTCTGAAATTCCTGGATCTGTTGTTTCATATTTATCATTAATTTGGGGGAAATTCTCACTTATTATTACTTCAAATACTTTTTCTCTTCCTTTCTTCTCCTCCTTGTATTCTTCTTCTGCATACCTCACAGCTTTTGTGATTCTCCTTCATTCTTGAACATTTTGTCCTGCCATTTCATTCTTCTTTCTCTTTGCCTTTTTGTTTTGGAAGTTTCTATTGACATTACTTGGAGATCACTGATTCTTTCTTCTGCTGCGTACAGTCTTTTGATGAACATTATTAACATGTATTTGATTTCTGGTATTTCCTTTTTATTCTTTCTTAGAGTTTCAGGCACTCTTCTTACATTATCTATCTGTTTTTGCATGATTTTTGACTTTTAAAATTAGAGCCCTTAGCATATTTATCATAGTTGTTTTAAATTCTAGGACTAGTAATCCCAACATGTCTGTCATATCTGGGTCTGGTTTGGATGCTTACCTGTCTCTTCCAACTGATTTTGTCTTTTAGTATGCTTTGTAATTTCATGTTGCAAGCCAGAAGTGATATCCTGGGTAAAAGGAACTCAGTGAGGTAAACGGCCTGTTAGTGTGTGGTTTATGTTTATCTGGTTTATTGCTTGCTGTAGCTGTAAGTATCAGGCTATGGTTTCCTGTGGTTTCTTTGTTTGTGCCTCCCCTGTTGTCTTTGGGATTTCCCATTTTTTTTTCTTAAAAAGGACTAAGATGTGCAGTTCTCTAAGTTATATTCCCTTGTTACCCCATTGTATTACACCTGTGCCTCTGAACTGTGGCATTTGTAACTGCTTCTCATTTCCCTAACCCCTTCCTAATTAAGAAGGAGAGGATGGAGGGAGTTAGAATTGGGTTCTACCTTCCCCTCACATGGAAGACTTAGACCTGGGTATTTTATTTCCCCCATGTGGAGGGCTACAAAGGGATGCAGTTGAATTTTTCCCCTTTTCAGGTCAGTAAGGCTGTAGTAAAAACTCAGCAGCACAGGTTTTGCAGAAACCCCCAGTACGTTTGACTCTGGTGGAATAGTTTCTGTAGAGGGCAGGCCTAGTTAAGAACAGAATGCTCTGGTTCTACTTCAAAATGGCTACTTTTGGAAAACTGGAAGCAAGAGAGGATTTTTCTTTGGTCTTTATTAAGAGAATCCTAGAGGTAAACCTCACAAAAATGTGAGGGCCCTCATGGAATTGTTAACTTTCAAACTTATCCACCATGAACAGCTATCAAATTGTCAACTGTTATTTAGGTTTTCCTACCACACTACTAGTGATATAGGAGTTAAAAAGAAATTATTTAGGCAGTTAGTGAGGGTACAGGAGTCCTCGGTAAGGTTTTCCTTTTAATAAAAAGCAGTCCCAAAATCTTTTCTTTTCTAACAAAAAGCAGCCTGAAAAATCAAGCAGCAAGCACAGATAAACCAAGCTGGAGGCTTGCACAGGTGAATGCTGGCTGCTGTGCCAGGTGCCAGGAATATATCTAACATGGAGGATTTCTCTTCCCTTTTCTTTGTTGCCATGTGTGAGGGTGTCATGGCACCAGCCAGGTAGAGACACCATCTGCATAATAAAAGATTAGGGTAGGATGGCTAGCCTCTTCATGGGCTATGTAAATGGCACACCTGGTGCAACCAATCCCTGGGCCTTATGTAAATCAGACACCACCTCCTCAAGTCCCTCTATAAAACCAACTGCATACTGTCACGAAAAGGGGAGATCTGACTGGAACTCCCCTCCCTCTACCTTGGGGAGCTTTTCTCTTGCTTCTTTCACCTATTAAACCTTCCGCTCTTAAACCCACACCTTGTGTGTCCTTGTCTTAGTTTTCCTTAGAGTGAGACAACAAACCTCGGGTATTTCCCCAGACAAATGACACAGCTTCACTAGTTCCTGCAGAGCTTTCTGCTCCAGTAAATTGTGATTCTCTGTACCCTCCTGTGTGTCTGTCCAGTTTGGGGAGCACCAGCTTCCTCTGTGACTTCAATTATCTGATGGATCTGAAAAGTCATTGGTTTCTATTTTGTTATGCTTTTTTCCTGTGGGAACAGAAATGATGACTTCCAAGTTCCTCACATGCTGGCCCAGGAATTGGAGGTCCCCCATATGTTCTTGATTATTTCTTACCCTCCATTATTGATAGTACCTAGCATGGCAGAGTGGTGAGCTAAGCACCTGTCAACAATAGGTTAACACATCAAAGGAAGTAGACCTAGGGAGTGGCTTGTACTCAACAACAGATACAATAAGGCAGGTTCACACTGAATACCCAACTTTGTCACAACCACCATGTATTTAACTACGGCTAATATTTTTCTGTATTTTATTTGTGAAAAATTGAGTAAAGTAGATTCAAATAAAAACCAGAAGTGTAAGATTCCCAAGATACCCTCTGGGCTCTTGCTCTTCATGCCTTGTATTAATCATGTTTTTTTTTTTTTAATTATACTTTGACACCTAAGGGGCTTTGGGATCTGGGGTGAAACTGCCTGTTTCAGCATGAGCTAATTCCTAGAGATAGTAATCAACTTAGTGCAGACCTTTCATATGCAAACCAACCAACCCTGACCCCATACCCTTCATCCTCCTCCTTTATCTAACTCTCATACACCAAGCAGATATTCCCCCTGTCCTAAGTCACTCCAGAGCCACATGCCAGATAACGAGGGACGACCTCCATCACCCAGGGTTTGCCAAATTCCAAGCTTGTTCAGTTGCTCACTGTGCCTCATGGATTCCATTCCACAGAAACCACATGCTTATGTCCATGCTTCTCCCAGTTTCCTCTGCCCCTGGCCAAGGCTGGTACTTTCTTGTGTGGTCCTGCATGGATTGCCATGGTGTGTCCTCTCCTCTTGGAAACTATGAGTAATCAATTCTTCTTTTAATGGCTTTGACCCTTTTCTGTCTGTCACTTTACTGCTCCTGATTAAAACAAAACTCTGGTACATTTTGAAACATGCCTTTTTGTAACCGCCCAATGGGTTCGCCTTGCCCACTGCCTAGCCACACTACTAGTGATATAGGAGTTAAAAAGAAATTATTTAGGCAGTTAGTGAGGGTACAGGAGTCCTCGGTAAGGTTTTCCTTTTAATAAAAAGCAGTCCCAAAATCTTTTCTTTCTAGCCAGAGCTGATTTATCGAGACAGGGGAATTGCAATGGAGAAAGAGTAATTCACACACAGCCAGCTGTGCAGGAAACCAGAATTTTATTATTACTCAAATCAGTCTGTCTGAGCATTTGGGGATAAGAGTTTTAAAAGATAATTTGGAAGGTAGGAGCTCAGGAAGTGGGGAGGACTGATCGGTCAGGTTGGAGATGGACTCACAGGTGGGGTAGAAGTGAGTTTTTGTTTGCTATTTTCTGTTCCCAGGTGGGATCACAGAACTGGTTGAGCCAGATAACAGGTCTGGGTGCAGGGTCTGCAAAATGTCTCAAGCACTAATATTAGGTTTTACAATAGTGATATTATCCCCAAGAACAATTTGAGAAGGTTCAGACTCTTGTAGCCAGAGGCTGCGTGACCCCTAAACTGTAATTTATAACCTTGTAGCCAATTTGTTACTTCTGCAAAGGCAAACTGCTCCCCGGGCAAGAAAGGGGTCTTTTTGGGAAAGGGCTATTATCAATTTTGTTTCAGAGCCATAAATTCCTTCCCAAGCTTAGTTTGGCCTCCTCCCAGGAATGAACAAGGACAGCTTAAAGGTTGGAAGCAAGATGGAGTCAGTTAGGTCTGGTCTCTTTCACTGTCATAATTTCCTCAGTTACAATTTTTGCAAAGATGGTTTCATTTCCTTTGATGTAAAATGTCAAGACCTGCAAAACTTAACTTTTCTCTATACACAGTGCAGAAAAATACAATCTAAAGTGGTCATTGTTTAAGAAACTTTGGCCTTTTTTAGGGGGGAGTTGTTCTGTTTCATTCATTTTTAATGGCTAAACTTAGACTGTTAATGATTACTTCATAAAATAACATTAGCAGAAAACTAGCCATTTCAACGTTTATCCACTTGACAGATATTAAATAATGAATAGCTTAGTTATTTAATTCAGCAAGTATCTATTTATTGCTATTTACTATTGAAGTAGCATTGTTGTCTGGGGTAAATACCCAAGACTTGTCGTCTCGTGTCAAGGAAATCGAGTATGTGGACAGAAGAAGTGAGTTTAGGAGTGGAGGTTTAATAAACAAAAGAAAGAGAAAGGATAGCAGCTCTGTCTTGCAAGAAAGAGGCGCTCCTGAATGGGACTTCCAGCCCACAGGAGAGTGCACCGGATTTTATAGACAGGCTTGAGGAGGTGGTGTCTGATTTACCTAGGGCCCACAGATTGGTTGGACCAGGTGTGACGTTTACGTAGCCCACAAGCAAGCTGATAGCCCCACCCTAATCTTATTATGCAAATAGAGTCTTTTCCTGGCTGGTGTCGTGTTGCCTGCTCCTTACTGTACACTGGCTGGCAAAGAGAAGGGACGATGGAGCCACCATGTTGAACATGCCTAATCCCAGGTAGCCTTTTCCTATTGGCATAGCTGCCGGCATTCACCCATGCAAGCTTCCAGCTTGCTTGCCTATGTCTGCAGCTCGATTTTACAGGCCGCTCTTTGTTAGAAAAGAAAATGATTTTGGGGCTGCTGTTCATTAAATGGAAAACCTTACTGAGGACTTCCTTACCCTCACTATCTGCCTAATTTCTTCTTAACTCCTGTATCACTATGTTTGAGGTACTCTGTTAGGCACTGAGTAGTGAACAAAACAGATCCTGTCCTCATTCGTGCTTCATTATTTTTGTTGTGATTTGGGAAAACTTCTCAGCTTTACTGTGATTTCTCTAATGTACTAGAATGTGCACAGTGTATAAAAGTTAAAAATGTTTTGCATTTCATTGTATAATGAAAGAAGGCCTCCAAATGAAATATTTAATGAGATTTTTTTTTCATATGGATAGGAAAATTTTAAGGATTGCGTTCTGTCAGGCAGGAAAAATACAATTTTTACTTTAGAAAATAATCAAATAAAAAATTATATAAAATGACCAAGTATAGCAGGGATAATTATAGTAATTATTATACTGTGCTAAAGATATCAACTTAGAAATATAATGGAATTGCAATTTCTACCATCTCACAGAAACTGATTTCAACTCCTGGGGTTCTAGTACCAGAAGGGAGAAAGCTTTCTGTCTTTTTTCTTTTTTCATTGCTTATAGCCACATGAACTCATTCTTATGGCCTGTGGGATCTTAATTTTCTCCTCCTCTATTTACTTCCACTTTGTATTAACTTCCTTCTTACCTTTTATATCTTCATATCTAAAAAATAGGTTTTTTTAGAAGTTTAGAGATTTTTATTGCTTCAACATTATTAGTGCCATATTTACAAATGTGTAGTTGCTCAATTTGAACAAATTTGAATAGAGTGAAGACTTATAGGATTTTAGAAACTGTGCAATTACATTCCTTCATTAAAGACAAGAAATTGAAGCTATGTGACTGCTCAGTGTTAAGTGTTCTGTGAACAAAACACACATTGACACAGTGTCATACACACACACATATACACACATGCATAGAGTCACATATAGTTATAGAATTTTAATGCTACTTATATTAAAAACAATTTGAATCTTAAGTAAAGTGAGTTAGATATTCAGTCATTTAAATGTAATTTTTTTTTTTTTTTTGAGATGGAGTCTTGCTCAGCCGCCTAGGCTGGAGGGCAGTGGCGCGATGTTGGCTCACTGAAACCTCTGCCCCCTGGGTTCAAGCTATTCTCTTGCCTCAGCCTCTCGAGTAGCTGTGCCTCCCAACACCAGAATAATTTCTGTATTTTTAGTAGAGACGGGGTTTCACCATGTTGGCCAGGATGGTCTCGATCTCTTGACCTCATGATCTGCCCGCCTCTGCCTCCCAAAGTGCTGGGATTACAGGCGTGAGCCACCGCGCTCAGCCTACATGTAATTTAATATGCATATTTATTAAGCTAATATGTATTGATAAAATATTGGATTTCTATTAAAGGAAGCTGGATTATGCATGAAGTTGGATTTACCTCCCACGATCGATAGAAGTTTAAATATCCTCACAGATAATTAGAAGTGCCTAGGCAAATCATGAAATAACAAGGGGAGAATAGTCATAAATACATCATGTGCTATATTACTTAATGACCATAATGTCAGCCTTCTTCATAGAACCCAACTGTAATACTATCAAGCCTATGAGATGCGATACCAGTAGTCTTAGCATTGCGAAAGGTCAGAGAGCAGCGTGGAAGTTATGAATCGTACATGTAAGAAGACAGCAGTTGTTTGTCACTTTGACACCCTAGCTCAGCAGACAGGAGTCTTAAAGGACTCAAGGACAGGTTCTGAAAGGATTACTGAGGTTGCCTTCTGATTGGGAGATCATTTTTCTTGGGCTGAACCCTGGTCTACTCTTGCTTCCCTAGTTCTTTCCTTTCAACAGATCTGTGTTCCATAATATTTTGAGTAAAATAAAATGACAGAAATCACTAGTGTCATGTAGTTACTATGTTTCTGCTGTTAAAATAAGCACCCAGGAAAGAATATTGTGCTGACATTTTACCATTCAGGCTTAAGGAGAAGGAATGATTTAAAAGATATGCTTTGAAACTTCATAGTGTCTTAGATAAGTTAGATAGATAGGTGTTGCTATTATCCTAATATCACAGATTGGAAAGTGAGACACAGGAGTTGAAGTAACTTGCCAAAGGCCACATAGTAAGTAAGTGGCAGAGCTGAGACTGGAGGCTAGACTGCCATGTTTCAGAGCCCAGGCATCAGACACTGCAGAGCCTCGGATGAGCTGACACAATAAGAGATGTTATTGAAAGCAATAACTCAATTGTTCAGATGAAAACTTGACTAGAACATTATGGAGAAGAAGTCAATAGTAACTGACATTTTTAACAATGATTCTTGCAGGAAATTCTCTTCTACTTAAGTGTTTTGTTTTCAAAGTACAAGATTTGCCTTTCAGATTATGTTCAAGGTCTGAGCTGACAGGATCTTTGGCTTAGCAGGAAGAATTTCAGAAAAGAAATGTTCCTGTAACAAGACTTGAAAACAGAAATTGGAGCTAGGAGGGCCCATTGATTCTGAGAAAGCCTGGGAAGCTCGGAACCCATGATACTGGATTGATTATCAATGTGAAAAGAGGGAAACACAGCCTACCATTCTACAGATTAAGCATGATTTCTTCTAATCAGATGCTATCAACATTTCAAGTCCTCATTCAGCAAAAAATAGCAATAGGCTATAGGATAGCTTTCAAAACCATTAGCTAATAACTTTATTTTTAATTATCTCACCTACTGTTAATACATGGACCAAAGGATACATCTTTTCCTCAAGCTAAGTACTGTGATTTGCATTTGACACACTTAGAAAAATTATTTATATTATATATAATATATATCTATAGATATATATTATATATAATATATCTATAAATATATATTATATATAATATATATCTACAAATATATATTATATATAATATATATCTATAAATATATATTATACATAAGTAAAATATATACAAACATATGACAAATATAAATGATAAATATAAAATGTACATTTTAAATATATATACACATATATATTGTGTGTATATATATACACACATATATGTATATACATATATACACACATATATGTATATACATATACACACACATATATGTATGTACGTATACACACACATATATGTATGTACGTATATACACACATATATGTATGTACGTATATACACACATATATGTATGTACATATACACACATATATGTATGTACATATACACACACATATATGCATATACATATATACACACATATATGCATATACATATATACACACATATGTATATACATATATACACACATATGTATATACATATATACACACATATATATACATATATACACTTATATATGTATATACATATATATGTGTGTATATATATACACATATATACATATATATACACACATATATATATACACATATATATATATATGGACAAAGTCTTGCTATCTTGCCTAGGCTGTTCTCTAATTCCCAGCTTCAAGCAATCCTGCTTCAGCCTCCCAAAACATTGGGATTACATGTGTGAGCCACAATGCCTGGCCCCTGACACACGTATTTTCTGATCCAAAAGAGAAGCAGAGAGTAATTTGAGATGCTTCCCAATGATAATAATAAACAGGAAGGGAAAATGCAAATAAGAAGAAATGCTATCTAGATCTTTCCACAAGCACAGTTTACTTAAGTCATTATCTTTTAGAAGAATGTTTATTTTGGCAACTAGAATTGAGGTCTCAACTCTGGTTTGCCTGTGCCTAGGATGCAAGCAGACGTTGCTGAAGCAGTTCCCTTTCTGCGGAGCCTGCTGACAAAGCTTCCACTAAACATAGACAACTACCTGAAAACAGGCCCTTGCCAACACTGCAGGACTCTCAAAACAGACATACTTTGTGGCCCCAAGGTATAAAAACTTATTTGTAAAGCTCCAAAGACTACATATTTTAAGGTTTTAGAATTATGTGGCTACTATTGCAACTACTCAAATTTGATGTTGTATTAGGAAAGCTGTCATAGATAATAGGTAAATAAATTGGCATTGTTATATTAAAAATAAAACTGTAATTACACACAAAAAAGATACAGGCTAGGTTTGGTTCACAGGCCATAGTTTACTGACCTCTTTTTACTTGTAAATTCAAAGGGAAATCCGAAGACGAAAATATATTTAAGGAAAAGAAATACTGTGAAAGGAAATGACCAAGATGAACAAACAATGCAATTAAGCCAAATGAAAGAAAAAAATAATAAAATAGAAGTAAAATTGTTAAAATCTCAGGTGATCCTCTCAGAAGGAAGGGGCTACGAAAAAAAAAAAAGAAAGAAAATTAGAAAGGTATATTGTAAATTAAATACTCCATGTAAACTTAAAACAACAGATAGATTCAATATTGAAATGGAAATGATCTAAATTCAACTAAAATGTAAAGAAAAAAATGTATGGAGAGAATTATTTTTGAGGGGGCTATGTATTCATATACAAATATTTCCATTAATCACTAACATTTGGGTAGTGACTGGACTCTCAATTTGTTACATATCAGACTGGCAATAACTATTAACTTAAAAAAAGCAGGCAAAAGTTTTCTAGATTCTCAAATAAAAATTCCTCAGTTTTAGAAATGTTAAGGTATTCAAGTTCAATCATGTTAAATCATAATAAATTATGATTTATTTAAAAAAAAGAAAAAGAAAAAGAAAAAAATGTATGGAACAAATAAAAGAAAGTTTAAGGGGCATAAGAAACAGATATAGAAAGAGCAGGGTGTCTTTAATTCCAGAAACACAGAATAAAAAACTTAGAAAAGAAAATAATACATGAAATAAATAAAACTTCTCAGTATTGACAGCAAGCAAGCCTTTATACTAACATAACTCATAAGATGCCAAACAAGATAACGCATACATATACAGGTTCTGATGACACAACAGAACTCCAAATACAGAAATGCAAGTCCTCAAGGTGTCCAGAGAGGGAGAGAGCGATACAAGTAGAGAGAGCAACACATTTTTCTTCAAAAAGTATACAAAATAGAAAGAACAAAAAATCTATCACAAGCAATAAGGCATGCTGAAAAACACTGGAGAAGTACCCTCAATATTCTGAGGAAAAGGATTTGGGAGTTAAATGTCTATGCTCAGATGAAATGTCAGTCCAGTCTGACAATAAAATGAGTATATTATTAGCTATTCGAAGACTTCAAATTTCTTTCAATTATATCCAAAAAATTTCACCATGTTGTCCTAAGGTTTATATATATATATTAGAGATATATGATATAAAATTGTATATATTGTACAGATGATATATAATCATATAGATGATATATAAGCATATGATATATAATCATATAGATGATATGTAAATGTATATATGATAAATAATTACATAGATAATAGAAAAAGTTGGGAATTTCATGACTAGCCTGGTCAACATGGTGAAACCCCGTGTCTACTAAAAATACAAAAATTAGCCAGGCGTGGTGTTAGGCTCCTGTAATCCCAGCTACTCAGAAGGCTGAGGCTGCAGAATGGCTTGAACTCGGGGGGCAGAGATGGCAGTGAGCCAAGACCTCACCACTACACTCCAGCCTGGGCAACAGAGCAAGACTCTGTTTCAAAAACAAAAAACAAAAAACAAAAAAATAAAACACACACAGTTGGAAAAACTGTGAATGATGTAAAGGAAACAATAGCTGTGAAAATAAATTTTAAAGGAATATACTTTGATTAAGCTTTGAGAGATTATCACTTAAGTGGCACTTAAGTTTTAACCACGGGGGATTATTTATATATAAATCCTGTCAGACTGCTTCTTTCTGTAGTTGGTGAAGTGTGAGTTCTACTGTTAACGGAGGTAGAGATTTTAGAACATACCAGTAGACAGACTGTGGGACACTCAATTAAATGGCAAAACATCCACAATACCAACAATAATAACCCAAATCCTCCCAATTAAGAGGTGAAGTGGGGAGAGACATACTGAGGAAGCAAATAAATTTACAAGCTAAATGTGCTTAATGTTGATAAAACAAACCACAGAAAGCTGGTTTTACTTTGTATTTTTTACCTTTCTAGTTGTGTTTGTTTGATTTTACTTTTTATTTATGAATATGCATTCCTTTGAGATTTAAGAGAAACAATATTTTTGAAAAGACAGAATACTTAAAAAGTAAATACTTTTCCAATAAGGGCTTGTTCTGTGCTTTATAAATGATGTCTCTGTCTGCACCCTCAATGAGTGAGTAATCAAGCTCCACCAGGCCTGTTTCACAGGGGCACTAGTCCCATTCATTCAGGCTCTGCCCTCATGACCTTACCACCTCCTAAAGGCCCTACCTCTTAATGCCGTTGCATTGCGGATTAGGTTTCAACATATGAATTTTGAGGGCGGCACAAACATTTAGACCATAGCAGTTGAATTCATTTTCCTCCTCACATCTGGAAATATGATTACTTTAAGTTACCTTCTTAGTGTCACACATAGCCTGGTAACTAAGCCTGTGTGTACTCATTTTATTTATGCTGATAATCCACAAAGATCTCTTTAATTTGATTCAATCAAATATAGATTATATAAACTTTATTGAAAGTCTTAGACATATAACTCAAATATCTGCTTGGCATGGATGGCCTGGGAAGCTAAATGCAGTCCTAATATTGTTGTCTTTAGTTTTCTGCATGCAGTCAATAGCAGAGACAATTCCCATTGTGTCTATCATATCATACACCACATAGTAATTGTTGGGCAAAACATGTTTTTTTAAAAATTAATTGGTCACAAACTATTTTAATTTTAAGCAATATCTATTCCTACTTCTTCCTTAACCACTTATTTATTTATTTGTTTATTTATTTTAAGACAGAGTCTCACTCTGTTGCCCAGGTTGGAGTGCAGTGGTGCGATCTCAGCTCACTGCAACCTCCGCCTCCCAGGTTCAAGCGATTCTCCTCCTCAGCCTCCCAAGTTACAGGATCTGCCACCACACCTGGCTAATTTCTTTTAGTAGAGATGGGGTTTCACCATGTTGGCCAGGCTTGTCTCAAACTCCTGACCTCAGGTAATCCACCTGCCTCAGCCTCCCAAAGTGCTGGGATTACATATGGACTTTACCTCTCAAATTTCACAAGACTTTCTAGTTGCCAAAACAAAATGATCTTCCCTCACCTATACTGATGTTACTGCAATCACTGGAATTATCTCATACTGTTGTCCAATCTCTCCTGATTATAAACCTCCTATGGTTTAGTTTCTGAAAAGTCCATTTTTTAATTAATATGTTTTTGTCTCTTGACCCTTTCCTGACTGCTCTTCTTTAATCAGCCCTTAAGCTCCCAGCCTTAGCTTTTCCCACTCTGATCTCCTAGAAAAATAACCTTTTCTGCTATGACCAAAGTGTGTTCCATTTGGTTAGTCCTTCAGTATCTCTCACCCTGATATTTGTCCCAAATTGCAAAGAAAATGTCCAGACTTCAGCCTATGGATGCCCCATCAATTCCCCAGTTCGACATCTCCAACAGTTTTTACTGTTTCTCTATCCTCCCAAATTAGGTCTGTGCCTGGATCTGCCGTCACAGCTGAGGGTGACTCTGTCTTTCCTGCATGTGCAGCCCTGACAGTTCACCAGCATTTGCTTCCTCCCTCATTTTCTTCTTCCATGACTCCGCCTTTTCCTTGATTTTCCACTTCCAACCAGTGACCACCAGTAAACCACATGTAGAAGGATGAAAAGAATACTTCTGAGTCATACTTGAGGAAAAACAGATGCTGGACTACACACAGTTCCCCCCCTACCCCTACCCCCCGGCCTTCTTTTTCCTTTTAACTCGAATAGAAACTGAGGTAAGAACTAATAACCATATAGGGATGGAGGAAGATGCCATATACTGAAAGGAGGATTTCTGGAAAGGGCAGGACTGTGTGGATTAACTGAAGACACATTGAATGAGCCATCTGATTCCACTCTGTGTGGAGCCTTGACTCCGTGAATTCACCTGCAAACATTTTATTAATAAACTGAGAAACAGTAAGGGCTGATGACAGCTTCAGGCAGACCCAGGTCATGGGCTTAAGCTGCCTTGAAAAACCTACAGTCAATCTTGGTTCCTTACGTCTATTTGAGCAATGTCTCCGTATTCTTCCCCACTTTGCACTGTAAGTGCCAGATTTCCTAGTTTAGATCCTCTTCATTAGTCTTTGCCATCTGTATTAATAATTGCTATGGTTTGAATATTTGTGCCCCTGCCCCAAATTCCTATGTGGAGATTCTAACCACCAGGAGAATGATACTAGAGCATGGGGCCATTGAGGGGTGATTAGATCATCAGAGCAAAGCCTTCTTCAACTGGAATAATGCCCTGATGAAAGAGACAACTTATAAAAACAATTATGCCATTCAAGTCCTGAAAAATACATGATCATGTAAGAATTAAGTACAAATATTTCAGTGTCTGTCAAATCTCACTACATATTGTATTCACATCTACTCTCTTCTCCTGTAATGCTCCTAGCCATACCCAAAGCCAAATTCCATTTTTCAAATAAGTGACTATTCCTTGTTTAAACCTGGCATAAGTATCTCATTGATACCTTTGGAAAGTACACTGTCACTAGTCTGCCTTGCTAATTAAAGAAGGGCATTGACTTCTTCTAGGGATTTTCTGATGCACTGTAAGAATTCATTATTGTGTTTTGACATGTCATAACATCCTCCAGAAAACCAGGACATAAATGGACTTTCTTTCTGCTCCTTACACTGTTCTAGCTTATGTGATTTGATTTGTTTTTTTGTTTTGAAACATCATTGTATTAGTCTGTTTTCATGCTGCTGATAAAGACATAACCGAGACTGGGAAGAAAAAGAGCTTTAATTGGACTTACAGTTCCACGTGGCTGGGGAGGCCTCAGAATCATGGTGGGAGGTGAAAGACACTTCTTACCCAGTGGCAGCGAGAGAAGAAATGAGGAAGGTGAAAATGCGGAACCTCCTGATAAAACCATCAGATCTCAAGAGACTTATTCACTACCATGAGAAGGGTATGGGGAAAACCACCCCCATGATTCAAATTATCTCCCACCAGTCCCTCCCACAACACATGGGAATTATGGGAATCCAATTCAAGATGAGATTTGGGTGGGGACACAGAACCAAACCATATCAATCATAGTTCATATTTTTTTCTTCTTTACAGAAAGGTCAGCTATTGTATATTTGCTACGATGGTTATTTTCACTAATTCCAAATTTCTTAAATTTTCCAAGATTTGATATAACTCAGCTTACAATGATAAAATTTAACAATATTGAAGCTTTTAGAATTTGCTCCCACAGTATCCATTAATGGATTCCAAATAAAGACAAGGTAAATGGACTCCTACTGAAAAATATTTCCTGATTTTCCACAGTGTTCTGGAGAGTTAAGAATGTCAGAACACTGATGACCACATACCTGACTTCTTAATATAGTAGTGGTTTAGGTAATGATCATAGAACAAATGCTTATGTGATATTTACTCAGTGCCAGGTAACTCTCAAAGGACTTTGCATGCATTAACTAGTTTACTCTTTACCATTACCCTATGTGGTAAGTTCTATTGCTATCCTCATTTTACAGATCAGGAAACTACAGCTTTGAGAGGCAATAAAATATTTACTGAGGTCACATGGCTAAAAATTGACAGAGACAAAATATTTGCATTAAGGCTTCTAACCACTTTGCTATATCAGCCCTCATGTCTAAAATGTAAATTGCCTCAGGTAGACAGATTTTATTCACTGTTTTGATTTCCTCATGGCTTTCTTCATGAACCTCAGCCTCTAATGTGAAGAAACAAATCTTTGCTTTGCAGTATGTTCAAGCATCTAATCACATGTTTGGTGGGACACTGGAACATAGCATCCTTTGATAATTTATTTTACACAGTTGTATTCTGTTTCGCTATTTTACACGGGGATGGCTATTCTATGAAAATGTGGAAGTATTTGATCCAAATCTTATAGAATACTTTTGTGCTCAAACCTCTATAAATAGGCCTGCAGTGGTCTTGTCTGCTTTGTGAGGCATTGCCTATGTCCTCAGAATCTGTTTGAAGAGTTTCCATGTTAACTTCAGGGCCTCACATGAGGTATCCCTGGATCCTGATCCTGGGGAGGCTGCAGCGGGGCTTAGCGCCACAAGAGGTGACCCTTCATCACATGCCGCTCAAAATCACAGAAATCACAACATCTCAAGTGCCAAAGCAAAAATAAGGCCAAATAAGGAAGAGAGCATCAATCTCTCCTTCCTGATGTTTCTCTTGTAAGCTTTAAGGCCACATGGGGGATGTAAGGAGGGTGATTCCAATTATATTTCCTCTAAACTGGACTGCATATTTGAGAATAAAGTGAGCTGATTTTTTAAATTGCAGTGGAGCAACAGAGATAAACTGGCCATTTCCCAGGTGTACAAACTGATGTACACATGGTCACACTGGAAATAGAAAAATCAACAAATACATAAACATAATGACCACAAGCTCTGACTCATTATCTCATGTCTGACCAACAATTGTGCCTTAGTTCATAGAAGAATCATTAGCCTCCAAGTTTGGCAGATGAAGCTTGGAAAACCTTTAAACACATGCGTGCACGCACACACACACACACACACACACCCTTCAAGAAGTTTTAGCCTCTTTGTCTCCAATTTGCATAATGTAGGCCTATTTTCTAATAGTTAACTTGCCGCTTATTACTAAGGATGTTCATTTCCACATCTTTTCCAGCCATATTTAGTTTGGAAGTGTAATCCCATTGTGTATCTCTAATATATTTTTCAACATAATACATCTGCTAGATTTCAAATTACATTTCAGTGAGTAGTTCTTGTCTTGTATTCAACCCCCATTTAATGTTTGCACTCAAATGAAACAACTTGGTAAGCAAAGTGCCTTCAGCAGTTCTGTCAAGATTTAGTAACTTAATCTGGATTCCTGTTAAACCACTCTTCATAACTAAACACTTGGGTAGACTCTGGCTGAGATCTCATTGCTGGAAGCTAAATATATACTGATTAGGAGAGAAGCAACCCTGGGGCATGTTACTGAACAAATGCATCATCATTTCTATGCAGACATTTGTACTTGAAAAAACGATCACAATTTAATAAGTAACAGACGTAAGAAGAAGATAAATGATAGAAGTTATTGGAGAGCAAAGGACTTGCTAAAGATGGTGCAAGATCTCAAATTAATGAAAGAAAAGATTAAAACTGTTTCAAACATGTTGTCTGACCACTAAATGTAAATATCATATGGCCTGACTGATACACAGATGAAGTAGCATTTTAAAGCTGTGAATAAGAACCACTTACTTTTCCACACTGAACATCATTTTATCTCTTTGAATAGCAAACTAGGTCTTTGTCAACAACAGCCAGATGTGGTCATTGAAAGCTAAGTACCGTGTTGGACTGCATGTCTAGTGAAGTGGAATGGGTGAGAGGGGACAAAAATTCCATTTTCTGACCAAGCCAAATAATTCTGTCATTATTGCATTACAATTAGCCCTTCATAATTAGAAGGAATCGAGTAGCTTGGGGATTTAATCTGAATTGGTAATAAAAATGGAAATGGCTTTAAATTATGCCCTATGAGACATACTTACAGGAAATGGGGCGGATGTAAGTAAACAGGAGGCAAATATTGATAAGTGCAGTCATTTGGGGGCAGTTGGGAAAATCACATGAGACTTTTTCTCTGTGGCTTTGAGGTCTCATCCAGAGCACATTGGAAAAAGAGAAGTAAATGGATTTGATCTCAGTATAACTTTTCAGCAGTTAGAGCTGTTCAAAGGAGGAATATTTTGTTCATTATTACCACACATATTGAAGTAGGTCTGATGACCACCAGATGAGCATATCGTGGTGAAGACTGAAATATCCGATGAGTGGTTGATTACATAGCCACCACATCTTTCTATTGTAATGAGATTCTCTGTCCTCCCTTCCCTCATAATCAAATTGAGATAGGGAATGCAGGAGGAATTTAGCGTACTTCAACAAAATTATTCAATAATAAGTATTTTATTAGGTAAATGAATAATTTAGATCCCATTTCTCAAAAAATTAGTTGAAGAAATAATTAAGTGACATTGTTCAGGTGTCATATGGGCCTAGTTTCTGAGGTGAGAAGTTGGCTGCTCATTTCCACAGAGGGTTGAGTGAAAGAAAATTGAGCTGAAATAAAGAAGGAATAATTTAAAATATATGTATTAAAAGTTTATTAGTTTAAGTGGGTATACAATATTGAACCTGGCTGCCCTGAAAATTTTAATAAAGAATAATAACAACCTATTTGGTTACATATAACCCTGTTATAAGAATGTTGTAACACATTAAGTACATGATATCTTTGTAATGAAGTTATATCTAGTTACATGCTGCTCAAAATGTATTCAAAATACAAAGAATGCCAACGTAAATGGAAAAACCAACTCAATTCTCAAGGTTTGGAGAATTATTAGTATGTCTACTGAATATTGTCTACTAATTTGCCACAGAAGAGGAGTTTTCTGACCACTTAATTGAAAACAGAACCTCCTAAATAACCCCTTCATTATTTCTATTGCAAAACTCTGTTCATCTCCTTCTCCACGGGGATCACTGGCTTGTAAAGGTTTCTTTTCTTGCTTGTTGTCTTGTTCATTGTCTGTCCCATCCAATGTCATTTAAGCTCCACAATGGTGTGGACTGATGATATCTGTCTTCTTCCTTGCATCCATCCCCCAAATCTAGCATCGTGCCAAAGAGACAGGAATTGCTCAAGGAATACTTGTGGAATAAACGTGTATGTTTGCTTTTGTTTGAATAAGTTACATGCATTTGCCATTGTAAACTAAACTGGTTTGGTGAACGGCTTGCATTTTATTTAAGAAAAATGAATTAGGCTTTTCGAATGTGAAGTTACAAAGCAATTACCTTTTTCTGCTACAAGAAAAATTCCTTCATCCTTCTCTTATATATGATTGAAAATATATTAGTAAAGCCTTCTTCGTTTTTCTTTGCCCAATATGAAGAATTGGTTCTAAAACACGTCCTTGGCACAATCTCCAGCCAGAGAGTGGGCACCAGCTTGGCTTCAAGGTGTGACCTCTCTCCCTGTACAATATTTTAAATATAGTGTTCAATGAATACTAAGATAAGCACAGGATTTACAATACATGAATTTAAATTTCCACTATATGATCTTGAAAACAAATATCTGTTAGCTTTTTTTCCAAGAAATTTAGTTTCCTAGCAGATAAAATGTAGAAGATAAAAATCTTCCTAGAAGATTTCCAGAGTGAGGCTGTATTGCATATTTCTTGTTTGCATATTTCTTGTATTGCATATTTCTTGTTTGAACACAGTGAGAATCCTGGTATATGTGACGTTGCCTGAGGCTCTGCCTTCTTGGGGACTTCAAGGAGCACTCCAGGAAGAGTGTGCAACATCAGCAAGATGCAACAGGGGAGAGGAGAGGCTGAGACCTTCCTCTCATACAGATGAGGTGTCTGCCTACCCTTGAGCAGCAGGGCTAAGCACACAGAGCCCACAGGCTTCGAGAACTTCTAAAGTCTGTTCTACAGAAATATTTAGATGAGATTATGAGGTATTCAAAAAGGTTTTTCAAAGCAAAATAAGTTTGGGAAACTGCATTAAGTAAAGTTTGCTTAGAGCTTTCACATGCTAAGATGCAATGTTTAGAAATTCTGAAAGTACCAGTGCATGTGATGAAACTCTGATGAATGGTGGTGTCACTTCCCTATTGTTAAGTATTTGGGGACCAAAATCATCTCTTATAATCTATCTTTCCTGGTGCCATATAGGTCATGGTTGAGAACTTGATGAAAGTTGAATAAAAATATCTAACACTTCTTGTAAAGTATCTGGAGCCAGGATGCCAGGTAGGCCTGAAAAGCATTTGTTTAAAACCAATGTTCTTTGCTGCCTGGAACATTAGTTTGATTTTATCAACTTTAAAAATGGAAAAGAAAAAGAGTAACTAGGCTGAGTACAATGAGTCCTTTTAAAAATATATCTTTTTAATTTTTGTTCAAAATCATTATTGCTTTTATTACAAAATAAAACAAAAATAGAAAACCACACAAACAAATCCATACTTTATTGAATTAATGTAATGTCAAGACACATTTTAAGAAAAGATTAGCTGGATAATCCAGAAACAAATACAACTCTTTTGTTTTATAAATTATTTTTCCATTTTTTTACTGTTATATTTCTTTTCTCTCTGAAACAAGAGCTAAAGCATTGCTTCTGCTTTCTAATCATTTTTTTGTTATGTCTATCAGAATATAGTCTCCCTTTTTTCAGTCTTCACTCTCTGTCTCCTGGTTAAATGCTGATCTCCATTCAGGGATCTGATGGAGTCCCGGCGGCTAAATATGGCAGTGAAGAAAGTACCAACCATGCTAGGGCTCAGAAGAAGAAAAATGTGGGAAAGTTTGTAACTTCTTAGAGACTTGGAGGGCTCAGAAGACAGGAAGATGTGGGAAAGTTAGAAACTTCCTAGAGACTTGTTGAATGGCTTTGCTCAAAATGCTGATAGTGATATGGACAATAAAGTCCAGGCTGAGGTGATCTCAGATAGAGATGAGGAAGTTGTTGAGAACTGAGGTAAATGTCACTCTTGCTATGCAAAGAGACTGGTGGCATTTTGCCCCTACCCTAGAGGTCTGTGTAACTTTGAGCTTGAGAGAGATGATTTAGTGTATCTGGTGGAAGAAATTTCTAAGTGACAAAGAGTTCAAGATGAAGCAGAGCATAAAAGTTTGAAATATTTGCAGCCTGGTGATATAGTAGAAAAGAAAAACCCATTTTATGGGGAGAAATTCAAGCCACCAGCAGAAATTTGCATAAGTAACGAGTAGCCAAATACTAATTGCCAATACAATAGGGAAAAAGTCTCTGTGGCATGTCAGAGACCTTAATGGCAGCCCCTCCCATCACAGACCCAGAGGCCTAGAAGGTAAAAATAGTTTCTTGGGTCAGGTCCAGGGTCTCTTGCTGTGTGCAGGCTCAGGACTTAGTGCCCTGGGTCCCAGCCACTCCAGCCATGGCAAAAAAGGGGCCCAGGTATAGCTCAGGCTATTGCTTCAGAGGGTGCAAGTCCCAAGACTTGGCCGCTTCGACATGGTGTTGAGTTTGTGACTGCACAGAGGTCAAGAATTAAGGTTTGGAACCTCCACCTAGATTTCAGAGGATGTATGGAAATGCCTGTATATCCAGGTAGAGATATGCTGCAGGGACAGAGCCCTCATAGAGGTGTTAGGGCAGTTCAGAAGGGAAATGTGGACTGTGAGCCCCCACACAGAGGCCCCCACCATCAGCTTCCACTGTGTGCCTGGAAAAGCTGCAGGGAATGCCAGCCCCTGAAAGCAACCAGGAGAGAGGCTGTACCCTGCAAAGCCACAGGGGTGGAGCTGCCCAATTTCATGGGAACCTACTACTTGCAGTATCATGACCTGCATATGAGCCATGGAGTCAAAGGAGATCATTTTGGAGCCGTCAGATTTGACTGCCCTCCTGGATTTTGAACTTTCATGGGACCTGTAGCCCCTTTGTTTTGTCCAATTTCTCCCATTTGGAATGGGTGAATTTACCCAATGCTTGTACTCCCGTTGTATCTAAGAAGTAACTAACTTGCTTTTTATTTTACAGTCTGATAGGTGTAAGAGACTTGCCTTGTCTCAGATGACACTTTGGATTGTGAACCTTTGGGTTAATGCTGAAATGACTTAAGACTTCAGGGGACTGTTGAGAAGGCATGACTGGTTTTGAAATGTGAGGATATGAGATTTGGGAGGGGCCGGGGCAGAATAATATGGTTTGGCTGCATCCCCACCCAAATCTCATCTTAAATTGTAGCTCTCATAATCTCCACGTGTCATGGGAGGGACCTGGTGGGAGGTAGTTGAATCATAGGGGCAGGTTTTTCCCATGCTTTTATCATCACAGTGAATAAGTTTCATGAGATCTAATGGTTTTATAAAGGGGAGTTCCCTTGTACACACTCTGTTTGCCTGCTGCCATGTAATACATGACTTTGCTCCTTCTTTGCCTTCCACTATAATTGTGAGGCCTCCCCAGCCACATGGAACTGTGAGTCCATTAAACCCCTGTCCTTTATAAATTATCCAGTCTTGGGTATGTTTGTATTAGCAGCATGAGAATGGACTAATACATGCAGTAATCAAAGACTTCACAGAAATTTTAAAAATGGAGGAAGAGAAAATTATCTCTGGATCTGATTCAGAACCAAATGTGTGGCTAACAGTCTAGTGAAATGGAACGCATTGTAGAAAATTATAAATCCAAGAAAAATCATGGAAGCGAATAAAATTGTTCTGAAAAACAAGATCCTGCTATATGCATTTTGAAGGGTCTAAATAATAATTGCAGTATTAGGAATTTCTTCATAGAAATTTTAATTAAAAAATTAAAATTGCATACATATATTCAAGGAAAACAACTTGGTATTTATAAAGCAAGCAGGTACTAGTTCTAAACTAAATGCTAGGGTTCAGATAAAGAATTTAGATATAAGAATAAGATGATCTGAGAATATTATATTGGGTAGGTTTTTGTTACACATGGAGAAAATAGACAAAGACTTTCAGATGTGGAAAACTACATTATATTCATATACCTAAAATAAGACAGGAGGAGAAGAAGGAAAATAGGTAGGAAAGAAGGAGGAGAATCCAGCTTTTCAAAGTATGAAAAAAAAGCAATAAATATGCAAAAAATTAAAATGCCAGAAAAAAACTGATGGTGTACTTGAAATGCTGGATTAACCTCTGGGACTTTCAACATCCATAACAACTTTCAAAAAAGACCTGAAGAGATTAATCATGTCAGTAAGCTCCACCTGACTAAATTACTTACCCTAATGTGGTCAAAGGGTTGATGTTTTATTTTATAATTAATATAAAATTATAGTTAATTTCTCATTATGGTTGAAAACCATAATAGGACATAAAAATTCTCTGAGAAGGTATTTCTTTTCAGACAGGAGATGATAACTTATTCAAAAGCCTAAACCATGAAAATTATAATTATAATAGTAAAATATCTCAAGAAAAAATACAAGAACCAAATGTAACCACAGGCTCAACAGATTCATGCTTAAGTAATAGGAATATGTTTATTTTTATTTTTAATTTAACATATCTTTAATGACTACATTTTTCTACCTCAATTTAAACTGTTTAATAAGAAAAATTACCTTTTATGAAAATACTAGAATTGTTTAAACAACTGCTATTTTTAACAGAGTGTCACAGTATTTGTCTGCTATGAACAAGGAACAAAATCATCTAAAGTGAGAACAAGTAGGAAAAAAAATCCTGCAATTTTATTTAAGAAAACATTTTAGAAGATTAATAAAAAAAATTTAATGTAAACATTGAAATGAGCACAGCTGGTTTCCAAGGTAAACAGGCAGAAAAATTGTCTTGGTCCATTTGGGCTCTTATAACAGAAAACCATAGATTGGGTGACTTAAACAACAAACATTTATTCTCACAGTTGTGGAGGCTGGGAAGTCCAAGATCAAAGCACGGACATGTCCTTTGTCTGGTGAGGGCCCACTTCCTGGTTCATAGACTGCTGTCTTCCTGCTGTGTCCCCATTTGGCAGAAGAGTCAAGGGCATTCTCTCTCATCTCTTCTCATAAGAACACTACTCTGATCAGAAATGCTCCACTCCCATGACCCCATTACCTCTCAAAGACTCCCCCTTTTAGCACCACCCCATTCATGGCTAGGGTTTCCAATAAGAATTTAAGGGGGACCACAAACTTGCAGTTCATAACAGAAGTTAAATACCATTTATGTCACTTGCTAGGAGAGCTGACACTGGGGAAGTCCTCAGTGTTTAGAAATCTCTCAAACATTCTTATACTGATGAAGAGAGATAAAAGTGTGCTAAATACTCTTTTATATAGACAATACCCAAGACACTCATTACTTTATCACAATAATGATCTTCAACCATGACTGTAAATTAAAATACCGTGTGGTGTATTTTTAAAAAATGCAACTTAAAAGCATGATTCCAAACCTATCAATTATGGTGTCTTAGGATGGAGTCTGTACTTCAAATTTTTTCAAAGCTCCCTGAGAAATTATGGTGCACTAAAAGGTTAAGAAAATAGTGAAAACAATAGAATAAAGTTTTCCCATCAGAAGTTATATATACCTGAATTGTCTAATTTTAATTTATAAAACATTTGTTCCAACTTCCCAAGATCTTATTCATATAATTATATGAATAAATTCATGTGGATTATACAAATGAAGGTAGACA
The DNA here is from genome assembly GCF_000001405.40 of Homo sapiens. Taxonomy (NCBI): domain Eukaryota; kingdom Metazoa; phylum Chordata; class Mammalia; order Primates; family Hominidae; genus Homo; species Homo sapiens. The sequence goes on from NC_000007.14 coordinate 52,734,481, forward strand.
TAGGTTTTTAGAGTTTGTGGACTGGAAATCAATACCACTCTTGCAAAAGCAGAGGTGTTTACAAGCTATTTTTAAAATATATTCACACCAAATTTAGGAAATGTTTATTGCACTTTTCCTGTGTTTGCATTTCAGAGGGAGGAAAGTGAGTTTGTGTTAAATCATATACTTTATGGATGTGTCTGTGCTTGCTACTCCAGGCAGGAGGTAAATGAATAAACAGAATAACAATACAGCAAACAAACTAGGTTTTCTTTTTAAGTGCCATCTCCTGGAGAAAGAGGTCAGGCTGAGAAATGCCCTCTATTCTCACTTATCCTTTACAAAATTCAGGATTTTTCATGCCAGACACCTATCCTCACATATTTTCCTTTTACTTGTGTGTTTCTTTCCACCTCATTATTTACTTATTTATTATTTTCTGGCCTTATTTACAGTCTAAGAATACAAAACAAACCCAATTCAGTTTACAATTCTATGTACGAGAGAAACTTCCAAATTGAAGGATATGCAAAAATTTGCTTAGAATTCAGTTATGAGACTTTTCCTTCATATTGGGCAAGGAAAAGCGAAGAAGGCTTTACTAATATATTTTCAATCATATATAAGAGAAGGATGAAGGAATTTTTCTTGTAGCAGAAAAAGGTAATTGCCTTTGTAACTTCACATTCGAATAGCCTAATTCATTTTTTTTTTTTTTTGAGACGGAGTCTCGCTCTGTCGCCCAGGCTGGAGTGCAGTGGCGCGATCTCGGCTCACTGCAAGCTCCGCTTCCCGGGTTCACGCCATTCTCCTGCCTCAGCCTCCCGAGTAGCTGGGACTACAGGCGCCCGCTACCACGCCCGGCTAATTTTTTGTATTTTTAGTAGAGACGGGGTTTCACCGTGTTAGCCAGGATGGTCTCGATCTCCTGACCTCGTGATCCACCCGCCTCGGCCTCCCAAAGTGCTGGGATTACAGGCGTGAGCCACCGCGCCCGGCCTCATTTTTCTTAAATAAAGTGCAAACCATTCACCACACCAGTTTAGTTTACAATGGCAAATGCATGTAACTTATTCAAACAAAAGCAAACATACATGTTTATTCCACAAGTATTCCTTGAGCAATTCCTGTCTCTTTCGCACGATGCTAGATTTTGGGGATGGATGCAAGTAAGAAGACAGATATCATCAGTCCACACCGTTGTGGAGCTTAAGTGACATTGGACGGGACAGACAATGAACAAGACAACAAGCAAGAAAAGAAACCTTTACAAGCCAGTGATCCCCGTGGAGAAGGAAATGAACAGAGTTTTGCAATAGAAATAATGAAGGGGTTATTTAGGAGGTTCTGTTTTCAATTAAGTGGTCAGAAAACTCCTCCCTGAAGATGCAGAAGCTGAAATGGGGAGCTAAGCAGGCACAGCCTTGTGACAAGCTGACTGATGAGCAAAACTGACCAGACCGGGGTGCCTCTGTTTTGTGAACAGAAAAAAGGCCAGTATGTCTGGAACATAGCAAGGCAGGGAGGCTGGATTCTGAGTAAGGATTTAAAAGTAGATGGGACCTAAAAGATATGGGATGTAGATTTTATTGTAAGGGCAAAATGAGGGCATTGAATGACTTTGTGGAAACTCCAAAATCAAGAAGAAATCATGACTAGGTTTCCATTTACCAAGCATGCTGGCTGCTGTGTAGAGAATGGGCTGAGGGGGTCAGAGGGGGCAGCAGGGAACAACCAGGAGCCCCTTGCGGAATTCTTGGTGAAAGATGTTGGGAACACTTCCCTAGGTGAGTGGCAGTGCACATAGGTTGTGGCCACACATGTAAGATACATTTTAGAGGAAAACTCAGAAGCCCAACCGATGAATTAAATGTGAGGGGTTGAGAAAAGAGAACAATTCAAGTTGATTACCATGTTTCTGGCTAAGGCAACTAGAAAGAAGGAAGAATTGATATTAACGGTTGATGAAACTGGCCAGGGCACATGCTTAGAGGTGTGTTCAAAAATTCCATTATGATAGTCTTAATAGGTGAGATGCCTATAAAATATCCAAGTGCAGATGTTCAAGATGGAATGAAAAATAATATGGAGATCAGATAAGTGGTCTAGACTGGAAACATAAATTTGGGGTTCATCATTTAGATGACCTCTTAAGGCATGGGAATGAATGAGATACCCCAAGGAGAGAACAGAGATAGGAAAGAGAAAGGGACCCAGGTGCTACCACGTGGAATTTAGTTTGAGGAAAAGTAGTCCGCAAAGGAAACTAAGGGAACTAGAGAAGGGAAAGACAGGAAGCATATCAGGCCATGTTATAGCAACAAACAGCCTAGGAATGTTAGTGCTTGACAAAATCAGAGCTTGATTTCTCACTCAAACCACGTGATTTGCTCAGGTTGGCTCAGGGATTACCCCAAAATCAAGGCTGAGAAAGCCACTGTTTTCAATATTGCCTATTGCCATGGCAGGAGGAAAGAGCCGGGCAGGCTTTGAATGGACAGTTCAATGTAGGTGCCTGGCAGCTATAGGTCTGAATTCTACTCAAATGTCATCAGTCATTGCTAGTCACTTAGTCCCCAACTGCGCAAGAGCTATTTCGCCATGCACTGAACTATTTGGTGAACCATATTAAGGTCAGTAAGAATCTGCTTTTCTGATGGCCAGATATTTCTCACTCTTACTAAAGAAGTCAACCAAGCCAGAATCCCAACCAGTCATAGCATAAAAGAGCAGATCTGTGGGTAGTGTTTGGTAATTATTGGACTACATCACATTCAGGTGTGGGTCCTTTTCATACAGAGACCTATGAAACAAAACAACCTATCTACCCCAAAGGAACCTACAATGCATTGATGGAGCCGAGTGGATAGGTAATCTCATTCAAAACTCCCATTTGGAAAGACACTCATAGGAAATTCTCTGCAAAATCTTCCTGGTTAGGGTCTGATTCTTCTCCCTAGAAGGGTCTCTCCATTGCACAGTTCTCCAAGGACCTTGGCTTCCCCTTATGTAAGTTGGTTCCTTCTTTATCATGCTCTTTGGACACATCCGAATCAAGCATTGGACAATATGTTCTCCTTGGACACTGAGCAGGTTTTTCTGTCTGCTTCTTACCCATAGAAAGATTTTGCCCAAGGGATTGTCTTAAATCTTGAAAAATCAAACATGTTTATAATCCAGGCTTATGGTGTTTCAGCAGCGCAGTTGCCTCACAAACATTCCCTGCTTCTTATCTTTTATTCCAGTGAGCTCCATGTGCCAATTTATGTAAGACGTGCCCTCCTCTCTCTTATTTATTCCAGATATTTTCAGTCTAACAGCCTCCACAGGAAGAGTGAAGCCTTTAGTCTCTTTTTCTTGAGCAATTTTGCTAAAAATTTATTTACAGGGACCATCTTGACTCTCTGCACCAGAAAAAACAGATGTCACCACTGCTATCTGGATAGACATTGTTATGTTTTCAAAATCTTAAAAAGTTATTTTCAAATAATTTACAGAATTAAGAGTAAAGGAATAGTGAAAAATAACTATTAAAAAACTTTAGTAAGAATTTAAACAGAAAACCCATGTTTTTTTAATTTCATATTTACCTGGCGGTAAGGGTATATGCATGTGAAATAAGCAAAGTTCTTTGAAAGAAACTCACGTGCTCATCAACTCTCATGAAATAAACTGGGCCATATCAATCTGGTAAATACTGATTCCTGTCTTCAAACATTCACATCAATTCCATCTTACGATTACTTCACGTGCAGCATGTTCTTTCTTTCTTCATCAAAATGCGATTGATTTTGAAGGTGTGAAACCTCATAATTTTGTTGCAGAGAGGTTAGCCATCACTTTTGGACCTAATTGTAAAATATTTTTCATTTTTACATTTGTAAACACCAAGTAGAATGGTCTGCTAATATTGTAGATTATTTCTACATAACACATGGTCTGCCAATCAACTTTTCTTATAAAGACTTTATTTTTAGAATACTTTAAGGTTCAAAGCGAAATATGAAGGAAGGTACAGAGAATTCTCATATATCCCCTGCCCCCCACATGCAGAGCCTCCCCAACTATGGACAACATTCACCAGAGTAGTACCTTTGTTACAATTGATAACCACAGTGATACATCATCACACAAAGTCCATAATTTACATTAGAGTTTACACCCGCTGTTTTAAATTTTATGGATTTGGGCAAATGTGTAATGACATATATCATAGAGAATATTTTCACTGACCTAAAAATGCTCTGTGCTCTGCCTATTCATCCCTCCCTTCCTCCAACCCCTGGAAACCACTGATTAATTCACTGTCTCCATAAATTTGCCTTTCCAGAATGTCATATAGTTGGAATAGCACATGTAGCCTTTTCAGATTGGCTTATTTGACTTAGTAATATGCATTTAAGTTTCACCCATGCTTTTTAAGGCTTGACAGCTCATTTATTTTCAGCATAATATCCCATTGTATAGGCACACAACAGTTTATGTATCCATTCACCTTCTGAAAGACATCTTGGTCAATTCTGAGTTTTGGCAATTATGAATACAGCTGCTATAAACATTTGTGTGAAGGTATTTGTGTGGGAATAAATTTTCAGCTCCTTTGGATAAATACCAAAGAGTGTGATAGCAAAATCGTATGGTAAGACTTTGTTTAGTTTTTAAACAAACAAACAAATAAACAAAAAAGCCAAAATGTTTTCCATAGTGGCTGTACAATTTTGCATTCTTATCAGCAATAAATGAGAGTTCCTGTTGCTCCACATTCTCTTCAACATTGGGTGTTGTCAGTGTTATGGATTTTGGCCATTCTAATAGGAATGTAGTGGTATTTTATTATTGTTTTAGTTTGCATTTTTCTGATGACATATGGAATGGAACACCTTTTAAATGTGCTTATTTGCCATCTGCATATCTTCTTTGGTGAGATGTCTATTAATGTATTTGGCCAATTTTTTAATTGTGTTGTTCGTTTTATTACTACTGAGACTTAAGATTTCTATTTGGATAACAGTTCTTTATCAGATATGTCTTTTGCAAATATATTCTCCCACTCTGTGTCTTGTCTCCATTTACTTGACAGTGTCACAAAGCAGAAATTTTATATTTTAATTACATCTGGCTTGTCAATTCTTTTTCTTTCCCCTATGGATCATGCCTTTGGGATTGTATCTACAGAGTCGTCACCAAACCCAAGATTACCTAGATTTTATTTGTGACATGAATTTTCACCATCATATGTTATGGTGTTAAAAGACTGTGTGATAACATCCTTTCTGTTGAATAACTGCATGGAGATTACGTATTAATTTTTCATTCTTGGAAATATATTATGGTTTACTCATTGATTATTGAATTTGAGAAAATTCATCTAGAATATTCTTTCTGATGACCTATAGTCTGAAATTTCACTAACATAATGAGTTTTACTGTTATCACTAGTATCTTAAGTGCTACTATACATCTCTTTGCATTCACACTTTGATTCACATAATAATTAAGGATATCATTCTTTTTGCCATTTTGGTAGAATTCTTTATAAAAATTCTGATTTCTGATGTTTGTTTAACGCTATTTTAAAGAAGGCTACAAGATCATGCTATTAGACTATTTTATAACTTCCTGAAAAATGATAAAATTGTACAACTCACTAAAAAACTGAACGATGATGTAATATTGATAATTTATATTACCACTGCATTATTCTAGTGATTTAATTTCATTTTTATTTTATTCTCTCTTAGGTGTTGCTTGAAATAATTTATGATTAACATTCTAAGGTGATTCAAAGCAAAATATGTCAAGATACAGGTAAAATAAGATTCCTAAGCTCTTGTAAAGTACATTAGATTCAAAAACTGTCGAATCAACTCATGTTAAAAATATCTTTTATTTAAAGTCAACTAATTTTAGATATTAATTATATCAATAAAATACTTTCATGACTTTATTTGAAACATGAAATATTATATTTTATGTTAAATATAATGTGATGTTTTTCCTTCTCTATCTTTAAATGATCATAAGAAAAAAATATAATGACATAGCAATCCTTACAAAGAGTTGAACTACTCAAAAATATGCTCAAAATCTAAACTTGGATTCAAAGCATGTTATGTCTGCTGTTACACCATGGATTACTCCATTAAGAAATGATAATAAGAAGCATAATATTCATATCCTTGGCTTGACCTTGACACAGAGCTGAGGTTTTGGTTTTTTATTTCTTTTTAGTAAGACATATAAACAGCAAAATGCACAAATCCATTTCTACAGCTAGATCATTCCATGATGTGCCCACTTGTGTCCCACCACTCACATTAAGAAACTGCATTTTTCCAGCTTACCAGTAGTCCCCCTCTTGCCCCTTCGATCACTGTTTCTTATGAAGGGAACTATTCTCTCAAGTTCTATCACCATAGATAAGCTCTGCCTGTGTTTGAAATTTATATAAATGAATTATGCAGTAAGCCCTCCTTTTTGTATGTCTTCTTTTCATCAACATTATTTTTCCAAGATCATTGGCGTCACTGTAGTTTGTTCATTCTATTTTTCTAAAGTTCTGTTCTATGAATGTAATACATTTATCCCTTCTTATGCTGATATGGGTAGTTTTCTATTTTTGCTGCTATAATAGTACTGTTATAAACAGTTTTTGAATTTCTTTTTTTTTGAATGCATGCAGCTATTTTTGTTGGCTTTATAATTAAATTATGATTCAATTTTTATTAGTACTGCTAGTTTTCAAAAGCAGTTGAGTTGAATTACATTTCTGTCAGCAACATATGAGATTTCTTCTTCAGAAAAATCCTTTCCAAAACAGTATCGACAACTTTTTTTAAATCATTCTGGCCTGTATATCATCTTATTCTGTGTATGTGAAGTAATTTTCTAATGAATATAATGAATGATGAGATTTAACACATTTTTATACGTTTATTGATGATATGAATATGTTGTTTCCTTTGGAAGGCATGTTCAAATATTTTGCTTATATTTTGGTACAGTTGTCTGTCATTTTTGTTGATCTGTTGAAGCTTTTTAAAATATATATTCTGGATACAATTACTTTGTCAGATGTGTGTATTGAAAATATCCTATCACACTGAGGATTGCTTTTTACTTTCTAGATGTTGTCTTCTTTTTCTTCAAAGTTTAAAACCTAAAGTTAGCTCTTTTTGTCACTTATTGAATAAAATTATCCCCACTTCTGCATCATTAAGTTTCTCTTAAAAGCTTTTAATTGAACTATTGCTTAAATGCCTCCTCAGTTTTATATTTTATTAGTTAGAAGTCTAATTATTAACATTACCCATTGTATGTGTGACATATTATTGCAAGTGACAGTATTACCAAAAGCATGACTCACTGTATTGCAGCCTTCAATGGTGATTAGTTTGTTGTCTTTTACGGGGTCTCTAAAACAATGCCAATGTCATGCACTTTGATTTTTTTATGTTTGTTTTTTGTTTTGTTTTGTTTTGCTTTGCTTTTTTGTTTGCAGCAGCACCTACTTATGAGTCAGAAGAGGCCAGGTTATGGCATGGCAACGACAACAAAATAACAGTCTCTCAGTAGTGATATACATACACAAAGGGCTACTTCTTACTCTCCCCAGATCTAGGGAACAGCTCACTCCAAAACCCATGCTGCAAAGACAGCCAAGCTTCAAAAAGTTGCTTGTCATTAAGGTACATTGACAATGGTCTAGGAGGTGGCTTGATCTGGAACTGACACAGGAACTCCTGCTCATATTTCATTGGCTAGAATGCATTACATTCCTATCAAGCTCCAGTGGGTAGGAAACAACACATGCTGTCATCCTTCATGACCACCACAGAACGCAAATCTAGGATCTTGGATCCTGAGTGAATAGAGTATTTCATGAAGGAAATAAATGGTCCCTGTAAATAATAGAAGAACACGTAAAAGATTCCATGTCAAGCCAAAGACCATGGTTACACTCCAGACCACCACATCTGAGCAGTGTTTCCTCATTGATAAAAGGGAAATCAGTGAGCCTTAGATACAGAAGCTAACAAGCAATCAAGCACATAATTAGTTTAAGTGTAGGGTGCAGTGCTTGACAGAACAAGTTTTCAATGAATATATGAAGTATTAATATTATCCAGCTCAGTTTTAAAACAGAAATGAATATATCCATGGTTTTCTTAATATAGTTGAGGTACCAGTGAAATGGAAAGAATTCTCAGAAGTAACAATGAGAATAATTTTTCTAGTCCTTTCTCAAGCACAAGTATTCTGAAAATATTCTTGTAACAGATTACCAATTTTTTTTTTTTTTTTTTTTTTGAGACGGAGTCTCGCTCTTTCCCCCAGGCCGGACTGCAGTGGTGCGATCTTGGCTCACTGCTACCTCCGTCTCCCCGGGTTCACGTCATTCTCCTGCCTCAGCCTCCCGAGTAGCTGGGACTACAGGCGCCCGCCACCGCGCCTGGCTAATTTTTTGTATTTTTAGCAGAGACGGGGTTTCACCATGTTAGCCAGGATGGTCTCGATCTCCTGACCTCGTGATCCGCCCGCCTCAGCCTCCCAAAGTGCTGGGATTATAGGCGTGAGCCACCGTGCCAGGCCTACCAATTATTTATCTAAAATCTTGAAAGGAAAATATGCAATCTCATTTTTTTAATCTGAATTAGGCATCTCACTCTAAAAATTTCTCCCTTTGTATTTGTTGGGTCTCAGTAGAGAAAACTAGTTTGATGGAGGAAAATTATTAACACTTATATATAGATGGCACCTTGAAGTTTACATTTTAAAAACACACATATACATTTAAACCATATAACTGTAAAGAAGAAAGTTATTATTTTACTTAAATAAATATAATAAACTGTGCCCAAAGTTACAGCGAGCCTCAGATGCAGATTCCTCATAGCCTGTTTGTATGATAATTGCCAACCCCAGTATGACCTCAACTTCAACATCCACAAACAGACCTAGAAGTCCCCCTTCCCTTGACCTTCTGCACTAGTTTGGGTTCTCAGAATCAGGCACCAAGACATGTTTGACATGCAAGAGATTTACTGGGAGAAATACCTGTGAAAGATAAAGGAGGAAAAGAGGCAGTGTTAGGGGAAACTTCAGATTCGACACAGGTCTGGCAACTGTGAACAGATTCGACACAGGTCTGACACAGGGAGAAAAGCGGGGGATCAGGAAGGAAGAGTTTCAGACTGCAGTGAGGTTCTAAGAATGGGGAGTCCTGGAGCTGAAGGGACTGTGCGGGTCCCACAGCCCTCACATGGGTCAGCAGGAGCAACTCTTTCCCCACCCCATGCTCACAGCTCTGCCAGGAGCAGCCAGGGCAGGATAACACAGCAGAGAATTGAGATGGGTAGCTCTGAGCTGTCATTCAAATACACTCCTCAGAGCAGCATATTTCTCTGGCTGCAAAACCCACTGAAATCCCTTTCTGCATTGCTTAATTTAAGCAATTATTTAATAAATTATTTATTTATTTATTATTTAAGCAATAATTTAAGCAAGTTGCTGACTTCACAGTTCACTAAGAGCCATGTTATAAGCTTTGGATTTTGTGCTTGAATGTGCCCATCCTGCACTATTCATGTAGGACCTTGAATTCATCCCTCCATTAACACTGTACCCAGTGCTCGAGGTTCAAGTGATTCCATTGGTTGCTTGCACTATTGCAACAGCCTGCTCATTAATTCTATAGCATTTATTATCTCCAAACATCTTTGGTGATAGCCCTCATCAAACAAGTCAGAAAAATTCTAAAGCATTTCCTGAAGTTTTCATTATTTTCTTCCACTATACCTTACCTAGTCTTGCTAATTCTTCTCCTATACCTATTTCATCTTTTACAGAGTTTTGATTTCTGGTTTACACATAATCTCTTCTAAAATATAGCACTGGCAGTTTAGTTACCCTCAATGCTTGCAGGTTCATCCAGCTAACCCATCCCTAACACTGACGCCAGAGTCACTTAACTGAAATACAGATCATACTCTTTCCTCACTCATTCCCGTTGCTTCCACAGGGCGCATAAGACAAAAGTCACTCCTTAGTCTATCATTCAATTTCCTTCACATTTTTATTTGGCCAACTGTTTTCAGTCTCATCTCTCACCATTTATTACATCTCCACTATGTTCTAGCCCAAGATCAGATGCCCATCCTAGGCAGATGGGCACTGTAGATGAGGGAGCACACAGTATGAGTGGTAGTGTGAAAAATGTCTCTCCACCAAGAGAAACCAAGCTCAAGTTTTAAAAACCTATTGCTTGTGAGCCAAATGCAGCACGGAACTCTGGTGCCCACAAAGATGGCAAGCTGGCTGTTGCTGTGGTGCCAGAATCCATTGAAGAAACCAGAGATTCTGGTGGAGACAATGAATTCCGTGAACCAATGAACATTCTTGAGAGATGAGGAATTAAAGGTGTCCTTGATCTCAGGGATGAAGATGGTGAAGTAAAAGGCAACCTGGAGCAGCACTGTGAGATTCAACACAAGGAAAGTCGAATAACATTCACTCTTGTCCTTCCGCAATGTCACAAGGAGAAAATCATTGTCTGATCTTTCCTTGTGGAAATCTGTAGAGTGGCTGAACACTGGGGTGTTCCTGTCCCAAGAGAACCATCAGGCCTTCTGAGAAACGTGAGGATGGATGAAGTGTTGATAAAGATGGGCCTGACCTGACTTTCTGCCTTATACCGTTCCTCTACTCATGTTCCCTACACCAATAAACAGTTGGTTCACAACAGATAGAGATCGACTTTAGCTCCTGCTGTTTTACCTTAAAAACAACTTAAAGCGGACAGTTTCACAAAAGGATGGCATGCCACATTGATAGCAAGGACAGCAATTAACACATCCTTTCCTTAAATTGAAGAATTTTTAAATGGCTAGGTACTGGTCATTGGCCCTTGCTGCTTACATATTGTAAGACTGTGTGGTGATAAAAAGGGAAGTATGAACATACCAAAATAGCTAGATGATTAAGAGATAGGACTGCTTTAAAAGATTAATAAGTAGGCCGGATGTGGTGGCTCATGCCTGCAATCCCAGCACTTTGGGAGGCCAGGGCGGGTGGATTGCTTGAGGTCAGGAGTTCAAGACCAGCCTGACCAACATGATGAAACCGTATCTCTAATGAAAAAACTAGTTGGGCGTGGTGGTGCAGGCCTGTAATCCCAGCTACTTGGGAGACCGAAGCAGGAAAATTGCTTGAACCCGGGAGGCAGAGGTTGCAGTGAGCTGAGGTGGTGCCACTGCACTCCAGCCTGGGTGAGAGAGCAAGACTCCATCACACACACACAAAAAAAATACTAATAAGTAAGTGCAGAATATAAAAAATTTAAATGAAAATATATTGAAAGGAAAAGGAATTTTTAATATAATAACAATACATAAGAAGATGGATGATTTAGGTGATATATATAAAACCGAGATCATCAAAATAGCTGTCTATTTCAGACACGAAAAGTAAAATATTTGTACAAAACGTTATAAGTGCTATAAATAGATGGATATAACTGATAAAATTAGGAATTAGGGATAGTAGTTTATGAATCTATAACAGAAGACAACATAAAATTATAAAAACAATAAAAAATAGAAAACTGGTATTTTTAAATATAAAGGTATGGATTAATATTTATAATATCTAAACATTTTAAAAGTGTTAATATCTATGTAATAAAATCCTGGAGGGAGGAAAATAATAAAATTGAAAGGAGAAAATGTTTGAACAATCTTATGGCATGTGATTTTTTTTAGATTGGCTTTATGCAATAAATGTAATGCATGTGAAACCCATTTAAGTTGCTATGTATATCAATAGTTTGCTCTTTTTAACAACTGAGTAGTATTCCATTGTATGAAATGTATTATAGTTAATCTTTTTACCTCTGAAGGACACTTTGGCTATATCTAGTTTTTGGCAATTACAAATGTAATGCCTATAAACATGTGTGTGTACATTTTTTTATGTGAACGTATGTTTTCAAATAGCAGCCATAGAAGATCAATAATGACATTTTAAATAACATTACAAATCAACATCTTTAGGAATCTAAGAAATTTTGTATGTATAACCAACAAAATTAACATAAGGAATAAAATGTTTTCATAATTATTTTATGAAGCCTACTTTTGCACAGAGATTGAAGAGTTATTTGTGAGAATTTTAGAAAATTTATGTTCTCATTACTATCTCTTTGAATTTTACTGTAACTATTCTCTTTGTAAATGAGTTTGAAACTTCGTACTTTAAAACTCTAAAGAAAAAACACATAAAGTGGTTTTGTTGGGTATAGGTATATTTTTAAATATCCTTTAGTTTCTGGATGGTTTCTTTATGAGAAATAAAAGGAATCGAATCAGAATTATTTTCATATTTGGGTTTTGTTTTCTTGTTCTCCTAAGTAAGAACCTTTTCATTACGTCTGTTGGTTTCCTCAAATTATTCTTAATAGTTGTGTCATTATCTGGATGTTTTATTTTACAGCTATTTTCCTGACAGAAAGAATTGGAACATTTCCAGGTTTTTAATACTGTGAGTTCTCTGTGGTTTGAGTTGGATAGGAGAAGTTACCTTGTGTTAGTTATAATTACTATAATAAACTGAAGCCACACATATCTGCCCACACGTGACCCAGCTGTCTTCATAAAGTACTGGCAGCAATGAGATGCTTTTGATAGTACTGAACATGTGGGCTCATCAGAAGAACCAGCTAGGAGAAATTGAGCCTGGAATCCCACAGGAACAATCTTATGGGAAGGTGAAAGTGGTTCCACAGACATCAAAATTAGTCCAAAGGAATTTTATTATATACATGAGCTGAAGACAGAGAAATTTTTAAGTGTAAAAACCCTCAGAAAAAGGCTTTGGTGAAAAAGATCCTCAACAAATAAAATAATTTTTCAAAATACAACACTTTGACTTGCTATATCTCTTTACGCATTATTTTTAAAAACTGAGTGATGATGATAACTGTGGCTATCAATTATTTCATACAGATGTAGAATCGGTTCTTTGCTGTTCTAGGTTTTTTTTTTCTCTTTTCTTCTCTCTTCTTTTTTCCTTTCCTCTTCTCTTCTTTTTTCTTGCCCTTTTATTTAACAAAACTGAAACATATTTTGGAGTCACATTGAAGCATTTGAATGACATGTACGTAATCCAGTACCTGTGCCTAAGGATTGAGGACTTGCAGTGTCTAAGTTCAAATATGAGTCCTGCAACAGTGAAGATCACATCTTGAAAAAGTGAATTCAAAGCCATATGTAAACAGGCTTGAGATATGTTGTATAAAACCAAAATTTACAGCCATATTTGATTCATTATTATATTCTTCTAATTTATATGACTGTTTCAAAATCCTTCCTATAAACATCAAAACACGTATAATTTGCATGGCAATTATTAAATAGTTTATACAAAAGGAAGCAGGTTTTCAAGGCCAAGCAAAGTTTTGTTTGCAGCCATAACAGATTTTGTACACGTGTGAATATTTATTATAGTATCTCAGCATGATAATTGTGTTTGACAGTCACTGGCTTTTGGATTGCACAATAGCATGGAAATCAGTTCAGACTGTAAAATTTGTGCTGAAGTCCTACTTACTACATATGTTAAGGTCAAAGTAGCTGCTAATGTTATACTTCTCCAAGCAATTCTTGGGAACAAACATTTCACCAGTTAACCTAGCACATCATTTTTGACATATTCTTTGCAAAACTGATTCAATGAACAGAAAGTGTCGACACTTGAAAGCCTTTCCTCTAAGATCAGGAACAAAACAAGGGTGCCCACTCTTACTAATTATATTCTACATAATACTGGGAATCCTAGCCAGAGTAATTAGACACAGAAAAGAAATAAAAGGCATCCATATATAGAAGCAAGAAGTTAAATTATCTCTGCTTTCAGATGACAAGATCTTATACACAGAAAACACTAAAGACTCCACCAAAATCTGTTAGAATAAATAAATGAATTCAGTAAAGTTAAAGAATACAAAATCAATGTACAAAAATCATCAGTGTTTCTGTACAATAACAATGAACTGACAGAAAAAGAAATCAAGAAAACAATTCCATTTATAGTAATTACCAAAATAAATAAATAAGAATATATTTATAACCAAGAGGTTGAAATATCTGCATATTGAAAACTATAAAAAATGTTGAAATAAATGGAAGAAGATACAAATTAATGGAAAAATATCCAGTGTTCATGGATCAGAAGAATAATATTGTTAAAATGTCAATACTACCTAAAGCAGTCTACCGAGTCAAGGCAATCCTACCATAATTCCATGACATTTTTCACAAAAATATTAAAAACAATCCTAAAATTCATATGAAACCACAAAAGACCCAAATAGCCAAAGCAATCTTGAGCAAAAAGAACAAAGCTGGAAGCATTACAGTATCTGTTCCCAAAATACACAATGAAGCTACAATAATTAAAACACCACCGTCCTGGCATAAAAACAGATACATAGAAAAATGGAAAAGAGTGGAAAACCTGGTACTAAATGTATACATCTTTTTGGCAATTGATTTTTGACAAACATGCCAAGCACACACTATGGAAAAAGGGCAGTCTTTTCTGTAGAAGGTTGGGTAAACTTGATATCCACATGCAAAAAAAATGAAATTAGACCCTTATCTCACACCATACATAAAAATCAACTAAAAACGAATTAAAGACTTAAACAAGAGATCAGAAATTGTAAAACTATTAGGAAAATACAGGAGATAATCTCCAGGGCAAAGGTCTGTGCAATAATTTATTGGATATGACTCAAAAAGCACAGGCAACAAAAGCAAAATTAGACAAATGGGATCACATCAAACTAAAAAGCTTCTGAACAGCAAAGAAAATCAACAGAATAAAGAGAAAGCCTATGGAATTGAAGGAAATATTCACAAAACACACATCTGAAAAGGGTATAATATCCAAAATATGATACATATGTATATGTGTATATATATACACATATATATACATATACATATATACATATACATATATATGTGTGTATATATATACACACTTTTATATATGTGTGTGTATATATAAATATATATATATATATTTTTTGAGACAGAATTTTGCTTTCGTTGCCCAGGCTGCAGGGCAATGGCACGATCTCGGCTCACCACAACCTCCGCCTCCCAAGTTCAAGCAATTCTCCTGCCTCAGCCTCCTGAGTAGCTGGGATTACAGGCATGCCATCACACCTGGCTAATTTTGTATTTTAAGTAGAGATGGGGTTTCTCCATGTTGGTCAAGCTGGTCTTGAACTCCTGACCTCAGGTGATCCACCCTCCTCAAAGTGTTGGGATTACAGGCATTAGCCACTGCGCCCTGCCAGTGTCTACATATTTTTAAACATCATACTCTACACCATTAATATATCCAATTTTTATTTGTCAAGTAAAAAGGGAATAATAATAATAAGTAAATATCAACACTAATATTGTAGACATACACCACTTTTAGATCACAGGTATCAACCAGTTGTGTAGTTTGAATATCTCTCCATCCACATCACACGCCACTGGAGGGCGTCTGTCTGTTCCGGGGTCATGAAAGCCTCTGGTTCTAGCCTAATTAAGCCTTGGTAACACTTGCCAGCACCATTTGGCCAGAGATTCCTGATTTCACTCTGTTCTACTTTACTACTTAATCTTCATTTCCCTGGCTCTGTGTTTTTCTTTTTATCCACTGAAGTAGTAGTAGTATATCCTTAGCTAGTGCTTTATTTCACAACTCCATGACTTATGTTGACCATTATGACAGGGAACGGTGTAGTATAAAATTATCAAAATTACCACTACTAATAATAAAATTGGAACTCATAAGAAATTTTAAAATTATTCCATGAAAGACACTGAGAAGAATATTAAAGGACATTTTATAGACTAAAGAGACAAATCAAATCCTTTTTCTCCAGAGGCACAGCCAATTATAAGTTGTGCTTGTTCCCAAGGCCAGTTTCCCTTACCCTCTGAAGCATGCTCACCCTGCCAGGAGTCAAGTATTTTGAACCATATGTCTTGTCCTTCTACTCTCCGTGGATCCTCCACATCTCATCATACAAACCACCCACATTAGATGACTTAAAAGAAGGCCCCTGATTGAAAATAGCTCTAAACCTTGTGAGGGAGGAAAAGGTGAAAGAACTGCAGGGAAAAAATCCTTCTCCCATTTATCAGTAATAGAGAGAACAAGGGGCAGTGATATCAGAAAAACAAATCTTAGGAAGTATTTCTAGGAATATGATAGAATGAGGAAGAATCACTAACATACTATTCTTCCTATCCTCACCAAGAGTTGTTATAGGCTGTCTTTATTATTATGCCCATTCCAGTGTGTGAAGTGTTATGTGATTGTGGTTTTAATTTCATATCTCTAATGACTAACGATGTTGACCGTCTTTTTATCTCTTTATCAGTTATTTCTATGTTATATCTGGTGCAATGTGTATTCAGAAATTTATGTCCTTTTTAAAATTGGGTCTTTTTTTTCTTCTTACTGATTTGCAATGGCTTTTTTATATATTCCAGATGGAAATCTTTATCAGATATTTGATTTTCTGTCTGTAGGTTATCTTTTTTTTAGTTATATTTTTGATATATAAATAATTTTAATTTTGACAATGTCTAATTTATCATTGCTTCTTTTATAGATTGTGTTTTGTGTTTTGTATCTTAAAACTCCTCTCTTAGGATCTCAAAGATGTTCTTCAGTGTTGTTGTTGTTTTTTTTTTTTTTTTCTAAAGGTTTTGTAGTTTTAGTTCTAGGCTTTAGGTTCTATGATTCATGATAAGTTCATTTTCCTGCATAGTGTTATGAACAGATCTAATTAATGTTTTTCTAATTTCCTTTGGGATGTCTTCTTTGACCCATGAGCTATCAAAAAATGACTTGCTCCATATTTAAATATTTGGGAGATTCTGTATGTTTCTTTTTGTTGTTTGTTCCTAAATTAATTCTATTGTGATTAGATATCATATTTTTATGATTTCAATCTTAAAATGACTTGCTTCATATTCAAATATTTGGGAGATTCTGTATGTTTCTTTTTGTTGTTTGTTCCTAAATTAATTCTATTGTGATTAGATATCATATTTTTATGATTTCAATCTTAAAATTTATTGAAATTTATGCAAGATCTCTGTGTGAGAACTGCAAATCACTAATGAAAAAATCAAAAAGATCTAAATGAATGGAGAGATATACCATGGCCACAGATTGGGAGACTCAGCATATAATATGTTATTTTTCTCCTAAGTGATCTATAGATTTTCATAATAAAATCAAACTTCCAGCAGGATTCTTTGTAGATATAGATAAGCACATTTAAAAATTTATATTGAAAAACAAATTACCTAGAACAGCTGAAATTATTTTGGAAAAGGGAAATAGAAGAATTATACTACTTTATTTTGAGACACATTAATTTGATAGTAATTAAAACAATATGGCATTGGCAAAAGCATAGACACAAAGACCAACAAAATAGAACAGTGAATCCAGAAACAGACCCATACGAATATGGCCAAGTGATTTTTTTAACAAAAATGCAGAGACAATTAAATAGTGAAAAAAGTTTCTTCAATAAATGGTATTGGAACTATTGGGCATCCAGAAGCAGAAAAACATACCTCAAATAAATCTTCCATTTTCAACAAAAATTAAATCAGAATGAATCATAAGTCTGAATA
Organism: Homo sapiens; assembly: GCF_000001405.40. NCBI lineage: Eukaryota > Metazoa > Chordata > Mammalia > Primates > Hominidae > Homo > Homo sapiens. The sequence continues at coordinate 52,752,183 of NC_000007.14, forward strand.
TAAAACAAAACTATAAAACATTCAGAAGAAAATTTTGTAAACATTTTTATGACTTCAAGTTAGAAAAATATTCCCTACACATGAATCAAAAGTTCTATTATAAAATTATCAAAATTAATAATAATAAAATTGTAACTCATAAGAAATTTTAAAATTGTTCCATGAAAGACACTGAGTAAAACATTAAAGGACAATTTATAGACTAAAGAGACAATTTTCAACCACATATCTGACAAAGGACTTATATACAATATATTATATATATACATACTATATATTATAGTATATTATATATACATAAAATATATACTACATGTATACTATATACATAAAAATATATTGTATATACTATATATACACAAATATATATACTATATGTATACTATTTTATTGGTCTTATATATATAGTTTCTTATATATGTATATAAAATCTCAGTAGTAAGAAAAATATCAAATTAATTATTGGACTAAAGGATTGGAATAGACTTTTTATCAAAGAGGATATATGGGAGCTAAAGCAGATGAAAAGGTGTTAATTGCATTACTCATTGGGGAACACAAATTTAAATGGCCAAACACCTCTGCACACCTATTAGAATGGTCACAATAAAACATAAGTCTTGGAAAGGATGATAACACCAGTGTTGATAAACAATTGGTACTCTTACACATTATTGGTGAATTTGCAAATGCCACAGTTAACATATAAAACAGTTGGCAGTTATAAATTTAAATAAACATCAATATGAAACTCAATCTCATGCATAGTTATTTACACTGGAATAATAAAAACATATGTTCATCTAAAACCCACACATGAATGTTTATATCATCTCTTTTCTTAACTTCACACACATGGAAACTACCCAAATATGCGTCAAAGGGTGAATAGCTAAACAAGAGGTGATATACATATTCAATAGTGTACTACACAGCAGTAAAATGGAATGAACCATTGATATACACAGCAACTTGGATCAATCTGGAAGTCATTATGCGGCGTGAAAGAAGCCTGTCTCAAAAGTTTACATACTATAAGATTTTATTCTATAACATTCTTGAAAAGACAACGCTATACCAATGTAGAACAGATAAGTAGCTCCTAAAGCTTTGGAGGAGGGAGAGTTGTGACTATGAAGGAATAACACAAGTGAGATTTTTATGGTGAAGGAAATGTCATGAGTCCTGTTTGGAGAAGTGGTTACAGAATCATACACATGATAAAATTCACTGAACCATACACACAAAAATCTATTTTTCTTTAGGTAAATAAAAAAAAGTTTAAAAATGTCCGTTGTGAAGTTAGAGAAGAAAAATTATTCTGCTTGGGATTGTTCAGGTTTCCTAAATCCATAAGTTGATTCTAGATAATTCTCAGCCAAAACCTTTTGAATATTGTTCTTTGACATTTTTCTCTTCTGTATCTAGAATTTCAATTATACACACACATACATATACATATATACATATATATATATATATATATACTCACACATAGCACATCATATTCTATCTCTTTACCAATGCTAAGGTTTGAGAGAGATGTTAACCTTTCAGTTCCTTTTGTCATTTTCATCTAGATCATATTCACACCAAGAAAGTATATATTTTTGAGAGATTTCAAGTAAACTCCTGTTTTGGGAGACCCTAAAGACCACCCTAAGTCCAAAACAATGGACTCTGCCTGTCGTTATGCTCAGAGCTATGTTTTATTATAATGAAAAGGTATTGAGAAAAATCATCAAAGGGACAAATATCAGGGGAACCCGCCCCCAATATTTCAACGTAGCTTCTTTCTATTTTTCCTAAGTATCTGAGAAATAAAGAGAAAGAGTACAAAGAGCGGAATTTTACAGCTCGGCCGCCGGGGTGACGTCACGTATCGGTAGGTCCATGATGCCCACCTGAGCCACAAAACCAGCAGGTTTTTATTAAGCGCTTCAAAAGGAGAGGGGGTGTACGAACAGGGAGTAGGTCACAAAGATCACATGCTTCATAGGGCAAAAAGGAGAACAAAGATCACATGCTTCTGAGGCCAATAAAGATCACAAGGTAAAGGGCAGGGCAAGGACCTCCCCCAGGAATGCATTCCTTCCCCAGGGTATTAATTATTAATATTCCTTGCTGGGAAAAGAATTCAAAGATATCTTTCCTACTTGCACGTCCATTTATAGGCTCTCTGCAAGAAGAAAAAATATGGCTCTACTCTGCCAGACCCCACAGGCAGTCAGACCTTATGGTTGTCTTCCCTTGTTCCCTGCAATCGCTGTTACTCTGTTTTCAAGGTGCACTGATTTCATATTGTTCAAACACACATGTTCTACAGTCAATTTGTACAGTTAATGCAATAGTGGTCCTGAGGTGATGTACATCCTCAGCTTACGAAGAGAAGAGAATTAAGAGATTAAAGACAGGCATAATAAATTATAAAAGTTTTAATTTTGGGAACTGATAAATGTCCATATGAAAATGAAATCTTCATAATTTAGGTTCAGAGATTGCAGTAAAGACAGGCGTAAGAAATTACAAAAGTATTAATTTTGGGAGCTGATATATGTCCATATTAAAATGAAATCTTCACAATTTATGTTCCTCTGCCGCGGCTCCAGCCAGTCCCTCCGTTCGGAGTCCCTGACTTCCCGCAACAGACAAATACATGTAGCAAAGTCCAGAGCAAATCAGCATAAGCTTCCAAGAGTCCTCATCCAGCACAACCACGAAGGATGTACTGAACTCTTTCAGTAAAGAATTATGGCAACCCCTATGAAATATTGCCCAGGGAAGATCATTAGAGGTTCAGTCCCTAAGAATTTTATTGGGGACTAGTCACTTTGGTAATCTCTGTTTAACATATACCAAAATTTCAGACTCTCAAAAGCATAAACAACATTGCTGTGCAGTTTAGGCACAATGAACTACTCTTATTAGTTCTGGAAATGGCATGAGGCATTCTAAAACCCAAGCTCCCAAATGTCAGTCATAGACCAAGCTTTCACGATAGCAGCTTTGGGTCTGCTGTGTTAACTTTCTCTGCAGAACTCCCCACCTTCTGCAGTGCTTACACTCTTTTATTTCATGCATTCTGCAACACCATAAAAAACAAGCCTCAGCATCCTCTAGGTTTCTGCTTCATAACTCTATTTATTTTTCTCTTAATTCTTACTTTGACTTAACATTTGGTTTGAGAGAATTGTATATTTTATTGCTAGATGAACATTTTAAAGTATTTCATATATAATTGAACACTTTCAGTTGTTTTCTTTTAATTCAAAGGGTCATTCAGCATGACCTATCTACTGCGTTGAAGAACACAAACAGTGATGTTATTTTTCATTAAAAACAAATATGATTTGCTTCATTGCATAGGCTTGTTATTTATAGTGTTAATTGCATATTGGATATGTATTAGGCAATGTCTTCAGCATCAACATTAGACAAAACAAGAAGTTGAGCTGAAATAAAATCACCACAGATATCTTAGAAGATCTTACATTTGCTCTGGATCCAGATGGTCCTTCAGAGTTGTTGCAATTATGGAAAGGGGCCTGTCCTTGATATACCCTCATAATCCAGCACTGAATGAGGCTGCTCCAAGAAGGAAACATGAACTTGCTCAAGGTCAAGATTTTGAGCTGAAGACAAGTCCAAGAGAGGGACCAAGCTCAGAGCTGTGAGCTGCTTCTAACTCCATTAGCTGGAGGAGTGAATTCCATAGTCCTGGGGTCCAGGGGAGAGATTGTGCACATCACTCACATATATCCATTGTAGTCTGATGAGAAACCAACAAACTGACATTAGGAAGCTTATTTTGAAGTTATTCAAATATTTCCTATTTCCTCATATATTTCTTGCAGATATCAATATACTTAAGTCATTAAACAGAAAAAAAGGTGCCTTTGTTTTATATTTTGCTTTCAAACCTTAAAAAATTTTTATTATAATTAGTTACGGACTGAGTCATTGCTTTAGTCCATTTGTGCTGCAATAAAATACTACAGGTTGTCTATTTTATGTAAAAAATCAGAAATGTATTTCTCACAGTTCTGGGGGCTGGTACATTCGAGATCCAGGCACTGGCATCTGGTGAGAGCCTTCTTGCTGCACAATCTCATGACAGAAGACAGAAAGGCAAGGAGGCAAGAGGAGGCTGAACTTGTTTCTTTAAGAAGGCATTTATCCTCTGCCTGTTAAGGCAGAGTTCTCATAGCCTAATCATCTCTCAAAAGCTCCTCTTCTCAAGACTGTTACAATGGTAACTAAATTTCAGTATGACTTTTGGAGGGAATAAGCATAAAAGCATAGCAGTCATCATCATTATCAATATTATTTTTTCCTATTTTGCAACTAAGTCTTTTAACTGGGATTATCGCTTTCCTATGGGTTGATTTATTTAACTGTTTACTTCAAAAATTTGAAGCCAAAAAATCATTTATTATTTTATTAAAAATTTCCCTGCGTTTTTGGTACTCTATTTTGGCTAATTGAAAACTGGTTGCATTTTGGAAATAAATAGAATGTGAATGAAGATAGAAATGAATGCTTTAAATTGTTTATCACATGGTGACTCAATTCTTTTGCCTCATCCTCTATTCAGATTGCTGGTAGGTCCTCCCCTTTTTGGTATGTTGCAACATCAATGTCACGTAGACTGCTTGGTGCAGACACAATCACAAACTTAAAAGAAAATGAGCACATCGAAATTACATGAAACAACTGGCTTTATGATGCTCATCAGATAATCTACAATTTGAGGATGTGTATGTTTATCGCCCCGTTTAAAACACATGTAAACACAAATCATTCAAATTCTGGTTCACTGGCTAAAACAACTAATATGCCTTGAGAAAGAAAACTGTAGTCTCTGTTCCCTGACTTGCGTATAAGTACACTGGACCTACAGAACACCTGGGGATTTTGAATTTTATGAACTACCTTTCAGCTAATTTTGTACTTGGTCATTTTGCTCTCGCGACACAGGAGTGGAGGAAAATGTCCCCAGGGAAACCACCTGAGTTGGCTTTCCTGTGATTGTCTAAAAGTTCACTAACATTTCTATACCGTCTCAGGCACTTTAGAGACCTCCATAGAAAAGCACTAGTAGTTACATTTTAAGGATCAGGAGGTAAAAGAAAGTTCTGATCATGAAATGCTGCTGATTCATGTGTCCTGATTCCAGGAAATTTATGGCTCTAGGAGACAGGAGTCGAGGCCTTGTAGGTTGGAGATGATGACAGAGGACAAAAGGTGACAGGAGGCACCAAGGACAAATTTCACCTACTTTATTATTTTAGAGGAATAGTCCTGCGGATGGCAGTTTTCAACAGGAGAGCCGAGGGATAAAAATAAGAAAGGGACTCCCCTTTAAGTTTGTTGAGAGAGAAAATATTTAAATAGCAGAAATTCTCCTAGAAGGGCTTTATTTCTCTTCTTGCTCACCTTTACTTATATTTCCTCAAAATGTAGTTGGTTGCAACTGCTGAGATTATGCAGTGCATAGACAAGTATCTGATAATTATGTAACAAAGATGCCTGTTAAACAACACGACAACAGCAAGAACCACAAAACACACCACTACATGGCAAATACATAGAAATTGTTAAAAATAACTGTACCTGTTCCTAAGGATTTATTTACATCCTTTTAAAAAAATAAATCTTCAGATTTCTTTGTGGAAGGATAAACACCTGCTGCCTAATTTGAACTTAATGTGTTGCATGAAAGTGTTTACAAGAGTGTGTATTTCTAAGTTATTACAGTTAATCACAATTTTAAAGATTTTTGAGTGTTTAATTGAAGTTTAAAGTTTTAAGAAGTGTAAAAATAACTGAACTATGTTTAAGAACCCTGAGAATTGCAGATGAAATGTTAATAAAACATCAGAGAACAGATTGAATAAATTAATAGATACAAATGAGGCTCAGATGACAAACAAGAAAAAGAACATTGAAGATTGAAAAGGCTGGAAATAAGAACAGCAACAATTCAAATGCTCATTGCAGGACAGCTCTTTGGACGGTCTTGGGCCAACCCAGTTCTTTCCCCCATTTTTCTTGTAATTCTCAAGGGTAACTGCAGAAGATGCTGGGAATGCAACATCCCAAGACGAGGAGGAACTGGCTGGAGTAGCCTATCCTATCCCTTTGAGAACAGGATATTGTAGAACACTTTAGTCCAGCATGTCATGTAGCCCCTGGTTATAAAACCCAGGGTGGACTGCTTTCTGAGGCCTCTCAACCACAGAGCAAGTTGAGAATGCTGGACTCCATTCTCCCTGGGCGGCTTTCCTAAGCCAGTGTTCCAGCTTGCCATAAATCCTGGGCTTCTCACATCCCTTGCTGCCTGTCTGGGAGTAACACATCTGCTTCATGTAACTTGCTATGTGCTAGTGCTCTGTCTCACTGGACTTAGGCAAGTGATAGAAATTGGCAGAGTCCAAGTGCAGTGTGGGAGGTGTTTGGCCTCCTTTCCTGGGACTGATACTAATGCTCAGTAATCCTGCTTCACCCTAAATAAATAGAGGTACCCAGATAATCAGCATGAACTCCTGGGGCTTAGGGGCTCTTCCTCTGGAGCACTGTGCTGTGCTGTATGTTGTCCTCCTGCATCGCTTCCTGTTTCATTTCCATATGGTTTCCAAAGACAATTTCCATTAGTGTTACTATTTTCAAATACCATTAGGTTGCCAAAAATATTATACCATCAAAAACTGGTGTGTTGATGTTTTGACAGTCAGGCCTATTACTAATTTAGCAAAATGTGCTACCATCCTCTAAATTAGCAACCATTAGCATTTTCTAGAGAAACTAGATGCACTAGCTAGGGAGAGGGAAAAAGCTTGAGATAATTCCTGAGGTAAAATGAGGTAAAACAGTAATAGTAATTAATAATTGAACACTGACCTTACTAAATACTCACTTTTATTGTTGTTGTTGTTGTTATTAAATTGTCACTATAATCTTGTGATCTAGGTAAATATTTCAACTTTATAGATAAAAGTTATTAAGATTGAAAAGTTAAATAGTTTTGCATAATTTTAATACTAATAAAGAAAAGGACAAAAATTCTAGCCCAGCTCTGCTTAAATTCCAACTGAGTTTTAAGAGGGAATCAGATTGTCCCACATAATTCCGAGATGCTAAAGAATATAGAAAAAGAAGAGTATGTGGATTTCATTAGGCAACAATTAGAAACTGGTTAACTTCTTCCTGTTTTTACCATTTCCACACTTGTTGGTGAAGCCTCTTTGGACAATCAGGAAGGCATTTGCATGCCCAGACTTCATTTACCACCAGCATTCATGTTGATCTGAACAGCACCTGGCGTATGTAAGAGAAGTGAGAAACAGAGGAAAAGGAATGACCCCTAGACTGTGTTTTTATATTCTCTTGCATAGTAATTATGATGAATAATAATTAATACTTAGTCTTTCTATATAGGATGTCTGTGTGTGTGTTTATTTTTCCCATGGGGCTTTTACAGGTCAAAATTATGTACACGCCATTTTCTCAATGTGATTTGGTGATCCCACAGGGATATGATTTCACTGTATATTACATTGTTTCACTATTAAGTCTTAAAGAAAATGGACAACCAAATGTGAATAAATGAATGAGAGAGAGTTGATCAATTTATAAACATGAAATTATAAGAATGAGTGGGAACACATCAGTATTAAGTATGTCAACCAACCCAAGAAGAGAGAAAGAAAGGAAAGAACAAAGGAAGGAAGAAGAAATGGAAGGAGGAGGGAGAGAAGGAAAGAAGGAGGTAGGGAGGGAGGAAAAAGGGAGAAAAGGAAGGGAAGAGAGAGAGAAAAAACTAAAATGAGCCTACCCCGTGCAGTCAGCATTGCTGTGAAGATCTGAGATGGAGAAATTTAGAAGAGCATGTTGGGAGGTATACTGAGGTTGAAATGTCACTCTGAAAATGTACTAATCCCAGTTGTTGTGGAATGGAAGCAAAATTGTAAATTTGGTTCAGCAAAAGATTCCTTTTAGCCCAAAAATATATATAAAAGGAAAAAATGGACATTGTAATTCAAAATCAGCAAAACAGCATTTGACTTTACAGGCTTCTGTTTCATTTCTAATGAAATTATTCTTCCAGACTGAGACTCTATTGCAAGCATCATTAATAACATCCTTTCCCAGAATAACTGTAGTTGTATATAGTTTTCTTCAAAATGAAATTATGTGGGGAAAAAAGAAGCTACTAAGCAATTCTTAAAGGAGTCACTAGTTGTGGGTTTCATTTTTTCATATCCATCTAAGATGAGCATACTGTTGTGTGTAGATTTTCTTCAATCAATCACACACGTGTGCGCGTGCACACACACACACACACACACACACACACTTACTACAGATCCCAGAAGCATTTTGGTTTCGACTGGAAACTTAAAAAGCAAGGGTACATTTTTTTCCTGACTCCTTCCCTTTTTCTCGTGAGTTCAGCTGTTTGAGTCACTGGTTCAAGAAGTAGCAGAGTTCTTTGTGAAAATTTTAATTTGAGAGAAGAAGAAAACAAACCAGGGTCAAGTAACATATTAGCTATGTACAAATATTTATAAGTTTTCATTGTAACCCAACAGACTAGCAGCAATTCCATTTTAATTACAATTTCTATATACTGTAATTTGATTGGACAAAGTCTTAAATTAAATTCAGGCTTCAAGTTGACTCAAAATCTACATTTCAATACTGTAGAACACAGTTATAAATGAAAAAAAAAAACTTGCATAGCAAAATGCCTAAAATGTTTTAGTAATACATTTGACTTTAAAAAACACTATCCATATTTTTTAGAGAAGCAGAATTTGAAAGGTTTGTTTTTCAGTCATAGAGAAAATATTATTTTTAAAATGTTAGTGACATATAGAGAAATTTTGGTAATCCCCTATTTATTCATATGAGATGATGCCAAATTTTACATTATAGGAGTTCATATAATCATATTGACCCTTGCAATAGTTAATAGAGTCAAAATGTATTGTTTCTGATGTCCCAAGCTCTGTACATTCACGCACATCTTATGGATTTTCTAAGCTATACATGAGATAAGCTCTTTTTTCTTTCTTTATAAAAATGAGACAGCTGAGACTCATCCTAGAGCACCAGTGGGAAGGAAAACCAGGCTTTGAACTCAGGCAGTCTGGTTCCAGAGCCTCTGAACCACTGTGTCTGGGGGACTCCCATTGCTACAAAATGAAACTACACCCATATAGTAGGACGGTGTGTTTGTAAAGAAATCAAAATATTAAATTCTTCAGCATTTTGACTAGAATTTAGAACAATAGTTGAACATTTCATATGGCGAGTATCATTCGCGTGTGCACCAGTTATTTTGTGAAGTTGTTTTCCTCCTGTTCAACACTATAGAAAATAATTATAAATCTTAGCTTTCTCATGGGATTTATAATCCCCATCATGCAGCCTGAGTAATTTTGCTATCCCATGCCAGTTTTATTGTCAATAACAGCCTGGAGAAAAAATTTGCTTTGGCTTAGTTTTAATTTGTAAGTGTCCTAATCTCAACTGCACATACCAATTATATATCAAGCATTCTTTGCTCACCAGGGAGATATTGTTTAGATGCTTTTAAACTCATATGAAACAGAAATAAGGAGGACTGAAATTGTTCCATTTGGGCTTGAGGGTGATTGGCTGTCTTGCTAAAAGATATAGATAGGCCATTAAATGTATGTGACGGTTGGGGGATGCGTATGTGCTTATGTGTGCTAAATGCCTATGCTACAGCCTGGGAAGGAAATTATAATTTATATATTTGAGTTCTCAGAAATAAAGGTTTCTGAGACTTAGCATCAATAAAATATTTGTTCTGTATTTTGGGGTCCTAATTCCTGGATGTTGAACTTGTTGAGCAATCTTGAGAGTTACATGGGTGGTAATAGTAGTTTTAGCCTTTCTACATTTTGAGCAGTTTTAATTTAGTATCATGCTCAATTGCCATACCATAAGCTAAAATTTAATGTTCATGGATTGCATTCCCAGCCCTATCATGAGATTATTTCTTACATGTGTACTAGATATCATATAGGTCTCTAGAATGTGTGAGACTTCCTTTCTTCCTTCTTTCCTTTTTTATTCTTTCCTTTCCTTTTCCTTCCTTCTTTCCTTCCTTCCTTCCTGCCTGCCTGCCTTCCGGCCTTCCTGCCTTCCTGCCTGCCTTCCTGCCTTTTCCCTTTATTCTATTGTATTTCTTTTCTTTTTTCTTCAAGGGATAAATTTTTAGGGTACAATGTAATGTGTGCTAATTGTGTTGGTTTGAATGCTGGCTCCACATGCATTAGTTGCATGAATGTTGTCATACCATTTACTCTCTGCATGCCCATGATTATCCATGATGATCATAAAGGATGTCACCAAGATGAGCTGTTGTGAGAATTAATGGGAAAAATACATAGTAAGCAACTAGAAAAGTGCCCAGCTCTGTTGTTATTATAAATTTGTTAGTAATTTATTGTTACTCTATTATCAATTTAACATGTATGCACTGAGTGGCGAATATATTCTAGCCACTCTATTCTAATGGTGAAAATTGCCAAGGTGGGTACGTGTAAGTCACAATCAGTACATAGTTTGGTGGACTTTTATATTATTTTTTTTGAGACTGAGTCTCACTCTGTCACCCAGAATGCAGTGGTGTGATCTCAGCTCACTGTAACCTCTACCTCCTGGGTTCAAGCGATTCTCCTGCCTCAGCCTCCTGAGTAGCTGGGATTACAGGCATGTGCCACCACTCCCGGCTAATTTTTCTATTTTTAGTAGAGATGGGATTTTGCCATGTTGGCCAGGCTGATCTTGAACCCCTGACCTCAGTTCATCCACCCACCTCAGCCTGCCAAAGTGCTAAGATTACAGGCATGAGCCACCGTGCTCGGCCAGTTTGGTGGACTTTTTTATAGAAATGGTCACAATCGCCACACACTTTCGTGTCCCCCTCAGAATCCCAGTCCTTGGATACTTGAACAGTCTCCTCCCACATTGACTCTGGGCTTCACATATGACCAGTTTTGGCCAACAGAACAAAAGCCAAGGTGATTCAAGTAGGGACTATGAAAGTCCTTGCACATAGGAGTTTGGATTTTCTCTTGCTGCAGTCAATAACTCTGCCACCACCATGCTGGTAACAAGTTAGATTAACCTGCTAAGCACTTGGCCTCACCTAGCCCAATTTCTTCCGTTTCCCCTGCCAACCATGCATCAGCCACCCAACATGTGAGACCATGGACACCAGCTGACTGCAGACCTATGAATGTGCCCAGTGTGCACCATGGGGAGCATCGATGAGCCTTATCAGCTAAACAGAGCCCACATTACTACCCACAAGGACTGTGAGCACCAGGCTTCTATGTGGCTTGTTATACAGCAGACAATAACTGATATATGTAAGTTATTTATCTAGATTTATGTTTTTGTGAATTCATACTGGAATGAGAGAGGCCTATCCAGGCCAAGAACTCCTTAGCATACTGCTCATAGCATCATGATGCTTTCTCAGTAGGTGAAATTCTCATCTAACTCAGAATGTCTTACCATCTTTAATCTCTCCAGGAAACATTCCTTAAAATGATGGCAGGATGATTTCATTCACCCTACTCTAGGTTCCACAATTTCCTTTATCTCATCAAGGATACTAGGATGTTCTTTGATGGTAACTATAGCATAAAAGCATCTTAATTGCTTTTTTTTAACATGTAAATGAGAGTCCATGGGGTAGGAGATTGCAGCATATATGGTAACATTACTGCTGAACTTGGAATTTTTTCCATCTTATTACAAAAATATAATATTGATTTGAATATACAATTCAAATTTATTTTAAATGATACTTTTTATAACTTATTATGTTTAAGTTTCAAAAGTAGTATTAAAAATCATTAGATACATTCCTTACCTTCTCTGTATTCTTCTCTTAATTTGTGTCTTATTTTAGAAAGAAGTATGATTTTAAAAAAGACAGAGAACAAATCCTAAACATCTCTCTGGATATGTATTATTTAATTTAGTATATCTCTCATATACTATAAGGCAGATCTTGTAAAGAAAGAAGACACAAAAGGAGGAGATATGGAATGATAGGCAGTATTTTTAAAAAGATATTAAGTAATGTATTTAAATGTTCTTATATATATTTCATTTGTTTCTCACAATATCCCTATGATGTAGCCATTTTAATATGACTTTTGAGAAATGCAATAATTAGGTTGTATAGAGATTATGTGATTGCTCATGATTCTATTGACAGAAAGTAATGGGAACAAGGTTTCAATGTCCTTGACTTCTGCCTTCTGTCATAGAGGACCCATTAAGAAGATTGCAGAGGACCACAATTTAAAGAAAAGATAAACATCATATGCTATGGATTGTATTGTGCCAGCTCCACCCAAAATTTATGTGTTAATGCCCTAACCCTCAATATGACTGTATGTAGATAGGGAGATTTCAAAGTAAATAAGGTTAAATGAAATCATCACTGTGACTCATAAGCTTAATCAGACATGTCACCAGAAGCCTAGAATAAAGATGGGATTACACCAGCAGAAAACACAGGCAGTTTGATCTGAAAAGTGTGGAGAAAGCAGGATGGACTGAAGGAAGGCTGTTGGACTTAGATACAAAAGGACCAGGCCATAGAATATTTATTTGGCTGTGAACATGTTATTTTTTAAGAAAAGTTAAGAATGATCACAACTGTGATTCAGTGATTGTCAGGACTGCCTCCTTCATTTCAAAAAGTGAGGTCATTGTCTCAATTGCTCAAGCCAGACAGCCTCTGACCAAAGCTTCAGGGCCAGGACCATTGCCCAAGAGGATCTGAAAATGGGATTGCTACCCTAGTGGATTTGGAAGGTAAAACATGGAACCAAAGAGGATTATTCTTGAGCATTAAGATCTAATGGAATTTATCTTGCTGGCTTCTGGATTAGCTTGACATCTGTCACTCTTTTCTTTCTTCTGACTTTTTTGTTTTGGAATGAGATTGTCTTAAGCATGTGCCACTGTTGTATTTTGGAAGGATGTAACTTGTCTGATTGCATAGGCTCACAGATGGAGAGACATTTTTCCTCAGAATTAACCATACCTTGAGTCCCATTCATATCTGATTTAGACAATATTTAGGTGAGATTTCGACTTAGATTTCCGAATTGAGCTGGAATCAATGTAGTTTGCATGTGATAACAGCACAAATTTTGGTTGGCCAGGGTTAGAATGTTGTGGACTGAATTGCGACCCCCTCAAAATTCTTATGTTGTAGCCCTAACTCCCAGTGTGATTGTATCTAGAGATGGGGTCTTTAAGAGATAATTAAAGTTAAATGAGGTAATATGAATGAAACCTTAATCCTTTAGAACTTTGACCTTATAAAAAAGAGAAAGAGGCAGCTTTCCCTCATTCTTTCTACCATGTGAGGGCACAGGAGAAAGGAGACTGTCTGCAAGCCAGAAAGGCAGCCCTGATCAGAAACTGAACCTTTCTGGACCTTGATCTTGGACTTTCCACCCGCCAGAACTGGGAGAAAATGAATTTCTCATGTTTAAGCACACGGTATATGGTATTTTGTTATGATTGCCCATGTTTACCAATAAACATCATGTTACACATAGAGATCTGCTTCCACTTCAGACAAATCTAATAAGCAATGGGCAAGCAGTACTTTTCCATTAATCCTTCTGCCTTCTGTGTTTCAGAAAACAGAGTGTGCCAATATAAGGCTTTCTCAGGGCACATATTGGAGATATTGTGGTGCTATTTTAATTGCTAAGAAAAACACTACTACAACAAAGTTTAGCCATTTTACACAACCATTTACCCTAAGGAATTAATCAAGGATATATGCAAATATCCATAGGTATTAATTTAGATATTAATTTTCACTGAATCACAATTTATACTACCTCAAATTTGTGTAATTTAATAATGTCATATATAAATAGCTAACAAACGAAGACACTACATAAAATGAAATACCATACATCTATGAAAATAGTGTTCAGTAAGAGTATCTATTGACAAGACTCCATAACTATAACATGTTGTCACATTATAAATAGTACATACGATATCATGCATTAACAAACATGTGTTGGCTGGGCATGTTCGCTCATGCCTGTAATCCCAGCACTTGGGGAGGCCGAGGTGGGTGGATCATGAGGTCAGGAGATCGAGACAATCCTGGTTAACACAGTGAAACCCCATTTCTACTAAAAATACAAACAATGAGCCGGGCGTGGTGGCACATGCCTGTAGTCCCAGCTGCTGGGGCGGCTGAGGCAGCAGAATCACTTGTACCCAGGAGGCGGAGGTTGCAGTGAGCCGAGATCGTGCCACTGCACTCCATCCTGGGCAACAGAGTAAGACAACATCTCAAAAAAAAAAAAAAAAAAGCTCAAATTCCTCCACATTGGAGCAAGATAAAAATAAAAAAAATACTGTACATAAAAATTCCATGTAGGTAGACAGTGTTAACCTTAAGTGTGCTAAGTAAAGCACTAAATATTAGTGCTGCTTTAAATGTTTATGTGTATACAAAAGAACCTAAAAAAGGGTGGAAAATATAAATAATTGGAGCTTTGGGTTCAATTTTAATTAATTTAATAATTAATTTTAAATAATTTAATTTTTTATACGTTTGTTAAATGTACAAAATGTACATACAATAACTATAAGAATACTAGTAGGAGTATAATATATGATGAAATGATAAATAACTTTAAAAATTTAGCATTAAAGAATAAGAACATTATGATCAGCAGTATACATTGATAAAATGAATTTTCTTCTAATTTATCATCTTGAAATAAAAATATTAATCAATCTTCCCACAGCTTCTCTTTGTTTCTTTGCTTGTATTTATAAAATAAGAGGCAGTAAACTAGAAGATGAAGCAAACAATAATGAAAACAGGAGTTGAGGGTGGCTGTACACTTCTGAATTGTGGCAACAAGTACACACAAATAACAGCCTGAAATGCTCACAACCTTGGATGTTTGCTTTTGTTTATGAACTATATAGGGTGCTTATTTTCTGCTTTTCATGATGGCAATAACCAATCTTTTCCCACCATATTTATGGTGCTTTTCCTTCCTTTTTTTTTAAAGAATATTTTATGCTTGGCAGTATCTAAATGTTGTGTCTGGAATTTAAATAGGAGAAACTGTAATTTAGCCTTAGCTAACTGAAGGAGGCCAAGCCCACTGCTGAATTGATGGTGATTATCTTTAGCAGAGTGAAATGGAAGGGTTCATTGATTGAATACTATTATGACTTAGGTTCTTTTCATATATCATCTTGTGACATTCTCCAAACAACCCTGTGGGGTAGGAGATATATTTCTCAGTTTCCAGGAAAAGAAAAATAGCATGGAGCAGTTTTCAGCTTTGGCTTTTCTGAGCTCATATCCCATGGTAAGTGGACTGGCCACACTAAATAACACGTATGTAAGATGATATTATGGACACATTAATTGTTGAAGTAGACCTAGTCAGTGTTGCACAAAGATCTCAAGTCAAGAGCGCTAAACACATTGGCTAACAATGTAGTATATATGTCAATACTCTTGTCTAGGTGTTGCCTAAGGGGCTTATATCATACCTGCATTAGTTAAACACAATTTTAGGTAATGAACAGATACTTTAACTATAATCTAAAATAGTGGTAGATCTGAAATTGTGCATCATATGATAATAAAAACAGTAGCTAATAAACCAGCATTTATCTGGGTTTAATAAAAACATTGGCAATGAAACGCAGTATATTCATATTTCTCTTTGTTTCCTTGTAACATTGTTGCAAAAAGAAAGGCTGACTTTATTCAGAGAAACATTCCTCTCAGTGCAGGGAAACATATGTAATCCACAAAAAGATGTATAAATGATAAAAAATTTAGCAAGTTTATATCATTAAAGATAAGTATATTAAAGCCAATAGTATTTCTATATGTTAACACCAAAATAATTGGCTACTAAATATTTTAGGCCATTTACAATACTATCAAAATATAAAACTCTTAGGGATATTAGTTTTATTTGGCAAAAAGATGTACAAGAAGTCTGAGATAATTTAAAGAAGGCTTAAATAAATGGAGGAGCACATTGGCACATGAGTCGTAGAATCAAAGCAGTTAAGATACCATTTCTCACCAAATTGATCTATAGCTTCAACAAAATAGCAATTAAATTATCAGCAGAATTTATCTCATAGAAATTGGTAAACTGATTATAAATATCACATGGAAATGCAAAATACTTTAAATAACCAAAACAAATTTTAGAAAGAAACAAAATTGGAAGAATAACATTACAGTACTTCACAATTTAATATAATCTTACAGTTATCAATAACGTGATATTAACATAAAATTACTGAAATGAATCAATGGAAAAAAATTAAGTCCAAATGTAGACGCACACATGTATGTAAAACTGATTTTTAATAAAGGTACAAAAATAATTGGGTGGAGAAAGAATATGCTTTTCAACAAATGTTACTGGAAAATTTTCACACACATTTGCAAAAAAAAAAAAAAATCATGACCACATACTTAGTGCAATACGAAAACAAACAAACAAACAAACAAAAAAATATGCACCATAGACCTAAATATAGAGCCTGAAACTATGAAATGTTTAGAATAAAATCTTTGTGATCTAGGATTAGACATAGAACACATAGAATATGATGTGTTTTAAAACATGATTCAAGATATAACAAATTTATAGTTTGGACTACATCAAAATTAAAACCTTTGGTTCTTTGGAAGCACCGTTAAGAAAACAAAAACACAAACCTCAGCATAGGAGAAAATATTTGCGAATCATACATGTGATTAAATATCTGTATCTAAAATATATAAAACCTCTAAAAATCAATAAGAAATAAACCCAATAAAAGTCATCAAAAGGTTTGAACAGACTTCACCAAAGAAACATACAGATGGCATACGAGCATGTGAAAAAATCATTAGTTATTGGGGAAATGCAAATTAAAACTGCAATTAGATGACACTACGCAGATACTATAATGGCTAAAATTAAAAACACATGGATTTAAAAGTGTGGAGATAAATTTTAGCACCCATGCACAGGAGATAGCAATATCAAATGTTAAAATCACTTTGGAAAATAGTTTGTCAGTTTCTTTTTTCATTTCTTTTGTTTGTTTGTTTGTTTTTTAAGATGGAGTCTCACTCTGTCTCTCAGGTTGGAGTGCAGTGGCACAATCTTGACCCACTGCAACCTCTGCCTCCTGGGTTCAAGCAATTCTGCCTCTGCCTCCTGAGTAGCTGGGATGACAGGCGCCTGCCACCATGCCCAGCTAATTTTTGTATTTTTAGTAGAGACGGGGTTTTACTATGATGGCCAGGCTGGTCTCAAACTCCTGACCTTGTGATGCACCTGCCTTGGCCTCCTAAGTGCTGGGATTACAGGTGTGAGCCACTGCACCCGGTCCTCAGTTTCTTAAAAAGTTAAACATTCACCTACAAAATGACACAGACATTCCATTCCTAGATGTTTAACGAAGACAAATGAAAAAGTTGTACAAAGTGTTCTTAGCAGTACTAGCCATTATGGCACAAAACTGTAAACAATTTAAATGTCCATTAACACATAAATGATAAACATATTGTATTATGTCCACATTTTCCAAAACTGCTTAGCAGTGAAAAGGAATCAGCTATTGATCCTTGAAACAACATGGATGAGTCTCACAATAATTGTGCTGAGTGAAAGAAGTGAAACAAAAAAGATTCCATAGTGTATGTTTTTATTTGTATAAACTTCTAGAAAAGGCCAGCTAATCTATAGTAACAGAAAGCAGACTGGTAATTGCCTGGGGATGGTGGTGACCCGACGTGGAGGAGTGAGGATTAGTAAGGGGCACAAGGAAATGTTCTGCCTGATGAAAATGTTCATTAGTTTGATTGTGGTGATGGATTTATAGATGTATATGTATGTCAAAATTTATGAACTTAGATACTTTGAATATGTCCACTTTATTATATGTCATTATACTTCAATGAAGCTGTTAATGAAGTTCTAAAGTCTCCTGACTTTCACAGTAACTCAGGTGAAACACTTGCATTCAGATCAGCATTTATTAATTTCAGTTCTATCTAAGGGCATGTGATATAAATTAGACTCTATGTACTCCGGACAAAATGCTAAAATTTGTCAATAAATCTACCAAAACAGGTTCTATATTCTCAGGTGCCAATAGAAGAAGATGATATTCAAATCATGCAACATGCACTGTGGTAAACAAGACACATCTGACTACCAAAACACAGGAAAAGCATTTGTCTACCATGTCTAGCTTGTCATGAATTACTAGAATACTAATTAAGGGAAATCATAGAAATTAAATGTCTTGCAAATTGAAAGTTCCTTCATATTTGGTTGTGAGGAAAAAAGAAAGCAAAAATTTTTAAAGCTATTCTTATTGTAATGATTTTCACTTCTATTTTAAATTACATTTAGCATTCATTCCCTTTTGTCTTTCATTCACAACAGATACACAAGTGGATGCACACACTCTAATTTGTTTCAGAAACTTTGCCATTCCAATGAACGATCCTTTTTACTTAAATCAAGTTTATTTAGGTTTTTGATCAAAAAGTTTTCCGGGAAATGTATGCTTTGTTTTCAATGCCTACAAAATATTGTGCATGTAATACGAGTTTAAAATTCTAGGCATTGTTTTTAACTGTCATAATTAATAATTGAATTTAAATTATGTACAAATGCTGTAATGACTACTCAAAACAGAGCAAAATATTCCCACCCAAAATTTGGTTCAGATGTTGAGATTAATGAAGCCACACACCCACCTAGAGGGCATGAAAATTTTTATATCTTACATAATGAGGTTTTCTGAAGAAAAGAGGGCATTATCTTCCAAGCTTGTCTGAAAATGGCTTGAAAGGGCAGAGAAAGGAGGGTGGTTTGGGGTGTTTATGTTGGTTTAGGGGCTAGGGCTGGGGTGAGCGTTTTCATGTAAGTGGTGGCAGGAGGTTGTGTGATTTGAACTTTTCACTGGTGTCAAAGGAGAGAGCACTGGGACATTCTTATCAACTGCTCAGATGGTGAAGCACAATAAGAAGATGAGAAGGGCATGGGGAGTCACATCAAAAATGGCATCAGGCTCTGCATGCGTTCACGTCCCTGTGTGATGACGTCAACAACAGGCCATGCCTACTCCGTGCCAGATGACAGGTAGCTTGGGAGATGTCCAGTTTATCTAAATGAAGACTTTTTAGCCTTCACAGAATGACTGATTATTCATTCAGTGTCAATCAGATAGGTTAAAAAATGTAGAGCTAATAGTTTCCATTTGTAATTCTTGCATAGAAATGAATGTTGTGTAGAAACTGTTACACAACAAACATTAAGGGCCTTAGGTTACTAGATATGATCTTCTACTTAAACTACTTTTCATTGATGTGACCTTGTTTCCAGTGCAAGGTAGTCTGGTAGCAAAAGGGAAGGAAATGGAAATCTTCTTTTATGAAAATAGATGGACTATTCCAGACTGTATCTGCAGAAAAATAAACGAATGTCTGCAGCAGTTGAAATTACGGCAAAGCCATCGCATTACAGACAGCAGAGCAGGGAAGGTGGGAACCAGGCTTGCGGTCGCCTGCCTGTCAGGTGGCAGATTTAGGGATAATAAGTCAGGGGACAGGTGAGATGAGGGACAAATCAAATAAGCGGGCCAAATCCTGAAATGTGAAAGGCTGTGGCCAGAGAGAGGAGTTTTGGATTATGAAATAATGAGAGTAGAGAAATTCCTGCTACTGACAACATTGAGGATGCAGACAGGAGACAGGAACCTATTGAACATTTTAAGATTAAAATCCTCTGATTATTCACCCAATAACCATTACGTGGCAGGCAGTGTTTTGGTGATAGAATATTAGATAAGAAAAAAATCCTGACGTTTAGGGTCATCCAACTAAATGGGGTATTAGCCGCTAGGGAAGCATTTTACATCAATGTTCCCTCATCCTTCATCCACCTGCAGAAGTGTTGTTATTATCTGCACTTTAGAGATGAGGAAACTAAGACTTAGGGGAGTTAAATTAAATGCCTAGAGTCAAGCAACTGGTTAAATGTCAAACCGTGTAGGAGTCAAACCCAATTCTGCTTTTCAGCAAATTATTCTTTCTGTTATTGCTTTCCCAGCAAGAAGACCTCTTGAAATGAAAAGCAAAAGCAGCATTAGATGCTGATATCAGGCCTAATAGTTGTACATTTAGAAGAGATAAGATTAGAATCAAAAATAAGTGGGCAGAAAAATTTCAAGTACTAATAATGGAGCAAGAGACAAAAGATACCATATTCTCTGAATTTTTAATAACTTTAAGTAATTGAAAAACATTAAGATGATCAAAGAAGATATGAATAAAATTGTCACTTAGATAAAATAAATGTTCTAAGAAATTAAGAAAAAGAAAACATTGTGGATGGAATTTCCTGATAGTTGACATTCAAGAAGCAGATGCAAATTTGCTAAATGTTTCCTTTATCACTTACGATCCAGCACATACACTGTGACTTCTATTATAATCAGAGGACCTGCTGGGCCCTGGAGATGAAAAGGTGACTTTTTGGGGTGTAGAGTGTGAATGTTAAATTTCCCCCTGAGAAAACCCCACTGGTTATCTAATTAAGCCTGTGAACATCCTCTCCCCAAAATGCACACATATAATTTATAACTCCTGGAGTTTACAAGATATTCTTTCTATCTTACTGAAAATGTGGTGTGTTAGAACAAGTCACTTTGTTGATGTCCTAAAAGTCAAAAGTCTGTGACCAATATGCATGCTAGAATTTTTTAGTATATAGTATTTTCAAAAGACAAAATGTGGATTCAAGAATATTTTTCACTCCTTAGGCTATGTTTTCTGGCAATGAACATAGAAAGAAGTTTTGCTTGACAGAGAAGGTTTGGGTAAGAGAAACACCTTGTACTAATGATTATGAATTCATCTCTACTGCTGCATGTAGTATTTTATTTAACCTGCAGAAAATTATGTTTTATGTAATATGAATTCTGAAGAAATTAATTCCTGTAAGGGTGCCTAAAATTTGAAACAAATGAGCAAATGACTTATATGTTTCTTTGTTTATGTGTAGATTTCTTTTGCTGGATAACTGATTACCACAAACTTAGAGGCTTAAATAGCCTATTTTATATTCTCATATTTTCTACGTACCAGGCATCTGACTATGGCTTAACTGGGTCCTCTAACGGGGTCTCACAGATGCAATTAAGGTGTTAGGTGGGGCTGCAATCTCATCTAAGGCTCGGGATTCTAGGCTCACATAAATATTGTCAGAATTCATTTCCTGGAAGCTGTAGAGTTCATTTTGGCTTCTTCTAAGCTGCAGTGGAAAGCCTCTACTGCTTTGAGTTTCTGACATCAGGAAAGGAAGCCCTCTTTTAAAAGACTCACTTGCATCGATCAGGTCCACCCAAGATTATCTTTCTTAGATTGATTCAAAACCAAATGATTAGGTATCCTGCACCTTGTAGTGCCTCCACTTTTGCCGTATCCTGTGCATAATTACAAGAGTGACATTGCATGTTGTTCTCAGGACCCCAGACCAACCCAGTCAGGTACACCTTCCTGGGCAGGGGAGTCCACAAGGGTGTGAGTCACAGGGGAGCATTCCAGAATTATGCCCACAACAATGTTTATCCACAGAGAGATCTGACAAATGTAGTAGCACAGCTTTTTAAAGAAAACCTTGCCAAGCACTTTGGGAGACGGAGGAGGGTGGATCAGCTGAGGTCAGGAGTTAGAGACCAGCCTGGCAAACATGGTGAAAACCTGTCTTTACTAAAAATAGAAAAAATAGCCAAGTGTGGTGGTGCATGCCTATAATCCAAGCTACTTGGGAGGCTGGCGCATGCCTGTAATCCCAGCTACATGGGAAGCTGAGACAGGAGAATCACTTGAACCCGGGAGGCAGAATTTGCAGTGATCTGAGAACATGCCTTTGCACTCCATCCTGCCTGAGAGACAACAGCGAAAATCTATCTCAAAAAAAAAAAAAAAGAAAAGAAAAAGAAAACCTTAAAAAACAGAGGGAAAAAGGGGCATTTTGGACTTGTAATTGCTGTTCTTTGCAAAATTTCCTGTGACAACTTCTTCTTTTTATTTATTTTATTTTTTTAATAATGGGAAAAGTATGTACATTAAACTCCTGTTTGTTAGAATTTCTTTATTACACTTTCTCTTTTGTCAACTTTCCAATCTCTTTTGTCTCAAGAGTGTTCCAGTTAGATGCTAAAATGTCTGCAATTTGGGAAAAATTAAGAGATTTATTTAAAAATATTTTGTGATTGAACTTTCAAAAATAAAAATAACAGAAAAAGAATGTGTACACATAACTGTACTTCTTTTCTGGTATATGATATAATTGAATTTTTTTCAATTTTGCTTTCATTCTAGGAGCTGGTTTCTTCTTTATCTACCTGGTACTTATCATGAAAGTAAATAATGGTTATAGAAGGCACTCATTCATCACTCAGTCATCTCTGTCATAACTCAATTGCTGCAACAGTGGTACCACTTCTACACATGCTATGAAAGAACCAGCATAATCACTCTTTAAAGTCATTACAGATTAAACAAATAACAGTGAAGCACATTTTGGTAAACGTTTATTTTTCTTGCTCTAAACATAGTATGTCCTCACATTTACTTTAAGTTCTGTCCTTGAATTAATTTCATTTATAATATATTTTAAAAATAAGAAAAAACTTGATGTCCCTCATTAAGAAAACTTTTGATTTGTATGCATCTCATGTTGTGTTTTTGTAAACTACCACTGAAAAATCTTAAGATAATTGCTGTATAATGGGGTAATTAATTAAAATAACAATAATAAAAATTAAAATTCTAAATTAGTCTCAAACCATGTTAACTTTACTTTAATTATCAAGCTGTAATTTCAAACCAGAGAAGGAACTTAGAGGCATTCCATGTAAACTTCAATTTTGTCTGTGTGGTGTGTGTGTTTTGTTTTGTTTTGTTTTTTAGGAAGAAGAGTGGCCCAAAAGATGATGAGTCTTTATTGTAATCCTATAACAGTGATTTTGTAATCACATAACTGATTTTTTAAATAAGGTTATCTCCTTTTGAACATTTTCTGAGATGCTAGAGATAGTGGGTAAATGAAAATAGAAAAGATAAATAAAATGGAAATATTTAGGATACTTTTAAAGACACGTAATTATTAAGTATTGTTTTAAAGGAAGAGAAGACTGTTTATTCAGTGACAAAGAAATAGGACGGGAAGTCATGGGGGAAATCAGACCTGGGAATCCCTAAGAGAATCCTATATCTTTGTTCCATTTTGCAGCATGTAGGTAACATGGTGTGGTGGCAAGACAGTTTTTGTTTGTTCCTTTGTGTTTCAAGCGAGACAAATTTGGGGGAAGAGATATTACATCCATTGATCTATTCATTCACTAAACATTTACTAAGCTACTGTTGTGTGATCAACACTGCATTTTGTATCAGTCTAAAGAATGTACATAATATTTTGGGGGGACCATTTGTTTTACAATTTTCATATACTTTACAAGCCAAAATATCACCTCATCTTAATAGTCGTAAACTGAGCACAGCTGTATGCATTATGTAAAACTTAAACATTTTCAAATATATTAACCAAATTCAGTAGCATAGTTTCATTTACTACACCCAGAAGGCATACTCTCTAACTGGTCTGGGAATAGTCTCACTTTTTATTTGAAATTCAACAGTTATTAAAACTGTTTTGGCTGGAGTACCAGCCAGTTGACCCAGGCTCAAAATCAGATCTCAGTAGGGAGACTATTTTCTTTAATCCAAGCCAGAATGGAAAGAATCTCGGCCAAGTGTCCAAGCTAAAGGCAAGCTCAAACAAACAAAACCAATCACACTAAAAGATGGTCCTGTATGATAGATGAACCTAAGTAGAACAAGCCTGAAAAGAAAGATAAGCTGGTTCAAAATAAATAAGGACAGAACATGATTTTCTATAAACAACATCTAGATTTCTGAAGATCTCCCTTTGCGTCTAGATTTCTATGTCACATGTTGGCCTGAAAAGGCTAGAAAGAATAATTTTATTTCATTTTTAGCTGAAATATACTTCATAAGTGTGTATACACTGAAACACTTTAAATTACTGACCATTCTTGGCATTTCACACTTACTTTTATCTTCCCTGTACCTCAAAGAAATACAAGGAAGCCACTTTTTAAATGATAAGACAAGTCACCATTGTTTTCAAGGCCATGGATCAAAACTTGGAAGAAAAACTTAGCCACTGACAACTTTTTATTGGAAATTATTTTATTAATTTAGATCTGCTTGAAAATAATCCTTACTGAATGCATAGTATAAACTTTTATGTGGATGTCAATGAATAGAACAAAAATGATATAAAAGTCATAGTTTCAAAAAAAAAAAAGGAGAGAGACTTGGCTTTTTTTTCCATTCCTAATTCTCCCATTCTTTCAAGTTCCCTTATTTACTTTGAGATTATTACATTTTTCTTCCATTCCCACTTCTCCTCGTCTATCATGCTCCTTTCTCATTTTATTTGAGACTACTACAATGTGTCTCTAATGGTTCTATTGCACTCAATCTGTGCACTCAGAAACTGGCAGAGAAGCACCCAAAAACAGCCTGTTGAGCTCCCTAGAAGAAAACCCCCAATCGTGTCACTTCACTTCACATGAAAAAACTTCTTCATTTTCTGCCAAATGAAACCTGACTTCTCCGCCTGTCTTTCAGGCTTTCTACTGAAAACCCACCCCACATTTTCAATATCATGTCTCGCCATTCCTTACCTAGAATGAGCTCTTCTCTGCCCTGTGCCTTCCAGCACCTGTGGCTTTATTCTGATAGTCCTTTCTGCTTTTTATCTAGTTCTATGAGTCCAACTCAAATTCTGAATCCTCCTGGAATTTACTCTAATTTATTTTCCTTTCAGTACTTCCCTGTTCTCAGAATGAGCTGTTCTACCTTGGCGCACTCACATACTTGCTTCTGATGCTATGTCTCATGTGCAGAATTGTGTCCCAGGTATTTTTCTAAGTCTCTCTAGTTTCCTTAAACAATGACGAGCTCTGTGAGGTGCAGGCTGCACTGGATCCAGGGCTCTCCATGAGCAGCTCCCCAGCAGCCTGCAACTGGCATGGATTGCCCTGCACCCTCCTCTCCAGGCACAGTGTGGGAAAGCTTTTCATTTTCATAAAGCTTATTTTTTATATAAAATAAAATAAAAACCTGCATGATAACTCATGATACGTTGGAGAGAAATAAAGAGGCAGATGTGGCAGGATATCACAAGGAAATGTCAGCATCTTATGCAGCAGGGTTTGATTTGGGGGACAGTGGAGAATAGATAAGATCGAGAGGAATGATAAAATAATAGGGAAGACTGTACCCACAGACAATAAACAGACAGGCAAGGAGACTGCACCATGCAGAAAAGAGGGGAGATTAGGAGTGGCGGATGAATGATAAGTAGTTTTGGTTATTCATAAATCAGAAAACAGGTAGTTTTGGATTTAGTATTTCAGTTCTGGTCACATAGGTTAAATACACACTGAGATATACTGAAAGAGTCCATAAATCTAAAAAACAACTGAAATATTTAAATACCTAGATAAAAATACTGGCACGGAACAAATTGTGTATAAAAAGTAATTGTTACCTAATAAACTTTTTTCAGATACTGTGCAATATTATGCTCAGTATCTGAAAAAAGTTTATTAGGTAACAAATTAAAATGTGCTTTATGCAAACATATGGGCATTAGCTTAAAATATCTACCTTGTCTTGAGTTCAGTGTATTTTAAAAATGCAAAAATAAATATAATTTATTTGTATTTTTTTATCTAGATACTTTTATTTAAATTACTTAATTAGCTTCTTTATGTTCCACCTCCCATGAAAATGATTGAGAGTGGCTTATATAGACACATGCAATAAAACAAAAGTTAAGGAAAATAGATGAAACACTTGGAATACATACAATACAATGAAATTGAGCTAAGAATGTTCCACAAAGGATATATTATAAGGTTCTAAATCATAAGTTGGTAGAAGTATCAAAATATGGCTCTGACCTTTCTGGAGGCTGGAGCAAAGAGAGAAGTGTGATCATTACAAAACTTATCAAGCATTTCTTATCAAGAACTTGGAAAAGGAAAAGATCAAAGAAACAATAACTTATCAAACACTTTGTCTAGGTTCTCTCATTCAATCTTCACATACCCCAAAGACAGTGGGCCTGTCTTTCCAACCCACGGCAGGGATCAGTGGTTTTTCTGGAGCTGTTATGGAGGTGGTTAGTATGTCGGAGTAGCTTCCTCTTCTCCTGCATGAAGGAGGGAACAGTTGCTGTCCTTTAAAATGAATCTTTTCTCCAAGAAGAATTCAGAAAGAAGCCAAAAAATTAGGAAATATGAAAAAAAAAAAGATCTGAAGACATTGGAGAGGTCATAACTATATGCCTGAAGACAGGCATAACTATACGGCTAAGATTTCAGAGATGAAATCTCACAGAAAGTGAGCCCAGTGTTGAGGACTGCTTCTCCCCTAGAGATGTAATCTAAATTCACAAAAGTTAACGTAAGTTTGGAAGACTAAGAAGCTGTGAATAAGAGTATTTTGCTCAGAGTCTGCTAAACAAGGCCCTACAAACCTCCTTGCCCAGGATTTGGGTTGGGATCTCAAAGTGCTACAACCTAGGGGTGAAACTGCTCTTGCAAAAATTACGATAGTCAGAGAAATCTGACATAAAAATTATGACAGTGAAATGAATCTGACATAACTGGCTCTGTCCTGCTTCTAACCTCCAAGCTGCCCTTGTTCATTCCTGGGCATAAGCCAAGCTAACTATAGGAGGAATTTAGTTTACAATTTAACTTTAAAACAAAGATGATAACAGCTCCTTCCTGAAACTAACTGCCTCCTTGCTCAGGGATCAAAACCACCTGTGTAAAACTAAAATTAGCAACAAGTGTAGAATTATAGTTCAGGAGTCATGCAGCCAGAGGTTACAAGATTTGTAACCTTCCCAATTGCTCCTATAGATGACATCACTGTTGTAAAACCTAAGGTTGGTATTAGAGGTATTTTCTAGACCCTGCATTTTGATGGACTAGCTGGTGGTCCACCTGAACCAGTAGCCAATGCTAAGAAATGGGCTCATCTGGTTTTGTGACCCACCACCCAGGAACTGACTCAGCCCAAGAAGGCAGCTTTGACCCGCTATAATTTTATCCCTGATCCAACCAATCAGCATTCTCCATTCCCTAGCCTACTGCCTGCCAAACTATCCTTGATAAACCCTAGCCTCTGAGGTTTTGAGGAGACTTATTTGAGTAATAATTACACCCATCCTTTTACTTGGATAGCCCTGAGATTATTACACTCTTTCTCTATTGTAATATTGCTGTCTCAGTGAATTGACTTTATCTTTACAGTAGGCAAAAAGAGCCCATTGGGTAATAACAGGAGTGATAGTAATTCATAAATAGACTGGTCATAGCAGGGACTGAAAACCAGCTTTGGATCATCTCAATCTATGACTAGATCAAGGCCATATGGGATTACTAATCCCCTAGCTTCTTTCCAGAAGCAAATATGAATCAATCTCAGAGGAAGATAATATTAATTTAAGCTTAACATTATTTTTATAATTATTCAAATACAATGTCTGGAACTGAAAGAGAAATAATCAATATATGAGGAGACAAAGTAATGTGATACAAGATAATGTGAAAAATAATGTTATTTTGCAAAGAAAAATAACAAACAGTAGAAATAGACAGGCAGGGAATGCAGATAATAGAGTTATCAGATATAGGCTTTACTGTAGCTATGAAAAATATATGCAAGGAAATAAAAGACAAGACTTTCAGCAGAGAACTGGGAACTATAAAAGAAGTTATTTAAATTCTAGAACTAGAATTCAGTGGATGAAGCTGGACAAAGATTAGACATGGACAAAGATTAGACATAGGCAAAGACAGAAAATATCCAGAATAAAAAATGGAGAGGTAAAGAAGATGAAAATGTAGAAAATCACATGAAAAACACAGAGAACACAGTGAAGAAGTCCAGTGCACATGCAATTGAGGTCCCTGAAAAAGAGGCAAGAGAAAGCCTGGGGCAGAAACAATATTTCTAGACATAGTAAGTGGGAATTTTTAAAAAAGAGAAGCTAATTTCAAATGACTAAGTATAAGATTGGCAACTGCCCTCTCAACAAAAACAGTGAAAGCCATAAAATTAGGAAATAATATATTTGAATTGCTGGGAGGAAGAAACACTAAAAAGAAAAACAAATACTCTCAACCCAAAATTCTATAACCAAAGAAGATGATCATTATGATGATGAATATGGATTTAACGTACTGTCTATCAAAATCTCAACGGGCTTTTTTTGCAGAAATTGACAAACTGATCTGCATTAGTCAGATTTCACCAGAAAAACAGAACTAGTAATATACTAGTAATATACATGAATTATGGAGGCTGAGATGTCCTGAATCTGCAGCTGGAAAGCTAGAGACCCAGGACTGCTGATGGCATCATTCTAGTTTAAGTATGAAGGCCTGAGAACCAGGAATGCCAGTTTTATAAGTTTCAGTCGGGCTACAAGTCTGAAGGCAGGAGAAAACCACTGCCTCAGCTTGAAGACAGTCATGCAGAGAGAATTTTAAATATAATTTATTAATTATAATGCTTGAGACAGAACTATTAAAATGTTGTGGTGAATTAAGTTTGTCACGTGAAAGCTGGGATACCACTCTGCATTGTTGAAACAGAGACAAACATTTTCTCTTTAGTTCTGCAAAGTTAAATTTACCCTGTGTAATGGCAGCATAAAAATTGGCTGAGATTGATTTTTTTTTTAAACTGGAGTAGAATGGTGTACTTTAAGCTCAGAAGAACCCGAATTAAAAAAAAAAAAGAAAAAAGAAAAAGTGAAAAATGTTTTATTAGAAGGAACACCTTTTCAGTTGTTACTTTTTATCTGACATGTATGATAACACACAAGAAGATGCTGTAAAGCTGAAGATGGGGGAGCTAGTGAATAAAAGGTGTTGCACTGGCAATGGGCAGAGAGGTGCCTCACAAGCAGGCAGGGAGAAGCAACAGAGTGGAATGGCCAGGAGCTTCGACTCTGGAGCCAATCACCTAACTCCTCTGTGCTTCAATTTTCTTATCTGTAAAACAGAGTCAATAATCATCACAGCATTGTTATATGGATTGCATGAGTTGCTGTTTGTAAAGTGCTCAGAACACTGGCACATAGTAACTACTTAAAGCTTCGTAAGACAAAAAAACTGAGCTGACAAAGTCCACCGTCACAACTCAGTTCTACTCCTCTGCCAGCACGGAGTAGAACACCATGGCCTTTTAAGAGCAAGTGGCTTCTAGAGAACAACCTCCGATATATGCACTTCCCATTGCCCACAATTATTAAGAGATGAAAACTACCAAGACATCTAAAAATTAACTAAGGGAAATACTACCGCCAGAAACTCAGAGGAATTTGCCCTAAGTACAAAGCCAAGGAACAGAATGGGACCTACTGACCTACTTAGTCTTCACTGCAGAAAACAGAGTCCTCACTTCTTGGATTGTCTAAGGCATCCTGGGTCAAATGTAGCTAGAGAACCAGGCAGCTGCTCTCTACTGAGGAAGCAGTGTTCTTTCAAACAGTTCACTCATTATTCTAACCCCTGTAAATCCATTCTAAGATAAAAATCTCAGAAAATATCCGGGAAAAAGATAGAAAGGGGTATCAAAACATATCATTACCTGGAAGGCATAATCTTTATAAGTAAAATAGCAAATAGTCAGGCAGAGGAATATTAAGAGTTACATTTTTTTCTGAACTGTATCAGTCCAAAATAGGAAAGTAATCAGCAGTTTATGTGGTAAACCAGAAAACGTAAATGATCTGTTGTCTCTATGCTGGGTGTACGAAGATGCTCCAGGTGTAAATCTTACCTTCAGATTTAGTCAAGCCTTATCTACAAACCTTGTATATTAGTAAATATGAGTATAGGCACACACACACACACACACACGCGCGCTTTTCAAACAAACGTACCATTAAATATAAAGTAAACTTCCTCTGAGGACACATTATTCTCTAAAAGTGGTTCATCTTAGATTGAGAAGGCTGCCCTAAATTGTTTGGCATACACAAAGTAAGACAAAATAACGTGGCACTTATTCATTTTTTTTACTGGTTTAACAAGTTAGCTTTGATATGTAAAAGGGACTCTGACAGAACTTGAAATTCAGCAGTGAACAAACTGGACAAGGTCCATGCTTTTGAGGAGCTTACATTTGGTGATATAAACAACATATTACATTGCAAACCTGTTTGACTGTTTCTTACACGTCGCTTTTATTTATTTCTTTAACAAGTAGTTTTGAGCATCTGGCCCTGTGCTTCTTGCTCTTGGACTGTTCGTTTCTGGGTTTCATATCGAACTTAAAATCTAGTGAATGACACAGGGTAAAAAATCAGACACAAAGGTATACTAAGATTGAGATTATTTTTAGCAAGAAAATACAATTCCGTGGAGGTGTATATAAGTGTAATTTAACCTGAGAGATGATGGAGAGACAAGTTAGGTATTTAGGCAGAAATAACAGGACATTAAAAAAAATTGTGGTAACAATGAGTTTGAGATATTTGAAAAGGTATAAAGGCCAGAAATCGAGCAGTCACATAAGGACGGAAAGACCAAATTTCTATGCAGTGAGAATCCAGGAACGGGAGGGCATAAAGAAGCATCCAGTTTTTAGGCGGATCCTTCTTTAAGTCCATTTCCCAGACCCATTTCCAGCCAGGTGTGATGATGTGATCCTGTCCTGGTCTATTAGGGGAAGGTGAAGCGCCATTTTCTGAAACATTTCCTTAAACAAGAGCTGCCTCACTCACAACCTTTGTCCCTTTTTTCTCATTTTCTTCCTGCTGCTTGTGGCATGAACATGGATTCCCACTGGGCAATGAAGACAAATGTTCCAGGGATGACAACCTCCAAGCAGCCTGGCCTCCACTGGGGTTCATGGAGCAAAGGCATTGCAGGGTCCTGACGGCATAGCTCCATGCTTCCATGCAGGCAAGGAGTGAGGCCTAGTGTTGTTTAGCCATTATCATCCGAGGTTCTGGGCACTCTGTGCCGCATCCAATCTTAATTAATGTAGAATTTGGTAATGAAAGTGTGGCATTGTTAAGTCACATTGGAAATTTTAATAGCTTTTTTTTTCCCCTTTTAACTCTGCAGGATGTTGGGAAAATGGTAGAAACCCCAATCTAAATGTTACTATGCCGTGGATTCTTCAATATCCTACCCATTCCAGATGTGAGCCTTTACCATTCCTGCCCGGAATGATATACTGACTCCTATGGTATCCAGATAACTGGTGCTTCTCATTCTCTCTTTTGTAAGTAGGAGTCAAGTTACACTTTTTGTTAATGTTCCATAATTACATATTGTCTGTGCAGGGAAGCAGATTTATATTTTAATATCTAGTTTTCTTGTTTACAAAGAGCCCCAATTGGGCATAGTGAACAATCCTGGACGTGGATCTGAATGTGATTTGCAATGGAACTTCAGGACTGCCTTTCACAGAGGAGTGTTGACTGTGGTTTACACATGGGAAGATACAGAGTTAGGAGAGCCATTTATTATAGTCAGAGGCCTATGCTCCCACACACACCACACAAAACTCTCCCCAAAAATTCAAAGGAATCCTCACACTCCAAGAAATATGTAACTTAGAAAATATTATCAATAAAATGAAATGTGAATAGTCAGTGGTTTTTAAATAACCAAAGAAACACATGCTAAGAGGACTACCTTTGAAAATATTGATAGACCTATAAATTATGGATTTTGGCCCAAACCATTTTTTAAAACAAGCACAAAAGTACCATTTTATGAAACAAGCAGAAAAGAACAAGATGGAAAACCTATCTAAAACGATGTTTTTGGAGAAGGTTAATATGTCATCTAAATAGAGTAAATACAGATGTAACTGCATTGATACCAAATGGAAGATACTGGAGAATCAGGAAAAGATTGGAAGTTGAAGGAAAGGGGAATGTAAAGACCTTTTTCAGCAAAAGAGCACAGGAAAAAGACATTTTGGGGGAAATGTTCTCAGGCAGAAAGCGTTAGTAGTTGACCTTCACATTGGAGAAGATCCTCATTTCCTCAGTTTCCATGGTTTACAGAGTTTGCATGATAATTGACAATTTCCCATGTTCTAGGTGGAGATCACTGGGTATGATTAGATTGGAAGTGTAGTTAGGATTGGCATCCGAGGCTGGTAAAGACGTCCACAGCAAGGAGCTGTAAAAATAGATGTCAATGTATGGCATCAAGTAAGCATCTGTGTTCAGTTGAGGATCAAACTGAAAAAGTGAAGCCTGAGAGGAAAAGTAGGGGAACAGTGACCATTAGTGAGCTAAGTGGAAAGGGGGTGACTTCTGGAAAGAAAGTTGAAAATTAATAACTTGTGTAAGGATTGGGGTGTGGTGGCCAGATGTGAGACCAGATGAGGAGCATTAGGGATCTTGAGGGCTGGAGTGTTAGCAAGATGGGATGCATCCAATATGCATCAGCAGACATCTGTGAGGCTGGTAGAAAGGTCTCTATACTATAAAATCTGACCTTTGAGCGCATCCTAAAAGGAAACTTGAAAACCTTCACACCTTGCTAAGTGTGCTGTGAAGTATAGCCATGGCCAACGTAATGTGAAAGAAGATAGGTCATACAAAATGTAATATATATCTAGGATGATGCAATGATGAAAGCATCTGAAAGTGTCATCCACGTTCTAGCAGAAGACTTGTTAGCTAACGCTATTGCTAATAACATCACGTTACTTCTAAAGTTGCAGGCCTACATCCCTATGCTGAAATTTTCTGTTTTATTAAATGCATTTAGTGTGGCATCTATACTAGTTTATTAATCCTCTTTTTTCTTTAAGATAGTGTAAATTAAAATATGGTTTAAAAAAAACTTAAAAAGAGAGATAACCAACCAATCTTTGCATTTTCTGGCCAAGTGCTTTGATGGGGTGAATAGACAATCTACTTGGCAAAATGCAGTCCATATATGCCATTTTTTCATCTATATTTATTCTCAGTGCTAATCATTTCCCTCCACACATGCAAGTCTATGCATGTTCTCAATGAGATCTGTGCTTTCCTGACACATTTCTTTGCCTGTCTAAAACAACCTCCCTCCCTTTCACTTCTCAGATTCTGTGCACTCTCCAGGATGCTGCTAAAATACTACTTCATTAAGCTTTCCTAAGTACTACTACATCTCACTGCAACAGGGCCTTTTCTTTCCTTCAAGTTTTATTTTTGTTACTTTGCTTTGTGAGTTAGACCCAGAAAATCTAGGTTAGAATTATGCACAAAGTAGGATGTCTGTTTTTGAAAAAGCATTGATTTGAACCATTAAGAATGTGCTTGATCAAGCTGAACTTAATAATGGAAGAACAGATCTAGTTGCATTCCCTATAATTTAGTAAAGGGAATTCCATTGATTTAGAAACCCTGCTGATGCCCTGCTTAGATATGGAAAATTACAACTAATTGACATTGAGAAATTAATATTGAAAATACATTTTCAAATTACAAAAAATATTAAAAATAATTATGCCTAATTAATATATCACATTTTCCATTAGTATATCTCATGACTTCAGAGTCAAATTACTAATGTGTCACAAGCAATACATGTTAGAAAAACCTCAAAAGGAATTTTCTGAATATTTAAGAAACAAAGGTAATTCACATCATGTATAAAATTATCCCTATCTATTGAACAGCCTTTTCAGTCTGTGCTCATTTTTTTCTCTTCTGTCATTAAGCTTTCTAAGAAAAATAAAAAATATATATATGGGAAAAATTAAAGTATGAGAGTTTATAAATATTGCTGTTTATTCATTCGGCTTTAGATTAGTTTGTTTGCCAGTGTCTTCTCTCATTTTTCCCCACTCCCTGACTTTTTTTCTCAATGCTAATGAATCCTGTGCCCACTGTTGGCTTCTTTGCAACAAAAGCCATCTGGAAAATGCCATTTATTTTAAATGAAACTCTTAGCCAGTCTTTTCCATAGGCAGTTGATCACAGGAGATAAGCAGCTCATAGGTTAAATGAGAAATCATAGAATTGTTCTATTTACGGCACCCACATTCTCTCTCTCTTGCAGCTGCCATCTAGGATTTAACAGTTAATAATTACTTGTGGAGGAGAAGTTCATTTCTCATAACGGCAAAAGCCTAGTCTTATGATTAATAACAAGCTTCCTTGTTATAATGACATTGGCCATTTAACATACTTAGGTATTAGGTGGATTTACATTTCTGGAAAGTTAAAGAAATTCTACTTTACTTTCTTTTGCTCTTAGAAATGACATGAATGGATGAGGAAAAGTGCTTGCTTCTTATTTAAATTTCAAATAAGAATTTCATAAAGAAGGATTAAATAGCTGTACTTATAAAATAGCTGTCTATTTTTAAATAAAAATATAAATCAGATATAAAGTTTAATATAATAAACAAATCTAAAAAGTCAAATTACACTACTTTCTAACCAAATTCTCCTTTCCTTCCAACTTTCCATGTATTTACATTAATATTTTTACTTAACTCTTATAGAGCCACTTTTTCAGTTTTAGACGTATTTTATTGTCTTCCTAATACCAAAGTTAAAGTTCTAAGTCTTATATACATGTATGTACCTGCAACATGAATGCACACACACACACACACACACACACACACACACACTTCATTCCCTCTACCTCCAGGGAGTTATAGCCTATGTTGTTGTTGGTAAGTCATTGGCTATGATATTATGACTGAATATTTTTCACAGCTTTGGCAAATAACATACTAGAATTACATTTCTTTTTACATGTTTTAACTTAAATAACTATGTTTTCCTTTACTTTAATTATTATTTTTTAGACTACCTGGGGAAAAAGAATGCATTTACATGTTTTCAAATAATTCAATAATTAATTTGTGGAATTTTTCTCTGGAACCAACCATTCTTTTCTAACAGTCTTTACTGGGGACTCTCTAGATTGACTGCCCTGGTGTTCTCCTTAATCTTCCCTTCACCATTGTCCTGGGCAGCCCATCATCCTCTCCTGTGTTCCATGTCTTCTTTCTAGATGTGATTTATTTCTCTCCTTGCTTACTCCTGTGGGTGGCTGGGATAGGGAGAGGAAGGATAGGCATTCTTCAGTAGCTCACAAGATGTAATTTTTTAGATATCTATATAGGTTTGCAAATGTTTTCTTTCCATATAAAGTTCCTATGGTAATTGATTTCTTTAGAAGAAGTAATTTCCCCTCATTATTTTAACGACTTCATTCACTCCATTGTCTTCTGGCTTCCAGTATTTCTATTGAAAAGCCTGATATCAATCAAATTAGCAATACTCTCTATAGGATTTTAGGATTTTGTCCCTTTTCTAGAAGAATTTGGATTTTTTTTAATTCCTTGTGTTCTGAAATTCCATACTGCTATGCTGTAACACAAGTGGTGTTTTGTTTCATTTTGTTTTTCTTGTTTTTTCATGAAAATAATAAAAAGATATGTAAGTTATAGCATCTTATTCTCAGGCCAATACTTCAGGTGCATTTGCTCTGTAAACCCTCACCACTCATCCTTCAGCCTCTCAGGGGGTCATCCCTCTGGGATGCCTTAGCATCCTCCTAAAATCCCATTCATCAGAATACAGCTTGCATGTCATGATGGACGTATAGCTCCCTTCCACACTCCTTCATGTTTCTTGTCTCTCTGTATCTCATGTCCTCACCAGATAAAACACAGTTCACAGTGACACAGTTCATCTTGTTGTGCTGTAATTCACCACCCTCCAATGGCTACTCCATGCAGCCCAGCCGTCCTGTTTCATTCTTCCTAGAGAAGACATTTTCTTTTCCTCTGTCCTTAAATGCTTTGGTAGGATCCTTCTCATGTTATTTATACTGAACCTCGTGGATTCTGTCCATCTATACACACATATTTTTCTGTTCTGATTTATTTTCTTCTATAATTTCTTAGACAACTCCCCTCTTACTGTTTTCATTTCCCTTCTCCCAGCACTCCCATTATTTGGATATTCAATCTCCTGAAGTGATTCTTTCTCATATCTTCACTCTTCGTCTTCTCATTGTCTTCTTTATTTTCTAATTTTAGGAGACTTCCTTAGCTCTATCTTTTTCTACTAAATTTTAAATTACTCTGCTGTAATTTTAATTTTCAATCTCTCCTTTTGTGTTTTATGAATTGACATAGATAAATAGATAGATAGATAGATAGATAGATAGATAGATAGATAGATAGATAGATAGATTTAGAAGCCTCTTGTGTCGTAGATGAAGTATCTAATCAATAAATTTAGTATTTTGTTCTTTGTTTTTTTCAGTTTCATCTAATTTTCTGCTTCCTCTGGAATGCTTTTTGTTCTCATTTTTTGTTTTGGCCCCTTCCTATCTTTATGTTAGAAATGTTTCCTAATATCTTGTAATCACTGCACATTCTCGGATATTAATTAAAGAATTGCTAAGAAACATGCATACATAAAATGAGTGCATGTTTGCACTGGTCAAAGGTTGGTTTTCACAATGGTGTAGTTAGGCAAAGACAATGTTGTTTTGTTGAGGGAAATCCAAATTATTAGTGTGTTTTGAGTATTTTCTTCTGTGACAATTAAGTACCCCTGAGTAGAAACTTCTGCTCTATTTCCTGACAGCTGTATTCCTGGCTTCCACTATCCCCAGAAGCAATCAGGAAGGTTAAAGTTGTCGTCATTTTACATGCAGATGTTCACCTCTTTCCCTAATTTTTTCTTGTGCTGGTGTGTCAAAGCCCAGAAGTTTTAAAATTTAAATTCCCAAGAAAGTCACGTCCCCTTTTTCTGCCAGTGTGGGAAAAGAGAGGCTACGTGGCTGCTGATGGCTTGAAAAGGAGCCTAATATTCCCTCTTAAAGACAACCTTCCCTCTGTAAGGGCTGGTCAGCACCCTGAACCTGCACCTGGGACATCCAGTTCGGAAGTCTCGCTAAACTTCTGCAAGAGGAACCAGCTCACTTCCTACTTCCTTTCCCTGTAACTTTTCCTTAGTTTTCCAAGAGAGATTTGTATCATCCATCTAGTTTACTGTCCCCTAAGGACTGTAGTCTTCTTCATATGCATTTCTTTTCCCTGAGGACTAACTCCTTGTTGCTTTCAGTAGAGATCTGAGGAAAAACAGACATAAACATATGATGCTTTTGAGCTACTATGTTTAACCACAGACATATAGGTTCATAAATCCTCTCATTTTATTTATGAAGTAAAATTGGTTCCTCGCCCTCAACCAGCATTGAGCTGGCCCATAAAGTTTAACTGGCTCTGCCTGTGACAATTAGAACCAAGATGCTCAAGTACAGAGAAAACCAAGCTGGCCCTTCCATTGTGCAGCAATGGTTCTCAATGTATGGTCCCAAGACGCATTAAATCAGACACTGCAAAGATAGATGCAGCACTCTGTATTGTGTCAAGCCCTCTGGCTGGCTCAGATGCCCACCCCAGGAACTATAATGTCTTCTTGCACTCATTGGGCCACAAATTCCCATAGACATGTATAGATTTTGCTGATATATACTTTTCTAACTCATTGTTAATATTGGATTTGTGTTGATAAATGGGTTGTATATCTCCATACCTCTATATTTTTAAGTACCCAAAGTTTTTTGAAATATGTGAGATATTTTATCCCTTTTTAAAAATATTTTTCATTTACTTTCCCTAATGAGCAAATGTTGGTCACCTGTACCACAGTTCCTGAACCACTGCTAGGTTATTTTCTGTGAGTGTCCCTTATAATTATTCCCAAGTCTTTTGGAGTCTTCTCATTTGGCCAATTTTACCAAAATTTCTCATGTGACAGCTTGTCAGGTCTCTTATCAAGCAATTTAAATAACCATATTTACTTAGAATTTTGAGTCTCACGTTGTGGGATATAAGTTACATGTAGATAAACACTTTTTAAGGATTGTTGTTGTAATTCTCATAGCAAAAACGGATTATATTTTTACATTTATTCACTACTGAAAAAAGAAAGTGTTAGTTCTATGTTGCAAACACTGAACTAGATGTTGAGTTTTAAATTAGAAAATGTAGAGAAGATAAATTATTGTTAAATAGGCACATAAGGCTTGTTTAAAAATGTAATGTGACTGCCACAGGTATTTAGTATGGTCATCGTATTATGTTGACTTATTTTTATTCTTCAGGGAAGAAAATGACATTATTTAAATCTGTACTATTTCCACAAAGTTGTTGGTTGTTTCACTGATTTAATGTCGTGTCCCAAATAGCCAATGCTGAAGCATAGATTGACTCAGGAGGTCAGAAAGATATGCTTTTTTTTTTTTTCCTAAACATCATTCTGAACTTAGCCTGAGAACAAATACAGCAAAATGAAAGTAAAATTATGCTTTTAGGGACTTTTTATTAATGCTTTTCAAAGGTACTGCATAATCATTCATTATCACTCATGGGTCAAAGAGAATTAGGATCTGTTTATTTCATTAGAATTTTACTATCCCAGAGAAATAGTAAAAATGCCCTTAAGAGAATAAAAAATAACTCCAAAGTAGATGAAACATGAAGAAAACAATCAGGTAGAGATGTTTTTGGAGGTAATGTCATCCTACAGGATAAAAGCAATACTAGTGGGATGTTCTGATGCCAGTAATAATAGAAGTTACTGAGCAAACCTAAAGAACAATGGAACAAACATATGCAGATAAACTTATAGTTTCTACACTTAGGGGATATCTTCCAAAGTTAGATTAATAGAAACAACTAGATTTTTACATTAAAAAATATTAGCTTCTCTTTTGTTTGGTCATTTTTCTTTCTTACACACAGGGTCCTAGTGAAAGACAATAATGCTATAAAACCTATTTTATAGCACAAAGAGATGACTGTATGTCATCGACCATATTTTACAGCATGTGTCAACCAAAGCTATTGCTGGGTTCACTTTATGTTTCTTATGGAACATACTTTAAAATTAAAAAAAAAGACCGTTAGCATAAAGCAATCTCAGAGAGCCAAGCAAGCATATTTGCTATATTTAGAAAGCAAACTGCATTGTACATGAGGGTACAGTGTAGTTCTCTCTGGCGAAACATATTTACTCTGTTTTCCCTTCGTAGGTAATCCTAGGTTAGTAATGGTTTTGAGAGAATTTAATAACCTTGGCAAGCACCCTCAAGAGTTGGGAGATATTAAACTTGAAATGGATTATAAGGTCTGCTGTTTTTATAATATTATTACTTACCTGATAGCTGAAGCAGCTTTTTGACTGGCAGTATAGTTCTACATGCCTATTGCTCTTGTATTTGGAATAATGGAATCACTTGAATAATTAAATAAAAATGCTTGAAAATTTTCTATACAA
The DNA here is from genome assembly GCF_000001405.40 of Homo sapiens. Classification (NCBI taxonomy): domain Eukaryota; kingdom Metazoa; phylum Chordata; class Mammalia; order Primates; family Hominidae; genus Homo; species Homo sapiens. Next base: position 52,791,737 of record NC_000007.14, read on the forward strand.
TTTAAAGAGAAATTCCAGCTCCTAGGGAAGTAATAATCATCTAGATAAGCATATTGCATTGTGCATATTGTAAAACATCTCAAGTGACTTAGAGGATCTACCTAAAAAAATGCTAAAAGAAAAAAATACATATATGATTTAATAGTCTGTGAGCTAAGTGAGCATATTTTATTTCTAGGCCTGATTGTGCCATTAACTAGCTGCATAACATAAAATGTTATTTGTATAAAGAGGAATATTTACCTGGTGCGTGTGCTCTGGCACTAGACCATGGAATCAGTCATGACCAGCTAATCTCCAGCACTGGTAATATTTTGTTTCACCTTAGTCACCATCTATGAGAGCCGTATTCTTTATCTTTCCCTCCCTTCAAAAAGCAGTCAGGATGCTGGCAGGAATCAGATGGCATACTCAAATGGGAGATGAGAGAGGAGGTTAATCCTCTGATTGTTTACCAAGGTGTGGCAGGCTGTAGGGAAATCCTGAGAGAACTTGCAGGCTGGATTCTGAGCTTCTCTGGATGATCACCACCCCAGGTCTGAGGCAGAGGCAAAGGCAGTCCTTATTAGAGGGCAGTGGCAATGAAAGAGGTGGGGAGAACGGGAGCAAGAGAGAGAAAGAGAAGGGAGAAAAGGTGTGGGAATGAGTACTGCAATCCATTTGCCTTTCTTTCCAAATACCTAAATGTGAAGCAAAAATCAAAGGTGCTCCCCACACAGGTCTTCCTGCCAATTGTAAAAAGGAAAGACAACTACCTCTTGTCAATTGAAACTTGTATGAGATTTGACTTGTCACACTCCAACTTCTCATAATGGTTCTTTCACCTTCGATTCAACTACAGCATGGCAAAATCTTTTCGTATCTTGGAGTTCAGATATTTAGAAGTGGTAATATGATATGACTTTTTAATGACACGGCAGAGCTTGTAAAGATTGACTGCTATTGGAAAACAGGTCAATTTTTCATTCCATGAGCTTTCTTATAAGACATAGCTTATATGAAAGCAGGATAGGGCTTTAACTTTCTGTAGAAATAACTGCACGTGGGGATAGCAACGTGAAATCCAGTGTTCAAGAGCAAAACATTCTATTATTCTTCTATTTATCATATTTTGTTTTAAGGTTGTCTATTGTGAAAGGAGTAGGTAAAACAAAGAGAAACTGTCATGAAAGTGGCAGAGTTAAGGGAAAACATTAAAAGTCGCTTGGGGGAAAATGTGTCACCTATTTCTTGAACTTCAGGAAGACAGTTTTCAAAAAGTTTTAGAAAACAAAGGCAATGTTATGATTTAAAGTTGTGATGCATGTCAAAATTCTAGGCTTTCAAAAGTGAAATTTGCAATGTCCAGCTTAAAAGATGACTGTAAGTTAGAAAATAAGCGACAGAAAGAAGCATTTATTGGGCCGGGCATGGTGGCTCACGCCTGTAATCCCAGCACTTTGGGAGGCCGAGGCGGGCGGATCACGAGGTCAGGAGATTGAAACCATCCTGGATAACACGGTGAAACCCCGTCTCTACTAAAAATACAAAAAAATAGCTGGGCATGGTGGCAGGCGCCTGTAGTTCCAGCTACTCAGGAGGCTGAGGCAGGAGAATGGTGTGAACCCGGGAGGCGGAATTTGCAGTGAGCCCAGATTGCACCACTGCACTCCACACTCCAGCCTGGGCAACAGAACGAGACTCCGTCTCAAAAAAACCAAACAAACAAACAAACAAAAAAAGAAGCATTTATTTTAAAGGGCCTAGCAAAAAGATTAAAAGAAATACAGGCAATCAAGAATGGGAAGAAAGTATTTGCATTCTTAAAAATACAATATACAAGAATAAATTGTAAAATTAAAATTGAGGATTGCAACAAGGGCCAAAGACACCAGAATATAGCTTCCTAGTTAAGTTCAGTGCAAAGCACAAAATGAATGAAGTCAGAGCAAACATGGTCAATAGGGAGAAGAGGTCATCCAAAAGGAAGTCAAAACCTTAAGTGAGATAAATTACATTCCCAGTAAGATGAATGAATTCTTATTGATAAAAACTGAGGATTGTTGAGCTGTAGGAATTTTGCAAAGGAAAGAAAAAGTATTGATTTTAAAATTTTGAAATGAATGTCTTCAATCATATGATTTTATAAAAATTTACCTATTAAATCTAGTATAGAAGGTAATTGTTTTGATTTCAATTTTTGACTATGTAAATAATGTTACTATGAATTTCATTGACATGACTCTTACTATGCAAACATGTTGGGTACAAAACTAGGAGTGAAATTTCTGGCTAATAGTTACATTTATATTTAACTTTATAATGTAAACTAATTCCCCAATTAATGGTCCCTCCAGCAGTGCATGAGGTTGTTCCACAGTATTCCTAGCACTCAATATCACTAATAAACAAGAAATACACACTAAAATAAAAATACAATGAGATACCATACAAAGCCTTCAGATGCCATCCGAATGGCAATACTTTTCTCACCAGATCTGATAAACAAATTCAGTAAATTCTGAGGTAACAAAGTCAATATACACAAATAAATAGCACTGCTATACACCAACAATGGTCAAGCTGACAAACAAATGAAGAACTCAATCTCTTTTACAACAGTTGCAAAAACATTAAAATACCAAAGAATATACTTAATGAAGGAGATTAAAGATCTCTACAAGAAAAACTAAAAGACACTGCTGAAAAAAATCATAGATGACACAAACAAATGGAAACACATTCCATGCTCATGGATAGAAGGAATCAATATTGTGAAAATGACCATACGACCCAAAATAATCTACAGATTCAATGCAATTCCCATGAAAAACTATTATTATTTTTCATAGAACCAGAAAAAATAATCCTAAAAGTCACATGGAAGCAAAAAGAGCTCTCATAGTCAAAGCAATTGTAAGCAAAAAGAACATATCTAAGGCATCACATTACCTGACTACAAATTATACAAGGCTATAATTATCAAAACAGTGTAGTACTGATATAAAACTGGACACTTAGACCAATGGAACAAAATAGAGAATCCAGAAACAAAGCCAAATGTTTACAGCAGACTGGTATTTGACAAAGCATGCGGAAACATAAATTAGGCAAACAACATCATATTCAATAAATGGTGCTGGGAAAACTGCCAAGCCACCTGTAGAAGAATAAAATTGGATCCCCAATCCTCACCTTATATAACAGTCAACTTAAGATGGATCAAAAACTTAAATCTAATACCTGAAACCATAAAAATTCTAGAAGATAACATTGGGAGAACTCTTCTGGATATTGGCTTAGTCAAAGAATTCATAACTAAGACCCCAAAAGCAAATGCAACAAAAACACAAATAAATAAATGAGACCTAATTAAACTAAAAAAGGTTCTGCACAGCAAAAGTAATAATCAGCAGAGTAAACAGACAATCTACAAAATGGGAGAAGATATTTGCAAACTACCTATGCAACAAAGAACTAGTATCCAGAATCTACAAACAAACGGAAACAAGACATCAAGAAAAAAATGATTCCTTCAAAAAGTGGACAAAGGACATGAATAGACATTTCAACAAAGAAGATATACAAATGGCTAACAAATATTTGAAAAAATCCTCAACATTACTGATCATCAGGGAAATGCAAATTAAAACCACAATGAGATACCACCTTACTCCTGCAAGAATGGCCATAATTTAAAAGTCAAAAAATAATAACTGTTGGCATGGATGTAGTGAAAAGGGAACATTTTTACACTGCTGGTAGGAATGTAAATTAGTACATCTTCTATTCAAGACAGTATGGAGATTCCTTTAAAAAGTAAAAGTAGATTTACCATTTGATCTAGCAATCCTACTACTAGGTAACTACCCAAGGGAAAATAAGTCTTTATAAGAAAAAGACACATGAACACGTTTACAGCAGCACAACTCACAGTTACAAAAACATGTGCCCATCCACCAATGAATGGATAAAGAAAATGTGATATATATACACCATGGAATACTACTCAGCAATAATGTCTTTTGCAGCAACTTGGATGGAGCTGGAGGCCATTATTCTATGTGAAGTAACTCGAATGGAAAATGAAATACCATACGTTCTCATTTATAAGTGGGAGCTAAGATATGAGGATGCAAAGGCATACAGAATGATATAATGGACTTTGGGGACCCAAGGTAGGGGGACAGTTGGAGTGGGGTGAGGGAAAAAGGACTATGTATTTGGTAGAGTGTACACTTCTCAGATGACATGTGCACTAAAATCTCGGAATTCTCTACTATAGAATTCATCCATGTAACCAAAACCACTTGTATGCCCAAAGCAATTGAAATTTTAAAAAATTAATTAAACAAGAAATGAATAAAATTCTTCATTGTAAAAGACTCCAATTTGGCTGGGCGCAGTGGCTCATGCCTGTAATCCCAGCACTTTGGGAGGCTGAGGCAGGTGGATCACGAGGTCAGGAGATCGAGACCAGCCTGGCTAACATGGTGAAACCCCATCTCTACTAAAAATACAAAAAATTCGCCAGGTGCAGTGGTGGGTGCCTGTAGTCCAAGCTACTCGGGAGGCTGAGGCAGGAGAATGCGTGAACCCAGGAGGTGGAGTTTGCAGTGAGCCAAGATCATGCCACTGCACTCCAGCCTGGGCAATAGAGAGAGACTTCATCTCAAAAAAATAAATAAATAAAAAGACTCCAATTTATTTGTCGTTTATATTTTGTGGTAATATATTTTCTAAAAATTTTATTATTTTGTCTTTCACCTTTAAATTTTAATGCATTTATAACAATTTTAAAACATAGAATGAAGGATGGATTAAGATTAATTTTTTCCTATGGATATCCAATTGACGCTAAAGTTTTTACTGAAAAGCTATTTATTTTTATTCTGCAGAGCTACCTCTTCCCATATCAAGGGTCTACATATAGATATATATGTGTGTGTGTGTGTGTGTGTGTGTGTGTGTATATATATATATATATATATATAGGAATCTATTTCAGAGTTCTATATCTCTTAAATTGTCCTACTTATCCACATTTATATAACTTTAACTACTCAGTTATCTTTTGTAATAAGTCTTGATGCTGTTTAAGAAATGAACAATAATTATGTAGTCAAAAGATATAGGAACAATATTATAAATATATTTCTGGTAGTAAATACAAATTATTTTTTAGTATTTTGTGATATTTGTCTCATTAACTTTTAAAAATATAATTTACTTTGATTACTTATTCTAAATATATATTCATTTTTTTCTTAATAATTTTTGTATCTTGTGCATTTAAAACAAATTTTGTTGGTTTTAAAAACTTATTAGGTTGATTATTGAAACTTAGTTCTAATTTTCCCTCAGAATTTTAAAAGCATTGTCTTTTGATTGATATCTTTTTTATTTGAATTTTTATGAAGTAAACCATATCTAATCCTGTTCTATCTCTTCCACATTTGGTTCATTTTATGAGTCTCTTTTTTTTTTATTATCATAGTATATCTGTAGTTTCAGAAGGATCTTTCTAAACATGGATCGTTTTTATTAATCAGTGTGGTATACCATGGGCCTTTTCAACTTCGCCTCAGGAAGACATTCTTGTGCATTTACTGGATTATCTCCTTTTTCTCCTCAGTTTTCTGTGTCTCCTCCTTACATGGACATGAAACATCTGGAATCAATTCTTCATGGCCATTATCTTTTCTCCTCTATTATTTTTGATCTCCTTGTTCTTCAAATCTGTTATTAGAGATTTACTTGACTTTTACTATCAAAGTACTGGCTTGACTATTAGCCTCATGTAACCAATACATTATCTTTTTCTTTGGTTTCTTCATGTTTCTTTTAAGAAAGGAGGTTTTCCCAATTCTTTCTGTTAGATTGCTCTTTTTTTTAACCAAAAGAAAAAAAATCAATGTTTCTCCACCAGCACAATAGACATTTGGGGGTCACGCTTTGCTGTTGGGGACTATCTTGTGCACTACAAGATGTTTAGGTGTATCCCTGGCTTCTACCAACTGAAGGCCCAGAGGAAAGAATGTTCCCAAGTGTTGCCAAATGGCTGCTGGGTGTGGTGGAAGGGGTGAACAACCCCTGCGTCCCCCAGGTTGGGATCCACTGCTCTGGATGTCTTACACGACTGAGTATTTTAGGTTATTAATTGAAATATGTTTAAAACTCTCTTAGGATGCTAACTATCTTTGTGTCCTCTAGGGTCTGTTGGTCCTGTCTTGAGGCTCTTAAGTTTCCTTTTCTGTCTACTGATTCTTAACTGTTGATTCATACTTGTGAATGAATACTGGAGGGAGCTGCACAGGTTATTTCCGTAATGGGGCAATCCTGTCTCCCAACAGTGCATTTTAAAAAAAGGAGAGCCACTCTAGATTCAAAAAAGTTTGTCTGTCTTAAGCAAGGCAGCCTTTGTTTGATTGATTTTACCCTTTCTGTCTAACGGGGCTGGCCTGACCTGACTCTCTACTCTGGATCCCTGGGGACCTCGCTTCACTAGGCTGGCCACCCACCTCTGATGTTCACAGATTCTCCTGGAGGAAGCTCAGACAGTGGGGATGAAGCAGAAAAGGAAAAATGAAACAATGTTATGGGCCCAACCATTGTGATCATGTTTGTATACAATACAGAAAAAAAGGTCTTTCTGATTGCCCTCTCCTGTTTTTCACATTTGCTCCTTGTGGGCTTGGAGCACTCACTTCAGGATTTGGGGCTCTGTTTTTTATCTTCCCTTTTCAATTTGATTCTATTTTGTATTTGTGAAGATTTTCTCAGAGGCTGTGGCTGTCTGTATACAACTTTTCTTATGCACCGCTTCTATTTACCATCCCTGTACAGTCAACAATAAAGTTAACAGAAGGCTTGCAACACATTTAGAAAAACAGCAAGAGGGAGATATATACAAGTAAGAGCTGTGACCACACAGGGAGTGCTTGGGGTGGTTCGGGGCCCTGACCTTGCTGCTCCATAATGAATGACTCATTTCATCTTCTCTGCAATAATAGAAATGGGGAAACTGAGACTCAAAGGTCGAGAAAGTTCACAGGGTTGACATGACCCGTAACTGGCAGAAAGGTAATTTGAAGACTCATTAATACCATCCTAAAGCTATGCCAAAAAGCTCAGTGCCACTCTGACTTGGCTGTTTGTGTACTAGAAAAATTTGTATTGCTTAGTATTCAGGATACCAAGGAGACGTTGTGATCTTGTTAGGCAGAATAACTGCTTATCTCACCTAAATCTAATTATTTTCAAAAGAAATGTAGGAGGTAAGGTTTCTCCTCCATAATTCAGCTGCTGTTTGCATTGGGGTTTACATCTTTTTCCACTAAACAACTTTAGACAGACAAGTCACAGCTTGGGAGCATTCCTCTTAGCCTTTATTTTCAAGGTGATTTGCATATAGTTTACATAAATCTGCATAATTGCCATCTTTGAGAGTCCAGAAATGGATTTCTCTAATCAGGAAGCAATTCTCACGATCTCTCTGTTAGTGGCTCCAGGTAAACGTGTACCCTCTGTGAAATCACTTTTGAAAAGAAAAACACATTATTTTGATAATTTTAAGCAATGAGCTACAATATGAACGTCTTCATGATGGAGTCAGTGAGATTCCAGGCTAATGTGCTATTGGAATAATCTGCCTTCCCTCTTTCCCTCTCTCACTTTCCGTGGGAACTATCCATTATCCAAAACTGGAACTCCTTGATCCTCACCTGTGTGCTTCCATCCTAGGCTTTGGCCCAAAATGAGGGGACATCTAAAATACCCTCCTTGTGAAATACCACAGGTGGTCCCGCACGGTGTTCAGCAAGCCCTTGAGTCTGGCTCGCCCATCCGGCCCAGCAAGAGCAGTCCTGCCTAAGCTCTGTGTCTTACGCGTTTCCTTTGATATAAACACACTCAAAATAAGTGCACTGAATGACACATCAGTTTCCATCACGCGGGCTCCAGCCCTGGGAGCTGACACTGGGGAACCAGAACACAGTGTCAGAAGGGAACAGCAGAGAACAGCTTCTGCATATCACTTGGTGCTTGGTCTTGGAAATAAAAGGCAGCTGAAAGTCCATCATAAAGGGTATGGCTGCGCAGCTGCTGATGTTGAAGGAGACCACTGATTCCAAGTGCGGGGAGAACGTGACTGGAGGTTGAAGCTGGGTAAAAATCACTTCGGAAAACTTGCTAGAGCTCCCTCTCAGAAAGCAGTCATGCCACACATCCCTTCAGGACATGGCGGCCTTTCCCAGACCCGTGGAGAGTCCATTGCTGCTTCTTTTCCTATTCCAGTGACTGGCGAGGCAGTTTGGGGTGGCGTTGTTGCTTGTGGCCACAGAAGGCCGCTGTCACCTTACACCGTTATGCTTCCTCATAACCCCCATAGATGTGTGAGTTCAGATGTTACATACAGGAACTATGGAACTGGTTTTCTTTGACAGCTAGATGGACACAAGCATTTTATTCTTATGAGTTTTTTTTTTAAATAAAGTTCAATTGTTTTCAAAACATAATTGAATTTCAGCTCCATTTAAATGTTTTGAATTAAAATTAATATATTGATTGATAATTTGTATTTGCCTTTTAATTTTAAGGCAAAAAGTGAGGGATACTTGACACACAATAACTGCACATACTTAAAGCACAACTTGAAAGTTTATATGTGTGTGTGTTTATCTCCACAGAAACATCATCTTTATCAAGAACATATCCATCACCATCAAATGCCTCCTCGTATGAGACTCATTCCTTCCACCCCCACACCCATGAACCCTGACATTTTCCAATCTGGTCACTGGAAAAAGGCACTATTCTCGGGCTTGCATGAGCACAAGTCCTGCTACTTTCATCCTTCTGGATGGTCCTTTCCTGGTTTTCATGTACTTTCTTCACATTTGAGCTGAAGGGAAGGCAGGGATCCTCTGTGGTTGGCTTCTGAGCCCTCTTGCTCTCTCGCAGGCTGCTTGCCCCAGGGACCCTGCTGATCCCCTCATACGGGCCCTGGTGCTCACAGCCTGGACGCTGTCCCTGAGTCGGCTGGGGCAGTGGCAGGTGCACCTCACTGTCCTTCAGCTCTCAGGGATTACTGTCCTTGCTGTCTGGTGTCAGGTGCCTTCTGGCTTTTCTTTGTTTTAGTAGGAGCAATTATCCAGTCTCTGCTACTCCATCTTAGCCAGAAACAGAAGTCTGCCTTTTAATTTTAGTAGATAGTTGCAAATATTTTAGAACAAATATTAATTGGAAAAGACATAAATATTTTTAACTTTTTATTTCTCCACTTAGTTTGATTTTTATGGAATTGTATTCTAATCCTTTTCACTTTGAATATAGTTACACTCACTTTAAGAATTATTTAGATCATTACTGACAATACCACAGGGATTATGTGAACACTTTGATTATAAACACAATTGGTGAATTTGTTGAGAGAAAAGAAAAAAATCTTGTGGAATAAAGATACAGTCATATGATTTATGAATATCTTTGTTTTAATTATTGTTCATTCAATGATTGTCAGTTCATTGCAAGATCCAGACATAAGCAATAGTCTAGTCATCTTTTTATATTTTACCCATTTTGAGTCTTAACAGACTGTAGCTTAATAGAGATTATTTAATTTTGTCGCTAAGAATATGTTTCTGGTGAACACAATGACAGAACATATTTTATTTATCAGTGTATTCGCTTGACTTCTATCAGTGTTAGACACTTATTATATGGGTCTCTGTCAGTTTGGGCTGTGCTCACAAGATACCATAGACTTTAAAAACAGGGACTTATAAAAACAGAAATTGATTTCTCACAGTTACGGAGGCTGGAAGTCCAAGATCTGGGTGTCAGCATGGTCGGGATCAGGTGAGGTCCCTCTTCTGAGTTGCTGACAGCCAATCTCTTATTATATCCTCACACGGGAAGGGAGAGAGAAAAAGAGAGAGAGAGTGAGAGAGAGAGAGAGAGAGTGCTGTGGGGTAACCTTTTATAAGCATTTTAATCCTTTTTTATAATGGGATTAGAATGGTACTAATCCCATTAATGATGGCTCTAGCCTTATGACCTATTCGCCTCCCAAAGGTCCCATCTCATAATAAATCACCTTGAAAGTTAGGAATTCAGCATATGAATTTAAGGTGACACAGACATTCAGTCATTTGCAGTCTCTATTTGGGCTTGTGCTTGGTCCAGGCACAGAAGTGAGGAGCAGTGCAGCCTCTAAACTTGTCCACCTAGGCCAAAACTCTATTACTTTTGGCATCAGTTCTGAATCATTCATTACTCTTTCTCCAAACCTGAGCAGCTACCTTGCTTCTTGAAGACAAGTGTAATGGTTACTTCTATTAATGGCTTAAAGGCCTCCGTGATTCTTACTTTCATCTGCTTGGATCTCTCCATACCCCCTGTTTTATTCTCTAGATTGTTGTTTGTCTCTGATCATCACTATTCCACTCCCTGGAACTCCCCACCACCACCAGCCGCCAGTATAACATGGAACATCCATTAACCATCTTCCACTTCCATTGCCTAGGCAAATATCCTTCTCTTTGCAGTAGGGGCTACCTTCCAATATTCTGCTATCTTGCACAAAAGTACTACACTCTAGACTAGGCACTATTATTTTATTGAAAACCCTACCCATAAAGGATCAGTATTAATAAGATAAGCTAAAATATAAATAGATCAACCTAGCATTGTATGAGCAAATAAAACATGAAAACGTTAAAATAATCAAAATTCTGTAAGAAACCATTTCAATTCAGTTCCTTCTTCAGTATTCCCTATCTCAGTGTATCTGCATTTATCATGGTATCTGCATTTATCAAGACTTAAACATTGGAATTCTCTTTACCTCTACTTTTATCTGACCTGAGTCACCTTTGAATAGTCTTATCAGTGGGACCCTCAGTTGTGGTAACAAAATATTTTTTGAATCTCTCCATCTTCTCTCCTATTCCACTGTTATCTCCAAGTCAACACAATTTTTACGCAGCTTTTTTCACACAGGGTTATTATTCTAGTCTTCAAACTGTTTTTATTAATTTTTCTCTTGTTCTCCTATAATATACTTTAAACAGAATCAGAGTACAGCCACCAGGTAGCATACAGGACAACCAGTTAAATTGAAAGACAGAAGAAAAATAATATGTTTTTAGTAAAAGTATGCCCCAAATATTGACCGGGATAAATTGTGCTATTTTTATTTGCTTTAGAAACATTTGCCGTAGCAAATAAAAAAACTGGCAATACTGAACCAGAATGATATGTCTTTATTTTAACAGAAAACAGATTATGCTATGCACTTGTTGAAAAATCCTTTAGTCTTCTCATTAAACTTAGAATCAAATTACTCTGACCTTGAAAACCCTACATGATACGATCTCCAAATCTATCTCCTGCCATTCTCCACTCAACCACTCCTCTTCAAGCAGGTCTTTCTCATTCCTGAAATTGCCTGGTCTGTTCTTGCTCTAGGACATCTGAATTTGCAGTTCCCCTATCCCTGCCATGCCCCTCTTTTCTAAGAATGCCATATGACTGCCTTATTTTTCATAATGCAGGCCTCAGTTCAAGGATCACCTCACCAGAAAGATACTCCAGGGGTCATGCTTCCCTTGTGACTCTACACCCTTCTTTTTAGCACCTATCGCAATCTAAATTACAGTTTTAATTTGTTTGAGATATTATTTACCCTTACTCAAAACTTTATTTTGCTTTTATTACCCATCTACATTCTCACCCTGATCCCAAGCACCACAGAAATGTGGGTCTTGTCATTCTGGTTCTTTGCTGTATCTTCCATCCCCTTTCCTTATCCTCAGGACACACATCATTGTCTGACCCAAAGGGCACCCACCGTCAATTTGGATGAATGATAAATTATATTGAGTTCCTAATCAGAATCTAAATACAAAGGGAGTGTGGTGAGGTGGACAGAAGAGGATAAAACTAAGAGAAAAAAACATGCAGACAGAAATACCTGGAATCAGATGTGGAGGCAGTGATAAAAGATTCCAATAAATGTGAAACTACAGTTCTGGCCACCAAAACCAAGTCTCAGACAAAGTAAATGAGAAGTCTGGATAGTCAGCAGTCATTTTCAATGACTTCAATGAATTTCAATGAATTCACGTACATTGAAAAAAATTGAAAATAATGAGACAAATAATATCTAATAGTGTCAGACTTCCCATGGAAAACCAAGATTCACACTGCAATGACTTTTCTTCCTATTCCCAAAGGGTGCTTTCTATGACATAAGGAAACACAGCTCCCTCTAATCTCTGTAGCCAGGCTTGTGAGTGGAGTGAAGTGAATGGTCTGAGTGGAGTGGATGCTGAGAGACATTTTATAGCCTCTCCTCTTATAGACACAGGACATTGAAAGGGTTGGCTAGAGAGGGTAGAAAAGTAAGCATACTCTTCCTTCTATTTATAAATAGAAGTAAGGAATGAATAAGATGGCACTGTGGAGGAAAGGTGTTAAATAGGGCAATGATGAAGACAAATGAATAGATGCATTTGAAAATGAACTCACTGGATAGTCTCTTGAGATCTGCTATATATAGTTGCTTTCCTTCCCCAAGATTGCATATAATGTTTATTTAATAAGTACAAAATACATGTTTACTGGATGATGAGGAAACTGAAACGTTGATGTCTGTTTGTGCAAAGGATTATTGTGTTTTGGAGGAAGAAATAGAGAGGGCCAGGATATCATAGCTTGATAGAAGCCCCCCAACCCACGCCCCCTATAAATCTAACCTGACAGCAGAGCTAAGATTACTACAAATTCCCTTCCTAAGGCCTTGTAGAATCAATTCAGTGGACCTGATCACAGTAGGCCTATTTGTATGATGGTGATTACTGTCAAAGCGTAATTTTCAAAAAAGTTAGAAAGATTCCTGTCATACAGATATGGAGTGAAGACAGCATTTGAGGAATTGGATATTCTTTTCAAAAGAATATTAAAATAAGATTGCTACATTTCACAGATACAAAACTGATTAATGTCTTATAGGTCAATAAACCCATAGCCTTTGGTGTTATCATTTCTGCAGAACAAAAATCAACAAGGTAATGTGTAACTTCACAGAGTCTAAAATCTATCAAAATAGAAAATAACAAAGTCAAACACAGAGATAAAATAATCCCTGGATGGGCCTGTTAAATATTGTTCCACTTTGACAAGGAAAGGCTACACTGTTATTTACTTTTACTTGATTTCCAAGTTTTTGAATAATTCTCTTACCCTCAATACCTTTTTTATTTGTATGACAAGTCATTTTATTCATTATTATTTCATAAGAAAATTGAAGAGTTGGGAATATCATGGGAGGGGGTCCTGAGGAAACTTGTATGTAATTCAGAGAGATTATTTATTAGACCCACTGATCAGTATTCCCTAGGAGTTGATGAAAAAATATAATTACTTAATTATTAATTTAAAGATTGTTGCCACAGTGGAAGGGGAGAATATTTGTTAGCATTTATTTATGTAAACATTTTTCTTCATAGTTTTAAATGCTTGCTAAACAACTAGAAATTGTGAGAGCTTGAGCTAAAAGACAACCGGTTCTAAACCAGAATGTCAGAATTGTGTCTCAATATTTTATTCCATGATAGATAAAATGATGAAGTGATATCCTTAAAGTCAGGAGCAAATTTTCCTTTGAATGAAACTTCTAAAACCTTGATAAAGGTGATTTTTAAGGCAAAAAAGGTGGTTAATCAGCCTGTTTATTTTAGTGATTAAAATCTAATTGAACACTCTACTTGTCCAACCCAGGTTCCATGCAGCCCAGGATGGCTTTGAGTAAGGCCCAACACAAATTTGTAATCTTTCTTAAAACATTATGAGATTTTTTTGTGTGACTTTTTTTAGTTCATTAGCTATCTTTAGTGGTAATGTATTTTCTGTGTAGTCTGAGACAATTCTTCTTCCAATGTGGCCCAGGAAAGCCACATGCTTGGATGCCCCTGCTCTACACTTTTTCAGTTGTTCTTCCCTCATCTTTTAAGTTTCTTACCTCATCTTTTAAGATTCTTACCAACACCTTTTAAGGTGTTGTTGGGGCTGAGCTTGAGGCCGGCATACAGAGGTGAAATTATGAAGGGGAGAGATTGGCTCTTATTTTCCTGTTGAATAGCAGAAATATAGAAGTGTATATGGAAGGTGACAAGAAAGGAGTGAATCCAGCCCAGTAATTCTTGTGGGATGAGAGTCATTTGAAACATAAGGGTGTCTGTGACAGTGTGTCTTAACTGGTATCTCTAAAACAATACTTTGCTGTAATAATTTAGGATCAATTATGTTTAAATGGTTTTAGTCACAAAAGTTCTGACTTTGTTTATCACAAAATAATAGAGCATTTTTACTTAAATCATTAGTGTTGAACAAGCTATTATAAAATTTGAACAACTGAGAAAAGAAATAACTTACAATTGTTTCTTTTTTCCTTGTTAACAACACAGGCAAGTTGTGCAAAATGCTCCCTAAAAATAAAAGTGCTTATAGAACTTTGTAACTGGAGCCCTAATAAAAATCCTCAAAGAGGCCGGGCGTGGTGGCTCACGCCTGTAATCCCAGCACTTTGGGAGGCCGAGGTGGACGGATTACCTGAGGTTGGGAATTTGAGACCAGCCTGACAAACATGGAGAAACCCCATCTCTACTAAAGACACAAAATGAGCTTGGCGTAGGGGCACATGCCTGTAATCCCAGCTACTTGGGAGGCTAAGGCAGGAGAATCGCTTGAACTTGGGAGGTGGAGGTGGTTGCGGTTAGCCAAGATCACGCCATTGCACTCCAGTCTGGGCAACAAGAGTGAAACTCCATCTCAAAAAAAAAAAGGTCCTAAAAGAATACAAGCTTTCCCAGCATTTGCACCTAGAATCACAGTGAGCCAGTCCTTTCCAGACTTTATTCCTGGGGCTCCAGTCTAATCCCATAGGGCTGAGGGGACTTTTGCTTTTAAGAGAAAAGGTTTTCATGTAGATTAAAGATCCAAATTAAGGTGTAGCCTCCTTCATTACCCCGTTGTTACTGGAAATGATAGTGGCTCTTGAAGACATAAACCAGTCACATTACATACTAATTTCATTTATGTGATCATTACTTACCTACGTATTATTGTACATGATAATGTTCATCAAAGAAATACAGGTTTAAGCAGAACACACTGTAGTCCCTTCTTTTCTCTCAGAGTTTATTTCCAATCACACGGGGGTAAAATAATAACTAAACTTGTTTTAATGGTGATCAGAAGGCTGAAATATTAGGAATGCACAACATGTGTAGAAGGATGAAAAGGGTGGATAACGTTCAGACTGGAAAAGTGCAGGTCAAAGCAGCCATAGAAGCTCCTCATGGCGTTCGGAGCAAAAACAGCAGGAAAATTCACTAACTCACTCTTCTAACTCTGCCGTAGTATTTCAGTAACTAGACGGACATCACAGGAAGGGAAATAGGGAAGCTGGGTTTGGACCTTTCATGATCTTTCTGACATTGACCTAAACAGTTTAAGCCAAAACAAAGAAGGCCCTATTATTTGACAGTCCCTGGAATCTGAACAGTGCGTGGAAAGGAAGAAAGTTGCTGTGTCAAAAAGTGAGTTTCTTATTACAATAATTCTTCAAGTGGAATCATAAGAAACACTTATTAAGGTTGTTACTCAAGGGACATACCTGTGTTTTGAGAATTAAGCTAAATAAGTTTTAAGTCTTTTACCTTTGGACATTTATACTTTTAATTTTAAAATGTATTATATTTTATTATATAAAGAAAATGACACAAAGTCTAGAGAATGTCACTAAGTCTTGGACTTAGAGTATCCATAGAACGAACTTTGTCAATGCACTTTTTTCTTTCTTTGAGAGCGTTAAGAACAAATAAGGCTTTTGTTTTACTTAATTTTGTTATTAAGCTATTCCTCTAAACACTGGAGTAGCTGGGCTATTGCCATTCTACATTCTTAAAGACTTTAATTTAGTGTGTCACAATGTATCAAGTATATTACATGCTTTAAGTTATTTAATTATGACGAATCTATAGAATAGATACTAATAGTAGATACTAATCCTTTTGTGCATGAAAAGAACAAGGCATACAGCACGGAAGTCATGTGAACAATAACACATGAGTAATAAATGAAGAAGGGGGTGTGAGTCCACATTGTTGGGTTTCAGAACCTGGCACTTAGGTCAGACCTACACCAGCTGGTGCTCAGAGGGGAGATGTATTCTTTGATCAACCCACGTTTCCTAACCTCTTTGTTCTGGTAACAGCACTGTTCATCCCTATGGAAATTTTTCTTTTCCATTCCAAGCGTATGGTGTCAGTGGGGGTTCCCTTCTCAGTGCCCTATCTCCAGGCTACTGGTGGTAGATTTTTATTCCCATGCCACCGGCCTTGGTATTTGTTCTAAGAAGTGGATGTGTGACCCAGGCTGAACCAATACACTTCCTTGAAATTTTATTTAAAGTAGTTACAAGCTAGAAGTTTCTTCTCTGAGATATTTAAGCTTGAGTAATATGCTTCCAGGACTGTCACTGGACATAGTCTCTGATTCTGGAGAAAGCCATCTATGGAAGAAAATAGCAGATTTACCAACAAGTGAAAGAGACTGAGAGAAGCCTCCCGAGTTCCATGTTGGAGGGTTATAGGAGTGTGCTCATTTGTACCTCTCTTCCTTTGATTCCATGAGATCTAACAAGTTTTTTACCATACCCTTGCTACACACAAATATTTTAAAGGTAATTATAGGACAAGTGTTAATTATGCTAAAACATTTTAATAGCTATTTTTAAAGTATTTTGTAGCAAAATATATGCATCAGAGTCTCCAGTTAATCTCATTTTAAAGAGCACATATTGATGAGGTCTGCAGCTTCTAAAGGCCGGCAAAAATGAGCATGGATGGCAGAGTAGTTAGTTACCTAATTCTCAACTTCACATTTATAATGTAGGGTTAATGATGCAAATGTAAAAACAAGGCTGTGAAACTTGAGTATATGTAAAGCACCGAACAGAGTGGCATATATTCAGCAGACTCAATAAAAGGAAACTATTATTGTGAAATATTATGTTATTAAATATTTTATAATAATCACGGTCATTTCTTGAGACCCTTTGTGTACTAAGGTCTAGAATATTGTCCATAAAGCACTATCTACCTATTGAATGGATGTTACATTAATTTTGGATTATAAAACCTAGAAAAAAACTGTTAAGTAATAAATTAATAAAAAATTTAAATTGAAAATTCCAGAATGCACATTTTTAATGTTATTAAAAATGGACACCTTTTTCTCACACATTCAGTTTCATTGTCTCGCACCCCATCGTTTTACTTTTCTTCCTTCAGAAAATGATAAATGTTGGCAAATATTTATGTCACAATGTGACTAGTGTTCTTCTAGAGGTCAGCATAAATTGCTGTATAGATTTAGATGAGGAAGCCTATGATTCTTCCTGGTGAGGTAGAAATGTTTATGGAACAGGCCACATTCTCATTGTGTCTTTTAGGATGAGATGTGGCTTCCCAAATAAGTCAAAAGGAAGACAGTACTGAGCAGAGGTAACATCATAGGCAAAAGCACAATGGTGTGAGAGGTCATGGAATCTGGGAGGGATGTAAAAATATGATCTAGTGGCAACTTAGGGCACGTGACCTGGGGAGTCTAGAGGAGAATCTAGTAAAAACAATCAATTGAAAGAAAGGATCTTTCCCACCTGCAGGATTTTGATATCAACTCTCTCATCAGTGACTGGCATTAAAGATTTATAAAGCAGAAGAAAAGTGATCAGATTAAAAAAAATTTGTGGGCAACATTCACAAAAGAATGGATTCCATGAGAACAGAAAAAAAAAGAAAAAGTCTAAGACATAATTTTGGAAAGTTTAAAAGTGAATTTGGACAAAAGTGATGTCTGTAGGACTCTGATATAGGTAACTAACATGTGCTGTTGCAAGGGGATCCTTTGATCTAGAAAAATAGATGGGATAAAAAAACAGGGAGGAGTGGTGGGGTGGGGATAACACACGCTGAAAAGTGGCACTTGACCTAAAAATGTTAGATAATTTAAGATAAAGAAGTTTTAATAATAAGAACAAAACGAAAAAATAAAATGGTGGTGAAAAATAACTATTAGAAATAGAAAAAAGTTATGTTTAATTTCTTTTTTTTTTTTGAGATGGAGTTTTGCTCTTGTTACCCAAGCTGCAGGGCGGTGGCGGGATCTCGGCTCAGTGCAACCTCTGCCTCCTGGTTTGAAGTGATTGCCTCAGCCTCCCCAGTAGCTGGGATTACAGGCATGCACCACTACGCCTGGCTAATTTTTGTATTTTTAGCAGAGACGGGGTTTCGCCACGTTGGCCAGGCTGGTCTCCAACTCGTGACCTCAGGTGATCCACCTGCCTCGGCCTCCCAAAGTGTTGGGATTACAGGTGTGAGCCACCATGCCCGGCCAGTTATGTTTAATTTCTTTATCATTATTTAGCGGATTGATGCTTGTAACTGGATAGTTTGTTTGTTTGTTTGTTTGTTTTTACTTTAATAAACTATACTTTTTAGAACAGTTTTGGATTTGTGGAAAAATAAGAAGATTGAACAGAGAGGAGTTCCTATATAACTTGTATCTAGTTTCCCTATCATAGGTATATTTTATACCTACAATACATTTATACCTTTAATACATTTGATACAATTAATGAATAGATAGTGTTATATTTTATGGATTAAATTCCTTACTTTATTCAGATTTTTAAAATTTTTACTTAATGTTTCAGAATCTTATCTAGTATATAACATTATGTTTAGTGATCATGTCTCCTTAGGCATTCCTTAGCTGTGAAAGTTTCTGAGATATTCCTTGACTTTGATGACCTTGACAATTGTGAGGAGGACTAGTCAAATGTTTTATAGCTTGCCTCTCAAATGATATTTGTCTAATGTTTTTCTTGTTGTTAGACTTTGCTTATGGATTTTGGGAAGAAAACAATGAGGTAAAATGTGATTCTCGTTGCACTATATCAAAGATAAAAATTAGTAACATTATTTATCACTGGTGATATTGACCTTGATCACCTTGTTGAGGTAGTATTTTTCAAGTTTCTTCATTGTAAAATGGATCTATTTCCCCCCTTTTCATACTATATCCTTAGAATTAAGTCACTTTGCACAATCTACAAATAAGGAATGGCAAAGTGAACTTCAACTCACTGACAAATTATATACATAAATTACTAGGATTTTTTTTTCTGCATAAAAGTCCAGTGTATTCTCTCCCAATTATGAATTGATTCAATCATTTATTTATGCTAATATGGACTCATGGATGTTTATGTTATATTTTGGATTACAATCCAACGTTATTTTGCTTCCTTGTTCAAATTGATCCAGCCATGGTCACTGAGAGCTCTTTCAGTTAACTCTGGCCCCACTAACATAACTACAAATGATGTTTTTATTTGTTTTGTATTTTTCAGCACTTCCTTGATTTTTGGAACTACAACATTCTCAACCCTCACATGAAGCCTAACATAAGTACATACTACAGTAATTCCTTACTTAACATCCTTGAAAGGGTCTTGGATACTGTAGCTTTAAGCAAAACAATATATAGCTGGTCCGTGAATAATATCACTTTGTTCAATGTAATTTCGTTACACTACTGTTGAGAAAAAAATGGGTTTTGTTATATATTATTTCCCTTAAAGTCATGTTTCCAAAAATGTATTTTTGATGTTAAGTGAGGAATTACTATACCTTCAATTCTAAATATTACCACATGGATGATTCTAGCCTGCTCTACTTGTTCATCTGTAAACTCTCACTCCAGCATTGAAGGTGATTCCCACCATCCACAAAACCTTTATTTAATGTTTAATGTTGTTGTACATATGGAAGAGTATCAGAATTGTTAACCTTACAGTTGTGAGGAACAACTTTATCAATTAGACTCCAATGTTATATACAGTTTCTTTCATCTTCAGTCTAACAGACTCCACTGATTTCCAAAGTTACTTAGGTCAGCAACTTTTGTCTACCTCTTCTGTAACTAAGGTTAATACATTTTAGATACATTAGATGTTTTTGTCAAATTCTGCATTTCATCATAGGAACCCCAGTCTCATAAATAGTTTTAATTCCATTAAGGTTCGCTTTTTGTGCTATAAATTTCTATGGGGTTTGACAAATGCTTAATGTTATATATCTACCATTATGGTATCATACAGTTTTCCACCCTAAAATATCCCCGTACATTGATGGATTCTACTTTTCCTCACTTCTAAAAAAATCTCAGTCAAACACTGATCCTTTTACCATCACTGTAGTTTCCCTTTATTCTGTGTCCTTGTTTTTTGTTTGTTTGTTTGTTTGTTTTTTCTTGAGATGGAGTTTCACTCTTGTTGCTCAGGCTGGAGTGCAATGGTGCTATCTTGGCTCACTGCAACCTCCGTCTCCCAGGTTCAAACGATTCTCCTGCCTCAGCCTCCCAAGTAGCTGGGATTACAGGCATGTGCCACCACGCCCGGCTAATTTTGTATTTTTAGTAGAGATGGGGTTTCTCCATATTGTTCAGGCTGGCCTTGAACTCCCAACCTAAGGTGATCCTCCCACCTCGGCCTCCCAATCCTTGTACTTTTTTTTTTTTTTTTTTTTGAGACAGAGTCTCTCTCTGTTGCCCAGGCTGGAGTACAGTGGCATGGTCTCAGCTCACTGCAACCTCCAACTTTATTGATACATAACAAATATTCATATTCTTTATTCATTTAAAGTATACAATTAGTGGTTTTTAGTATATTCATAAATATGTGAAAACATCACCACAGTCATCTTTAGAACATTTTTATCAACTCAAAAAGAAAACCCATAACCTAGAGCTATCACATCCTTATGCCCCTACTCCCAGCTCTAAGCAACCACTAATCTACTTCTAGTTTCTGTAGAGTTCTCTTTTCTAGACTATCATGGGAATAAAATATGAAGTCTTTTGTGACTGGCTTAATTCATTTAGCATAATATTTTCAAGGTTCATGAATGTTATAGCAATTATTATAGTAATTCATTCTTTTTCTATGGCTGAATGACATTCCATAGTATGAATATACCAAATTTTGTTTATCCGTTTATCCATTTATCTATTGTTAAACTATTGTTAGGCTACTTCCATCTTTTGGCAATTATGAATAAAGTTGTAATGCAAATAGATTTTGTGTAAGTTGTTGTGTGTACAAATTTTCATTTTTCTTGGACATGTACTTAGAGTGAATTGCTGGGTTATATAAACTCTATGTTTAAATATTTAAAGAATTGCCAGGCTGTTTTCCAAACTATCTGCTCCATTTTACATTTCTACTACCAGAGTATGAGGTAGGATTCATGAGTACTCATGAGGTTCCAATTTCTTTACATCATTCTTGTTATTATCTGACATTTAGGTTTCAGCCATCCTTGTGGGTATGAATTGATATGTCATTGTGTTTATTTTTGTTATCTTTCTATATAATTATTGGTTATTTTTGTATATCCTTAGAGAAATATCTATTCAACTCATTTGCCTATTTTAAGTGTGTTTTTTTTTTAAATTTCATTATTGAGTTGTAAGAATTGTTTATATATTTTAGATACAAGTTTCTTATCACATATATGATCTGTAAATATTTTTCTCCCATTCTGTGAGTTGTCTTTTTACTTTCTTAATACTGTTCTTTGCAATACAGAAGCTTTAAATTTTGATAATCAAATATATCTATTTTTATTCTATTACTCATGTTTTGGTGCCATATCAGAGTCCTTTTCAAAATCTAACGTCATGAAGATTTATCACAATGTTTAAGAGTTTATAGATTTATAAAGAACAAATAGTTCTTTGATCCATTTTTGTTAGTTTTGTACATGGTATGAAATAACAGTCCAATTTTATTATTTTGCAGATGGGTATTCAGTTGTCCCAGCACCATTTGTTAAAAACACTTTTCTTTTCTCAGTAAATCGTCTTGGTACTTCTGTTGAAAATCAATTGGCCATGGGTGTATGTGTTTATTTCTGGACTCTCAATTCTATTCCATTGATCTATCTGTTTATTTTTGCGCCAGTACTACATACAACTGCCTGGATTACGTTGCCTGTAGTAAGCATTGAAATTGCAAAGTGTGAATTCTCCTGCTTCATTCTTC
This sequence comes from Homo sapiens, assembly GCF_000001405.40. NCBI lineage: Eukaryota > Metazoa > Chordata > Mammalia > Primates > Hominidae > Homo > Homo sapiens. The sequence continues at coordinate 52,813,890 of NC_000007.14, forward strand.
TTTCTCAATATTCTTGTGGTTATCTTGGGTCTCTTGCAATTCCATATGAATTCCATAGTCAGATTTTCCATTTCTACAAAGAAAACAGCTTTAATTATAATAGCGACTGCATTGAATTTGTAGATCATTTAGGGAGTATTGTCATCTTAACAATAATAAATCTGATACATAAACATGGTATTTTTTCATTTATGTGGATCTCTTTTAGTTTATCTCAGCAATGCTTTACACTTTACAAGATTACAGAGTATGTTTTATACTCTTTTTTTGAGACAGAGTCTTGCTCTGTCACCAGGCTGGAGTACAGTGGTGCGATCTCAGCTCACTGCATCTTCTGCCTCATGGGTTCAAGCGATTCTCCTGCCTCAGCCTCCCACATAGCTGGAATTACAGGCACGCGCCACCACACCCGGCTAATTTTTTTGTATCTTTAGTAGAGACGGGTTTCACCATGTTGGCCAGGCTGGTCTCAAACCCCTGACCTCGTGATCTGCCCTCCTCGGCCTCCCAAAGTGCTGGGATTACAGGCATGAGCCACTGCGCCTGGCCCACGAGAGGAAATTTGACTCATCAATAAAAAAGAGAATGTGCAACAGTATTGAGGAATCTCACAAACATAATATTGAGTGAAATAAACCAGACACAAAAGAACACACATTTTATTGTTAAATTTACATAAATTTAGATTGCAAACTAAACTAAAGTGTTAGAATTCCCAGTGTTAATCCTGGAGTGTGCAGATGATTGAAATAGGAAGCAGATTGAACCCCTGGGGTGCTGGTATGTTGTGTTTGTTCATTTGTTTTTAACCTGAGTGCTGTTTACATGGATGTGTTCAGTATGTAAAAATTTATTCAGCTTTAAATTTGTCTGTATATCTGCTATACTTCAAGAAAACATTAAAAAGCATTTTCTGTCACAACATAAGAGCATAAAACAAAAATAAATGCACAGCTATGTTAATGTTAGGGCTATATTATGTTAATTTTAGACAAGAAAAAGACTTGAGATGAAGGCATCATATAAATTACTATAAAGCAATATCCGGCTAGTGAACGAAACTGACAAATACACTATCAAATTGGGAGCTTTCAACCTCTCTCTAAATTATTGAAAATTCAAAGTGGTTAAATTTTAGTTAGAAAACAGATAACAAAAATAACAAAATTAGCAATACTTGGATTATTAAAATAATATAGATAGAACCCTTAAGCCTATGAGACATTTATGAAATTTAAATACTTGCCAGGCAATAAGACTAGTGAAAAACATTTCAAATGGGATACTAATAAGTCCATAATGTAATTAAGCCAGATGTCTATTAAAGATAAAACACAGAAAAAAATCTCCATATTGGAGAGGGAAAAACATGCTTCAAGAAAAGCTTAGATTTAAAAAGAGATTATAATAGAAAAGTAAATGCCTACTTGCAGCTAAACCATAATGAAAATAGAATACACCAATAGTTGTGGAGCTCATCTAAAGTGATACTTACGAAAAGCAACAGCATTAAATAGTATATCAGAAAGAGAAAAAGTCTATGAAGTAAACATAAATTTTTAAAGTTTCAAAAAATAACAGAACAAATCTTAAAACAGTTGATAATAGGAGAAAATGAAAAGTGCTAATAAAAAAACTAGTCAAAATAGGGAAATCAAGAAAACAAAAACTTCTTTAAAATAAAGATTAATAACATAGACAAACCTCTTCTAAAATTGAAGGAGATGAAAATGAGGAAGAGGAAGTGGAGGAGGAAAAAGAGGTTAAAAATAACTAACTACTAAGAATGAAAAATAGCATAGGCTTATCAGATATTAATACTGCAATACGAAAGCATATGCCAATACATTTGACAATTTTGACAGAATTGTCAGATAATGTCCTATATCCATTAAAAAACAGAATTAGTAGCTACAAATTATTGCCTTCAGAAAACACTAGGATCAAATATTTTGGAGCTGAGTTTTGCTAACTTTAAGGAACAGGTTGTTTTAAGATTGTACGTTCAGCAACTACTCAAGAGGAGTGTTGTCAGCAAGGTTGAAGAATAGAAGATCCCCCACTCATATGCTCCTAATAGCAGCAATAATTTCCGAGCCATTCATAGACAAAACTGCCTTTGTGGGAGCTTTGGGATTCAGGAAGAAGGCTGTGAAACCCCAGGAAGTCCAAGAGCTAGTAGGGCTGTTTTGAGAGGGGAGGCCCACGCTCAGATGGCAGATTCACCAAACCAGCTTCAGACCTAAAAATAGCCCTATTCTTTTGTGTGTTTGAATAAAGCTTCATTTTCCTTGGTCCTGCCACCAAAATCATCAATCAAGGGGAATGAGGAGGATTCATGCCCACTTGTGCCTCAAGTGACAGGCCTTCTGATTTTGGTCCCAACTGTGGATCCTGATATAACCCTGAGACTCTGCTCCCACCCTTCTCCACTGCTGTCTAAGAGCAGTTCTTCCTGTACAGAGACCCAAAGGAAGATGTGCCATCTGAGTCCCTGGTACAGGCTTGCCAACCTCAGTCCCACAGCACACCCTGAAATGGCCATGAGAATCAGTTTCTGCCCCTCTCAGCTGTGATCTGAGAGCAGTGCTACCCCCAAAAGACCTGGAAGGGGACTTGCTTGTCTGTGCCCCCAGAGGTGGGCCTACAGACCTCAGTCTTGGCTATGGGCCCTGATGCAGCCCTGTGACTCAGTTCCATCCACTCTCAGCTCGGGTTAAGGACCAGTATGGCCTGCCCATGGAAATAGAAGCACTTCCAGCCCTCCTAAGGACCTGGAGAAAGCCACACCTATGTGTTCACTAGATAACAGTCCCATCATCTGCCGACTCTGAAGCATACCGTCATCCTACCAGCTGCCCTACTGATCAAGATGCAGAGAGCAGTTTAGTCCACCTGAGGAGCAAAGAAGAGCCACGACTACTAGAACCCCTGGTTACAGGCACATTATTTTGGACTACACTGTGATCCCAGCAGCAGTCACATAATTCGGCTCTAACCTCATTCAACCTTTATCCCCAGGTAAATCTATCAGCCTAGGGATCTAACAGAAGAAGGTTTTTACCTGCTGCAATTAAGCTGTAAATATTGTAAGTAGTGTTTTTTCCTTCAAATGCACAGATATCAATACAAGACTACACTGATAACAGGCAAACATGACACCACACACATACACACACACACACACACACACACACACACACACACACACACACAAACTAATAAAGTTCCAGTAACTGACGCCAAGAAATAAAGGTCTACAAATTGCCTGAATAAGAACTCAAAACAATTATCGTAAAGAAACTCAATAAAATTCAAGAAAAAAATACATATAAACAACTAAACCAAACTACAAAAACTACATGAACAAAATGAGAAATTTAATAAAGAAATGAAAACCATTTAAAAGAACCAAACAAAAATGCTAGAGCTGTGTGTAAACAAATATAGAACTTCAACAGCAGACTAAATTATGCGGAAGGAAGAATTAGTGAACTAGAAGACAAGTTATTTGAAATCAGCAATGTAGAGGAAGAAAAAGAAAAAAAGAACGAAAAAGAGCGAAGAAAGCTTAAGGGACCTATGGAATACCATCAAGTGTGTAAATGTAAGAATTATTGGAGTCCAAAAAGGAAAAAGAGGAAGAAAAGCGGAGGAAGAGAGCTTATTTGAAGTAATACTAACTGAACACTTCCCAAATATTGGGAGCAATGTGGACATCCAGATTCATGAAGATAAAAGGATCCAAGCAAGATCAACCCAAAGGAGAATTGTCTGATACACATTGTCATTACATTGTTAGATGTCGAAGACAACCATAATGTCTTGAAAACAGCAAGAGAAAAGAGACTCATCATACTCAAGGGAACTTCCATAAGGCTGTCAGTAAACTTCTCAACAGATATCTTGATATCCTAGCAGGAATAGACTGATATATAAAAAGTGCTAAAACAAGCAAAGAAAACCTGACAATTAAAAATATTCTACCTATCAAAGCTGTCCTTCAGCAATGAAAGAGAGATAGACATTCCCAGACAGACAAACAAAAACTGAGGGAGATAAATATATAATAAAATTCAGAATACTTTAATACTGTAATTGTGATGTGCTATTCATTTTTAACTGATATGGAAGTTAAATGACAAAAGTGATAAAAATAACTATAACTACAATAATTTGTTAATAAATACAAAAAATACAAGATGTAAAGTGTAATATCAATAGCATGTGTACTATCAATAGCATAAAATAAAAGTTTTGTATGCAATCAAATTTACTTTGTTATCAGCTTAAAATAGAGAGTTATAACCATAAGTTGTTTTATGTAAGCCCCCCTATGATATGAAAAAGACAAAATAACTAGTAGATAGACAAAAGATAAAGAGAGGAAGAAAATTAAAACACATCACTACAAAAATCTAAACGTCAAAAAGAAAGACAGCAAGATTGAAAGAAAGTAACAAAGAAACTACAGAACATTTAATAAACAATTAACAAAATGTAAATACTAAGTCATTACATCAATAATTAATTTAAATGTAAATGGATTAAATTATCTAATCTAAAACCACAAGGCATCCAAATAGATAGTAAACAAGATCAAACAATATGCTGGCTACAAAAGAAACACTCTAGCCTTAACAACCTACACAGATCAAAAGTAAAGTTATGAAAAAACCATATTCCATACATTTGACAACCAGAAGAGATCAGGGATGGCTATACTTCTATCAAGAAAATTAGATTTTCAGTTGATACTCTCACAAGAGACAAAGAATGTCACTATATGATGATAAAGGGGTCAACTTATAAAGAAAATATAGCAATTGTAAATATACCTATATACACCCAACATTAGAGTACCTAAATATATAAATCAAATAGTAACAGAACTTAAAAGAGAAACAGATAGGGGACTTTAATATCCCATTTTAACAATTGATATATCATGAAGAGAGAAAATCAACACAAAAACAGCTGACTAAAGTGACATTATAGCCCAAATACACTTAAAAGTCATATACAGAATATTATATCTGACAGCAGCAGAATATATATTCTCCTAAAGTGTCACAGAATATTCTCCAGAATAGATCACATATTGGGTCTCAAATAAAAGTTGTAAAAAATTTAAGAGATGGAAACTACCTCAAGTATAGTTTCTGACCACAATAATACAATACTAGAAATCAATATAGAAGGAATTTTGGAAATCTCAGAAATATGTGTAAAGTAAATAGCACAGTTTTTAACAACCAATAGGTAAAAGAATAAATCAAAAGAGCTATCAAAATATATCTTCAGACAGACAAAAATAAAAACATCATACCAAAATTGATGTGATGCAGCAAAGGCAATACCGCAAGGGAAATGTAAAACGATAAAGGCTTATATCAATAAAAAAGAATAATCTCAAATTAACAACCTAAATTTATAACTTAAAAAGTAGAAAAATAAAAACAAACTAAGCACAAAGTCAACAGAAGAACGACAATAATAAAAATTAGAGCAAAAATAAATCAAATGGAGGCTAGAATGACAATGGAAAAGACTAATGGGATGAAATAGCTTTTCTTGAAAAGGTTAAAAAATGAACAACACTTTAGTTATACTAACCAACAAAAAAGAGTCAGACTCAAATAAAATTATAAGTAAAAAAGAGACATTACAACTGATATTACAGAAAAACAAAGGATCATAAGAGACTGCTGTGAAGAATTATTTGCCAACAAACTAGATTATCTAGAAGAAATGGATAAGTTTCTAGAAATATACAACTTACCAAGACTAAATCATGAAGAAATAGAAAATCTGGGTGGAATAATAACTAGTAAGGAAATTGAATCAATAATAAAAAACCTCCCAACAAAGAAAATCCTAGAAACAGAGAGCTTCTCAGCTGAAGTCTAGCTAAAATTTTAAAAATAATTCACTTCAATCCTTCTCAAACTCTTCCAAAAAATTGAAGAGGTAGAAATGCTTTCAAACTCATTTTATTATCCTCTTACAATATCCAGACATGTATAATACAAAATAAGGAAATTAGAAGCCAATATCTACGATGAACACAGATGCAAAAAACTCAAGAAAATATGAAATTCAGTAGCTCACTTAAAATATTACTCATGATGATCAAGTGGGATTTATCCCTGAAATGCAAGGTTATTTCAACATACAAATCAATAAATGTGATATATCACATTAACAGACTGAATGATAAAAATCATATAATCATCTCAATAGATGCAGAAAAATCATTTGTAAAAATTAAACATTCTTTTCTGATTACAACTGTCAGCAAATATGATAGAGAAGAATTTGTCTCAACATAATAATGGACACATATTACAAGGCCACAGCTAGCATCATACTTCATGATTAAAGCTGAAAGTTTTCCCTTTAAGATTAGGAAGAAGGCAAGGAAATTCACTCTCACAGCTTCTATTCAACTGGTATTGGAAGCCCTAGCTTGAAAGATTAGGCAAGAAATAGAAATAAAAGGTATCCAAATAGGAAGACAAAGTTAAACTGTCTCTGAAGATGCAATAATCTTATATAGGGAAAACCCTAAAGACTCCACCAAAAAACTGTCAGAATTAACGACAAAGTTCAGTAAAATTTCAGAATGCAAAATCAGCGTACAAAAATCAGTTGCATTTCTTTACATTAACAGTAGATTATTCAAAAAATAAATTAATAAAACAATCCAATTTATGATAGTATTGAAAATTATGAAATATTTAAAAATGAATTTAACTAAGGAAGTGAAAAAACTGTACTTAAAACTAGAAAATATTGACAAAATAAATTGAAGAAACAAATAAATAACTAGATCCCATGTACATGAATTAGATTAAGAATGTTAAAATATCCATAATTCTTAATTTATAGATTCAATGAAGTTGCTATCAAAATTCCAATGACATTTTTCACAGAAATAGAAAAAAATAACAAAATTTGTATTGGACCCCAAACAGTCAAAGCAATTTTAAGAAAATATAACAAAGTCAGTGGGATGACACGCCCTAATTTCAAACTATACTGCAAAACTATAGTAATCAAAACAGCGTGGTACAGGCATAAGGGCAGACATATAGACAAATGAAACAGAATACAGAACCCGGAAATAAACCCATGCATATATAGTAAACTAATCTTTGAAAATGATGCTACAAATACACAATGAAGAAAGCCTCTTCAATAAATATTTTTGAAAAATGGATGTTCATGTGGAAAAGAATAAATTTAGACCCTTTTCTTAAACCATATATAAACGTTAACCTGAAATGGATTAAAGACTTAAATGTCAGATCAGAAATTGTGAAATTTTCAGGGAAAATATAGGAAAGAAGTTCTTTGCCATTGGTCTTGGTAATAATATTTTAGTATATGACACCAATAGCACAGGAAACAATAGCAAAAATAAACAAGTTAGTTACTTCCAAGATACAACTGGGTTACAGGCATTGGATAAATGCTTCTATTCCACCTGGGAGAAATTGGCCAAAACAAAGGCTCTACAGGGCCCATGCAAGTCCGAAACCCAGAAGGCAGTCATTAAATCTTAAAGCTCAAAAATAATCTCCTCTGATTCCATGTCTCACATCCAGGGCACGTTGATGCAAGAGGTAGGCTCCCAAGGCCTTTGGCAGCTCTGCCTCTGTGGCTGTACAGGGTACAGCACCCACAGCTGTTTCATGGGTTGGTGTTGAGTGCTTGCAGCTTTTCCAGGTGCATGGTGCAAGCTGTTGGTGGACCTACTATTCTGGGGTCTGGAGAACAGTGTCCCTCTTCTCACAGCTCCACTAGGCAATGCCCCAGGGGGGACTATGTTTGGGGTCTCCAACCCCACATTTCCCCTCTGCACTGCCCTAGTAGAGGGTCTCCAAGAGGGTTCCACCTCTGCCGCAGACTTCTGCCTGGACATCCAGGTCTTTCCATACATCCTCTGAAATCCAAGCATAGGTTTCCAAGCCTCAACTCTTGCCTTCTGTGCACCTGCAGGCCCAATACAACATGGAAGCTGTCAGAGCTTTGGGCTTGCACCTTCTGAAGCAATGGCCTGAGCTATATACCTTGGCCCCCTTTAGCCATGGATGGAGCTGGAGCAACTGGGACACAGTGTGCCATGTTCCAAGGCTGCAAAGAGAAGCAGGGACCTGGGCCCGGCCTGCGAAACCATTGTTCCCTCCTAGGCCTCCAGGCCTGTTATGGGAGAGGGTGCTGCAAAGATCTCGGAAATGCCCTGGAGACATTTTCCCCATTGTCATGGCTATTAACGTTTAGCTCCTCATTTACTTATGCAAGTTTCTGCAGGAGGCTTGAATTTCTTTTCAGAAAATGGGTTTTTCTTTTCTGAAACATACTCAGGCTACAAACTTTCCAAACTTTTATGCTCTGCTTCCCTTTTAAACATAAGTTCCAATTTCAGACATCTCTCTGTGAATGCATATGACTGTATGCTGTTATGAGCAGCCAGGGCACATTTTGAATGCTTTGCTGCTCAAAGATTTCTTCCACCAGACACCCTAAATCATCTCTCTCAAGTTCAAAGTTGCACAGATTCCTGGGGCAGGGGCACAAGGCCACCAATCTCTTTGCTAAAGCATAGCAAGAGTGACCCTTACTCCAGTTCTCAGTAAATTCCTCATCTCCATCTGAAACCACATCAGCCTGGACTTTATTGTCCTTATCACCATTAGCATTTGGTCACAATCATTCAACAAGTCCCTGGGAAGTTTCAAACTTTCCCACATCTTTCTGTCTTTTTCAGAGCCCTCCAAACCCTTCTAACCTCTGCCCATTACCCAGTTTCACAGTTTCTTTTCACATTTTCAGGTGTCTTTATAGCAGTGCCACACTCCCCTGGTACCAATTTTCTGTGTTAGTCCATTTTTACACTGCTGTAAAGAACTACCTGAGACTGGGTAATTTGTGAAGAAAAATTTAATTCACTGACAGTTCCACAGGCTTTCCAGGAAACATGACTGTGAGGCCTCACAAAACTTTCAATCATGGTGGAAGGTGAGGAGAGGCAAGGATCTTCTTCATATGGCATCAGGAGAGAGAGAGAGTGAAGCAAGAACTGCCACACAGTTTTAAGCCATCAGATCTTGTGAGAACTCACTCACTATCAGGAGAACAGCAAGGCTGAAGTCTGTCCCCATAATCCAATCACCTCACACTTGGCCCCTCCTCCAATTTGACATGAGATTTTGGCAGGGACACAAATCCAAAGCGTGTCAGTCTTGGTAATAACTTTTTTTGTATATGACACCAAAAGCACAGGAAACAAAAGCAAAAGTAAACAAGTAGGGTTACATTAAACTACAAAGCTTTTATAGAGCTAAAGAAACAAACAAAATTAAAAGGCCACCTAAGATATGCGAGAAAATATTTGCAAACCATATATCTGACAAGGGATTAATATCCGAAATACATATGGAACTCACACAACTTTGTAACAAAATAATAATAATAATATTTTAAAATGAGCAAAGGTCCTGAATAGACAGCTTCCCAAAGAAAGCAAATAAATGATCTGGTATATGAAAAAGGTACTAAATATCGCTAATCATTAAGAATATGCAAATCAAACAAAATATCACTTCATACTTGTCATGCTTGTTAGGATGGCTATTATCCAAATGAAAAAAGGATAAGTGTTAGCAAAAGTGTGGATAAAAGGGATCCTTGTACACTTCTGGTAGTAATGTAAATTGGTACATCCATTATGAAACAGTATAGGGTCTGCTGACAATTTTTAAAATAGGACTACCATATGATCAAGCAATAAAAAAGAAATGAAATATGTACATTGAAAAGGTGTGATATAGTTTTGCTCTGTGTCCCCACCCAAATTTCATCTTGTAGCTCCCATAATTCCCACATGTTGTGAGAGGGACCTGGTGGAAGATGATTGAATTATGAGGGCAGGTTTTTCCCATGTTGTTCTCATGATAGTGAATAGGTCTCAGGAGATCTCATGGTTTTAAAAGCACCAGTTGCCCAGCACAAGCTCTCTCTTTCCCTGCTGGCATCCACGTAAGATGTAACTTGCTCCTCCTTGCCTACCATCATGATTGTGAGGCCTCCCCAGCCTCAAGGAACTGTGAGTCCAATTAAACTTCTTTCTTTTGTACATTGCCCAGTCTCAGGTATGTCTTTATAAGCAGCATGAAAATGAACTAATACAAGGAGTCTGCACCCTCATGTTCATTGTAGCATTGTTCACAATAATCAAAATATGAAAACAAGCAAAGTGGCCATCAGTGGATGAGTGAAGAAAGAAAATGCAATCTATATGTATGTATGCACGCACACACACACACACACACAGAGAGAGAAAAAGAGAGAGAGAGAGGAGAGAGAGGAGAGAGAGAGAGAAAGGGAGATACAATGGAATATTATTCAGCCATAAAAGAAATCTGGTTATCTGTGACAACATAGGTGAAACTAGAGGACGTTACACCTAGTGAAATATGACAGACACAGAAATACAAATATAACATGGTCTCACTTATTTGTGGTATCTAAAAAAGTTAAACTTATAGAAGCAGAAGTAGAACAATAGCTTCCAGGGGCTGAGGGGTAGGGGGAATGGAGAGATGTTGATCAAAGGCACAACATTTTACTTATACAATGAATTAGTTCTAGGGATATAATGTCCAGTATGGGTGGTGATGGATGTGTTAATTAATTTGATTGTGATATTCAATATACTATATATATATATGTGTGTGTGTGTGTGTGTGTATATCAAAGCATTGCATTGTATACTTTGAATATATACAATACTATTTGTAAATTAAATATTTTTACAAATGTTTGCAAAAATATTTTAAAAATATATTTAATATATTTAATAAATATATTAAATCTATAATATATTTACACATATTAAATCAGTACATTAAATCCAGATGAGGATAGAGAAGTGAAAATTATATAATTAATACTATTTACATCCCTGCAGTTTTCAAATTACATAAAGGAACATAAATTCTCATATAAGGTCCGAATAGAGATTAATATAAATAGTAGCTTCCACTAGAAAGTGGGATTTGAGGATTACATTAAGAGAATGATGCGCTCCAAGAGGCTCCACATTCTTATAGTAGTACTTGTGGGGTTTTGAGCACACAAAGTATATCAGCAAAATGTGTGCCATTGCTTAAATAGAAATATCTGACATATGAAATAGAACTCTTTAGACTTTGTAACACATCTGTCAAATCATCTTATTTGTTGTTAAAGATTTTCTTTGGTTCTATAAAAGAACAGGAAGGGAAATGTCACTGTAGCTTTTGAGAGAGGGAAAGAGAAAGAGAGAGAGGGGGAGAAAAGTCTTACATGAGATCAATTGCCAATATAACCATTCAGAGACATTTATCGTGTAAAAGGTGGATTTGTATTGATTTCCTATTAAAGCTGTGAAAGTATGATTCAATTTTTAATGATACTATGAATTATGTATTGCTGTCAGGCTCTTTTTAGGTGATCATATTGAAACAAAATAGAGGCATTTTAAAGCATTCAACATAACATCTCACTTCTCCAAGATGAAATTATTTATTTTGAAGTTACTGCAATGATATGTTTTTATTTTTCATTTTTAGACTTCATTTTTTCATGAATCCTTTCAAGTTTATGTCTTGAGATTACTACATCAAAATCCAGCAATCATACCAAGAAATGATGAGGAGTCAAGTCAGTACAAATTAGTGGAAAAGCAGATTTTATACATTTTAAAGGAAATACATTGTTCTGGTTTGGAGCCAAAGTAAAGCTATCCTCATGTCATTTGTTTTGATGATTTTGAAAAATGGTGAGACTTCTAGGTCAGGTAATAGAAACAGATTTCTGCCAGTTACGCTTACATAGGTATTTAGGTTTTCTCATAGATGGGTTAGAGTTTCACTTCCTGCTGTTTGTATAGTACTCAGTTCTGCGCTTGACTTCAGCAATCAGCAGATAGCACCTTTTTTTTTTTAACTCCTTTAGCCAGGAAAATACCAGGACTTGTAAAAGCAGAAAGGGAAGTTATAATTCTAGATAATACTCGTAAGATATTCTACTAAAAGTAGATTGTCAAAAAGAACAGTTCATTTCATTTTGGACAGGCTCATACAAGTGCTTGCCTGAAGGTCTGCCATAAGACGTGTGCTGAATTTTATACTCTGGAAGTCCATCTCATGAATACCCACAAAACAGATTTATGTTACTTTAAGCTCTCTCATCACTGACCAGCAGGATAGATAAAAACACACAACAGTGATTGATGTGTCCCAAACCTTCTTGGTAGGTAAAAAATAAGTGAAACGCAAAAATCAGACAGAAAAGTCAGACCGTTTTCTTTGAATGCTTGTGCTCAATAGAGTAGGAAGGAGAAAAGTTGCATTTGAAAATTATTTATATTAATGCAAGTGAAAAACGCCTCAGACCTGAGGACTTATTTAACACTCTACATAAAGTTATTTTTTCCTGAATCCCAAACTGAATGTTTTCTTTTTATCTTGTACGCACCATATGCTTGAGAAAAAGAAAAAGCTACTTGATTACACTAGACTTTGTATTACAGCTTACAATTGAAAAAAAAATAAAGTTATGTCATTCATTTAATTTAAAATAAAATTATGTAGTACCAACTAAACAGCAGGCACTATTGGCTGTAGAGTTTAAAATCTAATGAAAGGCATAGACAGTTAAGAAGGTGATTTCAATCAAGTGTGATAAACACTTTGACGGAGTAAGTCATGAGGGCATAACAGCAGGGCTTTGGTTTAGTCATTATGGAAGAAGTTTTGAGGAAGTGGGATGAGCAAATAGAGGTACCTCCAAGTTCCTTACAATGGAGACACATCAATGGTGCCTGCAGAAGGCAGGCCATGCCAGGAACCAGCAGCTCAACTAGGGCCAGAGGAAGTGGTGCAGGCAGAGCAGGTCCTGTCACACTGAGTCTCTGAGTCTCTGAACTGGGCTTGGGATTGAGACTGAGGACTACCATGTACCATTTAAAGAAGGGAGAACAGGACATTTACAACCTAGAAATTTCACTCTGGCTGAGATTTGGAAAATGAATTAGAAGAGGCTGGGAGGGTGGTTAAGAGCCGTGGGTATGGAAGAGCCAGATGTTGAGTGCATGTAATGGACGAATCAACTCTGGCAACGAGCAGCTGCCTGAGCCCCCTGGGGACACAAGGGACAATGATGAGAGGGTCTGTGCCTGCTGTGCCTACGTGATCATCATTTTGAACTTCAGGGACTGAGAAAAGCTCACCTATTAAAATTGTGTGTGTGTGTGTGTGTGTATTTGTGTGTGTATACACATATCCTAAATACTCTCATTTAATCTTTGCACGTTCTATGCATGGAACAAAATATCACATGGGCCCCACACATAACTACAAATATTAAGTATCAATGAAAAATACTTTAACAAAAAATGATTTTATAATTTTTGGATTTTTATAAGTCTATTCAAAATTAAATTATCATCAAATGTTCTTTTCCAATCATAGTATTATATATTAAATGGAATTTTGGCTTTTTTAACTTTTATTTTAAGTTCGGGTGTACACGTGCAGGTTGTTATACAGGTAAATTTGTGTCATGGGTGTTTGTTGTACAGATTATTTTATCACCCAGGTAGTAAGCCTAGTACCCATTAGTTATTTTTTCTGATCCTCTCCCTCCTGCCAGCCTCCACTCTCTGATGAGCCCCAGTATGTGTTGTGCCCTTCTATGTGTTCATGTGTTGTCATCACTTAGCTTCCACTTAAAAGTGAAAACGCGGTATTTGGTTTTCTGTTCCTGCAATAATTTGCTAAGGATAATGGTCTTCAACTCCATTCATGTCCCTGCAAAGGACACGATCTTGTTCTTTTTTATGGCTACATAACGTTCCATGGTGTATCTATACCACATTTTCTTTAGCCAGTCTATCATTGATGGACATTTAGGTTGACTCCATGTCTTTGCTATTGTGCATAGTGCTGCAATGAGCATATGCATGCATGTGTCTTTATAACAGAATGATTTACATCCTTCGGGTATACACCCAGTAATGGGATTGCTAGGTCGAATGGTATCTCTGCCTTTAGGTCTTTGAGGAATCACCACACTGTCTTCCACAATGGTTGAACTAATTTACACTCCCACTAACAGTGTGTAAGCATTCCTTTTTCTCCACAACCTCACCAGCATCTGTTATTTATTGACTTTTTAATAATAGCCATTCTGACTGCTGTAAGATGATATCTCATTTTTGTTTTCTTTTGCATTTCTCTAATGATTAGTGATATTGAGTATTTTTATATGATTATTGGCCACATGTGTGTCTTCTTTTGAAAAGTGCCTATTCATGTCCTTTGCCCACTTTTTATGGATTTGTTTGTATTTTTCTTGTAAATATAACTTCCATATAGATGCTGGACATAAGACCTTTGTTGGATGCATAGCTTGCAAAGATTTTCTCCCTTTCCGTAGGTTGTCTGTTCACTCCAATGATCATTTGTATTGCTGTGCAGAAGCTCTTTAGTTTAATTAGATCCCATTTGTCAATTTTACTTTTTTGCAATTGCATTGGCATCTTCCTCATGAAATCTTTACTCATGCCTATGTCTTGAATGGTATTGCCTAGATTGTATTCCAGGGATTTTATAGTTTTGGTTTTAAATTTAAGTCTTTAATCCATCTTGAGTTAATTTTTGTATTTTGTCTAAGGAAGGGGTCCAGTTTCAAACTTCTTTATGTGGCTAGCCAGCATATTATATATGTACTTTGTCAGTGTATTATAGGCAGAACATACATCAAACATCAAATATATAGATGGGTTTTTTTGGTATCCAAGTCTAGGGTTCTGAAGAAGAAATAACCTTTCTTATCTTTGTGCATTGCCTTGAATTTAACTCTAAGCCCATTTTAATATTTATGATCTCAGTTGATATGATTGCTCCTAGTTTTATTTTATACAGTTCCACATTGCAATGTAATTTCTTGATTAATCTTGATTCCGTTTCAGGAAAGGCTGAGAAGAGGGTTCTTGGGTAAGTATTTTCAGAAAGAGTATTTCAGAGTTTCAACATCTCTATCCATTCAGGCTCCTGAATTAGCAGTATGGCCTCACACCAACATGTACAGAGGTTTTTGTGTTTGTTTGTTTTTTCTGGTTCTAATGGGTGATAATTGGTGAACAATCTTTTCTCTATGGTGGAACAGTTAAGAATGAAAACAAATGTTATTCTTTTAGCTATTTTATTAGAAGATATTTGCCATGATGATAAAAAAGGACTCCATAAAATCTATGAGACTAAACACCAGGAAAGCAAACACAGGATGACCCCGTTACACACATTTAAATCAAATTCCACTTGTTTGGGAAAACTCTTGTAACTAACATAAGTTTGAATCTAGATTGTATCACTGGATTTATAAGCAAAGCTTTCTACATGTTTATCATTTAAAAACTTGGTAAATATCTATTTTTCATTCTTCAATTTGAACACAATCTCATATTATTTGAAAGTTTGTTAAAAAACAAGACAGGAAGTTAAGAAATCAGACAGAACTGTGTGTAAACTTTGCATTTGTTCTCTATTTGCTGAGTAAAACCTTCTATTACTTAGTCTGTTTGAGCTATTTCCACCTTTCTTATCCCGTCAAACTCAGTTACATGCGAGTATATCACAAGCTCATTTCAGACAGGTACAATCTGACAAATTTCTCTCTACATTTTTCAGAAAGCTACTTGAGATACACTTCCCCCAAAATCAGGAATTATACAGAGAAGGAGGCAGACATGCTAAAGAACATGAAAGTGGAAGATTCAACATAGGAGATGAGAAAGGAAATGTGAGGGGGGATAATGAAAGAGGAACATATGAAGGGAATTGCACCAAGCAGAGAGGACAACTGGTCCATTGGGAGCAGTGAAATTCAAAAGACAGGCTAAGAGTTTTCATCACAACCTCTGTCTTGGTGCCATGTTTTTAACATGGTAGAACTACTGGAGGATACGCTTCACCCAAATAATAGAGTAAGCCAAGGAAGGGAAGTCCTGGTATACAAGAAATAAGCATTCAACTTAGGATGATGGTAAAGGTAGACAACAGGGCAACATGCCTAGGCAATGCAGGGGATTAAAGACCTCCAGTAGTAAGACCTGCAAAGAAAATCTGGATTTACAGTTTACTGAACTTTATTATTTTTTAGAAAATGACACTGATAATATAATAAAAACTACAAACCAATCTAGTAAACACACAAAAATCCAAGCAAATAAAAACAAACAAGAGGCCAAGCACAGTGGCTCATGCTTGTAATCCAGCACTTTAAGAGGCCGAGGTGACGGGATTACTTGAGCCCAAAAGTCCAAGACCAGCCTGGGCAACATAGTGAGATTCTGTCTCTACTAAACAAACAAACAAGGAATCCTAAATTTCAGAACAAACTGAAAGGAGTAAATGTGATCCTTTTATGGCAAGGTAATAATTTAAACACCATGAACCCTAATGTTGCTTTAACCCCAAATTTTAACAAGATTATAATAAGAGAATGAGGAACGTAAAAGATACAGGATAGCAACATAATAGATGTAAATCCTCATCTATCATAACAGGAAGCCCATAGTATCTAAAATTGATGAGTCCAATGATAGCAATTTATTCACATGTTGAGAACTATGGAAACTAAACAACGAAAAGACACAAATGTTTTGTTTTGGAGAGGGAGACTGGTCAGGGAGGGAAGTGATGCAGCAGAGAGTCATTTAGTTTTAATCCTTTTAATTTACTACTTAACTTTTTATGCTATTGTGTACATGTTGCTTTGATAAAATAGAATTCAATTAAAATAATATTCATGATACAGGTTTTAAGCCTCTTAGGTATTATCAGGCTGACTTCTCTAGGTAACATCCATCTGTTTCACTAATGTCCACTTGTTTCCACTTTGACACTTGTGTGGAAATATGATCCTCACACATAGAACAGGTCTATACTGTACATTCAATTATGCTGCTCAGCAGGTCCAATCCCACATAAAGATTCAGTAGAAAACATATAGGATGAGGCATTATTGACGAAGTCTATAGAGCAGGAAATTCTGTCTTTTCTCTGCAAAAAAAGAGGCTGCCTAGCAACCATTATCCTGCACACTGAGGAGAGACTAGACTACAAATTTATTTCCATTTCTCTATGTATTATGAGATTCAACTTAACAAAAATAAAACCTTACATCCCTTATTAGTTTGGAATCATTTTAGTTCTATCAAATCTACCTTTCTTATGAATCAACATTATGGAAAAATTAAAAAAAATGTGTTTAAGAAGAAACAAGTGCATTAAATTTCCTGCAATGTGCAAACATTATTTTTCTTTCTAACTGGTTAAATAGTTTTAAAATAATATGTGCAAAACGAATGCCAAACAGTAAGCCGATGATGTAAAGCATTCACGGTTTGAGAGTTGGAGATGAGTGAGTTCCATTATGTTTCATTGCATTATTCTTTCCACTTGAGTAAATGTACTGTACCCGATTTGGACTTAGTCATGCTGTAGTTTGCCTGTCAGAAAATTTGCATTTCTGTGATCAAAATGAAAGTTATGTTTGAGATTTATTGGAAAAGTGGGTGTAGAAAAGGCTTTAAGTGCTTCTGAGATCATTTCTCTTTTATGATGATTTGTAAAGAGCTTTGGAAACAAGGTGCAAAGCTTCTAGGAGTGTCAGGAGCAAAGCTCCTGGTGGGTGCAAGATTTGTTCTCAATCAGTGCACACTCCATTAACTCTTTACCCGGAATGAGTCACGAGTGCTTTTCTTTGGTATAAAAATGAAGGGATAACAAGAGCAAGAATCTTTTATTTTCTTCTCTCTCAACTTTGGGCATTTAACAACCAATAAAAATGCATTAAACAATTACATATCTCCCAATGCTTTTACTTAAGTTATAAAGTCAATAGCAATTTATGTAGGAAATTAAGCCCCTCTCCCCTCCAGCAGCTGTAGTAAGAGTGCAGGGAAAAAACACTTTATGGTTTGCCTGTCCAAAGTCTTTGGATAGGTATTTTTCTGAAGATGTCTGACTTCTTTTACAAGAGCTGTGGTGTGTTTTCTAGGGTTCTGCAGACTCAACGTCACAATTCCTTTCAATGAATCCAAAGAACAGCAACAGTTCATTCTGTCTCTAAAAATTACCTGGATTTGGGCAGGAGTGAATTCCTATTTTGCATTAAAAAAATATTCTGTCTCCTATCATTACCTTCAAAATTCATATTGAAAGCCTATTGTGAAAATGCTGTAAGACTTCATATAATACCATGCACTGTGTATGAACTATAAACAGTAATTGTTAATGATAACATGAGCTCCAAAAGTCCCAGTTCTTTTTCTGGGAACTTGAGGGCAATTGTGATGCCAGTACCTTTGATCTGCTATCTAAGAATCATTATAGCAAATAAGCTGGGAAAATGTGGAGATGCGATCTTTTGTCAGAGAAAGAATATAAAAGCAACTTCTGTTTCATGAAACTGGTTGACTGTTCAGACCACGGTGGAAGTCGTCCCTCTAGGAGGGAGGAAAATGAATACCAGCTGGAATATTTAAGATTGCCCTAGATTTTCATTTCCAATAAGGGGATAAAATTACTTTCCCTTTGGCAGGAACAACATTTTCTAAGCTAGTTACTGCTGAAGGTTTTGTCCTTCCGAGATTCCTTCATGCTTTCGTGCAGCAAGCAACAGGCTCCATATTAAACTGTGACCCTCAGTCTAAGAGGAATAAATGCACCTCCCCTGCAACACTGCCTTCTTCCCCCCATATTCTGCTCACCTCAGTGAGGATCCACAATAATAAATCACTCTGTGCTCAAGACTGCCAGGGTGAACAATACATCATAATAATTCTCCTACCGTTCAGAAAGTTCTCAATTCTTAGAAGATTTTTAATCACAGTGGAAACACAAGGGTGTTAATGAGGTCTATAAATTAAGTTAAAGCAGGGTAATTATGTCCTATGTTGCAATAAAGGCTGGGTGGCCAATATTATTAAGGCAAATTAAACACTTTCTTTGATTGTGAAGATAAATTGAATAAAAATATTACTGTAAACAAGGGGGTCTTTTGTTATGTACACATTAATTATGAAGTGGAAACTGGAAATGCTGCCCAGGCTTTACCTGAGCCTATCCATGGCTGAGATTCTTGAGATGCGTGAGCAGCTGTGTGTGGCACAGGGAGGAAAGGAGGGGCAGCATTTACACCAGCGCTGCACCCCAGACCGCAGTCTAGCAGAATACAGTCACCTCATCTAGCTCAGTCACCATGCCTGCATCTTTTTCAGATAAGCATATTTACTTTGTAGATTTCTTATTTGAGATTATGATGAGCATGTGACACAGATATTCTAGCACGTTAATAAATGAAGTAAAGAAAAAAGAAACAAGAAAAGGCTTGAAGATGCTCTCTCCCCAAGTAATTATTTAATCACTTTAAATATTATTATTTACTATAAATATGATACAAATGGTGAATATGACAAAATCTTCCCAATATCTCATATTTTGGATATATTGATAATATGCTAATATTGTTCTATTGCTTTATACCAATGGCTTCCTTGAATAAAACAACCCTACAAATCAAGTACTACTATTTTCAACACAGAGAAATGGAGACTGAGGCAGAGATTAATTGCATAACTTGTCAAAATTATAACTAATGCTACAGCATGCATTTAGATTCAAGCATAAAACTTTTCCATTCCAAAGTCTATATTCATAATCATTGCAAAACATGGCTTATCAATCACTTCCCACCACGTGAAAGAAAGCCCCTTACTATACTGGAGCAAGAGTAAGCAACAAGAGAGGGAAAGGGAAAGCCTACAATCTCTGATGAAAACTAGAAATTAAAACCACAGAAGTTGTTTAAGTATCAAGCAACAATATACTGAGAAACCCAGTTAGCCAAACAGGGATTGGCAAAGATTTATTTGTATGAAGGACAAAAGTGTTAGTATTCTTTTTTCTATTTCTGCAATGCTTTTGAATACAATGTACAGAGAGGCAGTTTGGTAAGGTTAGTAAGAGGACCAACTAAACAGTGCCAGGATTCCAGTCCTACTTCCCTTTTCACAACTGTAGGGTGTTGGGCACACTAGTAATCTTAGTCTTCCCTTCCTCATATGTAAACTGGATACAACTTTGATACTCCACAGGCTGGTGGGAAATTTCGATTAGTTAATAGATGTAAGGCACTGAGAAGGCGGTGTACATATGTCTGTTATATTAGTATTAGATGTTTTAATTTTTAAGAATCCTACAAGAACTTTTTTTTTCTGGTAGGGCTCTGAAGAATTTCAGTGCTTTTCCTAAAATTATTTTTTTTCTTTTTCTGTATTTTATTTCATTAGAAATGGTGGAATGTCCATATCTCCCTCTTTTTTTGGCTATAAATATTAAAGACAAATTTGTGCTCAATCCATATGAGGTGTGTGGGCTCATACTTGAGGGCCATCTGGCAGCATTTCTCACAGGAAAAGAGACAGACATGACTTATCCTATGAATGAGAGGTGCCCCTTCCCTTGTTTACTAATCTCCCGCATCCATTTGGAGTCTGCACACTGAACTGAGGAGGGTCTATCCGCATAGAGAGTGACCTACTTCTCCCTTCTTTCAATGGCAATTTTCAAATTAAATCTCAAGCATATCAGATGAGAAGTATGCAATTTTGTACAGGTCTTTTTTTCTCTACACTTGTCCCGTTGTATTTCCTCATCAACCTCTCAACCTCTCATCTATGCTATTGTATTATTCAGCATTCTACAGAACCAGAGAATATAACTAGAGATCTATAGAAAGAGATTTATTATGAGCAATTGGCTCACACTCTTATGGAGACAGAAAAGTCCCACTATCCACTGTCTGCAAGCAGGAGACCCAGAAAAGTGGATGTTACAGTGACAGTCCAAGCCCAAAAGTCTGAGGACCAGCTGAGCTGACGTTCAATGACAGGGGAAGCTGGATAGCCCAGATCAAGCAAAGAGGAAATGTGCCCTTCTCCTTGCTTTTTGTTTTCTTCAGTCCCCAAAAGGATTGAATCATGCCTGCCCATGCTGGTGAGGGCAATCCTCTTCACTCTGTCTACTGATTCAAATTTTCGTTTTTTCTGGAAACACTCTCACAGACACACCCATAAAGTATGTTTTATCAGCTGTCTGGGCATCCCTTAGCCCAGTCAAGTGGACACCTAAAATTAGTCTTCATAGTCTCCCTTGAATCAACATGAGAATGTAAGCTACACGAGGGCAAGGGTTATTTCTACTTCGTTTAGTGCTATATCTCCACATCCTAGAATGGCTTCTCACATGTAGGCTTTTAATAATATTTACTAAATTAATGAATGTTTAATGATCATGTATTTTTACAACCTCCCTTAAATAATTTTGGAAATAAGATGAGATATAAATATATAAATAAGTAATATACTGCATTGCACATAACAGCAAATATTCTACATACTTGGCATGCTCCCCCAATTCCTCCCTTATACACACATGCACCTGTATATACCTAGGAACTGTTAACTCCAAGTAGAAAAATAATAATTAGGTCAAAACTTTATATCTGGGTATTATTAAGGTATTAATGAGAAGCCTAAATAATACAAATTAATAATATATTTAAATCAGCATAAAGTATAAGCTTTTTAATGTTTTAAGCTTAATCTATACATGAGAAAATTGAATGACATATACATTTGATTTCCAAAGAAAATGAAAGTATTCACTATGTTGGCTTTGCTTTTAGTGAGTCTCAGGCCATGCAAATTAAGAGAAAATAATCTCTTCTCTCTCTCTGACAGCCAGGTTCATGGAGCTTCACCGCCCACTGGTCCCATACCACCCACTGGTCCCATACCATGATGTAGCTACTGGGGTTGTGACAAATGTCTTAGAAGATCCAAGTTTTAATTAGCACAATTATAAATTGATGATTTCAGGTATTTATGATTTTTTCATTCATATTAATTTTTAAGTTCTTATTTCATTTTTTCCCTATCAGCGCTTATGGAAAACCAACATCCAATCTCTCTGTCTGCCCCTCAGGACTGGAATCTGGTGAGGAGGAGTGAAGACACGGAGAGTCCAGCCTGAAGACATGAAGCAGAGGCGTCACCAAGGCACCCTGTTCCTCCAGTTGATAGAAAACACATTCTGTGTTTCTTTTATCTGCTTTTTCCTGCCCACATCCTCACATACTAACTGGTTTGAATGCAAGGGGAAAGAGAGAAAATTACATCTGAGGTGTATTTTAGTCCATGCTGGGGCAAGGCAGGGATGCAGAAGTGTATTTCTCTACTTCATCCTTCATCCAGCAGAGTTGGACAAGGATTCTTCTGGAGTTTAAGGCAAGAATCATCACTGAGATGTTTTTAATTGTAACCTTTCTTGCACTTGCCCTAAGATCATATATTTCCCCTAGATAATGGGTATAGAGGATGGGTGGGCTAGGGCTGGACTTTGGCTTCTGATAATTTGTGTTCTCTTCAATTTCTGTAATCTTTATTTCCTGGCCTTTCCCAGCATTCTTCTTAAGTACTGATTTGATATTACCCTTAATATTCACTTTTTCCATTTGAATGCTTTTATTTCTTCTGACAATTTTTTATTTTATACCAAATGTAAAAGATGTAAGAAATTTAAGAGATCTCCAAATACAAATGATATCAATTCCTTTCCAAGAGCATTATCGGGTTATGGGTTTACATGCATTTTACAAAGTGTTTGGCCAAGTTCATTATATTTTCTTGCATAAAATCAGTGGGGTAGAAGGCAGTGTGTCTGGAAGAGCCCAACAAGGCTCTCCCCTTTGCTCTTTTGAATTGGGCACCTTCATTAAGTTCCAGGGACATACTGATTAGATTAGAGGCCATCATTAGAGTTTTAGATTGCAATGCATGAAACAAATTATGTTGGTATACAGTTACAGTAAGGCAGGTTTAACAAGATGAATATTAAATCTTATAAACTATCTTAAAGGTTAGGTGGTAGCCACATCCACAATTCTATCTCAGTGTTTAAAACAAATTCCACCAGCCGGGCATGGTGGCTCATGCCTGTAATCCCAGCACTTTGTGAGGCCAAGGTGGGCGGATCACTAGGTCAGGAGATTGAGACCACCCTGGCTAACAAGGTGAAATCCCGTCTCTACTAAAAAAATAGAAAAATTAGCCGGGCGTGGTGGTGGGCGCCTGTAGTCCCAGTTACTCAGGAGGCTGAGGCAGGAGAATGGTGTGAACCCCGGAGGCGGGAGGCGGAGTTTGCAGTGAGCCGAGATTGCGCCACGGCACTCCAGCCTGGGCAACAGAGCGAGACTCCGTATCAAAAAAAAGAAAAAAAAAATCCACCATTTATTATTTATACAGTTTTTTGTTTTTTGGTTTTTTTTTTTGAGACTGGAGTCTTGCACTGTTACCCAAGCTGGAGTGCAGTGGTGTGATCTCAGCTCACTGCAAGCTCTGCCTCCTGGGTATTTACACAGATTTAAGAGGAAGTATGAAGAATTATGAACCCATTATATTGTCTCAAAATACTGGGTTAAGACCCTCACACAAAATTATGGCAATGAAATCTGTACTCGCATTGACTAATGTAATCAGAAAGTGCTATTCAAAACATGGAAATGGATTATCACCCTCTACTCTGCCTCAGTCATACCTTTCCTATGGCATGCCTATGTTTTCTAGTCAAAGGCCACCAGGAACACACTTGAGGGTGAATAACTTGAGTTTGTTATTTGTTACAGCAAAGGAAAACACACACCGATGGGAGACGTAGGGAATTTCTGTAGGAGGATGATAGCAAGAACTTATTAACTGTAGTCACTATGCTGTCCAATATATCACTGAAACTTATACCTGTCTATCTGAAAGTCTGTACCCTTTGACTAACATCTCCCTTTCCCAACCCAGGCCCTCCCAGCCTCTGGCAACCGCTATTCTACTCTCTACTTCTATGATTTCAACTCTTTTAGATTCCACATGTAAATGACATCATGCAGTATTTGTATTTCTGTGCCTGTCTTATTCCTCTTAGCATAATGTCCTCCAGGTTCACCCATGTTGTCAAAAATGATGGGACTTCCTTCTCTTTTAAGGCTGAATAGTATTCCATTTAGTATGTATACCACATTTTTATCCATTTATTTGTTGATGGACCCTCAGTTTGCCTCAATATCTTGACTGCTGTGAATAATGCTGCAGTAAACGTGAGAAAGCAGGTATCTCTTTTACTGTATCATAAAGATCAGGGCAGGTAGGAAAGTTAGACACCACTTAGTCAATAAAACTATGTCCCAAATTAATGCCTTCCTCAGATTACCCTCTCCCTCACAGTTAATTCCTCCATTCTCTTCCTTTCTGATGCATCTTGAAGAAATACCCAGTATTACATATTCCCCTGTGTCATCTTAAATTCTGTATCAATCCATCTCTCAAGCTAATTGCAAAACCCCTCAGGGCATGTGCACAAGGGGTGTCATCCCAGCACCTAGTGCAGTGTCTGACACATGGACAAACATGTCTCCTCTTTCTAAATTAAATGTTTTCTTCATTTATTGGTTTTTCTTCCTGAAGCCAAATGTATGGATTTATGTTTATCATTATTAACTATTATTAAGATATTGCTCTTTACAACAAAGTGTTTATGTATTTTTAAATCCCACCCTATCTAACATAACAGAGTCATGATCAAATTATCAACTCCAATTGCTTTTTGCAATTTTTCCCTTATACAAGTGGAAATAAATACATCTTCATAGTGTAAATCAAAGACAACCTTAAAGCAAACTTCTTAATTTTTTCTTGCTAGTTGCTATTAATCATATCATCAGAAATTTTTTTAAATTATTTTTCAGCTCACCTATTTTTAAGTGGGTTATAAGTCTCTTAAAATAAACTGAAAGTCTATTTTACCAAAAATTAAAATAACCTATTTCTCTGGCAGTACCCTTATATTCTGTTAATACTACTCTGGGTTTTTTAAAATGAGGTTTTCCTTGTACAATTTGCTAAGCAGTACTAGCTCCTGGAATAAACTGCTATCATTTCTGTGTATCTCAAAGCCTCATTTCATAGTTCATTCTAGTGAGCATGAGAATTTGAGCCAAGGCCTTTGGCCGTTCTTTCCCCTCCAACTCCAAGCCCAGATACAATTATAATCTCCAAAACTAGGAAACAGGAATACTCATGGGCAAGAAACAAAAAAGATTTCTCATAAAGGCATCTGGACCAAGCTGATAAAGTAAAAATAATAAAAAAGGCTAAGCTAAGAATTATTGCTCACTTATGTGTGATGAGTAATGTATTTGGAATTTTAAAAAGATTACTGAGCTCTTACTTGTAGTTTCTCCTTGTCCAATGGCTGGGAATACACTGTTTAGTGGCATCTAGACAAGACCCTGATATTGGAGGGGCTGAGGAACTATGTAAGATACTGAGAGAAAAAGAAAGTAAATTCCTCCAGCTGTGGGAATCTCCTGCAATCAGGAGTAGTGGCTTGGGGAAGTTGCTGGTGATACTCAGAAAACCACGAAGACACCACAGCCCAGCCGTGGTAGTCTGTTCCTTGATGGAAAAGCCTTTTTCTTATTATATGCAGCAGTATGTCAATGGAGATGAGACACAGCCTTACTAGACTCTTCTCTTGGATGCTGAGCAAAGCAAATGCTGAATGAAACAAAAGGTATACAAAACAAAAGCAGTAACCTCTAGGGTGGCTGTTTCATCCACAGACAACCTCACTGACATGAAGCTAGACTGCTGGCACTACCCATGTTTCTTTCTTCCCTCCAGGTTGCCTGGATGAGGAGTGGGGTATGTAAAAGTTTAGCAACCAGCTTTCAAGTGAGTGAAGACCAACAGCAATGGGTAAGTTAGTGAAAAATCTGCAAGGAAAAATCTGCTTAACCTGTTCATGGGAAATAACCCCTTGTTAGTCAAAGATGTGAACACAGAAATGAATAGAGAAATAAACAAATTAAATGTGGAGTTATGGAAAGATTTTGCATCATAAAAGGGGAAACGCTTAAAATATAATGTATTAAACTGAAGCAAGGTGTTGCTAACATTTGCATTATTAAACCTTAATAAAATTGCAGGAAATACACATAATCAATCAACATCTCCACAAGTCCTCCAACCTGTTGGGTAACTCCCTGTATGATACCATAAGAGCCTGAGCTCTTTCTCACCTCTTCATAGCCCCGGGAATTTGAGGGGCAAATAAATTTCTCTTGTAATTTGCATAGATGTTTACATAACTTCTAATATGTGACACTGTAAACACACTAGAATTTAATACTTATAAATGACCTCTAACATTCTAAGATATGCAAACAAAATTCAAAATTTGGGCCAACAGAGGTTGTTTAAGTAGAATGTTGTCTTTCTGTTGTTATTTATTTATTTTACTACAAGATTGACTCTAGAGATGCTCTTAATTCCAATATTAATGATTAATAATAAATTTGCATTTTTAACTGTAAGATTTCAACGTGTATTACACCCAAACACATATACACATGCCTATACATGTGCACACACACAAACACACACACACACAGTACTCCTAGAGGGTTCATATATCAAAAAATACAAAATTAAAAAATCGAAAAGAAACACAAAACTAAAATATAGACCTAGGTGATAGAAAACAAGACTGAATTTCTCTACAAAAGACAGACCCATAAAACTAATTTTAAAAAGACAGGTGTATGCTGGTTGTGAAAGCCACATGTAAAATAAATGAGCAAGGATAATGTAAAAAGGTAAGGTATGATAAATCAGGGAAATGCAAGAGAAATGGGAAAGTGGGGAAAAATGGAAAAAAGATTAATATTATAGTTAAACCCCAAACAAAAAGCAAGATAAAGAAAAACTGGAGCGTATTTAGATAGCTAAAACTTACATTAGACACTGATAATGTAAGTGCCATAGGTCTTTATGCTACATAAGAAGCATCTGCATTAATATTTTATAACCAAACCTCTGTAAGATCATCAAAAATGGCTGTTCAGCTTTTGGTTTCGTGCAGAAAATGCATTGATAGCACAGGTGGGTTGTGGCCTACTGCCAGCAGGCAGACCCCCTCTGCTGTAGCTGGCAGGACATAGGCACTTCTCTACCCCACTTTGCCAGGGGACCTGGGGTTGTAGGAGGGCCTGTTGCTGTCGATCTGGCATACTGTCCGTTTCACTTAATTTTTTCTGTTCTCCCCATGATCATGTCAGCTCCATGATGATAAGATTATTTTTGTCTGTTTTCTGGCAAAGTAAAGAATGGGCCATGATTATTTACTGAGAATGAATAAAAGTGTGTGTTTCTCCACAATTCTCTTCTCTGGTCTGCCCATCGGACACCATCCACATCAGACTAATCCCATCTACCTTCTGGCACTTGAAGATAGTGAGCACATACACGAAAAAGCTCTCCCACCCTCCTTTCATTCAAAATAAATACTCTGCTTGTTTATTTTAATAGACTTTATTTTAAAGATCAGCTTTAGGTTCACAGCAAAACTGAGTGGAAGGTACACAGAGTGTCTATGCATCTCCTGCCCCACATACGGGTAGAATCACCTGTTATCAATACCACTTTGGTTTCTTCGTCATTTGGCATGGATTTGATTTCTGTCCACAGAATATTCTCTATCTTCTTCTTGTGCTTCAGTCAGCATTGACCCAAATCTGATAACAAAACACAGTAGAGACACTGGGAAATGCATGCAACAAATGCTTAGGTGTATGGAATATAAGCTTGATTCATGCACATTTTATTTAGCAAAGCATTTAATGCTTTTTAAAAAACTATTCAAGATCATCAAGTTTAAAAGTGACCGATGTAGATTATGAGTTGATCTTTGTTTTTTCTAGCATAATGCTGTCTCCTGAAAGCTGTAAGGGTCCTCATCTCTAATTTTTCGTGATTCGTAAAACAAAGATTGTATCCTCCTTCCTCTTAGCTTTTAATATTTCAGCTAGAAAATAACATGGCTCTTATTGTACACATGTGTCTACCATCACATAACTAGCATCTGCCTTATCTTCATATAAAATAGTAAACTATCACTTCAGTTCCTCTCCTGCATGAGCTTTTCCATTCCATGGAGCCTGAGAGTCCTCCTGTCCCTGATTGGCTTCACTTGCCGGATGCAAGTCAAGAGACCCTTATAGCAAGTGGATTTTTTTACTTTAAAAATATATGAGCACAGAATATGTTTAGCCAAATAGAGGAAAGAGACAGATCAACCGTCTCAACTTGCAGAAGATGCAAAATGAACATTCACCACACTGATCTCTTATTGCCTCTTTCAGGAATTTTATTTGTTGGTAGCCTAAGGCAATACACTTGCTGCTGTTTTTATTACTTACTTCAATCAACAACCTGTTTCACTGCACATTGTGTAGATCTCAAATTGCACCCCAGATATGGAACCATGAATGTAACCAGTCCCGGATGCAGCCTCCGCCTCCGGGCAGACCTGTTTTGAGGATGCCTCGAATGAGGTAATGCAGGCCCTCAGGAATTGCTTGTGTTCTCAAGGTTTTCTTGGGAAGTTTCACATTTTTATATCAGCTTACAGAGTTTTTTTGGAAGCACTGGGAACAGTTAGACACAGTGCTGAGCTGAGCATGTTAACCCCCTTACTTTT
This sequence comes from Homo sapiens, assembly GCF_000001405.40. NCBI lineage: Eukaryota > Metazoa > Chordata > Mammalia > Primates > Hominidae > Homo > Homo sapiens. Next base: position 52,842,596 of record NC_000007.14, read on the forward strand.
AGAAATAAATAAGCTTAACACTCAGGGAGGTCTCTGTGCAATGTTCCACATGTCTGCATCACATGTTGCCTGTTATTGCCAGACCTGACAGGTGGGTCACAGGGCTGCTTCCCATCAATTTATACAAGGTTTAAAGGGATTTTTACATAATGCCAACACATGTAGTTTTTATTGGATCAAACCCTGATGATTACATTTGCAATTTAATTAAGGCAGGCTTATTTTTAGAGTTTGCTTTGAAAGACTGGTAGGAAGAGAGGTATGTTATTTCCTCTTACCACACAGGAAAAAGCAACAAATCAAAGTCATTAAGAGAAGGACAGATAGGTAAATGATTCTAGAATTAAATATAGCATTGAGTTTCACTTATATTTTCATTGTTTAGGGAAGGACAACACAGCCTTTTTACCCTTCCTTTGCTCCCTCTCATGAATAAGTTAGGTTTTGATCGACAATAGAAAACTGGGGAGAGAGGCTGAACAGGACACTGGATAGCACAGCAGGCTAAGCTGTGCTTCTTTCTGAAAAAAATTTTCCTCTCCCCTTTAAGAAGCCTGGCCCTACTGTCCACTCTGACTAAGTGAAATCTCCTTCTTAAGGAGAAGTATTTACATTCAAATGACTTTTTAAAAATTATAACCACTACTCTCTATAAAATACAAGCCTTTGTCTTTTTACAAAGGCTATTTAACAAATCAGAGAAAAGATTTGGACAGAGATATTTTCTGGCAGTCTTGAAATTAAAGCAATTAGGCAGTGGCCTGTTCTTCTAATTAATGGTGGACATGACTATTTGGGCTGGCCTAAGAGAAAATCAATTAAATGTCCAGTGAAGGTGATAATGAAATCGTTTTTCTGGATTCCTTTTACAGGCTCTGCAGTAGAGATTCATCCTCCATTTTGACTGCACACAGTATCTTTTGAAAACCACTCCTGTATTTTCATTTTCCTCACATTATGAGCACACCTCCTCTCTGAGAAAAGCCAGGAACTACATTTTCAGATGCTTCTCATCTTGGATGCCTGATGGTGAGCTGGTCTGGCCACTCAGATACAAATCACTGTGACATTTCAGTACAAAGTAGAAGGGCATGAAGAAGAAGGCATATCAGGCAATTGATCACTTCTATCACAGGGGTCAGAGGGACTTCCTTCTCTCAGGGCAAAGGTTGGGGAGTTTCTGGCAGTAGAATCAGCTGCTTAGCAGAGCTGGTGTGTACCCTGTTCTGTGCCCAGCAGTGGCTGCAGTGATGTGTCCATGTGGGCAGAGCCCTTAGAGCACCACTGCTCCACGATGACACAGATGCAGAAGTTGAAAGGAAAGCTGAGAAATCTTTAGATTTTGAGTAATTTAGTATCTTCACACCATCCTACGACATGACTACTTGAACAGGACACCAACTGGCATTTTATCAGACTCACAGGGTGAGCTTCATGTGGTGAGAGCTGTAAACGAGACATGTTCTATGTGGGCTGCGTATGTGGGTTCTATGTGGGCAGGACCATGTTCAATGTGGGCTGCATTTTCAGATAAACTATAATGAAGAAATGTATAACCATCCCAGAAAATGGGTCTTTAATGAAAGATAGATGTTTGGAAAAGAATTGTTTCTACAGAGTGTTGTAATATGTTCTATACTTTACCTACAATTACCTGAATTAGGTGATGATATTGATAGTGTACAACTGAAAAAGGTTATTGCTAGGATATCTAACAAAATTGGATTAAATTTTTAAAACATTTTCATCAAAATTGATTAAATTTTTAAAACCTTTTCATCAAAAAATGCACTTGAAATCAATTTCTTCCATTGGAAAATATTTTAAAGACAACTATAACTTTACAGATTAAATTGAAATTGGCTACTGATGAAGGACTAAAGTTCAATTTTGAAACTACAGCATTGTCTCAGTGGTGACCAACTTAATAAATGAATATTTTGTGTTTGCCAAAATTACTCTAAAATGTCTTTCTTTATTCTAATTTACCTCTGTGAGAGACTTTTTTCTCTAGTATGATTTTCATTAAAACAGAATACAGAAACCGTTTATATATAAATTATTCCTCAAGAGGAAGATTGTCATCAACCAACCTAAAGTAATTCATTTAACTAGCAAGAAGCAAGATTATTCATCACATTAAAAACTTAAATATTGATATACATGATGTTCATTCCAGATGTGAGTGCAGGTGTTTAATATGATGATTGCTAGTTCCTTCAAAACTTTTTGTTTAATTATGATTGTGGAAAAACAAAAAGTTACAAGTAGAGTAATGATTCTCTAAATTAATCACTGATATGCACAACAGCAGTGAAAAGATACGTTTTGAAATTTTTTCTGTGTGACTGCATTATATTTATTCTGATTATATTTATTGAAATGCAATATGTCTGTTGGATCTAATAATAAAAGCTTTGAAATTATATTTTTATGCTTTTCATATTTTGTTTTCTACAAAGTATTTTTATTGTATTTTATAAAAGTATGGGTTCATTACTGATATATATGTATGCCAATACATATTTACATACATATATAATTTTTTGGAAACATATCTGTATATATGTCACCACAGAAATGTTGAGAAGCCCTGTTCTAGAGCCCTCCAAGAACATAAATCACATATGCTTCCTGGCTAGATGGCCCCACTCCTGATTCTATGACCTTCTCGGACATCTATAGGTTGCCCCATCATAGCATTGAATACATTCTCTTTCTGCTCAAAGTGGCTAGAGGGGGCTCTGTGTTTTGTAGCCAAGGCCTCCTCATGGTCGCTCCTCATTCACTCCTCATTCTTTCTTGCCCCTTTCTTAACCTTTCTACACACTGTGGCCTCAGTAATTATTCCCGTTCAAGTTTGATCTTGTCTTCTGTTGAAACGTCTTTCAATAACTTCCCATTGCTAATAAAAAAAAGAAAAACTTCAATATATGACTTACAAGACAGGAATGGTGACTTTCCTTCCTTCTTTGTCACTTTCCAACAACTTCTTCTCTTTTTTTTTTTTTTTTTTTTTTTTTTTTTGAGACGGAGTCTCGCTCTGTCACCCAGGCTGGAGTGCAGTGGCGGATCTCGGCTCACTGCAAGCTCCACCTCCTGGGTTCACACCATCCTCCTGCCTCAGCCTGCTGAGTGGCTGGGACTACAGGCACCCGCCAACATGCCTGGCTAATTTTGTTTTTGTATTTTTAGTAGAGACGGGGTTTCACCGTGTTAGCCAGGATGGTCTCGATCTCTTGACCTCGTGATCCACCCTCCTCAGCCTCCCAAAGTGCTGGGATTACAGGCGTGAGCCACCGCGTCTGTCCAACTTCTTTTCTATGTTGCACCTACATTCGCCTTTTTTTGTTTTCAGTTTGTCCAACAGTCCATACTGCTTTCCACCATAGGGCTGCATTTCCTCAACTGACAGTGAGCTTCCTTTTATTCAGTATTTAAATCCCATTGTTCCTTGAGAGCTCTGTCAAATCCCTTTCTTTAAGGAGGCACTCTAAACAGCTGAGTCTGGTTCACAACTTGTTTCGAGTTTGTGTAGTATCGCACATGTCCATTTCATATTATTTGAGGAAAGTAGTTTGTAAAAACACTTGCATCTTCTAGGACAGCGGTCTCAAAACTTTTTGGCACCAGAAACCAGTTTCATGGAAGACAATTATTCCATGGACAGGGGGTCGAGGTTGGTTTTGGGAAGAAACTGTTCCACCTCAGATCATCAGGCATTAATGAGATTCTCATAATGAGCATGCAACCTAGATCCCTCGCATGTGCAATTCACAATAGGTTTCACGCTCCTATGAGAATCTCATGCTGCCGCTGATCTGACAGGAGGTGGACCTCAGGTGGTAATGCTTACTTGCTCACCACTCACCTCCTGCTGTGTGGCATGGTTCCTAACAGGCCACAGACCAGTACTGGTCCACAGCCCAGGGGTGGGAGACCCTTGCTCTAGAGCAAAATAACTTACATAATTGATGCACTGTATTATCCATTGTGTCCTTAGTGCCAAATCCAGTGCAAATCACAAAAAAGAGCACTCAAAAGTCTCAGCTGAATTCCCAACCACACACATGTACTACTGACATAACAGATTGTCAGCCTCTTTGTATGTCAAAGAATATATGTTGGAAAAATCATTTTTGAAGTTTACAAAGTATTTAATTATACAGATATACTGAGTTAGGAGACTACAAAGACTTGTGTTCTGGCCAGAATTCTGCCGACCCAAACAGGGTCTGTTCCCAAGGACGAAGTGAAGATATTAGCAGGAACCAGAAGATGCGCATGAAGGCTGCCCTCATTACTCATTGGTATAAGACACTCCCACCAGTGCCATGACAATTTACAAATGCCATGGCAATGACTGGGAAGTTACCACCCTTTCCCTACAAAATTCTAAATAAACTGCTCTTCAGTTTGCATTGACTTGCACCTTAATTTGAATATAATTGAAAGTTGGTTAATGTGAGTATAAATACAGTTTCCAAGAGCCCATAGGCTGATGACTCTGGGCACACTGCCTATGAGTTTGTCCTGCTCCTCCATGCCCTTGAATTCCTTCCTAGGGGAAGCCAAGAACCTTCCCAAGCTAAGCCCCATTTTGGGGCTTGCCTGTCCTGCTATAATGTTATAAGTTGGCAAATTTTTAACATAGTTAGTTATTTTTAATAATATAGTCACCCCTAGAACCACTACCTACAACAAAAACTATGGAGCCTATTGTCCCATCCCTCTGACACATCCATCAGAGGAGATGATCATCTTAAATTCCATGTTAATCCTCTTCTTCATTTCCATAATTTGATACATTTTTCCCCTTTTTTTGCTGACCTTGATATTGTTAAGGATTACTGGTGAGCTATGTTGTAGAATGTTCCTAGACTTGGGTTTATCTCGTCTTCTGTTGAAACGTCTTTCAATATCTTCCCATTGCTAATAAAAAAAAAGAAAAACTTCAATATATGACTTACAAGACAGGAATGGTGACTTTCCTTCCTTCTTTGTCACTTTCCAACTTCTTTTCTTTTTCTTTCTTTCTTTTTTTTTTTTTCTCATGCTTACACTGGGATTCTGCGTTTAGGGAAGGAAGACCACAAGCATAAAGTGCCATTCAAGTGACATCACATCACATCACATCACATCACATCAAGGCTATGCACTGTCAACATGACTCAGGCCGGGCGTCGTGGCTCATACCTGTAATCCTAGCACTTTGAGAGGCAGAGATGGGAGGATCACCTGAGGTCAGGAGTTTGACACCAGCCCAGCCAACATGGTGGAACCCCATCTCTACTAAAAATACAAAAAAATTAGCCAGGGGTGGTGGTGGACGCCTGTAATCACAGCTACCTGGGAGGCTGAGGCAGGAGAATCACCTGAACCCAGGAGGCAGAGGTTTCAGTGAGCCAAGATCATGCCATTGCACTCCAGCCTGGGTGATAGAGCAAGACTCCATCTTAGGAAAACAAAACAAAAAAGCATGACTCATCATGGTTGGTGTAAAACTGATCACCTGGCTGACATAGTGATTGTCAGATTTCTCCACTATGAAGTGATTAACTTCCACCTTTCCACTCTGTACGGCAGAAGGAAGTTACTGCACCCAACACAAAATTAAGGGATGATGAATAATGCTTCACCTCCTTGAAGGGAAAATGTCTACATATATTATTTAGAGTTTTTCTGGGCTGGTCATGGTGGCTCAGACCCGTAATCCCAGCACTTTGGAAGGCCAAGGTAAGTAGATCACTTGAGCCCAGGAGTTTGAAAGCAGCCTGGGCAACATGATAAAACTGTAGCTCTACCAAAAATATAAAAGTTAGCCAGCCATGGTGGCTTACACCTGTAGTCCCAGCTACTTGGGAAGCTGAGGTGGGAGGATCACCTGAGCCCAGAAGTCGAGGCTACAGTGAGTCATAATTGCACCACTGCACTCTAGCTTGTGTGACATAGTGAGACCTTGTCTCTTAAAAACTAAAATAAAACAAAATCGAGTTTTTCTATATGAGATTTGTCTTTTATCATTCACTTACTAATTTAGTTAAGCATTTATTTATATCAATATGGACTTGTGGATTTTTATTTATATACTTAGTGTTATAATCCAATATTACATACTTTTGTTGCTCAAACTGTTGCAGGTGAAACCTTTTTTTCCCAGGCTCCGTTATTATTCCCTCACTGTTATGTTTGCTTTGTTTCTTTTGGGTACATCCTTATTTCCATTGCTACAAAATGCTTCAGAATTACTGTGTATGTTCCATGACCCATATTTAGGATCAGCCATTTCTTCAGGATCTCTCTAGTTCTTTGACTGGAGAGGGTATTTAGAAACCAATATCTGGATACAGGGTGTGCTTATTTTCATTGTTTCTAGGATGTATCAGCCGGCAACAAAAAAATAAATTTACACATACGAACTCATGAATATGCACATATCTATAAATATTTCTATGTGGATCTATATATATTAAGTTAAACATGAGTTCATAATGATGTCTCTCACTCTAATCCAATACCTCATTGATCATTCCATTCTTTTCCTTTTGATTTTATGTAAGCTTTAACTCCATCAGTGAGAAACCTGGCTCGGATTACCTGCCAATTGTTTACTTATTTTTCAATTTCATTATACGAGTGTTAGAGTTGTTAATCAATATCCCATGAAAAACAATTTGATCTACTATACTACAGAGTTTATATTTAACTTATTTTGCCACTAGTTTTACAGTCTCTACTCACTTCCAGAGTTGCTTGGGTCAGAAATCATGTCTCCATTTCTCTCAGTGAGGTTATTTTCTACATTTATAATGCAATCAGATTATTTTGTCACAATCTGAATTCTATCCTAGCCTTGCTCAAGCTCCTAAATAATTTTCTTTAAATTTCACACATCAATGTCCATTCATATGTGCTATAAAGTTCTATGGGTTTTGAAAAATTCATAATATCATATATTTACCATTTTGGTGTCACACAGAACTTCATCACCCTAAAAAACAAAAATCAAAACAAAAATTCCTTGCACTTCAGCTATTCATTTTTGCAAACCACTGGCTATCACTGATCTCTTTCTGTCATTATAGTTTTGCCTTTCTCAGAATGTCAAATAAATAAAATCATACAACATGTAGTGTTTTCAAGAATGGCTTCTTTCACTTAGAAACGTACATTTAAGATTCATCCATGGTTTTTCATGGCTCGATAGTTTATTCCTTTTTATCCTTAAATGCTATACATTTTCATAGATGCACCATGGTTCATTTATTCATTCATGTGTTGAAGGGTGTTTTGATTGCTTCCTATTTTTGGCAATTACAAGTAAAGTGCTATAAGCATTTGTATGCAGGTTCTTGTGTAACCCAAATTAATCACATCAGTTAGTTAAATACAAAGGAGAAGAAATAGTGGGTCTTAAAGTAAGAGTATGTTTAGCTTTGTAAAAACTGCAAATCTAAAGTGGCGGAATCACTTTGCATGCCTGCCAGTATTAAACGAGAATTCCTGTTTTTCTGCAACTTCACCAGCAATAGGTATTGTCAGTTTTTTTATTTGAACCACTGTAAGATGTGTATAATGATATCTCCTTGTTGCTTTAATTTGCATTTCCTTCAACATAATGTTGATCATCTTACCATATGCTTATTTTGTCACCCATATTTTTTATTTAGTGAAGTATCTGTTCAGAACTTTGTCTATTTTTAATTGAATTATTTCTTGTCTTGTTCCTAAAATTTTGAGTTGTAAGTTTTCTTCTTTATGTATATTTGGATTAAATATGTATTTTGTGATGAATAGTCTTTGTATTGTCTTAAGAGCATCTTTCACAGGAAAGTTTTTAATATTAAAAAAGCCCAAATTATCTATATTTTCTTTAATGAATTATGCTTTTAGTGTTGTATCTTCTTAGCAAAATTATTTAGGAGCTTGAACAAGGCTAGGATAGAATGCTTTTAGTGTTGTTTTTCTTAGCAAATCCAGTGTTATAAATATTTTATCCCATGCTTTCATTTAGAAGTCTTATAGTTTTTAATTTTACTTTTAGGATTATAATCATTTTAGTTATTTTTGTGTGGGATGTAAGGTCTGTGTCTAGTTCAGTTTTTGTACAGAAACATGCAATTGTCTCAGTATCATTTGTTAAAAAAAGAATACTTTCTGTATTAAATTAGCATGCTCTTTTGTCAAAAATCAGTAGACCATACCTAATTCTGGGATTATTCAGTTTGTTGACCTGTGTATCTATTCTTTTGCCAATACCAAACTGTTTTGATTAGAGTAGCTTTAAAGTAAGTCTTGAAATAATAGTAATATTTAAAATAGAACCACAAATTGAAATATTTATGCATAAAATATTAACCTTTTCATTCTGATTATAGCTTCTATAAATACATCTTTTTTTTCAAGACTTGCTTTAAAGCTACTCTAATCAAAACAGTGTGGTATTGGAAAAATAATAGATACATAGATCAATGTGACTTCTCCAACTTGATTATTCTTTGATATCATTTTGCCTATTCTGTACCTTTTACCTTTCAGAATAAATTTTTAAATCAGTTAGTCAATATCTTCAAAATATCTTGCTGGAATTATGATTGAGATTGCATTGAATCTATAAATGGAAAATGGAAAAAATTGACATGTCATCAATGTTGACTTTTAAAATACTTGAACATTGAATATCTCAGCATTTACACATATTCTTTTTGTATTTATTTTATCAGTGTTTTGTAGTTTTCCATACACAGATCATTTACAAATGAGAAAAATAGTATGTCCTGTCAACAGATGCTGAAAAAGCATTTGACAACATTCAACACTCATTTCTGAAAAAAAAAATTTAATAGAAATAGAAAGAAACTCAACACAATAAAGGATATATCCTTAAAACTTACAAGTAATATCATAATTATTGTGTGAAACTGACATTTTTCTCCTAAGATTGGGAACAAGGTGAAGATGTCCTTTCTCACCATTCCTATTGAATATCAAACCAGAAGTGCTATCTAGTGCAATAAATAAGAAAATGCAATGAAAATATATACATATAAAAGAGAAATTAGCAAAATTTTCGTGATTTGAAGAAAACATGATTGTCTAGTTAGAAACCTCCAAAGAATCAAACAAAATGTCCTGGTACTAATAAGCAACTATAGCAAATCACGTGATACAAGGTTAATATGCTTTCCTATATATCATCAACCAACACCTGAAATGTAGAATTAAAAATAATAATAATAATATTCAAATAGAATGAAAAATTGAAGTATGCATAAAACTATTAATCTTTCCATTCTAATTACAGATTCCATATACATACACACACACATATATGCACACATATATTTTAAAATATCTATTAGGTGCATGTATAATTCTATATATTTAAAATTATATGACTGTATGTGTGTGTATAGATATAGAAAGACAGAAGGAGACAGAAGTAAATTTACTAAATCATCTAGATTTTATGCTTTTAAGGGATTATTTATATCATTCTTTAGTATTAAACAGTTTTATGAGTATGTATTATTTTTATTATCCAAGAAATAATAAAGCTATTTTCTAGTTTTAAAAAAGTATGCTTATTACTCCTCTGAAAACAAAGATAATACTAAATGAGCATTATTTGACTCCCCCTTTTCCTCTACTTCTTATTTTTATGCATTAGTTCTTTTCGTAATTATATTGAAAACCAGAAAAATAAGCCCAATTCTCTGTTTAATTGCTTCCAATACTCACCATCTGTCTTTGAATAACTATTTATTAATTCTTGACATAGTTTGAGGTGTTAAGAAGACTCAGAGAGAATTTAGTAGCTCTGAGTTTATGCTGGAACCCGTTATCAAATAAACTTCTCTTCTTCCAAAGCAATCAAGAACAGTGTGGACTTGTGAAAATATTCTCTAATAAATCAAAGAAGAAATACTATATATGCACTCCTGAAGTAGGACATATTTTTGGGGAAATTATTTTTTAAGGAAAAAATAAATTTAATTACTATTTGCAGTGTGAATTTAAATTAATTTTATGGAACAGAGAAAGTGAAAAATGTGATGAAAAGTTGACTTTTTAAAGTGAAAAGTAGGTGGCTGAGAAACAAGAGCAGAATCTGTTTGCACTAGGGAAACGGGAGCAAGATCAATACGATGAGAACGTTATCAACAACTGGAAGAGATATGAGACATTCTTAAAATTTGAAAGAAGAGTACAGTGGAGCTAAAACAATGAAAAACAAGAAATATGGAGGAAAAATATTAATAACTGAACTCCAAAAGAAGACGTGAGAATAATAAAACAGAATGAACTAAGGCAAAATAGCCCCCTTTCTTCCTGAGGCATGGATTTGCAAATAGAAAGCAAGTGTCTCCAGAGCCCCCGAGAAACTTCTCTCTTGTGGGTATGTGTATATGTACACACAAAATACTTTCACTTGTGCACAAAAATCCTGCGAAGTCATGTGCTGTTAAACTGAACATTTATTTCTGTTAGTCTTAAAAGAAAAAATTAGGATGAATAGTTGAATCAAGTGATAAAATTTTATCAGTGAAACGAGTTTTACATAAGTAGTAACCACTCAAAGGGAACTTCAGCTGAGTTTGTTTATGTAATGTAGTTTCCCACGCTTATCAAATTAGAAAGAGGAGGGTTGACAGAGTGTGCTTATTGGTGTGGGAGGGATACAAGAAAAGCAGTAGAGAGTGGGTGATCTGTTTTTTAGGTTCAATTCAAATCTGTTTGATGATTTTTTCTTTGTGGCGTTTACACAAAAGCAAGTTCCTTCTATCTTCAAATGATTTAAAAATTTGAATCAAAAACCCCCAGAAAACCAGGAATATCAAAGTTGTTTTTGTCATCTGTTTATGGTCCTGATCCATTCTGAAGCTGCCACAGAAGAAGTGAAGGCATTTTCAATCCACGTGACAACCTTTTTAAGGCCTGTGGTCACCTTGCACTCAAACTGCACTTATATAAAACACTCTGGGGGTAAATTAGAGGCTAAACAGTAGAGGGCCTAGAAATTTGTGGAAAGAGTGTATGCCTACAACAAGATTCCAGAAATGCTGCACCTCCACCTCCCACATTTTTATGTGTGTCATGAAAATGAAAAAATTAAAACTTTTTTCATATGATTTGGTCTCACTGGAAATTGTTAGAGTGAGTTCATTGGTGAATGTGTCTTTTTGTGAAATAATGGCCACATATAACACTCTATTTATGTATTTATTTATTGTGTTTTGGAATGGAAAAGTTACTATATACCAAAACACAGTAATATGAAAATGGTATAATTCTTCAATAGCTATTGTGAGAAAACATTGTAAATTACATAATTTTTTTTTCAAAAAAAATCTGATCTTTTATTTACTTATGTAATATTAAATGTAACCACTTAAGATGAAATCAATTCTATCATGCTAATTCATTGTTTAGATTTTAAATGGGTTTTTTTAAGTCTTTTTTGTTTGTTAATTTGTTTGTTATTTTTTGTTTGAAGAAGCAGGGTCTTGCTCTGTCACCAAGGCCAGAGTGCAGCAGTATGATCATGGCTCACTGTAACTTCAAACTTCTGGGCTCAAGAGATTCTCCCATCCCAGCCTCCCAAGCAGCTGGGAGTACAGGCATGCACCACCATGCCTGGCTAATTTTTAATTTTTTTGTAGAGATGGGGTCTTGCTTTGTTGCTGAGGCTGGTCTTTAATTCCTGGGCTTGAGCCGTCCTGTCACAGCCTCCCAAATTTCTGGGATTACAGGCATGAGCCACCACACCTGCCCAATTTCAAATGTTTATATTTTAGTTCTGAAACTTCCTTTAGACATAAACAACAAAGTTTTGGCTATCACCTCTCTTCCTATCATCTTCAGATGGAACAGTGACACTTCAAGTCTTTGTAGTTCCCAAGATGACTTCCTAAGGCACTGCACTGCTTTGTGCAGATCCTGAGCAAAATACACATTATATGATGGAATCTTCAGCCAGTTTTCAGCTCAAATGCAAGACAATGCCCTCCTACTATAACTTTAGTGCTATAAATGAATATTTTAAATGAATTTAAACACCCAAGAGGAAGCTGCTATTTTCCCACCTTTGTATATCATAAGTGTCAAGAATATTTGCTTTGGGGCCCACTTTTTCATTTCGATATTTAGAAAGAGTCATGAAGAGAGGATTAAGGGAGAATCAGCACTGATGTCTAATTAAAACCAGAAATCATGTAGTTTGGACAGAAAGCAGGAAATGGATACAGGTGGATGTCAGAATATTTTAGTAAATTAGAGCAATCAGCAGTTTTTAGAAGTAGGTTTCACATACCAAGAAAGATATGGGCAGCACAAATGACTAGAGATTGCCAGCTGTGATAAGTCTAATTAGCATTGACACACTCTTGTTAAAACATCTGTGACATGTATATTAAAAAAATATAACTGTGAAATACAGAGTTCTATGGATCTTTAAGTGATTGTGTTTCAAGCAGACAGGTAGCAATTTAAAGGCAATTTGTGTAATAATAAATGATAATACAATAAAAATCTATTTAGGAGCATGGATTATTCCATTTTAAAAAAGATCGATTGATGGATAACAAAGAAAATTAAATAGAAAATAATAGAAAATGTCACTAACTCAATAGGGCATGCATTTTTGATGTTATAATAAAACTCATTCACATATTTTGTTTAAATTAGGGCCAACTGCTTGATTAACTATTCACCATGCATCATCTACTTAAAGGGTTGGGGACCTATGAACAGTCTCTATTACATTGAAGATGCCATTTTTTGTTTCTGAAATGGAACACTTTCAACACATTCAAAATTGTAAAATAAAAACAGTAATGTGTTGATTAAGGGGAATCACTTTCGTATCCCAAATAAACACTTTCATAGTTAATTTTTCCTTTAGAAAACAAAAACAACTTCCCATAACAAAAAATAGACATTGTGGTAGCTAAAATTCTCTTAATATAGAATAATTGTAATGATTGTGTTTGCACAGGTAATACACATGAATTTGGAACAATGTTTTTCAATTAAAAATATAATCAATTCTGAATTCTAGGTGGGAAAGCTTGGAAGAGAGCAGACAAGTAGTACAGACTTCTGGTTTTTACCCTTGGACCAAATATTAATAAAGGAATGCTGAGTTTGAGGGGTGGGTCTTTCCCACTCAAAGATTAGGAACAAGTTGTATTCCATCCATGGAGTCAGATGGGGCCCATGGGGCGTGTGTAGGTAAGGTGGTCAGTGAGAAACCCTCATAGCGGGTGTTGACTATAGCTAGAACAAATCGGAAGGTCACCCAGTGTTGGGTCTGGGAGAGAGACAGGAGCAAGTATGAGGAATAGGGGCCCATAGGGACCAATTTAGTGGCGCATTGGAGTGAAAGGGATGGCCCACGTGAAAGCGGCAAAAATTACTTCCATGAAGTATAAGCCATCTTCCTTTTTTAGAATGCTTCTAGAACCCAGCCGCCAATGGTGGAGAGGACTTAATGAATCATTGCCCTGAAGAGGAATGGAAGTAAGTTCTACAGTGACATCTTTGACTTCACATCACTTGACATAGTGATTGTTGAGGCTGATAAAGATGATTCTACGTTACCTTTCATCATTTTCTGTCCGTGTTTTCTCAACAAATTTCTGATTATTGGCTTCCAAAATAGATTTTCTAGAGAATATATTTCAGTCATCAATAGTAATTTCTTATAATTATACATTGCTTTGTATATAATATGTTGCCATTATAGTTGATGTCTCAGCCTCTGCTTGTGGGCACTGATCTACAATAGACAATACACCTGGTTGTAGGGGTATAAAGAGTTTATTCAAGGCCGAGATCAGGCCTTGACTTAGTTTGACGTTACCAAGCCAGCTCAAATCTGAGAAGACCTGCCAAGAGATAAACCAATTCAGCTGAACATTCTTAAATTCTGTATTTCACAATCCCTAAACCAAAATAAACAATCTTGTATAGATTTTCGTAGCAGTCAAGATAGTTTCTATTTGAAATACAGTTCTCAGAAAGATTTTACCGTGTGTAAGACCATATATTATCTCATTAATGATCTTAAGGCCTTTATTGCAGGACACTAAGCCACTCATCTGAAGAAATTAGTTAATCAAAAGATGATTTATTTACCAAGCTACAGCATCCCGACACACAGGATAACTGGATGTGCTTTTCCTTTATTTAATTCTGTTTTCACTTATCGAGTACCTGCTCTGGGCAGAAACCTGGGTTAGTCAGTCTGTGGTAATGAAACATAATTTGCCATTAAACGAAGGCACAAAAAAAACAAGAAGTGGACAGACCTAGAAACTACAGACTTCATCAGAAATTAAAAGTCATATTTTGGTATAACAAAAAAAAAACTACCTCCCTATCCATTATACACTGCGCTTATTACTGTGGAAACATTTTATTAATGTTTGCAAGAGGCAAGGGTCATATGTAAAATAGCTAAAAACTTGTAAGGCCAGCAAATGATCAGTCAGAAGGTTAAAATTTGGATACCTCCGAGCTCCCTGCCAGGTGTTCAAGCTTTAGTTGCTGGGCTAGCGTGCGTGAAGCGGGTCCTGGACTACTGGAGTGTCAGGGTCCCTCAGGCAGAACCTGTTCAATATTTTAACAGCTGATACAGCTGAATAACAGCCTGGATAATACCTGATGCATTGCTTTCCTCATTTTTCAGGTGAAGAAACTTGGGGCTTAAAGAGGCTAAGTTATTTCTCTTTGGTCACAGAACTAAAGTGTTGAAGCTGAAATTTGAATAAAATACTTTCTGATTCCAAAGTCTATGCTCTTAATCTCTCTTCCATATGTGTTACAATAAGTGAGCAAACACTGCTAGTTTTGCTTGGGGGAAGAAATAGCCAAGTCTGACTGAAGATATTTGAGGACACTGCAGAGAGTCTGGGCCTTAAAGGGGTAATCAGATTTCAGCCCACATTTAATTCCCAGTGTAATTGATAGAAGATATGTAGGCACGCTCATTTCCCAGAGATATAATCATTCAATGCTTTGGGTGAGTCATGTACTCTTATATTTATGCCTCTCCCATGATTAAAAGAAATTCTCTTTAGTACTTAATCCTGAATTAGATATTCCTATGCTCAGTTTCTCAATTTTCAAGGGGCAATTACTTTGTTATTTTGATTTAAACTTCTTCAGTTTGTTAGCCTCAATCCTTATAATATTTAGAAGTAGCTTCTAACATGCTGAAATTTCTGAAAAAGTGTCATATATGAATAGATCTCTTTTATTAAATGAGAGAAGATTCCTGATATCCAACTCAGGGATGAATGAGCAGGGAGGTGTTGGCCTGATTGATGAACCGGATTCACCTCTGGATCCCTTCTGTATATGAGACACGAGGCTTCCCGAATCCTGGCTCTTCCCTTCCCAGCCTGTGCCTCTGTCAGTTACTCACCCTTCCTGAGCACTTTTCATTCGTGCTCCAGCCTACTTGGGGGCCTCATGGCCATCACGCTCTTGTAATAATGAAGTTCCTCCTGTTATTAAAAGATGTTTTATGTATATATAATGTATGTTTTATGTATATTAATTAAATATACGTAAAAACGTCTTTTAATAACAGAAAGCCTGTAGTGCTTTTAGAGCTATGATACAAGGGCATGCAAGGGCAGTAAACAAATCTGTATCTGACCCAGAAGATGACACCATGTGTTACTGGAGAGTGCTTCTGTGGTTGAATTAAATGAAGAAGTGATGTCCTCTCTCTGTTCAGGAGACCTGAAAACTGGAATAGAGAAGCTTGTAAGATGACTTATTTCCAGTGGGATTTCTTTATATGAAGATATGTGAGTCTTTCTTGATCAGGCACTGTCTGCTGCTGACATGTGGGTTGGGGCCAGGTTGTTCTTTGGGCCACATTGTTCTTCTCTAGATATTGACAATTATGTAAACCTAGGGTGAGGCTACCAGTGACCATTCCAACACCATCATTGGGCTTCCTGGCTATTTCTGCAGACTAGCTCTACTCATAAGTGAATTTCATTGATTGCTGTTACCCCTGGTCCTTCCATCCAAACTTATGGCGTATACCACCGATATCCTGGTGTTCTCAGCAACAAAACTGATGGGAGGAATGTCCATTCTGTGTGTACTGAGATGGGCTTGGATGTGTGTGTGGCAATACTTAGCGAATGGAAGAAAGAGTTAGTATGAAATGTATTCAGCAAGAAATAGTAAAGAAATAGATAGCTTACAAAAATCCAAAGTGTGCTTGGTAAATATGTTGTTGTCAAAACTGGTAAATATGTTGATGCAAAAACTAAATCTTACTTATCTTTGTAATCCAGGTTCAGTCGCTGTCCCTAGTATATAGATATCATTCAATAATTGTATACTAAATTAAACTGATATATTTGTGTAAATTTGCAGATAGAAGAGAATTATGCCAACAGAGCAAGAAAAACTAGAGACTAGGGAGAGATAAAATGAATTTGGCAGTGAGAGGGTATTAATTAAATATGGATGGGCAAGAAAGAATAAGCAAGCTGCAGATAAGAAAATCATGGAGCAGTGAATGAAACAAATTAGAATTAGAATTCCTATGTATCTAGACATGCATGACTTTACTTATACCCTCCATTCATTGCACTCAGTGTCTCGGGCAGGAGTGGAGAAAGAATGGAGCTGTAGAAGCATGAATCAAAATAAAAACATAGGGGTATGGTATAATTTTTTTTGCACGTGGCAGTCCCAAAATATGTACAAATATGGCTTCTGGAGATTTCCAAGTGGATGTTGCATTATTCCTTAAAATCAAAAATTTAAAGCCCTACATTATGTACTGTGCCTCTTCTAACAGACTTTCTCAATCACCAGAATTACCTCTCTTCTAGACATCATGAGCTAAGCACGTTATCAGGAAAACTGCATTTGATCTTCACAGTAGTCACAGAATTGGAAATGGCTATGCCATTTCACAGATGGGGCAAGTGAAGTTTACAGAGGTTTAAGACGTGCAGTTTTATCCTTGGTTCCACTGGCTCCTAAGCCAATGATTTTAACTGCTGTGTTAACAATTGCTTTTCTGATGTGGTCCAAAGCAATTTGCTTGTACCTGTATCTTAGTATATACATTTGGGTTTGCTTGAGTTGTCAATTATTTACACAGTTCTGTGTCCTTTTCTTGCAAGATTCCTGAGGGCTTAAAAAATAGCAGGGTTGGGGGTGGTTATATACTAATTTTCTCTGAAAATCCTTAGTTTTGGGGACTAGAGCATGGTGATTTGCACATATTAGGCACTCATACTGATTAGTCAATAAACAAGGTAACCATATTTTTATAAGGATTATAGTAGACTTCCTTACTTGAAAGCAGCTAAATAGCCAAATTTGTCTAAATTTGTCAAAGTCAATTAAACTATGCCCAATAAAATAGAATAAAATTGAGAAACAAAATTCAGATTACCTAGTGATTAGTACTTGATCCTATTAGATTTTTAAAAGCAAAGACCAGAGAGCTTGCAGCCTGCTTAAGGACACACCACCAATTGGCAACAAACTCTATTAAACAAAATGAATGCTAACTGTCGTCTGCTGGAAAAACAAAGCTCTGGGGCACACAGACTCCCTTTAGCAGGAGCAGCCCTATTTTATCTGCTTTAAATATTATGCTGCCAAGTTTATTGAAAAAACTGTTTCACAGCTAAATATATTTTAAAAGCCCTGTTTTAGGAATTAGGCTCACAGTTTCTGAGGAGAGTCTTACCTTAACCAGAGACTTTAGATTATCACATGAGCAGACATACATTCACTTTTTTCTCTGTCCAAAAGCTAAAAGTAGGTTTTCTCAATCTCCAGCCCCACAACATGATTATAGTCATCAATTTCTTATACCTGTAATTATAATATGAGGCATGAAATATGTGTGTGTGTGTGTGTGTGTGTGTGTGTGTGTGTGTGTGTGTTTAAGGAGAATCGAAGACTATTAAGTTGGCTCTATAGAGTCTAATTCATCTTACCCCCACCAAACACCTTAGCTGTAGTGCCATGACTCAAGTCTGTTCTTGAGCATCCTATAACCTCAGAGTTATCCTTACAGTTGAAAAAATTGGGAGAAGCTTGGGCCACACTTGGAAGCTGGAAGTAGTATCCAATAAGAACAAATTTGGGAAAAATAAAAATGACTATTTTTACACTTTTGATGATTCGCTGAATGTTCAATAGACTTAAAGTGGCTGTTGGGTCCAGTTGCAGTGACAATAGCTCACTATTAACTTATCAATTACATGACCTTTTAACTAACATCTCAGAGCTGTCAGTTCTCCCCTAAATCCTAGCCACTCTTGGGTGGCATGTAACATGCACATTAGACCACTGATGGGTTGCTTTCTAGTGTCATGTCTTCTATAAAATGCCTGCAGGGGCCGGGAGTGGTGGCTCACAACTGTAATCCCAGCACTTTGGGAGACTGAGGAGGGCAGATCACCTGAGGTCAAGAGTTTGAGACTAGCCTGGACAACGCGGTGAAACCTGTCTCTACTAAAAATAAAAAAAAATTAACCAGGCATGGTGGTGCATGCCTATAGTGCCAGCTACTTGGGAGGCTGAGGCAGGAGAATTGCTTGAACCTGGGAGGTGGAGGTTGCAGTGAGCCGAGATAGTGTCACTGCACTCCAGCCTGGGTGACAGAGCGAAATTCTGTCTCAAAAATAAAAAAAAAAAATAAAAGTAAAAATAGAAATAAATGAAATGCCTCCAGGGCTTAGCTGGAGAGGCTCCATGGTGTTGGGCACAGTCTATTATACATTGTTCATGGGAGCCTGGCATTTCCAGTTCACACAAGCACTTTCCACCCTAATCAGTTTGGATATATAAGGTTGTAGCTTATGACGTAAACTATGAAAACTACTTTGGTTTCTAAAAACAGGAAATTTTAGTCCCACAAATATCCATAAATCAAGTCCCATGCCGGAATCTTAGCAATTACATTAATTGAATATTGACCTTTAAAGCAAATCCTTTTAGTGATTCTACCCTTCTCATTTATAAGAGTTCTTCCTGATTTAGTTTTATCTTTACTTGAGAGAAATGTTACCTTAACAAATTATTATTTTTACTAGTATTGCTTTCTACATTTACAAAGATAATTTCCTTCTTTAAGCTAATTTTATTTTAAAAATAATGGATTTTTTTCTTCCATTAGATCTTTCCTTAAGTTTATTTACTTCTGGTGTGCTGTCTTTGGAGAGTTTTGTTCCAAATTAACACTGGGAGGGCAGTGCTTTGCTTGCAATATAGGTCATCTATTTTCTTATTTAACTACTCTCTTCTTCAGGGCAGGATTATATTTAAACAATGACGGGCAAGTAGCATCATAAAGAATGGTCCTTTTGAGGTATAAGGACTGCTAATTAATGGTTCTTCTGTATAAAATGAGTAAAGGAACTAGCTAACCTATCTTTTGAGAATAAATAAAATATAAAAAATTTAAGACTAGGAACCAGCCCTGTAGATATTATTCTTGTCTGAAATGTTGTAACCTTGAATATTTCTGCCATTCAACAAAATGTGTGCTATTACATGATATGTCTAAAGACATCGACTATTACCAAGCTTGCCATTTAAACCCAAATATGCTTGAATAATGCTGCAAAAGCTATTACAAGGGCTGCTCTATGGGTATAATTCTTCCACTAATAAGCTTCACCTTGTTAAAGCAAAGGTCACCTCTCTGTGTTTCACTATTTTGTATACGATTTTTGCTGATGGCTAGACATAATCTTCAATTTCCATTTCTAGTTTAGAAATATCTGATGTTGGCTAACATACATCCACACATTTTAGAAAAATATTTCCATTTTTTAATACTTCCTTGAATAAATCTCTTTCCTTAGCTGTTTCATTTCAGATCTCTCTAATCTCATTGCCTCTGTCTTATCCCGAAGGACACGCTGTCATCACCTGTCATGTTAACTTTCTCTGTAGGCCCTTGCAATTATCACCTTATGATTTCCCTTTTGTCCTAACATTTATCTATTTTTGAGTCAACTTATTTCCTACTCCTGTTCCAAATTCAGTTTTTGTTT
This sequence comes from Homo sapiens, assembly GCF_000001405.40. Classification (NCBI taxonomy): domain Eukaryota; kingdom Metazoa; phylum Chordata; class Mammalia; order Primates; family Hominidae; genus Homo; species Homo sapiens. The sequence continues at coordinate 52,862,656 of NC_000007.14, forward strand.
TCATTTTTGTTTTGTTTTGTTTTTCCTTATACAAGTCAACTCCAGTGATTTTGGTTCCAGTAAAAATTATTTCTGTGAGATACTTGGCACATTTTTTTTCCTTTTGCAGTCTAAAAACTAATAGCAACAGGAGGAAGAAAGTCCATTTCAGAAAGTATGAGGGATTGTAAAGCAAAGATTAAGACTAAGACTCTCAAGACCTTTAAGCCTGGCTTTGCCATAGCATTGGGTATGAGCTGAGGGTCGTCTGTGAACTTTGACTTCCAATATTAACCCAGCAGTTTCTGTATAATTTTTAAAGTTTATTTCTGATGAGAAATAAATAACTTTAATTATTTGAAATAAAAATACTCTTAAATCATCATCAAGAAATTGACACTAAGTGATGCAAGAGACAGCAGTGATGAGAATGAGAATCCAACAGCCCTTCTACTCTGAGCCTGCCAATCATTAAGGTAGATAGTGACATTTATTAACCTTAGTTTTAGCAAGCTGCTCCCTGAATGTAGGTTTGGGGATTAGGTAAGAGAGAAATGATGAAAGAGATTTTTTTGTTTTTTATCCTCTGAGCTCACCTGGCTCAGAGGTGATAAATTGTTATTATAGAAGGTTGTATTAATTCACTGGGTTTGTCACATATTTCTGGAGGTGATTTCTCATAAGTTTGCCACGATAAGGCAAAATGCAAGCATTAAAATCAAGTCCTTTAGGAAAATTTGTAGCTTTAAAGAGAGCTACTAATCTCAAGGAACTTTCCTATAAAAGCACAAAATATTATATCAAGAGTAACCAAGAAGCGACATCAGCAAAATGGGAGAATAAGCAGCTCCAATCTCCCATCTCCCAGCAGAAACATTAAAAAGCAAGCCGAAATGATCATAACCCACCCTTTTAGAGCTCTGAAAAATCGCGAAAGGTTTACACCAACCAAATGAATGGTGAATCTAGAAAAAAGAAACTTTAAAATAGAAGATCTTTGTGGTATTTTTACTTGAATGTGCATCTATTTTAGTGAACATCAGTTATTTGTAAACTGGAGAAGAAAACTCAAGATTCTCTTCAGCAATCAGCATTTTTACTTGCCCCAGCTTCTTCCCTGTTTTGGTAGCAGTCAGGATGCTGTTTTGAAAACTGCTCCCAGTGGGAGACTGTGAAATGTTGGTCCCTGGCATCCGAGGAAAGTGAGAAAACATTACTTGCAAGATACTGTGTACTGTTCTAATCTAGCTGGCGAATGTCTGACACAAAGTGTTCTGTTTTGCTTAACTCAGAAGTTATGCAAGCAGGAAACACTGTAGCTGTTGTTCTAAAACATTGTAAGGCAGAAAGAAAAGTGACCTGCAAATGCCTGAGGAAAAGATTGCATTTGAGACATAGACTAGACCAACTACAGTCTGAGAGGAAAAGCCTAGGGGAGACTTCCTTCCAGAAGTTAGGGTAATCCAAGGCACTCATACATAAGCTGAAATGCAGAAAGCCATGGACATACCTAGGAAAATACACTTAGAAAAGATGTGAGATGACCTTATGCCTTCACTTTGGGCTTAACTCTAGAATCAGTGCAAATCTAGGTAAGTATTAAAGAAAATATTTAGTACAGAACTAATCTGCAAAGAGTGTGAGAGGTGATTTATTGTTTATGTAGCTTGTGATGTTTTAGAAAATATCTGCCAAAATACTATCAGAACACAAGGTAATGAACTAAATCTTCAATGACTACACATGACAAGAAATACAGTCTCTGCAAAAATAGTTGGAGAAAGCTACTAGATAAATGCCCTATCATAGTCGTCAACAATCAAGGAAAGAAGAGGAGCTTCAGGATGGCTGAGTACGGGTAATTGGTACTCCTCACCTCCTCCACAAAGAAATACATCTAAAAGAGAACACGATAATTCAATATAGAAATGACAGGAAATACCCAAGGCAAGGACGGAGAGGTAAGCAAAGCAACCTGCTCAGCCAGGATCTGCTGGAAGCCTGAAGAGGCTCCCTAAAGCAGAAAAAGGATAGGTGGGCCACATTTCCACTGCAGACTTCAGTAATCTCAGGCCTGGGAGAGCTTCTCAACCCCACTGGGCCCTGAGACTGACAGAAAGAGCTACCTGGAGATAATGTGACAGTATTGCTGCAGAAAGTGTGCTCACATCAGATCCTACACACCCTTTGAGTCCTAAGCAGCTACAGCAAGGGACCATTTTGAGAGTCCAGCCCCCAACAGACTACATCTTGACCTGGGACCCAACAGCTTCTGCTATTTTCCTCCTCCACATCCCTGCAGCTTTATTGACATCCACTGCCCACAGCTGCTGCTGCTGCTAGCTGCTGCTGCCAGATGCTTTGAGCCCACCACCCCCAGCAGAGGGGCCAATGCACATTTGTACGCATCTTAATGATAGGTTTCTCCACCTGCCGCTATTGATGGCTGCCACCACTTGGGGCCAAAGTGCAAGCCACTGGCAGTGACTCCAGTGCCCTCCAGCAGTGGGGCTAACACTTATTTACAAGTACCTTGAGATCAGGCTTCTCCTCCTGCAACCACTATCTGGAGCCAAAGCAAGTGCTCCTCAGCTGCCTACCTACACCTGCTGCCACTGAAAAGAACCCCACACTCCCCAGTAGCAGGGCACAGCACAGTCATTGCTGCCTTCACCTGAGTACTTTCCTGGGAGCACAGGAGTCACTCACTCCCTGTGCACCACAGCTAGCACACACATGTGTCACAACAGGGCCTGAGGACAAACCCACCTGGCCATGTTTACACCACAGAGTACCTGAACCTACTGTCTGGAGCCTGGGTATTGCCCTGCCCTCTCTACCACCATCGGTGCCTGAAGATTTCTACCATCGGCCTGAGGATGGGCCCACTCAACCTGCTACTACCACCAAAGCTGGTACCCAAGACCTGGGGGAAAATTAAATAAATTAAAAAGTGCACACCACAGTAGAATAAGATAAGCTTCAAGAGACCCCTGCCATTCCAACCCTATAGGAGACAGTGAACTTGCCCACATGCAGAGTATATAGCAACTATAACCAGTAAGAAAGCTACTACAATCAGTGAGAGAATCATCACACTTAGACTCTATATAACCAAGGAACTTAGACAGAATCTTCACCCTTAAAAGCACTAAGAACCAAATTAGGCTATAATAAACTATATAAAAGTCACGTCCTTAAGAGAGGAAAAAATTAAAAAACAGGTGAATCAAAATAAATTCAAGAACAATTAGAAGAAATAGTCTACCCAAATGAGAAGGGACCAGAAAAGTAATATGGCAAAACAGGGGCCAGGTGCAGTGGCTCATGCCTGTAATCCCTACACTATAGGAGGCCGAGGTGGGTGGATCACCTGAGGTCAGGAGTTTGAGACCAGCCTGTCCAACATGGCGAAACCCTGTCTCTACTAAAAATACAATAATTAGCCAGGCATGGTGACAGATGCCTGTAATCCCAACTACTTGGGAGGCTGAGCTCAGGAGAATCACTTAAACCTGAGAGGCAGAGGTTACAGTGAGCTGAGATCATGTTACTGCACTCCAGCCTGGGTGACAGAGCAAGATTCTATTTAAAAAAAAAAAAGGCAAAACAGGGCTCTATAACACCCCAGAAAGATTGTGCTAGCTTCCCAGCAATAGATCCAAATGAAGGTGAAATGTTTGAAATACCAGATAAAGAATTTAGAAGTTTGATTATTAAGCTACTCAAAGAGATACCAGTGAAAACCAATATAAAGAAAAATAAAAACAAACAAAAAAAACTTCAGAGTATGAATGAAAAATTTTTCAAAGAGATAGATACTTAAAGAAAAGCCAATCAGAACTTCTGGAAATGAAAGACACACTTAGAGAAATACAAAATGCAGTGGAAGATTTCAATAATAGACTAGAATAAGTAGAAGAAAGAATTTCAGAGCTTGAAGACAAGGCTTTTAAATTAACTCAACCAAATAAAGATAAAGATAAAAGAATCAAAAGAAATGGGAAAAAAATGTCTCCAAGAAATAAGGGATTATGAAATGGCCAAACCTAAGAATAACTGGTGTTTCTGAGGGAGA